>NW_021160017.1:2750224-5500449 GCF_000001405.40 Homo sapiens | reverse complement strand
GAATTCTCACCCATTTCCCATCTATGACTACAGTACCACTCACCATGAGTGCTCCACTTTTGGGGAAACCTGGAAACATATCTTCCATCTGGCTCATAAGCAGGTTAATATCACCCCCTCTATAGACTATGCTGTACATGACAACATAGGATGGCTGATGATGGTGCAAATTCAGGCAATGGGTCATGCACCTCTACACATCCAAAAACACAAGAGCAACACACCCCACACTAGCAGCCAGGCTAAGGGATGGTTACCTCTTAGTAATGTGGCCAAACCCATCAACTGACTAATCATATGTGGCTAGGATGGCAAAATAGTATCAAGCTACATGGTGGGGCCTATCCTTTCTCCTGGAGTTAGCTATGGGTCTGAGGCAGTCATAGCTGGTCTTACTTACCTTACAGCTGGACCGGCAGATACACCTGGGGTGCCCTTACCTACCAGGACACATCCTGTCCCATCTGGACTCTCTCCCTGACGACTGGGAAAATGTGAAGGACAGACAACACCATCAAAAATGGGCACCCTGTTGGTTCTACTCACTAGCTGTCTTTTCCTCCCAGACAGCAAACATAGATGTAGAATTATAAGTAGATAACCTAAGTATAGAGCTGCTGCCTGTAATAACACCTAACCCAACATTACCCTTCTCACTGAAAACACTCGCAGATTAGACAAGTGGCTGTATAGAACCCCATGGCCTTAGATATCCTAACTGCAGCCCAGTGGGACACTTGTGCATTAAGACTGAATGGTGCATAAATACACCAGATTATTCTCACGATATAATCCAAGCTATGCATGCACTGAATACTCATATTTCTGCTATAAATGTCCTCTCCCAGGATCCCACAATATCATGGTTTAGTCGACTTCCAGGTCCATGGAAGACTCTCATATACAGTATAATTGGTATTCTGCTCCCTGTTCTGTTTGGTTGCTGTAGTTTTTGTCACTTTTCAAGATCTGTATGGAGATGCAGGAAAAACTTTCCCAGAAACTTTTGGTTCCCCACACTATAATGCTCTAACACATTCTCACATTAGTCTGGGAACCCACGAATATTTCCAACTCCAGGTAAACAGATTCCAATCTGATACCCTCTAACTGTGCCCCTTTTCAGCAGGAAGAAGCTAGATGGACTGTGTTGCCACTTTCCTTGGAAATGGAATGGTCTTTTATGGTGAAGGATTGTAATTGAGTCATATAGCTTCAAAATACATTTAAGTTTTTTCTTTCTCCTTTTTTTTCTTCCCAGTCTCAAGATGTAACCTTGAAGCAAACTGCAGAAGCCATTGCTTTAGTCTTCAAGTAGAACCATGAAATATACTTTGGAACCACACCCCCTTCGGTTTCCCACTGTACACGTCCATGCCTTATACACATTTACCTAACTGTATGCTGGCTAAACTCACACCATGCATACTTATCTAACTATATGCCTGTCAAAAAATACCAGAGGCTAATTTAAAATGAACCAAACATAAAGGCCCAGCTGTGGAATTGTCTCTCTCTTAAAGATTGCCTCAGGATGGATATCTACAGCCTGGAACTATCAAGATGGTATCAGTCTGTCTCGAGTAAGACACAGACTCCCTGAATCTGCACATCACCTGCATGCCTCCCATGTAATGCGTCACGCTTCCCTTTCTTTAAACCCCTGCCCTCTGCCCAAAATTTTGAACTGGTCTATAGAGGTGTAATCCAGCCATTTCCCTACTGCTGAATTTGAAAAATAAAGTCACTTTCCTTTGACCCTGCACGTCCTCTTTGTCATTGCTTTTGCATGCATAGAACAGCTGGACCTGCACTCAGTTACATGTGTATCATAAGAGGAATGGAATATGGCATTTTTCTCCCTGACTGCCAATGACTACATGGAAACAGGGGTGCCTCATCTTCTGTATTATGGTATATTATTGAAGAAATAGACTTATACTTTCACATAAGCTGATCAACTCCATTTACCCTCTAGCTAGCAGTGGAGGCAAAAACAACTCAATCTTGAAAGCTAATTCACCATGTTGACTTCTGATTAACCCCTGTTCTGGGACTGCCTCTAAGCTTTCTGTATAAATATTTTTTTCCTTTATATGCACACTGGGGGATAAGATTTCTATTGTGTCTACTGTTCCTTGTGAAAATCATTATTTTTCTCTAAATCCTGCCCTTAGGTCAGAACCACCATGACTATAAATCCTGTGCTTAGATTCACATGGCATTTCTGCCTTTCCCTGACAGGTAGACTTCAGTTTTCCTACACATTCCTTCCCCATGGTATATAAGTCCTGTGTGAGACTCAAATATCTGTTCATAAATCCCTACTAAATGTTTCTTTCTAAGAGACTGGTTATATCAGCCTCTATCTTCAGCTGTTCAGCTTCCTCATGTTTTAGTGGTAGGTTTGCAAAGACCTGCCCTCCATGGACTGCTAACTATTAAAAATGGAGAGCTTTTAGTGGAGTACTGAAATCCCTATTTTATGTATGTAGAAATAATTTAAAAAATGATGGTCCTAGAAATCTGTTGAGGAGGAAGCAGAATTGTAATGAATTAGATGAATGTTTCCCTGACCTAGATTTAACATTTCAGGAAGACTGAATAAAGGGAACATGAAATCATGATCTCAATTATACGAGCCATCCATCCATTGAACTCTGACTTCCAATCAGTCTAAAGTGTGGATGGAGAAAGAGTGTTAGGTACTTGCCTCATGAAGAGGTCTAGGAATTTGGCTTGTTTGCAGTGATAGTTTTTGAAAATTGTAGTGTCCAGGACAGCCACTCTGAAACCTGGTAGCTTAGTATATTATGGGAAATCATAATTTTTGTGCTGTCAGAGAGGTTGTTTGGGAACTTGGAGCACCACACGATGTCATCTGTGCCTGTGACATCATTTAGCACAGCTTTGAATTTAGTGCCTGTTTTCTTTTAAACCTCATCTCTCCAGTCTCCATCTCCCTGATATGCCACATTGAGATGGGTTACACCTTACATGCATCTACTTATATCTAACTTATGGCTTGCCATTCTAGTTTTTTTTTAATTGCTTCCTGGTTTGGTGAAGCACAATCTTCACACTCTTCATCATGATAGATTAGAAAACATGCATTGAAATGAAGATAAAAAGGGATTTGACAAGTTACGTAAGTGAGATAGTATCTCCAGTTCAAATGAAATAAATGGAAACACTCACCATGTTTTAAAATAGGAACCTTAAATGAAGCTGTCATGTCTCAAGTAATAAAGTATGGGCTTAAAGAAGTTAGTTTTCTTCAATCACAAATGCTCAAATAACACCACGTAACAGTTATCCTCATCTAAGAATGAGAAATGACATCCATGAAGCTGAATGTCTCTTCCAACTTTCTAGGTCACAAGAGCTCATTTTCTGACTGTCACTATTACCGTGGTGTGGACAATAGACCTCATGTTTAGAGACCAAAAAACAAGTCAACATTATACATGGCCATGGGTGTGCAGAATGAAGTCTGATGTCTTTGTGGGTTTTTAGGCATGGTCCCTGGAAACAACCCTGGTGCTGTCCAGCAGCGTGTTGAACAGGAAGTTGTGTGTGCGGTGAGTGGAGAGTCCTTCCTGCTGTGGGATTCTTTGTTTAGCCAGCACATATGCAGAATCACTACTCAGCCTCTGTCTATCTCTTAGATCACTGCTGGAGGGTTGGGGATATGTTGTATTTTCTTCCTTCTTATCCTTCCTTCCGTTTTTTCCCTCTTTCCTTCTTTCCCTCTTTTCTCTTTCTCTTTCTCTCTCTCTCTCTCTCTTTCTTTCTTGGGTCTGACTTTATTGCTCAGGCTGCAGTGCAGTCACACACTCATGGCTCACTGCAGCCTTGACCTCTTGGGCTCAATCCAACCACCTGCCTCAGCCTCCTGAGTAACTGGAACCATGGGTGTGTGCCATTATACTCAGCTAATTTTTCTATTTTTTTGTAGAGAAACAATTCTCCATGTTCCCCAGGCTGGTCTTGAACTCCTGGACTCAAGCAATCCACCCACTTTGGCTTTCCAATGTGCTGGCATTACAGGCATAAGCCACCACACCTGGCCTCTTGTTTTGCCTCTATCAGGTTTTCCATGCCTGTGCAAAACCTATTTTGAATCTCACCTGCCAAAAATCTGGTGTGAAAAGATTTTTTTGTCCAGGTCCAGATAAGTAGAAACTGCCAAAACCACCAACCACCATATATATATATATATCTTTTGTATTCCGCTCACCTGCTGTCATGATGATGCCCATTTGGTGACTTTGGGATTGCTGATATAATTCTGGTATTCAACAGAATACAAGGTTCCATAAAATTCCTGATGGAGAATATGGTGTGAAAAGAAATTATCACAGAATTCCAACAAGGCTTGAAGGCAGAATTATCTTTAGAAAACTAAGCCTATATTAAAAAAACCATAATATGAAAATATAATTTATATTTCTTGTCACTAACATTCCTCAATCTTGGTCTTTGGTATCCAGAAACTTTGTTTGCCAAAATATGTTCAGTGGGATCCTGTAGATATGTTCCTAAATGATATCTGGAAATGGGCCTTTCTGGGGTATGTGAGGCATAGGCAAATATCTCTGAAAACAGAGAGGTTACTGACACTCAAACGAGTTACTTGGTAATAAAGAGTGTGATGGGGAGGTCAAATATGGACAAGAGTTCCTTGAGTTTGATAGTGGCTTCCTGAAGTAGATGGATGTATGTATGGAAGGGTAAATTTATGCGGAAATCTGCTTGGCTATTTTTTTTCTATATGTCCATTCACCTTCTGAGGCCAGTTTTTTTTTTTGAGTCTTGGTCTCCCTCTGTTTCCCAAGCTGGAGTGCAGTGACACAATCATGGCTCACTTCAGTTTGGAACTCCTGGGCTCAAGCAATCCTCCCAAGTCAGCCTCCCCAGAAGCTGGGATAACATATGCATGCCTGTCTTTTTTAATTAAAAATAAAAAATCAAAGATTTCATTTTAAAATAATTTTAGATATACATAAAGATGCAAACATAGTACAGCTAGTTTTACATACCCAGGAGTTTACTAGAATGTTAACATCTTATTTATATACCCATAATGTATTTATGAAAACTAATAAACTTACAGTGGCTTAAAATTATTAACTGAACTACAGACTTTCTTCTGAGTTTACCAGGTTTTCTAGTAATGCCATTTTTCTGTTCTAGAATCTAATCCAGGGTAGTATTAGAAATTAAATGTGCTATCTTTTGTATTAGTTATCAGTTGCTGCACAACAAATTGCCACATAGTGTGGTGGCTCAAAATCACACACACATTACTTACAGTTGCTCTGGGTCAGGAATCCAGGTGCAGATGATGTCCAAGGCTGAGGTCTCAACTGAAGGCTCATCTGGAGAAGGATACCCTCAAAGTTCATGTGATAGTTGTTAAGATTCTATTTCCCACTCTGGACAGATCACGGTGGGTCAAACTTGTAATACCAATGCTTTGGTAGGTTCAGGCAGGAGGATTATTTGAGGCTAGCGGTTCAGGACCAGCTTGGGCAACATAGTTAGAACCTGTTTCTACCACACAAAAAAAAAAAAAGAAGGAAGAAAAGAAAAGAAGAAAAAAGACTAGCCAGACATGGTGGCATGTGCCTGTGGCCCCAGCTGCTCAAGAGGCTGAGGCAAAAGGATTGCTTGACCCCAGGAGTACAAGTCTGCAGTGAGCTATAATCATGCCACTGTGCTCCAGCCTGGATGCAGAGTGAGACCATGTCTGTGAAAAAAAAAAAAATTCTGACTTGGTCAAGAAGACATCACCAGTAAATGATTTCACATCTTCAAATAATTAATACCAATTTATCATATATTTTTCAAAAAATAAACAGTAAACCCCAAGCCTGTGGCACCTAGCAGTGAAATGAGGAGCAAGCAACAGAGCCAAGCATTTTGAGATAATGTGGTCTTGTCCCTCCGTTCATCAGCCATCATCACCTGCAATTCAAATTCCACTTCCCAGAGAGGGAGGAAACTGGTGGCAGCCACATGTGCAGCACAGCAGTGTCGGCTCCAGCAACACCGCAGTCCCCAGGGTGTGCCTCTGGCTTCACGGAAGTCACCTGCTGCACTGGTTTGCCAACTGTTTGTTTTTCTAAGTCCTCATCTGGGAATAGGTAACAACTTTAATAATAATATTTAAATCCTTGTTTTGTTCAACTTTTAAGTTTTTAAAAACTCTGATTTTCTATTTTTTATAGATATTTATGAAGGCTCACAAAATGTGTCACTTCAAATGTCTACATGTTAGGTCTCCTAAGCATACAAACTAAATTGACCTTAATGAAATACCAGAATTTAAATCTTATATTTCTTCTAAATAATGAGCACCTGTTTGTCAACCCATATTTTCATCTTTGTCTATACTTGTAGGTAGTGTATTTAAAGAAAGAAATATGCAAAACAATAAAATCATATTAAAAAGAGTAATTTATCACCCACCTTTCTCTCTCCGTTTCCAGTGTATTGTAAATCTCCATCTATGTAGCCCAATTACATATCTTTATTACTCTGATTTGGTTTTATTCACTTATACAATATAATTGTTTGCAAAGTCTGAAAATTATCTTGAAAAAATGTACATTTTTTCTCCTTTTCATGTGTTCCATTCTATTTCTGCTAAATAAATTTAGACCTTTCACATAAAAACAGTAAGAGCAACATGAAGAATAGATCACTTTTCAATGTGAATTATCAGCCTTATACCACAGTTAGACAAAGTTACTGAAGAAAAACTATGATCAATATGACTTATGAACATAAACACAAAAATTAAAGGAAATACTATTAAAACAAATAACAGACATGTAAAAATTTATAAATTTTGACGAAGGTATACATCTTACAAATGCAAATTTGGTTCAACATAGAAAAAGAATTAGTGCCATAAACTATATTAAGAGATAAGGGACATAATACACATGGTCATCTTAAAAGATGAGCAATAAGCACTTGCTAAATTGAAATTTCATTCCTTATAAAATCATGCAACAAGTTAGGCAAATAAGAAAAATTTCCCCATCATGAAAGCACAGAAAACCTCACATGACATCCTAAAAGTTCTGGAAGCTCAAACACTTTCTTGTAAAATTAGAAACAAGAGAAGGATATCACTTTCACAGTTTTAGTCACCACTGTATTGGAGGATGTCCCCAACATAATTGGTGTAGAAAATAAACATAACGCAGTCCGATTGGAAGGAAAGTCAAATTATGTCTCCAAATGACATGATCCTGCCTATAGACATCATAAAAACTCTAATAAAACATAACAAAATATGAAAAAAGGGATAAGCAAGCTTGTAGTACAGCTTAGTACAGGTCAATATACAAAAACAACTATATTTTTATTTATTAGCAATTAACAATCTAAAAACAAAATTTCAAAAACCATTTCATGTAAAATGGCATAAAAGTTAAATACCTATGAATTAATTTGATAAAATAAGTATAAGATACATATACTGAGGACTACAAAACATATCAAAGATATTAATACAATTATAAATTAAATACATTGAGCTTTCACTGATTAGAAAGCTTAGTATCATTAGGTTGCTGATACTTTCCAAATATATCTAATGCAATCCCTAGCTAAATCCTAGGTGACATTTTCTCCCCTAATTGGCAATTTTACTCTAAAATTCATATATAATGAAATAGAATTCCAGAACAGACAAAATAATTTTGAAAAAGAACAAAGTTTGTGTAGTAAAATGCTACTTTCTGATTTCAAAACATACTACAAAAGCAATAGTAATCAAAATTGTGTTAAGGATATGGAACAACAAAATAACCAGAATAGCCATAGCTATCCTAAGCAGAAAGAACAAAACTAGAGGAATTACATTACCTGACTTCCAATTATACTAGAGACCTATAGTAAATGAAACAGCATGGTATTGGAATAAAAATACCCATATAGACCTATGGAACAGAATAGAAAACCAAGGAACAAATCCACAACGCTACAGTTATGTCATTTTCGACAGAGTTGCCAAGAACGTAAACTGGGGAAAAAGCCAGTCTCTTAAATAAATGGTGCAGGGAAAACTGGTTATCCACATGCAGAAGAATGAAACTAGAACTCTGTCTCTCACTGTATGCAAAAAATCAAATCAAAATGGATTAAAGACTTACATTGAAGACCTCCGACTATGAAACTACTATAAGAAAACATTAAGGAAACTCTCCAGTATGTTGGTCTAGGAGAAAATTTCTTGAGCAATATCCCACAAGCAACCAATGCAAAAATGGGCAAATGAGATCATATCAAGTTAAAAGCTCCTGCACAGCATAGGATATAATCAACAAAGTGAAGCAACAACCCACAGAATGGGAAAAAATATCTGCAAACTACCCATCTGATGGATTAATAACTAGAATATATAGGCAGCTCAAACAACCCTATAGGAAAAAAGTCAAATAATCCAACCAAAAAAGGACAAAATATTGGAATAAATGTTTCTCAAAAGACATACAAATGGCAAACAAGCATATGAAAAGGTGCTCAAAATCATTAATCATCAGAGAAATGCCAATCAAAACTACAATGAGATATCATCTCACCCCAGGTAAAATAGCTTTTATCCAAAGGACAGGTAATAACAAATGCTGGTGAGGATGTGGAGAAAAGCAACCCTTGTACACAGTTGGTGGGAATGTAAATTAGCACAACCACTATGGAGAACAGTTTGGAGGTTCCTCAGAAAACTAAAATTGAGCTACCAAATATACCCAGCAGTAGGCTGCTGCATATATATACCCCAAAGAAAGGAAATCAGTATATCAACGAGATATCTGCACTCCTATGCTTGTTGCAGCACTGTTTACAATAGCTAAGATTTGGAAGCAATCTTAAGTGTCCATCAACAGATGATTGGATAAAGAACATATGGTGTATATAAACAGTGGAGTACTATTAAGCCAGAAAAAATAAAGAGACCCAGTCATTTGCAACAACAAGGATAAAACTGGAGATTACTATCTTCAGTGAAATAAACCAGGCACAGAAAGACAAATATCACATGTTGTCACTTATTTGTGGGTTCTAAAAATCAAAACAGTTGAACTCATGGACATAGAGAGTAGAAGGATGGTTAACAGAGGCTGGGAATGGTAGCAGGGGGCTGGGGGAAGGTAGGGATGTTTAATGGTTACAAAACAAATAGAAAGAATGAATAAAACAAACTGATAGCGTAACAGGGTAACTATGAAAGTCAATAATAATTGCATATTTTTACAAAACTTAAAAAGCATAATTGAATTGTTTGTAACTCAAAGGATAAATGCTCATAGAGATAGTTGTCCAATTCTCCATGATGTGTGCTTATTTCACATTACATGCCTGTACCAAAACATATCATGTACCCTGTGTGTGTTTATCTACTATGTGAGAAGGAGAGAGGTTGCGGGAAGTCAGGGACCCCGAACCGAGGGACCGGCTGAAGCCATGGCAGAAGAACGTGGATTGTGAAGATTTCACAGACAATTACTAGTTCCCCAATTTCAGACTTTTATAATTTCTTACTCCTGTCTTTACTGCAATCTCTGAACATAAATTGTGAAGATTTCATGGACACTTATCACTTCCCCAATCAATGCCCTTGTGATTTCCTATGCCTGTCTTTACTTTAATCTCTTAATCCTATCATCTTCATAAGCTGAGGAGGATGTGTGTCGCCTCAGGACCCTGTGATGATTGCGTTAACTGCACAAAGTGTTTGTAGAGCATGTGTGTTTGAACAATATGAAATCTGGGCACCTTGAAAAAAGAACAGGATAACAGCAATGTTCAGGGAACAAGAGAGATAACCTTAAACTCTGACCACCAGTGAGCCGGATGGAACAGAGCCATATTTCTCTTCTTTCAAAAGCAAATGGGAGAAATATCACTGAATTCTTTCTCAGCAAGGAACATCCCTGAGAAAGAGAATGCGATCCTGAGTGTAGGCCTCTAAAATGGCCGCTTCGGGGGCAGCCATCTTTTATGGTCAAAGCTGTAGGGATGAAATAAGCCCTAGTCTCCCATAGCGCTCCTAGGCTTATTAGGATGAGGAAATTCCCGCCTAATAAATTTTGGACAGACTGGTTGTCTGCTCTCAAACCCTGTCTCCTGATAAGATGTTATCAATGAGAATGCGTGCCTATAACTTCATCAGCAATTTTAATTTTGCCCCAGTCCTGTGGTCCTGTGATCTCGCCCTGCCTCCATTTGCCTTGTGATATTCTATTACCTTGTGAAGCACGTGATCTCTGTGACCCACACCCTATTGGTACACTCCCTCCCCTTTTGAAAATCACTAATAAAAACTTGCTGGTTTTACGGCTCGGGGGGCATCACGGAAGGTGCCGACACGTGATGTCTCCCCCGGACACCCAGCTTTAAAATTTATCTCTTTTGTACTCTGTCCCTTTATTTCTCAGACTGGCTGACACTCAGGGAATCTAGAAAAGAACCTACGTGAAATATCGGGGTGGAATTTCGCCTGCTATCTGGCTGAATTTCTCCCGATAGAGAGACATATATATCAATGGAATAAAATCAAATGTCGAAAATTAATTCTTACATGCATGGTAAAACAATTTTACAAGGTTGACAAGTCAATTCAATATAAAGAAATATTTCCTCACACAGTGTTGCTGGGACAAATGGACACTGACATGCAAGTTATTGCCTCCCTAGCACCATATGCATGATTGACTCAAATTAATAATGCATCTAAATATAGGAGCCAAATTGACCAAATCCATAGAAGAGAACATAAGAATACATTTTCATCGCTGAAATAAATTGGATCTTTGTCCCCACCAAATCTCATGTCAAATTGTAATCTGCAGTGTTTGCCGTGGGATCTGGTGGGAGGTGATTGGCTCCTGAGGGTGATTTTCATGAATGGTTTTAGCACCACTGGTGTTGTTCTCCTGATAGTGAGTGAGTTCTCACAAGATCTGGTTGCTTAAAAGTGCGTAGCACTCCAGCCCCTCTCTTCATCCTGCTCTGGCTGTGTGAAGTGCTGGCTCCCCCTTTGCCTTCCACCATGATTGGAAATTTCCTGAGGTCTTCCCAGAAGCAGAAGTCACTATGCTTCCTGTACAGCCTGCAGAACCATGAGCCAATTAAGCCTCTTTTCTTTATAAATTACCCAGTCTCAGTATTTCTGTATACCAATGGGAGAACAGACTAATACAGTAGCCTTGGGTTAAACAATGGTTTCTAAGCTATGACACCTAAAGCAAATGAACATAATTTTAAAAAGACATAAAGAACTTCATCAGAAATCAAGTATTAAAATTAAAAAACAGACATATTGAACTCATTACAAAACAGTATTGTGTGACTCAAAGTACATGGTTAAAAGTAAAAAGGCAACACCAAAGAATGAGAGAAAATCTTTAAAAATCTCATAGCTAATTAGGGTCTGTTATCCAGAATAGATAAAAAGTCTTACTTCTCGAAAATAAAAAGGCAAACATCTTAATCAAAAATGGCAAATAATTTGAAGAGTCATTTTTCCAAAAATAGTTGTAGTCTTGTCCAATAAACACATGAGAATATGCTCAATTTTTTTGTTATTCAAGAAATGCAAATCTAAACAACCATAAGATATACTTTACAAACCTAAACGGCATTTTGATAACTAAATAAAATGAGTTGGAAAAGGCAAAATACTATCTGATGCCATTTATATAACACTCTGAAAAAGAAAAAAGTACAGAGACAGTAAAGTATTCAGTGAGTATGAAGGGATTGGACCACAGAAAATTTGAATCAGTAAAGTACAAGAAATGCCTCTGGGGCTTTGAAATTGTTCTATATGACAACGTGACACTGAATATGTGACACTGTTATTCAAGACCTACAGAACTTCATAACACACAGATGGTAAAATAAAAACCTTATTTAGGCCAGGCGCCATGGCTCACGCCTGTAATCCCAACACTTCGGGAGGCTGAGGTGGAGGGGATCACTTGAAGACAGGAGTTCAAGACCAGCCTGGCCAACATGGAAAAACCCTGCCTCTACTAAAAATACAAAACACAAAAATTAGCCACGCATGGTGGCACATACCTATAATCCCAGCCACTTGGGAGGCTGAGGCAAGAGAAGTCCTTGAACCTGGGAGGCAGAGGTTGAGGTAAGCCAAGATCACACCACTGAACTCTAACCTGGGCAAGAGAGCGAGACTGCATCCAAACAAACAAACAAACAAACCAAACGCCTTATTTAGTTGATAGAGATTGACTAAATATTATAACTGTATAACAAATGTGTGAAATAAGCTCACTAGAGTGAGAAAAGGGGGCTGACCTAAGTAAATTAGGAAATAGAGGGAGATTCTGAGATTCTAAGTCAAAAGGACAAATAATTTGTATATAAGGACTGAGTTTTAGTTGGCAAAGTAGTTTCCCAGGGGTGTATAAATTAACACTTTTGAAAACACTATGCATGTATTTTTGGATGATATCATTAAGTTATTAACAAAGCCAACTAGTTCCATGTTAGAGGCGCAAGCTACATACAAGCGAGTTGGAACAGGTACATAGCTTCATGTGGTACTGGATTAGATCATGTGCTGCCAGAAACATTACATGGAATTCATGGCTAGTTTAATATTGATACATACGCATACATGTTGAAATATTTATACACATGTATATATTTGTAAGTCAGTAAACACATGTGTATTCTTTTGTTCAGTCAGCTGACAAGGCCTCAAGTCATCAGATGCCCTAGGGGCAATGAATATACCACAGTCTCTAGATCTTCATTTCTAATTCCATTTTCCATTCAAAGGAACTAGGGCATTGTGAAGAAACGGTGGATAATAGGGTTAGACAGAGAATAAACACAATCAGCCTGCAGCACCTAGTAGTGCCAGAAGAAAAGAAAATAACAACCAACAATGCAACAAACCAAACAGCACACCACACCAACAAACCATAAGTATGGGGAGATTTCAAAATTATAGACGATCCAACTGAAAGAAAGTCCCAGCCCGGAGCGGTGGCTCACGCCTGTAATCCCAGCACTTTGCGAGGCCAAGGCGAGCGAATCATGAGCTCAGGAGATCGAGACCATCCTGGATAATATGGTGAAACCTTGTCGCTACTAAAAATACAAAAAATTAGCCGGGCATGGTGGTGGGCGCCTGTAGTCCCAGCTACTCAGGAGGCTGAGGCAGGAGAATGGCATGAACCCAGGAAGCAGAGGTTGCACTGAGTCGAGATCGCGCCTCTGCACTCCAGCCTGGGTGACAGAGCAAGACTTCATCTCAAAAATAAAAGAGAAAAAGAAAGTTTCTTGGACAATACTGAAGCAATTTGAGCAACAAGCCAAATAAATTATTTCAAGTGAAGTGTAAAATAAGTACCCATATTTGTCTATGGGTAGAACAATGATGGAATAATATGGAACAATTGAAGAAGAATAGGCATTTGTTCATTGTGATTAATTCCAAATAATTTTTGCAGACACTCTGCCCCTAGGAAGTGGAACATAATTCTTCACTTCTTATTTGTGTGTTGTGTGTAGTGACTTCTTTTTGAAACATACAACATGGAAAGGAGAAGAAAAAAAACAGTAATTTCACAGTACAGAAATTTGATTGGAACTATCTCATTCAGGTGATTAAATTAACATCAAAAGTGATAAAGCTGTTACAGTCTGTACCCTTAACAGGATGTGATGAGAATGGCACTTTCCCTCTGTGGTCTTCCTCCCTGAAACCTACAATCCAGTCTAATCAGGAAAGAAACACCAAAGAAATCCCAAATTAGGAATGCCAATGTCATAGCAATCATGCAAACTTGGAGAAATTGTCACAGTCAAAGTCGATTAAGGAGCATGAATTGTAAATGTAATGAGGTATCCTGGATAGGATCCTGGAACAGAAACTCGACATTAAATGACGACTAAGTCAATCTGAATAAAGTGCAGATGGTTAATAATAGTGTAATATTGGTTGGTTCATTGTGACTAATATCCCACACCAATGTAAGGGGGTTATTAAGGAACATGGTGTATGGAGTCTGTGGAAACTCTATATTATATTTGGAACTGCTCTGTAAATCTAAAACTATTCGTAAAGTTCAAAAGTTTATTTTATTTTAAGCCTTTGCTGAGCTTATACAACAGAAAGAACATTAACAATATCATTGATGCCCCCTGAATGTATCTCCTGAATTTCATCTATGTTAACAGCTGAAGGTAACTATCATTATGGATTATCTCTGTCAGTCTCTAATTTTCTTATATTCATTTTTCCTGTATGTTTGTATATATAAACACTATATTGTTTTGTCTTTTATCTTTAAACTTAAATAAATATAAATATTGAAAATATTGAATTTAATCCATATCCCTAGTCTAATTATGAGAAGACATCTGACAAATTCATACTGTGGGAAATTTTACAATAGAACTGACCAGTCCTTGTCAGAAGGGTCAAGGTAACAGAAAATAAGTGAAGACTGAAAAACTATTTCATAGTGGAGAAGATCAGATATGGCAGTTAGAACCTAAGATGGCACCCAATGACTCCCACCTCTAAGTATAAGTGAAGTTGATAAATAACTTTGTATTTTAATTCCTTCTAATGAATGTAGTCAGAAACTGTGAGTTGCTTAAAATCAACAGAATACTACAATGGTGATGGGTCATTAGTAGGACGATTATGTTACATTAGATTGTGATTCTTGTCTTGCTAGCAAAGTGCCTCCCTTGATGGCTTTGATGGAACATTTGCCATATGGGAGAAGCCAACATGGGAGGAAACTAAATTCAGAAACAGGCCAAAGCCAGCAAAGAACTCAGGCCCTTGGTCCAACACCCTTACCCAGAGTTTGCAATATTACATTTAAAATGAATCCACTTTTTTTCAAAAAGTGTTTTTTGAAAAAACACTGTATCACTCACAGGTAGTGTGACTATCTTAGAATAACAAAATAATCTTAACTCTTTTGTTCTCCCTATTAGTGCTGTCATTCGTTTCACTTATACGTGAGTACACATGCACATATACATGTATATTTATATACATATAACATATAGACATAAGCATGCCTAATCAAATAGATTGGTGCTACTATTATTTTCCAGAAACCATTATCTGTGAGACTAAATTAAGAATATGAAAAATAAAAGTTTTATTCCATAGGGCAACCACTAAAATAGTCAAAAAAAGTTATATAATTGATATGCTAAGAATGGAGAGAAAACAGAATTGCATAAAATTCTCAAATAAAACCACAAAACACAGAAAATAAGTGAAGCACAATAACGGGAAGAAAGAACAAGGGCAACAAATCAAAAAGAGTAACACATATGGTTGATATTAATCCAACTCCATTGGTTGTCAGTAGTCTAAAAGCATCAATCAAAGAACTGAGAATGTCAGCGTAGATCAATAAAGTCAACCCAACTAAATGATGTTAAGTAAAATCTATGAAATATAAAGACATGTATACATTTAAAGTAAATAGATGAAACAAAATAGCCTAGGCCAACACTTATCAAATAAAGGAAGGGTCGCTGCATGAATTACAGACAGAGCAGTCTTCAAGCAAGGAAAGTCACTAAAAATAAAGACGGGCATTACACAAAGATGAAGGGGTCAGTTCTCCAGTACAACATAATAATCCTTAAAGCATTTAAGTGCCTAACAACAGAATGTCAAACTATGTAAGGCCAAAACTGACACAACTGCAAAGAGAAAGAGATTAACTCATTATTATAGTTGGAAACCTCAACACTGTCTGTCAGATAGTATTTGTCTGCAACTGTACAGTTACTGTCATCTATACACAAGGGTTACCTCAGCTTCATCCATCTAAGTGCCAAGCATTTTCAGGAATGGAGATGTGCCTTCGTATATTACTGGAGGCATCTCCTGCAGGGGCTCCACAACAGGCGCAGCACTGGTCTCATAGTGTCTTGGCCCTATGATAGCATGCATCTCCCAAAGGACTCGTGGAGCGGGTGCTACATTGTTGCAGGTATGCATGCCACTTCTGTATAATGGAGACTTGAGAAATAGCTGATATAGGCCTGGAAAACAACCCTTCTATCCAGCCCTTAATGGAGAGATCTGTTCTCATTGTTACTGGCAGATGATCAGTTACAGGCTCAATGTGCTGCATGGCCTTACATGCTCCCAGAACCTGTTGTTCAATTGGAGAACTGTGGGTTTCAGCACATTTCCATAGCTGTGACCAGAATCTTAGAAGAACTGCTTTCCCATGCTGAACGTGCCAGAGGACCTGTTTTGTCCCTTCAGGGTTTACAGTCATATCAAAAGACACTGGTATCCCAGAAGCGGGGAACTAGAGCTTGTGCCTGAGCAATCAATATTTTAGCCTTCTCAAATGCTACCACTTGTTCTTTAGTTCTTTATCCTAGATCTGTTTTTGTTTTTTTGAGACAGGGTTTCTAGCTCTTTCGCCCAAGTTGGAGTGCAGTGGCACGATCTCAGCTTACTAAATACTCCACCTCCCAGGTTCAAGCAACTCTCATGCCTCAGCCACACAAGTAACTGGGATTACAGGTATGCATCACCATGCCTGGCTAATTTCTTGTATTTTTAGTAGAGATGAGGTTTCACCACGTTGCCCATGCTGGTCTTGAACTCCTGGCCTCAAGTGATCTGCCTGCCACGGTCTCCCAAAGTGCTGGGATTACAGGTGTGAGCTACTGTGCCCAGCTGAGATTGCTTCTTTAATAGTCAGTATAGGGGATGCAAACATGGAGGTAAACATGGAATGAAAGCCCACTGGTATCCCAAAAGACCTAGGAAACTTTGTAACTGTTTAACTGTTTTAGGTATGGAAAACTTATATTTTCTCAATGACCAAGCCTGAAGTAAGGTGTCTTACCTGGCCAAGTGATCCATAGGAACTTTGCAGCTGGTTCCAGGCCTTGTACTTTTGTGAGTTGATGGCCCATCCTCTGGATTGAAGAAGGGTGTCAATGCATCTCCGTGTTGCTGTAGCAATGACAAGTCTTCAGAAGTTAGAGTATCATCAATATAATGACTGCAAGTCAGGGTAAAAGGGATGCTAAAGAAGGCATTAGCTAAATCTAACACAGCATGATAAGTGCCTATGTTTTGTATTAATTGCTCAATCACTTGAGTTACATTACATAAAGGAGCATGTATCTTAGAAAGATCAGTAGTGTCCACTTATCTACTGTCATATCCAAGTGCCATCAGATTTTATTATTGGTCACACAGGATGGCTGAAAGGACTCTGGGCTGGCCAGATAATATTAACTTTGGCCAATTTCTCCATGGCGGCTGTGACTTCTTATATTCTACCAGGAAGATGGTATTGTCTCACATTAACAATACATTGTGGGGGAGGGAGGTGTACACCTTCTAATTTTGCCTCCAATCTTAATACAGCCTTTGTCATAGGTGAGATTCCCCCACAGATGTTTGTAAAGTGCATCCTAAGAAGACATCCATATTCAAGATGTTTTCTGCAATAGGTGAGATAAAGACAGGAGAGTAAGCAAAGAGGGAACTCCAGACAAAACTAAGGAGGAGAGGAGTTTGTTTCTCTCAGATTTTTAACCCCTCACAACCATCTATAGCTTCCCACTTACCAGGGTGTCTCTCTGGATTTCCATCAATTAAGACACATTCTGCACCTGTGCCCACTAAAGCTAAGGTTCTCTTAGTGCTGTTTTAGACTCCAATCAATAGTGAGCTCCAAATACGGCCTCTGGTCACCCCCTATTGCTCTTACACAGAAGCAGCCTTGACCCTACCTATGATCTCCAGGCTGGAAAGAAGTGCACCCCTGAATTTTTACCAAAGGTTTCTTCCTGTCTTTCTCCCTCTTCTCATGGGGGGTGGGGGAGGTAATAAGAAGGTGTCTAAACTATTGATCAGGAGTCAGGTCTTTCCATACCCCACTAATATGCCACTGGGTTGCCCATCTATATTCTCTTTGTCAATCCCAGCTGAAATCAGATCATACCACATTTGTTTCCTAGTAACCTTAATTGTGTCTTTTTTAAACTCCTTTTTTCAGTCCAGCAGACTTTGTTTCTCCCTTTTTCCATTTTCCTTTAGCAACCAGTCATACCTAATCTCTTTCCTTTTGAGTTTCTAGGAAATCTGAAATGGCTTTCCCTATAACTTATCCCATAAGGGGGTTATTTCACTTCCGGGGTACTTCTGTCTCAATTTTTCAGGTTCATTCCCTTTTAGGGAGATATCATCCCTACTGGTGTCCCATAGCTGCACCATTCATGTACATAAGGCTTTCTCTTGGCAGCTGTTTTAAAGTTTTTATTATATCCAGTAATCCTACCCAGGCCTCTGTGTGTTGGAATTTTGCTTTCCACTGCATGAACAGTTTCACTCTCAAATGGGAAGGATAATGATCTTCCTCCTCTGAGTTAAACTCTATGTCATCATCTGGCTCACTGGTTGTTTCCCAAGAATTACAGGTATTTGCATCCCAGCCTGCACTGGCAAAGACAGTCCACACATTCAGCTGGCACAGCTTTCTCTCTCTCAGCCACACAAAGTGGCAAGGTACAATTTCCAACTGTGCCTCTTGAGTTTCAAGTTTATCATAAAACCAGACATTAACACAGACATGGAAGTTCTCATCCCTTTCTCACTGCGATTCTTTTCCTAGCTTCCCTCCCCTTGCCTCAGCTGCTACCTGTGCTTTCGTGACCACTCACATAGATAATAACAGCAGCAAACTCACTGTTGTCACTGTTTTGCCACCTTTTTCACCACAGTGAGTCATAGTTTTTAGTAACGTTTTACTAAAAAGCTTTAAACACACATAGTGGTCCACAGACATGTAGCATATGGGCAACACCACCCAAATGGATGAGGAGGGCGCTTGTAAAACTTCCTCCACAGACGCTTCTTTCCCCTTGTCCATACTTTGGTTTCCTGGCTGGCCATTTGCTCCGTTAAAGGACCGTATACACAAAGCAACTCTCAAATGCCAAAGGATCTGAAAAATTAAAGAAGAAGGCAGAAAATCCATTTAGTCAGTACTGGTTAATTTATAGATGGAACTTACACACAGAACCATACCCTTGGATGGTTGCAGGTAGGCAGTTGTTCACACTGTTACTCTCCAGACCCAGGGTTAATACTCCACAGGGAAAAGGTATACATGCTTTAGCAAGGCAATTAAAAGCAACCCTCCAGAATGGACAAGGAGGCTACATGCCTCATAGCATGTAATTTTTGTGGTAACACACTGGTTGACATGATTTTACACTAAGGACAGTAAATAAATGAGAGATCAGAAGGCATTCATGGAACTGGGGCAAATCAGAAGTAACATGGTGGACTAGCATCCAAGATGGGTCATTTTGTCTCCACAGGTTCTATGACCTGCTGTTTTTTCGAAGTACAGCTGGGAATATTCATGTAAGTGCAAGACATGCAAGGTTTTATCCTTCCCTGTCTTCAGTAGCACAGTGATGAAGAGAACAGTCTCTGCAGGGAAATGTCTAGTGTAAAATGAACTCTCCAAAAAATAAGAACATGTAATATTTGAACACAGACAGAAGAATCAATAGGCCGGGCACGGTGGCTCACACCTGTAATCCCAGCACATTGGGAGGCCAAGGCGGATGGTCAGGAGTTTGAGACCAGCCTGACCAACATGGTGAAACCCCATCTCTACTAAAAATAAAACAAAATAAAATAGCCAGGTGTGGGGACGTGTGCCTGTAGTCCCAGCCACTCAGGAGGCTGAGGCAGGACAATTGCTTGAACCCGTGAGGCAGAGGTTGCAGTGAGCCGAGATCACAACATGGCACTCCAGCCTGGGTGACAGAGCGAGACTCTGTCTCAAAAAATTAATGATAATAAAGAAGAATCCATAAAAATAAAAAGAGTTGAAAATCTGATAGATGTCTATATAAACAAATAATCCAAAAGAAAAAGTAATGGAAAAAGGTGAATTTTCTTTTTTTTTTTTTTTGAGACGGAGTCTCACTCTGTCACCCAGACTGGAGAGCAGTGGCGCAATCTTGGCTCACTGCAAGCTCCGCCTCCCAGGTTCACGCCATTCTCCTGCCTCAGCCTCCCAAGTAGCTGGGACTACAGGTGCCTGCCACCATGTCTGGCTAATTTTTTGTATTTTTAGTAGAGATGAGGTTTCACCATGTTAGCCAGGATGGTCTCAATCTCCTGACCTCGTGATCTGCCGCCTCGGCCTCCCAAAGTGCTGGGATTACAGGCGTGAGCCACCGCACCAGGCTGGAAAAAGATGAATTTTCAATAAACATTTCAGTATACTGAATGTCCATCGAGAGAAATAAAATTTACTTTTAAACTCATGCACAAAATCAACTTCAAGTGGATTATAGACCTCCATAGAAAAAAGAATTCAATGGAGTATTTAGAATTTAATATAGGAAAATAATTTCATTACAATAGGGTAGGTGAGGAATTCTTAAAAAGCACCTACAAAGTGTTTACTCTAAGAGAGAAATGCTATTCTAACATAGTTGATATGAGTAGGAACACTGGGTCAAGCTCAAGGTTGTTCTAAGTCTTTTCCTATAGGGCTTTAGCTCAGATTCAGAGCTAGAACTTTCAGAGGGTCACAGTAGTGTCTACCTCTTGAGATGCTGTGACAACTTAATGCACTCATACACAAAATGTGTAGACTAATGGCAGCTTTGAAAGGAAAATAAAATCTCAGGACACTAAATCTCTATGACCAATGGGAAAGTTAGGCTTAGGAACTGTGTCACACTAAAACTGACTTCCTTTTTTTCCCAAATAGATAGCTGTAATTATACATGGTTACTTTATCTTATGCAAAGTGTAGATCCAGCAAACATGAGATGAATGCATAATCAACTTTATCCCCCACTCCTCTATTTGCACATATCAAATGTGGTTTCAGTGAGTGCTAATCAAAGCCTCACGAGAATGCAAACGCTTGCCTCAGTGCCTAGCCCTCTCTGCTTTTTTCCCCCTTCCCCTACTGCTCACTTTTTCCCCTTTAAATGCTGAAGTCATCAAACCTTGCTTTGGAAAAAGCAGATCACAGATCCTGCTGTAATTTGTGTTGCTTTTTCCCATGCACTTTCTCAACGTTGGCAAGATCTAGCTCTAAATTTACTGAGACCTGCCTCAGTCACTTTTCAGTTTATATTTTGGAAACCACAATGAGTTCTGTGCAGAGTTTCGCCCTTTGGCCTGCAGCAACTCTCCTAGCAGGGCCCTGGTACAGCCAACTGGAAGCTTTGTATTGCTCTGACTGATTGGATGATTTGCTGAGGTCTGGGAGCCTCCCCCTACACAGATCCCTGATCTCCCAAACTTTTTGTTTGAGGTCTGAGGTATGTTCTCTTGTAGAACTCCCTCTCTGGGAGTTTGCTGCTTCTGAGGAGGCAGAGCGCAGTCTTGCACTTGGGCCAGCATCTCCAAGTAAGGAGCTGGCTGGGGGTTTTTAAATTGGATTTGGTGGCTTTGAGTCTAGCTTTCTTCTTAGCCAGTTACAAATTCTTAGGTTCAAAGATCTCAACTTATGTAAATTGTGCAATCACTTTTACTTCCTGTTTTGGCAAAAATCTATGTCTGTCTCCTCTACAAAGTTTTGACTGGAGATACATAAAAAAGATTTTAGAGATCTCATATTCTTAATAATACATTAGAATATGAAATTTTACAAATGACTTACAATAGCGTCATGACTATCCTTGAGAATTCTGGCTCTGTACAGTAAAATCTCTTAGCATTGCTTGAAATTCATAAGACATACCCTTGATTAAAGGGCATGGTCAAATATTTAACTTTCTTTGGGTTCAATGTACATACATGTGTTAGTGTGTGTTCCAAAATTGTACATCAAAACTCTGTGACCACAATTTTCCTGTATTACAAACCTGCAAATGTACCCCAAACCTAAAACAAAAAAATTGGTAAAATAAAATAGAAATGTCTTCAGAATTTAACTTAGATATTTGGTCTGAACTGGTCAGGCAACTCAGATACTGTTTTTGCTGGATGTTTTAGGGCCATAAACTGCTCTGTGATATTTTAAATAATTGTTTGATTTGTCTTTCTTACAGCCATAGTAAGTTCAGGGGACATATAGTGTTCTCCCTAGCCCAGCTGTGCCCTCTGACTACATTGGGAAGGGTCAGATGTTATTGGCAGCTGTGTCTTTTGTCCCTGGCTCTGCACCTGACACGTAAGTAAAATTTCTTACTTCCTAGAGTTTTTCAATACAAGTAAGAGTTACTGAGAGGTAACATTACAGTTAACATATATAATTGAATCTACTAGATGCATCCAAAGTATATAATAAAAGTGAGATGTGTTATTAGAAAAAAAATGCTATAGAAAGGTATGAGAAATGTGTTTTCCTTACAAAGGGAAACTAATTTTGTCTACTGTAGAGGTTTTCAAGTTGTCTTTAAATTGAAGACAAACTGACGGATAAAGCTAAATGGCTACAGAAAGTTGGGGCTTGGTGTGGTGGTTCATTCCTGTAATCCCAGCACTTTTGGAGGCCCAAATGGGAGGACTACCTGAAGCCAGCAGTTTGTGACCAGCCTGGGCAACAAAGTGAGACACCATATCTACAAAAAAAAAAAGAGCCAGGCACAGTAGTGTGCGCCTGTTGTCTCAGCTACTCAAGAGGCTAAGGTGGGAGGACTGCTTGAGGCTAGGAATTTGAAGCTATAGTAAGCTATGAGTGTGTCACTGCATTCCAGCCCAGGTGATAGAGGGAGACCTTGTCTCAAAAAAAAAAGGTAAAGGAAGGTTGGAAAGAAATTTTTTGGTTGTTCTAAGATACAATCATGGGATAAAACTGAAAGTTTGACGGAATTGTAGATTTGTAGCAGATTGATTTTACAAAAGAAATACTGTGTGTGACCAAGTGGGCTGAAATTTAAAGGGTATTATTCAGTCTTTCTATAAATTGAACACTAAAAAGCACATTTATGCAAGCCCAGAATCTGGATGTGATTTTTTCAGAGAACTTATCTGCTTCTCAGTAGAAAATAGTAAAAGGTTAACAAGCATTTCTTAAATCATACCTTATGATTAAACTGATTGATATTTGATGAATTCATTTATAAATTTTATTAAAATTGCTTTAGTATTAATACCACGCCACGCAAAGGTAAAGTTGGTTTTCTTTTTTGAACCAGGATTTTGTTTAATATTAAGAGAGAGTAAAAGATTTTTGTTTGCCTTTTGGGCAAACTGCAAAAAAAGAGGAGGGGAGTAAGGTTCACTTGGTTTCATACTATATTTATTAGGTTTTACTGGTTTTTCATTTTTTCGAGGTATTTTTGTTTGTTTTTTTGAGACAGGGTCTCACTCTGTCACCCAGGCTGGAGTGCAGTGGTGTGATCTTGGCTCACTGCAACCTCCATGTCATGGGTTCATGTGATCCTCTTTCCTCAGACTCTGTAGTAGCTAGGACTACACACACCAATACAACCAGATAATTTACAAATTTATTTTCTGTAGAGACGAAGTCTCACTATATTGCCCAGGCTCGTCTTGAACTCCTGGGCTCAAATGATCTTCCCGTGTCGGCCTCCCAAAGCAATGGAATTACAGGCACAAGCCAGTGCACTCAGCCTGATATTAGACCTTATTGTTTAAGAAACTGAATCTCCTTTCTCTATATCAAAGAATAAAGATTTTTGCTTTTTAGAAATATTTAAAATATCATTTTTGGCTTAATGAGTAATTCACTTCATCGTGATTGGTGATTCTATTTTGTAACACTGTTTCAAACCTTTGATATTTGACAAACTTTCCAAATCAAATTTTAATTTAGCCTTAGTGACCTAATTAACTTTTTGAATATTAGGTCACCTGAAGTCCAACAGTGACAAATTAGCCACATTTAACATGTTAAAATCATATAGAAGCATGGTGAAATATTTAACTTTTGAGTTCTATTTACCTAAATATTACCATGTGCTCCAAAATCATATGAGATGCCAATAATTCTGACATGCCTTACTATATGTTATCAGTAATAATTATGATTATTATGTTAAATTGTTGTATGACACAGAAATAACCAAATTTCTTATCAGCTATACCTGTAACTATGACTGTCCTAAGAGTTTTTCATTCACAATTGTTGTTTTACTTTGATTATTCTCAAAAAGTAGTTTATAAAAAACCAGTCGGCCAAAACTTGCTTCTTTAGAAGAGTTGGTGAAAATGACTCTGATAGGTTTTCTTGAATTTAGGTTTCTGATAACTTTGGAGATTGTGCCATTGTACAAACGAAAACAATAACAATAACAACAACAAAACTCCCAGGACTCTAAACAGGCTGACGTGTTCATGAGGATTGCTAAGCCAATACAAAGTAGAACAAGTTAATTATGTGGGACTGATGTAACAGAAGAATGAAACAATTTTTTAGGACTTTTTTATTTGAAACATTGATGACTATATTTGTTTTTCAGAGTAAAGAAAGGTTTATTCTTAGCTATTTATAGTTTTTAACAATTGAATATGGTATACTCTTTAGAGAAAAATTTCAACTATACTTCTTTCTCTTTACCTGATTTCCCCAGAATTTGAAAACTATTTCTGAATATTCTTAATTTATGGTAATATAAGTTATTTGCATATAATCAATAACAATTTTTTTTTTGTAATGGGACACAATTGGAGACACTGGTTACCTTGTCAAGGCTTTGGCTGGAATAGCATATTTTCATCTATGAGCAGATTGCTTTGAGAAATTTAGGTTGAATAATAAAACCAGTAAAATTCCCTTGGAGAGACTGGCCCTGTGCCTTCTTTATGCAGTTTCTTTACAGATTTTCTGATCTGTGGTAAGAAACGCATGTCACTTTCTGACAGGCCTAGGAACTCCAAGTAATCTTGCGACCTCAAGATGAGATGAATTCACCCAGTTCATACAGTTATTTGCAGGCACAATAAATGCTTGTTTGAGCTTGAGGGGCTATTTGAAAAAAATAGTAGACACTTTGTTTAAAAAAAAGTTCCATCAGTGCCAACTTAGAAGAGCCTATATGGAAAAAAAATAGTCTTGCTGCACTTTATGAAAATAATCAGGCCAAGTACAATAAAACTAAAACTTATTTTGGAAATAAATTGGTCTTACTATGATTTTTCTTTAGTAAAAATGGAAGACTGTAGAGAGAAAAAATGTATTTCAAATGAAACTATAGTACATCTTTTATTGGATTCTAGCCCTGTTCATTGTCTTCCAGTTTTATTATTGGTTTACAATTTAGCTAGACTGGATCCTAAATTCTTTGCTGGTTACCAGTCTCCAAACTAAAATTTTCAATGTTTTTTTTTTTTCTTTCCCATTTTTTTCTGACTTCAAATTAGTAGAAATCTGTGCTTTTTGTAAAGCCCTGCAGACTGAAACTAGAAAACTTAAACTTTGGGAGAAATAACAGCATCTTATTTATTTACATAAAATATTTTCATGACCGTCTAGTTATATATGGACTGCTCTGTGATATAGTCTATTGGTTTTCAAGGATTGCTTTCTACTTTATTGCTATAATCCAGCTGTGTCTCTTTTTTCTTATCTTTTCCCTTTATTTCTTATTCCCCCTATTTCTTCACAACCTTCTAGAATGAGTCTCCTTAAAAATGTGGATCCTAACCTTCTAGGAATAAACCATCCTAATGTTGAAAGATTAGGAAAAAATATAACCAAACACACATTTTCTGCTAAAATGCTTTCTCTGAAATATTTTGAAGAACAAGGAAAATAAAATCTTGGGACCCCAAACTCACTATGCCAAAGGAAAAGTCAGGAACTGAGTCATGCTAATACTACCTTCCTTTTGTTCCCAAAGAGACAGCTGTAATTTCACAAGTTTGCCTATCTTATGTAAAATGTAGATCTACCACGCACAAGACAAATGCACAATCAACTTTTTCTCCATTCCTCTGTACACATGCAACATCTGGATGCAGTGAGTGCTAATTCAGGCCTCATTCGGATGTACTTGCCTCACTGTCTTTCCTCCCCTTTCTTTATCCTCCACCTGCTCCTGCCTGGTCTCACCCCTATAAATATGGAAGTCAGCAAAACCCTCTTTGGAAAAAGCACAGGCCACAGAGCCTACTGTGACTTGTGTTTCTTTATCCTTAAACTTGGCAAAATAATTCTCTGAATTGAATGAGATCTGTGTCAGTCATTTTTGGTTTACATAGGTCTACACTAAACACTAAGTTACTATTTGCTACCAGTGACAGCTTTTTTCAAGTAATTGCGAGAAGTATCATATGTATCAATTGTAAAATACATCATTATTTTACATCACAATAAAAGCATAAAACTATTGAAAAACTATGACATCACAAAAATTTTGTCATATATGTTGAAAATAATACTTTTTGTTTGAAATGCCTGTTCCCTGGTGCCATAAAGAAATAGCACTTGAATATAAATTTAATTTCCTCAGCAAGGCCATTTTTATATTTTCTTCAGAAAGGGTACACTCGCCAGCATTTTTGCCATGAGAGTGCACAGAACAAAGGAGACAGGGTCATTTATAACCTGATGCTTCCACCCCACTGCTGTGTCTGGTTTCCATTGGCTGGAACAGGACCTCACATTCCGTATTTGTCCCGACTGGCTAGCAACTTAGAACTTTTTAAAAGAGGCAAAGGCAGAGGAGAACAAAGGAAGGAGGAAGTAACTTTTGGAATCCAGAGAAAGGTAAAAACACCTTCAAATAAGGAAGAGGAACACGCTATGACCTAATGCTTGCTTGGACCAGTATAAGCATGCCAGGGCAAATATTTAGGTTAAATTGTGGGAGCTAAGAACATAAAGTACATTCATTTCTTTATTACGGCTAGCAGATATTTAAGAATGTTAGCACAGGTCTTTGAAAAAATTTTGCTTCTAAGAGAAGTTACTATTTATTTCTAATTAGATGGCGAGGAAAGTCTTCGAAGAGGAACCTCTATTCTACTTTTTACACTTTTGAACTTATATAAATGTGTGTATTGATGTCATATCACTCCTATGATCACATAAGACAGAAAGTGAAAGCAAAATAGGTAATCAAGGTTTTCTAAAATTTCTCATATTTGGATAAAACTCTTCTAAATCACTGTGCAACTCACCTTGTCCATGGATTTTTTCTACACTAGCATCATCTCTGGTAATTAGGAGCTTTGCTGATGCCATATTTGTAGTGAGAGAACTATAATAGTTTCTGTTAGATTATGTTTCTCATCTGCTAACATCCCTCTCCAAGTCATGATGTTAAAGATACCACCAGAATGTGAAAATGGAAGTTTTTTACATCAAGTTCACTTGTGTGCACATGAAGTCCATCACATTATTACTGTCTTCTAACCAATAGCCTTTTAACAATATTATGATTGATCTCTATTTGAAAGATGTAAAAAATATGCCTTTTAAAATAAATGGAACACCTTATTTTTTCTCTGTGACTGCCCCCTTCTCACTATAAAATTTTGTCGGCTCATCATATGTATTCTGGTCTATTATTGAGAAAACATGTTTAACTATAGTTTCAAATTAGTTGAACAACTCAATTTACCTGCTACCTCAGGATTAGAGAGAGAGTTATTATTGGGCTACTAGAATTCCTATTTTAAATGTTGCTGTGAATTGTTTTAATTTTATGTAACCTGGGCATTCATTTTGTACATAGTGTTGACATTCTCATACCAGAAATAGGGTTTAGAAATCCGTGACAGTTTCCAGTTTGTGGCCTCTTCCACATTCCTCAAGGTGGTCATTGAACATAGCCCCTTATAAAACCTGCTCAAGGTGACTACTCCATATAAGACAGCTGAATACCACCTTTATCTCACCTCACTGTCCCCTGTGGGAACTGCACAGATATTCGGCAGTAACCACCTCTCAGTCAAACTTTGACTCTGTGGAAATCATGGTTGCTTCACCTTAACCCAGCAATTTGAACTCCTCATGAGAAACCTGCTTGGGTAACACTCCAAAACCCAATGTAATGTTTAGTTTTAGGAGTCAACTAACTGTATTAACGAATACCTAGAACACTGGCAAAGCATTACTTCTGGATCTGTGAGGTTTCACCAGAAAGGTCTGAAATGTGAGTCGGTAGACAGAGTGGGTAAGATCCTGTGATGGAGCAGGGACCCTTTGTTAGGGGCCTGTAGCTTCCCCAAGCAGGGAAATAAAGGAAAATCGTGAGTCCCTTCAAGGGAAATCCCTGGTACCTAGCTAGCACTGAGAAAGAAATGAGGAACTTGATAAGCAAGAAGGTAATAGTAGCCTAAACAACAGCCAAGGTAGTTACAGTCAGAAGATGTTTGTTTTGTTCTAAAGATCGCATCTTAACATACATTCCTGAGTCATTTTTCATAGAAACCTAGACCCCCACCAAAGGCATCTGCTGACAAGTACACCTCAGATAAGGGGGGCCTGAAAACTGAATTCTGACTGCCATTCTTTGTGCTAAATTTCTTCCTGAGGGGCTAGAGGGAGGCAAATCCATTAGCCAAAGAGCTAATATTTTTTTCTGCCAACCCCCAAATTTTAAAACAACTCTTCTTTTCTTTAACCAATTACAAATCAGAAAACCCTTGAATCTATGTATGGGCTGTAAGCACCTGCTTCAAAATATCACGACTTTTCAGGACAAAACCAATGTGTAACCTCCAGTACTGATTTACAATTTTGCCAGTAACTTCTGCTTTCCTGAAATTTACCCCTGCTTTAAAAAAACCCTTACCTGCAAGCCACTGGGGAAGTGGGAACTTAAGCATTAGCTGACTCATCCGCCTTGCTTCACAATGTCCAGATAAACACCTCCTTTTCTCCCACTGCAAATGTCAGTGTAGGTATCTAGTCTTACTGTACTGGGTGAGCAGACCTGAGTTGAATTCTTTTTTTTTTTTTTTTTTTTTTTTTGAGACGGAGTCTCGCTCTGTCGCCCAGGCCGGACTGCGGACTGCAGTGGCGCAATCTCGGCTCACTGCAAGCTCCGCTTCCCGGGTTCACGCCATTCTCCTGCCTCAGCCTCCCGAGTAGCTGGGACTACAGGCGCCCGCCACCGCGCCCGGCTAATTTTTTGTATTTTTAGTAGAGACGGGGTTTCACCTTGTTAGCCATGATCCTGACCTCATGATCCACCCGCCTCGGCCTCCCAAAGTGCTGGGATTACAGGCGTGAGCCACCGCGCCCGGCCTGAATTCTTTAACAATCCACCCTCTATGTGGGTAGGCACCATCCAGTGGGCTGGGGGTCCCGATAGAATGAAAAAGTAATGAGAATGATTTTGTTCTCCCTCTCTCCTGGAGCTGGTACACTCTCTGCCTCCTGCCCTTGGACATCTTAACTACAGACTCTCTTCCTTGGGACTCCAGGACTTACTTCTGCATCCCTCCACATTCTCAGTCCTTTGGCCTCAGACTGAGAATTACACTGTCCGCTTTCCTCATTCTGAGACTTTCAGCCTTGGAATGAGCCATGCTACTGGTACTCCATGGTTTACAGCTTACAGAAGACCTGTCTTGGCTTCCATAATCATGTGACCCAATTTATCTAATTAATGCTCCCCCATCTATCTATATATGTATCCTATTGGTCCTGTATCTCTGAAGAATGCTAAAACAGGTTTTATTTTTTAAACCATGAATGATTGTAGAGAACCAGAATTTTAGGAATGAGTTTCTTTCATTGGTTTTGGGGTTTCTAAACTTAGATCTCTAAACTGATGATACCTAAAAATGTTAAAGCCTCCATTTCTAATAGTCCAGAAAACATTGCTAGTCCATGTCATAAACTGCTTAAAGGATATGCAAACATCTACCTTTGACACTCCTAATCAACACCGATAAAAGACAAGGAACTTGGTGACTCTGACAGCACATCTTTAAATATCTGTGGAAAATCAAGGACTCTGCTTCTAGAGTTGATGAGTAAAGTGATCAATAAAAAAGATACGCTAAGAGATTCAAATTTCAGAATTCGGCTTCACATAAAAAGCCTTAGAGCTTCTTACAGTGCTCTGAGTGAGAATTATATCTCCTATAGTCACAGGGCTGAAAATGCTAAAAGTCAAACACAAACCTTCACCGTGCAGTTGGCTGAATTACTTTGAAAGTTGAACTTTCAGCCTAGCAAGGTACCTACTGTAAATTTAAAGCACTGTACAGAGAAGAATGGAACTCTGTAGAGTGGGTTGGGAACATTTGGGGAGACCATGTTGAGGCTGGAGACATTGAGCTCTGAAATTCCGACGTCTTCTTTGCCAGTAGACCTGACCCCCTACTGACACCCTCTTGGCAGTAGCCTCTTCACCCACACTGGTATAGGTGGTTCCACCTCCTCTGAGGGGATTACGCCAGCATTGCCTGAGGGAAAGGTAATGGACTGCAATGCAGATTCTCCTAAGGCCCCACACCCACCACTCCTTTTTGCTTCTAGGCCTATAAGTAGACTCAAATCTCAAAATGCCCTTAAAAATGATATACAAAGTTTGGCCCATGGGAGGTTCATGACAGTTCAAGAAAACTATTTGAGTTTATAATTTATACAAGGAGAAATCTGGAGAACATGTGTGGAAAAGGGTATTAAGAGTTAGGATAATAGTGGAGGAAACAAAGTTGGATCACCCAGATTTATTGATATGGACTCATTAAAAAAGATACTGGTTTTAGTTTTGCAGCATGGGAAATTAGAAAGGGCTCTAACAGTTTGGTTGGTTGGCTGAACTATAAATCAAAAGATGGCCCTTATTTAGCCAGTTGGATATGCCTGATCTCCCTTGGCCTCATGTAGAGGAAGAGATTCAAAGGCTTAGAACGAATGGAACTCCAGAGTGCATTTGTCATTTGAAATCTACTCACCCACACTGGGAGGCTCCAGAAGACCAACCTTTCAGCAATACTTTAAGAAACTGATTTCTAAGGGGAGACCAGCATCCTTGAATAACTTTCTCTGTAGCTGGAAGCTTATACTGAGAACCACAGTCACTCAATAGAAAATTTAAATGCATTGGGAATAACTGGATCTCACAGGTCCCAGAGCCATGTGGCAGCTGTCAACCTTCAGAATCAAGATGGACATAGTTACCAAAATGGGCAGCAAAGGTACAGCAACATTCAGATGCATCTGACTCAAGTAGATCTATGGTGTTGGCTAGTTTGACTGTGGTGTTCTCAGAAGTAAAATAGAAAAGAAGCCTAATAAACCCTTAATTGATCTGAAAATACTGAAAACATTTATGTTTACGAAAGCCTAACTCAAATCAAAATAATAGAGAATCACAGCTCCTACTAAAATCCAAGACTAGAGCCAGTTTATAGTCAAGAACTCCTTGAAAAAAGGAGCAGCCAGGTCCCCTTGATGAAGGACCCAGGTATACCACAAAAACTTTATACTGTTCATCTTTCTCCTGTCCTTCCCAAAAGGGAACCTATAACCTTTTAACAGCTGTGTTTTGGGGAAAGGAATATAGTAAGAACTTTTCAGGACTAGTAGACACTGGCTCTGACCTTACATTGATTCCAGAAGACTCAACCCAACTCAAAACATCACTATAGAATGCCAGTCAGAGTGGGGATTTATGGAGGTCAGGTGATTAAATTTTAGTCACATGAAATCACCATGGGTCCAGTGGCCCCAAACACATACTCTGGTCATTTCTCTAGTTGTAGATGCAAAGCTTTAATAGACATAGTTAGCACCTGGCACATTTCCCACATTGGTTCCCTGACCTGTGGAGTGGGCGCTAGTATGGTGGGAATATCTAAATGGAAGGCACTAGAGCTGCCTCTACCTAGGAAAATAGAAAATCAAATTCATAACCACACCTCTGGAGTGACTGTAGAGATTACCACCACCATCAAGGACTGGAAGGATGCAGGGGTAGAGATTCTAACACATCCCTGTCTAACTTGGCCTGTGCAAAAGACAGATGGATCCTGGAGAGTGACAGTGGATTCCCACAAGCTAAACCAAGTGTTCCTTGTAATTGCAACTGCTATATCAGATGTAGTTTTATTGCTTGAGCAAATTAACACATTCCCTGATACCTGGTATGCACCTATTGATCTAATGAAGCTTTTTCTCTATTTCTCTTCATAAGGCCCACCAGAAGTCGTTTAATTTCAGTGTCAATAACTTCTCTGTCCTACCTCAACATAATATCAACTCTCCATAACAAAGTCACAGTTTGCAGGAAGTTGATCACCTTCTCCTTCCACAGGATACTACACTGGTCCAAGGCATTGATAACATTATGCAGATTTAAACTAGTGGATGTGCAGTAACAAGTACTCTGAACACTTATAAGGTATTTTCATTTCAGATAGTGGGAAATTCTCTAACTAGATCTCTTTTACCAAAAGCAAAAAGCAAACAAACAAACAAAAAAAAGGTATTAATGGCCCTATGCCAGAATAAGGGACTACAAGAAAACATGTAAATTGACTTCCACGAGGATAAAAGCCAGAGAAGGCAAGCAAATATTTCCTGAGTTAGACTCTCCCCATGAAGCCATGAAGAGCACTGTGACACCTGGTCTCCCCTGAGACCCAAAGCCTCTTTGACACCAGCAGTCTCTGTAATTGGCACACTGGCTCCCTAGCAGTAATCCCCCTGGGAAGTCTTCTTAAAAAGCAGAGGATATCCAGGATGGTTTGAAATTTCTCACAATTATTTTTTCAAAAATCCATAGCTATCCAGGTAGTTAAGGAGGCCCATGAGAGCTCACATTATGGTAGATAACCCTGTACAATTGGCTCCTTCAAACGATGACCACTCCCAACCTTGGAGACAGTGCAGCAAGTGACCCACAGTTGCTCTCTCTGCCACACTAACAGTCCCCATAACAGATCACCCTCAAGGCCTCATGTTAAGGAGTACAATTTAGGGGAATTTACCCTGGCAAGGACTGGCAAACACACTTTACGGTCATGCTCCAGACCCCCGGGAACTTTAGATACCTTCTAGGTGTGGTTGTTATCTTCCCACGATGGATAAAGGTGATCAACTCGCTCTGATACCACCTCGGAGGTATCATGCCATCTCTTAAAGGATATTTTTCCTGGGTTTGGGCTGCCTAAAACCATGTAGTGGACAAGTTTTTTTTTTTTCTTTTTTTTTTTTTTGAGATGGAGTCTCACCCTGTTGCCCAGGCTGGAGTGCAATGGCGTGATCTCAGCTCACTGCAGCCTCTGCCTAGCGGGTTCAACAAATTCTCCTGCCTCAGCCTCCAGAGTAGCTGGGATTACAGGTGCCCACCACCACGCCTGGCTGTTTTTTTGTATTTTTTAGTAGAGACGGAGTTTCACCATGTTGGCCAGGCTGGTCTCAAACCCCTGACCTTATGATCCGCCTGCCTTGGCCTCCCAAAGTGCTGGCATGAGCCAGCTTTGGCCTCCCAAAGTACAGACATGAGCCACCATGCCCGGCCAGTGGGAAAGCTTTTATATCTTAAATCACTCAAAAGGTAGCCCAAGACCTAGAAATCCCCTGAAAACTCCACACAGCAAGGAGACCCCAGGCCTCAGGAGAAGCAGAAAAAGCCACTTAAAGCTTAACGAGAACGTTGGCTAAACTGTGCTGGGAAACAGAGGAAAACTGACTCACTCTCTTACCATAGCTCTTCTGGACTCTAATCATCCGGTGGATGTGATCATGCATTCTCTGACAGTAGTCAGCCTCTTTTCCCAGGCACCTATGTCATCAGTCACCGGGCTTATGAATAAAGTGGCCACTGTGGTAGGGACTGAGGTTTTGCATACACACAGCAATCTGGAATTCCTTTCACCATGGCCAACCAGGTTACAGACCCCTCTGAGTGTTCCAACTGTCAGCAGCAGAAACTAACACCAAGTCTCTATATGGCACCATTCCCCAGGAAGATCTGCCAATTTCCTTGTGGTAGGTTGATTACATTGGGCAGCTTTCATCAGGGAAGGGGCAGCATTTTGTTCTTCCTGGAATAGTAAGACAGTTACTCCATCTATAAATTTTACTTCCTTGCATGCAAGTATTCTGTGGAAACTACCATCCATGGACTTAATGCCTATCTACCATCATGGTATTCCACACAGCATTGCTTCTGAACAAGGAACTCACGTCACAGACAAAGAAGGGTAGAAATGAGCTCATGCTCAGAAACTTCAGTGAATTCACCATGTTCCCTATAATCCTGAAGCAACTCACTTGAAACAATGGTGGAATGACCTTTGGGAGTTACAGTTCCAGCACCTGCTAGATGACAATATTGTGTAACTGTGGGGCAAGGTTCTCTAGAAGGCAGTATATGCTCTGAACCAGCATGCATTATATGGCGCCATTTCTCCCGAAGCAGTGTGGTCACAAACACTTCATCAGTCTCTAAGGACTCCCAAATATTTCCTATCTTCTAAACCCTCACAAGAATACAGGCTTTTACTAGTCTGCCTCTCCAAGATTCTTTTAGCCTCTGCCCATCACCCAGTTTGAAAGACACTTTCATATTTTCAGGTATTCATTTTCAGCAACAACCTACTTGTCATTACCAGTTTTCTGTATTAGTCCCTTCTTTGTTGCTTAAAACAGAATACAAAATATTGGGTAATTTATAAGGAAAATAAATATATTTCTCACACTTAAGGCATAAATGATGGCTTGGCAGCCTCCACAAATTTCAAAGTATTTTTTTTTTGACAGCCTGGGAGTCCAGAGAGAGAACTGTCACAGGGTCAGATCCACTGCCGAGAGCCCCCAGTAGAAGGATGCCAAACACAAATGTGGGGTTGGAGCTGCTGCAAAGAGTCCCCACCAGGGCAATGCCAAGTGAAGCCACAGAACTGAAGTCACTGCAGAGAGTTCCACATGGGTAATGCCTAGTGGTGCCAATACCAGGATCCCAGGATTGTGAAGTCCCCTGTGGCATTCAATGCCTGCCTGGGAAAATTTCAACCAGTACAAGCACCCACGGGTGATTCACCAAGGAAACCCTTAGGGGTGACACTGCCTAGGGCTTGCCACTCCAACCCTCACCCCAATATGTTAAGGAGTAAAAAACAAAAAAAAAAAGGCTCTCCAGCTTTAAGATGTAATGTTTGCCCTCCTGGACTTCAAATTTACTTAGGGGCTGTTACTGTTTTCTTTGTGTCTATTTCTCTCTTATAGAATGGGAATGTGTACATTATGTTTATCCTGAAATCACCTTTGAAAAAATTCTAACAGTGAGAAAATTATGACTGTAAAAGAGATATGACCTGACTGAATCCATCTTGGCTTTAATCTCAAAGCTGCCCTTGTTTGTTCCTGGACAAAGGGAACATTAACATTATAGCCTAACTTTGAAACAAAGATGACAGCCCTTCCTTGAAACAAATCCCTTAATTGCTTGGGGACCAGACCACCTTTGTAAAACCAACAAATTAACCACAAGATTAGAAAATATGGTTCAAGAGCCATACAGCCAGAGGCCATAACATTACTAACATCCCCAATTGCTCCTAGAGACAGCATTCATACTGTGAACCTAAGGGGCCTAGGATCCCTATAAGCCCACTGTTTGGGCTGGCCCTGCAGACTTGTTAGTTACAAAATTTGCTACACCTCCCTGAAACAAAAAAGTTGAAGTTTCCCTCTTATCTTGTTTTATGTTCTTGAAAACTTGACTTAGTAACCATGTGAGGATGCTGTCCCTTGTTCTCCCACATACACAGAGTTGGAATTTCTGGATTCAGGTCAGGCAGCCAGTCTGAAAGGATACATAATAATGTCACAGCTAGCTTTAAGGATTCTCTTGAGCAGTTAAAATCCTTGAAGCTTGGAGCTGACTGACCTACATTATTTCTGACCAACAGCAACTGCCCCATACTGTAGCTCAGTAACTAAGGTTTTTCCCTTTTACTGCAGCAGCCTGGGTTTGATTCTCACCTCAAGCAGTAAGCCCTTTCTAGTGTGATATTTGGAGACTTTTTGCCATTCATTCGATGATTTTCTTCTCCATGGACATCTTCTCACTTTCTGTCTTAAATTTTCCTTTATAAGCTATCTTTGGGGAAATTCTCAATCTTGCAAAAACTGCTTGCCATCTCTGTGAGACACTTCATGCATCCATGGTTAAGTCATAACCTTAGTTAGGCTTCTGAGTTTCTCATGGGCAGTTACCTTTGGAAAAGTTTAAAGCCAAAAATACTACCTATTTGTCCTGGCTAAAATCTATTAATAAAAGATTTCAGCAGATTTTCTTTTGAGAGCTCTGTAATCAAAAATCAACTTGATTAAGGCTGATATTGAGCTACATGTGCACAGATAGTATTTTAAAGCCTTTGCTCTCCCTCTAAAAGTTTCTCATTCAATGGAATTCTATCTGATCCTCCATTTACTCCTGTCTGTTCCTCCTTCCTCTTGTATCTAACCATTTTGACTTGCAGGGACCTGAAATTACTTTGCATTATGAAAAAAAATTAACCTTGATGTGTAATTGCTAGATAAAAAATATACTTTTTAAAATGACTAATGGTAGTCGCTTATAGTAAGTGATTATTACTACAGGGTGATACTCTTTTATTTGTACATTTAAATAAGAAAGGTGTGCTCTTATGGGCCGATTACAGAGTGGGCTGATGGGCACTGGGTTGTCCAGCAGCCTTGGGGAAATGTCCTTAAAATGAAACACACTGTGAAAGCATTGCACTGTGTCATGCCATATTATTTGCCTCTTTAGGGGACCCAGGATTTGGTATAAAAATAAGATTCCTCATTTAGGGGAATCTGTTTTGCCTTCCAGCTCTGCCTGCTTACTAGGCCCTAGAAACTGCATGCTTTCCTGGTTCTGTTCCTTATAAGGTTCCACTCCAAAGGCAATAATCCCATTTAAAAACTTAACACGTTTAAGAAAATCTCCACATGTAAGAGTGTCTGCTTTTCCTGGCCATCCTGACTGAACTTTTACCCCCACATTTCTCCTTGCTTTAGATAAAATATAAATTCTCTATAATTATTTCACCTAAGAATTATCCCTTTAAAATAAAAGTTTGGAACTGCCTGGTTAAAACCTTTTTAGGGCAGGGAACAGGTAATCAAGAGACTGACGAGCTAAAATGAAAAAGAAAAACTTCAAAAACTGACAAATGACGAATCCGTATAACTCTACCAGATCTGCTTCTCTATGTCTGTGTATTTATATACTTCATATATGTAGTATTTTGCTAACAAACTATATAAAGAGCTCTAATTAATTGGCATATATATGCACTTAAATAAAATATTTTACCAGAAAAATTTTAACTAAACTGCTCTTTGTTCACATGACTCTAATAATCTTTGAATAATAAAGATAGCTTTAAAGATTATTGGTACAATAAAAGTATTTCTTCAACATTTAGACATTTGGTCTAAATTAGGCAGGTCAGATATTCTCTTTGCTGTTTTAGGTTATAAATATCTGTGACTTTTTGTTAGTGTCCAACCTGCCTGCATTAGAGCCAGCAGCTTCTAGGTAAAGCCTGGGGACATGTTGAGTTAGCCATGCCCCCGAGCTATGTTGGAAAGAGTCAGACATTATCTTCATTTCTGTCCTGTGTCCTAGGCTCTGCACTTGGTACGAAATTAAAATTGCTTTCACTAAAAATAAAAGTTGTGAAGATTTAACATTGTAACACATGTGATTGATACTGCTGAGAAAAGATTTACATTCAAGGTATATAAAAATTACAAAATGTGTTTTTGTAAAAAGTTATAAAAAGACCTGAAGATATTGTTTTTGTTTAAAAAAGTAATCTTGTCTAAATTAGAGGTTTTAAAAATTGTCTTAAGTTAAAAAGTAATAGGAGAAAACAGAAGGTTTAAGCAAGTTATACAAGGTTTGTAAAAGATTGGTCTAGTAAAGAAAGTTCTGTGTGTGAGTGTGAGCAACTTGCCAAAACTTGAAGCAGGTTACTTAGTTTTTCTACAGAATGATCATTAATGTAAAAATCACAGTGATACAGGCCCAGAATCTGCCCCCTTATATGTGATCAACAGAGTTTTCATGGAGCATTAATCAGTTGTTTAGTAGAAAATTGTAAACAGTATGCTCAAACTGATTTAGATTGGACAGATTTGTTTATAAGGTTTTATGTAAAAATTGGGTTTGACATTAATAAAACACTAAGGCAAAGGTAAAATTTGGTTTCTCTTTAAACAAGATTTTTGTATAATACTGAGGGATAATAAAATATTTTTATTTGTCTTTTAAATAAACTGAAAAATGTAGGGGAGAGAGAAGACACAGATTCAGATGGCCTCATGCGGTCGTTGCTTGGTCCTGTTGTTTGGGAGCTGAGTCTCCTCTCTACCAATGAATAAAGGCATTTGCCTTATTAAATTTTTGAGCTATCATTTTGGCTAAACAAATGATTTGTGGTTATCTGGGATTCTATTTCGTGATATGAAGTGTTTTAAACCTTTAATATTTGCACACTTTGAAAAATAAAATTATAAACTAAGAATTTTTATTTTAACTCATTAGCCTTTTAAGTATTAGGTCCCCTGAAGTCCAAAAGAGATATGTTTGGCTTATTTGGTATATTAACCTACAGAAAACACTGTCAAATACAAAATCATGTTTAACTTTCTTTGGGTTATATTTATACAAATATGTTATTAGTATGTATTCCAAAATTATATGGTTCCTATAATTCTAATAGGTCTTAGCATATGTTATCAGTAATAATTATGATTATTACATTGAATTGTTATGTGCCACAGAAATGACCAGATTTCTTTGTCGACTGTATCTTTAACAATGGCCTCGTTGGACACAGTGACTCATGCCTGTAATGTCCTCACTGGGCACGGTGGCTCATGTCTGTAATCCTAGAACTTTAGGAGGCTAAGTTGGGAGGATTGTTTGAGCTCAGTTGTTTGAGATCAGCCTGAGCAAGATAGTGAGACCTTATCTCTACAAAAAATTATCAAAAAATTAGTTGGATGTGGTAGCACTTGCCTGTGGTCCCAGCTCCTCTGGAGGCTGAAGAAAGAAGATTGCTTGATCCCAGGAAGGTGAGGCTACAGTGAGCCATAATTGTGCCACTGCACTCCAGCCTGGGTGGCTTGAGACCCTGTCTCAAAAAAATCAAGTAAAATTATTAAAACAATGACTGTCCTGAGATTATTGTCATCCACAGATTATTGTGGTCTTTTCTTCAACTAGTCAAAAGGTGTTTGCTCTTTGAAATGTTCTCTTGAATATAGGTTTCTGATAACTATAGATTGTGGCATTGAAATAGGAAAAAAAAGAAAACAAAACAAACAAACTTTCAGGACTCTCAGAGATAGCTGGTATGTTTATGAGGACTGCAGGCCCAATGTCAGACAAAGTTCACTGCATGGACTGAACTAATACAAGACCACAATAATCATTTTATGACTCGTTACACAAATAATCAGGCTAAGTATAATAATACCAAAACTTATTTTGCAAATAAATGTGACCTACTATGATACGTCTTAAATAAAAATGAGAACTAGAGAGCAAAACATTGTATTTCAGAAAAATACTATAGCACACCTGTTGTTAGATTCTAGTCTTGTCCATTGTTTTTGAGCTTTTTATTGTTTTCTGCATTTTGGACTGAATCCTGAAACCTCTCAGAGCTAAAGTCCTCAAATTAACACATTCACATTTTTCTTCCACTTTTCTGCCCTGGACTCAATGAAATGGCTACGACCTTCTTCCTGAGGCCCCGCAGGCTGAGTTTATCCCTTGAGATACAGATGTGAAATATGTGAGATTTTTATCACTATCCTCCTTTGCAATTTAAAAATGCTTTGAATCTAACATCTGGATGCATTGTGCCCAATATCAACCTTTGTTATTATGTTCTATTTCCATACCAATGCCTGTTATTAAAAATATTTTTGCCTTAATCACATAAGGGGGCCTAGTTCATTTGCAGTGACACCTCCTGGAATGAAACACAGCTAGGATCTATTCTGAGGACTAGGAAACTAACTAAAAAGATATGAGATGGTATATTTAAATTTGCTCTTTCCTGTTTATCCAAATTTGTCTTTCTAACAACCTCTGACCCAAATCTCTCTTGACTATTGACCCCATGTCTGACTGGTCCTTGGGGCTATTCACCCAAATCCCTCAGGGATTTAGATGAAGTATATAAGGACTTCTGAAGCTAGGACTTCCACTCCTTATATTAGGACTCATTATCCTATAGACAGCTGTTCACTTAAGTGCCGTACTAAAACTGTGGATGAGAGCACTAACATCTTGGCCATGCAAGCCTAGGAACCCCAACCAGGCACCTGTGAACACATGCAGGCAGCTGCAAAGCAGCTTCATTCCATTTACTCTGGGGCCAAACCCTATCTCAAGTATACCCTTTGTCAGCAGGAAGAAGTTAGAATGGTCTTTGGCCTTTTCCCAACTCTGTACCTCACCCGTTAAGAATAAGATGCAATGAAACTTGGAAGGGGAAATTGAAATCACATTTGCAAAAACAGTAACAGTGAGAAAATTATGATAGGGAGAGAGACATGACCTAAGTGACTTCATCTTGCATTTAACCTCCAAGTGGCCCTTGCTTATTCCTGGGTAAAAACAAAACTAACTTTGGGAGAAATTTACTTTGTAGCTGAACTTTGAAACAAAGATAATAACAGCTCCTCCCTGAAACAAAACCCCTCATTGTTTGGGGACCACATCAACTTTGTAAAACTAACAAATTAACCACAATATTAGAAAGTATGGCTCAGAAGTCATACCATCAGAGGCCACAAGATTAATAACCTCCCTGATTGCTCCTATCAATAACATTACTATTGTAAAACCTAAGATTGGTGTTTGAGGTATTTTTCATAACTTGCATCCTGACAGATCAGCGGGTGCCACCCAAACCAGTAAACAGGCTCATCTGGATACGTGGCCCACACCCAGGAGCTGAGTCAGCAAAGAAGATGGCTTTGACTTCCTAAGATTTCATCCCTGACCCAACCAATCAGCATGTCCCTTTCTCTAACCCCTGCCCACAAAACTATCTATAAAAACTCTACCCTCTGAATATTTGGGGAAGCAGTTTTGAGTAATACGAAAACTCTGCTCTCTCCTTTAGCCAGCTCTACATGTATAAAATCTTCTCTACAGCAATTCCCCTATCTTGATAAAGTGACTCTATCTGGGCAGCAGCCAACATGAACCCATTGGCCATTAACAACCCAACTGCTGAATTTTGTATGAAGATAACTTGTTTTGATTTCATGGGCTGACAGAGGAGACTTCAGATTTGGGAACTTTCTGCTGGTGCTGGAACAATTTAAGCCTTTGAACGATAGGAATGAAATAAACTTTTTGTAAGTGACAGGGCGTGATTTTTAGAGTCAGAAGTGGAGGCCTGTGGTTGGAATATTGCTTCCCTCCCAAATTTATGCTGAAATTTAATCCCTAACATGGCGGTATTGAATTGTGAGACTTTTAAAAGGTGATTGGATCATGAAGAGTTTGACCCCATAAATGAATTAATCCTTTCATGGATTAATAAATATTTAAAGATTAATAGTCTACTATGAGCGAAGAGTGGCTTATAAGAAGGGAGACATGTTGTTGCATGTCAGCAAGCTCTACTCCATTGCCATACCATACCCTGTAGACTTCAGAACTCTTCAGAGAGTCCCAACCAGCAACATGATCTCACCACATACAACCTCTCAACCTTAGACTTTTCAGCCTCCATAACTGTATGAAATACATGTGTTTTCTTTATCAACTACTCAGTGTCAGGTATTCTGTTATAAATAACAGAAAATGGACTAAAACAAAGTCTTAGTATTACTATGCCCTGTTATTAAGTTCAATGGATTATTACAACCATTCCAGACAAGAATACAAATGCTCCAGATCTTTCAGGAATGAAGGTTTGCATCATCCTGCCAGGTAAAGACCCAGGACCAGCAGAGGGGCTTGCTGAAGACAAAGAGAATACCGAATGGGTAGCAGTAGAAGGGAGTTACAAATACCAGACAGGGCCAGGAGTGGTGCCTCAAGCCTGTAATCCCAGCACTTTGGGAGGCCAAGGCAGGCAGATCACCAGGTCAGGAGATCAAGACCATCCTGGCTAACACAGTGAAACCCCATCTCTACTAAAAATACAAAAAAAATTAGCCAGGCGTGGTGGCGGGCGCCTGTAGTCCCAGCTACTCGGGAGGCTGAGGCAGGAGAATGTGTGAACCTGGGAGGCGGAGCTTGCAGTGAGCCAAGATCATGCCACTGCACTCCAGCCTGGGTGACAGAGCGAGACTCTGTCTCAAAAATGAAAATAAAAATAAAAAAGTAAATAAATAAATACATACATAACCAGACAGGACTAGGTGACCAGTTACAGAAACAAGGATTAAAATTGTCACTATTATTTCCTATCTACTTTGTTAAGAATACATTTGCGTGTTATATATAAATATATTAGGCAAATAACATTGTTTCTATTTCTCTCTTCTTCTGTTGTCACATAACACAATAATGTATTAACTTGATATTAGCAGTTAAGTGTTAGTAATTTGTACTGAAGTTATGGGGTATCAGGAGAAGAGTAAACATCACCCACAAACTTCTACTACTCTTAAGAAAAATAGTATAGTGTGTTCTCATTGCACACAGGATCATTGAATCATGTTACGTAGAACTATTGCCTTGTTATTGTCTATATCTGAAGATTAGTTAGGGCTTAAGGTGATACATATAGGTGCCAACTAGAAAGGTGCTGGACTTGTCATGGTTAATTTAAGGTGCTGACTGGATTACAGAATACCTAGAGAATTGGTAAACCATTACTTCTGGGTGTGTCTGCCAGGGTGTTTCCAGAGGAGACTGATGTATGAGTCAGGGAATTTAGTGGGAAAAATCCACCCTCAATGGGGGAAGGCAGCATACAATCTCCTTGGGGACTAAACAAAACCAAAAATGAAAAATTTTTAAAAAGTTTTCCTGTCTCTCTTCTGGAGAAAGTATACTCCTTTTCCTGCCCTTGGAAAATAGAACTCCATGATATATGGCCTTCAAACTCCAGAACTTATACCAGTAAATGCCCTGGATTCTCAGGCCATTGGTCCCAAACTAAGAATTACACCAAGAGCTTCTGTGATTCTGAAGACTTCAGCTTTGGAATGAGCCACCACGTTACAGCATCCAAGGTCCTTAAACTCGCAGATGGCTGTCTTGGGAATTCTCCATCTCTATAATGTTACATGAGTAAATCCCCAAACAAAATGCTGTTCATCTAACGATTGTCTATCTATCTATCAACTCTCCATCTATGTATCTATCTACCTACCTAACTACCTCCCTGTAGTTCTGTCTCTCTGAAAAAAAATAACTGACAAATACACCCATAAAGACTTCAGCCAAATGGCACAATACTATGTCTTTCTCTAGTTGCTCCTCCACCACCCCTGCTGCTTATGAGTGTATGTCCTGGAGAGCTCTTCTCTGTCCATCAGCACTTCAAGGAATGCTGCCCTCTTCTTACTGGGATTGGTTAGTAATACATTACGCATGTCATTATACACCTTTTGCTGAGTTGCCTCCTCTGTATTTCACTTTATGAACACATATGGACATCACTTTTCTCCCACTTAGCACTCTCCTAAAGAGTGGTTTCCTTGGTAGAATAAACTAGACACAGGTCAGACAGGAGCCACAGGGTGTCTTACAGTATAAACAAGTACTCTGTGAGAAGGATACCTGGATATAAGCTGGACGGTTGGGCTTTAGGCCATCGACCAGGATAAGTAAGCATCCCATGAAAGGCACAGCCAGTACCAAATCCTGAGTCATATTGGGCAAGGCTATAGGTTATAGTCACCATCCAGAGAGGCCTTAAAGCAAACAGAAGTAAGAATAAAACACACGCTGTGAGATAATTTTATGAACTATGGTTCCAGGAGTCCTAGGGAGGGAAACTAAAAATGGCAAGGCATTATTTGAAAGTTTGCACTGGAGTGGTGGCTCTCCAAAGATAAGGAAAAATCTCAGGTTGGGCGTGGTGGCTTACACCTGTAATCCCAGCACTCTGGGAGGCAGACGTGAGCGGATCAGGAGGTCAGGAGATCAGGACCATTCTGGCTAACACTGTGAAACCCTGTCTCTACTAAAAACAAAAAAAAATTAGCTGGGCGTGGTGGCAGGCACCTGTAGTCCCACCTGCTGGGGAGGCTGAGGCAGGAGAATGGCGTGACTCTGGGAGGGGGAGCTTGCAGTGAGCTGAGGTCACGCCACTGCACTCCAGTCTGGGTGACAGAGCGAGACTCCATCTCAAAAAAAAAAAAAAAAATCTCTATCTAGAGGATTTCAGCCCTAATCATAGAAATATAAACAACGACCTCTGTAACTTATTTATTTATTTATTTAATGGGGTTTAACTACGTTGCCCAGGCTGGAATGCACTGGTTATTCACTAACACAATCATAGTACACCATATAGCCTCAAACTCCTGGTATCACATGATCATCCTACCCACCCTCCCTAGCAGTTGGGACTGACTACAGGTTTGTGCCACCACACTTGCACAGATAAAATTTTAAATCAAGAAACTTGCATTTCTTTTTCTTCTTTCCCATAGTAATTCTAATCATGTGAAGAATGATCATACAAATCATTTTATGATTAGTTACTGCAGATGTAGATGCATTATAGCTTCCATACAATCTTTTATGCTGTCCACTTCTTACTTGGATCAACTTTATTTTTGGATACTTGAGAAGAAGAATGGGTCTTAGTGTTCCCTGAAGAAGAGAGTAAAATAGAAACTCATCTGATTTATATTTTAAAACCTTACTGCATTTGTACCATGAGATTTAGTTCCATGAAGGCTCAAATAAGTTAACAGGAAGACATGATCTCAAATATATGAGCCATGTCTACACTTCTATTTATTTTGAAATAATTTTAGATTAACAGAGAGTTGTTAAAATCTTACATAAATTTGTATATAGCCTTCAATTTCCTGTTATATTAATATCATACACATAACCATAGACTATCTATGAAAACTCAGAAACTGATAAAGGCACAAAACTATTAACTAAACTACTGACTGTCTTCATATTTTACCAGGTTTTTCACTAATGCCATTTTTCCTTTTCTTGGATCTAATCAAGGATAACATATTATGTTTATCATCAAGTGTATTATTGTTTATTGCAGAATAGCCAATTACCATGTAGCTTAGTGGCTCAAAAGCACACACAAATTACTCACAGTTTCTCTGGGTCAGGAATCCAGATGTAGATGATGGCCAAGGCTGATGTCTCACCTGAGGATCAGCTGGGGAGGAATCATCTTCTAAGTTCACATGATTGACCAGGTTGAGAAGAATTCACTGATGAATTATTTGAAACCTTTAAAATATCAACAGCAATTTTTTACTAACCGTTCTCCAAAAAAACAAAATAATAGAGAAGAGATCAGTGTGCAATACATTCTATGAGGCAGTTTCCTCTGAGGCCACAATCAAACAAACGCAGTCCAAACAAGGAAAACTATAAACTAATATGCTTTATGGGTACCCAGGCAATAATTCTCAAGGAAATAGCCTGAACACAAACCAGGATTGTAAAACAGAATTAAACACTAATTTATTTATTTATTTACTCAGGGTCACAAGTTTGGTAAAACCTATAAAAAGAATTAGTGTAATAACTATATTAATATAATAAATAACAAAATTTTCATTATCACATCTAAAGATATGGAATAAGCACTTTCCAATTCAAAAACCCACTCACAGTAAAAACACTAAACAAATTTTGCAGAAAGGGAATGTTCTTACCTAACACAGGCACCCATGAAAAATTCACATGACAACACATGGTATCAAGTAGGTCTCAGTAATTTTCCCAAAATTATAAACACAAAAGGTTATCTATTCCCACTAATTCAACTAAATATTCTTGAGGATGTAATTTATAAAATTAGGCTGGAAAAATAAATATAAGACTTCCAAATTGAAAGGGAAGAAGTCAAACATCTATTGGCCAGTGACATAATCTAATGTATAGAAAATCCTTAAAAATCCACTAAAATAAGGTTGGAACAAAAAAAAATTCAGTCATGATCAATGTAATAAATTGCATTTTATACAATAGAAACTAATCAAATAACGAAACAGAAAACAATTTCATTTAACACGGCATCAAAAAGGAAATATATTTGAAAATAAACCTAATATAACTGTAAGATATATATACTGAAAATTACAAATGATGTTGAAGTATTAAAGAAATCCTAAATAAATGAATAAAAGAGTTAGCATAATATACTATATGAACTAGATTTTCATTGATCAGAAAGCTATTAAGTATTAACCAAGATGCTTATACTTTCTAAATGCATCTTCAGATTCAATACAAGCCCTACTAAAATTCTAACTTTAATTTTTTTTCAATTTTAGCAATTCTTGGACCACTGATTCTAGAACACACAGAAAAATGCAATTGATCTAGAACAGCCCAAAGAATGTTAAATTTTTTTTACAGAAACACAAATGACATTTATAGAAGGTCTGTCCATAGGGCAATGGGGCATAATTCCCCACTTTTTATGTATGTGCTGTGCATACTGATGTTTTTTCCAAAAGGTACAACATGAAAAGTGGAATAATATTAATTTTATTGTTGCGGGAAGTCAGGGACCCCAAACGGAGGGACTAGCTGAAGCCATGGTGGAAGAACATAAATTGTGAAGATTTCATGGACATATATTAGTTCCTGAAATTAATACTTTTATAGTTTCTTGTGCCTGTCTTTACTGCAATCTCTGAACATAAGTTATGAAGATTTCATGGACACTTATCACTTCCCCAATCAATACCCTTGTGATTTCCTATGCCTGTCTTTACTTTAATCTCTTAATCCCGTCATCTTTGTAAGCTAAGGATGATGTATGTCGCCTCAGGACACTGTGATGATTGCGTTAACTACACAAATTGTTTATAAAGCATGTGTGTTTGAACAATATGAAATCTGGGCACCTTGAAAAAAGAACAGGATAACAGTAATATTCAGGGAACAAGAGAGATAAGCTTAAATTCTGACTGCCGGTGAGCCAGGTGGAACAGAGCCATATTTCTCTTCTTTCAAAAGCAAATAGGAGAAATATCGCTGAATTCTTTTTCTCAGCAAGGAACATCCCTGAGAGAGAGAATGCGTCCCTGAGGGGAGGCCTCTAAAATGGCCGCTTTGAGGGCAGCTGTCTTTTACGGTTGCAGCTGTCTTTTACGGTTGCAGCTGTCTTTTACGGTTGTAGCTGTGGGATGAAATAAGCTCCGGTCTCCCGTAGTGCTCCCAGACTTATCAGGACAAGGAAATTCCCGCCCAATAAATTTTGGTCAGACCAGTTGTCTGCTCTCAAACCCTGTTTCCCGATGAGATGTTATCAATGACAATGCATGCCCAAAACTTCTTTAGCAATTTTAATTTTGCCCCAGTCCTGTGGTCCTGTGATCTCGCCCTGCCTCCATTTACCTTGTGATATCTTATTAGCTTGTGAAGCATGTGATCTCTGTGACCCACACCCTATTCGTACACTCCCTCCCCTTTTGAAAATCACTAATAAAAACTTGCTGCTTTTATGCTTCAGGGGGCATCATGGAACCTGCCAACATGTGACGTCTCCCCCAGACACCCAGCTTTAAAATTTCTCTCTTTTGTACTCTGTCCCTTTATTTCTCAGACCGGCTGACACTTAGGGAAAATAGAAAAGAACCCACGTGAAATATTGGGGGTGAATTTCGCCCGATATTATAGTGGACAAAACTGAGCTAAACTGCCTCATCCATGTGATCAAATAACATTAACCATGACAAAGCAGCTGGGCACAGTGGCTCACACCTGTAATCCCAGCACTTTGGGAGCCTGAGGTGAGATGATCGCTTGGGGCCAGGACTTAGAGACCAGCCTGGGCAATGTAGTGAGACTCTGCCTCTACAAATGTAAAAGTAAAATTAAATCATCCAGAGTGGTGGCACATGCCTGTAGTCCCATCTACTCAAGAGGATGAGGTGGAGGATCATTCAAGCCCAAGAATTCCAGGCTGCAGCAAGCTTTGTTCACGCCACTGCACTCCGGCCTGAGCAACAGAATGAGACCCTGTCTCAAAAAAAAAAAAAAAAACTGATACAGCATGTTGACACTATGTACTCTTGTTATAATATCATGAGAATAAAAGTTTCCCTCTGTGGGTTTCCTCTGCTAAATTCACAACAGTCATCCAATCATTAGGAAAACACCAGAGACATCCCAAAGGATTTCAACGATATCAGAAATAAGGAAAATCTGAGAAACTGGCACATGATACCTAAATGTGATGTGGTGTCCTGGGCGGAATCCTGGAACAGAATATGGACATTAGGTGAAAACAGAACATCTGATTAATTGTGAATGTTGCTGAATGATAATGTATAATACTGGTTCATCAATTGCGACAAATGTCTGCAATGAATGTAAGAATTTATAAAAGGGAAATTATGTGTTGAACATATATAAACTCTCTGTATGTACTTGTAACTATTCTGCAAATCCAAACTATTCTAAAATAGATTTAAAAATAAATAAAATATATATATTTTAAAAATTACACTATTGAGCTTACTAAGCAGAACATTGTCGATCTCGTAGTGTCCCAGGTGCTCACCTCCCCATTCCCACCCTTCTTGTTACCTTGGTGAACATTACTATTATGTTTAATTTTCCTTTTCCCATTCACAAATTTTTCTTTCTTAGTTTTGGTCTCTAAATTTGTATTTGTAAATAATGTCCTGTTTGCTGTTTCTTGTCTTCACAAATAGATAATTACATGTCTCTATCTATACTGCTCAGTAAAATTATGAGAAACATTCAGAGAAATCAAAATTTTGATACATTTTACAAAATATGTGACCTGCTTTCTCACAAAGTGAGGACTGAGAACCTGTCCCAGATTAAGCAAGACCTGACGTTGGCAGGTGAACTCTAAGATGGTGCACAATGATCCTCACAGCTTAATTAGAATATCTAATCCTTTCCTTGTGACTTTGGGGAGAACCTGAAACTTGCTATGATACATCAGAAGACTACAACCTGACAGGATGTCACTTGGGTCATCATGTTACCTAAGATTATGATACCTGTCTTGCTGCAAGCTCTCTGTCATGGTGGTTTTCATGACACATTCTGCCATGGGAGAGAAGCCAACATGGGAAATAACTGAATGCAGCTTCTGGCCACAGACAGCAAAAACCTGAGGCTCCTCATCCAGTATCCTGCCCTAGAGGTGGCAATTTATATTTACAACTAATCTAAGCTCCTTTCACATAAAAGTATACAGCCTCAGAAGTAGTGTATCCATCTTATAAAAGAATAGTCCTATTTCTTCCTTTTTCCTGTATTTTTCCTTTTGTCCCTCTTTCCTATCTTTCATTTTACTTATATGTATATATATATATACACATATCTATATATATCTTATGCTTATGAAAATATAATTAAATAATGGCTGCTTTTTTGTTGTTGTTGAAACAGAGTCTTGCTCATCAATTTACTCTTAATAAAATTACAATAAATTTTAATTTTCTATTCTATAATCTACTTTTTTTGAAAACTTCTGAGATTCATATCTCAAATGTTCAATTGTTGTCTTGCTGCTATCAGCTTTTTCTCCCTTTGATGTGGCCTGGGATGATAACTCTATCCTTCAGCTTCTTGTCAGCTCCTGCAACTTTTCTCCTTACTTCTAAATGTTGTTGTGGCTGATGCTGAAATATTTTATCTTAGAGGTCTATAAAAGAAATGTTTTCCTCCAGGATAACCTGATTCTATGCTCTTGGGTTTTTTTTTTTTGGTTGTTGTTTTTGGTGTGTCTAAATTTTCACTGTAATCAGGAAACTTATCATGCAGCTACTAAGAGTCATGTATTCCCCAGTTCTATTCAAAACCTTGTACACACTCTTCCCATGTTTGATTAAATTCAAGCGCTTTTTATCTTAAGTTGTACTTCCAGATTATCTAAATGGGCTTTCTTCTAAGGAGAGGCAGTCACACTAAAAAAGGTTTTCCTTTGACTTTTTGGTAACTGGCTTAAGAAACAAGATTTTACGTTTTATCAAGATAGTTCCTATGCTGCCTTTATTAAGTGTTTAATTGCTTTTTAAAATCTCCTGAAATTTGAAAGGAGTAAGGATTTTATACCCGTGTAACTTTTTCTATTGCCTTTAAAGTCTTTCAGTGATCACTTTGGTTAAATGAATAACTATTGATTTACAAGGACCTGTGGTTCAGTTTTGATCAAATATTTTAAGCTTTCTCACATCTTTCACAGACATCTCCAAAATTGAATCCTAAATTAAGTCTCTGACTTCTTGCTGGGGCTTATCAAAGCTAAAAAATATTAATCACTGTGAAGTGTGTCACCACCTCCAACACCCTGAAAAAGTTCTTATCAGGTGCTATTAAGTAATCTTTGTGGTGTTAAGGTTCAAGGAATTGACTCCTGGATACATGTAGCTCCTCTAAAGAAGACACAGACTCCTGCCAGCATCTAACACCAAACTCAACTTAACCAAAGCCTCATCTTTAGACTCAAGCAAAGGCAATAAAGTACACTGCTTTCATGCAACACAGGGACAGGCCTGTATTAAACTTTATTTAATAATTTTCCTTCTATCTGAAATAGAAATATATGAAATATAATTTATTCTGTGCCTTAATATTAAATAACTGAAATGTTTATCTATCTATAGGCTTCCTTTCCTGTCACTCATTCTTTTTTTTTGAGATGGAGTCTCCCTCTCTTGCGCAGGCTGGAGTGCAGTGGCACGATCTTGGCTCACTGCAATCTCTGCCTCCCGGGTTCAAGCAATTTCCCTGTCTCAGCTTACCGAGTAGCTAGGACTACAGGCACCCACCATCACACCCAGCTATTTTTTTGTATTTTAGTAGAGACGGGGTTTTACCGTGTTGGCCGGGATGGTCTCGATCTCCTGACCTCGTGATCTGCCCATCTCAGTCCTGTCACTCTTAAAACAAGACAAGGCTTACAGCATTTTTGCTTAAAATGTTGTTAATGGTGAATATTTTGTTTTATTAATATATCCAGAACTTAAAACTGTTCAGTTTCTCCAGACCCAGGGACTATCATGGAATATACGAATGCATGAGATTGTAAGGGCTGGTTCTTGTGGAATAAAATTAATTCAGACCCCCCAAATAAAGGATGGGCATACAGATGCCTAAACAGCTAAATAAAATACTTATGTTTTGTATAGCTATAGTTCCTATAAGCCAAGATTACAACAGCTCAATGCATAAAATTCAGAGACAATGCAGTTATATAACCTTACCTTTTGACTTTTAGTTTTTGGCTCTTACATTGCTTAAAAGGGGTTTTAAGGACTAATGTCTGCCTGCCCACATTCATTCCAGTCTGGCCTACAGACTGGAATTGGATATAATTGGATATAAGACTTTTGATTCTAAGTCCCTTGGCCATAGTGGTCCCACTAAGGAACATGATGGACACAGGTCAGGTAGCACGCCGCTCTGCCATTGACATGAGAGAAAATAAAAGTGTGGCTACCCATACTGCCTCTGGCATACCTTGACAAAAAAGGAGAATATAAACTACAAAATAAAGTCCTAAGCCCCCATCAACTTAATGGACACTCCCTACCCCCATGTTAGCCAAGGCAATCTAAAAAACTAATTCAGGCCATGACAACCAGAGGGGTGATGAACAGGCTTCACTATACCTTGCTCCCATCGTGGGAATTTATGCACAACTGATCAGCATTAACATTACAATAAAAACTGTAAAACAGACTATAACAATAAAATACCAAATTATGAACAGGACTTAAGAACATGCCAGGCAAGAGTTAAGTCTCACATCCCTACAGTTTAAAAAAAGCAGACTATGTTTACAGCTGCCACAAGGTTTGTGTTTCTCTAGCAGCCAAGCAAGCACTAGCCTCAAGATAAGCTGACTGACTGACCCCAGCCACGTTCCACCAGCCATAACTACAGATTGAAGTAGACAAGAGACCAATTTCAGTAATTTTCTCCTGATAAAAGATCACTCACCATAAGCTAGTTTTGGCCGGTTTACAGTAAATGCACACTTGCATGCCTTTGTCTTCAAAAGAACTTTTGAAATATAGGGCATAATTATAATACATTTAAAAGTTAAGTCCCTGCCCCAAAATAAATGAGTTGCATGTTCCATGGATATTTGTTAATAAACATAGGTCAGCACCACCTTCATGAATATTTGCAACTCCTCCTGTAGCCTGTTAAGTATGTATAGTTAACCGACTTGTCCTCATACCTCCACAGGAGCTCTGGGTACAACTGGCATTTGGGGCTTTGCACTATAATTAAGACTAAATGCTGTGTGGACTTCCTGGATAATTCTAGAAACATATCCTCAGCCCTAAAAGACATGCACAAGCAAACTAATGCTATGTCTAATCTCAGGATGTCTTTAAATCATATGGCTTTAGATATCTTCACTGTAGCCCAGGGTGGCACTTGTGCATTCATTAAGACTGACCATTTTATACACATACACACACACACACACACACACCAGATTATTCTCACAATATAACCCAAGCTATGCATGTAGATACCCATATTTCTGTTAAAGATGCCCTCTCTCAGGACTCTATGACTTCATGATTTAGTCGGCTTCTTGGTGCATCAAATACTTTTATATATATTATTAATACTGCTAAATGCCCTCTTCAGCTGCTATGAATTTTATTGCTGTTGTACACTCTGCATGGAGATGCAGGAAATCATTCTCAGAAATTCTTGGATCCTCACACCATACATGCACAGTAAGTTCCTGCTGAAAACTCAAGAATATTTCCAACTCCAAGTAAACAGATTTCATTCTAATGCTCTATAACTATGCCCCCTTTCAGTAGGAAGCAGACCAAGTGAGTATGATGCTCCAATTGAATAAAAATAAAGTGGAATGTGACAGTGGGGTGTTGTAACCAAGTACTTCATTTTCCTTAAAAAATATGTACTTTTTCTCTTTTTCCTGTGTGTTCATGTCTTACTTAGCTCCTTAGAAATGCAAATTCAAACTTTTCCGTCCTTCTTTTCCACCAGCCAAACCACCAGCACGCACTGTCAGCTTAGCTAAGTATATGTTTGCTTACAAATTACCAAATCTTGAACCAAAACAAGCATCCGCCAGAATTCTCCTCCATACAGAGATGGTCTCAAGACCTCAGTTAATCCACAACCTGACTCTTTCCCCAGTGATGCTGGGCAGGCTAACGAATCACCCAAGACTAGAGATAAGTCATCCAGCAAGTCATATAGGTCCTGCACCTCCACACCCCTTCTGCATGCCCTGCTTGCCAATATTTCTTCTTAAAATCCTGTTTTCTGCCCAGAAAACTTATATGGTTCCTTTAGATATGAATCCCGCCCTTCCACATTGCTAAGCTCGGGAATAAAGTGACTTTCTTTTTGTTTTTTGGAGACGGAGTCTCGCTCTGTCCCCCAGTAGCTGGGATTACAGGCACATGCCACTGTGCTCGGCTAATTTATGTATTTTTAGTACAGAGAGGGTTTCGCCATGTTGGCCAGGCTGGTCTTGAAATGCTGACCTCAGGTGATCATCCCGCCTCGGCCTCCCAAAGTGCTGGGATTACAGATGTGAGCCACCGCGCCCGGCCAGTGACTTTCTTTTTACTACCCTTCTGTTACTTGATTTTGGAAGTGGCCATGGCCAAACCTGGGTTTCGTAACAAAATGGTGCCAGGCTGTGATACGATAGATGAGGGGCACTTTTTTCCTTAAAGCAGGATCTGTCAATTCTGTGTACAGCACTGAAGCCCACAGACCCTGACTGCTGCCATACCTAGCAGGGCAAGTGCCCATCTATTATTACATATTCCCATAAAATACCAGTATTTTTCTCTGTTGATTGCTCATGTCTCACACATCTTGAACAAGTATTCCCAACCCTCGCATGTTTTTTGACTAAGACAACAAAAATTAAAATTAAAAAAGAGCATAAGCATGAAAGCTTTTTGAGAATATTAAGGTAGAGGAAAATGACAATAAATAAAAAATTGAAATTCCCTTTTTACAAGTCAATGGCACAAAAGTATTTTCTGATTACAGCACTCAATGTACACATTTTCTAAGTGGTATTTTTTATATCTCTGAGAACTAAAACCAAATTTAATAATCACTCATGAAAAATAAGAAAAATTAATATCTAATAGAATAGGTGATCTGTAAAAAGAAATGTCATGTAGACATTTATGGAAGTGAGGTGGAAGGAATTATGGAGTCCAGCCATTGTCTAAATCTTTGTATAAGGAGAAGATAAAGCAACATCATGAAGTTCACACCTGCACAGTTAAGAAATGGTTGCTCCTTGTATTCAGACGTGACTGCTACACAAATCAATGCCTTGTTAACCTTCCACATGTACAGCAAACTAAGCCATATAATGGAAAGTTTTACACATCTTTTTAAGCATAAGGATCTGAGCCAATTTTGCCTTGTGGCTTCCAGAACAGTTTCTGTCCTTCTCCTTTTCAACCAGAGATATTTCAGAGAAAATTTGCACAAAAACATAGAGAATGTGTAACATCTGTCTTTTCTAATAAAAGTGATATTCACATTCAGTTTAGGAGAGAGAAATACGAGAAAAGATTAAAATATTTAAAAGTGTTCATTGAAAAATAATTGTGAATGCATTTTTAAAACAGAGGACTAAAGACCTTAAACACACAACACAAAAATAAAAATTTGGTTTTAGATAATGTTTATGAGAACAAAAAAAGAAAAAAAATATACCCAAGTGTTAAACACATTTGCACAACAAATCATATCAAAACCAGGATAAATATTACAATGCAAGAAATAAAGTCTTAAGGTATCACTCGTCAGCCAGCAGAATCAGTATTGAATAAACTCAGCCTTATTCAAAAGAACTGAATTCCCCACCTCACCAACAGAAAGGACAGGGAGCTGCTGCCCTTGTGCATGGAGACCCCATACAGTGGCTCTGAGCTCAGAGGCTCCCATGTGGCTTTGACTTTGGTGGGCATGGTCTGGAGGAGAAACAACCTGTCACAGGGGAATCTACACCAGTGCAGGAGGTTACTATGGGTGCATCTCAAGGTTTTCAATATTACTGGCTGTTGTTGAAAGTATTTATACATAAAGTGGGGAGTGGTGTTGGGGGATTGTCTCAGATTCACAAGGATATTAAGGGATTTAAGAGTCTACAGCAACGTTCTAAGTTCTAAACCAGCCGGGTGCAGTGGCTCCCGCCTGTAATCCCAGCACTTCAGGAGGCTGAGGTGGGTGAATTGCTTGAAATTGGGAATTGGAGATCAGCCTGGGCAACAAGGTGAAACCCCATCTCTACAAAAAATACAACAACAAAAAAAATCTAACTGGGCATGGAGTTGTGCACCTGTGATCCTAGCTACTTGGGAAAGTGAGGTGGGAGGATCGCTTAAGCCCAGAAGTCGAGGCTCCAGTGAGCCAAGATCTTGCCACTGTACTCCAGCCCAGGTGTAAGAGCAAGATCCTGTCAAAAAAAAAATTAAAATTTATTTTTTTTAAAAAAGTTCTACACCTACAGCTTTATTTAAGGTACAGCTGAAAGTATTGGTGTAGGTGCAAGACATGCAGGTTGTTACATTTTTTACTTCATTATAGAGAAGTACCATGGCTAAAAGAAGAGGCTCTGGGCCAGGCACAGTGGCTTATGTAAAGTATAAAATAAATATCCATGTTTAGATGATGACATAAATAATTTATGTATAAATGAATAAATGTGTAGTAGAATAGACACGCTTACAGTTGAGAGTTCAAATAAATTTGTAGACATTCTGCCAATAAAAAGGTAGATCGTGAATCCCCACTTTTTTTTTTTTTTTTGAGATGGAGTCTGGAGTCTCGCTCTGTTGCCCAGGCTGGAGTGCAGTGGCGTGATCTCAGCTCACTGCAAACTCTGCCTCCCAAGTTCAAGTGATTTTCCTGCCTCAGCCTCCCGAGTAGCTGGGAGTACAGGCGTGTGCACTGTGCCTAGCTAATTTTTGCATTTTTAATAGACACGAGCTTTCGCCATGTTGGCCAGACTGGTCTCGAACTCCTGACCTCAGATGATCTGCCTGTCTCAGCCTCCCACAGTGCTGGGATTACAGGCGTGAGCCATCATGCTTAGCCCATGACTCCCCACTTCTTAAATGTGTGTTGTGTTAGTGACTTTGTTCTGAAACATTCTATGGGGAAAGGGAAAAATAATAATTTCACCGTGTGTGACAATTTGATAAAAATGACCTCATCTAGGTGATCAAATTAACATTAACAGTGATAAAGCCTGTTGAGAGCCTGTGCCCTTGGTATGATGTGAGGAGAATGGCACCTTTCCTCTGTCATCTTCCTCCCCTAAACCCACAAATCTAGTCTCATCATGAAAAAAAACCTAAAAAGAAATCCCACATTAGGAATGTCAATGCCATCAAAAACTAGGAAACGCTAAGAAACTGCAACAGTCAGAGAAATCTAAGGAGACGTGATATTTAACTGTGCTGAGGTATCTTGGACAAGGTCCTGGAATAGAAATTAGACATTAAGTGAAAACTAAGAAAATCTGAATAAAGTATGAAGAGTGGATAATGATACTGTTTAAAATTGGTTAATTGTGACAAATGTCCTACATTAAGAAGTTAATAAAAAGAGCAACTGTAGTGGGATATATGGAAAGTCTATGTTATATATTTAAAACAATTCTGTAAATCCTAAACGATTCTTAAATGTATAAAGTTTCTTTTTATTTAAAGTCACTGCTGACCTCATAAAATAGAACATGAGCAATATGTTGATAGCCATTAATGGATCTCCTTAGCTTCATCATCTTCCTTAATCACTGAAGGTAACTATTACTGTGAATTTATTTGTTATCCTCTAATTTGTGCTTGTTATATTTATCTCTATGTTTATATTTCTAATATCTATGATGTTTAGTTTTTCTTGTCTTCAAACTTAGATGACATGTGTTTAATGTATACATGTCCCTAATTTAATCATGAGAAATCATGAGACAAATCCATACTGTGGGATATCTTACAAAATATCTGACCTGTACATTTCAACAGGGTCAAGGTCAAGAAAAAGAAGTGAAGACTATGAAACTTGCAGATTGGAGAAGACCTAATGTGTCAGTTAGACCCTGCAATGGTGCCCAACGATCCCCACCTGCAAGAAATACCTGTGCTTTGTTGAGTTGCCTCCTCCGTGGCTCACATGACCAACACATGTGAGCTCAACTTTTCTCGAACTCAGAGCTCTCCTAGACAGTGGCTACATTGGTGGGAATGGAGTGGACACAGGTCGAACAAGTGCCACAAGGGTGTCTGACAGTATAAACAAATATCCTGTGAGAAGGATGCTGGGTCAAAGATTGTACACTTATGCTTTGGGGTATCCATCAGGATAAATAAGTATCCCAGGAGAGGCACACTGTAAACATCCAGGACACAGTTTCCTGGAGTCCTGTTGGGCAGGGTGATAATTTATAGTCACTGTCCCTAGAGAGACCTCAAGAGATTATTAGACATAACAAAAATACAAGAGATGTAGAGGTGATTTTATAAATTATGGCTCAAAGATCCCATGGAGAAGGAAGATAGAAATGGGTCGCTGGGTCAGATGCCTGGCAGAGATTTCAAGGGAAGGCTCATCTGGGGAAGGATCCCCTTCCAAGCTCCTGGGATTCTTGGGAGGATTCAATTTCTGTCCAGGTCAAGAAGACTTCACTGGTGAGTTATTCAAAGCCTTTTGGGAATTAATAACAATCAATAAAAACAGACGAGTAGAGAACTTTTCCTAATGCAATGTATGAAGCCAGTGTTCCCTGACACCACAGCTAGACAAAGACATTTCAAGAAAAGAAAATTATAGACCAATGTGAAACAGGTAAAAAGTATCAAGGAAATATTATCAAAATTAATTAGTAACATATAAAAAGGAGTATACACTAGGAACAAAACTATTTATCCCTGCAATGTAAGTCTGGTTAAACATATAAAAACAATTGGTGTTATAAACTATACTAATAGAATTTTTTAAAAAGACTCATGGTCGGTCACCTCTAAAGATACAGAATAAGCATTTGACAAATTCCAAACCCATTCATGATAAAAGCTCTGGGAAAATTAGGCATAGAAGAAAACTTTCTAAACCTACAAAGAGCATCCATGGAAAACTCACATAACATGAGGAAAGACATATAAGCCAACAGAATAGAGTTGAGCACCCCAAAATCAATCTTTATATATAGGGCAAACTTATTTTCAAGGTTGAAAAATTAATTCAACATGAAAAAATAGTTTTTCAACAAATGTTGCTGGGAGAAAGGGATATCCACAGCAAGTTAAACTGTTTCCTGCACCATATATGTATTTGACTCAGAATATGTGGCTAAATGTAAGAGCTAAAACTAAAAATCCCACAGAAGAGAACATAAAAATAGATTTTCATGGCCTTACATGAAACAATGGATTCTAACATGTGACACAAAAGTAAAAGTGACAGAAAAAAAAATAGATACATTGAACTTCATGTGGATCAATACCTTTTAAGATGCAACGTACACCATCAAGACAACTGAAATAATGGAAGAAGATATTCTCAAGTCATATAACTGTTAGGAGACTATTATCCAGAATATATGAAACATTCAGGCATGCACCACCACACCCGGCTAATTTCTGTATTTTTAGTAGAGATAGGGTTTCACCATGTTACTTAGGCTGGGCTCAAACTCCTGGCCTCAAGTGATCTACCCACCTGAGCTTCCCAAATTGCTGGGATTACAGGCATGAGCCACCATGCCCAGCCTCACTCTTCATTATTATTTTCTATATTTGTATTTCTAAATAATATATTGTGCAGGTATTTTTTTGTCTTCAACATTAGACAAATACGTGTATAAATTAATGTTTATTCTTACTCAAATTATGAAAAAAAAATAACAAATCCATATTGTGATACATCCTATGGAACACCTGACAAGTTCTTTTCACTAAGATCAAGGGCAAAAAAATAAGTGAAGACCCAGAAACTGATACAGATTAGACAGGGCCTGATGTGGCAGGTAGGTTCTAAGATGCTTCCCAATGATCCACACCTCTAGATATGAAGAACCCAATTCTAATATCCTCACTGTGAGGTTTAGACATGTCATAACACATGTATAAACAAACACAAAAGAGGCAAAGTGTATGGAACAATGATTTGTAAGAGAGAATATATAAAACAGTGAAGGACAGTGATACCTGAGACATACAATAGCGTGACATGAGCTCTACCATTGCCTGAATATACCACCTTGGGAGATGTTCCAGGCTGTGGTGTGGCACGGACTTTGGAAGACACTGTGAGTTGAGAAGATGGAACTGACAGTCGAGTACAGACTGGCTGGATTGCATCTAGCATTTCTTCCCATCCAGTGGTAAGAATGGGAGACAGCATCCATGTCAGCATCCATGCAGGCTGGACTGCTAGTGTCATCATTACTCACTGAAATATGGTTCACAGAAGTACAGGAGCAACGCAGATACATAGGCAAAGAAACAAAGAAAAGTCACTTGAATGAAGATTTAATATTGCAAAAAGATGGACACCTTTACATGTTGTAGCAAAACCAAGGCTTAAAAAATAACCATTCGAGATAAAGTAAATGATGTGTATAAGTCGAATGAACCAACCAAGTGGACACATACCTACTCTTACTATACAATTTTCATACAGGTGGCTGATAAACTCACTATATTATAAAATAATGAAAGTGCAGCTTTCTATTTATAAGAGCAGAACACAATTATCAGAAAAATAAGGATTAAAATATTTTTACCCCCATTTATTTCCCTATAAAACCTTAAGTTTGCTTTATATTTGGAAAATAATTTGTCACTTTCTTCACTACATAAATTCCACTGCCATTCTAGTTTGCATGGAGTATAGGATTGCTATTTTTATGCAGTAAAATTAAGTTAAATGGTGCCAGGCTGCAATATAAAAATGAGGGGTTGTTATTATTGTTATTTTAATCAAGATCTGTCATTGAAATTCTCTGTGTATAGTATTGAAGCTAAGAGACCCTGACTGCAGCCCTAACTGGAAAATCAAATGCCCATCTACTGATTTGGAGCACTTGTTAAATATCAGTGTTCACGCTCTCTTGGTTGCTCACATCTCATAAATCTTGGACAAATGTCCCCTATGTCCCCAGAATAATTTTAGAGCATTATATTGATTATTACCTTTCTTGTACAGTAGGCATATGTTATTGAGTTTCAACGACTCATTCTGTATGAATGCTTCACTCACAAGAGGATGTGTTGTCAACATAGTCGTGTTGGAATTAAGGCACTCCTCACTGCAAGCTCTCAATAAATTCTGGTCTGTTTGTTGGAGTCCTGCTAAATTATATCTGAAAATGGGGCTTTTTGAGACATGCGAGTAATAGGCATCTGTCTTTCAAAAACTGGTTACGTAGTTAGCACCAGATGCTAAAACTGGTGAGTGAAAAATGCGGAATATGATGAAGAAGATGAAAGAGGATGAGTCTCTGGAACTTGGGGGGATCTTCCTGAAGCAAGTGTACCTGTGTTCGAGTTGGTAAATCAATATGGAAAGATGCTTTGCTATTCTCTCTCTACGTGCCCTTTCATCTCCTGAGCTGAAGGTATTCTGTTTGTGCTTTGAGATTATTTTCATATCACATTTAATGCTTTTTTCAAAAACATTTTTTCTTTGAAATAATTTTAAATACACAGAAATATGCAAAGATACTACAGAAAGCTTTAGATATCTTTGAATTACATGCAATGTAATAGATTATGTAACCATGAGCCCTAAAAAACAGTTGGCACAAAACTATTTATTGAAGTATAGGCTTTTTCCATATTTTACTAGGCTTTTAAGTAATGTCATTTTTCTGTCCAGGATACCACATTGCATTGACTGTCAGGTGTATTATTTACTGCTGAATAATAAATTCTCACACACTGAGTGGCTCTTACTCACAGTTTCTCTGTATCATGAATCCAGATGTAGAGGATGGCCAAGGACGAGGTCTCAAGCGAAGGTTCAGTTGGGGAAGGCTCCTCTTCCAAGTTCGTGTGATTGTTGTTAGGAGTCAAGGCCCTGTGCTGGTTGAGATGACTTCACTGGTGAACTATTCTAAACCTGAAAATAATTAATAACAATCTATCACAAACTCTTCATAAAAACTTAAACAACAGTAAAAGTGGAGAAGAGATCACTTCCTGATGTATACTATTAGTTTACACTGATATTAAAACTAAAGCAAGACATCTCAAGAAAGAAAAATTAAGACCAATATCTTTTATAAATAGAGGGTAAATGTCTTCAATAAAATGCTAGCAATACAAATCAGCAAATGTAAAAAGAATTATACACCATCACCAATGGTATTTGTCCCAGGAATGCAAATTTGGTTCAACATACAAAATAATTAGTGTCATGACCTATAAGAATAAAATAAAAAACAAAAGCCATATGATCATCTCAAAAGATGCAGGAAAGGCACCTGACAAATCTAAAATCCATTTTTGATAACAGTATACAACAAATTAAGCCTATAAGGAAAGTTTCTTTATTTTAAAGGGCATCCATGAAAAACTCAGTATCATCATAATTTAATTTAAAGGCTCAATAATAGCATAAACTTGGACATACAGATCAAAGGAATATGGTAGAATTGAATGTCCAAAAATTAATCTTTACCTTTATAGTCAAATGATTTTATAAGTCTGCCAAGCCAATTCAATATGGAAAAATATATTTTAACAAATGTTGCTAGGACAATTGAATATCCACAAGGAAGTTGAACTTCTCACTCACACCATATACATAATTGGCTCAAAGTAATCATATATCCAAATGTAAGAGCTAAATAGACCAAACCCTTAGAAGATAATATAGAAATACATAATTTGGGTCTTAGCTTAAACAATAACTCCTATAATTTCTAAGATATGATACTTAAAGCCCAAGAAAAGGAAATTAAAAAATGAATATATTTAACTTTGTAAGAATTAAAAATTTCTGAGATTCAAAGTACATAATTAAAAGTGAAAAGATAACACAAAGAATAGAAGAAAATCTTCACAATCACATAGCAGAAAAGAATATATTAGCCACAATATATAAAATATTTTACAACTCAAAATAAAAAGGCAAATATCACAATCAAATTGGTGAACTATCTGAATAGACATGTATCCAAAGATACTATAGTCACATCTAGTAAGCACATGATATGAGGCCTAAGTCTTTTGTCATTAGGAAAATGCAACTCTAAACAACCATGAGATACATTTCACAAATCTAAAGGGTATATTGCAAAAAAAAAGTAAATTTAAAAAGGCAAAATACTTTGTGTGGTTTCGGTTATGTGACACTCTGCAATGTGAAAAAGCATAGAGATAATAAAATGTTTGGTATTTACTAGGAGCTTGGAAAAGAGGCAGGCCAAATTGGTGAGGTACAGCAGATTTGCTCTAGGCAGTGAAATTATTCTGGTATCATACTGTAATGATAAATACGTGATTATATTTTACAAATCCTAAATAACTTTGTAATACAAAAAGTGAACTTAAAATATAGAAATTAAAACCCTTCTACAGTAGGTAGCAGATAGCATGGGGCTATACACATAATAGAATTAAATAACACATCAGTGAAATAACCTCACTGAATGGAGGGGGGAAAGCAGCTGACCCAAGGAACGTAGCAAGTAAGTGGATATTCTGAGTCTAAAGGGTAAAGATTTATCCCTAAAAACTTTAGTTGGTAAAGTTCTTTCTCATGGCCATATACATTTCTAATTCTGAAACCACTTATACAAGTCTTTTGGATTATGTGATTAAATAACAGAAGCATCTTTATCACTGTTAGTGTGGTAGGCTACACACAAGTAAGCGGGAATAGGTGCAGTGATTCACGTGGTACTGGATTAGATCATGGGGTGCTGGAGGATTATTAGGAATTCATGTTTAACTTAAAGATACAGATATATGAGAAAATATTTGTGTGTGTGTGTGTGTTTCTGTGTGTGTGTGTGTGAATCAGTGTACATAGATGTATTTGCTCTGTCAGCACACAAGATCACGAATCAACAGATGCCCCAGGAGCAATGAATATGTCAAGAGCCCAGATCTCCATTTCTCATTCAATTTTCCAATAAGAAGAACTAGGGCTCTGTGGAAAAAATGGTTAATACCAGGCTTGTGAGGAAATCCACACAATTAGCTTAAGCACCTAGTAGTGCCAGAAAAAATAAAACGCCAAACAACAGAGCAAACAACTAACCAACCACATAACAATAGCAAAGCTTCATTATGGTAGTGTTTCAAAATGACAAACGATCCAACTGAAAGACCTTCCAATAGCCAACACTGCAACAATTTAAACAAATAAATGAAGTAGTAGAAGGAAAGAGTAAAACAAATATCCATGTTTGCATACTGACAAAAATGACTGCATAAATATAACGATTATTGGAGGAGAATAGACACTTTCAGGATGAAAGGTCCAAATAACTTTTGGTAAACATTCTGCTCATAAAGTGGAGCATTTTTTGTTTTGTTTGTTTTTTTTTTTCAAGATGGCAGATTGGAGACTTTGTTAGTGTGCCTCACCTGCTTAGAAAGAGCAAAATAGTGTCTAGAGATTCACACTGTGAATTTGTATCCAACAATCACAGGAACTCAACAGAAGAAGTGAAAGAACCTTTGGATACTTTGAAAGGAGCAGCAGGCAGCAACTTGCACCATGTGTCAGATGGGAAATTGAGGCTTCAGAGTGCGAAAGGGGGAGACTCTCTCTGTGATACATTCCCACTGGGGAACCAGGCAGTCCAGGTCACAGGGAAGTGCCTTAACCCTGCCCAGCACTGGAGCTGACTTACAGAGGAGGGGACCATGAAAGAAGGAGTGGCACCTGGGTGTGCTGCGTGTGCACTCCCAGATCCCAGCAGGCACAGAAGGAAGATATTCCTGACCCTGATTCATAGAAGATCTTGCAGAAATCAGCGAAGTAACCCAGGCAGCAGTCACGCACTGAAAGAAGCTCCCAACTGAGGGAGAAGCTGACCAACTAAGATTTGTATTTGATCTAATATTGAGCAGCGGATGAACCCCTTAAGGCCCGAACCAAGGGGCATGCAGGAAGCTTTCTTGTGCCAGGGTCATGGGAGCTGGGTACTGCTGCTTCACATGTCAAATCAAGGGGTGTGGCCTCAGAGCTACCGTTTCAGTTTCAGTCTCCAGTGGGAAGTCTTGCAGCCTGGGGCAGGTTTGTGTTCTCAGCCTAGACTGCCTGGGACTTAGCTGGCTATTGTGGGTGTTTGCCAGCAGAGGTCTGCATGTGTAAGACCTTCTGTGTCAAGGTCATGGGAATTGACCTGCCACTTGCTACCCCTCTCTCCGTACAGACTCTCATGTGGCAGAGGGTGTTCTCCTCCCTGGAACACTATCCCAGTGGTCAGGGAACTGTCCACTGACCCCCATTGTGGCTTCTGCTTACACTCACACTTGGAGAGGCAGAGTATGGACTGTCCTGACCCAGCCCACACTCGGCTTTGCCCCTCTACCTGTCCTAGTAGCAGAATAGGAACAGGGACTTCTTAGAATTCCGTGTCACTTCCCATCAGCTGACTACTTCCCCTGGGTAACAAAGGTTAAGCATAAATCCCACCACCATGACTGCATCTGGCTCTCTCCTGCAATTGCCACCTTCTGGTCCAAGGTCAATCAACACAGTCCATTACAACATCTGCCGGCATATTAACATGATACTGGTATAAATGTAGACATACAGACCAGAGGAACAGAACAGAGACCCCAGAAATGAAGCCAAATACTTACGATTAACTGATTTTCAACAGAACAGACAAAAACATAACTGATGAATGAACACCCCATTCAACAAAAGGTGCTGGGAAAATAAGATAGCCACATGCGGAAGAATGAAACTGGATCCATATCTGTCACCATATATAAAAATTAACTCAAGATGGATTAAAGACTTAAATGTAAGACATGAAACCGTAAAGACATTGGCCTAGACAAACCTAAGACCCCGAAAGCAACTACAACATAAACAAAAACAAATAAATGGGACTTAGCGAAACTGAAAAGCTTCTGCACAGCAAAAGAAATAATCGACGGAATAAAGAAACAACCTACAGAATGGGAGAAAATATTTGGAAACTGTCCATCCAACAAAGGACTAACCCAGAATCTACAAGAAACACAAACAAATCAGCAAGAAAAAAATAAATAACCCCATTAAAAAGTGGGGAGATGACATGAACAGGCAAAAGAAGATACACAAATGGCCAGCAAACATATGAAAAAAAAATGCTCAACATCACTGATCATCAGGGAATGCAAATTAACACCATAATGCGATACCAATCTTACCCTAGTCAGAAGGACCATTATGAAAAAGTCAATAAATGATAGACATTGGTGTGGATGAGGTGAAAAGGGAATGCTTAGACACCCTTGGTGGGAATGTAAATTAGTACAACCTGTATGGTAAACAGTATGGAGATTTCTCAATGAACTTTTAAAAGCAGAGCTACCATTCAATCTAGCAATCCCACCACTGGGCATGGACCCAAATGAAAAGAAGTCATTCTATCAGTCCCCACCTCCAGTCTTCCTGGACCCTGCAATTCGGGGGTTTCAGGCTCGGGACAAGTGCAGGGTTCTCCATAAAGGCAGCCTCGGTGGTGGACCCGACCCCTTGCAGCCCCACAGAGAGGGAGCGGAGGGGCGCGTTCTGCAGCCTGCTGCACAGGATAAAAGGTAAATTCCACCTGGTGAGCAGAAGGCGCCTGTGGCAGCTCCGCTGGGGCTGGGGGAGTACAGGCGAGAGTGGCTGGCGGCCTGGCACACAAGTGTATGCAGAGCACATGCTCAGAAAACTGGGGCAGACAGGCAAAGGTGGTGGTCGCAGAGACTTTGGTTCAGGGGCTCAACACGCCGGCCAGGGATGTGGCCCATCACCTAGTCTCTGGAAGCACTTTATGCTCCTCACTCGGCTTCCTGTTACAAATCGTGACAATATATTTCAGAGGACCTGGGGGAAATTCGCCCTCTTGGCACCATCAGGTCGGTTCTCTGTGGCGTTCCGCTGGGGAAGGGAGGAAGTCCCCACAGATGGTGTGAAGGAGGGGTGCCCGACCTCAGGCTTGGCACATGGGTGAGCTCCACTTCCCGGCCCCAAAGCCCTTATTGCATCTGCTGCAGACTCCGTCAGACTGGGCACGGTGATCCAAGAGTTCACCCAAGTGAGAAATCCGGGTTAAGGTAGGTGTTGCTGCCCAGCGGGAGACCAGAGCCTGCCTTCTTCCTGGGCCTGAGGGAAGTGACATGGCCATTGCCAGGGCTGGGGTCCAGAGAAGGCTGTTTCTGGTGTCACTGTGCTCTGTGCCAAGTAGGGAGAAATGTTTTTAAGGAGTTGACAACAACTCCTGAGAAAGCATTTCAGTGGTTACTGGAGGACTTGCACTCTGGAAATGCAGAGAACCCAGGACTGCTGCCAGGAATAACTAGGTGATTACACACGAGACGGCAGACAGAGCCTGGCTCATTTCAGTACTCTGCATGGGTTAGTTGCCACCATCAGCTGTGATGGGAACATGTGGTGATTGCTTCACAAGATGACAGTGGCCCTGAGGAGTCTGGAGACTGGGAGGTCCCAGATCAAGGCGCCAGCAGGTTTGGTGTCTGGAGACAGCCCACTTCCTGGCTTACAGTCAGTGGGCTTCTCTTGTGCTGGCATCTCTCTCACTCCTAGGCCAGGCTCCTTCTGCAACCAATCGTTAGCTGCCAACCCCTAAGGGCCAGACAATACATTTACAAATTACAACCTGGCACATCCAAGGTAGCAGGAGGAGAAAGAGCAACTTTTTGTCTTGGAAGCCAAGCTTCGTTGTTGGCTGGCACCCAATGTGCATTTCAGGTTTTTACGGTTCCTTGTCTGAGGTTATTGTAGCTGATTCCCAGGGTATCCTAATCTAAGAAGCAGTGAGTGAGCAGTGAGTTGGAAGCAGTCAGTGAGCCTGAACTTTGCTAACTGGAAGGACTGGCTGTCCCCTCCCCTTACCTTCCAGTCTCTCTCCCTGACTGCCCTGTACAAGACAGCCCCACCTGAAATAACTGAAGGCACTTCAGTTCTGTGTTGCTTTTCCTTGCAAAACATGGGTAAGATCTTAAAAAGATCCTGGAAGTGTGTCTCTGTGGCATGCATCGAGGTACGTATCCTTCCTTGAGGTGTGTTAGTTTCATCTTTCAGTACTCAGAGTTGTCTGCATATTGCCAGGGAGGGAGGAGGTGCCAAACCCTGTGCTCAGCCAGGATGCCCTGGCCTGGCCACGCCTTCTGAGGCTTCCACAGACCTAAGAGGGACTAAGAGCTGGGGTCAAAATGTTCCTGTCACTGACGCCCTGCTTCCAGAAAAGAGATCCAGAAGGAAAAAGAAAAGATGTTGGGACCTTTTTTTTTTCTTTTCCTAGCCACATCTTTTGGGGGTTGGGGTGGGACAAAATAAACCTATGTTCAAGAAGACAGTCTATGCTGAAAATGACACACAGTGTAACCACCCAATGGATTCACCTTGCCTGCTGCCTAAAAGAGTTGATTTATCAAGACAGGAAAATTGCAATAGACAAAGAGTAATTCACAGAAAGCCAACTGTGTAGGAGACTGGAGGAGTTTTATTATTACTCAAATCAGTCTCCCAGGACATTCAGGTATCAGTGTTTTAAAGGATAATTTGGTGGGTGGGGGAAGGCCAGTGAGTTTGGAGTTCTGATTGGTCACATCATAGATGGAATCACAGGGAGTCCAAGCTGTCCTCGTATGCTGACTCAGTTCCTAGGTGGAGGCCACAAGATCAGATCAGGCAGTTTATCCACCAGGGTTGTGCCAGCTGATCCATCAAGTGCAGGGGCTGCAAAATACCTCAAGCACTGATCTTTGGAGCAGTTTAGGGAGGGTCAGAATCTTGTAGCCTCCAGCTGCATGACTCCTAAGCCATAATTTCTAATCATGTGGCTAATTTGTTAGTCATACAAAGGCAGTATAGGCCCTAGGTAAGAAAGAGGTTTGAGAAAGGACTGTTATTGTCTTTGTTTTAAACTATAAGCTGTAAAGTAAGTTCCTCCCAAAGTTAGTTTAACTTTGCCCAGGAAGGAACAAGGGCTGCTTAAAAGGTTAGAAGCAAGACGGAGTCGGTTAGGTTAGATCTCTTTCACTGTCTCAGTGCAGGTGGATCACTTGAGCCCAGGAGTTCCAGACCAGCCTGGCCAACAAGGCAAAACCCCATTTTTACTAAAAATACAAAAATTAGCCAGGTGTGTCACACCTGCAGTCCCAGCTCCTCAGCGGCTGAGGCACAAGAATTCCTTGAACCCAGGAGGCAGTGGTTGCAGTGAGATGAGATTGGGCCACTGCTCTCCAGCCTGTAGGACAAAGTGAGACCCTGTCTCTCTCTCTCTCTCTCTCTCTCTCTCTCTCACACACACACACACACACACACACACACACACACAGTCATTCTATCAAAAAGACACTTACACTTCTAGGTTTATCACAGCACAATTCACAATTGCAAAAATACGAAATCAATCTAAGTGCCCATCAACCAATTAGTGGATAAAGAAAATGTGTGTGTGTGTGTGTGTGTGTGTGTGTGTGTGTGTATGTATGTATGTATATTACAGAATACTACTCAGCCATATAAAAGAACAAAATAATGTTTTTTCAAAGCAATTTTGCCATTATCACAATTGAAATAACTCAGGAGCAGAAAACCAAATACCGCAGGTTCTCACTTACAAGTTTGGGGTAAGCAATGGATATGCAGGAGCATGCAGAGGGGGATCATGGACATTAAAGATTCTGAAAGGAGGAGGGTTGGAGGTGAGTGAGGGATAAAAAATTACCTATGAGGTAAAATGTACACTATTCGGGTGACAGGTATGCTAAAAGCCCCAGACTTCACCACTGTACAATTCATGCATTTAACCAAAAACTACATGTAATCCCAAAGCTATTGAAATTTTAATAAATTTATTTCAAAGAAAAAGCAGTGGTGTATGATTCTCCAAGTACTGAGTGTTTGTTGTATATAGTGACTTTTCTTTATGCACACAACATGAAAAGGGAGAAAAAGAATAATTTTACGGAAGAGATTTTTAGAATGAAAAGATTTTTATCCAGGTGATCAAATTAACATCAACAGTGATAAAGCCTGTTGACAGCTTGTGCCCTGGATATTATGTGATAGGAATGGTACTTTTCATCTATATTCTTCCTCCCTTAAGCCCAGAAGTCCAGTCTCATCATGAGAGAAACAGCAGAGAAATCCCAAATTAGAAACGTCAATGGCATGAAAAACAAGGAAACGCTGAGAAACTATCACATTCAATGGAGCCTATGAAGCCATAATATCTAAATGTGACGACTTATCCTAGAAGAGATCCTAAAACATAATCTTAACATTAAGCAAAAACTAAAAAATGAGAATAAAGTATGTATAGTACTCAATGACAATACATGAGATTGGTTGGTTAATTCTGACAAATGTTTCACGCTATGAGATTAATAATAAAGGACACTGTGCATGGAGTATATGGAAACTCTCTACTAGATTTGCAACTATTCTGTAAATGTAAAACCATAGAACCGTTTTTTGTTGTTGTTTTTGTTTTTTGTTTTTTTTTTGAGACAGAGTCTCCCTCTGTTGCCAGGCTGGAGTGCAGTGGCATGATCTCAGCTTACTACAATCCCCGCCTCCTGGGGTCAAGTGATTCTCCTGTCTCAGACTCCTGAGTAGCTGGGATTACAATCGTCCACCACCATGCCAGGCTAATTTTTTGTATTTTTACTAGAGACAGGGTTTTGCCATGTTGGTCTCGAACTCCTGACCTCAGGTAATCTGCCCGCCTCAGTCTCCTAAAGTGCTGGGATTACAGGCGTGAGCCACTGTGCCTGGCCTTGGAAAACCATTGTTTAAAACTTGTTATTTTTGTTGTTGTTAATGTCACTCCCAAGCTTAAAAAAACCAATGATTAGCAATATTGTTGATACCTCCTTTGTGCATCTCCTTAATTTCTCAGTTTTCCTTAAGCACTGAACTTAACTATATTGTGAATTGTCATTCCATACTTTAAAAATAGTTTTTCCTCTTTGAGTATTTCTGAATACTATATTCTTTAGGGCTTTTTTGTCTTCAGATTTAAGTGAAGTTATTTCATTCATTAATATTCCTAGTTTAATCATGAGAAAACATCAGCTGAAACCATATCGTGGGACATCCTATTAAATACCTGACTGGTACTTTTCAAAAGGGTCAAGGTCATGAAAAAGAAGTGAAGGCCAGGAAACTGTTTCATATAGGAGAATACCTGATGTGTCAGGTAGACTCTAAGTTGGTGCCCATTTATCCCCACCTTCTCATATACACAACCTTCTACTGTAATCCCATCCAAGTGACTCTAAGCAGGAATTGAGACTTGCTTCGAAACAATAGAATAGTGCAAAGGTATAGAAGTGTCACTGGGATTCTTATATATGATTATGATTTTGGTCTTGCTAGAGATGTCTCTCTTGATGGATTTTATGAAGCCATGTGAGAGAAGCCCCCTTGGCAAGGCACTTTATTTAGCCAATGGCCAACAGCCAGGAAGGTAAGAGGCTTTTTGTGCAATGCACTGTTCTACAGTTGGAAACATTATATTTAAAACTAACCATACTGCCCAAAGAAGTTTACAGATTAAATGCCGTTCCTACCAAACTACTAAGGACATTCTTCACAGAACTAGAAAAAAACTGTGTTAAAACTCATATGGAACCAAAAGAGAGCCCCAATAGCCAAGGCAATCATAAACAAAAAGAACAAAGGTGGAGGCATCATGTTATCTAACTTCAAACTATACTACAGGGATAAAGTAACCAAACAGCATGGTGCTGCTATAACAGCAGGCACATAGACCACCTGAACAGAATAGAGAGCCTAGAAATAAGGCCGCACACTTATGACCATCTGACCTTTGACAAAGCTAACAAAAACAAGCAATGGGGAAAAGACTCTCTAATCAATGAACGGTACTGGGAGAACTAGCTAGCCATATGCAGAAGACTGAAACTGGACCCCTTCCTTACACCATATACAAAAATTAACTCAAGATGGATTAAAGACTTAAATGTAAAACCCTAAATTATAAAAACCCTGGAAGACAACCTAGGCAATACCATCCTGGATATAGGAATAGGCAAAGATTTCATAATAAAAACTCTGAAAGCAATCACAACAAAAGCAAATATTGGCAAATGTGATCCAATTAAACTGAAGAGCTTTGCACAGCAAAAGAAATTATCATCAGAGTGAACAGACAAACTACAGAATGGGAGAAAATATTTGCAGACTATGCATCTGATGAAAGTATAATATCCAGCATCTATAAAAAACTTAAACAAATTTACGAGAGAAAAACAAACAACCGCATTAAAAAGTAGGCAAAGCACCGGGCGCATTGGCTCACGCATGTAATCCCAGCACTTTGGGAGGCCAGGTTGGGCGGATCATGAGGTCAGTAGATCGAGACCATCCTGGCTAACATGGTGAAACCTCGTCTTTACTAAAAATATAAAAAATCAGCCAGGTGTGATGGCATGTACCTGTAGTCCCAGCCACTTGGGAGGGGGAGACAGGAGAATCGCTTGAACCCGGGAGGCGGAGGTTGCAGTGAGCCGAGATTGCACCACTGCACTCCAGCTTGGGCAACAGAGTGAGACCCGGTCCCAGAAAAGAAAAAAAATAGTGGCAAAGAATAAGAACAGACAATTTTCAAAACAGGACACACATGCGGCCAACAAGCATATGAATAAAAGCTCAATATCATTGATCATTAGAGAAATGCAAATCAAAACCACAATGAGATACCATCTCACACCAGTCAGAATGGCTATTATTAAAAAGTCAAAATAACAGATGCTGGTGAGGTTGCAGATAAAAAGGATCACTTACACACTGTTGGTAGGAGTGTAAGTTCATTCAACCATTGTGGAAAGCAATATGTCAATTCCTCAAAGAGCTAAAATCAGAACTACCATTCAACTCTGCAATCCCATTACAGGGTATACACCCAGAGGAATAGAAATCATTCTTCCAAAAAGACACATCCACATGAATGTTCACTGGAGCACTACTTACAAGAAAAAAGACATGGAATCAACTTAAATGCCCATCAATGACAGGATGGATAAAGAAAATGTGATACATATATATCATGGAATACTATGTAGCTGAAAAAAAAATGAGATCATGTCTTTTACAGGAACATGAATGGAGCTAGAAGGTATTATCCTTAGCAAACTAACACAGGAGCAGAATACCAAATTATCACATATTCTCACTTTTAAGTGGGAGCTAAATGATGAGAACTCATGAACACAAAGAACAGAACAAAGGTCACTGGGGCCAACTTGTAAGTGAAGGGTAGAAGGAGGGAGAGGAGCAGAAAAAGTAAATATTGGGTAGTAGGCTTAGTACCTGGGTAATAAAATGATCTGTACAATAAACCTCCATTACACAAGATTACCTATATAACAAAACTATACATGTATCCACAAACCTAAATTTAAATATATACAGTTAAAAAAATCAAAATCATATAAAAACTATAAAAAATAAAAAAAACTAAACTGACCTACTTTTCAAGTAAAGTTATATTGCTTAACAGTTACTGTATCTTATAACAAATAATCCTAATTCCTTTCTCCTGTCCTTTGCATTATTGCTGATATCCACTTCATATATATATGTGTGTATATATATACATATACACGCACACATACAAACACACATGCACATGTGCATATATCCGTACACATATATACTTATACATAAGCTATATCCATAGGCTTATATTATTTAATAATTTTTCTATTATTTTCAAGAAATTGTTTTCTCTTATAATTAGCTAAGATTATAAAAATGTTAAACCAAGAAAAAGTTAAAATTATATATAACTCATATTTTTAGAAATGCGAGAGACGGAAAAATATAAAATGCTCAATGAGAACCACGAAAGGCATAAAATGAATGGAAGATGAAAATAGGAAGAAGGAACAAGGACAACAAATCGAAAATATTGACAAATATGATAAATATTAATCCAACTATATCGCTTACCACTTTGAATGTCAGTGGTCTAACTGCACCAAGTAAAAGACACAGATTTACAAAATGAATCAAAAAACAAGACACAACTGTTATTTATAAGCCCAACCCAAATATAAAGACAAATAAAAGTAAATGAATGGAACAAAATGTACGATGCTAACTCTAATCAAAGTAAACAAGAGGAGCTATATGAATTACAGGCAGAGCAGACTTCAAAGCAAGAAAAGTTATCAGGAATAAAGAAGGGCATTACATAGAGATGAAGAGCCATTCTTCCAAGAAGATGTCATAATTCTTAAAGCCTATGAGCCTGATAACAGAGCATAAACTATGAGGCAGAAATCAACAGAACCACAAGGAAAAAGATGAATTCAGTATTATAGTTGGAAACGTTAACACCCTATATCAGATACGGACAGATCTAGCAGGCAGTAATTCAGGAGGGAAAAGCTGAACTCAACAGCACCAACAAGCAACTGGGCATAACTGACACCTACAGTCTCCTTCCCTCAACTACTCCAGAGGACACATTCTTCTTAAGCTCACATGGAATATTCAGCAAAATGTGCCACATTCTGGGACAAAAAATACCCCAACAATTTTTAAAAAGTAAATCATACAATGTCACCTGTCAGACCACAGTGGAATTAAAATAGAAATCAAAGGATGACTGGAATGATAACTGTAATATCCCAAAATGCATTGAGATTAAACAACACACTTCCATATAACATATTGGTCAAAGAAGATATCTCCAGCGAAATTTTTTTAAATTAACTAAATGAAAATAAAAGCACAATTTATCAAAATTTGTAGGATGAAAGGAAAGCAGAACATATAGGCAAATAAATACCATTGAACACATATATAGGAAATGACGAAAAGACCAAAAATCTGTCATCTGTGTTTCCACCTTTGGAACCTAGAAAAGGAAGAATATATTAAATCTAAAGTCAGTAAAAGAAAAGCGATAACGTTGTTAACAGACTAAAACAAAGGAAAAGTTAAAGCAACTGGATTTTTCAAACACATATTATCTTAATAGTTCTCAGAACACAGAGGCACCCAAAATTAACAGGGCAAACAAAGCACCCCAACACCCCCCTTGCTTACGGGTATGCAGCCATGACCCCCTCAGAAATGGGAACCTCAGGATTTAGAAATGATCAGTCTCGGGCTACTGAGGCCGGGCAGTATCATTTCCTCCGAAGTCACGCTGTACATTTTAGAATAGCTAAATAATAGATTTTTAGTGTTCTCACCATAAAGTATTAGCTGGTGAGTTGATGCCCATGTTAATTAGCTTGATTGAATCTTCCCCAATGAATACAAGAATCAAAATATCACACTGTTATCCATAAATATACGCAATGTGTCAACTAAGTTTTGGTAAAATCTGTATCTATGAATAATTCACAAATAGGAAACGTAGGTAAGTAACAATTGTTATGTCCATAATATAAAAGGGCATATGTGACAGAAAGCAAGGTTTTTAAATGTACGTTACGGTCTGGGAAACACGGAGAAATCCTGAGGTTTGAAGAAGAACAAACAGGGACGACGACACAGGCAGGCACCGCCGCAGGAACAAGCGCGCGTTCGCAGAGAAGCGACCAGAAAGCCCAACGCGCACCCGGCAGACATCCGCCCTGAGTTCTCCTGTAGATCTCACCGCCCTCTCCCCCTGTCAGCCGCGCCCTCTGATCACCGCCCTCCACCTTCCTCCCTCACTCCCTGTCAGCCTCGCCCTCCACCCGCGGCCCTCACGCCCCACGTGGGCCTGGCTCCCGCCCCCAAGCCCAGCCTGCGCGGCAGCCTCCGGTTCCCCTCACTGCGCAGCTGCGACCCCCGCACCGGCACTTCCCTTCAGGCTGCTCCCACCATCACCTGTGTGGGCGCCAGGTGGAGAGGAGCCTGCAGATCCGAGTTTTCTCCTCCATGGATCCCACCCTACACCTGCAAAAGGACTGAGGGGGCAGAAACCTGCCCTGGCGGGGAAGTGAGGGTCTGAGCGATGGAGAAAAGGCGGCGAACAAGAGCAGCCCCATGAGCCCTGCAGTCAGGCAGCCGGGGGTCCTCTTTGCTCTTCTCCACCCTCCTTTCTCCCAGACACACGCCCCCCTGGCCCCGCCCAGGAGCCTCCCCGGGGGACAGGGCCCACTCACTCCTCAACGTCCTTCCCATAGGCTGAGCTCATGGGCTGGGGTAACATCTCAGGGAAACAAACCCAGACATTCGAATCCCTCCCCACAGAGCGCAGTCCTCAGGGAGCGGCCCTCCCTGCCTCCCCTGCCCAGTCCCTCCGTGGTCTGCCCTTCCTGCTCCTGCTTCCTCACCAATTACTCATCCCAGCGCTCCTTCCAATCCACTGACCTCTTCTCATGGCCTGGCCTGTGCCAGGCACACACGTTTTCCTCCTCGCTTTCCCTCCCCTGTCTCCTGGACCCACTGCGCCTCACTCTCCAGCATCTCCTCCAATGTTCCTCCTCCTGGAGGCTTCCCCTGTCCATCCCACCCCAGGCCTGAAACCTGTCCTCTCAGTTCCCAAGGGTAGCTCTTCCACCTTATAGTTTAATTTTTGTCAAGTTTTCTGAAACCCTATTGGACAGAAGCATCACAGAACATGGCAACTTTGTCTATGGTGTCTCTGAGCCCCACACATGTCCTGGACAGAAAGCAACTCTGAAAATTCTCTGGTAATCTATAAAAGTATAAATCAGTTTTAAAAGATTATTATCTGATAGAAGAAAATAAACTGAAGTTCCCATTTCTTTTCTACAGACGATAATCGGAAAACATTTGCTGTGTGCAGTTGTATGCACAGATTTTCGGAGTGGCTTTTTTTTTTTTTTTAACTGAAGAAGCAGTTTTGGTATTTACTCATCAAAGAGTAAGAGAAGAATACACACCTATATTATGAGCCATAAGTATAAGGAAATGTCTTGCAGACGTTTACAAATACTATGTAGAAGGAATCAGAGATTCAAGCCAGTATCTATAAATTTCAGGTAAAAGAAAAACAATATGCTGAAGTTTATTTGTGCTTATTAACAAAATAACTGGTCTTTGTGTGCTGGAAGGGAGTCTTGATATTCCATCTATTCAAATTAATGCTTTTGAACCTTGCAAATTAGAACAAACTAAGCCATATACGAAACCCTTTTTAAGTATGAGTCTCTAGCAAATTTTGTCTTGTGGTTCCTAGCAAACTTTCTGCACCTCTTCAACTAGGAGTATTTCAGATGAAATTTGTGGAAAACAATTATAGACAATGGGTGATATTTCCATTAATTTAATGAAGAGTGATAAAATATAAAAATAAAGATATTTTGAAAAATGATTATGAATAATTAAACAAAATAAAAGGCATTAATACACACTACAAAAATTTAAATTTGGTCATACATGATGTTTATGTGATGATTAAAAAGTACGTTGACACAGAAAGGGTCAAAGGCCTTTGCACACCAAAACAAACACTGTTTCATTTGTTCAAAACAAATACTGTGTCATTTGTTTTCAGACAGCAAACAGAATGATTCTTTGACACACTCAATCTTTCCCAGAAATAACCGAATTCCCCAACCAACACCAGAGTAGAGCAAGAAAATGTTGGTGTTTCCCATGAAGACACCACAGAGACAGACTCAACTCTCCTGCATCTACCTAGGCACTGTCTTGGATAGACGTGGTCTGGAGGAGGTAAATCTTGCCTAGTGAGTTGTCTGTGTCTGTGCAGGAAGCACCCAAGGATGTTTGTTTTGGAAAAATACAAAAGTATAAATTTGGTTGTACATGATGGCTATGTGACCAAGAAAAGAGTGTTTCCTTGTGTTTAACACACAAGTTTTAAACACATTTGTACACAAAACCAAAAACCAAGATGTAACATTACAGTGCCAGGACTGAAGGGGAAATGTGCCATGGGTCAGAAAGAAGAATGATTATTTAACAAATTCATGCTCATACAAAATAACTGAATTCGCCACCCCACCCAACAGGGGCTCCTCCCCTTGTGCATGCAGACCCCACAGAGAGGTTCTGATCTCAGGGCTCCCTGCTGGTCCTGCCTTTGATGTGCATCGTCTGGAGGAGGAGCCCCATGTCCACAGCATCATCTACAGCAAGGCAGGAGGCACCCGGGGCTGCATCTCCAGGTTTTCCCACCACCTGCTGTTGTTGAAGGTATGAAATACATAAACTGAGGAGTGGTGTTCACAGATCTTATAAGATTAACAACGATAGACTGGATTAAGAAAATGTGGCACATATACACCAAGGAATACTATGCAGCCATAAAAAATGATGAGTTCATGTCCTTTGTAGGGACATGGATGAAACTGGAAACCATCATTCTTAGCAAACTATCGCAAGGACAAAAACCAAACACCACATGTTCTCACTCATAGGTGGGAATTGAACAATGAGAACACATGGACACAGGAAGGGGAACATCACACACCGGGGACTGCTATGGGGTGGGAGGAGGGGGGAGGGATAGCATTAGGAGATATACCTAATGCTAAATGACGAGTTAATGGGTACAGCACACCAACATGGCACATGTATACATATGTAACAAACCTGCATGTTGTGCACATGTACCCTAAAACTTAATGTACAATAATAATAAAATTAAAAAATAAATAAATAAATAATAAAAAAGAAAACAAAAAAAAGATTAACAAAGACATTACAGACATAAGAGACAACAATGATATTCTAAAACTCTAAAGCCACTGATTGATTCAAAGTCCAGCTGAAAGTATTGGTGTAGGTGAAAGGCATGTAGATTTTTAATCTTCTTTCACTTCATTATGGAAAGGCACAGTCATTAAGAGAATGGTCACTAAATTATTGTATTAAATGAAGTCTGTTAGCAACTAAGAAACTGTTGCATTTGCACAGAGACAGAGGAATAAACCAATGAAAAAATAAAACATCATAAATAGAGACGTGTATATGTGAACAAATCATTTGTAAGTCAATTAATGGGGACAGATTAATTTTTCTAAAACTATTCAAAAAACTGAATATTTATAAGGGAATTAAAATCTGACCTTTAACTTCATTTTACACACAAAATCAGGTGGATCACAGACATATATATATATATTTAGTACAGTATATATATATATATTTAGTACAATATGTAGAACACATAAGAAAATATCTTTGGGACTATGTGGTAGGGTAGGGTACCTGAAACTAGACCTAGAAAGCACTAATTCTACAAGAAAATATTCTACATATTCTACATAGTTGACTTGAGCAACGACTTTGGAGACAGAATGAATCAAACTCAAAGCACTTTTAATCCTTTCATGTAGTGCTTAGTGTCAGATTCAGAACTGGCCCGTGGCAGTGGTAACAGTGCTCACCTCTGGAAATGTCAGGTGGGTTTGTATAAAATAATATATAAAGCATGTAGTATAATATCACGTCTATACATATCATTAAGACTAATTTTTATAATAAGTTGTGAGATTTATCTTTTAGATTTATATATCAGAATGAAATAATAAAACCACTAATAAATAATGGAGCAAATATTTCTAATTCAAGTTTTATAATTATTTTAAATTTATATTATTTTAAATTTATATTATGTATAATTATTTTAAAAACTTTTCTCAACTAACATGTTTATATTTGTTTTATATCATTCCTGTGATTACATGAGACAGAACATATATGCAAAATACATTTACAAAGGTATTGCTAACACTTACTTCATTCAGAACAAACTCTCTGAATCACTTTCAACTCATCTTGTCCATGATTTTCCCCACAATATCATCTGTGCTAATCACAAGCACTGATAGTGCTGCATTTCTCATGGGACTCCTATGCTACTCTATGTAAGTTTATCTTTCCAGTCTCCTGACACCCTTCTGTAAGTTTTGATGCTTGATATAATTACCCAAAGATGTCTTTGGGGAGGTTTAGACCAAGTTCTTGTGTGTGTGCCAACGGACAACCACATCATGACTGCTTTCTGGCAATAATGTTATAACCCTTTCAAATAGAAGATGCATCTCTCCTTAAAAGATGTTCCCCTTCCTGTGTCCAACCAGTTAATGGGTGCAGTACACCAACATGGCACATGTATACATGTGTAATAAATCTGCACATTGTGCACATGTACCCTAAAAATTAAAGTACAATAATAATAAAATTAAAAAAAGAAAAAAAAAGATGTTAAATTGTGTACCAAAGAATTGTTTACACACTTTTTCTCTGTGACTGCCCACTTCTCAGTGTTAAATGGTGGTGGCTGAGGCAGGAGAATCACTTGAACCCCGGGGGCGGAGGTTGCAGTGAGGGGAGATCTCGCCACTTCACTCCAGCCTGGGCGAAACAGCAAACTCCAACTCAAAAAGAAAAAGAAAAAATCATGGTGGCTAATCTGCTATATTTTAGTCTGTTATTAAGTAAACATTGTTGTATATATTTTCACATTAATTTAACAATTCTATTTACATTCTACTTAGTTATTAGAAATATTAGACTTATTAGTAAAGTGCTGTAATTGTTTTATAAACTATGGTTCAAGAAATCTGTTGATGAGGAAGATATAAATTGTAGAGAGACACTTGAAATTTTTCCTGAAGTGCTAGTTTTCTAAAGACTAAGGAAAATCTATATTAAAAAAATTGTGTCCTAAAGTTAGTAATATAAGCAATGATCCCTGCAAGCTACATTACAAATTCAATTCTTTAATCTATAACATTCTTGATCTCTGTTTTTCTTCATTCTCATTCACCCTTTTAATCACACAAATGGTGATAATACATAGGCACTGTAGAAGCAGATGCATTGTGATCTTCATAAAATGCTTTGTTCTGCCCCCTTGCTACTCTGGCAAACTCTACTTTTGGACACTTGGATATTGAAATTAGTTTTCCTGTTTCCCTGGGAAAATATTAAGTGAAGAAGAAACTCATACAATTCATAATTTAGGACTTTGACTGAAATTTCACCTATAGTTTTAGACTGCAGGAAGGTTGAATTGCATGAACATGAAGTAATGATGTTAAATATATGGGCCATTCATCCACTGAACTACAACTCCTAATCAGGCTAGAGTGTGGAGACAGCATGTTGGGATGTTTGTCTTATATTGTGGTCTAAGACTTGGGTTTGTTTGCAGTGACATCTTTTTTTAGAATTGTGGTGGCCTTTGTGAATTTAGTGGCTTAGTATATTGTGGGAAATCATGCCTTCCATGCTGTTAAAGCACTTGTTTGGGCACTCAGTGCTCAGCACTCTGTCCTTTGTGTCCATGATAATATGTCAGTAGAGTTTTGTGTATAGTGCCTGTTTTCCTTTAAATTTGAGAACTCAGATCTCAATTATTGTGACCACCATGTGGTAGTCCTCATAACTCATGTCCAGGTCTAACTGTGGCTCATATGTGTCACTCTGGCCATTTTTTGGTCCATTTATTGGTGGGCAGAATATTCACAGTATGCATCATAATAGATCAAAAAGTATGCATTAAAATGAAGAGGAACAGAAGATCTGTCATTTAAGTACTGTACTATAGTATCTTCAGTTAAAATTTAAAAAATGGAATAAACCTCCTTTAAGATGTCAAATTTAAAAGAGGAGTCATGTCTTAAAGAGTAAAGTATATGGAACTTGGAAGACGTGGAAGGTTTCTTAAAGTACAGATGCTCAAATAACAGCACCTAAATCACTTCTATGCTGATATCAGAAGTGAAAAATGTGGTCGAGGTCAGTCATATCTCCCACTCTAGGTCTCCAGGCTGCAAGATCTCATTTTCTCATATAAGCTATCAATGTGCTATAGAGAATATGCCCCATGTTTACAGACCATCATAAAGGCAATAGTCTTGGCTTTGTCTATGTCTGTGTGAGTGCAGCATGCAGACTCATGGCTTGGGAGGCTTTGTAGGCATGGTTCTTTGGCACAACCCTGATGCTAACACCGCAGAGTGCCGTGAACTATGAGCAGGGACCTATGTGGGGGACAGCTGGACAGTTCTTCCTGCTGTGAGATTCTTTGTTTAGCCAGAACACGTGCAGAGTCACCATTTAGCCTGGGTCCATCTCTTAGATCACTGCATGGTGGGGGGAGATCTGTTACACACTGCTTTTTCTTGTATCTACTCAGCTTTCTCCAGCCATACACAGCATATACTGAATCACTCACATGACTTCACCTGCCAAAAACCAGTTGTCCACAGATTCATATCGAGGTCTTAGTAAGCAAGCATTGTCATCAACCACCATATTTAGAAGCATTGTTTGTGTGCCCTACTCACCTGCTGCCAGGATGACATTTATTCTGTGGTCTTTGACCTTGGAAATGGACAATATAATTCCAAGATGTGAAGAGCAACAGAATATATGGTCCCAAATAATTCATGACAAGAGAAATAGAAATTATCACAGTGATCTGATAATCAGTTGAAGAACAAATCTCTGTACCAAGGGAATTAAAACACTCTCCTGATTGTAGAAATACAATTTGTGTTCCCTGTCACTGACATTTTGCAATATCGGCTTCTAAGGTCCAGCAGTCATTTTTTCCAGAAAGGCTTTACTGGAATTATGTGAATAAACTGCCAGACAATGCCTGAAAATGGGGCATCCTGGGATATATGAGGAACAGGCACCTCTCTCTGAAGAAGTGGTTACTGACACTTGAAATGTTCGTGGATAATGAGTAGCATGATTTCAAAGACAAAAATGGATGAGAGTCCCCAGAGCTAACTGTGTTTAACTGAAGCAGGTGCACCTGGGTTCCGAATGGTGGATAGATTAGGAAAGCTGCACTGCTGTTCTTTCCCTACTTGCCCACCCCATCTCCTGAAACCAAGCTAATGTTCTTGTGTCTTTTTGTTGGTTTTTGTTTTGCACCAAAATATTATTTTAAAATTATTTTGAAATCATATTTGACTTACAGAAGGAGGTATATATAGTGCAGAGAGTTTCATATACCTTTCAGCTTAAAGGAATGTTAACACATTATATAACCATAGACTATTCATGAAAACTGAGAAATTGACAGTGTTATAAAACCATCAATGGAACTACAGACTTTCTTCATAGTTCTCCTCAGGTTTCCAATAATGTCACTTTTCTATTCCAGTATCTAATCTAGGATACCACATTACATTCAATGCCAGGTGTGTTACTTAGCTATTGTTGTATAACAAATTCCCACACAGCTGAGTGGCTGAAAAGCACATACACATTACTCACAGCTTCTCTTGGTCAGGAATCTAGATGTAGAAGATGGCCAAGGCTGAAGTCTCCCCTGAAGGCTCACGTGGGGAAGGATCCTCCCCAGGCTCACATGATTGTTGTTAGGATTTAATTCTGGTTCCATGTTAAGATGACTTCAATAGGAAATTATTTCATACCTTTAAAGAATTAATACAAATTCATTATGAATTCTCTAAAAACATTAAATAACAGCAATGACAGTGGTGAAGAGATCACTTCCCAATGCACACTATGAGGTATTTCATCCTCATACCACAATTAGACCAAAACATTTCAAGAAAGGAAAATTAAGACCAATATGCCTTATGAATAAAGAGGCAAAAATCCTTAAGGAAATAATAGCAAAACAAGTCAGCAACATGCAAAAAGTATTATACACTATGGCTAAGGGTATTTCCTCAGGAATGCAAATTTTGTTCAGCATACAATTCATGCACTGTATTAATGGAATAAAGCACAGAACCTGCACGATCATCTCAAAGACACAGAATAAGCACTAGACAAATCAAAAATGCATTCCGATAAAGATACGCAGCAAATAAGAACTGTAAAGAAGCTGTCTTCACTTTAAAGCATCCAAAAAAATAAAAACCCTCACATGATATAAAAGTTTTCTGAAAGGCTCAATACTTTCTCCAAGATTAGAAATAAGACAAGGAATTTCATTCTGGCCACATTTTTCCCCCACATTATGCTAGAGGATGTAGCAAGGACAATTAGTCTAGAAAAATGAATATAAGACATCTAGTATAAAAGAAAGTAAAACTCTGTTGGCAATTGACATGATTTTTGTATAGAACATCAAAATGACTCTAATAAAATAGAATGCAAATTAAAATATAAGTTCAATACAGTTCCAGTACACAGTCAGTATATAGAAACATGTACTTCTATATACTAGAAATTAACAAACTAAACAAAAAACTCAGAAACCCATGCTATTTTAAATAGCATCAAAAAGGAAAAAAACATAAGAATAAATTTAACAAAATACACGTACCATATGTATATTGAAAACTGTAAAATACATTGAATGTAATTAATAAAATTCTATAAAAATGGATAAATATTGAATGATCATTGATTAAAAGGCTTGATATTATTAAGTTGACAATACTTTTTATATGGCTCTATAGATTTAATGCAATTTCCATGAAAATCCCAGGTGACCGTTTTTTCACTAACTTGTCAAACAGATTTTAAACTGTATATATAATGCAATAGAGAAGAGATAAAATAATTTTGAAAAAAAAACAGAATTTGTAAAATAGACTCATACTTTCTGATTTTAAAACTAAAGACAAAGCCATACTAATTAATATGTGTGGTGTAGACATACAGATTGAATATCAAAAAGTTAACCTTTACATTTACGGTCAAATAATTTTACAAGGGCTCCAAATAAATTCAATATGGAAAAGTATTTTTTTCATTAACGGATTCTGGGACAAGTCAACATCATCAACATCAACAGGCAAGTTAAATTCCTCCCTCACAGCATATGCATAAATAGTTCAAATTAGTCACTGATATGGTTTGGACTTGTGTCCCTGCCCAAATCTCATGCCACATTATAATCCCCAATGTTACAGGAGGGGCCTGGTGGGAGGTGATTGGATAACGGGAGAAGACTTCCCCTTGCTGTTCTCATGACAGTAAGTGAATTTTCATGAGATACCGTTATTTAAAAGTATGTAGGACCTCACCCTTCTTTCTCTTCTTCCTTCTCAGGCCATAAAAGATGTGCCTGCTTTCCCTTCTCCTTCTGTCATGATTGTAAGTTTCCTGAGGCCTCCCCAGGCATGTTTCCTCTACAGCCTGCAGAACTATGAGTCAATTAAACCTCTTTGCTTTATAAATTACCCAGTTTCAGGTAGTTCTTTATAGCCGTGCAAGAACAGGCTAATACAGAAAATTGCTACTGGGAGTGGGGCATTGCTATAAAGATACTTGAAAATGTGGAAGTGACTTTGAAACCGGGTAATGAGCAGAGGTTGGAACAGTCTAGAGGGGTCAGAAGAAGATAGGAATATGAGGAGAACTTTGGAACTCTCCAGAGACTGGTTAAATTGTTGTGACCACAATGCTGATAGTGACATGGGCTATGAAGTCCAGGCTGAGGTGGTCTCAGATGGAGATGAGGAACTTATTGGGAACTAGAGTAAGGGTCACTCTTGCTATGTTAGCACAGAGACTGGTGGCATTGTGCCCCTGCTCTAGGGATTTGTGGAACTTTGAATTTGAGACTGATGATTTAGGGCATCTTGTGGAAGAAACTGCTAAGCGCCAAAGCATTCAAGATGTGGCCTGGCTGCTTCTAAGAGTGTATTGTCATAGTGCGAGCAAAGTGATGCTATGAAACTAAAACTTATATTTAAAAAACAGGCAGAGCATAAAAGTTTAGAAAATTTGCAGTCCAGCCATTTTGTAAAAAAGAAAAACCTGTCCAGGTGCTGTGGCTCATGCCTGTAATCCCAGCACTTTGGGAAGCTGCGGCGGACAGATCACAAGGTCAGGAGTTCCAGAGCAGCCCAGCCAATATGGTGAAACCTCGCCTCTACTAAAAATACAAAAATTAGCTGGGCATGGTGGCACATGCCTGTAGTCCCAGCTACTCAGGAGGCTGAGGCAGAAGAATTACTTGAACCTGGGAGGTGGAGGTTGCAAGGTTGCAGTGAGCTGAGACCGCACCACTGCAATCCAGCCTGGGCAACAGAGTGAGACTCCATCTCAAAGAAAAAAAAAAAAAAGAAAAGAAAAACAAAAAAAGAAGAATCCATTTTCTGGGGAGGAATTCAAGCCAGCTGCAGAAATTCGCATAAGAGGAGCCAAATTAGCCGGGCGCGGTGGCTCAAGCCTGTAATACCAGCACTTTGGGAGGCTGAGACGGGTGGATCATGAGGTCAGGAGATCGAGACCATCCTGGCTAACAAGGTGAAACTCTGTCTCTACTAAAAAATACAAAAAATTAGCCCAGCATGGTGGCCTCATACTGAGGGTTTAACCAAGGTTTTCTCTGGTTTGAGCATTTTGGACTTAGACCATGGTACCCAACATGCATCCCAGGATCTCCAACTTTACATGGCATGTGGTAGAAATGGTCAGCCTCCATAATCATGTGATTCAGTTCCCCTAAAAATCTCTATCTATCTATCTGTCTATCTATCTATCTATCTATCTATCTATCTATCTATCTATCGCTAACTAGCTAGTTCCTATGTATCTATCCTATTCGTTCTGTTGCTCTAGAAAACCCTGACTAGTGTAGATTTTGGTAGTAAGAACGGTTCTATAGGAAGAGAATTTTAAGGATGAGTGTCCTTAATCAAATTTGGGGTTTCTAGAATTGGCTTTCTAATCTGATTGCACCTAAATTCTAAGAACTGTACTTCTAACAGTAGAAAGAGCAATGACAGTCAATGACATGAACTGTTTTTAGAGATCCCCAAAATATCTGCACTTGATACTCTTGAAACACTGATAAGAGGCAAGGTACTTGTTTACTCTGTATGTGATACAGACATTTGCGTAAAACCATGGAACACAATGATGATGGGTTTGTTGCTTCTAATTCACTGGGAAATTTGATGAAAGACAATAATGAGCTTAGGGATTCAATTTTGCAGAACCAGCTCCACATAAACAGCCTAAGAGTTTCTACCTGTGCTCTGAGCCAGAAAACTCTCTTGTAGCCACAGGGAAGTATTTGCTAAAAGTCAAACACAAGCCCTTATCATGCCACTGGCTGAATTACAAGAAACGTTGAACTCCTCAGTCTGGCAGGGTGTCTACTGTTGAAGTGGAAATTGAGAAAGAATAGCATCCTGTAACTTGGGATGAGGATGGATGGGAAGACTGATGTGGCTGGGGACACTGATCTCCTAAATTCTAATGAGTTTTTATTGCCAGCAGAAGTGGCCTCCTTACAGCCACCCCCTTGGCAATGGCCTTCCCACACAAGGTGATGTAGGCCTTTCCATATGTGTCTGAGTAGCTTACATCTACAATGCCTAAGGAAACGGTAATGGCTTCCCCTGAAGCAGCTGTCAAACAATACACTGCTGATTATCTTCAAGACCCACCCCTGACAGCTGTGTTTCTTCTAGACTCATGGTGAGACTAAAGTTACAACAGGCCCCTAAAGCTGATGGATAGTATTTCCCATGAGGAGATGTGATCTATGTCAAAAAAGCAACCTGAGTTTTCTAACTAATGCAAACAGAAATCTGAAGACCCTATGTGGAAATAAAGATTATGGCTGTGGATAGCTGGGTGTGGTGGCTTGTACCTGTAGTCCCGGCTACACGGGAGGCTGAAGTGGGATGAATGCTGGAACCCAGGTGTTTGAAGCTGCAGTGAGTCACGACTGTACCACTGCACTCCAGCCTGGCCAAAAGAACAAGACCTCATCTGTAAGAAACCAAAACAAGAAAAAAAAAAAGCGTTGATAACAGTAGAAGGAATATAAACTTGAATCAGTCCAAATTTAATGATATGGGGCCATTAAGCAGATATTCTGGTTTAATGTTGCAGCTTCGGTATTTAAGGATGGTATTAGTGGTGTTATGACTGGTTGGCTGAAATATAGTTCAACAGATGTATGACCATGAGCAAGTCGGTGACTCCCCCATCTTCCCTGTATTATGTTGGATGAAGGAATTCATAGGCCTGGGGAGATAGGAATGCTAGAATGGATTTGCCATTTAAAAGCCACTTACAGCAGGGCATAGTGGCTCATGCCTGTAATCCCAGCACTTTCGGAAGCCGAGACAGGTCCATCAGTTCAGGTCAGGAGTTTAAGACCAGCCTTGCCAACATGGTGAAACCCCATCTCTACAAAAAACTACAAAAATTAGCCAGACATGGTGGCACACACCTGTTGCCCCGGCTACTCAGGAGGCTGAGGCAGGAGGATGGTTTGAATCCAGGAGGCAGAGGTTGCAGTGAGCTGAGATCATGCCATTGCACTCCAGCCTGGGCAATAAAAGTGAGACTGTCTCTAAATAAATAAATAAATAAATAAATGCAACTTATCCATATCGATAGACTCCAGAAAACATACACTTTATCAGGACTTTGTTAGGTGGATTTGTGAGGGGAGGCTGGGCACAACTGAAGAGCTCCCTGATCTCTCTTCTCTGTAGACCAGACCTTAATACAGAAACCACAGTATACCAACTGGAAAATCAAAATGCAATGGGAATAACCCGGTTTCAGGGAATCTTGGGAGCAAGTAGCAACACTCAGTCTTCAAAGACCAGGTTGGCATAGTTATGTCAATGGACGACAAAGGCAAAGCAACAATCAGGTTCATCGATTCCTATAGATTTATGTTGCTGGCTAGTTTATAATAGTGTTCTTGGAATTGAAGTACACAGGTAGCCTACTAAGTGCTTACTTGATTTGAAGAAGCAGAAAATCTTTAGATCAAATGAACAAGATTCTGCCTCAAATCCTAAAAACCAGAGACTCATAGAACCTCACTCAATTCTCACAATTGAGCCAGTATAGAAGAAATTTTGTATGCAATTAAGTTAGCCATAATTTAAAAGGAATTGTTAATAATACTCTTTCTAAAGAATGGTCCCCTATGTTAAATCAAGATTTTTTTAAGGTATCAATGTACTCTTAATAAAATTACAATAAATTTTGATTTTATATTCTATAATATACCTCTTTTGAAAACTTCTGAGATTCATATCTCAAATGTTCAATTGTTGTCTTGCTGCTATCAGCTTTTTCTCCCTTTGATGTGGCCTCGGATGATAACTCTATCCTTCAGCTTCTTGTCAGCTCCTGTAACTTTTCTCCTTAGTTCTAAATGTTGTTGTGGCTGATGCTGAAATATTTTATCTTAGAGGTCTATAAAAGAAATATTTTCCTGCAGGATAACCTGATTCTATATTCTTGGGTTTTTGTTGTTGTTGTTTTTGGTGTGTCTAAATTTTCACTGTAATCAGGAAACTTATCATGCAGCTACTAAGAGTCATGTATTCCCCAGTTCTATTCAAAACCTTGTACACACTCTTCCCATGTTTGATTAAATTCAAGCACTTTTTATCTTAAGTTGTACTTCCAGATTATCTACACAGGCTTTCCTCTAAGGAGAGGCAGTCACACTGAAAAAGGTTTTCCTTTGACTTTCTGGTAACTGGCTTAAGAAACAAGATTTTACGTTTTATCAAGATAGTTCCTATGCTGCCTTTATTAAGCGTCTAATTGTTTTTAAAAAACCCCCGAAATTTGAAAGGAGTAAGGATTTTATACCCGTGTAACTTTTTCTATTGCCTTTAAAGTCTTTCAGTGATCACTTTGTTAAATGAATAACTATTGTTTTACAAGGACCTGTGGTTTAGTTTTGATGAAATATTTTAAGCTTTCTCACATCTTTCACAGACATCTCCAAAATTGAATCCTAAATTAAGTCTCTGACTTCTTGCTGGGGCTTATCAAAGCTAAAAAACATTAATCACTGTGAAGTTTATCACCAACTCCAACACTCTGAAAAAGTTCTTATTAGGTGCTATTAAGTAATCTTTGTGGTGTTAAGGTACAAGGAATTGACTCCTGGATACATGTAGGTCCTCTCAAGAAGACACAGACTCCTGCCAGCATCTAACATCAAACTCGACTTAACCAAAGCCTCATCTTTAGACTCAAGCAAAGGCAATAATCAAAGTACACTGCTTTCATGCAACACAGGGACAGGCATGTATTATACTTTAATAATTTTCCTTCTATCTGAAATAGAAATATATGAAATATAATTTATTCTGTACCTTAATACTAAATAATTTAAATGTTTATCTACCTATAGGCTTCCTTTCCCGTCACTCATTCTTTTTTTTTGAGACGGAGTCTTGCTCTGTTGCCCAGGCTGGAGTGCAGTGGCGTGATCTTGGCTCACTGCAATCTCTGCCTCCCGGGTTCAAGCAATTCCCCTGCCTCAGCCTCCTGAGTAGCTGGGACTACAGGCACACACCACCATGCCCAGCCATTTTTTTTGTATTTTAGTAGAGACGGGGTTTTACCATGTTGGCCAGGATGGTCTCGATTTCCTGACCTCGTGATCCACCCGCCTCAGTCCTGTTTCTCTTGGAACAAGACAGGGCTTACGGCATTTTTGCTTAAAACGTTATTAATGGTGAATATTTTGTTTTATTAATATATCCAGGATTTAAAACTCTTCAATTTCTCCAGACCCAGGGACTATCATGGAAGGTATGAATGCATGAGATTGTAAGGGCCAGTTCTTGTGGAATAAAATTAATTCACACCCCCCAAATAAAGGATGGGCATACAGATGCCTAAACAGCTAAATAAAATATTATGTTTTCTATAGCTATGGTTCCTATAAGCCAAGATTACAACAGCTCAATGCATAAAATTCAGAGAAAATTCAGTTATATAACCTTACCTTTTGACTTTTAGTTTTGGCTCTTACATTGCTGAAATGGGATTTTAAGGATTAATGACAGCCTGCCGCATTCATTCCAGTCTGGCCTACAGACTGGAATTGGATATAATTGGATATAAGACTTCTGGTTCTAAGTCCCTTGGCCATAGTGGTCGCCCCAAGGAACATGATGGACACAGGTCAGGTAGCACGCCGCTCTGCCATTGACATGAGAGAAAATAAAAGTGTGGCTACCCATACTGCCTCTGGCATATCTTGACAAAAAAGGAGAATATAAACTATAAAATAAAGTCCTAAGCCCCCACCAACTTAATGGACACTCCCTACACCCATGTTAGCCAAAGCAACCTGAAAAACTAATTCAGGCCATGACAACAAGAGGGGTGTTGAACAAGCTTCACTACACCTTCCTCCCATTATGGGAATTTAGGCACAACTGATCAGCATTAACATTACAATAAAAACTGTAAAACAGACTCTTTATAACAATAAAATACCAAATTATGAACAGGACTTAAAAACATGCCAGGCAAGGGTTAAGTCTCACATTCCTACACTTTAAAAAAGCAGACTATGTTTACAACCGCCACAAGGTTTCTGTGTTTCTCTAGCAGCCAAGCAAGCACTAGCCTCAAGATAAGCTGACTGATCCCAGCCACTGTTCAACCAGCCATAACTACAGATTGAAGTAGACTAGAGACTAATTTCAGTAAGTATCTCCTGATAAACGATCACTCACCATAAACTAGTTTTGGCCGGTTTACAGTAAATGCACACTTTTGTGCCTTTGTCCTCAGAAGAACTTTTGAAATATAGGGTATAATTATAATACATTTAAAAGTTAAGTCTCTGCTCCAAAATAAATAAGTCATATGTTCCATGGATATTTGTTAATACACATGGGTCAGGACCACCTTCACGAACATTTACAACTCCTCCTGTAGCCTGTTAAGTATGTATAGTTAACCAACTTGTCTTCGTATCTCCACAGGAGCTCTGGGTACAACTGACATTTGGGGCTTTGCACTATAATTAAGACTAAATGCTGTGTGTACTTCCTGGGTAACTCCAGAAACATATCCTCAGCCCTAAAAGACATGCACAAGCAAACTAATGCTATGTCTAATCTCATGATGTCTTTAAACCATATGGCTTTAGATATCTTCACCGCAGCCAAGGGTGGCACTTGTGCATTCATTAAGGCTGACCATTTTATACACACACACACACACACACACACACACACACACACACCAGATTATTCTCACAATATAACCCAAGCTATACATGTAGATACCCATATTTCTGTTATAGATGCCCTCTCCCAGGACTCTATGGCACCATGATTTAGTTGGCTTCCTGGTGCATAAAATACTTTTATATATATTATTAATACTGTTAAGTGCCCTCTTCAGCTGCTATGAATTTTATTGCTGTTGTACACTCTGCATGGAGATGCAGGAAATCATTCTAATAAATTCTTGGATCCTCACACCATATATGCACAGTAAGTTCCTGCTGAAAACTCAAGAATATTTCCAACTCTAGGTAAACAGATTCCATTCTGATGCTCTATAACTATGCCCCCTTTCAGTAGGAAGCAGACCAAATGAAGATGATGCTCCAATTGAATAAAAATAAGTAGAATTTGACAGTGGGGTGTTGTAACCAAGTACTTCATTTTCCTTAAAAAATATTTAGTTTTTCTTTTTCCTGTGTGTTCATGTCTTACCTAGCTCCTTAGAAATGCAAATTCAAACTTTTCCCTCCTTCCTTTCCACCAGCCAAACCACCAGCAAGCACTGTCAGCTTAGCTAAGTATATGTTTGTTTAGAAATTACCAAATCTTGAACGAAAATAAGCATCCCCCAGAATTCTCCTCCATAGAGAGATTGTCTCAATACATCAGTTAATCCTCAACCTGACTCTGTCCCCAGTGATGCTGGGCAGGCTAAGGAATGACCCAAGACTAGAGATAAGTCATCCAGCAAGTCATGTAGATCCTACACCTCCACACCCCTTCTGCATGCCCTGATTGCCAATATTTCTTCTTAAAACCCTGTTTTCTCCCCAGAAACTTATATGGTTCCTTTAGATACGAATCCAGCCCTTCCACATTGCTAAGCTCTGGAAATAAAGTGACTTTCTCTTTTTTTTTTGGAGACGGAGTCTCGCTCTGTGCCCCAGTAGCTGGGATTACAGGCGCACAGTACTGTGCCCGGCTAATTTTTATATTTTTAGTAGAGACAGGGTTTTACCATATTGGCCAGCCTGGTCTTGAACTCCTGACCTCAGGTGATCATCCCGCCTCGGCCTCCCAAAGTGCTGGGATTACAGATGTGAGCCACCGCGCCCGTCCAGTGACTTTCTTTTTACTACCCTTCTGTTACTTGATTTTGGAAGTGGCCATGGCCAAACCTGGGTTTGGTAACAAAATGGTGCCAGGCTGTCGTACGACAGATGAGGGGCACTTTTTTCCTTAAAGCAGGATCTGTCAATTCTGTATACAGCACTGAAGCCCACAGACCCTGACTGCTGCCATACCTAGCAGGGCAAGTGCCCATCTATTATTACATATTCCCATAAAATACCAGTGTTTTTGCTCTGTTGATTGCTCATGTCTCACACATCTTGAACAAGTGTTTCCAACCCTCGCATGTTTTTTGACTAAGACAACAAAAATTAAAATCTAAAAGGAGCATAATCATGAAAGCCTTTTGAGAATATTAAGGTAGGTGAAAATGACAATAAACAAAAAAATTGAAATTCCCTTTTTACAAGTCAATGGCACAAAAGTATTTTCTGATTACAGCACTCAATGTACACATTTTCTAAGCTGTATTTTTTATATCTCTGAGAACTAAAACCAAATTTAATAATCACTCATCAAAACTAAGAAAAAATAATTTCTAATAGAATAGGTGATCTGTACAAAGAAATGTCATGTACACATTTATGGAAGTGAGGTGGAAGGAATTATGGAGTCCAGGCATTGTCTAAATATTTGTATAAGGAGAAGATAAAGCAACATCATGAAGTTCACACCTGCACAGTTAGGAAGTGGTTGTTCCTTCTATTCAGACGTGAAGTGTTACTGTACCGCTACACAAATCAATACTTTGTTAACCTTCCACACGTACAGCAAACTAAGCCATATAATGGAAAGTTTCACACATCTTTTTAAGCATGAGGATCTGAGCCAATTTTGCCTTGTGGCTTCCAGAACAGTTTCTGTCCTTCTCCTTTTCAACCAGAGACATTTCAGAGAAAATTTGTACAAAAACATAAAACAGAGAATGTGTAACATCTGTCTTTTCTAATAAAAGTGATATTCACATTCAGTTTAGGAGAAATATGAGAAAAGATTAAAATAATTAAAAGTGTTCATTGAAAAATAATTGTGAATGCATTTTTAAAAGAGGAATAAAGACCTTAAATACACAACACAAAAATAAAAATTTTTAGATGATGTTTATGAGAACAAAAAAAGAAAAAATTACATCCAAGTGTTAAACACATTTGCACAACAAATCATATCAAAACCAGGATAAACACTACAATGCAAGAAATAAAGTCTTAAGGTATCACTGGTCAGCCAGCAGAATCAGTACTGAATAAACTCAGCCTTATTCAAAAGAACTGAATTCCCCACCTCACCAACAGAAAGGACAGGGAGCTGCTGCCCTTGTGCATGGAGACCCCAGACAGTGTCTCTGAGCTCAGAGGCTCCCATGTGGCTTTGATTTTGGTGGACATGGTCCGGAGGAGAAACAATCTGTCACAGGGGCATCTACACCAGTGCAGGAGGTTACTATGGGTGCATCTCAAGGTTTTCAGTACTACTGGCTGTTGCTGAAAGTATACATAAAGTGGGGAGTGGTGTTGGGGGATTGTCTAAGATTCACAAGGATATTAAGGGATTTAAGAGTCTACAGCAATGTTCTAAGTTCTAAACCAGCCGGGTGTGGTGGCTCACACCTGTAATCCCAGCACTTCAGGAGGCTGAGGTGGGTGGATTGCTTGAACTCGGGAATTCGAGATCAGCCTGGGCAACAAGGTGAAACCCCATCTCTACAAAAAATACAAAAAAAAAAAATTTAACTGGACATGGAGTTGTGCACCTGTGGTCCTAGCTACTTGGGAAAGTGAGGTGGGAGGATTGCTTGAGTCCAGAAGTCGAGGCTCCAGTGAGCCAAGATCTTGCCACTGTACTCCAGCCCAGGTGTAAGAGCCAGATCCTGTCTCAAAAAAAAAATTAAAATTTATTCTTTTTTTAAAAAAAGTTCTAAACCTACAGCTTTACTCAAGGTACAGCTGAAAGTATTGGTGTAGGTGCAAGACATGCAGGTTGTTACATTTTTTACTTCATTATAGAGAAGTACCGTGGCTAAAAGAAGAGGCTCTGGGACAGGCACAGTGGCTTACACCTGTAATCTTAGCACCCTGGGAGACAAAGCAGGGAGGATTGCTTGTGGCTAAGAGTTCTACACTAGCATGGGAAACACAGGAAGACCTGGTGTCTACCAAAAAAAAAAAATTAATTAACCAGGCATGGTGGCTTGTGCCTGTAGTCCTAGCTATTCAGGAGGCTGAGAGGGGAGTATCATTTGATCCCAGTAGTTCGAACACAGAATCTGCTCTACGATTGAGCCACTATACCCTCACTGGACAACAGGATGAAATCTTCTCTCTCTCTTAGAAAAGAAAATATATAAAGCAACCTCTGGAGAAAAAATTATTGTTCTAAATAGACTCTCTTAATAATAAGACAGTGTGGGCTAGGTGCAGTGACTCACACTTGTAATCCCAGCATGTTGGGAGGCCGAGGCGGGCAGATCACCTGAGATCAGGAGTTCGAGACCAGCCTACCCAACATGGTGAAGCTCCATCTCTAATAAAAATAAAAAACAATTAGCCGGGTGTGGTGGTGCACACTTATAATCCATTACTCGGGAGGCTGAGGCACAAGAATCGTTGAACCCTGGAGGAGGAGGTTGCAGTGAGCCAGGATTGCACCATAGCACTCCAACCTGGGCAACAGAGTGACTCTGTATCAAAAAATATATATATAATAATAATGATAATAATAAGACAGTGTGGAATTTGCACAAAGATAGAAGAAACAACCAGTAACTTAAAAAATAAAAACAGAGCTAGAATGCACACATATACATATACAAAAATTAATTTATACATTGATGCATGGGGGAAAGACCAATTTTTATTAAAGTGTTCCAGGAAATTGAATATCCACAGGGAATAACCAAGATCTGAACTTTGACCTCACATACACACAAAATCAATTCTAGTTGGTTCATAGGCTGAAATATAAAAATAATATTCAGAAAACAATTTAGGAAAATATCTTCATGACAGAGGGTAGGCTGAGCTGTCTAACGAGACCTGAAAATTATTTACCATGTAATACAAGACACATTCTACATAGTCAAAGTGAGCAAAGACTCTGGGGCAGACAGTATCAAACTCAAGGTTCCTTTATACCTTTCCTGCAGAAAGTCAGCTCAGACTCCAAAATGGACCACAGATGTGAAAATCATGCTTACTTCTTGAGATGTCAGTGTGGATTGTATGAAATGATAACATATAAAGCTTGTAGTGTATTATCAACCCTATACTAACCCCTAAAAATTAATTTTCTAATAAATTGTGAGATATATCATTTGTGTATTGTAACATGTCATTATTTCATACACCAGAATGGAAGAACAAAACCACTAACAAATGAAGAAACTAGTACTTTTATCACTTATAAATAAATCACATAGTAATAACATAAATACATTACAATTACTGGAAAAAATATTTTCAATGTGCATACATGTGGATATTTGTCTTGTGTCATTCCTACATGGGATGGAACATACAAGAAAAATACATTGACAAAGGTTTTCCTAAATTTTCTCTCATTGAGATGTAACTCTCCTGAATCACTCTTCAACTCATCTGCTCATGATTTTCCCCATATTATTATCACCTGTGCTAATCTGACGCTTTGGTGATGCTGCACTTCTTGCGAGATTCCTATGTTGCTCCTGTGAGTTTATCTTTCCAACCGTCTGAAACCCCCTATGCAAGACATGATGTTGATGATATGACCTGAAGATGTCAATGGAAGGTTTATAGACCAAGCTCATGTATATGTAAATGAGGACAATCACGTTATGGTCACCTTCTCGTCAATAATGTTTTAACACTAATAAATTTAAGGTGCATCTGTGCTTCATAAAAGTGAAAATGTGCCCTCTACGATGAATGGAATACACTGTCCTCTGTGACTGCCCATTTCTCAGTGTTAGATTATGGTGGCTCATCAACTGTATTCTTATCTGTTATTGAAGAAACATGCTTAAATCTTATCACATAAGTTTACCAAGTGTATTTACATTCTACATAGCTATTAGAGACATTACAGTTATTAGTGGAATTCTATAATTCTTCGGTTATGCATGGAAATGTAGTTTTATGAATTATGGTTTAAGAAATCCATTGAGGAAGAAGATAGAAATTATAAAGAGTTACTTGAAAAATTCACTCGAGTGATAGCTTTCTAAAGACCTAGAAAAAGCTGTATCTTGAAACTTCCCACTGCAATCTTAGGAATTTGACCAATGACCCTTGTAAGCTTCATTATAAATTCCATGCTTTCAGCTATAACATTTATGTAACTCTTTTTTCTTCATTCCCATTTGCTGTTTTAACCATATGGTCGGTGATCATAGAAATCACTTGGTAATTAGTCACTGCAGAAGTAGATGCATAATGGTCTTTATAAAATGTTTTAATCTGCCCCCTTGCTACTTTGCTCAACCCTAATTTGGGTACTTGGATTTGAGGATTGCTTTTGGTTTTCCCTCAGGAATATACTGATTGAAGAAGAAACACATAAAGTATGAATTTCTATATACCCAAAATGCAGTCAACCTCCTAAACTATGGGAGTTTCTTTATGTGTATGCAGAAACTCACATACAAAAACAAAAACTCACATAATTTAGGAGGTTGACTGAATTTTGCCCTACAGTTTTAAATTCCAGCAAGGCTAAATTAAATAAAGATAAAGTCATGCTCTCAAATATCCAAGACATTCTTCCATTGAACTCCAACTTCTAATCAGGTTAGAGCGTGGAAACAAAGTGTTGGGTGTTTGCCTCATGATCTGGTCTAGAATTTGGTTTCTCTTAAATGGTATCTCTTTTAGAATTGTGGTGTCCAGGCCAGCCTCTAAGGAACTGTTGGTTTAAGATATTGTGGGAAATCACATCTTCCATGCAGCTAGAGTTTGTCTGGAGACTCATTGCTCAGCACTTTGTCAGCTGCTTTCTCCACTTACTAGCATCCAACTGCAAAAAATCTGTTGTGTAAAAGATTCATATACAGGTCTCTGCAAGTAGGGACTGGCCCAAACCAATTTATTAGAAACATTTGTTGTATTCTGCTTACCTGCTACCTTGGTGGCTTTAGGGTTGGCAGTGGGCAACTTAATTCCACAAAGTGAGTGTCAACAGAATGCACAGTCCCAAGTGATTCCTGATAGAGTCTGTAGAATCAAAATAGCTAAATTAGAACATATTTTTCTGAAATGTTTGAAGGTACAGTTGTCTTTTGATTACTTGAAGAAGAAATCCCTGTACCAAGAAAACATTATCCTGAATGCAGAAATATGATTTATGTTCCCTGTCACTGAAATTTCTTATTCTTGCCTTCTAATATCTGAGAGTCATATCTCCCAAAAATGCTTCAGTGGGATCCTGAATATACACTGCGAAGTGATGTCTACACATGGGGATTTCCGGGATATGTGAAGGAAAGGCAACTTTATCTGAATAAGTGGTTTCTGACACTCTAACTGCTAAGTGCGTAACGGAGAAGGAGAAAAAGGATGACAGTCCCTGGAGCTTGATGGTGCCTTCTTGAAGCAGGTTCACCTGGGTTTGGAAAGGCAACTAGATAAAAAAGGCTAGATTGCTTTTCTCTCTGTATGTGCCCATTTGTCTCTGGAAGCCAAAGTTTTTTGCTTGTGTCTTTGTTTTCTTTTAAAAAATATAATAATTTTAGAAAACAAATTTATTTTGAAATAATTGCAGATTTACAAAAAGATACACAGGTAGAACAGACAGTTCCATATACCCTTCAGCTAACTAGAATGTACTATTCTAACCATAGTATATTCATGAAAACTAAGAATTTCACTGTTTCAAAACTATTAACTGATCTACAGACTTCCTTCATATTTTACCAGAATTTCTTTTTGTTATATTTTGTTTTGTTTTTGAGACAGAGTCATGCTCTGTCACCCAGGCTGGAGTGCAGTGGCGCGATCTTCGCACACTGCAACCTCCACCTCCCGGGTTCTGGCCATTCTCCTGCCTCAGCCTCCTGAGTAGCTGGGACTACAGGCACCCGCCACCACACTTGGCTAAATTTTTGTATTTTTATTAGAGAGGGGGTTTCACCATGTTAGCCAGGATGGTCTCAATCTCCTGAACTGATTATCCACCCGCCTCTGCCTCCCAAAGTGCTGGGATTACAGGCATGAGCCACCACACCCAGCCTCAGAATTTCTAATAATGATATATTTATCTGTTCAAAGACCTAACCCAGAATACCACATTGCAATTACTTTCAAGTATATTACTTATGACTTGGTGCATAACAAATTCCTACACATCTTAGTGGTTCAAAACCACACACATATTACTCACTGTTTCTCTAGGTCTTCAGTCCAGATGTAGGTGATGGTCCAGGCTAAGGCTCAGCTGGGGAAGGGTCTCCTTCCAAGCTCATGTAACTGTTCTTAGGATTAACCTCTCTGACCTCATCAAGAAGAATTCATTAGTGAATTATTAGAATGACTTAAAAAATTAATACTAATTTATTACAAATTATTTCAAAAAAGTGGAGAAGGCATGATTTCCCATTATATACAGAGTTAGTTTACTCTGATACCACAACTAGACAAAGACATTTCAAATATGGAAAATGAAGAACACTATACCTTATGAATACAGGGGCAAAAATCATCAAGGAAATATTAGTAAAACAAACCAGAAACATGTAAAAAGTATTATACAGTATGTCAAGGGTATTTACCTCAGGAAAGCAAAATTTGGTTCAACATACAACTAGCGTTATGCACTATATTCATATAATAAAGAACAAAAACCACATAATCATCTCAGAAGACGCATAGGCACTTCAGAATTCTCAAAATCCCTGAGAAAGACATGCAGCAAATGAGGCAGATAAGGGAACTGTCTTCCTTTTAAAGAGGATCCATGAAAAACCAACATACCATCATAAGTTATCTGAAAGGTTCACTAATTTCTCCAAGATTAGAAACAAGACAAGGATTTCCACTCTTGACACTTGTTTTCAACATTCTACTGGAGGATATAGACATGGCAATTAGTCTAGAAAAATAAATGTAAGGCTTCCAGTATGGAAAGGAAGTCAAACTATGTCTGCTGGCATATGACCTGATCTTATGTATAAAATTTCCAAAGGGCTTTAATCAAATATGGTTAGAATTTAGAAATGAGTTCAACAAACTTACAGTATATAAGGTCAATACATATAAAATCCTCTGAATTTCTATATGCTAGCAATTAAATTCAGAATGTTCCATTCTAAAACAATGTTCAATGTTCCATTCTAAAACAAATTCAGAATGTTCCATTTGAGACGGCATCAAAAATGAGTTTATCAAGTTAAGTATATGATATATACACAAAAACTATAGAAAACATTTTGAAAAAAATGGAAAAAAACCTTTGACTATTCATTGCTTATAAAGGTTAATGTTGTTAGCCTGGCAATATTTTCCAAATGGATCTATAGATTTAATGCAACCTCTATCAAAATCCCAGGTGACATTTCCTTTTTCTAAATTCACAAAGTTTATCTAAAATTCATATATAATGCAATAGACACAGAGCAGCCTAAATAATTTTGAGAAAGAAGAAAAAAGGTTGGCATGGGAGATACATACTTCCTGACTTCAAAACTCACTGCAAAGTAATAGTAATCAAGATTTATGGTACTAGTATAAGAATATAGATGTTGATCAATGTAATAGAATATAATGTTCAAAAATGAATACTCACATTTATAGCGAAATAATTTTATAATGTCACCAAATAAATTATATATGGATAAATATTTTTAATAAAATATTTCTGAAACAAGTGCATATTCCATGGAAGTCGAACTCCTGCCTCACACTGAAATTGACTCAAAATCATCATATATCTATATATAATAGCTAAACAGGCCCAAAATATAGAAAATATCACAGGAATGCATCTTCGTGGTCTTAGGTTAAACACTCTTTTCTAAGATATGATGCTGAAAGCAAAAGGGAAGAAGAAAAAACAGGTATATTAAACCTCATTAGAATTTGAAACTTTTGTGATTCATGCTACACCATCAAAAATAAAGACACCCAAAGAATGAGAGTAAATATTTGCAAACAAAAGCAAAAATTGGCAAATGAAATCTAATTAAACTTAACAGCTTCTGCACAGTAAAAGAAAACTATCAACAGAATGAACAGACAACCTACAGAATGGGAGAAAAGTTTTGCAAACTATGCATCTGACCAAGGTCTAATATCCAGCATCTATAAGAAACTTAAACAAATGTTCAAGAAAAAAAACCAACCCCATAAAAAACAGGGCAAAGGACATCAACAGACACTTTCAACAGACGATATATATGCGGCTAACAATCATATGAAGAAAAGCTCAACCTCACTGATCCTTAAAGAAATGCAAATCAAAACCACAATGTGATACCATCTAACACCAGTCAGAATGGCTATTATTAAAAAGTCAAGAATTAACAGATGCTGGCAAGGTTGCGGAACAAAGAAATTACTTACACACCGTTGGTGGACGTCCAAATTAGTTCAACCATTGTGGAAGGCAGTGTGGAGATTCCACAAAGACCTAAAAACAGAAATATCATTTAACCCAGCAATCCCATTACTGAGCATATACCCTAAGAAATAAAAAGTGTTCTACGAAGAAGACACATGCATGCATATGTTCATTGCAGCACTATTCACAATAGCAAGAATATGGAATCAGCCTAAATGCCCATCAATGGTGGACTGCATAAAGAAAATGTGGTACATATACACCATGGAACATTACGTAGACATAAACAAGAATATCATGTCCTTTACAGGAAAATGGATGGAGCTGGAGGCTATTATCCTTAGCAAACTAATGCAGAAACAGAAAACCAAATACCGTATTTTTTCCCTTGTAAGTGGGAGGTAAATGACGAGAACACATAAACATACAGCAGGGAACAACACAAGCTGAGGCCTATCAGATGGTGGAGAGTGGGCGGCGAGAAAGCATCAGAAAAAATAACTAATGGGCACTAGGCTTAGTACATTGGTGATGAAAATAATCTACATCAAACCACCATAACACAAGTTTACCTATGTAACAAACGTGCACATGTACCCTGAAAATTAAAATAAAAGTTAAATTAAAAACGAAATATTTGCAAATTTTATAGGTGATAATGGTCTACTGTTAATAATATATGACAACATCCTAGAGCTCAAAAATAAAAAGGCAAATGTCTCAATCAAAAATGGAAATTATTCAAATACCCAATTCTCCAGAAAAGCTATGGTCATATCCAAATCACATGAAAAGACACTCAATGTCTTTTGCCATTATGAGGTAGGACACCGGCAAGTTGTTTCCTAGTCACAACCCTGCTGATCAAAACAAGATCTGGTCCAGACAGCATACAGTGAAGAAACTGGCAAAAAGAGACACAGGGATTCCTGGTTGTCCTCATTGCTCACTGGCATGAGACATTCCCTCCAGCGCCATGATTGTTTACAAATTCCATGCCAGCAACCCAGAATTTACCACCTCTTTCCATGGCAACAACCCAGAAATTACCACTCCTGTCCTGGAAAGTTCTGAATAACCTGCCCATCAAGTTTCATTGATCCACCCCTCAATTTACATGTAATTGAAAGTGGGTGTACCTTAGTGTAAAGATAGTTGACAAGGGCCCATAGGTTACCAACCGATGCAATGTCTATGAATTAGCCCTGCTCTTTAAGAAGCAGTCCTGTTCAATAAACCATTTCTGTCCATCACCACTGGCTTGCCCTTAAATACTTTCCCAGGCAAAGCCAAGAACCCTTCACTGAAGCCCCAAATTTGGGGATCACCTGTCCTGCAACAATAGGGGAAGGGAAGTCTAAAAAAACATGATACATACTTCAAAAATCTAAAAGGTATCTTGCTATGTGACAAAATATAAGTTGGAAAAGGCAAAATACTGTGTAATTCCACCTACATGACTCTCTAGAAAAGAAAAAAAAGTATAGTGATAGCAAAGAGTTCAGTGGTAACGAGGAGCTTGGGAAAGAGAAGGTGGGATGCGTGAAATACAGGAGGTTTCTTTGGGGCAGTGAAATTACTCTCTCTGATATTGTAATGGTGGATAAATAATAATGTTTTCTGAATCCTGAAGAACTTTATAACACAAACAGTGCATTTAAATTATGCAAATTTAAAACCTTATTTAGTAGGTAGAGGGTTTCCAAGGAGGAATGCCCAAAAAAATAATATAACTATGTAATGAATGTATGGAATAGCCTCACTAAAGAAAGTAGAGGAAAGCAATGGACCTAAGTAATTTGGGAAATAAGTGGACATTCTGAGGCTAAAAGCCAAAGTATTTATACCTAAGTACTGTACTTTACTTGGTAAAATTGTCTCCCATTGGGGTATAAGTTACCAGTTCTGAAACCACTCTGCATGGATGTTCAGGTAGTACGATTAAGTGAACAGCATCAACTTCTTCACAGGGAGAGTAAGAGACTACATACATCATTCACATGGTGCTGGATTAGATCATATGGTATTGGAAACATTAGTAGAAATTATACAATCATACAATTAGCCTGCAGTACAATTAAATGCACAGTTAGCCTGGAGCACCTAGTAGTGGTTAAAGAAAAGAAAATGCTAAACAACAACAAAACCAACCAACCATACAACATTGAACCTTAATTATGTGGGTATTTCAAAATTATACCAGAGACAACTAAAAAACCTTCCAATAGCCAACCATGGAACAATTTGAGCAATCAAATAAATTAGCATATGTAAAGTGTAAAATAAACATCCATGTTGAGATGATGATATAAATAATTTATGTATAAATGAATAAATATGTAATGGAATAGACACATGTTTATGGTTGAGGGTTCAAATATATTTGTAGACATTCTGCCAATAAGAAGGTAGATCATGAATACCCACTTTTTTTTTTTTGAGATGGAATCTGGAGTCTCGCTCTGTTGCCCAGGCTGCAGGGCAGTGGTGTGATCTCAGCTCACTGCAACCTCTGCCTCCCAGGTCCAAGTGATTCTCCTGCCTCAGCCTCCCGAGTAGCTGGGAGTACAGGCACGAGCACTGTGCCTAGCTAATCTTTGTATTTTTAGTAGAGACAAGGTTTCGCCATGTTGGCCAGGCTGGTCTCAAACTCCTGAACTCAGGTGATCTGCCTGCCTCAGCCTCCAACAGTGCTGGGAGTACAGGCGTGAGCCATCGTGCTTGGCCCATGACCCCCACTTCTTGAATGCGTGTTGTTTTAGTGACTTTGTTTGGAAACATTCTATGGGGAAAGGGAAAAATAATAATAATTTCACAGTGTTTGATAATTTGATAAAAACAACCTCATCTAGGTGATCAAATTAACATTAACAATGATAAAGCCTGTTGAGAGCCTGTGCCCTTGGTATGATGTGAGGAGAATGGCACCTTTCCTCTGTCATCTTCCTCTCCTAAACCCACACATCTAGTCTTAACATGAAAAAAACCTCAGAGAAATCCCACATTAGGAATGTCAATGTCATCAAAAACTAGGAAACTCTAAGAAACTGCAACAGTCAGAGAAGTCTAAGAAGACATGATACCTAACTGTGCTGAGGTATCCTGGATGGGATCCTGGAATAGAAATTAGACATTAAGTGAAAACTAAGAAAATGTGAATAAACTATGAAGAGTGGATAATGATACTGTTTAAAATTGGTTAATTGTGACAAATGTCCTAAATTAAGAAGTTAATAAAAAGAGCATCTGTAGTGGGAAATATGGAAAGTCTATGTACTGTATTTAAAACAATTCTGTAAAACCTAAATGATTCTTAAATGTATAAAGTTTCTTTTTATTTAAAGTCACTGCTGATCTTATAAAATAGAACATGAGCAATATGTTGATGGCCATTCATGGATCTCCTTAGCTTCATCACCTTCCTTAATCACTGAAGGTCGCTATTACTGTGAATTTATTTATCCTCTAATTTGTGTTTGTTATATTTATCTCTATGTTTATATTTCTAATATCCATAATGTTTAGTTTTTCTTGTCTTCAAACTTAGATGACATGTGTTTAATGTATACATGTCCCTAGTTTAATCATGAGAAATCATGAGACAAATCCATATTGTGGGACATCTTACAAAATATCTGACCTGTACACTTCAACAGGGTCAAGGTCAAGAAAAAGAAGTGAAGACTATGAACTTGCAGATTGGAGAAGACCTAATGTGTCAGTTAGACCCTGCAATGGTACCCAACGATCCCCAACTGCAAGAAATACCTGTGCTTTGTTGAGTTGCCTCCTCTGTGTCTCACACGAGCAACACATGTGAACTCAACTGTTTTCGAACTCAGAGCTCTCCTAGATAGTGGCTACCTTGGTGGGAATGGAGTGGACACAGGTCCGACAAGTGCAACAAGGGTGTCTGACGGTATAAACAAATATCCTGTGAGAAGGATGCTGGGTCAAAGATTGTACACTTATGCTTTGGGGTATCCACCAGGATAAATAAGTATCCCATGAAAGGCACACTGTAAACATCCAGGACACAGTTTCCTGAAGTCCTGTTGGGCAGGGTGATAATTTATAGTCACTGTCCCTAGAGAGACCTCAAGTGGTTATTAAACATAACAAAAATACAAGAGATGTAGAGGTGATTTTATAAATTATGGCTCAAAGATCCCATGGAGAAGGAAGATAGAAATGGTGAAGTGTTACTTGAAAGTTTGCAGCGGAGTGTAGCTCTCTGAAGACAGAAAATCCTGTATCTTGAGACTTTTTGCCTTAATCTTAGAAATATAAGCAGAGATTATTCTAAGTTGCTTTCAAATCCGATTCTTCATCCAGATCAACTACATATTTTTTTCTCCCTCCCCTTTTATCCTTCGTATCCCATGAACGATGGTCATGTGAATCTCACTGTAAGCAGGGACTGCAGACACCTGTGCATTGCTGTTTTCACGAAATGCCTTGCTCTGACCACTTGTTACTCTTGTCAGCCCCGCTTGTCGATACTTAGAAAATGAAACAGGCTTTGATGTTCCCCAAATAGTGTACTGAATGAAGAGGAAACTCTTATAATTTATAATTTAGAATGTTGAGCATATTTGTACCGAGAGTTTCAGCTTCTACTAGGGCTCAATTCAGTGAACAAGAAGCCCTAATCTCAAGTGTAGGAGTCATGCACCCTTTAAACTTGATTCAGTATTCAGACTAGAGGGCAGAGACAGCACTGGGTTCTTGCCTAAGGATGTGGTCAGATGATGGGGTGTTTTCAATGGCATCTTTCTGAGAATTCTGGTGGCCAATCCAGATTCAGCCAATCCAGACTCATGGTAATGTTTAGGAGCTTAGTGCTCAGCACTGTGTCCTCTGTGCCTGGGACATTATGGTAGCAGAGTTTCATGTCTAATCACTTTTCCAGTCTTAAACCTGAGCACTCAGAGCTCCTCAACCCTCTTGCCACCTAGAGATGAGTCTGTCCTTCTACAAATCTACTTCTGTCTCCTTCATGGCCTGCCACTTGGTGATTTTTTTTTCCTGAAGAATTTGGTCATGGATGATCTTAACAGTACACATCATAATAGACCATATGTATGCATTGAAATAAAGAGGAAAACGGGATTGTACAAGTCACTTACCTTACAGAAACTCCTGTTATAATGAAATAAAAAGAGCAAACCTCCATGACTTAAGATTGCCAATTTAAATGAAACTATCCTTTCCTATGGGGTGAATTGTAAGATTAGAGGGGTAAGAAGGTTTACTGAATTATAAATGCCCCAAATAATAGCACCTGAATTACTGCTACAATCTTCTCAGAAGTGAGAAATACGGTCAAGGTCAGCTGTGTCTCTCATTCTAGGTCTCCAGGACTCAGGAGTTTGTTTTCCCACTGAAGATATGAACATGGTATGGAGAATGCAGTCCATGATCATGGTCTGAAAAAGCAAGAGTCTTGACTTTGTGGATGTCCTTGGGAGTGTAGTATGCAGTCCCATGGCTTAGTAAGCTTTGTGGGCATGGTTCCTGGAACATCCCTGGTGTTCCTCTGTAAAGTGGTGTGGCCTGTGAACAAGGAGCTGTGTTGGGGAAGGGGAACAGTCCTCCCTGCCGTGGGGATCTTTGTTTAGCCCGCACATATGCACAGTCAGCACTCGGCCTCTGTCCATCTCTTAGATCACTACATGGTGGGCTGGGGTACGTTATACTTTCTTTCCTTTTTTCTATTAGGCTATTTCCACCTCTGCACAACACAATCTGTATTACTAACATGCCTCACCTTCATATATCTGATGTCTGTCTAAAGGTTCATTTCCACGTCTTTTTGAGCAGGAATGAACCTACAACTCCATGATTATAAACTTTTTTCATATCTAGTTAACTTTCCTCCATGATAATGTCTATTCTGTGGCTTTTGGGTTTATCACTTGAAATGGTTTGGCTGTGTCTCCACCCAAATCTCACCTTGAATTGTAACAATCCCCATGTGTCAAGGGCAGGGCCAGGTGGACAAAACTGAATCATGGGGGCAGTTTCCCTCATACTATTCTCATGGTAGTAAATAAGTCTCACAAGATTTGATGGTTTTATAAATGGGAGTTCCCCTGCACAAGTTTTCTTGTCTGCCACTATGTAGGATGTGACTTTGCTCCTCATTTCCCTTCTGCCATGATTGTGAGGCCTCCCCAGCCATGTGCAACTGTGAGCCAGTTAAACCTCTTTCCTTTATAAATTACCCAGTCTTAGGTAAGTCTTTATCAGCAACATGAGAACAGATTAATATACCACAGGACAATATAGATCCATGATGTGAGTGTCAAGAGAATGTGTGGTCCCATAAATCCATAATGGAGTCTGCATGATGAAGAAAACTGAATTATTACAGTATTTTCTCAAAGGCTTAAGGCATCCTCTTCCTTTAAAACTTGGGGAATAAAAGGAATCCCTGTACTAAGAAAACACTCTTAATTCAGAACTATTTATGTTCACCATCACTGGTGTTTCTCAATCTTTTCTTCTAATATCTGGAAGTCATGTCTTCTAAAATGTCTTTATAGTGAGATCCTACAAAGACACTGACAGAAAGTGCCTGAAAACAGGGCCTTCTAACATATGTGAGAAAGGCGTCTTTCCTTGAAAAAGTGGTTATGAACACAGGAATTGATAACTGGGTAATGGGAAGTGTGATGGGAAAGAGGAAAGTGGATGAGTGTCCCTGGAGCTTGATGGTGTCTTTCTGAAGCAGGTGCCCTGTGTAGGAATGGGGGATAATAAGGCAAGCTACTTTGCCATAGTCTCCCTATATCTCCATTTGTCCTCTGATCTGTGGTTTTATTGTGGTTTAAATCTGTCTTTGTTATTGTTGTTTTATTTTCTGGTACCTGAATATTACATTTTAAGAAATATTTTTATTTTATCATAGTTTTAGTTTTACAGAAAGTAGTAAAGATAATAGAGTTTCATATATCCTACAGCTTTCTGAAATGTTAACACCTTATATCACCATAGCATATTTATGAAAACTCAGAAATTGACAGTGGTACAAAACTATTAACTGGAAAAGATTTTCTTCATATTTTACCAGCTTTTCCACTAGTGTCATTTTTCTGTTCTAGGATCTAATCCAAGATACCACATTACATTTACTGTCAGGCATATAACTGACCGATTGTTGTATAACATATTACTACATAGTTTAGACTTTCCAACCCAGCCCTACATAGTACTTACAGTTTCTCTGGGTCAGATGCCTGGCAGAGATTTCAAGGGAAGGCTCATCTGGGGAAGGATCACCTACCCAGCTCCTGGGATTCTCGGGAGGATTCAATTTCTGTCCAGGTCAAGATGACTTCACTGGTGAGTTATTCAAACCTTTTTGGGAATTAATAACAATCAATAAAAACAAACAAGTAGAGAACTTTTCCTAATGCAATGTATGAATCCAGTGTTCCCTGACACCACAGCTAGACAAAGACATTTCAAGAAAAGAAAATTACAGACCAGTGTGAAACAGGTAAAAAGTATCAAGGAAATACTATCAAAATTAACTAGTAATATATAAAAAGGAGTATACATTAGGAGCAAAACTATTTATCCCTGCAATGTAAGTCTGGTTAAACATACAAAAACAACTGGTGTTATAAAATATACTAATAGAATTTTTTAAAAAGACTCATGGTCACCTCTAAAGACACAGAATAGGCATTTGACAAATTCCAAACCCATTCATGATAAGAGCTCTGGGAAAGTTAGGCATAGAAGAAAACTTTCTAAACCTACAAAGAGCATCCATGGAAAACTCACATAACATGAGGAAAGACATATAAGCCAACCGAATAGAGTTGAGCACCCCAAAATCAATCTTTATATATAGGGCAAACTTATTTTCAAGGTTGAAAAATTAATTCAAGATGAGAAAGTAGTTTTTCAGCAAATGTTGCTGGGAGAAAGGGATATCCACATGCAAGTTAAACTGTTTCCTGCACCATATATGTATTTGACTCAAAATAGAATATGTGGCTAAATATAAGAGCTAAAACTAAAAATCCCACAGAAGAGAACATAAAAATAGATTTTCATGGCCTTACATGAAACAATGGATTCTAACATGTGACACAAAAGTACAAGTGACAGAAAAAAAAATAGATACATTGAACTTCATGTGGATCAATACCTCTTAAGATGCAAAGTACACCATCAAGACAACTGAAATAATGGAAGAAGATATTCTCAAGTCATATAACTGTTAGGAGACTATTATCCAGAATATATGAAACATTCAGGCATGCACCACCACACCCAGCTAATTTCTGTATTTTTAGTAGAGATGGGGTTTCGCCATGTTACTTAGGCTGGGCTCAAACTCCTGGCCTCAAGTGATCCACCCACCTGAGCTTCCCAAATTGCTGGGATTACAGGCATGAGCCACTGTGCCAAGCCTCGTTCTTCATTATTATTTTCTAAATTTGTATTTCTAAATAATATATTGTTCAGGTATTTTTTGTCTTCAACATTAGATAAATACGTGTATAAATTAATGTTTAATCTTACTCAAATTATAAAAAAATAACAAATCCATATTGTGATACATCCTATGGAACACCTGACAAGTTCTTTTCACTAAGATCAAGGGCAAAAAAATAAGTGAAGACCCAGAAACTGATACAGATTAGACAGGACCTGATGGGGCAGGTAGGTTCTAAGATGTTTCCCAATGATCCACACCTCTAAATATGCAGAACCCTATTCTAATATCCTCACTGTGAGGTTTAGACATGCCATACCACATGTATAAACAAACACAAAAGGGGCAAAGTGTATGGAACAATGGTTTGTAAGAGAGATTATATCAAACAGTGAAGGACAGCGATACCTGAGACATACAATACTGTGACATGAGCTCTACCATTGCATCAAGATACCACTTTGGGAGATGTTCCAGGCTGTGGTGTGGCACGGACTTTGGAAGACAATGTCAGTTGAGAAGATGGAACTGAGAGTCGAGAACACAATGGCTGGATTGCATCTATCATTTCTTCCCATCCAGTGGTAAGAATGGGAGACAGCATCCACGTCAGCATCCATGCACACTGGACTGCTATTGTCATCATTACTCACTGAAATATGGTTCACAGAAGTACAGGAGCAACGCAGAAACAAAGGCAAAGACACAAAGAAAAGTTACTTGAATGAAGATTTAATATTGCACAAAGACTGACGCCTTTACATGTTGTACAAAAACCAAGGCTTTGGTTTTATCTCAAAATAACCATTTTATCTTATAATAACCATTTGAGATAAAGTAAATGATGTATATAAGTCGAATGAACCAACCAAGTGGACACAAACCTACTTTTACTATGCAATTTTCATACATGTGGCTGATAAACTCACTACATTATGAAATAATGAAAGTGGAGCTTTCTATTTATAAGAGCAGAACAGAATTATCAGAAAAATAAGGATAAAAATATTCTTACCTCCATTTGTTTCCCTATAAAACCTTAAGTTTGCTTTATATTTGGAAAATAATTTGTCACTTTCTTCACTACATCAATTCCACTGCCATTCTAGTTTGCATGGAGTATAGGGTTGCTATTTATATGCAGTAAAATTAAGTTAAATGGTGCCAGGCTGCAATATCATAGATGAGGGGTTGTTATTATTTTTGTTATTTTAACCAAGATCTGTCAATGAAATTCTCCGTGTACAGTATTGAAGCCAAGAGACCCTGACTGCAGCCCTAACTGGAAAATCAAATGCCCATCTACTGATTTGGAGCACTTGTAAAATATCAGTGTTCACGCTCTCTTGGTTGCTCACATCTCATAAATCTTGGACACATGTCCCCTATGTCCCCAGAATAATTTTAGAGCATTATATTGATTAGTACCCTTCTTGTACAGTAGGCATATGTTATTGAGTTTCAGCGACTGATTCTGTATGAATGCTTCACTCACAAGAGGATGTGTTGTCAACATAGTCGTGTTGGCATTAAGACACTCCTCACTGCAAGCTCTGAATAAATTCTGGTCTGTTTGTTGGAGTCCTGCTAAATAATATCTGAAAATGGGCCGTTTTGAGACATGCAAGTAACAGGCATCTGTCTTTCAAAAAGTGGTTACATAATTAGCACCAGATGCTAAAACTGGTGACTGAAAAATGCAGAATATGATGAAGAAGATGAAAGAGGATTAGTCTCTGGAACTTGAGGGGGATCTGCCTGAAGCAAGTGTACCTGTGTTGGAGTTGGTAAATTGATATGGAAGTATGCTTTGCTATTCTCTCTCTATGTGCCCTTTCATCTCCTGAGCTGAAGGTATTCTGTTTGTGCTTTGGAATTATTTTCATATCACATTTTATACTTTTTTCAAACACATTTTTTCTTTGAAATAATTTTAAATACACAGAAATATGCAAAGATACTACAGAAAGCTTTATATATCTTTGAATTACATGCAATGTAATAGATTATGTAACCATGAGCCCTAAAAAATAGGTGGCACAAAACTATTTATTGAAGTATAGGCTTTTTCCATATTTTACTAGGCTTTTAAGTAAAAAATGTCATTTTTCTGTCCAGGATACCACATTGCATTGACTGTCAGGTGTATTATTTATTGCTGAATAATAAACTGTCACACACTAAGTGGCTCTTACTCACAGTTTCTCTGTATCATGAATCCAGATGTAGAGGATGGCCAAGGACGAGGTCTCAAGTGAAGGTTCAGGTGGGGAAGGCTCCTCTTCCAAGTTCGTGTGATTGTTGTTAGGAGTCAAGGCCCTGTGCTGGTTGAGATGACTTCACTGGTGAACTATTCCAAACCTGAAAATAATTAATAAATATCTATCACAAACTCTTCATAAAAACTTAACAGTAAAAGTGGAGAAGATATCACTTCCTGATGTATACTATTAGTTAGTTTACACTGACATTACAACTAAAGCAAGACATTTCACGAAAGAAAAATTAAGGCCAATATGTTTTATAAATAAAGGGTAAATGTCTTCAATAAAATGCTAGCAATACAAATCAGCAAATGTAAAAAGAATTATACACCATCAAAAAGGGTATTTGTCGCAGAAATGCAAATTTGGTTCAACATATAAAATAATTAGTGTCATGACCTATAAGAATAAAATAAAAAACAAAAGCCATATGATCATCTCAAAAGATGCAGGAAAGGCACCTGACAAATCCAAAATCCATTTCTGATAACAGTATACAACAAATTAAGCCTATAAGAAAAGTTTCTTTATTTCAAAGGGCATCCATGAAAAACTCAGTATCATCATAATTTAATTTAAAGGCTCAATAATAGCATAAACTTGGACATACAGATCAAAGGAATATAGTAGAACTGAATGTCCAAAAATTAATCTTTACCTTTATAGTCAAATGATTTTATAAGGTTGCCAAGCCAATTCAATACGGAAAAATATATTTGTAACAAATGTTGCTAGGACAATTGAATATCCACAAGCAAGTTGAACTTCTCACTCACATCTTATACATAATTGGCTCAAATTAATCATATATCCAAATGTAAGAGCTAAATAGACCAAACCCTTAGAAGATAATACAGAAATACATAATTTGGGTCTTAGCTTAAACAATAACTCCTATAATTTCTAAGTTATGATACTTAAAGCCGAAGAAAAGGAAATAAAAAAATGAATATATTTAACTTTGTGAGAATTAAAATCTTCTGAGACTCAAAGTACATAATTAAAATTAAAAAGATAATGCAAAGAATAGAAGAAAATCTTCACAATCACATAGCAGAAAAGAATCTATTAGCCACAATATATAAAATATTTTACAACTCAAAATAAAAAGGCAAATATCACAATCAAATTGGTGAACTATCTGAATAGACATGTATCCAAAGATACTATAGTCATGTCTAGTAAGCACATGATATGAGGCCTAAGCCTTTTGTCATTAGGAAAATGCAACTCTAAACAACCATGAGACACACTTCACAAATCTAAAGGGTATATTGCAAAAAAAAGTAAATTTAAAAAGGCAAAATACTTTGTGTGATTTTGGTCATGTGACACTCTGCAATGTGAAAAAGTAGAGAGATAATAAAATGTTTGGTATTTACTGGGAGCTTGGAAAAGAGGCAGGTCAAACTGGTGAGGTACAGCAGATTTGCTCTAGGCAGTGAAATTATTCTGGCATCATACTGTAATGATAAATACATGATTATATTTTCCAAATCCTAAATAACTTTATAATACAAAAAATGAACTTAAAATATACAAATTGAAAACCTTCTACAGTAGGTAGCAGATAGCATGGGGCTATACACATAATAGAATTAAATAACACATCAGTGAAATAACCTCACTGAATGGAGGGGGGAAAGCAGCTGACCCAAGGAACATAGCAAGTAAGTGGATATTCTGAGTCTAAAGGGTAAAGATTTATCCCTAAAAACTTTAGTTGGTAAAGTTCTTTCTCATGGCCATATACATTTCTAATTCTGAAACCACTTACACAAGTCTTCCGGATTATGTGATTAAATAACAGAAGCATCTTTATCACTGTTAGTGTGGTAGGCTATATACAAGTAAGCGGGAATAGGTGCACTGATTCACATGGTACTGGATTAGATCATGGGGTGCTGGAGGATTATTAGGAATTCATATTTAACTTAAAGATACAGATACATGATAAAATATTTATGTGTGCGTGTGTCTCTGTGTGTGTGTGTGTGAATCAGCATACACAGATGTATTTGCTCTGTCACCACACAAAATCACAAATCAACAGATGCCCCAGGAGCAATGAATATGTCAAGGGCCCAGATCTCCATTTCTAATTCAATTTTCCAATATAAAGAACTAGGTCTCTGTGAAAAAAAAAGTGGTTAATACCAGGCTTGTTAGGAAATCCACACAATTAGCTTAAGTACCTAGTAGTGCCAGAAAAAATAAAATGCCAAACAACAGTGCAAACAACTAACCAACCACATAACAACAGCGAAGCTTCATTATGGTAGTGTTTCAAAATGACAAACGATCCAACTGAAAGACCTTCCAATAGCCAACACTGCAACAATTTAAACAAATAAATGAAGTAGTAGAAGGAAAGAGTAAAACAAATATCCATGTTTGCATACTGACAAAAATGACTGCATAAATATAACGATTATTGGAGGAGAATAGACACTTTCAGGATGAAAGGTCCAAATAACTTTTGGTAAACATTCTGCTCATAAAGTGGAGCATTTTTTGTTTTGTTTGTTTTTTTTTTTTCAAGATGGCAGATTGGAGACTTTGTTAGTGTGCCTCACCTGCTTAGAAAGAGCAAAATAGTGTCTAGAGATTCACACTGTGAATTTGTATCCAACAATCACAGGAACTCAGCAGAAGAAGTGAAAGAACCTTTGGATACTTTGAAAGGAGCAGCAGGCAGCAACTTGCACCATGTGTCAGATGGACAACTGAGCCTTCAGAGTGCAAAAGGGGGAGACTCTGTGATACATTCCCACTGGGGTACCAGGCAATCGAGGTCACAGGGAAGCACCTTAACCCTGCCCAGCACTGGAGCTGACTTAGAGAGGAGGGGACCATGAAAGAAGGAGTGGCACCTGGGTGTGCTGCGTGTGCACTCCCAGATCCCAGCAGGGACAGAAGGAAGCTATTCCTGACCCTAACTCACAGAAGATCTTGCAGAAATCAGCGAAGTAACCCAGGCAGCAGTCATGCACTGGAAGAAGCTCCCAACTGAGGGAGAAGCTGACCAACTAAGATTTGTATTTGATCTAATATTGAGCAGAGGATGAACCCCTTAAGGCCTGAACCAAGGGGCATGCAGGAAGCTTTCTTGTGCCAGGGTCATGGGAGTTGGGTAGTGCTGCTTCACATGTCAAATCAAGGGGTGTGGCCTCAGAGCTACCGTTTCAGTTTCAGTCTCCAGTGGGAAGTCTTGCAGCCTGGGGCAGGTTTGTGTTCTCAGCCTAGACTGCCTGAGACTTAGCTGGCTATTGTGGGTGTTTGCCAGCAGAAGTCTGCATGTGTAAGACCTTCTGTGTCAAGGTTGTGGGAATTGACCTGCCTCTTGCTACCCCTCTCTCCATGTACAGACTCTCATGTGGCAGAGGGTGTTCTCCTCCCTGGAACACTATCCCAGTGGTCAGGGAACTGTCCACTGATCCCCATTGTGGCTGCTGCTTACACCCACACTTGGAGAGGCAGAGTATGGACTTTCCTGACCCAGCCCACACTCGGCTTTGCCCCTCTACCTGTCCTAGTAGCAGAACAGGGACTTTTCAGAGTTCCATGTCACTTCCCATCAGCTGACTACTTCCCCTGGGTAACAAAGGTTAAGCATAAATCCCACTACCGTGACTGCAGCTGGCTCTCTCCTGCAAGTGCCACCTTCTGGCCCACGGTCAACCAACACAGTCCATTACAACATCTGCTGGCACACTAACATGATACTGGTATAAATGTAGACATACAGACCAGAGGAACAGAACAGAGACCCCAGAAATGAAGCCAAATACTTACGATTAACTGATTTTCAACAGAACAGACAAAAACATACACTGAGGAATGAACACCCCATTCAATAAAACGTGCTGGGAAATAAGATAGCCACATGCAGAAGAATGAAACTGGATCCTTATCTGTCACCATATATAAAAATTAACTCAAGATGGATTAAAGACTTAAATGTAAATCACGAAACTATAAAGATTCTAGAAGAAAAACTAGGAAAAAATCTTCTGGACATTGGCCTAGGCAAAGAATGTTTGACTAAGACCCTGAAAGCAACTACAACATAAACAAAAACAAATAAATGGGACTTAGCGAAACTGAAAAGCTTCTGCACAGCAAAAGAAATAATCGACAGAGTAAAGAAACAACCTACAGAATGGGAGAAAATATTTGGAAACTGTCCATCCAACAAAGGACTAATTCAGAATCTACAAGAAACACAAACAAATCAGCAAGAAAAAAATAAATAACCCCATTAAAAAGTGGGGAGATGACATGAACAGGCAAAAGAAGATACACAGATGGCCAGCAAACATATGAAAAAAAAATGCTCAACATCACTAATCATCAGGAAATGCAAATTAACACCACAATGCGATACCAATCTTACCCTAGTCAGAAGGACCGTTATGAAAAAGTCAATAAATGATAGATATTGGTGTGGATGAAGTGAAAAGAGAATGCTTAGACACCCTTGGTGGGAATGTAAATAAGTACAACCTATATGGTAAACAGTATGGAGATTTCTCAATGAACTTTTAAAAGCAGAGCTACCATTCAATCTAGCAATCCCACCACTGGGCATGGACCCAAATGAAAGGAAGTCATTCTATCAGGCGCCACCTCCAGTCTTCCTGGACCCTGCAATTCGGGGGTTTCAGGCTCGGGACAAGTGCAGGGTTCTCCATAAAGGCAGCCTCGGTGGTGGACCCGACCCCTTGCAGTCCCACATGGAGGGAGCGGAGGGGCGCGTTCTGCAGCCTGCTGCACAGGATAAAAGGTAAATTCCACCTGGTGAGCAGAAGGCGCCTGTGGCAGCTCCGCTGGGGCTGGGGGAGTACAGGCAAGAGTGGCTGGTGGCCTGGGGCACAAGAGTCTGCGGAGCACATGCTTAGAAACCTGGGGCAGACAGGCAAAGGTGGTGGTCGCAGAGACTTTGGTTCAGGGGCTCAACACATCGGCCAGGGATGTGGCCCATCACCTAGTCTCTGGAAGCACTTTGTGCTCCTCACTCTGCTTCCTGTTACAAATCATGACAACATATTTCAGAGGACTTGGGGGAAATTCGCCCTCTTGGCACCGTCAGGTCGGTTCTCAGTGGCGTTCCCCCGGGGAAGGGAGGAAGTCCCCACAGATGGTGTGAAGGAGGGGTGCCCAATCTCGGGCTTGGCACCTGGATGAGCTCCACTTCCAGGCCCCAAAGCCCTTATTGCATCTGCTGCAGACTCCGTCAGACTGGGCATGGTGATCCAAGAGTTCACCCAAGTGAGAAATCTGGGTTAAGTTAGGTGTTGCTGCCCAGCGGGAGACCAGAGCCTGCCTTCTTCCTGGGCCTGAGTGACATGGCCACTGCCAGGGTTGGGGTCCAGGGAAGCCTGTTTCTGGTGTCACTGTGCTCTGTGCCAAGTAAGGAGAAATGTTTTTAAGGAGTTGACAACAACTCCTGAGAAAGCATTTCAGTGGTTACTGGAGGACTTGCACTCTGGAAATGCAGAGAACCCAGGACTGCTGCCAGGATTAACTGGGTGACTACACATGAGAGGGCAGACAGAGCCTGGCTCATTTCAGTACTCTGCATGGGTTAATTGCCACCATCAGCTGTGATGGGAACATGTGGTGATTGCTTCACAAGATGACAGTGGCCCTGAGGAGTCTGGAGACTGGGAGGTCCCAGATCAAGGCGCCAGCAGGTTTGGTGTCTGGTGACAGCCCACTTCCTGGCTCATAGTCAGTGGGTTTCTCTTGTGCTGGCATCTCTCTCACTCCTAGGCCAGGCTCCTTCTGCAACCAATCGTTAGCTGCCAACCCTTAAGGGCCAGGCAATACATTTGCAAATTACAACCTGGAACATCCAAGGTAGCAGGAAGAGAAAGAGCAACTTTTGTCTTGGCAGCCAAGCTTCATTGTTGGCTGGCACCCAATGTGCATTTCAGGTTTTTATGGTTCCTTGTCTGAGGTTATTGTAGCTGATTCCCAGGGTATTCTAATCTAAGAAGCAGTGAGTGAGCAGTGACTTAGAAGCAGTCAGTGAGCCTGAACTTTGCTAACTGGAAGGACTGGCTGTCCCCTCCCCTTACCTTCCAGTCTCTCTCCCTGACTGCCCTGTACAAGACAGCCCCACCTGAAATAACTGAAGGCACTTCAGTTCTGTGTTGCTTTTCCTTGCAAAACATGGGTAAGGTCTTAAAAAGATCCTGGAAGTGTGTCTCTGTGGCATGCATCGAGGTACGTATCCTTCCTTGAGGTGTGTTAGTTTCATCTTTCAGTACTCAGAGTTGTCTGCATAGTGCCAGGGAGGGAGGAGGTGCCAAACCCTGTGCTCAGCCAGGATGCCCTGGCCTGGCCACGCCTTCTGAGGCTTCCACAGACCTAAGAGGGACTAAGAGCTGGGGTCAAAATGTTCCTGTCACTGACGCCCTGCTTCCGGAAAGGAGATCCAGAAGGAAAAAGAAAAGATGTTGGGACCTTTTTTTTTTTCTTCTTTTCCTAGCCACATCCTTTGGGGGTTGGGATGGGACAAAATAAATGTATGTTCAAGAAGACAGTCTATGCTGAAAATGACATACAGTATAACCACCCAATGGATTCACCTTGCCTGCTGCCTAAAAGAGTGGATTTATCAAGACAGGAGAATTGCAATAGAGAAAGAGTAATTCACAGAAAGCCAACTGTGTAGGAGACTGGAGGAGTTTTATTATTACTCAAATCAGTCTCCCAGGACATTCAGGTATCAGTGTTTTAAAGGATAATTTGGTGGGTGGGGGAAGGCCAGTGAGTTGGGAGTTCTGATTGGTCAGATCAGAGATGGAATCACAGGGAGTCCAAGCTGTCCTCGTATGCTGACTCAGTTCCTAGGTGGAGGCCACAAGATCAGATCAGGCAGTTTATCCACCAGGGTTGTGCCAGCTGATCCATCAAGTGCAGGGGCTGCAAAATACCTCAAGCACTGATCTTTGGAGCAGTTTAGGGAGGGTCAGAATCTTGTAGCCTCCAGCTGCATGACTCCTAAGCCATAATTTCTAATCATGTGGCTAATTTCTTAGTCCTACAAACGCAGTCTAGTCTCCAGGTAAGAAAGAGGTTTGTTTTGAGAAAGTACTGTTACTGTCTTTGTTTTAAACTATAAGCTGTAAAGTAAGTTCCTCCCAAAGTTAGTTTAACTTTGCCCAGGAAGGAACAAGGACTGCTTAAAAGGTTAGAAGCAAGATGGAGTCGGTTAGGTTAGATCTCTTTCACTGTCTCAGTCATAATTTTGCAAAGGCAGTTTCAGCCAGGTGCAGAGGCTCACAGCTGTAATTCCAGTACTTTGGGAGGCAGAGGCAGATGGATCACTTGAGGGCAGGAGTTCCAGACCAGCCTGGCCAACAAGGCAAAATCCCATCTCTACTAAAAATACAAAAATTAACCAGGTGTGTCATGCCTGCAGTCCCAGCTCCTCCAGCGGCTGAGGCACAAGAATTCCTTGAATCCAGGAGGCAGAGGTTGCAGTGAGATGAGATTGGTCCACTGCATTCCAGCCTGTAGGACAAAGTGAGACCCTGTCTCTCTCTCTCTCTCTCTCTCTCTCTCTCTCTCTCTCTCTCTCTCTCTCTCACACACACACACACACACACACACACACACACACACACACAGTCATTCTATCAAAAAGACACTTACACTTCTAGGTTTATCACAGCACAATTCACAACTGCAAAAATATGAAATCAATCTAAGTGCCCATCAACCAATTAGTGGATAAAGAAAATGTGTGTGTGTGTGTGTGTGTGTGTGTGTATTACAGAATACTACTCAGCCATAGAAAAGAACAAAATAGTGTTTTTCAAAGCAATTTGGCCATTATCATAATTGAAGTAACTCAGGAGCAGAAAACCAAATACCACATGTTCTCACTTACAAGTTTGGGGTAAGCAATGGATATGCAGGAGCATGCAGAGGGGGATCATGGACATTAAAGATTCTGAAAGGAGGAGGGTTGGAGGTGAGTGAGGGATAAAAAATTACCTATGAGGTAAAATGTACACTTTTGATGTGACAGGTACACTAAAAGCCCCAGACTTCACCACCATACAATTCATGCATGTAACCAAAAACTACATGTAATCCCAAAGCCATTGAAATTTTAACAAATTTATTTCAAAGAAAAAGCAGTGGTGTATGATTCTCCCAGTATTGAGTGTGCATTGTATATAGTGACTTTTTTAATACACACAACATAAAAAGGGAGAAAAAGAATAATTTTACAGAAGAGATTTTTAGAACTAAAAGATTTTTATCCAGGTGATCAAATTAACATCAACAGTGATAGAGCCTGTTGACAGCTTGTGCCCTGGATATTATGTGATAGGAATAGTACTTTTCATCTGTATTCTTCCTCCCTTAAGCCCAGAAGTCCAGTCTCATCATGAGAGAAACATCAGAGAAATCCCAAATTAGAAACATCAACGGCATCAAAAACAAGGAAACTCTTAGAAACTATCACATTCAATGGAGCCTATGAAGCAATAATATCTAAATGTGATGACATATCCTAGAAGAGATCCTAAAACATAAACTTAAGATTAAGCAAAAACTAAAAAATCCGAATAAAGTATGTATAGTACTCAGTGACAATACATGATATTGGTTGCTTAATTTTGACAAATGTTTCACACTATGAGACTAATAATAAAGGACACTGTGCATGGAGTAAATGGAAACTCTATACTAGATTTGCAACTATTCTTAAAACCATAGAACATTTTTTTGTTGGTTTTTGTTTTTTCTTTTTTGTTTTTTTTCTGAGACAGAGTCTCCCTCTGTTGCCCAGGCTGGAGTGCAGTGGCATGATCTCGGCTTACTGGAACCTCCGCCTCCTGGGGTCAAGCGATTCTGCTGTCTCAGCCTCCCAAGTAGCTGGGATTACAATCGTCCACCACCGTGCCAGGCTAATTTTTTGTATTTTTATTAGAGACAGGGTTTTGCCATGTTGGTCTTGAACTCCTGACCTAAGGTGATCTGCCCGCCTCAGTCTCCTAAAGTGCTGGGATTATAGGTGTGAGCCACTGTGCCCGGCTTTGGAAAACCATTCTTTAAAACTTGTTTTTTTTTTTTTGTTGTTGTTGTTGTTGTTAATGTCACTCCCAAGCTTAAAAAAAACCAATGATTAGCAATATTGTTGATACCTCCTTTGTGCATCTCCTTAATTTCTCAGTTTTCCTTAAGCACTGAACTTAACTATATTGTGAATTGTCATTCCATACTTTAAAAATAGTTTTTCCTCTTTGAGTATTTCTGAATACTATATTCTTTAGGGCTTTTTTGTCTTCAGATTTAAGTGAAGTTATTTCATTCATTAATATTCCTAGTTTAATCATGAGAAAATATCAGCTAACACCATATCGTGTGACATCCTATTAAATACCTGACTGGTACCTTTCAAAAGGGTCAAGGTCATGAAAAAGAAGTGAAGGCCAGGAAACTGTTTCATATAGGAGAATACCTGATGTGTCAGGTAGACTCTAAGTTGGTGCCCATTTATCCCCACCTTCTCATATACACGACCTTCGACTGTAAACCCATCCAAGTGAGTCTAAGCAGGAATTGTGACTTGCTTTGAAACAATAGAATAGTGCAAAGGTATAGAAGTGTCACTTGGATTCTTATATATGATTATGATTTTGGTCTTGCTAGAAATGTCTCTCTCGATGGATTTTATGAAGCCATGTGACAGAAGCCCCCTTGGCAAGGCACTTTATTTAGCCAATGGCCAACAGCCAGGAAGGTAAGAGGCTTTTTGTGCAATAGACTGTTCTACAGTTGGAAATATTATATTTAAAACTAACCACACTGCCCAAAGAAGTTTACAGACTAAATGCCATTCCTACCAAACTACTAATGACATTCTTCGCAGAACTAGAAGAAAACTGTGTTAAAATTCATATGGAACCAAAAAACAGCCGCAATAGCCAAGGTAATCATAAACAAAAAGAACAAAGCTGGAGGCATCATGTTACCTGACTTCAAACTATACTACAAGGATAAAGTAACCAAAAAGCATGGTGCTGGTACAACAGCAGGCACATAGACCAGCTGAACAGAATAGAGAGCCTATGACCATCTGACCTTTGACAAAGCTGACAAAAACAAGCAATGGGGAAAAGACTCTCTATTCCATAAACAGTGCTGGGAGAACTGGCTAGCCATATGTAGAAGACTGAAACTGGACCCCTTCCTTACACCATATAAAAAATTAACTCAAGATGGATTAAAGGCTTAAATGTAAAACCCTAAATTATAAAAACCCTGGAAGACAACCTAGGCAATACCATCCTGGATATAGGAATAGGCAAAGATTTCATAACAAAAACTCTGAAAGCAATTGCAACAAAAGCAAAAATTGGCAAATGTGATCCAATTAAACTTAACAGCTTTGCGCAGCAAAAGAAACTATCAGAGTGAACAGACAAAGTATAGACTGGGAGAAAATATTTGCAAACTATGCATCTGATGGAAGTATAATATCCAGCATCTATAAAAAACTTAAACAAATTTACGAGAGAAAAACAAACAACCGCATTAAAAAGTAGGCAAAGCACCGGGCGCGGTGGCTCACGCCTGTAATCCCAGCACTTTGGGAGGCCAAGGCGGGCGGATCACAAGGTCAGGAGATCGAGACCATCCTGGCTAACATGGTGAAACCTCGTCTCTACTAAAAATACAAAAAATCAGCCAGGTGTGGTGGCAGGTGCCTGTAGTCCCAGCTACTTGGGAGGGGACAGGAGAATCGCTTGAACCCGGGAGGCGGAGGTTGCAGTGAGCCGAGATCGCGCCACTGCACTCCAGCTTGGGCAACAGAACAAGACCCGGTCTCAAAAAAAAAAAAAAAGAAAAGAAAAGAAAAGTAGCAAAGGATAAGAACAGACAATTTCCAAACAGGAGATACATGCGGCCAACAAGCATATGAATAAAAGCTCAATATCATTGATCATTACAGAAACGCAAATCAAAACCACAATGAGATACCATCTCATACCAGTCAGAATGGCTATTACTAAAAAGTCAAAATAACAGATGCTGGTGAGGTTGCAGATAAAAAGGATCACTTACACACTGTTGGTAGGAGTGTAAGTTCATTCAACCATTGTGGAAAGCAATATGTCATTTCCTCAAAGAGCTAAAATCAGAACTACCATTCAACTCAGCAATCCCATTACAGGGTATACACCCAGAGGAATAGAAATCATTCTTCCAAAAAGACACATTCACATGAATGTTCACTGGAGCACTACTTACAAGAAAAAAGACATGGAATCAACTTAAATGCTTATCAATGACAGGATGGATAAAGAAAATGTGGTACATATATATCATGGAATACTATGTAGCTGAAAAAAAACAGAGTCATGTCTTTTACAGGAACATGAATGGAGCTAGAAGCTATTATCCTTAGCAAACTAACACAGGAGCAGAATACCAAATTATCACATATTCTCACTTTTAAGTGGGAGCTAAATGATGAGAACTCATGAACACAAAGAACGGAACAAAGGTCACTGGGGCCTACTTGTAAGTGAAGGGTAGAAGGAGGGAGAGGAGCAGAAAAAGTAAATATTGGGTAGTAGGCTTAGTACCTGGGTGAAAAAATGATCTGTACAATAAACCTCCATTACACAAGGTTACCTATATAACAAAACCATACCTGTATCCACAAACCTAAATTTAAAGATATAAAGTTAAAAAATCAAAATCATATAAAAACTATAAAAAATACTAAACTAAGCTACTTTCAAATAAAGTTATATTGTTCACAGTTACTGTATCTTATAATAACAAATAATCCTAATTCCTTTCTCCTGTCCTTTGCATTATTGCTGATATCCACTTCATATATATATGTGTATATATATATACATATACACACACACAAACACACATGCACATGTGCATATATCTGTACACATATATACTTATACATAAGATATATGCATAGGCATATATTATTTAATAATTTTTCTATTTTCAAGAAATTGTTTTTTCTTATAATAAACTAAGGATATAAAAATGTTAAACCAACAGAAAGATAAAATTATATATAACTCATATTTTAAGGAATGTGAGAGATGGAAAAATATAAAATGCTCAATGAGAATCACAAAAGGCAGAAAATGAATGGAAGATGAAAATAGGAAGAAGGAACAAGGACAACAAATCAAAAGCATTGACAAATATGATAAATATTAATCCAACTGTATCACTTACCACTTTGAATGTCAATGGTCTAACTGCACCAAGTAAAAGACACAGATTTACAAAATGAATCAAAAAACAAGACACAACTGTTATTTATAAGCCCAACCCAAATATAAAGACAAATAAACGTAAATGAATGGAACAAAATGTACGATGCTAACTCTAATCAAAGTAAACAAGAAGAGCTATATGAATTACAGGCAGAGCAGACTTCAAAGCAAGAAAAGTCATCAGGAATAAAGAAGGGCATTACATAGAGATGAAGAGCCATTCTTCCAAGAAGATGTCCTAATTCTTAAAGCCTATGAGCCTGATAACAGAGCGTAAACTATGAGGCAGAAATCAACAGAACCACAAGGAAAAAGATGAATTCAGTATTATAGTTGGAAACGTTAACACCCTATATCAGATACGGACAGATCTAGCAGGCAGTAATTCAGGAGGGAAAAGCTGAACTCAACAGCACCAACAAGCAACTGGGCATAACTGACACCTACAGTCTCCTTCCCTCAACTACTCCAGAGGACACATTCTTCTTAAGCTCACATGGAATATTCAGCAAAATGTGCCACATTCTGAGACAAAAAATACCCCAACAATTTTTAAAAAGTAAATCATACAATGTCAGCTCTAAGACCACAGTGGAATTAAAATAGAAATCAAAGGATGAATGGAATGATAACTGTAATATCCCAAAATGCATTGAGATTAAACAACACACTTCCATATAATATATGGGTCAAAGAAGATATCACCAGAGAAATTTTTTAAATTAACTAAATGAAAATAAAAACACAATTTATCAAAATTTGTAGGATGAAAGGAAAGCAGAACATATAGGCAAATAAATACCATTAAACACATACATAGGAAATGACGAAAAGACCAAAAATCTGTCATCTGTGTTTCCACCTTTGGAACCTAGAAAAGGAAGAATATATTAAATCTAAAGTCAGTAAAAGAAAAGCGATAACGTTGTTAACAGACTAAAACAAAGGAAAAGTTAAAGCAACTGGATTTCTCAAACACCTATTATCTTAATAGTTCTCAGAACACAGAGGCACCCAAAATTAACAGGGCAAACAAAGCACCCCAACACCCCCCTTGCTTACGGGCATGCAGCCATGACCCCCTCAGAAATGGGAACCTCAAGATTTAGAAATGATCAGTCTCGGGCTACTGAGGCCGGGCAGTATCATTTCCTCCGAAGTCACGCTGTACATTTTAGAATAGCTAAATAAAAGATTTTTAGTGTTCTCACCATAAAGTATTAGCTGGTGAGTTGATGCCCATGTTAATTAGCTTGATTGAATCTTCCCCAATGAATACAAGAATCAAAATATCACACTGTTATCCATAAATATACGCAATGTGTCAACTAAAAATAAAAGTTTTGGTAAATTCTTTATCTATGAATAATTCACAAATAGGAAACGTAGGTAAGTAACAATTGTTATGTCCATAATATAAAAGGGCATATGTGACAGAAAGCAAGCTTTTTAAATGTACGTTACGGTCTGGGAAACACGGAGAAATCCTGACGTTTGAAGAACAAACAGGGACGACGACACAGGCAGGCACCGCCTCAGGAACAAGCGCGCGTTCCGGGCGAAGCCACCGGAAAGCCCAGCGCAGACCCCTCAGACATCCGCCCTGAGTTCTCCTGTAGATCTCACCGCCCTCTCCCCCTGTCAGCCGCGCCCTCTGATCACCGCCCTCCACCTTCCTCCCTCACTCCCTGTCAGCCTTGCCCTGCACCCGCGGCCCTCACGCCCCACCTGGGCCTGGCTCCCGCCCCCAAGCCCAGCCTGCGTGGCAGCCTCCGGTTCCCCTCACTGCGCAGCTGCGACCCCCGCACCCGCACTTCCCTTCAGGCTGCTCCCAGCCTCACCTGTGTGGGCGCCAGGTGGAGAGGAGTCCGCAGATCTGAGTTTTCTCCTCCATGGATCCCACCACCTGCAAAAGCACTGAGGTGGCAGAAACCTGCCCTGGCGGGGAAGCGAGGGTCTGAGCGATAGAGAAAAGGCCAGGAACAAGGGCAGCCCCATGAGCCCTGCAGTCAGGCAGCCGGGGGTCCTCTTTGCTCTTCTCCACCCTCCTTTCTCCCAGACCCACGCCCCCCTGGCCCAGCCCAGGAGCCTCCCCAGGGGACAGGGCCCACTCACTCCTCAACGTCCTTCCCATAGGCTGAGCTCATGGGCTGGGGTAACATCTCAGGGAACCAAACCCAGACATTCGAATCCCTCCCCACAGAGCGCAGTCCTCAGGGAGCGGCCCTCCCTGCCTCCCCTGCCCAGTCCCTCCGTGGTCTGCCCTTCCTGCTCCTGCGTCCTCACCAATTACTCATCCCAGCGCTCCTTCCAATCCACCGCCCTCTTCTCATGGCCTGGCCTGTGCCAGGCACACAGGTTTTCCTCCTCGCTTTCCCTCCCCTGTCTCCTGGACCCACTGCGCCTCACTCTCCAGCATCTCCTCCAATGTTCCTCCTCCTGGAGGCTTCCCCTGTCCATCCCATCCCAGGCCTGAAACCTGTCCTCTCAGTTCCCAAGGGCAGCTCTTCCACCTTACAGTTTAATTTTTGTCAAGTTTTCTGAAACCCTGTTGGACAGAAGCATCACAGAACATGGCAACTTTGTCTATGGTGTCTCTGAGCCCCACACATGTCCTGGACAGAAAGCAACTCTGAAAATTCTCTGGTAATCTATAAAAGTATAAATCACTTTTAAAAGATTATTATCTGATACAAGAAAATAAATTGAAGTTCCCATTTCTTTTCTACAGACGATAATCGGAAAACATTTGCTGTGTGCAGTTGTATGCACAGATTTTCGGAGTGGCTTTTTTTTTTTTTTAACTGAAGAAGCAATTTTGGTATTTACTCATCAAAGAGAAAGAGAAGAATACACACCTATATTATGAGCCATAAGTATAAGGAAATGTCTTGCAGACGTTTACAAATACTATGTAGAAGGAATCAGAGATTCAAGCCAGTATCTATAAATTTCAGGTAAAAGAAAAACAATATGCTGAAGTTTATTCGTGCATATTAACAAAATAACTGGTCTTTGTGTGCTGGAAGGGAGTCTTGGTATTCCATGTATTCAAATCAATGCTTTTGAACCTTGCAAATTAGAACAAACTAAGCCATATACAAAACCCGTTTTAAGTATGAGTCTCTAGCAAATTTTGTCTTGTGGTTCCTAGCAAACTTTCTGCACCTTTTCAACTAGAAGTATTTCAGAGGAAATTTGTGGAAAACAATTATAGAGAATGGGTGACATTTCCATTAATTTAATAAAAAGTGATAAAATATAAGAATAAAGATATTTTGAAAAATGATTATGAATAACTAAACAAAATAAAAGGCATTAATACACACTACAAAAATTTAAATTTGGTTATACATGATGTTTATGTGATGATAAAAAAGTACATTGACACAGAAAGGGTCAAAGGCCTTTGCACACCAAAACAAACACTGTTTCATTTGTTCAAAACAAATACTGTGTCATTTGTTTTCAGACAGCAAACAGAATGATTCTTTGACACACTCAGTCTTTCCAAGAAATAACCGAATTCCCCAACCAACACCAGAAGTAGAGCAAGAAAATGTTGGTGTTTCCCATGAAGATACCACAGAGACAGGCTCAACTCTCCTGCCTCTACTTAGGCACTGTCTTGGATAGGCGTGGTCTGGAGGAGGTAAACCTTGTCTAGTGAGTTGTCTGTGTGTGTGCACGAAACACCCAGGGATGTTTGTTTTGGAAAAATACAAAAGTATAAATTTGGTTGTACATGATGGCTATGTGACCAACAAAAGAGTGTTTCCTTGTGTTTAATACACAGTGTTAAACACATTTGTACACAAAACCAAAAACCAAGATGTAACATTACAGTGCCAGGACTGAAGGGGAAATGTGCCATTGGTCAGAAAGAAGAATGATTATTTAACAAATTCATGCTTATATAAAATAACTGAATTCCCCACCCCACCCAACAGGGAGCTCCTCCCCTTGTGCATGCAGACCCCACAGAGAGGTTCTGATCTCAGGGCTCCCTGCTGGTCCTGCCTTTGATGTGCATTGTCTGGAGGAGGAGACCCATGTCCACAGCATCTTCTACAGCAAGGCAGGAGGCACCCGGGGCTGCATCTCCAGGTTTTCCCACCACTTGCTGTTGTTGAAGGTATGAAATACACAAACTGAAGAGTGGTGTTCATGGATCTTATAAGATTAACAAAGACATTACAGACATAAGAGACAACAATGATATTCTGAAACTCTAAAGCCACTGATTGATTCAAAGACCAGCTGAGAGTATCGGTGTACGTGAAAGGCATGGAGATTTTTAATCTTTTTTCACTTCATTATGGAAAAGCACAGTCATTAGGAGAATGGTCACAAAATATGGTATTAAATGAAGTCTGTTAGCAACTAAGAAAGTGTTGCATTTGCACAGAGACAGAGGAATAAACCAATGAAAAAAGAAAACAGCATAAATACAGACGTGTATATATGAACAAATCATTTGTAAGTCAATAAATGGGGACAGATTAATTTTTCTAAAACTATTCAAAAAACTGAATATTCACAAGGGAATTAAAATCTGACCTTTAACTTCATTTTACACACAAAATCAGGTGGATCACAGACATATATATATATTTAGTACACTAGGTAGAACACATAAGAAAATATCTTCAGGACTATGTGGTAGGGTAAGATACCTGAAACTGGACCTAAAAAGCACTAATTATATAAATAAACTATTCTACATATTCTACATAGTTGACTTCAGCAATGACTTTGGAGACAGACTGAATCAAACTCAAAGCACTTTTAATCCTTTCATGTAGTGCTTAGTCTCAGATTCAGAACTGGCCCGTGGCAGTGGTAACAGTGCTCACTTCTTGAGATGTCAGGTGGGTTTGTATAAAATAATATATAAAGCATGTAGTATAGTATCACATCTATACATATCATTAAGACTAATTTTTATAATAAATTGTGAGATTTATCTTTTAGATTTACATATCAGAATGAAATAATAAAACCACTAATAAATAATGGAGCAAATATTTCTAATTAGAGTTTTATAATTATTTTAAAAACTTTTTTTGACTAACACGTTTATATTTGTCTTATATCATTCCTATCATTACATGAGACAGAACATATATGCAAAATACATTTACAAAGGTATTGCTAACACTTATTTCATTCAGAACAAACTCTCTGAATCACTTTCAACTCATCTTGTCCATGATTTTCCCCACAATATCATCATCTGTGCTAATCACAAGCACTGATAGTGCTGCATTTCTCATGGGACTCCTATGCTACTCTATGTAAGTTTACCTTTCCAGTCTCCTGACAACCCTTCTGTAAGTTTTGATGCTTGATATAATTACCCAACGATGTCTTTGGGGAGGTTTAGACCAAGTTCGTGTGTGTGTGCCCGAGGACAACCACATCATGACTGCTTTCTGGCAATAATGTTATAACCCTTTCAAATAGAAGATGCATCTCTCTTTAAAAGATGTTAAAATGTGTACCAAAGAATTGTTTACACACTTTTTCTCTGTGACTGCCCACTTCTCAGTGTTAAATCATGGTGGCTGAGGCAGGAGAATCGCTTAAACCCTGGTGGTGGAGTTTGCAGTGAGCCGAGATCGCACCACTTCACTCCAGCCTGGGCGAAAAAGCGAACTCCGTCTCCGTCTCCAAAAAAAAAAAAAAAAAAAAAAACATGGTGGCAAGTCTGCTATGTTTTAGTCTGTAATTAACATTCTTGTATATATGTTCACATTAATTTATCAACTCTATTTACATTCTACCTAGTTATTAGAGATATTAGACTTATTAGTGAATTGCTGTAATTGTTTTATAAACTATGGTTCAAGAAATCTATTGATGAGGAAGATATAAATTGTAGAGAGACACTTGAAATTTTTCCTGAAGTGTTAGCTTTCTAAAGACTAAGCAAAATCTATATTTAAAAAATTTGTGTCCTAAAATTAGAAATATTAGCAATGATCCTTGCAAGCTACATTACAAATTCAATTCTTTAATCCATTACAAATTCAATTCTTTAATCTATAACATTCTTGATCTGTGTTTTTCTTCATTCTCATTCACCCTTTTAATTACACAAATAGTGATAACACATAGTCACTGTAGAAGCAAATGCATTGTGATCCTCATAAAATGCTTTGTTCTGTCCCCTTGCTACTCTGGCAAACTCTACTTTTGGACACTAGGATATTGAAATTAGTTTTCCTGTTTCCCTGGGAAAATATTAAGTGAAGAAGAAACTCATACAATTCATAATTTAGGACTTTGACTGAAATTTCACCTATAGTTTTAAACTGCAGGAAGGTTGAATTGCATGAACATGAAGTAATGATGTTAAATATATGAGCCATTCATCCATTGAACTACAACTCCTAATCAGGCTAGAGTGTGGAGACAGCATGTTGGGATGTTTGTCTTATATTGTGGTCTAACACTTGGGTTTGTTTGCAATGACATCTTTTTTTAGAATTGTGGTGGCCTTTGTGAATTTAGTGGCTTAGTATATTGTGGGAAATCATGCCTTCCATGCTGTTAAAGCACTTGTTGGGCACTCAGTGCTCAGCACTCTGTCCTTTGTGTCCATGATAATATGGCAGTAGAGTTTTGTGTATAGTGCCTGTTTTCCTTTAAACTTGAGAACTCAGAGCTCAATTATTGTGACCACCATGTGGTAGTCCTCATAACTCATGTCCAGGTCTAACTGTGGCTCATATGTGTCACTCTGGCCATTTTTGAGTCATTTATTGGTGGGCAGAATATTCACAGTATGCATCATAATAGATCAAAAAGTATGCATTAAAATGAAGAGAAACAGAAGATCTGTCATTTAAGTATTGTACTATAGTATCTTCAGTTAAAATTTAAAAAATGGAATAAACCTCCTTTAAGATGTCAAATTTAAAAGAGGAGTCATGTCTTAAAGAGTAAAGTATATGGAACTTGGAAGACTTGGAAGGTTTCTTTAAGTACAGATGCTCAAATAACAGCACCTAAATCACTTCTATGCTGATATCAGAAGTGAAAAATGTGGTCGAGGTCAGTCATATCTCCCACTCTAGGTCCCAAGGCTGCAAGATCTCATTTTCTCATATAAGCTATCAATGTGCTATAGAGAATATGCCCCATGTTTACAGACCATCATAAAGGCAATAGTCTTGGCTTTGTCTATGTCTGTGTGAGTGCAGCATGCAGACTCATGGCTTGGGAGGCTTTGTAGGCATGGTTCTTTGGCACAACCCTGATGCTAACACCGCAGAGTGCTGTGAACTATCAACAGGGACCTATGTGGGGGACAGCTGGACAGTTCTTCCTGCTGTGAGATTCTTTGTTTAGCCAGAACACGTGCAGAGTCATCATTTAGCCTGGGTCCATCTCTTAGATCACTGCATGGTGGGGGGAGATCTGTTACATACTGTTTTTTCTTGTATCTACTCAGCTTTCTCCAGCCATACAAAGCATATACTGACTCACTCACATGACTTCACCTGCCAAAAACCAGTTGTCTACAGACTCATATCGAGGTCTTAGTAAGCAAGCACTGTCATCAACCACCATATTTAGAAGCATTGTTTGTGTGCCCTACTCACCTGCTGCCAGGATGACATTTATTCTGTGGTCTTTGACCTTGGAAATGGACAATATAATTCCAAGATGTGAAGAGCAACAGAATATATGGTCCCAAATAATTCATGACGAGAGAAATAGAAATTATCACAGTGATCTGATAACCAGTTGAAGAACAAATCCCTGTACCAAGGGAAATAAAACACTCTCCTGATTGTAGAAATACAATTTGTGTTCCCTGTCACTGACATTTTGCAATATCAGCTTCTAATGTCTAGCAGTCATTTTTTCCCGAAAGGCTTTAGTGGAATTATGTGAATAAACTGCCAGACAATGCCTGAAAATGGGGCATTCTGGGATATATGAGGAAAAGGCGCCTCTCTCTGAAGAAGTGGTTACTGACACTTAAAATGTTCCTGGATAATGAGTAGCATGATTTCAAAGACAAAAATGGATGAGAGTCCCCAGAGCTAACTGTGTTTAACTGAAGCAGGTGCACCTGGGTTCCGAATGGTGGATAGATTAGGAAAGCTGCACTGCTGACCTTTCCCTACTTGCCCAATGCATCTCCTGAAACCAAGTTAATGTGCTTATGTCTTTTTGTTGGCTTTTGTTTTGCACCAAAATATTATTTTAAAATTATTTTGAAATCATATTTGACTTACAGAAGGAGGTATATATAGTGCAGAGAGTTTCATATACCTTTCAGCTTAAAGGAATGTTAACACATTATATAACCATAGACTATTCATGAAAACTGAGAAATTGACAGTGTTATAAAACTATCAATGGAACTACAGACTTTCTTAATAGTTTTCTTCAGGTTTCTAATAATATCACTTTTCTATTCCAGTATCTAATCTAGGATACCACATTACATTTAATGCCAGGTGTATTACTTAGTTATTGTTGTGTAACAAATTCCCACACAGCTGAGTGGCTGAAAAGCACATACACATTACTCACAGCTTCTCTTGGTCAGGAATCTAGATGTAGAAGATGGCCAAGGCTGAAGTCTCCCCTGAAGGCTCACGTGGGGAAGGATCCTCCCCAGGCTCACATGATTGTTGTTAGGATTTAATTCCCATTCCATGTTAAGATGACTTCACTAGGAAATTATTTCATACGTTTAAAGAAATAATACAAATTCATTATGAATTCTCTAAAAACATTAAACAACAGCAATGACAGTGGTGAAGAGATCACTTCCCAATGCACACTATGAGGTACTTTATCCTTGTACCACAATTAGACCAAAACATTTCAAGAAAGTAAAATTAAGAACAATATGCCTTATGAATAAAGAGGCAAAAAACAACCCCATCAAAAAGTGGGCTAAGGATATGAAGAGACATTTGTCAAAAGAAGACATTTATGCAGCCAAAAGACACACGAAAAAATGCTCACCATCACTGGCCATCAGAGAAATGCAAATCAAAACCACAATGAGATACTATCTCACACCAGTTAGAATGCGATCATTAAAAAGTCAGGAAACAACAGGTGCTGGAGAGGATGTGGAGAAATAGGAACACTTTTACACTGTTGGTGGGACTGTAAACTAGTTCAACCATTGTGGAAGTCAGTGTGGTGATTCCTCAGGGATCTAGAACTAGAAATACCATTTGGCCCAGCAATCCCATTACTGGGTATATACCCAAAGGATTATAAATCATGCTGCTATAAAGACACATGAACATGTATGTTTATTGTGGCACTATTCAAAATAGCAAAGACTTGGAACCAAGCCAAATGTCCAACAATGATAGACTGGATTAAGAAAATGTGGCACATATATACCATGGAATACTATGCAGCCATAAAAAAGGATGAGTTCATGTCCTTTGTAGGGACATGGATGAAGCTGGAAACCACCATTCTCAGCAAACTATCACAAGGACAAAAAATCAAACACAGCATGTTCTCACTCATAGGTGGGAATTGAACAATGAGAACACATGGACACAGGAAGGGGAACATCACACACCGGGGCTGTTGTGGGGTGGGGGGAGGGGGAGGGATAGCATTAGGAGATATACCTAATGTAAATGACGAGTTACTGGGTGCAGCACACCAACATGGCACACGTATACATATGTAACTAACCTGCACGTTGAGCACACGTACCCTAAAACTTAATGTATAATATAAAAATAAGAAAAAAAACACTTAGAAAAATTAAAAAAAAGAGGCAAAATTCCTTTAGGAAATAATAGCAAAACAAATCAGCAACACGCAAAGACTATTATAAACTATGGCTAAGGGTATTTCCTCAGGAATGCAAATTTTGTTCAATATACAATTCATGCACTGTATTAATGGAATAAAGCACAGAACCTACACAATCATCTCAAAGACACCTAATAAGCACTTGACAAATCAAAAACACATTCATGATAAAGATATGCAGCAAATTAGGACTATAAAGAAAATGTCTTCACTTTAAAGCATCCAAAAAAAAAAAACCCTCACATGATATAAAAGTTTTCTGAAAGGCTCAATACTTTCTCCAAGATTAGAAATAAGACAAGGAATTTCATTCTGGCCACAATTCTTCCCCACATTATGCTAGAGGATGTAGCAAGGACAATTAGTCTAGAAAAATGAATATAAGATATCTAGTATAAAAGAAAGTAAAACTCCGTTGGCAATTGACATGATTTGTGTATAGAACATCAAAATGACTCTAATAAAATAGAATGCAAATTAAAATATAAGTTCAATACAGTCCCAGTACACAAGGTCAATATATAGAAATATGTACTTCTATATACTAGAAATTAACAAATTAAAGAAAAAACTCAGAAACCCATGCTATTTAAAATAGCATCCAAAAGGAAAAATACATAAGAATAAATTTAACAAAATACACGTACGACATGTATATTGAAAACTGTAAAATATATTAAATGTAATTAATAAACTTCTATAAAAACAGACAATATTGAATGATCATTGATTAAAAGGCTTGATATTATTAAGTTGACAATACTTTTTATCTGGCTCTATATATTTAATGCAATTTCCATGAAAATCCCAGGTGACCGTTTTTTCACTAACTTGTCAAACAGATTTTAAACTGTATATATAATGCAATAGAGAAGAGATAAAATAATTTTGAAAAAAAAACAGAATTTGTAAAATAGACTCATACTTTCTGATTTTAAAACTAAAGACAAAGCCATACTAATTAAGATGTGTGGTGTAGACATACGGATAAATAGAATAAAATTGAATATCAAAAAGTTAACCTTTACATTTATGGTCAAATAATTTTACAAGGGGTCCAAGTAAATTCAATATGGAAAAGTACTTTTTTAAATAAATGGATTCTGGGACAAGTTGACATCATCGACATCAACAGGCAAGTTAAACTCCTCCCTCACAGTATATGCATAAATAGTTCAAATTAGTCACTGATATGGTTTGGACTTGTGTTCCTGCCCAAATTTCATGCCACATTGTAATCCCCAATGTTATAGGAGGGGCCTGGTGGGAGGTGATTGGATAATGGGGGAAGATTTCCCCTTGCTGTTCTCATGACAGTAAGAAAATTTTCATGAGATATCGTTATTTAAAAGTGTGTAGGACCTCACCCTTCTTTCTCTTCTTCCTTCTCAGGCCATAAAAGATGTGTCTGCTTTCCCTTCTCCTTCTGTCATGATTGTAAGTTTCCTGAGGCCTCCCCAGCCATATTTCCTCTACAGCCTGCAGAACTATGAGTCAATTAAACCTCTTTGCTTTATAAATTACCCAGTTTCAGTTAGTTCTTTATAGCAATGCAAGAACAGGCTAATACAGAAAATTGCTACTGGGAGTGGGGCATTGCTATAAAGATACTTGAAAACATGGAAGTGACTTTGAAACCGGGTAATGAGCAGAGGTTGGAACAGTCTGGAGGGGTCAGAAAAAGAGAGGAATATGAGGAGAAGTTGCAAACTTTCCAGAGATTGGTTATATTGTTGTGACCACAATGCTGATAGTGACATGAAGTCCAGGCTGAGGTGGTCTCAGATGGAGATGAGGAACTTATTGGGAACTAGAGTAAGGGTCAACTCTTCCGTTATGTTAGCACAGAGACTGGTGGCATTGTGCCCCTGCTCTAGGGATCTGTGGAACTTTGAATTTGAGACTGATGATTTAGGGTATGTTGTGGAAGAAATTGCTAAGCAGCAAAGTGTTCAAGATGTCATCTCGCTGCTTCTAACAGTGTATTGTCATAGTGTGAGCAAAGGGATGCTATGAAACTAAAACTTATATTTAAAAAACAGGCAGAGCATAAAAGTTTAGAAAATTTGCAGTCCAGCCATTTCGTAAAAAAGAAAAACCTGACCAGGTGCTGTGGCTCATGCCTGTAATCCCAGCACTTTGGGGAGCTGAGGTGGGTGGATCACAAGGTCAGGAGTTCAACACCAGCCTGACCAATATGGTGAAACCGTGTCTCTACTAAAAATACAAAAATTATCCACGCATGGTGGCACATGCCAGTAGTCCCAGCTACTCAGGAGGCTGAGGCAGAAGAATTACTTGAACCTGGGAGGTGGAGGTTGTAGTGAACTCAGATTGCACCACTGCACTCCAGCTTGGGCAACAGAGTGAGACTCCATCTCAAAAGAAAAAAATAGAAAGAAAAGGAAAACAAAAAAAAGAAGAATCCATTTTCTGGGGAGGAACTCAAGCCAGCTGCAGAAGTTCGCATAAGAGAAGCCGAATTTTCATAGCCAAGACAATAAGGAAAATCCCTCAAAGCCACTTCAGAAACCTTCCCAACAGCCCCTCACATCATAGGCACAAAAGCCTAGGAGAAAATAATGGTTTCAAGGACCAAGCCGAAGGCTTTGGTGCCCTGTGCAACCTTGGGCAACTGCTCCCTGTGTCCCAGATCCTCCAGCTCCAGCTATGACTAAAAGGTCCCCAGACACATATCAGGCCACTGCTCCAGGAGGTGCAAGCCATAATCCTTGGCCGTTTCTCCACATGGTGTTAAGCCTGAAGGTACAAAGAGGGAAAGAGTTGAGACTTGGGAGCCTCTGCCTAGATTTCAGAGAATGCATGGAAATGCCTTGATGCCCAGGCAGAAGTCTGCTGCAGTGATGGAGCCCTTAGGGAAAACCTGTACTAGGACAGTGCAGAGAAGAAGTATAGAGTTGGAGCCCCCACAAAGAGTCTCCACTGCGGGCCTAGTGGAACTGTGAGAAGAGGGCCACTGTCCTCCAGAACCCAGAGTGGTATATCCACCAACAGCTTGCACTATGTGCCTGGAAAAGCCACAGGCACTCAATGCCAGCCCTTGAGAGCAGCCGTGGTAGCTGAGCCCTGCCAAGCCAGAGGGGCAGAGCTGCCCAAGGCCTTGAAAGCCCATCCTTTGCATCAGTGTGGCCTGGATGTGAGATGCAGACTCAAAGGAGATCATTTTGGAGCTTTAAGATTTAATGACTGCCCTGCTGGGTTTCAAACTTGCATGGGGCCTGTTGCCCCTCTCTCTGTTCTAGCTGATTTATAACTTTTGGAATGAGGGTATTTACCCAATGCCTGTACTCCCATTGTATATTGAAAGTAATGACTTTGCTTTTGATTTTACAGGCTCATGGGTAGAAGGGACTTGCCTTATCTCTGATGAGACTTTGGACTGTGGACTTTTGAGTTAATGCTGTAATGAGTTAAGATATGGGTGACTATTGAGAAGGAATGATTGTATTTTGCAATATGAGAAAAACATGATATTTAGGAGGGGCCAGGGGCAGGATGATATGGTTTAGATTTGTGTCACCTCCCAATCTCATGGTAAACTGTAATCTCCAATGTTGGAGGAGGGGCCTGGTGGGAGGCGACTGACTCATGAGGGTCGATTCCCCCTTGCTGTTCTTGTGATAGTGAGTTATCACAAAATGTGGTTGTTTAAAACTGTGTGGAAATCCCTCTTCTATCTATTCCTCCTTCTCCATCCATGTAAGATGTGCTTGCTTCCCCTTTGCCTTTCACCATGATTGTAAGTCTCCCCAGTCATGCCTCTTATACAGCCTGTAGAACTGTGGATATATTATACCACTGTTCTTTATTAATTACCCAGTCTCAGGTAGTTCTTTATAGCAGTTTGAGAACAGACTAATACAATCGTACACCTAAATAGCCAAAACTAAAAACAAAAACAAATTGTTTAACAAAGGTTAAACAATGGTTTCTAAGATATGACAACTAATGCACAAGAGGAAGGAGAAAATAGATATATTGAAACATCACTAATAAAATATATCATAATTGAAAGTACATAATAAAAGAATAAAAACAATTTAAAAATGGGAGAAAAGTCTTTGTATGTCAAATAGCCAGTAAGAATAGCCAATTCTAGGGTATGTCAAATACCCTGAAAATCCCTAGCTAGTATATTATATTACATTATATTATATCATATTATAATCCAGAATATATTACAACATCTTACAACTCAAAAATCCAAAGACTAATGCTCCAATCAAAAATATGAAATTTGAACAGCCATATCTCCAAAGAAGCTATAGTAATGTTTAATAAGCATATGGAAAGATGCTCAATGCCTCTGTCATTAGGGAAATCCAAATCCCAACCGTAAGATATCCTTTACTAATCCAAAAGGCATATTACTAAGTCCAAAAAGCAATTTGGAAAAAGCAAAATACTTTTTTTTTAATATATGACAATCTAGAAAAAGCATAAGTATAGAGACAGTAAAGAGTTTATTGGTTACCAGGGTCTGAGCCAAAAGAAAAGACAAATCTGTAAAGATAGAAAATTTCTTTTTGTATATTATTATGTATGCTACTGTAATGTGGATAAAAGATACAGGTTTTCAACTCCCACAAAACTATATAACACAGAGTGAAACTAAAAGTATGTAAATTAACGAAAAAACTTATTTAGTAGATAGGAACAGCTCAGGAAGAAATGCAGAGAAAATACTTTAGCTGCACACAAATCTATGAAATAATCCACTGAAGGAGGGGGAAAAAGAAACTGACCTAAGCAACTGACATAATAAGTGCAGATTCTGTCTAAAGGCTAAAGGATTTATACATAAGCAGTTGGTATACATAAACAGGTGGTAAGGGTGTTTCTCATGGGGTTGTATGTTTCTTATTCTGAAACCACTATGCGTGCATTTTCAGGTGGTTAAATATTACAGTGGTAGGCTACATACAGATTAGTGAGATGGGTAGACAAATTCACATGGTGCTGAATAAGATCATGTGGGACTGAGGACGTTGTAGGAATTCATGTTTAATTTAATGTGGATATACAGGGAGACTTGTAGAAATTTGTAAACATATGTGTATATTTACTCTTTACTCTGTTAGCTAGCAAGGCCTCCAATCAACACATTCCCCAGTAACAATGTGTAAAACCAGTGAGTGCCCAAATCTTCATTTTTAATTTCATTTTCCAACAAAGAAGGTAGGGATCTGTGAGAAAAAGGTCAATAACAGACTTGAACAGGGACTAAATACAATCAGCCTGCAGTATCTAGTGGTGATCAAACAAGAGAAAATGCTCAACAACAATGCAACCAATGAATCAGCCACATAACAATGTCAAATCGTAACTATGGTGGTATTTCAAAATGACAGGGGACTCAATTGAAAGACTTTCTGATGGCATTCAGCCTCATACTGAGGGTTTAACCAAGGTTTTCTCTGGTTTGAGCATTTTGGACTTAGACTATGGTACCCAACAAGCATCCTAGGATCTCCAGCTTTACATGGCATGTGGTGGAAACACTCAGCCTCCATAATCATGTGATTCACTTCCCCTAGAAATCCCTATCTATCTATCTATCTATCTATCTATCTATCTATCTATCTATGTATCTATGTATCTGTCTGTCTGTCTGTCTATCGCTAGCTAGCTGCTACGTATCTATCCTAATGGTTCTGTTGCTATAGATAACCCTGACTAGTATAGATTTTGGTAGTAAGAACGGTTCTACAGGAAGAGAATTTTAAGGATGAATGTCCTTAATCAAATTTGGGGTTTATAGAATAGGCTTTCTAATCTGATTGGACCTAAATTCTAAGAACTGTACTTCTAACAGTAGAAAGAGCAATGACAGTCAATGACATGAACTGTTTTTAGAGATCCCCAAAATATCTGCACTTGATACTCTTAATTAAACACTGATAAGAGGCAAGGTACTTGTTTAGTCTGTATGTGATACAGACATTTGCGTAAAACCATGGAACATAATGATGACGGGTTTGTTGCTTCTAATTCACTGGGAAATTTGATGAAAGACAATAATGAGCTTAGGGATTCAATTTTGCAGAACCAGCTCCACATAAACAGCCTAAGAGTTTCTACCTGTGCTCTGAGCCAGAAAACTCTCTTGTAGCCACAGGGAAGTATTTGCTAAAAGTCAAACACAAGCCCTTATCATGCCTCTGGCTGAATGACAGGAAACATTTAACTCCTCAGCCTGGCAGGGTGTCTACTGTTGAAGTGGAAGTTGAGAAAGAATAGCATCCTGTAACTTGGGATGAGGATGGATGGGAAGACTGATGTGGCTGGGGACACTGATCTCCTAAATTCTAATGAGTTTTTATTGCCAGCAGAAGTGGCCTCCTCACAGCCACCCCCTTGGCAATGGCCTTCCCACACAAAGTGATGTAGGCCTTTCCATATGTGTCTGAGTAGCTTACATCTACAATGCCTAAGGAAACGGTAATGGCTTCCCCTGAAGCAGCTGTCAAGCAATACATTGCTGATTATCTTCAAGACCCACCCCTGACAGCTGTGTTTCTTCTAGACTCACGGTGAGACTAAAGTTACAACAGGCCCCTAAAGCTGATGGATAGTATTTCCCATGAGGAGGTGTGATCTATGTCAAAAAAGCTACCTGAGTTTTCTAACTAATGCAAACAGAAATCTGAAGACCCTATGTGGAAATAAAGATTATGGCTGTGGATAGCTGGGTGTGGTGGCTTGTACCTGTAGTCCCGGCTACACGGGAGGCTGAAGTGGGATGAATGCTGGAACCCAGGTGTTTGAAGCTGCAGTGAGTCACGACTGTACCACTGCACTCCAGCCTGGCCAAAAGAACAAGACCTCATCTGTAAGAAACCAAAACAAGAAAAAAAAAGTGTTGATAACAGTAGAAGGAATATAAACTTGAATCAGTCCAAATTTAATGATATGGGGCCATTAAGCAGATATTCCGGTTTAATGTTGCAGCTTGGGTATTTAAGGATGGTATTAGTAGTGTTATGACTGGTTGGCTGAAATATACTTCAACAGATGTATGACCATGAGCAAGTCGGTGACTCCCCCATCTTCCCTGTATTATGTTGGATGAAGGAATTCATAGGCCTGGGGAGATAGGAATGCTAGAATGGATTTGCCATTTAAAAGCCACTTACAGCAGGGCATGGTGGCTCATGCCTGTAATCCCACCACTTTCGGAAGCACAGACAGGTCCATCAGTTCAGGTCAGGAGTTTAAGACCAGCCTTGCCAACATGGTGAAACTCCACCTCTACAAAAAACTACAAAAATTAGCCAGACATGGTGGCACACACCTGTTGCCCCGGCTACTCAGGAGGCTGAGGCAGGAGGATGGTTTCAATCGAGGAGGCAGAGGTTGCAGTGAGCTGAGATCATGCCACTGCACTCCAGGCTGGGCAATAAAAGTGAGACTGTCTCTAAATAAATAAATAAATAAATGCAACTTACCCATATTGATAGACTCAGAAAACATACTGTTTATCAGGACTTTGTTAGGTGGATTTGTGTGGGGAGGCTGGGTACAACTGAAGAGCTCCCTGATCTCTCTTCTCTGTAGGCCAGACCTTAATATAGAAACCACAGTACACCAATTGGAAAATCAAAATGCAATGGGAATAACTGGGTTTCAGGGAATCTTGGGAGCAAGTAGCAACACTCAATCTTCAAAGGCAAGGTTGGCATAGCTATGTCAATGGACAGCAAAGGCAAAGCAACAATCAGTTTCATCTGATTCCTATAGATTTATGTTGCTAGCTAGTTTATAACAGTGTTCTTGGAATTGAAGTACACAGGTAACCTACTAAATGCTTACTGGATTTGAAGAAGCAGAAAATCTTTAGATCAAATGAACAAGATTCTGCCTCAAATCCTAAAAACCAGAGACTCATAGAACCTCACTCAATTCTCACAACTGAGCCAGTATAGAAGAAATTTTGTATGCAATTAAGTTAGCCATAATTTAAAAGGAATTGTTAATAATAGCCTTTCTAAAGAATGATCCCCTAGTTTAAATCGAGATTTTATTAAGGTATCAATTTACTCTTAATTACAATAAATTTAGATTTTCTATTCTAAAATCCACTTCTTTTGAAAACTTCTGAGATTCATATCTCAAATGTTCAATTGTTGTCTTGCTGCTATCAGCTTTTTCTCCCTTTGATGTGGCCTGGGATGATAACTCTATCCTTCAGCTTCTTGTCAGTTCCTGTAACTTTTCTCCTTACTTCTAAATGTTGTTGTGGCTGATGCTGAAATATTTTATCTTAGAGGTCTATAAAAGAAATGTGTTCCTCCAGGATAACCTGATTCTATACCTTTGGGGTTTTTTGTTGTTGTTGTTTTTGGTGTGTCTAAATTTTCACTGTAATCAGGAAACTTATCATGCAGCTACTAAGAGTCATGTATTCCCCAGTTCTATTCAAAACCTTGTACACACTCTTCCCATGTTTGATTAAATTCAAACACTTTTTATCTTAAGTTGTACTTCCAGATTATCTAAATGGGCTTTCTTCTAAAGAGAGGCAGACACACTAAAAAAGGTTTTCCTTTGACTTTTTGTCAACTGGCTTAAGAAGCAAGATTTTATATTTTATCAAGATAGTTCCTATGCTGCCTTTATTAAGTTTTTAATTGCTTTTAAAAAAAACCCTGAAATTTGAGAGGAGTAAGGATTTTATACCCGTGTAACTTTTTCTATTGCCTTTAAAGTCTTTCAACGATCACTTTGGTTAAATGAATAACTATTGTTTTACAAGGTCCTGTGGTTTAGTTTTGATCAAATATTTTAAGCTTTCTAACATCTTTCACAGACATCTCCAAAACTGAATCCTAAATTAAGTCTCTGACTTATTGCTGGGGCTTATCAAAGCTAAAAAACATTAATCACTGTGAAGTGTATCACCACCTCCAACACCCCTGAAGAAGTTCTTATCAGGTGCTATTAACTAATCTTTGTGGTGTTAAGGTACAAGGAATTGACTCCTGGATACATGTAGCTCCTCTAAAGAAGACACAGACTCCTGCCACCATGTAACATCAAACTCAACTTAACCAAAGCCTCATCTTTAGACTCAAGCAAAGGCAATAATCAAAGTACACTGCTTTCATGCAACACAGGGACACGCCTGTATTATACTTTATTTAATAATTTTCCTTCTATCTGAAATAGAAATATATGAAATATAATTTATTCTGTGCTTTAATACTAAATAATTTAAATGTTTATCTACCTATAGGATTCCTTTCCTGTCACTCATTCTTTTTGTTTGAGACAGAGTCTCACCCTGTTGGCGAGCCTGGAGTGCAGTGGCGTGATCTTGGCTCACTGCAATCTCTGCCTCCCGGATTCAAGCAATTCGCCTGCCTCAGTCTCTCGCGTAGCTGGGACTACAGGCACGCACCACCACACCCAGCTATTTTTTTGTATTTTAGTAGAGACGGGGTTTTACCATGTTGGCCAGGATGGTCTCGATCTCCTGACCTCGTGATCTGCCCGTCTCAGTCCTGTCACTCTTAGGACAAGACAAGGCTTATGGCATTTTTGCTTACAATGTTGTTAACGGTGAATATTTTGTTTTATTAATATATCCAGAATTTACAACGGTTCAATTTCTCCAGACCAAGGGACTATCATGGAAGATACGAATGCATGAGATTGTAAGGGCCAGTTCTTGTGGAATAAAATTAATTCAGACCCCCCAAATAAAGGATGGGCATACAGATGCCTAAACAGCTAAATAAAATACTTATGTTTTGTATAGCTATAGTTCCTATAAGCCAAGATTACAACAGCTCAATGCATAAAATTCAGAGACAATTCAGTTATATAAACTTACCTTTTGACTTTTAGTTTTTGGCTCTTACATTGCTTAAAAGGGGTTTTAAGGATTAATGACTGCCTGCCCACATTCATTCCAGTCTGGCCTACAACATTTAATTGGATATAAGGCTTTTGATTCTAAGTCCCTTGGCCATAGTGGTCGCACCAAGGAACATGATGGACACAGGTCAGGTAGCACGCCGCTCTGCCATTGACATGAGAGAAAATAAAAGTGTGGCTACCCATACTGCCACTGGCATACCTTGACAAAAAACGAGAATATAAACTATAAAATAAAGTCCTAAGCCCCCACCAACTTCATGGACACTCCCTACACCCATGTTAGCCAAAGCAACCTGAAAAACTAATTCAGGCCATGACAACAAGAGGGGTGTTGAACAAGCTTCACTACACCTTCCTCCCATTATGGGAATTTAGGCACAACTGATCAGCATTAATGTTATAATAAAAACTGTAAAACAGACTCTTTATAACAATAAAATACCAAATTATGAACAGGACCTAAGAACATGCCAGGCAAGAGTTAAGACACACATTCCTACACTTTAAAAAAAGCAGACTATGTTTACAACTGCCACAAGGTTTCTGTGTTTCTCTAGTAGCCAAGCAAGCACTAGCCTCAAGATAAGCTGACTGACTGACCCCAGCCACTGTTCAACCAGCCATAACTACAGATTGAAGTAGACAAGAGACCAATTTCGGTAAGTTACCCTGATAAAAGATCACTCACCATAAAGTAGTTTTGGCCGGTTTACAGTAAATGGACACTTGTATGTCTTTGTCCTCAAAAGAACTTTTTAAATACAGAGCATAATTATAACACATTTAAAAGTTAAGTCTCTGCTCCAAAATAAATATGTTATCTGTTGCATGGATATTTGTTAAGACACATGGGTCAGGACCACCTTCATGAATATTTACAACTTCTCCTGTGGCCTATTAAGTACGTATAGTTAACCAACTTGTCCTCATATCTCCACAGGAGCTCTGGGTACAACTGACATTTGGGGCTTTGCACTATAATTAAGACTAAATGCTGTGTGTACTTCCTGGATAACTCCAGAAACATCCTCAGCCCTAAAAGACATGCACAAGCAAACTAATGCTATGTCTAATCTCATGATGTCTTTAAATCATATGGCTTTAGATATCTTCACCGCAGCCCAGGGTGGCACTTCTGCATTCATTAAGGCTGACCATTTTACACACATACACACACACACACACACACAGAGACACACACACCAGATTCTTCTCACATTATAACCCAAGCTATGCATGTAGATACCCATATTTCTGCTATAGATGCCCTCTGTCAGGACTCTATGGCACCATGATTTAGTCGGCTTCCTGGTGCATAAAATACTTTTATATATATTATTAATACTGTTAAATGCCCTCTTCAGCTGCTATGAACTTTATTTCTCTTGTTCATTCTGCATGGAGATGCAGGAAATCATTCTCAGAAATTCTTGGATCCTCACACCATATATGCACAGTAAGTTCCTGCTGAAAACTCAAGAATATTTCCAACTTCAGGTACACAGATTCCATTCTAATGCTCTATAACAAGACCCCTTTCAGTAGGAAGCAGACCAAATGAATATGATGCTCCAATTGAATAAAAATAAAGTGGAATTTGACAGTGGGGTGTTGTAAACAAGTACTTCATTTTCCTTTAAAAATATTTAGTTTTTCTTTTTCCTGTGTGTTCATGTCTTACTTAGCTCCTTAGAAATGCAAATTCAAACTTTTCCCTCCTTCCTTTCCACCAGCCAAACCACCAGCAAGCACTGTCAGCTTAGCTAAATATATGTTTGTTTAGAAATTACCAAATCTTGAACGAAAATAAGCATCCACCAGAATTCTCCTCCATAGAGAGATTGTCTCAAGACATCAGTTAATCCACAACCTGACTCTTTCCCCAGTGATGCTGGGCAGGCTAACGAATGACCCAAGACTAGAGATAAGTCATCCAGCAAGTAATGTAGATCCTACACCTCCAGAACCCTTCTGCGTGCCCTGCTTGCCAATATTTCTTCTTAAAATCCTGTTTTCTGCCCAGAAAACATATATGGTTCCTTTAGATATGAATCCAGCCCTTCCACATTGCTAAGCTCTGGAAATAAAGTGACTTTTTTTTTTTTTGGAGAAGGAGTCTCTCTCTCTCCCCAGTAGCTGGGATTACAGGCACACGAGAGTGTGCCCAGCTAATTTTTGTACTTTTAGTAGAGACAGGGTTTTGCCATATTGCCCAGGCTGGTCTTGAACTCCTGTACTCAGGTGATCATCCTGCCTCGGCCTCCCAAAGTGCTGGGATTACAGATGTGAGCCACCACGCCCGGCCAGTGACTTTCTTTTTACTACCCTTCTGTTATTTGATTTTGGAAGTAGCCATGGCCAAACCTGGGTTTGGTAACAAAATGGTGCCAGGCTGTAATACGACAGATGAGGGGCACTTTTTTCCTTAAAGCAGGATCTGTCAATTCTGTTTACAGCACTGAATCCCACAGACACTGACTGCTGCCACACCTAGCAGGGCAAGTGCCCATCTATTATTACATATTCCCATGAAATACCAATGTTTTGCTGTGTTGATTGCTTATGTCTCACACATCTTGAACAAATGTCTCCAATCTTTGTCTAAGTTTTGACTAAGACAACAAAGTAAAATCTAAAAAATTCAGAAGCATGAAAACCTTTTGAGACTATTAAACCAGATGAAAATGATAATAAATAAAAGATTGAAATTCCTTTTTGTAAGCTAATGGCACAAAAATATTTTCTGATTACAGCACATGATGTACACATTTTCTAACTGGTATTTTTTATATGTCTGAGAACTAAAAACGAGTTTAATCATCACTCATCAAAAATAAGAAAATACTTCATATCTAATAGAATGGGTGATCCATACAGAGAACTGTCATGTACACGTACACGGAGGTGAGGTGGAAGGAATTATGGAGTCCAGTCAATGTCTACATCTTTTGTACAAGGAGAAAATGAAACAACATCATGAAGTTCACACCTGCATGGTTAAGGAGAGGTTACTCCTTGCATTCATATGTGAAGTCTAACTTTCCTGCCACACAAATCAATAACTTGTTAACCTTTCACATGTACAGCAAACAGCCAAAGAATAGAAAGTTTGACAGATCTTTTTAAGCATAAGAAGATCTTTTTATTGTGGGACAATTTTGCCTTGTGGCTTACAGAATAGTTTCTGTCCTTCTTTGTAACCAGAGCTATGTAAGAGGAAATTTCTGGAAAATCATAAAACAGAATGTGTAACGTCTGCCACTTCTAATAAAAGTGATATTAACGTTCAATTTATGAAAGAGAAATAGGAGTAAAGATGAAAATAATTGATACGGTTCACTGAAAAATAATTATGAATGCATTTTTAAAATAGAGAAATAAAGGCCTTAAAACTATGATACAAAAATAAATATTTGGTTTTAGATGATGTTTACATGACCAAAAAAAAGAGAATACTTATACACAAGTGTTTAAGACATTTGCACAACAAATTAAATCAAAATCAAGGAGAAATATCACAATGTAAAATCTAAAGTCTTAAGGTGTCATTGGTCAGGAAGCAGAATCATTTTTGAACAAACTCAGCCTTTTTTAAAAGACTTAAATTCCCTACCTCACCCCACAACTAAGGCAGGGAGCTGCTGTCCTTGTGCATGCAGAGCCCCCAGAGAGGCTCTGAGCTCAGAGGCTCCCCTGTGAACCTGCCTCTGTTGGGCATGGTCTGGAGGGGGACTCTGTTTACAGAATCATCTACAGCAGGGCAGGAGGGAGCCAAGGCTGCCTCTCCAGGTTTTCAACAACATTGGCTGTTGTCTAAGATACTGAATACATAAAGTGGGTAGTGGTGTTGGGAGACTGCCTAAGATTCACAAGGACGTAGAGATTTCAGAGTCAATAGCAACGTTCTAAAGTTGTATATCCACAGCCTCATTCAAGGTACAGCTGAAAGGATTGCTGTAGGTGCAAGGCATGCACGTCTGAACTTCTTTCACCTCATTATAGAGCAGCTCAGTGGTTAAAAGAACAGGCCCTGGGCCAGGCACAATGGATCACGCTTGCAATTCCTACGCTTTGGGAGACTAAGGAGGGTGGATTGCTTAAGGCCAGGAGTTCTAGATCAGTCTGGGCAACAGAGAGAGACCTCCTCTCCATTAAAAAGAATTAAAAATTAGCCGGGCATGGTGGCTTGCACCTGTAGTCCCAGCTACTCAGGAGGCTGAGCGGGGAGGATCACTTGAGTCCAGCAGCTCACACACAGAATGTGTTCCATGTTTGTGCCACTGTACCCCAGTTGGTGTGACAGAACAAAATTATCTCTTAAAAAAGAAGGAAAAGAACGATCTCTAGAGAGAAAATTCTTGAATAGACTCTCTTAATAATAAGAGTGTGGTATTTGCACAGAGACAGAATAAACAATCAATAACTTAAAAAAACAGACATATGCATATATAAGCATATATTTAAGTTGCTGCATGGGGGAAACTTGGATTTTTATTAAAATGTTCCAGGGTATTGAATATCCACAGGGAGAAATTAGAATCTGACCTATGACCTGACATTACACACAAAATTAATTATACTTGGTTCATAGACATAAATATAAAAATATTTAGTAGAATATACAGAACACAATTCAGGAAAATAACTTCAAGACCACGAGGTAGGCTAAGCTGCCTGAAACTAGACCTGAAAAGCATTTACCATGTAAGACAAAACATATTCTATGTAGTTGATGTGAGCAAAGACTGTGGGGCATATAGAATCAAACTCAAGGTTCCTTTAGGCCTCTCCTTTCGAGAGTTAGCTCAGACTTGGAAATGGACCAGAGGAGCAGGAGTAGTGCTTACTTCCTGAGATGGCAGGTGGACTGTATGAAATGATAACATATAAATCATGTAGTATATTACTAAGCCTACACTAAGCCCAAAAATAAATATTCTAATAAATTGTGAGATGTATCAATTGCATCAGTTGTAACATGTCATTATTTCCTATATCAGAATGAAAGAACAAAACCACTAACAACGGAACTAATACTTTCATCATGTGGAAATACACTGTATAATAATAACATCATTATATTATAATTAGTGGAAAAAAGCTGTTTTCAAGACATATATATGTGGATATTTGTCTTGTCTTTTGTCACTCCTATGATTACATGGGATGGAACATATAAGGAAAATACACCAACAAAGGTTTTCCTAAATTTTCTCCTATTCAAATCCAACTCTCCTGAATCACTCTTCAATTCATCTTGCTCATGATGTTCCCCATGTTATCATCATTGGTGCTAATCTGAAGCTTTGGTGATGCTGCATTTCCTGTGATATTCCTACGTTGCTTCTGCGAGGTTATATTTTCAACTTTCTGAAACTTCCTGTGCAAGATTTGATGCTGATGTTGATGAAATCACCCAAAAACATCGACAGGAGGTTTGCAGACCAAGCTCATATACAGGTAAATGAGGACAATCACATTATGACTGCCTTCCCGTCAACAGTGTTTTAACGCTTTCAAATTTAAGATGCATCTGTATTTGATAGATGTGAAAATGTGCACTCTACGATGAATGGAATACACTGTTTTCTCTGTGACTGCTCATTTGTCAGTGTTAAATTATGGTGGCTCATTGGCTACACTCTTGTTTGTTATTGAGGAAATATGCTTAAATCTTATCACATAAATTTATACACTGTATTTATATTCTACCTGGGAGCTTCACCACTGTCCTCCATTAGGGAAGTCCAGTCTGTCCACTTCTCATTAAAGTGAGTGTCCAGAGAGGTGTTATAAACTGCATTTATAATTTTAGACACATTAGAGTTATTAGTGGAGTACTAGAATTCTTATGTCACATATGGAAATATAGTTCTATGAACCATGGTTTAAGAAATCCATTGAAGACAAAGATGAAAATTGTAAAGAGCTACTTGAAAAATTCACTGGCATGGTAGCTCTCTAAAGACCTGGAAAAAGCTGTAGTTTGAAACTTTAAACTGTAATCTTAGAAATATGAGCAACGCTTCCTGTAAACTTCATTACAGATTCCATTCTTTCAGCTGTAACATTTGTATATCTTTTTCTTCATTCACATTTGTCCTTTTAATCACATGGCTGGTGATCGTAGAAATCACCTTATGATTAGTCACTGCAGAAGTGAATGCATAATGGTCTTTATAAGATATTTTGATCCGTCCCCTTGCTACTCTGGTCAACTCTACTTTGGGTACTGGGATATTGGAATTGGTTTCGGTGTCCCCTCATGAGTACACTGAGTAACGAAAAAACTCATACAGTCAGAGTTAAGGGAGTTGACTGAAATTTCACCTGAGTTTTAGACTCCGGGAAGGTTGAATTAAGTAAACACAAAGCCATGCCATTACATATGTGAGACATTCCTTCCTTGAACTCAATCTTCTTATCAGGTTAGAGTGTGGAGACAGAGCACTCGGTTTGCCTCATGATGTCGTCTAAAAATGTGGTTTGTTTGCAATAGCATCTTTTGTAGACTTGTGGTGTCCAGACCAGCCTCTATACAACTGTTGATTTAGGATACTGTGCAAAATCATATTTTCCATGCAGTGAAAGTTTGTCTGGGGACTCAGTGCTCAGCACTTTGTCGTCTGTGCCTGTGACATCATGCTATTCAAGATTTATGGATGTCAATGGGAGTTTAATATGTACCTCCATGGCTTTGTAGGCCTTTTAGGCATGGTTCCTGAAAACAACTCTGCTGCTACTAAGAAGAGTGCAATGGCCTCTTAATAGGAAGCTGTAAGGAGAATTAGTGGGCAGCCAGTACACATGCAGAGTCATCAGTCAGCCTGTTTCTGTCTCTCAGATCACTGCATGGAGGGTTGGAGATATGCTGTATACTGGTTTTTTTTGTTTTGTTTTGTTTTGTTTTGTTTTCCTACTGAGATTTCTCTTCTTGTGCACAACATATATATATCACTCAGTATCATTCACCTGCAAAAACTCTGTTTTAAATATTTATTCCCAGGCCTCTGGAAGCAGGGAGTGCCCTAAACCAACCTATTAGAAATATTTTTTGTACTCTGCTTACCTGCTATCTTGATGGCTTTAGGGTTGGCCAAGGGCAATATAATTCCACCATGTGAGTATCAACAGAGGGCACAGTCCTGCACAGTTCCTGATGGAGCCTGTAGAATGAAGAGAACTAAATTAGAACAGGTTTTCTGAAAGGTTTGAAGGTAAAGTTGTCTTTGGATTACTTGAAGAAGAAATCCCTGTAGCAAGAAAACATGATCCTGAATGCAGAAATATGATTTCTGTTCCCTGTCACTGAAATTTCTTATTCTTGCCTTATATCATCTGGAAGTCATGTCTTCCAAAAAGGTTAGTGGGATCCTGAATATACTCTGCTAAATGCTGTCCTAAAATGGGGCTTTCTGGGATATGTGAAAAACAGGCATCTTCCTTTCAAGAAGTGGATGCTGACGCTCTAATGACTAGGTAGTGGGGAAGGAGAAAGAGGATAAGAGTCCTTGGAGCTTGATGGTACCTTCCTGAAGGAGTGGCACCTGGGTTTCGAATGTTGCCTAGAAAAGAAAAGCCAGTTTACTATTCTCTCCCTACATGCCCACTTGTATCTGGAGGCAAAAGTTTTCTGCTGGTGTCTTTACTTGCTTTCTTTTTAAAAAAAAACAAAATAATAATATTTAAAAACATACTTATTTTGAAATAACTGCAGATTTACATAAATGCACATAGGTAAGTACAGACAGTTTCATATACCATTCAGCTAACTAGACTATGAATATCTATTATAACCATAGCATATTCATGAAAACTAAGAATTTAACTGTTTTTCAAGACTATTAACTGATCTACAAACTTCCTTCATATTTTACCAGGTTTTCTAATAATCATATACTTATCTATTCCAGGACCTAATCCAGAATACCACCTTACAATTACTGTCAGGTATATTACTTACTACTTGGTGCATAACAAATTAGTACATACCTTAGTGGCTCAGAACCACACACATATTACTCACGGTTTCTCTGGGTCTTCGGTCTAGATGTAGGTGATGGCTCAGGCTGAGGCTCAGCTGGGGAAGGGTCTCCTTCCAAACTCACATGATTGTTCTTAGGATTCACTTCCCTGCCCTCATCAGGAACTCATTGATGTGTTATTAAAATCACAGAAAATTAATACTAATTTATCAAAAATATTTCAAAACAATACAATAATAATAAAGAAGTAGAAAATAGATTACTTCCCATTGTATACTATGAATTCGTTTCCCCTGATTGAACAACTACACAAAGATATTTCAAATAAGGAAAATGAAGACCAATATGCCTTATAAATACAGAGACAAAAATCACCAGGGAGATATTATCAAATGAAATCAGCAACATGTAGAAAGTATCAGACACTATGGCAAAGGGTATTTACCTCAGGAATGCAAATTTTGTTCAACAAATGATATAGTTAATGTCATACACTATATTAATAAAGAATAAAAACTACACAATCATCTCAGGAGGTGTGCAACAAGCACTTGAAAATTCCCAGATTCAGTATTAGAAAAACATGCAGCAAATCAGGCAGATAAGAGAACTTTCTTCATTTCAAAGGGCATCTATGAAAAGCTCACATATCATCATAAGTAATCTGAAAGGTTCACTAATTTCTCTGATATTAGAAACAAGTCAAATATTTCCACTGTTGACATTTGTTTGCAACATTGTACTGGAGAATGTAGACAGGGCAATTCGTTTAGAAAAATAAATATAATGTTTCTAGTATGGAAAGGAAGTCAAACTCTGACTATTTGCAAAGGACATGATCTTATGTATAAAAAGTCCAAAGGACTTTAATCAAATATGTTTAGAATTTCAAGATGAGTTCAAAGAAGTTTGCAGTATATAAAATATATAAAATATTTTAAATTTCTCTGTACTAGCAATGAACAATCTAAAAACAAAACTCAGAAAACCGTTGCAATTGAGATCGAATCAAAAATACTCAGGAATAAGCTTATCAAATTAAGTATAACATATGTACACTAAAAACTATAGAACATATATTGAACAAAATTAATAGAAAATCTTTGAATGCTCATTGTTTAGAAGGGTTAATATTGTTAGGTTGGCAATATTTTCCAAATGGATCTATAGAATTAATGTGACTTCTCTCAAAACCACAGGTGGCATTACCTTCCCCTAAATTCAGAAGGTTATCCTAAAATTATATATAATATAGATACTGAGCAGCCGAAATACTCTTGAGAAGGACAAAAAGGGTTTGCATAGTAGACATATGCTTCCTGATTTCAAAACTTACTACAAAGTAATAGTAATCAAGATTTGTGGTACTAATATAGGGATATATGTATTGATCAATGGAGTAGAATATAATACTCAAAAATGAATCCTTACATTTATGGTGAAATGCTTTTATAATGTGGCCAAATAAATTAGGTATGAAGCAATATTTTCTTGTCAAATGTTTCTGGGTCAAGTGGATATCCACATACAAGTTAGACTCTTGCCTCATACCAGAAACATAATTGACTCAAAATGATAATCCATCTAAATATAAGAGCTAAACAGGGCCAACCCATAAAAAGGAACACAGAAATACATCTTTGTAGTCTTTAGTTAAACAATGTTTTAAGATATGACACTGAAAAGCACAAAGGAAAGAAGAAAATATAGAAATATTAAACTTCATTAGAATTAAAATCTTTTGCAATTTAAAGTCCACCATCAAATACAAATAGGCACCCAAAGAACGGCAGAAAATATTTCAAAATTGCAAATTTTATAGGTGATAATGGTCTGTTATCCAGAATATGCAATGTCTTACAACTCAAAATTAAAAAGGCAAATATCCCAATCAAAAATGGCAAAATCTTAAATAGCCAGTTCTCAAAGTCATATCCAAAATCACATGAAAATATGCTCTATATCTTGTCATTATGAGGTAGGAGACTGGAAGGACTTGTTTTCTGGTTTCACAACCTTGATGACCAAAATAAGATCTGCTCCAGACAGGATAAAGTGAAAAAACTGGCAGAAGCCTGTACATTGTGGAAAATGTGATCCCTGGCAGTCTTCATTTGTCACTCACATAAGACCCTCCTACCAACCACATAACTGTTTACAAATTACATGGCCACAATTCAGAAGTTACTGCCCCTTTCCATGGAGACAGCCTAGAAGTCACTGCCCCTTTCCTGCCTCAATTTGCATTGACCTGCCCCTCAATTTGTGTATAATTAAAAGTGGGGTTGATTGAATATAAATACAGTTGCCAAGAGGCCTATATGTTGCCAACTCTGAACACACTGCTTAAGAGTTAGCCCTGCTCTGCAAGGAGCAGTACCATTCAATAAAATATTGCAGTCTAACATCACCCACTTGCCCTTAAATTCTTTCCTGGACAAAGCTAATAACCCTCTCAGGATAAGCCCCAATTGTGTGACTCACCTGTCCTACAAAAATTAGGTGAAGGCAAATCTAAAAACCATGAGGTGTACTTCAAAAATCTAAAAAGCATATTGCTAAAAAATATAAGTTGGAAAAGGTAAAATACTGTGAAAAGGCAAACTTGTGACCTACTAAATAAGGTTTTTAATTTGCGTAATTTAGCTACACTCTTTGTGTTACAAAGTTCTTCAGGATTTGGAAAACATTATTATGTACCCACTATTACAGTATCAAAGAGAGGAATTTCACTGCCCAAAAGAAATCTTTGGTAGTTCACCGTTTACACCTTTCTGTCTTCCAAGCCCCTTGTTACCACTGAACTCTACTATCACTACACTTTTTCCTTTTCTAGAGAGTCATATAAATGGAATTACACAGTATTTTGACTGTTTCAACTTCTATTTTTTTACATAGCAATATACCTTGTTCAGGTAGTGTGATTAAATTAACAACATCAACTTGCTTGCAGGGAGTGCTAGATTACATACAAATGAGAATGAGTGGATCCATTTATATGGTGCTGGATTAGGTCATATGGTGTTAGAAACATTAGTAGAAATTATAAAATTACCAAATTACCCTGGAGCACAATTAAATTCACAGACTGGAGCATATAATAGTGACTGAACAAAAGAAAATGCCAAACAACAACAAAACCAACCAACCACACAACATTAAACTTTAGTTATGGAGGTATTTCAAAATGATACAAGAGACAACTTAAAAATCTTCCAATAGCCAACACTGGAACACTTTGTGCAATTAAAAAAAAATAGTGGCCAAGCATGGTGGCTCATGCCTGTAATCCCAGCACTTTGGGAGGCCAAGGAGGGTGGATCGTCTGAGGTATGGAGTTTGAGACCAAACTGGCCAACATGGTGAAACCCTGTCTCTACTGAAAATACAAAACTTAGCCAGGTGTAGTGTCTCATGCCTGTAATCCCAGCCAGTTGAGAGGCTGAGGCACGAGAATCGCTTGAACCCAGGAGGCAGAGGTTGCAATGAGCTGAGATCGCACCATTGCACTCCAGGCTGGGCAACACAGAAAGGCTCTGTCTCAAAAAAAAAAAAAAATAGCACATATGCATTGTAAAATAAATATCCATATTTAGATAATGATATAAATAAAAGATGCATGTATAAGTAAATACATTAATACACATGAAATAATTGGAAAAGAATAGGCACATGTTTATGGTGAAGGTTTAAAGGAATTTGTAGACATTCTGCCAATAATGAATGTCTACTCTTGTTGACAGTTTGTACACTTGGTATGATATGATGAGAATGGCACTTTTTGGCCAGGCACAGTGGCTCACGCCTGTAATCCCAGACCAGCCTGGCCAGCACATAAAGACCCCATCTCTATAACAAAATAAATATCACTTGAGCCCAGGAGTTTGACCCTCGCCTGGGTAACATGGTGAAACCTTGCCTCTACCAAAAAAACTAACAAACAACAACAACAATAAATTAGCCCAGCATGGTGGCACATACCTGCAGTCTCAGCTACCCTGGAGGCTGAGAGGGAAGGATCCTTAAGCACAGAAGATGGAGGCTGTAGTGAGCCAAGCTCATGACACTGCACTCCAGCCTGGGCGAGAGAGTGAGACACTGTCTCAAAATTAAATCAATAAAAATGATAGTTTTCCTCATGATCTTCCTCCCCTAAACCCACGAATCCAGTCTTATCATTAGAGAAACATCAGAGGAATCCCACATTAGTAATATTAATGTCATCAAAAATAAGGAAACTCCGAGAAACTGTGAAAGTCAGAGAATTCTAAGGAGACATGACATGTACCTGTGATGAGGTATCCTGGATGAGATTCTGGAATAGAAACAGGACATTAAGTAAAAACTAAAAAAAATGAATAAAGTATGAAGAGTAGTTATAGTGTTATAAAACTGATTGCTTGTGACAAATGTCCTACATTAATGTAAGAATTTCATAAAAATGGAAACTTCGTGGGATATATGGATATTCTATGTACTACATTTACAACTGTTCTGTAAACCTAAAACCATTCTTAAATTTATAAGGTTTCTTTATCTTTAAAGTCACTGCTGACCTTATAAAACAACATGAGCAATATGTTTGATGGCCCTTAGTGCATCTCCTGAGCTTCACCATCTTCCTCAATCACTGAAAGTAGCTATTACTGTGAATTATTTGTTATCCTCTAATTTGTGTTTATTATATTTACCTCTATCTTTATATTTCTAATATCTATAATGTTTATTTTTCTGGTCTTCAAACATACATGCATGGTTTTAATGTATTTATGTCCCTAGTTTAATCGTGAGAAATCATGAGACAAATTCATATTGTGGGAAAACCTACAAAATATCTGACCTGTACTTTTCAAAAAAGTCAAGTTCACAAAAAATAAGTGAAGACTGAGAAATCTGCAGACTGGAGAATACTTGCTGTGTCAGGTAGAGCCTGCGATGGTGCCCGTGAACCTCACCTGTAAGAAATACACCGCTTACGTTATTTCATGTGCTCTGTTGAGTGGCCTCCTCCGTGTCTCACATGACCAACACACCTGAACTCAACATTTTTCCAATTCAGAGTTCTCCTAGAAAGTGGTTGTCTTGATATGAATGTAGTGGTCACAGGTCTGAAAAGTTCCGTACGGGCATCTGACAATAATTAGAAGTTTACAGTAATCCAAACCAAATGCCCATCAATCAATGAGTGGATAAGGAAACTGTGATATATATGTATACGTATACATATATATGTATATATATGTATACGTATACATATATATGTATACGTATACATATACGTATACATATATATGTATACGTATACGTATACGTATACATATATATGTATATATATACGTATACATATACATATATATACATATATATGTATATGTATACGTATACATATATATATACGTACACATATATATATATACACACACACACACACACACACACATATATATATATATACATGTAATGGACTACTACTCAACCATAAAAAGGAATGAGTTAATTGCTTTTGCAGCAACCTGGATGAGATTAGAGATTATTATTCTAAGTGAAGTAACTCAGGAATAGAACACCAAACATTGTAGGATCTCACTCATAAGTTGGAGCTAAGTTATGAGGATGCAAAGGCATAAGAATGACAAAATGGACTCTGGGGACTCAGGAGAAAAGGGTGGGAAGGGGGTGAGGGATCAAAAACTACAAACAGGGTGCAGTGTATACTGCTTGGGTGATGGGTGCACCAAAATCTCACAAATCACCACTAAAAAACTTACTCCTGTAACCCAAACCACCTGTTCCCCAATAACCTATGGAAATAAAAACAAATTACAGTAAGAAGGATGCCTGGTCAAGGATTGGACAATTAGGCATTGAGTCATCTGCAAGGATAAATAAGTATCCCATGAAAGGTGAACTGTAAACATCCAGGACCAATTTCCTGGAGTCCTGGTGGGCAGCGTTATAATTGGAAGCCATTGTCCCAAGAAAGACCTCAAGAGAACATCAGATACTACAAAAATACAACAAAGATGTAGAGGTAATTTTATAAATCATGGCTCTAAGTTTCCATGGAGAGGAAGATAGAAATGGTAAAGTGTTACTTGAAAGTTTACAGAGTTGCAGAGTGCAGCTCTCTCAAGACAGAAATACTTATCTTGAGACTGTTTGCCTTAATCTCAGAAATATAAGCAGAGACTATTCGAAGTTGCTTTCCAAATCCAATTCTTCATTTCAATCAACTACCTATCTTTTTCTCCTCTCCTTTTATTCTTCCTATCTCATAAACGATGGTCATGTGAATCTCACTGTAAGCAGTCGCTGCTGATGCAGGCACATTACAGTTATCATGAAATGCTTTGCTCTGACCATTTGTCACTCCTGTCAACTCCACTTTTTGATACTTGAAAATGAAACAGGTCTTGGTGTTCCCTGAAGACTGTACTGCATGAAGAGGAAACTCATATAATTTATCATTTAGAATGTTGACCATATTTGCACTGAGAGTTTCATCTTCTACAAGGGCTCATTTCAGTGAACAGAAAGCCCTAATTTCAAATATAGGAGTTATGCACCTTTTAAGCTTCATTCTCTATTCAGGGTAGAGGGTGGAGACAGGGTTGGGTTCAGGCCTCAAGATGTGGTCAGACAATGAGATGTTTTCAATAGCATCTTTCTGAGAATTCTGGTGGCCAATCCAGCCTCAGTACAATGTGGTCACAGGTGGTTTACTGTCTTGTGAGAAATCTTAACTTCCATGCTATGGTGGTAGAGTTTGGGAGCTCAGTGCTCAGCACTGTGTTTGTTCTCTGTGCCAGGGATATCACGGTAGCACAGTTTTGTGTCTATCACCTTTCCTATCTTAACCCTGAGCACTCAGAACTCATTGACCCTCTTGCTACCTAGAGATGAGTCTCTCCTTATGCACGTCTACTTCCATCTCCTTCATGGCCTGCCACTTGGTGATTTTTTTTTTTCCTGAATAGTTTGGTCATGAATGATCTTCACAGTACACATCATAACCATATGTATGCATTGAAATGAAGAGAAAAATGGGATTTGACAAGTCACTTAGCTTATAGAAACTCCTCTTATAATGAAATGAAAAGAGAAAACATTCATGTACTAAGATTCTCTCTCTTTTTTTTTTTTTTGAGATGGTGTCTTGCTCTGTCCCCCAGGCTGCAGTGCAGTGGCATGATCTTGGCTCACTGCAAGCTCCGCCTTATGGTTTCATGCAGTTCTCCTGCCTCAGCCTCCTCAGTAGCTGGGACTGCAGCTGCCCGCCATGACGCCCGGCTAATTTTTTGTATTTTATTAGAGACAGGGTTTCACCGTGTTAGCCAGGATGGTCTCAATCTCCTGACCTTGTGATCCACCTGCCTCGGCCTCAGAAAGTGCTGGGGTTACAGGTGTGAGCCACCGCGCTTGGCCTAAGATTATCAATTTAAATGAGGCTCTCCTTCCTATGGGGTGAATTGTAAGCTCAGAGGGGTAAGAAGGTTTATCGAATTATAAATGTCCCAAATAATAGCACCTGAATTACTGCTACAATCTTCTCGGAAGTAAGAAATATGGTCAAGGGCAGCTGTATCTCTTACTCCACGTCTCCTGGGTGCAGGAATTTATTTTCTCACTGGAGCTATGAAGCTGGTATGGAGAATGTAGCCCATGATCACGGTCTGAAAAAGCAAAAAGAGTCCTAACTTCGTGGATGTCCTTGGGAGTGCAGCACACAGTCCCATGGCTTAGTAAGCTTTATGGACATCGTTCCTGGAACAACCCTGGTGCCCTCCCATAAAGTGGTGTGGCCTGTGAACTGGGAGCTGTGTGGGGGATGAGGGGACAATCCTCCCCGCTGTGGAGATCTTTGTTTAACCAGCACAGATGCAGAATCAGCACTCAGCGTGTGTCCATCTCTTAGATCACTGCATGGTGGGCTGGGCTATGTTGTACTGTGCTCTTCTTTCCTTTTTTCTATTAGGCTATTTCCACCTCTGCACAACACACTCTGTATCACTAACATGCCTCACTTTTATATGCCTGGTGTCTAAAGGTTCATTTCAGGTCTCTGTAAGCAGGAATCAGCCTACAACCCCATGATTAGAAGGTTTTATTTTCATACCTAGTTAAACTTCTACACTATGATATTGTCTGTGCTGCAGCTTTTGGGCCTCTCACTGGACAAAAGAAATCCATGATGTTATAGCATCAGGGGACTGTGTGGTGCCATGAATTCATGATGGAGTCTGCATAATAAAGAGAACTTAATTATCATAGGGTATTCTCAAAGGCTTTAAAAAACTTTAAAACTTGAACAAGAGAATCTCTGAACTAAGAAAACACTCCTAATGTAGAAATATTATGTTCCCCATCACTGGTGTTTCTCAATCTTGTCTGGAAGTCATGTCTTCCAAAATGTCTTTAGTGAGAACCTACAAAGACACTACCACAAAGTGCCCGAAAATAGGGCCTTCTAACATATGTGGGGCAGGCACCTTTCTTTGAAAAAGTGGTTACTGATGTATGAACTGGTGACTGGGTAATGGAGCATATGATGGAAAAGAAGAAAATGGATGAGAGTCCCTGGAGCTTCAGGCGCCTGAAGCCTGAAGCAGGTGCCCTGTGTAGGAATGGGGATAAAAAGGCAAGTACTTTGCCTTTCACTCCCTGCATCTCCACTCATCCTCTGGTCCAAGGTTTCTTCTTGTTTATGTCCATCTGTGTTGGTATTTTTTTGTTCCTAAATAATACATTTTAAGAGTAATTTTATCTGAAAATAACTTAAGTTTTACAGAAAGTTGCAAAGATAATACAGTTTTACATAATCTACAGCTTCCTGAAATGTTAACAACTTATGTAACCAGAATGTATTTATGAAAACTCAGAAATTGACAGTGGTACAAAACTATTACCTGAAATACAGTTAATAGTTTTGAAGCATTAACTGAAAGGCAGACTTTCTTAATATTTTGCCAGGTTTTCCACTGATGTCATTTTCTCTTCTAGAATCTAATTACATTTACTCTCAGGTATATTACCTACAGGTCGCTGTATAACATATAACCGCACAGCTTAGATGTTCAAACCCACACATAACTATTACTTAACATTTTCTCTGGGTCAGATGACCCAGGCTGAGGTTTCAAGTGAAGCCTCCCCTGGGGAAGGATCCCTTTCTCAGCTCATGTTAGTGTTGGTAGGATTCAATTTTTTTCTAGGTTGAGATGACTTCACCGGTGAATTATTCTAACCCTTTTGAGAATTAATAACAATCCTTTATTAACAAATCTTTCAAGAAAATAAATAAAAACAGAGGAGTAGAGAACACTTCCCAATACGCAGCATGAAGCCCGTTTTCCCTGATAGCACAGCTGGACAAAGAGATTTCAAGAAAGGAAAATTACAGACAAATATGCCCCATGAAACAGAGGCAAAAATTCTGAAGGAAATACTATCAAATTAAACCAGTAACCTAATAAGAATACACATTATGAGCAAAGTCATTTGTCCCTGAAATATGTTTTGTTAAACATACAAAAACTATTAGTGTAATACACTATATTAATAGAATGAAGGACAAAAGCTTCATAATTATCTCTAAAGATACAGAATAAGCAGTTGAAAAATCCAAAACACATTCATGATAAAAAGGCCGAGCAAATTAGGCATAGAAAGAAATTTTGTTAAGTGATAGAGGACATCTATGAAAAACTCAAAAAACAACATGCCATATTATGAATGTTTCAGTAATTTCTTCAAAAAATTAGCAACAGGACAAGGATGTATGCTCTTGCTACTTTTATTCAGTATTGTATTGGAACATGTAGCCAGGGTAATTAGGCAAGAAACATAAATATAAGGCTTCTAGAATGAAAAGGATGAAGTTAAGCTATCTCTATTCATAAATGACATAATCCTGTGTATAGAAAATCCTAAGAAAATCACTAAAATAAGATTAGAACCAAAAAATGAGTTCAGTAACACTTTAGTATACTAGGGCAATAAAAACCAATTGTATTTCTATATATTGTCAATTAATCTAAAATAAAACATAGAAAACAATTCCATTTAAAATATTGTCAGCACACCAGCATGGCACATGTATACATATGTAACTAATCTGCACACTGTGCACATGTACCATAAAACTTAAAGTGTAATAATAATAAAAAATAAAATAAAATAAAATAAATTGTCAAAAAGATATAGACATTTGGTGGCAAGGGGAATAATCTAAGAAATATAAAAATAAGGAGAGATTCTTAGTTTAAATGTCAAAGTATCTGTACATAAATTCTCTTTAGTTAGAAACATTCTTTCCCATGGGGGTATGAATTACCAATTCTAAAACTACTCTGCATGTATTTTGGACTCATTGATTATATAAAGGAGGACAACTATCTCACTGTTAGCATCGGAGGTTACATACAAGTAGTGGGAATGGGGAAATTGATTCATGTGGTCTTGAATTAGACCACAGGTGCTGGAAACATTAATAAGAATTCATGCTGAACTTTACTTAGGAATAAATGGAGAAATGTTGTAGAAATACATATACATACGTGAGTGTGAGTTACATACATACATATAATCCTTTGCTCTGTCAGATGACAAAGCATAGAATTAACAGACGCCTAGCAGAAATGACAACACCATTGCCGAGACCTTTGTTTCTAATGTCATTCACCAAAAAAGGAACCAGGAATTTGGGGGAAAATGGTAAATGGCAGGGTTGGGAAGGGAATCAACACTATTAAGCTTAAGTACCTTGTAGTGCCAGAAAGTAAGAAAAAGTTAAACAACACAACCAACCAACACACTACACAAACCAAATCAAATAGCAATAATATGGGTATTTCAAAGTGGTAAAGCAGCTGACTGAAAGGCTTCTAATGACCAGCACGAGAGCAATTTGAACAATACAATAAACTAGTCTAATCACAGTGGAAATAAATATTTATTATTTGCCAATATTCCATATAATATAAATAATTGATTAAATAAATGTAAAATAAATGCTGGAGAACAGATACATTGCCTATGGTAATGAAATACAAACGATACTATAGAGGTTCTGCCTTAAGGAGGTGAAGAATAATTCCCCACTTGTTAAGTATGCGCTGTGCATAGTGACTTTTTTTCAAAAAGTACGACATGGAAAGGGGGAAAATTAATTTTACAGTGGAGAAACTGGACCCACACTGCCTCATCCAGGTGCTCAAATTAGTATCAATAGTGATAAAAAGCATTTTGAGAATATATGCCCATGGTATAATGAATATTACACTCACCCCTGTCTCTTCTTCCACATCTACAACTTCAGTCTAATTGTTACTAAAAACAATCATAGAAATCCTAAATGGAGGATGTCAATGCCACGAAAAACATGGAAATTCAGAGAAACTGCAGAGACAAAAAAAGCTTAAGCAGACAAGATATCTAAATGTGTTATCCTGGAAGACATCGTAGAACAGAAAACAAACATTAAGTAGGAGAAAAACAAATCTGATTAATATGTGGATATCAGTGAATGAGAATGCATAATGTTGGTGTGTTAATTGTGGCAAATACCCATGCTCATATAAGAGGTTAATAATGATGGAAACTCTGTGTTGGTTGCATATTAACTCTCCATGCTGACTATGCAACTGTTCTGTAAGTCCAAAGCTAACGTAAAATAGAAAAGCTTTTTTCTTTCTTTAAAAATTTACTGCTGACCTTAACAAACTGAATATTATCAATATTGTTGATGCTCTAAATGTGCAGCTCCCCAATTTCATGGCATTTTTTACCCCCATGAAGGTTACTATTATTTTCAGTTTCCTATTTGTCATTGCCATTTTATATTATTTTTATGTCTAGGTTTATATTTCTAAATAATATGTTGTTCAGTTTTTATTGTCTTCACATTAAGATAAAGGTGTTCAAAATAAGTCTATAATTCTATTCAAATAATGAGAAATCATCAGATGAATCCACATTGTGATGCTTCCTATAAAGTACCTCACCAGTTCTTCTCTTAGGGGCCAAGATTCTTCAAGATAAACAAAGACTGGGAAACTGTTGCACATCAGACAGGACCTGATGTGGCTGGTAGACCCTAAGATGGTGCCCAATGATCCCCACCTGCCAGGGTGCATGACCTTGTATTGTAATCCTCTCCCTGTGGGTATAGGCATGAAATTTGACTTGTTTTCGTACAACACAATAATACAAGAATATTAGATGTCACATGACTGATCATGATACATAAAGTTGTGATTTTTTTTTTTTTTGTCTTGCTAGCAAGTTCTTTGCCTTGATGGCTTTGATAGAGCATTCTGCTACTTGGGAGAAGTCCACATGGGAAGAAACTGAATACAGCCTCTGGTCAACAGCCAGCAAGGAACTGAGGCTGCCCTACAGTTTGCAATTTAAATTTCTGACTAATCCAAGCCCCCTTTTAAGTAACAATATATCACTTAAGATGTAGTGTGAACACATTACAGTAACAGAATAACCCACATTCTTTCCTTCTATCACTTATTGCAGTTATTCATCTCACTTATATAAGCATAAATGCACATAAATGTTTGCATGTATATATATATACATACACAATGATATATATTTAACCATATCTAATCAAATATTAGTCATACTACTGTTTTTAACAAGCTGTTCTTCGTTAGATTAATTAAGCATAAAATTATTACTTAGATTAGCCACTAAAAAGGTAAAAAAAACCAGATATGCTAAGAAATGAGATGAACAGATATAAAGTGCTCAAAACAACGAAAGGTAGAAAATGAGTGAAATACAAAAATAGGAACAAAGACAAATCAACAACTGAAAAATGGTAACAAATTTGGTAGATTTTTAATCCAACTATATCAATAATCACTTTAAATGTCAATGTTCTAAATGCACTACTTAAAGGACAGAATGCATCAATAAAAAGAAGCATGGGATAGAAAGAATAAATTCATGTAACACGTTACAATCGGAGAAACACGAGAACATCATGAGGTTTGCAGGAGAATGTCAAAGAACATTTAAGAAGTCACGCAGACAGGCCAAGCATGGTGGCCAACACCTGTAATCCCGGCACTATGGGAGGCCGAGGAGGGTGGATCACTTGAGGTTAGGAGTTTGAGACCAACGTGGCCAACATGGGGAAACCCCATCTCTACTAAAAATACAAAAATTAGCTGGGCGTGGTGGCACCTGCCTGTAATCCTGGCTACTCAGGAGGCTGAGGCAGGAAAATCGCTTGAACTTGGGAGGCAGAGGTTGCAGTGAGCTGAGATGGAGTCACTGCACACCAGCCTGGGTTACAAGAGCAAAACTCTGTCCCAAAAATAAAATAAAAAAATAGAATAAAATAAAGACCAAAACTATCAGACAGCTTACAGGTAGGGGATTTTAAAGACACAGAGGCAGAGGTAATACACAGTTATAAATTAATATATTGAGGTTACACATTGGTTTTAGCCTAAAATGATGAAGTATCTTGAAGGGAAGAAGTGGAAGCTTACAGGTCATAGGGGGATTCAAAGATTTACTGATTTGTGATTATTTAAGAAAGTAAAATTTGTCAGAAAATTTGGGATCAGCAGAAAATAATGGTACTTCTGGCTCATAGACATAACATCCTGTAGGCCCCTCAGGAAGAAATTCAGAATAAAGAATGGCAGAGTTCATTTCATAGATCCCCTTTATCTGAGGTCTATGTGCCAGTGGATCCATTTGGTAGAGGGGCAGCTTTCTGAACAACAACTCAGGGACATATGCTAAGCTTTGATTTTTAGTTTCCATAGGGAACCCCATATTCCCATGACTCTCCATTCCTTGCTACTGTTTTAACTTCTTGCTTGTGAAGTGGCTCATGAACTTCTCAGAGGTAGAGAGGTGCCTGGAATTTCTGTGAAGGGACTCAAGATTTTCCTTTATTTCCATGCTTCGGGTGGTACACAGGCCCCTATGAGGGGTCCCTGCACCTTCTCAGGCCCTAAATAAATCCTCATCTGCTTGTGGGACTCCTGAATTTCTTCTACCATGTTCTTGCTTTTGTATTGCTTGCTGCTTTCAGGTGAGAAAATTCCTGTTCAACCTTGGTGGATGAATCTCATCGTTACTGGCCAAGACATTTGGATGACTATTCATATATGAATTATGTCAAGAGTGCCAAAGTTCAGTATAAAATAATACACATCAGTTGATCCACTATTATTTAATAGAAAGGTGGGTAAATTATTGACTATGTCAATGAAAATGGAGATATAAATAGTTGCCAGCAGAAAAATATTTTTAAAATATTAAGCTAAATGAGAAAAAATAATAAAATATCTTAACACCCTTCCTAAAAGTGATTGTTACAAATATATTTGCTGCATAGAGCAAAATTATGTGTACATTTTCTAAGTGGCATTTTAAAAATTTGTCACTGAGACTATTTATTACTGCCTCAATTTCAGAGCCATTCTTGGTCTGTTCAGGGATTCAGTTCCTCCCTGGTTCAGTCTTGGGAGGGTGTATTTGTGCAGGAATTTTTCATTCTTTCTAGATTTTCTAGTTTATGTCCATGGAGGTGTTCATAATATTCTCTGATGGTTGTTTATATTTCTGTGGGGTCGGTGGTAATATCACCCTTGTTGTTTCTGATTGCATTTATTTGAATCTTCTCAACATCGCTCATTATTAGAGTAGTGCAAATCAAAACCAAAATGAAATACCATCTAACACCAGTCAGAATGGGTATATTAAAAAGTCAAAAAATAACAAATAACAAATAATCAAACAAATACCAGAAGCTGGCAAGATTGTGGAGAAAAAGGAACACATACACTGTTGGTGGCAGTGTAAATTAGGCTAACCATTGTGGAAGACAGTGTGGTGATTCCTAAAAGACCTAAAGACAGAACTTCCATTTGACCCAACAATCCCATTTCTAAGTATATATCCAAAGGAATATAAGTCATTTTGTTATAAAGACACATGAACACATATGTTCACTGCAGCACTATTCACAATAGCAAAAACATGGAATCAATCTCAATTGTCCATCAATGATAGACTGTATAAAGAAAATGTGGCACATATACACCATGGAATATAATGCAGCTATAAAGAAGAACCAGATGATGTCCCCCTTTGCAGGGGCATGAACGGAGCTACAGTCCATTATTCTTAGCAAGCTAACACAGGAACAGAAAACCAAATACCTCCATGTTCTCACTTATAAGTGGGAGCTAAATGATGAGAACACATGGACACATAGAGGGGAACAACACACTCAGAGTTCCTGAAACCATCGGTCTGGATTCCGATGAATGGGGCAATCAGACACACAAGCACACCAAGGCTTAACCATTCTGGCCACTGGAAGGGAAAGAAACTACCCAGGAATGCCACCTGCTTCCAACTAGCTGGTCCCTTGATTGGGGCTCTAGGGAATTTCTCTTTACCTGCTGAGATGTTTCTGTCTTGGGGAACTTCCTTTCTCTTCTTGCCACTGCACCAGCTGCCAACTACACTTCCTTACCACAGGGCAAGTGACATCTGAAGAGGCTGACAGACTTCAGAGCTGGGTAAGGCAACCAGAATACCCCCTGAACTGCCTCTGCCTGTTCTGTGATGTCACCTGACCTCTGCTCTGTTTACATATAGCTGATTGTGACATCATCTGGGTGTGTATGTTATCTGCATCTATGTCAACACCTGGGCTTTGCTCCACTTGGAGTCAGCTGATTGGCGGGAGGGCATCTGAAATTGAGAGGAGGTTTCAGGACGTTTACCCAGCCCTTTAGTGGGGATCTGTCTGGGACTGTGCAGTCTGAATCTGCAACTGTAAAAGGTACAATATCTACATTTAGGCCCTCATCTCTTTCTCTCTCTCCTCCTCCTTCTTTCCTCTGCAAGGTGATCTGCATAAGCCCCACTCCATCCAGGATCCAGCCCTGGAGGGAAACAGCCTCCAGTGCCCTAGCAGGGTCACTCTTTTTAGGGCCCTGGAGTACTTCTCACAGCTGTGCCAGTTTTTATGGGGAAAGGAAGGATGTGAGCTATTCCATAGGTTATCTAAAGGGCTTGCCACCATGCTTATGGTGCTTAATGTTGTTTATGTGAAAAAAAAGCTTAACAGCATATGGGATAAGTATTTAGGCAGTCCTGACTCCAACCCCTGTGCCCTTTTTGTCTGCTAATTTACCATTTAATTTGTTGCCATTCGGTTACCCTCTACTAGGGTACTAAGGACAGCAGAACATGGACTTGGGATGAAGTTGATGTGCTGGTGGGCCCGGGGCGGGGGGTGGAGGGGGGGCGGTGGTAGGGGAGTGCTGTGCTAGCTGGTGCTAATCACTAGCCTGCCCAAGTAGTTTATTCTCTGGTCTCTTTGGCTGTCCCAACTCTGTGGTGACATTGGCACAAGTGTTCCTTTAGGACCATGAGTGGTATAAATTGCACTGCTTATATGAAGCTTGAAAAGTCTTTCCAACCCATAGAGGTCTGGTTGAAGGATATGAGCAGTGCAGAACAGAAGAGAGACAACAAATAAAAGTTGTCATCACTGTTTCACAGGGATGAGCAGTATGGACATATAAACCAAGTCAGGAGGGGAAACAAGGTCTCTATCACCTCTGAAAGGCCCCTGGGGCATACCCTAGCTAAGTGTAGATCCTATAGCTATAAGCCCATGACTAAGAGAAAAATGGTCTATTATTGCAGTGCTGTTTGGACTGTGGACAAGTTATGTTATAAATTTTGACCTCTGAAAGGACGCAACCAATACTAGCCTTTAATGCAGTTAGACTCATTTTGTCAGAGGTCGGGAAAATTAGAAAAAATACAATATGTCCAAACCTTCATCCTTTTTGAAAATCAGGATTCATACCATGAGGGAAGATGTACCAAAGGACAGAATGGAAAAAAGGCTCTTCACAAGCCAGAGAGCCAAATTCAGGCAGAAAGCAATGAAGAAGAATTAGGACTTTTAAATGTCCTACACCCAAGCTGTTTTAGCAGCTCCAGCCGCCACAGCCAGAACGCACCTGGCCTCTGCTCCACCCCAACAGCTCCCACTGCAGTACTGCCATACCGGGCCCTTAGCACTGGCCTCTGCGTTGGCCCAAATTGCCTTCATGCTACCAAGTGAGGCATCAGACCAATAAGAGGGAGCTACTCTGCCACCTCAGTATAATGAGAGAACAGAGACGGCCTCTCCTTCCAGTGCTTGACAGGGTACACGATTTAGCAAGGAAGTGCCATGGCCAGAGCAAGGGAATTCCCATTTATAAGGATGGCCATGGGTGGCTTGGATGCGAGTGGGCAACCTGTCAGACATTACTGGACATCCAGCCCATTTTCAACAACTAACTTGTGAAACGGAAAAACTCCACCCCACTTTATAGAATGGATCCCCAGAAAATGACTGCTCTCTATGTGTCTATCTGTGCCACCCACCAGTGTACCTGAGCAGATGTGTAGCCTCTCCTAAATATGCTTCTGGCTGCAGACCAAAGAAGATCCAGAGTCTTGGTGTCTCCATGAAACAAATCCAAATACCCCAAACCTGAAGGAACCATTCTGGATGCAAACCCTAATTGGGGCTCCAATTGATAAGGGGACATGGCCCATCTGGAATATTCACAAACATTCTTCATGTTTGGACTCAGGAAAGGGGTGCCAAAACAGGAAGCCTCACTAGGAATGACCCCTTCCCTGCTCCAGAGACAAAGAAACAGAAGTTTCAACCATAAATGTGGAATGAACAAGGAAGGCTCTGCATCAGAAAAATCGAGGCAAGCCTCTGGAACACAGCCAGCGTGCCTAGTGTAAGGAGAAAGGCCACTGAAAGGATGACTGTCCCAAAAGAAAGGACCAAGGGGCCAGAAAAAGGAGGAATATGACTAGGAAAAAGCCCACAGTCAAATCATGGAGCAGGGTCACTGCTCTGACCACAGACAGTGATGCCTGGGGACTCTCCTTAATCACTTAGAGACAATTAAAATTTCCCCACAGGAACCCTGGGTACAACTGACAGTGAGGAAAAAGTTAATTGATTTCCTGGTTGATACTGGGCAAACTATTCAGTTTTAACACTTTACGAGCAAAAAGCACCAAAATGATCATACCTGTGATAGGAGTTGCAAGAATAATGCAACAAAAGGCTTTCCTACAACCTTTAGAATGCAAACTAGAAAGTTTGGACCTAAGGCATTGCTATTTCTATATGCAAGAATGCCCAATTCCCTTGCTGGGAAAAGACCCATTATGCAAATTAAATACTCAAGTAATTTATCCCCAGAGAAACAACTACAGCTGCAGGTCCTGCTAGAGCAAGCACTGCAAGTAACATGTTATTCACTTGCCTTAAGAAGAAACAAGAATTCTCCCTTAGAAGTCTATGAGAGAGTGTGTAATTGTGAATAGGCAGACGGAATCCCAGGAAAAACAAGAAATACACAGTGAGTGCACATGGAAAAAATAGAAGGGGCTACTGTGACCTGGGCGGCGGGGGGGAGGCGAATAAAAAAAATCAGTATACATTAAGAAAGGAAGCCTTAGAAGGAATACAGCCTGTCTTTCAAAAATTTGAGAAGTGGACTGATTCATCCTTGCAGATCCCCATATAATAGCCCTATCGTGCCTGTAAGGAAGCTACACATCTACAAATATCAATTTGCCCAAGACCTGAGAGCTGTTAATAAAATAGTCTTGGATATTCACCCAATGGTGCCTAACCCATATACTCTACTGACTGCTATATATAGATAGTATGAATGCTTTTCAGTGCTAGATCTAAAAGATGTTTTGTTCTGCATTCCAATTAAAGAAAAGACCCAGCAATTATTATTATTATTTTTAATGACAGGACCCAGAGACTAAAACAGTCTTTCAATACTGTTGGACAGTGGGGCCTCAATGTGTTGAAAAATGCACCATCGATTTTTGGGGAAATACTGGCAAAAGACTTAGGAGACCTACAACAAGATTAAGAAGCCTGGCTAACCACACGTAGATAATTAATACCAGCCACAACTATAGGAAATGCTTAGCTGAGGTCATCTTAGTTTTAAATCACCTGGTACAATATGGATACAAAGTATTCCCAAGAAGCCCCAAATACAAAAGTAGAAAGTAACCTGTCTTGGCTTTAGGTTAAAGCAAGGCCAAACGAGCCTGGTCTGGTCAAAAACAGGCAATGGCAGCCATAAAGTCCCAGAGAATGGGGGCAACTGCGGGGATTCTTAGAAAGGGTTAGCTTCTCCCAGATTTGGATTCCTAAATTTGGACTAATGACCAAAACCCTTTATGAATCCCTAAAGGGACTAGACTCAGAGGCCCTTCTCTGGCCATCTAAAGGTCAACAAACATTTTATACCATCAAAGAAAAGCTGATATCACCCTCTGCACTGGGATACCAAATTCCCAAAAGCTGTTCAAATTCTATATCCAGAAGAAACAAACCATAGGTGTGGGTTGTGCTAATCCAAATGCTGGGAGTTGTCCCACATTCCATGGCCCATTTCTCTAAACAATTAGGCCACAGGTTAAGGGATGCCCCCGCCTTCCTCTGGGCAAAAGCACCCACTGTGAAGTCCTACAGGAAGTAGAACAATTTACTCTGGGACAGCCAGTTACTGTGTTTGTGCCCCATCAGGTGCTGACTCTGCTAGAATGAAAGGGAGGCTACTGGCTCACTGTGGGGTGAGTGGGCAGATACCAGGCCATCCTCTTACATGATCCAAATATCACCCTACAAACCACCATGGCTCTAAACCCTGCCACACTGCTCTCAGCCACTGAACACAATCCTGGGTTAAAGCATGACTGTAAATCCTTGATGCAGCTTATTCAAGCATGCTGAACCTGTCAAACTAGACAATGAGTGCTCTGGACTTGAACTACACTGATGGGAGCAGCTTAATGAAAGATGTGCACAGAGCCGGATATGCCACCGTGACTGCCAAAAGGGTAATAGTAGTCCATACCCTTCCTGCAGCTACCTCCGCACAAAGTGCTGAGTTAATTGCTCTTACCTGAGTCTTTAGAACTGTCCCAGGAAAAGGGAGTAAACATTTATTCTTATTCCATAAATGCATTCCTGGAAATGCACGCCAATTGGGTGATCTGGAAACATAGAGGAGGTTACTTATAATCAGAAAATACAGATATTAAACACTCAGGAGAAATTCTGGCCTTAGTAAAGGCAATTGCCTTGCCTGCCCAGGCTTCCATCATTCACTTCCCCAACACCAGAGAGACAATTCACAACCAAAAGTAAGCAGGCAGCTGGCAAAGCTGCATAATGAGCTGCTTGGGAGGCACAGGTCCTGGGACATGAATACTCCATTTGGAATTACTAGATTTTAAACCTCATTACACTGAACAAGATCCCAAATGTGCCCGAGCCAGGGGTTTGAGAAAAGAGATTCCAATTCCCCTGGAAAACTGACACCTACAGGATGATGAAACCACAAGGCCTTGGTTTATCCAATCTCAAAACATCTACATAAAGGAACGCACTATGGGAGTGATGTCCTCGCCAACCTAGTGCAACCACATCTCAGTAGCCCACACTTCCAAAATATCACTCGGAAAATTACAGAAGGATGCATCTTGTGCACTACAAACAATCCCAAGACAGCATGTAGTCCTCCTAAAAAGGAAATACAGTACAAAGGGCTGAGTCCCTTCAAAGCCTGAAAGGTGGGCTTCACTCAGATGCCTGCCTGGTTATGTGAGCTAAAGTAAGATGTGAAGCTATTAATAAGAGAAAAAGCAGGAGAGATAACCAATATACTTTTGTTAACATGAAGTTCTCAGTTAATTCTAGAGTAATAAGTACATACTTGATCTTTGCTGAAACTACCTGAATGGGTGTAGACAGTGGCTTTCCTCCAAAACAAAATAGACTGCTGGGTCTCTGGGGGAGGTACCCCTTTCTCCACTGCTGACTTGCCATTGCACATCCAAGCAACCACCTCGAGCACTTGGAGTTATGTTTATACGTAGGACAAAAGTAAAAATTCTCACCCATTTCCCATCTATGATTACAGTACCACTCACCATGAGTGCTCCACTTTTGGGGAAACCTGGAAACATATCTTCCATCTGGCTCATAAGCAGGTTAACATCACCCCCTCTATAGACTATGCTGTACATGACAACATAGGATGGCTGATGATGGTGCAAATTCAGGCAATGGGTCAGGCACCTCTACGCAACCAAAAACACAAGAGCAACACACCCCACACTAGCAGCCAGGCTAAGGGATGGTTACCTCTTAGCAATGTGGCCAAACCCATCAACTGAATAATAATATGTGGCTAGGATGGCAAAATAGTATCAAGCTACATGGTGGGGCCTATCCATTCTCCTGGAGATAGCTATAGGCCTGAAGCAGTCATAGCTGGTCTTACTTACCTTACAGCTGGACTGGCAGAAACACCTGGGGGTGCCCTTACCTACCAGGACACATCCTGTCCCATCTGGACTGTCTCCCTGACAACTGGGAAAATGTGAAGGACAGACAACACCATCAAAAATGGGCACCCTGTTGGTTCTACTCACCAGCTGCCTTTTCCTCCCAGATAGCAAACACAGATGTAGAATTATAAGTAGAGACCCTAAGTATAGAGCTGCTGCCAGTAATAACACCTAACCCAACATTACCCTTCCCACTGAAAAATCATGCAGATTAGGCAAGTGACCCTACAGAACCCTATGGCCTTAGATATCCTAACTGCAGCCTAGTGGGACACTTGTGCATTAAGACTGAATGGTGCATATATACACCAGATTATTCTCACGATATAATCCAGGCTATGCACGCACTGAATACTCATATTTCTGCTATAAATGTCCTCTCCCAGGATCCCACAATATCATGGTTTAGTCGACTTCCAGGTCCATGGAAGACTCTCATATACTGTATAATTGGTATTCTACTCCCCGTTCTGTTTGGTTGCTGTAGTTTTTGTTGCTTTTCAAGATCTGTACGGAGATGCAGGATAAACTTTCCCAGAAATTTTTGGGTCCCCACACTATAATGCTCCAACACATTCTCACATTAGTCTGGGAACCCACGAATAATTCCAACTCCAGGTAAACAGATTCCAATCTGATAACCTCTAACTGTGCCCCTTCCCCATGGTATATAAGCCCTATGTGAGACTCAAATATCTGCTCATAAATCCCTACTAAATGTTTCTTTCTAAGAGACTGGTTATATCAGCCTCTATCTTCAGCTATTCAGCTTCCTCATATTTTGGTGGTAGGTTTGCAAAGAACTGCCTTCCATGGACTGCTAACTATTAAAAATGGAGAGCTTTTAGTGGAGTACTGAAATCCCTATCTTACATATGTAGAAATAATTTTAAAAATGATGGTCCTAGAAATCTGTTGAGGAGGAAGCAGAATTGTAATGAGTTAGATGAATGTTTCCCTGACCTGGATTTAAGGCTTCAGGAAGACTGAATAAAGGGAACATGAAATCATGGTCTCAATTATATTAGCCACCCTTCCATTGAACTCTAACTTCCAATCAGTCTAAAGTGTGGATGGAGAAAGAGTGTTAGGTACTTGCCTCATGAAGAGGTCTAGGAATTTGGCTTGTTTGCAATGATAGTTTTTGAAAATTGTAGTGTCCAGGACAGCCACTCTGAAACCTGGTAGCTTAGTATATTATGAGAAATCATAATTTTTGTGCTGTCAGAGAGGTTGTTTGGGAACTTGGAGCACCACACGATGTCATCTGTGCCTGTGACATCATTTAGCACAGCTTTGAATTTAGTGCCTGTTTTCTTTTAAACCTCAGCTCTCCAGTCTCCATCTCCCTGATATGCCACATTGAGATGGGTTACAGCTTGTATGCATTTACTTATGTCTAACTTATGGCTTGCCATTCGAGCTTTTTTTTTAATTGCTTCCTGGTTTGGTGAAGCACAATCTTCACACTCTTCATCATGATAGATTAGAAAACATGCATTGAAATCAAGATAAAAAGGGATTTGACAAGTCACGAAAGTATGATAGTATCTCCAGTTCAAATGAAATAAATGGAAACACCCACCATGTTTTAAAATAGGAACCTTAAATGAAGCTGTCATGTCTCAAGTAATAAAGTATGAGCCTAAAGAAGTTAGTTTTCTTGAATTACAAATGCTCAAATAACACCACGTAACAGTTATCCTCATCTAAGAATGAGGAATGACTTCCATGAAGCTGAATGTCTCTTCCAAGTTTCTAGGTCACAGGAGCTCATTTCTCACTGTCACTATTACCATGGTGTAGACAATAGACCCTATGTTTATAGACGAAAAAAACAAGTCAACATTATACATGACCATGGGTGTGCAGAATGAAGTCTGATGTCTTTGTGGGTTTTTAGGCATGGTCCCTGGAAACAACCCTGGTGCTGTCCAGCAGCGTGTTGAACAGGAAGTTGTGTGTGTGGTGAGTGGAGAGTCCTTCCTGCTGTGGGATTCTTTGTTTAGCCAGCACATATGCAGAATCACCACTCAGCCTCTGTCTATCTCTTAAATCACTGCTGGAGGGTTGGGGATATGTTGTATTTTCTTCCTTCCTATCCTTCCTTCCCTTTCTTCCCTCTTTCCTTCTTTCCTCTCTCTCTCTCTCTCTCTTTCTTTCTTGGGTCTGACTTTTTTGCTCAGGCTGTAGTGCAGTCACACAATCATGGCTCACTGCAGCCTTGACCTCCTGGGCTCAATCCATCCACCTGCTTCAGCCTCCTGAGTAGCTGGGACCACCTGTGTGTGCCATTGTACTCAGCTACATTTTCTATTTTTTTTTTTTTTTTTGTAGAGACAGAGTTTCTCCATGTTGCCCAGGCTGGTCTTGAACTCCTGGACTCAAGCAATCCACCCACTTTGGCATCCCAATATGCTGGCATTACAGGCATGAGCCACCACACCTCGCCTGTTGTTTAGCCACTATCAGGTTTTCCATGCCCTTGAAAAACCTGTTTTGAATCTCAGCTGCCAAAAATCTGGTATGAAAAGATTTTTTTGTCCAGGCCCAGATAAGTAGAAACTGCCAAAACCACCAACCACCATATATACATATATATATACACACACACACACACACACACACACATACATACACACACATACACACATATATATATCTACACACACATACATATACATACATATATATACACACATACATACATATATATATATTTTTTTTGTTTTGTTTTGTTTTTTGAATTCCACCCACCTGCTGTCATAATGATGCCCATCCGGTGACTTTGGGGCTTGGGGATTGCTGATGTAATTCTGGTATTCAACAGAATACAAGGTTCCATAAAATTCCTGATGGAGATCGTGGAGTGAAAAGACATTATCACAGAATTCCAACAAGGCTTGAAGGCAGAATTATCTTTAGAAAACTAAGCCTGTATTAATAAAAAAAAATATGAAAATATAATTTATATTTCTTCTCACTAACATTCCTCAATCTTGGTCTTTGGCATCCAGAAACTTTGTCTGCCAAAATATGTTCAGTGGGATCATGTAGATATGTTCCTAAATGATATCTGAAAATGGGCCTTTCTGGGATTTGTGAGGCATAGGCAAATATCTCTGAAAACAGAGAGGTTACTGACACTCAAACGAGTTACTTGGTAATAAAGAGTGTGATGGGGAGGTCAAATATGGACAAGAGTTCCTTGAGTTTGATAGTGGCTTCCTGAAGTAGATGGATGTATGTATGGAAGGGTAAATGTATGCGGAAATCTGCTTGGCTATTTTTTTTCTCCATGTCCATTCATCTTCTGAGGCCAATTTTTTTTTGAGTCTTGATCTCCCTCTGTTTCCCAAGCTGGAGTGCAGTGACACAATCATGGCTCACTTCAGTTTGGAACTCCTGGGCTCAAGCAATCCTCCCAAGTCAGCCTCCCCGGAAGCTGGTATAATATACGCATGCCTGTCTTTTTAATTAAAAATAAAAAATCAAAGATTTCATTTTAAAATAGTTTTAGATATACATAAAGATGCAAACATAGTACAGCTAGTTTTACATACCCAGAAGTTTACTAGAATGTTACATCTTATTTATATACCCATAATGTATTTATGAAAACTAATAAACTTACACTGGTTTAAAACTATTAACTGAACTACAGACTTTCTTCTGAGTTTACCAGGTTTTCTAGTAATGCCATTTTTCTGTTCCAGAATCTAATCCAGGGTAGTATTAGAAATTAAATGTGCTATCTTTTGTATTAGTTATCAGTTGCTGCACAACAAATTGCCACATAGTGTGGTGGCTCAAAATCACACACACATTACTTACAGTTGCTCTGGGTCAGGAATCCAGATGTAGATGATGTCCAAGGCTGAGGTCTCAACTGAAGGCTCATCTGGAGAAGGATTCCCTCAAAGCTCACGTGACAGTTGTTAAGATTCCATTTCCTACCCTGGACTGATCATGGTGGGTCAAACTTGTAATCCCAATGCTTTGGTAGGTTGAGGCAGGAGGATTACTTGAGGCTAGGAGTTCAGGACCAGCTTGGGCAACATACTTAGAACCTGTTTCTACCACACACAAAAAAGAAAAAGGAAGGAAGAAAAGAAAAGAAGAAAAAAGATTAGCCAGATATGGTGGCATGTGCCTGTGGCCCCAGCTACTCAAGTGGCTGAGGCAAAAGGATTGCTTGACCCCCCCAGGAGTTCAAGTCTGCAGTGAGCTACATTCATGCCACTGTGCTCCAGCCGGGATGCAGAGTGAGACCATGTCTGTGAAAAAAAAAAAAATCCTGACTTGGTCAAGAAGACTTCACCAGTGAATGATTTTACATCTTCAAATAATTAATACCAATTTATCATATATTTTTCAAAAAATAAACAGTAAACCCCAAGCCTGTGGCACCTAGCAGTGAAATGAGGAGCAAGCAACAGAGCCAAGCATTTTGAGATAATGTGGTCTTGTCCCTCCGTCCATCAGCCATCAGCACCTGCAATTCAAATTCCACTTCCCAGAGAGGGAGGAAACTGGTGGCAGCCACATGTGCAGCACAGCAGTGTCAGCTCCAGCAACACCGCAGTCCCCAGGGTGTGCCTCCGGCTTCACGGAAGTCACCTGCTGCACTGGTTTGCCAACTGTTTGTTTTTCTAAGTCCTCATCTGGGAATAGGTAACAACTTTAATAATAATATTTAAATCCTTCTTTTGTTCAACTTTTAAGTTTCTAAAACTGTGATATTCCATTTTTTATAGATATTTATGAAGGCTCACAAAATGTGTCACATCAAATGTCTACATGTTAGGTCTCCTGAGCATACAAACTAAATTGACCTTAATGAAATACCAGAATTTAAATCTTGTATTTCTTCTAAATAATAAGTACCTGTTTGTCAACCCATATTTTCATGTTTGTCTATACTTGTAGGTAGTGTAAAGAAAGAAATATGCAAAACAATGAAATCATATTAAAAAGAGTAATTTATCACCCACCTTTCTCTCTCCCTTTCTAGTGTTTTCTAAATCTCCATCTATGTAGCCCAATTACATCTTTTTACTACTCTGATTTGGTTTTATTCACTTACACAATATAATTGTTTGCAAAGTCTGAAAATTACCTTGAAAAAATGTACATTTTTTCTCCTTTTCATGTGTTCCATTCTATTTGTGCTAAATAAATTTAGACCTTTCACATAAAAAACAGTAAGAGCAACATGAAGAATAGATCACTTTCCAATGTGAATTATCAGCCTTATACCACAGCTAGACAAAGTTACTGAAGAAAAACTATGATCATATTGATCATATGACTTATGAACATAAACACAAAAATTAAAGGAAATACTATCAAAGCAAATAACTGACATGTAAAAATTTATAAATTTTGACGAAGGTATACATCTTACGAATGCAAATTTGGTTCAACATACGAAAAGAATTAGTGCCATAAACTATATTAAGAGATAAGGGACACAATACACATGGTCATCTTAAAAGATGAGCAATAAGCACCTGCTAAAGTGAAATTTCATTCCTTATAAAACCATGCAACAAGTTAGGCAAATAAGAAAAGTTTCCTCACCATGAAAGCACAGAAAACCTCACATGACATCCTAAATCTTCTGAGAAGCTCAAGAACTTTCTTGTAAAATTAGAAACAAGAGAAGGCTATCACTTTCACAGTTTTATTCAACACTGTATTGGAGGATATGAACAAGGTAATTGGTATAGAAAATAAATATAAAAAAGTCAGATTTGAAGGAAAGTCAAATTATGTCTCCAAATGACATGATCCTGCCTACAGACATCATAAAATCTCTAATAAAACATAACAAAATATGAAAAAAGGGTTAAGCAAGCTTGTAGTACAGCTTAGTACAGGTCAATATGCAAAATCAACTGTATTTTTATTTATTAGCAATTAACAATCTAAAAACAAAATTTCAAAAACCATTTCATGTAAAATGGCATAAAAATTAAATACCTATGAATTAATTTAATAAAATAAGTATAAGATACATATACTGAGGACTAGAAAACATATCAAAGAAATTAATACAATTATAAATTAAATACATTGAGCTTAAATAAATTAAATACACTGCACTCCAGCCTGTAGGACAAAGTGAGACCCTGTCTCTGTCTCTCTCTCTCTCTCACACACACACACACACACACACACACACACACACACACACAGTCATTCTATCAAAAAGACACTTACACTTCTAGGTTCATCACAGCACAATCCACAATTGCAAAAATATGAAATCAATCTAAGTGCCCATCAACCAATTAGTGGATAAAGAAAATGTGGTGTGTGTGTGTGTGTGTGTGTGTGTGTGTGTGTGTGTGTGTATGTATATTACAGAATACTACTCAGCCATAGAAAAGAACAAAATAGTGTTTTTCAAAGCAATTTGGCCATTATCATTAGTGAAGTAACTCAGGAGCAGAAAACCAAATACCACATGTTCTCACTTATAAGTTTGGGGTAAGCAATGGATATGCAGGAGCATGCAGAGGGGGATCATGGACATTAAAGATTCCGAAAGGAGGAGGGTTGGAGGCTAGTGAGGGATAAAAAATTACCTATGAGGTAAAATGTACACTATTCAGGTGACAGGTACACTAAAAGCCCCAGACTTCACCACCATACAATTCATGCATGTAACCAAAAACTACATGTAATCCCAAAGCTATTGAAATTTTAATAAATTTATTTCAAAGAAAAAGCAGTGGTGTATGATTCTCCAAGTACTGAGTGTGTGTTGTATATAGTGACTTTTTTTATACACACAACATGAAAAGGAAGAAAAAGAAAAATTTTACAGAAGAGATTTTTAGAACTAAAAGATTTTTATCCAGGTGATCAAATTAACATCAACAGTGATAAAGCCTGTTGACAGCTTGTGCCCTGGATATTATGTGATAGGAATGGTACTTTTCGTCTGTATTCTTCCTCCCCAGAAGTCCAGTCTCATCATGAGAGAAACATCAGAGTAATCCTAAATTAGAAACGTCAATGGCATCAAAAACAAGGAAATTCTGAGAAACTATCACATTCAATGGAGCCTGTAAAGCCATAATATCTAAATGTGATGACGTATCCTGGAAGAGATCCTAAAACATAAACTTAACATTAAGCAAAAACTAAAAAATCAGAATAAAGTATGTATAGTACTCAATGACAATACATGATATTGGTTGGTTAATTTTGACAAAGGTTTCACACTATGAGATTAATAATAAAGGACACTGTGCATGGAGTATATGGAAACTCTCTACTAGATTTGCAACTGTTCTGTAAATGTAAAACCACAGAACTGTTTTTTGTTTTTGTTTTTGTTTTTTGGTTTTTTTTTTGAGACACTCTCCCTCTGTTGCCCAGGCTGGAGTACAGTGGCGTGATCTCGGCTTACTGCAACCTCCGCCTCCTGGAGTCAAGCGATTCTCCTGTCTGAGCCTCCCGAGTAGCTGGGATTACAATCATCCACCACCATGCCAGGCTAATTTTTTGTATTTTTACTAAAGACAGAGTTTTGCCATGTTGCTCTAGGACTCCTGACCTCAGGTGATCTGCCCGCCTTAGTCTCCTAAAGTGCTGGGATTATAGATGTGAGCCACTATGCCCAGCCTTGGAAAACCATTCTTTAAAACTTGTTTTTTTTTTGTTGTTGTTGTTGTTAATGTCACTCCCAAGCTTAAAAAAAAATCATTAGCAATATTGTTGATACCTCCTTTGTGCATCTCCTTAATTTCTCAGTTTTCCTTAAGCACTGAACTTAATTATATTGTGAATTGTCATTCCATACTTTAAAAATAGTTTTTCCTCTTTGAGTATTTCTTAATACTATATTCTTTAGGTCTTTTTCGTCTTCAGATTTAAGTGAAGGTGTTTAATTCATTGATATTCCTAGTTTAATCATGAGAAAACATCAGCTAAAACCATATCGTGGGACATCCTATTAAATACCTGACTGGTACTTTTCAAAAGGGTCAAGGTCAAGAAAAAGAAGTGAAGGCCAGGAAACTGTTTCATAAACGAGAATACCTGATGTGTCAGGTAGACTCTAAGTTGGTGCCCATTTATCCGCACCTTCTCATATACACAACCTTCTACTGTAATCCCATCCAAGTGAGTCTAAGTAGGAATTGTGACTTGCTTTGAAACAATAGAATAGTGCAAAGGTATAGAAGTGTCACTTGGATTCTTACATATGATTATGATTTTGGTCTTGCTAGAAATGTCTCTCTTGATGGATTTTATGAAGTGTGAGAAGCCCCCTTGGCAAGGCACTTTATTTAGCCAATGGCCAACAGCCAGGAAGATAAGAGGTTTTTTGTGCAATAGACTGTTCTACAGTTGGAAATATTATATTTAAAACTAACCATACTGCCCAAAGAAGTTTACAGATTAAATGCCGTTCCTATGAAACTACTAATGACATTCTTCACAGAACTAGAAAAAAATTGTGTTAAAATTCATACGGAACCAAAAAAGAGCCCCAATAGACAAGGCAATCATAAACAAAAAGAACAAAGCTGGAGGCATCATGTTACCTGACTTCAAACTACACTACAGGGATAAAGTAACCAAACAGCATGGTGCTGCTACAACAGCAGGCACATAGACCACTTGAACAGAATAGAGAGCCTAGAAATAAAGCCACACACCTATGACCATCTGATCTTTGGCAAAGCTGACAAAAGCAAGCAATGGGGAAAAGACTCTCTATTCAATAAATGGTGCTGGGAGGACTGGCTAGCCATATGCAGAAGACTGAAACTGGACCCCTTCCTTACACCATATACAAAAATTAACTCAAGATGGATTAAAGACTTAAATGTAAAACCCTAAATTATAAAAACCCTGGAGGACAATGTAGGCAATTCCATCCTGGATATAGGAATAGGCAAAGATTTCATAATAAAAACTCTGAAAGCAATCACAACAAAAGCAAAAATTGGCAAATGCGATCCAATTAAACTTAAGAGCTTTGTACAGCAAAAGAAACTATCATCAGAGTGAACAGACAAACTATAGAATGGCAGAAAATATTTGCAACTATGCATCTGATGAAAGTATAATATCCAGCATCTATAAAAAACTTAAACAAATTTACAAGAGAAAAACAAACAACCCCATTAATAAGCAGGCAAAGCGCTGGGCGCGGTTGCTCATGCCTGTAATCCCAGCACTTTGGGAGGCCGAGGCGGGCGGATGATGAGGTCAGGAGATCGAGACCATCCTGGCTAACATGGTGAAACCCGTCTCTACTGAAAATACAAAAAATCAGCCGGGTGTGATGATACGCTCATGTACTCCCAGCTACTTGGGAGGGCGAGACAGGAGAATCGCTTGAACCCGGGAGGTGGAGGTTGCAGTGAGCCGAGATCGCGCCACTGCACTCCAGCTTGGCCAACAGAGTGACACACGGTCTTAAAAAAAAAAAGTAGGCAAAGGATAAGAACAGAACATTTTCAAAACAGGATATACATGTGGCCAACTAGCATATGAACTAAAGCTCAATATCACTGATCATTAGAGAAATGCAAATCAAAACCACATGAGATACCATCTCACACCAGTCAGAATGGCTATTATTAAAAAGTCAAAATAACAGATGCTGGTGAGGTTGCAGATAAAAAGGATCACTTACACACTGTTGGTAGGAGTGTAAGTTCATTCAACCATTGTGCAAAGCAATATGTCAATTCCTCAAAGAGCTAAAATCAGAACTACCATTCAACTCAGCAATCCCATTACAGGGTATACACCCAGAGGAATAGAAATCATTCTCCCAAAAAGACACATCCACATGAATGTTCATTGGAGCACTACTTACAAGAAAAAAGACATGGAATCAACTTAAATGCCCATCAATCACAGGATGGATAAAGAAAATGTGGTACATATATATCATGGAATACTATATAGCTGGAAAAAAAGAATGAAATCATGTCTTCTACAGGAACATGAATGGAACTAGAAGGTATTATCCTTAAGCAAACTAACACAGGAGCAGAATACCAAATTATCACATATTCTCACTTTTAAGTAGGAGCTAAATGATGAGAACTCATGAACACAAAGAACGGAACAAAGGACACTGGGGCCTACTTGTAAGTGAAGGGTAGAAGGAGGGAGAGGAGCAGAAAAAGTAAATATTGGGTAGTAGGCTTAGTACCTGGGTGATAAAATGATCTGTACAATAAACCTCCATTACACAAGGTTACCTATATAACAAATGTATCCACAAACCTAAATTCAAATATATAAAGTTAAAAAACATCAAAATAATATAAAAACTATAAAAAATAAAAAATACTAAACTGAGCTACTTTTCTAATAAAGTTATATTGCTTCACAGTTACTGTATCTTATAATAACAAATAATCCTAATTCCTTTCTCCTGTCCTTTGCATTATTGCTGATATCCACTTCATATATATATATGTGTATATATATATACATATACATGCACACATACAAACACACATGCACATGTGCATATATCTGTACACATATATACTTATACATAAGATATATGCATAGGCATATATTATTTAATAATTTTTCTATTATTTTCAAGAAATTGTTTTCTCTTATAATAAACTAAGAATATAAAAATGTTAAACCAAGAAAAAGTTAAAATTATATATAACTGATATTTTTAGAAATGCGAGAGATGGAAAAATATAAAATGCTCAATGAGAACCACAAAAGGCAGAAAATGAATGGAAGATGAAAATAGGAAGAAGGAACAAGGACAACAAATCGAAAACATTGACAAATATGATAAATATTAATCCAACTGTATCGCTTACCACTTTGAATGTCAATGGTCTAACTGCACCAAGTAAAAGACACAGATTTACAAACTGAATCAAAAAACAAGATACAACTGTTATTTATAAGCCCAACCCAAATATAAAGACAAATAAAAGTACATGAATGGAACAAAATGTACGATGCTAACTCTAATCAAAGTAAACAAGAGGACCTATATGAATTACAGGCAGAGCAGACTTCAAAGCAAGAAAAGTTATCAGGAATAAAGAAGGGCATTACATAGAGATGAAGAGCCATTCTTCCAAGAAGATGTCCTAATTCTTAAAGCCTATGAGCCTGATAACAGAGCATAAACTATGAGGCAGAAATCAAGAGAACCACAAGGAAAAAGATGAATTCAGTATTATAGTTGGAAACATTAACACGCTATAACAGATACAGACAGATCTAGCAGGCAGTAATTCAGGAGGGAAAAACTGAACTCAATAGCACCAACAAGCAACTAGGCATAACCGACACCTACAGTCTCCTTCCCTCAACTACTGCAGATGACACATTCTTCTTAAGCTCACATGGAATATTCAGCAAAATGTGCCACATTCTGGGACAAAAAATACCCTAACAACTTTTAAAAAGTAAATCATACAATGTCAGCTCTAAGACCACAGTGGAATTAAAATAGAAATCAAAGGATGAATGGAATGATAACTGTAATATCCCAAAATGCATTGAGATTAAACAACACACTTCGGTATAATATATGGGTCAAAGAAGATATCTCCAGAGAAATTTTTTTAAATTAACTAAATGAAAATAAAAACACAATTTATCAAAATTTGTAGGATGAAAGGAAAGCAGAACATAAAGGCAAATAAATACCATTGAACACATACATAGGAAACAATGAAAAGACCAAAAATCTGTCATCTGTGTTTACACCTTTGGAAACTAGAAAAAGAAGAATATATTAAATCTAAAGTCAGTAAAAGAAAAGCGATAATTTTGTTAACAGACTAAAACAAAGGAAAAGTTAAAGCAACTGGATTTTTCAAACAAATATTATCTTAATAGTTCACAGAGCACAGAGGGATCCAAAATTAACAGGGCAAACAAAGCACCCACAACACCCCCCTTGCTTACGGGCATGCAGCCATGACCCCCTCAGAAATGGGGACCCCGCACTTCAGAAATGATCAGTTTAGTCTGTTATTAAGTAAACATTCTTGTATATATTTTCATATTAATTTACCAACTCTATTTACAATCTACTTAGTTATTAGAAATATTAGACTTATTAGTGACGTGCTGTAATTGTTTTATAAACTACGGTTCAAGAAATCTATTGACGAGGAAGATATAAATTGTAGAGAGACACTTGAAATTTTTCCTGAAGTGTTAGTTTTCTAAAGACTAAGGAAAATCTATATTAAAAAAATTGTGTCCTAAAGTTAGAAATATAAGCAATGATCCCTGCAAGCCATATTACAAATTCAATTCTTTAATCTATAACATTCTTGATCTCTGTTTTTCTTCATTCTCATTCACCCTTTTAATCACACAAATGGTGATAATACATAGTCACTGTAGAAGTAGATGCATTGTGATCTTCATAAAATGCTTTGTTCTGCCCCCTTGCTACTCTGGCAAACTCTACTTTTGGACACTTGGATATTGAAATTAGTTTTCCTGTATCCTTGGGAAAATACTAAGTGAAGAAGAAACTCATACAATTCATAATTTAGGACTTTGAAATTTCACCAATAGTTTTACACTCCAGGAAGGTTGAATTACATGAATATGAAGTAATGATGTTAAATATATGAGCCATTCATCCATTGAACTACAACTCCTAATCAGGCTACAGTGTGGAGACAGCATGTTGGAATGTTTGTCTCATATTGTGGTCTAAGACTTGGGTTTGTTTGCAATGACATCTTTTTTTAGAATTGTGGTGGCCTTTGTGAATTTAGTTGCTTAGTATATTGTGGGAAATCATGCCTTCCATGCTGTTAAAGCACTTGTTTGGGCACTCAGTGCTCAGCACTCTGTCCTTTCCATGCCAATATGGCAGTAGAGTTTTGTGTATATTGCCTGTTTTCCTTTAAACTTGAGAACTCAGAACCACCATAAAGGCAATAGTCTTGGCTTTGTCTATGTCTGTGTGAGTGCAGCATGCAGACTCACGGCTTGGTAGGCTTTGTAGGCATGGTTCTTTGACACAACCCTGGTGTTAACACCGCAGAGTGCTGTGAACTATGAACAGGGACCTATGTGGGGGATAGCTGGATATTTCTTCCTGCTGTGAGATTCTTTGTTTAGCCAGAACATGTGCAGAGTCACCATTTAGCCTGGGTCCATCTCTTAGATCACTGCATGGTGGGGGGAGATCTGTTACACACTGCTTTTTCTTGTATCTACTGAGCTTTCTCCAGCCATACAAAGCATATACTGAATCACTCACATGACTTCACCTGCCAAAAACCAGTTGTCCACAGATTCATATCGGGGTCTTAGTAAGCAAGCATTGTCATCAACCACCATATTTAGAAGCATTGTTTGTGTGCCCTACTCACCTGCTGCCAGGATGACATTTATTCTGTGGTCTTTGACCCTGGAAATGGACAATATAATTCCAAGATGTGAAGAGCAACAGAATATATGGTCCTAAATAATTCATGACGAGAGAAATAGAAATTATCCCAGTGATCTGATAACCAGTTGAAGAACAAATCCCTGTACCAAGGGAAATAAAACACTCTCCTGATTGTAGAAATACAATTTGTGTTCCCTGTCACTGACATTTTGCAATATCGGCTTCTAATGTCCAGCAGTCATTTTTTCCAGAAAGGCTTTAGTGGAATTATGTGAATAAACTTCCAGACAATGTCTGAAAATGGGGCGTCCTGGGATATATGAGGAAAAGGCACCTCTCTCTGAAGAAGTGGTTACTGACACTTAAAATGTTCCTGGATAATGGGTAGCACGATTTCAAAGGCAAAAATGGATGAGAGTCCCTGGAGCTAACTGTGTTTAACTGAAGCAGGTGCACCTGCGTTCAGAATGGTGGCTAAATTAGGAAAGCTGTGCTGCTGTTCTTTCCCGACTTGCCCACCCGATCTCCTGAAAACAAGTTAATGTGCTTATGTCTTTTTGTTGGTTTTTGCTTTCCACCAAAATATTATTTTAAAATTATTTTGAAATCATATTTGACTTACAGAAGGAGGTATAATATATATAATATATAATATATATAATGCAGAGAGTTTCATATACCTTTCAGCTTAAAGGAATATTAACACGTTATATAACCATAGACTATTCATGAAAACTGAGAAATTGACAGTGTTGTAGAACTATCAATGGAACTACAGACTTTATTCATAGTTTTCTTCAGGTTTCCAATAATGTCACTTTTCTATTCCAGTATCTAATCTAGGATACCACATTACATTCAATGCCAGGTGTATTACTTAGTTATTGTTGCATAACAAATTCCCACACATCTTGGTGGCTGAAAAGCACATACACATTACTCACAGTTTCTCTTGGTCAGGAATCTAGATGGAGAAGATGGCCAAGGCTGAAGTCTCCCCTGAAGGCTCACGTGGGGAAGGATCCTCCCCAGGCTCACATGATTGTTGTTAGGATTTAATTCTGGTTCCATGTTAAGATGACTTCAATAGGAAATTATTTCATACCTTTAAAGAATACAACTTCATTATGAATTCTCTAAAAACATTAAACAACAGCAATGACAGCGGTGAAGAGATCACTCCCTATGCACACTATGAGGTATTTTATCCTCATACCACAATTAGACCAAAACATTTCAAGAAAGGAAAATTAAGACCAATATGCCTTATGAATAAAGAGGCAAAAATCCTTAAGGAAATAATAGCAAAACAAATCAGCAACATGCAAAAATATTATACACTATTGCTAAGGGTATTTCCTCAGGAATGCAAATTTTGTTCAATATACAATTCATGCACTGTATTAATGGAATAAAGCACGGAACCTATACGATCATCTCAAAGACAAAGAATAAGCACTTGACAAATCAAAAACACATTCATGATAAAGATATGCAGCAAATTAGGACTGTAAAGAAACTGTCTTCACTTTAAAGCATCCAAAAAAATAAAAACCCTCACATGATATAAAAGTTTTCTGAAAGGCTCAATACTTTCTCCAAGATTAGAAATAAGACAAAGAATTTCATTCTGGCCACAATTCTTCCCCACATTATGCTAGAGGATGTAGCAAGGACAATTAGTAGAGAAAAATGAATATAAGACATCTGGCATAAAAGAAAGTAAAACTCTGTTGGCAATTGACATAATTTGTTTACAGAACATCAAAATGACTCTAATAAAATAGAATGCAAATTAAAATATAAGTTCAATACAGTTCCAGTACACAAGGTTAGTATACAGAAATATGTACTTCTATATAGTAGAAATTAACAAACTAAACAAAAATCTCAGAAACCCATGCTATTTAAAATAGCACCAAAAAGGAAAAACACATAACAATAAATTTAACAAAATACGCATATGACATGTATATTAAAACTGTAAAATATATTAAATGTAATTAATAAAATTCTATAAAAATGGACAAATGTTGAATGATCATTGATTAAAAGGCTTGATATTATTAAGTTGACAATACTTTTTCTATGACTGTATAGATTTAATGCAATTTCCATGAAAATCCCAGGTGACCTTTTTTCACTAACTTATCAAACAGATTTTAAATTGTATATATAATGCAATAGAGAATTGTTAAAATAATTTTGAAAAAAAAAATGGAATTTGTAAAATAGACTCATACTTCCTGATTTTAAAATTAAAGACAAAGCCATACTAATTAACATGTGTGGTGTAGACATACAGATAAATAGAATAAAATTGAATATCAAAAAGTTAACCTTTACATTTACGGTCAAATAATTTTACAAGGGCTCCAAGTAAATTCAATACGGAAAAGTATTTTTTTCATCAACGGATTCTGGGACAAGTCAACATTATCAACATTATCAACAGGCAAGTTAAACTCCTCCCTCACAGTATATGCATAAATAGTACAAATTAGTCACTAATATGGTTTGGACTTGTGTCCCTGCCCAAATCTCATGCCACATAGTAATCCCCAATGTTACAGGAGGGGCCTGGTGGGAGGTGATTGGATAATGGGGGAAGATTTCCCCTTGCTGTTCTCATGACTGTAAGTGAATGAGATATCGTTATTTAAGTGTGTAGGACCTCACCCTTCTTTCTCTTCTTCCTTCTCAGGCCATAAAAGATGTGTCTGCTTTCCCTTCTCCTTCTGCCATGATTGTAAGTTCCTGAGGCCTCCCCAGCCATGTTTCCTCTACAGCCTGCAGAACTATATGAGTCAATTAAACCTCTTTGCTTTATAAATTACCCAGTTTCAGATAGTTCTTTATAGCAATGCAAGAAGGCTAATACAGAAAATTGCTACTGGGAGTGGGGCATTGCTATAAAGATACTTGAAAAGTGGAGGTGACTTTGATACCGGGTAATGAGCAGAGGTTGGAACAGTCTGGAGGGGGTCAGAAAAAGACAGGAATATGAGGAGAAGTTTGGAACTTTCCAGAGACTGGTTAAATTTTTGTGACCACAATGCTGATAGTGACATGGACTATGAAGTCCAGGCTGAGGTGGTCTCAGATGGAGATGAGGAACTTATTGGGAACTAGAGTAAGGGTCACTCTTGTTATGTTAGCACAGAGACTGGTGGCATTGTGCCCCTGCTCTAGGGATCTGTGGAACTTTGAATTGGAGACTGATGATTTAGGGTATCTTGTGGAAGAAATTGCTAAGCAGCAAAGTGTTCAAGATGTGGCCTGGCTGCTTCTAACAGTGTATTGTCATAGTGTGAGCAAAGGGATGCTATGAAACTAAAACTTATATTTAAAAAACAGGCAGAGCATAAAAGTTTAGAAAATTTGCAGTCCAGCCATTTTGTAAAAAAGAAAAACCTGACGAGGTACTGTGGCTCATGCCTGTAATCCCAGCACCTTAGGAAGCTGAGGTGGGTGGATCATAAGGTCAGGAGTTCAAGACCAGCCTGGCCAATATGGTGAAACCTCGTCTCTACTAAAAATACAAAATTTAGCTGGGCGTGGTGGCACATGCCTGTAGTCCCAGCTACTCAGGAGGCTGAGGCAGAAGAATTACTTGAACCCGGGAGGTGGAGGTTGCAGTGAGCTGAGATCGCACCACTGCACTCCAGCCTGGGCAACAGAGTAAGACTTGTCTCAAAAAAAAAAAAAAAAAGTAAAACAATAAAAGACGAATCCATTTTCTGGGGAGGAATTCAAGCCAGCTGTAGAAATTCGCATAAGAGGAGCCAAATTAGCCAGGCATGGTGGCTCACGCCTGTAATCCCAGCACTTTGGGAGGCTGAGATGGGTGGATCACGAGGTCAGGAGATTGAGACCATCCTGCCTAACAAGGTGAAATTCCAACTCTATTATAAAATACAAAAAATTAGCCGGGCATGGTGGTGGGTGCCTGTAGTCCCAGCTGCTCGGGAGGCAGAGGCAGGAGAATGGTGTAAACCTGGGAGGATGGAGCTTGCAGTGAGCTGAGATCGCACCACTGCACTCCAGCCTGGGTGACAGAGCGAGACTTGTCCATCTAAAAAAAAAACAAAACAAAACAAAAAGAAAGAGAAACTGAATTTTAATACCCAAGACAATAAGGAAAATGCCTCAAAGCCACTTCAGAAACCTTCCCATCAGCCCCTCCCATCATAGGCACAAAAGCCTAGGAGAAAATAATTGTTTCAAGGACCAAGCTCAAGGCCTTGGTGCCCTGTGCAACCTTGGGCCACTGCTCCCTGTGCCCCAGCTGCTCCAGCTCCAGGTATGATTAAAAGGTCCCCAGATACTTATCAGTCCATGCTCCAGGAGGTGCAAGCCATAATCCTTGGCAGTTTCCACGTGGTGTTAAGCCTGAAGGTACACAGAGGGAAAGAGTTGAGGCTTGGGAGCCTCTGCCTAGGTTTCAGAGAATGTATGGAAATGCCTCGATGCCCAGGCAGAAGTCTGCTGCAGTGATGGAGCCCTTAGGGAAAACCTGTACTAGGACAGCACAGAGAAGTATAGAGTTGGAGCGTCGAGAAACAGTCTCCACTGGGGGCCTAGTGGAACTGTGAGAAGAGGGCCACTGTCCTCCAGAACCCAGAGTGGTATATCCACCAACAGCTTGCACTATGTGCCTGGAAAAGCCACAGGCACTCAATGCCAGCCCTTGAGAGCAGCCACAATAGATGAGCTCTGCCAAGCCAGAGAGGCAGAGCTGCCCAAGGCCTTGAAAGCCCTTACCTTGCATCAGTGAGGCCTGGATGTGAGATGCAGATTCAAAGGAGATCATTTTGGAGCTTTAAGATTTAATGACTGCCCTACTGGGTTTCAAACTTGCATGGGGCCTGTTGTCCCTCCTTTCCAGCTGATTTATAACTTTTGGAATGAGTGTATTTACCCAATGCCTGTACCCCCATTGTATATTGAATGTAATGACTTTGCTTTTGATTTTACAGGCTCATGGGTAGAAGGGACTTGCCTTATCTCTGATGAAACTTTGGACTGTGGACTTTTGAGTTAATGCTGAAATGAGTTAAGAGTTGGGTGACTATTGAGAAGGAATGATTGTATTTTGCAATATGAGAAAAAAACATGATATTTAGGAGGGGCCAGGGGCAGGATGATATGGTTTAGATTTGTGTCACCTCCCAATCTCATGGCAAATTGTAATCTCCAATGTTGGAGGAGGGGCCTGGTGCGAGGCGACTAACTCATGGGGGTAGATTCCCCCTTTCTGTTCTTATGATAGTGAGTTATCACAAACTGTGGTTGCTTAAAACTGTGTGGCACTTCCTTCTTCTATCTATTCCTCTTTCTCCAGCCATGTAAGATGTGCTTGCTTCCCCTTTTCCTTCCACCATGATTGTAAGTCTCCCCAGTCATGCCTCCTGTACAGTCTGTAGAATTGTGGATATAGTAAACCACTGTTCTTTATTACTTACCCAGTCTCAGGTAGTTCTTTATAGCAGTGTGGGAACAGACTAATACAATCATACACCTAAAAAGCCAAAACTAAAAACAAAAACAAATTGTTTAACAAAGGTTAAACAATGATTTCTAAGATATGACAACTAATGCACAAGAGGAAGGAGAAAATAGATATATTGAAACATCACTAATAACATACATCATAATGTAAAGTACATAACAAAAGAAACAATTTAAAAATGGGAGAAAAGTCTTTGTATGTCAAATATCCAATAAGAATTTATAATCCAGAATATATTACATCTTAAAACGCAAAAATCCAAAGGCAAATGCTCCAATCAAAAATAGAAAATTTGAACAGTCATGTCTCCAAAGAAGCTATAGTAATGTTTAATAAGCATATGGAAAAATGCTCAATGCCTCTGTCATTAGGGAAATGCAAATCCCAACCATAAGATATCCTTTACTAATCCTAAAGGCATATGAGTAAGTCCAAAAAGCAATTTGGAAAAAGCAAAATACTTTTTTTTAACATAATATATGACACTCTAGAAAAGGCACAAGGATAGAGAAAGTAAAGAGTTTATTGGTTACCACGGTCTCAGCCAAAAGGAAAGACAAATCTGTAAAGATAGAAAATTTCCTTTTGTATATTATTATGTATGCTACTGTAATGTGGATAAAAGATACAGGTTTTCAACTCCCACAAAACTTTATAACACAAAGAGTGAACCTGAAAGTATGTAAATTAACAAAAAAAACTTATTTAGTAGATAGGAACAGCCCAGGAAGAAATGCAGAGAAAATACTTTATACAAATCTATGAAATAATCCACTGAAGGAAGGGGAAAAAGAAGCTGACCTAAGCAACTGACATAATAAGTGCAGATTCTGTCTAAAGGCTAAAGGATTTATACATAAGCAGTTGGTATACATAAACAGGTGGTAAGGGTGTTTCTCATGGGGTTGTATGTTTCTTATTCTGAAACCACTATGCCTGCATTTTCAGGTGGTTAAATATTACAGTGGTAGGCTACATACAGATTAGTGAGATGGGTAGACAAATTCACATAGTGCTGAATAAGACTGTGTGGGACGGAGGAGGCTGTAGGAATTCATGTTTAATTTAATGCAGATACATATGGAGACTTGTAGAAATTTGTAAACATATGTGTATATTTACTCTTTGCTCTGTTAGCTAACAAGGCCTCCAATCAACACATTCCCCAGTAACAATGTGTACAACCAATGAGTGTCCAAATCTTTTTTAATTTCATTCTCCAACAAAAAAGATAGGGACCTGTGAGAAAAAGCTCAATAATAGACTTGAACAGGGACTAAATACAATTAGCCTGGAGTATCTAGTGGTGATCAAACAACAAAATGCTCAAAAACAATGCAACCAATGAATCAGCCACATAACAATGTTAAATTTTAAATATGGTGGTATTTCAAAATGACAGGGGACTCAATTGAAAGACTTTCTGATGGCATTCAGCCTTATACTGAGGGTTTAACCAAGGTTTTCTCTGGTTTGAGCATTTTGGACTTAGACTATGGTACCCAACAAGCATCCTAGGATCTCCAGCTTTACATGGCATGTGGTGGAAACGGTCAGCCTCCATAATCATGTGATTCAGTTCCCCTAAAAATCCCTATCTATCTATCTATCTATCTATCTATCTATCTACCGCTAGCTCCTACGTGTCTATCCTATTGGTTCCATTGCTCTCGATAACCCTGACTAGTATAGACTTTGGTAGTATGAACGGTTCTATACAAAGAGAATTTTAAGCATGAGTGTCCTTAATCAAATTTGGGGTTTCTAGAATTGGCTTTCTAATCTGATTGGACCTAAATTCTAAGAACTGTACTTTTAACAGTAGAAAGAGCAATGACAGTCAATGACATGAACTGTTTTTAGAGATCCCCAAAATATCTGCATTTGATACTCTTAATTAAACACTGATAAGAGGCAAGGTACTTGTTTACTCTGTATGTGATACAGACATTTGTTTAAAACCATGGCACATAATGATGACGGGTTTCTTGCTTCTAATTTCACTGGGAAATTTGATGAAAGACAATAATGAGCTTAGGGATTCAATTTTGCAGAACCAGCTCCACATAAACAGCCTAAGAGTTTCTACCTGTGCTCTGAGCCAGAAAACTCTCTTGTAGCCACAGGGAAGTATTTGCTAAAGGTCAAACACAAGCCCATATCATGCCACTGGCTGAATTACAAGAAACATTGAACTGAGTCTGGCAGGGTGTCTACTGTTGAAGTGGAAGTTGATAAGGAATAGCATCCTGTAACTTGGGATGACGATGTATGGGAAGACTGATGTGGCTGGGGACATTGATCTCCTAAATTCTAATGAGTTTTTATTGCCAGCAGAAGTGGCCTCCTCACAGCCACCCCCTTGGCAATGGCCTTCCCACACAAGGTGATGTAGGCCTTTCCATATACGTCTGAGTAGCTTACAGCTACAATGCCTAAGGAAACGGTAATGGCTTCCCCTGAAGCAGCTGTCAAGCAATACATTGCTGATTATCTTCAAGACCCACCCCTGACAGCTGTGTTTCTTCTAGACTCATGGTGAGACTAAAGTTACAACAGGCCCCTAAAGCTGATGGATAGTATTTCCCATGAGGAGGTGTGATCTATGTCAAAAAAGCTACCTGAGTTTTCTAACTAATGCAAACAGAAATCTGAAGACCCTATGTGGAAATAAAGATTATGGCTGTGGATAGCTGGGTGTGGTGGCTTGTACCTGTAGTCCCGGCTACACGGGAGGCTGAAGTGGGATGAATGCTGGAACCCAGGTGTTTGAAGCTGCAGTGAGTCACGACTGTACCACTGCACTCCAGCCTGGCCAAAAGAACAAGACCTCATCTGTAAGAAACCAAAACAAGAAAAAAAAAGTGTTGATAACAGTAGAAGGAATATAAACTTGAATCAGTCCAAATTTAATGATATGGGGCCATTAAGCAGATATTCCGGTTTAATGTTGCAGCTTCGGTATTTAAGGATGGTAGTAGTAGTGTTATGACTGGTTGGCTGAAATATAGTTCAACAGATGTATGACCATGAGCAAGTCAGTGATTCCCGCATCTTCCCTGCATTATGTTGGATGAAGGAATTCATAGGCCTGGAGAGACAGGAATGCTAGAATGGATTTCCCACTTAAAAGCAACTTACAGCAGGGCATAGTGGCTCATGCCTGTAATCCCAGCACTTTTGGAAGCCGAGACAGGTCCATCACTTGAGGTCAGGAGTTTAAGACCAGCCTTGCCAACACAGTGAAACCCCATCTCTACAATAAAACTACAAAAATTAGCCAGACATGAGGCACACACCTGTTGCCCCAGCTACTCAGGAGGCTGAGGCAGGAGGATGGTTTCAATCGAGGAGGCAGAGGTTGCAGTGAGCTGAGATCATGCCATTGCGCTCCAGCCTGGGCAAAAAAGGTGAGACTCTGTCTCTAAATAAATAAATGCAACTTACCAGTATTGATAGACTCCAGAAAACAGACTGTTTATCGGGACTTTGTTAGGTAGATTTGTGTGGGGAGCTGGGAACAGCTGAAGAGCTCTTTGATCTCTCTTCTCGGTAGACCAGACCTTAATATAGAAACCAGAGTACACCAATTGGAAAATCAAAATGCAATGGGAATAACTGGGTTACAGGGAAACCTGGGAGCAAGTAGCAACACTCAGTCTTCAAAGACAAGGTTGGCATAGTTATCTCAATGGACAGCAAAGGCGAAGCAACAATCAGGTTCATCTGATTCCTATAGATTTATGTTGCTGGCTAGTTTATAATAGTGTCCTTGGAATTCAAGTACACAGGTAGCCTACTAAATGCTTACTGGATTTGAAAAAGCAGAAAATCTTTAGATCAAATGAACAAGATTCTGCCTCAAATCCTAAGAACCAGAGACTCACAGAACCTCACTCAATTCTCACAACTGAGCCAGTATAGAAGAAATTTTGTATGCAATTAACTAAGCCATAATTAAAAAGGAACTGTTAATAATAGTCTTTCTAAAGAATGGTCCCCTATGTTAAATCAAGATTTTCTTAAGATATCAATTTACTCTTAATAAAATTACAGTAAACTTTGATTTTCTGTTCTATAATCTACTTCTTTTGAAAACTTCTGAGATTCATATCTCAAATGTTCAATTGTTGTCTTGCTACTATCAGCTTTTTCTCCCTTTGATGTGGCCTGGGATGATAACTCTATCCTTCAGCTTCTTGTCAGCTCCTGTAACTTTTCTCCTTACTTCTAAATGTTGTTGTGGCTGATGCTGAAATATTTTATCTTAGAGGTCTATAAAAGAAATGTTTTCCTCCAGGATAACCTGATTGTATACTCTTGATTTTTTTCTTGTTGTTGTTTTTGGTGTGTCTAAATTTTCACTGTAATCAGGAAACTTATCATGCAGCTACTAAGAGTCATGTATTCCCCAGTTCTACTCAAAACCTTGTACACACTCTTCCCATGTTTGATTAAATTCAAGCACTTGTTATCTTAAGTTGTACTTCCAGATTATCTAAATGGGCTTTCTTCTAAGGAGAGGCAGTCACACTAAAAAAGGTTTTCCTTTGACTTTTTGGTAACTGGCTTAAGAAACAAGATTTTACATTTTATCAAGATAGTTCCTATGCTGCCTTTATTAAGTGTTTAATTGCTTTTAAAAAACCCCTGAAATTTGAGAGGAGTAAGGATTTTATACCCGTGTAACTTTTTCTATTGCCTTTAAAGTCTTTCAAAGATCACTTTGGTTAAATGAATAACTATTCATTTACAAGGAACTGTGGTTCAGTTTTGATCAAATATTTTAAGCTTTCTCACATCTTTCACAGACATCTCCAAAACTGAATCCTAAATTAAGTCTCTGACTTCTTGCTGTCACTTATCAAAGCTAAAAAACATTAATCACTATGCAGTGTATCACCACCTCCAATACCCTGAAAAAGTTCTTATCAGGTGCTATTAACTAATCATTGTCATGCTAAGGTACAAGGAACTGACTCCTGGATACATGTAGCTCCTCTAAAGAAGACACAGACTCCTGCCAGCATCTAAGATCAAACTCAACTTAACCAAAGCCTCATCTTTAGACTCAAGCAAAGGCAATAATCAAAGTACACTGCTTTCATGCAACACAGGGACAGGCATGTATTAAACTTTATTTAATAATTTACCTTCTATCTGAAATAGAAATACAAGAAATATAATTTATTCTGTGCCTTAATACTAAATAATTTAAATGTTTATCTACCTATAGGATTCCTTTCCCGTCACTCATTCTTTTTTTTTGAGACGGACTCTTGCTCTGTTGCCCAGGCTGGAGTGCAGTGGCGTGATCTTGGCTCACTGCAATCTCTGCCTCCCGGGTTCAAGCAATTTCCCTGCCTCAGCCTCCTGAGTAGCTGGGACTACAGGCGTGCACCACCACGCCAAGCTATTTTTTTGTCTTTAAGTAGAAACGGGGTTTTACCATGTTGGCCAGGATGGTCTCGATCTCCTGACCTCGTATGCCTGTCTCAGTCCTGTCACTCTTGGAACAAGACAAGGCTTATGGCATTTTTTGCTAAAATGTTGTTAATGGTGAATATTTTGTTTCATTAATATATCCAGAATTTAAAACGGTTCAATTTCTCCAGACCCAGGGACTATCATGGAAGATACGAATGCATGAGTTTGTAAGGGCTGGTTCTTGTGGAATAAAATTAATTCAGACCCCCCAAATAAAGGATGGGCATACAGATGCCTAAACAGCTAAATAAAATACTTATGTTTTCTATAGCTATGGTTCCTATAAGCCAAGATTACAACAGCTCAATGCATAAAGTTCAGAGACAATTCAGTTACATAACCTTACCTTTTGACTTTTAGTTTTTGGCTCTTACATTGCTTAAAAGGGGTTTTAAGGATTAATGACAGCCTGCCGCATTCATTCCAGTCTGGCCTACAGACTGGAATTGGATATAATTGGATATAAGACTTACGATTCTAAGTCCCTTGGCCATAGTGGTAGCACCAAGAAACATGATGGACACAGGTCAGGTAGCATGCTGCTCTGCCATTGACATGAGAGAAAATAAAAGTGTGGCTACCAATACTGTCTCTGGCATACCTTGACAAAAAACGAGAATATAAACTATAAAAGAAAGTCCTAAGCCCCCACCAACTTAATGGACAAACCCTACCCCCATGTTACCCAAAGCAACCTGAAAAACTAATTCAGGCCATGACAACAAGAGGTGTGATGAACAAGCTTCACTACACCTTCCTCCCATTATGGGAATTTGGGCACAACTGATCAGCATTAACGTTACAATAAAAACTGTAAAACAGACTCTTTATAACAATAAAATACTAAACTATGAACAGGACTTAAGAACGTGCCAGGCAAGAGTTAAGTCTCACATTCCTACACTTTAAAAAAAGCAGACTATGTTTACAACTGCCACAAGGTTTCTGTGTTTCTCTAGCAGCCAAGCAAGCATTAGCCTCAAGATAAGGTGACTGACTGACCCCAGACACTGTTCCACCAGCCATAACTACAGATTGAAGTAGACAAGGGACCAATTTCGGTAATTTTCTCCTGATAAAAGATCACTCACCATAAACTAGTTTTGGCCGGTTTACAGTAAATACACACTTGCATGCCTTTGTCTAAAAAGAACTTTTGAAATATAGGGCATAATTATAATACATTTAAAAGTTAAGTCTCTGCCCCAAAATCAATGAGTCATATGTTCCATGGATATTTGTTAATACATAGGTCAGCACCACCTTCATGAACATTTACAACTCCTCCTGTAGCCTGTTAAGTATGTATAGTTAACCAACTTGTCCTCATATCTCCACAGGAGCTCTGGGTAAACTGACATTTGGGGATTTGCACTATAATTAAGACTAAATGCTGTGTGTACTTCCTGGGTAACTCCAGAAACATATCCTCAGCCCTAAAAGACATGCACAAGCAAACTAATGCTATGTCTAATCTCATGATGTCTTTAAATCATATGGCTTTAGATATCTTCACTGCAGCCCAGGGTGGCACTTCTGCATTCATTAAGGCTGACCATTTTACACACATACACACACACACACACACACACACACACAAGATTATTCTCACAATATAACCCAAGCTATGCATGTAGATACCCATATTTCTGCTATAGATGCCCTCTCTCAGGACTCTATGGCATCATGATTTAGTCGGCTTCCTGGTGCATAAAATACTTTTATATATATTATTAATACTGCTAAACGCCCTCTTCAGCTGCTATGAATTTTATTGCTGCTGTACACTCTGCATGGAGATGCAGGAAATCATTCTCAGAAATTCTTGGATCCACACACCATACATGCATAGTAAGTTCCTGCTGAAAACTCAAGAATATTTCCAACTCCAGGTACACAGATTCCATTCTAATGCTCTATAACTAGACCACTTTCAGTAGCAAGCAGACCAAATGAATATGATGCTCCAATTGAATAAAAATAAAGTGGAATTTGACAGTGGGGTGTTGTAAACAAGTACTTCATTTTCCTTAAAAAATATTTACTTTTTCTTTTTCCTGTGTGTTCATGTCTTACTTAGCTCCTTAGAAATGCAAATTCAAACTTTTCCCTCCTTCCTTTCCACCAGCCAAATCACAAGCAAGCACTGTCAGCTTAGCTAAGTATACGTTTGTTTAGAAATTACCAAATCTTGAACGAAAATAAGCATCCACCAGAATTCTCCTCCACAAGAGAGATTGTCTCAAGACATCAGTTAATCCACAACCTGACTCTGTCCCCAGTGATGCTGGGCAGGCTAACGAATGACTCATGACTAGAGATAAGTCATCCATCGAGTCATGCAGATCCTACACCTCCACACCCCTTCTGCGTGCCCTGCTTGCCAATTTTTCTTCTTAAAGCTCTGTTTTCTGCCCAGAAAACTTACATGGTTCCTTTAGATATGAATCCAGCCCTTCCACATTGCTAAGCTCGGGAATAAAGTGACTTTCTTTTTTTTTTTTTTTTTTTTGGAGACGGAGTCTCGCTCTGTCCCCCAGTAGCTGGGATTACAGGCACACGCCACTGTGCTTGGCTAAATTTTGTATTTTTAGTACAGACAGGGTTTCGCCATGTTGGCCAGGCTGGTCTTGAACTCCTGACCTCAGGTGATCATCCCGCCTCGGCCTCCCAAAGTGCTGGGATTACAGGTGTGAGCCACCGCGCCCGGCCAGTGACTTTCTTTTTACTACCCTTCTGTTACTTGATTTTGGAAGTGGCCATGGCCAAACCTGGGTTTCGTAACAAAATGGTGCCAGGCTGTCGTACAACAGATGAGGGGTACATTTTCCTTCAAGCAGGATCTGTCAATTCTGTGTACAGCACTGAAGCCCACAGACCCAGACTGCTGCCATATCTAGCAGGGCAAGTGCCCATCTATTATTACATATTCCCATAAAATACCAGTGTTTTGCTGTGTTGATTGCTTATGTCTCACACATCTTGAACAAATGTCTCCAAACTTGCCTCAGTTTTGACTAAGAAAACAAAAGTAAAATCTAAAAAATTCACAAGCATGAAAACCTTTTGAGACTATTAAACCGGATGAAAATGACAATAAATAAAATATTGAAATTCATTTTTGTAAGCTAATGGCACAAAAATATTTTCTGATCACAGCACATGAGGTACACATTTTCTAACTGGTATTTTTTCTATCACTGAGAACTAAAATCGAATTTAATCATCAGTCATCAAAAATAAGAAAATAATTCATATCTAATAGAATGGGTGATCCATACAGAGAACTGTCATGTACACGTACACGGAGGTGAGGTGGAAGGAATTATGGAGTCCAGTCAATGTCTACATCTTTTGTACAAGGAGAATATGAAACAACATCATGAAGTTCACACCAGCATGGTTAAGAAGACGTTGCTCCTTGCATTCAGATGTGAAGTCTAACTTTCCTGCCACACAAATCAATACCTTGTTAACCTTTCACATGTACAGCAAACTAAGCCATAGAATAGAAAGTTTGACAGATCTTTTTAAGCATAAGAAGATCTTTTTAATGTGGGACAATTTTGCCTTGTGGCTTACAGAATAGTTTCTGTCCTTCTATTTAACCAGAGCTATTTAAGGGGAAATTTCTGGAAAATCATAAAACAGAATGTGTAACGTCTGTCGCTTCTAATAAAAATGATATTAACGTTCAATTTATGAAAGGGAAATAGGAGTAAAGATGAAAATAATTGATATGGTTCATTGAAAAATAATTATGAATGCATTTTTAAAATAGACAAATAACGGCCTTAAATCTATGATACAAAAAAAACATTTGGTTTTAGATGATATTTATATGACCAACAAAAGAGAATATTTATACAAAAGCGTTTAAGACATTTGCACAACAAATTAAATCAAAATCAAGGAGAAATATCACAATGTAAAATCTAAAGTCTTAAGGTGTCATTGGTCAGCAAGCAGAATCATTTTTGAACAAACTCAGCCTTTTTTTTTTTTTTTTTTTTTTTTTTTGAGACGGAGTCTCGCTCTGTCGCCCAGGCTGGAGTGCAGTGGCGCGATCTCGGCTCACTGCAAGCTCCGCCTCCCGGGTTCACGCCATTCTCCTGCCTCAGCCTCCCGAGTAGCTGGGACTACAGGCGCCCGCTACCACGCCTGGCTAATTTTTTGTATTTTTAGTAGAGACGGGGTTTCACCGTGTTAGCCAGGATGGTCTCGATCTCCTGACCTCGTGATCCGCCCGCCTCGGCCTCCCAAAGTGCTGGGATTACAGGCGTGAGCCACCGCGCCCGGCCTCAGCCTTTTTTAAAAGACTTGAATTCCCTACCTCACCCCACAACCAAGGCAGGGAGGCGCTGTCCTTGTGCATGCAGAGCCCCCAGAGAGGCTCTGAGCTCAGAGGCTCCCCTGTGAACCTGTCTTTGTTGGGCATGGTCTGGAGGGGGACTCTGTTCACAGAATCATCTACAGCAGGGCAGTAGGCAGCCAGGGCTGCCTCTCCAGGTTTTCAACAACATTGGCTGTTGTCTAAGATACTAAATACATAAAGTGGATAGTGGTGTTGGGAGACTGCCTAAGATTCACAAGGACGTAGAGATTTCAGAGTCAATAGCAACGTTCTAAAGTTGTATATCCACAGCCTCATTCAAGGTACAGCTGAAAGGATTGCTGTAGGTGCAAGGCATGCACGTCTGAACTTCTTTCACCTCATTATAGAGCAGCTCAGTGATTAAAAGAACAGGCCCTGGGCCAGGCACAATGGATCACGCTTGCAATTCCTATGCTTTGGGAGACTAAGGAGGGTGGATTGCTTAAGGCCAGGAGTTCTAGATCAGCCTGGGCAACAAAGAGAGACCTCCTCTCCATTAAAAAGAATTAAAAATTAGCCGGGCATGGGGGCTTGCACCTGTAGTCCCAGCTACTCAGGAGGCTGAGCGGGGAGGATCACTTGAGTCCAGCAGCTCACACACAGAATGTGTTCCATGTTTGTGCCACTGTACCCCAGTTGGTGTGACAGAACAAAATTATCTCTTAAAAAAGAAGAAAAAGAACAATCTCTAGAGAGAAAATTCTTGAATAGACTCTCTTAATAATAAGAGTGTGGTACTTGCACAGAGATAGAATAAACAACCAATAACTTAAAAATCAGACATATGCATATATAAGCATATATTTAAGTTGCTGCATGGGGGAAACTTGGATTTTTATTAAAATGTTCCAGGGTATTGAATATCCACAGGGAGAAATTAGAATCTGACCTATGACCTGACATTACACACAAAATTAATTATACTTGGTTCATAGACATAAATATAAAAATATTTAGTAGAGTATACAGAACACAATTCAGGAAAATAACTTCAAGACCACGAGGTAGGCTAAGCTGTCTGAAACTAGACCTGAAAAGCATTTACCATGTAAGACAAAACATAATCTATGTAGTTGATGTGAGCAAAGACTGTGGGGCATATAGAATCAAACTCAAGGTTCCTTTAGGCCTCTCCTTTCGAGAGTTAGCTCAGACTTGGAAATGGACCAGAGGAGCGGGAATAGTGCTTACTTCCTGAGATGGCAGGTGGATTGTATGAAATGATAACATATAAACCACGTAGTATCTTACTAAGCCTACACTAACCCCAAAAAACAAATATTCTAATAAATTGTGAGATGTATCAATTGCATCAGTTGTAATGTGTCATTATTTCCTATATCAGAATGAAAGAACAAAATCACTAACAATGAAACTAATACTTTTATCATGTGGAAATACACTGTATAATAATAACATCATTATATTATAATTATTGGAAAAAAAGCTGTTTTCAAGACATATATCTGTGGATATTTGTCTTGTCTTTTGTCACTCCTATGATTACATGGGATGGAACATATAAGGAAAATACACCAACAAAGGTTTTCCTAAATTTCCTCCCATTCAGATCCAACTCTCCTAAATCACTCTTCAATTCATCTTGCTCATGGTGTTCCCCATGTTATCATCATTTGTGCTAATCTGAGGATTTGGTGATGCTGCATTTCCTGTGAGATTCCTACCTTGCTCCTGCGAGTCTCTATTTTCAACCTTCTGAAACCTCCTGTGCAAGATTTGATGCTGATGTTGATGACATCACCCAAAAACATCAACAGGAGGTTTGCAGACAAAGCTCATATACAGGTAAATGAGGACAATCACATTATGACTGCCTTCCCGTCAACAGTGTTTTAACGCTTTCAAATTTAAGATGCATCTGTATTTGATAGATGTGAAAATGTGCACTCTACGATGAATGGAATACACTGTTTTCTCTGTGACTGCTTGTTTCTCACTGTTAAATTATGGTGGCTCATTGGCTATATTCTTGTTTGTTATTGAGGAAATATGCTTAAATCTTACCATATAAATTTATAAACTGCATTTATATTCTACCTGGAAGCTTCACCACTGCCCTCCATTAGGGAAGTCCAGTTTGTCCACTTCTCATTAAAGTGAGTGTCCAGAGAGGTGTTATAAACTGCATTTATAATTTTAGACACATTAGAGTTATTAGTGGAGTGCTAGAATTCTTATGTCACATATGGAAATATAGTTCTATGAACCATGGTTTAAGAAATCCATTGAAGACAAAGATGAAAATTGTAAAGAGTTACTTGAAAAATTTACTGGAGTGCTAGCTCTCTAAAGACGTGGGAAAATCCTGTATTTTGAAACTTTAAACTGTAATCTTAGAAATATGAGCAACGCTTCCTGTAAACTTCATTACAGATTCCATTCTTTCAGCTGTAACATTTGTATATCTTTTTCTTCATTCACATTTGTCCTTTTAATCACATGGCTGGTGATCGTAGAAATCACCTTATGATTAGTCACTGCAGAAGTGAATGCATAATGGTCTTTATAAGATATTCTGATCTGCCCCCTTGCTTCTCTGGTCAACTCTACTTTGGGTAATTGGATATTGGAATCGGTTTCGATGTCCCCTCATGAGTACACTGAGTGATGAAAAAACTCATACAGTCAGAGTTAAGGGGGCTGACTGAAATTTCACCTAGAGTTTTAGACTCCGGGAAGGTTGAATTAAGTAAACACAAAGCCATGCCATTACATATATGAGACATTCCTTCCTTGAACTCAATCTTCTTATCAGGTTAGAGTGTGGAGACAGAGCACTGGGTTTGCCTCATGATGTCGTCTAAAAATGTGGTTTGTTTGCAATAGCATCTTCTGTAGACTTGTGGTGTCCAGACCAGCCTCTATACAACTGTTGATTTAGGATACTGTGCGAAATCATATCTTCCATGCAGTGAAAGTTTGTCTGGGGACTCAGTGCTCAGCACTTTGTCATCTGTGCCTGTGACATCCTGCTATTCAAGATTTATGGATGTCAATGGGAGTTTAATATGTACCTCCATGGCTTTGTAGGCCTTTTAGGCATGGTTCCTGAAAACAACTCTGCTGCTACTAAGAAGAGTGCAATGGCCTCTTAATAGGAAGCTGTGTGGAGAATTAGTGGGCAGCGAGTACACATGCAGAGTCATCAGTCACCCTGTTTCTGTCTCTCAGATCACTGCATGGAGGGTTGGAGATATGCTGTATACTGGTTTTTTTGTTTGTTTGTTTTTTTGTCTACTGAGATTTCTCTTCTTGTGCACAACATGTATATATCACTCAGTATCATTCACCTGCAAAAACTCTGTTGTAAAGTTTTATTCCCAGGCCTCTGGAAGCAGGGACTGCCCTGCACCAACTTATGAGAAATATTTTTTGTACTCTGCTTACCTGCTATCTTGATGGCTTTAGGGTTGGCCAAAGGCAATATAATTCCACCATGTGAGTATCAACAGAGTGCACAGTCCTGCACAGTTCCTGATGGAGCCTGTAGAAAGAAGCAAAGTAAATTAGAACAGGTTTTCTGAAAGGTTTGAAGGTAAAGTTGACCTTGGGTTACTTGAAGAAGAAATCCCCGTACCAAGAAAACATGATCCTGAATGCAGAAATATGATTTCTGTTCCCTGTCACTGAAATTTCTTATTCTTGCCTTATATCATCTGGAAGTCATGTCTTCCAAAAAGGTTAGTGGGATCCTGAATATACTCTGCTAAATGCTGTCCTAAAATGGGGTTTTCTGGGATATGTGAAAAACAGGCATCTTCCTTTCAAGAAGTGGATGCTGACGCTCTAATGACTAGGTAGTGGGGAAGGAGAAAGAGGATAAGAGTCCTTGGAGCTTGATGGTACCTTCCTGAAGGAGTGGCACCTGGGTTTCGAATGTTGCCTAGAAAAGAAAAGCCAGTTTACTATTCTCTCCCTACATGCCCACTTGTATCTGGAGGCAAAAGTTTTTTGCTGATGTCTTTACTTGCTTACTTTTCTTAAAAAAATAATAATAATATTAAAAAACATATTTATTTTGAAATAACTGCAGATTTACATAAATGCACATAGGTAAGTACAGACAGTTTCATATACCATTCAGCTAACTAGAATGTTAATATATATTATAACCATAGCATATTCATGAAAACTAAGAATTTAACTGTTTTTCGAGATTATTAACTGATCTACAAACTTCCTTCATATTTTACCAGGTTTTTTAATAATCATATACTTATCTATTCCAGGACCTAATCCAGAATACCACCTTACAATTACTGTCAAGTATATTACTTACTACTTGGTGCATAACAAATTAGTACGTACCTTAGTGGCTCAGAACCACACACATATTACTCACGGTTTCTCTGGGTCTTCGGTCTAGATGTAGGTGATGGCTCAGGCTGAGGCTCAGCTGGGGAAGGGTCTCCTTCCAAACTCACATGATTGTTCTTAGGATTCACTTCCCTTCCCTCATCAGGAACTCACTGATGTGTTATTAAAATCACAGAAAATTAATACTAATTTATCAAAAATATTTCAAAACAATACAATAATAATAAAGAAGTAGAAAATAGATTACTTCCCATTGTATACTATGAATTCGTTTACCCTGATTGAACAACTACACAAATATATTTCAAATAAGGAGAATGAAGACCAATATGCCTTATAAATACAGAGACAAAAATCACCAGGGAGACATTATCAAATGAAATCAGCAACATGTAGAAAGTATTATAAACTATGGCAAAAGGTATTTACCTCAGGAATGCAAGTTTGGTTCAACATATGATACAATTAATGTCATACACTATATTAATAAAGAATAAAAACTACACAATCATCTCAGAAGGTGTGCAACAAGCACTTGAAAATTCCCAGATTCAGTATTATAAAAACATGCAGCAAATTAGGCAGATAAGAGAACTTTCTTCATTTCAAAGGGCATCTATGAAAAGCTCACATATCATCATAAGTAATCTGAAAGGTTCACTAATTTCTCTGATATTAGAAACAAGTCACCTATTTCCACTGTTCACACTTGTTTGCAACATTGTACTGGAGAATGTAGACAGGGCAAATCATTTAGAAAAATATAATATTTCTAATATGGAAAGGAAGTCAAACTCTCACTGTTTGCAAATGACATGATCTCATGTATAAAAAGTCCAAAGGACTCTAATCAAACATGTTTAGAATTTAAAGATGAGTTCAAAGAAGTTTGCAGTATATAAAATATATAAAATATTTTAAATTTCTCTATACTAGCAATTAACAATCTAAAAACAAAACTCAGAAAATCGTTGCAATTGAGATCACATCAAAAATACTTAGGAATAAGCTTATCAAATTAAGTATAAGATATGTACACTAAAAACGATAGAACGCATATTGAACAAAATTAATAGAAAATCTTTGAATGCTCATTGTTTAGAAGGGTTAATATTGTTAGGTAGGCAATATTTTCCAAACGGATCTATAGAATTAATGCAACTTCTCTCAAAACCCCAGGTGGCATTACCTTCCCCTAAATTCAGAAGCTTATCCTAAAATTATATATAATATAGATACTGAGCAGCCAAAACACTCTTGAGAAGGACAAAAAGGGTTTGCATAGTAGACATATGCTTCCTGATTTCAAAACTTACTACAAAGTAATAGTAATCAAGATTTGTGGTACTAATATAGGGATATATGTATTGATCAATGGAGTAGAATATAATACTCAAAAATGAATCCTTACATTTATGGTGAAATGCTTTTATAATGTGGCCAAATAAATTAGGTATGAAGCAATATTTTCTTGTCAAATGTTTCTGGGTCAAGTGGATATCCACATGCAAGTTAGACTCTTGCCTCATACCAGAAACATAATTGACTCAAAATGATAATCCATCTAAACATAAGAGCTAAACAGACCAAACCCATAAAAAGGAACACAGGAATACATCTTTGTGGTCTTTGGTTAAACAATGTTTTAAGATATGACACTGAAAAATTACAAAGAAAAGTAGAAAATATAGAAATGATAAACCTCATTAGAATTAAAACCTTTTGCAATTTAAAGTCCACCATCAAATACAAAGAGGCACCCAAAGAATGGCAGAAAATATTTGAAAATTGCAAATTTTATAGGTGGTAATGGTCTATTATCCAGAATACGCAATGTCTTACAACTCAAAATTAAAAAGGCAAATATCCCAATCAAAAATGGCAAAATCTTACATAGCCAATTCTCAAAAAGCCATAGTCGTATCCAAAATCACATGAAAATATGCTCAATGTCTTTTGTCACTATGAGGTAAGAGACTGGAAGGACTTGTTTTCTGGTTTCACAGCCTTGATGACCAAAATAAGATCTGCTCCAGATAGGATAAAGTGAAAAAACTGGCAGAAGCCTGTACATTGTGGCAAATGTCACCCTGGCAGTCTTCATTTGTCACTCACATAAGACACTCCTACCAACCACATAACTCTTTACAAATTCCATGGCCACAACTCAGAAGTTACTGCCCTTTCCATGGAGACAACCTAGAAGTCACTGCCCCTTTCCTGCCTCAATTTGCATTGACTGCCCCTCAATTTGCATGTAATTAAAAGTGGGTTTCATTGCATATAAATACAGTTGCCAAGAGGCCTATATGTTGCCACCTCTGAATACACTGCTTAAGAGTTAACCCTGCTCCGCTAGGAGCACTACCATTCAATAAAATATTGCAGTCTAACATCACCCACTTGCCCTTAAATTCTTTCCTGGACAAAGCTAATAACAAAGTAATTGTCCATCAACGATAGACTGTATAAAGAAAATGTGGCACATATACACCATGGAATACAACGCAGCTATAAAGAAGAACCAGATGATGTCCTTTGCAGGGACAGGAATGGAGCTGCCAGTCCATTATTCTTAGCAAGCTAACACAGGAACAGAAAACCAAATACCTCCATGTTCACTTATAAGTGGGAGCTAAATGATGAGAACACATGGACACATAGAGGGGAACAACACACTCAGAGTTCCTGAAACCATTGGTCTGGATTCCGATGAATGGGGCAATCAGACACACAAGCACACCAAGGCTTAACCATTCTGGCCACTGGAAGGGAAAGAAACTACCCAGGAATGCCACCTGCTTCCAACTAGCTGGTCCCATGATTGGGGCTCTAGGGAATTTCTCTTTACCTGCTGAGATGTTTCTGTCTTGGGGAACTTCCTTTCTCTTCTTGCCACTGCACCAGGTGCTGACTACACTTCCTTACCACAGGGCAAGTGACATCTGAAGAGGCTGACAGACTTCAGAGCTGGGTAAGGCAACCAGAATACCCCCTGAACTGCCTCTGCCTGTTCTGTGATGTCACCTGACCTCTGCTCTGTTTACATATAGCTGCTTGTGACATCATCTGGGCATGTATGGTATCTGTATCTATGTCAAGACCTGGGCTTTGCTCCACTTGGAGTCAGCTGATTGGCAGGAGGGCATCTGAAATTGAGAGGAGGTTTCAGGCCGTTTACCCAGCCCTTTAGTGGGGATCTGTCCGGGACTCTGCAGTCTGAACCTGCAACTGTAAAAGGTACAATATCTACATTTAGGCCCTCATCTCTGTCTCTCTCTCCTCCTCCTCCTTTCCTCTGCAGGGTGATCTGCATAAGCCCCACTCCATCCAGGATCCAGCCCTGGAGGGAAATAGCCTCCACTGCCCTAGCAGGGTCACTCTTTTTGGGGCCCTGGAGTACTTCTCACAACTGTGCCAGTTTTTATGGGGAAAGGAAGGATGTGAACTATTCCATAGGTTATCTAAAGGGCTTGCCACCATGCTTACGGTGCTTAATGTTGTTTATGTGAAAAAAAGCTTAACAGCATATGGGTTAAGTGTTTAGGCAGTCCTGACTCCAACCCCTCTGCCCTTTTTATCTGCCTAATTTACCATTTAATTTGTTGCCATTCGGTTACCCTCTACTAGGGTACTAAGTACAGCAGAACATGGACCTGGGATGAAGTTGATGTGCTGTTGGGGCTGGGCGGGGGGCGGAGTGGGGGTGGTGGTGGGGGAGTGCTGTGCTAGCTGGTGCTAATCAGTAGCCTGCCCAAGGAATTTATTCTCTGATCTCTTTGGCTGTCCCAGCTGTGTGGTGTGATTTGCACAAGTGTTCCTTTAGGACCATGAGTGCTATTACTGCACTACTTATATGAAGCTAGAAAAGTCTTTCCAACCCACAGAGGTCTGGTTGAAGGACATGAGCAGTGCAGAACAGAAGAGAGACAACAAATAAAAGTGGTCATCACTGTTTCAACTGGGAAGAGCAGTATGGATATAGAAACCAAGTCAGGAGGGGAAACAAGGTCTCTATCCCCTCTGGGAGCCCCTGGGGCATACCCTAGCTAAGTGTAGATCCTATACCTATGAGCCCTTGACTAAGAGAAAAACGGTCTATTATTGCAGTGCTGTTTGGACTGTGGACAAGTTAGGTTATAAATTTTGACCTCTGACTGGACGTAACCAATACTAGTCTTTAATGCAGTTAGACTCATTTTGTCAGAGGTCTGGAAAATTAGAAAAAATACCATATGTCCAAGCCTTCATGCTTTTTGAAAATCAGGATTCATACCATGAGGGAAGACGCCAGCTGCCAGCTGTACCAAGGGACAGAATGGAAAAAGGACTCTTCACAAGCCAGATAGCCAAACTCAGGCAGAAAGCAATGAAGAAGAATTAGGACTTTTAAATGTCCTACACCCAAGCTGTTTTAGCAGCTCCAACCACCACAGCCAGAACGCACCTGGCCTCTGCTCCACCCCAACAGCTCCCACTGCGGTACCGCCATACGGGGCCCTTAGCGCCGGCCTCTGCGTTGGCCCGGATTGCCTTGATGCTACCAAGTGAGGCATCAGACCAATAAGAGGGAGCTACTCTGCCTCCTCAGTATAATGAGATAACAGAGATGGCCTCTCCCTCCAGTGCTTGACAGGGTACACAATTAAGCAAGGAAGTGCCATTTCAGGAATGCTAAGAATCCTCATCTCAGAATGAGGAATGACTTCCATGAAGCTGAATGTCTCTTCCAAGTTTCTAGGTCACAGGAGCTCATTTTCTCACTGTCACTATTACCATGGTGTAGAAAATAGACCCCATGTTTATAAACCAAAAAACAAGTCAACATTATACATGGCCATTGGTGTGCAGAATGAAGTCTGATGTCTTTGTGGGTTTTTAGGCATGGTCCCTGGAAACAACCCTGGTGCTGTCCAGCAGCGTGTTGAACAGGAAGTTGTGTGTGCGGTGAGTGGAGAATCCTTCCTGCTCTGGGATTCTCTGTTTAGCCAGCACATATGCAGAATCACCACTCAGCCTCTGTCTATCTCTTAGATCACTGCTGGAGGGTTGAGGATATGTTGTATTTTCTTCCTTCCTATCCTTCCTTCCCTTTTTTGCCTCTTTCCTTCTTTCTCTCTTTCCTCTCTCTCTCTCTCTCTCTTTCTTTCTTGGGTCTGACTTTATTGCTCAGGCTGCAGTGCAGTCACACAATCACGGCTCACTGCAGCCTTGACCTCTTGGGCTCAATCCATCCACCTGCCTCAGCCTCCTGAGTAACTGGGACCACCAGGGTGTGCCATTATACTCAGCTAATTTTACTATTTTTTTGTAGAGAAACAGTTTTTCCATGTTGCCCAGGCTGGTCTTGAACTCCTGGACTCAAGCCATCCACCCACTTTGGCCTTCCAATGCGCTGGCATTACAGGCATAAGCCACCACACCTGGCCTGTTGTTTTGCCTCTATCAGGTTTTCCATGCCTGTGCAAAAGCTATTTTGAATCTCAGCTGCCAAAAATCTGGTGTGAAAAGATTTTTTTGTCCAGGTCCAGATAAGTAGAAACTGCCAAAACCACCAACAACCATATATATATATATATATATATATACATATATATCTTTGTATTCCACTCACCTGCTGTCATGATGATGCCCATTTGGTGACTTTGGGGCTTGGGGATTGCTGATATAATTCTGGTATTCAACAGAATACAAGGTTCCATAAAATTCCTGATGGAGATCGTGGAGTGAAAAGAAATTATCACAGAATTCCAACAAGGCTTGAAGGCAGAATTATCTTTAGAAAACTAAGCCTGTATTAATAAAAAAAACATAATATGAAAATATAATTTATATTTCTTGTCACTAACATTCCTCAATCTTGGTCTTTGGCATCCAGAAACTTTGTCTGCCAAAATATGTTCAGTGGGATCCTGTAGATATGTTCCTAAATGATATCTGAAAATGGGCCTTTCTGGGGTATGTGAGGCATAGGCAAATATCTCTGAAAACAGAGAGGTTACTGACACTCAAACGAGTTACTTGGTAATAAAGAGTGTGATGGGGAGGTCAAATATGGACAAGAGTTCCTTGAGTTTGATAGTGGCTTCCTGAAGTAGATGGATGTATGTATGGAAGGGTAAATGTATGCGAAAATCTGCTTGGCTATTTTTTTTCTGTATGTCCATTCATCTTCTGAGGCCAATTTTTTGTTTGAGTCTTGATCTCCCTCTGTTTCCCAAGCTGGAGTGCAGTGACACAATCATGGCTCACTTCAGTTTGGAACTCCTGGGCTCAAGCAATCCTCCCAAGTCAGCCTCCCCAGAAGCTGGGATAACATATGCATGCCTGTCTTTTTTAATTAAAAATAAAAAATCAAAGATTTCATTTTAAAATAATTTTAGATACACATAAAGATGCAAACATAGTATAGCTAGTTTTACATACCCAGGAGTTTACTAGAATGTTACATCTTATTTATATACCCATAATGTATTTATGAAAACTAATAAACTTACAGTGGCTTAAAACTATTAACTGAACTACAGACTTTCTTCTGAGTTTACCAGGTTTTCTAGTAATGCCATTTTTCTGTTCCAGAATCTAATCCAGGGTAGTATTAGAAATTAAATGTGCTATCTTTTGTATTAGTTATCAGTTGCTGCACAACAAATTGCCACATAGTGTGATGGCTCAAAATCACACACACATTACTTACAGTTGCTCTGGGCCAGGAATCCAGATGTAGATGATGTCCACGGCTGAGGTCTCAACTGAAGGCTCATCTGGAGAAGGATTCCCTCAAAGCTCATGTGATAGTTGCTAAGATTCCATTTCCTACCCTGGACTGATCACGGTGGGTCAAACTTGTAATCCCAATGCTTTGGTAGGTTGAGGCAGGAGGATTACTTGAGGCTAGGGGTTCAGGACCAGCTTGGGCAACATACTTAGAACCTGTTTCTACCACACAAAAAAAAGGAAGGAAGAAAAGAAGAAAAAAGATTAGCCAGACATGGTGGCATGTGCCTGTGGCCCCAGCTACTCAAGTGGCTGAGGCAAAAGGATTGCTTGACCCCAGGAGTTCAAGTCTGCAGTGAGCTACATTCATGCCACTGTGCTCCAGCCTGGATGCAGAGTGAGACCCTGTTTGTGAAAAAAAAAAAATTTCCTGACTTGGTCAAGAAGACATCACCAGTGAATGATTTTACATCTTCAAATAATTAATACCAATTTATCATATATTTTTCAAAAAATAAACAGTAAACCCCAAGCCTGTGGCACCTAGCAGTGAAATGAGGAGCAAGCAACAGAGCCAAGCATTTTGAGATAATGTGGTCTTGTCCCTCCGTCCATCAGCCATAATCACTTGCAATTCAAATTCCACTTCCCAGAGAGGGAGGAAACTGGTGGCAGCCACATGTGCAGCACAGCAGTGTCAGCTCCAGCAACACCGCAGTCCCCAGGGTGTGCCTGCGGCTTCACGGATGTCACCTGCTGCACTGGTTTGCCAACTGTTTGTTTTTCTAAGTCCTCATCTTGGAATAGGTAACAACTTTAATAATAATATTTAAATCCTTGTTTTGCTCAACTTTTAAGTTTTTAAAAACTGTGATATTCCATTTTTTATAGATATTTATGAAGGCTCACAAAATGTGTCACTTCAAATGTCTACATGTTAGGTCTCCTGAGCATACAAACTAAATTGACCTTAATGAAATACCAGAATTAAATCTGATATTTCTTTTAAATAATGAGGACCTGTTAACCCACATTTTCATCTTTGTCTATACTTGTAGGTAATGTATTTAAAGAAAGAAATATGCAAAACAATGAAATCATATTAAAAAGAGTAATTTATCACCCACCTTTCTCTCTCCCTTTCTAGTGTTTTCTAAATCTCCATCTATGTAGCCCAATTACATCTTTTTACTACTCTGATTTGGTTTTATTCACTTATACAATATAATTGTTTGCAAAGTCTGAAAATTATCTTGAAAAAATGTACATTTTTTCTCCTTTTCATGTGTTCAATTCTATTTGTGCTAGATCAATTTAGACCTTTCACATAAAAAACAGTAAGAGCAACACGAAGAATAGATCACTTTCCAATCTGAGTTATCAGCCTTATACCACAGCTAGACAAAGTTACTGAAGAAAAACTATGATCAATATGACTTATGAACATAAAAACAAAAATTAAAGGGAATACTATCAAAGCAAATAACTGGCATGTAAAAATTTATAAATTTTGATGAAGGTATACATCTTACGAATGCAAATTTAGTTCAACATACGAAAAGAATTGGTGCCATAAACTATATTAAGAGATAAGGGACACAATACACATGGTCATCTTAAAAGATGAGCAATAAGCACCTGCTAAAGTGAAATTTCATTCCTTATAAAACCATGCAAAAAGTTAGGCAAATAAGAAAAGTTTCCTTATCATGAAAGCACAGAAAACCTCACATGACATCCTAAATCTTCTGAGAAGCTCAAGAACTTTCTTGTAAAATTAGAAACAAGAGAAGGATATCACTTTCACAGTATTAGTCGCCACTGTACTGGAGGATGTGGCCAAGGTAATTGGTGTAGAAAATAAACATAACGCAGTCCGATTGGAAGGAAAGTCAAATTATGTCTCCAAATGACATGATCCTGTCTATAGACATCATAAAATCTCTAATAAAACATAACAAAATATGAAAAAAGGGATAAGCAGGCTTGTAGTACAGCTTAGTACAGGTCAATATACAAAATCAACTGTATTTTTATTTATTAGCAATTAACAATCTAAAAACAAAATTTCAAAAACCATTTCATGTAAAATGGCATAAAAGTTAAATACCTATGAATTAATTTAATAAAATAAGTATAAGATACATATACTGAGGACTACAAAACATATCAAACAAATTAATACTATTATAAATTAAATACATTGAGCTTTCACTGATTAGAAAGCTTAGTATCATTAGCTTGCTGGTACTTTCCAAATATATCTAATGCAATCCCTAGCTAAATCCTAGGTGACATTTTCTCCCCTAATTGACAATTTTACTCTAAAATTCATATATAATGCAATAGAATTCCAGAACAGACAAAATAATTTTGAAAAAGAACAAAGTTTGTGTAGTAAAATGCTACTTTCTGATTTCAAAACATACCACAAAAGCAATAGTAATCAAAATTGTGTTAAGGATATGGAACAACAAAAGACCCAGAATAGCCATAGCTATCCTAAGCAGAAAGAACAAAACTAGAGGAATTACATTACCTGACTTCCAATTATACTAGAGAGCTATAGTAAATGAAACAGCAAGGTATTGGAATAAAAATACCCATATAGACCTATGGAACAGAATAGAAAACCAAGGAACAAATCCACAACCCTACAGTTATGTCATTTTTGACAAAGTTGCCAAGAAGGTACACTGGGGAAAAAGCCAGTCTCTTAAATAAATGGTGCTGGGAAAACTGGTTATCCATATGCAGAAGAATGAAACTAGAACTCTGTCTCTCACTGTATGCAAAAAATCAAGTCAAAATGGATTAAAGACTTAAATTGAAGACCTCCAACTACGAAAGTACTACAAGAAAACATTAAGGAAACTCTCCAGTATGTTGGTCTAGGAGAAAATTTCTTGAGCAATATCCCACAAGCATACGCAACCAATGCAAAAATGGGCAAATGAGATCATATCAAGTTAAAAGCTCCCGTACAGCATAGGATATAATCAACAAAGTGAAGCGACAATCCACAGAATGGGAAAAAATATTTGCAAACTACCCATCTGATGGATTAATAACTAGAATATATAGGCAGCTCAAACAACCCTATAGGAAAAAAGTCAAATAATCCAACCAAAAAAGGACAAAATATTGGAATAAGTATTTCTCAAAAGACATACAAATGGCAAACAAGCATATGAAAAGGTGCTCAAAATCATTAATCATCAGAGAAATGCAAATCAAAACTACAATGAGATATCATCTCACCCCAGGTAAAATAGCTTTTATCCAAAAGACAGGTAATAACAAATGCTGGTGAGGATGTGGAGAAAAGCAACCCTTGTACACAGTTGGTGGGAATGTAAATTAGCACAACCACTATGGAGAACAGTTTGGAGGTTCCTCAGAAAACTAAAATTGAGCTACCAAATATACCCAGCAGTAGGCTGCTGGATATATACCCCAAAGAAAGGAAATCAGTATATCAACGAGATATCTGCACTCCTATGCTTGTTGCAGCACTGTTTACAACAGCTAAGATTTGGAAGCAATCTAAGTGTCCATCAACAGATGACTGGATAAAGAACATATGGTGCATATAAACAGTGGAGTACTATTAAGCCATAAAAAATAAAGAGACCCAGTCATTTGTAACAACAGGGATAAAACTGGAGATCACTATCTTCAGTGAAATAAACCAGGCACAGAAAGACAAATATCACATGTTGTCACTTATTTGTGGGTTCTAAAAATCAAAACAGTTGAACTCATGGATACAGAGAGTAGAAGGATGGTTAACAGAGGCTGGAAATGGTAGCAGTGGGCTGGGGGAAGGTAGGGATGTTTAATGGTTACAAAACAAATAGAAAGAATGAATAAAACAAACTGTTTGATGGCATAACAGGGTAACTATGAAAGTCAATAATAATTGTATATTTTTACAAAACTTAAAAAGCATAATTGAATTGTTTGTAACTCAAAGGATAAATGCTCATAGAGATAGTTGTCCAATTCTCCATGATGTGTGCTTATTTCACATTACATGCCTGTACCAAAACATATCATGTACCGTGTGTGTGTATATCTACTACGTGAGAAGGAGAGATGTTGTGGGAAGTCAGAGACCCGGAACCGAGGGACTGGCTGAAGCCATGGCAGAAGAACGTGGATTGTGAAGATTTCATGGACATTTACTAGTTCCCCAAATTCAGACTTTTATAATTTCTTACTCCTGTCTTTACTGCAATCTCTGAACATAAATTGTGAAGATTTCATGGACACTTATCACTTCCCCAATCAATGCCCTTGTGATTTCCTATGCCTGTCTTTACTTTAATCTCTTAATCCCATCATCTTCGTAAACTGAGGAGGATGTGTGTCGCCTCAGGACCCTGTGATGATTGCATTAACTGCACAAAGTGTTTGTAGAGCATGTGTGTTTGAACAATATGAAATCTGGGCACCTTGAAAAAAGAACAGGATAACAGCAATGTTCAGGGAACAAGAGAGATAACATTAAACTCTGACCGCCAGTGAGCTGGGCAGAACAGAGCCATATTTCTCTTCTTTCAAAAGCAAATGGGAGAAATATCACTGAATTCTTTTTCTCAGCAAGGAACATCCCTGAGAAAGAGAATGCGATCCTGAGTGTAGGCCTCTAAAATGGCCACTTCGGGGGCAGCCATCTTTTATGGTCAAAGATGTATGGATGAAATAAGCCCTAGTCTCCCATAGCGCTCCTAGGCTTATTAGGATGAAGAAATTCCCGCCTAATAAATTTTGGACAGACTGGTTGTCTGCTCTCAAATGCTGTTTCCTGATAAGATGTTATCAATGACAATGCATGCCTGAAACTTCATTAGCAATTTTAATTTTGCCTCAGTCCTGTGGTCCTGTGATCTCGCCCTGCCTCCATTTGCCTTGTGATATTCTATTACCTTGTGAAGCACGTGATCTCTGTGACCCACACCCTATTCGTACACTCCCTCCCCTTTTGAAAATCACTAATAAAAACTTGCTGGTTTTACGGCTCGGGGGGCATCACGGAATCTGCCGACCTGTGATGTCTCCCCCAGACACCCAGCTTTAAAATTTCTCTCTTTTGTACTCTGTCCCTTTATTTCTCAGACCCGCCGACACTCAGGGAATCTAGAAAAGAACGTACGTGAAATATCGGGGGTGAATTTCGCCTGATATCTGGCTGAATTTCCCCCAATAGTGAGACATATATATCAATGGAATAAAATCAAATGTCGAAAATTAATTCTTACATGCATGGTAAAACAATTTTACAAGGTTGACAGGTCAATTCAATATAAAGAAATATTTCCTCACACAGTGTTGCTGGGACAAATGGACATTTACATGGAAGTTATCTCCTCCCTAGCACCATATGCATAATTGACTCAAATTAATTATGCATCTAAATATAGGGGCCAAATAGACCAATTCCATAGAACATAAGAATACATTTTCATCGCTGAAATAAATTGGATCTTTGTCCCCACCAAATCTCATGTCAAATTGTAATCTGCAGTGTTTGCCATGGGATCTGGTGGGAGGTGATTGGCTCCTGAGGGTGATTTTCATGAATGGTTTTAGCACCACTGGTGTTGTTCTCCTGATAGTGGGTGAGTTCTCACAAGATCTGGTTGCTTAAAAGTGTGTAGCACTCCAGCCCCTCTCTTCATCCTGCTCTGGCCGTGTGAAGTGCTGGCTCCCCCTTTGCCTTCCACCATGATTGGAAATTTCCTGAGGCCTTCCCAGAAGCAGAAGTCACTATGCTTCCTGTACAGCCTGCAGAACCATGAGCCAATTAAGCCTCTTTTCTATATAAATTACCCAGTCTCAGTATTTCTTTATACCAATGGGAGAACAGACTAATACAGTAGCCTTGGGTTAAACAATGGTTTCTAAGCTATGACACCTAAAGCAAATGAACATAATTTTAAAAAGACATAAAGAACTTCATCAGAAATCAAGTATTAAAATTAAAAAACAGACATATTGAACTCATTACAAAAAAGTATTGTGTGACTCAAAGTACATGGTTAAAAGTAAAAAGGCAACACCAAAGAATGAGAGAAAATCTTCAAAAATCTCATAGCTAATTAGGGTCTGTTATCCAGAATAGATAAAAAGTCTTACTTCTCGAAAATAAAAAGGCAAACATCTTAATCAAAAATGGCAAATAATTTGAAGAGTCATTTTTCCAAAAATGTTGTAGTTTTGTCCAATAAACACGAGAACATGCTCAATTCTTTTGTTATTCAAGAAATGCAAATCTAAACAACCATAAGATATACTTTACAAACCTAAACAGCATTTTGATAACTAAATAAAACGAGTTGGAAAAGGCAAAATACTATCTGATGCCATTTATATAACACTCTGAAAAAGAAAAAAGTACAGAGACAGTAAAGTATTCGGTGAGTATGAAGGGATTGGACCACAGAAAATTTGAATCAGTAAAGTACAAGAAATGTCTCTGGGGCTGTGAAATTGTTCTATACGACAACGTGACACTGAATATGTGACACTGTTATTCAAGACCTACAGAACTTCATAACACACAGATGGTAAAATAAAAACCTTATTTAGGCCAGGCGCCATGGCTCACACCTGTAATCCCAGCACTTCGGGAGGCTGAGGTGGAGGGGATCACTTGAAGACAGTTGTTTGACACCAGCCTGGCCAACATGGCAAAACCCTGCCTCTACTAAAAATACAAAACACAAAAATCAGGCATGCATGGTGGCACATGCCTATAATCCCAGCTACTTGGGAGGCTGAGGCAGGAGAAGTCCTTGAACCTGGGAGGCAGAGGTTGAGGTAAGCCAAGATCACACCACCGAACTCTAACCTGGGCAACAGAGCGAGACTGTATCCAACAAAAAAAAAAAAAAAAAAAAGCCTTATTTAGTTGATAGAGAGAGATTAACTAAATATTATAACTGTATAACAAATGTGTGAAATAAGCTCACTAGAGTGGGAAAAGGGGGCTAACCTAAGTAAATTAGGAAATAGAGGGAAATTCTGAGATTCTAAGTCAAAAGGACAAATAATTTGTATATAAGGACTTAGTTTTAGTTGGTAAAGTAGTTTCCCAGGGGTGTATAAATTACTACTTTTGAAAACACTATGCATGTTTTTTTGGATGATATCATTATGTTAATAAAGCCAACTAGTTCCATGTTAGAGGTGCAAGCTACATACAAGCGAGTTGGAACAGGTAGACAGCTTCATGTGGTACTGAATTAGATCATGTGCTGCCAGAAACATTACGTGGAACTCATGGTTAGTTTAATATAGATACCTATGCATACATGTTGAAGTATTTATACACTTGTATATATTTGTAAGTCAGTAAACACATGGGTATTCTTTTGCTCAGTCAGCTGACACGGCCTCAAGTCATCAGATGCCCTAGGGGCAATGAATATACCACAGTCTCTAGATCTTCATTTCTAATCCCATTTTCCATTCAAAGGAACTAGGGCATTGTGAAGAAACGGTGGATAAAATAGGGTTAGACAGCGAATAAACACAATCAGCCTGCAGCACCTAGTAGTGCCAGAAGAAAAGAAAATGCCAACCAACGATGCAACAAACCAAACAGCCACACAACACCAACAAACCATAATTATGGGGAGATTTCAAAATTATAGACGATCCAACTGAAAGAAAGTCCCAGCCGGGAGCGGTGGCTCACGCCTGTAATCCCAGCACTTTGGAAGACCAAGGCGAGCAGATCATGAGGTCAAGAGATCAAGACCATCCTGGATAACATGGTGAAACCTTGTCTCTACTAAAAATACAAAAAATTACCTGGGCATGGTGGCAAGCGCCTGTAGTCCTAGCTACTCAGGAGGCTGAGGCAGGAGACTGGTGTGAACCCAGGAAGCAGAGGTTGCACTGAGTCGAGATCGCGCCTGTGCACTCCAGACTGCGTGACAGAGCGAGACTTCATCTCAAAAAAAAAAAAAAAGGAAAAAAAAAGAAAAAGAAAGTTTCTTGGACAATACTGAAGCAATTTGAGCAATAAGCCAAATAAATTATTTCAAGTGAAGTGTAAAATAAGTACCCATATTTGTCTATGGGTAGAACAATGATGGAATAATATGGAACAATTGAAGAAGAATAGGCATTTGTTCATTGTGATTAATTCCAAATAATTTTTGCAGACACTCTGCCCCTAGGAAGTGGAACATAAGTCTTCACTTCTTATTTGTGTGTTGTGTGTAGTGACTTCTTTTTGAAACATACAACATGGAAAGGAGAAGAAAAAAACAGTAATTTCACAGTGCAGAAATTTGATTGGAACTATCTCATTCAGGTGATTAAATTAACATCAAAAGTGATAAAGCTGTTGCAGTCTGTACCCTTAACAGGATGTGATGAGAATGGCAATTTCCCTCTGTGGTCTTCCTCCCTGAAACCTACAATCCATTCTAATCATGAAAGAAACACCAAAGAAATCCCAAATTAGGAATGCCAATGTCATAGCAATCATGCAAACTTGGAGAAATTGTCACAGTCAAAGTCGATTAAGGAGCATGAATTGTAAATGTAATGAGGTATCCTGGATAGGATCCTGGAACAGAAACTCGACATTAAATGATGACTAAATCAATCTGAATAAAGCGCGGATGGTTAATAATAGTGTAATATTGGTTGGTTCATTGTGACTAATATCCCACACTAATGTAAGGGGGTTATTAAGGAACATGGTGTATGGAGTCTGTGGAAACTCTATATTATATTTGGAACTGCTCTGTAAATCTAAAACTATTCTTAAATTTCAAAAGTTTATTTTATTTTAAGCCTTTGCTGAGCTTATAAAACAGAAAGAACATTAACAATATTATTGATGTCCCCTGAATGTATCTCCTGAATTTCATCATCTATGTTAACAGCTGAAGGTAACTATTATTATGGATTATCTTTGTCAGTCTCTAATTTTCTGATATTCATTTTTCCTGTATGTTTGTATATATAAATATTATATTGTTTTGTCTCATCTTTAAATTTAAATAAATATAAATATTGAAAATATTGAATTTAATCCATATCCCTAGTCTAATTATGAGAAGACATCTGACAAATTCATACTGTGGGAAATTTTACAATAGAACTGACCAGTCCTTGTCAAAAGGGTCAAGGTAATAGAAAATAAGTGAAGACTGAAAAACTATCTCATATTGGAGAAGATCAGATGTGGTAGGTAGAACCTAAGATGGCACCCAACGACTCCCACCTCTAAGTATAAGTGAAGTTGATAAGTAACTTCATATTTTAATTCCTTCTAATGAATGTAGTCAGAAACTGTGAGTTGCTTAAAATCAACAGAATACTACAATGGTGATGGGACATTAGCAGGATGATTATATTATGTTAGATTGTGATTCTTGTCTTGCTAGCAAAGTCCCTCCCTTGATGGCTTTGATGGAACATTTGCCATATGGGAGAAGCCAACATGGGAGGAAACTAAATTCAGAAACAGGCCAAAGCAAGCAAAGAACTGAGGCCCTTGGTCCAAAACCCTTACCCAGAGTTTGCAATATTACATTTAAAATGAATCCAAGATACTTCTCAAAAAGTGTTTTTTGAAAAAACACTGTATCACTCACAGGTAGTGTGAATATCTTAGAATAACAAAATAATCTTAACTCTTTTGTTCTCCCTATTAGTGCTGTCATTCCTTTCACTTATACATGAGTACACATGCACATATACATGTATATTTATATACATATAACATATAGACATAAGCATGCCTAATCAAATAGATTGGTGCTACTATTATTTTCCAGAAACCATTATCTGTGAGACTAAATTAAGAATATGAAAAATGAAAGTTTTATTCCATAGGGCAACCATTAAAATAGTCAAAAAAAAGTTATATAATTGATATGCTAAGAATGGAGAGAAAACAGAATTGCATAAAATTCTCAATTAAAACCACAAAACACAGAAAATAAATGAAGTACAATAAAGGGAAGAAAGAACAAGGGCAACAAATCAAAAAGAGTAACACATATGGTTGATATTAATCCAACTCCATTGGTTGTCAGTAATCTAAAAGCATCAATCAAAGAACTGAGAATGTCAGTGTAGATCAATAAAGTCAACCCAACTAAATGATGTTAAGTAAAATCTATGAAATATAAAGACATGTATACATTTAAAGGAAATAGATGAAACAAAATAGCCTAGGCTAACACTTATCAAATAAAGGAAGAGTTGCTGCATGAATTACAGAGAAGTCCTCAAGCAAGGAAAGTCACTAAAAATAAACACGGGCATTACACAAAGATGAAGGGGTCAGTTCTCCAGTACAACGTAATAATCCTTAAAGCATTTAAGTGCCTAACAACAGAATGTCAAACTATGTAACGCCAAAACTCATATAACTGCAAACAGAAAGAGATTAACTCATTATTATAGTTGGAAACCTCAACAATCTCTGTCAGACAGTATTTGTCTGCAACTGTACAGTTACTGTCATCTATACACAAGGGTTACCTCAGCTCCATCCATCTAAGTGCCAGGCATTTTCAGGAATGGAGATGTGCCTTCGTATATTACCAGAGGCATCTCCTGCAGGGGCTCCACAACAGGGGCAGCACTGGTCTCATAGTGTCTTGGCCCTATGATAGCATGCATCTCCCAAAGGACTCGTGGAGAGGGCGCTACATTCTTGCAGGTATGCATGCCACTTTTGTATAATGGAGACTTGAGAAATAGCTGATATTGGCCTGGAAAACAACCCTTCTATCTAGCCCTTAATGGAGAGATCTGTTCTCATTGTTACTGGCAGATGATCAGTTACAGGCTCAATGTGCTGCATGGCCTTACATGCTCCCAGAACCTGTTGTTCAATTGGAGAACTGTGGGTTTCAGCACATTTCCATAGCTGTGACCAGAATCTTAGAAGAACTGCTTTCCCATGCTGAACGTGCCAGAGGACCTGTTTTGTCCCTTCAGGGTTTACAGTCATATCAAAAGACACTGGTATCCCAGAAGCGGGGAACTAGAGCTTGTGCCTGAGCAATCAATATTTTAGCCTTCTCAAATGCTACCACTTGTTCTTTAGTTCTTTATCCTAGATCTGTTTTTTTGCTTTGACACAGGGTTTCTAGTTCTTTTGCCCAAGTTGGAGTGCAGTGGCACGATCTCAGCTCACTAAATACTCCACCTCCCAGGTTCAAGCAACTCTCATGTCTCAGCCACACAAGTAACTGGGATTACAGGTACACATCACCATGCCTGGCTAATTTCTTGCATTTTTAGTAGAGATGAGGTTTCACCACGTTGCCCATGCTGGTCTCGAACTCCTGGCCTCAAGTGATCTGCCTGCCACGGTCTCCCAAAGTGCTGGGATTACAGGTGTGAGCTACTGTGCCCAGCTGAGATTGCTTCTTTAATAGTCAGTATGGGGATGCAAACATGGAGGTAAACATGGAATGAAAGCCCACTGGTATCCCAAAAGACCTAGGAAACTTTGTAACTGTTTAACTGTTTTAGGTATGGAAAACTGTTATATTTTCTCAATGACCAAGCCTGAAGTAAGGTGTGTCTTACTTGGCCAAGTGATCCATAGGAACTTTGCAGCTGGTTCCAGGCCTTGTACTTTTGTGAGTTGATGGCCCATCCTCTGGATTGAAGAACGGTGTCAATGCATATCCATGTTGCTGTAGCAATGACAAGTCTTCAGAAGTTAGAGTAACATCAATATAATGACTGCAAGTCAAGGTAAAAGGGATGCTAAAGAAGGCATTAGCTAAATCTAACACAGCATGATAAGTGCCTATGTTTTGTATTAATTGCTCAATCACTTGAGTTATATTACATAAAGGAGCATATATCTTAGAAAGATCAGTAGTGTCCACTCATCTACTGTCATATCCAAGTGCCATCAGATTTTCTTATTGGTCACACAGGATGGTTGAAAGGACTCTGGGCTGGCCAGATAATATTAACTTTGGCCAATTTCTCCACGGTGGCTGTGATTTCTTGTATTCTACCAGGAAGATGGTATTGTCTCACATTAACAATACATTGTGGGGGAGGGAGGTGTACACCTTCTAATTTTGCCTCCCATCTTAATATAGCCTTTGTCATAGGTGAGATTCCCCCACAGATGTTTGTAAAGTGCATCCTAAGAAGACATCCATACTCAAGATGTTTTCTGCAATACGTGAGATAAAGACAGGAGAGTAAGCAAAGGGGGAACTCCAGACAAAACTAAGGAGGAGAGGAGTTTGTTTCTCTCAGATTTTTAACCCCTCACAACCATCTATAGCTTCCCACTTACCAGGGTGTCTCTCTGGATTTCCATCAATTAAGACACATTCTGCACCTGTGCCCACTAAAGCTAAGGTTCTCTTAGTGCTGTTTAAGACTCCAATCAATAGTGAGCTCCAAATACGGCCTCTGGTCACCCCCTATTGCTCTTGCACAGAAGCAGCCTTGACCCTACCTATGATCTCCAGGCTGGAAAGAAGTCCACCCCTGAATTTTTACCAAAGGTTTCTTCCTGTCTTTCTCCCTCTTCTCATGGGGGGTGGGGGAGGTAATAAGAAGGTGTCTAAACTATTGATCAGGAGTCAGGTCTTTCCATACCCCACTAATATGCCACTGGGTTGCCCATCTATATTCTCTTTGTCAATCCCAGCTGAAATCAGATCATACCACATTTGTTTCCTAGTAACCTTAATTGTGCCTTTTTAAACTCATTTTTCCAGTCCAGCAGACTTTGTTTCTCCCTTTTTCCATTTTCCTTTAGCAACCAGTCAGACCTAATCTCTTCCCTTTTGAGTTTCTAGGAAATCTGAAATGGCTTTCCCTATATCTTGTCCCATAAAGGGGTTATTTCACTTCCGGGGGTACTTCTGTCTCAATTTTTCAGGTTCATTCCCTTTTAGGGAGATATCATCCCTACTGGTGTCCCATAGCTGCACCATTCATGTACATAAGGCTTTCTCTTGGCAGCTGTTTAAAAGTTTTTGTTATATCCAGTAATCCTACCCAGGCCTCTGTGTGTTGGAATTTTGCTTTCCACTGCATGAACAGTTTCACTCTCAAATGGGAAGGATAATAATCTTCCTCCTCTGAGTTAAACTCTATGTCATCATCTGGCTCACTGGTTGTTTGCCAAGAATTACAAGTATTTGCATCCCAGCCTCCACTGGCAAAGACAGTCCACACATTCAGCTAGCACATTTTTCTCTCTCTCAGCCACACAAAGTGGCAAGGTACAATTTCCAACTGTGCCTCTTGAGTTTCAAGTTTATCATAAAACCAGACATTAACACAGACATGGAAGTTCTCATCCCTTTCTCACTGCGATTCTTTTCCTAGCTTCCCTACCCTTGCCTCAGCTGCTACCTGTGCTTTTGTGACCACTCACATAGATAATAACAGCAGCAAACTTACTGTTGTCACTGTTTTCCCACCTTTTTCACCACAGTGAGTCATAGTTTTTAGTAACGTTTTACTAAAAAGCTTTAAACACACATAGTGGCCCACAGACATGTAGCATATGGGAACGCCACCCACATGGATGAGGAGGGTCGCTTGTAAAACTTCCTCCACAGATGCTTCTTTCCCCTTGTCCATACTTTGGTTTCCTGGCTGGCCATTTGCTCCATTAAAGGGCCGTATACACAAAGCAACTCTCAAATGCCAAAGGATCTGAAAAATTAAAGAAGAAGGCAGAAAATCCAGGAGGACTACCTGTCTCATAGCCTGTAATTTTTGTGGTAACACCCAGGTTGACATGATTTTACACTAAGGACAGTAAATAAATGAGAGATCAGAAGGCATTCATTGAACAGGGGCAAATCAGAAGTAACATGGTGGACTAGCATCCAAGATGGGTCATTTTGTCTCCACAGGTGTTCTATAACCTGCTTTTTTTTTCGAGGTACAGCTGGGAATATTAATGTAAGTGCAAGACATGCAAGGTTTTATCCTTCCCTGTCTTCAGTAGCACAGTGATGAAGAGAACAGTCTCTGCAGGGAAATGTCTAGTGTGAAATGAACTCTCCAAAATATAAGAACATGTAATATTTGACCACAGACAGAAGAATCAATAGGCTGGGCACGGTGGCTCACACCTGTAATCTCAGCACTTTGGGAGGCCAAGGCGTATGGTCAGGAGTTTGAGACCAGCCTGACCAACATGGTGAAACCCCATCTCTACTAAAAATAAAATAAAATAAAATAGCCAGGTGTGGGGACGTGTGCCTGTAGTCCCAGCCACTCAGGAGGCTGAGGGAGGAGAATTGCTTGAACCCTTGAGGCAGAGGTTGCAGTGAGCCGAGATCGCAACATTGCACTCCAGCCTGGGTGACAGAGCGAGACTGTGTCTCAAAAAATTAATAATAATAAAATAAAGAATCAATAAAAATAAAAAAAGAGTTGAAAATCTGATAGATGCCTATATAAACAAATAATCCAAAAGAAAAAGTAATGGAAAAAGGTGAATTTTCTTATTTTTTCTTTTTTTTTTTTTTGAGACGGAGTCTTACTCTGTCACCCAGACTGGAGTGCAGTGGGGCCATCTTGGCTGACTGCAAGCTCCGCCTCCCAGGTTCACGCCATTCTCCTGCCTCAGCCTCCCAAGTAGCTGGGACTACAGGTGCCCGCCACCACCCCTGGCTAATTTTTTGTATTTTTAGTAGAGATGAGGTTTCACCGTGTTAGCCAGGATGGTCTCGATCTCCTGACCTCATGATCCACCACCTCAGCCTCCCAAAGTGCCGGGATTACAGGCATGAGCCACCGTGCCAGGCTGGAAAAAGATGAATTTTCAATAAATATTTCAGTATACCTAATGTCCATCGGGAGAAATAAAATTTACTTTTAAACTCATGCACAAAATCAACTTCAGGTGGATTATAGACCTCCATAGAAAAAAGAATTCAATGGAGTATTTAGAATTTAATATAGGAAAATAATTTCATTACAATAGGGTAGGTGAGGAATTCTTAAAAAGCACCTACAAAGTGTTTATTCTAAGAGAGAAATGCTATTCTAACATAGTTGATGTGAGTAGGAACACTGGGTCAAACTCAAAGTTGTTCTAAGTCTTTTCCTATAGGGCTTTAGCTCAGATTCAGAGTTAGAACTTTCAGAAGGTCACAGTAGTGTCTACCTCTTGAGATGCTGTAACAACTTAATGCACTCATACACAAAATGTGTAGACTAATAGCAGCTTTGAAAGGAAAATAAAATCTCAGGACACTAAATCACTATGCCCAGTGGGAAAGTTAGGCTTGGGAACTGTGTCACACTAAAACTGACTTCCTTTTTTTCTCAAGTAGACAGCTGTAATTATACATGGTTACTTTATCTTATGCAAAATGTAGATCCAGCAAACACGAGATGAATTCATACTCAACTTTATCCCCCACTCCTCTATTTGCACATATCAAATGTGGTTTCAGTGAGTGCTAATCAAAGCCTCACGAGAATGCAAACGCTTGCCTCAGTGCCTAGCCCTCTTTGCTTTTTTCCCCCTTCCCCTACTGCTCACTTTTTCCCCTTTAAATGCTGAAGTCATCAAAACTTGCTTTGGAAAAAGCACAGATCACAGATCCTGCTGTAATTTGTGTTGCTTTTTCCCATGCACTTTCTCAACGTTGGCAAGATCTAGCTCTAAATTTACTGAGACCTGCCTCAGTCACTTTTCAGTTTATATTTTGGAAAGCACAATGAGTTCTGTGCAGAGTTTCGCCCTTTGGCCTGCAGCAACTCTCCTAGAAGGGCCCTGGTACAGCCAACTGGAAGCTTTGTATTGCTCTGACTGATTGGATGATTTGCTGAGGTCTGGGAGCCTCCCCCTACACAGATCCCTGATCTCCCAAACTTTTTGCTGGAGGTCTGAGGTATGTTCTCTTGTAGAACTCCCTCTCTGGGAGTTTGCTGCTTCTGAGGAGGCAGAGCGCAGTCTTCCACTTGGGCCAGCATCTCCAAGTAAGGAGCTGGCTGGGGGTTTTTAAATGGGATTTGGTGGCTTTGAGTCTAGCTTTCTTCTTAGCCAGTTACAAATTCTTAGGTTCAAAGATCTCAACTTACGTAAACTGTGCAATCACTTTTTCTTACTGTTTTGGTAAAAATCACTGTTTGTCTCCTCTACAAAGTTTTGACTGGAGATACATAAAAAAGATTTTAGAGATCTCATATTCTTAATAATCGATTAGAGAATCAAATTTTACAAATGACTTACAATAGCGTCATGACTATCCTTGAGAATTCTGGCTCTGTACATTAAAATCTATTAGCATTGCTTTAAATTCAGAAGACATACCCTTGATTAAAGTCCATGGTCAAATATTTAACTTTCTTTGGGTTCAGTGCACATACATGTGTTAGTGTGTGTTCCAAAATTGTACACCAAAACTCTGTGACCACAATTTTCCTGTATTACAAACCTGCAAATGTACCCCTGAGCCTAAAACAACACAATTGGTAAAATAAAATAGAAATATCTTCAGAATTTAATTTAGATATTTGGTCTGAACTGGTCAGGCAAGTCAGATACTGTTTTTGCTGGATGTTTTAGGGCCATAAACTGCTCTGTGATATTTTAAATAATTGTTTGATTTGTCTTTCTTACAGCCATAGTAAGTTCAGGGGACATATAGTGTTCTCCCTAGCCCAACTGTGCCCTCTGACTACACTGGGAAGGGTCAGACGTTATTGGCAGCTCTGTCTTTTGTCCCTGGCTCTGCACCTGATACACAAGTAAAATTTCTTACTTCCTAGAGTTTTTCAATGCAAGTAAGAGTTACTGAGAGGTAACATTACAATTAACATATATAATTGAATCTACTAGATACATCCAAAGTGCATAATAAAAGTGAGATGTGTTTTTAGAAAAAAAAAAATGCTATAGAAAGGTATGAGAAATGTGTTTTCCTTATAAAGGGAAAGTAATTTTGTCTACTGTAGAGGTTTTCAAGTTGTCTTTAAACTGAAGACAAACTGACAGATAAAGCTAAATGGATACAGAAAGTTGGGGCTTGGTGTGGTGGTTCATTCCTGTAATCCCAGCACTTTTGGAGGCCCAAATGGGAGGACTACATGAAGCCAGCAGTTTGTGACCAGCCTGGGCAACAAAGTGAGACACCATATCTACCAAAAAAAAAAAAAAAGAGCCAGGCACAGTAGTGTGTGCCTGTTGTCTCAGCTACTGAAGAGGCTAAGGTGGGAGGACTGCTTGAGGCTAGGAATTTGAAGCTGTAGTAAGCTATGATTGTGTCACTACATTCCAGCCCAGGTGATAGAGTGAGACCTTGTCTCAAAAGAAAGGTAAAGGAAGCTTGGAAGGAAATTTTTTTTTTTTGTTCTAAGGTAAAATCGTAGGACAAAACTGAAAGTTTGACGGAATTGTAGATTTGTAGCAGATTGATTTTACAAAAGAAATATTGTGTGTGACCAAGTGGGCTGAAATTTAAAGGGTATTATTCAGTCTTTCTATAAATTGAACATTAAAAAACACATTTATGCAAGCCCAGGATCTGGACATCATTTTTTCAGAGAATTTATCTGCTTCTCAGTAGAAAATAGTAAAAGGTTAACAAGCATTTCTTAAATCGTACCTTATGATTAAACTGATTGATATTTGATGAATTCATTTATAAAATTTTATTAAAATTGCTTTAGTATTAATACCATGCCATGCAAAGGTAAAGTTGGTTTTCTTTTTTGAACCAGGATCTTGTTTAATATTAAGAGAGACTAAAAGATTTTTGTTTGCCTTTTGGGCCAACTGCAAAAAAAGAGGAGGGGAGTAAGGTTCACTTGGTTTCATACTATATTTATTAGGTTTTACTGGTTTTTCATTTTTTCAGGGTATTTTTGTTTGTTTGTTTGAGACAGGGTCTCACTCTGTCACACAGGCTGGAGTGCAGTGGTGTGATCTCGGCTCACTGCAATCTCCACGTCATGGGTTCAAGTGATCCTCTTTCCTCAGACTCTGTAGTAGCTAGGACTACATGTACACACCAATACAACCAGAAAATTTACAAATTTATTTTCTGTAGAGACGAAGTCTCACTATATTGCCCAGGCTCGTCTTGAACTCCTGAGCTCAAATGATCTTCCCGTGTCGGCCTCCCAAAGCAATGGAATTACAGGCACAAGCCAGTGCACTCAGCCTGATATTAGACCTTATTGTTTAAGAAACTGTATCTCCTTTCTCTATATCAAAGAATAAAGATTTTTGCTTTTTAGAAATATTTAAAATATCATTTTTGACTTAATGAGTAATTCATTTAATCGTGATTGGTGATTCTATTTTGTAACACTGTTTCAATCCTTTGATATTTGACAAACTTTCCAAATCAAATTCTAATTTACCCTTAGTGACCTAATTAACTTTTTGAATATTAGGTCACCTGAAGTCCAACAGTGACAAATTAGCCACATTTAACATGTTAAAATCATACAGAAGCATGGTGAAATATTTAACTTTTGAGTTCTACTTACCCAAATATTAGCATGTGCTCCAAAATCATATGAGATGCCAATAATTCTGACATGCCTTACTATATGTTATCAGTAATAATTATATTATGTTAAATTGTTGTATGACACAGAAAAAAACAAATTTCTTATCAACTATGCCTGTAACTACAACCGTCCTAAGAGTTTTTCATTCACAATTGTTGTTTTACTTTGATTATTCTCAAAAAGTAGTTTATAAAAAACCAGTTGGCCAAAACTTGCTTCTTTAGAAGAGTTGGTGAAAATGACTCTGATAGGTTTTCTTGAATTTAGGTTTCTGATAACTTTGGAGATTGTGCCATTGTACGAATGAAAACAACAACAATACAAACAACAAAACTCCCAGGACTCTAATTAACAGGCTGATGTGTTCATGAGGATTGCTAAGCCAATATAAAGTAGAACAAGTTAATTATGTGGGACTGACGTAACAGAAGAACGAAACAAATTTTTAGGACTCTTTTATTTGAAACATTGATGACTATTTTTGTTTTTCAGAGTAAAGAAAGGTTTTTTCTTAGCTATTTATAGTTTTTAACAATTGAATATGGTACACTCTTTAGAGAAAAATTTCAAGTATACTTCTTTCTCTTTACCTGATTTCCCCAGAATTTGAAAACTATTTCTGAATATTCTTAATTTATGGTAATATAAGTTATTTGCATATGATCAATAACAATTTTTTTTTGTAATGGGACACAATTGGAGACACTGGTTACCTTGCCAAGGCTTTGGCTGGAATTGCATATTTTCATCAATGAGCAGATTGCTTTAAGAAATTTAGGTTGAATAACAGAACTAGTAAAATTCCCTTGGAGAGACTGGCCCTGTGCCTTCCGTATGCAGTTTCTTTACAGATTTTCTGATCTGTGGTAAGAAACGCATGTCACTTTCTGACAGGCCTAGGAACTCCAAGTAATCTTGCGACCTCAAGATGACAGTAATTCACCCAGTTCATACAGTTATTTGCAGGCACAATAAATGCTTGTTTGAGCTTGAGGGGCTATTTGAAAAGTCAAATAGTAGACACTTTGTTTAAAAAAAAGTTCCATCAATGCCAACTTAGAAGAGCCTATATGGAAAAAAAATAGTCTTGCTGCACTTTATGAAAATAATCAGGCCAAGTACAATAAAACTAAAACTTATTTTGGAAATAAATTGGTCTTACTATGATTTTTCTTTAGTAAAAACGGAAGACTGTAGAGAGAAAAAATGTATTTCAAATGAAACTATAGTACATCTTTTATTGGATTCTAGCCCTGTTCTTTGTCTTCCAGTTTTATTATTGGTTTACAATTTAGCTAGACTGGATCCTAAATTCTTTGCTGGTTACAAGTCTCCAAACTAACATTTTCAATGTCTTTTTTTTTTTCTTTCCCATTTTTTTCTGACTTGGAATTAGTAGAAAACTGTGCTTTTTGTAAAGCCCTGCACACTGAAACTAGAAAACTTAAACTTTGGGAGAAATAACAGCATCTTATTTATTTACATAAAACATTTCATGACTGTCTAGTTATATATGGACTGCTCTGTAATATAGTCCATCGGTTTTCAAGGATTGCTTTCTACTTTGTTGCTATAATCCAGCTGTGTCTCTTTTTCCTTCTTTTTTCCCTTTATTTCTTCTTCCCCCTATTTCTTCACAACCTTCTAGAATGAGTCTCCTTAAAAATGTGGATCCTAACCTTCTAGGAATAAACTATCCTAATGTTGAAAGATTAGGGAAAAAATATAACCAAACACTCATTTTCTTCTAAAATGCTTTCTCTGAAATATTTTGAAGAACAAGGAAAATAAAATCTTAGGATCCAAAACTCACTATGCCAAAGGAAAAGTCAGGAACTGAGTCATGCTAATACTACCTTCCTTTTGTTCCCAAAGAGACAGCTGTAATTTCACAAGTTTGCCTATCTTAGGTAAAATGTAGATCTACCACGCACAAGACAAATGCACAATCAACTTTTTCTCCATTCCTCTTTACACATGCAACATCTGGATGCAGTGAGTGCTAATCCAGGCCTCATAAGGATGTACTTCCCTCACTGTCTTTCCTCCCCTTTCTTTATCCTCCATCTACTCCTGCCTGGTCTCACCCCTATAAATATGGGAGTCAGCAAAACCCTCTTTGAAAAAAGCACAGGCCACAGAGCCTACTGTGACTTGTGTTTCTTTATCCTTAAACTTGGCAAAATAATTCTCTGAAATGAATGCCATCTGTGTGAGTCATTTTTGGTTTACATAGGTCTAACCTAAACACTAAGTTAGTATTTGCTACTGGTGACAGCTTTTTTCAAGTAATTGCAAGAAGTATCATATGTATAAATTGTAAAATACATCATTATTTTACATCACAATAAAAGCATAAAACTATTGAAAAACTATGACATCACAAAAATTTTATGTCATATATGTTGAAAATAATACTTTTTGTTTGAAATGCCTGCTCCCTGGTGCCATAAAGAAATAGCAGTTGAATATAAATTTAATTTCCTCAGCAATGCCATTTTTATATTTTCTTCAGAAAAGGTACACTCGCCAGCATTTTTGCCATGAGAGTACACTAAACAAAGGAGACAGGGTCATTTATAACCTGATGCTTCCACCCTACTGCTGTGTCCGGTTTCCACTGGCTGGAACAGGACCTCACATTCTGTATTTGTCCCGACTGGCTAGCAACTTAGAACTTTTTAAAAGAGGCAAAGGCAGAGGAGAACAAAGGAAGGAGGAAGTAACTTTTGGAATCTGGAGAAAGGTAAAAACACCTTGAAATAAGGAAGAGGAACAGGCTATGACCTAATGCTTGCTTGGACCAGTATAAGCATGCCAGGGCAAATATTTAGGTTAAATTGTGGGAGCTAAGGACATAAAGTACATTCATTTCTTTATTACGGCTAGCAGATATTTAAGAATGTTAACACAGGTCTTTGAAAAAATTTTGCTTCTAAGAGAGGTTACTATTTATTCCTAATGAGATTGGGAGGAAAGTCTTTGAAGAGGAACCTCTATTTTACTTTTTACACTTTTGAACTTATATAAATGTGTGTATTGATGTCATATCACTCCTATGATCACATGAGACAGAAAGTGAAAGCAAAATAGGTAATCAAGGTTTTCTAAAATTTCTCATATTTGGATAAAACTCTTCTAAATCACTGTGCAACTCACCTTGTCCATGGATTTTTTCTACACTAGCATCATCTCTGGTAATTAGGAGTTTTGCTGATGCCATATTTGTAGTGAGAGAACTATAAGAGTTTCTGATAGATTATGTTTCTCATCTACTAACGTCCCTCTCCAAGTCATGATATTAAAGATACCACCAGAATGTGAAAATGGAAGTTTTTTACATCAAGTTCACTTGTGTGCACACAAAGTCCATCACATTATGACTGTCTTCTAACCAATAGCCTTTTAACAATATTATGATTGATCTCTATTTGAAAGATGTAAAAAATATGCCTTTTAAAATAAATGGAACACACTATTTTTTCTCTGTGACTGCCCCCTCTCAGTATAAAATTTTGTCGGCTCATCATATGTATTCTGGTCTATTATTGCGAAAACATGCTTATCTATAGTTTCAAATTAGTTGAACAACTTATTTACCTGCTACCTCAGGATTAGAGAGAGAGTTATTATTGGGCTACTAGAATTCCTATTTTAAATGTTGCTATGAATTGTTTTAATTTTATATAACCTGGGTATTCATTTTGTACATAGTTTTGACATTCTCATACCAGAAATAGGGTTTAGAAATCCGTGACAGTTTCCAGTTTGTGGCCTCCTCCACATTCCTCAAGGTGGTCATTGAACATAGACCCTTATAAAACCTGCTCAAGGTGACTACTCCATATAAGACAGATGAATACCACCTTTATCTCACCTCACTGTCCCCTGTGGGAACTGCACAGATATTCGGCAGTAACCACCTCTCAGTCAAACTCTGACTCTGGGAAATCATGGTTGCTTCACCTTAACCCAGCAATTTGAACTCCTCATGAGAAACCTGCTTGGGTAACACTCCAAAACCCAATGTGATGTTTACTTTTAGGAGTCAACTAACTGTATTAAGGAACACCTAGAACACTGGCAAAGCTTTACTTCTGGGTCTGTGAGGTTTCACCAGAAAGGTCTGAAATGTGAGTCGGTAGACAGAGTGGGTAAGATCCTGTGATGGAACAGGGACCCTTTGTTAGGGGCCTGTAGCTTCCCCAAACAGGGAAATAAAGGAAAATCGTGAGTCCCTTCAAGGGAAATCCCTGGTACCTAGCTAGCACTGAGAAAGAAATGAGGAACTTGATAAGCAAGAAGGTAATAGTAGCCTAAACAACAGCCAAGGTAGTTACAGTCAGAAGATGTTTGCTTTGTTCTAAAGATCGCATCTTAACATACATTCCTGAGTCATTTTTCATAAACCTAGACCCCCACCAAAGGCATCTGCTGACAAGTACACCTCAGATAAGGGGGGCCTGAAAACTGAATTCTGACTGCCATTCTTTGTGCTAAATTTCTTCCTGAGGGGCTAGAGGGAGGCAAATCCATTAGCCAAAGAGCTAACATTTTTTTCTGCCAACCCCCAAATTTTAAAACAACTCTTCTTTTCTTTAACCAATTACAAATCAGAAAACCCTTGAATCTATGTATGGGCTGTAAGCCCCTGCTTCAAAATATCACGACTTTTCAGGACAAAACCAATGTGTAACCTCCACTACTGATTTATAATTTTGCCAGTAACTTCTGCTTTCCTGAAATTTACCCCTGCTTTAAAAAAACCCTTACCTGCAAGCCACTGGGGAAGGCGGAACTTAAGCATTAGCTGACTCATCCGCCTTGCTTCACAATGTCCAGATAAACACCTCCTTTTCTCCCACTGCAAATGTCAGTGTAGATGTCTAGTCTTACTGCACTGGGTGAGCAGACCTGAGTTGAATTCTTTAACAATCCACCCTCTATGTGGGTAGGCACCACCCAGTGGGCTAGGGGTCCTGATAGAATGAAAAAGTAATGAGAATGATTTTGCTCTCCCTCTCTCCTGGAGCTGGTACACTCTCTGCCTCCTGCCCTTGGACATCTTAACTACAGACTCTCTTCCTTGGGACTCCAGAACTTACTTCTGCATCCCTCCACATTCTCAGGCCTTTGGCCTCAGACTGAGAATTACACTGTCAGCTTTCCTCATTCTCATACTTTCAGCCTTGGAATGAGCCATGCTACTGGTACTCCATGGTTTATAGCTTACAGAAGACCTGTCTTGGCTTCCATAATCATGTGACCCAATTTATCTAATTAATGCCCCCCCCATCTATCTATATATGTATCCTATTGGTCCTGTATCTCTGAAGAATGCTAAAACAGGTTTTATTTTTTAAACCATGAATGATTGTAGAGAACCAGAATTTTAGGAATGAGTTTCTTTCATTGGTTTTGGGGTTTCTAAACTTAGATCTCTAAACTGATGATACCTAAAAATGCTAAAGACTCCATTTCTAATAGTCCAGAAAACATTGCTAGTCCATGTCATAAACTGCTTAAGGGATATGCAAACATCTACCTCTGACACTCCTAATCAACACTGATAAAAGACAAGGAACTTGGTGACTCTGACAGCACATCTTTAAATATCTGTGGAAAATCAAGGATTCTGCTTCTAGCGTTGATGAGTAAAGTGATCAATAAAAAAGATAAGAGAGATTCAAATTTCAGAATTCGGCTTCACATAAAAAGCCTTAGAGCTTCTTACAGTGCTCTGAGTGAGAATTATATCTCCTATAGTCACAGGGCTGAAAATGCTAAAAGTCAAACACAAACCTTCACCGTGCAGTTGGCTGAGTTACTATGAAAGTTGAACTTTCAGCCTAGCAAGGTACCTACTGTAAATTTACAGCACTGTACAGAGAAGAATGGAACTCTGTAGAGTGGGTTGGGAACATTTGGGGAGACCATGTTGAGGCTGGAGACATTGAGCTCTGAAATTCCGATGTCTTCTTTGCCAGCAGACCTGACCCCCTACTGACACCCTCTTGGCAGTAGCCTCTTCACCCACACTGGTAAAGGTGGTTCCACCTCCTCTGAGGGGATTACGCCAGCATTGCCTGAGGGAAAGGTAATGGACTGCAATGCAGATTCTCCTAAGGCCCCACACCCACCACTCCTTTTTGCTTCTAGGCCTATAAGTAGACTCAAATCTCAAAATGCCCTTAAAAATGATATACAAAGTTTGGCCCATGGGAGGTTCATGACAGTTCAAGAAAACTATTTGACTTTATAATTTATACAAGGAGAAATCTGGAGAACATGTGTGGAAAAGGGTATTAAGAGTTAGGATAATAGTGGAGGAAACAAAGTTGGATCACCCAGATTTATTGATATGGACTCATTAAAAAAGATACTGGTTTTAGTTTTGCAGCATGGGAAATTAGAAAGGGCCCTAACAGTTTGGTTGGTTGGCTGAACTATAAATCAAAAGATGGCCCTTATTTAGCCAGTTGGATATGCCTGATCTCCCTTGGCCTCATGTAGAGGAAGAGATTCAAAGGCTTAGAACGAATGGAACTCCAGAGTGCATTTGTCATTTGAAATCTACTCACCCACACTGGGAGGCTCCAGAAGACCAACCTTTCAGCAATACTTTAAGAAACTGATTTCTAAGGGGAGACCAGCATCCTTGAATAACTTTCTCTGTAGGTGGAAGCTTATACTGAGAACCACAGTCACTCAATAGAACATTTAAATGCATTGGGAATAACTGGATCTCACAGGTCCCAGAGCCATGTGGCAGCTGTCAACCTTCAGAGTCAAGATGGACATAGTTACCAAAATGGGCAGCAAAGGTACAGCAACATTCAGATGCATCTGACTCAAGTAGATCTATGGTGTTGGCTAGTTTGACTGTGGTGTTCTCAGAAGTAAAATAGAAAAGAAGCCTAATAAACCCTTAATTGATCTGAAAATACTGAAAACATTTATGTTTACCAAAGTCTAACTCAAATCAAAATACTAGAGAATCACAGCTCCTACTAAAGTCCAAGACTAGAGCCAGTTTATAGTCAAGAAATCCTTGAAAAAAGGAGCAGCCAGGTCCCCTTGATGAAGGACCCAGGTATACCACAAAAACTTTATACTGTTCATCTTTCTCCTGTCCTTCCCAAAAGGGAACCTATAACCTTTTAACAGCTGTGTTTTGGGGAAAGGAATATAGTAAGAACTTTTCAGGACTAGTAGACACTGGCTCTGACCTTACATTGATTCCAGAAGACTCAACCCAACTCAAAACATCACTATAGAATGCCAGTCAGAGTGGGGATTTATGGAGGTCAGGTGATTAAATTTTAGTCACATGAAATCACCATGGGTCCAGTGGCCCCAAACACATACTCTGGTCATTTCTCTAGTTGTAGATGCAAAGCTTTAATAGACCTAGTTAGCACCTGGCACATTTCCCACATTGGTTCCCTGACCTGTGGAGTGGGCGCTAGTATGGTGGGAATATCTAAATGGAAGGCACTAGAGCTGCCTCTACCTAGGAAAATAGAAAATCAAATTCATAACCACACCTCTGGAGTGACTGTAGAGATTACCACCACCATCAAGGACTGGAAGGATGCAGGGGTGGAGATTCCAACACATCCCTGTCTAATTTGGCCTGTGCAAAAGACAGATGGATCCTGGAGAGTGACAGTGGATTCCCACAAGCTAAACCAAGTGTTCCTTGTAATTGCAACTGCTGTATCAGATGTGGTTTTATTGCTTGAGCAAATTAACACATTCCCTGATACCTGGTATGCACCTATTGATCTAATGAAGCTTTTTCTCTATTTCTCTTCATAAGGCCCACCAGAAGTCATTTAATTTCAGTGTCAATAACTTCTCTGTCCTACCTCAACATAATATCAACTCTCCATAACTAAGTCACAGTTTGCAGGAAGTTGATCACCTTCTCCTTCCACAAGATACTACACTGGTCCATGGCATTGATAACATTATGCAGATTTAAATTAGTGGATGTGCAGTAACAAGTACTCTGGACACTTATAAGGTATTTTCATTTCAGATAGTGGGAAATTCTCTAACTAGACCTCTTTTACCAAAAGCAAAAAGCAAACAAACAAAAAAAAGGTATTAATGTCCCTATGCCAGAATAAGGGACTACAAGAAAACATGTAAATTGACTTCCACAAGGATAAAAGCCAGAGAAGCCAAGCAAATATTTCCTGAGTTAGACTCTCCCCATGAAGCCATGAAGAGCCTTGTGACACCTGGTCTCCCCTGAGACCCAAAGCCTCTTTGACACCAGCAGTCTCTGTAATTGGCACACTGGCTCCCTAGCAGTAATCCCCCTGGAAAGTCTTCTTAAAAAGCAGAGGATATCCAGGATGGTTTGAAAATTCTCAAGGCAACTATTTTTTCAAAAATCCATAGCTATCCAGGTAGTTAAGGATGCCCATGAGAGCTCACATTATGGTAGATAACCCTGTACAGTTGGCTCCTTCAAATGATGACCACTCCCAACCTTGGAGACAGTGCAGCAAGTGACCCACAGTTGCTCTCTCTGCCACACTAACAGTCCCCATAACAGATCACCCACAAGGCCTCATGTTAAGGAGTACAATTTAGGGGAATTTAGCCTGGCAAGGACTGGCAAACACACTTTACGGTCATGCTCCAGACCCCCGGGAACTTTAGATACCTTCTAGGTGTGGTTGTTATCTTCCCACGATGGATAAAGGTGATCAACTCGCTCTGATACCACCTCGGAGGTATCATGCCATCTCTTAAAGGATATTTTCCTAGGTTTGGGCTGCCTAAAACCATGTAGTGGACAAGTTTTTTTTTTGTTTTTTTTTTTTGAGATGGAGTCTCACCCTGTTGCCCAGGCTGGAGCGCAATGGCGTGATCTCAGCTCTCTGCAACCTCTCCCTCCCGGGTTCAACCAATTCTCCTGCCTCAGCCTCCAGAGTAGCTGGGATTACAGGTGCCCACCACCACGCCTGGCTGTTTTTTTGTATTTTTTAGTGGAGATGGAGTTTCACCATGTTGGCCAGGCTGGTCTAAAACCCCTGACCTTATGATCTGCCTGCCTTGGTCTCCCAAAGTGCTAGCATGAGCCAGCTTTGGCCTCCCAAAGTATAGGCATGAGCCACCGTGCCCGGCCAGTGGGAGAGGTTTTATAACTTAAATTACTCAAAAGGTAGCCCAAGGCCTAGAAATTCCCTGAAAACTCCACACAGCAAGGAGACCCCAGTCCTCAGAAGCAGAAAAAGCCACTTAAAGCTTAAAGAGAACGTTGGCTAAACTGTGCTGGGAAACAGAGGAAAACTGACTCACTCTCTTACCATAGCTCTTCTGGACTCTAATCATCCGGTGGATGTGATCATACATTCTCTGACAGTAGTCAGCCTCTTTTCCCAGGCACCTATGTCATCAATCACCGGGCTTATGAATAAAGTGGCCACAGTGGTAGGGACTGAGGTTTTGCATACACACAGCAATCTGGAATTCCTTTCACCATGGCCAACCAGGTTACAGACCCCTCTGAGTGTTCCAACTGTCAGCAGCAGAAACTAACACTGAGCCCCTATATGGCACCATTCCCCAGGAAGATCTGCCAATTTCCTTGTGGTAGGTTGATTAACTGGGCAGCTTTCATCAGGGAAGGGGCAGCATTTTGTTCTTCCTGGAACAGTAAGAGAGTTACTCCATCTATAAATTTTACTTCCTTGCATGCAAGTATTCTGTGGAAACTACCATCCATGGACTTAATGCCTATCTACCATCATGGTATTCCACACAGCATTGCTTCTGAACAAGGAACTCACTTCACAGACAAAGAAGGGCAGAAACGAGTTCATGCTCAGAAACTTCAGTGAATTCACCATGTTCCCTATAATCCTGAAGCAACTCACTTGAAACAATGGTGGAATGACCTTTGGGAGTCACAGTTCCAGCACCTGCTAGATGACAATACTGTGTAACTGTGGGGCAAGGTTCTCTAGAAGGCTGTATATGCTCTGAACCAGCATGCATTATATGGCGCCATTTCCCCCGAAGCAGTGTGGTCACAAACACTTCATCAATCTCCAAGGACTCCCAAATATTTCCTGTCTTCTAAACCCTCACAAGAATATAGGCTTTTACTAGTCTCCCTCTCCAAGATTCTTTTAGCCTCTGCCCATCACCCAATTTGAAAGACACTTTCATATTTTCAGGTATTCATTTTCAGCAACAACCTACTTGTCATTACCAGTTTTCTGTATTAGTCCCTTCTTTGTTGCTTAAAACAGAATACAAATTATTGGGTAATTTATAAGGAAAATAAATGTATTTCTTACACTTAAGGCATAAATGATGGCTTGGCAGCCTCCACAAATTTTGAAGTATTTTTTTTTGACAGCCTGGGAGCCCAGAGAGAGAGTTGTCACAGGGCCAGATCCACTGCAGAGAGCCCCCAGTAGAAGGATGCCAAACACAAATGTGGGGTTGGAGCTGCTGCAAAGAGTCCCCACCAGGGCAATGCCAAGTGAAGCCACAGCAGTGAAGTCACTACAGAGAGCTCCACATGGGTAATGCCTAGTGGTGCCAATACCAGGATCCCAGGATTGTGAAGTCCCCTGTGGCATTCAAAGCCTGCCTGGGAAAATTTCAACCAGTACAAGCACCCACGGGTGATTCACCAAGTAAAACCTTAGGGGTGACACTGACTAGGGCTTGCCACTCCAACCCTTATCTCAGTGTGTTAAGGGGTAAAACTAAAAAGGCTTTCCAGCATTAAGACGTAATGTTTGCCCTCCTGGACTTCAAATTTACTTAGGGGCTGTTACTGTTTTCTTTGTGTCTATTTCTCTCTTATAGAATGGGAATGTGTACATTATGTTTATCCTGAAATCACCTTTGAAAAAATTCTAACAGTGAGAAAATTATGACTGTAAAAGAGAGATGACCTGACTGAATCCATCTTGCCTTTAATCTCCAAGCTTCCCTTGTTTGTTCCTGGACAAAGGGAACATTAATATTATAGCCTATCTTTCAAACAAAGATGACAGCCCTTCCTTGAAACAAATCCCTTAATTGCTTGGAGACCAGACCACCTTTGTAAAACCAACAAATTAACCACAAGATTAGAAAATATGGTTCAAGAGCCATACAGCCAGAGGCCATAACATTACTAACATCCTCAATTGCTCCTAGAGACAGCATTCATACTGTGAACCTAAGGGGCCTAGGATCCCTATAAGCCCACTGTTTGGGCTGGCCCTGCAGACTTGTCAGTTAACAAAATTTGCTACACCTCCCTGAAACAAAAAAGTTGAAGTTTCCCTCTTATCTTGTTTTATGTCCTTGAAAACTTGACTTCGTAACCATGTGAGGGTGCTGTCCCTTGTTCTCCCACATACAGAGGGTTGGAATTTCTGGATTCAGGTCAGGCAGCCAGTCTGAAAGGATACATGATAATGTCACAGCTAGCTTTAAGGATTCTCTTGAGCAGTTACAATCCTTGAAGCTTGGAGCTGACTGACCTACATTATTTCTGACCAACAGCAACTGCCCCATGCTGTAGCTCAGTAACTAAGGTTTTTCCCTTTTACTGCAGCAGCCTGGGTTTGATTCTCACCTCAAACAGTAAGCCCTTTCTAGTGTGATATTTGGAGACTGTTTGCCATTCATTCGATGATTTTCTTCTCCATGGACATCTTCTCACTTTCTGTCTTAAATTTTCCTTTCTAAGCTATCTTTGGGGAAATTCTCAATCTTGCAAAAACTGCTTGCCATCTCTGTGAGACACCTCATGCATCCATGGTTAAGTCATAACCTTAGTTAGACTTATAAGTTTCCCATGGGCAGTTACCTTTGGAAAAGTTTAAAGCCAAAAATACTACCTATTTGTCTTGGCTAAAATCTATTAATAAAAGATTTCAGCAGATTTTCTTTTGAGAACTCTGTAATCAAAAATCAACTTGATTAAGGCTGATATTGAGCTACATGTGTACAGATACTATTTTAAAGCCTTTGCTCTCCCTCTGTAAAAGTTTCTCATTCAGTGGAATTCTTTCTGATCCTCCATTTACTCCTGTCTGTTCCTCCTTCCTCTTGTATCTAACCTTTTTGACTTGCAGGGACCTGAAATTACTTTGCATTATGAAAAAAAATTAACCTTGATGTGTAATTGCTAGATAAAAAATATACTTTTTAAAATGACTAATGGTAGTCACTTATAGTAAGTGATTATTACTACAGGGTGATACTCTTTTATTTGTACATTTAAATAAGAAGGATGTGCTCTTATGGGCCGATTACAGAGTGGGCTGATGGGCGCTGGGTTTTCCAGCAGCCTTGAGGAAATGTCCTTACAATGAAACACACTGTGGAAGCATTGCACTGTGTCATGCCATATTGTTTGCCTCTTTAGGGGACCCAGGATTTGGTATAAAAATAAGATTCATCATTTAGGGGAATCTGTTTTGACTTCCACCTCTGCCTGATTACTAGGACCTAGAAACTGCATGCTTTCCTGGTTCTGTTCCTTAAAAGGTTCCACCCCAAAGGCAATAATCCCATTTAAAAACTTAACAACTTTAAGAAAATCTCCACATGTAAGAGTGTCTGCTTTTCCTGGCCATCCTGACTGAACTTTTACCCCCACATTTTTCCTTGCTTTAGATAAAATATAAATTCTCTATAATTATTTCACCTAAGAATTATCCCTTTAAAATAAAAGTGTGGAACTGCCTGGTTAAAAACTTTTTAGGGCAGGGAACAGGTAATCAAGAGACTGATGATCTAAAATGAAAAAGAAAAACTTAAAAAACTGACAAATGAAGAATCCATATAACTCTACCAGATCTGCTTCTCTATGTCTGTGTATTTATATACTTCATATATGTAATATTTTGCTAACAAACTATATAAAAGAGCTCTAATTAATTGGCATATATATATATGCACTTAAATAAAATATTTTACCAGAAAAAATTTAACTAAAATGCTTTTTGTTCACACTACTCTAATAATCTTTGAATAATAAAGATAGCTTTAAAGATTATTGGTACAATAAAATTATTTCTTCAACATTTAGACATTTGGTCTAAATTAGGCAGGTCAGATATTCTCTTTGCTGTTTTAAGGTTATAAATATCTATGACTTTTTGTAAGTGTCCAACCTGCCTGCATAAGAGCCAGCAGCTTCTAGGTAAAGCCTGGGGACATGTTGAGTTAGCCACGCCCCTGAGCTATGTTGGAAAGAATCATACATTATCTTCATTTTTGTCCCGTGTCCTAGGCTCTGCACTTGATACGAAATTAAAATTGCTTTCACTAAAAATAAAAGTTGTGAAGATTTAACATTGTAACACATGTGATTGACACTGCTGAGAAAAGACTGACATTCAAGGTATATAAAAATTATAAAATGTGCTTTTGTAAAAAGTTATAAAAAAGACCTAAGATATTGTCTTTGTTTAGAAAAGTAATCTCGTCTAAATTAGAGGTTTTAAAAATTGTCTTAAGTTAAAAAATAATAGGAGAAAACAGAAGGTTTAAGCAGGTTATAAAAGGTTTGTAAAAGATTGGTCTAGTAAAGAAAGTTCTGTGTGTGAGTGTGAGCAACTTGCCAAAACTTGAAGCAGGTTACTTAGTTTTTCTACAGAATGATCATTAATGTAAAAATCACAGTGATACAGGCCCAGAATCTGCCCCCTTAGGTATGATCAACAGAGTTTTCATGGAGCATTAATCAGTTGTTTAGTAGAAAATTGTAAACAGTATGCTCAAACTGATTTAGATTGGACAGATCTGTTTATAAGGTTTTATGTAAAAATTGGGTTTGACATTAATAAAACACTAAGGCAAAGGTAAAATTTGGTTTCTCTTTAAACAAGATTTTTGTATAATACTGAGGGATAATAAAATATTTTTATTTGTCTTTTAAATAAACTGAAAAATGTAGGGGAGAGAGAAGACACAGATTCAGATGGCCTCATGCGGTCGTTGCTTGGTCCTGTTGTTTGGGAGCTGAGTCTCCTCTCTACCAATGAATAAAGGCATTTGCCTTTTTAAATTTTTGAGCTATCATTTTGGCTAAACAAATGATTTGTGGTTATCTGGGATTCTATTTTGTGATTTGAACTGTTTCAAACCTTTAATATTTGCACACTTTGAAAAATAAAATTATAAACTAAGAATTTTTATTTTAACTCATTAGCCTTTTAAGCATTAGGTCCCCTGAAATCCAAAAGAGATATATTTGGCTTATTTGGTATATTAACCTACAGAAAACACTGTCAAATACAAAATCATGTTTAACTTTCTTTGGGTTATACTTATATAAATATGTTATTAGTATGTATTCCAAAATTATATGGTTCCTATAATTCTAATATGTCTCAGTATATGTTATCAGTCATAATTATGATTATTACATTGAATTGTTATGTGCCACAGAAATGACCAGATTTCTTTGTCGACTGTGTCTTTAACAATGGCCTCGTTGGACACAGTGACTCATGCCTGTAATGTCCTCACTGGGCACGGTGGCTCATGCCTGTAATCCTAGAACTTTAGGAGGCTAAGTTGGGAGGACTGTTTGAGCTCAGGTGTTTGAGATCAGCCTGAGCAAGATAGTGAGATCTTATCTCTACAAAAAAAAATCAAAAAATTAGTTAGATGTGGTAGCACTTGCATGCAGTCCCAGCTCCTCTGGAGGCTGCAGAAAGAGGATTGCTTGATCCCAGGAAGGTGAGGCTACAGTGAGCCATAATTGTGCCACTGCACTCCAGCCTGGGTGGCTTGAGACCCTGTCTCAAAAAAATCAAAGTAAAATTATTAAAACAATGACTGTCCTGAGATTATTGTCATCCACAGATTATTGTGGTCTTTTCTTTAACTAGTCAAAAGGTGTTTGCTCTTTGAAATGTTTTCTTGAATACAGGTTTCTGATAACTAAAGATTGTGGCATTGAAATAGGAAAACAAAACAAAACAAAACAAACAAACTTTCAGGACTCTCAGAGATAGCTGGTATGTTTATGAGGACTGCAGGCCCAATGTCAGACAAAGTTCACTGCATGGACTGAACTAATACAAGACCACAGTAATCGTTTTATGACTTGTTGCTTGAAATGTTGCTGATCCTTTTTGTTGTTTTTCAGAGTCAAGACCACATTTTTCTTTTCAGCTATTTACAGCTTTTCATGATTCAGTAAAGTGTATTCCTGTGAACAAAAGATGAAGGATATTTCATTTTCTCTACTTGATTTCTCCAGAATTTGAAAACTATTTATGAGTATTCTATACTATGGAAATATAGTTATTGACTAAGTACAATAAGAATCTGATTTCTTTTGTAACAGAACACAATTGGAGACACTGATTATTTTATCAAAGACATGGTTATTTTACCAGTGGAATGGCCTACTTTCAGATACAAACAGACAGGCTTGAGGAATTAAAGTTGACTAACAGAGATCATAAAATCCCCTTAAGAAAGTGACCTCATAACTGCCTACACAGGCCTTGTACAGGGTTCCTGACCTGTGGTTAGTAAAAAAATGTCACATTCTGACATGCCTATGATTCCCAAATTATCTTTGGAGCTGAAGAAGAGAGAATTTCAAGCAATCTGTACAAGTATTTGCAGGCACAGATAGATCCCTTCAAGGCTTTAAAAAAGTCCAATCCGAGATTCCTTAGGGAACAAAGTTCCAGCAAACCCAATTTAGAAAGAGCTAATATGGCAAATAATTATTCTTGCTGAAGTTTACACAAATAATCAGGCTAAGTATAATAATACCAAAACTTATTTTGCAAATAAATATGACCTACTATGATACGTCTTAAATAAAAATGAGAACTAGAGAGCAAAACATTGTATTTCAGAAAAATACTATAGCACACCTGTTGTTAGATTCTAGTCTTGTCCATTGTTTTAGAGCTTTTTATTGTTTTCTGCATTTTGGACTGAATCCTGAAATCTCTCAGAGCTAAAGTCCTCAAACTAACACATTCACATTTTTCTTCCACTTTTCTGACCTGGACTCAATGAAATGGCTACGACCTTCTTCCTGAGGCCCCAAAGGCTGAAGTTTATCCCTTGAGATACAGATGTGAAATATGTGAGATTGTCATCACTATCCTCCTTTGCAACTTAAAAATGCTTTGAATCTAACATCCAGATGCATTGTGCCCAATATCAATCTTTGTTATTATTTTCTATTTCCATACCAATGCCTGTTATTAAAAATATTTTTTGCCTTAATCACATAAGGAGGCCTAGTTCATTTGCAGTGACGCCTCCTGGAATGAAACACTGCTAGGATCTATTCCAAGGACTAGGAAACTAACTAAAAAGATATGACATGGTATATTTAAATTTGCTCTTTCCTGTTTATCCCAATTTGTCTTTCTAACAACCTCTGACCCAAATCTCTCTTGACTATTGACCCCATGTCTGACTGGTTCTTGGGGTCATTCACCCGAATCCCTAAAGGATTTAGATGAATTATATAAGTACTTCTGAAGCTAGGACTTCCACTCCTTACATTAGGACTCATTATCCTATAGTCAGCTGTTCACTTAAGTGCTGTACTAAAACTGTGGATGAGAGTACTAACATCTTGGTCATGCAATTCTAGGAACCCCAACCAGGCACCTGTGAATATACTCAAGCAGCTGCAAAGCAGTTTCATTCCATTTACTCTGGGGCCAAACCCTATCTCAAGTATACCCCTTGTCAGCAGGAAGAAGTTAGAATGGTCTTTGGCCTTTTCCCAACTCTGTACCTCACCCATTAAGAATAAGATGCAATGAAACTTGGAAGGGGAAATTGAAATCACATTTGCAAAGACAGTAACAGTGAGAAAATTATGACAGGGAGAGAGATATGACCTAAGAGACTTCATCTTGCATTTAACCTCCAAGCAGCCCTTGCTTATTCCTGGGTAAAAACAAAACTAACTTTGGGAGAAATTTACTTTGTAGTTGAATTTTGAAACAAAGATAATAACAGCTCCTCCCTGAAACAAAACCCCTCATTGTTTGGGGACAACATCAACTTTGTAAAACTAACAAATTAACCACAATATTAGAAAGTATGGCTCAGAAGTCATACCATCAGAGGCCACAAGATTAATAACCTCCCTGATTGCTCCTATCAATAACATTACTATTGTAAAACCTAAGATTGGTGTTTGAGGTATTTTTCATAACTTGCATCCTGACAGATCAGCGGGTGCCACCCAAACCAGTAAACTGGCTCATCTGGATACGTGGCCCACACCCAGGAGCTGAGTCAGTAAAGAAGATGGCTTTGACTTCCTAAGATTTCATCCCTGACCCAACCAATCAGCATGTCCCTTTCTCTAACCCCTGCCCACAAAACTATCTATAAAAACTCTAGCCTCTGAATATTTGGGGAAGCAGTTTTGAGTAATAGGAAAACTCTGCTCTCTCCTTTAGCCAGCTCTACATGTATAAAATTTTCTCTACAGCAATTCCCCTATCTTGGTAAAGTGGCTCTAACTGGGCAGCAGCCAACATGAACCCATTGGCCATTAACAACCCAACTGCTGAATTTTGTATGAAGATAACTTGTTTTGATTTCATGGGCTGACAGAGGAGACTTTAGATTTGGGAACTTTCTGTTGGTGCTGGAACAATTTAAGCCTTTGAACGATAGGAATGAAATAAACTTTTTTAAGTGACAGGGCGTGATTTTTAGAGTCAGAAGTGGAGCCCTGTGGTTGGAATACTGCTTCCCTCCCAAATTTATGCTGAAATTTCATCCCTAACATGGCAGTATTGAATTGTGAGACCTTTAAAAGGTGATTGGATCATGAAGAGTTTGACCCCATAAATGAATTAATCCTTTCATGGATTAATAAATTAATATATAAAAATTAATAGCCTATTATGAGAGAAGAGTGACTTATAGGAAGGGAGACATGATCTTGCATGTCAGCAAGCTCTACTCCATTGCCATACGATACCCTGTAGGCTTCAGAACTCTTCACAGAGTCCCAACCAGCAACATGATCTCACCACATACAACCTCTCAACCTTAGACTTTTCAGCCTCCATAACTGTAAGAAATACATGTGTTTTCTTTATCAACTACTCAGTTTCAGGTATTCTGTTGTAAGTAACAGAAAATGGACTAAAAAAAGTCTTCACATTACTATGCCCCGTTATTAAGTTCAATGGATTATTACAACCATTCCAGACAAGAATACAAATGCTCCAGATCTTTCAGGAATGAAGGTTTGCATTATCCTGCCAGGTAAAGACCCAGGACCAGCAGAGGGGCTTGCTGAAGACAAAGAGAATACAGAATGTGTAGCAGTAGAAGGGAGTTACAAATACCAGATAGGGCCAGGCGTGGTGCCTCAAGCCTGTAATCCCAGCACTTTGGGAGGCCAAGGCAGGCAGATCACCAGATCAGGAGATCAAGACTATCCTGGCTAACACGGTGAAACCCCATCTCTATTAAAAATACAAAAAATAAGCCGGGCGTGGTGGCGGGCGCCTGTAGTCGCAGCTACTTGGGAGGCTGAGGCAGGAGAATGTGTGAACCTGGGAGGCGGAGCTTGCAGTGAGCCAAGATCATGCCACTGCACTCCAGCCTGGGTGACAGAGCGAGACTCTGTCTCAAAAATAAAAATAAAAAAGTAAATAAATAAATACATACATAACCAGACAGGACCAGGTGACCAGTTACAGAAACAAGGATTAAAATTGTCACTATTATTTCCTATCTACTTTGTTAAGAATACATTTGCGTGTTATATATAAATATATTAGGCAAATAACATTGTTTTTATTTCTCTCTTCTTCTTTTGTCACATAACACAATAATGTATTACCTTGATATTAGCAGTTAAGTGTTAGTAATTTAACATTTGTACTGAAGTTATGGGGTATCAGGAGAAGAGTAAACATCACCCACAAACTTCTACCACTCTTAAGAAAAATAGTATAGTGTGTTCTGGTTGCACACAGGATCATTGAATCATGTTACGTAGAACTATTGCCTTGTTATTGACTGTATCTGAAGATTAGTTATGGCTTAAGGTGACACATATAGGTGCCAACTAGAAAGGTGTTGGACTTGTCATGGTTAATTTAAGGTGCTGACTGGATTACAGAATACCTAGAGAATTGGTAAACCATTACTTCTGGGTGTGTCTGCCAGGAAGTTTCCAGAGGAGACTGATGTATGAGTCAGGGAATTTAGTGGGAAAAATCCACCCTCAATGGGGGAAGGCAGCATACAATCTCCTTGGGGACTAAACAAAACCAAAAATGAAAAATTTTAAAAAAGTCTTCCTGTCTCTCTCCTGGAGAAAGTATATTCCTTTTCCTGCCCTTGGAAAACAGAACTCCATGATCTATGGCCTTCAAACTCCAGAATTTATACCAGTAAATGCCCTGGATTCTCAGGCCATTGGTCCCAAACTAAGAATTACACCAAGAGCTTCTGTGATTCTGAAGACTTCAGCTTTGGAATGAGCCACCACGTTACAGCATCCAAGGTCCTTAAACTCGCAGATGGCTGTCTTGGGAATTCTCCGTCTCTATAATGTTACATGAGTAAATCCCCAAACAAAATGCTGTTCATCTAACTATTGTCTATCTATCTATCAACTCTCCATCTATGTATCTATCTACCTAAAAAACTACCTCCCTGTAGTTCTGTCTCTCTGAAAAAAAATAACTGACAAATACACCCATAAAGACTTCAGCCAAATGGTGCAATACTATGTCTTTCTCTAGTTGCTCCTGCACCACCCCTGCTGCTTATGAGTGTATGTCCTGGAGAGCTCTTCTCTGTCCATCAGCACTTCAAGGAATGCTGCCCTCTTCTTACTGGGATTGGTTAGTAATACATTACGCATGTCATTATACACATTTTGCTGAGTTGCCACCTCTGTATTTCACTTTACGAACACACATGGACATCACTTTTCTCCCACTTAGCACTCTCCTAGAGAGCGGTTTCCTTGGTAGAATAAACTAGACACAGGTCAGACAGGAGCCACAGGGTGTCTTACAGTATAAACAAGTACTCTGTGAGAAGGATACCTGGATGTAAGCTGGACAGTTGGGCTTTAGGCCATCGACCAGGATAAGAAAGCATCCCATGAAAGGCACAGCCAGTACCAAACCCTGAGTCGTAGTGGGCAAGGCTATAGGTTATAGCCACCATCCAGAGAGGACTTAAAGCAAACAGAAGTAAAAATAAAACACACGCTGTGAGATAATTTTATGAACTATGGTTCCAGGAATCCTAGGGAGGGAAACTAAAAATGGCAAGGCATTATTTGAAAGTTTGCACTGGAGTGGTGGCTCCCCAAAGATAAAGAAATATCTCAGGTTGGGCGTGGTGGCTTACACCTGTAATCCCAGCACTTTAGGAGGCAGACGTGAGCGGATCACGAGGTCAGGAGATTGGGACCATCCTGGCTAACACCGTGAAACCCTGTCTCTACTAAAAAGAAAAAAAAATTAGCTGGGTGTGGTGGCAGGCACCTGTAGTCCCACCTGCAGGGGTGGCTGAGGCAGGAGAATGGCATGACTCTGGGAGGCAGAGCTTGCAGTGAGCTGAGGACACGCCACTGCACTCCAGCCTGGGTGACAGAGCGACACTCTATCTCAAAAAAAAAAAAAAAATCTCTATCTAGAGGATTTCAGCCCTAGTCATAGAAATATAAACAACGACCTCTGTAACTTATTTATTTATTTATTTAATGGGGTTTAACTACATTGCCCAGACTGGAATGCACTGGTTATTCACTAACACAATCATAGTACACTACATAGCCTCAAACTCCTGGTATCACATGATCATCCTACCCACCCTCCCTAGCAGTTGGGACTGACTACAGGTGTGTGCCACCACACTTGCACAGATAAAATTTTAAATCAAGAAAGTTGCATTTCTTTTTCTTCTTTCCCATAGTAATTCTAATCATGTGAAGAATGATCATACAAATCATTTTATGATTAGTTACTGCAGATGTAGATGCATTATAGTTTCCATACAATCTTTTATGCTGTCCACTTGTTACTTGGAGCAACTTTATTTCTGGATACTTGAGAGGAAGAATGGGCCTTAGTGTTCCCTGAAGAAGAGAGTAAAATAGAAACTCATCTGATTTATATTTTATAACCTTACTGCATTTGTACCATGAGATTTAGTTCCATGAAGGCTCAATTAAGTTAACAGGGAGACCTGATCTCAAATATATGAGCCATGTCTACACTTCTATTTATTTTGAAATAATTTTAGATTAACAGAGAGTTGTTAAAATCTTACATAAAGTTGTATATAGCTTTCAATTTCCTGTTATATTAATATCATACACATAACCATAGACTATCTATGAAAACTCAGAAACTGATAAAGGCACAAAACTATTAACTAAAGTACTGACTGTCTTTATATTTTACCAGGTTTTTCACTAATGCCATTTTTCCTTTTCTTGGATCTAATCAAGGATAACATATTATGTTTACCATCAAGTGTATTATTGTTTATTGCAGCATAGCCAATTACCATGTAGCTTAGTGGCTCAAAAGCACATACAAATTACTCACAGTTTCTCTGGGTCAGGAATCCAGATATAGATGATGGCCAAGGCTGAGGTCTCACCTGAGGATCAGCTGGGGAGGAATCATCTTCTAAGTTCACATGATTGACCAGGTTGAGGAGAATTCACTGATGAATTATTTGAAACCTTTAAAATATCAACAGCAATTTTTTACTAACTGTTCTCCAAAAAAATAAAATAATAGAGAAGAGATCAGTGTGCAATACATTCTATGAGGCAGTTTCCTCTGAGGCCACAACCAAACAAACGCAGTCCAAACAAGGAAAACTATAAACTAATATGCTTTATGGGTACCCAGGCAATAATTCTCAAGGAAATAGTCTGAACACAAACCAGGATTGTAAAACAGAATTAAACACTAATTTATTTATTTATTTACTCAGGGTCACAAGTTTGGTAAAACACAGAAGAAGAATTAGTGTAATAACTATATTAATATAATAAATAACAAAATTTTCATTATGACATCTAAAGATATGGAATAAGCACTTTCCAATTCAAAAACCCACTCACAGTAAAAACACTAAACAAATTTTGCAGAAAGGGAATGTTCTTACCTAACACAGACACCCATGAAAAATTCACATGACAACACATGGTATCAAGTAGGTCTCAGTAATTTTCCCAAAATTACAAACACAAAAGGTTATCTATTCCCACTAATTCAACTAAATATTCTTGAGGATGTAATTTATAAAATTAGGCTGGAAAAATAAATATAAGACTTCCAAATTGAAAGGGAAGAAGTCAAACATCTATTGGCCAGTGACATAATCTAATGTATAGAAAATCCTAAAAAATCCACTAAAATAAGGTTGGAACAAAAAAAAATTCAGTCATGATCAATGTAATAAATTGCATTCTTATACAATAGAAACTAATCAAATAACAAAACAGAAAACAATTTCATTTAACACGGCATCAAAAAGGAAATATATTTGAAAATAAACCTAATATAACTGCAATATATATATACTAAAAATTACAAATGATATTGAAGTATTAAAGAAATCCTAAATAAATGCCTAAAAGAGTTAGCATAATATACTATATGAACTAGATTTTCATTGATCAGAAAGCTATTAAGTATTAACCAACATGATTATACTTTCTAAATGCATCTTCAGATTCAATACAAGCCCTACTAAAATTCTAACTTTAATTTTTTTCATTTTTAGCAATTCTTGGACCACTGATTCTAGAACACACAGAAAAATGCAATTGATCTAGAACAGCCCAAAGAATGTTAAATATTTTTTACAGAAACACAAATGACATTTATAGAAGGTCTGTCCATAGGGTAATGGGGCATAATTCCCCACTTTTTATATATGTGCTCTGCATATTGATGTTTTTTCCAAAAGGAACAACATGAAAAGGGGAATAATATTAATTTTATTGTTGCAGGAAGTCAGCGACCCCAAACGGAGGGACCAGCTGAAGCCATGGCAGAAGAACATAAATTGTGAAGATTTCATGGACATATATTAGTTCCCCAAATTAAGACTTTTATAATTTCTCGTGCCTGTCTTTACTGCAATCTCTGAAGCCACGGCAGAAGAACATAAATTTTGCAGTTTTCATGGACATATATTAGTTCCCCAAATTAAGACTTTTATAATTTCTTGTGCCTGTCTTTACTGCAATCTCTGAACATAAGTTGTGAAGATTTCATGGACATTTATCACTTCCCCAGTCAATACCCTTGTGAATGCCTGTCTTTACTTTAATCTCTTAATCCCGTCATCTTTGTAAGCTGAGGAGGATGTATGTCACATCAGGACCCTGTGATGATTGCGTCAACTACACAAATTGTTTATAGAGCATGTGTGTTTGAACAATATGAAACCTGGGCACCTTGAAAAAACAACAGGATAACAGTAATATTCATGGAACAAGAGAGATAAGCTTAAACTCTGACTGCCGGTGAGCCAGGTGGATCAGAGCCATGTTTCTCTTCTTTCAAAAGCCAATAGGAGAAATATCGCTGAATTCTTTTTCTCAGCAAGGAACATCCCTGAGAGAGAGAATGCGTCCCTGAGGGGAGGCCTCTAAAATGGCCGCTTTGAGGGCAGCTGTCTTTTACGGTTGCCGCTGTCTTTTACAGTCGTGGCTGTGGGATGAAATAAGCTCTGGTCTCCCATAGTGCTCCCAGACTTATTAGGACAAGGAAATTCCCGCCTAATAAATTTTGGTCAGACCAGTTGTCTGCTCTCAAACCCTGTTTCCTGATAAGATGTTATCAATGACAATGCATGTCCAAAACTTCATTAGCAATTTTAATTTCGCCCCAGTCCTGTGGTCCTGTGATCTCGCCCTGCCTCCATTTACCTTGTGATATCTTATTACCTTGTGAAGCATATGATCTCTGTGACCCACACCCTATTCGTACACTCCCTCCCCTTTTGAAAATCACTAATAAAAATTTGCTGGTTTTATGGCTCAGGGGGCATCATGGAACCTGCTGACATGTGACGTCTCCCCCAGACACCCAGCTTTAAAATTTCTCTCTTTTGTACTCTGTCCCTTTATTTCTCAGACCAGCTGACACTTAGGGAAAATAGAAAAGAACCTATGTGAAATATTGGGGGTGAATTTCGCCCGATATTATAGTGGACAAAACTGAGCTAAACTGCCTCATCCATGTGATCAAATAACATTAACGATGGCAAAGCAGCTGGGCACACTGGCTCACACCTATAATCCCAGCACTTTGGGAGCCTGAGGTGAGAGGATCACTTGGGGCCAAGACTTAGAGAACAGCCTGGGCAATGTAGTGAGACTCTGCCTCTACAAATGTAAAAGTAAAATTAAATCACCCAGATGTGGTGGCACATGCCTGTAGTCCCATCTACTCAAGAGACTGAGGTGGAGGATCATTCAAGCCCAAGAATTCCAGGCTGCAGCAAGCTTTGTTCACGCCACTGCACTCCGGCCTGAGCAACAGAATGAGACCCTGTCTCAAAAAAAAAAAACAAAAAACTGATACAGCATGTTGACACTATGTACTCTTGTTATAATATCATGAGAATAAAAGTTTCCCTCTGTGGGTTTCCTCTGCTAAATCCACAACAGTCATCCAATCATTAGGAAAACACCAGAGACATCCCAAAGGATTTCAATGATATCAGAAATAAGGAAAATCTGAGAAACTGGCACACGATACCTAAATGTGATGTGGTGTCCTGGGCGGAATCCTGGAACAGAATATGGACATTAGGTGAAAACAGAACATCTGATTAATTGTGAATGTTGGTGAATGATAATGTATAATATTGGTTCATCAATTGCGACAAATGTCTCAAATGAATGTAAGAATTTATGAAAGGGAAATTATGTGCTAAACATATATAAACTCTCTGTATGTACTTCTAACTATTCTGTAAATCCAAACTATTCTAACATAGATTTAAAAAATAAATAATATAAATATATATTTAAAAAATTAAGCTATTGAGCTTACTAAGCAGAACACTGTCGATCTCGTAGCGTCCCAGGTGCTCACCTCCCCATTCCCACCCTTCTTGTTACCCTGGTGAACATTATTATTATTTTTAATTTTCCTTTTCCCATTCGCAAATTTTTCTTTCTTAGTTTTGGTCTCTAAATTTGTATTTGTAAATAATGTCCTGTTTGCTGTTTCTTGTCTTCACAAATAGATAATTACATGTCTCTATCTATATTGCTCAGTAAAATTATGAGAAACATTCAGAGAAATCAAGATTTTGATACATTTTGCAAAATATGTGACCTGCTTTCTCACAAAGTGAGGACTGAGAACCTGTCCCAGATTAAGCAAGACCTGATGTTGGCAGGTGAACTCCAAGATGGTGCAGAATGATCCTCACAGCTTAATTAGAATATCTAATCCTTTCCTTGTGACTTTGGGGAGAACCTGAAACTTGCTATGATACATCAGAAGACTACAACCTGATAGGATGTCACTTGGATCATCATGTTACCTAAGATTATGATACCTGTCTTGCTGCAAGCTCTCTGTCATGGTGGCTTTGATGACACATTCTGCCATGGGAGAGAAGCCAACATGGGAAATAACTGAATGCAGCTTCTGGCCACAGACAGCAAAAAACTGAGGCTCCTGGTCCAGTATCCTGCCCTAGAGGTGGCAATTTATATTTACAACTAATCTAAGCTCCTTTCACATAAAAGTATACAGCCTCAGAAGTAGTGTATCCATCTTATAAAAGAATAGTCCTATTTCTTCCTTTTTCCTGTATTTTTCCTTTTGTCCCTCTTTCCTAACTTTCATTTTACTCATATGTATTATATATATATATATATATATACACACATATCTATATATATATATATACACATATCTATATATATATATATACACATATCTATATATATATATATATACACATATCTATATATATATATCTTATGCTTATGAAAATATAATTACATTAATGGTGCTTTTTTGTTGTTGTTGAAACAGTCTTGCTCATCAATTTACTCTTAATAAAATTACAATAAATTTTAATTTTCTATTCTATAATATACTTTTTTTGAAAACTTCTGAGATTCATATCTCAAATGTTCAATTGTTGTCTTGCTGCTATCAGCTTTTTCTCCCTTTGATGTGGCCTGGGATGATAACTCTATCCTTCAGCTTCTTGTCAGCTCCTGTAACTTTTCTCCTTACTTCTAAATGTTGTTGTGGCTGATGCTGAAATATTTTATCTTAGAGGTCTATAAAAGAAATGTTTTCCTCCAGGATAACCTGATACTATGCTCTTGGGTTTTTTTGTTGTTGTTGTTTTTGGTGTGTCTAAATTTTCACTGTAATCAGGAAATTTATCATGCAGCTACTAAGAGTCATGTATTCCCCAGTTCTATTCAAAACCTTGTACACACTCTTCCCATGTTTCATTAAATTCAAGCACTTTTTATCTTAAGTTGTACTTCCAGATTATCTAAATGGGCTTTCTTCTAAAGAGAGGCAGACACACTAAAAAAGGTTTTCCTTTGACTTTTTGGTAACTGGCTTAAGAAACAAGATTTTACATTTTATCAAGATAGTTCCTATGCTGCCTTTATTAAGTGTTTAATTGCTTTTTAAAATCTCCTGAAATTTGAAAGGGGTAAGGATTTTAAACCCGTGTAACTTTTTCTATTGCCTTTAAAGTCTTTCAATGATCACTTTGGTTAAATGAATAACTATTGATTTACAAGGACCTGTGGTTCAGTTTTGATCAAATATTTTACGCTTTCTCACATCTTTCACAGACATCTCCCAAATTGAATCCTAAATTAAGTCTCTGCCTTATTGCTGGGGCTTATCAAAGCTAAAAAACATTAATCACTGTGAAGTGTATCACCACCTCCAACACCCTGAAAAAGTTCTTATCAGGTGCTATTAAGTAATCTTTGTGGTGTTAAGGTTCAAGGAATTGACTCCTGGATACATGTAGCTCCCCTAAAGGAGAAACAGACTCCTGCCAGCATCTAAGATCAAACTCAACTTAACCAAAGCCTCATCTTTAGACTCAAGCAAAGGCAATAATCAAAGTACACTGCTTTCATGCAACACAGGGACAGGCCTGTATTATACTTTATTTAATAATTTTCCTTCTAACTGAAATAGAAATATATGGAATATAATTTATTCTGTGCCTTAATATTAAATAACTGAAATGTTTATCTACCTATAGGCTTCCTTTCCTGTCACTCATTCTTTTTTTTTGAGATGGAGTCTAGCTCTGTTGCCCAGGCTGGAGTGCACTGGTGCGATCTTGGCTCACTGCAATCTCTGCCTCCAGGGTTCAAGCAATTCCCCTGCCTCAGCCTCCCAAGTAGCTAGGACTACAGGCACACACCATCACACCCAGCTATTTTTTTTTTGCATTTTAGTAGAGACGGGGTTTTACCATGTTGGCCAGGATGGTCTCGATCTCCTGACCTTGTGATCTGCCTGTCTCAGTCCTGTCACTCTTAGGACAAGACAAGGCTTATGGCATTTTTGCTTAAAATGTTCTTAATGGTGAATATTTTGTTTTATTAATATAACCAGAATTTAAAACTGTTCAGTTTCTCCAGACCCAGGGACTATCATGGAAGATACAAATGCATGAGATTGTAAGGGCCGGTTCTTGTGGAATAAAATTAATTCAGATCCCCCAAATAAAGGATGGGAATACAGATGCCTAAACAGCTAAATAAAATACTTATGTTTTGTATAGCTATAGTTCCTATAAGCCAAGATTACAACAGCTCAATGCATAAAATTCAGAGACAATTCAGTTATGCAACCTTATCTTTTGACTTTTAGTTTTTGACTCTTACATTGCTTAAAAGGGGTTTTAAGGATTAATGACTGCCTGCCGCATTCATTCCAGTCTGGCCTACAGACTGGAATTGGATATAATTGGATATAAGACTTTTGATTCTAAGTACCTTGGCCATAGTGGTACAAATAAATATACATAATTAAAAAAATAATAAAAATACAAAAGTATTTTCTGATTACAGTACTCAATGTACACATTTTCTAATTGGTATTTTTTATCTGTCTGAGAACTAAAACCAAATTTAATAATCACTCACCAAAAATAAGAAAAATTAATATCTAATAGAATAGGTGATCTGTACAACGAAATGTCATGTAGACATTTATGGAAGTGAGGTGGAAGGAATTATGGAGTCCAGCCATTGTTTAAATATTTGTATAAGGAGAAGATAAAGCAACATCATGAAGTTCACACCTGCACAGTTATGAAATGATTGCTCCTTCTATTCAGACGTGACTGCTACACAAATCAATGCCTTGTTAACCTTCCACTTGTACAGCAAACTAAGTCATATACAGGAAAGTTTCACACATTTTTTTAAGCATAAGGATCTGAGCCAATTTTGCCTTTTGGTTTCCAGAACAGTTTCTGTCCTTCTCCTTTTCAACCAGAGATATTTCAGAGAAAATTTGCACAAAAACATAAAACAGAGAATATGTAACGTCTGTCTTTTCTAATAAAAGTGATATTCACATTCAATTTAGGAGAGAGAAATATGAGAAAAGATTAAAATAATTAAAAGTGTTCATTGAAAAATAATTGTGAATGCATTTTTAAAACAGAGGACTGAAGACCTTAAACACACAACACAAAAATAAAAATTTGGTTTTAGATGATGTTTATGACAACAAAAAAAGAAAAAAAATATACCCAAGAGTTAAACACATTTGCACAACAAATCATATCAAAACCAGGATAAATATTACAATGCAAGAAATAAAGTCTTAAGGTATCACTGGTCAGCCAGCAGAATCAGTATTGAATAAACTCAGCCTTATTCAAAAGAACTGAATTCCCCACCTCACCAACAGAAAGGACAGGGAGCTGCTGCCCTTGTGCATGGAGACCCCATACAGTGGCTCTGAGCTCAGAGGCTCCCATGTGGCTTTGACTTTGGTGGGCATGGTCTGGAGGAGAAACAACCTGTCACAGGGGCATCTACACCAGTGCAGGAGGTTACTATGGGTGCATCTCAAGGTTTTCACTACTACTGGCTGTTGTTGAAAGTATGTATACATAAACTGGGGAGTGGTGTTGGGGGATTGTCTAAGATTCACAAGGATATTAAGGGATTTAAGAGTCTACAGCAATGTTCTAAGTTCTAAACCAGCCGGGTGCGGTGGCTAACACCTGTAATCCCAGCACTTCAGGAGGCTGAGGTGGGTGGATTGCTTGAAATCGGGAATTCGAGATCAGCCTGGGCAACAAGGTGAAACCCCATCTCTACAAAAAATACAAAAAAAATAATTTAACTGGGCATGGAGTTGTGCACCTGTGATCCTAGCTACTTGGGAAAGTGAGGTGGGAGGATCACTTGTGCCCAGAAGTCGAGGCTCCAGTGAGCCAAGATCTTGCCACTGCACTCCAGCCCAGGTGTAAGAACGAGATCCTGTCTCAAAAAACAATTAAAATTTTTTTTTTAAAAGAAGTTCTAAACCTACAGCTTTACTCAAGGTACAGCTGAAAGTATTGGTGTAGGTGCAAGACATGCAGGTTGTTACATTTTTTACTTCATTATAGAGAAGTACCGTGGCTAAAAGAAGAGGCGCTGGGCCAGGCACAGTGGCTTACACCTGTAATCTTAGCACCCTGGGAGACAAAGCAGGGAGGATTGCTTGTGGCTAAGAGTTCTACACTAGCATGGGAAACACAGGAAGACCTGGTCTCTACCAAAACAAACAAACAAAAATTAATTAACCAGGCATGGTGGCTTGTGCCTGTAGTCCTAGCTATTCAGGAGGCTGAGGGGAGCATCATTTGATCCCAGTAGTTCGAACACAGAATCTGCTCTAGGATTGAGCCACTATACCCTAGCTGGACAACAGGATGAAATCTTCTCTCTCTCTTAAAAAAGAAAAAATACAAAACAATCTCTGGAGAAAAAATTATTGTTCTAGACTCTCTTAATAATAAGACAGTGTGGGCTAGGTGCAGTGACTCACACTTGTAATCCCAGTATGTTGGGAGGCCGAGGCGGACAGATCACCTGAGGTCAGGAGTTCCAGACCAGCCTACTCAACGTGGTGAAACTCCATCTCTACTGAAAATACAAAACAATTAGTCGGGTGTGCTGGCAAACACCTGTAATCCATTACTCAGGAGGCTGAGGCACAAGAATCGCTTGAACCTGGGAGGAGGAGGTTGCAGTGAGCCAGGATTGTGCCATAGCACCCCAGCCTGGGCAACACAGTGACTCTGTATCAAAAAAAAAAAAAGATAATAATAATGATAAGACAGTGTGGAATTTGCACAAAGATAGAAGAAACAACCAGTAACTTAAAAAATAAAAACAGAGCTAGAATGCAGACATATACATATATAAAAATTAATTTATACATTGATGCATTTGGGAAAGATCAATTTTTATTAAAGTGTTCCAGGAAATTGAATATCCATAGGGAACAACCAAGATCTGACCTTTGACCTCACATACACACAAAATCAATTCTAGTTGGTTCATAGGCTTAAATATAAAAATAATAGTGTATTCAGAAAACAATTTAGGAAAATAGCTTCATGACAGAGGGTAAGTTGAGCTGTCTAACTAGACCTGAAAATTATTTACCATGTAAAAGAAGACACATTCTACATAGTCAAAGTGAGCAAAGACTCTGGGGCAGACAGTATCAAACTCAAGGTTCCTTTATACCTGTCCTGTAGAAAGTCAGCTCAGACTCTGAAATGGACCACAGACGTGAAAATCATGCTTACTTCTTGAGATGTCAGTGTGGATTGTATGAAATGGTAACATATAAAGCTTGTAGTATATTATCAACCCTATACTAACCCCTAAAAATTAATTTTCTAATAAATTGCGAGATATATCATTTGCGTCAATTGTAACATGTCATTATTTCATGCACCAGAATGGAAGAACAAAACCACTAACAAATGAAGAAACTAGTACTTTTATCACTTATAAATAAATCACATAGTAATAACATAAATACATTACAATTACTGGAAAAAATATTTTCAATGTGCATACATGTGGATATTTGTCTTGTGTCATTCCTACATGGGATGGAACATACAAGAAAAATACATTGACAAAGGTTTTCCTAAATTTTCTCTCATTGAGATGTAACTCTCCTGAATCACTCTTCAACTCATCTGCTCATGATTTTCCCCATATTATTATCACCTGTGCTAATCTGACGCTTTGGTGATGCGGCACTTCTTGCGAGATTCCTATGTTGCTCCTGTGAGTTTATCTTTCCAACCGTCTGAAACCCCCTACGCAAGACATGATGTTGATGATATGACCTGAAGATGTCAATGGAAGGTTTATAGACCAAGCTCATGTATATGTAAATGAGGACAATCACGTTATGGTCGCCTTCTCGTCAATAATGTTTTAACACTATCAAATTTAAGGTGCATCTGTGGTTCATAAAAGTGAAAATGTGCCCTCTATGATGAATGGAATACACTGTCCTCTGTGACTGCCCATTTCTCAGTGTTAGATTATGATGGCTCATCAACTGTATTCTTATCTGTTATTGAAGAAACATGCTTAAATCTTATCATGTAAGTTTACCAAGTGCATTTACATTCTACATAGCTATTAGAGACATTACAGTTATTAGTGGAATACTATAATTATTCTGTTATGCATGGAAATGTAGTTTTATGAACTATGGTTTAAGAAATCCATTGAGGAAGAAGATAGAAATTATAAAGAGTTACTTGAAAAATTCACTCGAGTGATAGCTTTCTAAAGACCTAGAAAAAGCTGTAAGTTGAAACTTCCCACTGCAATCTTAGGAATTTGACCAATGACCCTTGTAAGCTTCATTATAAATTCCATGCTTTCAGCTATAACATTTATGTAACTCTTTTTTCTTCATTCCCATTTGCTGTTTTAACCATATGGTCGGTGATCATAGAAATCACTTGATAATTAGTCACTGCAGAAGTAGATGCATAATGGTCTTTATAAAATGTTTTAATCTGCCCCCTTGCTACTCTGCTCAACCCTAATTTGGGTACTTGGATTTGAGGATTGGTATTGGTTTTCCCTCAGGAATATACTGATTGAAGGAGAAACACATAAAGTATGAGTTTCTGTACACCCAAAATTCAGTCAACCTCCTAAACTATGGGAGTTTCTTTATGTGTATGCAGAAACTCACATACAAAAACAAAAACTCACATAATTTAGGAGGTTGACTGAATTTTGCCCTACAGTTTTAAATTCCAGCAAGGCTAAATTAAATAAAGATAAAGTCATGCTCTCAAATATCCAAGACATTCTTCCATTGAACTCCAACTTCTAATCAGGTTAGAATGTGGAGACAAAGAGTTGGATGTCTGCCTCATGATCTGGTCTAGAATTTGGTTTCTTTTAAATGGCATCTCTTTTAGAATTGTGGTGTCCAGGCCAGCCTCTAAGGAACAGTTGGTTTAAGATATTGTGGGAAATCACATCTTCCATGCAGTTAGTTTGTCTGAGGACTCATTGCTCAGCACTTCATCAGCTGCTTTCTCCACACACTAGCATCCAACTGCAAAAATTCTGTTGTGTAAAAGATTCATATCCAGGTCTCTGTAAGTAGAGACTGGCCTAAACCAATTTATTAGAAACATTTGTTGTACTCTGCTTACCTGCTACCTTGGTGGCTTTAGGGTTGGCAGTGGGCAACATAATTACACAATGTGAGTGTCAACAGAACCCACGGTCCCAAACGATTCCTGATGGAGTCTGTAGAATGAAAAGAACTAAATTAGAACATATTTTTCTGAATGGTTTGAAGGTACAGTTGTCTTTTGATTACTTGAAGAAGAAATCCCTGTACCAAGAAAACATTATCCTGAATGCAGAAATATGATTTATGTTCCCTGTCACTGAAATTTCTTATTCCTGGCTTCTAATATCTGAGAGTCATATCTCCCAAAAATGCTTCAGTGGGATCCTGAATATACACTGCTAAATGATGTCTACACATGGGGCTTTCTGGGATATGTGAAGGAAAGGCAGCTTTTTCTGAATAGATGGTTGCTGACACTCCAACTGCTGACTGGGTAATGGAGAAGGAGAAAAAGGATGACAGTCCCTGGAGCTTGATGGAGCCCTCTTGAAGCAGGTGCACCTGGGTTTTGAAAGGTGACTAGATAAAAAGAGTGCTACTTTGCTATTCTCTCCCTATGTGCCCATTCATCTCTGGAAGCCAGTTTTTTTATGTCTTTGTTTTCTTTTAAAAAATATAATAATTTTAGCAAACAAATTTATTTTGAAATAATTGCAGATTTACAAAAAGATACACAGGTAGAACAGACAGTTTCATATACCCTTCAGCTAACTAAAATGTTACTATTATAACCATAGTATATTCATGAAAACTAAGAATTTCACTATGTTTCAAAACTATTAATTGATCTACAGACTTCCTTCATATTTTACCAGAATTTCTAATAATGATATATTCATCTGTTCCAAGACTAATCTAGAATACCACATTGCAATTACTGTCAGGTATATTACTTAAGACTTGGTGCATAACAAATTACTATACATCTGAGTGGTTCAAAACCACACACATATTACTCACAGTTTCTCTGGTTCTTCAGTCCAGATGTAGGTGATGGCCCAGGCTATGGCCCATCTGGGGAAAGGTCTCCTTCCAAGCTTATGTAACTGTTCTTAGGATTAACCTCTCTGACCTCATCAAGAAGAATTCATTAGTGAATTATTGGAATCACTTAAACAATTAATACTAATTTATTACAAATTATTCCCATAATGTGGAGAAGGCATGATTTCCCATTGTATACTGATTTAGTTTACTCTGATACCACAACTAGACAAAGACATTTCAAATATGGAAAATGAAGAGCAATATACCTTATGAATACAGGGGCAAAAATCATCAAGGAAATATTAGTAAAACAAACCAGAAACATGTAAAAAGTATTATACACTATGTCAAGGGTATTTACCTCAGAAAAGCAAAATTTAGTTCAACATACAATACAATTAGTGCTATGCACTATATTCATATAATAAAGAAAAAAACCACATAATCATCTCAGAAGTTGCATAGGCACTTGAAAATTCTCAAATTCTCTATGAGAAAAATATGCAGCAAATGAGGCAGATAAGGGAACTCTCTTCCTTTTAAAGAGGATCCATGAAAAACTAACATGTCATCATAGGTTATCTGAAAGGTTCACTAACTTCTCCAAGATTAGAAACAAGACAAGGATTTCCACTCTTGACACTTGTTTTCAACATTGTACTGGAGGATATAGACATGGCAATTAGTCTAGAAAAATAAATATACGGCGTCCAGTATGGAAAGGAAGTCAAACTATGTCTGTTGGCATATGACCTGATCTTATGTATAAAATTTCCAAAGGGCTCTAATCAAGTATGTTTAGAATTTAGAAATGAGTTCAACAAACTTGCAGTATATAAGGTCAATATATAAAATCCTCTGAATTTCTATATGCTAGCAATTAACAATCTAAAATAAAAACTCAGAATGTTCCATTTAAGATGACATCAAAAATAAGTTTATCAAATTAAGTATAAGATATATACACAAAACTATAGAAAATATTTTCATAAAAAATAAATGGAAAAAAAACTTTGACTATTCATTGCTTATAATGGTTATTGTTGTTAGGCTGGCAATATTTTCCAAATGGTTCTATAGATTTAATGCAACCTCTATCAAAATCCCATGTGACATATCCTTTCTCTAAATTCACAAAGTTTATCTAAAATTCATATATAATGCAATAGACCCAGAGCAGCCTAAATACTTTTGAGAAAGAAGAAAAAATGTTGGCATGGGAGATACATAATTCCTGACTTCAAAACTCACTACAAAGTAAGAGTAATCAAGATTTACGGTACTAGTATAAGAATATAGATGTTGATCAATGTAATAGAATATAATGCTCAAAAATGAATACTTATATTTGTAGTGAAATAATTTTATAATGTCACCAAATAAATTATATATGGATAAATATTTTTACTCAAATATTTCTGAAACAAGTGCATATTCCGTGTAAGTTGAACTGCCTCACACTGAAAATGTAAATGACTCAGAATGATCATATATCTCCATATAATAGCTAAACAATTCCAAAATACAGAAAATAGCACAAGAATACATCTTCGTGGTCTTAGATTAAAAAATCTTTCCTAAGATATGATGCTGAAAGCAAAAGGGAAGAAGAAAAAACAGGTATATTAAATCTCATTAGAATTTGAAACTTTTGTGATTCACGCTACACCATCAAAAATAAAGACGCCCAAAGAATGGGACTAAATATTTGCAAACAAAAGCAAAAACTGGCAAATTAAATCCAATAAAACTTAAGAGCTTGTGCACAGCAGAAGAAAACTATCAACAGAATATACAGACAACTTACAGAATGGGAGAAAAGTTTTGCAACCTATGCGTCTGACCAAGGTCTAATATCTAGCATCTATAAGGAACTGAAACAAATGTTCAAGAAAAAAAAAAACCAACCCTAAAAAAAAGAGGGCAAAGGACATGAACAGACACTTTCAACAGAAGATACATATGTAGCTAACAATCATATGAGAAAACCTCAACCTCACTGATCCTTAAAGAAATGCAAATCAAAACTCAATGTGACACCATCTAACACCAGCCATCTAACTAATTGGTGGATGTCTCCATTAGTTCAACCATTGTGGAACTAATGCAGTGTGGAGATTCCACAAAGACCTAAAAACAGAAATATCATGTAACCCAGCAATCCCATTACTGAGCATATACCCAAAGAAATAAAAAGTGCTCTATTAAGAAGGCACATGCATGCATATGTTCATTGCAGCCCTACTCACAATAGCAAGAACATGGAATCAGCCTAAATGCCCATCAATGGTGGACTGCATAAAGAAAATGTGGTACATATACAGCACGGAACACTACGCAGCCATAAAAAAGAATATCATGTCCTTTACAGGAAAATGAATGGAGCTGGAGGCTATTATCCTTACCAAACTAACGCAATAACAGAAAACCAAATACCATATTTTTCCCCTTATAAGTCGGAGGTAAATGACGAGAACACATAAACATACAGTGGGGAACAACACACACTGAGGCCTATTGAAGGGTGGAGGGTGGGAGGCGAGAGAGGATCAGAAAAAATAACTAATGGGTACTAGGCTTAGTACATTGGTGATGAAATAATCTACAACAAACCACCATAACACAAGTTTACCTATGTAACAAATGTGCACATCTACCCTGAAACTTAAAAGTTAAATTAAAAACCAAATATTTGCAAATTTTATAGGTGATAATGGTCTATTGTTAACCATATATGACAACATCTTAGAGCTCAAAAATAAAAAGGCAAATATCTCAATCAAAAATGGAAATTATTCAAATACCCAATTCTCTAAAAAAGCTACAGTCATACCCAAATCACACGAAAAGACACACAATGCCTTTTGCCATTATGAGGTAGGAGACCGGCAGGTGGTTTTCTGGTCACAACCCTGCTGATCAAAACAAGATCTGGTCCAGACAGCATACAGTGAAGAAACAGGCAAACAGACACACAGGGATCCCTGGTTGTCTTCACTGCTCACTGGCATGAGACATTCCCTCCAGCACCATGACTGTTTATAAATTCCATGCCAACAACCTGGAATTTAACCACCTCTTTCCATGGCAACAACCCAGAAGTTACTGCTCCTCTCCTAGAAAGTTCTGAATAACCTGCCCATCAAGTTTCATTGATCCACTCCTCAATTTACATGTAATTGAAAGTGAGTTTGCCTTAGTGTAAAGATAGTTGACAAGAGCCCATAGGTTACCAACCGATGCGATGCCTATGAGTTAGCCCTGCTCTTTAAGGAGCAGTACTGTTCAATAAAAGATTGCTGTCTATCACCACTGTCTTGCCCTTAAATACTTTCCTGGGCAAAGCCAAGAACCCTGCCAGCTGAAGCCCCAAATTTGGGGCTTACCTGTCCTGCAACAATAGGGGAAGGGAAGTCTAAAAAAACATGATACGTACTTCAAAAATCTAAAAGGTATATTGCTATGTGAAAAAATATAAGTTGGAAAAGGCAAAATACTGTGTAATTCCACCTATATGATTCTCTGGAAAAGGAGAAAAGGATAGTGATAGCAAAGAGCTCGGTGGTAACGAGGAGCTTGGGAGAGAGAAGGTGGGATGCGTGAAATACAGGAGGTTTCTTTGGGGCAGTGAAATTACTCTCTCTTATACTGTAATGGTGGATACATAATAATGTTTTCCGAATCCTGAAGAACTTTATAACACAAACAGTGTATCTAAATTATGCAAGTTTAAAACCTTATTTAGTAGGTAGAGGGTTTCCAAGGAGGAATGCCCAAAAAAATAATATAACTATGTAATGAATGTATGGAATAGCCTCACTAAAGAAAGTGGAGGAAAGCAATGGACCTAAGTAATTTGGGAAATAAGTGGACATTCTGAGGGTAAAGGCCAAAGTATTTATACTTAAGTACTGTACTTTGCTTGGTAAAATTGTCTCCCATTGGGGTATAAGTTACCAGTTCTGAAACCACTCTGCATGGATGTTCAGGTAGTACGATTAAGTGAACAGCATCAACTTCTTCACAGGGAGAGTAAGAGACTACATACATCATTCATATGGTGCTGGATTAGATCATATGGTATTGGAAACATTAGTAGAAATTATACAATCATACAATTAGCCTGCAGTACAATTAAATACACAGTTAGCCTGGAGCACCTAGTAGTGGTTAAAGAAAAGAAAATGCTAAACAACAACAAAACCAACCAATCATACAACATTGAACCTTAATTATGTGGGTATTTCAAAATTATACCAGAGACAACTAAAAAACCTTCCAATAGCCAACCATGAAACAATCTGAGCAATCAAATAAATTAGCATATATAAAGTACAAAATAAATATCCATGTTTAGATGATGATATAAATAATTTATGTATAAATGAATAAATTTGTAGTAGAATAGACATGCTTACGGTTGAGAGTTCAAATAAATTTGTAGACATTCTGCCAATAAAAAGGTAGATCGTGAATCCCCACTTTTTTTTTTTTTTTTGAGATGGAGTCTGGAGTCTCGCTCTGTTGCCCAGGCTGGAGTGCAGTGGCGTGATCTCAGCTCACTGCAAACTCTGCCTCCCAGGTTCAAGTGATTCTCCTGCCTCAGCCTCCCGAGTAGCTGGGAGTACAGGCATGTGCACTGTGCCTATCTAATTTTTGTATTTTTAATAGAGATGAGCTTTCCCCATGTTGGCCAGACTGGTCTCGAACTCCTGACCTCAGATGATCAGCCTGTCTCAGCCACCAACAGTGCTGGGATTACAGGCGAGAGCCATCGTGCTTAGCCCATGACTCCCCACTTCTTAAATGCATGTTGTGTTAGTGACTTTGTTCTGAAACATTCTGTGGGGAAAGGGAAAAATAATAATTTCACCATGTGTGATAATTTGATAAAAATGACCTCATCTAGGTGATCAAATTAACATTAACAGTGATAAAGCCTGTTGAGAGCCTGTGCCCTTGGTATGATGTGAGGAGAATGGCACCTTTCCTCTGTCATCTTCCTCTCCTAAACCCACACATCTTATGATGAAAAAAACCTCAAGAGAAATCCCACATTAGGAATGTCAATATCATCAAAAACTAGGAAACGCTAAGAAACTGCAATAGTCAGAGAAATCTAAGGAGACATGATATTTAACTGTGCTGAGGTATCCTGGAGGAGATCCTGGAATAGAAATTAGACATTAAGTGAAAACTAAGAAAATCTGAATAAAGCATGAAGAGTAGTTAATGATACTGTTTAAAATTGGTTAATTGTGACAAATGTCTGAAATTAAGAAGTTAATAAAAAGAGCAACTGTAGTGGGATATATGGAAAGTCTATGTATTGTATTTAAAACAATTCTGTAAATCCTAAATGACTCTTAAATGTATAAAGTTTCTTTTTATTTAAAGTCACTGCTGACTTTATAAAATAGAACATGAGGAATATGTTGATAGCTGTTAATGGAACTCCTTAGCTTCATCATCTTCCTTAATCACTGAAGGTAACTATTACTGTGAATTTGTTATCCTCTAATTTGTGTTTGTTATATTTATCTCTATGTTTATATTTCTAATATCCATAATGTTTAGTTTTTCTTGTCTTCAAACTTAGATGACATGTGTTTAATGTATACATGTCCCTAGTTTAATCATGAGAAATCATGAGACAAATCCATACTGTGGGACATCTTACAAAATATCTGACCTGTACATTTCAAAAGGGTCAAGGTCAAGAAAAATAAGTGAAGACTATGAAACTTGCAGATTGGAGAGGACCTAACGTGTCAGTTAGACCCTGCAATGGTGCCCAACGATCCCCACCTGCAAGAAATACCTGTGCTTTGTTGAGTTGCCTCCTCCGTGGCTCACATAACCAACACATGTGAGCTCAACTTTTTTCGAACTCAGAGCTCTCCTAGACAGTGGCTACATTGGTGGGAATGGAGTGGACACAGGTCGAACAAGTGCCACAAGGGTGTCTGACAGTATAAACAAATATCCTGTGAGAAGGATGCTGGGTCAAAGATTGTACACTTATGCTTTGGGGTATCCACCAGGATAAATAAGTATCCCATGAAAGGCACACTGTAAACATCCAGGACACAGTTTCCTGGAGTCCTGTTGGGCAGGGTGATAATTTATAGTCACTATCCCTAGAGAGACCTCAAGAGATTATTAGACATAACAAAAATACAAGAGATGTAGAGGTGATTTTATAAATTGTGGCTCAAAGATCCCATAAGAAGGAAGATAGAAATGGTAAAGTGTTACTTCAAAGTTTGCAGCAGAGTGCAACTCTCTGAAGACAGAAAATCCTGTATCTTGAGATTTAATCTTAGAAATATAAGCAGAGTTTATTCTAAGTTGCTTTCCAAATCCGATTCTTCATCCAGATCAACTGCATATTTTTTTCCTCCCTCCCCTTTTATCCTTCGTATCCCATGAACGACGGTCATGTGAATCTCACTGTAAGCAGGGACTGCAGATGCCTGTGCATTGCTGTTTTCACGAAATGCCTTGCTCTGACCTCTTGTTACTCTTGTCAGCCCCACTTGCCGATACTTAGAAAATGAAACAGGCTTTGGTGTTCCCTAAAGAGTTTACTGAATGAAGAGGAAACTCATATAACGTATAATTTAGAATGTTGAGCATATTTGCACTGAGAGTTTCAGCTTCTACAAGGGCTCAATTCAGTGAACATGAAGCCCTAATCTCAAGTTTAGGAGTCATGCACCCTTTAAATTTTATTCACTATTCAGACTAGAGGGCGGAGACAGAGTTGGGTTCTTGCCTAAGGACGTGGTCAGATGATGAGGTGTTTTCAATGGCATCTTTCTGAGAATTCTGGTGGCCAATCCAGACTCAGTACAAATCATATTTTCCAAGCTATCATGCTAATGTTTGGGAGCTGAGTGCTCAGCACTGTGTCCTCTGTGACTGGGACATCATGGTAGCAGAGTTTTATGTGTAATCACTTTTCCAGTCTTAACCCTGAGCACTCAGAGCTCATTGACCCCCTTTGCCACCTAGAGATGAGTCTGTCCTTCTACACATCTACTTCTGTCTACTTCATGGCCTGCCACTGGATTTCTTTCTTCTTTTTTTTTTTTTTGCTGAAGAATTTACTCATGGATGATCTTCACAGTACACATCATAATAGACCACATGTATGCATTGAAATGAAGAGGAAAATGGGATTGTACAAGTCACTTACCTTATAGAAACTCCTGTTATAATGAAAGAAAAAGAGCAAACCCCCATGACTTAAGATTGCCAATTTAAATGAAACCATCCTTTCCGATGGGGTGAACTGTAAGATTAGAGGGGTAAGAAGGTTTACTGAAATATAAATGCCCCAAATAATAGCACCTGAATTACTGCTACAGTCTTCTGAGAAGTAAGAAATATGGTCAAGGTCAGCTGTGTCTCTCATTGTAGGTCTCCAGGATGCAGGAGTTTGTTTTTTCACTGTAGATATGAACATGGTATGGAGAATGTAGCCCATGATCACAGTCTGAAAAAGCAAGAGTCTTGACTTTGTGGATGTCCTTGGGAGTGTAGTATGCAGTCCCATGGCTTAGTAAGCTTTGTGGGCATGGTTCCTGGAACATCCCTGGTGTTCCTCTGTAAAGTGGTGTGGCCTGTGAACAGGGAGCTGTGTTGGGGAAGAGGGGACAGTCCTCCCCGCTGTGGGGATCTTTGTTTAACCAGCACATTTGAAGAGTCAGCACTCGGCCTGTGTCCATCTCTTAGATCACTGCATGGTGGGCTGGTGTATGTTGTACTGTGCTGTTCGTTCCTTTTTTCTATTAGGCTATTTCCACCTCTGCACAACACACCCTGTATCACTAACATGCCTCACTTTCATACATCTGATGTCTAAAGGTTCATTTCCACATCTTTTTGAGCAGGAATTAACCTACAACTCCATGATTATAATTTTTCTTCATATCTAGTTAACTTTCTTCCATGATAATGTTATTCTGTGGCTTTTGGGCTTGTCGCTTGAAATGGTTTGGCTGTGTCTCCACCCAAATCTCACCTTCAATTGTAATAATCCCCATGTGTCAATGGCAGGGCCAGGTGGACAAAACTGAATCATGGGGGCAGTTTCCCCCATACTATTCTCATGGTAGTAAACAAGTCTCACAAGATTTGATGGTTTTATAAATGGGAGTTCCCCTGCACAAGTTCTCTTGTCTGCCACTATGTAGGATGTGACTTTGCTCCTCATTTCCCTTCTGCCATGATTGTGAGGCCTCCCCAGCCATGTGCAACTGTGAGCCAGTTAAACCTCTTTCTTTTATAAATTACCCAGTCTTAGATATGTCTTTATTAGCATCATGAGAACAGATCAATATACCACAGGACAATATAGATCCATGATGTGAGTGTCAAGAGAATGTCTGGTCCCATAAAATCGTTATGGAGTGTGCATGACGAAGAAAACTGAATTATCACAGTGTTTTCTCAAAGGCTTAAGGCATCCTTTTCCTTTAAAACTTGGGGAATAAAAGGAATCCCTGTACTAAGAAAACACTCTTAATTCAGAACTATTTATGTTCACCATCACTGGCGTTTCTCAATCTTCTCTTCTAATGTCTGGAAGTCATATCTTCTAAAATGTCTTTATAGTGAGATCCTACAAAGACACTGCCAGAAAGTGCCTGAATACAGGGCCTTCTAACATATGTGAGAAAGGCGTCTTTCCTTGAAAAAGTGATTATGAACACAATTGATAACTGGGTAATGGGAAGTGTGATGGGAAAGAAGAAAGTGGATGAGTGTCCCTGGAGCTTGATGGTGTCTTTCTGAAGCAGGTGCCCTGTGTAGGAACGGGGGATAATAAGGCAAGCTACTTTGCCATAGTCTCCTATATCTCCATTCATCCTCTGATCTGTGGTTTTATTGTGGTTTAAATCTGTCTTTGTTATTGTTGTTTTATTTTCTGGTACCTGAATATTACATTTCAAGAAATATTTTTATTTTATCATAGTTTTAGTTTTATAGAAAGTAGTAAAGATAATAGAGTTTCGTATATCCTACAGCTTCCTGAAATGTTAACACCTTATATCACCATAGCATATTTATGAAAACTCAGAAATTGACAGTGGTACAAAACTATTAACTGGAAAAGATTTTCTTTATATTTTACCAGCTTTTCCACTAGTGTCATTTTTCTGTTCTAGGGTCTAATCCAAGATACCACATTACATTTACTGTCAGGCATATAACTGACCGATTGTTGTATAATATATTACTACATAGTTTAGACTTTCCAACCCAGCCCTACACAGTACTTACAGTTTCTCTGGGTCAGATGCCTGGCAGAGATTTCAAGGGAAGGCTCATCTGGGGAAGGATCCCCTTCCAAGCTCCTGGGATTCTTGGGAGGATTCAATTTCTGTCCAGGTCAAGATGACTTCACTGGTGAGTTATTCAAAGCCTTTTGGGAATTAATAACAATCAATAAAAACAGACTAGTAAAGAACCTTTCCTAATGCAATGTATGAAGCCAGTGTTCCCTGACACCACAGCTAGACAAAGACATTTCAAGAAAAGAAAATTACAGACCAATGTGAAACAGGTAAAAAGTATCAAGGAAATATTATCAAAATTAACTAGTAACATATAAAAAGGAGTATACACTAGGAGCAAAACTATTTATCCCTGCAATGTAAGTCTGGTTAAACATACAAAAACAACTGGTGTTATAAAATATACTAATAGAATTTTTTAAAAAGACTCATGGTCACCTCTAAAGACACAGAATAGGCATTTGACAAATTCCAAACCCATTCATGATAAAAGCTCTGGGAAAATTAGGCATAGAAGAAAACTTTCTAAATCTACAAAGAGCATCCATGGAAAACTCACATAACATGAGGAAAGACATATAAGCCAACAGAATAGAGTTGAGCACCCCAAATCAATCTTTATATATAGGGCAAACTTATTTTCAAGGTTGAAAAATTAATTCAAGATGAAAAAATAGTTTTTCAACAAAAGTTGCTGGGAGAAAGGGATATCCACATGCAAGTTAAACTGTTTCCTGCACCATATATGTATTTGACTCAAAATAGAATATGTGGCTAAATGTAAGAGCTAAAACTAAAAATCCCACAGAAGAGAACATAAAAATAGATTTTCATGGCCTTACGTGAAACAATGGATTCTAACATGTGACACAAAAGTACAAGTGACAGAAAAAAAAATAGATACATTGAACTTCATGTGGATCAATACCTTTTAAGATGCAAAGTACACCATCAAGACAACTGAAATAACGGAAGAAGATATTCTCAAGTCATATAACTGTTAGGAGACTATTATCCAGAATATATGAAACATTCAGGCATGCACCACCACCCCTGGCTAATTTTTGTATTTTTAGTAGAGATGGGGTTTCGCCATGTTACTTAGGCTGGGCTCAAACTCCTGGCCTCAAGTGATCCACCCACCTGAGCTTCCCAAATTGCTGGGATTACAGGCATGAGCCACTGTGCCAAGCCTCGTTCTTCATTATTATTTTCTAAATTTGTATTTCTAAATAATATATTGTTCAGATATTTTTTATCTTCTACTTTAGATAAATACGTGTATAAATGAATGTTTAATCTTACTCAAATTATGAAAAAATATAACAAATCCATATTGTGATACATCCTATGGAACACCTGACAAGTTCTTTTCACTAAGATCAAGGGCAAAAAAATAAGTGAAGACCCAGAAACTGATACAGATTAGACAGGGCCTGATGTGGCAGGTAGGTTCTAAGATGCTTTCCAATGATCCACACCTCTAGATATGCAGAACCCTATTCTAATATCCTCACTGTGAGGTTTAGACATGCCATACCACATGTATAAACAAACACAAAAGGGGCAAAGTGTATGGAACAATGGTTTGTAGAGAGATTATATCAAAGAGTGAAGGACAGTGATACCTGAGGCATACAATACTGTGACATGAGCTCTACCATTGCCTCAAGATACCACCTTGGGAGATCTTCCAGGCTGTGGTGTGGCATGGACTTTGGAAGACACTGTGAGTTGAGAAGATGGAACTGAGAGTCGAGTACAGACTGGCTGGATCGCATCTAGCATTTCTTGACATCCAGTGGTAAGAATGGGAGACAGCATCCATGTCAGCATCCATGCAGGCTGGACTGCTATTGTCATCATTACTCACTGAAATATGGTTCACAGAAGTACAGGAGCAACGCAGAAACAAAGGCAAAGACACAAAGAAAAGTTACTTGAATGAAGATTTAATATTGTACAAAGACTGACGCCTTTACATGTTGTACCAAAACCAAGGCTTAAAAAATAACCATTCGAGATAAAGTAAATGATGTGTATAAGTCGAATAAACCAACCAAGTGGACACATACCTACTCTTACTATACAATTTTCATACATGTGGCTGATAAACTCACTATATTATAAAATAATGAAAGTGGAGCTTTCTATTTATAAGAGCAGAACAAAATTATCAGAAAAATAAAGATTAAAAATATTTTTACCTCCATTTGTTTTCCTATAAAACCTTAAGTTTGCTTTATATTTGGAAAATAATTTGTCACTTTCTTTACTACATCAATTGCACTGCCATTCTAGTTTGCATGGAGTATAGGGTTGCTATTTATATGCAGTAAAATTAAGTTAAATGGTGCCAGGCTGCAATATCATAGATGAGGGGTTGTTATTATTTTTGTTATTTTAACCAAGATCTGTCATTGAAACTCTCCATGTACAGTATTGAAGCCAAGAGACCCTGACTGCAGCCCTAACTGGAAAATCAAATGCCCATCTACTGATTTGGAGCACTTGTAAAATATCAGTGTTCACGCTCTCTTGGCTGCTCACATCTCATAAATCTTGGACACATGTCCCCTATGTCCCCAGAATAATTTTAGAGCATTATATTGACTATTACCTTTCTTGTACAGTAGACATGTGTTATTGAGTTTCAGCGACTCATTCTGTATGAATGCTTCACTCACAAGAGGATGTGTTGTCAACATAGTCGTGTTGGAATTAAGGCACTCCTCAGTGCAAGCTCTCAATAAATTCTGGTCTGTTTGTTGGAGTCCTGCTAAATAATATCTGAAAATGGGGCTTTTTGAGACATGCAAGTAATAGGCATCTGTCTTTCAAAAACTGGTTACGTAGTTAGCACCAGATGCTAAAACTGGTGACTGAAAAATGCAGAATATGATGAAGAAGATGAAAGAGGACGAGTCTCTGGATCTTGGGGGGGATCTTCCTGAAGCAAGTGTACCTGTGTTCCAGTTGGTAAATCGATATGGAAAGATGCTTTGCTATTCTCTCTCTACGTGCCCTTTCATCTCCTGAGCTGAAGGTATTCTGTTTGTGCTTTGGAGTTATTTTCATAACACATTTAATGCTTTCTTCAAAAACATTTTTTCTTTGAAATAATTTTAAATACACAGAAATATGCACAGATAGTAGAGAAAGCTTAGATATCTTTGGATTACATGCAATGTAATAGATTATGTATCCATGAGCCCTAAAAAATAGTTGGCACAAAACTATTTATTGAAGTATAGGCTTTTTCCATATTTTACTCGGCTTTTAAGTAATGTCATTTTTCTGTCCAGGATAACACATTCCATTGACTGCCAGGTGTATTATTTATTACTGAATAATAAATTCTCACATACTAAGTGGCTCTTACTCACAGTTTCTCTGTATCATGAATCCAGATGTCGATGATGGCCAATGAGAAGGTCTCAAGTGAAGTTTCAGCTGGGGAAGGATCCTCTTCCAAGTTCGTGTGATTGTTGTTAGGAGTCAAGGCCCTGTGCTGGTTGAGATGACTTCACTGGTGAACTATTCCAAACCTGAAAATAATTAATAACAATCTATCACAAACTCTTCATAAACACTTAAACAACAGTAAAAGTGGAGAAGAGATCACTTTCTGATGTATACTATTAGTTGGTTTACACTGATATTACAACCAAAGCAAGACCTTTCAAGAAAGAAAAATTAAGACTAATATGTTTTATAAATAAAGGGTAAATGTCTTCAATAAAATGCTAGCAATACAAATCAGCAAATGTAAAAAGAATTATACACCATCAAAAAGGGTATTTGTCTCAGGAATGCAAATTTGGTTTAACATACAAAATAATTAGTATCATACCTTATAACAATAAAATAAAAAACAAAAGCCATATGATCATCTCAAAAGATGCAGGAAAGGCACCTGACAAATCCAAAATCCATTTTTGATAACAGTATACAACAAATTAAGCCTATAAGAAAAGTTTCTTTATTTTAAAGGGCATCCATGAAAAAATTAGTATCATCATAATTTAATTTAAAGGCTCAATAATAGTATAAACTTGGACATACAGATCAAAGGAATATAGTAGAATTGAATGTACAAAAATTAATCTTTACCTTTATAGTCAAATGATTTTATAAAGTTGCCAAGCCAATTCAATATGGAAAAATATATTTGTAACAAATGTTGCTAGGACAATTGAATATCCACAAGGAAGTTGAACTTCTCACTCACACCATATACATAATTGGCTCAAAATAATCATATACCCAAATGTAAGATCTAAATAGACCAAACCCTTAGAAGATAATATAGAAATACATAATTTGGGTCTTAGGTTAAACAATAACTCCTATAATTTCTAAGATAGGATACTTAAAGCCCAAGAAAAGGAAATAAAAAACATGAATATATTTAACTTTATAAGAATTAAAATCTTCTGAGATTCAAAGTACATGATTAAAGGTAAAAAGATAATGCAAAGAATAGAAGAAAATCTTCACAATCACATAGCAGAAAAGAATATATTAGCCACAATATATAAAATATTTTACAACTCAAAATAAAAAGTTAAATATCACAATCAAATTGGTGAACTATCTGAATAGACATGTATCCAAAGATACTATAGTCACGTCTAGTAAGCACATGATATGAGGCCTAAGCCTTTTGTCATTAGGAAAATGCAAGTCTAAACAACCATGAGATACACTTCACAAATCTAAAGGGTATATTGCAAAAAAAAGTAAATTTAAAAAGGCAAAATACTTTGTGTGATTTCAGTTATGTGACACTCTGCAATGTGAAAAAGTAGAGAGATACTAAAATGTTTGGTATTTACTAGGAGCTTGGAAAAGAGGCAGGTCAAACTGGTGAGGTACAGCAGATTTGCTCTAGGCAGTGAAATTATTCTGGTATCATATACTGTAATGATAAATACATGATTATATTTTCCAAATCCTAAATAATTTTATAATACAAAAGGTGAACTTAAAATATACAAATTAAAAACTTTCTACAGTAGGTAGCAGATAGCATGGGGCTATACACATAATGGAATGAAATAACACATCAGTGAAATAACCTCACTGAATGGAGTGGGGGAAAAGCAGCTGACCCAAGGAACGTAGCAAGTAAGTGGATATTCTGAGTCTAAAGGGTAAAGATTTATCCCTAAAAACTTTAGTTGGTAAAGTTCTTTCTCATGGCCATATACATTTCTAATTCTGAAACCACTTACACAAGTCTTCCGGATTATGTGATTAAATAACAGAAGCATCTTTATCACTGTTAGTGTGGTAGGCTACATACAAGTAAGCGGGAATAGGTGCGCTGATTCATGTGGTACTGGATTAGATCATGGGGTGCTGGAGGATTATTAGGAATTCATGTTTAACTTAAAGATACAGATATATGAGAAAATATTTGTGTGTGTGTGTGTGTGTGTGTTTCTGTGTGTGTGTGTGTGAATCAGTGTACATAGATGTATTTGCTCTGTCAGCACACAAGATCACGAATCAACAGATGCCCCAGGAGCAATGAATATGCCAAGAGCCCAGATCTCCATTTCTAATTCAATTTTCCAATAAGAAGAACTAGGGCTCTGTGGAAAAAATGGTTAATACCAGGCTTGTGAGGAAATCCACACAATTAGCTTAAGTACCTAGTAGTGCCAGAAAAAATAAAGCACCAAACAACAGAGCAAACAACTAACCAACCACATAACAACAGCAAAGCTTCATTATGGTAGTGTTTCAAAATGACAAACGATCCAACTGAAAGACCTTCCAATAGCCAACACTGCAACAATTTAAACAAATAAATGAAGTAGTAGAAGGAAAGAGTAAAAGAAATATCCATGTTTGCATACTGATAAAAATGATTGCACAAATATAACGATTATTGGAGGAGAATAGACACTTTAAGGATGAAAGTTCCAAATAACTTTTGGTAAACATTCTGCTCATAAAGTGGAGCATTTTTTGTTTTGTTTTGTTTTTTGTTTTTCAAAATGGAACATTCGAGACTTTGTTAGTGTGCCTCACCTGCTTAGAAAGAGCAAAACAATATCTAGAGATTCACACTGTGAATTTGTATCCAACAATCACAGGAACTCAACAGAAAAAGTGAAAGAATCTTTGGATACTTTGAAAGGAGCAGCAGGCAGCAACTTGCACCATGTGTCAGATGGGAAATTGAGGCTTCAGAGTGCAAAAGGAGGAGACTCTCTCTGTGATATATTCCCACTGGGGAACCAGGCAGTCCAGGTCACAGGGAAGCACCTTAACCCTGCCCAGCGCTGGAGCTGACTTAGAGAGGAGGGGACCATGAAAGAAGGAGTGGCACCTGGGTGTGCTGCGTGTGCACTCCCAGATCCCAGCAGGGACAGAAGGAAGATATTCCTGACCCTGATTCATAGAAGATCTTGCAGAAATCAGCCAAGTAACCCAGGCAGCAGTCATGCACTGGAAGAAGCTCCCAACTGAGGGAGAAGCTGACCAACTAAGATTTGCATTTGATCTAATATTGAGCAGAGGATCAACCCCTTAAGGCCTGAACCAAGGGGCATGCAGGAAGCGTTCTTGTGCCAGGGTCATGGGAGTTGGGTACTGCTGCTTCACAGGTCAAATCAAGGGGTGTGGCCTCAGAGCTACTGTTTCAGTTTCAGTCTCCAGTGGGAAGTCTTGCAGCCTGGGGCAGGTTTGTGTTCTCAGCCTAGACTGCCTGAGACTTAGCTGACTGTCGTGGGTGTTTGCCAGCAGAAGTCTGCATGTGTAAGACCTTCTGTGTCAAGGTCGTGGGAATTGACCTGCCACTTGCTACCCCTCTCTCCATGTACAGACTCTCATGTGGCAGAGGGTGTTCTCCTTCCTGGAACATTATCCCAGTGGTCAGGGAACTGTACACTGACCCCCATTAAGGCTTCTGCTTACACCCACACTTGGAGAGGCAGAGTATGGACTTTCCTGACCCAGCCCACACTCGGCTTTGCCCCTCTACCTGTCCTAGTAGCAGAACAGGAACAGGGACTTTTCAGACTTCCGTGTCACTTCCCATCAGCTGACTACTTCCCCTGGGTAACAAAGGTTAAGCATAAATCCCACCACCGTGACTGCAGCTGGCTCTCTCCTGCAAGTGCCACCTTCTGGCCCGTGGTCAACCAACACAGTCCATTACAACATCTGCTGGCACACTAACATGATACTGGTATAAATGTAGACATACAGACCAGAGGAACAGAACAGAGACCCCAGAAATGAAGCCAAATACTTACGATTAACTGATTTTCAACAGAACAGACAAAAACATACACTGAGGAATGAACACCCCATTCAATAAAAGGTGCTGGGAAATAAGCCACATGCAGAAGAATGAAACTGGATCCTTATCTGTCACCATAAATAAAAATTAACTCAAGATGGATTAAAGACTTAAATGTAAGACATGAAACCGTAAAGACATTGGCCTAGGCAAACCTAAGACCCCGAAAGCAACTACAACATCAACAAAAACAAATTAATGGGACTTAGCGAAACTGAAAAGCTTCTGCACAGCAAAAGAAATAATCGACAGAATAAAGAAACAACCTACAGAATGGGAGAAAATACTTGGAAACTGTCCATCCAACAAAGGACTAATTCAGAATCTACAAGAAACACAAACAAATCAGCAAGAAAAAAATAACTAACCCCATTAAAAAGTGGGGAGATGACATGAACAGGCAAAAGAAGACATACAAATGGCCAGAAAACATATGAAAAAAAAATGCTCAACATCACTGATCATCAGGGAATGCAAATTAACATCACAATGCGATACCAATCTTACCCCAGTCAGAAGGACCATTATGAAAAAGTCAATAAATGATAGACATTGGTGTGGATGAGGTGAAAAGGGAATGCTTAGACACCCTTGGTTGGAATGTAAATTAGTACAACCTATATGGTAAACAGTATGGAGATTTCTCAATGAACTTTTAAAAGCAGAGCTACCATTCAATCTAGCAATCCCACCACTGGGCATGGACCCAAATGAAAAGAAGTCATTCTATCAGGTGCCACTTCCAGTCTTCCTGACCCCGCAATTCGGGGGTTTCAGGCTCGGGACAAGTGCAGGGTTCTCCATAAAGGCAGCCTCGGTGGTGGACCCGACCCCTTGCAGCCCCACACAGAGGGAGCGGAGGGGCGCGTTCTGCAGCCTGCTGCACAAGATAAAAGGCAAATTCCACCTGGTGAGCAAGAGGCCCATGTGGCAGCTCCGCTGGGGCTGGGGGAGTACAGGCGAGAGTGGCTGGCGGCCTGGCGCATATGTGTCAGTGGAGCACATGCTCAGAAAACTGGGGCAGACAGGCAAAGGTGTTGGTCGCAGAGACTTTGGTTCAGGGGGTCAACACACTGGCCAGGGATGTGGCCCATCACCTAGTCTCTGGAAGCACTTTGTGCTCCTCGCTCGGCTTCCTGTTACAAATCATGACAACATATTTCAGAGGACTTTGGGGAAATTCGCCCTCTTGGCACCGTCAGGTTGGTTCTTGGTGGCATTCCGCCGGGGAAGGGAGGAAGTGAGAAATCCGGGTTAAGTTAGGTGTTGCTGCCCAGCGGGAGACCCGAGTCTGCCTTCTTCCTGGGCCTGAGTGAAGTGACATGGCCATTGCCAGGGCTGGGGTCCAGGGAAACCTGTTTCTGGTGTCACTGTGCTCTGCACCAAGTAGAGAGAAATGTTTTTAAGGAGTTGACAACTCCTGAGAAAGCATTTCAGTGGTTACTGGAGGACTTGCACTCTGGAAATGCAGAGAACCCAGGACTGCTGCCAGGATTAACTAGGTGACTACACACGAGAGGGCAGACAGAGCCTGGCTCATTTCAGTACTCTGCATGGGTTATTTGCCACCATCAGCTGTGATGGGAACATGTGGTGATTGCTTCAGGAGATGACAGTGGCCCTGACGAGTCTGAGAATGGGAGGTCCCAGATCAAGGCGCCAGCAGGTTTGGTGTCTGGTGACAGCCCACTTCCTGGCTCATAGTCAGCGGGTTTCTCTTGTGCTGGCATCTCTCTCACTCCTAGGCTAGGCTCCTTCTGCAAACAATTGTTAGCTGCCAACCCCTAAGGGCCAGACAATACATTTGCAAATTACAACCTGGCACACCCAAGGTAGCAGGAGGAGAAAGAGCAACTTTTTGTCTTGGAAGCCAAGCTTCGTTGTTGGCTGGCACCCAATGTGCATTTCAGGTTTTTATGGTTCCTTGTCTGAGGTTATTGTAGCTGATTCCCAGGGTATTCTAATCTAAGAAGCAGTGAGTGAGCAGTGACTTAGAAGCAGTCAGTGAGCCTGAACTTTGCTAACTGGAAGGACTGGCTGTTCCCTTCCCTTGCCTTCCAGTCTCTCTCCCTGACTGCCGTGTACAAGACAGCCCCACCTGAAATAACTGAAGGCACTTCAGTTCTGTGTTGCTTTTCCTTGGAAAACATGGGTAAGATCTTAAAAAGATCCTGGAAGTGTGTCTCTGTGGCATGCATCGAGGTACGTATCCTTCCTTGAGGTGTGTTAGTTTCATCTTTCAGTACTCAGAGTTGTCTCCATAGTGCCAGGGAGGGAGGAGGTGCCAAACCCTGTGCTCAGCCAGGATGCCCTGGCCTGGCCACGCCTTCTGAGGCTTCCACAGACCTAAGAGGGACTAACAGCTGGAGTCAAAATGTTCCTGTCACTGACGCCCTGCTTCCGGAAAGGAGATCCAGAAGGAAAAAGAAAATATGTTGGGACATTTTATTTTTTTTTCTTAGCCACATCCTTTGGGGGTTGGGGTGGGACAAAATAAACGTATGTTCAAGAAGACAGTCTATGCTGAAAATGACACACAGTGTAACCACCTAGTGGGTTCACCTTGCCTGCTGCCTAAAAGAGTTGATTTATCAAGACAGGAAAATTGCAATATAAAAAGAGTAATTCACGGAGAGCCAGCTGTGCAGGACACTGGAGGAGTTTTATTATTACTCAAATCAGTCTCCCAGGACATTCAGGTATCAGTGTTTTTAAGGATAATTTGGTGGGTGGGGGAAGGCTAGTGAGTTGGGAGTTATGATTGGTCAGATCAGAGATGGAATCACAGGGAGTCCAAGCTGTCCTCTTATGCTGAGTCAGTTCCTAGGTGGAGGCCACAAGATCAGATCAGGCAGTTTATCCACCAGGGTTGTGCCAGCTGATCCATCAAGTGCAGGGGCTGCAAAATACCTCAAGCACTGATCTTTGGAGCAGTTTAGGGAGGGTCAGAATCTTGTAGCCTCCAGCTGCATGACTCCTAAGCCATAATTTCTAATCATGTGGCTAATTTGTTAGTCCTACAAACACAGTCTAGTCTCCAGGTAAGAAAGAGGTTTGTGTTGAGAAAGGGCTGTTACTGTCTTTGTTTTAAACTATAAACTGTAGAGTAAGTTCCTCCAAAAGTTAGTTTAGCTTATGCCCAGGAAGGAACAAGGACTGCTTAAAAGTTTAGAAGCAAGACAGAGTCATTTAGGCAGCCAGGTGCAGAGGCTCACACCTGTAATTCCAGTACTTTGGGAGGCAGAGGCAGGTGGATCACTGGAGGCCAGGAGTTCTAGACCAGCCTGGCTAACAAGGCAAAACACCATCTCTACTAAAAATACAAAAATTAGCCAGGTGTGTCACGCCTGCAGTCCCAGCTCCTCCAGCGACTGAGGCACAAGAATTCCTTGAACCCAGGAGGCAGAGGTTGCAGTGAGATGAGATTGGTCCACTGCACTCCAGCCTGTAGGACAAAGTGAGACCCTGTCTCTCTCTCTCTCTCTCTCTCTCTCTCTCACACACACACACACACACACACACACACACACACACACAGTCATTCTACCAAAAAGGCACTTACACTTCTAGGTTTATCACAGCACAATTCACAATTGCAAAAATATGAAATCAATCTAAGTGCCCATCAACCAATTAGTGGATAAAGAAAATGTGGTGTGTGTGTGTGTGTGTGTGTGTGTGTGTGTGTATGTATATTACAGAATACTACTCAGCCATAGAAAAGAACAAAATTATGTTTTTCAAAGCAATTTGGCCATTATCATAATTGAAGTAACTCAGGAGCAGAAAACCAAATACTGCAGGTTCTCACTTACAAGTTTGGGGTAAGCAATGGATATGCAGGAGCATGCAGAGGGGGATCATGGACATTAAAGATTCTGAAAGGAGGAGGGTTGGAGGCTAGTGAGGGGTAAAAAATTACCTATGAGGTAAAACGTACACTATTCAGGTGACAGGTACACTAAAAGCCCCAGACTTCACCACCATACAATTCATGCATGTAACCAAAAACTACATGTAATCCCAAAGCTATTGAAATTTTAATAAATTTATTTCAAAGAAAAAGCAGTGGTGTATGATTCTCCCAGTATTGAGTGTGTGTTGTATATACTGACTTTTTTTAATACACACAACATGAAAAGGGAGAAAAAGAATAATTTTACAGAAGAGATTTTTAGAACGAAAAGATTTTTATCCAGGTGATCAAATTAACATCAACAGTGATAAAGCCTGTTGACAGCTTGTGCCCTGGATATTATGTGATAGGAATGGTACTTTTCATCTATATTCTTCCTCCCTTAAGCCCAGAAGTCCAGTCTCATCATGAGAAACATCAGAGTAATCCTAAATTAGAAATGTCAATGGCATCAAAAACAAGGAAACTCTGAGAAACTATCACATTCAATGGAGCCTATGAAGCCAAAATATCTAAATGTGATGACGTATCCTGGAAGAGATCCTAAAACATAAACTTAACATTAAGCAAAAACCAAAAAATCAGAATAAAGTATGTATAGTACTCAATGACAATACATGAGATTGGTTGGTTAATTTTGACAAAGGTTTCACGCTATGAGATTAATAATAAAGGACACTGTGCATGGAGTATATGGAAACTCTCTACTAGATTTGCAACTATTCTGTAAATGTAAAACCACAGAACCATTTTTTGTTGTTGTTTTTGTTTTTTGTTTTTTTTCTGAGACAGAGTCTCCCTCTGTTGCCCAGGCTGGAGTGCAGTGGCATGATCTCGGCTTACTGCAACCTCCGCCTCCTGGGGTCAAGCGATTCTGCTGTCTCAGCCTCCCGAGTAGCTGGGATTACAATCGTCCACCACCATGCCAGGCTAATTTTTTGTATTTTTATTAGAGACAGGGTTTTGACATGTTGGTCTCGAACTCCTGACCTCAGGTGATCTGCCCGCCTCAGTCTCCTAAAGTGCTGGGATTATAGGCGTGAGCCACTATGCCCGGCTTTGGAAAACCATTCTTTAAAACTTGTTTTTGTTGTTGTTGTTGTTGTTGTTGTTGTTAATGTCACTCCCAAGCTTAAAAAAACAAATCATTAGCAATATTGTTGATACCTCCTTTGTGCATCTCCTTAATTTCTCAGTTTTCCTTAAGCACTGAACTTAACTATATTGTGAATTGTCATTCCATACTTTAAAAATAGTTTTTCCTCTTTGAGTATTTCTGAATACTATATTCTTCAGGTCATTTTGTCTTCAGATTTAAGTGAAGGTGTTTAATTCATTAATATTCCTAGTTTAATCATGAGAAAACATCAGCTGAAACCACATCATGGGACATCCTATTAAATACCTGACTGGTACTTTTCAAAAGGGTCAAGGTCGTGAAAAAGAAGTGAAGGCCAGGAAACTGTTTCATATAGGAGAATACCTGATGTGTCAGGTAGACTCTAAGTTGGTGCCCATTTATCCCCACCTTCTCACATACAGAACCTTCTACTGTAATCCCATCCAAGTGAGTCTAAGCAGGAATTGAGACTTGCTTTGAAACAACAGAATAGTGCAAAGGTATAGAAGTGTCACTGGGATTCTTATATATGATTATGATTTTGGTCTTCCTAGAAATGTCTCTCTCGATGGATTTTATGAAGCCATGTGAGAGAAGCCCCCTTGGCAAGGCACTTTATTTAGCCAATGGCCAACAGCCAAGAAAGTAAGAGGCTTTTGTACAATAGACTGTTCTACAGTTGGAAATACTATATTTTAAACTAACCATACTGCCCAAAGAAGTTTACAGATTAAATGCCGTTCCTACCAAACTACTAATGACATTCTTCACAGAACTAGAAAAAAAGTGTGTTAAAACTCATATGGAACCAAAAAAGAGCCCCAATAGACAAGGCAATCATAAACAAAAAGAACAAAGCTGGAGGCATCATGTTACCTGACTTCAAACTATACTACAGGGATAAAGTAACCAAACAGCATGGTGCTGCTACAACAGCAGGCACATAGACCACCTGAACAGAATAGAGAGCCTAGAAATAAGGCCGCACACCTATCACCAACTGATCTTTGACAAAGCTGACCAAAACAAGCAATGGGGAAAAGACTCTCTAATCAATAAACGGTGCTGGGAGAACTGGCTAGCCATATGCAGAAGACTGAAACTGGACCCCTTCCTTACATCATATACAAAAATTAACTCAAGATGGATTAAAGACTTAAATGTAAAACCCTAAATTATAAAAACCCTGGAAGACAACCTAAGCAATACCATCCTGGATATAGGAATAGGCAAACATTTCATAATAAAAACTCTGAAAGCAATGGCAACAAAAGCAAAGATTGGCAAATGTGATCCAATTAAACTCAAGAGCTTTGCAGAGCAAAAGAAATTATCATCAGAGTGAACAGACAAACTATAGAATGGGAGAAAATATTTGCAAACTATGCATCTGATGAAAGTATAATATCCAGCATCTATAAAAACTTAAACAAATTTACGAGAGAAAAACAAACAACCCCATTAAAAAGTAGGCAAAGCACTGGGCGGGGTGGCTCATGCCTGTAATCCCAGCACTTTGGGAGGCCAACGTGGGCGGATGATGAGGTCAGGAGATCGAGATCATCCTGGCTAACATGGTGAAACCCTGTCTCTACTAAAAATACAAAAAATCAGGCAGGTGTGGTGGCATTCACCTGTAGTCCCAGCTACTAGAGAGGGGAAGACAGGAGAATTGCTTGAACCCAGGAGGCAGAGGTTACAGTGAGCCGAGATCGTGCCACTACACTCCAGCTTGGGTGACAGAGCGAGACCCAGTCTCAGAAAAGAAAAAAAAAAAGTAGCAAAGGAGAAGAACAGATAATTTTCAAAAGAGGACACACATGCGGCCAACAAGCATATGAATAAAAGCTCAATATCATTGATCATTAGAGAAATGCAAATCAAAACCACAATGAGATACCATCTCACACCAGTCAGAATGGCTATTATTAAAAAGTCAAAATAACAGATGCCGGTGAGGTTGCAGATAAAAAGGATCACTTACACACTGTTGGTAGGAGTGTAAGTTCATTCAACCATTGTGGAAAGCAATATGTCAATTCCTCAAAGAGCTAAAATCAGAACTACCATTCAACTCAGCAATCCCATTACAGGGTATACACCCAGAGGAATACAAATCATTCTTCCAAAAAGACACATCCACATGAATGTTCATTGGAGCACTACTTACAAGAAAAAAGACATGGAATCAACTTAAATGCCAATCAATGACAGGATGGATAAAGAAAATGTGGTACATGTGTATCATGGAATACTATGTAGCTGAAAAAAAAGAATGAGATCATGTCTTTCACAGGAACATGAATGGAGCTAGAAGGTATTATCCTTAGCAAACTAACACAGGAGCAGAATACCAAATTATCACATATTCTCACTTTTAAGTGGGAGCTAAATGATGAGAACTCATGAACACAAAGAACGGAACAAAGGACACTGGGGCCTACTTGTAAGTGAAGGGTAGAAGGAGGGAGAGGAGCAGAAAAAGTAAATATTGGGTAGTAGGCTTAGTACCTGGGTGATAAAATGATCTGTACAATAAACCTCCATTACACAAGATTACCTATATAACAAAACTATATGTGTATCCACAAACCTAAATTTAAAGATATAAAGTTAAAAAAATCAAAATCATATAAAAACTATAAAAAATAAAAAAACTAAACTGAGCTACCTTTCAAATAAAGTTATATTGCTTCACAGTTACTGTATCTTATAATAACAAATAGTCCTAATTCCTTTCTCCTGTCCTTTGCATTATTGCTGATATCCACTTCATATATATGTGTATATATATACATGTATACACACACATACAAACACACATGCACATGTGCATATATCTGTACACATATATACTTAAGATATGTACATAAGATATATACATAGGCATATATTATTTAACAATTTTTCAATTTTTTCAAGAAACTGTTTTCTCTTATAATAAACTAAGTATAAAAATGTTACACCAATAAAAAGTTAAAATTATATATAACTGATATTTTTAGAAATACGAGAGATGGAAAAATGTAAAATGCTTAATGAGAACCACAAAAGGCAGAAAATGAATGGAAGATGAAAATAGGAAGAACGAACAAGGACAACAAATCGAAAACATTGACAAATATGATAAATATTAATCCAACTGCATCGCTTACCACTCTGAATGTCAGTGGTCTAACTGCACCAAGTAAAAGATACAGATTTACAAAATGAATCAAAAAACAAGACACAACTGTTATTTATAAGCCCAACCCAAATATAAAGACAAATAAAAGTAAATGAATGGAACAAAATGTACAATGCTAACTCTAATCAAAGTAAACAAGAGGAGCTATATGAATTACAGGCAGAGCAGACTTCAAAGCAAGAAAAGTTATCAGGAATAAAGAAGGGCATTACATAGAGATGAAGAGCCATTCTTCCAAGAAGATGTCCTAATTCTTAAAGCCTATGAGCCTGATAACAGAGCATAAACTATGAGGCAGAAATCAACAGAACCACAAGGAAAAAGATGAATTCGGTACTATAGTTGGAAACATTAACACCCTATATCAGATACGGACAGATCTAGCAGGCAGTAATTCAGGAGCGAAAAGCTGAACTCAACAGCACCAACAAGCAACTGGGCATAACTGACACCTACAGTCTCCTTCCCTCAACTACTCCAGAGGACACATTCTTCTTAAGCTCACATGGAATATTCAGCAAAATGTGCCACATTCTGGGACAAAAAATACCCCAACAATTTTTAAAAAGTAAATCATACAATGTCAGCTCTAAGACCACAGTGGAATTAAAATAGAAATCAAAGGATGACTGGAATGATAACTGTAATATCCCAAAATGCATTGAGATTAAACAACACACTTCCATATAACATATTGGTCAAAGAAGATATCTCCAGCGAAATTTTTTTAAATTAACTAAATGAAAATAAAAGCACAATTTATCAAAATTTGTAGGATGAAAGGAAAGCAGAACATATAGGCAAATAAATACCATTGAACACATATATAGGAAATGACGAAAAGACCAAAAATCTGTCATCTGTGTTTCTACCTTTGGAACCTAGAAAAGGAAGAATATATTAAATCTAAAGTCAGTAAAAGAAAAGCGATAACGTTGTTAACAGACTAAAACAAAGGAAAAGTTAAAGCAACTGGATTTTTCAAACACATATTATCTTAATAGTTCTCAGAACACAGAGGCACCCAAAATTAACAGGGCAAACAAAGCACCCCAACACCCCCCTTGCTTACGGGCATGCAGCCATGACCCCCTCAGAAATGGGAACCTCAGGATTTAGAAATGATCAGTCTCGGGCTACTGAGGCCGGGCAGTATCATTTCCTCCGAAGTCACGCTGTACATTTTAGAATAGCTAAATAATAGATTTTTAGTGTTCTCACCATAAAGTATTAGCTGGTGAGTTGATGCCCATGTTAATTAGCTTGATTGAATCTTCCCCAATGAATACAAGAATCAAAATATCACACTGTTATCCATAAATATACGCAATGTGTCAACTAAAAATAAAAGTTTTGGTAAATTCTTTATCGATGAATAATTCACAAATAGGAAACGTAGGTAAGTAACAATTGTTATGTACATAATATAAAAGGGCATATGTGACAGAAAGAAAGCTTTTTAAATGTACGTTACGGTCTGGGAAACACGGAGAAATCCTGAGGTTTGAAGAAGAACAAACAGGGACGACGACACAGGCAGGCACCGCCTCAGGAACAAGCGCGCTTCGCAGAGAAGCGACCAGAAAGCCCAACGCAGACCCCTCAGACATCCGCCCTGAGTTCTCCTGTAGATCTCACCGCCCTCTCCCCCTGTCAGCCGCGCCTTCTGATCACCGCCCTCCACCTTCCTCCCTCACTCCCTGTCAGCCTCGCCCTCCACCCGCGGCCCTCACGCCCCACGTGGGCCTGGCTCCCGCCCCCAAGCCCAGCCTGCGCGGCAGCCTCCGGTTCCCCTCACTGCGCAGCTGCGACCCCCGCACCCGCACTTCCCTTCAGGCTGCTCCCAGCCTCACCTGTGTGGGCGCCAGGTGGAGAGGAGTCCGCAGATCTGAGTTTTCTCCTCCATGGATCCCACCTACACCTCCAAAAGGATTGAGGGGGCAGAAACCTGCACTGGCGGGGAAGTGAGGGTCTGAGCGATGGAGAAAAGGCGGCGAACAAGGGCAGCCCCATGAGCCCTGCAGTCAGGCAGCCGGGGGTCCTCTTTGCTCTTCTCCACCCTCCTTTCTCCCAGACCCACACCCCACTGACCTAGCCCAGGAGCCTCCCCAGGGGACAGGGCCCACTCACTCCTCAACGTCCTTCCCATAGGCTGAGCTCATGGCCTGGGGTAACATCTCAGGGAACCAAACCCAGACATTCGAATCCCTCCCCACAGAGCGCAGTCCTCAGGGAGCGGCCCTCCCTGCCTCCCCTGCCCAGTCCCTCCATGGTCTGCCCTTCCTGCTCCTGCGTCCTCACCAATTACTCATCCCAGCGCTCCTTCCAATCCACCGACCTCTTCTCATGGCCTGGCCTGTGCCAGGCACACACGTTTTCCTCCTCGCTTTCCCTCCCGTCTCCTGGACCCACTGCGCCTCACTCTCCAGCATCTCCTCCAATGTTCCTCCTCCTGGAGGCTTCCCCTGTCCATCCCATCCAAGGCCTGAAACCTGTCCTCTCAGTTCCCAAGGGCAGCTCTTCCACCTTATAGTTTAATTTTTGTCAAGTTTTCTGAAACCCTATTGGACAGAAGCATCACAGAACATGGCAACTTTGTCTATGGTGTCTCTGAGCCCCACACATGTCCTGGACAAAAAGCAACTCTGAAAATTCTCTGGTAATCTATAAAAGTATAAATCAGTTTTAAAAGATTATTATCTGATAAAAGAAAATAAATTGAAGTTCCCACTTCTTTTCTACAGACGATAATCGGAAAACATTTGCTGTGTGGAGTTGTATGCACAAATTTTCGGAGTGGCGTTTTTCTTTTTAACTGAAGAAGCAATTTTGGTATTTACTCATCAAAGAGTAAGAGAAGAATACACACCTATATTATGAGCCATAAGCATAAGGAAATGTCTTGCAGACGTTTACAAATACTATGTAGAAGGAATCAGAGATTCAAGCCAGTATCTATAAATTTCAGGTAAAAGAAAAACAATATGCTGAAGTTTATTCGTGCATATTAACAAAATAACTGGTCTTTGTGTGCTGGAAGGGAGTCTTGATATTCCATCTATTCAAATTAATGCTTTTGAACCTTGCAAATTAGAACAAACTAAGCCATGTACAAAACCCTTTTTAAGTATGAGTCTCTAGCAAATTTTGTCTTGTGGTTCCCAGCAAACTTTCTGCACCTCTTCAACTAGGAGTATTTCAGATGAAATTTGTGGAAAACAATGACAGACAATGGGTGATATTTCCATTAATTTAATAAAGAGTGATAAAATATTAAAACAAAGATATTTTGAAAAATGATTATAATAATTAAACAAAAAAAGGCATTAATACACACTACAAAAATTTAAATTTGGTCATACATGTTTATGTGATGATAAAAGTACGTTGACACAGAAAGTGTCAAAGGCCTTTGCACACCAAAACAAACACTGTTTCATTTGTTGAAAACAAATACTGTTTCATTTGTTGAAAACAAATACTGTGTCATTTGTTTTCAGACAGCAAACAGAATGATTCTTTGACACACTCAGTCTTTCCAAGAAATAACTGAGTTCCCCAACCAACACCAGAAGTAGAGCAAGAAAATGTTCGTGTTTCCCATGAAGACACCACAGAGACAGGCTCAACTCTCCTGCCTCTACTTAGGCACTGTCTTGGATAGGCGTGGTCTGGAGGAGGTAAACCTTGTCTAGTGAGTTGTCTGTGTTTGTGCAGGAAGCACCCAGGGATGTTTGTTTTGTAAAAATACAAAAGTATACATTTGGTTGTACATGATGGCTATGTGACCAAGAAGAGAGTGTTTTCTTTGTGCTTAATACACAAGTTTTAAACACACTTGTACACAAAACCAAAAACCAAGATGTAACATTACAGTGCCAGGACTCAAGGGGAAATGTGCCATTGGTCAGAAAGAAGAATGATTATTTAACAAATTCATGCTTATATAAAATAACTGAATTCCCCACCCCACCCAACAGGGAGCTCCTCCCCTTGTGCATGCAGACCCCACAGAGAGGTTCTGAGCTCAGAGGCTCCCTGCTGGTCCTGCCTTTGATGTGCATCGTCTGGAGGAGGAGACCCATGTCCACAGCATCATCTACAGCAAGGCAGGAGGCACCCGGGGCTGCATCTCCAGGTTTTCCCACCACTTGCTGTTGTTGAAGGTATGAAATACATAAACTGAAGAGTGGTGTTCACGGATCTTATAAGATTAACAAAGACATTACAGACATAAGAGACAACAATGATATTCTGAAACTCTAAAGCCTCTGATTAAAAGTCCAGCTGAGAGTAGTGGTGTAGGTGAAAGGCATGGAGATTTTTAAACTTCTTTCACTTCATTATGGAAAAGCACAGTCATTAAGAGAATGGTCACTAAATTATTGTATTAAATGAAGTCTGTTAGCAACTAAGAAAGTGTTGCATTTGCACAGAGACAGAGGAATAAACCAATGAAAAAAGAAAACAGCATAAATACAGACATGTATATATGAACAAATCATTTGTAAGTCAATAAATGGGGACAGATTAATTTTTCTGAAACTATTAAAAAAACTTAATATTCACAAGGGAATTAAAATCTGACCTTTAACTTCATTTTACACACAAAATCAGGTGGATCACAGACATATATATATATTTAGTACACTAGGTAGAACACATAAGAAAATATCTTCGGGACTATGTGGTAGGTAAGATACCTGAAACTGGACCTAAAAAGCACTAATTATATAATAAACTATTCTACATATTCTACATAGTTGACTTGAGCAATGACTTTGGATACAGACTGAATCAAACTCAAAGCACTTTTAATCCTTTCATGTAGTGCTTAGTCTCAGATTCAGAACTGGCCCGTGGCAGTGGTAAAAGTGCTCACCTCTTGAGATGTCAGTTGGGTTTGTATAAAATAATATATAAAGCATGTAGTATAATATCACATCTATACATATCATTAAGACTAATTTTTATAATAAATTGTGAGATTTATCTTTTAGATTTATATATCAGAATGAAATAATAAAACCACTAATAATGGAGCAAATATTTCTAATTAGATTTTTATAATTATTTTATAAACTTTTCTCGACTAACATGTTTATATTTGTCTTATATCATTCCTGTGATTACATGAGACAGAACATATATGCAAAATACATTTACAAAGGTACTGCTAACACTTATTTCATTCAGAACAAACTCTCTGAATCACTTTCAACTCATCTTGTCCATGATTTTCCCCACAATATCATCATCTGTGCTAATCACAAGCATCAATGTTGCTGCATTTCTCATGGGACTCCTATACTACTCTATGCAAGTTTATCTTTCCAGTCTCCTGACACCCTTCTGTAAGTTTTGATGCTTGATGTAATTGCCCAAAGATGTCTTTGGGGAGGTTTAGACCAAGTTCATGTGTGTGTGCCTGAGGACAACCACATCATGACTGCTTTCTGGCAATAATGTTATAACCCTTTCAAACAGAAGATGCATCTCTCTTTAAAAGATGTTAAAATGTGTACCAAAGAATTGTTTACACACTTTTTCTCTGTGACTGCCTACTTCTCAGTGTTAAATCATGGTGGCTGAGGCAGGAGAATCCCTTGAACCCTGGGGGCGGAGGTTGCAGTGAGCCCACATCGCGCCACTTCACTCCAGCCTGGGCGAAACAGCGAATTCCATCTCAAAAAAAAAAAAAAAATCATGGTGGCTAATGTGCTATATTTTAGTTTGTTATTAAGGAAACATTGTTGTATATCTTTTCACATTAATTTACCAATTCCATTCACATTCTACTTAGTTATTAGAAATATTAGACTTATTAGTGAAGTGCTGTAATTGTTTTATAAACTATGGTTCAAGAAATCTATTGATGAGGAAGATATAAATTGTAGAGAGACACTTGAAATTTTTCCTGAAGTGTTAGTTTTCTAAAGACTAAGGAAAATCTATATTAAAAGAATTGTGTCCTAAAGTTAGAAATATAAGCAATGATCCCTGCAAGCTATATTACAAATTCAATTCTTTAATCTATAACATTCTGGATCTCTGTTTTTCTTCATTCTCATTCACCCTTTTAATCACACAAATGGCTAAGGCTGAAGTCTCCCCTGAAGGCTCACCTGGGGAAGGATCCTCCCCAGGCTCACATGATTGTTGTTAGGATTTAATTCCAGTTCCATGTTAAGATGACTTCACTAGGAAATTATTTCATACTTTTAAAGAATTAATACAAATTCATTACGAATTCTCTAAAAATATTAAACAACAGCAATGACAGCGGTGAAGAGATCACGTCCCAATGCACACTATGAGGTACTTTATCCTCATACCACAATTAGACCAAAACATTTCAAGAAAGGAAAATAAGACCAATATGCCTTATGAATAAAGAGGCAAAAATCCTTAAGGAAATAATAGCAAAACAAATTAGCAACATGCAGAAAGTATTATACACTATGACAAAGGGTATTTCCTCAGGAATGCAAATTTTGTTCAACATACAATTCATGCACTGTATTAATGGATTAAAGCACAGAACCTACACGATCATCTCAAAAACACAGAATGAGCACTTGACAAGTCAAAAACACATTCATGATAAAGATATGCAGCAAATTAGAACTGTAAAGAAACTGTCTTCACTTTAAAGCATTGAAAAAAATAAAAACCCTCACATGATATAAAAGTTTTCTGAAAGGCTCAATACTTTCTCCAAGATTAGAAATAAGACAAGGAATTTCATTCTGGCCACATTTTTTCCCCACATTATGCTAGAGGATGTAGCAAGGACAACTAGTCTAGAAAAATGAATATAAGACATCTAGTATAAAAGAAAGTAAAACTCTCTTGGCAATTGACATGATTTGTGTATAGAACATCAAAATGACTCTAATAAAATAGAATGCAAATTAAAATATAAGTTCAATACAGTTCCAGTACACAAGCTCAGTATATAGAAATACATACTTCTATATACTAGAAATTAACAAACTTAACAAAAAACTCAGAAACCCATGCTATTTAAAATAGCATCAAAAAGGAAAAATACATAAGAAAAAATTCAACAAAATATGCATACGACATGTATATTGAAAATTGTAAAATACATTAAATGTAATTAATAAAATTATATAAAAACAGACAAATGTTGAATGATCACTGATTAAAAGGCTTGATATTATTAAGTTGAGAATACTTTTTATATAGCTCTACAGATTTAATGCAATTTCCATGAAAATCCCAGGTGACCTTTTTTCACTAACTTGTCAGATTTTAAATTGTATATATAATGCAATAGAGAAGAGTTAAAATAATTTTGAAAAAAAACAGAATTTGTAAAATAGACCCATATTTTCTGATTTTAAAACTAAGACAAACCATACTAATTCATATGTATGGTGTAGACATACAGATAAATAGAATAAAATTGAATATCAAAAAGTTAACCTTTACATTTATGGTCAAATAATTTTACAAGGGCTCCAAGTAAATTCAATATGGAAAAGTATTTTTTTCATCAATGGATTCTGGGACAAGTCGACATCGTCAACATCAACAGGCAAGTTAAACTCCTCCCTCACAGTATATGCATAAATAGTTCAAATTAGTCACTGATATGGTTTGGACTTGTGTCCCTGCCCAAATCTCATGCCACATCGTAATCCCCAATGTTACAGGAGGGGCCTGGTGGGAGGTGATTGGATAATGGGGGAAGATTTCCCCTTGCTGTTCTCATGACAGTATGTGAATTTTCATGAGATATCGTTATTTAAGTGTGTAGGACCTCACCCTTCTTTCTCTTCTTCCTTCTCAGGCCATAAAAGATGTGCCTGCTTTCCCTTCTTCTTCTGCCATGTTTGTAAGCTTCCTGAGGCCTCCCCAGCCATGTTTCCTCTACACCCTCAAGAACTATGAGTCAATTAAACCTCTTTGCTTTATAAATTACCCAGTTTCAGGTAGTTCTTTATAGCAATACAAAAACAGGCTAATACAGAAAATTGCTACTGGGAGTGGGGCATTGCTATAAAGATAGTTGAAAACGTGGAAGTGACTTTGATACTGGGTAATGAGCAGAGGTTGGAACAGTCTGGAGGGGTCAGAAAAAAATAGGAATATGAGGAGAACTTTGGAACTTTCCAGAGACTGGTTAAATTGTTGTGATCACAATGCTGATAGTGACATGGGCTATGAAGTGCAGGCTGAGGTGGTCTCAGGTGGAGATGAGGAACTTATTGGGAACTAGAGTAAGGGTCACTCTTGTTATGTTAGGACAGAGACTGGTGGCACTGTGCCCCTGCTCTAGGGATCTGTGGAACTTTGAATTTCAGACTGATGATTTAGGGTATCTTGTGGAAGAAACTGCTAAGCAGCAAAGCATTCAAGATGTGGCCTGGCTGCTTCTAACAGTGTATTGTCATAGTGTGAGCAAAGTGATGCTATGAAACTAAAACTTATATTTAAAAAACAGGCAGAGCATAAAAGTTTAGAAAATTTGTAGTCCAGCCATTTTGTAAAAAAAGAAAAACCTGACCAGGTGCTGTCGCTCATGCCTGTAATCCCAGCCCTTTGGGTAGCTGAGGTGGGCAGATCACAAGGTCAGGAGTTCAAGAGCAGCCTGGCCAATATGGTGAAACCTTGTCTCTACTAAAAATACAAAAATTAACTGAGCGTGGTGGCACATGCCTGTAGTCCCAGCTACTCAGGAGGCTGAGGCAGAAGAATTACTTGAACCTGGGAGGTGGAGGTTGCCGTGAGCTGAGATCGCACCACTGCACTCCAGCCTGGGCAACAGAGTGAAACTCTGTCTCAAAAAAAAAATAAAAAAAAAAAGAAGGAAAACAAAAAAAGAAGAATCCATTTTCTGGGGAGGAATTCAAGCCAGCTGCAGAAATTCGCTTAAGAGGAGCCAAATTAGCCGGGCGCGGTGGTTCACGACTGTAATCCCAGCACTTTGGGAGTCTGAGAAGGGTGGATCACGAGGTCAGGAGATCGAGACCATCCTGGCTAACACAGTGAAACTCCATCTCTACTAAAAAATACAAAAAATTAGCCTGGCATGGTGGTGGGTGCCTGTAGTCCCAGCTGCTCGGGAGGCTGAGGCAGGAGAATGGCATGAACCCGGGAGGCTGGAGCTTGCAGTGAGCTGAGATCACGCCACTGCACTCCAGTCTGGGCAACAGAGCGAGACTCCATCTCAAAAAAAAAAAAAGAGGAACCGAATTTTAATAGCCAAGACAATAAGGAAAATGCCTCAAAGCCACTTCAGAAGCCTTCCAACAGCCCCTCCCATCATAGGCACAAAAGCCTAGGAGAAAATAATGGTTTCAAGGACCAAGCCCAAGTCCTCAGTGCCCTGTGCAACCTTGGGCCACTGATCCCTGTGCCCCAGCTGCTCCAGCTCCAGCTATGACTAAAAGGTCCCCAGATATGTATCAGGCCACTGCTCCAGGAGGTGCAAGCCATAATCCTTGGCAGTTTCCACGTGGTGTTAAGCCTGAAGGTACACAGAGGGAAAGAGTTGAGGCTTGGGAGCCTCTGCCTAGGTTTCAGAGAATGTATGGAAATGCCTCGATGCCCAGGCAGAAGTCTGCTGCAGTGATGGAGCCCTTAGGGAAAACCTGTACTAGGACAGCGCAGAGAAGAAGTATAGAGTTGGAGTCCCCACAAAGAGTCTCCACTGGGGGCCTAGTGGAACTGTGAGAAGAGGGCCACTGTCCTCCAGAACCCAGAGTGGTATATCCACCAACAGCTTGCATTATGTGCCTGGAAAAGCCACAGGCACTCAATGCCAGCCCTTGAGAGCAGCCATGGTAGCTGAGCCCTGCCAAGCCAGAGAGGCAGAGCTGCCCAAGGCCTTGAAAGCCCATCCTTTGCATCAGTGTGGCCTGGATGTGAGATGCAGACTCAAAGGAGATCATTTTGGAGCTTTAAGATTTAATGACTGCCCTGCTGGGTTTCAGACTTGCATGGGACCTGTTGTCCCTCTGTTCTAGCTGATTTATAACTTTTGGAATGAGTGTATTTACCCAATGCCTGTACCCCCATTGTATATTGAAAGTAACGACTTTGCTTTTGATTTTACAGGCTCATGGGTAGAAGGGACTTGCCTTATCTCTGATGAGACTTTGGACTGTGGACTTTTGAGTTAATGCTGAAATGAGCTAAGAGTTGGGTGACTATTGAGAAGGAATGATTGTATTTTGCAATATGAGAAAAACATGATATTTAGGAGGGGTCAGGGGCAGGATGATATGGTTTAGATTTGTGTCCCCTCCCAATCTCATGGCAAATTATAATCTCCAATGTTGGAGGAGGGGCCTGGTGGGAGTTGACTGACTCATGGGGGGTAGATTCCCCCTTGCTGTTCTTATGACAGTGAGTTATCACAAAATGTGATTGTTTAAAAGTGAGTGACACTTCCTTCTTCTATCTATTCCTCCTTCTCCAGCCATGTAACATATTCTTGCCTCCCCTTTGCCTTCCACCATGATTGTAAGTCTCCCCAGTCATGCCTCCTGTACAGCCTATAGAACTGTGGATATATTAAACCACTGTTCTTTATTAATTACCCAGTCTCAGGTAGTTCTTTATAGCAGTGTGGGAACAGACTAATACAATCATACACCTAAAAAGCCAAAACCAAAAACAAAAACAAATTGTTTAACAAAGGTTAAACAATGGTTTCCAAGATATGAAAACTAATACACAAGAGGAAGGAGAAAATAGATATATTGAAACATCACTAATAAAATATATCATAATTTAAAGTACATAATAAAATAGTAAAAACAATTTTAAAATGGGAGAAAAGTCTTTGTACGTCAAATAGTCAATAAGAATTTATAATCCAGAATATATTACAACATCTTACAACTCCAAAATCCAAAGGCAAATGCTCCAATCAAAAATAGTAAATTTGAACAGTCATGTCTCCAAAGAAGCTATAGTAATATTTAATAAGCATATAGAAAGATGCTCAATGCCTCTGTCATTAGGGAAATGCAAATCCCAACCATAAGATATCCTTTACTGATCCAAGGGGCATATTACTAAGTCCAAAAAGCAATTTTGTAAAAGCAAAATACTTTTTGTTTTAAAAAATGTATGACACTCTAGAAAGGGCATAAGGATGGAGACAGTATAGAGTTTACTGGTTACCAGGGTGTCAGCCAAAAGGAAAGACAAATCTGTAAAGACAGAAAATTTCTTTTTGTATAGCATTATGTATGCTACTGTAATGTGGATAAAAGATACAGTTTTTCAACTCCCACAAAACTTTATATCACAAAGAGTGAACCTAAAAGTATGTAAATTAACAAAAAAACTTATTTAGTAGATAGGAACAGACCAGGAAGAAATGCAGAGAAAATATACAAATCTATGAAATAATCCACTGGAGGAAGGGTAAAAAGAAGCTGACCTAAGCAACTGACATAAGTTATTCAGATTCTGTCTAAAGGCTAAAGGATTTATACATAAGCAGTTGGTATACATAAACAGGTGGTAACGGTGTTTATCATGGGGTTGTATGTTTCTTATTCCAAAACCACTATGCCTGCATTTTCAGGTGGTTAAATATTACACTGGTAGGCTACATACAGATAAGTGAGATGGGTAGACAGATTCACATGGTGCTAAATAAGATCGTGTGGGACTGAGGACGCTGCAGGAATTCATGTTTAATTTAATGTGGATACATATGGAGACTTGTAGAAATTTGTAAACATATGTGTGTATTTACTCTTTGCTCTGTTAGATAACAAGGCCTCCAATCAACACATTCCCCAGTAACAATGGGTACAAACCAGTGAGTGCCCAAATCTTCATTTTTTATTTCATTCTCCAACAAAAAAGGTAGGGGTCTGTGAGAAAAAGGTCAAATATAGACTTGAACAGGGACTAAATACAATTAGCCTGGAGTATCTAGTGGTGATCAAACAAGACAAAATGCTCAACAACAATGCAACCAATGAATCAGCCACATAACAAGCTCAAATCTTAAATATGGTGGTATTTCAAAATGACAAGGGACTCAATTGAAAGACTAAATGCTCTGTGTACATCCTGGATAACTCCAGAAACATATTCTCAGCCCTAAAAGACATGCACAAGCAAACTAATGCTATGTCTAATCTCATGATGTCTTTAAATCATATGGCTTTAGATATCTTCACTGCAGCCCAGGGTGGCACTTGTGCATTCATTAAGGCTGACCATTTTACACACATACACACACACACGCACACACATACACCAAATTATTCTCACAATATAACCCAAGCTATGCATGTAGATACCCATATTTCTGCTATAGATGCCCTCTCTCAGGACTCTATGGCATCATGATTTAGTCAGCTTCCTCGTGCATGAAATACTTTTATATATATTATTAAAACTGTTAAATGCCCTCTTCAGCTGCTATGAATTTTATTGCTGTTGTACACTCTGCATGGAGATGCAGGAAATCATTTTCAGAAATTCGTGGATCCTCACATCATACATGCACAGTAAGTTCCTGCTGAAAACTCAAGAATATTTCCAACTCCAGGTAAACAGATTCCATTCTAATGCTCTATAACTATGCCCCCTTTCAGTAGAAAGCAGACTAAATGAATATGATGCTCCAATTGAATAAAAATAAAGTAGAATTTGACAGTGGGGTGTTGTAACCAAGTACTTCATTTTCCTTAAAAAACATTTACTTTTTCTTTTTCCTGTGTGTTCATGTCTTACTTAGCTCCTTAGAAATGAAAATTCAAACTTTTCCCTCCTTCCTTTCCACCAGCCAAACAACCAGCAAGCACTGTCAGCTTAGCTAAGTATACGTTTGTTTATAAATTACCAAATCTTGAACCAAAGTAAGAATCCACCAGAATTCTCCTCCATAGAGAGATTGTCTCAAGACATCAGTTAATCCACAACCTGACTCTGTCCCCAGTGATGCTGGGCAGGCTAACGAATGACCCAAGACTAGAGATAAGTCATCCATCGAGTCATGCAGATCCTGCACCTCCACACCCCTTCTGCATGGCCTGCTTCCAATATTTCTTCTTAAAACCCTGTTTTCTTCGTAGAAAACTTATATGGTTCCTTTAGATACGAATCCAGCCCTCCCACATTGCTAAGCTCGGGAATAAAGTGACTTTCTCTTTTTTTTTTTGGAGACGGAGTCTCGCTCTGTGCCCCAGTAGTTGGGATTACAGGCACACGCCACGGTGCTCGGCTAATTTTTGTATTTTTAGTACAGACAGGGTTTCGCCATGTTGGCCAGGCTGGTCTTGAACTCCTGACCTCAGGTGATCATCCCGCCTCGGCCTCCCAAAGTGCTGGGATTACAGGTGTGAGCCAGCGCGCCCGGCCAGTGACTTTCTTTTTACTACCCTTCTGTTACTTGATTCTGCAAGTGGCCATGGCCAAACCTGGGTTTCGTAACAAAATGGTGCCAGGCTGTCGTACGACAGATGAGGGGCACTTTTTCCTTAAAGCAGGATCTGTTGATTCTGTGTACAGCACCGAAGCCCACAGACCCTGACGGCTGCCACACCTAGCAGGGCAAGTGCCCATCTATTATTACACATTCCCATAAAATACCAGTGTTTTGCTGTGTTGATTGCTCATGTCTCACACGTCTTGAACAAATGTCTCCAATCTTTGTCTAAGTTTTGACTAAGACAACAAAAGTAAAATCTAAAAAATTCACAAGTATGAAAACCTTTTGAGACTATTAAACCGGATGAAAATGATAATAAATAAAAGATTGAAATTCCTTTTTGTAAGCTAATAACACAAAAATATTTTCTGATCACAGCACATGATGTACACATTTTCTAACTGGTATTTTTTATATCACTGAGAACTAAAAACGAGTTTAATCATCACTCATCAAAAATAAGAAAATAATCCATATCTAATAGAATGGGTGATCCGTACTGTCATGTACACGTACATGGCGGTGAGGTGGAAGGAATTATGGAGTCCAGTCAATGTCTACATCTTTTGTACAAGGAGAAAATGAAACAACATCATGAAGTTCACACCTGCATGGTTAAGAAGAGGTTGCTCCTTGCATTCAGATGTGAAGTCTAACTTTCCTGCCACACAAATCAATACCTTGTTAACCTTTCACATGTACAGCAAACTAAGCCATAGAATAGAAAGTTTGACAGATCTTTTTAAGCATAAGAAGATCTTTTTAATGTGGGACAATTTTGCTTTGTGGCTTATAGAATAGTTTCTGTCCTTCTTTTTAACCAGAGCTATTTAGGAGGAAATTTCTGGAAAATCATAAAACAGAAATGTGTAACGTCTGTCGCTTCCCATAAAAGTGATATTAACATTCAATTTTTGAAAGAGAAATAGGAGTAAAGATGAAAATAATTGATATGGTTCATTGAAAAATATTTATGAATGCATTTTTAAAATAGAGAAATAAAGGCCTTAAATCTATGATACAAAAATAAATATTTGGTTTTAGATGATGTTTATATGACCAACAAAAGAGAATATTTATACACAAGCATTTAAGACATTTGCACAACAAATTAAATCAAAATCAAGGAGAAATATCACGATGTAAAATCTAAAGTCTTAAGGTGTCATTGTTCAGCAAGCAGAATCATTTTTGAACAAACTCAGCCTTTTTTAAAAGACCTGAATTCCCTACCTCACCCCACAACCAAGGCAGGGAGCTGCTGTCCTTGTGCATGCAGAGCCCCCAGAGAGGCTCTGAGCTCAGAGGCTCCCCTGTGAACCTGCCTTTGTTGGGCATGGTCTGGAGGGGGACCCTGTTCACAGGATCATCTACAGCAGGGCAGGAGGCAGCCAGGGCTGCCTCTCCAGGTTTTCAACAACATTGGCTGTTGTCTAAGATACTAAATACATAAAGTGGGTAGTGGTGTTGGGAGACTCCTAAGATTCACAAGGACATAGAGATTTCAGAGTCAATAGCAACATTCTAAAGTTGTATATCCACAGCCTCATTCAAGGTACAGCTGAAAGGATTGCTGTAGGTGCAAGGCATGCACGTCTGAACTTCTTTCACCTCATTATAGAGCAGCTCAGTGGTTAAAAGCACAGGCCCTGGGCCAGGCACAATGGATCACGCTTGCAATTCCTACGCTTTGGGAGACTAAGGAGGGTGGATTGCTTCAGGCCAGGAGTTCTAGATAAGCCTGGGCAACAATGAGAGACCTCCTCTCCACTAAAAAAAATTAAAAATTAGCCGGGCATGGTGGCTCGCACTTGTAGTTCCAGCTACTGAGGAGGCTGAGCGGGGAGGATCACTTGAGGTCAGGAGTTCGAGACGAACCTGGCCAACATGGGGAAATCCCATCTCTACTAAAAATACAAAAATTAGCTGGGCATGGTGGCACCTGCCTGTAATCCTGGCTACTCAGGAGGCTGAGGCAGGAGAATCGCTTGAACTCGGGAGGCAGAGGTTGCAGTGAGCTGAGATGGAGTCACTGCACTCCAGCCTGGGCTACAAGAGCAAAACTCCATCCCAAAAATAAAATAAAATAATAAAATAAAATAAAGACTAAAACTACCAGACAGCTTACAGCTCAGGGATTTTAAAGACACAGAGGCAGGGGTGATACACAGTCATAAATTAATACATTGAGGTTACACATTGGCTTTAGCCTGAAAGGATGAAGTATCTTGAAGTGGAAGCTTACAGGTCATAGGAGGATTCAAAGATTTTCTGATTTGTGATTTATTTAAGAAAGTAAAATTTGTCAGAAAATTTGGGATCAGCAGAAAATAATGGCACTTCTGGCTCATAGACATAACATCCCGTAGGCCCCTCAGGAAGAAATTGAGAATAAAGAATGGCAGAGTTCATTTCATAGATCCCCTTTATCTGAGGTCTATGTGCCAGTGGATCCATTTAGTAGAGGGGCAGCTTTCTGAACAACAACTCAGGGACATATGCTAAGCTTTGATTTTTAGTTTCCATAGGGAACCCCATATTCCCATGACTCTCAATTCCTTGCTACTGTTTTACCTTCTTGCTTCTCAAGTGGCTCGTGTACTTCTCAGAGGTAGAGAGGTGCCTGGAATTTCTGTGAAGGGACTCAAGATTTTCCTTTATTTCCATGCTTCGGGTGGTACACAGGCCCCTATGAGGGGTCCCTGCACCTTCTCAGGCCCTAAATAAATTCTCATCTGCTTGTGGGACTCCTGAATTTCATCAACCATTTTCTTACTTTTGTATTGCTTGCCGCTTTCAGGTGAGAATATTCCTGTTCAACCTTGGCAGACGAATCTCATCTTCACTGGCCAAGACATTTGGATGACTATTCGTATATGAATTATGTCAAGAGTGCCAAAGTTCAGTATAAAATAATACACATCAGTTGATCCACTATTATTTAATAGAAAGGTGGGTAAATTATTGACTATATCAATGAAAATGGAGATATAAATAGTTGCTACCAGGAAAATATTTTTAAAATATTAAGCTAAATGAGAAAAAATAAAATATTTTAACACCCTTCCTAAAAGTGATTGTTACAAATATATTTGCTGAATACAGCAAAATTATGTGTACATTTTCTAAGTGGCATTTTAAAAATTTGTCACTGAGACTAATTATTACTGCCTCAATTTCAGAGCCATCCTTGGTCTGTTCAGGGATTCAGTTCCTCCCTGGTTCAGTCTTGGGAGGGTGTATTTGTGCAGGAATTCTTCATTCTTTCTAGATTTTCTAGTTTATGTCCATGGATGTGTTCATAATATTCTCTGATGGTTGTTTATATTTCTGTGGGGTCGGTGGTAATATCACCCTTGTTGTTTCTGATTGCATTTATTTGAATCTTCTCAACATCACTCATTATTAGAGTAACGCAAATCAAAACCAAAATGAAATACCATCTAACACCTGTCGGAATGGCTATATTAAAAAGTCAAAAAATAACAAATAACAAATAATCAAACAAACAACAGAGGCTAGCAAGATTGTGGAGAAAAAGGAACACATACACTGTTGGTGGCAGTGTAAATTAGGTTAACCATTGTGGAAGACAGTGTGGTGATTCCTAAAAGACCTAAAGACAGAACTTCCATTTGACCCAACAATCCCATTTCTAAGTATACATCCAAAGGAATATAAGTCATTCTGTTATAAAGACACATGAACACATATATTCACTGCAGCACTATTCACAATAGCAAAAACATGGAATCAATCTAAATTGTCCATCAACGATAGACTGTATAAAGAAAATGTGGCACATATACACCATGGAATACAACACAGCTGTAAAGAAGAACCAGGTGATGTCTTTGCAGGGACATGAATGGAGCTGCAGTCCATTTTTCTTCGCAAGCTAACACAGGAATAGAAAACCAAATGCCTCCATGTTCTCTTATAAGTGGGAGCTAAATGATGAGAACACATGGACACATAGAGGGGAACAACACACTCAGAGTTCCTGAAACCATCGGTCTGGTTTCCGATGAATGGGGCAATCAGACACACAAGCACACCAAGGCTTAACCGCTCTGCTCACTGGAAGGGAAAGAAACTACCCAGGAATGCCACCTGCTTCCAACTAGCTGATCCCATGATTGGGGCTCTAGGGAATTTCTCTTTACCTGCCGAGATGTTTCTGTCTTGGGGAACTTCCTTTCTCTTCTTGCCACTGCACCAGCTGCCAACTACACTTCCTTACCACAGGGCAAGTGACATCTGAAGAGGCTGACAGACTTCAGAGCTGGGTAAGGCAACCAGAATACCCCCTGAACGGCCTCTGCCTGTTCTGTGATGTCACCTGAGCTCTGCTCTGTTTACATATAGCTGCTTGTGACATCATCTGGGTGTGTCTCGTATCTGTATCTACGTCAAGACCTGGGCTTTGCTCCACTTGGAGTCAGCTGATTGGCGGGAGGGCATCTGCAATTGAGAGGAGGTTTCAGGACGTTTACCCAGCCCTTTAGTGGGGATCTGTCTGGGACTGTGCAGTCTGAATCTGCAACTGTAAAAGTGTACAATATCTACATTTAGGCCCTCATCTCTGTCTCTCTCTCCTCCTCCTTCTTTCCTCTGCAGGGTGATCTGCATAAGCCCCACTCCATCCAGGATCCAGCCCTGGAGGGAAACAGCCTCCACTGCCCTAGCAGGGTCACTCTTTTTAGGGCCCTGGAGTACTTCTCACAACTGTGCCAGTTTTTATGGGGAAAGGAAGGATGTGAACTATTCCATAGGTTATCTAAAGGGCTTGCCACCATGCTTATGGTGCTTAATGTTTTTTATGTGAAAAAAAGCTTAACAGCATATGGGATAAGTATTTAGGCAGTCCTGACTCCAAAGCCTCTGCCCTTTTTGTCTGCCTAATTTACCATTTAATTTGTTGCCATTCAGTTACCCTCTACTAGGGTACTAAGGACAGCAGAACATGGACTTGGGATGAAGTTGATGTGCTGGTGGGCTGGGCCAGTGGGGGACGGGGCGGTGGTGGGGGAGTGCTGTGCTAGCTGGTGCTAATCACTAGCCTGCCCAATGAGTTTATCCTCTGGTCTCTTTGGCTGTCCCAGCTGTGTGGTGAGATTTGCACAAGTGTTCCTTTTAGGACCATGAGTGGTACTAATTGCACTGCTTATAAGAAGCTAGAAAAGTCTTTCCAACCCATAGAGCTCTGGTTGAAGGATATAAGCAGTGCAGAACAGAAGAGAGACAACAAATAAAAGTTGTCATCACTGTTTCAACAGGGATGAGCAGTATGGACATAGAAACCAAGTCAGGAGGGGAAACAAGGTCTCTATCCCCCCTGGGAGGCCCCTGGGGCATACCCTAGCTAACTGTAGAGCCTATAGCTATCAGCGCATGACTAACAGAAAAATGGTCTATTATTGCAGTGCTGTTTGGACTGTGGACAAGTTAGGTTATAAATTTTGACCTCTGAATGGACGCAACCAATACTAGTCTTTAATGCAGTTAGACTCATTTTGTCAGAGGTCTGGAAAATTAGAAAAAATACCGTATGTTCAAGCCTTCATGCTTTTCAAAAATCAAGATTCATACCATGAGGGAAGATGCCAGCTGCTAGCTGTACCAAAGGACAGAATGGAAAAAAGGCTCTTCACAAGCCAGAGAGCCAAACTCAGGCAGAAAGCAATGAAGAAGAATTAGGACTTTTAAATGTCCTACACCCAAGCTGTTTTAGCAGCTCCAACCACCACAGCCAGAATGCACCTGGCCTCTGCTCCACCCCAACAGCTCCCACTGCGGTACTGCCATACGGGACCCTTAGCACTGGCCTCTGCGTTGGCCCAGATTGCCTTGATGTTACCAAGTGAGGCATCAGACCAATAAGAGGGAGCTACTCTGCCGCCTCAGTATAATGAGAGAACAGAGACGGCCTCTCCCTCCAGTGCTTGACAGGGAACACGATTTAGCAAGGAAGTGCCATGGCCGGAACAAGGGAATTACCATTTACAAGGACGGCCACGGGTGGCTTGGATGCCAGTGGGCAACCTGTCAGACATTACTGGACATCCAGGCCATTTTCAACATCTAACTTGTGAAATGGAAAAACTCCACCCCACTTTATAGAATGGATCCCCAGAAAATGACTGATCTCTATGTGTCTATCAGTGCTACCCACCAGTGTACCTGAGCAGATGTGTAGTCTCTCCTAAATATGTTTCTGGCTGCAGACCAAAGAAGATCCAGAGTCTTGGCGCCTCCATGAAACAAATCCAAATGCCCCAAACCTGAAGGGAGCATTCTGGATGCAAACCCTAATTGGGGCTCCAATTGATAAGGGCACATGGCCCATCTGGAATATTCACAAACATTCTTCCTGTTTGGACTCAGGAAAGGGGTACCAAAACAGGAAGCCTCACTAGGAATGACCCCTTCCCCGCTCCAGAGACAAAGAAACAGAAGTTTCAACCATAAACGTGGGATGAACAAGGAAGCCTCTGCATCAGAAAAATCGAGGCAAGCCTCTGGAACACAGCCAGTGTGCCTAGTGTAAGGAGAAAGGCCACTGAAAGGATGACTGTCCCAAAAGAAAGGACCAAGGGGCCAGAAAAAGGAGGAATATGACTAGGAAAAAGCTCACAGTCAAATCATGGAGCAGGGTCACTGCTCTGACCACAGAGAGTGATGCCACAGAGAGTAAGGACCAAGGAGAGTCCTTAATCACTCAGAGACAATTAAAATTTCCCCACAGGAACCCTGGGTACAACTGACAGTGAGGAAAAAGTTAATTGATTTCCTGGTTGATACTGGGCAAACTATTCAGTTTTAACACTTTATGAGCAAAAAGCACCAAAATGATCATACCTGTGATAGGAGTTGCAAGAATAATGCAACAAAAGGCTTTCCTACAAAGTTTAGAATGCAAACTAGAAAGTTTGGACCTAAGGCACTGCTATTTCTATATGTAAGAATGCCCAATTCCCTTGCTGGGAAAAGACCTATTATGCAAATTAAATACTCAAGTAATTTCTCCCAGAGAAACAACTACGGCTGCAGGTCCTGCTACAGAAAGCACTGCAACTAAGATGTTATTCACTTGCCTTAATAAGAAAGAAGAATTCTCCCTCAGAAGTCTATGAGAGAGTGCGTAATTGTGAATAGGCAGAAGGAATCCAAGGAAAAACAAAAAATACCGTGAGTGCATATAGAAAAAATAGAAGGGGCTACTGTGACCTGGGCGGCGGGGAGGAGGCGAATAAAAAAATCAGTATACATTAATAAAGGAAGCCTTAGAAGGAATACAGCCTGTCTTTCAAAAATTTGAGAAGTAGACTGATTCATTCTTGCAGATCCCCATATAATAGCCCTATCGTGCCTGTAAGGAAGCTACACTTCTACAAATATCAATTTGCCCAAGACCTGAGAGCCGTTAATAAAATAGTTTTGGATATTCACCCAATGGTGCCTAACCCATACAATCTACTGACTGCTATATATAGATGTTATGAATGCTTTTCAGTGCTAGATCTGAAAGATTTTTTTCCTGCATTACAATTGAAAAAAATACCCAGCAATTATTATTATTATTTTAATGACAGGACCCAGAGAGTAAAACAACTTTTCAATACTGTCAGACAGTGGGACCTCAATGTGTTAAAAAAACACACCAACAATTTTTGGGGAAATAGTGGCAAAAGACTTAGGAGACCTACAACAAGATTAAGAAGCCTGGCTACAACACATAGATAATTAATACCAGCCACAACTATAGGAAATGCTTAGCTGACCTCATCTTAGTTCTAAATCACCTGGTACAATATGGATACAAAGTATTCCCAAGAAGCCCCAAATATGTAAGTAGAAAGTAACCTGACTTGGCTTTAGGTTAAAGCAAGGCCAAGGGAGCCTGTTCTGGTAAAAAAACAGGCAATAGCAGCCATAAAGCCCCAGAGAATGGGGGCAATCGTGGGGATTCTTAGAAAGGGTTAGCTTCTGCCAGATTCGGATTCCTAAGTTTGGACTAATGACTAAAACCCTTTATGAGTCCCTACACGGACTAGACTCAGAGGCCCTTTTCTGGACATCTAAAGGTCAACAAACATTTTATACCATCAAAGAAAAGCTGATATCAGCCCCCACACTGGGATACCAAATTCCCAAAAGCTGTTCAAATTCTATATCCAAGAGAAACAAACCATAGGTGTGGGTTGTGCTAATCCAAATGCTGGGAGTTGTCCCACATTCCATGGCCCATTTCTCTAAACAATTAGGCCACAGGTTAAGGGATGCCCCCCACTTCCTCTGGGCAAGAGCACACACTGTGAAGTCCTACAGGAAGCAGAACAATTTACTCTGGGACAGCCAGTTACCGTATTTGTGCCCCATCAGGTGCTGACTCTGCTAGAACAAACGGGAGGCTACTGGCTCACTGTGGGGTGAGTGGGCAGATACCACGCCATCCTCTTACGTGATCCAAATATCACCCTACAAACCACCATGGCTCTAAACCCTGCCACACTGCTCTCAGCCACTGAACACAATCCTGGGTTAAAGCATGACTGTAAATCCTTGATGCAGCTTATTCAAGCATGCTGAACCTGTCAAACTAGACAATGAGTGCTCTGGACTTGAACTACACTGATGGGAGCAGCTTAATGAAAGATGTGCACAGAGCCGGATGTGCCACCATGACTATCAAAAGGATAACAGAAGTCCATATCCTTCCTGCAGCTACCTCCGCACAAAGAGCTGAGTTAATTGCTCTTACTTGAGTCTTTAGAACTGTCCCAGGAAAAGGGATTCTCATTCCATACATGCATTCCTGGTAATGCACACCCATTGGGTGTTTTGGAAACATAGAGGAGGCCGCTTCAAATCAGAAAATACAGACATTAAACACCCAAAAGAAATTCTGGCCCTAGGAGAGGCAATTGCCTTGCCTGCCCAGGCCTCCATCATGCACTGCCCCAACACCAGAGAGATAATTCATAACCAGAGGTAACCAGGCAGCTGGCAAAGCTGCAAAATGAGCTGCTTGGGAGGCACAGGTTCTGGGACATGAATACTCCATTTGGAATTACTAGATTTTAAACCTCATTACACTGAATAAGATCCCAAACGTGCCCGAGCCAGGGGTTTGAGAAAAGAGAGTCCAACTCCCCCTGGAAAACTGACACTTACAGGATGATGATATTCCCCAAGGCCTTGGTTTATCTGATCTCAAAACATCTACATAAAGGAACACAAAATGGGAGTGATGTCCTCGCCAACCTAGTGCAACCACATCTCAGTAGCCCACACTTCCAAGATATCATTTGGAAAATTACACAAGGATGCATCTCGTGCACTTGAAACAATCCCAAGATGGAATGTAGCCGTCCTAAAAAGGGGATATAGTACAAAGGGCTGAGTCCCTTCAAAGACTGAAAGGTGGGCTTCACTCAGATGCGTACCTGGTTATGTGTGCAAAGGAAAGTTCTGAAACTATTAATAAGAGAAAAAGGAGGAGATATAAGCAATATACTTTTGTTAACATGAAGTTCTCAATTAGTTCTAGAGTAATAAGTACATACTTGATCTTTGCTGAAACTACCTGAATGGGTGTAAACAGTGGCTTTCCTCCAAAACAAAAGACTGCTGGGTCTGTGGGGGAAATACCCCTTTCTCCACTGCTGACTTGCCGTTGCACATCCAAGCAACCAACTCGAGCACTTGGAGTTATGTTTATACGTGGGACAAGAGTAAGAATTCTCACCCATTTCCCATCTATGATTACAGTACCACTCACCATGAGTGCTCCACTTTTGGGGAAACCTGGAAACAAATCTTCCATCTGGCTCATAAGCAGGTTAATATCACCCCCTCTATAGACTATGCTGTACATGACAACATAGGATGGCTGGTGATGGTGCAAATTCAGGCAATGGGTCAGGCACCTCTACACATCCAAAAACACAAGAGCAACACACCCCACACTAGCAGCCAGGCTAAGGGATGGTTACCTCTTAGCAATGTGGCCAAACCCATCAACTGACTAATCATATGTGGCTAGGATGGCAAAATAGTATCAAGCTACATGGTGGGGCCTATCCTTTCTCCTGGAGTTAGCTATGGGTGTGAGGCAGTCATAGCTGGTCTTACTTACCTTACAGCTGAACCGGCAGATACACCTGGGGGTGCCCTTACCTACCAGGACACATCCTGTCCCATCTGGACTCTCTCCCTGACGACTGGGAAAATGTGAAGGCCAGACAACACCATCAAAAATGGGCACCCTGTTGGTTCTACTCACTAGCTGCCTTTTCCTCGCAGACAGCAAACATAGATGTAGAATTATAAGTAGAGACCCTAAGTATAGAGCTGCTGCCAGTAATAACACCTAACCCAACGTTACCCTTCCCACTGAAAAAACCTGCAGATTAGACAAGTGGCTGTATAGAACCCTATGGCCTTAGATATCCTAACTGCAGCCCAGTGTGATACTTGTGCATTAAGACTGAATGGTGCGTATATACACCAGATTATTCTCACGATATAATCCAGGCTATGCACGCACTGAATACTCATATTTCTGCTATAAATGTCCTCTCCCAGGATCCTACAATGTCATGGTTTAGTCGACTTCCAGGTCCATGGAAGACTCTCATATACAGTATAATTGGTATTCTGCTCCCTGTTCTGTTTGGTTGCAGTAGTTTTTGTTGCTTTTCAAGATCTGTATGGAGATGCAGGAAAAACTTTCCCAGAAACATTTGGGTCCCCACACTATAATGCTCCAACACATTCTCACATTAGTCTGGGAACCCATGAATATTTCCAACTCCAGGTAAACAGATTCCAATATGATACCCTCTAACTGTGCCCCTTCTCAGCAGGAAGAAGTTAGATGGACTGTGTTGCCCATTTTCCTTGGAAATGGAATGGTCATTTATGGTGAAGGATTGTAATTGAGTAATATAGCTTCAAAATAAGTTTCTTCTTGCTCTTTTTTTTTTCTTCCTCCCAGTCTCAAGATGTAACCTTGAAGCAAACTGCAGAAGCCATTGCTTTAGTCTTCAAGTAGAACGCTGAAATATACTTTGGAACCACACCCCATTCAGTTTCCCACTGTACACATCCATTCCTTATACACATTTATCTAACTGTATGCTGGCGAAACTCACACCATGCATACTTATCTAACTATATACCTGTCAAAAAAATACCAGAGGCTAATTTAAAATGAACCAAACACAAAGGCCCAGCTGTGGAATTGTCTCTCTCTTAAAGATTGCCTCAGGATGGATACCTATGGCCTGGCACTATCAAGATGGTATCAGTCTGTGGCTCCAGGTGGACCATAACTCAAGATACACACTGGAGTAAGACACAGACTCCCTGAATCTGCACAACACCTGCATGCCTCCCACGTCATGCATCATGCTTCCCTTTCTTTAAACCCCTGCCCTCAGCCCAAACTTTTGAACTGGTTTATAGAGGTGTAATCCAGCCATTTCCCTACTGCTGGATTTGAAAAATAAAGTCACTTTCCTTTCACCCTGAAAGTCCTCCTTGTCATTGCTTTTGAATGCATAGAACAGCTGGACCTGCACTCAGTTACATGTGTATCATAGGAGGAATGGAATATGGCACTTTTCTCTCTGACTGCCAATGACTACTTGGAAACAAGGGTACATCATTTTCTGTATTGTGGTATATTATTGAAGAAATAGACTTATACTTTCACATAAGCTGACCAACTCCATTTACCCTCTACCTAGCAGTGGAGGCAAAAACAACTCAATCTTGAAAGCTAATTCACCATGTTGACTTCTGATTAACCCCTGTTCTGGGACTGCCTCTAAGCTTTCTGTATAAATATTTTTTTCCTTTATATGCAAACTAGGGGATAAGATTTCTATTGTGTCTACTGTTCCTTGTGAAAATCATTATTTTTCTGTAAATCCTGCCCTTAGGTCAGAACCACCATGACTATAAATCCTGTGCTTAGATTCCCATGGCATTTCTGCCTTTCCCTGACAGGTAGACTTCAGTTTTCCTACACATTCCTTCCCCATGGTATATAAGTCCTATGTGAGACTCAAATATCTGTTCATAAATCCCTACTAAATGTTTCTTTCTAAGAGACTGGTTATATCAGCCTCTATCTTCAGCTGTTCAGCTTCCTCATATTTTGGTGGTAGGTTTTCAAAGACCTGCCCTCCATGGAATGCTAACTATGAAAAATGGAGAGCTTTTAGTGGAGTAATGAAATCCCTATTTTACGTATGTAGAAATAATTTAAAAAATGATGGTCGTAGAAATCTGTTGAGGAGGAAGCGGAATTGTAATGGTTACATGAATGTTTCCCTGACCGAGATTTAAGGCTTCAGGAAGACTGAATAAAGTGAACGTGAAATCATGTTCTCAATTATATGAGCCACCCATCCATTAAACTCTAACTTCCAATCAGTCTAAAGTGTGGATGGAGAAAGAGTGTTAGGTACTTGCCTCATGAAAGGGTCTAGGAATTTGGCTTGTTTGCAATGATAGTTTTTGAAAATTGCAGTGTCCAGGACAGCCACTCTGAAACCTGGTAGCTTAGTATATTATGGGAAATCATAATTTTTGTGCTGTCAGAGAGGTTGTTTGGGAACTTGGAGCACCACACGATGTCATCTGTGCCTGTGACATCATTTAGCACAGCTTTGAATTTAGTGCCTGTTTTCTTTTAAACCTCATCTCTCCAGTCTCCATCTCCCTGATATGCCACATTAAGGTGGGTTACACCTTGTATGCATTTACTTATGTCTAACTTATGGATTGCCATTCTAGCTTTTTTTTAAATTGCTTCCTGGTTTAGTGAAGCACAATCTTCACACTCTTCATCATGATAGATTAGAAAACATGCATTGAAATCAAGATAAAAAGGGATTTGACAAGTCACGAAAGTATGATAGTATCTCCAGTTCAAATGAAATAAATGGAAACACTCACCATGTTTTAAAATGGGAACCTTAAATGAAAGCTGTCATGTCTCAAGTAATAAAGTATGAGCTTAAAGAAGTTAGTTTTCTTGAATTACAAATGCTCAATTAACACCACCTAAGTAACAGTTATCCTCATCTAAGAATGAGAAATAACATCCATGAAACTGAATGTCTCTTCCAAGTTTCTAGGTCACAGGAGCTCATTTTCTCACTGTCACTATTACTGTGGTGTAGACAATAGACCCCATGTTTATAGACCAAAAAACAAATCAACATTATACATGGCCACGGGTGTGGAGAATGAAGTCTGATGTCTTTGTGGGTTTTTAGGCATGGTCCCTGGAAAGAACCCTGGTGCTGTCCAGCAGCGTGTTGAACAGGAAGTTGTGTGTGGGGTGAATGGAGAGTCCTTCCTGCTGTGGGATTCTCTGTTTAGCCAGCACATATGCAGAATCACCACTCAGCTTGTGTCTATCTCTTAGATCACTGGTGGAGGGTTGGGGTTATGTGGTATTTTCTTCCTTCCTTTTCTTCCTTCCCTCTTTCCTTCTTTCCCTCTTTCCTCTGTCTCTTTCTCACTTTATTTCTCTCTTTCTCTCTCTCTTTCTTTCTTGGGTCTGACTTTATTGCTCAGGCTGCAGTGCAGTCACACAATCATGGCTCACTGCAGCCTTGACCTCTTGGGCTCAATCCGTCCACCTGCCTCAGCCTCCTGAGTACCTGGGACCACCGGTGTGTGCCATTATACTCAGCTAATTTTTCTATTTTTTTTTTTGTAGAGACACAGTTTCTCCATGTTGCCCAGGCTGGTCTTGAACTCCTGGACTCAAGCAATCCACCCACTTTGACCTCCCAATATGCTGGCATTACAGGCATGAGCCACCACACCTGGACTGTTGTTTAGCCTCTATCAAGTTTTCCATGCCTGTGCAAAACCTATTTGGAATCTCAGCTGCCAAAAATCTGGTGTGAAAAGATTTTTTTGTCCAGGTCCAGATAAGTAGAAACTGCCAAAACCACCAACCACCATATATATATATACATATATATATACACACACACACACACACACACACATATACACACACATATATATACATATATATACATATATATACACATATGTACATATATACACATATGTACATATATATACACACAAACACACACATATATATACACATACATATATATATAGACACACATACATACATATATATATATTTTTTTCTTTTGTATTCCACCCACCTGCTGTCATGATGATGCCCATTTGGTGACTTGGGGATTGCTGATATAATTCTGGTATTCAACAGAATACAAGGTTCCATAAAATTCCTGATGGAGAACGTGGAGTGAAAAGAAATTATCACAGAATTCCAACCAGGCTTGAAGGCAGAATTATCTTTAGAAAACTAAGCCTATATTAATAAAAACATTATAATATGAAAATATAATTTCTATTTCTTGTCACTAACATTCCTCAATCTTGGTCTTTGGCATCCAGAAACTTTGTCTGCCAAAATACGTTCAGTGGGATCCTGTAGATATGTTCCTAAATGATATCTGAAAATGGGCCTTTCTGGGGTATGTGAGGCATAGGCAAATACCTCTGAAAACAGAGAGGTTACTGACACTCAAACGAGTTACTTGGTAATAAAGAGTGTGATGGGGAGGTCAAATATGGACAAGAGTTCCTTGAGTTTGATGCTGGCTTCCTAAAGTAGATGGATGTATGTATGGAAGGGTAAATGTATGCGGAAATTTGCTTGGCTATTTTTTTCTGTATGTCCATTCATCTTCTGAGGCCAACTTTTTTTTTTGGAGTCATGATCTCACTCTGTTTCCCAAGCTGGAGTGCAGTGACACAATCATGGCTCACTTCAGCCTGGAACTCCTGGGCTCAAGCAATCCTCCCAAGCCAGCCTCCCCAGAAGCTGGGATAACATATGTATGCCTGTCTCTTTTAATTAAAAATAAATAAACAAAGATTTCATTTTAAAATAATTTTGATATACATAAAGATCCAAACATAGTACAGCTAGTTTTACATACCCAAGAGTTTACTAGAATATTAACATCTCATTTATATACCCATAGTGTATTTATGAAAACTAATAAATTTATGGTGGTATAAAACTATTAACTGAACTACAGACTTTCTCGAGAGTTTACCAGGTTTTCTAGTAATGCCATTTTTCTGTTCTAGAATCTAATCCAGGGTAGTATTATAAACTAAACGTATTATCTTTTGTATTAGTTATCAGTTGCTGCACAACAAATTGCCACATAGTGCGGTGGCTCAAAATCACACACACATTACTTACAGTTGCTCTGGGTCAGGAATCCAGATGCAGATGATGTCCAAGGCTGAGGTCGCAACTGAAGGCTCATCTGGAGAAGGATCCCCTCAAAGCTCGTGTGATAGTTGTTAAGATTCCATTTCCTACCCTGGACTGACCATGGTGGGTCAAACTTGTAATCCCAATGCTTTGGTAGGTTGAAGCAGGAGGATTACTTGAGGCTAGGGGTTCAGGACCAGCTTGGGCAACATAGGGAGAACCTGTTTCTACCAAAAAAAAAAGAAAGAAAAAAAAAGAAGAAAACAGATTAGCCAGATATGGTGGCATGTGCCTGTGGCCCCAGCTACTCAAGTGGCTGAGGCAAAAGGATTGCTTGATCCCAGGAATTCAAGTCTGCAATGAGCTACATTCATGCCACTGTGCTCCAGCCTGGATCTAGAGTGAGACCCTATCTCTGAAAAAAAAAAAAAAAAATCCTGACTAGGTCAAGAAGACATCAGCAGTGAATGATTTTACATCTTCAAATAATTAATACCAATTTATCATATATTTTACAATAAATAAACAGTAAACCCAAGCCTGTGGCACCTAGCAGTGAAATGAGGAGCAAGCAACCCAGCCAAGGATTTTGAGATAATGTGGTCTTGTCCCTCCGTCCATCAGCCATCAGCACCTGCAATTCAAATTCCACTTCCCAGAGAGGGAGGAAACTGGTGGCAGCCACATGTGCAGCACAGCAGTGTCGGCTCCAGCAACAGCCCAGTTCCCAGGGTGTGCCTCTGGCTTCACGGAAGTCACCTGCTGCACTGGTTTGCCAACTGTTTGTTTTTCTAAGTCCTCATCTGGGAATAGGTAACAACTTTAATAATAATATTTAAATCCTTGTTTTTTTCAACTTTTAAGTTTTTAAAAACTCTGATATTCTATTTTTTATAGATATTTATAAAGGCTCACAAAATGTGTCACATCAAATGTGTACATGTTAGGTCTCCTGAGCATACAAACTAAATTGGCCTTAATGAAATACCAGAATTTAAATTTTGTATTTCTTCTAATTAATGAGCACCTGTTTGTCAACCCATATTTTCATCTTTCTCTATACTTGTAGGTAGTGTATTTAAAGAAAGAAATATGCAAAATAGTGAAAATCATATTAAAAAGAGTAATTTATCACCCACCTTTCTCTCTCCCTTTCTGGTGTATTGTAAATCTCCATCTATGTAGCCCAATCACATCTCTTTACTACTCTGATTTGGTTTTATTCACTTATACAATATAATTGTTTGCAAAGTCTGAAAATTATCTTGAAAAAATGTACATTTTTTTCTCCTTTTTATGTGTTCAATTCTATTTGTGCTAAATAAATTTAGACCTTTCACATAAAAATCAGTAAGAACACCAGTGAAGAATAGATCACTTTCCAATGTGAATTATCAGCCTCATACCAAAGCTAGAAAAAGTTACTGAAGAAAAACTATGATCAATATGACTTATGAACATAAACACAAAAATTAAAGGAAATACTATCAAAACAAATAACAGACATGTAAAAATTTATAAATTTTGACGAAGGTACACGTCTTACGAATGTAAATTTGGTTCAACATACGAAAAGAATTAGTGCCATAAACTATATTAAGAGATAAGGGACACAATACACATGGTCATCTTAAAAGATGAGCAATAAGCACCTGCTAAATTGAAATTTCATTCCTTATAAAAACATGCAACAAGTTAGGCAAATAAGAAAAATTTCCTCACAATGAAAGCACAGACAACCTCACATGACATCCTAAATGTTCTGAGAAGCTCAAACACTTTCTTGTAAAATTAGAAACAAGAGAAGGATATTACCTTTCATAGTTTTATTCACTACTGTATTGGAGGATGTGGCCAAGGTAATTGGTGTAGAAAATAAATATAAAAAACTCAGATTGGAAGGAAAGTCAAATTATGTCTCCATATGACATGATCCTGCCTATAGACATCATAAAAACTCTAATAAAACATAACAAAATATGAAAAAAGGGATAAGCAAGCTTGTAGTACAGCTTAGTACAGGTCAATATACAAAATCAACTGTATTTTTATTTATTAGCAATTAACAATCTAAAAACAAAATTTCAAAACCATTTCATGTAAAATGGCATAAAAGTTAAATACCTATGAATTAATTTAATAAAATAAGTATAAGACACATATACTGAGGACTACAAAACATATCAAACAAATTAATACTATTATAAATTAAATACATTGAGCTTTCACTGATTAGAAAGCTTAGTATCATTAGCTTGCTGGTACTTCCCAAATATATCTAATGCAATCCCTAGCTAAATCCTAGGTGACATTTTCTCCCCTAATTGACAATTTTACTCTAAAATTCATATATAATGCAATAGAATTCCAGAACAGACAAAATAATTTTGAAAAAGAACAAAGTTTGTGTAGTAAAATGCTACTTTCTGATTTCAAAACATACTACAAAAGCAATAGTAATCAAAATTGTGTTAAGGATATGGAACAACAAAAGACCCAGAGTAGCCATAGCTATCTTAAGCAGAAAGAACAAAACTAGAGGAATTACATTACCTGACTTCCAATTATACTAGAGAGCTATAGTAAATGAAACAGCAAGGTATTGGAATAAAAATACCCATATAGACCTATGGAACAGAATAGAAAACCAAGGAACAAATCCACAACCCTATAGTTATCTCATTTTCGACAAAGTTGCCAAGAAGGTACACTGGGGAAAAAGCCAGTCTCTTAAATAAATGGTGCTGGGAAAACTGGTTATCCATATGCAGAAGAATGAAACTAGAACTCTGTCTCTCACTGTATGCAAAAAATCAAATCAAAATGGATTAAAGATTTAAATTGAAGACCTCCAACTATGAAAGTACTACAAGAAAACATTAAGGAAACTCTCCAGTATGTTGGTCTAGGAGAAAATTTCTTGAGCAATATCCCACAAGCATACGCAACCAATGCAAAAATGGGCAAATGAGATCATATCAAGTTAAAAGCTCCTGCACAGCATAGGATATAATCAACAAAGTGAAGCGACAATCCACAGAATGGGAAAAAATATCTGCAAACTACCCATCTGATGGATTAATAACTAGAATATATAGGCAGCTCAAACAACCCTATAGGAAAAAAGTCAAATAATCCAACCAAAAAAGGACAAAATATTGGAATAAACATTTCTCAAAAGACATACAAATGGCAAACAAGCATATGAAAAGGTGCTCAAAATCATTAATCATCAGAGAAATGCAAATCGAAACTACAATTTTTTGCATTTCATCTCACCCCATATAAAATAGCTTTTATCCAAAAGACAGGTAATAACAAATGCTGGTGAGGATGTGAAGAAAAGCAACCCTTGTACACTGTTGGTGGGAACATAAATTAGCACAACCACTATGGAGAACAGTTTGGAGGTTCCTCAGAAAACTAAAATCGAGCTACCAAATATATCCAGCAGCCTACTGCTGGATATATACCCCAAAGAAAGGAAATCAGTATGTCAATGAGATATCTGCACTCCTATGCTTGTTGCAGCACTGTTTACAACAGCTAAGATTTGGAAGTAATCTAAGTGTCCATCAACAGATGATTGGATAAAGAACATATGGTGCATATAAACAGTGGAGTAATAGTAAGCCATAAAAAATAAAGAGACCCAGTCATTTGCAACAACAGGGATAAAACTGGAGATGACTATCTTCAGTGAAATAAACCAGGCACAGAAAGACAAATATCACATGTTGTCACTGATTTGTGGGTTCTAAAAATCAAAACAGTTGAACTCATGGACATAGAGAGTAGAAGGATGGTTAACAGAGGCTGGGAATGGTAGCAGGGGGCTGGGGGAAGGTAGGGATGTTTAATGGTTACAAAACAAATAGAAAGAATGAATAAAACAAACTGTTTGACAGCATTAACAGGATAACTATGAAAGTCAATAATAATTGTATATTTTTACAAAACATAAAAAGTATAATTGAACTGTTTGTAACACAAAGGATAAATGCTTATAGAGATAGATGTCCAATTCTCCATGATGTGTGCTTATTTCGTATTACATGCCTGTACCAAAACATATCATGTACCCTGTGTCTGTTTATCTACTATGTGAGAAGGAGAGATGTTGCGGGAAGTCAGGGACCCTGAACCGAGGGACCAGCTGAAGCCATGGCAGAAGAACAGGGATTGTGAAGATTTCATAGATATTTATTAGTTCCCCAAATTCAGACTTTTATAATTTCTTACACCTGTCTTTTCTGAAATCTCTGAACATAAATTGTGAAGATTTCATGGACACTTATCACTTCCCCAATCAATACCCTTGTGATTTCCTATGCCTGTCTTTACTTTAATCTCTTAATCTCATCATATTCCTAAACTGAGGAGGATGTATGTCACCCCAGGACCCTGTGATGATTGCATTAACTGCACAAAGTGTTGGTAGAGCATGTGTGTTTGAACAATATGAAATCTGAGCACCTTGAAAAAAGAACAGGGTAACAGCAATGTTCAGGGAAGAAGAGAGATAACCTTAAACTCTGACTGCCAGTGAGCTGGGTGGAACAGAGCCATATTTCTCTTCTTTTAAAAGCAAATGGGAGAAATATCACTGAATTCTTTTTCTCAGCAAGGAACATCCCTGAGAAAGAGAATGCATCCCTGAGAGTAGGCCTCTAAAATGGCCGCTTCAGGGACGGGCGTCTTTTATGGTTGAAGCTGTAGGGATGAAATAAGCCCCAGTCTCCCACAGTGCTCCTAGGCTTATTAGGAGGAGGAAATTCCCGCCTAATAAATTTTGGTCAGACCGGTTGTCTGCTCTCAAACTCTGTCTCCTGATAAGATGTTATCAATGACAATGCGTGCCTGAAACTTCATTAGCAATTTTAATTTTGCCTCTGTCCTGCGGTCCTGTGATCTCACCCTGCCTCCATTTGCATAAAGCATGTTACAGTCCGTACCGTTAACAGGATGTGATGAGAATGGCACTTTCCCTCTGTGGTCTTCCTCCCTGAAACCTACAATCCAGTCTAATCGGGAAAGAAACACTAGAGAAATCCCAAATTAGGAACACCAATGTCATAGCAATCATGGAAACTTGGAGAAATTGTCACAGTCAAAGTTGATTAAGGAGCATGAATTGTAAATGTAATGAGGTACCCTGGATAGGATCCTGGAATAGAAACTCGACATTAAATGACAACTAAATCAATCTGAATAACGTGTGGATAGCTAATAATAGTGTAATATCGGTTGGTTCATTGTGACTAATATCCCACAATAATGTAAGGGGGTTATTCAGGAACATGGTGTATGGAGTCTGTGGAAACTCTATGTATTATATTTTGAACTGCTCTGTAAATCTAAAACTATTCTTAAATTTCAAAAATCTATTTTATTTTAAGCCTTTGCTGAGCTTATAAAACAAAAAGAACATTAACAATATCATTGATGCCCCCTGAATGTATCTCCTGAATTTCATCATCTTTGTTAACAGCTGAAGGTAACTATTATTATGGATTATCTTTGTCAATCTCTAATTTTCTTATATTCATTTTTCCTGTATGTTTGTATATATAAATACTATATTGTTTAGTCTCTTCTCTTTAAACCTAAATAAATATAAATATTGAAAACATTGAATTTAATCCATATCCCTAGTCTAATTATGAGAAGACATCAGACAAATTCATATTGTGGGAAATTTTACAATAGAACTGACTAGCAGTCCTTGTCAAAAGGGTCAAGGTAATAGAAAATAAGTGAAGACTGAAAAACTATTTCATATTGGAGAAGATCAGATATGGTAGGTAGAACCTAAGATGGCACTCAATGACTCCCACTTCTAAGCATAAGTAAAGTTGATAAGTAACTTTGTATTTTAATTCCTTCTAAAGAATGTAGTCAGAAACTGTGAGTTGCTTAAAATCAACAGAATACTACAATGGTGATTGGACATTAGTAGGATGATTATGTTACATTAGATTGTGATTCTTGTGTTGCTAGCAAAGTCCCTCCCTTGGTGACTTTGATGGAACATTTGCCATAAGGGAGAAGCCAACATGGGAGGAAACTGAATGCAGAAACAGGCCAAAGCCAGCAAGGAACTGAGGCCCTTGGCCCAAAACCCTTACCCAGAGTTTGCAATATTACATTTAAAATGAATCCAAGATACTTTTCAAAAAACACTGTATCGCTCACAGATAGTATGAATATCTTGGAATAACAAAATAATCTTACCTCTTTTGTTCTCCCTATTAGTGCTGTCATTCATTTCACTTTTACGTGAGTACACATACACATATACATGTATATTTATATACACATAACATGCAGATATAACCATGCCTAATCAAATACATCTGTGCTATTATTATTTTCTGGAAACCATTATCTGTGAGACTAAATTAAGAATATGAAAAATAGAAGTTTTACTCCATAAGGCAACCACTAAAATAGTAAAAACAAAAAAAAGTTATATAATTGATATGCTAAGAATGGAAAGAAAACAGAATTGCATAAAATTCTCAATTAAAACCACAAAACACAGAAAATAAGTGAAGTACAAAAACGGGAAGAAAGAACAAGGGCAACAAATCAAAAACAGTAACACATATGGTTGATATTAATCCAACTCCATTGGTTGTCAATAGTCTAAAGCATCAATCAAAGAACTGAGAATGTCAGTGTAGATCAATAAAGTCAACCCCCAACTAAATGATGTTAAGTAAAATCTATGAAATCTAAAGACATGTATACACGTAAAGGAAATAGACGAAACAAAATAGCCTAGGCTAACACTTACTTATCAAATAAAGGAAGAGTCGCTGCATGAATTACAGACAGAGAAGTCTTCAAGCAAGGAAAGTCACTAAAAATAAAGACGGGCATTACACAAAGATGAAGGGGTCAGTTCTCCAGTACAACATAATAATTCTTAAAGGATTTAAGTGCCTAACAACAGAATGTCAAACTATGTAAGGCCAAAACTGATACAACTGCAAACAGAAAGAGATTAATTCATTATTATAGTTGGAAACCTCAACACTCTCTGTCAGACAGTATTTGTCTGCAACTGTACAGTTACTGTCATCTACACACAAGGGTTACCTCAGCTCCACCCATCTAAGTGCCAAGCATTTTCAAGAATGGAGATGTGCCTTCGTATATTACTGGCGGCATCTCCTGCAGGGGCTCCACAACAGGGGCAGCACTGGTCTCATAGTGTCCTGTACCTATTAGCATGCATCTCTCAAGGGACTCATGGAAAGGGCACTACATTGTTGCAGGTATGCATGCCACTTCTGTATAATGCAGGCTTGAGAAATAGCTGATATAGGCCTGGAAAACAACCCTTCTATCCAGCCCTTAATGGAGAGATCTGTTCTCATTGTTACTGGCAGATGATCAGTTACAGGCTCAATGTGCTGCATGGCCTTACACGCTCCCAGAACCTGTTGTTCAATTGGAGAATACTGGGTTTCAGCACATTTCCATAGCTGTGACCAGAATCTCAGAAGAACTGCTTTCCCATGCTGAACGTGCCAGAGGACCCGTCTTGTCCCTTCAGAGTTTACAGTCACATCTAAAGACACTGGTATCCCGGAAGGGGGGAACTAGAGCTTGTGCCTGAGCCATCAATATTTTAGCTTTCTCAAATTACTACCACTTGTTCTTTATCCTAGATACCTTTTTCTTTCTTTCTTTTTTTTTTTTTTGAGACAGGGTCTCTCTTTCTTGTCACCCAGGTTGGAGTGCAGTGACATGATCTCAGCTCACTAAATCCTCTGCCTCCCAGGTTCAAACAACTCTCATGCCTCAGCCGCACAAGTAACTGGGATTACAGGTATGAATCACCATGCCTGGATAATTTTTTGTATTTTTAATAGAGAGGAGGTTTCACCATGTTGGCCACGCTGGTCTCAAATTACTGGCCTCAAGTGATCTACCCGCCATGGTCTCCCAAAGTGCTGGGATTACAGGTGTGAGCTACCGTGCCCAGCTTAGATTGCTTCTTTAATAGTCAGTATAGGGGAGGCAAACACTGAGATAAATACGAGATGAAAGACCACCAATATCCCAAAAGACCTAGGAAACTTTGAAACTGTTTAACTGCTTTAGGTATGGAAAACTGTTGTATTTTTTCAATGACCAAGCCTAAAGTAAGGTGTGTCTTACCAGGCCAAGTGATCCATAGGAACTTTGCAGCTAGTCCAAGCCTTCCACTTTTGTGCGTTGATGGCCCATCCTCTGGATTGAAGAGTGCCAATGCATCTCGGTGTTGCTGTAGCAATGACAAGTCTTCAGAAGCCAGAATATCATCCACAGAATGCCTGCAAGTCAGGGTAAAAGGGATGCTTAAGAAGGCATTAGCTAAATCTAACACAGCATGATAAGTGCCTATGTTTTATATTAATTCCTCAATCACTTGAGTTATATTACACACAGTAGCATGTATCTTGGAAAGATTAGTAGTGTCCAGTTGTCTACTGTCATATCCAAGTGCCATCAGATTTTCTTAGTTGTCATACAGGATGGTTGAAAGGACTCTGGGCTGGCTGGATAATATTAACTTTCGCCAGTTTCTCCATGGTGGCTGTGACTTCTTGTATTCTACCAGGAAGATTATATTTTCTCACATTAACAATACATTGTGGGGGAGGGAGGTGTACACCTTCCCATTTTGCTTCCCCTCTTAATATAGCCTTTGTCATGGGTGAAATTCCCCCACAGATGTTTGTAAAGTGCATCCTAAGAAGACATCCATCAAGATGTTTTCTGAAATAGATAAGTTAAAGACAGGAGAGTAAGCAAGGTGGGAACTCCAGACAAAACTAAGGAGGAGAGGAGTTTGTTTCACTCAGATTTTTAAACCCTCACAACCATCTATAGCTTCCCACTTACCAGCGTGTCTCTCGATTTCCATCAATTCAGACACATTCTGCACCTGTGCCCACTAAAGCTAAGGTTCTCCAATCAACAGTGAGCTCCAAATATGGCCTCTGGTCACCCCCTATTGCTCTTACACAGAAGCAGCCTTGACCCTACCTATGATCTCCAGGCTGGAAAGAAGTCCACCCCTGAATTGCAGAGATTGGGATCCTTTTACCAAGGGTTTCTTCTTGTCTTTCTCCCTCTTCTGGTGGAGGGGGGTTACTAAGAAGGGGTCTAAACTACTGATCAGGAGTCAGGTCTTTCCAAACCCCACTAATATGCCACTGGGTTGCCCATCTATATTCTCTTTGTCAATCCCAGCTGAAATCAGATCATACCACATTTGTTTCCTAGTAACACTAATTGCGCCTTTTTTAACTCCTTTTTTCAATCCAGCAAACTTTGTTTCTCCCTTTTTCCATTTTCCTTTAGCAACCAGTCAGACCTAATCTCTTCCCTTTTGAGTTTCTAGGAAATCTGAAATGGCTTTCCCTATAACTTATCCCATAAGGGGATTATTTCACTTCCGGGGGTACTTCTATCTCGATTTTTCAGGTTCATTCCCTTCTAGGGAGATACCATCCCCACTGGTGTCCCATAGCTGCACCACTCATGTACATAAGGCTTTCTCTTGGCAGCTGTTTAAAAGTTTTTGCTATATCCAGTAATCCTAACCATGCCTGTGTGTATTGGAATTTTGCTTTCCACTGCATGAACAGTTTCAACCTCAAATGGGGAGGATAATGATCTTCCTCCTCTGAGTTAAACTCTATGTCATCATCTGGCTCACTGGTTGGTTCCCAAGAATTGCAGGTATTTGCATCCCAGCCTGGCTTGGCAAGGACAGTCCACACATTCAGCTGGCACAGCTTTCTCTCTCTCAGCCACACAAAGTGGCAAGGTACGATTTCCAACTGTGCCTCTTGAGTTTCAAGTTTATCCAAAAAACCAGACATTAGCACAGACATGGAAGTTCTCATCCCTTTCTCACTGCGATTCTTTTCCTAGCTTCCCTACACTTGCCTCAGCTGCTACCTGTGCTTTTGTGACCACTCGCATAGAAAATAACAGTAGCAAACTCACTGCTGGCACTGCTTGGCAACCTTTCTCACCACTGTGAGTCATACTTTTTAGTAGCATTTTACTAACAAGCTTTCTACACCCTCTGTCACTTTTGAGGTGCTCTCAAACACACATAGTGGCCAAAAGACGTGGAGCATATGGGCAACGCCACCCACGTGGATGAGGAGGGCCGCTTGTAAAACTTCCTCCACAGATGCTTCTTTCCCCTTGTCCATACTTTGGTTTCCTGGCTGGCCATTTGCTCTGTTAAAGGGCCGTATACACAAAACAACTCTCAAATGCCAAAGGATCGGAAAATTAAAGAAGGCTGAAAATCCATTTAGTCAGTACTGGTTAATTTATTGATGGAACTTACACACAGAAGCATAACCTTGGATGGCTGCAGGTAGGTAGCTGTTCACACTGTTACTCTCCAGACCCAGGGTTAATACTCCACAGGGAAAGGGTATACTTGCTTTGGCAAGGCAATTAAAAGCAACCCTCCACAATGGAAAAGGAGGCTACATGCATCATAGCCTCTAATTTTTGTGGTAACACCCAGGTTGACATGATTTTACACTAAGGACAGTAAATAATTGAGAGATCAGAAGGCATTCATGGAACTGGGGCAAATCAGAAGTAACATGGTGGACTAGCATCCAAGATGGGTCATTTTGTCTCCACAGGTTCTATGACCTGCTGTTTTTTCGAAGTACAGCTGGGAATATTAATGTAAATGCAAGACATGCAAGGTTTTATCCTTCCTTGTCTTCAGTAGCACAGTGATGAAGAGAACAGTCTCTGGAGGGAAATTTCTAGTGTGAAATGAACTCTCCAAAAAATAAGAAGATGTAATATTTGAGCACAGATAGAGGAATCAATAGGCCAGGCATGGTGGCTTACGCCTGTAATCCCAGCACTTTGGGAGGCCAAGGCAGATGGATCATGAGGTCAGGAGTTCGAGACCAGCCTGACCAACATGGGGAAATCCCATCTCTACTAAAAATACAAACAAAACAAAACAAAACAAAAAACAAAAAACTAGCTGAGTGTGCTGGCATGCATCTGTAATCCTAGCTACTCAGGAGGCTGAGGCATAAGAATTGCTTGAACCCAGGAGGCGGAGGTTGCAGTGAGCGGAGATCACAACATCACACTCCAGCCTGGACAACAGAGTGAAACTCCTTCTCAAAAAAAAAAAAAAAAAAAGAAGAAGAATCAATAAAAATAAAAAGGAGTTGAAAATCTGATAGATGCATGTATAAACAAATAATCCAAAAGAAAAATTAATGGGAAAAAATGAATTTTCAATAAATATTTCAGGACACTGAATATCCATCTGGAAAAATAAAATTTACTTTTAAACTCATGTGCAAAATCAACTTCAGGTAGATTATAGACCTCCATAGAAAAAAGAATTAAATAGAGTATTTAGAATTTAACATAGGAAAAGAATTTCATTATAATAGTGTACGTGAGGAATTCTTAAAAAGCACCTAGAAAGTGTTTACTCTAAGAGAGAAATGCTATTCTAACATAGTTGATATGAGTAGGGACACTGGGTCAAGCTCAAGGTTGTTCTAAGTCTTTTCCTGTAGGGCTTTAGCTCAGATTCAGAGTTAGAACTTTCAGAAGGTCACAGTAGTGTGTACCTCTTGAGATGCTGTGACAACTTAATGCACTCATACACAAAATGTGTAGACTAATAGCAGGTTTGAAAGGAAAATAAAATCTCAGGACACTAAATCACTATGCCCAATGGGAAAGTTAGGCTTGGGAATCGGGTCACACAAAAACTGACTTCCCTTTTTTCCCAAATAGATAGCTGTAATTATACATGGTCACTTTATCTTATGCAAAATGTAGATCCAGTAAACATGAGATGAATGCATAATCAACTTTATCCCCCACTCCTCTATTTTCACATATCAAATGTGGTTTCAGTCAGTGCTAATCAAAGCCTCACCAGAATGCAAACGCTTGCCTCAGTGCCTAGCCCTTTTTGCTTCTTTTTCGCTCCTCCCTGTACTGCTCACTTTTCCTCCTTTAAATGCTTAAGCCATCAAAACTCTCTTTGGAAAAAGCACAGATCACAGATCCTGCTGTAACTTTTGTTTCTTTTTCCCATGAACATCCTCAACGTTGGCAAGATCTAGCTCTAAATTTATTGAGACCTGCCTCAGTCACTTTTTGGTTTACATTTTGGAAACCACAATGAATTCTGTGCAGAGTTTGGCCCTTTGGCCTGCAGCAACTCTCCTAGCAGGGCCCTGGTACAGCCAACTGGAAGCTTTGTATTGCTCTGACTGATTGGATGATTTGCTGAGGTCTGGGAGCCTCCCCCTACAGAGATCCCTGATCTCCCAAACTTTTTACTGGAGGTCTGAGGTATGTTCTCTTGTAGAACTCCCTCTCTGGGAGTTTGCTGCTTCTGAGGAGGCAGAGCGCAGTCTTCCACTTGGGCCAGCATCTCCAAGTAAGGAGCTGGCTGGGGGTTTTTAAATTGGATTTGGTGGCTTTGAGTCTAGCTTTCTTCTTAGCCAGTTACAAATTCTTAGGTTCAAAGATCTCAACTTATGTAAATTGTGCAATCACTTTTTGTTACTGTTTTGGTAAAAATCACTGTTTGTCTCCTCTACAAAGTTTTGATTGGAGATACATAAAAAAGATTTTAGAGACCTCATATTCTTAATAATTGATTAGAAAATAAAATTTTACAAATGACTTACAATAGCATCATGACTGTCCTTGAGAATTCTGGCTCTGTACATTAAAATCTATTAGCATTGCTTTAAATTCAGAAGACATACCCTTGATTAAAGTCCATGGTCAAATATTTAACTTTCTTTGGGTTCAATGCACATACATGTGTTAGTGTGTGTTCCAAAATTGTACACCAAACCTCTTGACACACAATTTACCTGTATTACAAACCTGCAAATGTACCTCAAACCTAAAACAAAATAATTGGTAAAATAAAATAGAAATGTTTTCAGAATTTAATTTAGATATTTGGTCTGAAATGGTCGGGCAAGTCAGATACTGTTTTTGCTGGATGTTTTAGGGCCATAAACTGCTGTGATATTTTAAATAATTGTTTGACTTGTCTTTCTTATAGCCATAGTAAGTCAGGGGACATACAGTGTTCTCCCTAACCTAGCTGTGCCCTCTGACTACACTGGGAAGGGTCAGACGTTATTGGCAGCTGTGTCTTTTGTCCCTGGCTCTGTACCTGATACATAAGGAAAATTTCTTACTTCCTAGATTTTTTCACTAAAAATAAGAGTTACTGAGGGGTAACATTACAATTAACATATATAATTAAATCTACTAGATGCATCCAAAGTGTATAATAAAATTGAGATGTGTTTTTAGAAAAAAAATTGCTATAGAAAGGTATGAGAAATGTGTTTTCCTTACAAAGCGAAAGTCATTTTGTCTACTGTAGAGGTTTTCAAATTGTCTTTAAATTGAAGACAAATTGATGGATAAAGCTAAATGGATACAGAAAGTTGGGGCTTCGTGTGGTGGTTCTTTCCTGTAATCCCAGCATTTTTGGAGGCCAAAATGGGAGGACTACATGAAGCCAGCAGTTTGTGACCAGCCTGGGCAACAAAGTGAGACACCATATCTACAAAAAAAACAGAAAAAAAAATGAGCCAGGCACAGTAGTGTGTGCCTGTTGTCTCAGCTACTCAAGAGGCTGAGGTGGGAGGACTGCTTGAGGCTAGGAATTTGAAGCTATAGTAAGCTATGATTGTGTCACTGCATTCCAGCCCAGGTGATAGAGGGAGACCTTGTCTCAAAAAAAAAAAAGGTAAAGGAAACTTGGAAAGAAATTTTTTGGTTGTTCTAAGGGAAAATGATAGGAGAAAACTGAAAGTTCGATGGAATTGTAGATTTGTAGCAGATTGATCTTACAAAAGAAATATTGTGTGTGACCAAGTGGGTTGAAATTTAAAGGGTATTATTTAGTCTTTCTATAAATTGAACATTAAAAAGCACACTTATGCAAGCCCAGTATCTGGACATGATTTTCTCAGAGAACTTATCTGCTCCTCAGTAGAAAATAGTAAAATATTAACAAGCATTTCTTAAATTGTACCTTATGATTAAACTGATTCAGATTTGATGAATACATCTATAAAATTTTATTAAAATTGCTTTAGTATTAATACCACACCATGCAAAGGTAAAGTTGGTTTTCTTTTTTGAACCAGGATTTTGCTTAATATTAAGAGAGACTGAAAGATTTTTGTTTGCCTTTTGGGCAAATTGCAAAAAAAGAAGAGGGGAGTAAGTTCAGTTGGTCTCACACTGTATTTATTAGTTCTTACTGGATTTTCATTTTTTCAGGGTAGTTTTGTTTGTTTTTCTGAGACAGGGTCTCACTCTGTCACCCAGGCTGGAGTGCAGTGGTGTGATCTTGGCTCACTGCAACCTCCACTTCATGGGTTCAAGTGACCCTCTTTCCTCAGACTCTGTAGTAGCTAGGACCACAGGCACACACCAATACAACCAGATAATTTACAGATTTCTTTTTTGTAGAGACGAGGTCTCACTATATTGCCCAGGCTCGTCTTGAACTCCTGGGCTCAAATGATCTTCCCATGTTGGCCTCCCAAAGCAATGGAATTACAGGCACAAGCAGTGCACTCAGCCTGATATTAGACCTTATTATTTGAGAAACTGAATCTCCTTTCTCTATATCAAAGAAAAAGGTTTTTTGCTTTTTAGAAATATTTAAAATATCATTTTGGCATAATGAGTAATTTATTTCATCGTGATTGGTGATTTTATTTTGTAACATCAAGTGTTTCAAACCTTTGATATTTGACAAACTTTCCAAATCAAATTCTAATTCAGCCTTAGTGACCTAATTTTTTGAATATTAGGTCACCTGAAGTCCAACAGGGACACATTAGCCATATTTAATATGTTAAAATCATACAGGAAGCATGGATGAATATTTAACTTTCTTTGAGTTGTATTTACCTAAATATTAGCATGTGCTCCAAAATCATATGAGATGCCAATAATTCTGACATGCCTTACTATATGTTATCAGTAATAATTATGATTATTATGTCAAATTGTTGTATGACACTGAAATATCCAAATTTCTTGTTGACTGTACCTGTAACTATGACTGTCCTAAGAGTTTTTCATTCACAATTGTTGTTTTCCTTTGAGTATTCTCAATACATAGTTTATAAAAAACCAGTGGCGCAAAACTTGCTTCTTTAGGGGAGTTCATGAAAATGATTCTGATAGGTTTTCTTGAATTTAGGTTTCTGATAACTTTGGAGATTGTGCCATTGTACTAATGAAAACAACAACAATAAAAACAACAAAACTCCCAGGATTCTAATTAACAGGCTGATGTGTTCATGAGGATTGCTAAGCCCATATAAAGTAGAACAAGGTAATTATGTGGGACTGAAGTAACTGAACACTGAAACAATTTTTTAGGACTTTTTGTCTGAAACATTGATGACTATTTTTCTTTCCTTTTTCAGAGTAAAGAAAACTTTTTTCTTAGATATTTATAGTTTTTAACAATTGAATATGGTATACTCTTTAGAGAAAAATTTTAAGTATACTTCTTTCTCTTACCTGATTTCCCCAGAATTTGAAAACTATTTCTGAATATTCTTAATTTATGGTACTATAAGTTATTTGCATATCATCAATAAGATTTTTTTTTTTTTTTGGATCGGGACACAATTGGAGACACTGGTTACCTTGCCAAGGCTTTCGCTGGAATAGCATATTTTCATCTATGAGCAGATTGCTTTGAGAAATTTAGGTTGAATAATACAGCCAATAAAATTCCCTTGGAGAGACTGGCCTTGTACCTTCTCTATGCATTTTCCTTACAGATTTTCTAACCTGTGGTAAGAAAAGCATGTTACTTTCTGACAGGCCTAGGAACTCCAAGTAATCTTGCGACCTCAAGGTGAGAGGAATTCACCCAGTTCATACAGTTATTTGCAAGCACAATAAATCCTTGTTTGAGCTTGAGGGGTTTTTTGAAAAGTCAAATCTTAGACACTTTGTTTAAAAAAAGGTTCCATCAATGCCAAATTAAAACAGCCTATAAGGAAAAAAAATACTGTTGCTGCACTTTGTGAAAATAATCAGGCCAAGTACAATAAAATGAAAACTTATTTTGGAAATAAATTGGTCTTATTATGATTTTTCTTTAGTAAAAATGGAAGACTATAAAAAGAAAAATGTATTTCAAATGAAACTATAGTACATCTTTTACTGGATTCTCACCCTGTTCATTGCTTTCCAGTTTTATCATTTGTCTACAATTTAGCTAGACTGGATCCTAAATTCTTTGCCGCTTACAAGTCTCCAAACTAACATTTTCAATGTTTTATTTTTTTTTCTTTTCCATTTTTTTCTGACTTGGAATTAGTAGAAATTAAAACTGTGCTTTTTGTAAAGCCCTGCACACTGAAACTAGAAAACTTAAACTTTGGGAGAAATAACAGCATCTCATTTATTTACATAAAACATTTCATGACTGTCTAGTTATATATGGACTGCTCTGTAATACAGTCTATCGGTTTTCAAGGATTGGTTTCTACCTTGTTGCTATAATCCAGCTGTGTCTCTTTTTTCTTATCTTTTCCCTTTATTTCTTATTCCCCCTATTTCTTCACAACCTTCTAGAATGAGTCTCCTTAAAAATGTGGATCCTAACTTTCTAGGAATAAACCATCCTAATGTTTAAGATTAGGGAAAAAATATAACCAAACACTCATTTTCTTCTAAAATGCTTTCTCTGAAATATTTTGAAGAACAAGGAAAACAAAATTTTGGAACCCCAAATTCACTATGACAAAGGAAATGTTGGGAACTGAGTCATGCTAATACTACCTTCCTTTTGTTCCCAAAGAGTCAGCTGTAATTTCACAAGGTTGCCTATCTTATGTAAAATGTATATCTACCACGCACAAGACAAATGCACAATCAACTTTTTCTCCATTCCTCTTTACACATGCAACATCTGGATGCAGTGAGTGATAATCCAGGCCTCGTAAGGATGTAACACTTGCCTCACTGTCTTTCCCCCCTTTCTTTATCCTCCATCCACTCCTCCCTGGTCTCGCCCCTATAAATATGGAAGTCAGCAAAACCTTCTTTGGAAAAAGCACAGGCCACAGAGCCTACTGTGACTTGTGTTTCTTTATCCTTAAACTTGGCAAAGTAATTCTCTGAACTGAATGAGATCTGTGTCAGTCATTTTTGTTTTACGTGGGTCTACACTAAACACTAAGTCAGTATTTGCTACTAGTGACAGCTTTTTCCAAGTAATTGCAAATAGTATCATATGTATCAACTGTAAAATACATCATTATTTTACATCACAGCAAAAGCATATAACTATTGAAAAAATATGACATCACAAAAATTTTATCTCATATATGTTGAAAATAATATATCTTATTTGAAACGCCTGTTCCTTGGTGCCATAAAGAAATAGCACTTGAATATAATTTCCTCAGCAAGGCCATTTTAATATTTTCTGCAGAAAGGGTACACTCACCAGCAGTTTTGCAATGAGAGTACACCGAACAAAGGAGACATGGTCGTTTATAACCTGATGCTTCCACCCTACTGCTGTGTCCAGTTTCCATTGGCTGGAACAGGACCTCACATTCTATATTTGTCCCGACTGGCTAGCAACTTAGAACTTTTTAAAAGAGGCAAAGGCAGAAGAGAACAAAGGAAGGAGGAAGTAACTTCTGGAATGCTGAGAAAAGTAAAAACACCTTCAAATAAGGAAGAGGAACAGGCTATGACCTAATGCTTGCTTGGACCAGTATAAGCATGCCAGGGGAAATATTTAGGCTAAATTGTGGGAGCTAAGAACATAAAGTACATTCATTTCTTTATTATGGCTAGCAGATATTTAAGAATGTTAGCACAGGTCTTTGAATAAATTTTGCTTCTAAGAGAAGTTACTATTTATTCCTAATGAGATAGGGAGGAAAGTCTTTGAAGAGGAACCTCTGTTTTACTTTTTACACTTTTGAACTTACATAAATGTGTGTATTTATGTTTTATCACTTCTATGATCACATGAGATAGAAAGTGAAAGCAAAATAGGTAATCAAGGTTTTCTAAAATTTCTCATATTTGGATAAAACTCTTCTAAATCACTGTGCAACTCACCTTGTCCATGGATTTTTTCTACACTAGCATCATCTCTGGTAATTAGGAGCTTTGCTGTTGCCATATTTGTAGTGAGAGAACTATAAGAGTTTCTGTTAGATTATGTGTCTCATCTACTAACGTCCCTCTCCAAGTTATGATGTTAAAGATACCACCAGAATGTGAAAATGGAAGTTTTTTACATCAAGTTCACTTGTGTGCACACAAAGTCAATCACATTATGACTGTCTTCTAACCAATAGTCTTTTACAATATTATGATTCATCTGTATTTGCAAGATGTAAAAAATATGCCTTTTAAAATAAATGGAACACACTATTTTTCCTCTGTGACTGCCGCCTTCTCAGTACAAAATTTTGTCGGCTCATCATATGTATTCTGGTCTCTTATTGTGAAAACATGCTTAACTATAGTTTCAAATTAGTTGAACAACTCGATTTACCTGCTACCTCAGGATTAGAGAGAGAGTTATTATTGGGTGACTAGAATTCCTATTTTAAATGTTCCTATGAATTGTTTTAATTTTATATCATCTGGGCATTTATTTTCTACATAGTATTGACATTCTCATACCAGAAATAGAGTTTAGAAACCCATGACAGTTTTCAGTTTCTGGCTGCCTCCACGTTCCTCAAGGTGGTCATTGAACATAGACCCTTATGAAACCTGCTCAAGGTGACTACTCCATATAAGACAGCTGAATACCACCTTTATCTCACCTCACTGTCCCCTGTGGGAACTGCACAGATATTCAGCAGTAACTACCTCTCAGTCAAACTTTGACTCTGTGGAAATCATGGTTGCTTTTCCTTAACTCAGCAATTTGAACTCCTCATGAGAAACCTGCTTGGGTAACACTGCAAAATCCAATGTGATGTTTACTTTTAGGAGTCAACTAACTGTATTAAGGAATACCTAGAACACTGGCAAAGCTTTACTTCTGGGTCGGTGAGGTTTCACCAGAAAGGTCTGAAATGTGAGTCAGTAGACAGAGTGGGTAAGATCCTGTGATGGAGCAGGGACCCTTTGTTAGGGGCCTGTAGCTTCCCCAAGCAGGGAAATAAAGGAAAATCATGAGTCCCTTCAAGGGAAATCCCTGGTACCTAGCTAGCGCTGAGAAAGAAATGAGGAACTTGATAAGCAAGAAGGTGATAGTAGCCTAAACAATCACCAAGGAAGTTACAGTCAGAAGATGTTTGTTTTGTTCTAAAGATCACATCTTAACATACATTCCTCAATCATTTTTCATAAACCTAGACCCCCACCAAAGGCATCTGCTGACAAGTACACCTTAGATAAGGGGGCCTGAAAACTGAATTCTGACTGCCATTCTTTGTACTAAATTTCTTCCTGAGGGGCCTAGAGGGAGGCAAATCCATTAGCCAAAGAGCTAACATTTTTTTTCTGCCGACCCCCAAATTTTAAACCAAACCTTCTTTTCTTTAACCAATTACAAATCAGAAAACCCTTGAATCTATGTATGGCCTGTAAGCCCCTGCTTCAAAATATCGTGACTTTTCAGGACAAAACCAATGTGTAAACTCCATGTACTGATTTATAATTTTGCCAGTAACTTCTGCTTTCCTGAAATTTACCCCTGCTTTAAAAAAACCCTTACCTGCAAGCCACTGGGGAAGTGGGAACTTAAGCATTAGCTGCCTCATCCGCCTTGCTTCACAATGTCCAGATAAACACCTCCTTTTCTCCCACTGCAAATGTCAGTGTAGGTATCTAGTCTTACTGTACTGGGTGAGCAGACCTGAGCTGAATTCTATAACAATCCACCCTCTATGTGGGTAGGCACGATCCAGTGGGCTGGGAGTACTGATAGAATGAAAAAGTAATGAGAATGATTTTGCTCTCCCTCTCTCCTGGAGCTGATACACTCTCTGCCTCCTGCCCTTGGACATCTTAACCACAGACTCTCTTCCTTGGGACTCCAGGACTTACTTCTGCATCCCTCCACATTCTCAGGCCTTTGGCCTCAGACTGAGAATTACACTGTCAGCTTTCCTCATTCTCATACTTTCAGCCTTGGAATGAGCCATGCTACTGGTACTCCATGGTTTACAGCTTACAGAAGACCTGTCTTGGCTTCCATCATAATGTGACCCAATTTATCTAATTAATGCCCCCCCCATCTGTCTACCTATATATGTATCCTATTGGTCCTGTATCTCTGAAGAATGCTAAAACAGGTTTTATTTTTTAAACCATGAATGATTGCAGAGAACTGGAATTTTAGGAACGAGTTTCTTTCATTGGTTTTGGGGTTTCTAAACTTAGATCTCTAAACTGATGATACCTAAAAATGTTAAAGACTCCATTTCTAATAGTCCAGAAAACATTGCTAGTCCATGTCATAAACAGCTTAAGAGATATGCAAACATCTAGCTTTGACACTCCTAATCAACACTGATAAAAGACAGGGAACTTGGTGACTCTGACATCACATCTTTAAACGTCTGTGGAAAATCAAGGCCTCTGCTTCTAGCATTGATGAGTAAAGTGATCGATAAAAAAGATAAGCTAAGAGATTCAAATTTCAGAATTTCAAAATTCGGCTTCACATAAAAAGCCTTAGAGCTTCTTACAGCGCTCTGAGTGAGAATTATATCTCCTATAGTCACGGGGCTGAAAACGCTAGAAGTCAAACACAAACCTTCACCGTGCAGTTGGCTGAGTTACTATGAAAGTTGAACTTTCAGCCTGGCAAGGTACCTACTGTAAATTTACAGCACTGTACCGAGAAGAATGGAACTCTGTAGAGTGGGTTGGGAACATTTTGAGAGACCATGTTGAGGCTGGAGACATTGAGCTCTGAAATTCCGATGTCTTCTTTGCCAGCAGACCTGACCCCCTACTGACACCCTCTTGGCAGTAGCCTCTTCACCCACACTGGTATAGGTGGTTCCACCTCCTCTGAGGGGATTACGCCAGCATTGCCTGAGGGAAAGGTAATGGACTCCCCTGAGGCAGTTGCCGAGGAATGCAATGCAGATTCTCCTAAGGCCCCACACCCACCACTCCTTTTTGCTTCTAGACTTGTAAGTAGACTCAAACCTCAAAATGCCCTTAAAAATGATATACAAAGTTTGGCCCACGGGAGGTTCATGACAGTTCAAGAAAACTATTTGACTTTATAATTTATACAAGCAGAAATCTGGAGAACATGTGTGGAAAAGGGTATTAAGAGTTAGGATAATAGTGGAGGAAACAAAGTTGGATCACCCAGATTTATTGATATGGACTCATTAAAAAAGATACTGGTTTTAGTTTTGCAGCATTGGAAATTAGAAAGGGCCCTAACGGTTGGTTGGCTGAACCATGAATCAAAAGATGGCCCTTATTTAGCCAGTTGGATATGCCTGATCTCCCTTGGACTAACATACAGGCAGAGATTTAAAGGCTTAGAACAAATGGAACTCCAGAGTGCATTTGTCTCTTGACCCGTGCCTGGCCAATGGGAGAGCTTTTACATCTTAAATTACTCAAAAGGTAGCCCAAGGCCTAGAAATCCCCTTAAAACTCCACACAGCAGGGAGACCCCAGGCCTCAGGAGAAGCAGAAAAAGCCACTTAAAGCTTAAAGAGAACATTGGGTAAACTGTGCTGGGAAACAGAGGAAAACTGACTCACTCTCTTACCATAGCTCTTCTGGACTGTAATCATCCGGTGGATGTGATCATGCATTCTCTGACAGTAGTCAGCCTCTTTTCCCAGGCACCTATGTCATCAGTCACCGGGCTTATGAATAAAGTGGCCACTGTGGTAGGGACTGAGGTTTTGCATACACACAGCAATCTGGAATTCCTTTCACCATGGCCAACCAGGTTACAGACCCCTCTGAGTGTTCCAACTGTCAGCAGCAGAAACTAACACCGAGCCCCTATATGGCACCATTCCCCAGGAAGATCTGCCAATTTCCTTGTGGTAGGTTGTTTACATTGGGCAGCTTTCGTCAGGGAAGGGGCAGCATTTAGTTCTTCCTGGAATAGTAAGACAGTTACTCTGTCTATAAATTTTACTTCCTTGCATGCAAGTATTCTGTGGAAACTACCACCCATGGACTTAATGCCTATCTACCATCATGGTATTCCACGTTGCCTTGCTTCTGAACAAGTAACTCACTTCACACACAAAGAAGGGCAGAAATGAGCTCATGCTCAGAAACTTCAGTGAATTCACCATGTTCCCTATAATCCTGAAGCAACTCACTTGAAACAATGGTGGAATGACCTTTGGGAGTTACAGTTCCAGCACCTGCTAGATGACAATACTGTGTTAACTGTGGGGCAAGGTTCTCTAGAAGGCTGTATATGCTCTGAACCAGCATGCATTATATGGCGCCATTTCTCCCGAAGCAGTGTGGTCACAAACACTTCATCAATCTCTAAGGACTCCCAAATATTTCCTATCTTCTAAACCCTCACAAGAATACAGGCTTTTACTAGTCTGCCTCTCCAAGATTCTTTTAGCCTCTGCCCATCACCCAGTTTGAAAGACACTTTCATATTTTCAGGTATTCATTTTCAGCAACAACCTACTTGTCATTACCAGTTTTCTGTATTAGTCCCTTCTTTGTTGCTTAAAACAGAATACAAAATATTGGGTAATTTATAAAGAAAATAAATGTATTTCTTACACTTAAGGCACAAATGATGGCTTGGCAGCCTCCACAAATTTCAAAGTATTTTTTTTGACAGCCTGGGAGTCCAGAGAGAGAGTTGTCACACGGCTAGATCCACTGCAGAGAGCCCCCAGTAGAAGGATGCCAAACACAAATGTGGGGTTGGAGCTGCTGCAAAGAGTCCCCACCAGGGCAATGCCAAGTGAAGCCACAGCAGTGAAATCACTGCAGAGAGTTCCACATGGGTAATGCCTAGTGGTGCCAATACCAGGATCCCAGGATTGTGAAGTCCCCTGTGGCATTCAATGCCTGCCTGGGAAAATTTCAACCAGTAGAAGCACCCACAGGTGATTCACCAAGGGGAACCGTAGGGGTGACACTGCCTAGGGCTTGCCACTCCAACCCTCACCTCAGTGTGTTAAGGAGTTAAAAAAAAAATAGGCTCTCCAGCTTTAAGATGTAATGTTTGCCCTCCTGGACTTCAAATTTACTTAGGGGCTGTTACTGTTTTCTTTGTGTCTATTTCTCTCTTATAGAATGGGAATGTGTACATTATGTTTATCCTGAAATCACCTTTGAAAAAATTCTAACAGTGAGAAAATTATGACTGTAAAAGAGAGATGACCTGACTGAATACATCTTGCCTTTAATCTCCAAGCTGCCCATGTTTGTTCCTGGACAAAGGGAATATTAAAATTATAGCCTAACTTTGAAACAAAGATGACAGCCCCTCCTTGAAACAAATCCCTTAATTGCTTGGAGACCAGATCACCTTTGTAAAACCAACAAATTAACCACAAGATTAGAAAATATGGTTCAAGAGCCATACAGCCAGAGGCCATAAGATTACTAACATCCTCAATTGATCCTAGAGACAGCATTCATACTGTGAACCTAAGGGGCCTAGGATCCCTATAAGCCCACTGTTTGGGCTGGCCCTGCAGACTTGTTAGTTACAAAATTTGCTACACCTCCCTGAAACAAAAAAGTTGAAGTTTCCCTCTTATCTTGTTTTATGTCCTTGAAAACTTGACTTAGTAACCATGTGAGGATGCTGTCCCTTGTTCTCCCACATACACAGGGTTGGAATTTCTGGATTCAGTTCAGGCAGCCAGTCTGAAAGGATACATAATAATGTCACAGCTAGCTTTAAGGATTCTCTTGAGCAGTTACAATCCTTGAAGCTTGGAGCTGACTGACCTACATTATTTCTGACCAACAGCAACTGCCCCATGCTGTAGCTCAGTAACTAAGGTTTTTCCCTTTTACTGCAGCAGCCTGGGTTTGATTTTCAACTCAAGCACTAAGCCCTTTCTAGTGTGATATTTGGAGACTGTTTGCCATTCATTCGATGATTTTCTTCTCCATGGACATCTTCTCACTTTCTGTCTTAAATTTTCCTTTCTAAGCTATCTTTGGGGAAATTCTCAATCTTGCAAAAACTGCTTGCCATCTCTGTGAGACACCTCATGCATCCATGGTTAAGTCATAACCTTAGTTAGGCTTATAAGTTTCTCATGGGAAGTTACCTCTGGAAAAGTTTAAAGCCAAAAATACTACCTATTTGTCCTGGCTAAAATCTATTAATAAAAGATTTCAGCAGATTTTCTTTGGAGATCTCTGTAATCAAAAATCAACTTGATTAAGGCTGATATTGAGCTACATGTGTACAGATACTATTTTAAAGCCTTTGCTCTCCCTCTGTAAAAGTTTCTCATTCAGTGGAATTCTTTCTGATCCTCCATTTACTCCTGTCTGTTCCTCCTTCCTCTTGTATCTAACCTTTTTGACTTGCAGAGACCTGAAATTACTTTGCATTATGAAAAAAAACTTAACCTTGATGTGTAATAACTAGATGAAAAATATACTTTTTGAAATGACTAATGGTAGTTGCTTATAGTAAGTGATTATTACTACAGGGTGATACTCTTTTATTTGTACATTTAAATAAGAAGGATGTGCTCTTATGAGCTGATTACAGAGTGGGCTGATGCGTGCTGGGTTGTCCAGCGGCCTTGAGGAAATGTCCTTACAATGAAATACTCTGTGGAAGCATTGCACTGTGTCATGCCATAGAATGCCATATTGTTTGCCTCTTTAGGGGACCCAGGATTCAGTACAAAAATAAGATTCATCATTTAGGGGAATCTGTTTTGCCTTCCACCTCTGCCTGATTACTAGGACCTAGAAACTGCATGCTTTCCTGGTTCTTTTCCTTAAGAGGTTCCACCCCAAAGGCAATAATCCCATTTAAAAACTTAACAACTTTAAGAAAATCTCCACATGTAAGAGTGTCTGCTTTTCCTGGCCATCCTCACTGAACTTTTACCCCCACATTTTTCCTTGCTTTAGATAAAATATAAATTCTCTATAATTATTTCACCTAAGAATTATCCCTTTAAAATAAAAGTGTGGAACTGCCTGGTTAAAAACTTTTTAGGGCAGGGAACAGGTAATCAAGAGACTGATGATCTAAAATGAAAAAGAAAAACTTAAAAACTGACAAATGAAGAATCCATATAACTCTACCAGATCTGCTTCTCTATGTCTGTGTATTTATATGCTCCATATATGCAATATTTTGCTGACAAACTATATAAAAGAGCTCTAATAAATGGGCGTATATATGCACTTAAATAAAATATTTTATCAGAAAAAATTTAACTAAACTGCTTTTTGTTCACATGACTCTAATAATCTTTGAATGATAAAGATAGCTTTAAAGATTATTGGTACAATAAAATTATTTCTTCAACATTTAGACATTTGGTCTAAATTAGGCAGGTCAGATATTCTCTTTGCTGTTTTAAGGTTACAAATATCTATGACTTTTTGTAAGTGTCCAACCTGCCTGCATTAGAGCCAGCAGCTTCTAGGTAAAGCCTGGGGACGTGCTGAGTTAGCCACGCCCCCGAGCTATGTTGGAAACAGTCAGACATTATCTTCATTTCTGTCCTGTGTCCTAGGCTCTGCACTTGGTATGAAATTAAAATTGCTTTCACTAAAAATAAAAGTTGTGAAGATTTAACATTGTAACACATGTGATTGACACTGCTGAGAAAAGATTGACATTCAAGGTATATAAAAATTATAAAATGTGTTTTTGTAAAAAGTTATAAAAAGACCTGAAGATATTGTTTTTGTTTAAAAAAGTAATCTTGTCTAAATTAGAGGTTTTAAAAATTGTCTTAAGTTAAAAAATAATAGGAGAAAACGGAAGGTTTAAGCAGGTTATAAAAGGTTTGTAAAAGATTGGTCTAGTAAAGAAAGTTCTGTGTGTGAGTGTGAGCAACTTGCCAAAACTTGAAGCAGGTTACTTAGTTTTTCTACAGAATGATCATTAATGTAAAAATCACAGTGATACAGGCCCAGAATCTGCCCCCTTAGGTGTGATCAACAGAGTTTTCATGGAGCATTAATCAGTTGTTTAGTAGAAAATTGTAAACAGTTATGGTCTAACTGATTTAGATTGGATAGATTTGTTTATAAGGTTTTATGAAAAATTGTGTTTGACATTAATAAAACACTAATTAATAAAACACTAATAAAACATTAATAAAAGGTAAAATTTGGTTTTCTCTTTAAACAATATTTTTGTATAATACTGACAGATAATAAAATGTTTTTTATTTGTCTTTTAAATAAACTGAAAAAAGTAGGGGAGAGAGAAGACACAGATTCAGATGGCCTCATGCAGTCGTTACTTGGTCCTGTTGTTTGGGAGCTGAGTCTCCTCTCTACCAATGAATAAAGGCTTTTGCCTTTTTAAATTTTTGAGCTATCATTTTGGCTAAACAAATGATTTGTGGTTATCTGGGATTCTATTTTGTGATATGAAGTGTTTTAAAACTTTAATATTTGCACACTTTGAAAAATAAAATTATAAACTAAGAATTTTTATTTTAACTCATTAGCCTTTTAAATATTACGTCCCCTGAAGTCCAAAAGAGATATATTTGGCTTATTTGGTATATTAACCTACAGAAAACACTGTCAAATATAAAATCATGTTTAACTTTCTTTGGGTTATATTTATATAAATATGTTATTAGTATGTATTCCAAAATTATATGGTTCCTATAATTCTAATATGTCTTAGTATATGTTATCAGTCATAATTATTATTATTATGCTGAATTGTTATGTGCCACAGAAATGAACAGATTTCTTTGTCGATTGTGTCTTTAACAATGGCCTCATTGGACACAGCGACTCATGCCTGTAATGTCCTCACTGGGCACGGTGGCTCATGTCTGTAATCCTAGAACTTTAGGTGGCTAAGTTGGGAGGATTGCTTGAGCTCAGGTGTTTGAGATCAGCCTGAGGAAGATAGTGAGACCTTTTCTCTACAAAAAAATCAAAAAATTAGTTGGATGTGGTAGCACTTGCCTGTGGTCCCAGCTCCTCTGGAGGCTGAAGAAAGAGGATTGCTTGATCCCAGGAAGGTGAGGCTACAGTGAGCCATAATTGTGCCACTGCACTCCAGCCTGCATGGCTTCAGACCCTGTCTCAACAAAATCAAAGTAAAATTAATAAAACAATGACTGTCCTGAGATTATTGTCATCCACAGATTATTGTGCTCTTTTTTTTTAAACTATTCAAAAGGTGTTTGCTCTTTGAAATGTTCTCTTGAATACAGGTTTCTGATAACTAAAGATTGTGGCATTGAAATAGGAAAAAAACAAAACCAAACAAACAAACCTCCAGGACTGTCAGAGATAGCTGGTATGTTTATGGGGACTGCAGGCCCAATGTCAGACAAAGTTCACTGCATGGACTGAACTAATAGAAGACCACAATAATCATTTTATGACTTGTTGCTTGAAATGCTGCTGATCCTTTTTGTTGTTTTTCAGAGTCAAGACCACATTTTTCTTTTTTCTTTTTTATTTTTGTTTTTGAGATTGAGTCTCGATGTCACCCAGGCTGGAGTGCAGTGGCGCGATCTGGGCTCACTGCAGGCTCCACCCCCTGGGGTTCATGCCATTCTCTTGGCTCAGCCTCCCGAGTAGCTGGGACTACAGGCGCCTGCCACCTCTCCTGGCTAATTTTTTGTATTTTTAGTAGAGACGGGGTTTCACCGTGTTAGCCAGGATGGTCTCGATCTCCTGACCTCGTGATCCACCTGCCTCGGCCTCCCAAAGTGCTGGGATTACAGGCGTGAGCCACCGTGCCCGACCTCAAGACCACATTTTTCTTTTCAGCTATTTACAGCTTTTCATGGTTGAGTAAAGTATATTCCTGTGAACAAAAGATGAAGGATATTTCATTTTCTCTACTTGATTTCTCCAGAATTTGAAAACTATTTATGAGTATTCCATGCTATGGCGATATAGTTATTTACATAAGTACAATAAGAATCTGATTTCTTTTGTAACAGAACACAATTAGAGACACTGATTATTTTACCAAAGCTGTGGTTATGTTACCAGTCGAATGACCTACTTTCAGATACAAACAGACAAGCTGGAGGAATTAAAGTTGACTAACAGAGTTGATAAAAGCCCCTTAAGAAACTGACCTCCTAACTGTCTACACAGGCCTTGTACAGGGTTCTTGACCTGTGGTTAGTAAAAAATGTCACATTCTGACAGGCCTATGATTCCTAAATTATCTTGGGAGCTGAAGAAGAGAGAAATTCAAGCAATCTGTACAAGTATTTGCAGGCACAGATACATCCCTTGAAGGCTTTAAAAAAGTCCAATCCAAGATTCCTTAGGGAACAAAGTTCCAGCAAACCCAATTTAGAAAGGGCTAATACGGCAAATAATTACTCTTGCTGAACTTTACACAAATAGTCAGGCTAAGTATAATAATAACAAAATGTATTTTGCAAATACATGTGTCCTACTATCATATGTCTTAAAAAAATGAGAACTAGAGAGCAAAAGATTGTATGTCAGAAAAATACTATAGCACACTTATTGTTACATTCTAGTCTTGTCTATTGTTTTTGAGCTTTTTATTGTTTTCTGCACTTTGGACTGAATCCTGAAACCTCTCAGAGCTAAAGTCCTCAAACTAACACATTCACATTTTTCTTCCACTTTTCTGACCTGGACTCAATGAAATGGCTACGAACTTCTTCCTGAGGCCCTGCAGGCTGAAGCTTATCCCTTGAGATACAGATGCGAAATATGTGAGATTGTCATCACTATCCTCCTTTGCAACTTAAAAATGCTTTGAATCTAACATCTGGATGCATTGTGCCCAAGATCAACCTTTGTTATTATTTTCTATTTCCATACAAATGCCTGTTATTAAAAATATTTTTTGCCTTAATCACATAAGGGGGCCTAGTTCATTTGCAGTGACACCTCCTGGAATGAAACACAGCTAGGATCTATTCTGAGGACTAGGAAACTAACTAAAAAGATATGAGATGGTATATTTAAATTTGCTCTTTCCTGTTTATCCAAATTTGTCTTTCTAACAATCTCTCACCCATATCTCTCTTGACCATTGACCCCATGTCTGACTGGTTCTTGGCGCTATTCACCCGAATCGCTCAGGGATTTAGACAAATTATATAAGGACTTCTGAAGCTAGGACTTCCACTCCTTATATTAGGATTCATTATCCTATAGTCAGCTGTTCACTTAAGTGCTGTACTAAAACTGTGGATGAGAGTACTAACGTCTTGGTCATGCAAGCCTAGGAACCCCAACCAGGCACCTGTGCATACATGCAGGCAGCTGCAAAGCAGTTTCATTCCATTTACTCTGGGGCCAAACCCTATCCCAAGTATACCCCTTGTCAGCAGGAAGAAGTTAGAATGGTCTTTGGCCTTTTCCCAACTCTGTACCTCACCCATTAAGAATAAGATGCAATGAAACTTGCAAGGGGAAATTGGAATCACGTTTGCAAAAACAGTAACAGTAAGAAAATTATGATAGGGAGAGAGATATGACCTAAGTGACTTCATCTTGCATTTAACCTCCAAGAGGCCCTTGCTGATTCCTGGGCAAAAACAAACTAACTTCGGGAGAAATTTACTTTGTAGCTTAACTTTGAAACAAAGATAATAACAGCTCCCCCCTGAAACAAAACCCCTCATTGTTTGGGGACCACATCAACTTTGTAAAACTAACAAATTAACCACAATATTAGAAAGTATGGCTCAGGAGTCATACAATCAGAGGCCACAATATTAATAACCTCCCCAATGGCTCCTATAAATAACATTACTATTGTAAAACCTAAGATTGGTGTTTGAGGTATTTTTCATAACTTGCATCCTGACAGATCAGCGGGTGCCACCCAAACCAGTAAACTGGCTCATCTGGATACGTGGCCCACACCCAGGAGCTGAGTCAGAAAAGAAGATGGCTTTGACTTCCTAAGATTTCATCCCTGACCCAACCAATCAGCATGTCCCTTTCTCTAACCCCTGCCCACAAAACTATCTATAAAAACTCTAGCCTCTGAATATTTGGAGAAGCAGTTTTGAGTAATAGGAAAACTCTGCTCTCTCCTTTAGCCAGCTCTACATGTATAAAATTTTCTCTACAGCAATTCCCCTATCTTGGTGAAGTGGCTCTATCTGGGCAGCAGCCAACATGAACCCATTGGCCATTAACAACCCAACTGCTGAATTTTGTATGAAGATAACTTGTTTTGATTTCATGGGCTGACAGAGGAGACTTTAGCTGTGGGAACTTTCTGTTGGTGCTGGAACAATCTAAGCCTTTGAACGATAGGAATGAAATAAACTTTTTGTAAGTGACAGGACGAGATTTTTAGAGTCAGAAGTGGAGCCCTGTGGTTGGAATATTGCTTCCCTCCAAAATTTATGCTGAAATTTCATCCCTAACGTGGTAGTACTGAATTGTGAGACCTTTAAAAGGTGACTGGATCATGAAGAGTTTGACCCATAAATGAATTAATCCTTTCATGGATTAATAAATTAATATTTAAAGATTAATAGTCTACTATGAGAGAAGAGTGGCTTATAAGAAGGGAGACATGATGTTGCATGTCAGCAAGCTCTACTCCATTGCCATATGATACCCTGTAGGCTTCAGAACTCTTCAGAGAGTCCCAACCAGCAACAGGATCTCGCCACATACAACCTCTCAACCTCAGCCTTTTCAGCCTCCATAACTGTATGAAATGCAAGTGTTTTCTTTATCAACTACTCAGTTTCAGGTATTCTGTTATAAGTAACAGAAAATGGACTAAAACAAAGTCTTAGTATTACTATGACCTGTTATTAAGTTCAATGGATTATTACAACCATTCCAGACAAGAATACAAATGATCCAGACCTTTCAGGAATGAAGGTTTGCATCACCCTGCCAGGTAAAGACCCAGGACCAGCAGAGGGGCTTGCTGAAGACAAAGAGAATACTGAATGGGTAGCAGTAGAAGGGAGTTACAAATAGCAGACAGGACCAGGTGACCAGTTACAGAAACAAGGATTAAAATTGTCACTAGTATTTCCTATCAACTTTAAGAATACATTTTCATGTTATATATAAATATATTAGACAAATAACATTGTTTTTATTTCTCTCTTCTTCTTTTGTCACATAACACAAGAATGTATTAACTTGATATTAGCAGTTAAGTGTTAGTAGTTTAACATATTTCTGTTGAAGTTATGGGGTATCAGGAGAAGAGTAACCATCACCCACAAACTTCTACTACTCTTAGGAAAAATAGTATAGTGTGTTCTCGTTGCACACAGGATCGTTGCATCATGTTAGGTAGAACTATTGCCTTGTTATTGTCTGTATCTGAAGATTAGTTAGGGCTTAAGGTGATACATATAGGTGCCAACTAGAAAGGTGCTGGACTTGTCATGGTTAATTTAAGATGCTGACTGGATTAAAGAATACCTACAGAATTGGTGAAGCATTACTTCTGGGTGTGTCTGCCAGGGTGTTTCCAGAGGAGATTGGTGTATGAGTCAGGTAATTTAGTGGGAAAAATCCACCCTCAATGGGGGAAGGCAGCATACAATCTCCTTGGGGACCAAATAGAACCAAAAATTAAAAATTTTTTTCAAGTCTTCCTGTCTCTCTCCTGAAGAAGTTATACTCCTTTTTCTGCCCTCTCTCCTGAAGAAGTTATACTCCTTTTCCTGCCCTTGGAAAACAGAACTCCATGATCTATGGCCTTGAAACTCCAGAACTTATACCAGTAAATGCCCTGGATTCTCAGGCCATTGGTCCCAAACTGAGAATTACACCAAGGGCTTCCCTGGTTCTGAAGATTTCAGCTTTGGACTGAGCCACCACGCTACAGCATCCAAGGTCCTTAAACTCACAGATGGCTGTCTTGGGAATGCTCTGTCTCTACAATGTTACATGAGTAAATCCCCAAACAAAATGCCTTTCATCTAACTATTGTCTATCTATCTATCAACTCTCCATCTATGTATCTATCTATCTACCTACCTACCTATCTACCTCCCTGTAGTTCTGTCTCTCTGAAAAAAAAATGACAAATACACCCATAAAGACTTCAGCCAAATGGTGCAATACTATGTCTTTCTCTAGTTGCTCCTCCACCACCCCTGCTGCTTATGAGTGTATGTCCTGGAGAGCTCTTCTCTTTCCATCTGCACTTCAAGGAATGCTGCCCTCTTCTTACTGGGATTGGTTAGTAATACATGACTCATGCCATTATACACATTTTGTTGAGTTGCCTCCTCTGTATTTCACTTTACAAACACACATGGACATCACTTTTCTCCCACTTAGCACTCTCCTAGAGAGTGGTTACCTTGGTAGAAATAAACTAGACACAGGTCAGACAGGAGCCACAGGGTGTCTTACAGTATAAACAAGTACTCTGTGAGAAGGATACCTGGATGTAAGCTGGACAGTTGGGCTTTAGGCCATCGACCAGGATAAGTAAGCAACCCATGAAAGGCACAGCCAGTACCAAACCCTGAGTCATATTGGGCAAGGCTATAGGTTATAGCCACCATCCAGAGGGGCCTTAACAGCAAACAGAAGTAAAAATAAAACACATGCTGTGAGATAATTTTAGAAACTATAGTTTCAGGAATCCTTGAGAGGGAAAGTAAAACTGGCAAGGCATTATTTGAAAGTTTGCACTGGGGTGGCAGCTCTCCAACGATAAAGAAAAATCTCAGGCCAGGAGCGGTGGCTCACACCTGTAATCCCAGCACTTTGGGAGGCCGAGGCGGGTGGATCACAAGCTCAGGAGATTGAGACCATCCTGGCTAACACGGTGAAACCCCGTCTCTACTAAAACCACAAAAAAATTAGCTGGGCATGGTGGCGGGCGCCTGTAGTCCCAGCTGCTGGGGAGGCTGAGGCAGGAGAATGGCGTGAACCTGGGAGGCAGAGCTTGCAGTGAGCTGAGATCACGCCACTGCACTCCAGCCTGGGTTACAAAGTGAGACGCTGTCTCAAAAAAAAAAAAAAAAACTTTATCTAGAGGATTTCAGCCCTAATGATAGAGATACAAAGAATGATCTCTATAACTTATTTATTTATTTATTTATTTATTTATTTATTTATTTATTTATTTATTCATTCATTCAATGGCGTTTCACTACGTTGCCCAGGCTGGAGTGCACTGGTTATTCACTGGCACAAGCACAGCACACTACACAGCCTCAAATTCCTGGTACCACATGTTCATCCTACCCACCCTCCCTAGCAGCTGGGACTGACTATAGGTGTGTGCCACCACACTTGCACAGATACAATTTTTATTTTATGTTTTTTTTTTTGGCTTTTAAAGTCAAATTTATTACATTGTTTTGTACAGCAAAATTCACCCTTTTACATGAACTATTTTATTCATTTGGACAATGAATACAGGAATATAAACATCACTGCTGTCAAGATTCAAAAAATCTTACCATTGCCCCAGAAAGGTGCTTCATGCCCCTTAGATACAATTTTTAAATCAAGAAAGTTGCATTTCTTTTTCTTCTTTCCCATAGTCATCATAATCATGTGAAGAATGATCATACAAATCATTTTATGATTAGTTACTGCAGATGTAGATGCATTATAGTTTCCATACAATCTTTTATGCTGTCCACTTGTTACTTGGATCAACTTTATTTCTGGTTACTTGAGAGGAAGAATGGGCTTTAGTGTTCCCTGAAGAAGAGAGTAAAATAGAAACTCATCTGATTTATATTTTATAATATTATTGCATTTGTACCATGAGATTTAGGTTCCATGTAGGCTCAATTAAGTTAACAGGGAGACCTGATCTCAAATATATGAGCCATGTCTACACTTCTATTTATTTTGAAATAATTTTAGATTAACAGAGAGTTGTTAAAATCTTACATAAAGTTGTATATACCCTTCAATTTCCTGTTATATTAATATCACACACAGAACCACAGACTATCTATGAAAACTCAGAAACTGATAAAGGCACTAAACTATTAACCAAAGTACTGACTGTCTTTATATTTTACAAGGTTTTCCACTAATGCCATTTTTCCTTTTTTTGGATCTAATCAAGGATAACATATTATGTTTACATAAAGTGTATTATTGTTTATTGCAGCATAGCGAATAACTACATAGCTTAGTGGCTCAAAAGCACATACAAATTACTCACAGTTTCTCTGAGTCAGGAATCCAGATGTAGATGATGGCCAAGGCTGAGGTCTCACCTGAGGATCAGCTGGGGAGGAATCATCTTCTAAGTTCTCGTGATTGACCTGGTTGAGAAGACTTCACTGATGAATTATTCGAAACCTTTAAAATATCAACAGCAATTTCTTACTAACTGTTCTCCAAAAAATAAAATAATAGAGAAGAGATCAGTGTGCAATACATTCTATGAGGCAGTTTCCTCTGAGGCCACAACCAAACAGAGACAGTCCAAAAAAGTAAAACTATAAACTAATATGCTTTATGGATACCCAAGCAATAATTCTCGAGCAAACAGTCTGAACAAAGATCAGGATCGTAAAACATAATTAAACACTAACTTATTTATTTATTTATTTATCCAGGATCACAAGTTTGGTAAAACATATAAAAAGAATTAGTGTAATCACTATATTAATATAATAAATGACAAAATTTTCTTTATCACATCTAAAGATATGGAATAAACACTTTCCAATTCAAAAACCCACTCGCAGTAAAAACACCAAACAAATTTTGCATAAAGGGAATGTTCTTACTAACACAGGCACCTATGAAAAATTCATATGACAACACATGGTATCAAGTAGGTCTCAGTAATTTTCCCAAAATTATAAACACAAAAGGTTATCTATTCCACTAATTCAACTAAACATTATGCTTGAGGATGTAATTTATAAAATTAGGCTGGAAAAATAAATATAAGACTTCCAAATTGAAAGGGAAGAAGTCAAACATCTATTGGCCAGTGACATAATCTAATGTATAGAAAATCCTAAAAAATTCACTAAAATAAGGTTGGAACAAAAAAAAATTCAGTATGCATGATCAATGTAATAAATTGCATTCTTATACAATAGAAACTAATCAAATAATGAAACTCAGAAAATAATTTCATTTAACATGGCATCAAAAAGGAAATATATTTGAAAATAAACAATATAACTGCAAGATATATATACTGAAAATTACAAATAATATTGAAGTATTAAAGAAATCCTAAATAAATGAATAAAAGAATTAGTGTAATATACTATATGAACTACATTTTCATTGATTAGAAAGTTATTAAGTATTAACCAAGATGCTTATACTTTCTAAATGCATCTTCAGATTCAATACAAGCCCTACTAAAGTTCTAACTTTAATTTTTTCTCATTTTTAGCAGTTCTTGGACCACTGATCCTAAAATGCACAGAAAAACACAATTGATCCAGAACAGCCCAAGGAATGTTAAATATTTTTTACAGAAACACAAATGACATTTATAGAAGGTCCATCCATAGGGGAAAGAGGCATAATTCCCCACTTTTTATGTATGTGCTGTGCATAGTGATGTTTTTTCCAAAAGGTATAACATGAAAAGGGGAATAATATTAATTTTATAGTGGAGAAAACTGAGCTAAACTGCCTCATCCATGTGATCAAATAACATTAACCATGATAAAGCAGCTGGGCACAGTGGCTCACACCTGTAATCCCAGCACTTTGGGAGCCTGAGGTGAGAGGATCGCTTGGGGCCAGGACTTAGAGACCAGCCTGAGCAATGTCGTGAGACTCTGCCTCTACAAAAGTACAAGTAAAATTAAATCACCCAGATGTGGTGGCACATGCCTGTAGTCCCATCTACTCAAGAGGCTGAGGTGGAGGATCATTCAAGCCCAGGAGTTCGAGGCTGCAGCGAGCTTTGTTCATGCCACTGCACTCCGGCCTGAGCAACAGAGTGAGACCCTGTCTCAAAAAAAAAAAAAAAAAAAAAAAAAAGTGATACAGCATGTTGACACTATGTACTCTTGTTATAACATCATGAGAATAAAAGTTTCCCTCTGTAGGTTTCCTCTGCTAAATTCACAACAGCCATCCAATCATTAGGAAAACACCAGAGACATCCCAAAGGATTTCAATGATATCAGAAATAAGGAAAATCTGAGAAACTGGCACACGATACCTAAACGTGATGTGGTGTCCTGGGCGGAATCCTGGAACAGAATATGGACATTAGGTGAAAACAGAACATCTGATTAATTGTGAATGTTGCTGAATGATAATGTATAATATTGGTTCATCAATTGCGACAAATGTCTCGAATGTAAGAATTTATAAAAGGGAAATTATGTGTTGAATATATATAAACTCTCTGTATGTACTTCTAACTATTCTGTAAATCCAAACTATTCTAACATAGATTTAAAAAATAAATAAAATATATATTTAAAAAAAATTACACTATTGAGCTTACTAAGCAGAACATTGTTGATCTTGTAGCGTCCCAGGTGCTCACCTCCCCATTCCCACCCTTTTTGTTACCCTGGCGAACATTATTATTATTTTTAATTTTCCTTTTCCCATTCGCAAACTTTTCTTTCTTAGTTTTGGTCTCTAAATTTGTATTTGTAAATAATGTCCTGTTTGCTGTTTCTTGTCTTCACAAATAGATAATTACATGTCTCTATCTATATTGCTCAGTAAAATTATGAGAAACATTCAGAGAAATCCAGATTTTGATACATTTTACAAACTATGTGACCTGTTTTCTCACAAAGTGAGGACTGAGAACCTGTCCCAGATTAAGCAAGACCTGACATTGGCAGGTGATCTCTAAGATGGTGCACGATGATCCTCAGAGCTTAATTAGAATATCTAATCTTTTTTCTTGTGACGTTGGGGAGAAACTGAGACTTGCTTTGATACATCAGAAGACTACAACCTGATAGGATGTCACTTGGGTAATCATGTTACCTAAGATTATGATACCTGTCTTGCTGCAAGCTCTCTGTCATGGTGGTTTTGATGACACATTCTGCCATGGGAGAGAAGCCAACATGGGAAATAACTGAATGCAGCCTCTGGCCACAGACAGCAAAAAACTGAGGCTCCTGGTCCAGTATCCTGCCCTAGAGGTGGCAATTTATATTTACAACTAATCTAAGCTCCTTTCATATAAAAGTATACTGCCTCAGAAGTAGTGTAACCATCTTATAAAATAATAGTTCTATTTCTTCCTTTTTCCTGTATTTTTCCTTTTGTCCCTCTTTTCGTACCTTTCATTTTACTTATATGTATATCTATACCCATATCTATATAGATCTTATACTTATGAAAATATAGTTAAATTAATTGCTGCTTTTTTTTTTTTTGAAACAGAGTCTTGCTCTGTCACCCAGGCTGGAGTGCAGTGGCGCGTTCTGAGCTCACTGTAACCTCTGCCTCCCGCATTCAAGCTATTCTCCTACCTCAGCCTCCTGAGTAGCTAGGATTACAGACATGCGTCACAAACCCAGCTAATCTTTGTACTTTTTTTTTTTTTTAGTAGAGATGGGGTTTCACCATGCTGGCGAGACTGGTCTCAAACTCCCGAACTCAGGTCATCCACCCACCTTGGCCTCCCAAACTGCTGTGATTACAGGCCTGAGCCACCGGGTTCGGCATTCCTACTATTTTTTTGAAAGGCACCTGTCTGCTATTGAATATAATTATTTTAAATAAGCTGTTATATGTAAGATCAATTAAGAATATGGAAATTAAAAGTTTTTATTATCTTGAGAAACCAATAAAAAAGTATTAAAAAGTCTGAGATGCTAAGAAAGAAGATTGAATTTTTTAAATGCTGAATAAAAACCACAAAAAAAGGAAAATGAATGGAAGACAAAAATGGAAACAGAGGCAGCGCAAAAACTAAAAGATAGTAACAAGCATGGTGGATATTCATCCAACTATATCAATCATCACTTTGAAAAAGTGTCAACACCTAATTCAGAACAATCATAATCAGAATACCAAGATACGTGTGAATTTATGAATTAATTTCAATATTGCTTTCATTTTTATATGAATAAAGTGTAAATTTAAAATTCTAGAAGGACTTTTTCAATAAGGGTAAATAAGTCTATTATGTGTATAAGGGTTGAGAGAGAGATATTATTCTTTCTTTGAGATTCTTCTTAAGTCTTTGATTCATTGACATACTGTGGATGTCCCCAACAAGACTACTACAGACATTACATATTTACCAATCTGAGCTTCCCTTTAGTGATACAAAGGCCAGCTCGCTTGTCTTTCTCTGTGAGTTTGGCGCACATTGTTCCTTACCCAGCTTCACATTGACAGGTACATCCATATAGGCGGTGGTATAGTAATGATCGAGTAATTGCAGGAAGAATGAAACAAAATGTTGTGGAAAAACTTATGGCAATTGGACATGGCTTATCACAGGTAAAAATGGATGATTTATCTGGAAGGATGGATTGCAAGAGAGTGCACATCAAACAATGAAGGACAGTGACATCTGAGAGACGTGAAACAATGAGGGCTACTGTTGCCTCAGGTTACTGCTTGGGGAGAGTTTCCAGGCTGTGGTGTGGCACGGACTCTGGAAGATACTTGGAGTTGAGAAGATGGAACTGACAGTCTGGACAAAGAGGTGGCTGAATTTCATAAAGCCATTCTCCATGGCTGCAGGAGGAGGGAGCATGCATGCCAACAGCCATGCAGGCTGGACTGTGGTGCCATCATTACTCCACTGAGACATGGTTCACAGGAGTACTGGAGCAGTACAGAAACAAAAAGCAAAGATACAAAGAAAAGTAATTTAAATGATTTCTTTAATAAAGAGTAATTCACCTTTATGCTTTCGCCTAATTTCTGACTACAAAAAGACAAAGTTTTCCATGACTCAGTGATCTTGCATCCAACCCAAGAATGAAGGAATACACACTGTTTAGAAACAAAGTAAATGGTGTGTTAGGTAGATTCAGTCACCCTGTGTGGACACCAACCTGCCTTTCCTATGTTATCCTGTTAGTTGTGGCTGGTAAAATCACTACATTACGAAATAATTAAAGTATAGTTTTCTACTTATAGGAGAACAATACATTTGTCACCAAAAGGAGAAGCCAATAAAGGTTTCTTCCTTCATTGATTTTCCTTAAAAAAATCTCCAGTTTCCTTTGCATCTTAAAAATATTTTTTCTCTGTTCTTCACCACATGAATGCCCCAGGCTATGTAGTTTGCATGAAGTATAGGGTTGCTCTTTAGACACAGTGAAATTAAGTTAAGTTGTAACCCAGTATACTATTTTCCTAAAAATTACCTTTGCATTTTTTCTTTTTCTCAGTGTTCACCTCTTGCTTAGCTCCTCAGAAATGCAAATGTAACCTTTTCCTTCCTTCGTTTCCACCAGTGAAACAACCTGCAAGTATTGCCAGCTTATCTAAGTATATGTTTCCTTAGAAATTCTAAGGACCAAATGTTGAACCAAAGCAGGCACCATCCAGAATTCCCCCTCACAGGGAGACTGTCTCAAGACAATAGTTAATCCACATTCCGACTCTTTCCTCAATGACACTGGTCAGACTAACAGATGACCCCTTAGCTAAGTTTTACAGCAAGTCACATAGACCCCGCACCTCCATGTTCCTTCTGCATACCCTGCACAAGAAAGTTTCTCTTCTTAAAACCCTGCTTTCTTCCCGGAAAACTGAAGTGGCTCCTTTAGATATGAACCTGGTTCTTCTCCATTGCTAAGCTGTGAAATAAAGTCACTATCTTTTTACCACCCTCATGTTTGTTATTTGATACGGTAAGTGACAAGTGGCCAAACCTGTGTTTGGTAACAAATTTGGTGGCCTGTATGGGGAGCATTATGTGCTCTGGGCAACCCAAGCCTGTGAGCCTGGTTTTGCTACCAAGGTGGAGGGTTGCCTGTGAGCACCAGCAGCTGAAGGCCAGCAGACCCCATGGCAGGAATGTTAGGGAACTTCCAAGCAGCTGCTGAAAATCTTTCATTTCCTAGACCCTCCCTTTCACTTCCTTGCACAACTTCTGCAGCCATCAACACTTTGCTGGTACAAAGAATGTGACCTCTGAAGAAGCTGGCAGCCCTTGCAACCAAGTGAGCTAGTAGAGTGCATCCGGCTTTCCTGTGTCTTCTGGGGTGTTGCTGGGGCTCTGCTGTTTCGTCTGGTCCACTAATGGGACTATCATCTGAGTGTTTTACGGATTTGTATTTGTGGCACTACTGGGCATGGCTCCATTTGGTCTCAGACACCCATGGAGCTGTTTTGAACAGAGGAGAGAAATTCAGGATTCTACTCAGCCCCTTAACTGGGGTTTGTTTGGAAGCTCACCATTTGTTTGTAAGTGTGAGTGTATAAGACCTTTGAGTGTGGGCCCTGATCTCTTCCTATCCTTTTCACTTCCAACTTCATCTTCTTGACTGTCTTGGAAGCCACCTACAGCCTTAATCATCTTAGTCAAAGGTACCCTTAGCTCTCTCCAGCTGTAAACAGTTTCCTTCCCCCATGATGGCAGAGGTGGGAGGGATTCGTCTCACACTGTGCATGTCTAGGGTAGTGGGGCTCTCCCTGATGGGATGTAAGCAAGAGTGGTGGGGGTACCAACCCTATACCATGCAGCGCTAGAAGGTTCACAAACCTCCTTTTCTTTCTTTTTCTTTCCTTCCTTTTAAAAGGCCTGGCAGGAACTTCATATTCTCATTCTCTTTGGGATTTCAGCTGGTTACTTATTAAGACCTACTTTTGTGAACATTTTAAACAGATAGGCAAATTCTAGCAAGAAAACTTTAGAGCTCAAATGGTTAACTGCAACTATTAAGTTAAGCAGAGTCATCAAAACCTCTCTTTCTTCCTCTGTTTTCTTTTCTGCCTGCTTCAAATTGGATGTTACTAAGCTGTTGGTGCTGTGATAAGACTCATTATTTATGGACTAACTAGAAAGTAAACATAGGAAACTTGTTTAAAACTGAAGGAAAGAAAGGAAAAAGATGCTTTTTTAAAAACAAAACTGCCATAAAGATTGCTTTACCCAAATTTTGGTTCACAGCTTTCATTGTATTATATATTGGAGAAAACAAAATTTAACCATGGAAACAGGTTTCAGTTTTGTCAGACAATAATGTGTATCCAGCTATTTTTATAAAATACTGAGTGTGTACTGTTATTTTATGGATAGAATCCCAAGGTAAAAGCTATTAGACCTTTGCTTGTGTGTATATACATATTTAGTTAGATATGTTTGTGTGTATGTATGTGTATTATGTGTTATGTCTAGCCTGTTACCAAATTGACTTACAAGTAAATAAGTGCTCATAAATTAAGTCAGGATGCTTTTCAAGTTCACATAAATTTAGTAATCCTTGACAAATAAAATTGGTTTTAAGATTATTCGTGACGTAATATTGGAAATATCTTCAAAATGATCAGCATATATTTTTATCTGAGTTTACTGAACAAATGATTTTGTATTTATCTCTGTCTATATCATCAGGTGTCAGGATATGACATAAAGGTTATAAGACCATAAACCCAGCCAAAAACAGAATCATTTTTGTTTGTGTGATTTTACAGATGAGTTAGACTAATTTAATATTACTAGTTCAGTGAAAACAGTTAAATCTTCTGTGCTATTGACAAAATGCCCATATATTGAACTTTAAGGTTCTTACTTAGGTAAAACACCTAATGTCCACAGACTTTAAAAATGGGTCATAGGGACATAAATAAATAATTACTACTTTGACGTAATATCCCAGTTTTCAAAAGTACTCTAGGTAAACTGGTAAAATGGAAAAGCTGAGTACACATAAATGAGATCAATGTTTCTAAGTGAAATTTTTATATAATTTAAAACTTAAAATCATTTTGGATGCTTACTAGATGTCTAGGTCATTTCCAATTAAGAAAGGGTTATTATATAGAGAAAACTATTCTAAAAATTGTGAAATGGTTCTCATCTATACAATACTAATATCTGATAGTTCAGGATTTCTTTTTTCCTAGGTTTCTATCAAATGTGCCAAAGAAGAGGTGTCCTTATTGAGAAAAAGAATTATTTTGTCTAATTCCAAAGTTATATAAAAGTTTATTCAAATTACGGGTTTGAAAAGGTTATTTATGAAACAAGCTGGGAAGGAAGCAGTAAGTGGTGAAGAGAGATGTGAAGAAAGATATAGAAAGGAACATATACTTTTGGTAAGGAAGGTTATAAAGGAAAAAGAGTAATTTTCTATGAGAAAGAATCTTCTATGGGAAATTATTCTCCTAAAGTAAAATGACTGGTTATTTAAGCAACAGATTCTTATTACAAAGTTAATCTAGAAAAAGAAAATTGAAAAAAAATTAAAAAAGAAACAGGTACTACAGGACAAGTATACAGTCCAAGCATGTGACAGATGGTCTGTGTAAGTCATGATAAGGCTCATGAAGAGGAATTTATAAAAGAAATTTTGTATGCAATTAAGCTAGCCATAATTAAAAAGGAGAATAGTCTTTCTAAAGAATGGTCCTCTATGTTAAATCGAGATTTTCTTAAGGTATCAATTTACTCTTAATAAAATTACAATAAATTTTGATTTTCTATTCTATAATCTACTTCTTTTGAAAACTTCTGAGATTCATATCTCAAATGTTCAATTGTTGTCTTGTTGCTATCAGCTTTTTCTCCCTTTGATGTGGCCTGGGATGATAAATCTATCCTTCAGCTTCTTGTCAGCTCCTGTAACTTGTCTCCTTACTTCTAAATGTTGTTGTGGCTGATGCTGAAATATTTTATCTTAGAGGTCTATAAAAGAAAAGTTTTCCTCCAGGATAACCTGATTCTATACTCTTGGGGGTTTTTTTGTTGTTGTTATTTTGTGTCTAAATTTTCACTGTAATCAGGAAACTTATCATGCAGCTACTAAGAGTCATGTATTCCCCAGTTCTACTCATAACCTTGTACACACTCTTTCCATGTTTGATTAAATTCAAACACTTTTTATCTTAAATTGTACTTCCAGATTATCTAAATGGGCTTTCTTCTAAGGAGAGGCAGTCACACTAAAAAAGGTTTTCCTTTGACTTTTTGGTAACTGGCTTAAGAAACAAGATTTTACATTTTATCAAGATAGTTCCTATGCTGCCTTTATTGAGTGTTTAATTGCTTTAAAAAAAAAAACCCGAAATTTGAAAGGAGTAAGGTTTTTAGACCTGTGTAACTTTTTATATTGCCTTTAACGTCTTTCAATGATCACTTTGGTTAAATGAATAACTATTGTTTTACAAGGACCTGTGGTTTAGTTTTGATGAAATATTTTAAGCTTTCTAACATCTTTCACAGACATCTCCCAAATTGAATCCTAAATTAAGTCTCTGACTTATTGCTGGGGCTTATCAAAGCTAAAAAACATTAATCACTGTGAAGTGTATCACCACCTCCAACACCCTGAAGAAGTTCTTATCAGGTGCTATTAACTAATTTTTGTGGTGTTAAGGTACAAGGAATTGACTCCTGGATACATGTAGCTCCTCTAAAGGAGAAACAGACTTCTGCCAGCATCTAACATCAAACTCAACTTAACCAAAGCCTCATCTTTAGACTCAAGCAAAGGCAATAATCAAAGTACACTGCTTTCAAGCAACACAGGGACAGGCCTGTATTATACTTTATTTAATAATTTTGCCTCTATCTGAAATAGGAATATATGAAATATAATTTATTCTGTGCCTTAATCCTAAATTATTTAAATGTTTATCTACCTAACCTTTGACATGTACAGCAAACTAAGCCATAGAATAGAAAGTTTGACAGATCTTTTTAAACATAAGAAGATCTTTTTAATGTGGGACAATTTTGCCTTGTGGCTTATAGAATAGTTTCTGTCCTTCTTTTTAACCAGAGCTATTTAAGAGGAAATCTCTGGAAAATCATAAAACAGAATGTGTAACGTCTGTCGCTTCTAATAAAAGTGATATTAACGTTCAATTTATGAAAGAGAAATAGGAGTAAAGATGAAAATAATTGATACGGTTCACTGAAAAATAATTATGAATGCATATTTAAAATAGAGAAATAAAGGCCTTAAATCTATGATACAAAAATAAATATTTGGTTTTAGATGATGTTTATATGACCAAAAAAAGAGAATATTTATACACAAGCATTTAAGACATTTGCACAACAAATTAAATCAAAATCAAGGAGAAATATCACGATGTAAAATCTAAAGTCTTAAGGTGTCATTGGTCAGCAAACAGAATCATTTTTGAACAAACTGAGCCTTTTTTAAAAGACTTGAATTCCCTACCTCACCCCACAACCAAGGCAGGGAGGTGCTGTCCTTGTGCATGCAGAGCCCCCAGAGAGGCTCTGAGCTCAGAGGCTCCCCTGTGAACCTGCCTCTGTTGGGCATGGTCTGGAGGGGGACCCTGTTCACAGATCATCTACAGCAGGGCAGAAGGGAGCCAGGGTTGCCTCTCTAGGTTTTCAACAACCTTGGCTGTTGTCAAAGATACTAAATACATAAGGTGGGCAGTGGTGTTGGGAGACTGCCTAAGATTCACAAGGACGTAGAGATTTCAGAGTCAATGGCAACGTTCTAAAGTTGTATATCCACAGCCTCATTCAAGGTACAGCTGAAAGGATTGGTGTAAGTGCAAGGCATGCAGGTCTGAACTTCTTTCACCTCATTATAGAGCAGCTCAGTGGTTAAAAAGAACAGGCCCTGGGCCAGGCACAATGGATCACGCTTGCAATTCCTATACTTTGGGAGACTAAGGAGGGTGGATTGCTTAAGGCCAGGAGTTCTAGATCAGCCTGGGCAACAAAGAGAGACCTCCTCTCCACTAAAAAAGTTAAAAATTAGCCGGGCATGGTGGCTTGCACCTGTAGTGCCAGCTACTCAGGAGACTGCGTGGGGAGGATCACTTGAGTCCAGCAGCTCACACACAGAATGTGTTCTGTGTTTGTGCCACTGTACCCCAGTTGGTGTGACAGAACAAAATTATCTCTTAAAAAAGAAGAGAAAGAACAATCTCTAGAGAGAAAATTCTTGAATAGACTCTCTTAATAATAAGAGTGTGGTATTTGCACAGAGATAGAATAAACAGCCAATAACTTAAAAAACAGACGTATGCATATATAAGCATATATTTAAGTTGCTGAATGGGGGAAAATTGGATTTTTATTAAAATATTCCAGGGTATTGAATATCCACAGGGAGAAACTAAAATCTGACCTATGACCTGACATTACACACAAAATTAATTATAGTCAGTTCATAGACATAAATACAAAAATATGTAGTAGAGTATACAGAACACAATTCAGGAAAATAACTTCAAGACCATGAGGTAGGCTAAGCTGTCTGAAACTAGACCTGAAAAGCATTTAACATATAAGACAAAACATATTCTATGTAGTTGATGTCAGCAAAGACTCTAGGGCATATAGAATCAAACTCAAGGTTCCGTTAGGCCTCTCCTGTGGAGATTTAGCTCAGACTTAGAAATGGACCAGAGGAGCGGGAATAGTCCTTACTTTCTGAGATGGCAGGTGGATTGTATGAAATGGTAACATATAAACCATGCAGTATATTACTAAGCCTACACTAACCCCGAGAAATCAATATTCTAGTAAATTGTGAGATGTATCAATTGCATCAGTTGTAACATGTCATTATTTTCTGTATCAGAATGAAAGAACAAAACCACCAACAATGAAACTAATACTTTTATCATGTGGAAATACATTGTATAATAATAACATCATTATATTATAATTATTGGAAAAAAAGCTATTTTCAAGACATATATATGTGGATATTTCTCTTGTCTTTTGTCACTCCTATGATTACATGGGATGGAACACATAAGGAAAATACACCGACAAAGGTTTTCCTAAATTTTCTCCCATTCAGATCCAACTCTCCTAAATCAATCTTCAATTCATCTTGCTCATGGTGTTCCCCATGTTATCATCATTTGTGCTAATCTGAGGATTTGGTGATGCTGCATTTCCTGTGATATTCCTACGTTGCTCCTGCGAGTTTATATTTTCAACCTTCTGAAACCTCCCGTGCAAGATTTGATGCTGATGTTGATGACATCACCCAAAAACATTGACAGGAGGTTTGCAGACCAAGTTTATACAGGTAAATGAGGACAATCACATTATGACTGCCTTCTCGTCAATAGTGTTTTAACGCTTTCAAATTTAAGATGCATCTGTATTTGATAGATGTGAAAATGTGCACTCTACAATGAATGGAATACACTGTTTTCTCTGTGACTGCTCATTTCTCAGTGTTAAATTATGGTGGCTCATTGGCTATATTCTTGTTTGTTATTGAGGAAATATGCTTAAATCTTATCACATAAATTTATAAACTGCATTTATATTCTACCTGGGAGCTTCACCGCTGTCCTCCATTAGGGAAGTCCAGTTTGTTCACTTCTCATTAAAGTGAGTGTCCAGAGAGGTGTTATAAACTGCATTTATAATTTTAGACACATTAGAGTTATTAGTGGAGTACTAGAATTCTTATGTCACGTATGGAAATATAGTTCTATGAACCATGGTTTAAGAAATCCACTGAAGACAGAGATGAAAATTGTAAAGAGCTACTTGAAAAATTCACTGGCGTGGTAGCTCTCTAAAGACCTGGAAAAAAGTATTTTGAAACTTTAAACTGTAATCTTAGAAATATGAGCAATCCTTCCTGTAAACTTCCTTACAGATTCCATTCTTTCGGATGTAACATTTGTGTATCTTTTTCTTCATTCACATTTGTCCTTTTAATCACATGGCTGGTGATCGTAGAAATCACCTCATGATTAGTCACTGCAGAAGTGAATGCATAATGGTCTTTATAAGATATTTTGATCTGGCCCCTTGCTACTCTGGTCAACTCTACTTTGGGTACTTGGATATTGGAATCGGTTTCGGTATCCCCTCATGAGTACACTGAGTGATAAAAAAACTCATACAGTCACAGTTAAGGGGGTTGACTGAAATTTCACCTAGAGTTTTAGACTCCAGGAAGGTTGAATTAAGTAAACACAAAGTCATGTCATTACATATATGAGACATTCCTTCCTTGAACTCAATCTTCTTATCAGGTTAGAGTGTGGAGACAGAGCATTGGGTTTGCCTCATGATGTGGTCTAAAAATGTAGTTTGTTTGCAATAGCATCTGTTGTAGACTTGTGTCCAGACCAGCCTCTATACAACAGTTGATTTAGGATACTGTGCAAAATCATATCTTCCATGCAGTGAAAGTTTGTCTAGGGACTCAGTGCTCAGCACTTCGTCATCTGTGCCTGTGACATCATGCTATTCAAGATTTATGGAAGTCAATGGGAGTTGACATACGTAGTTCCATATATGTAGTTCCATGGCTTTGTAGGCCTTTTAGGCATGGTTCCTGAAAACAACTCTGCTGCTACTAAGAAGGGTGCAATGGCCTCTTAATAGGAAGCTGTGTGGAGAATTAGTGGGCAGCCAGTACACATGCAGAAACAAACACAGCCTGTTTCTGTCTCTCAGATCACTGCATGGAGGGTTGGAGATATGCTGTATATTGTTTTCTTTTTTTTTTTGTTTTTCACCTAATGAGATTTCTCTTTTTGTGCACAACATGTATATATCACTCAGTAGCATTCACCTGCAAAAACCCTGTTGTAAAGATTTATTCCCAGGCCTCTGGAAGCAGGGACTGCCCTAAAGCAACTTATTAGAAATATTTTTTGTACTCTGTTTACCTGCTATCTTGATGGCTTTAGGGTTGGCCAAGGGCAATATAATTCCACCATGTGAGTATCAACAGAGTGCATGGTCCTGAACAGTTCCTGATGGAGCCTGTAGAATGAAGCAAAGTAAATTAGAACAGGTTTTCTGAAAGGTTTGAAAGTAAAGTTGTCTTTGGATTACTTGAAGAAGAAATCCCTGTACCAAGAAAACGTGATCCTGAATGCAGAAATATGATTTATGTTCCCTGACACTGAAATTTCTTATTCTTGCCTTATATCATCTGGAATTCATGTCTTCCGAAAAGGTTAGTGGGATCTTGAATATACTCTGCTAAATGCTGTCCTAAAATGGGGCTTTCTGGGATATGTGAAAAACAGGCATCTTCCTTTCAAGAAGTGGATGCTGACACTCTAATGACTAGGTAGTGGGGAAGGAGAAAGAGGATAAGAGTCCTTGGAGCTTGAAGGTACCTTCCTGAAGCAGTGGCTCCTGGGTTTCAAATGTTGCCTAGAAAAGAAAAGCTAGTTTACTGTTCTCTCCCTACATGCCCACTTGTATTTGGAGGCAAAAGTTTTTTGCTGATGTCTTTACTTGCTTACTTTTTAAAAAAAAACAAAATAATAATATTAAAAAAATATTTATTTTGAAATAACTGCAGATTTACATAAATGCACATAGGTAAGTACAGACAGTTTCATATACCATTCAGATAACTAGAATGTTAGTATCTATTATAACCATAGCATATTCATGAAAACTAAGAATTTAACTGTTTTTCAAGACTATTAACTGATCTACAAACTTCCTTCATATTTTACCAGGTTTTCTAATAATGATATACTTATCTATTCCAGGACCTAATCCAGAATACCACCTTACAATTACTGTCAGGTATATTACTTACTACTTGGTGCATAACAAATTACCACATACCTTAGTGGCTCAAAACCACACACATACTACTCACAGTTTCTCTGGGTCTTCGGTCTAGATGTAGGTGATGGCTCAGGCTGAGGCTCAGCTGGGGAAGGGTCTCCTTCCAAACTCACATGATTGTTCTTAGGATTCACCTCCCTGCCCTCATCAGGAACTCATTGATGTGTTATTAAAATCACATAAAATTAATACTAATTTATCAAAAATATTTCAAAACAATACAATAATAATAAAGAAGTAGAAAATAGATCACTTCCCATTGTATACTATGAATTAGTTTACCCTGATTGAACAACTACACAAAGACATTTCAAATAAGGAAAATGAAGACCAATATGCCTTATAAATACAGAGACAAAAATCACCAGCGAGATATTATCAAATGAAATCAGCAACATGTAGAAAGTATTATACACTATGGTAAAGGGTATTTACCTCAGGAATGCAAATTTGGTTCAATATAGGATACAACTAAAGTCATACACTATATTAATAAAGAATAAAAACTACACAATCATCTCAGAAGGTATGCAACAAGCACTTGAAAATTCCCAGATTCCATATTATAAAAACATGCAGCAAATTAAGCAGATAAGAGAACTTTCTGCATTTCAAAGGGCATCTATGAAAAGCTCACATATCATCATAAGTAATCTGAAAGGTTCACTAATTTCTCTGATATTAGAAACAAGTCAAATATTTCCACTGTTGACACTAGTTTGCAACATTGTACTGGAGAATGTAGACAGGGCAATTGGCTTAGAAAAATAAATATAATGTTTCTAATATGGAAAGGAAGTCAAACTCTGACTGTTTGCAAATGACATGATCGTATGTACAAAACGTCCAAAGAATTCTAATCAAATATGTTTAGAATTTAAAGACGAGTTCAAAGAAATTTGCAGTATATAAAATATATAAAATATTTTAAATTTCTCTATACTAGCAATTAACAATCTAAAAACAAAACTCAGAAAACCGTTCCAATTGAGATCGAATCAAAAATACTTAGGAATAAGCTTATCAAATTAAGTATAAGATATGTACACTAAAAACTATATAACACATATTGAACAAAATTAATAGAAAATCTTTGAATGCTCATTGTTTACAAGGGTTAATATTGTTAGGTTGGCAATATTTTCCAAATGGATCTATAGAATTAATGCAACTTCTCTCAAAACATTCCCCTAAATTCAGAAGGTTATCCTCAAATTTATATATAATATAGATCCTGAGCAGCCAAAATACTCTTGAGAAAGACAAAAAGGGTTTGCATAGTAGACATATGCTTCCTGATTTCAAAACTTACTACAAAGTAATAGTAATCAAGATTTGTGGTACTAGTGTAGGGATATATGTATTGATCAATGGAGTAGAATATAATACTCAAAAATGAATCCTTACATTTATGGTGAAATGCTTTTATATTGTGGCCAAATAAATTAGTTATGAAGCAATATTTTCTTGTCAAATGTTTCTGGGTCAAGTGGATATCCACATGCAAGTTAGATTCTTGCCTCATACCAGAAACATAATTGACTCAAAATGACAATCTATCTAAATATAAGAGCTAAACAGAGCCAACCCATAAAAAGAAACACAGGAATACATCTTTGTGGTCTTTGGTTAAACAATGTTTTAAGATATGACACTGAAAAACACAAAGGAAAGAAGAAAATATAGAAATATTAAACTTCATTAGAATTAAAACCTTTTGCAATTTAAAGTCCACCATCAAATATAAAGAGGCACCCAAAGAATGGCAGAAAATATGTGAAAATTGCAAATTTTATAGGTGATAATGGTCTATTATCCAGAATATGCAATGTCTTACAACTCAAAATTAAAAAGGCAAATATCCCAATCAAAAATGGCAAAATCTTAAATAGCCAATTCTCAAAAGAAAGCCATAGTCATATCCAAAATCACATGAAAATATGCTCAATGTCTTTTGTCATTATGAGGTAGGAGACTGGAAGGATTTGTTTTCTGGTTTCACAACCTTGATGACCAAAATAAGATCTGCTCCAGACAGGATAAAGTGAAAAAACTGGCAGAAGCCTGTACATTGCGGTAAATGTGATCCCTGGCAGTCTTCATTTGTCACTCACATAAGACACTCCTACCAACCACATAAGTGTTTACAAATTCCATGGCCACAACTCAGAAGTTACTGCCCTTTCCATGGAGACAACCTAGAAGTCACTGCCCCTGTCCTGCCTCAATTTGCCTTGACTTGCCCCTCAATTTGCATATAATTAAAAGTGGGTTTGATTGCATATAAATACAGTTGCCAAGAGGCCTATATGTTGCCAACTCTGAACACACTGCTTAAGAGTTAGCCCTGCTCTGCAAGGAGCAGTACCATTCAATAAAATATTGCAGTCTAACATCACCCACTAGCCCTTAAATTCTTTCTTGGACAAAGCTAATAACCCTCTCAGGATAAGCCAAAATTCTGTGACTCACCTGTCCTACAAAAATTGGGTGAAGGCAAATCTAAAAACCATGAGGTGTACTTCAAAAATCTAAAAAGCATATTGCTAAAAAATATAAGTTGGAAAAGGTAAAATACTGTGAAAAGGCAAACTTGTGACCTACTAAATAAGCTTTTAAATTTGCGTAATTTAGCTACACTCTTTGTGTTACAAAGTTCTTCAGGATTTGGAAAACATTGTTATGTATCCACTATTACAGTATCAAAGAGAGGAATTTCACTGCCCAAAAGAAATCTTTGGTAGTTCACTGATGTCACCTATCTCTCTCCCAAGCCCCTTGTTACCACTGAACTCTTTACTATCACTACACTTTTTCCTTTTCTAGAGAGTCATATAAATGGAATTACACAGTATTTTGACTGTTTCAACTTGTATTTTTCTACATAGCCATATACCTTGTTCAGGTAGCATGATTAAATTAACAACATCAACTTGCTTGCAGGGAGTGCTAGATCACATACAAATGAGAATGAGTGGATCCATGTGTATGGTCCTGGATTAGGTCATATGGTGTTGGAAACATTAGCAGAAAGCATAAAATTACCAAATTACCCTGAAGCAGAATTAAATTCACAGACTGGAGCATATAATAGTGACTGAACAAAAGAAAATGCCAAACAACAACAAAACCAACCAACCACACAACATCAAACTTTAATTATGCAGGTATTTCAAAGTGATAGAAGGGACAACTTAAAAACCTTCCAATAGCCAACATTGGAACAATTTGTGCAATTAAAAAAAAAAATAGCAGCCGAGCATGGTGGCTCATGCCTGTAATCCCAGCACTTTGGGAGGCCGAGGAGGGTGGATCATCTGAGGTATGGAGTTTGAGACCAACCTGGCCAACATGGTGAAACTCAGTCTCTACTAAAAATACAAAACTTAGCCAGGTGTAGTGTCTCATGCCTGTAATCCCAGCCACTCAGGAGATTGAGGCACGAGAATCGCTTGAACCCAGGGGGCAGAGGTTGCAATGAGCTGAGATCGCACCATTGCACTCCAGCCTTGGCAACACAGAAAGGCTCTGTCTCAAAAAAAAAAATAGCACATATGCATTGTAAAATAAATCTCCATATTTAGATAATGATATAAATAAAAGATGCATGTTTAAGTGAATAAATTAATACACATGAAATAATTGGAAGAGAATAGGCACATGTTTACGGTGAAGGTTTAAAGGAATTTGTAGACATTCTGCCAATAATGACTGTCTACCCTTGTTGACAGTTTTTACTCTTGGTATGATATGATGAGAATGGCACTTTTTGGCCAGGCACAGTGGCTCACGCCTGTAATCCCAGACCAGCCTGGACACCACATTAAGACCCCATCTCTATAACAAAATAAATATCACTTGAGCCCATGAGTTTGACCCCGGCCTGGGCAACATGGTGAAACCTTGCCTCTACCAAAAAAAATAACAAACAACAACAACAATAAATTAGTCCAGCATGGTGGCACATACCTGCAGTCTCAGCTACCCTGGAGGTTGAGAGGGAAGGATCCTTAAGCTCAGAAGATGGAGGCTGTAGTGAGCCAAGCTCATGACACTGCACTCCAGGCTAGGCGAGAGAGTGAGACACTGTCTCAAAATTAAATAAATAAATAAAAATGACACTTTTCCTCGTGATCTTCCTCTCCTAAACCCACAAATCCAGTCTTATCATTAGAGAAACATCAGACAAATCCCACATTAGTAATATTAATGTCATCAAAAATAAGGAAACTCTGAGAAACTGTGACAGTCAGAGAATTCTAAGGAGACATGACATGTACCTGTGATGAGGTATCCTGGATGAAATCCTGGAATAGAAACAGGACATTAAGTCAAAACTAAAAAAAAATGAATAAAGTATGAAGAGTAGTTATAGTGTTATAAAACTGATTGCTTGTGACAAATGTCCTACATTAATGTAAGAATTTCATAAAAATGGAAATTTCGTAGGATATGTGGAAATTCTATGTACTACATTTACAACTGTTCTGTAAACCTAAAACCATTCTTAAATTTATAAGGTTTCTTTATCTTTAAAGTCACTGTTGACCTTATAAAACAACATGAGCAATATGTTTGATGGCCCATAGTGCATCTCCTGAGCTTCACCATCTTCCTTAATCACTGAAAATAGCTATTACTGTGAATTATTTGTTATCCTCTAATTTGTGTTTATTACATTTACCTCTATGTTTATATTTCTAATATCTATAATGTTTATTTTTCTTGTCTTCAAACACACATGCATGGTTTTAATGTATTTATGTCCCAGTTTAATCATGAGAAATCATGAGACAAATTCATATTGTGGGAAAACCTACATAATATCTGACCTGTGTTTTCAAAAAAGTCAAGTTCACAAAAAATAAGTGAAGACTGAGAAATCTGCAGATTAGAGAATACTTGATGTGTCAGGTAGACCCTACGATGGTGCCCAGTGAACCTCACCTGTAAGAAATACACCGCTTACATTATCTCATGTGCTCTGTTGAGTGGCCTCCTCTGTGTCTCACATGACCAACACACCTGAACTTAACATTTTTCCAATTCAGAGTTTTCCTAGAAAGTGGTTGTCTTGATATGAATGTAGTGGTCACAGTTCTGCAAAGTGCCATAAGGGCATCTGACAGTATTTAAAAGGTTACAGTAATCCAACCCCAATGCCCATCAATCAATGAGTGGATAAGGAAACTGCGGTATATATATATATATAATGGACTACTATTCAACCATAAAAAGGAATGAGTTAATGGCTTTTGCAGCAACCTGGATGAGATTAGAGATTATTATTCTAAGTGAAGTAACTCAGGAATAGAACACCAAACATCGTAGGATCTCACTCATAAGTGGGAACTAAGTTATGATGCAAAGGCCTAAGAATGATACAATGGGCTCTGGGAACTCAGGAGAAAAGGGTGGGAAGGGGGTGAGGGATCAAAAACTACAAATAGGGTGCAGTGTATATTGCTCGGGTGATGGGTGCACCAAAATCTCACAAATCACCACTAAAGAACTTACTCACGTAACCCAAACCACCTGTTCCCGAATAACGTATGGAAATTAAAAAAAATTACAGTAAGAAGGATGCCTGGTAAAGGACTGGACAATTAGGCATTGTGTCATCTGCAAGGATAAATAAGTATCCTATGAAAGGTGCACTGTCAACATCCAGGACCAATTTCCTGGAGTCCTGTTGGACATCGTTATAATTTGAAGCCATTGTCCCAAGAGAGACCTCAAGAGAATATTAGATACTACAAAAATACAACATAGATGTATAGGTAATTTTACAAATCATGGCTCGAAGATCCCATGGAGAAGGAAGATAGAAATGGTAAAGTGTTACTTGAAAGTTTACAGAGTTGCAGAGTGCAGCTCTCTCAAGACAGAAATACTCATCTTGAGACTGTTTGCCTTAATCTCAGAAATATAGGCAGAGACTATTCGAAGTTGCTTTCCAAATCCAATTCTTCATTTCGATCAACTACCTATCTTTTTCTCCTCTCCTTTTATTCTTCCTATGTCATAAACGATGGTCATGTGAATCTCACTGTAAGCAGTCGCTGCTGACGCAGGCACGTTACAGTCATCATGAAATGCTTTGCTCTGACCATTTGTCACTCTTGTCAACTCCACTTGTTGATACTTGGAAAATCAAACAGGCCTTGGTGTTCCCTGAAGACTGCACTGCATGAAGAAGAAACTCATATAATTTATAATTTAGAATGTTGAGCATATTTGCACTGAGAGTTTCAGCTTCTATGAGGGCTCAGTTCAGTGAACAGAAAGCCCTAATTTCAAATATAGGAGTCATGCACCTTTTAAGCTTTATTCTCCATTCAGGGTAGAGGGTGGAGAGGGGTTGGGTTCAGGCCTCATGATGTGGTCAGACAATGAGATGTTTTCAATAGCATCTTTCTGAGAATTCTGGTGGCCAATCCAGCCTCAGTACAACGTGGTCACAGGTGGTTTACTGTCTTGTGAGAAATCATAACTTCCATGCTATGGTGGTAGAGTTTCGGAGCTCGGTGCTCAGCACTGTGTTTGTTCTCTGTGCCAGGGACATCACGGTAGCACAGTTTTGTGTCTATCACCTTTCCTATCTTAACCCTGGGCACTCAGAACTCATTGACCCTCTTGCTACCTAGAGATGAGTCTCTCCTTAGACAAATCTACTTCCATCTCCTTCATGGCCTGCCACTTGGTGATTTTGTTTTTCCTGAACAGTTTGGTCATGAATGATCTTCACAGTACACATCATAACAGACCATATGTATGCATAGAAATGAAGAGAAAAACGGGATTTGACAAGTCACTTACCTTATAGAAACTCCTCTTATAATGAAATGAAAAGAGCAAACTTCCATTTACTAAGATTGTCCTTTTTTTTTTTTTTTGAGACACAGTATTGCTCTGTCCCCCAGGCTGCAGGGCAGTGGCATGATCTCGGCTCACTGCAAGCTCCGCCTCCTGGGTTCACACCGTTCTCCTGCCTCAGCCTCCCGAGTAGCTGGGACTACAGGCACCCGCCACCATGTCTGGCTAATTTTTTGTATTTTATTAGAGACAGGGTTTCACCGTGTTAGCCAGGATGGTCTCAATCTCCTGACCTCGCGATCCACCCGCCTCGGCCTCCCAAACTGCTGGGATTACAGGCGTGAACAACCACGCCCAGTTTAAGATTATCAATTTAAATGAGGCTCTCCTTCCTATGGGGTGAATTGTAAGCTCAGAGGGGTAAGAAGGTTTATTGAATTATAAATGTCCCAAATAGTAGCACCTGAATTATTGCTACAATCTTCTTGGAAGTAAGAAATGTGGTCAAGGTCAGCTGTATCTCTTACTCCACGTCTCCTGGGTGCAGGAATTTATTTTCTCACTGGAGCTATGAAGCTGGTATGGAGAATGTAGCCCATGATCACGGTCTGAAAAAGCAAAAAGAGTCCTAACTTCGTGGATGTCCTTGGGAGTGCAGCACACAGTCCCATGGCTTAGTAAGCTTTGTGGACATCGTTCCCGGAACAACCCTGGTGCCCTCCCATAAAGTGGTGTGGCCTGTGAACTGGGAGCTGTGTGGGGGATGAGGGGACAATCCTCCCTGCTGTGGAGATCTTTGTTTAACCAGCACAGATGCAGAGTCTGCACTGAGCCTGTGTCCATCTCTTAGATCACTGCATGGTGGGCTGGGCTATGTTGTACTGTGCTCTTCTTTCCTTTTTTCTATTAGGCTATTTCCACCTCTGCACAACACACTCTGTATCACTAACATGCCTCACTTCCATATGCCTGGTGTCTAAAGGTTCATTTCAGGTCTCTGTAAGCAGGAATCAGCCTACAACCCCATGATTAGAAGCTTTTATTTTCATAGCTAGTGAACCTTCTACACTATGATATTGTCTGTGCTGCAGCTTTTGGGCCTCTCACTGGACAAAAGAAATCCATGATATTATAGCATCAGGGGACTGTGTGGTGCCATGAATTCATGATGGAGTCTGCATAATAAAAAGAACTTAATTATCATAGGGTATTCTCAAAGGCTTTAAAAACTTTAAAACTTGAACAAGAGAATCTCTGAACTAAGAAAACACTCCTAATGTAGAAATATTATTTATGTTCCCCATCACTGGTGTTTCTCAATCTTGTCTGGAAGTCATGTCTTTCAAAATGTCTTTAGTGAGATCCTACAAAGACACTACCACAAAGTGCCTGAAAATAGGGCCTTCTAACACATGTGGGGCAGGCACCTTTCTTTGAAAAAGTGGTTACTGATGTATGAACTGGTGACTGGGTAATGGAGCATATGATGGGAAAGAAGAAAATGGATGAGAGTCCCTGGAGCTTGATGAGGTGCCTGAAGCCTGAAGCAGGTGCCCTGTGTAGGAATGGGGATAATAAGGCAAGTACTTTGCCTTTCACTCCCTGCATCTCCACTCATCCTCTGGTCCAAGGTTTCTTGTTGTTTATGTCCATCTGTGTTGGTATTTTTTTTTGTTCCTAAATAATATATTTTAAGAATATTTTTATTTGAAAATAATTTTAGTTTTACAGAAAGTTTCAAAGATAATGCAGTTTTACATAATCTACAGCTTTCTGAAATGTTAACAACTCATGTAACCAGAATGTATTTATGAAAACTCAGAAATTGACAGTGGTACAAAACTATTACCTGAAATACAGTTAATAGTTTTGAAGCATTAACTGAAAGGCAGACTTTCTTAATATTTTGCCAGGTTTTCCACTGATGTCATTTTCTCTTCTAGAATCTAATTACATTTACTCTCAGGTATATTACCTACAGGTCGCTGTATAACATATAACTGAACAGCTTAGATGTTCAAACCCACACGTAACTATTACTTAACCTTTTCTCTGGATCAGATGACCCAGGCTGAGGTTTCAAGCGAAGCCTCCCCTGAGGAAGGATCCCTTTCCCAGCTCATGTTAGTGTTGGTAGGATTCAATTTTTTTCTAGGTTGTGATGACTTCACTGGTGAATTATTCTAACCCCTTTGAAAATTAATAACAATCTTTATTAACTAATCTTTCAAGAAAAAGAAATAAAAACAGAGGAGTAGAGAACACTTCCCAATATGCCGCATGAAGCCCGTTTTCCCTGATAGCACAACTGGACAAAGAGATTTCAAGAAAGGAAAATTACAGACAAATATGCCCCATGAAACAGAGGCAAAAATTCTGAAGGAAATACTATCAAAATAAACCAGTAACCTAATAAAAATAGACATTATGAGCAAAGTCATTTGTCCCTGAAATATGTTTTGTTAAACATACAAAAACTATTACTGTAATACGCTATATTGTCAGAGTGAAGGACAAAAGCTTCATAATTATCTCTAAAGATACAGAATAAGCAGTTGAAAAATCCAAAACACATTCATGATAACAATGCCGAGCAAATTAGGCATAAAAGGAAATTTTCTTAAGTGATAAAAGGCATCTATGAAAAACTCACACAACAACACACCATATTATGAATGTTTCAGTAATTTCTTCAAAAAATTAGCAACAGGACAAGGATGTATGCTCTTGCTACTTTTATTCAGTATTGTATTGGAACATGTAGCCAGGGTAATTAGGCAAGAAACATAAATATAAGACTTCTAGAATGAAAAGGATGAAGTTAAGCTTTCTCTATTCATAAATGACATAATCCTATGTATAGAAAATCCTAAGGAAATTACTAAAAGAAGATTAGAAACAAAAAATGAGTTCAGTAACACTTTAGTATACTAGAGTAATAAAAATCAATTGCATTTCTATATATTGTCAATTAATCTAAAATAAAACATAGAAAACAATTCCATTTAAAATATTGTGAAAAAGAAACAGACATTTGGGGGCAAAGGGGACCAACCTAAGAAATATAAAAATAAGGAGAGATTCTTAGTTTAAATGTCAAAGTATCTGTACATAAATTCTCTTCTTTAGTTAGAAACATTCTTTCCCATGGGTGTATGAATTACCAATTCTAAAACTACTCTGCATGTATTTTGGACTCATTGATTATATAAAGGAGGCCAACTATCTCACTGTTAGCGTGGGAGGTTACATACAAGTAGTGGCAATGGGGAAACTGATTTATGTAGTCTTGAATTAGATCATGGGTGCTGGAAACATTAATAAGAATTCATGCTGAACTTTACATAGGAATAAATGGAGAAATGTTGTAGAAATGCATATACGTATGTGAGTGTGAATTACATACATACATATAATCCTTTGCTCTGTCAGATGACAAAACATAGAATTAACAGACGCCTAGCAGAAATGACAACACCATTGCCGAGACCTTTGTTTCTAATGCCATTCACCAAAAAAGGAACTAGGAATTTGGGGGAAAATGGTAAATGGCATGGCTGGGAAGGGAATCAACACTATTAAGCTTAAGTACCTTGTAGAGCCAGAAAGTAAGAAAAAGTTAAACAACGCAACCAAACAACACACTACACAAACCAAATCAAATAGCAATAATATGGGTATTTCAAAGTGGTAAAGCAGCTGACTGAAAGGCCTTCTAATGACCAGCACTAGCGCAATTTGAACAATACAATAAACTAGTCTAATCACAGGGGAAATAAATATTTTTTATTTGCCAATATTCCATATAATATAAATAATTGACTAAATAAATGCTGGAGAAGAGATACATTGCCTATGATAATGAAATACAAACGATACTATACAAGTTCTGCCCTAAGGAGGTGAAGAATAATTCCCCAATATTAAGTATGCGCTGTGCATAGTGACGTTTTTTTCAAAAAGTACGACGTGGATAGGGGGAAAATTAATTTTACAGTGGAGAAACTGGACCCACACTGCCTCATCCAGGTGCTCAAATTAGTATCAATAGTGATAAAAGCATTTTGAGAATATATGCCCATGGTATAATGAGTATTACACTCACTCCTGTCTCTTCTTCTTCCACATGTACAAATTCAGTCTAATTGTTAGTAAAAACAATCATAGAAATCCTAAATGGAGGATGTCAATGCCACGAAAAACATGGAAATTCAGAGAAACTGCAGAGACAAAAAAAGCTTAAGGAGACATGATATCTAAAGGTGTTATCCTGGAAGAGATCCTAGAACAGAAAACAAACAGTAATTAGGAAGAAAAGAAATCTGATTAATATGTGGATATCAGTGAATGAGAATGCATAATGTTGGTGTGTTAATTGTGGCAAATACCCATGCTCATATAAGAGGTTAATAATGATGGAAACTCTGGTTGGTTGCATATTAACTCTCCATGCTGACTATGCAACTGTTATGTAAGTCCAAAGCTAACGTAAAATAGAAAAGCTTTTTTTCTTTCTTTAAAAATTCACTGCTGACCTTAACAAACTGAATATTATCAATATTGTTGATGCTCTAAATGTGCAGCTCCCCAATTTCATGGCATTTTTTACCCCCATGAAGGTTACTATTATTTTCAGTTTCCTATTTGTCATTTCCTTTTTGTATTATTTTTATGTCTATGTTTATATTTCTAAATAATATATTCAGTTTTTATTGTCTTCAAATTAAGATAAAGGTGTTCAAAATAAGTCTATAATTCTATTCAAATAATGAGAAATCATCAGATGAATCCACATTGTGATGCTTCCTATAAAATACCTCACCAGTTCTTTTCTTAGCAGCTGAGAGTCTTCAAGATAAACGAAGACTGGGAAACTGTTGCACATCAGACAGGACCTGATGTGGCTGGTAGACCTTAAGATGGTGCCCAGTGATCCACACCTGCCAGGGTGCATGACTCTGTATTGTAATCCTCTCCCTGTGAGTATGGGCATGAAATGTGACTTGCTTTCACACAACACAATAATACAAGAATATTAGATGTCACACGACTGATCATGTTACGTAAAGTTGTGATTTTTTTTTTTTTTTTTTGGTCTTGCTAGCAAGCTCTTTGCCTTGATGGCTTTGATAGAGCATTCTGCCACATGGGAGAAGTCAACATGGGAAGAAACTGAATGCAGCCTCTAGTCAACAGCCAGCAAGGAACTGAGGCTGCCCTAGAGTTTGCAATTTAAAATTCTGGCTAATCCAAGCCCCCTTTCAAGTAACAATATATCACTTAAGATGTGGTGTGAACACCTTACAGTAACAGAATAACCCACATTCTTTCCTTCTATCACCTATTGCAGTTATTCATCTCACTTACATAAGAATAAATGCACATAAATGTTTGTATGTATACATATACACACACAATGATATATATTTAACCATATCTAATCAAATATATTCAAACTAATGTTTTTAACAAGCTGTTATTTGTTAGATTAAGCATAAAATTATTACCTAGACTAGTCACTAAAAAGGTAAAAAAAAAAGAGATATGCTAAGAAATGAGATGAACTGATATAAAGTGCTCAAAACAACAAAAGGTAGAAAATGAGTGAAATACAAAAATAAGAACAAAGACAAATCAACAACTGAAAAATGGTAACAAATTTGGTAGATTTTTAATCCAACTATATCAATAATCACTTTAAATGTCAATGTTCTAAATGCACTACTTAAAGGACAGAATGCATCAATAAAAGGAAGCATGGGATAGAAAGAATAAATTCATGTAACACGTTACAATCTGAGAAACAAGAGAACATCATGAGGTTTGCAGGAGAATATCAAAGAACATTTAAGAAGTCACACAGACAGGCCGGGCATGGTGGCCAACACCTGTAATCCCGGCACTATGGGAGGCCGAGGAGGGCGGATCGCTTGAGGTTAGGAGTTCGAGACGAACCTGGCCAACTTGGGGAAACCCCATCTCTACTAAAAATACAAAAATTAGCTGGGCATGGTGGCACCTGCCTGTAATCCTTGCTACTCAGGAGGCTGAGGCAGGAGAATCGCTTGAACTCAGGAGGCAAAGGTTTCAGTGAGCTGAGATGGAGTCACTGCACTCCAGCCTGGGCTACGAGAGCAAACCTCCATCCCAAAAATAAAATAAAATAATAAAATAAAATAAAGACTAAAACTACCAGACAGCTTACAGGTAGGGGATTTTAAAGACACAGAGGGGAGGGGTAATACACAGTCATAAATTAATATATTGAGGTTACACATTGGTTTTAGACTAAAAGGATGAAGTATCTTGAAGTGGAAGCTTACAGGTCATAGGGGGATTCAGAGATTTTCTGATGTGTGATTATTTAAGAAAGTAAAATTTGTCAGAAAATTTGGGATCAGCAGAAAGTAATGGTACTTTTGGCTCATAGACGTAACATTCCATAGGCCACTCAGGAAGAAATTGAGAATAAAGAATGGCAGAGTTCATTTCATAGATCCCCTTTATCTGAGGTCTATGTGCCAGTGGATCCATTTAGTAGAGGGGCAGCTTTCTGAACAACAACTCAGGGACATATGCTAAGCTTTGATTTTTAGTTTCCATAGGGAACCCCATATTCCCATGACTCTCCATTCCTTGCTACTGTTTTACCTTCTTGCTTGTCCAGTGGCTCGTGTACTTCTCAGAGGTAGAGAGGTGCCTGGAATTTCTGTGAAGGGACTCAAGATTTTCCTTTATTTCCATGCTTCGGGTGGTACACAGGCCCCTATGAGGGGTCCCTGCACCTTCTCAGGCCCTAAATGAATCCTCATCTGCTTGTGGGACTCCTGAATTTCATCTACCATGTTCTTGCTTTTGTACTGCTTGCCGCTTTCAGGTAGGAAAACTCCTGTTCAACCTTGGCAGACGAATCTCATCTTCACTGGCCAAGACATTTGGATGACTATTCGTATATGAATTATGTCAAGAGTGCCAAAGTTCAGTATAAAATAATGCACATCAGTTGATCCACTATTATTTAATAGAAAGGTGGGTAAATTATTGACTATGTCAATGAAAATGGAGATATAAATAGTTGCCAGCAGAAAAGTATTTTTAAAATGTTAAGCTAAATGAGAAAAAATAATAAAATATTTTAACACCTTTCCTAAAAGTGATTGTTACAGATATATTTGCTGAATAGAGCAAAATTATGTGTACATTTTCTAAGTGGCATTTTAAAAATTTGTCACTGAGACTATTTATTACTGCCTCAATTTCAGAGCCATTCTTGATCTGTTCAGGGATTCAGTTCCTCTCTGGTTCAGTCTTGGGAGGGTGTATTTTTGCAGGAATTCTTCATTCTTTCTAGATTTTCTAATTTATGTCCATGGAGGTGTTCATAATATTCTCTGATGGTTGTTTATATTTCTGTGGGGTCAGTGGTAATATCACCCTTGTTGTTTCTGATTGCATTTATTTGAATCTTCTCAACATCGCTCATTATTAGAGTAACGCAAATCAAAACCAAAATGAAATACCATCTAACACCAGTCAGAACGTATATATTAAAAAGTCAAAAAATAACAAATAACAAATAATCAAACAAATAACAGAGGCTGGCAAGATTGTGGAGAAAAAGGAACACTTATACAATGTTGGTGGGAGTGTAAATTAGGTTAACCATTGTGGAAGACAGTGTGATGATTCCTAAAAGACCTAATGACAGAACTTCCATTTGACCCAACAATCCCATTTCTAAGTATATATCCAAAGGAATATAAATCATTCTGTTATAAAGACACATGAACACATATGTCCACTGCAGCACTATACACAATAGCAAAAACATGGAATCAATCTAAATTGTCCATCAATGATAGACTGTATAAAGAAAATGTGGCACATATACACCATGGAATACAATGCAGCTATAAGGAACAACCAGATGATGTCCTTTGCAGGGACGTGAATGGAGCTGCAGTCCATTATTCTTAGCAAGCTAACACAGGAATAGAAAACCAAATATCTCCATGTTCTCTTATAAGTGGGAGCTAAATGATAAGAACACATGGACACATAGAGGGGAAGAACACACTCAGAGTTCCTGAAACCATTGGTCTGGTTTCCAATGAGTGGGGCAATCAGACACACAAGCACACCAAGGCTTAACCGCTCTGCTCACTGGAAGGGAAAGAAACTACCCAGGAATGCCACCTGCTTCCAACTAGCTGATCCCATGATTGAGGCTCTAGGGAATTTCTCTTTACCTGCTGAGATATTTCTGTCTTGGGGAACCTCCTTTCTCTTCTTGCCACTGCACCAGCTGCCGACTACACTTCCTTACCACAGGGCAAGTGACATCTGAAGAGGCTGACAGACTTCAGAGCTGGGTAAGGCAACCAGAATACCCCCTGAACTGCCTCTGCCTGTTCTGTGATGTCACCTGACCTCTGCTCTGTTTACATATAGCTGCTTGTGACATCATCTGGGCATGTATGGTATCTGTATCTATGTCAAGACCTGGGCTTTGCTCCACTTGGAGTCAGCTGATTGGCAGGAGGGCATCTGAAATTGAGAGGAGGTTTCAGGACGTTTACCCAGCCCTTTAGTGGGGATCTGTCCGGGACTGTGCAGTCTGAATCTGCAACTGTAAAAGGTACAATATCTACATTTAGGCCCTCATCTCTGTCTCTCTCTCCTCCTCCTCCTTTCCTCTGCAGGGTGATCTGCATAAGCCCCACTCCATCCAGGATCCGGCCCTGGAGGGAAACAGCCTCCACTGCCCTAGCAGGGTCACTCTTTTTAGGGCCCTGGAGTACTTCTCACAGCTGTGCCAGTTTTTATGGGGAAAGGAAGGATGTGAACAATTCCATAGGTTATCTAAAGGGCTTGCCACCATGCTTATGGTGCTTAATGTTGTTTATGTGAAAAAAAGCTTAACAGCATATGGGATAAGTATTTAGGCAGTCCTGACTCCAACCCCTCTGCCCTTTTTATCTGCCTAATTTACCATTTAATTTGTTGCCATTCGGTTACCATCTACTAGGGTACTAAGGACAGCAGAACATGGACTTGGGATGAAGTTGATGTGCTGGTGGGCCGGGGCAGGGGGTGGAGCGGGGGCAGGGTGGTGGTGGGGGAGTGCTGTGCTAGCTGGTGCTAATCACTAGCCTGCCCAACTAGTTTATTCTCTGGTCTCTTTGGCTGTCCCAGCTGTGTGGTGAGATTTCCACAAGTGTTCCTTTTAGGACCATGAGTGGTATTAATTGCACTGCTTATATGAAGCTAGAAACGTCTTTCCAACCCATAGAGGTCTGGTTGAAGGATATGAGCAGTGCAGAACAGAAGAGAGACAACAAATAAAAGTTGTCATCACTGTTTCACAGGGATGAGCAGTATGGACATAGAAACCACGTCAGGAGGGGAAACAAGGTCTCTATCACCTCTGGGAGGCCCCTGGGGCATACCCTAGCTAACTGTAGAGCCTATAGCTATCAGCCCATGACTAACAGAAAAATGGTCTATTATTGCAGTGCTGTTTGGACTGTGGACAAGTTAGGTTATAAATTTTGACCTCTGAATGGACGCAACCAATATTAGCCTTTAATGCAGTTAGACTCATTTTGTCAGAGGTCTGGAAAATTAGGAAAAACTACCATATGTCCAAGCCTTCATGCTTTTCGAAAATCAGGATTCATACCATGAGGGAAGATGCCAGCTGCTAGCTATACCAAAGGACAGAATGGAAAAAAGGCTCTTCACAAGCCAGAGAGCCAAACTCAGGCAGAAAGCAATGAAGAAGAATTAGGACTTTTAAATCTCCTACACCCAAGCTGTTTTAGCAGCTCCAACCACCACAGCCAGAACGCACCTGGCCTCTGCTCCACCTCAACAGCTCCCACTGCAGTACCACCATACGGGGCCCTTAGCACTGGCCTCTGCGTTGGACCGGATTGCCTTGATGCTACCAAGTGAGGCATCAGACCAATAAGAGGGAGCTACTCTGCCGCCTCAGTATAATGAGAGAACAGAGACGGCCTCTCCCTCCAGTGCTTGACAGGGAACATGATTTAGCAAGGAAGTGCCATGGCCGGAGCAAGGGAATTACCATTTACAGGGATGGCCATGGGTGGCTTGGATGAGAGTGGGCAACCTGTCAGACATTACTGGACATCCAGCCCATTTTCAACATCTAACTTGTGAAATGGAAAAACTCCACCCCACTTTATACAATGGATCCCCAGAAAATGACTGATCTCTATGTGTCTATCTGTGCTACCCACCAGTGTACCTGAGCAGATGTGTAGTCTCTCCTAAATATGTTTCTGACTGCAGACCAAAGAAGGTCCAGAGTCTTGGTGCCTCCATGAAACAAATCCAAATACCCCAAACCTGAAGGGACCATTCTGGATGCAAACCCTAATTGGGGCTCCAATTGATAAGGGGACATGGCCCATCTGGAATATTCACAAACATTCTTCCTGTTTGGACTCAGGAAAGGGGTACCAAAACAGGAAGCCTCACTAGGAATGACCCCTTCCCCGCTCCAGAGACAAAGAAACAGAAGTTTCAACCATAAACGTGGAATGAACAAGGAAGCCTCTGCATCAGAAAAATCGAGGCAAGCCTCTGGAACACAGCCAGTGTGCCTAGTGTAAGGAGAAAGGCCACTGAAAGGATGACTGTCCCAAAAGAAAGGACCAAGGGGCCAGAAAAAGGAGGAATATGATGAGGAAAAAGCCCACAGTCAAATCATGGAGCAGGGTCACTGCTCTGACCACGGACAGTGATGCCTGGGGACTCTCCTTAATCACTCAGAGACAATTAAAATTTCCCCACAGGAACCCTGGGTACAACTGACAGTGAGGAAAAAGTTAATTGATTTCCTGGTTGATACTGGGCAAACTATTCAGTTCTTAACACTTTATGAGCAAAAAGCACCAAAATGATTGTACCTGTGATAGGAGTTGCAAGAATAATGCAACAAAAGGCTTTCCTACAACCTTTAGAATGCAAACTAGAAAGTTTGGACCTAAGGCACTGCTATTTCTATATGCCAGAATGCCCAATTCCCTTGCTGGGAAAAGACCTATTATGCAAATTAAATACTCAAGTAATTTCTCCCCAGAGAAACAACTATGGCTGCAGGTCCTGCTAAAGCAAGCACTGCAACTAAGATGTTACTCACTTGCCTTAAGAAGAAACAAGAATTCTCCCTCAGAAGTCTATGAGAGAGTGCGTAATTGTGAATAGGCAGAAGGAATCCCAGGAAAAACAAGAAATATACAGTGAGTGCATATAGAAAAAATAGAAGGGGCTACTGTGACCTGGGCGGCGGGGAGGAGGCGAATAAAAAAATCAGTATACATTAAGAAAGGAAGCCTTAGAAGGAATACAGCCTGTCTTTCAAAAATTTGAGAAGTGGACTGATTCATCCTTGCAGATCCCCATATAATAGCCCTATCGTGCCTGTAAGGAAGCTACACTTCTACAAATATCAATTTGCCCAAGACCTGAGAGCCGTTAATAAAATAGTCTTGGATATTCACCCAGTGGTGCCTAACCCAGATACTCTACTGACTGCTATATATAGATAGTATGAATGCTTTTCAGTGCTAGATCTGAAAGATGTTTTCTTCTGCATTCCAATTGAAGAAAAGACCCAACAATTATTATTATTATTTTTAATGACAGGACCGAGAGACTAAAACAACCTTTCAATACTGTTAGACAGTGGGGTCTCAATGTGTTAAAAAATGCACCAACAATTTTTGGGGAAATACTGGCAAAAGACTTAGGAGACCTACAACAAGATTAAGAAGCCTGGCTACAACACATAGATAATTAATAGCCAGCCACAACTATAGGAAATGCTTAGCTGATGTCATTTTAGTTCTAAATCACCTGGTACAATATGGATACAAAGTATTCCCAAGAAGCCCCAAATATGTAAGTAGAAAGTAACCTGTCTTGGCTTTAGGTTAAAGCAAGGCCAAAGGAGCCTGGTCTGGTAAAAAAAAAAAAACAAAAAACAGGCAATAGCAGCCATAAAGCTCCAGAGAATGGGGGCAACCATGGGGATTCTTAGAAAGGGTTAGCTTCTGCCAGATTTGATTCCTAAGTTTGGACTAATGACTAAAACACTTTATGAATCCTTAAAGGATTCACTAGACTCAGAGGCCCTTCTCTGGACATCTAAAGGTCAACAAACATTTTATACCATCAAAGAAAAGCTGATATCACCCCCTGCACTGGGATACCAAATTCCCAAAAGCTGTTCAAATTCTATATCCAAGAGAAACAAAGCATAGGTGTGGGTTGTGCTAATGCAAATGCTGGGAGATGCCCCACAATCCATGGCCTATTTCTCTAAACAATTACACCAAAGATTAAGGGATGGCTCCCCTTCCTCTGGGCAAGAGCACCCACTGTGAAGTCCTACAGGAAGTAGAACAATTTACTCTGGGACAGCCAGTTACCTTGTTTGTACCCCATCAGGTGCTGACTCTGCTAGAACAAACGGGAGGCTACTGGCTCACTGTGGGGTGAGTGGGCAGATATCAGGCCATCCTCTTATATGATCCAAATATCACCCTACAAACCACCATGGCTCTAAACCCTGCCACACTGCTCTCAGCCACTGAACACAATCCTGGGTTAAAGCATGACTGTAAATCCTTGATGCAGCTTATTCAAGCATGCTGAACCTGTCAAACTAGACAATGAGTGCTCTGGACTTGAACTACACTGATGGGAGCAGCTTAATGGAAGATGTGCACAGAGCCGGATGTGCCACTGTGACTACCAAAAGGGTAATAGTAGTCCATACCCTTCCTGCAGCTACCTCCGCACAAAGAGCTGAGTTAATTGCTCTTACCTGAGTCTTTAGAACTGTCCCAGGAAAAGGGAGTAAAGATTTATTCTGATTCCATATATGCATTCCTGGAAATGCACGCCAATTGGGTGATCTGGAAACATAGAGGAGGTTGCTTGAAATCAGAAAATACAGACATTAAACACCCAAGAGAAATTCTGGACCTAGTAAAGGCAATTGCCTTGCCTGCCCAGGCTTCCATCATGCACTTCCCCAACACCAGAGACATAATTCACAACCGAAGGTAACCAGGCAGCTGGCAAAGCTGCAAAATGAGCTGCTTGGGAGGCACAGGTCCTGGGACATGAATACTCCATTTGGAATTACTAGATTTTAAACCTCATTACACTGAACAAGATCCCAAACATGCCCAAGCCAGGGGTTTGAGAAAAGAGATTCCAATTCCCCTAGAAAACTGACACCTATAAGATAACGCCTACAGGATGATGAAACCCCAAGGCCTTGGTTTATCCAATCTCAAAACATCTACATAAAGGAATGCACTATGGGAGTGATGTCCTCGCCAACCTAGTACAACCACACCTCAGTAGACCACACTTTCAAAACATCACTCGGAAAATTACACAGGGATGCATCTTGTGCACTACAAACAAACAATCCCAAGATGGAATGTAGTCCTCCTAAAAAGGAGATATAGTACAAAGAGCTGAGTCCCTTCAAAGACTGAAAGGCGGGCTTCACTCAGATGCCTACCTGGTTATGTGCGCCAAGGAAAGATCTGAAGTTATTAATAAAAGAAAAAGAAGGAGATATAAGCAATATACTTTTGTTAACATGAAGTTCTCAATTAGTTCTAGAGTAATAAGTACATACTTGATCTTTGCTGAAACTACACGAATGGGTGTAGACAGTGGTTTTCCTCCAAAACAAAACAGACTGCTGGGTCTGTGGGGGAGATACCCCTTTCTCCACTGCTGACTTGCCATGGCACATCCAAGCTACCACCTCGAGCACTTGGAGTTATGTTTATACATAGGACAAGAGTAAAAATTCTCACCCATTTCCCATCTATGATTACAGTACCACTCACCATGAGTGCTCCACTTTTGGAGAAACCTGGAAACATTTCTTCCATGTGGCTTGTAAGCAGGTTAATATCACCCCCTCTATAGACTATGCTGTACATGACAACATAGGATGGCTGATGATGGTGCAAATTCAGGCAATGGGTCAGGCACCTCTACGCATCCAAAAACACAAGAGCAACACACCCCACACTAGCAGCCAGGCTAAGGGATGGTTACCTCTTAGTAATGTGGCCAAACCCATCAACTGAATAATAATATGTGGCTAGGATGGCAAAATAGTATCAAGCTACATGGTGGGGCCTATCCTTTCTCCTGGAGTTAGCTATGGGTGTGAGGCAGTCATAGCTGGTCTTACTTACCTTACAGCTGGATTGGCAGGTACACCTGGGGGTCCCCTTACCTACCAGGACACATCCTGTCCCATCTGGACTCTCTCCCTGACGACTGGGAAAATGTGAAAGACAGACAACACCATCAAAAATGGGCACCCTGTTGGTTCTACTCACTAGCTGCCTTTTCCTCCCAGATAGCAAACATAGATGTAGAATTATAGGTAGAGACCTTAAGTATAGAGCTGCTGCCTGTAATAACACCTAACCCAACATTACCCTTCCCACTGAAAGAACTCGTAGATTAGACAAGTGACCCTGTAGAACCCTATGGCCTTAGATATCCTAACTGCAGCCCAGTGTGACACTAGTGCATTAAGACTGAATGGTGCGTATATACACCAGATTACTCTCACGATATAATCCAAGGTATGCATGCACTGAATACTCATATTTCTGCTATAAATGTCCTCTCCCAGGATCCCACAATGTCATGGTTTAGTCGACTTCCATGTCCATGGAAGACTCTCATATATGGTATAATTGGTATTCTGCTCCCCGTTCTGTTTGGTTGCTGTAGTTTTTGTTGCTTTTCAAGATCTGTATGGAGATGCAGGAAAAACTTTCCCAGAAACTTTTGGGTCCCCACACTATAATGCTCCAAAACATTCTCACATTATTCTGGGAACCCACGAATATTTCCAACTCCAGGTAAACAGATTCCAATCTGATACCCTCTAACTGTGCCCCTTCTCAGCAGGAAGAAACTAGATGGACTGTGTTGCCCACGTTCCTTGGAAATGCTATGGTCTTTTATGGTGCAGGATTGTAATTGAGTCATGTTGCTTCAAAATACACTTAAGTTTTTCCTTTCTCTTTTTTTTCCTTCCTCCCAGTCTCAGGATGTAACCTTGAAGCAAACTGCAGAAACCATTGCCTCAGTCTTCAAGTAGAACCTTGAAATATACTTTGGAACCACACCCCATTCAGTTTCCCACTGTACATGTCCATGCCTTATACACATTTATCTAACTGTATGCTGGCGAAACTCACACAATGCATAATTATCTAACTATATGCCTGTCAAAAAATACCAGAGGCTAATTTAAAATGAATCAAACATACAGGCCCAGCTGTGGTATTGTCTCTCTCTTAAAGATTGCCTCTGGATGGATACCTATGGTCTGGCACTATCAAGATGGTATCAGTCTGTGGCTCCAGGTGGACCATAACTCAAGATACACATGGGAGTAAGACACAGACTCCCTGAATCTGCACACCTCCTGCATGCCTCCCATGTTATGCATTATGCTTCCCTTTCTTTAAAAACCTGCCCTCAGTCCAACCTTGTGAACTGGTTTATACAGGTGTCATCCAGCCATTTCCCTACTGCTGGATTTGAAAAATAAAGTCACTTTCCTTTCACCCTGCAAGTCCTCCTTGTCATTGCTTTTGAATGCATAGAACAGCCAGACCTGCACTCAGTTACATGTGTATCATAAGAGGAATGGAATATGGCACTTTTCTCCTTGACTGGCAATGACTACTTGGAAAAAGGGGTACCTCATCTTCTGTATTACAGTATATTATTGAAGAAATAGACTTCTACTTTCACATAAGCTGACCAACTGCATTTACCCTCTAGCTAGCAGTGGAGGCAAAAACAACTCAATCTTGAAAGCTAATTCATCATGTTGACTTCTGATTAACCCCCGTTTGGAGACTGCCTCTAAGCTTTTGGTATAAATATTTTTTTCCTTTATATGCAAACTAGGGGATAAGATTTCTATTGTGTCTACTGTTCCTTGTGAAAATCATTATTTTTCTGTAAATCCTGCCCTTAGGTCAGAACCACCATGACTATAAATCCTGTGCTTAGATTCACATGGCATTTCTGCCTTTCCCTGACAGGTAGACTTCAGTTTTCCTACACATTCCTTCCCCATGGTATATAAGTCCTATGTGAGACTCAAATATCTGTTCATAAATCCCTACTAAATGTTTCTTTCTAAGGGACTGGTTATATCAGCCTCTATCTTCAGCTGTTCAGCTTCCTCATATTTTGGTGGTAGGTTTACAAAGACCTGCCCTCCATGGAATGCTAATTATTAAAAATGGAGAGCTTTTAGTGGAGTAATGAAATCCCTATTTTGCGTATGTAGAAATAATTTTAAAAATGATGGTCCTAGAAATCTGTTGAGGAGGAAGTAGAATTGTAATGAGTTACATGAATGTTTCCCTGACAGAGATTTAAGGCTTCAGGAAGACTGAATAAAGTGAACATGAAATCATGGTCTCAATTGTACGAGCCACCCATCCATTAAACTCTAACTTCCAATCAGTCTAAAGTGTGGATGGAGAAAGAGTGTTATGTACTTGCCTTGTGAAGAGGTCTAAGAATTCGGCTTGTTTGCAATGATTCAGGACAGCCACTCTGAAACCTGGTAGCTTAGTATATTATGGGAAATCATAATTTTTGTGCTGTCAGAGAGGTTGTTTGGGAACTTGGAGCACAACACGATGTCATCTGTGCCTGTGACTTCAGTTAGCACAGCTTTCAGTTTAGTGCCTGTTTTCTTTTAAACCTCATCTCTCCAGTCTCCATCTCCCTGATATGCCACATTGAGATGGGTTACACCTTGAATGCATTTACTTATGTCTATATTATGGTTTGCCATTCTAGCTTTTTTTTTTTTTACTTGCTTCCTTGTTTGGTGAAGGACAATCTTCACACTCTTCATCATGATAGATTAGAAAACATACATTGAAATGAAGAACAAAAGGGATTTGACAAGTCACCTAAGTATGATAGTATCTCCAGTTCAAATGAAATAAATGGAAACACTCACCATGTTTTAAAATGGGAACCTTAAATGAAGCTGTCATGTCTCAAGTAATAAAGTATGAGCTTAAAGAAGTTAGTTTTCTTGAATTACAAATGCTCAATTAACACCACCTAAGTAACAGTTATCCTCATCTAAGAATGAGAAATGACATCCATGAAGCTGAATGTGTCTTCCAATTTTCTAGGTCACAAGAGCTCATTTTCTCACTGTCACTATTACTGTGGTGTAGACAATAGACCCCATGTTTATAGACCAAAAAACAAGTCATTATACATGGCCATGGGTGTGCAGAATGAAGTCTGATGTCTTTTTGGGTTTTTAGGCATGGTCCCTGGAAACAACCCTGGTGCTGTCCAGCAGCGTGTTGAACAGGAAGTTGTGTGTGGGGTGAGTGGAGAGTCCTTCCTGCTGTGGGATTCTTTGTTTAGCCAGCACATATGTAGAATCACCACTCAGCCTGTGTATATCTCTTAGATCACTGCTGGAGGGTTGGGGATATGTTGTATTTTCTTCCTTCCTTTCCTTCCTTCCCTCTTTCCTTCTTTCCCTGTTTCCTCTCTTTCTCTCTCTCTTTTTGTCTCTCTTTCTTTCTCTCTCTCTCGATCTCTCTCTCTCTCTTTCTTTCTTGGGTCTGACTTTATTGATCAGGCTGCAGTGCAGTCACACAATCATGGCTCACTGCAGCCTTGACCTCTTGGGCTCAATCCATCCACCTGCCTCAGCCTCCTGAGTAGCTGGGACCACAGGTGTGTGCCATTATACTGAGCTAAATTTCCTATTCTTTTTTTTGTAGAGACACAGTTTCTCCATGTTGCCCAGGCTGGTCTTGAACTCCTGGACTCAAGCAGTCCACCCACTCTGGCCTCCCAATATGCTGGCATTACAGGCATGAGCCACCACACCTGGCCTGTTGATTAGCCTGCATCAGGTTTTCCATGCCTGTGCAAAACCTATTTTGAATCTCAGCTGCCAAAAATCTGGTGTGAAAAGATTTTTTTGTCCAGGTCCAGATAGGTAGAAACTGCCAAAACCACCAACCATCATATATACATATATATGTATGTTGTATTCCACCCACCTGCTGTCATGATGATGCCCATTTGGTGACTTTGGGATTGCTGATATAATTCTGTTACTCAACAGAATACAAGGTTCCATAAAATTCCTGATGGAGAACGTGGAGTGAAAAGAAATTATCACAGAATTCCAACAGGGCTTGACGGCAGAATTATCTTTAGAAAACTAAGCCTGTATTAATAAAAAATCATAATATGAAAATATAACTTACATTTCTTGTCACTAACATTCCTCAATCTTGGTCTTTGGCATCCAGAAACTTTGTCTGCCAAAATATGTTCAGTGGGAACCCGTAGATATGTTCCTAAATGATATCTGAAAATGGGCCTTTCTGGGGTATGCGAGGCATAGGCAAATATCTCTGAAAAGAGAGAGGTTACTGACACTCAAACGAGTTACTTGGTAATAAAGAGTGTGATGGGGAGGTCAAATGTGGACAAGAGTTCCTTGAGTTTGATGCTGGCTTCCTGAAGTAGATGGATGTATGTATGGAAGGTAAATAAATGCGGAAATCTGCTTGGCAATTTTTTTCCTATATGTCCATTCATCTCCTGAGGCCAATTTTTTTTTTGAATCATGATCTCACTCTGTTTCCCAAGCTGGAGTGCAGTGACACAATCATGGCTCACTTCAGCCTGGAACTCCTGGGCTCAAGCAATCCTCCCAAGTCAGCCTCCCCGGAAGCTGGGATAACATATGCATGCCTGTCTTTTTTAATTAAAAATAAACAATCAAAGATTTCATTTTAAAATAACTTTGATATACATAAAGATGCAAACATAGTACAGCTAGTTTTACATACCCAGGAGTTTACTAGAATGTTAACATCTTATTCATATACCCATAGTGTATTTATGAAAACTAATAAATTTATAGTGGTATAAAACTATTAACTGAACTACAGACTTTCTTCTGAGTTTACCAGGTTTTCTAGTAATGCCATTTTTCTGTTCCAGAATCTAATCCAGGGTAGTAGTATAAATTAAAGGTACTATCTTTTGTATTAGTTATCAGTTGCTGCACAACAAATTGCCACATAGTGCGGTGGCTCACAACCACACGTACATTACTTACAGTTGCTCTGGGTCAGGAATCCAGATGTAGATGATGTCCAAGGCTGAGGTCTCAACTGAAGGCTCATCCAGAGAAGGATCCCCTCAAAGTTCATGTGATAGTTGTTAAGATTCCATTTCCTACCCTGGACTGATCACGGTGGGTCAAACTTGTAATACCAATGCTTTGGTAGGTTGAGGCAGGAGGATTACTTGAGGCTAGGGGTTCAGGACCAGCTTGGGCAACATAGTGAGAACCTGTTTCTACCAAAATAAAAAGAAAAGAAAACAAGAAAAAAGATTAGCCAGACATGGTGGCATGTGCCTGTGGCCCCAGCTACTCAAGTGGCTGAGGCAAAAGGATTGCTTGACCCCAGGTGTTCAAGTCTGCAATGAGCTACATTCATGCTACTGTGCTCAATCCTGGATGGAGTGAGACACTGTCTCTGAAAAAAAAAAAAAATTCCTGACTTGGTCAAGAAGACATCACCAGTGAATGATTTTACATCTTCAAATAATTAATACCAATTTATCATATATTTTTCAACAAATAAACAGTAAACCCCAAGCCTGTGGCACCTAGCAGTGAAATGAGGAGCAAGCAACCCAGCCAAGGATTTTGAGATAATGTGTTCTTGTCCCTCCATCCATCAGCCATCAGCACCTGCATTTCAAATTCCAGTTCCCAGAGAGGGAGGAAACTGGTGGCAGCCACATGTGCAGCACAGCAGTGTCGGCTCCAGCAACAGCCCAGTTCCCAGGGTGTGCCTCTGGCTTCACGGAAGTCACCTGCTGCACTGGTTTGCCAACTGTTTGTTTTTCTAAGTCCTCATCTGGGAATAGGTAACAACTTTAATAGTAATATTTAAATCCTTGTTTTGTTCAATTTTTAAGTTTTTAGAAACTCTGATTTTCTATTTTTTATAGATATTTATGAAGGCTCACAAAATGTGTCACATCAAATGTCTACAGGTTAGGTCTCCTAAGCATACAAACTAAATTGGCCTTAATGAAATACCAGAATTTAAATCTTGTATTTCTTCTAATTAATGAGCACCTGTTTGTCAACCCATATTTTCATCTTTCTCTATACTTGTAGGTAGTGTATTTAAAGAAAGAAATATGCAAAATAGTGAAAATCATATTAAAAAGAGTAATTTATCATCCACCTTTCTCTCTCCCTTTCTAGTGTATTGTAAATCTCCATCTATGTAGCCCAATCACATCTCTTTACTACTCTCATTTGGTTTTATTCACTTATACAATATAATTGTTTGCAAAGTCTGAAAATTAGCTTGAAAAAGTGTACTTTTTTCTCCTTTTTATGTGTTCAATTCTATTTGTGCTAAATAAATTTAGACCTTTCACATAAAAAACAGTAAGAACAACAGTGAAGAATGGATCAATTTCCAATGTGAATTATCAGCCTTATACCATAGATAGACAAAGTTACTGAAGAAAAACTATGATCAATATGACTTATGAACATAAACACAAAAATTAAAGGAAATACTATCAAAGCAAATAACAGACATGTAAAAATTCATAAATTTTGACGAAGGTATACATCTTACAAAGGCAAATTTGGTTCAACATACGAAAAGAATTAGTGCCATAAACTATATTAAGAGATAAGGGACACAATACACATGGCCATCTTAAAAGATGAGCAATAAGCACCTGCTAAAGTGAAATGTCATTCATTATAAAAACATGCAACAAGTTAGGCAAATAAGAAAAATTTCCTCATCATGAAAGCACAGAAAACCTCACATGACATCCTAAATGTTCTGAGAAGCTCAAACACTTTCTTGTAAAATTAGAAACAAGAGAAGGATATCACTTTCACAGTTTTATTCACCACTGTATTGGAGGATGTGGCCAAGGTAATTGGTGTAGAAAATAAATATAAAAAAGTCAGAGAAGTAGGCTTCAGAAGATCAAACTACTCCGAGCTAAAGGAGGAAGTTCGAACCAATGGCAAAGAAGTTAAAAACTTTGAAAAAAAATTAGAGGAATGGATAACTAGAATAACCAATGCAGAGAAGTCCTTAAAGGACCTGATGGAGCTGAAAACCATGGCATGAGAACTATGTGACGAATGCACAAGCCTCAGTAACTGATGTGATCAACTGGAAGAAAGGGTATCAGTGATGGAAGATGAAATGAATGAAATGAAGCTTGAAGAGAAGTTCAGAGAAAAAAGAATAAAAAGAAATGAACAAAGCCTCCAAGAAATATGAGACTGTGTGAAAAGACCAAATCTACGTCTAATTGGTGTACCTGAAAGTGATGGGGAGAATGGAACCAAGTTGGAAAACACTCTGCAGGATATTATCCAGGAGAACTTCCCCAATCTAGCAAGGCAGGCCAACATTCAAACTCAGGAAATAGAGAGAACGCCACAAAGACACTCCTCAAGAAGAGCAACTCCATGACACATAATTGTCAGATTCACCAAAGTTGAAATGAAGGCAAAAATGTTAAGGGCAGCCAGAGAGAAAGGTCGGGTTACCTACAAAAGGAAGCCCATCAGACTAACAGCTGATCTCTCGGCAGAAACTCTACAAGCCAGAAGAGAGTGGGGGCCAATATTCAACATTCTTAAAGAAAACAATTTTCAACCCAGAATTTCATATCCAGCCAAACTAAGCTTCATAAGTGAAGGAGAAATAAAATACTTTACAGACAAGCAAATGCTGAGAGATTTTCTCACCACCAGGCCTGCCCTAAAAGAGCTCCTGAAGGAAGCACTAAACATGGAAAGGAACAACCGGTACCAGCCACTGCAAAAACATGCCAAATTGTAAAGGCCATCAAGGCTGGGAAGAAACTGCATCAACTAACGAGCAAAATAAGGAGCTAACATCATAATGACAGGATCAAATTCACACATAACAATACTAATCTTAAATGTAAATGGGATAAATGCTCCAATTAAAAGACAGACTGGCAAATTGGATAAAGAGTCAAGACCCATCAGTGTGCTATATTCAGGAAATCCATCTCATGTGCAGATACACACATAGGCTCAAAATAAAGGGATGGAGGAAGATCTGCCAAGCAAATGGAAAACAAAAAAAGGCAGGAGTTGCAATCCTAATCCTAGTCTCGGATAAAACAGACTTTAAACCAACAAAGATCAAAAGAGACAAAGAAGGCCACTACATAATGGTAAAGGGATCAATTCAACAAGAAGAACTAACTATCCTAAATATATATGCACCCAATACAGGAGCACCCAGACTCACAAAGCAAGTCCTTAGTGACTTACAAAGAGACTTAGACTCCCACACAATAATAATGGGAGACTCTAACACCCCACTGTCAACATTAGACAGATCCACGAGACAGAAAGTTAACAAGGATATCCAGGAATTGAACTCAGCTCTGCACCAAGCAGACATAATAGACATCTACAGAACTCTCCACCCCAAATCAACAGAATATACATTCTTTTCAGCACCACACCACACCTATTCTAAAATTGACCACATACTTGGAAGTAAAGCACTCCTCAGGAAATGTAAAAGAACAGAAATTATAACAAAATGTCTCTCAGACCACAGTGCAATCAAACTAGAACTCAGGATTAAGAAACTCACTCAAAACCGCTCAACTACAAGGAAACTCAACAACCTGCTCCTGAATGACTACTGGGTACATAACAAAATGAAGGCAGAAATAAAGATGTTCTTTGAAACCAACGAGAACAAAGACACAATATACCAGAATCTCTGGGACACATTCAAAGCAGTGTGTAGAGGGAACTTTATAGCACTAAATGCCCACAAGAGAAAGCAGGAAAGATCCAAAATTGACACCCTAACATCACAATTAAAAGAACTAGAAAAGCAAGAGCAAACACATTCAAAAGCTATCAGAAGGCAAGAAATAACTAAAATCAGAGCAGAACTGAAGGAAATAGAGACACAAAAAAACCTTCAAAAAATTAATGAATCCAGGAGCTGGTTTTTTGAAAGGATCAACAAAATTGATAGACCGCTAGCAAGACTAATAAAGAAGAAAAGAGAGAAGAATCAAATAGATGCAATAAAAAATAATAAAGGGGATATCACCACCGATCCCACAGAAATACAAACTACCATCAGAGAATACTACAAACACCTCTACGCAAATAAACTAGAAAATCTAGAAGAAATGGATAAATTCCTCGACACATACACCCTCCTAAGACTAAACCAGGAAGAAGTTGAATCTCTGAATAGACCAATAACAGGCTCTGAAATTGTGGCAATAATCAATAGCTTACCAACCAAAAAGAGTCCAGGACCAGATGGATTCACAGCCGAATTCTACCAGAGGTACAAGGAGTAACTGGTACCATTCCTTCTGAAAAAAGGAGGTTTGTTTTAAAATTTGGGGGTCAGGAGAAAAAAATGTTAGCTCTTTGGCTAATGGATTTGCCTCCCTCTAGGCCCCTCAGAAGAAATTTAGTACAAAGAATGGCAGTCAGAATTCAGTTTTCAGGCCCCCCTTATCTGAGGTGTACTTGTCAGCAGATGCATTTGGTGGGGGTCTAGGTTTATGAAAAATGACTCAGGAATGCATGTTAAGATGTGATCTTTGGAACAAAACAAACGTCTTCTGACTGTAACTTCCTTGGCGATTGTTTAGGCTACTATTACCTTCTTGCTTATCAAGTTCCTCATTTCTTTCTCAGCGCTAGCTAGGTACAAGGGATTTCCCTTGAAGGGACTCATGATTTTCCTTTATTTCCCTGCTTGGGGAAGCTACAGGCCCCTAACAAAGGGTCCCTGCTCCATCACAGGATCTTACCCACTCTGTCTACCGACTCACATTTCAGACCTTTCTGGTGAAACCTCACAAACCAGAAGTAAAGCTTTGCCAGTGTTCTAGGTATTCCTTAATACAGTTAGTTGACTCCTAAAACTAAACATCACATTGGGTTTTGGAGTGTCACCCAAGCAGGTTTCTCATGAGGAGTTCAAATTGCTGGGTTAAGGTGAAGCAACCATGATTTCCATAGAGTCAAACTGTGACTGAGAGGTGGAGAGGTGGTTACTGCCGAATATCTGTGCAGTTCCCACAGGGGACAGTGAGATGAGATAAAGGTGGTATTCAGCTGTCTTATATGGACAGCTTATATGGACAGCTTATAAAACCTTGAGCAGGTTTTATAAGGGGCTATGTTCAATGACCACCTTGAGGAACATGGAGGAGGCCACAAACTGGAAAATGTCATGGATTTCTAAACCCTATTTCTGGTATGAGAATGTCAAAATTATGTAGAAAATGAATGCCCAGGTTACATCAAATTAAAACAATTCACAGCAACATTTAAAATAGGAATTCTAGTAGCCCAATAACTCTCTCTCTAATCCTGAGGTAGCAGGTAAATCTAGTTGTTCAACTAATTTGAAACTATAGTTAAGCATGTTTTTGCAGTAATAGACCAGAATATATATGATGAGCCAACAAAATTTTATACTGAGAAGGGGGCAGTCACAGAGAAAAAATAGTGTGTTCCATTCATTTTATAAGGCATATTTTTACATCTTCCAAATAGAGATGGATCATAATATTCTGAAAAGACTATTGGTTAGAAGACAGTCATAATGTGATCAACTTTCTGTGCACACACGTGAACTTGATGTAAAAAACTTCCATTTTCACATTCTGGTGGTATCTTTAACATCATAACTTGGAGAGGGACGTTAGTAGATGAGAAACAATCTAACATAAACTCTTATAGTTCTCTCACTACAAATATGGCATCTGCAAAGCTCCTAATTAGCAGAGATGATGCTAATGTAGGAAGAATCCATGGACAAGGTGAGACGCACAGTGATTTAGAAGAGTTTTATCCAAATATGAGAAATTTTAGAAAACCTTGATTACCTATTTTGCTTTTACTTTCTATCTCATATGATCATAGGAGTGATAAAACATAAATACACACATTTATATTCAAAAGTGTAAAAAGTAAAGTAGAGATTCCTCTTCAAAGACTTTCCTCCCCATCTCATTAGGAATACATAGTAACTTCTCTTAGAAGCAAAATTTATTCAAAGACCTGTGCTAACATTCTTAAATATCTGCTAGCCGTAATAAAGAAATGAATGTACTTTATGTTCTTAGTTCCCACAATTTAGCCTAAATATTTCCCCTGGCATGCTTATACTGGTCCAAGCAAGCATTAGGTCATAGCCTGTTCCTCTTCCTTATTTGAAGGTGTTTTTACCTTTCTCCGGATTCCAAAAGTTACTTCCTCCTTCCTTTGTTCTCCTCTGCCTTTGCCTCTTTTAAAAAGTTCTAAGTTGCTAGCCAGTTGGGACAAATATAGAATGTGAGGTCCTGTTCCAGCCAATGGAAACCGGACACAGCAGTAGGGTGGAAGCATCAGGTTATAAATGACCATGTCTCTTTTGTTCGGTGTACTCTCATTGCAAAACTGCTGGTGAGTGTACCCTTTCTGCAGAAAATATAAAAATGGCCTTGCTGAGGAAATGATATTCAAGTGGTATTTCTTTATGGCACCAAGGAACAGGCATTTCAAACAAAAAGTGTTATTTGCCACATATATGAGATAAAATTTTTGTGATGTCATAGTTTTTCAATAGTTTTATGCTTTTATTGTGATGTAAAATAATGATGTATTTTACAGTTGATACATACGATACTTCTTGCAATTACTTGGAAAAAGCTGTCACTAGTAGCAAATATTGACTTAGTGTTTAGTGCAGAACTATGTAAAACAAAAATGACTGACACAGATCTCATTCAATTCAGAGAATTATTTTGCCATGTTTAAGGATAAAGAAACACAAGTCACAGTAGGCTCTGTGGCCTGTGCTTTTTCCAAAGAAGGTTTTGCTGACTTCCATATTTATAGAGGTGAGACCAGGGAGGAGTGGATGGAGGATAAAGAAAGGGGGGAAAGACAGCGAGGCAAGTGTTACATCCAAATTAGCACTCACTGCATCCAGAGGTTGCATGTGTAAAGAGGAATGGGGTAAAAGTTAATTGTGCATTTGTCTTGTGCGTGGTAGATCTACATTTTACATAAGATAGGCAAACTTGTGAAATTACAGCTGACTCTTTGGGAACAAAAGGAAGGTAGTATTAGCATGACTCAGTTTCCAACTTTTCCTTTGGCACAGTGAGTTTGGGGTCCCAAAATTTTATTTTCCTTGTTCTTCAAAATATTTCAGAGAAAGCATTTTAGAAGAAAATGAGTGTTTGGTTATATTTTTTCCCTAATCTTTCAACATTAGGATGGTTTATTCCTAGAAAGTTAGGATCTACATTTTTAAGGAGACTCATTCTAGAAGGTTGTGAAGAAATAGGGGGAATAAAAAATAAAGGGAAAAGATAAGAAAAAAGAGACACAGCTGGATTATAGCAACAAAGTAGAAAGCAATCCTTGAAAACTGATAGACTATATTACAGAGCAGTCCATATATAACTAGATAGTCCTGAAATCTTTTATGTAAATAAATAAGATGCTGTTGTTTCTCCCAAAGTTTAAGTTTTCTAGTTTCAGTGTGCAGGGCTTTACACAAAGCACAGTTTTAATTTCTACTAATTCCAAGTCAGAAAAAAATGGGAAAAAAAAATAAAACATTGAAAATGTTAGTTTGGAGACTTGTAACCGGCAAAGAATTTAGGATCCAGTCTAGCTAAATTGTAGGCAAATAATAAAACTGGAAAGCAATGAACAGGGCTAGAATCCAATAAAGGATGTACTATAGTTTCATTTGAAATACATTTTTCTTTCTATAGTCTTCCATTTTTACTAAAGAAAAATCATAGTAAGACCAACTTATTTCCAAAGTAAGTTTTCGTTTTATTGTACTTGGCCTGATTATTTTCACAAAGTGCAGCAAGGATATTTTTTTTTCCATATAGGCTCTTTTAATTTGGCATTGATGGAACTTTTTTTTTAAACAAAGTGTCTAAGATTTGACTTTTCAAAAAGCCCCTCAAGCTCAAACAAGGATTTATTGTGCCTGCAAATAACTTATGAACTGGGTGAATTCCTCTCATCTTGAGGTCGCAAGATTACTTGGAGTTCCTAGGCCTGTCAGAAGGTAACATGCTTTTCTTACCACAGGTTAGAAAATCTGTAGAGAAGGTACAAGGCCAGTCTCTCCAAGGGAATTTTATTGGCTCTATTATTCAACCTAAATTTGTCAAAGCAATCTGCTCATAGATGAAAATATGCTATTCCAGCCAAAGCCTTGGCAAGGTAACTACTGTCTCCAATTGTATCATGATACAAAAAAAAATATCATATCGATCATATGCAAATAACTTATAATACCATAAATTAAGAATATTCAGAAATAATTCTAATATGTCTTAGTATATGTTATCAGTAATAATTATGATTATTACGCTGAATTGTTATGTGTCACAGAAATGACCAGATTTCTTTGTTGACTGTGTCTTTAACAATGGCCTCATTGGACACAGTGACTCATGCCTGTAATGTCCTCACTGGGCACAGTGGCTCATACCTGTAATCCCAGAACTTTAGGAGGCTAAGTTGGGAGGATTGCTTGAGCTCAGGTGTTTGAGATCAGCCTGAGCAAGATAGTGAGAACTTTTCTCTACAAAAAAGTCAAAAAATTAGTTGGATGTGGTAGCACTTGCCTGTGGTCCCAGCTCCTCTGGAGGCTGAAGAAAGAGGATTGCTTGATTCCAGGAAGGTGAGACTACAGTGAGCCATAATTGTGCCACTGCACTCCAGCCTGCGTGGCTTCAGACCCTGTCTCAACAAAATCAAAGTAAAATTAATAAAACAATGGCTGTCCTGAGATTACTGTCACCCACAGATTATTGTGCTCTTTTTTTTTTAAACTATTCAAAATGTGTTTGCTCTTTGAAATGTTCTCTTGAATACAGGTTTCTGATAACTAAAGATTGTGGCATTGAAATAGGAAAAAAACAAAACCAAACAAACAAACTTCCAGGACTGTCAGAGATAGCTGGTATGTTTATGAGGACTGCAGGCCTAATGTCAGACAAAGTTAACTGCATGGACTGAACTAATAGAAGAAATAGAACACCACAATAATCCTTTTATGACTTGTTGCTTGAAATGTTGCTGATCTTTTTTGTTGTTTTTCAGAGTCAAGACAACATTTTTTCTTCTCAGCTACTTACAGCTTTTCATGATTGAGTAAAGTATATTCCTGTGAACAAAAGATGAAGGATATTTCATTTTCTCTACTTGATTTCTCCAGAATTTGAAAACTATTTATTTATGAGTATTCTATACTATGGAGATATAGTTATTGACATAAGTAAAATAAGAATCTGATTTCTTTTGTAAGAGAACACAATTGGAGACACTGATTATTTTACCAAAGATGTGATGATGTTACCAGTGGAATGGCCTACTTTCAGATACAAACAGACAGGCTTGAGGAATTAAAGTTGACTAACAGACATGATAAAAGCCCCTTAAGAAACTGACCTCATAACTGTCTACACAGGCCTTGTACAGGGTTCCTGACCTGTGGTTAGTAAAAAATGTCACATTCTGACAGGCCTATGATTCCTAAATTATCTTGGGAGCTGAAGAAGAGAGAATTTCAAGCAATCTGTACAAGTATTTGCAGGCACAGATACATCCCTTGAAGGCTTTAAAAAAGTCCAATCCAAGATTCCTTAGGGAACAAAGTTCCAGCAAACCCAATTTAGAAAGAGCTAATATGGCAAATAATTATTCTTGCTGAACTTTACGCAAATAATCAGGCTAAGTATAATAATACCAAAACTTATTTTGCAAATAAATGTGTCCTACTATGATATGTCTTTAAAAAATGAGAACTAGAGAGCGAAACATTGTATTTCAGAAAAATACTATAGCACACCTGTTGTTACATTCTAGTCTTGTCTATTGTTTTTAAGCTTTTTATTGTTTTCTGCATTTTGTACTGAATCCTGAAATCTCTCAGAGCTAAAGTCCTCAAACTAACACATTCACATTTTTCTTCCACTTTTCTGACCTGGACTCAATGAAATGGCTACGAACTTCTTCCCAAGGCCCTGCAGGCTGAAGCTTATCCCTTGAGATACAGATGCGAAATATGTGAGATTGTCATCACTATCCTCCTTTGCAACTTAAAAATGCTTTGAATCTAACATCTGGATGCATTGTGCCCAATATAAATCTTTGTTATTATTTTCTATTTCCATACAAATGCCTGTTATTAAAAATGTTTTTTGCCTTAATCACATAAGGGGGCCTAGTTCATTTGCAGTGACGCCTCCTGGAATGAAACACTGCTGGGATCTATTCTGAGGACTAGGAAACTAACTAAAAAGATATGAGATGGTATATTTAAATTTGCTCTTTCCTGTTTATCCAAATTTGTCTTTCTAACAATCTCTCACCCATATCTCTCTTGACTATTGACCCCATGTCTGACTGGTTCTTGGCGCTATTCACCCAAATCGCTCAGGGATTTAGATGAATTATATAAGGACTTCTGAAGCTAGGACTTCCACTCCTTATATTAGGACTCATTATCCTATAGTCAGCTGTTCACTTAAGTGCTGTACTAAAACTGTGGATGAGAGCACTAACATCTTGGTCATGCAAGCCTAGGAACCCCAACCAGGCACCTGTGAATACATGCAGGCAGCTGCAAAGCAGTTTCATTCCATTTACTCTGGGCCAAACCCTATCCCAAGTATACCCCTTGTCAGCAGGAAGAAGTTAGAATGGTCTTTGGCCTTTTCCCAACTCTGTACCTCACCCATTAAGAATAAGATGCAATGAAACTTGCAAGGGGAAATTGGAATCACGTTTGCAAAAACAGTAACAGTAAGAAAATTATGATAGGGAGAGAGATATGACCTAAGTGACTTCATCTTGCATTTAACCTCCAAGAGGCCTTTGCTGATTCCTGGGCAAAAACAAACTAACTTCGGGAGAAATTTACTTTGTAGCTTAACTTTGAAACAAAGATAATGACAGCTCCTCCCTGAAACAAAACCCCTCATTGTTTGGGGACCACATCAACTTTGTAAAACTAACAAATTAACCACAATATTAGAAAGTATGGCTCAGGAGTCATACAATCAGAGGCCACAATATTAATAACCTCCCCGATTGCTCCTATAAATAGCATTACTATTGTAAAACCTAAGATTGGTGTTTGAGGTATTTTTCATAACTTGCATTCTGACAGATCAGTGGGTGCCACCTAAACCCATAAACTGGCTCATCTGGATACGTGGCCCACACTCAGGAGCTGAAGTCAGTAAAGAAGATGGCTTTGACTTCCTAAGATTTCGTCCCTGACCCAACCAATCAGCATGTCCCTTTCTCTAACCCCTGCCCACAAAACTATCTATAAAAACTCTAGCCTCTGAATATTTGGGGAAGCAGTTTTGAGTAATACGAAAACTGCTCTCTCCTTTAGCTGGCTCTACATGTATAAAATCTTCTCTACAGCAATTCCCCTATCTTGATAAAGTGACTCTATCTGGGCAGCAGCCAACATGAACCCACTGACCATTAACAACCCAACTGCTGAATTTTGTATGAAGATAACTTGTTTTGATTTCATGGGCTGACAGAGGAGACTTTAGATTTGGGAACTTCCTGCTGGTGCTAGAACAATTTAAGCCTTTGAACGATAGGAATTAAATAAACTTTTTGTAAGTGACAGGGCTTTATTTTTAGAGTCAGAAGTGGAGTCCTCTGGTTGGAATATTGCTTCCCTCCAAAATTTATGCTGAAATTTCATCCCTAACATGGCAGTACTGAATTGTGAGACCTTTAAAATGTGACTGGATCATGAAGAGTTTGACCCCATAAATGAATTAATCCTTTCATGGATTAATAAATTAATATTTAAAGATTAATAGTCTACTATGAGAGAAGAGTGGCTTATAAGAAGGGAGACATGATCTTGCATGTCAGCAAGCTCTACTCCATTGCCATACGCTACCCTGTAGGTTTCAGAACTCTTCAGAGAGTCCCAACCAGGAACAGGATCTCGCCACATACAACGTCTCAACCTTGGACTTTTCAGCCTCCATAACTGTATGAAACACATGTGTTTTCTTTATCAACTACCCAGTTTCAGGTATTCTGTTATAAGTAACAGAAAATGGACTAAAACAAAGTCTTAGTATTACTATGCCCTGTTATTAAGTTCAATGGAATATTACAACCATTCCAGACAAGAATACAAATGATCCAGATCTTTCAGGAATGAAGGTTTGCATCACCCTGCCAGGTAAAGACCCAGGACCAGCAGAGGGGCTTGCTGAAGACAAAGAGAATACTGAATGGGTAGCAGTAGAAGGGAGTTACAAATAGCAGACAGGACCAGGTGACCAGTTAAAGAAACAAGGATTAAAATTGTCACTAGTATTTCCTATCTACTTTAAGAATACATTTGCATGTTATATATACATTTATTAGCCAAATAACATTGTTTTTATTTCTCTCTTCTTTTATCACATAACACAAGAATGCATTAACTTGATATTAGCAGTTAAGTGTTAGTAATTTAATATATTTGTATTGAAGTTATGGGGTATCAGAAGAGTAAACATCACCCACAAACTTCTACTACTCTTAAGAAAAATAGTATAGTGTGTTCTGGTTGCACACAGGATCGTTGCATAATGTTAGGTAGAACTATTGCCTTGTTATTGTCTGTATTTGAAGATTAGTTATGGCTTAAGGTGACACATATAGGTGCCAACTAGAAAGGTGCTGGATTTGTCATGGTTAATTTAAGACGCTGACTGGATTACAGAATACCTACAGAATTGGTGAAGCATTACTTCTAGGTGTGTCTGCCAGGGTGTTTCCAGAGGAGATTGGTGTATGACTCAGGGAATTTAGTGGAAAAAAATCCACCCTCAATGGGGGAAGGCAGCATACAATCTCCTTGGGGACCAAATAGAACCAAAAATGAAAAATTTTTAAAAAGTCTTCCTGTCTCTCTCTCCTGAAGAAGGTATACTCCTTTTCCTGCCCTTGGAAAACAGAATTCCATGATCTATGGCCTTGAAACTCCAGAAGTTACACCAGTAAATGCCCTGGATTCTCAGGCCATTGGTCCCAAACTGAGAATTACACCAAGGGCTTCCCTGATTCTGAAGATTTCAGCTTTGGACTGAGCCACCACGCTACAGCATCCAAGGTCCTTAAACTCACAGATGGCTGTCTCGGGAATGCTCCGTCTCTACAATGTTACATGAGTAAATCCCCAAACAAAATGCCGCTCATTGAACTATTATCTATCTATCAACTCTCCATCTATATATGTATCTATCTACCTACCTATCTACCTCCCTGTCTCTCTGGAAAAAAAAAACAACTGACAAATACACCCATAAAGACTTCAGCCAAATGGTGCAATACTATGTCTGTCTCTAGTTGCTCCTCCACCACCCCTGCTGCTTATGAGTGTATGTCCTGGAGAGCTCTTCTCTTTCCATCTGCACTTCAAGGAATGCTGCCCTCTTCTTACTGGGATTGGTTAGTAATACATGACTCATGCCATTATACACATTTTGTTGAGTTGCCTCCTCTGTATTTCACTTTATGAACACACATGGACATCACTTTTCTCCCACTTAGCACTCTCCTAGAGAGTGGTTACCTTGGTAGAAATAAACTAGACACAGGTCAGACAGGAGCCACAGGGTGTCTTACAGTATAAACAAGTACTCTGTGAGAGGGATACCTGGATGTAAGCTGGACGGTTGGGCTTTAGGCCATCGACCAGGATAAGTAAGCATCCCATGAAAGGCACAGCCAGTACCAAACCCTGAGTCGTATTGGGCAAGGTTATAGGTTATAGTCACCATCCAGAGAGGCCTTAACAGCAAACAGAAGTAAAAATAAAACACATGCTGTGAAATAACACACATGCTGCGAGATAATTTTATAAACTATAGTTCCAGGAATCCTTGAGAGGGAAAGTAAAACTGGCAAGGCATTATTTGAAAGTTTGCACTGGAGTGGTAGCTCTCCAAAGATAAACAAAAATCTCAGGCCAGGTGCGGCGGCTCACACCTGTATTCCCAGCACTTTCGGAGGCTGAGGCGGGCGGATCATGAGGTCAGGAGATCCAGATCATCCTGTCTAACATGGTGAAACCCTGCCTCTCCTAAAAACACAAAAAAATTAGCTGGGCATGGTGGCGGGCGCCTGTAGTCCCAGCTGCTGGGGAGGCTGAGCCAGGAGAATGGCGTGAACCTGGGAGGAGGCGCTTGCAGGGAGAAGATCACGCCACTGCACTCCAGCCTGGGTGACAAAGTGAGACTCCGTCTCAAAAAACAAAACAACAAAAAATCTCTATCTAGAGGATTTCAGACCTAATCATAGAAATATAAACAATGATCTCTGTAACTTATTCATTTATTTATTTAATGGGGTTTCACTATGTTGCCCAGGCCGGAGTGCACTGGTTATTCACTGGCACAAGCATAGCACGCTACACAGCCTCAAAATCCTGGTACCACATGTTCATCCTACCCACCCACCCTAGCAGCTGGGACTGACTACAGGTGTGTGCCACCACACTTGCACGGATACAATTTTTAAATCAAGAAAGTTGCACTTCTTTTTCTTCTTTCCCATAGTCATTCTAATCATGTGAAGAATGATCATACAAATCATTTTATGATTAGTTACTGCAGATGTAGATGCATTATAGTTTCCATACAATCTTTTATGCTGTCCACTTGTTACTTGGATCAACTTTGTTTTTGAATACTTGAGAAGAAGAATGGGCTTTAGCGTTCCCTGAAGAAGAGAGTAAAATAGAAACTCATCTGATTTATATTTTATAATATTATTGCATTTGTGCCATGAGATTTAGGTTCCATGAAGGCTCAATTAAGTTAACAGGGAGACCTGATCTCAAATATATGAGCCATGTCTACACTTCTATTTATTTTGAAATAATTTTAGATTAACAGAGAGTTGTTAAAACCTTACATAAAGTTGTATATACCCTTCAATTTCCTATTATATTAATATCACAACAGAACCATAGACTATCTATGAAAACTCAAGAACTGATAAAGGCGCAAAACTATTAACTAAAGTACTGACTGTCTTCATATTTTACCAGGTTTTCCACTAATGCCATTTTTCCTTTTTTTGGATCTAATCAAGGATAACATATTATGTTTACCGTTAAGTGTATTATTGTTTATTGCAGCATAGCCAATAACCACATAACTTAGTGGCTCAAAAGCACATACAAATTACTCACAGTTTCTCTGAGTCAGGAATTCAGATGTAGATGATGGCCAAGGCTGAGGTCTCACCTGAGGATCAGCTGGGGAGGAATCATCTTCTAAGTTCTCGTGATTGACCTGGTTGAGAAGACTTCACTGATGATTTATATGAAACCCTTAAAATATTAACAGCAATTTTTTACTAACTGTTCTCCAAAAAGATAAAATAATAGAGAAGAGATCAGTGTGCAATACATTCTATGAGGCAGTTTCCTCTGAGGCCACTACCAAACAAAAACAGTCCAAAAAAGGAAAACTATAAACTCATATGCTTTATGGATACCCAAGCAATAATTCTCGAGGAAATAGTCTGAACACAGATCAGGATCGTAAAACAGAATTAAACACTAATTTATTTATTTATTTTCTCAGGATCACAAGTTTGGTAAAACATATAAAAAGAATTAGTGTAATCACTATATTAATATAATAAATGACAAAATTTTCTTTATCACATCTAAAGATATGGAATAAGCACTTTCCAATTCAAAAAACCACTCACAGTAAAAACACTAAACAAATTTTGCATAAAGGGAATGTTCTTACCTAACACAGGCACCCATGAAAAATTCACATGACAACACATGGTATCAAGTAGGTCTCAGTAATTTTCCCAAAATTACAAACACAAAAGGTTATCTATTCCACTAATTCAACTAAACATTATGCCTGAGGATGTAATTTATAAAATTAGGCTGGAAAAATAAATATAAGACTTCCAAATTGAAAGGGAAGAAGTCAAACATCTATTGGCCAGTGACATAATCTAATGTATAGAAAATCCTAAAAAATTCACTAAAATAAGGTTGGAACAAAAAAAAATTCAGTATGCATGATCGATGTAATAAATTGCATTCTTATACAATAGAAACTAATCAAATAATGAAACTCAGAAAGTAATTTCATTTAACATGGCATCCAAAAGGAAATATATTTGAAAATAATATAACTGCAAGATATATATACTGAAAATTACAAATGATATTGAAGTATTAAAGAAATCCTAAATAAATGAATAAAAGAATTAGTGTAATATACTATATGAACTACATTTTCATTGATCAGAAAGCTATTAAGTATTAACCAAGATGCTTATACTTTCTAAATGCATCTTCAGATTCAATACAAGCCCTACTAAAATTCTAACTTTAATTTTTTTTCATTTTTAGCAACTCTTGGACCACTGACTCTAAAACGCACAGAAAAATGCAATTGATCCAGAACAGCCCAAGGAATGTTAAATATTTTTTACAGAAACACAAATGACATTTATAGAAGTATGTATGTGCTGTGCATAGTGATGTTTTTTCCAAAAGGTACAACATGAGAAGGGGAATAATATTAATTTTATAGTGGAGAAAACTGAGCTAAACTGCCTCATCCGTGTGATCAAATAACATTAACCATGATAAAGCAGCTGGGCACAGTGGCTCACACCTGTAATTCCAGCACTTGGGAGCCTGAGGTGAGAGGATCGCTTAGGGCCAGGACTTAGAGACCAGCCTGAGCAATGTCGTGAGACTCTGCCTCTACAAAAGTACAAGTAAAATTAAATCACCCAGATGTGGTGGCACATGCCTGTAGTCCCATCTACTCAAGAGGATGAGGTGGAGGATCATTCAAGCCCAGGAGTTCGAGGCTGCAGCGAGCTTTGTTCATGCCACTGCACTCCGGCCTGAGCAACAGAGTGAGACCCTGTCTCAAAAAAAAAAAAAAAAAAAAAAAAAACTGATACAGCATGTTGACACTATGTACTCTTGTTATAATATCATGAGAATAAAAGTTTCCCTCTGTGGGTTTCCTCTGCTAAATCCACAACAGCCATCCAATCATTAAGAAAACACCAGAGACATCCCAAAGGAAGGATTTCAATGATATCAGAAATAAGGAAAATCTGAGAAACTGGCACACGATACCTAAATGTGATGTGGTGTCCTGGGCGGAATCCTGGAACAGAATATGGACGTTAGGTGAGAACAGAACATCTGATTAATTGTGAATGTTGCTGAATGATAATGTATAATATTGGTTCATCAATTGCAACAAATGTCTCAAATGAATGTAAGAATTTATAAAAGGGAAATTATGTGTTGAATATATATAAACTCTCTGTATGTACTTCTAACTATTCTGTAAATCCAAGCTATTCTAACACAGACTTAAAAAATAAATAAAATATATATATTTTAAAAATTACACTATTGAGCTTACTAAGCAGAACACTGTCGATCTCGTAGTGTCCCAGGTGCTCACCTCCCCATTCCCATGCTTTTTGTTACCCTGGTGAACATTACCATTATTTTTAATTTTCCTTTTCCCATTCGCAAACTTTTCTTTCTTAGTTTTGGTCTCTAAATTTGTATTTGTTAATAATGTCCTGTTTGCTGTTTCTTCTCTTCACAAATAGATAATTACATGTCTCTCTCTATATTGCTCAGTAAAATTATGAGAAACATTCATAGAAATCTGGATTTTGATACATTTTACAAACTATGTGACCTGTTTTCTCACAAAGTGAGGACTGAGAACCTGTCCCAGATTAAGCAAGACCTGACGTTGGCAGGTGAACTCTCAGATGGTGCACAATGATCCTCACAGCTTAATTAGAATATCTAATCCTTTCCTTGTGACTTTGGGGAGAAACTGAAACTTGCTTTGATATATCAGAAGACTACAACCTGATAGGATGTCACTTGGGTAATCATGTTACCTAAGATTATGATACCTGTCTTGCTGCAAGCTCTCTGTCATGGTGGCTTTGATGACACATTCTGCCATGGGAGAGAAGCCAACATGGGAAATAACTGCATGCAGCCTCTGGCCACAGACAGCAAAAAACTGAGGCTCCTCATCCAGTGTCCTCCCCTAGAGGTTGCAATTTATATTTACTACTAATCTAAGCTCCTGTCATATAAAAGTATACAGCCTCAGAAGTAGTGTAACCATCTTATAAAAGAATAGTTCTAACTATTTCTTCCTTTTTCCTGTATTTTTTCTTTTCTCCCTTTTTTCCTTTCATTTTACTTATATGTATATATATACACACATATCTAGATATATCTTATACTTAGGAAAATATAATTAAATTAATTGCTGCTTTGTTTTTTTTTTTGAAACAGAGTCTTGCTCTGTCACCCAGGCTGGAGTGCAGTGGCACGTTCTGAGCTCACTGCAACCTCTGCCTCCCGCATTCAAGCTATTCTCCTGCGTCAGCCTCCTGAGTAGCTAGGATTACAGACATACATCACAATGCCCAGCTATTCTTTGTATTTTTTCTTTTTTAGTAGAGATGGGGTTTCACCATGCTGGCGACGCTGGTCTCAAACTCCGGAACTCAGGTGATCCACCAACCTCGGCCTCCCAAACTGCTGAGATGTTATAGGCCTGAGCCACTGGGCCTGGCCTTGCTACTATTTTTTTTGAAAGGCACCTGTCTGCTATTGAATATAATTATATTAAATAAGCTCTTATATGTAAGATCAATTAAGAATATGAAAATTAAAAGTTTTTATCTTGAGTAACCAATAAAAAAGTATAAAAAAGTCTGAGATGCTAAGAAAGAAGATTGAATTATATGAAATGCTGAATAAAAACCACAAAAAAAGGAAAATGAATGGAAGACAAAAATGGAAACAGGGAAGCGCAAAAACTAGAAGATTCTAACAAACATGGTGGATATTCATCCAACTATATCAATCATCACTTTGAAAAAGTGTCAACACCTAATTCAGAACAATCACAATCAGAATACCAAGATACGTGTGAATTTATGAATTAATTTCAATATTGCTTTCATTTTTATATGAATAAAGTGTAAATTTAAAATTCTAGAAGGACTTTTTCAATAAAGGTAAATAAGTCTGTTATGTGTATAAGAGTTGAGACAGAGATATTATTCTTTTTTTGAGATCCTTCTTCAGTCTTTGATTCATTAACATACTGTGGATGTCCCCAACGAGACTACTACAGACATTACATATTTACCAATCTGAGCTTCCCTTTAGTGATACAAAGGCCTGCTCGCTTGTCCATCTTTGTCTGTGAGTTTGGTGAACGTTGTTCCTTACTCAGCTTCACATTGACAAGTATATCCATATAGGCGGTGGTACAGTAATGATTGCGTAATTGCAGGAAGAATGAAACAAAATGTTGTGGAAAAACTTATGGCAATTGGACATGGCTTATCACAGGTAAAAATGGACGATTTATCTGGAAGGATGGATTGCAAGACAGCGCACATCAAACAATGAAGGACAGTGACATCTGAGAGACGTGAAACAATGAGGGCTACTGTTGCCTCAGGTTACTGCTTGGGGAGAGTTTCCAGGCTGTGGTGTGGCACGGACTCTGGAAGACCCTCAGAGTTGAGAAGATGGAACTGACAGTCTGGAGAAAGAGGTGGCTGAATTTCATGAAGCCATTCTCCATGGCTGCACGAGGAGGGAGCACGCATGCCAACAGCCATGCAGGCCGGACTGTGGTGCCATCATTACTCCACTGAGACATGGTTCACAGGAGTACTGGCGCAGTACAGAAACAAAAAGCAAAGATTGAAAGTAAAGTAATTTAAATGAATTATTTAATAAACAGTAATTCCCCTTTATGCTTTCATCTAATTTCTGACTACAAAAAGACAAAGTTTTCCATGACTCAGTGATCTTGCATCCAACCCAAGAATGAAGGAATACACACTGTTTAGAAACAAAGTAAATGGTGTGTTAGGTAGATTCAGTCACCCTGTGTGGACACCAACCTGCCTTTCCTATGTTATCCTGTTAGTTGTGGCTGGTAAAATCACTACATTACGAAATAATTAAAGTATAGTTTTCTACTTATAAGAGAACAATACATTTGTCACCAAAAGGAGAAGCCAATAAAGGTTTCTTCCTTCATTGATTTTCCTTAAAAAAATCTCCAGTTTCCTTTGCATCTTAAAAATATTTTTTCTCTTTTGGGTGATCATGATGTGTCAATGTAGGTTCATCAATTGTGTAACAGTGGTATCACATTGTTGTTTTAACTTGCATTTCCCAAATGACATACAAGGTAGAGCATCTTTTTGTATGCTTATTTGCTATCTGAATATCTTCTTTGGAGAGGCATCAGTTAAGGCCTTTGGCACATTTAAAAAATCAGGCTGTGTGCTTTCTTATTGTTGAGTTTTTTTTTTTTTTTTTTTTATTATACTCTAAGTTTTAGGGTACATGTGCACATTGTGCAGGTTAGTTACATATGTATACATGTGCCATGCTGGTGCGCTGCACCCACTAATGTGTCATCTAGCATTAGGTATATCTCCCAGTGCTATCCCTCCCCGCTCCCCCGACCCCACCACAGTCCCCAGAGTGTGATATTCCCCTTCCTGTGTCCATGTGATCTCATTGTTCAATTCCCACCTATGAGTGAGAATATGCGGTGTTTGGTTTTTTGTTCTTGCGATAGTTTACTGAGAATGATGGTTTCCAATTTCATCCATGTCCCTACAAAGGACATGAACTCATCATTTTTTATGGCTGCATAGTATTCCATGGTGTATATGTGCCACATTTTCTTAATCCAGTCTATCATTGTTGGACATTTGGGTTGGTTCCAAGTCTTTGCTATTGTGAATAGTGCCGCAATAAACATACGTGTGCATGTGTCTTTATAGCAGCATGATTTATAGTCCTTTGGGTATATACCCAGTAATGGGATGGCTGGGTCAAATGGTATTTCTAGTTCTAGATCCCTGAGGAATCGCCACACTGACTTCCACAATGGTTGAACTAGTTTACAGTCCCACCAACAGTGTAAAAGTGTTCCTATTTCTCCACATCCTCTCCAGCACCTGTTGTTTCCTGACTTTTTAATGATTGCCATTCTAACTGGTGTGAGATGATATCTCATAGTGGTTTTGATTTGCATTTCTCTGATGGCCAGTGATGATGAGCATTTCTTCATGTGTTTTTTGGCTGCATAAATGTCTTCTTTTGAGAAGTGTCTGTTCATGTCCTTCGCCCACTTTTTGATGGGGTTGTTTGTTTTTTTCTTGTAAATTTGTTTGAGTTCATTGACACATCATGATCACCCAAAAGTGAGCAGAAAGGTAAACAAAGCCTCTTTCTTGTGAATGTGAAGAAATGAGAGTAGGATAAAGAGTGTAAAAGTATTAAGAAAAGAATTACTAAAACAAATCAAGCTTTCCCTGGATCACTTCCTATGAAGACATATACAATTCCTCTTTTTAAAAGAAAATTTACCTAAAACCACAATGCATGTATAGTTACCACTTTCCATGGCAGTTCTGATGACATATAAAAATACATTTGAATTGGATTCTGTAAAGCATGTAATTTAAACATTGGTACAACGCTCTAAGTGGGTTTATAGAATCCATGGGTCTAACATATAGGTGAAATCATGTTACGATGGAATTCTTTCAATTATTCAGGTAATTTTATCCCAAACCATGCTCTGCTTACTATAATACTAAGGTGCTGTTATTCAGTGAAATGCTGTTTCTCACTGCTTTTTGTTATTTTCATTGTAAATAAATTCAAGAGCACTACAACTAAAAAAAAAAAAAAAAAAAAAAAAAAAAAAATATTTTTTCTCTGTTCTTCACTACATGAATGCCCCAGGCTATGTAGTTTGCATGAAGTATAGGGTTGCTCTTTAGACACAGTGAAATTAAGTTAAGTTGTAACCCAGTATACTATTTTCCTAAAAATTACCTTTGCATTTTTTCTTTTTCTCAGTGTTCACCTCTTGCTTAGCTCCTCAGAAATGCAAATGTAACCTTTTCCTTCCTTCGTTTCCACCAGTGAAACAACCTGCAAGTATTGCCAGCTTATCCAAGTATATGTTTCCTTAGAAATTCTAAGGACCAAATGTTGAACCAAAGCAGGCAACATCCAGAATTCTCCCTCACAAGGAGACTGTCTCAAGACAATAGTTAATCCACATTCTGACTCTTTCCTCAATGACACTGGTCAGACTAACAGATGACCCCTTAGCTAAGTTTTACAGCAAGTCACATAGACCCCACACCTCCATGTTCCTTCTGCATACCCTGCACAAGAAAGTTTCTCTTCTTAAAACCCTGCTTTCTTCCCGGAAAACTGAAGCGGCTCCTTTAGATATGAACCTGGTTCTTCTCCATTGCTAAGCTGTGAAATAAAGTCACTTTCTTTTTACCACCCTCTTGCTTGTTATTTAATATTGTAAGTGACAAGTGGCCAAACCTGTGTTTGGTAACAAATTTGGTGGCCCGTATGGGCAGCATTATGTGCTCTGAGCAACCCAAGCCTGTGAGCCTGGTTTTTCTACCAAGGCGGAGGGTTGCCTGTGAGCACCAGCAGCTGAAGGCTAGCAGACCCCATGGCAGGAATGTTAGGGAACTTCCAAGCAGCTGCTGAAAATCTTTCATTTCCTAGACCCTCCCTTTCACTTCCTTGCACAACTTCTGCAGCCATCAACACTTTGCTGGTACAAAGAATGTGACCTCTGAAGAAGCTGGCAGCCCATGCAACCAAGTGAGCTAGTAGAGTGCACCCCGCTTTCCTGTGTCTTCTGGGGTGTTGCTGGGGCTTTGCTGTTTCATCTGGTCCACTAATGGGACTATCATTTGAGTGTTTTACGGATTTGTATTGGTGGCACTACTGGACATTGCTCGATTTGGTCTCAGACACCCATGGAGCTGTTTTGAACAGAGGAGAGAAATTCAGGATTCTACTCAGCCCCTTAACTGGGGTTTGTTTGGAAGCTCACCATTTGTTTGTAAGTGTGAGTGTATGACCTTTGAGTGTGGGCCCTGATCTCTTCCTATCCTTTTCACTTCCAACTTCATCTTACTGACTATCTTGGAAGCCACCTACAGCCTTACTCATTTCAGTCAAAGGTACCCTTAGCTCTCTCCAGCTGTAAACAGTTTCCTTCCCCCATGATGGCAGAGGTGGGAGGGATTCGTCTCACACTGTGCATGTCTAGGGTAGTGAGGCTCTCCCTGATGGGATGTAAGCAAGAGTGGTGGGGGTACCAACCCTATACCATGCAGCGCTAGAAGGTTCACAAACCTCCTTTTCTTTCTTTTTCTTTCCCTCCTTTTAAAAGGCCTGGCAGGAACTTCATATTCTCATTCTCTTTGGGATTTCAGCTGGTTACTTATTAAGACCTACTTTTGTGAACATTTTAAACAGATAGGCAAATTATAGCAAGAAAACTTTAGAGCTCAAATGGTTAACTGCAACTATTAAGTTAAGCAGAGTCATCAAAACCTCTCTTTCTTCCTCTGTTTTCTTTTCTGCCTGCTTCAAATTGGATGTTACTAAGCTGCCGGTGCTAAGACTCATTATTTATGGACTAACTAGAAAGTAAACACAAGAAACTTGTTTAAAACTAAAGGAAATAAAAGGGAAAAGATGCTTTTTTAAAAACAAAACTGCCATAAAGATTGCTTTACCCAAATTTTGGTTCACAGCTTTCATGGGATTATGTATTGCAGAAAACAAAATTTAGCCATGGAAACAGGTTTCAGTTTTGTCAGACAATAACGTGTATCCAGCTATCTTTATAAAATACTGAGTGTGTACTGTTATTTTATGGTTAGAATCCCAAGGTAAAAGCTATTAGAACTTTACTTCTGTGTGTATACATATTTAGATATGTTTGTGTGTATGTATGTGTATTATGTGTTATGTCTAGCCTGCTACCAAATTGACTTACAAGTAAATAAGTGCTCATAAATTAAGTCAGGATGCTTTTCAAGTTCACGTAAATTTAGTAATCCTTGACAAATAAAATTGGTTTTAAGATTATTCGTGACATAATATTGGAAATATCTTCAAAATGATCAGCATATATTTTTATCTGAGTTTACTGAACAAATGATTTTGTATTTATCTCTGTCTATATCATCAGGTGTCAGGATATGACATAAAGGTTATAAGACCATAAACCCAGCCAAAAACAGAATCATTTTTGTTTGTGTGATTTTACAGATGAGTTAGACTAATTTAATATTACTAGTTCAATGAAAACAGTTAAATCTTCTGTGCTATTGACAAAATGCCCATATATTGAACTTTAAGGTTCTTACTTAGGTAAAACACCTAATGTCCACAGACTTTAAAAATGGGTCATAGGGACATAAATAAATAATTACTACTTTGATGTAATATCCCAGTTTTCAAAAGTACTCTAGGTAAACTGGTAAAATGGAAAAGCTGAGTACACATAAATGAGATCAATGTTTCTAAGTGAAATTTTTGTATAATTTAAAATCTTAAAATCATTTTGGATGCTTACTAGATGTCTAGGTCATTTCCAATTAAGAAAGGGTTATTATATAGAGAAAACTGTTCTAAAAATTGTGAAATGGTTCTCATCTATACAATACTAATATCTGATAGTTCAGGATTTCTTTTTTCCTAGGTTTCTATCAAATGTGCCAAAGAAGAGGTGTCCTTATTGAGAAAAAGAATTATTTTGTCTAATTCCAAAGTTATATAAAAGTTTATTCAAATTACGGGTTTGAAAAGGTTATTTATGAAACAAGCTGGGAAGGAAGCAGTAAGTGGTGAAGAGAGTTGTGAAGAAAGATACAGAAAGGAACATATACTTTTGGTAAGGAAGGTTATAAAGGAAAAAGAGTAATTTTCTATGAGAAAGAATCTTCTATGGGAAATTATTCTCCTAAAGTAAAATGACTGGTTATTTAAGCAACAGATTCTTATTACAAAGTTAATCTAGAAAAAGAAAATTGAAAAAAAATTAAAAAAGAAACAGGTACTACAGGACAAGTATACAGTCCAAGCATGTGACAGATGGTCTGTGTAAGTCATGATAAGGCTTGTGAAGGGAAATTTATAAAAGAAATTTTGTATGCAATTAAGTTAGCCATAATTAAAAAGGAATTGTTAATAAGTCTTTCTAAAGAATGGTCCCCTATGTTAAATCAAGATTTTCTTAAGGTATCAATTTACTCTTAATAAAATTACAGTAAATTTTGATTTTCTGTTCTATAATCTACTTCTTTTGAAAACTTCTGAGATTCATATCTCAAATGTTCAATTGTTGTCTTGCTGCTATCAGCTTTCTCTCCCTTTGATGTGGCCTGGGATCATAACTCTATCCTTCAGCTTCTTGTCAGCTCCTATAACTTTTTTCCTTAGTTCTAAATGTTGTTGTGGCTGATGCTGAAATATTTTATTTTAGAGGTCTATAAAAGAAATGTTTTCCTCCAGGATAACCTGATTCTATACTCTTGGGTTTTTTTGTTGTTGTTGTTTTTGGTGTGTCTAAATTTTCACTGTAATCAGGAAACTTATCATGCAGCTACTAAGAGTCATGTATTCCCCAGTTCTACTCAAAATCTTGTACACACTCTTCCCATGTTTGATTAAATTCAAGCACTTTTTATCTTAAGTTGTACTTCCAGATTATGTAAACGGGCTTTCTTCTAAGGAGAGGCACTCACACTAAGAAAGGTTTTCCTTTGACTTTTTGGTAACTGGCTTAAGAAACAAGATTTTACATTTTATCAAGATAGTTCCTATGCTGCCTTTGTTAAGTGTTTAATGCTTTTCAGAAACCCCTGAAATTTGAGAGGAGTACGGTTTTTACACCCTTGTAACTTTTTCTATTGCCTTTAAATCACTTTGGTTAAATGAATAACTATTGTTTTACAAGGACCTGTGGTTTAGTTTTGATCAAGTATTTTAAGCTTTCTCACATCTTTCACAGACATCTCTCAAATTGAATCCTAAATTAAGTCTCTGACTTATTTCTGGGGCTTATCAAAGGTAAAAAACTTTAATCACTGTGAAGTGTATCACCACCTCCAACACCCTGAAAAAGTTCTTATCAGGTGCTATTAACTAATCTTTCTGGTGTTAAGGTACAAAGAATTGACTCCAGGATACATGTAGCTCCTCTAAAGAAGACACAGAATCCTGCCAGCATCTAACATATATAATTTATTCTGTGACTTAATATTAAATAATTTAAATGTTTATCTATCTATAGGCTTCCTTTCCTGTCACTCATTCTTTTTTTTTCAGACGGAGTCTCACTCTGCTGCCCAGGCTGGAGTGCAGTGGCATGATCTTGGCTCGCTGCAATCTCTGCCTCCCAGGTTCAAGCAATTCCCCTTCCTCAGCCTCCCGAGTAGCTGGGACTACAGGTGTGCACCACCACGCCCAGCTATTTTTTTGTATTTTAGTAGAGACGGGGTTTTACCATGTTGGCCAGGATGGTCTCGATCTCCTGACCTCGTGATCCACCCATCTCAGTCCTGTCACTCTTAGGAAAAGACAAGACTTATGGCATTTTTGCTTAAAATGTTGTTAATGGTGAATATTTTGTTTTATTAATATATCCAGAATTTAAAACTGTTCAATTCCTGCAGACCCAGGGACTATCATGGAAGGTATGAATGCATGAGATTGTAAGGGCCGGTTCTTGTGGAATAAAATTAATTCAGACCCCCAAATAAAGGATGGGCACATGGATGCCTAAACAGCTAAATAAAATACTTATGTTTTGTATAGCTATATTTCCTATAAGCCAAGATTACAACAGCTCAATGCATAAAATTCAGAGACAATTCAGTTATATAACCTTACCTTTTGACTTTTAGTTTTTGGCTCTTACATTGCTTAAAAGAGGTTTTAAGGATTAAAGACTGCCTGCCCATGTTCATTCCAGTCTGGCCTACAACATTTAATTGGATATAAGACCTTTGATTCTAAGTCCCTTGGACATAGTGGTCTCACCAAGGAACATGATGGACACAGGTCAGGTAGCACGCCGCTCTGGCATTGACATGAGGGAAAATAGAAGCGTGGCTACCAATACTGCCTCTGGCATACCTTGACAAAAAAGGAGAATATAAACTACAAAATAAAGTCCTAAGCCCCCACCAACTTAATGGAGACTCCCTACCCGCATGTTAGCCAAAGCAACCTGAAAAACTAATTCAGGCCATGACAACAAGAGGGGTGTTGAACATGCTTCACTATACCTTCCTCCCATTATGGGAATTTAGGCACAACTGATCAGCATTAACGTTACAATAAAAACTGTAAAACAGACTCTTTATAACAATAAAATACCAAATTATGAACAGGACTTAAAAACATGCCAGGCAAGGGTTAAGTCTCACATTCCTACACTTTAAAAAAGCAGACTATGTTTACAACTGCCACAAGGTTTCTGTGTTTCTCTAGCAGCCAAGCAAGCACTAGCCTCAAGATAAGCTGACTGACTGACCCCAGACACTGTTCCACCAGCCATAACTACAGATTGAAGTAGACAAGGGACCAATTTCGGTAATTTTCTCCTGATAAAAGATCACTCACCATAAACTAGTTTTGGCCGGTTTACAGTAAATGCACACTTGTATGCCTTTGTCCTCAGAAGAACTTTTGAAATATAGGGCATAATTATAATATATTGAAAAGTTAAGTCTCTGCCCCAAAATGAATGAGTTGTGTGTTCCATGGATATTTGTTAATACACATGGGTGAGGACCACCTTCATGAACATTTACAACTCCTCCTGTAGCCTGTTAAGTATGTATAGTTAACCAACTTGTCCTCATATCTCCACTGGAGCTCTGGGTACAACTGACATTTGGGGCTTTGCACTATAATTAAGACTAAATGCTGTGTATACTTCCTGGATAACTCCAGAAACATATCCTCAGCCCTAAAAGACATGCACAAGCAAACTAATCCTATCTCCAATCTCATGATGTCTTTAAATCATATGGCTTTAGATATGTTAACTGCAGCCCAGGGTGGCACTTGTGCATTCATTAAGGCTGACCATTTTACACACATACAGACACACACACACACACACACACCAGATTATTCTCACAATATAACCCAAGCTATACATGTAGATACCCATATTTCTACTATAGATGCCCTCTGTCAGGACTCTATGACATCATGATTTAGTTGGCTTCCTGATGCATAAAATACTTTTATAGATATTATTAATACTGTTAAATGCCCTCTTCAGCTGCTATGAATTTTATTGCTGTTGTACACTCTACATGGAGATGCAGGAAGTCATTCTCAGAAATTCTTGGATCCTCACACCATACATGCACAGTAAGTTCCTGCTGAAAACTCAAGAATATTTCCAACTCCAGGTAAACAGATTCCATTCTAATGCTCTGTAACTATGCTCCCTTTCAGTAGGAAGCACACCAAATGTGTATGATGCTCCAATCGCATAAAAATAAAGTGGAATTTGACAGTGGGGTGTTGTAAACAAGTACTTCATTTTCCTTAAAAAATATTTACTTTTTCTCTTTTTCCTGTGTGTTCATGTCTTACTTAGCTCCTTAGAAATGAAAATTCAAACTTTTCCCTCCTTCCTTTCCACCAGCCAAACAACCAGCAAGCACTGTCAGCTTATCTAAGTACATGTTTGCTTACAAATTACCAAATCTTGAACGAAAATAAGCATCCACCAGAATTCTCCTCCACAGAGAGATTGTCTCAAGACATCAGTTAATCCACAACCTGACTCTGTCCCCAGTGATGCTGGGCAGGCTAACGAATGACCCATGACTAGAGATAAGTCATCCATCGAGTCATGCAGATCCTGCACCTCCACACCCCTTCTGCGTGCCCTGCTTGCCAATTTTTCTTCTTAAAACTCTGTTTTCTGCCCAGAAAACTTATATGGTTCCTTTAGATATGAATCCAGCCCTTCCACATTGCTAAGCTCGGGAATAAAGTGACTTTCTTTTTTTTTTTTGGAGAAGGAGTCTCTCTCTCTCCCCAGTAGTTGGGATTACAGGCACACGCCACGGTGCTCGGCTAATTTTTGTATTTTTAGTAGAGACAGGGTTTCGCCATGTTGGCCAGGCTGGTCTTGAACTCCTGACCTCAGGTGATCATCCCGCCTTGGCCTCCCAAAGTGCTGGGATCACAGGTGTGAGCCAGCACGCCCGGCCAGTGACTTTCTTTTTACTACCCTTCTGTTACTTGATTTTGGAAGTGGCCATGGCCAAACCTGGGTTTCGTAACAAAATGGTGCCAGGCTGTCGTACGACAGATGAGGGGCACTTTTTCCTTCAAGCAGGATCTGTCGATTCTGTGTACAGCACCGAAGCCCACAGACCCTGACGGCTGCCACACCTAGCAGGGCTAGTGCCCATCTATTATTACATATTCCCATAAAATACCAGTGTTTTTGCTCTGTTGATTGCTCATGTCTCACACATCTTGAACAAGTGTTTCCAACCCTCACATGTTTTTTGACTAAGACAACAAAAATTAAAATCTAAAAAGAGCATAAGCATGAAAGCCTTTTGAGCATATTAAGGTAGATGAAAATGACAATAAATAAAAAATTGAAATTCCCTTTTTACAAGTCAATGGCACAAAAGTATTTTCTGATTACAGCACTCAATGTACACATTTTCTAAGTGGTATTTTTTATATCTCTGAGAACTAAAACCAAATTTAATAATCACTCATCAAAAATAAGAAAAATTATTATCTAATAGACTAGGTGATCTGTACAAAGAAATGTCATGCACACATTTATGGAAGTGAGGTGGAAGGAATTACGGAGTCCAGCCATTGTCTAAATCTTTGTATAAGCGGAAGATAAAGCAACATCATGAAGTTCACACCTGCACAGTTAGGAAGTGGTTGCTCCTTGTATTCAGACGTGAAGTGTTACTGTACTGCTACACAAATCAATACCTTGTTAACCTTCCACACGTACAGCAAACTAAGCCATATAATAGAAAGTTTCACACATCTTTTTAAGCATAAGGATCTGAGCCAATTTTTTTTTTTTTTTTTTGAGACAGAGTCTCGGTGTTGCCCAGGCTGGAGTGCAGTGGCGCGACCTCGGCTCACTGCAGGCTCCGCCCCCTGGGGTTCACACCATTCTCCTGACTCAGCCTCCCCAGTAGCTGGGACTAGAGGCGCCCGCCAGCTCGCCCGGCTAATTTTTTGTATTTTTAGGAATCTGAGCCAATTTTGCCTTTTGGCTTCCAGAACAGTTTCTGTCCTTCTCCTTTTCAACCAGAGATATTTCAGAGAAAATTTGCACAAAAACATAAAACAGAGAATGTGTAACATCTATCTTTTCTAATAAAAGTGATATTCACATTCAATTTAGGAGAGAGAAATATGAGAAAAGATTAAAAAAATTAAAAGTGTTCATTGAAAAATAATTGTGAATGCATTTTTAAAACAGAGGACTAAAGACCTTAAACACACAACACAAAAATAAAAATTTGATTTTAGATGACGTTTATGACAACAAAAAAAGAAAAAAATTATACCCAAGAGTTAAACACATTTGCACAACAAATCATATCAAAACCAGGATAAATATTACAATGCAAGAAATAAAGTCTTAAGGTATCACTGGTCAGCCAGCAGAATCAGTATTGAATAAACTCAGCCTTATTCAAAAGAACTGAATTCCCCACCTCACCAACAGAAAGGACAGGGAGCTGCTGCCCTTGTGCATGGAGACCCCAAACAGTGTCTCTGAGCTCAGAGGCTCCCATGTGGCTGCGACTTTGGTGGGCATGGTCTGGAGAAGAAGCAACCTGTCACGGGGTCATCTACACCAGTGCAGGAGGTTACTATGGGTGCATCTCAAGGTTTTCAATATTACTGGCTGTTGTTGAAAGTATGTATACATAAACTGGGGAGTGGTGTTGGGGGATTGTCTCAGATTCACAAGCATATTAAGGGATTTAAGAGTCTACAGCAACGTTCTAAGTTCTAAACCAGCCGGGTGCGGTGGCTCACACCTGTAATCCCAGCACTTCAGGAGGCTGAGGTGGGTGGATTGCTTGAAATCGGGAATTCGAGATCAGCCTGGGCAACAAGGTGAAACCCCATCTCTACAAAAAATACAAAAATAAAAAAATTTAACTGGGCATGGAGTTGTGCACCTGTGATCCTAGCTACTTGGGAAAGTGAGGTGGGAGGATTGCTTGAGCCCAGAAGTCGAGGCTCCAGTGAGCCAAGATCTTGCCACTGCACTCCAGCCCAGGTGTAAGAGCGAGATCCTGTCTCAAAAAACAATTAAAATTTTTTTTTAAAAAAAGTTCTAAACCTACTGCTTTATTCAAGGTACAGCTGAAAGTATTGGTGTAGGTGCAAGACATGCAGGTTGTTACATTTTTTACTTCATTATAGAGAAGTACCGTGGCTAAAAGAAGAGGCTCTGGGCCAGGCACAGTGGCTTACACCTGTAATCTTAGCACCCTGGGAGACAAAGCAGGGAGGATTGCTTGTGGCTAAGAGTTCTACACTAGCATGGGAAACACAGGAAGACCTGGTGTCTACCAAAAAAAAAAAATTAATTAACCAGGCATGGTGGCTTGTGCCTGTAGTCCTACCTATTCAGGATGCTGAGAGGGGAGGATCACTTGATCCCAGTAGTTTGAACACAGAATCTGTTCTACGACTGAGCCACTATACCCTAGCTGGACAACCGGATGAAATCTTCTATCTCTCTTAAAAAAGAAAAAATATAAAAAAATCTCTGGAGAGAAAATTATTGTTCTAAATAGACTCTCTTAATAATAAGACAGTGTGGAATAGGTGCAGTGACTCACACTTGTAATCCCAGCATGCTGGGAGGCTGAGGCGGGTAGATCACCTGAGGTCAGGAGCTCGAGACCAGCCTAGCCAACATGGTGAAACTCCATCTGTACTAAAAATACAAAACAATTAGCCTGGTGTGGTGGCGCACACCTATAATCCATTACTCGGGAGGCTGATGCACAAGAATCGCTTGAACCCAGGAGGAGGAGGTTGCAGTGAGCCATGATTGCACCATAACACTCCAGCCTGGGCAACAGAGTGACTCTGTATCAAAAAAAAAAGATAATAATAATGATAATAATAAGACAGTGTAGAATTTGCACAAAGATAGAAGAAACAACCAGTAACTTAAAAAATAAAAACAGAGCTAGAATGCAGACATATACATATATAAAAATTGATTTATACATTGATGCATGGGGGAAAGATCAATTTTTATTAAAATGTTCCAGGAAATTGAATATCCACAGGGAATAACCAATATCTGACCTTTGACCTCACATACACACAAAATCAATTCTAGTTGGTTCATAGGCTTAAATATAAAAATAAAAGAGTATTAACAAAACAATTTAGGAAAATATCTTCATGACAGAGGGTAGGCTGAGCTGTCTAACTAGACCTGAAAATTATTTACCATGTAAGAGAAGACACATTCTACATAGTCAAAGTGAGCAAAGACTCTGGGGCAGACAGTATCATACTCAAGGTTCCTTTATACCTGTCCTGTAGAAAGTCAGCTCAGACTCCGAAATGGACCACAGACGTGAAAATCATGCTTACTTCTTGAGATGTCAGTATGGATTCTATGAAATGATAACATATAAAGATTGTTGTATACTATCAAGCCTATTCTAACCCCTAAAAATTAATTTTCTAATAAATTGCGAGATATATCATTTGCGTCAATTGTAACATGTCATTATTTCATGCACCAGAATGGAAGAACAAAACCACTAACAAATGAAGAAACTAGTACTTTTATCACTTATAAATAAATCACATAGTAATAACATAAATACATTACAATTACTGGAAAAAATATATTCAATGTGCGTACATGTGGATATTTGTCTTGTGTCATTCCTACATGGGATGGAACATACAAGAAAAATACATTGACAAAGGTTTTCCTAAATTTTCTCTCATTGAGATGTAACTCTCCTGAATCACTCTTCAACTCATCTGCTCATGATTTTCCCCATATTATTATCACCTGTGCTAATCTGACACTTTGGTGATGCTGCACTTCTTGCGAGATTCCTATGGTGCTCCTGTGAGTTTATCTTTCCAACCGTCTGAAACCCCCTATGCAAGACATGATGTTGATGGTATGACCTGAAGATGTCAATGGAAGGTTTATAGACCAAGCTCATGTATATGTAAATGAGGACAATCACGTTATGGTCGCCGTCTCGTCAATAATGTTTTAACACTATCAAATTTAAGGTGCATCTGTGTTTCACAAATGTGAAAATGTGCCCCCTATGATGAATGGAATACACTGTCCTCTGTGACTGCCCATTTCTCAGTGTTAGATTATGGTGGCTCATCAACTGTATTCTTATCTGTTATTGAAGAAACATGCTTAAATCTTATCACATAAGTTTAGCAACTGTATTTACATTCTACATAGCTATTAGAGACATTACAGTTATTAGTGGAATTCTATAATTCTTCTGTTATGCATGGAAATGTAGTTCTATGAACTATGGTTTAAGAAATCCACTGAGGAAGAAGATAGAAATTATAAAGAGTTACTTGAAAAATTCACTGGAGTGATAGCTTTCTAAAGACCTAGAAAAAGCTGTAACTTGAAACTTCCCACTGCAATCTTAGGCATTTGACCAATGACCCTTGTGAGCTTCATTATGAACTCCATTCTTTCAGCTATATCATTTATGTAACTCTGTTTTCTTCATTCCCATTTGCTGTTTTAACCATATGGTTGGTGATCATAGAAATCACTTGGTAATTAGTCACTGCAGAAGTAGATGCATAATGGTCTTTATAAAATGTTTTAATCTGCCCCCTTGCTACTCTGCTCAACCTTAATTTGGGTACTTGAATTTGAGGATTGCTTTTGGTTTTCCCTCAGGAATACCCTGATTGAAGAAGCAGCACATAAAGTATGAGTTTCTGTATACCCAAAATTCAGTCAACCTCCTAAACTATAGGAGTTTCTTTATGTGTATGCAGAAACTCACATACAAAAACAAAAACTCACATAATTTAGGAGGTTGACTGAATTTTGCCCTACAGTTTTAAATTCCAGCAAGGCTAAATTAAATAAAGATAAAGTCATGCTCTCAAATATCTAAGACATTCTTTCATTGAACTGCAACTTCTAATCAGGTTAGAATGTGGAGATAAAGTGCTGGGTGTTTGCCTCATGATCTGGTCTAGAATTTGGTTTCTCTTAAATGGTATCTCTTTTAGAATTGTGGTGTCCAGGCCAGCCTCTAAGGAACTGCTGGTTTAAGATATTGTGGGAAATCACATCTTCCATGCAGTTAGAGTTTGTCTGGAGACTCATTGCTCAGCACTTTGTCAGCTGCTTTCTCCACTCACTAGCATCCAACTGCAAAAAATCTGTTGTGTAAAAGATTCATATCCAGGTCTCTGTAAGTAGGGACTGGCCTAAACCAATTTATTAGAAACATTTTTTGTACTCTGCTTACCTGCTACCTTGGTGGCTTTAGGGTTGGCAGTGGGCAACATAATTCCACAAAGTGAGTGTCAACAGAATGCACGGTCCCAAACAATTCCTGATGGAGTCTGTAGAATCAAAAGAACTAAATTAGAACATATTTTTCTGAAAGGTTTGAAGGTACAGTTGTCTTTTGATTACTTGAAGAAGAAATGCCTGTACCAGGAAAACATTATCCTGAATGCAGAAATATGATTTATGTTCCCTGTCACTGAAATTTCTTATTCTTGGCTTCTAATATCTGAGAGTCATATCTCCCAAAAATGCTTCAGTGGGATCCTGAATATACACTGCTAAATGATGTCCACACATGGGGCTTTTTGGGATATGTGAAGGAAACGCAGCTTTTTCTGAATAAGTGGTTGCTGACACTCCAACTGCTGAGTGGGTAACGGAGAAGGAGAGAAAGGATGACAGTCCCTGGAGCTTGATGGTGCCTTCTTGAAGCAGGTGAACTTGGGTTTGGAAAGGCAACTAGATAAAAAACTCTAGATTGCTTTTCTCTCCCTATGTGTCCATGCATCTCTGGAAGCCAAAGTTTTTTGCTTATGTCTTTGTTTTCTTTTAAAAAATATAATAATTTTAGAAAACAAATTTATTTTGAAATAATTGCAGATTTACAAAAAGATACACAGGTAGAACAGACAGTTCCATATACCCTTCAGCTAACTAGAATGTACTATTCTAACCATAGTATATTCATGAAAACTAAGAATTTCACTATTTCAAAACTATTAACTGATCTACAGACTTCCTTCATATTTTACCAGAATTTCTTTTTGTTTTATTTTGTTTTGTTTTTGAGACAGAGTCATGCTCTGTCATCCAGGCTGGAGTGCAGTGGCGCCATCTTGGCTCACTGCAAGCTCCGCCTCCTGGGTTCTGGGCCATTCTCCTGCCTCAGCCTCCTGAGTAGCTGGGACTACAGGCGCCCACCACCATACTCAGCTAAATTTTTCTATTTTTATTAGAGATGGGGTTTCACCATGTTAGCCAGGATGGTCTCGATCTCCTGAACTCGTTATTTGCCCGCCTCAGCCTCCCAAAGTGCTGGGATTACAGGCGTGAGCCACCACACCCAGCCTCAGAATTTCTAATAATGATATATTTATCTGTTCCAAGACCTAACCCAGAATACCACATTGCAATTACTGTCAGGTATATTACTTATGACTTGATGCATAACAAATTCCCACACATCTTAGTGGTTCAAAACCACACACATATTACTCACAGTTTCTCTAGGTCTTCAGTCCAGATGTAGGTGATGGCCCAGGCTAAGGCTCAGCTGGGGAAGGGTCTCCTTCCAAGCTCATGTAAGTGTTCTTAGGATTAACCTCTCTGACCTCATCAGGAAGAATTCATTAGTGAATTATTAGAATCACTTAAAAAATTAATACGAATTTATTAAAAATTATTCCAAAAAAGTGGAGAAGGCATGATTTCCCATTCTACACTGAGTTAGTTTACTCTGATACCACAGCTAGATAAAGACATTTCAAATATGGAAAACGAAGAACACTATACCTTATGAATACAGGGGCAAAAATCATCAAGGAAATATTAGCAAAACAAACCAGAAACATGTAAAAAGTATTACACATTATGTCAAGGGTATTTACCTCAGGAAAGCAAAATTTGCTTCAACATACAACAAGTGCTATGCACTATGTTGATATAATAAAGAACAAAAACCACATAATCATCTCAGAAGATGCATAGGCACTTGAGAATTCTCAAACTCCCTATGAGAAGGACATGCAGCAAATGAGGCAGATAAGGGAACTGTCTTCCTTTTAAAGGGGATCCATAAAAAACCAACCAACATATCATCATAAGTTATCTGAAAGGTTCACTAATTTCTCCAAGATTAGAAACAAGACAAGGATTTCCACTCTTGACACTTGTTTTTAACATTGTACTGGAGGATATAGACATGGCAATTAGTCTAGAAAAATAAATGTAAGGCTTCCAGTATGGAAAGGAAGTCAAACTATGTCTGTTGGCATATGACATGATCTTATGTATAAAATGTCCAAAGGGCTCTAATCAAATATGGTTAGAATTTAGAAATGAGTTCAACAAACTTCCAGTATATAAGGTCAACATATATAAAATCCTCTGAATTTCTATATGCTAGCAATTAACAATCTAAAACAAAAAATTCAGAATGTTCCATCTGAGATGACATCAAAAATAAGTTTATCAAGTTAAGTATAAGATATATACACAAAAACTATAGAAAACATTTTGAAAAAAATGGAAAAAAACCTTTGACTATTCATTGTTTATAAAGGTTAATGTTGTTAGCCTGGCAATATTTTCCAAATGGATCTATAGATTTAATGCAACCTCTATCAAAATCCCAGGTGACATTTCCTTTTTCTAAATTCACAAAGTTTATCTAAAATTCATATATAATGCAATAGACCCAGAGCAGCCTAAACAATTTTGAGAAAGAAGAAAAAAGGCTGGCATGGGAGATACATAATTCCTGCCTTCAAAACTCACTACAAAGTAATAATAATCAAGATTTATGGTACTAGTATAAGAATACAGATGTTGATCAATGTAATAGAATATAGTGTTCAAAAGTGAATACTTACATTTATAGTGAAACAATTTTATAATGTCACTGAATAAATTATATATGGATAAATATTTTTACTCAAATATTTCTGAAACAAGTGCATATTCCATGCAAGTCGAACTCCTGCCTCACACTGAAAATGTAATTGACTCAAAATGATCATATATCTCTATATAATAGCTACAAAGGTCCAAAATATAGAAAATACACAGGAATACATCTTCATGGTCTTAGGTTAAACACTCTTTTCTAAGATACGATGCTGAAAGCAAAAGGGAAGAAGAAAAAACAGATATATTAAACCTCATTAGAGGCCTATCAGATGGTGGAGGGTGGGCGGTGAGAGAGGATCAGAAAAAATAACTAATGGGTACTAGGCTTAGTACATTGGTGATGAAATAATCTACATCAAACCACCATAACACAAGTTTACCTATGTAACAAATGTGCACTTGTACCCTGAAACTTAAAAGTTAAATTAAAAACCAAATATTTGCAAATTTTATAGGTGATAATGGTCTATTGTTAATCATATATATATGACAACATCTTAGAGCTCAAAAATAAAAAAGGCAAATATCTCAATCAAAAATGGAATTTATTCAAATACCCAATTCTCCAGAAAAGCTACAGTCATACCCAAATCACACGAAAAGACACTCAATGCCTTTTGCCATTATGAGATAGGAGACCGGCAAGTTGTTTTCTAGTCACAACCCTGCTGATCAAAACAAGATCTGGTCCAGACAGCATACAGTGAAGAAACTGGCAAAAAGAGACAAAGGGATCCCTGGTTGTCCTCATTGCTCACTGGCATGAGACATTCCCTCCAGCGCCATGACTGTTTATAAATTCCATGCCAACAACCTGGAATTTAACCACCTCTTTCCATGGCAACAACCCAGAAATTACCACTCCTGTCCTGGAAAGTTCTGAATAACCTGCCCATCAAATTTCATTGATCCACTCCTCAATTTACATGTAATTGAAAGTGGGTTTCCCTTAGTGTAAAGATAGTTGACAAGGGCCCATAGGTTACCAACAAACGCAACGCCTATGAGTTAGCCCTGCTCTTTAAGGAGCAGTACTGTTCAATAAAACATTTCTGTCTATCACCACTGTCTTGCCCTTAAACACTTTCCTAGGCAAAGCCAAGAACCCTGCCAGCTGAAGCCCCAAATTTGGGGCTCACCTGTCCTGCAACAATAGGGGAAGGGAAGTCTAAAAAAACATGATACATACTTCAAAAATCTAAAAGGTATCTTGCTATGTGACAAAATATAAGTTGGAAAAGGCAAAATACTGTGTAATTCCACCTATATGATTCTCTGGAAAAGGAGAAAAGGATAGTGATAGCAAAGAGCTCGGTGGTAACGAGGAGCTTGGGAGAGAGAAGGTGGGATGCGTGAAATACAGGAGGTTTCTTTGGGGCAGTGAAATTACTCTCTCTGATATTGTAATGGTGGATACATAATAATGTTTTCCGAATCCTGAAGAACTTTGTAACACAAACAGTGTATCTAAATTATGCAAGTTTAAAACCTTATTTAGTAGGTAGAGGGTTTCCAAGGAGGAATGCCCAAAAAAATAATATAACTATGTAATGAATGTATGGAATAACCTCACTAAAGAAAGTGGAGGAAAGCAATGGACCTAAGTAATTTGGGTAATCAGTGGATATTCTGAGGGTAAAGGCCAAAGTATTTATACCTATGTACTGTACTTTGCTTGGTAAAATTGTTTCCCATTGGGGTATAAGTTACCAGTTCTGAAACCACTCTGCATGGATGTTCAGGTAGTACGATTAAGTGAACAGCATCGACTTCTTCACAGGGAGAGTAAGAGACTACATACATCATTCATATGGTGCTGGATTAGATCATATGGTATCGGAAACATTAGTAGAAATTACACAATTATACAACTAGCCTGGAGTACAATTAAATACACAGTTAGCCTGGAGCACCTAGTAGTGGTTAAAGAAAAGACAATGCTAAACAACAAGAAAACCAACCAAGTCTGGAGCACCTACTAGTGGTTAAAGAAAAGAAAATGCTAACCAACAACAAAACCAACCAACCATACAACATTGAACCTTAATTATGTGGGTATTTCAAAATTATACCAGAGACAACTAAAAAACCTTCCAATAGCCAACCATGGAACAATTTGAACAATCAAATAAATTAGCATATGTAAAGTATAAAATAAATATCCATGTTTAGATGATGATATAAATAATTTATATAGAAATGAATAAATATGTAATAGTTAGAATAGACACATGTTTACGGTTGAGGGTTCAAATAAACTTGTAGACATTCTGCCAATAAGAAGGTAGATCATGAATCCCCACTTTTTTTTTTTTGAGATGGAGTCTGCAGTCTCGCTTTGTTGCCCAGGCTGCAGGGCAGTGGTGTGATCTCAGCTCACCGCAACTTCTGCCTCCCAGGTTCAAGTGATTCTCCTGCCTCAGCCTCCCGAGTAGCTGGGAGTACAGGCACGACCACTGTGCCTAGCTAATTTTTGTATTTTTAGTAGAGATGAGGTTTCGCCATGTTGGCCAGACTGGTCTCGAACTCCTGACCTCAGATGATCTGCCTGTCTCAGCCTCCAACAGTGCTGGGATTACAGGCATGAGCCATGGTGCTTGGCCCATGACCCCCACTTCTTGAATGTGTGTTGTGTTAGTGACTTTGTTCTGAAACATTCTATGGGGAAAGGGAAAAATAATAATAATTTCACAGTGTTTGATAATTTGATAAAAACCACCTCATCCAGGTGATCAAATTAACATTAGCAGTGATAAAGCCTGTTGAGAGCCTATGCCCTTGGTATAATGTGAAGAGAATGGCACCTTTCCTCTGTCATCTTCCTCTCCTAAACCCACAAATCTAGTCTTATCATAAAAGAAACCTCAGAGAAATCCCACATTAGGAATGTCAATGTCATCAAAAACTAGGAAACTCTAAGAAACTGCAACAGTCAGAGAAGTCTAAGGAGACATGATATCTAACTGTGCTGAGGTATCCTGGATGAAATCCTGGAATAGAAATCAGACATTAAGTGAAAACTGAGAAAATCTGAATAAAGTATGAAGAGTAGTTAATGATACTGTTTAAAATTGGTTAATTGTGACAAATGTCCTAAATTAAGAAGTTAATAAAAAGAGCAACTGTAGTGGGATATATGGAAAGTCTATGTACTGTATTTAAAACAATTCTGTAAATCCTAAATGACTCTAAAATGTATAAAGTTTCTTTTTATTTAAAGTCACTGCTGATCTTATAAAATAGAACATGAGCAATATGTTGATGGCCATTCATGGATCTCCTTAGCTTCATCACCTTCCTTAATCACTGAAGGTCGCAATTACTGTGATTTATCCTCTAATTTGTGTTTGTTATATTTATCTCTATGTTTATATTTCTAATATCCATACTGTTTAGTTTTTCCTGTCTTCAAAATTAGATGACATGTGTTTAATGTATACATGTCCCTAGTTTAATCATGAGAAATCATGAGACAAATCCATATTGTGGGACATCTTACAAAATATCTGACCTGTACATTTCAACAGGGTCAAGGTCAAGAAAAAGAAGTGAAGACTATGAAACTTGCAGATTGGAGAAGACCTAATGTGTCAGTTAGACCCTGCAATGGTGCCCAGTGATCCCCAACTGCAAGAAATTCCTGTACTTTGTTGAGTTGCCTCCTCCATGTCTCACATGACCAACACATGTGAACTCAACTTTTTTTGAACTCAGAGCTCCCCTAGACTGTGGCAACCTTGGTGGGAATGGAGTGGACACAGGTCTGACAAGTGCCACAAGAGTGTCTGACAGTATAAACAAATATCCTGTGAGAAGGATGCTGGGTCAAATATTGTACACTTATGCTTTGGGGTATCCACCAGGATAAATAAGTATCCCATGAAAGGCACACTGTAAACATCCAGGATACAGTTTCCTGGAGTCCTGTTGGGCAGGGTGATAATTTATAGTCACTATCCCTAGAGAGACCTCAAGAGATTATTAGACATAACAAAAATACAAGAGATGTAGAGGTGATTTTATAAATTATGGCTCAAAGATCCCATGGAGAAGGAAGATAGAAATGGTGAAGTGTTACTTGAAAGTTTGCAGCAGAGTGCAACTCTCTGAAGACAGAAAATCCTGTATCTTGAGACTTTTTGCCTTAATCTTAGAAATATAAGCAGAGATTATTCTAAGTTGCTTTCAAATCCGATTCTTCATCCAGATCAACTGCATATTTTTTTCTCCCTCCCCTTTTATCCTTCGTATCCCATGAACGATGGTCATGTGAATCTCACTGTAAGCAGGGACTGCAGACGCCTGTGCATTGCTGTTTTCATGAAATGCCTTGCTCTGACCACTTGTTACTCTTGTCAGCTCCACTTGTTGATACTTAGAAAATGAAAAAGGCTTTGGTGTTCCCCAAAGAGTGTACTGAATGAAGAGGAAACTCTTATAATTTATAATTTAGAATGTTGAGCATATTTGTACCGAGAGTTTCAGCTTCTACTAGGGCTCAATTCAGTGAACAAGAAGCCCTAATTTCAAGTTTAGGAGTCATGCACGCTTTAAACTTTATTCAGTATTCAGACTAGAGGGCAGAGACAGCACTGGGTTCTTGCCTAAGGAAGTGGTTGGATGATGGGGTGTTTTCAATGGCATCTTTCTGAGAATTCTGGTGGCCAATCCAGACTCAGCCAATCCAGACTCATGGTAATGTTTAGGAGCTTAGTGCTCAGCACTGTGTCCTCTGTGCCTGGGACATTATGGTAGCAGAGTTTCATGTCTAATCACTTTTCCAGTCTTAACCCTGAGCACTCAGAGCTCCTCAACCCTCTTGCCACCTACGGATGAGTCTGTCCTTCTACACATCTACTTCTGTCTTCCTCATGGCCTGCCACTTGGTGATTTTTTTTTTCCTGAAGAATTTGGTCATGGATGATCTTAACAGTACACATCATAATAGACCATATGTATGCATTGAAATGAAGAGGAAAATGGGATTGTACAAGTCACTTACCTTACAGAAACTCCTGTTATAATGAAATAAAAAGAGCAAACCTCCATGACTTAAGATTGCCAATTTAAATGAAACCGTCCTTTCCTATGGGGTGAATTGTAAGACTAGAGGAGTAAGAAGGTTTACTGAATTATAAATGCCCCAAATAATAGCACCTGAGTTACTGCTATAATCTTCTCAGAAGTGAGAAATATGTTCAAGGTCAGCTGTGTCTCTCACTGTAGGTCTCCAGGATGCAGGAGTTTGTTTTCTCGCTGAAGCTATGAACATGGTATGGAGAATGTAGCCCATGATCACAGTCTGAAAACGCAAGAGTCTTGACTTTGTGGATGTCCTTGGGAGTGTAGTATGCAGTCCCATGGCTTAGTAAGCTTTGTGGGCATGGTTCCTGGAACATCCCTGGTGATCCTCTGTAAAGTGGTGTGGCCTGTAAACAGGGAGCTGTGTTGGGAAAGATGAAACAGTCCTCCCTGCCGTGGGGATCTTTGTTTATCCAGCACATATCCAGAGTCAGCTCTCAGCCTCTGTCCATCTCTTAGATCACTGCATGGTGGGCTGGGGTACGTTGTACTTTCTTTCCTTTTTTCTATTAGGCTATTTCCACCTCTGCACAACACACTCTGTATCACTAACATGCCTCACCTTCATATATCTGATGTCTGTCTAAAGGCTCATTTCCACGTCTTTTTGAGCAGGAATTAACCTACAACTCCATGATTATAAACTTTTTTCATATCTAGTTAACTTTCCTCCATGATAATGTCTATTCTGTGGCTTTTGGGCTTGTCGCTTGAAATGGTTTGGCTGTGTCTCCACCCAAATCTCACCTTGAAATGTAATAATCCCTAAGTGTCAAGGGCAGGGCCAGGTGGAGAAAAGTAAATCATGGGGGCAGTTTCCTCCATACTATTCTCATGGTAGTAAACAAGTCTCACAAGATTTGATGGTTTTATAAATGGGAGTTCCCCTGCACAAGTTCTCTTGTCTGCCGCTATGTAGGATGTGACTTTGCTCCTCATTTGCCTTCTGCCACGATTGTGAGGCCTCCCCAGCCATGTGAAACTGTGAGCCAATTAAACTGCTTTCCTTTATAAATTACCCAGTCTTAGGTATGTCTTTATTAGCATCATGAGAACAGATTAATATACCACAAGACAATATAGATCCATGATGTGAGTGTCAAGAGAATGTGTGGTCCCATAAATTCGTGATGGAGTCTGCATGACGAAGAAAACTGAATTATCACAGTGTTTTCTCAAAGGCTTAAGGCATCATTTCCTTTTAAAACTTGGGGAATAAAAGTAATCCCTGTACTAAGAAAACACCCTTAATGCACAAGTATTTATGTTCACCATCACTGGCGTTTCTCAATCTTCTCTTCTAATGTCTGGAAGTCATGTCTTCTAAAATGTCTTTATAGTGAGATCCTACAAAGACACTGACAGAAAATGCCTGAAAACAGGGCCTTCTAACATATGTGAGAAAGGCGTCTTTCCTTGGAAAAGAGGTTATGAACACAATTGATAACTGGGTAATGGGAAGTGTGATGGGAAAGAAGAAAGTGGATGAGTGTCCCTGGAGCTTGATGGTGTCTTTCTGAAGCAGGTGCCCTGTGTAGGAATGGGGGATAATAAGGCAAGCTACTTTGCCATAGTCTCCCTATATCTCCATTCATCCTCTGATCTGTGGTTTTATTGTGGTTTAAATCTGTCTTTGTTATTGTTGTTTTATTTTCTGGTACCTGAATATTACATTTCAAGAAATATTTTTATTTTATCATAGTTTTAGTTTTATAGAAAGTAGTAAAGATAATAGAGTTTCATATATCCTACAGCTTCCTGAAATGTTAGCACCTTATATCACCATAGCATATTTATGAAAACTCAGAAATTGACAGTGGTACAAAACTATTAACTGGAAAAGATTTTCTTCATATTTTATGAGGTTTTCCACTAGTGTCATTTTTCTGTTCTAGGATCTAATCCAAGATACCACATTACATTTACTGTCAGGCATATAACTGACCGATTGTTGTCTACATAGTTTAGACTTTCCAACCCAGCCCTACACAGTACTTACAGTTTCTCTGGGTCAGATGCCTGGCAGAGATTTCAAGGGAAGGCTCATCTGGGGAAGGATCCCCTTCCAAGCTCCTGGGATTCTTGGGAGGATTCAATTTCTGTCCAGGTCAAGATGACTTCACTGGTGTGTTATTCAAAGCCTTTTGGGAATTAATAACAATCAATAAAAACAGACTAGTAAAGAACCTTTCCTAATGCAATGTATGAAGCCAGTGTTCCCTGACACCACAGCTAGACAAAGACATTTCAAGAAAAGAAAATTACAGACCAATGTGAAACAGGCAAAAATTATCAAGGAAATACTATCAAAATTAACTAGTAACATATAAAAAGGAGTATACACTAGGAGCAAAACTATTTATCCCTGCAATGTAAGTCTGGTTAAACATACAAAAACAACTGGTGTTATAAACTATACTAACAGAATTTTTTAAAAAGACTCATGGTCACCTCTAAAGACACAGAATAGGCATTTGACAAATTCCAAACCCATTCATGATAAAAGCTCTGGGAAAATTAGGCATAGAAGAAAACTTTCTAAATCTACAAAGAGCATCCATGGAAAACTCACATAACATGAGGAAAGACATATAAGCCAACAGAATAGAGTTGAGCACCCCAAAATCAATCTTTATATATAGGGCAAACTTATTTTCAAAGTTGAAAAATTAATTCAACATGAAAAAATAGTTTTTCAACAAATGTTGCTGGGAGAAAGGGATATCCACATGCAAGTTAAACTGTTTCCTGCACCATATATGTATTTGACTCAAAATAGAATATGTGGCTAAATGTAAGAGCTAAAACTAAAAATCCCACAGAAGAGAATATAAAAATAGATTTTCATGGCCTTACATGAAACAATGGATTCTAACATGTGACACAAAAGTACAAGTGACAGAAAAAAAAAATAGATACATTGAACTTCATGTGGATCAATACCTTTTAAGATGCAAAGTACACCATCAAGACAACTGAAATAATGGAAGAAGATATTCTCAAGTCATACAACTGTTAGGAGATTATTATCCAGAATATATGAAACATTCAGGCATGCACCACCACACCCGGCTAATTTCTGTATTTTTAGTAGAGATGGGGTTTCGCCATGTTACTTAGGCTGGGCTCAAACTCCTGGCCTCAAGTGATCCACCCACCTGAGCTTCCCAAATTGCTGGGATTACAGGCATGAGCCACCATGCCCAGCCTCATTCTTCATTATTATTTTCTAAATTTGTATTTCCAAATAATATATTGTTCAGGTTTTTTGTCTTCAACATTAGACAAATACGTGTATAAATTAATGTTTAATCTTACTCAAATTATGAAAAAATATAACAAATCCATATTGTGATACATCCTATGGAACACCTGACAAGTTCTTTTCACTAAGATCAAGGGCAAAAAAATAAGTGAAGACCCAGAAACTGATACAGATTAGACAGGACTTCATGTGGCAGGTAGGTTCTAAGATGCTTTCCAATGATCCACACCTCTAAATATGCAGAACCCTATTCTAATATCCTCACTGAGGTTTAGACATGCCATACCACATGTATAAACAAACAGAAAAGGGGCAAAATGTATGGAACAATGGTTTGTAAGAGAGATTATATCAAACAGTGAAGGACAGTGATACCTGAGACATACAATACTGTGACATGAGCTCTACCATTGCCTCAAGATACCATCTTGGGAGATGTTCCAGGCTGTGGTGTGTCATGGACTTTGGAAGTCACTGTGAGTTGAGAAGATGCAATTGAGAGTCGAGTACAGATTGGCTGGATTGCATCTAGCATTTCTTCACATCCAGTGGTAAGAATGGGAGACAGCATCCATGTCAGCATCCATGCAGGCTGGACTGCTAGTGTCATCAGTACTCACTGAAATATGGTTCACAGAAGTACAGGAGCAACGCAGAAACAAAGGCAAAGGCACAAAGAAACGTTATTTGAGTGAAGATTTAATATTGCACAAAGACTGACACTTTTACATGTTGTACCAAAACCAAGGCTTAAAAAATAACCATTCGAGATAAAGTAAATGATGCGTGTAAGTCAAATGAACCAACCAAGTCGACACAAACCTACTTTTACTCTACAATTTTCATACATGTGGCTGATAAACTCACTATATTATAAAATAATGAAAGTGGAGCTTTCTATTTATAAGAGCAGAACAGAATTATCAGAAAAATAAGGATAAAAATATTTTTACCTCCATTTGTTTCCCTATAAAACCTGAAGTTTGCTTTATATTTGGAAAATAATTTGTCACTTTCTTCACTACATCAATTCCACTGCCATTCTAGTTTGCGTGGAGTATACGGTTGCTATTTATATGCAGTAAAATTAAGTTAAATGGTGCCAGGCTGCAATATCATAGATGAGGGGTTATTACTGTTGTTATTTTAACCAAGATCTGTCATTGAAATTCTCCGTGTACAGTATTGAAGCCAAGAGACCCTGACTGCAGCCCTAACTGGAAAATCAAATGCCCATCTACTGATTTGGAGCACTTATAAAATATCAGTGTTCACGCTCTCTTGGTTGCTCACATCTCATAAATCTTGGACACATGTCCCCTATGTCCCCAGAATAATTTTAGATCATTATATTGATTGTTACCTTTCTTGTACAGTAGACATGTGTTATTGAGTTTCAGCGACTCATTCTGTATGAATGCTTCACTCACAAGAGGATGTGTTGTCAACATAGTCGTGTTCGAATTAAGACACTCCTCACTGCAAGCTCTCAATAAATTCTGGTCTGTTTGTTGGAGTCCTGCTAAATTATATCTGAAAATGGGGCTTTTTGAGACATGTGAGTAATAGGCATCTGTCTTTCAAAAACTCGTTACGTAGTTAGCACCAGATGCTAAAACTGGTGACTGAAAAATGCAGAATATGATGAAGAAGATGAAAGAGGATGAGTCTCTGGAACTTGGGGGGATCTTCCTGAAGCAAGTGTACCGGTGTTCAAGTTGGTAAATCGATATGGAAGGATGCTTTGCTATTCTCTCTCTACATGCCCTTTCATCTCCTGAGCTGAAGCTATTCTGTCTGTGCTTTGGAATTTTTTTCATATCACATTTAATACTTTTTTCAAAAACATTTTTTCTTTGAAATAATTTTAAATACACAGAAATATGCACAGATAGTACAGAAAGCTTTAGACATCTTTGAATTACATGCAACGTAATAGATTATGTAACCATGAGCCCTAAAAAATAGTTGGCACAAAACTATTTATTGAAGTATAGGCTTTTTCCATATTTTACTAGGCTTTTAAGTAAAAAATGTCATTTTTCTGTCCAGGATACCACATTGCATTGACTGTCAGGTGTATTATTTAATGCTGAATAACAAATTGTCACACACTAAGTGGCTCTTACTCACGGTTTCTCTGTATCATGAATCCAGATGTAGATGATGGCCAAGGATGAGGTCTCAAGTGAAGGTTCAGCTGGGGAAGGCTCCTCTTCCAAGTTTGTGTGATTGTTGTTAGGAGTCAAGGCCCTGTGCTGGTTGAGATGACTTCACTGGTGAACTATTCCAAACCTGAAAATAATTAATAAAAATCTATCACAAACTCTTCATAAAAATTTAAACAACTGTAAAAGTGGAGAAGATATCACTTCCTGATGTATACTATTAGTTAGTTTACACTGACATTACAACTAAAGCAAGACATTTCATGAAAGAAAAATTAAGGCCAATATGTTTTATAAATAAAGGGTAAATGTCTTCAATAAAATGCTAGCAATACAAATCAGCAAATGTAAAAAGAATTATACACCATCATCAAGGGTATTTGTCTCAGGAATGCAAATTTGGTTCAACATATAAAATAATTAGTGTCATGACCTATAAGAATAAAATAAAAAACAAAAGCCATATGATCATCTCAAAAGATGCAGGAAAGGCACCTGACAAATCCAAAATCCATTTTTGATAACAGTATACAACAAATTAAGCCTATAAGGAAAGTTTCTTTATTTTAAAGGGCATCCATGAAAAACTCAGTATCATCATAATTTAATTTAAAGGCTCAAGAATAGTATAAACTTGGACATACAGGTCAAAGGAATATAGTAGAATTGAATGTCCAAAAATTAATCTTTACCTTTATAGTCAAATGATTTTATAAGGTTGCCAAGCCAATTCAATATGGAAAAATATATTTGTAACAAATGTTGCTAGGACAATTGAATATCCACAAGCAAGTTGAACTTCTCACTCATACCATATACATAATTGGCTCAAAATAATCATATATCCAAATGTAAGATCTAAATAGACCAAACCCTTAGAAGATAATATAGAAATACATAATTTGGGTCTTAGGTTAAACAATAACTCCTATAATTTCTAAGATATGATACTTAAAGCCCAAGAAAAGGAAATAAAAAATGAATTTATTTAACTTTGTGAGAAGTAAAATCTTCTGAGACTCAAAGTACATAATTAAAAGTAAAAAGATAATGCAAAGAATAGAAGAAAATCTTCACAATCACATAGCAGAAAACAATCTATTAGCCACAATATATAAAATATTTTACAACTCAAAAAGGCAAATATCACAATCAAATTGGTGAACTATCTGAACTGACATGTATCCAAAGATACTATAGTCACGTCTAGTAAGCACATCATATGAGGTCTAAGTCTTTTGTCATTAGGAACATGCAACTCTAAACAACCATGAGATACATTTCACAAATCTAAAGGGTATATTGCAAAAAAAAGTAAATTTAAAAAGGCAAAATATTTGTGTGATTTTGGTCATGTGACACTCTGCAATGTGAAAAAGTATACAGATAATAAGATGTTTGGTATTTACTAGGAGCTTGGAAAAGAGGCAGGTCAAATTGGTGAGGTACAGCAGATTTGCTCTAGGCAGTGAAATTATTCTGGTATCATACTGTAATGATAAATGCATGATTATATTTTAGAAATCCTAAATAACTTTATAATACAAAAAATGAATTTAAAATATACAAATTAAAAACCTCCTAGAGTAGGTGGCAGATAGCATGGGGCTATACACATAATAGAATGAAATAACACATCAGTGAAATAACCTCACTGAATGGAGTGGTGGAAAAGCAACTGACCCAAGGAACGTAGCAAGTAAGTGGATACTCTGAGTCTAAAGGGTAAAGATTTATCCCTAAAAACTTTAGTTGGTAAAGTTCTTTCTCATGGCCATATACATTTCTAATTCTGAAACCACTTATACAAGTCTTTCAGATTATGTGATTAAATAACAGAAGCATCTTTATCACTGTTAGTGTGGTAGGCTACATACAAGTAAGCGGGAATAGGTGCAGTGATTCACGTGGTACTGGATTAGATCATGGGGTGCTGGAGGATTATTAGGAATTCATGTTTAACTTAAAGATACAGATACATGATAAAATATTTGTGTGCGTGTGTATGTCTCTGTGTGTGTGTGTGTGTGTGTGTGTGAATCAGTGTACATAGATGTATTTGCTCTGTCAGCACACAAGATCACGAATCAACAGATGCCCCAGGAGCAATGAATATGCCAAGAGCCCAGATCTCCATTTCTAATTCAATTTTCCCAGAAAAAGAACTAGGTCTCTGTGAAAAAAAAAATTTTTAATACCAGGCTTGTGAGGAAATCCACACAATTAGCTTAAGCACCTAGTAGTGCCAGAAAAAATAAAACGCCAAACAACAGTGCAAACAACTAACCAACCACATAACAACAGCGAAGTTTCATTATGGTAGTCTTTCAAAATGACAAACGATCCAACTGAAAGACCTTCCAATAGCCAACAGTGCAAACATCTAACCAACCATATAACAACAGCGAAGTTTCATTATGGTAGTGTTTCAAAATGACAAACGATCCAACTTAAAGACCTTCCAATAGCCAACACTGCAACAATTTAAACAAATAAATGAAGTAGTAGAAGGAAAGAGTAAAACAAATATCCATGTTTGCATACTGATAAAAATGATTGCATAAATACAACGATGATTGGAGGAGAATAGACACTTTCAGGATGAAAGGTCCAAATAACTTTTGGTAAACATTCTGCTCATAAAGTGGAGCATTTTTTGTTTTGTTTTGTTTTTTGTTTTTCAAAATGGCAGATTGGAGACTTTGTTAGTGTGCCTCACCTGCTTAGAAAGAGCAAAATAGTATCTAGAGATTCACACTGTGAATTTGTATGCAACAAACACAGGAACTCAACAGAAAAAGTGAAAGAACCTTTTGAAAGGAGCAGCAGGCAGCAACTTGCACCATGTGTCAGATGGACAACTGAGCCTTCAGAGTGCAAAAGGAGGAGACTCTCTCTGTGTTACATTCCCACTGGGGAACCAGGCAGTCGAGGACACAGGGAAGTGCCTTAACCCTGCCCAGCACTGGAGCTGACTTACAGAGGAGGGGACCATGAAAGAAGGAGTGGCACCTGGGTGTGCTGCGTGTGCACTCCCAGATCTCAGCAGGGACAGAGGGAAGATATTCCTGACCCTAATTCACAGAAGATCTTGCAGAAATCAGCCAAGTAACCCAGGCAGCAGTCACGCACTGGAAGAAGCTCCCAACTGAGGGAGAAGCTGACCAACTAAGATTTGTATTTGATCTAATACTGAGCAGAGGATGAACCCCCTAAGACCCGAACCAAGGGGCATGCAGGAAGCTTTCTTGTGCCAGGGTCATGGGAGTTGGGTACTGCTACTTCACATGTCAAATCAAGGGGTGTGGCCTCAGAGCTACCGTTTCAGTTTCAGTCTCCAGTGGGAAGTCTTGCAGCCTGGGGCAGGTTTGTGTTCTCAGCCTAGACTGCCTGAGACTTAGCTGACTGTCGTGGGTTTTTGCCAGCAGAAGTCTGCATGTGTAAGACCTTCTGTGTCAAGGTTGTGGGAATTGACCTGCCACTTGCTACCCCTCTCTCCATGTACAGACTCTCATGTAGCAGAGGGTGTTCTCCTCCCTGGAACATTATCCCAGTGGTCAGGGAACTGTCCACTGAATCCCACTGTGGCTTCTACTTACACCCACACTTGGAGAGGCAGAGTATGGACTTTCCTGACCCAGTCCACACTCGGCTTTGCCCCTCTACCTGTCCTAGTAGCAGAACAGGAACAGTGACTTTTCAGAGTTCCGCGTCACTTCCCATCAGCTGACTACTTCCCCTGGGTAACAAAGGTTAAGCATAAATCCCACCACCGTGACTGCAGCTGGCTCTCTCCTGCAAGTGCCACCTTCTGGCCCACGGTCAACCAACACAGTCCATTACAACATCTGCTGGCACACTAACATGGTACTGGTATAAATGTAGACATACAGACCAGAGGAACAGAACAGAGACCCCAGAAATGAAGCCAAATACTTACGATTAACTGATTTTCAACAGAACAGACAAAAACATACACTGAGGAATGAACACCCCATTCAATAAAAGGTGCTGGGAAATAAGATAGCCACATGCAGAAGAATGAAACTGGATCCTTATCTGTCACCATAAATAAAAATTAACTCAAGATGGATTAAAGACTTAAATGTAAGACACGAAACCATAAAGATTCTAGAAGAAAAACTAGGAAAAAATCTTTTGGACATTAGCCTGGCAAAGAATGTTTGACTAAGACCCCAAAAGCAGCTATAACATAAATAAAAACAAATAATGGGACTTAGTGAAACTGAAAAGCTTCTGCAGAGCAAAAGAAATAATCGACAGAATAAAGAAACAACCTACAGAATGGGAGAAAATATTTGGAAACTGTCCATCCAACAAAGGACTAATCCAGAATCTTCAAGAAACACAAACAAATCAGCAAGAAAAAAATAAATAACCCCATTAAAAAGTGGGGAGATGACATGAACAGGCAAAAGAAGATACACAAATGGCCAGCAAACATATGAAAAAAAAATGCTCAACATCACTAATCATCAGGAAATGCAAATTAACACCACAATGCGATACCAATCTTACCCTAGTCAGAAGGATCATTATGAAAAAGTCAATAAATGATAGACATTGGTGTGGATGAGGTGAAAAGGGAATGCTTAGACACCCTTGGTGGGAATGTAAATTAGTACAACCTGTATGGTAAACAGTATGGAGATTTCTCAATGAACTTTTAAAAGCAGAGCTACCATTCAATCTAGCAATCCCACCACTGGGCATGGACCCAAATGAAAAGAAGTCTTTCTATCAGGCACCACCTCCAGTCTTCCTGGACCCGGCAATTCGGGGGTTTCAGGCTTGGGACAAGTGCAGGGTTCTCCATAAAGGCAGCCTCGGTAGTGCACCCGACCCCTTGCTTAAACAAATTTACAAGAGAAAAACAAACAACCCCATTAAAAAACAGGCAAAGCACCGGGCGGGGTGGCTCACGCCTGTAATCCCAACACTTTGGGAGGCCAAGGCGGGCAGATCACGAGGTCAGGCGATCGAGACCATCCTGGCTAACATGGTGAAACCCCATTTCTACCAAAAATACAAAAAATCAGCCAGGTGTGGTGGCATGCACCTGTAGTCCCAGCTACTTGGGAGGGGGAGACAGGAGAATGGCTCGAATCTGGGAGGTGGAGGTTGCAGTGAGCCGAGATCGCGCCACTGCACTCCAGCTTGGGTGACAGAGTGAGACCCAGTCTCAGAAAAGAAAAAAAAAACTAGCAAAGGATAAGAACAGACAATTTTCAAAAGACGACACACATGCGGCCAAAAAGCATATGAATAAAAGCTCAGTATCACCGATCATTAGAGAAATGCAAATCAAAACCACAATGAGATACCATCTCACACCAGTCAGAATGGCTATTATTAAAAAGTCAAAATAACAGATGCTGGTGAGGTTGCAGATAAAAAGGATCACTTACACACTGTTGGTAGGAGTGTAAGTTCATTCAACCATTGTGCAAAGCAATATGTCAATTCCTCAAAGAGCTAAAATCAGAACTACCATTCAACTCAGCAATCCCATTACAGGGTATACACCCAGAGGAATACAAATCATTCTTCCAAAAAGACACATCAACATGAATGTTCATTGAAGCACTACTTACAAGAAAAAAGACATGGAATCAACTTAAATGCCCATCAATGACAGGATGGATAAAGAAAATGTGGTACATGTGTATCATGGAATACTATGTAGCTGAAAAAAAAGAATGAGATCATGTCTTTCACAGGAACATGAATGGAGCTAGAAGGTATTATCCTTAGCAAACTAACACAGGAGCAGAATACCAAATTATCACATATTCTCACTTTTAAGTGGGAGCTAAATGATGAGAACTCATGAACACAAAGAACGGAACAAAGGACACTGGGGCCTACTTGTAAGTGAAGGGTAGAAGGAGGGAGAGGAGCAGAAAAAGTAAATATTGGGTAGTAGGCTTAGTACCTGGGTGAAAAAATGATCTGTGCAATAAACCTCCATTACACAAGATTACCTATATAACAAAACTATACATGTATCCACAAACCTAAATATATAACGTTAAAAAAATCAAAATCATATAAAAACTATAAAAACTAAAAAATACTAAACTGACCTACTTTTCAAATAAAGTTATATTGCTTGCATATAAACCATAAAACCCTATAAAAACCATAGAAGAAAAACCATAAAAACCATAAAAACCATAAAACCTATAAAAACCATAAAAACCCTAGAAGAAAACCCAGGCTTTACCATTCAGGACGTAGGCATGGGCAAGGACTTCATGTCTAAAACACCAAAAGCAATGGCAACAAAAGACAAAATTGACAAATGGGATCTAATTAAACTAAAGAGCTTCTGCACAGCAAAAGAAACTACCATCAGAGTGAACAGGCAACCTACAAAATGGGAGAAAATTTTCGCAACCTACTCATCTGACAAAGGGCTAATATGCAGAATCTACAATGAACTCAAACAAATTTACAAGAAAAAAACAAACAACCCCATCAAAAAGTGGGAAAAGGACATGAACAGACACTTCTCAAAAGAAGACATTTATGCAGCCAAAAACACATGAAAAAATGCTCACCATCACTGGCCATCAGAGAAATGCAAATCAAAACCACAATGAGATACCATCTCACACCAGTTAGAATGGCAATCATTCAAAAGTCAGGAAACAACAGGTGCTGGAGAGGATGTGGAGAAATAGGAACACTTTTACACTGTTGGTGGGACTGTAAACTAGTTCAACCATTGTGGAAGTCAGTGTGGCGATTCCTCAGGGATCTAGAACTAGAAATACCATTTGACCCAGCCATCCCATTACTGGCTATATACCCAAAGGACTATAAATCATGCTGCTATAAAGACACATGCACATGTATGTTTATTGTGGCATTATTCACAATAGCAAAGACTTGGAACCAAGCCAAATGTCCAACAATGATAGACTGGATTCAGAAAATGTGGCACATATACACCATGGAATACTATGGAGCCATAAAAAACGATGAGTTCATGTCCTTTGTAGGGACATGGATGAAATTGGAAATCATCATTCTCAGCAAACTATCGCAAGAACAAAAAACCAAACACCGCATATTCTCATTCATAGGTGGGAATTGAACAATGAGAACACATGGACACAGGAAGGGGAACATCACACTCTGGGGACTGTTGTGGGGTGGGGGGAGGGTGGAGGGTTAGCATTGGGAGATATACCTAATGCTAGATGACGGGTTAGTGGGTGCAGCGCACCAGCATGGCACATGTATACATATGTAACTAACCTGCACATTGTGCACATGTACCCTAAAACTTAAAGTATAATAATAATAATAATAATAATAAATAAAATTAAAAAAAAGAAAAAATACTAAACTCAGCTACTTTTCAAATAAGTTATATTGCTTCACAGTTGCTGTATCTTATAACAAATAATCCTAATTCCTTTCTCCTGTCCTTTGCATTATTGCTGATATCCACTTCATATATATGTGTATATATAAACATGTACACACACATATACAAACACACATGCACATGTGCATATATCTGTACACATATAGACTTATACATAAGATATATACATGGGCATATATTATTTAATAATTTTTCTATTTTTTCACGAAATTGCTTTCTCTTATAATAAACTAAGAATATAAAAATGTTACACCAATAAAAAGTTAAAATTATATATAACTGATATTTTTATAAATACGAGATGGAAAAATGTAAAATGCTCAATGAGAACCACAAAAGCCAGAAAATGAATGGAAGATGAAAATATGAAGAAGGAACAAGGACAACAAATCGAAAACATTGACAAATATGATAAATATTAATCCAACTGCATCGCTTACCACTTTGAATGTCAGTGGTCCAACTGCACCAAGTAAAAGACACAGATTTACAAAGTGAATCAAAAAACAAGACACAACTGTTATTTATAAGCCCAATCTAAATATAAAGACAAATAAAAGTAAATGAATGGAACAAAATGTACGATGCTAACTCTAATCAAAGTAAACAAGAGGAGCTATATGAATTACAGGCAGAGCAGACTTCAAATCAAGAAAAGTTATCAGGAATAAAGAAGGGCATTACATAGAGATGAAGAGCCATTCTTCCAAGAAGATGTCCTAATTCTTAAAGCCTATGAGCCTGATAACAGAGCATAAACTATGAGGCAGAAATCAAGAGAACCACAAGGAAAAAGATGAATTCAGTATTATAGTTGGAAACATTAAAACCCTATATCAGATACGGACAGATCTAGCAGGCAGTAATTCAGGAGCGAAAAGCTGAACTCAACAGCACCAACAAGCAACTGGGCATAACTGACACCTACAGTCTCCTTCCCTCAACTACTGCAGATGACACATTCTTCTTAAGCTCACATGGAATATTCAGCAAAATGTGCCACATTCTGGGACAAAAAATACCCCAACAATTTTTAAAAAGTAAATCATACAATGTCAGCTCTAAGACCACAGTGGAATTAAAATAGAAATCAAAGGATGAATGGAATGATAACTGTAATATCCCAAAACGCATTGAGATTAAACAACACACTTCCATATAATATATGGATCAAAGAAGATATCTCCAGAGAAATTTTTTTAAATTAACTAAATGAAAATAAAAACACAATTTATCAAAATTTGTAGGATGAAAGGAAAGCAGAACATATAGGCAAATAAATACCATTGAACACATATATAGGAAATGACGAAAAGACCAAAAATCTGTCATCTGTGTTTCCACCTTTGGAACCTAGAAAAGGAAGAATATATTAAATCTAAAGTCAGTAAAAGAAAAGCGATAACGTTGTTAACAGACTAAAACAAAGGAAAAGTTAAAGCAACTGGATTTTTCAAACACATATTATCTTAATAGTTCTCAGAACACAGAGGCACCCAAAATTAACAGGGCAAACAAAGCACCCCAACACCCCCCTTGCTTACGGGCATGCAGCCATGACCCCCTCAGAAATGGGAACCTCAGGATTTAGAAATGATCAGTCTCGGGCTACTGAGGCCGGGCAGTATCATTTCCTCCGAAGTCACGCTGTACATTTTAGAATAGCTAAATAATAGATTTTTAGTGTTCTCACCATAAAGTATTAGCTGGTGAGTTGATGCCCATGTTAATTAGCTTGATTGAATCTTCCCCAATGAATACAAGAATCAAAATATCACACTGTTATCCATAAATATACGCAATGTGTCAACTAAAAGTTTTGGTAAATTCTGTATCTATGAATAATTCACAGATAGGAAACGTAGGTAAGTAACAATTGTTATGTCCATAATATAAAAGGGCATATGTGACAGAAAGCAAGCTTTTTAAATGTACGTTACGGTCTGGGAAACACGGAGAAATCCTGACGTTTGAAGAAGAACAAACAGGGACGACGACACAGGCAGGCACCGCCTCAGGAACAAGCGCGCTTCGCGGAGAAGCTACCAGAAAGCCCAACGCGGACCCGGCAGACATCCGCCCTGAGTTCCCCTGTAGATCTCACCGCCCTCTCCCCCTGTCAGCCGCGCCCTCTGATCACCGCCCTCCACCTTCCTCCCTCACTCCCTGTCAGCCTCGCCCTCCACCCGCGGCCCTCACGCCCCACGTGGGCCTGGCTCCCGCCCCCAAGCCCAGCCTGCGCGGCAGCCTCCGGTTCCCCTCACTGCGCAGCTGCGACCCCCGCACCCGCACTTCCCTTCAGGCTGCTCCCAGCCTCACCTGTGTGGGCGCCAGGTGGAGAGGAGCCTGCAGATCTGAGTTTTCTGGTCCATGGAGCCCACCTACATCTGCAAAAGGACGGAGGGGGCAGAAACCTGCCCTGGCGGGGAAGTGAGGGTCTGAGCGATGGAGAAAAGGCGGCGAACAAGAGCAGCCCCATGAGCCCTGCAGTCAGGCAGCCGGGGGTCCTCTTTGCTCTTCTCCACCCTCCTTTCTCCCAGACCCACACCCCACTGACTTAGCCCAGGAGCCTCCCCAGGGGACAGGGCCCACTCACTCCTCAATGTCCTTCCCATAGGCTGAGCTCATGGGCTGGGGTAACATCTCAGGGAACCAAACCGACATTCGAATCCCTCCCCACAGAGCGCAGTCCTCAGGGATCAGCCCTCCCTGCCTCCCCTGCCCAGTCCCTCCATGGTCTGCCCTTCCTGCTCCTGCGTCCTCACCAATTACTCATCCCAGTGGTCCTAGAAAATCCACCGTCCTCTTCTCATGGCCTGGCCTGTGCCAGGCACACACGTTTTCCTCCTCGCTTTCCCTCCCCTGTCTCCTGGACCCACTGCGCCTCACTCTCCAGCATCTCCTCCAATGTTCCTCCTCCTGGAGGCTTCCCCTGTCCATCCCACCCCAGGCCTGAAACCTGTCCTCTCAGTTCCCAAGGGCAGCTCTTCCACCTTACAGTTTAATTTTTGTCAAGTTTTCTGAAACCCTATTGGACAGAAGCATCACAGAACATGGCAACTTTGTCTATGGTGTCTCTGAGCCCCACACATGTCCTGGACAAAAAGCAACTCTGAAAATTCTCTGGTAATCTATAAAAGTATAAATCACTTTTAAAATATTATTATCTGATGAAAGAAAATAAATTGAAGTTCCCACTTCTTTTCTACAGACGATAATCGGAAAACATTTGCTGTGTGGAGTTGTATGCACAAATTTTCGGAGTGGCTTTTTTTTTTTTTACTGAAGAAGCAATTTTGGTATTTACTCATCAAAGAGTAAGAGAAGAATACACACCTATATTATGAGCCATAAGTATAAGGAAATGCCTTGCAGACGTTTACAAATACTATGTAGAAGGAATCAGACATTCAAGCCAGTATCTATAAATTTCAGGTAAAAGAAAAACAATATGCTGAAGTTTATTCGTGCATATTAACAAAATAACTGGTCTTTGTGTGCTGGGAGTCTTGATGTACCATCTATTCAAATTAATGCGTTTGAACCTTGCAAATTAGAAGAAACTACGCCACATACACAACCCTTTTTAAATATGAGTCTCTAGCAAATTTTGTCTTGTGGTTCCTAGCAAACTTTCTGCACCTCTTCAACTAGAAGTATTTCAGAGGAAATTTGTGGAAAACAATTATAGAGAATGGGTGATGTTTCCATTAATTTAATGGAGTGATAAATTATTAAAATAAAGATATTTTGAAAAATGATTATGAATAATTAAAATAAAAGGCATTAATATGCAATAAAAAATTTAAATTTGGTCATACATGATGTTTATGTGATGATAAAAAGTACGTTTACACAGAAAGTGTCAAAGGCCTTTGCACACCAAAACAAACACCATTTCATTTGTTCAAAACAAATTCTGTGTCATTTGTTTTCAGACAGCAAACAGAATGATTCTTTGACACACTCAGTCTTTCCAAGAAATAACCAAGTTCCCGAACCAACACCAGAAGTAGAGCAAGAAAATGTTGGTGTTTCCCATGAAGACACCACAGAGACAGACTCAACTCTCCTGCATCTACTTAGGCACTGTCTTGGATAGGCGTGGTGTGGAGGAGGTAAACTTATCTAGTGAGTTGTCTGTGTCTGTGCAGGAAGCACCCAGGGATGTTTGTTTTGGAAAAATACAAAAGTATGCATTTGGTTGTACATGATGGCTATGTGACCAAGAAAAGAGTGTTTTCTTTGTGTTTAATACAAAAGTTTTAAACACACTTGTACACAAAACCAAAAACCAAGATGTAACTTTACAGTGCCAGGACTCAAGGGGAAATGTGCCATTGGTCAGAAAGAAGAATGATTATTTAACAAATTCAAGCTCATACAAAATAACTGAATTCCCCACCCCACCCAACAGGGAGCTCCTCCCCTTGTGCATGCAGACCCCACAGAGAGGTTCTGAGCTCAGAGGCGCCCTGCTGGTCCTGCCTTTGATGTGCATCATCTGGAGGAGGAGACCCATGTCCACAGCATCATCTACAGCAACGCAGGAGGCACCCAGGGCTGCATCTCCAGGTTTTCCCACCACTTGCTGTTGTTGAAAGTATGAAATACATAAACTGAAGAATGGTGTTCATGGATCTTATAAGATTAACCAAGACATTACAGACATAAGAGACAACAGTGATATTCTGAAACTCTAAAGCCACTGATGGATTCAAAGTCCAGCTGAGAGTATTGGTGTAGGTGAAAGGCATGGAGATTTTTAATCTTTCACTTCATTATGGAAAAGCACACTCAATAAGAGAATGGTCACAAAATTATTGTATTAAATGAAGTCTGTTAGCAACTAAGAAACTGTTGCATTTGCACAGAGACAGGGGAATAAACCAATGAAGAAAGAAAACAGCATAAATACAGACGTGTATATATGAACAAATCATTTGTAAGTCAATAAATGGGGACAGATCAATTTTTCTAAAACTATTCAAAAAACTGAATATTCACAAGGGAATTAAAATCTGACCTTTAACTTCATTTTACACACAAAATCAGGTGGATCACAGACATTATATATATATATATATTTAGTACAGTATGTAGAACACGTAAGAAAATATCTTTGGGACTATGTGGTAGGGTAAGATGCCTGAAACTAGACCTAGAAAGCACTAATTATATAAGAAAATATTCTACATATTATACATAGTTGACTTGAGCAACGACTTTGGATACAGACTGAATCAAACTCAAAGCACTTTTAATCCTTTCATGTAGTGCTTAGTCTCAGATTCAGAACTGGCCCGTGGCAGTGGTAACAGTGCTCACTTCTTGAGATGTCAGGTGGGTTTGTATAAAATAATATATAAAGCATGTAGTATAATATCACATCTATACATATCATTAAGACTAATTTTTATAATAAATTGTGAGATTTATCTTTTAGATTTATATATCAGAATGAAATAATAAAACCACTAATAAATAATGGAGCAAATATTTCTAATTAGAGTTTTATAATTATTTTATAAACTTTTCTCGACTAACACGTTTATATTTGTCTTATATCATTCCTGTGATTACATGAGACAGAACATATATGCAAAATACGTTTACAAAGGTACTGCTAACACTTATTTCATTCAGAACAAACTCTCTGAATCACTTTCAACTCATCTTGTCCATGATTTTCCCCACAATATCATCATCTGTGCTAATCACAAGCATCAATGTTGCTACATTTCTCATGGGACTCCTACACTACTCTATGTAAGTTTATCTTTCCAGTCTCCTGACACCCTTCTGTAAGTTTTGATGCTTGATGTAATTACCCAAAGATGTCTTTGGGGAGGTTTAGACCAAGTTCATGTGTGTGTGCCTGAGGACAACCACATCATACGGCTTTCTGGCAATAATGTTATAACCCTTTCAAACAGAAGATGCATCTCTCTTTAAAAGATGTTAAAATGTATACCAAAGAATTGTTTACACACTTTTTCTCTGTGACTGCCCACTTCTCACTGTTAAATCATGGTGGCTGAGGCAGGAGAATCGCTTGAACCCCGGGGGCAGAGGTTGCAGTGAGCCCAGATCGCGCCAGTTCACTCCAGCCTGGGCAAAACAGCGAACTCCGTCTCAAAAAAAAAAAAAAAAAATCATGGTGGCTAATGTGCTATATTTTAGTCTGTTATTAAGTAAACATTGTTGTATATATTTTCACATTAATTTACCAACTATATTTACATTCTACTTAGTTATTAGAAATTTTAGACTTATTAGTGAAGTGCTGTAATTGTTTTATAAACTATGGTTCAAGAAATCTGTTGATGAGGAAGATATAAATTGTAGAGAGACACTTGAAATTTTTCCTGAAGTGCTAGTTTTCTAAAGACTAAGGAAAATCTATATTTAAAAAATTGTGTCCTAAAGTTAGAAATATAACCAATGATCCCTGCAAGCTATATTACAAATTTAATTCTTTAATCTATAACATTCTTGATCTCTGTTTTTCTTCATTCTCATTCACCCTTTTAATCACACAAATGGTGATAATATATAGTCACTGTAGAAGCAGATGCACTGTGATTGTCATAAAATGCTTTGTTCTGCCCCCTTGCTACTCTGGCAAAGTCTACTTTTGGACACTTGGATATTGAAATTAGTTTTCCTGTTTCCTTGGGAAAATATTAAGTGAAGAAGAAACTCATACAATTCATAATTTAGGACTTTGACTGAAATTTCACCTATAGTTTTAGACTCCAGGAAGGTTGAATTACATGAACATGAAGTAATGATGTTAAATATATGAGCCATTCATCCACTGAACTACAACTCCTAATCAGGCTAGAGTGTGGAGACAGCATATTGGAGCATTTGTCTTAGATTGTGGTCTAACACTTGCGTTTGTTTGCAGTGACATCTTTTTCAGAATTGCAGTGGCCTTTGTGAATTTAGTGGCTTAGTATATTGTGGGAAATCATGCCTTCCATGCTATTAAAGCACTTGTTTGGGCACTCAGTGCTCAGCACTCTGCCTGTGTCCACGCCAATATGGCAGTAGAGTTTTGTGTATATTGCCTGTTTTCCTTTAAACTTGAGAACTCAGAGCTCAATTATTGTGACCACCATGTGGTAGTCCTCATAACTCATGTCCAGGTCTAACTGTGGCTCATGTCTGTTGCTCTGGCCATTTTTGGGTCCATTTACTGGTGGGCACAATATTCACAGTATGCATCATAATAGATCAAAAAGTATGCATTAAAATGAAGATAAACAGAAGATCTGTCATTTAAGTATTGTACTATAGTATCTTCAGTTAAAATTTTAAAAAATTGAATAAACCTCCTTTAAGATGTCAAGTTTAAAAGAGGAATCGTGTCTTAAAGAGTAAAGTACATGGAACTTGTAAGACTTGGAAGGTTTCTTAAAGTACAGATGCTCAAATAACAGCACCTAAATCACTTCTATGCTGATATCAGAAGTGAAAAATGTGGTCAAGGTCAGTCATATCTCTCACTCTAGGTCTCCAGGCTGCAAGATCTCATTTTCTCATATAAACTATGAATGTGCTATAGAGAATATGCCCCATGTTTATGGACCATCATAAAGGCAATAGTCTTGGCTTTGTCTATGTCTGTGTGAGTGCAGCATGCAGATTCATGGCTTGGTATGCTTTGTAGGCATGGGTCTTTGGCACAACCCTGTTCCTAACACCGCAGAGTGCTGTGAACTACGAACAGGGACCTATGTGGGGGACAGCTGGACAGTTCTTCCTGCTATGAGATTCTTTGTTTAGCCAGAACATGTGCAGAGTCACCATTTAGCCTGGGTCCTTCTCTTAGATCACTGCATGGTGGAGGGAGATCTGTTACATACTGCTTTTTCTTGTATCTACTGAGCTTTCTCCAGCCATACACAGCATATACTGAATCACTCACATGACTTCACCTGCCAAAAACCAGTTGTCCACAGATTCATATGGAGGTCTTAGTAAGCAAGCACTGTCATCAACCACCATATTTAGAAGCATTGTTTGTGTGCCCTACTCACCTGCTGTCATGATGACATTTATTCTGTGGTCTTTGACCTTGGAAATGGACAATATAATTCCAAGATGTGAAGAGCAACAGAATATATGGTTCCAAATAATTCATGACAAGAGAAATAGAAATTATCACAGTGATCTGATAATCAGTTGAAGAACAAATCCCTGTACCAAGGGAATTAAAACACTCTGCTGATTGTAGAAATACAATTTGTGTTCCCTGTCACTGACATTTTGCAATATTGGCTTCTAATGTCCAGCAGTCATTTTTTCCAGAAAGGCTTTAGTGGAATTATGTGAATAAACTGCCAGACAATGTCTGAAAATGGGGCGTCCTGGGATATATGAGGAACAGGCACCTCTCTCTGAAGAAGTGGTTACTGACACTTGAAATGGTCCTGGATAATCAGTAGCATGATTTCAAAGACAAAAATGGATGACAGTCCCTGGAGCTAACTGTGTTTAACTGAAGCAGGTGCACCTGGGTTCGGAATGGTGGCTAGATTATGAAAGCTCTGCTGCTGTTCTTTCCCTACTTGCCCACCCCATCTCCTGAAACCAAGCTAATGTGCTTGTGTCTTTTTGTTGGTTTTTGTTTTGCACCAAAATATTATTTAAAAATTATTTTGAAATCATATTTGACTTACAGAAGGACGTATATATAGTGCAGAGCGTTTCATATACCTTTCAGCTTAAAGGAATGTTAACATGTTATATAACCATAGACTATTCATGAAAACTGAGAAATTGACAGTGATATAAAACTATCAATGGAACTACAGACTTTCTTCATAGTTTTCTTCAGGTTTCCAATAATGTCACTTTTCTATTCCAGTATCTAATCTAGGATACCACATTACATTTAATGCAAGGTGTATTACTTAGCTATTGTTGTATAGCAAATTCCCATACAGCTTAGTGGCTGAAAAGCACATACACATTACTCATAGTTTCTCTTGGTCAGGAATCTAGATGCAGAAGATGGCCAAGGCTGAAGTCTCCCCTGAAGGCTCAGCTGGGGAAGGATCCTCCCCAGGCTCACATGATTGTTGTTAGGATTTAATTCTGGTTCCATGTTAAGATGACTTCACTAGGAAATTATTTCATACTTTTAAAGAATAAATACAAATTCATTATGAATTCTCTAAAAACATTAAACAACAGCAATGACAGTGGTGAACAGATCACTTCCCAATGCACACTATGTGGTATTTCATCCTCATACCACAATTAGACCAAAACACTTCAAGAAAGGAAAATTAAGACCAATATGTCTTATGAATAAAGAGGCAAAAATCCTTAAGGAAATAATAGCAAAACAAGTCAGCAACATGCAAAAAGTATCATACACTATGGCTAAGGGTATTTCCTCAGGAATGCAAATTTTGTTCAGCATACAATTCATGCACTGTGGATGGATTCTGTGACAAGCTGACATCATTGACATCAACAGGCAAGTTAAACTCCTCCCTCACAGTATATGCATAAATAGTTCAAATTAGTCACTGATGTGGTTTGGACTTGTGTTCCTGCCCAAATCTCACGCCATATTGTAATCCCCAATGTTACAGGAGGGGTTTGGGGGGAGGTGATTGGATAATGGGGGAAGATTTCCCCTTGCTGTTCTCATGACAGTAAGTGAATTTTCATGAGATATCATTATTTAAAAGTGTGTAGGACCTCACCCTTCTTTCTCCTCTTCATTCTCAGACCATAAAAGATGTGCCTGCTTTCCCTTCTCCTTCTGCCATGATTGTAAGTATCCTGAGGCCTCCCCAGCCATGTTTCCTCTACAGCCTGCAGAACTATGAGTTAATTAAACCTCTTTGCTTTATAAATTACCCAGTTTCAGGTAGTTCTTTATAGCAATACAAGAACAGGCTAATACAGAAAATTGCTACTGGGAGTGGGGCATTGCTATAAAGATACTTGAAAACGTGGAAGTGACTTTGAAACTGGGTAATGAGCAGAGGTTGGAACAGTCTGGAGGGGTCAGAAAAATACAGGAATATGAGGAGAAGTTGGAACTTTCCAGAGACTGGTTAAATTGTTGTGACCACAATGCTGATAGTGACATGGGCTATGAAGTCCAGGCTGAGGTGGTCTCAGATGGAGATGAGGAACTTACTGGGAACTACAGTAAGGATCACTCTTGTTATGTTAGCACAGAGACTGTTGGCATTGTGCCCTTGCTCTAGGGATCTCTGGAACTTTGAATTGGAGACTGATGATTTAGGGTATCTCGTAGAAGAAATTGCTAAGCACAAAGTGTTCAAGATGTGGCCTGGCTGCTTCTAACAGTGTATTGTCATAGTGTGAGCACAGTGATGCTATGAAACTAAAACTTATATTTAAAAAACAGGCAGAGCATAAAAGTTTAGAAAATTTGCAGTCCAGCCATTTTGTAAAAAAGAAAAACCTGACCAGGTGCTGTGGCTCATGCCTGTAATCCCAGCACTTTGGGAAGCTGAGATGGGTGGATCACAAGGTCAGGAGTTCAAGACCAGCCTGGCCAATATGGTGAAACCTCGTCTCTACTAAAAATACAAAAATTAGCCTGGCATGGTGGCACATGCCTGTAGTCCCAGCTACTCAGGAGGCTGAGGCAGAAGAATTACTTGAACCTGGGAGGTGGAGGTTGCAGTAAGCTGAAATCGCACCACTGCATTGCAGCCTGGGCGACAGAGTGAGACTCCGTCTCAAAAAAAAAAAAAAAAAAAAGAATCCATTTTCTGGGGAGGAATTCAAGCCAGCTGCAGAAATTTGCATAAGAGGAGCCAAATTAGCAGGGCGTGGTGGCTCATGCCTGTAATCCCAGCACTTTGGGAGGCCGAGACAGGCGGATCATGAGGTCAGGAGATTGAGACCATCCTGGCTATCACAGTGAAACTGTGTCTCTACTAAAAAATACAAAAAATTAGCCAGGCTTGGTGGTGGGTGCCTGTAGTCCCAGCTACTCGGGAGGCTGAGGCAGGAGAATGGCGTGAACCCTGGAGGCTGGAGCTTGCAGTGAGCCGAGATCGCACCATTGCACTCCGGCCTGGGCGACAGAGCGAGACTCCGTCTCAAAACAAAAAAAAAAAAAGAGGAACCAAATTTTAATATCCAAGACAATAAGGAAAATGCCTCAAAGCCACTTCAGGAACCTTCCCATCAGCCCCTCCCATAATAGGCACAAAAGCCTAGGAGAAAATAATCATTTCAAGCGCCAAGTCCAAGGCCTTGGTGCCCTGTGCAACCTGGAGCCACTGCTTATCACTGTGCCCCAGCGGCTCTAGCTCCAGCTCTGACTAAAAGGTCCCCAGATACATATCAGGCCACTGCTCCAGGAGGTGCAAGCCATAATCCTTGGCAGTTTCCACTTGGTGTTAAGCCGGAAGGTACACAGAGGGAAAGAGTTGAGGCTTGGGAGCCTCTGCCTAGATTTCAGAGAATGTATGGAAATGCCTTGATGCCCAGGCAGAAGTCTGCTGCAGTGATGGAGCCCTTAGGGAAAACCTGTATTAGGACAGTGCAGAGAAGAAGTACAGAGTTGGAGCCCCCACAAAGCGTCTCCACTGGGGGCCTAGTGGAACTGTGAGAAGAAGGCCACTGTCCTCCAGACCCCAGAGTGGTATATCCACCAACAGCTTGCACTATGTGCCTGGAAAAGCCACAGGCACTCAATGCCAGCCCTTGAGAGCAGCCATGGTAGCTAAGCCCTGCCAAGCCAGAGGGTCAGAGCTGCCCAAGGCCTTGAAAGCTCATCCCTTGCATCAGTGTGGCCTGGATGTGAGATACAGACTCAAAGGAGATCAGTTTGGAGCTTTAAGATTTAATGACTGCCCTGCTGGGTTTCAGACTTGCATGGGGCCTGTTGCCCCTCTGTTCTAGCTGATTTATAACTTTTGGAATGAGGGTATTTACCCAATGCCTGTACCCCCATTGTATATTGAAAGTAATAACTTTGCTTTTGATTTTACAGGCTCATGGGTAGAAGGGACTTGCCTTGTCTCTGATGAGACTTTGGACTGTGGACTTTTGAGTTAATGCTGAAATGAGTTAAGAGTTGGGTGACTATTGAGAAGCAATGATTGTATTTTGCAATATGAGAAAAAACATGTTATTTAGAAGAGGCCAGGGGCAGGATGATATGGTTTAGATTTGTGTCCCCTCCCAATCTCATGGCAAACTGTAATCTCCAATGTTGGAGGAGGGGCCTGGTGGGAGGTGACTGACTCATGGGGGTAGATTCCCCCTTGCTGTTCTGGTGATAGTGAGTTATCACAAAATGTGGTTGTTTAAAAATGTGTGGCACTTCCCTCTTCTATCTATTCCTCCTTCTCTAGCCATGTAAGATGTGCTCACTTCCCCTTTGCCTTCCACCATGATTGTAATTCTCCCCAGTCATGCCTCCTGTACAACCTGTAGAACTGTGGATATATTAAACCACTGTTCCTTATTAACTACGCAGTCTCAGGTAGTTCTTTATAGCAGTGTGGGAACAGACTAATACAATCATACATCTAAATAGCCAAAACTAAAAACAGAAACAAATTGTTTAACAAAAACAATGGTTTCTAAGATATGACAACTAATGCACAAGAGGAAGGAGAAAATAGATATATTGAAAAATCACTAATAAAATATATCATAATTTAAGGTACATAATAAAAGAATAAAAATTTAAAAATGGGAGAAAAGTCTTTGTATGTCAAATAGCCAATAAGAATTTATAATCCAGAATATACTACAACATCTTACAACTCAAAAATCCAAAGACAAATGCTCCAATCAAAAATAGAAAATTTGAACAATCATGTCTCCAAATAAGCTATAGTAATGTTTAATAAGCATATGGAAAGATGCTCAATGCCTCTGTCATTAGGGAAATGTAAATCCCAACCAGAAGATATCCTTTACTAACCCAAAAGGCATATTACTAAGTCCAAAAAGCAATTTGGAAAAAGCAAAATACTTTTTTAAAAAATATATGACACTCTAGAAAAGGCATAAGTATAAAGACAGTAAAGAGTTTATTGGTTACCCGGGTCTCAGCAAAAAGGAAAGACAAATCTGTAAAGATAGAAAATTTCTCTTTGTATATTATTATGTATGCTACTGTAACGTGGATAAAAGGTACAGTTTTTCAACTCCCAGAAAACTTTATAACACAAAGAGTGAAGCTAAAAGTATGTAAATTAACAAAATAACTTATTTAGTAGATAGGAACAGTCCAGGAAGAAATGCAGAGAAAATACTTTATACAAATCTATGAAATAATCCACTGAAGGAAGGGGAAAAATAAGCCTTCCTAAGCAACTTGCATAATAAGTGCAGATTCTGTCTAAAGGCTAAAGGATTTATACATAAGCAGTTGGTATACATAAACAGGTGGTAAGGGTGTTTCTCATGGGGTTGTGTGTTTCTTATTCTGAAACCACTATGCCTGCATTTTCAGGTGGTTAAATATTACAGTGGTAGGCTACATATAGATTAGTGAGATGGGTAGACAGATTCACATGGTGCTGAATAAGATCGTGTGGGACTGAGGACGCTGCAGGAATTCATGTTTAATTTAATGCAGATACATATGGAGACTTGTAGAAATTTGTAAACATATGTGTATATTTACTCTTTGCTCTGTTAGCTAGGAAGGCCTCCAATCAACACGTTCACCAGTAACAATGTGTACAACCAATGAGTGCCCAAATCTTCATTTTAAATTTCATTCTCCAACAAAAAAGGTAGGGATCTGTGAAAAAAAGGTCAATAATTGACTTGAACAGGGACTAAATACAATTAGCCTGGAGTATCTAGTGGTGATCAAACAACAAAATGCTCAACAACAATGCAACCAATGAATCAGCCACATAACAATATTAAATCTTAAATATGGTGGTATTTCAAAATGACAGGAGACTCAATTGAAAGACTTTCTGATGGCATTCAGTCTCATACTGAGTGTTTAAACAAGGTTTTCTCTGGTTTGAGCATTTTGGACTTAGACTATGGTACCCAAAAAGCATCCCAGGATCTCCAGCTTTACATGGCATGTGGTGGAAACGGTCAGCCTCCATAATCCTATGATTCAGTTCCCCTAAAAATCTATCTATCTATCTATCTATCTATCTATCTATCTATCTATCTATCTACCTATCTACCGCTAGCTAGCTAGCTCCTACATATCTATCCTATTGCTTCTGTTGCTCTAGATAACCCTGACTAGTATAGATTTTGGTAGTAAGAACAGTTGTATAGGAAGAGAATTTTAAGGATGAGTGTCCTTAATCAAATTTGGGGTTTCTAGAATTGGCTTTCTAATCTGATTGGACCTAAATTCTAAGAACTGTACTTCTAACAGTAGAAAGAGCAATGACAGTCAATGACATGAACTGTTTTTAGAGATCCCCAAAATGTCTGCATTTGATGCTCTTAATTAAACACTGATAAGAGGCAAGGTACTTGTTTACTCTGTATGTAATACAGACATTTGCATAAAACCATGGAACATAATGATGACGGGTTTGTTGCTTCTAATTTCACTAGGAAATTTGATGAAAGACAATAATGAGCTTAGGGATTCAATTTTGCAGAACCAGCTCCACATACACAGCCTAAGAGTTTCTACCTGTGCTCTGAGCCAGAAAACTCTCTTGTAGCCACAGGGAAGTATTTGCTAAAAGTCAAACACAAGCCCTTATCATGCCACTGGCTGAATTACAAGAAACACTGAACTCCTCAGTCTGGCAGGGTGTCTACTGTTGAAGTGGAAGTTGAGAAAGAATAGCATCCTGTAACTTGGGATGAGGATGGATGGGAAGACTGATGTGGCTGGGGACACTGATCTCCTAAATTCTAATGAGTTTTTATTGCCAGCAGAAGTAGCCTCCTTACAGCCACCCTTGGCAATGGCCTTCTCACACAAAGTGATGTAGGCCTTTCCATATGTGTCTGAGTAGCTTACAGCTACAATGCCTAAGGAAACGGTAATGGCTTCCCCTGAAGCAGCTGTCAAACAATACACTGCTGATTATCTTCAAGACCCACCCCTGACCGCTGTGTTTCTTCTAGACTCATGGTGAGACTAAAGTTACAACATGCCCATGAGGAGGTGTGATATATGTGAAAAAAGCTACCTGAGCTTTCTAACTAATGCAAACAGAAATCTGAAGACCCTATGTGGAAATAAAGATTATGGCTGTGGATAGCTGGGTGTGGTGGCTTGTACCTGTAGTCCCGGCTACACGGGAGGCTGAAGTGGGATGAATGCTGGAACCCAGGTGTTTGAAGCTACAGTGAGTGATGACTGTGCCACTGCACTCCAGCCTGGCCAAAGGAACAAGACCTCATCTGTAAGAAACCAAAACAAGAAAAAAAAAAAAGCGTTGATAACAGTAGAAGGAATATAAACTTGAATCGGTCCAAATTTAATGATATGGGGCCATTAAGCAGATATTCCGGTTTAATGTTGCAGCTTGGGTATTTAAGGATGGTATTAGTAGTTTTATGACAGGTTGGCTGAAGTATAGTTCAACAGATGTATGACCATGAGCAAGTCGGTGATTCCCCCATCTTCCCTGTATTATGTTGGATGAAGGAATTCATAGGCCTAGGGAGATAGGAATGCTAGAATGGATCTGCCGTTTAAAAGCAACTTACAGCAGGGCATGGTGGCTCATGCCTGTAATTCCAGCACTTTTGGAAGCCAAGACAGGTCCATCACTTGAGGTCAGGAGTTTAAGACCAGCCTTCACACCTAGGGTTAAGTGACGAGTTAATGGGTGCAGCACGCCAACATGGCACATGTATACATATGTAACTAACCTGCACGTTGTGCACATATACCCTAAAACTTAAAGTATAATAAAAAAAATTGAAAAAAAAAGAAAAACTCATTCTAAAATTCAAATGGAAAAAAAAAAAAAAAAAGACCAGCCTTGCCAACATGGTGAAACCCCACCTCTACAAAAAACTACAAAAATTAGCCAGACATGGTAGCACACACCTGTTGCCCCAGCTACTCAGGAGGCTGAGGCCGGAGGATGGTTTGAATCCAGGAGGCAGAGTTTGCGGTAAGCTGAAATCATGCCACTGTACTCCAGCCTGGGCAAAAAAAGTGAGACTCTGTTTCTAAATAAATAAAAAAATAAATGCAACTTACCCATATTGATAGACTCCAGAAAACATACTGTTTATCAGGACTTTGTTAGGTAGATTTGTGTGGGGAGGCTGGGTACAACTGAAGAGCTCCCTGATCTCTCTTCTCTGTAGACCAGACCTTAATACAGAAACCACAGTACACCAACTGGAAAATCAAAATGCAAGGGGAATAACCGAGTTTCAGGGAATCTTGGGAGCAAGTAGCAACATTCGATCTTCAAAGGCAAGGTTGGCATAGTTATGTCAATGGACAGCAAAGGCGAAGCAACAATCAGGTTCATCTGATTCCTATAGATTTATGTTGCTGGCTAGTTTATAATAGTGTTCTTGGAATTGAAGTACACAGGTAGCCTACTAAAGGCTTACTTGATTTGAAGAAGCAGAAAATCTTTAGATCAAATGAACAAGATTCTACCTCAAATCCTAAAAACCAGAGACTCAAAGAACCTCACTCAATTCTCACAATTGAGCGAGTTTACAATCTCAGAACCCCTTGAAAGGAGCAGCAGCCCAGTCCTCTTGAAGTAGGACACAAGTACACTACCAAAATGTTATAGTTTATATTTCTGCTATCCTTCCTAAAAGGAACCTACAATCACTTACTAGAGTAATGACAGCAGCAGGAGGTAGACACATCCTTAGGCAGATATGGGCCGCTCCCCGATGAAACCCCACCTTCAAACCAAAGACTGTTTAAAGCCTGAAAGCCAAGCTCCAAGACTCAGATAAATCCACAGACCATATTGGGAAGCTCCTCGTTTGGCACACTTTCCTCTGATTGGTCCCCACCCTTCACCTACTTTACATATACCTACTCTTTCCTAATTTTCTTTTTTTTTTGGCACCATTGCACCCACCTTTGAGTGGTCGCTTATTTTACCATTTTATGCATTCTCACAAACCAATCAGCATGCACTCCCCCATTCTGAGCCCATAAAAGCCCTGGACTCAGCCACACTTGGGGACTACCTGCCTCTGGGTGGGGAGGACCACCTGCCTAATGTATTCTCTCTACTGAGAGCTGTTCCATCACTCAATAAAACTCTTCTCTGCCTTTCTGACACTTTGACTGTCAGTGTAACCTCATTCTCCTTGGACATGAGAACTCAGGAACTGCCAAACAAATGCGAGTACAAAAAAGCTGTAATACTGTGGCCCTCCACACTCTGCCGGTACCCACCAACCACTGCACATGATGGGAAGCTGCAGGAGGGCTGGGCCAGCTCTAGAGTCATGAGTCAGAGTGAGGCAATGGTACTGAACGAGCTGTAGCATGCTATAACACCCACTTTGGGACTTTGGGGTTACTGATGTCTCCGAGTTTTTTGGGTGCCACTGCATTCCCCTCATCCAGATGCCAGTGCCCAAGGTGAAGCAGTTTGTGGCAGGCCCAGCCCAGCTGCAGGCTAAGCATGGATCTCACAGCCAGTGTGGGATCCAGGGCAGAGTGCAAGCTAGGTGCCATCTGGAAGGGTGAGAGGGCAGGGTGCCTCCTGCAGTGAGTCCGAGGTGGAGGGAGGCCTGAGCAGGGGCATCGCCAGCCATGGAAGTCTCCAGCTGGTTTTAAGTGGCACTGAAAATCATCCTTCAGTAACTGTGCTTTAATAAAATAAATTTTGAGGATCACTGGACACTGACTCTGCACTTGACATTGATTCCAGGAGACCCACAGTAACCCTGTAGCCCACTAATTAGAGTACCTTCTTATAGAGGTCAGGTGATTAATGGAGTTTTAGCTCATGTCTGACTCACAGTGGGTCTGGTGGGTCCCTGAAGCCATTCTCTGATAATTTTCCAGTTCCTGATGCATAATCGGAATAGAAACACATAACAGCTGAAAGAATGCCCATATTGGTAGCCTAACCAATGAGAACAATTAGGGTGAGAAAGCACAAATGCAATCCAAGAGAGATGCTTCTATCTAGGAAAATATTAAATCAAAAACATAACTGCATCTTTGGAGGAATTTAAGACATTAGTGCCACCATCACGGACTTGGAAGATGCAAGAATGGTTATTTTCACCACATTCCCATGCAACTCTCCTATTTGGCCTATGCAGAAGATAAATGGATACTAGATAATGACAGTATATTCCCAGAAGCTCAATCAAGTATCAACTAAAATTGAAGTTGTTATACAAAATGTTGTTTCATTGTTCCAGCAAATTAACACATTTCCTGGAACTGGTATGTAGCTACTGATCTAGTGAATGCTTTATCTCTATCTCTGTCCATAAGTTTCAAAAGAAGTTTGTTTTCAGATGCCACAGACAGCACTAAACCTTAACTGTCCTACCTGAGGAGTATATTAACCATCTATCCCATGTCACAAACAGAACACTTCATTAACTTCCCTTCCACAGGTATCACATTGGTCCATTTCATTGATGGGATAATGGTGATTGGACCAAGTGAATGTCAAGTAGCATTTACACTTAGCATACTCATAAAATATTTTTATGTCAGACAATATATTATGACATAATATGTGGGCAATATATTTAACTGAAATTCTGTTAATATATATTGTGGGCAATATATATTATGTGGGCAATATATTTAACTGAATATATATTATGTTAATATATATATTCAGCCCACAGAAATATATTATGTGGGCAATATATTTAAATGAAATTCAGAGGCCTTCTACATTAGTGAAATTTGTAGATATCCAGTGGTGTGGAACATTTTGAGGTATTCCTTCCAAAATAAAGTAAAATTGGTTGCATCTGGTCTCACCAACAACCAAGAAAAAGGCACAAGGCCTAGCGGGCCTATTTGGATTTTGGAGGCAACAATTTTGTCCTTTGGGTGTGTTACTCTGGCCCATCTACCAAACAACTCAAAAAGCTTCTAGGTTTGAGGGGGCCCAGAACACAAGACTTCAGCAGTACAGGCTGCCATGCAAGCAGCTTTTCCACTTAGGCCATATAATCCAGCAGATCCAACAGTACTTGAGGTGTCAGTGGCAGATAGAGATGTTCTTTGGAGTCTTTCTTAGGCTCCCACAGGTAAATCACAGTAGAGGGTCTTCAAATTTTGGAGCAAGGCACTGCCCTTATCCACAGATAAATACCCTCTTTTTCAGGGTCAGTTTGTGTCCTACCACTGGGTTGTAATAAAATAAAATGCATGATTTTGAGCCACCAAGTTCCATGTATCCTGAGCTGCCCATCATGAATGAAGTGTTTCCTGACCCACCTAGCCATAAAGTTGAGTGTGCATGGTAGCACTCTAACAAATGGAAATGGTACATATGTGATTGGTCCAGAACAGGTCCTGAAAACACAAGTTACATGAAGAAATATACAACTGCCTACAATCTCCACTCCTGCCACATTGCCTTCTCTCTCCTAATCTGCACTTATGGCCTCATGAAGAGTTCCCTATAATCAGTTGACAGAGTAAGAGAAGACTGTTCAGATGGTTCTTCAGGATATCCAGACACCACCTGAAAGTAGACAGCTGCAGCACTATCGCCCTTTCTGGGACATCCCTGAAGGACAGTGGGGAAATAAATCTTCTCTATCGACATAAATCAGTCAGTATATCTAGCTGTGCACTTTGCTTGGAAGGAAAAATTATTGTGAGTGTGCTTATATATTGATTCATGGGCTGCGTACAATGATTTGATCAGTCAGAAACTTGGAAATACATGATTGAAACATGCTGACAAAGTAATTTGCAATAGAATCATGTGGATAGCCCTCTCTGAGTGGCAAAAGAAAATGTGAAGACATTTGTGTTCCATATGGATTCCCACCAAAAGACCAACATTGAGTCCCTGATAAGGCACAATTCCCCAGAATAGTCGACCATTAACCCGGTGGTAGGTTGGTTATATTGACCTACTCTGATCATGGAAGGGGCTGGGGTTTGCTTCCTACTGAATAGACCCTTATTCTGATTATGTGTTTTCCTTTTCTGCATGCAGACCTTTTGCCAAAACCCATCCATGGACTTAAAGCCTGCCTTATATACAATGATAGTATTCCATACAGCATTCCTTCTCAACAAAGAACTACACAACCATAAAATTGTTGCAATGATCTTATGCTCATAAATTTCACTGGTTTTTCCATGCACACCATAATCTTGGAGAAACTGGTTGGATAAAATGGTGGAATATGCCTTTGGAAGTCACAGGTATGGTACCTGCTAGGTGAGAACACTATGCAGGTTTGAGTCAAGGTTCATCTGAAGATTGTATATGCTAAAAAATCAGAATGTATTATATAGAAAATTTTATCCCCAAACCATAATTTACAGGTTTAGAAATCACAGGATTAAAAATTAGAGTTGCACCATTCACTATTCCTAACGTAACACTAGCAAAAATTTTACTTTCTGTTCCTGTGATTTTAAGCTATACTGGTCTAGAGGTCTTACAGACAGAGGAATGCTGCTGCTAAGAGATACAGCAATTATTCAACTGAACTAAAAGTTAAGACTGCCACTCAGCCATATTAAGCTCCTTATATTTCTGAGTCAAAAGACTGAGAACACAGTTGCAGTGTGGTCAGGAGTAACTGATCTAGACTACCAGTTTAAAATGGGACTAATACTCCACAACATGGGTAGAAGAGTATTATATGGGAAACAGCGGATCTTGTGACAGTTACTGTGGTTGGAACATTTTCCCTTAACCGAACTCATTTTTAAATTTAATCCCCAATGTGGCAGCATTGAGAGTTGGGGCCTCATAGAGGTGACCATATCATAAGTGCTCTGCCCTTATAAGTGGATACATCTACTAAAGTATTAATGGGTTAAAGGATTAATGGTTTATTATGTGAGGTTAAGTGGTGACTTTGTCGGAGGAAGAGAGGTCTGCACTAGCATTCCAAACCTCCAGCCAGCCGATACCCTGTGTGGCCTCAGGAATCTTCGGAGAGTCTCCACCAACAACAGGCTATTGCCAGATACTGCCCCTTAACCTTGGACCTCTCAGCCTCCATAACCAAAAGAAATAATTTTTAAAAATAAATTACCCAATATTCTGTATTCTGTTTTATAAGCAAAGAACAAAGGTTACTACAGAAATCAGTGATGAGAAGTGTGATCTTGCTGATAATGAATACCATACCTGAAACTGTAAAACTAGTCTTGGAACTAGGTATTAATAGGGCAGAAGTTTGAAGAATTTGGAAAAACAGGCTGGAAAAAGCCTAGGTTCTGGTGAGGGGTTAGAAAACAAGAAAATGGGAAAAGTTTGGGAGTCCTTAGAGACAGGTGAAGTTGTTGTGAACAGACTGTTTACAGAAATATGAAGATTTAAGGCCATTCTGACTAAGTTTCAGATGGAGCTGAGGAATTAGACATTGGAAATTAAGGCCATTCTTAAAATCAACGGGCAAGTAATGTGGCTGTGTCCATGCTCAAGGGCTTTGTGAGAGGCCTATCTTCAGAGTGATGAACTAGGGAACCTGACGGGAGAAATTTCTAAGCTTCAAAGTGTTCAAGCTGTAGCGTGGTTACTCCTAACTGCTTAAGGTAAAACTGCTAGAGAAAAGAAAAACACAAAGAAAAAATCTGAAGCCTGGCCAAGTGAGAATGAAAAAGCCTTTCCAGGAGAATAGTCCAAGGTTGCGGCAGAGCCACAGTGTTCCAGAGACGGGCATGATTTAAAGGGAGCTAGGTGTCAATACTCAAGACAATGGAAGAAAAACCCCACAGGCATTTCAGTAATCTTCTAGGCTGTCCATCCCATCAGAGGCCCAGCAGCATAAGGGGACAGGATTGTTTCTGGGGACAGGTGGTGGCATTGCCATGTGCCACTTTAGGGTGCTGCTCTCTGAATTCCACCTGCTTTGGCTCCCAAGTGGGGCTTGTGCCCCAGCTCTGGAAGATACAAATTGTACTACCTGGAAATGCTTATGAGGTGGTAATTCTGTAGGCTTACAGAAAACAAGAGCTCTGGAGGCTTGGTAGCCTCCACAAATTTAAAAAAAAATTTCAAAAGCCTGGGGTCCCAATCAGAGATTTCTCACAGGGGTAGAGCCCCCAAAGAGAGCCCCCAGTAGAGCAATATTAAGTGGGAATGTAGGTTGGAGCTGCTGCAAAGACTCTCCACAAGAGCATGCCTGGTGAAGCTATAAAAGCAGGGTCAGCACAGAGTCCTCACTAGGATAATGCTTAGTGCTGCTGTGGAGGTGGTACCACCACCAGGACCCCATAACTGCAAAGTCACTCACAGCATTGACCACTTGCTTGGAAAAGCTTCAGGCACCTGACTGCAACCAGTACAAGCAGCCCTATGGCTCCCAGAATAGTCTGTTTTTCTCCTTTTCAAACAGAGATATTTCAGGAGATCTTTCTGAAAAATGCTAAAACAGAATGTATCACACCTGACATTTATTCAAAACGTGATATTGGAATTCAATTTAGGGCAGAGAATGTGTGAACAGATTACAATAATTGAAATGGTTATTTGAAAAACAATTATGGGCTAGCTGCAGTGGCTCACGTTGGTAATCCCAGTACTCCGAGAGGTTGAGGCAGGAAAATCACTTGAGCTCAGGAGTTTGAGACCAGCCTAGGCAACATGGCAAAATCCTGTCTCTACAAAAAAAGTGAAAAATTAGCCAGGCATGGTGGCATGCATCTGCAGTGCCAGCCACTCATGTGGCAGAGGCAAGAAGATTGCTTGAACCTGGGAGGTCAAGACTGCTGCGAGCTGTGATCATGCCACTGCACTCCAATGTGGGTGATAGAGTAAGACCGTATCTCAAAAAAGAGAAGGAGAAGAGGAAGGGGAAGAGGAGGAGGAAGAGGAGGAGGAGGAGGAGGAGGAGGAGGAGGAAGAGGAAGAAGAAGAAGAGTAAGAAGAAGAAGAAGAGGAAGAAGAAGAAGAAAGGAACAATTACGAATGCATTTGAAAAAAAAAGAATGTCTTATTGCACAACACAAAAATAAAATTTTCTCTATACGTGATGATTATGTGACCACAGAGGAAATTTAACCTAAATGCATTTGCAGACAAAAACAGGAAATAGTATTACAGTGCAAGAATAGTCAGTGAATTGGAAAAGATATTTTTTTCAAAAATGTTCTAGAAAATTGAATATCCTTTAAGAGGAATTAAAACCTGAAATGTGACCTCACATTAAATGCAAAATATATTCCAAGTGGATCATAGACCAAAATAAAAAATATTTAATCCAATATATACAACACAATTTAGGGAAATATTTTCATGAGCATGGAGCAGGGTAAGATTCCTAAAACTAAACTTAGAAAGTATTTACCATATAAGAGAAAACACATTGGAATACAGTTCATGAGAGCTAAGTCTCTGGAGACAGATTGTGTCAAACTGAGATTCTCCTAATTCTTTCCTTCAGAGTTTTTGGATCACATTCAAAATTGGACTATGGAAATGGTAATAGCACCTACTTCCTCGTGTTGGCTGGATTGTATGAACTAACAGTATTTAAAATATATAGTGTACACTAACAAGTATTAAAACTTTTTCTAGTAAATTGCGAGATGTATTACTGCATCAATTGTAACATGTATCACTTGTTTATATATAAGAATGGAAGAATAAAACCACAACCAAATGATGAAACAAATACATTTCACATAATATATTAGAAATTTTAGGGACCGGGCGTGGCGGCTCACACCCATAATCCTAGCACTTTGGGAGGCTGAGGCAGGTGGATCATGAGTCAGGAGTATGAGACCATCCTGGCCAACATGCTGAAACCCCGTCTCTACTAAAATACAAAAATTAGCTGGGTGTGGTGGTGCACACCTGTAATCCCAGCTACTTGAGAGGCAGAGGCAGGAGAATTGCTTGAACCTGGGGGACAGAGATTGTGGTGAGCCAAGATCACACCACTGCACTCCACTCCAGCCTGGCAGCAAAGTGAGACTCCGCCAAAAAAAAAAAAAAAAAGAAAGAAAAAGAAAAAAGAAAAAAAAAGAAATTTTAAGTGATTTTTGAATTGCATAAAAATTTTACATTGTAATTGATTTTAAAGTCTTTTCCACTTAGATCCAAGTCTTTAGAATAATTTTTACTTCACTAGCCCATGATTGATTATTCATCATCTGTGCTAATCTGAAGCAATGGTGATTCTGCATTTCTTGTGAGAGTCCTGAACTACTCTTTGTGAGATTCTCTCTCCAAACACTTCTGTGAATTACAACAGTGATGATATTATCCAAAGATATCAAAGGAAGATTCTTAGACCAGTTTCATGTATGTGTACACGAGGACAGTGACATTAAAACTGCCTTCTGGCCAACAGTGTTCTGACACTATCAAATTTAAAATGCTGCATCTGTATGTGAAATGTGAAAATGTGCACTCTCAGATGAATGGAACACAGCATTTCTGTTAATGCCCATTTCTCATTGTTAAGTAAGGGTGGCACATCTGTGTATTCTGGCCTGTTATTGAGAAAACGTGCCTAGAAACATTTTCACAGAAATTGACCACCTCTGTGTCTTCCCAGCTATTAAACACATGAGAGCTTCTGCTGGGGTTTTGGAATTCCTATTTTCTATGTGGAGAAGTTGTTATATAAACTATGATTCATGAAATCCATTGAGAAGCAAAATAGAAATTTTAAATAGGTATTTGAAAATGCAAATTTGGTTAAATACACAAAAAAAGTTAGTGCCATGCAATATATTAAGAGAAAGAAAAAAAAAATGATCAAGATTTGTAGTACTGAGAGGTGACAATGTGCTAGCAGCCCTCGCTTGCTCTGGGTGCTGCCTGGGGCTCTGCGTCCACTCTGGCTGCACTTGAGGAGCCCTTCAGGCCGCTGCTGCACTGTGGGAGCCCCTCTCTGGGCTGGCCGACACTGGAGCCGGCTCCCTCTGCTTGCGGGGAGGTGTGGAGGGAGAACCACAGGCGGGAACCTGGGCTGTGCATGGTGCTGGCGGGCCAGTGCGAGTTCTGGGTGGGCGGGGGCTCAGCAGGCTCCGCGCTCCCAGCAGCAAGCTAGTGCCGACGGCACTGCCCTGGGCAGTGAGGTGCTTAGCATCTGGGCCAGCAGCTGCAGAGGGTGCGCCAGGTCCCCCAGCACTGCCGGCCTGCCCACATCGAGCTCGGATTCTTGCCAGGCCTCAGCTGCCTCCCCACGGGGCAGGGCTCGGGACCCGCAGCCTGTCATGCCCGAGCCCCGCAACTGGTGGGCTCCCGCCAAGCCTCCCTGATGGGTGAAGGCTCCTGCTCCATGACATCCGGTCCCATCGACCACCCAAGGGCTGAGGAGTGTGAGCGTGCAGTGCAGGACTGGCGGGCAGCTCCGCCCTTGGCCCCAGGCGTGGGATCCACTAGGCAAAGCCAGCTGGGCTCCTGAGTTGGGTGGGGACTTAGAGAACTTTTATGTCTAGCTAAAGGGTTGTAAATGCACCAATCGGCACTCTGTGTCTAGCTAAAGGTTTGTAAATGCACCAATCAGTGCTCTGTGTCTAGCTAATCTAGTGGGGACTTGGAGAACTTGTGTCTACCTAAAAGATTGTAAATGCACCAATTAGCTCTGTGTCTAGCTCAAGGTTTGTAAAGGCACCAGTCAGTGCTCTGTGTCTAGTTAATCTATTGGGGACTTGGAAAACTTCTGTGTCTACCTAAAGGATTGTAAATGCACCAATCAGCACTCTGTGTCTGGCTCAAGGTTTGTAAACGCACCAATCAACACCCTGTGAAAACGGACCAATCAGCTCTCTGTACAATGGGCCAATCAGCTCTCTGTAAAATGGGCCAATCAGCTGTCTGTAAAATGGACCAATCAGCAGGATGTGGGTGGAGTCAAGGGAATAAAAGCAGGCTGCCCAAAGCAGCAATGGCAACCCACTTGGGTCCGCTTGCATGGTGTGGAAGCTTTGTTCTTCGCAATGAATCTTGCCGCTGCTCACTCTGGGTCCACGCTGCCTTTATGAGCTGTTAAGACTTACCACAAAGGTCTGCAGCTTCACTCCTGAAGCCAACGAGACCACGAACCCACCAGGAGGAATGAACAACTCTGGCCGCGCTGCCTTTAAGAGCTGTAACACTCACCGTGAGGGTCTGCTGCTTCATTCTTGAAGTCAGCGAAACCAAGAACCCACCAATTCCCGACACAGCACTAGTATAAAAATAGGTATATGTAGGAAACAAATGGCTAAAAAAAATTTTAAAAAGGAATAAAGTAACAATAAAAAAGGATAGGTATATAGATCAATGGAATAAAGCTGAATGTCTAAAAATTACAACTTTATGATCTCATGATTTTATAAGAATGTCAATTTAATGCAATATGGAAACTTTTTGATCAAGTGTTGTTGGGTCAAGGGGATCTCTATGAGTTGAACTATTTAATCTGACACACATACATGTATATTAATGACTCAAATTATGATTAACTTAAATACAAGAAATAAATAGGCTTAACCCATAGAAAGTCACATAGGAATACATGCAGCTTCAGGTTAAACAATGGTTTCTATGATATGAATGCACACGCACCAGAAACTGAAGAAAAAATAGATACATTAAAATTTTTCTGAATTAAACAGTTTTGTGACTCAAAGTATACCATTAAGTAAAAAGACTCACAAAATATTGAAGAAAATCATTGCAAGCCATGTAGCTAATTAAGCTTCTCCTATGCAGAATATATAAAAGCATCTTAACAACTCAAAAATCAAAAGGCACATATCCCAATCAAAAAAGGTAAACTATTTGAATAGTTATTTCTCTAAAGAAGTGATTGTCATGTACAATACGCACATCAAAAGATGCTCAATGCTTTTTCTCATAAAAAAATGCAAATCGCACCTGTAATCCCAGCTACTCAGGAGGCTGAGGCAGGAGAATCGCTTGAACCCGGGAGGTGGAAGTTGCAATGAGCCAAGATTGTGTCATTGCACTCCAGCCTGGAAGACAGAGTGAGACTCTGTCTCAGGGGGAAAAAAAAGCATTTCAAAACAACTAAGAGATATACTTCACAAACTTAGAAGTCATATTGATATGTAATTACTTTTTAAAGTCTTTTCAACTTATATTCATGTGGCTATTTATCTTGTGATAAATCTGACATCATATTCTGGGAAAGGCAAACATGTAGAGACAGTAAAGCAGTAAAGTTTAGTGGTTACAATGGCATCAGGAGAGGAAATGCCAGTAAATCTTAAGTACAGAGGATTTGTTTTGGGCAGTAAAATTATTCTGTATGATACTGTAAGTGCGGATACATAACACTGATTTTCAAATTCTAACTTACATTATTACTAAGAATGAGCATAAAAGTATGCAAATTAAAAACCTTATTCAGTAGGTAGGGGTATCCCAGGAGGAAATGCAGGCAAAAATTAAATACAACTATATAATAACTATAAGACATAACTTCATTGAATGGAGTGGGGAATGAGGGACTGACCTATGAAACAGGAAATAAATGGAGATGCTGAGTCTTAAAGGTTTTGTACATAAGCACTGCACTTTAATTGGCAAAATTCTTTCTCATGGGAACATTACCAATTCTAAACTCACTATATATGTACATATGCATGGGCATTCCTAATTCAAAAATCAAAATTTCAACATTTAAAATGCCATTCAGCAGAATGCCTCCTCATCCATATGGGATGTGCTTCCTGGTTCCTCAACTGTTTGATTTTTCTTCTCACCTATTAAAATAAAATATGATGTATAGTAAGCTTTAAATCAAAACATAACATCACAGGAGGAGGCAGAAAACATGCCATCATTTGTTATTTATGGTAAAGGTACAGTCATGCATTGCTCAATGAATGAGAGTTCTGAGAAATGGGTTAGGTGGCTTCATCATATGTGAACATCCTAGTGTACACATAGAAACCTGGAGAGTATATAGCCTATTGCCCTTAAGCTACAAATCTGTATAACATATTATTATACTAAATACTGCACACAATTGTAACACAATCGTACCTGTTATTCTAAACACACCTCAACACAGAAAAGATACAGTGAAAATGTGGTATAAAAGATAAAAAATTGGTCACCTGTCTAGGGCACTTATCATGAACGGAGCTTGCAGGACTGGAAGTTTCACTGGGTGAGTCAATGAGGAAGTGGTGAGTGAATGTGAAGGCTAGGATATTACTGTACATGAATGTAGACTTCATAAACAGTGTATACTGAGACTAAAATAAAATTATAAAAATATTTCCCTATATTCAGTTATAAAAATGTATCTTAGTGTAGCTGTTTAACTTTAAAACTTGGTTTTTTAACATTTTGACTGTTTTGTAATAACACATTGTACAGATGTAAAAAAATTTCTTTATATTCATATTTGATGAGTTTTTTTCTACTTTAAATTCTCTTAATTTTAAATTTCCAACATTTTGCTAAAACCTCAGAATAGCTTAGGCCTACATATGGTAGGGACCATCAATATCACTATCTTCTACCTTCCTTTACTGGAAGGTCTTCAGTGGAAAAATACAGCCATGGATCTGTCCTCTTCTACAACAATACCTTCTTCTGGTTACCTCCTGAACTACTTATCTGAGCTTGTTTTACAATTAACTTTTTTTTAATTAGTAGAAGGAGTTCATTCTAAAATAATATAGTATTGTAAAAACATAAACCAGTAACATAGTTTGTTACTATTATCAAGTATTATGTACTGTACATAATTGTATGTGCTATACTTTTACACAACTGGCAGCACAGAAGGTTGTTTTTCTTATCAAAACACCAGGGGTTCAATCTAGGTCCTTTTGCTCACCACACAGAAAGTTAATTACTGAGACAAATTTTGCCAGGGAAGAAGCCTTTATATTCAGGTGACATCACCTAGAGAGATGGGAGATAAGCCTCAAATCCATCTCTTCCAACCAACTAAAATTGAGGGTTTATGTAGTTCAGAAGGAAGGTAGCCACCAGCAAGAAAACAGGCATTAGAAGGGGTAAGGAAGCCGTAATGACAATGAGGAATCTAGCATCTCATTGTCTAGATGCAGTGAACTGGTCAGTTTCAGTTCCTTGCCTGAGGGTCAGTTTCCTGAAGAAGAAGTTCAGATAAGACAGATAAAAGTTTCAAGTTTTAAGACCAGTGTGGGTCAATATTTATGTTTATTCAAAAAAATTATATTTGTCCCATGGAACAGTTGGGCTGGCTTCATTTTCGCAACACCACAATAAACAAACACATGAGTAATGCTTTGTACATAGCTAGAAGATAGAAAATTTTCAGCTCCATCATATTCTCATGAGACCTCTACCATATCTGCAGCCCACCTTTGTCTGAAATGTCATTAGGGGGCATGTGACTTTATACTAGGGATGCTACTCTGTTGCTTAGTTACCCTGAACATGCAACTATTTCACTGTATTAAAGGAATATCATTCTTTATAATGTTAAGCACTTATGTATAAATAAGTGTAAGAAAATAATTGCTTATCAGTAACATAAATTCAGAGTCAAGGACCATGGTGATGCTAAACAACCAAAGATTGTCTGCATGGGAGGCCTCTTAAGATAGTGACACCTCTGCTTTCTGATGGCTCAATATATGTAAGCTTTGTTTCATGCACAGTTATTAAAATATTGTGTAAAATTACCGAGACTACGTGTATAAGTCATATTTAAAATATAAATGCCTATTCCATTTCCACTGCTTCATTTGACTAGACTTTTAAAAGATATTTAAATATTAATGAAACAAAATATAAATGAATCCATGTATGGACTTGTGTCCCATCCATAAAATATCTCATCATGTATATAAAAATATTCCAAAATCCCAAAAAATCAAAAATCTTAAACATTTATGGTCCCAAGCATTTTGAATAAATAATACTCAACCTGTATTTTCAAGTGGTATTGTTAGAGTAGATAGTTAGCAGACATGAGCAGTGCAGAAGTGAGTTCCCCCTCCACCAGGAATGTCAGGCAACCATCAGATGATGGTCAGGCGATTGTTAAACTGTCTCTCTAAATAATAATTGGTGGCAACTGGCACTGGGGGAGCAGTCTCCCCATAGATAGAAAACACCTGAAGCTGGTGATCAGCCGTTTCCCCGTAAGATCTCAGCATGTGGGAAAGTGGACTCAACCATGTGCATTAAGAGGCAAAATGGCAGTGTTTGGTGTATGATCTTCCTCTAGGAACCATTGACTGGTAAGGGAAAAATGCCTCAAGTGAGCATGTGCACATCTTTAGTAAACACACTGCGCACGCAGCCCCTCCCATGTGCTGGCAGGCCACTGCATATGTGCACAGCCCACCCCATGGGAAGAATCAGAAGAGAAGAGATGCAACACCCTGGAAGCCTGTTAATGTATAAAACCTCAAGTAAAAGGTCAAACCAGGCACTTGGATCTCTCAAATCACCCACTTGGCCCTCTTCCAAGTGTACTTAACTTCGTTTCACTCCTACTCTAAAACTTTTTAATAAACTTTCATCCAGTTCTAAAACTTGCCTTTGTCTCTCACTCTGCTTCATGCCCCTAGGACAAATTATTTCCTCTGAGGAGGCAAGAACCAAGTTGCTGCAGACCTGTATAAATGTGCCACTGCTAACAGCATAATTAAATTAACAGAACCAACTAGCTCATTATTAGAGCAGTAGGCTATATACAAGTAAGTGGTAAAGAATAGATAGATTAATGTGGTACTAAATAAGATCCTGTGTAGCAGGAAACATTAGTAAAAATTCCTGTTTAATTTAATATGGATACATATTGACACATGTTGATATATATTGTGTCAGTATACAAAGAATGCACAGATATATCTGTTTGCACTTTCTGTTAACAAAGCATCAAATCAATAGATTTCAAAGTCACAATGTATACACCCAGTGCCTGGATCTTCATTCCTTTCCTCCTCCTTCTTTTTTTTTTTTGAAACAGAGTCTGCCTCTGTTGCCTAGGCTGGAGTACAGTGGCACGATTTCAGCTCACTGCAACTTCTGCCTTCCGGGTTCAAGCAATTCTCCTGCCTCAGCCTCCAGAGTAGCTGGGATTAAAGGGATGTGCCACCACTCCCAGCTAATTTTTGTATTTTTAGTAGAGACAGGTTTTTGCCATGCTGACCAGGCTGGTCTCAAACTCCTGGCCTCAAGGGATCCACCCACCTCGGCCTCCCAAAATGATGGGATTACGGATGGAAGCCACTGCACCTGGTCCATTACTAATTCCATTCTCTAACTTAAAAAAATCTAGAACTTTGTGAACAAATGATTAATACAAGGCTTAAATAGGGAATAAGCACAATTAGCCTGGTGCACCCAGTAGTCCCAAAATAATAGAAAATGCTAAACAACAAAACAACCAACCAACCACACATAAAATTGCAGACACAGGTATTGGAAATTAATAGAGTATCCAACTGAAAAAATTTCCAGTGACATTCGGCCTGATTCCATCATTACACCAAGCCCTTCCATGGTTCTGAGGATTGCAGTCTTGCACTTAGGTGCACTATCAGCATCCCTGCATTTCCTGCTTCTAGAGAGCCTTTTGTGAAAGATCTCAGCCTCCATATTTATGCGATCAAATACCATAAAGTAAATCTCTATGTATCTACCTACCTACCTACCTATTCTATTGCTTCTGTTTGGAGAACATTAACTAATACAGATATTGGTAATAAAAATGGTTCTAGAGAAACGACATTTTTAAAATGACCATCCCTAATTGGTGTGAGGGTTTCTAGAATTGGCTCTCAATCTGATTACACCTAAAATTCTAACAATGCTACTTTTTTTTTTTTTTTTTTTTTTGAGACAGAGTCTTGCTCTGTCACCCAGGCTGGAGTGCAATGGCACGATCTTGGCTCACTGCAACCTCTGCCTCCCTGGTTCAAGCCATTCTCCTGCCTCAGCCTCCCAAGTAGCTGGGATTACAGGAACCTGCCATCATGCCCAGCTACTGTTTGTATTTTTGTAGAGACAGGGTTTCACCATGTTGGCCAGGCTGGTCTTGAACTCCTGACCTCAGGTGATCCACCTGCCTTGGCCTCCCAAAGTGCTGGGATTACAGGCATGAGCCATCACGCCTGGCCACAATGCTACTTCTAATAGAAAAAGAACACTGATAGTCCATGGCACGAACTGTTCATAGAGACATGCAAAGTATCTGCATTTCTCACTCCTAATCAGTTTCTTTAGCTGATTGGCTGAAGTAAGGTAAGAGGCAAGGAATTTGGTGATCTTTGAGCATTTGTGAAAAACCAAGGAAGATAATGTCATTGTGTGTTTGCTTCTCATGTGCCTTGGCAAAGAGATAAAATGACAGGAAGTGACTAGATATTCAAATTTCCAGAATCTTCTCTGCATAAATAGCCTAATAGCTTTTAATTGTGCTCTGAGTCAGATTCTTCCCTTCTCTAGTCAATGGGGCTGAAATTGCTAAAAGTCAAACAGAAGCTCTCATCATGAAAGTGGCAAAATTACAAAGAAAGTTTAACTCTCAGTCTGGCAAGGTGTCTAAAGTTTAAGTGAGAGCAATGGTTAGGAAATAATGGGATTCTGTAAAACGGGGAGAGGATAGTTGGGAAGACACTGATGATGCGGGAACATTGAACTCCTAAATTCTAATGAATTTTGTTTGCCACCAGCAGTGAACTTTTTAACCCTACCCACAGTGGAAGCAGCTTTCCCACGTACAATGATGTAAGCCTTGTATCCCCTGTCTGAAAGGATTAAATATTTATTTACCTATGGAAATGATAATGGACTCACCTGAGGCAGTTGCCAAGCAAGACAATGGTGATTTTCATTAGGACTGACCACTGACAGCACTGTTTCTATAATAGAACTATATCTAGGTGCAAGTTTCAGTGGGATCTTAAATATGAGGTACAAATTGTTACTTATGAGGATGTGCACTACATTTAAAAAAAAACCTACTTGAATTTTTTTTAAAAAAATATGTATCAACTAAAACCTTCAGAAAGTCTGTGGAAATGGATCTTAAATGGCAGCAAGGTTGTGGGATAGTGGAAGGAAAATAGCGTTGGATCAAGTTGAATTAATTAACATGGCCCATTAATGTTCCCGTTTGGGGAGTCACGAAAGGTTCTAATAGTTTTTTTAGCTGATCAGCTGAAGTAAGGATAAAAAAATGGCCGACCATGAGCAAGTTGTGCCATCTATCTTGGTTTACCACAGAGGAAGGTATGCAAAGGCTTAGAGACAGATTAATGTTAGAGTGAATTTGTTATTAAAACCTATTCATTCACATTGGAAGGGTCCAGAAGACCTATCATTTACCAATACTGTGAGAAATAGATTCGTGATGGGATCCCCAGCATCCCTGAAGAGCTCTGTGGATGCTTTTCTCTGTAGGACAGATCTTACACTGAGAACCAAAATCAGTCCAATGAAAAGTTTAAATGCAATGAGAATAAGTGGATCCAGGGGTGGCAGGAACCAAGCAGTGGTCCTCAACTATCAAAAGCAAGGGGGCATTGTTATGGTAATGGAGAGCAAAGGCAAAGCAACAATAAGAACCATCTGACTCCTACAGATCTATGGACTTAACCAGTTATCCACAGTTTTCCTAGAAGTGAAACAGGTAAGAAGCTGACTAAATCCTTATTTGATCTCTCTAAGCAAAACACATGTTCGTGTCCATGAACACAACTCTAACTCAAATGATAAAAAAGAAAAAAAAAGAATTATAGACCCACAGTCAATTCCTAGACTTGAGCCAATTTACAGTCTCAGAAGCTTTCCTTGAAGGGGAGGCAGAGATCCTCCAATAAAGACAGAGGTACACTACCAAAACTATACATTAATCTTCCTCCCACACTTTCCTAAAAAGACTTACCACTTTTTATTAAGGCAATTGTTTACTGACAAAAAGGAAATAATCACATCATTTAGGGATGTCTGGACACTTGCTGTGAATGGACATTGATTCCAGGTGACCTGAAACATCAATGTTCCCTTCCAGATAGAATTGGCGCTAATGGAGGTCAGGTGGTCAATGATGTTTTAGCTCATGTCCTAGTCACAGTGTGTCCATTTGGTCCCGAAACCCATCCTCTGTTAATTTCCGAGTTCCCCAATGCATAGTTGGAATAGACATACTTAGCAGCCTACATCTTTGCCACATTGGTTTCCAAAGTGATGTTGTGAGAGATATGAAGGTGGAAAATGCCAAATTGTTATAGGTAGTTAGGAAGGCATGAGCAGGGTAGAAGAGGGCTGTCTCCCCCAACTCACAAGGAATAGCAGGCGATCATCAGATGATTGCTTAGCAGTTATCACATTGCCTCTCTAAAAATGATAATTTGGCAGCCAGTGCCAGGGACAGACAATCTCCTGATTGCCCAGAGCTGTCACACTAAAGTGTTAATTGAACGCAGGTGCCGGGGAGAAACAACTTTCCAAATGGATAAAAACACTTCCTAAACATACTGCCGCATGTTCACTTCCCAAGCATGAGGAGGGCACTGTACAGGTCCACAGCCCACCCTAATGGAAGAATCATGGGAAAGGGGAGCAAGACGCCGAAGGTGGGCCAGCATATAAAGTCCTATGATCAAGGTAAGACACTGTACTTGTCCTTCAAGTTGCCCACTTTGTCTCTTCCAAGTGTACTTTCCTTTCTTTCCTGCTCTAAAGGTTTTTAAAGTTTTCCAAAAAAAAAAAAAAAACTTCCACTCCTGCTCTGAAACTTGCCTCTGTCTCTTTTTCTGCCCTATACCTCTCAGTTGAATTCTTTATTCTGAGGAGGCAAGAATTGAGGTTGCTGTAGACCCACATGGATTCACCACTGGTAACTTGGAGACCTACCCCTAATGTATTTGGTGCCTTGTGACTCACTCAGATCATTCCCTAGTGTTAAGAGAGCTCTGTGCCTCACCTTCTTTGGCTGGAGGCATCTGACCCAGAGCATGGTTTTTTTTCTTCCCTTTCCCTCTCTCTCTCCTGCTTACAAACCAACACGCAGAGCAATTCCTCTTGGCCATAGTTGACTCTGCTCCCCCAGGCTGATTTCTCAGCTTACCCAGACCAGTGGCTTGTGGGGGTGTGAAGGACCTTAGGGTCCACACCCAGCAGATCGGAAGCACTAATGGCCATCCTAAACAGGAGGCTCATGAGATTGGTGAGGCTAAGGCCTAAAAATCACGCAACGTCTGGGGTTTCCTTTGCCTTTATTAAACTACAATCGGCTCTTTTCCAAAAACCTGCACCACCCATTTTCTGGTTTTCTCTGTGTGTTCTGCAATGGGCTAGCGCACACCCTGGACCTTCTGCCTTAGGAGCAAGTCTGCCTCTTTGTTTTTACTTTGCATGCCACGGGACTTCTAAACACACACTCCCTGTTATTCACACCCTGCGGCTCTCTACATTGTATGGCAGCAAAGACACAGGCTCCCTGGTGGATATCCCCTGAGGTTTATATTTGTTTTAACCAGCTCAGGTGACCTTCAATCCTTCCCCTGCATGCTGGCACATGGCCAGGACAGACTCTAATTGGAACTCTGGCTCTGCTGGCATCTTATAACTTACCACGTGCTTTTCAATTCCCGTATGCCACCACGGGGCCAAGTTTCTGATGGCTTTTAAAAGCAGTTTGCCTGCATAGGGCTTCATTCTGGCCCTTTAAGAATCCCACCCGCTTGCTTTTTTGAGATAGCACTACTATTTTGGGAGGAGAAAAAATTCTCCCTTTGCTGCTTGTGAGTTCTTACCCGAAGCCCTAAGTCTTCTGGAGCATACTGCTTTATGTCCAGAGTGTGAATAAACATTGCTGTCTTGAATCCAAGGACTGTTATTTACGTGAGCATGTGAAGGCTTTCCAGATGTAGGAGTCAGATGGTTCTTTTTCCTCTCACTTCCTTCCACTTCCTCCTCTAGGCTTCATTTCTCTAATTACTTCCATGCCCTTCTCAACATGCATCAAGACCTTTAAAGACATATTCTAAGGGAGCAGGGAGGAAACTCAAGTCTCTGTGGCAGCTGAAAAACACGCTTCTGAGAAAAGAGTTACTCATTTTATTGTTAAAATACTCTGAGTGAGAGTTGCTATAAGGTCATGGAGACAAGGTCAGCCAGAGGCCACAGATGCAAGAGACCCATAGGACAGAGACAAAGGGTGGTCACAGGCCAACAGATTACCACTGGAACAGAGATGAGAGGCTCAGGTGGTACATGTTAAAGACCAGTTCATTCCGGAACCCCAAAGATTAACAGGGGCCCACTACTGTTCACTCCAGCATCTCCTCTGTTTTCAAGTGGGTAATTGTGTTGAGATGGGACCATTGGTACACAGTAAGACTGGTTCATTCTGGAACCCAGGACCATGGGGGATGCCCCATTCATGATAATAGAAAGAAAGGGATCTTCTTTTTCCTCTTTCTCCTCTGCTATCTCTTCACAGATGGGTTATCACATCTCTATACGACAGGACATGCTTCTTGGATGCATCCCCCAAACCTGGGAATAGTTTAATTTCCCCAAACCTTCAGCTGGCTTAAAAATGAACTAAGAGGAAAATTATAAAAGTCAGCATTGGAACCCAATGACCCTGTGCAGAGGTCCTCAGATTAGCCTCTTCAGTCTTTTATAACTAAGAGGAGAATAAGGAGGACAGGGCTAAGGAGAACAAGGCAAATGGCATCCCCTCCCTCCAAAAGAAAAGTTTCACACCTCTTTATATTACTTAAGGGACCAATTACCATTCTCCCACCAGTCCCTGGTAATGTCTAAATACCCAACAACTCTTTGGGAAAAAATATACTTTCTAAGATCTGTACTAATTTAATATTTATCCAACCTCTGAACTCCTCTTTCTAATAGCCTATTTGTCTCCACCTAAATCATTAACCAAATCTATAACCTAAACAGTGCTACATCAGGGGTCCAGAAGTAGCCCACACTTATTCAGACAAGCCCTGGCAAAAATATAACTGAGCAATCTCTTGAGAGGGGATAACTTCTACAGTATGCAGATAGCCTCTTTATCTGCTCCCCCTTCACAGGACACACACAGTAATAGGCAGTACAAATCTTAACTTTCTAATGGGAGGAAAATGACTTTTGTCTAATTCAAAAGTTATAAAGGTAAAAAGGTATTTTTGGTAAAGACAGTTTTAAAGAAAAGAAATTTTATATAAGAAAGGATCCTGTATGGTAAATTCTTGTCCTAAAGTAAAATACTGGTTGTTTAAATAGAGGGATATTTAGGACAAGTCAAAAGGTACAAACAAGTTGTAGATGGTTTGTGTATTTCATGGAAGAATTTGTGAAACAGAATTTATGAAAGAAATGTACAATTTAAAGGTTACCAGGCCTCATAAATGCTTCATAAAATGCCAGTGTGACTCTCAACTGCACAACTTAACTACTTTATGGCTAGTTAAGGCCTGGGGTCATGTGGAGTTAGCCATGACCCTAGCTATGCTGGAAAGAGTCAGACCTATCTGCACTCTGGTTTCCTAGGCTCCACACCTGGTACATAAGTAAAATTGCTTAATACCCAGGTTTTTCACCAAAAGTAAAAGTTGCTAAGAGTTAATGATGCAATTGAAACTACTGAAGAAACAGCTTTACACACAACTGTGTGTAGAATGTCCTTTTGGTAAAAGATTATAAGAAGGCATGGGAATGTAGATTTCTTGCCTAACTACAGAGGGCTAAAGGATTGTTTTAAGTAAAATAGGAAAACTCTGACGGTTTGAACAAGTTGTGGAAGGTTTGTGAACAACTAATTATAAAATAGGTTCTGTGTGTAAACATATTGGGGAAAGTTAAAGGGGTATTATTCAGTTTTTCCATAAATTGAACATTGGAATAAAAGAACAAGAGAGTTTCCTTGGAGCATCAACCTTCTCTTTGGCAAAAAAATTGTAAAGGATTATAAAAGACTTCTTACCTTATGGTCAAACTGATTAAAATTGAATAAATTTGTCTACAAGGTTTTATTAATAATTGACTTTAACATTACTAATACACTAATGCAAAGGTGAGATTTGGCTTTCTCTGTGGAACAAGAATTTTTTAATATTAAAAGATAATGAAAGATTTTCATTTTCCTTTTGAATAAACTGTAGGAAAAAGAAGAGAAAGAAAAGAGACAAATTGGAAAGCTAAGTCTCCCTCTTAATAGGGTAGAGGTTTTTGCGTTTATAAAATTTTTGAGTTATTATTTTGTTTAAATGAATGACCTATGGTAAACTCACATTTATTTTGTGATATCAAGTGATTCAAAGTTTTGATATCTGACAAACCTCCAAAAATTAAATTGTAAATTATCTTTTTCTGACCTAATTAATCTTTAACATACTATGCCTTCTAAAGTCCAAAAATGACATTGGCTTCTTTCGTATAAAAATCAAAGAGGAAGCATTGTCAAATATGACATGGTTTTTGGTTTTCCTTGGGCTGTATTTGTATAAATATGTTACTGATATGTGTTCCAAAGTTATGGAATTCTGATACAACTTAGGGCACATTATTAATAGTCAGAATTGTTATGTAAAATTGTTGTGTGCCACAGAAGTAACAAATTTCCGTCAATTGTGCCTTTAACTGTGGCTGTCCTAAAACTTTTTGTTATTCTCAGACAATTGTTGTCTTGTTTTAATCCTCTTCAAATGTAGTTTATGATTGGTTCCAGAACTTTCATAGGTGTTCTTTAGTGCAGGTTTCTGATAACTTTGGAGATTGTGACATTAGAATAAAGGAAAAAAATCCTTTCAGGACTCTCACGGAGAGCTGAAATGTTCATGAATATCAAGCAAAACAGGAGTTAACTGCATGGACTAAACTAATAGAAGTCTGAAGTAATCTTTTTTAAATTTTTGTTTAAAACATTGCTGATCTTTGAAGCAATTGTGAATGGGAGTTCAATCATGATATGTAGAAAGCTGAAACTGGATCCCTTCCTTACACATTATACAAAAATTAATTCAAGATGGATTAAAGACTTAAATGTTAGACCTAAAACCATAAAAACCCTAGAAGAAAACCTAGGCAATACCATTCAGGACATAGGCATGGGCAAAGACTTCATGCCTAAAACACCAAAAGCAATGGCAACAAAAGCCAAAATTGACAAATGGGATCTAATTAAACTAAAGAGCTTCTGCACAGCAAAAGAAACTACCATCAGAGTGAACAGGCAACCTACAGAATGGGAGACAATTTTTGCAATCTACTTATCTGACAATGGGCTAATATCCAGAATCTACAAAGAACCCAAACAAAATTAAAGAAAAAAACAGCCCCATCAAAAAGTGGGTGAAGGAAATGAACAGAAACTTCTCAAAAGAAGACATTTATGCAGCCAAAAGACACATGAAAAAATGCTCATCATCACTGGCCGTCAGAGAAATGCAAATCAAAACCACAGTGAGATACCATCTCACACCAGTTAGAATGGTGATCATTAAAAAGTCAGGAAACACCAGGTGCTGGAGAGGATGTGGAGAAATAGGAAAACTTTTACACTGTTGGTGGGACTGTACACTAGTTCAACCATTGTGGAAGACAGTGTGGCGATTCCTCAAGAATCTAGAACTAGAAATACCATTTGACTCAGCCATCCCATTACTGGGTATATACCCAAAGGATTATAAATCATGCTGCTATAAAGACACATGCACACGTATGTTTATTGCGGCACTATTCACAATAGCAAAGACTTGGAACCAACCCAAATGTCCAACAATGATAGACTGGATTAAGAAAATGTGGCACATATACACCATGGAATACTATACAGCCATAAAAAAGGATGAGTTCATGTCCTTTATAGGGACATGGATGAAGCTGGAAACCATCATTCTCAGCAAACTGTCTCAAGGACAAAAAACCAAACACCACATGTTCTCACTCATAGGTGGGAACTGAACAATGAGAACACTTGGACACAGGAAGGGGAACATCACACACCGGGGCCTATTGTGAGGTGGGAGGCGGGGGGGCGGGGGATAGCATTAGGAGATATACTTAATGTAAATGACAATTTAATGGGCACAGCACACCAACATGGCACATGTATACATATGTAACAAACCTGCACGTTATGCACATGTACCCTAGAACTTAAAGTATAATAATAATTTTAGAAAAAACATCGCTGATCTTTTTTGTTTTTCAGAGCCAAGAAAACTTTTCTTTTGAGCGATTTAAGGCTTTCCACAATTTCAAGGAGTAAAGTATATTCCTGTGAACAATATATATACATAATAAAAGCACATATGATATGGAAGAGGGGAAGGGAAGTGCTGGGAAGAGAATGGTGTGGTCCCTTTAAATGATACAAAATGGTGGAAGGGCGTGGTCCCAGGCTAGGGCTCCACCCCTGGGCCTGTGCCCATGAACCTAGGTTAGAATAGGCATTTTTGTTTTCCTGCCCAACTGTTGCATTTCCCAAGACAATCCTGGCCTGCCACACCCCCATCCTGTGCCTATAAAAACCCTGAGACCCTAGTAGGCCGAGGCACAGGCAGCTAGTCAGTGGAGGAACACACGGGTGGCTGGACATCAAGAGTAATACACCAACAGGCACTGGCATGCTGGCCAGTCACAGACCGGCAGAATGACACGAAGTTTGGCTGGGGCAGTTAGAGGAGAGCCCAGGCTGCCAAGCAGCCCAACTCCAGGGGAAAATCATCTCCCTTCTGGTTCCCCCATCTGCTGAGAGCTACTTCCACTCAATAAAATTTTGCACTCATTCTCCAGTCCTACGTGTGATCTGATTCTTCCGGTACACCAAGGCAAGAACCTCAGGATACAGAAACCCCTCTGTCCTAGTGATAAGGTGAGGATCTAACTGAGCTAAATACACAAGCCACCTATGGACGTCCAAACTAAAAGAGCACCCTGTAACACACGTCCACTGGGGCTTCACCTTTAAACATTCATCCCTAGACACTGCCGTGGGGTTCAAGCCCCACAACCTGCCCGACTGTATGCTCTCCTAGAGGTTTGAGCAGGGGGGGCACTGAAGAAGTGAGCCACACCCACACCACAGGCCCTGTGAAGGGGACAAGGCAACTTTTCCTGTTTTGTGTATGTGTGTTTATCAGTTTAAAGAGTAGTTCAACTCAAACATAGATATCCCCTTGACCCAGCAACACTTGATCAAAAAGTTTCCATACTGAATTAACTTGACATTCTTATAAAATCATGAGATCATAAAGGTAAGAGTTAACTTTTAGACATTCAGTTTTATCCCATCGAGCTATATGCCTATTTTTTAATTTACTTGGTTTTTTCTGTTTTTAATTCTTTTTTTGTTTTGTTTTAGACATTTGTTTCCTACATATACCTATTCTTGTACTACAAATGTGTTTTCTGTTCATTCTATTAATGTATTGCATGGCACTAATGGTTTTTGTGTATTGAACCAAATTTGCATTTCTGAGAAAAATACCCTGGGTCATATGGTATAATAATTTTTACACATTTCTAATTTGTTTTGCTAGTGTTTCTTGGGGATTTTTTCTGTGTTTTTATCGCATATTAGTCTTCATTTTTCCTTTTTTGAAATGCCCTTGCCTTGTTTTCTTACCAGCATAAACTAACTCATAGTAACTGTTGTAGAGTGATTTCTTCTCCACTGTTTTTATTACTGGTGTTGTGGTTATTTTATTTTTTGGAACAATTTGTGATAGATTGATGTTATTTATGATTTACAATAATTTATCAGAGAAATCATCCCAGTGAGGGGAGAGATGTGAATCCTAACAACAATCACATGACTTTGAAAGTGGTTTCTTCCCCCACTGATCCTTCAGTTAAGACTTCGGCCTTGGTCATTATTTCCAGTTGAATTCTTGACCCAGAGAAACTGTGATTAATGTGTGTGTGGCTTGGAGCCGCTAATCCGTATGTTAATTTGTTTTGCAGAAACTAGAAGTATTAACCTGACAACAAATGTAATTTGGTATCCTGGATTACATTTAGGTACAGAAAAAAGTCATTATTAGGAAACCCAATGATATGAAGAACGTCTCTACTGCAGTTAATAATATTGTAACATGGTCCATTTCCTAGTTTTCATGAATAAACTACAGTTATAGAAATGTTAACATTCTAGTTGGCTGAAGGATTTATGAAACTCGTTTGAATATGTGTACATCATTCTGTAAATCTAAAATTATTTCAAAATTTAAAAATGTTTTCCATAGTATTACTTTGGTCCAAGAAGAAAACAAAAACAATGGAGGACATAAGCAGAACACCTACTCCTCAGGAGATGGATATGTAGGGAGAGAATAGCTGAACAGCTTTCCTTATCTATCCAACATTCCATATACACATGCACCTACTTCAGTACAACACCAACAGTCTCCAAGGACTCTCTCATTCATTTCTACATTCACCGTCATATTCTTCACTACCCAGTAAGGAGTAAGCACTGCTTCATAGATTGGTGCCTGTGCTTCACTCATCCCCACAACCTCCATTTTCACATATTGTTCAGAAATGTGTCTGCAGAATTTCACTAAAGCCTTTTTGGAAGACATAACTTCTGGACATTTGGTGCCAAAATTGAGAAAGTCTAGTGTCACAGAATTGAAATCTTACTTCAGCACTCAGAAGAGCATTTCCTTGGGACAGGGATTCCTTCTTTGAGTGATCAAAAAATAACTTTACCTTCAAGATTTTTTTGGGGAAAAAAAAACCCTTCCATAATTTCTTTTCATTCTAAGGTCTCCATGATGAATTCTCTAGAACCATTTATTCTGTTGACACTTACACTGTAGAATTATATTACCCATTGCTAACACGAAAAAAATCCACAGAATAGGTATGGCCATGCAGATACAACATAAAAGCTTACAACTATGGTGGTTTAGGTTAGTCCTTGCTTACAAAGACCTAGACATACATCTCTACCAGGTGTTTTCCAGGTAAAGGCTAGTGAGTGATATACATATACTGTGCATAGGTGGAGAAAGTGCCATACGAACAGAAAAAAGAACAGACCGGTTACAACATATCCCAACTTCACCATGCAGTGATCCAAAAGATGAACACAGGATGACTGATGATTCCGTGTATGTTCCACATTACAACAGAGATGTTGACCACTCATTCCCCACAGGATGCCCTGTCACAGACCACAGCACTCTGTTGGGTAGCAGCAGCACTGTCTCCAGAAACCATGTTTGCAAAGACTACAAAGCTTACAAACCATACTGTACACTCTACTCCTAGTATCCACAAAGTCAAGTATCTTGTTTTATGTTTAATATCATGGGTTATATTCTCCATACCACAAAGTTTCACATAGTTTCAGTGAGAAAATGAGTTTCTGTGACCTGGAGTAAGAGAGAAAGCTGATCTGGACCACAAACCTCAACTGTAAATCAGGATAACAGTTATTTAGGTGCAGTTATGTGAGCATTTGTTACTGAAGAAAGATTGTAACTTCATATTCATACTTCACTCATTAAGACATGACAGCCTCATTTAAATTCCACATCTTAACATATCAAGGGTTATTCCATTTATTTTTTTTTAATTTATTATTATTATACTTTAAGTTTTAGGGTACATGTGCACAATGTGCAAGTTAGTTACATATGTATACATGTGCCATGCTGGTGCGCTGCACCCACTAACTCGTCATCTAGCATTAGGTATATCTCCCAATGCTATCCCTCCCCCCTCCCCCCACCACACAACAGTCCCCAGAGTGTGATGTTCCCCTTCCTGTGTCCATGTGTTCTCATTGTTCCATTTATTTAGTTTTAACTGGATATTGTATAAGAGGTACCTGACAAGTCAAATCCTCCTTCCCTCTTCAATTACATGCATCTATTCTAATGTATCATGATGTAGACTGCAAATACAGTGACTCACCTGAATCTAGGATAAAAAAAAAAAACCAGGCAGTCCATAAGTGAGACACTAGTAGATCTAGATGGAAGGGATGCATTTAAATGTGGCAAATCAGGATCAATTAAATTATAAAGGTCAGAATTTTAAAAAAGCAGGCAGTAAACAAAACTGTACTAATATGATGCCACATGCACAGATGACAAAGTACAGTGAAGCAAAGCACCAAACTCCCCAGTAGAAAGGAAGGTATGATTTTCCGCAGTATATTAAACCACCAGATTTACTAGTAGCTTGCCTTTTCAAGAAGCTGTCATGAAAACAAGCCAGATTCTCAGACCACATCATGAAGCAATTACCCAAAACTCTACCCTTATCAGAAGTTAGTGTTCAGTGAATGAATGGCCTGTATATTTGAGATGATAACTGCATGTTCACGTAATTCATAATTCCTGGAGTGCACTTCTCTAGGTAAACTTTCAGTCAACATCCTACATTGTAAACTCTAAGGGTTTATCACTTAATCCTAAACTGCATGTTTCCTTCTCAGTCAATACATTCATGAGGGAACACCAAAAGTTATTCCTATATTCAATAGCCCCAAAGTGGAGTTAACCAGAGTAGTAAGGGGGCAGAACAAAATATTTTATAAAGACCATAGGATCACCTAGTTCACAGTGACTGATCATAAGGTAATTTGTGTAATTACCTGCTATGTGATTAAAGGATCAGCATGAGGAAGAAATATGAAACATATGTTACGGATGAAAGCATTGAATTTCTATTGCAGATTGTAGCAAAACATTGCTCATATTTCTAGAATAAGGAAAGAAATGTGAAATATACAGCTTTTCCCAAGTCTTTAAAAAACTATCACTCCAGTTATTTTCAAATAACTAACTCTTCAAAATATCTATTTTGTTTCTCAATGAATTTCACGAACCATGGTATATAAAACAACTTCCCCATACAGACAATAGGAATTCCAATACTCCAGTAAAAGAATCTGATATTTTTAATAGCTAGGAAGAATATAAATGGAGGTGGTTAAATTTGTGAAAATGCTTTGATACATGTTTTCTCAATAATAGACTAGAATACAGCAGATGTGCCACCCTAACTTAACAATGATTAATGGGCAGTCGCAGAGAAAAAATGGTACGTTCCATTCATCCTAGAGTGCACATTTTCACATCTTTCAAATAGAGATGAAGCATTTTACATTTGATAGTGTTAGGACACTATTGGCCAGAAGGCAGTTATAATGTAACTGTCCTCACGTACACACACATGAACCTGGCCTAAGGATCTTCCATTGATATCTTTGGATAATATCAACAAACTTGCAGAGGAGGTGTGATAAGGTTGGAAAGATAATCTCACAAAGAGTAGTCCAGGACTCCCATAAGAAATGCAGTGGCTGGGGACAGTGGCTCATGCCTGTAATCCCAGCACTTTGGGAGGCCGAGGAGGGCAGATAACTTGAGGCCAGGAGTTCAAGACCAGCCTGGCCAAACATAGTGAAACCCCATCTCTACTAAAAATACAAAAAAAAAAAATTAGCCAGGTGTGGTAGTATGCACCTGTAATGTCAGCTACTTGGAAGGCTGAGGCAAGAGAATTGCTTGAACCCAGGAGTTGGAGACTGCAGTCAGCCAATATCACGACACTGTACTCCAGCCTGGGCAATAGAGAAAGACACCATCTCAAAAAAAAAAAAAAAAAGAAAGAAAAAGAAAGACATGCAGCATCACCAGATCACCAGTGCTTCTGACTACCACAGAATAACTAACCATGGATTAGTGAAGTAAAAATGATTTCAAAGACTTTGCTCTGAATTGAATAAATTTTAGGCATACCTTTGCTTCTATGTTCTGTGATTATAGGAGTGATACAAGACAAATATCTACATGAATGTAAGTTCAAAAGAGGTTTTTCCAATAATTGTAAAATCTTGAAGTGATTCTGACATCATGATTTCTAAAATGTTAAATAATAAGTATTTGTTTCATTACCTGTTAGTGCTTTTATTTTTTCATTCTGATATATAAAATAATGATAAAATGTTACAGTTGATTCAGTAATACATCTGACAATTAGAAAAAGTTGTCATACTAGCTAGCATACGCTATGTGTTTTAAATGTAATTAGTTCATACAATCCTGCCAACATTCAAGAAGTAGGCGCTATTACCATTCCCATAGTCCAACACTGAATCTGATCCAAACACTCTGAAAGAAAAAGTAGAAGAATCTGACCTTGATTCAGTCTGTCTCCAGAGGCCTAGCTCACATACACTATGTTCCAATGTGTATTCCCATACATGGTAAATACTTCCTAGGGGTAGTTGCAGGACTCTTACCCTGCTTTATGGTCATGAAGATACTTTCCTAAGTTGTGTTATATACTGTTTTAAATATTTTTATATTTTGGCCTATGATCCACCTGGAATTGACTTCATGTGTAATGTGATGTCAAACATCAGGTTTTAGTTTCCCTCAAAGAATATTAAATTTTCTAGGACATTTTTATAAAAAACCATCTATTCCCATCCACTGACTTATAAAATATTTGATCATGTATATATATATATATATATATATATATATATTTTTTTTTTTTTTTTTTTTCAGCTGAGTTTTCTTTTTTTACAGGCGTGCACCATCACATACGGCTTATTTCTGCATTTTTGGTAGAGATGGGGTTTCAACATATTGGCCAAGCTGGTCTAACTCCTGACCTCAACTGATCCACCTGCCTCGGCCTCCCAAAGTGCTGGGATTACAGGCATGAGCCCACATATTTACATCTTTCAAATAGAATGCGTAAAGAACTTGATACTCCGAAAACACTCTTGGCCAGACAGCAAATTGTGATTGCCCTTATTAGCACACACATGAACTTGGTGTAAAAACATTCCATAGTCACCTTCCAGTGATATTGTCAGCATCGAAACTTGCAAAGGGGCCATGAGCAGGTTGAAAAAATAATCTCACAAGAGTAGTACAGGATACTACTAAGAAATGTGCATCAACAAAGCTTCTGATTAGCAGAGATATTGATAATGTAAGGAAAATCCTGGATAAGATGTATTGAGAAGTGATTCAGAGTTTGATCTGAATGAGATAAAGTTTCAGGATACTTAATGTTAGTGTATTTTGCTTGTATTTCCCATCTCATATAAATCATACGTGTAATATAAAACAATTATCTACATATAATCATAGGTCGTGCCACTACACTCCAGCCTGGGTGACAGAGTGAGACCCTGTCTTAAAAAACAAACAAACAAAAAACACATTTTTTAAAAGAAGAGTTATACATTTGCAGAATAGTTACAAATGTAGTAGACAGTTTCCATAAACTCCACTCACAGTGCCTCTTATATTATTTATCTGGTACATTAATGTGGGACATTTGTCAAAACTAACCAACTAATACCATGTATTATCATTAAGTACTATACACACTTTATTCAGATTTCTTAGTTCTCACTTAATGTTATGTTTTAGGATCTCATCCAGGATATGTTATCACATTTAGATATCATGTCTTTAAGTTTCTCAGAGTTTCCTTGTTTTTGATGCCATTGACATTTCTAATTTGGGATTTCTCTGATGTTTCGCTCATAATGAGGCTGATCCCCACCCAAGGGTGTATAAGCATTCCCTTCTCACCTCATCCACACCAATATCTATCATTTATTGACTTTTTAATAAGAGCCATTCTGAATAGGGTAGGGTGGTATCTCATTGTGGTTTTCATTTGCATCCCAGATGCTGATTCATGTTGAACATGTTTTCCTGTGTTTGTTGGCCATTTGTGTATCTTTTGAAAACTATCTATTCATGTCATTTTCTCACTTTTTAATGGGATTATTCATTTTTTTCTTACTGATTTGTGTTTTTTGTAGATTCTTGATTAGTCCTTTGTTGGATGTGTACTTTTCAAATATTTTTCTCCCATTCTGTAGGTTGTCTGTTTACTCTGTTGATTATTTGCTTTGCTGTGCAGAAACCTTTTAGTTTAATTCCATTTATTTTTTTTATGTTGCTGTTGCTTTGGGGGTTTTAGTCAAACATTCTTTGCCCAGGTCAATGTCCAGAAGACTTTTTTTTCTAGTTTTTCTTCTAGAATCTTTCTGGTTTCACATCTCACATTTAAGTCTTTAATCCATCTTAGTTGATTTTTTTATATGGTGACAGAAAAGGATCCAATTTCATTCTTCTGCGTGTGGCTATCTTATTTTCCCAGTACCTTTTATTGTATAGGGTGTTCACTCTTCAGTGTATGTTTTTGTCTACTCTGTTGAGTATCAGTTGATTGTAAGTCTTCATTTCTGGGTTCTGTATTCTGTTCCATTGGTCTATATGTTTAAGTTTATACCACTGTCATGTTAGAGTGCCAGCAGATGTTGTAACGGACTGTATTTCTTGACCTCGGGCAAGGGTGCAGTGCTTGCAGGAGACAGCCAGCTGCAGTCATGGTGGTGGGATTTACGCTTAGCCTTTGTTACCCAGGGGAAGTACTCAGGTAGCAGAACAGGAATGCCTGTTCTGCTACTAGGGTAGGTAGAGGGGAAAAGCTGGGTGGGGAGTCAGGAAAGTCCACACTCTGGCTTTTCGAGTGTGGGCACAAGCAGCAGCCCAATGGGGATTGGTGGTTACTTTCCTGGCCACTGGGATAGGATAATGTTCCAGGGAGAAAGAGAATACGCTCTGCTTCACGAGGGTCTGTACATGCAGGGAAGGGTAGCAAATGGCAGGTCAGTTCCCACGACCTTGACACAGCAGGTCTCACACATGCAGACTTCTGCTGGCAAAAAGCCACAACAGCCAGCTAGTTCCAGGCAGTCCAGGCTCAGAAGACAAACCACAAGACTTCCCACTGGAGAATGAAACTGAAACAGTAGCTCTGAGGCCACACCCCTCGATTTGGCATGTGAAGCAGGAATACCCAGCTCCCGTGACCCTGGCAAAAGAATGCTTCCTGCTTGCGTTCTGGTCATAGGGGGTTCATCCCCTGTTCAATACTGGATTGCGCATGTCAGTTGGGAGCTTCTTACAATGTGTGACCACTGCCTGGGTTACCTGGATGTTTTCCACAAGGTTCCCCTATGAATTAGTATCAGGATTATCCTTCTTCTGTCCCTGCTGTGGTCTGAGAGTAGACACGCAGCACATCCAGGTGCCACTCCTTTCATGCTCCCCACCTCTCTAAGTCAGCTCCAGCGCTGGGTAGGGTTAAGGCACTTCCCCATGGACTGGATTGCCTGGCTCCCCAGTGAGAGTGTGTATCATGGAGACTGTCTCCCCCTTTTGCACTTTGAAGACTCAGTTTCCCATCTGACACATGGTGCGAGTTGCTGCCTGCTGCTCCTTTCAAATTATCCAAAGTTTCTTTCACTTTTTCTGTTGAGTTCCTGTGTTTGTTGGATACAAATTTAGTGTAAATCTCTGCACACTATTTTGCTGTTTAGAAGCAGGGAGGTGTGCTAACGAAGCCTCCAATCTGGCATCTTGAAACAAAAACCCAAGAAGACATGCTCCACTTTATGGGTAGAATGTCTACCAAAGTTATTTGGAACTTTCACCATGAACACTGAATATGTATGTATTCTCCTTTAATAATTATTATATTGATTCAGTCATTTTTTATGTCAGACCCCAAACACAGGTGTTTATTTTACCCTTTACTTTTATTACTTCATTTATTTGATTAAATTGTTGCAGTGTTGGCTATTGGATCATCTGTCAATTTTGAAACACCACCATAATTAAGCTTTGATGTTGTTATGTGGTTGTTTAGTTGTTTGCATTGTTGTTTGGCTTTTTTTTTTTCTAGCATTACTAGGTGCTCAGGCTAATGGTGCTGATTCCCGCGCAAGCCTGGTATTAACCTTTTTTTTTTTTTTTTTTCCACAGTTCCCTCGTTCTTTTTATTGGAAAGTTGAATTACAAATGGAGACCTGCGCCTGGACGTGTTCATCACTCCTGTAGCATCTGTATTCATGATCTTGCCTGCTGACAGATCAAATAAATCTACGTACACTGATTCATATATATACGTATGCATATATGGATATGCACACACACATATATGTAAGTTTATATATATGCACATACATACACATATGTATATTTTACCATGTATACAGTGATAAGGATAGTTCTTTTATTTAATCACATAATCCAAAAGACATGTATAGTGGTTTCAGAACTGGAAATGTATACTTGACCAACTGAAGTACTTATGGATAAATCTTTACCCTTTAGACTCAGAATATTCACTTGTTTGCTAAGTTACTTGGGTCCGCTGCTTTTCCCCCACTCCCTTCAGTGAGGTTATTTCACTGATAATGTTATACAGTCACATTATATGCATAGCCCCATGCTATCTCCTACCTACTGTATAAGATTTTTAATTTGCTTATTTGTATTATAAAGTTATTTAGGATTTGTAAAATATAATCATGTGTTTATCATTACAGTATGATACTACAATAATTTCACTTCCCAGAGGAGACCTGCTGTGCCTCACCAATTTGACCTGCCTCTCTTCCAAGCCCCTGGTAAATACAAAACATTTTATTGTCTCTATGCTTTTTCACTTTCCAGAGTGTCACATAACTAGAATCACACACATATTTTGCCTTTTAAAATTTGCTTTGTTTTTTTGCAATATGCCCTTTAGATTTGTGAAGTGTATTTCATGGTTGTTTAGATTTGCATTTTCCTAATGGCAGAAGACTTAGGCCTCACATCATGTGGTAACTAGACATGACTATAGTATCTTTGGAGATACAGCTATTAAAGTAATTTACCAATCTGATTGTGATATTTATTTTTAGTTGTAAAATATTTTTATATGTTGTAGATAATAGACCCTTTTCTGCTATGAGATTGCAAAGATTTTCTTCTACACTTTGTGTTATCTTTTTGCTTTTAATGATGTACTCTGATTTCCAAAAGATTTTAATTCTATGAAGTTCAATATATTCATGTTTTTTACTTAACTTTTTTGGGCTTTAGCTGTCATACCTTAGAAATCACAAATTATTGTTCAACCTAAGACCACAAATATGTATTCCCATATTGTCTTCTGTGGGTCTGGTATATTTAGCTCCTATATTTGGATATATGATCATTTTGGTCCAATTATGTGTATGGTGTGAGAGAGAAGTTCAATTTGTTTTGGATACTCAATTGTCCTAGCAACATTTGATGGAAACCTATTTTCTATATTCAATTTACTTAGCTACCTTGTAAAATCATTTCACCATAAAGGAAAAGGGTAATTTTTAGAATTCAGTTCTATTATATTTCTTTTATCTGTAAGTCTATGTTTACACTAGTACCACAAATCTTGATTATGATTGTTTTGTAGTAACTTTTGAAATTCGAATGCATGAGTCTACTTTGTGAACTCTGCTTTTCATTTGAAAATTTTCTGGCTGTATTGCATAATACATGAATTTTAGAAGCAGCTTGTCAAGTTAGAAAAAAAGTCACCTATTTTTAAAGAGATTGCATTACATCTATATGTGAATATGAAAAATATTGCCACTTAGCAATATTAAATCTTGTGTTCATATTTATTGACTATTTAGCCTGTTTACATACTCCTGTACAATGTTGACAACAAGTGTCAAGAGTGGTCCTGGTCTTGTTTCTAATCTTGTGGAAAAAACTTGAGCCTTTCAGATAAATTGTGATGATATGTGAGGTTTTCATGAATGCCCTTTAACGTAAAGAAAGTTTTCTCATAGGCTTAATTTGCTTTGTATTGTTATCACAAATTGATTTTGAATTTTTCAAGTGAATATTCCGCATCTTTTGAGATGATCATATGGCTTTTGTATTTGATTTTATTAATAAAGGGCATGACACTAATTATTTTATATGTTGAACCAAATTTGCATTTCTGAGCCAAATACCCTTAGTGATGGTATATAATTCTTTTTACATTTGCTGACTTGTTTTGCTGGCACTTCCTTAAGAATATTTGCTTCAATAGTTACAAAACATATTGATCTTAATTTTTCTACCTTGCAGTGTCTTATTTTAGTTTTAGCATCATATAAATTCACCAATAGTATACATTGGAAAGTGATCTCTTCTCCACTTCTGTCATTTTTGTTTAAGTTGTTTTTAAGTTTTAAGAATTTGTGATAGATTGTTACCAATTATTTTCAGGATTGAATAGTTCACCAGTGAAGTCATCTCAACCAGTACAGGGCCTTGACTCCTAACAACAATCATGAGCTTGGAAGAGGATCCTTCCCCAGTTGAACACTTAAGACCTCATTCTTGGCAATGATCTACATCTGAATTCAATGATCCAGAGAAACTGTAATGTGTGCATGTGGTTTTGAGCCATCTAGTATGTTATAATTTATGCAGAAATAAATAGCCCAGCCTGCACGGATGCTGGCGTGAATGCTCTCCCCCATTCTTACCACTGAATGTGGAGAATGGCTTCATGAAACTCAGCTAATTTGTGCTTGACTCTCAGTTCCATCTTCTTAACTCAAAAACTCAGAGTATCTTCAAAAGTCCATGCCACACTACAGGACAGAAACTCTCCCGAAGCAGTGTCTTGAGAAATTGGTAGGGCTCATGTCACTGTCTTGTATGTCTCAGATATCACTGTCCTTCATTGTTTGATATAATCTGTTTTACAAGCCATTGTTCCACTTGTTTTGCCCCTTTTTTTGTTTGTTTATACATGTGGTATAGCAGTCTAATCCTCACAGGGAGAGTATCAGAAAAGAGTTTTGCATTATCTAGAGTTGTGGGTCATTGGGAAGCAGCTTAGAACCTACCTGCCACATCAGTTTCTGTCCAATATGCATCAGTTTCCCCATCATTATTTATTTTGTTGATGTCGACCCTTGTGAACTTACAAAGTATTTTTTAGCCTGTATCACACAATATGGATGTGTTAAATTTTCTCAAAATTTGACTAAGATTACACATTAACTTACACACATATTTATCTAACTTTGACGACAAAAAACCTGAACAGTATATTATTTAGAAATACAAATATAGAAAATAATAAGAATGAGGGAATGACAAAGCGAATTCAATGTTATAGTAACATTCACCACGGTAAAAGAGAGGATGGAACATATGTGATGCATCAGTAATATATATACAATATTTGGTTATTAATCTTGACAGTGGATTAAGACAAAGAAAATGCATTTTTTCTATTTTAGAATAGTTTTAAGTTTACAGAACCATTGGAAGTCACTACAGAGAGTGTATGTATATTTATCCAACACAGGGTTTTCTTTATTAACTTTCTACATTACTATGTGGGATATTTTTTCACAATTATCACACCATTATTATACATTTTCATTCATTTAACAAGTGCACGCATTAATTGTATATTTTTTGCCTTAATGTCAATTTTCTGTTCCAGGATTCCATCCAGGATACCACAACATATTTAGATATCATGTCTCCTTGTGCTCTTCTCCACTGTGCCAGGTTCTCAAATTTTCCTTGTTTTTTTTTTTTTTCATGATACTTACACCTACATTTGGAATTTGACGTTTTTCTGATGATTCGACTGGTGTGGGTTTAGGTGAGGAAGACCACAGAGGATATGTGCCACTCTGATGACATTATACCAGTTATACGTATTAATATATCTATTTCCCCCTTTCCATGTTGTGCTTTTATTTTAAAGTCACTAAGTACAAAACATACTTCACAAGTGAAGAATTAGCTTTAAATTTTATTGGCAGTGCTTGCAGAAATATCATTTGCATTTCTTTTCCACAGGCAATTTATCTGTTCTCCATCATTTATTATATATTTTAAATCGATTATTTATATCATATGGGGTATTATATAAAATTATAGATAAGTATTGTAAGCTATACTTATACTAATTTATTTACTTTGCTGCTCAAATTGTTTCAGGGTTTGTCATTGGAAGGTCTTTCTGTCGGATCCTGTACCATATGGAATTGCCAACATGATTGCTGTTTGATTTTGTTTGTTTGTTTGGTTGGTTGATTCTGTTGTTCATTAGCATGATTTTACTTGCTAGCACTTTAAGGTGTTCCAGGCTTATTGTGTTGTTTCCCTGCACATGCCAGATACTATTTTTCAAGGAATCATAGTTTCTTGTTTTTGTGCATGGTATTAGAAAAAAACATTTGGTCTATGTGTGTTCCCATTTCTACTAGGGATCTGTTGATTCTACTCTGTCATCCAACAAGGCAATAGAATATATGTGTGTATACTAACTCTCACATACACATATAAACACAACATATGTGTATCTATAAACGCACACATATTTCTACATTTGATCATATATATGTATATAAAGTCAAACATGAATTCCTACTAATGTCCTCAGTACCACATGATGTAATCCAGTACCCTATGAATCAATTTTTTCATTTCTACTACTTGTAGGTAATCTCTCACATTTTTTAAGACATTTCCTTTATTAAGTACAGCATTGAAGGTCTCACACAGGTTTTAACATTTGTTATTTAGATCATAATTTTATAGACATATTTACATATCTAGCAATAAGGTTTTTTTTCTTTTTCTTTTTTTTGTTATACTTTAAGTTTTAGGGTACATGTGCACAACGTGCAGGGTTGTTACATATGTATACATGTGCCATGTTGGTGTGCCGCACCCATTAACTCGTCATTTAACATTAGGTATATCTTCTAATGCTATCCCTCCCCCCTCCTCCCACCCCACAACAGGCCCCAGTGTGTGATGTTCCCCTTCCTGTGTCCAAGTGTTCTCATTGTTCAATTCCCACCTATCAGTGAGAACATGCGGTGCTTGGTTTTTTGTCCTTGTGATAGTTTGCTGAGAATGATGGTTTCCAGCTTCATCCATGTCCCTACAAAGAACATGAACTCATCCTTTTTTATGGCTGCATAGTATTCCATGGTATATATGTGCCACATTTTCTTAATCCAGTCTATCACTGATGGACATTTGGGTTGGTTCCAAGTCTTTGCTATTGTGAATAGTGCCTCAATAAACATACATGTGCATGTGTCTTTATAGCAGCATGATTTATAATCCTTTGGGTATATATCCAGTAATGGGATGGCTGGGTCAAATGGTATTTCTAGTTCTAGATCCCTGAGGAATCACCACACCGACTTCCACAATGGTTGAACTAGTTTACAGTCCCACCAACAGTGTAAAAGTTTTCCTATTTCTCCACATCTTCTCCAGCACCTGTTGTTTCCTGACTTTTTAATGATCGCCATTCTAACTGGTGTGAGATGGTATCTCATTGTGGTTTTGATTTGCATTTCTCTGACGGCCAGTGATGATGAGCATTTTTTCATGTGTCTTTTGGCTGCATAAATGTCATCTTTTGAGAAGTGTCTACTCATATCCTTCGCCTACTTTTTGATGGGGCTGTTTTTTTCTTGTAAATTTGTTTGAGTTCTTTGTAGATTCTGCATATTAGCCTGTTGTCAGATAAGTAGATTGCAAAAATTTTTTCCCATTCTGTAGGTTGCCTGTTCACTCTGATGGTAGTTTCTTTTGCTGTGCAGAAGCTCTTTAGTTTAATTAGATCCCATTTGTCAATTTTGGCTTCTGTTGCCATTGCTTTTGGTGTTTTAGACATGAAGTCCATGCCCATGCCTATGTCCTGAATGGTATTGCCTAGGTTTTCTTCTAGGGTTTTTATGGTTGTAGGTCTAACATTTCAGTCTTTGATCCATCTTGAATTAATTTTTGTACACGGTGTAAGGAAGGGGTCCAGTTTCAGCTCTCTATGGATGGCTAGCCAGTTTTCCCAGCACCATTTATTAAATAGGGAATCCTTTCCCCCCATTTCTTGTTTTTGTCAGGTTTGTCAAAGATCAGATAGTTGTAGATGTGTGGCATTATTTCTAAGGGCTCTGGTCTGTTCCATTGGTCTATATCTCTGTTTTGGTACCAGTACCACGCTGTTTTGGTTACTGTAGCCTTGTAGTATAGTTTGAAGTCAGGTAGCGTGATGCCTGCAGCTTTGTTCTTTTGGCTTAGGATTGACTTGGCAATGCGGGCTCTTTTTTGGTTCCATATGAACTTTAAAGTAGTTTTTTCCAATTCTGTGAAGAAAGTCATTGGTAGCTTGATGGGGATGGCACTGAATCTGTAAATTACCTTGGGCAGTATGGCCATTTTCATGATATTGATTCTTCCTATCCATGAGCATGGAATGTTTTTCTATTTGTTTGTATCCTCTTTTATTTCATTGAGCAGTGGTTTGTAGTTCTCCTTGAAGAGGTCCTTCACATCCCTTGTAAGTTGGATTCCTAGGTATTTTATTCTCTTTGAAGCAATTGTGAATGGGAGTTCACTCATGAGTTGGCTCTCTGTCTGTTATTGGTGTATAAGAATGCTTGTGGTTTTTGCACACTGACTTTGTATCCTGAGACTTTGCTGAAGTTGCTCATCAGCTTAAGGAGATTTTGGGCTGAGATGATGGGGTTTTCTAGATATACAATCATGTCATCTGCAAACAGGGACAATTTGACTTCCTCTTTTCCTAATTGAATACCCCTTATTTCCTTCTCCTGCCTGATTGCCCTGGCCAGAACTTCCAACACTATGTTGAATAGGAGCGGTGAGAGAGGGCATCCCTGTCTTGTGCCAGTTTCCAAAGGGAATGCTTCCAGTTTTTGCCAATTCGGTATGATATTGGCTGTGGGTTTGTCATAAATAGCTCTTATTATTTTGAGATATGTCCCATCAATACCTAATTTATTGAGAGCTTTTAGCATGAAGGGCTGTTTAATTTTGTCAAAGGCCTTTTCTGAATTTATTGATGATGATCTAGTCATGTGGTTTTTGTCTTTGGTCCTGTTTATATGCCAGATTACGTTTATTGATTTGCATGTGTTGAACCAGCCTTGCATCCCAGGGATGAAGCCCACTTTATCTTGGTGGATAAGCTTTTTGATGTGCTGCTGGATTCGGTTTGCCAGTATTTTATTAAGGATTTTTGCATCAATGTTCATCAGGGTTATTGGTCTAAAATTCTCTTTTTTTTTGTTGTGTCTCTGTCAGGCTTTGGTATCAGGATGATGCTGGCCTCATAAAATGAGTTAGGGAGGATTCCCTCTTTTTCTATTGATTGGAATAGTTTCAGAAGGAATGGTACCAGCTCCTCCTTGTACCTCTGGTAGAATTCGGCTGTGAATCCATCTGGTCCCGGACTTTTCTTGGTTGGTAAGCTATTAATTATTGCCTCAATTTCAAAGCCTGTTATTGGTGTATTCAGAGATTCAACTTCTTCCTGGTTTAGTCTTGGGAGAGTGTATGTGTCCAGGAATTTATTCATTTCTTCTAGATTTTCTAGTTTGTTTGTGTAGAGGTGTTTATAGTATTCTCTGACAGTACTTTGTATTTCTGTGGGATCGGTGGTGATATCCCCTTTATCATTTTTCATAGCATCTATTTGATTCTTCTGTCTTTTCTTCTTTATTAGTCTTGCTAGTGGTCTATCAATTTTGCTGATCTTTTCAACAAACCAGCTCCTGGATTCATTGATTTTTTGAAGGGTTTTTGTGTCTCTATCTCCTTCAGTTCTGCTCTGATCTTAGTTATTTCTTGCCTTCTGCTAGCTTTTGAATGTGTTTGTTCTTGCTTTTCTAGTTCTTTTAATTGTGATGTTAGGGTGTCAATTTTAGATCTTTCCTGCTTTCTCTTGTGGGCATTTAGTGCTATAAATTTCCCTCTACACACTGCTTTGAATGTGTCCCAGAGATTCTGGTATGTTGTATCTTTGTTCTCGCTGGTTTCAAAGAACATCTTTATTTCTGCCTTCATTTCATTATGTACCCAGTAGTCACTCAAGAGCAGGTTGTTCTGTTTCCATGTAGTTGAGTGGTTTTGAGTGAGTTTCTTAATCCTGAGTTCTAGTTTGATTGCACTGTGGTCTGAGAGACAGTTCATTATAATTTCTGGTCTTTTACATTTGCTGAGGAGTGCTTTACTTCCAACTATGTGGTCAATTTTGGAATAAGTGCAGTTTGGTGCTGAGACGAATGTATATTCTGTTGATTTGGGGTGGAGAGTTCTGTAGATGTCTATTAGGTCCGCTGGTACAGAGCTGAGTTCCATTCCTCGATATCCTTGTTAACTTTCTGTCTCGTGGATCTGTCTAATGTTGATAGTGGGGTGTTAAAGTCTCCCATTATTATCGTGTGGGAGTCTAACTCTCTGTGTAGGTCTCTAAGGACTTGCTTTATGAATCTGGGTGCTCCTGTATTGGGTGCATATATATTTAGGATAGTTAGCTCTTCTTATTGAATTGATCCCTTTACCATTATGTAATGGCCTTCTTTGTCTCTTTTGATCTTTGTTGGTTTAAAGTCTGTTTTAACCGAGACTAGGATTAGGATTGCAACTCCTGCCTTTTTTTGTTTTCCATTTGCTTGGTAGATCTTCCTCCATCTCTTTATTTTGAGCCTATGTGTGTCACTGCACGTGAGATGGGTTTCCTGAATACAGCACACTGGTGGGTCTTGACTCTTTACCCAATTTGCCAGTCTGTGTCTTTTAATTGGAGCATTTAGCCCATTTACATTTAAGGTTAATATTGTTATGTGTGAATTTGATCCTGTCATTATGATGTTAGCTGGTTATTTTGCTCATTAGTTGATGCAGTTTCTTCGTAGCCTCGATGGTCCTTACAATTTGGCATGATTTTGCAGTGACTGGTATCGGTTGTTCCTTTCCATGTTTAGTGCTTCCTTCAGGAGCTCTTGTAGGGCAGGCCTGGGGGAGACAAAATCTCTCAGCATTTGCTTGTCTGTAAAGGATTTTATTTCTCCTTCACTTATGAATCTTAGTTTGGCTGGATATGAAATTCTGGGTTGAAAATTCTTTTCTTTAAGAATGTTGAATATTGGCCCCCACTCTTCTGGCTCGTAGAGTTTCTGCCGGGAGGTCAGCTGTTAGTGTGATGGGCTTTCCTTTGTGGGTAACCCGACCTTTCTCTCTGGCTGCCCTTAACATTTTTTCCTGCGTTTCAACTTTGGTGAATCTGACAATTACGTGTCCTGGAGTTGCTCTTCTCAAGGAGTATCTTTGTGGCATTCTCTGTTTTTCCTGAATCTGAATGTTGGCCTGCCTTGCTAGATTGGGGAAGTTCTCCTGGATAATATCCTGCAGAGTGTTTTCCAGCTTGGTTCCATTCTCCCCGTTACTTTCAGGTACACCAATCAGACGTAGATTTGGTCTTTTCACATAGTCCCACATTTCTTGGAGGCTTTGTTCGTTTCTTTTTATTCTTTTTTCTCTAAACTTCTCTTCTCACTTCATTTCATTCATTTGATCTTCCATCACTGATACCCTTTCTTCCAGTTGATCGAGTCAGCTACTGAGGCTTGTGCATTCAACACATAGTTCTCATGCCATGGTTTTCAGCTCCATCAGGTCCTTTAAGGACTTCTCTGCATTGATTATTCTAGTTAACCATTTGTCTAATCTTTTTTCAAGGTTTTTAACTTCTTTGCCATGGGTTCACACTTCCTCATTTAGCTTGGAGAAGTTTGATCGTCTGAAGCCTTCTTCTCTCAACTTGTCAAAGTCATTCTCCACTGAGCTTTGTTCCATTGCTGGTGAGGAGCTGCATTCCTTTGGAGGAGGAGAGGCGCTCTGATTTTTAGAATTTTCAGTTTTTCTGCTGTTTTTTCCCCATCTTTGTGGTTTTATCTACATTAGATCTTTGATGATGGTGACGTACAGAGGGGGTTTTGGTGTGGATGTCCTTTCTGTTTGTTAGTTTTCCTTCTAACAGTCAGGACCCTCAGCTGCAGGTCTGTTGGAGTTTGCCGGAGGTCCACTCCAGACCCTGTTTGCCTGGGTATCAGCAGCAGAGGCTGCAGAACAGCAGATATTGGTGAACAGCAAATGTTGCTGCCTGATCATTCCTCTGGAAGTTTTGTCTTAGGGGTACCCGGCCGTGTGAGGTGTCAGTCTGCCCCTACTGGGAGGTACCTCCCAGTTAGGCTACTCAGGGTTCAGGGACCCACTTGAGGAGGCAGTCTGTCCATTCTCACATCTCAAGCTGCATGCTGGGAGAACCACTACTGTCTTCCAATCTGTCAGACAGGGACATTTAAGTCTGCAGAGGTTTCTGCTGCCTTTTGTTTGGCTATGCCCTGCCCCCAGAGGTGGAGTCTACAGAGGCAGGCAGGCCTCCTTGAGCTGCAGTGGGCTCCACCCAGTTTGAGCTTCCTGGCCACTTTGTTTACCTACTCAAGCCTCGGCAATGGCAGGCACCCCTCCCCCAGCCTTGCTGCCGCCTTGCAGTTTGATCACAGACTGCTGTGCTAGCAATGAGTGAGACTCCGTGGGCGTAGGACCCTCCAAGCCAGGCACAGGATATAATCTCCTGGTGTGCCGTTTGCTAAGACTGTTGGAAAAGCGCAGTATTAGGGTGGGAGTGACCCGATCTTCCAGGTGCCATCTGTCACCACTTTCCTTGGCTAGAAAAGGGAATTCCCTGACCCCTTGTGCTTCCCAGGTGAGGCGATGCCTCGCCCTGCTTTGTCTAGTGCTCAGTGCACTGCACCCACTGTCCTGCACCCACTGTCTGTCAGTCCCCAATGAGATGAACCCGGTAACTCAGCTGGAAATGCAGAAATTATCCAACTTCTGCGTCACTGACACTGGGAGCTGTAGACTGGAGCTGTTCCTATTTGGCCATCTTGGAACTGCCCCCCTCTCCCACTTTTGACAGTGAAACAGTTCACCTCCTTTGCGTAATTATTGAGTTCCAAAATACTTGCATAGTGGTTTCCAAATTGGTGGTGGAAAGTGTCTGCACCAAGTAAGATGCTCACTTGCAAATCACAAATGTTTTAGACTGTGAATCTCCTCTTATTTCCTAAGTTACTTTGGTCAGTCTCTTTTTCACCCACTCCCTTCATGAATTTTTTTCATACATGTGTTACACATTTATGTTATGTTGTCTGCACGGCTCCCTGGGATTCCCCAACCTACTAAGTAAGGTTTTTAATTTGCATACATCTGCATTCACACTTTGTGATGTAAAATTCTTCAGGATTTGAAAAATAGTGTCATTCACCCACTATTCCAGTATAATAGAAAATAATTTCACTGTAAAGAATATTTTTTACCTATTCAGCCTTTTTCTCTGAAGTCCCTGCTAACCACTAATCTTTTTACTGTCTCTATAATTACACTTTGTCACAATATCGTTTAAATTTAATTACCCACAGAATTCACTCTCCTCAAACTGGCTTCTTTTGCTTAAAAATATGCCTTTAAGGCCAGGTGCGGTGGCTCACACCTGTAATCACAACACTTTGGGAGGCCAAGGCAGGCAAATCACGAGGTCAGCAGATCGAGACCATCCTCTCTAACACAGTGAAACCCCATCTCCACTAAAAATACAAAAAAGTTAGCCAGGCGTGGTGGCAGGTGCCTGTAGTCCCACCTACTTGGGAGGCTGAGACAGAAGAATGGCGTGAACCCGGGAGGCAGAGCTTGCAGTGAGCCGAGATTGTGCCACTGCACTCCAGCCCGGGCGATAGATCGAGACTCCATCTCAAAAAAATAATAATAGTAATAATATGTTTTTAGTATTTGTGAAGTGTCTCTTGGTTCAGATTTGCATTTTAGTTGAAAGGTCAGGTATTGAGCAACTTTTCATGTGCTTTTTGGACATCTACATAGCATCTTTGAAGGAAAGAGTCTATTCACAATATTTACCCACTTTTATTTTTATTTATTTATTTTAAGTTGCATAGAAATGGGGTCTGGCTCTTCCACCCAGGCTGTAGTGCAATGGGGTGGTCACTGTAGCTCACTGTGGCCTCAAACTCCTGCACTCAAGTGATTCTCATACCTCACTGTCTCGAGTAGCTGAGACTACACGTGCATGCTACCATACCCCGCTAATAAAAAAAAAATGTGGGTACAGGGTCTCACTATGTTGCATAGACTGGGCTCAAATTCCTGGCCTCAATTGATTCTTCCATCTCAGCCTCCCAAAGCTCTGGGATTACAGATATGAGCCACCACACTCAGCCTCACCCACTTTTAATTAGGATATGTCACTTTTAATTTTTTAGTTGTGAGATGTTCTATGTATTTTGAACAATACACTGCTATCAGTTGTATGATTTGCAAACATTTCTCCCATTTTTTTAGGTGGTTTTGAAGGTGGACTTTGAATTATGAAGTCATTCCATTTTTTTTTTTTTTTTGAGACAGGGTCCCACTGTATCACCCAGGCTGGGGTGCAGTGGCGTGATCTTGACTCACTGCAACCTCCGCCTCCGAGGTTCAAGAGATTCTCGTGCCTCAGCCTCCCAAGTAGCTGGGATTACAGGTGTGTGCCACCATGCCTGGCTAATTTTTGTATTTTTAGTGTAGATGGGGTTTCATTATGTTGGCCAGGCTGGTGTCAAACTCCTGACCTCATTTGATCCACTCGCCTCAGCCTCCCAAAGTGTGAGGATTACAGGTGTGAGCCACAGCGCCTGGCCTAAAATGATCCAGTTTCTTGGTTTAAAGGAGGAAGACCGCACAGAGAAAATGACATCACATCACATCAAGGTTAAATATTACTAACCTGGTTTATGACTATTGGTATTAATTTTATCACCTGGGTGAGATCATTCTTATCAAATTTCTCCATTGCAAAATTACTTTTTCCCCCTTTCCATATTGTATATTTCAAGAAAAAATGTGAGTATATACAACATACACTTAAGAAGTGGGCAATCACACTCTCCTCCTGATGAGGCAGAATTAAAACAAAACACAACCAAAAAAACCCTGTTTGGACGTGTGTCTATATTTCTTTGTATATTTATCCAATTATTTATTTAAATCAGTATACCAACATAGATATCTAATTTCCACTTATTACTTATTCCACTTATTACTACTTCATTGATTTTCTTGCTAAATTTGTTCCAGTGTTGGCCACTGATACCTCAATAATTATGGTTTGATGTTGTTATGTGTTTTGTTGATTGGTTATGTTGTTGTTTGTCATTGTTTTTAGTTCTGGCACTACTAGGAACTACAGGCTAAATGTGTTTATTCTCTTCACATGCCTAGTATTCACGATTTCTTCACATTTATTGGAAAATAGAATAAAAAAGAAGATCTGGGCACTCAATGGGTGTACTAATTATGCTTGGGGTTTCTGTTAAATCATGGCTTTCTTGGCTGACAGAGCAAATAAACATGTATATTTGTGAGCGAGTATACACTGATATATGTGTACAAAATTCTTTTTTTTATTTCATTATTATTATACTTTAAGTTTTAGGGTACATGTGCACAATGTGCAGGTTAGTTACATATGTACTAATATAAAGTTCTTCAGTATATGGAAAACATTATTATGTATCCACCATTACAGTATCAGAGAAAGTAATTTCACTGCCCAAAAGAAATCTCCCATACTTCACTGATTCAAACTTTCTCTCTCTCCCAAGCCCCTTGTTACCACTGAATTCTTTACTATCACCATATTTTTTCTAGAATCATACAAAGGGAATTATACAGTATTTTGTCTTTTCCAACTTCCATGTTTTTATTTAGCAATATGACATTTAGATTTTTGAAGTATATTTCATGATTGTTTAGATTTTCCTTCCACTAATAATTGCGGGACAGGTGAGCCCCCAAATTAGGGCTTAGACTGGGAAGGTTCTTAGTTTGCCCACGAAATTAATTTAAGGTTGAGCTGCTGGTATTAGACAGCAATTTTTTACTGAGTATTGCTTCTTCCAGAGCAGGAGTAACACATAGGCATTGCATCCAGAGTTGGCAACCTGTGACCTTTTGGCAACTGTATTTATACTAAGGTAAATCTGCTTTCAATTACATGCAAATTGAGGGGCAGGTTATTTAGGACTTTCTAAGAAAGGGGCAGTAACTTCTGGGTTGTTGCCATTGAAATTGCGGGTGGTTGCAATGGAATTTGTAAACAGTCATTGTGCTGTTGGGAGTGTCTTAAGGCAGTGAGCAATGAGGATAGCCAGGATCACTTTTGTCTCCATCTGCTGGTTTCTGGTGGTTTCTTTACTTTATCCTGTGTGAAACAGATCTTGTTTTGCTCAGTAGGGTTGTTAACAGAAAACAAGTCCTGCCATTCTCTCACCTCATAATGTCAAAAGGCACTGAGTGCCTTTTCATGTGATTTTGGATATGACAATAACTTTTTGGAGAGTTGGCTACTTGAATAACTTTCCAATTTGGATTGGGATATTTGCCATTTTATCTTTGAAGTGTAAGATATTGCCATATATTCTGCATAACAGACCATTATCAACTATAAAATTTGCATTTTTCTCCCACTCTTTGGGTTTCTCTGTATTTGATGGTGTACTTTTAATTTCAAAGGTTTTCAATTATAATGAAGTTAAATATATATTTATTTTTTCCATCTTTTCCTGGTGCTTTCAGTGTCATATCTTAGAAAGCATTGTTTAACATAGGACTGCAAAGATTTATTCCTATGTTCTTTTCTACAGTTTGTACCTATTTAGCTCTTATATTTCAAGTATGATCATTTTGAGTCAAGTTTTCAGTGTAAGGCAGGAGTCTGACTTACATGTTGATACCCACTTCTTCCAGAAACACTTAATGAAAAAATTTCTCCATACCTAATTTATATGGCCGCAGTATACAATTATTTCATGATAAATTTAAGAATTTATTTTTGAGCATTATATGCTATTCCATTGAACAATATAAATAGATCCTTACACTACTACCATAAATTTTGATTACTCTTACTTTGTAGTAAGTTTTGAAATCAGGAAGTATGTGTCTATTATGCCAACCTTTTATTACTTTTTCTAGATTATGTAGGCTGCTCTGGCTGTACTGTATTATATATGAATTTTAGAATAACATTGTCAATTTAGGGGAAATTTAAGGGTCAGAACACACTAGTGAATTCTTCTTGATCAGGGCAGGGAAGTGAATCTGAAGACCAATCACATGAGCTTGGAAGGAGACCCTTCTCCAACTGAGCCTCAGCATGGGTCATCATCTACATCTGGACTGAAGACTCAGAGAAACTGTGAGTAATAGGTATGTGATTTTGAGACACTAAGGTATGTAGTAATTTGTTATGCACCAAGTAATAATAAGTAAAATACCTGACAGTAATTGTCATGTGGTATTCTGGAATAGGTTCTGGAATAGATAAATATATCATTATTAGAAAAGGTAGACATGTGCCATGGTAGTCTGCTGCACAGCGAATCCCATCACCTAGGCATTAAGACCAGCATCCATTAGCTATTCTTCCTGATGTTCTCCCTTCTAAAGGCTTTAGCCTTTTCTTTAGTCTTAAAGTATATTCTTGAAATATATTTTGAAACTCCACTACCTTCCATTTCCCACTGTATACTCCTTTGCCTTATGCACATTTATCTAACTGTATGTTTGTTAAATTCACACCATGCAAACTAACTATATGCTTTTTAAGAAATTCCAGAGGCTAATTTTAAATGAACTGAGCATAAAGCCCCAGCTGCAGAATTTTCCACCTCTTAATGATTGCCTCAGATGGATAATCTATGGCCCAGCTGCAGTTGAGACGGCATCTGCCTCTGGCTCCAGGTAGAACATAACTCATGGTAGGCATTGGAGAAAGACAAACAGTCCTTGAATTCTGCACAACTCTTGCACAACTCCCATGTCACATTTCTTTTTCTGTAGATCTCTGCCCTCACCCCAAAGTTTCAAAGTGGTCTACAAAGGTGTAATCCCACTGTTTCCCCACTGCTAGCTTTAGCAAATAAAGCCATGTTCCTTTCACTGCACTTCTTTGTAAGACTGTAGGTCTGCTTTCCAACGAATGGGGCAATTATCCTCAGAAGCACACCAAAGCTTAACCATTTATGCCACCAAAGGAGGCAAGGAACACTGATAAATGCTAACTGCTTGGGGCTAGCTGACCCCATGGTTGGGGCTCTAAAGAATTTCCCTGCACCTGCTGAGATGTTTTTGTCTTGAGGAACTTCCTTTCTCTTCTTGCTGCTGCACCAGCTACCTACTACGCTTCCTTAGCACAGGGCAAGTGACATCTGCAGAAACTGACAGACTTCAGAACGGGGTAAGTGAACCAAAATGCACCCTGAACTACCTACTCTGTGATGTCACTTGAGCTCTGCCCTGTTTAGACATAGCTGCTTGTGACCACCTGGGCTTGTATGGCATCTGTATCTTTGTCAAGACCTGAGCTTTGCTTCATTTGGCCTCAGCTGCTTGGCAGGGAGCATCTGATATTGAAATGAGGTTTCAGGACTTTTATCTGGCCCTTTGGTGGGGATCTGTCTGGGAGTATGCAGTCTGCACCTGCAACTGTATAAGTGTGTAATATCTACATTCAGGCCTTTATCTCTGCCTCTCTCCCCTCCTCACTCTTTCATCTGCAAGGTGGTCTCCATAAGCCCCACTCCATCCAGGATCCAGCCCTCAAGGAAACAGTCTCCACTGCCCTGGCTTGGTCATTCTAGGACCCTGGAGTACTTCTCACAACTGTGCCAGTTTTTATGGGGAAAGGAAGCATGTGAACCATTCCATAGGTTGTCTAAAGGGCTTTCTGCCATGCTTATGGTGCTTAATGTTTGTGTGAAAAAAAGCTTAACAGTATATGGGATTGGTATTTAGGCAGTCCTGACTCCAACCTCTTGCCCTTTTTGTCTGCCGAATTCACCATCTCTTTTGTTGCCATTTGGTTATCTACTAGAGTACTAAGTACAGCAGAACACAGACTTGGGATGAAGTTGATATTCTGGTTAAGGAAGCAGTGGGGGAGTGCTGTGCTAGCTGTTGCTAATTACCAGCCTGGCCAAGGACTTTATTCTCTGATCTCATTGGCTGTTCCAGCTGTATGGTCAGATTTGCACACATATGCCTTTTGGGTCCATGGGTGGTACTACTTGCACTGCATATATGAAGAGCTAGAAAAGTCTTTCCAACCCTGGAGTTATGGTTGAAGGAATGAGCAGTGCAGAATGGAAGAGAGACAACGAATAAAAGTTGTCATCACTGTTTCGACAGGGGTGAGCAGTATGGATATAAGAACCAAGCCAGGAGGGGAAACGAGGTCTCTATTTCCTTTGGAAGGCCCTGTGGTATATCCTAGCTAAATGTAGAGCCTATTGCTAATGTGTCTGTGACAGAGAAATGTTGCAATGCTGTTTGGACTCTCTACCAATTGGGTTATGAATTTTGGTCTCTGAATGTAAGTAACCCACACTGGACTGTAATCCAATTAGAGCCATTTTGTCAGAGGTCTGGAAAATGGAAAGTAATATCATATATCCAAGCCTTTATGCTGTTACATAATCAGAGTTCAGACCACAAGAAATGATGCTGGCTGCCAGCTGTACAGAAGGGTAAGAGGAGAAGGAGGTTCTTCACAAGCCATAGAGCCAAACTCAGCCAGAGAACCAAACTCAGGATAAAGAACTGTGTCTTTTTTTTTTTCTTTGATGGAGTCTCACTCTGTTGCCCAGGCTGAAGTGCAGTGGTGTGATTTCAGCTCACTGCAAGTTCCGCCTCCCAGGTTCACGCCATTCTCCCGCCTCTGCCTCCCAACTACCTGGGGCTACAGGCGCCTGTCACCACACCTGGCTAATTTTTTGTATTTTTTAGTAGAGACGGGGTTTCAACGTGTTAGCCAGGATGGTCTCGATCTCCTGACCTCGTGATCCGCCCCCCTTGACCTTTTAAAGTGCTGGAATTATAGGTGTGAGCCACTGCGCCCGGCCAGAACTGTGCCTTTTTAATGCTCTCCACCCAGCTGCTCCCACAGCTCCAGCCACAGCTGCAATCCTCCCTGCCAAAGCTCCATCTAGTTTGCCCAAGACGGCTTCCCTTCATTCTGGGGCTATTGCGTGAGTACGAGGGGTTAGGAAATACCTTAAGTATTTAATCTTTTGAGTTGAAATCTGGGCCTTATGTGTTGAGACCCTATACCCATTAGTTCACAGAAAATTTAGAAACTTAATGGTATTTTCATCTGAATCTCTTTTGGTTGGGCTGGAGACCAAGAAGTCATCCATATATTAGATAATAGTACCTTATTCAATTGTAACAATTCTCTAGCTGATGCATTTCCAAATAGATGAGTGTGTCCCTAAACCTCTAGGGAAGAACTATCCAAGTTAATTGAGAAATAAAATGACTAGCAGGATCAGCCCATTCAAATTCAAAGAGGAATTGCAAATCAGGATGTAGTAGATTGAAAAAAAAAAAAAAGCATCTTTAAGATCTAAGAGCTAAACTAATTGACATCCCCAGGGACCTGGGCTAACAGCATGTAGAGATTAGTTACTATAGGAGGTATGGGAATAACAGCCTCATTGACAGCTTGAAGATCTTCAACAAATCTATAGTCTCCATTTGTTTTTTCAACAGGCAAGATTGGTGTATTACAAGGGGACTCACAGGGTCTTATCTATCCAAACTGCAAAAACTTAGCTATTAATGGCTGGATTGCACCTTTGGTTTAAAGGGGTAGTGTCTCTTCCAGGGGTATGGGTTACTAAGCTTAAGTTGGACACAAACCAGAGGAATGTTTAACACTTTGCCTGGAAACTCAGTGTCCCATACTATATGATTTACTTGAGAGGTTACTTTAATACATAAGCTAGGTAAGTTTCCTACTGAGTTTCCTCTCTTATCACAGGAAAGGAGAAGGAGCAACCCCTCCTCTGCCTTGCGATTTCCAAAGATACCACTGTTTGCAGCTATGTCAACAAATCCCTTCCCAACAAGGGGATGGGGCATTCACGCATGATAAGAAAGACATGTGAGAAACCAGAATCTCTGAAGAGAAGCTTTAAAGGATAGGTAAAGTGGCATATGAGCTTGTCCACATGTTCCCATGACCATACAGTTTTGGGGTGACGGATGCCCATTATAATGGGTTAAAACAGAGTAAGCAGCCCCTGTATCCAAAAGGAAGTTAATATTCTTATCTACTACTTCAAGGGCAAGTATCCATTAGCTATTTGATGCTCTCCCTACCCAACCCCACCCTTGACAGGCCCCCATGTGTGTTGTTCCCCCTATGTACCCATGCGCTCCCATCATTCAGCTCCGGTGTTTGGTTTTCTGTTCCTGTGATAGTTTGCTGAGGATAATGGCTTCCAACTCCATCCGTGTTTCTGCAAAAGGAGATAATCTCATTCCTTTTTATGGCTGTATAGTATTCCAGGGTGTATATGTACCACTTTCTTTATCCAGTCTTGATTCCATGTCTTTGCTATAGTAAATAGTGCTGCAATGAACATAGGTGTGCATGTGTCTTTATAACAGAACAATTTATATTTTGGGAGGTATATACCCAGTAATGGTCTTGTGGAACAAATGGTATTTCTGACACTAGGTCTTTCAGGAATCACCACACTGTCTTCCACAATAGTTTACCTTTTTTTACACTCCCACCAATGGTATAAAAGAGTTCCTTTTCCTCCACAATCTTGCCAGCATCTGTAGTTTTTCTGACTTTTTAATAATTGCCATTCTGACTGGCATGAGATGGTATCTCATTGTGGTTTTGATGTGCATTTCTCTAATTATCAGTGAGGTTGAGATTTTTTTTTCACGTTTTTTGGCTGTCTGTATGTCTTATTTTGAAAAGTGGTCATTCATCTCACTTGCCCACTTTTTAATGGGGTTGTTCATTTGTTCTGTTTTGTTTATTCAAATTTGTTTAAGTTCCTTGTAGACTATTTGACCTTTGTTAGACGAATGCATTGCTAAAATTTTCTCCCATTCTGTAGGTTGTCTGTTTACTTTAATGTTAGTTTCTTTTAATGTGAAGAAGCTGTTTAGTTTAATTACATCTCATTTGACAATTTTTGCTTTGGTTGCAATTGCTTTTGGCATTTTCATTATGAAATTTTGCCTGTGCCTATGTACTGAATTGTATTGCCTAGATTTATTCTAGGATTTTTATAGTTTTGAGTTTTACATGTAAGTCTTTAATCCATCTTGAGTTAATTTTTGTATATAGCTTAAGGAAGGGGACCAATTTCAACTTTTCTGCATATGGCTATCCAGTTCTCCCAGAACCATTTATTAGGTGGGGAATTCTTCTCCAATTGCTTGTTTTTATCAGGTTTGTTGAAGATCAGAGGGTTATAGGTGTGCAGTCTTATTTCTATAAATAAGACTGTGTTTATATGTTTTCTTATATTTACACCTAAATATAAGAAATAAATAGGCTTAACCCATAGAAAGTCAGATAGGAATATATACTTACAGCTTCAGGTTAAACAATGATTTCTATGCCATGAATGCACAAGCATAAGAAACAGATGAAAAAATAGATATATTAAAATTTCTCAGAATTAAACACTTTTATGACTCAAAGCATACCATTAAAAGACATCCAAAATATTGAAGAAAATCTTTTCAAGTCATATAGCAAATAAGCTTCTACTGCCCAGAATACATGAAAGCACCTTACAGCTCAAAAATAAAATATCAAAAGGTAAATAATCCCAATAAAAATAGTGAAGTATTTGAATAGTGATTTCTCCAAGGAAGTGATAGTCACATACAATAAGCACATCAAAAAATGCTCAATGCCTTTTGTCATAAGAAAAATGCAAATCAAAACAACTGTCAGATATATTTACAAACTTAAAAGGTATATTGATAGGTGAAAAAAGGAAGTTGGAAAAGGCAAAGTACCATGTAATTCTGCTCACATGGTACTCTGGAAAGAGCAATCACATGGAGACAGTAAAATTTAGTGGTTATTAAGGAATTTGGAGAGATGAAAGGAAAATATACATACAGAGGATTTCTTTTCCTCTGTACTGAAATTATTCTGTGTGATAGCGTAAATGTGCACACATGACACTGAGTCTCAAATGTTATCTTACATTATTACTAAGGGTGAGCATAAAAGTATGCAAATTAAAAACTTTATTCAGGGCCGAGCGCAGTGGCTTATGCCTGTAATCCCAGCACTTTAGGTGGCCGAGGCGGGCAGATCATGAGGTCAGGAGATCGAGACCATCCTGGCTAACACAGTGAAACCCAGTCTCTACTAAAAATACAAAAAATTAGCTGGGCATGGTGGTGGGCACCTGTAGTCCCAGCTACTCGGGAGGCTGAGGCAGGAGAATGGCGTTAACCTGGGAGGCAGAGTTTGCAGTGGGCCAAGATCGCACCACTGCACTCCAGCCTGGGTGACAGAGCGAGACTCCATTTCAAAAAAATAAATAAATAAAATAAATAAAAAATAAATAAATAAATAAAAACCTTATTCAGGAGGTAGGGGGATTCCAGAAAGAAATGTGACAAAAACATGTACAAATATATAACAATGGTAAGAAACAACCTCACTGAAGGGATGGGGAATGAGGGACTCATCTATGAAATAAGTAGTAAGTGGAGATTCTGAGTCTTAAAGTCAAAGGTTTTATACATAAGCACTGCACTTTAGTTGGTAAAGTTCTTTCCCATAGGGATATCAAGTACCAATTTTGAACTCACTATACCTGTACATATACATGTGCATCCCTAAATAAAAAAAAAATTAACATTTAAAATGCCACCCAGCAGAACGCCTCATCTATACAGGATGCACTTCCTGGTCCCTCAACTGCTCATGTTTCTTCTGGCCTACAAAAATATAGTGTACAGTGAGCTTCAAATCAAAACACAACATTATAGAAAGAAACTGAAACCATGCCACTGTTTGTTATTGGTGGTACATAAGGCAGGAGAATAGAACCCGGAGGAAGAAAACCTTCAGTTCCTAGAACTAAATCAAATGGAAAGAACTCAGCAATGACAGGAATGTGAATGGCTTTGTAACTTTACTTCATCCTCTCTATTTTCATAGGCCACACATCAAATAACATCCTCTCCAATTACATAGGGCACACACCAAGTAACCAATAGTAAACCTCTAGAGGGTCCTGAAACCCCAGAAAATTCTGTAACCAGGGCCCTTGAGCCACTGCTTGGGCCTGCTCCCACCCTGTGGTACATGCTTTCATGTCCAGTAATTCTCTGTTTTTGTTGCTTCACTCTTTCCTTGCTTTATTTGTGCAAAACTTTTGTCCAATTCTTTGCTCAAAACGCCAAGAACTGGACACCCTAAAGTGGTAACATATTTTGGTGGGCCAGATGGGAGGTAAGACCAAAGTTTAGGGTTTTTCTTTTTTCCCCTTCTTTCTCTCTCTCTCTCTCTCTCTCCCCCTTTCCAGCTCGGGACCCTCGGTGGATGGCACCTAAGCATGGAGAAAACTGCAAGTTTATGGCCAGGGCCACTCTCTGGTGAAACTGAAAGGTTTCCATGTGGAAGCGCCTGATTGCCAGGGCCAGGTTTGGGAATGGGACCTGAGTCCTTTTCCTTTTTCTGAATCCTATTCCTTTTTACCTTTTACTGAGGTCTTTTCTTTTCTTCCTTTCTCAGTCTTTCAGTGGCCATTTCCTAGTAGCTCCTTTGTAAGTGAGGGCAACTGGCTAGGGCCACTCTCTGGCATTGCCAGAGGCCAAGGAATGAACAGGGATGGTCACTTCCCCAGAACGGGGACTCTTTTCTATCCTTTCTAATTATAATTTCTGATCCCTACATGTGATGCAATTGGCAGCGGCAGCTTGTCCAGGGTGAACTCACACATTTCACCTATCTTTCTTTCTTATCTTTCTTAAACCCTCTTTCCATATGCTAAATTCTTCCTTTCCCCTACTCAGCCTGCTAAAGACAAGTCAGAGGGTTTGGGCATGTCGCAGATGGTCTGTGAGAGTGATTGGACTGATTCATAAAAGGGAATTTATGTACAATTTAATTGTACCTAAATTTAGTGAGTTAAATAATTAAGTGGGATAAAAAAAATCCAAAGGTTTGACTGAAAATTAATTCCACAAGTTGAGACCTTCATCCAGAAACAAGAGGGAAAGCTAATAGTAGACCATCAGTGGTGGAAGGAACCATTCCAAAGCAGTGCTGTCACCCATATAAGGTCAGAGATTTCTGACAGACTAAGATGAAGCCCAGTAGGGGGACACCAATGGGGACCCCAGTCAGGGCCCAGCATTTTTCCAGGGGGACACCACAAGTAAAATTTGGGTCACCTGATAAACCTTCCACTTTTCAAAGCACTTTTCCCTTTTCCAGACCACTATGGGCAACTCTCCCTCTATTTGACCTGATTCCATTGTAGACAGCTCTCCATCTGTTCCACCCAATTCCACTGTAGACAACTCTTTGTCTATTCCACCTGATTCCACTGTAGACAACTCTCCATCTATTCCACCCAATTTCACTGTTCTGTGTATTCCCAATAGACAGGGACTATGCTCCAAGCCACCATGAAGCAGTTACAGATTAAAGCATTGGTCCCTCTGCCTCCATAAAGACTTATGAGGACCACGTCTTTCAGGGGGGAAATGAGGCAGGAGAATAGGGGCCTGGAGGCAGGGAACCTAAGGACTTCCTAGAACTAAATGAATGGAAACACTTCAGCAATGACAGGAATGTAAATGGCTTTGTAACTCCAACCTCTTCATTTACATAGGGCACACACCAAGTAACCAATGGGAAACCTCTAGAGGGTATTCAAACCCCAGAAAATTCTGTAACCAAGGTCCTTGAGCTGCTTGCTTGGGCCCACTCACATCTGTGAAGCATGCTTTCATTTTCAGTAAATCTTTGCTTTTGTTGCTTCATTCTTTCCTTGCTTTATTTGTGCAAAACTTCTGTCCAATTCTTTGTTCAAGACACAAGAACCTGGACACTCTCAACCAGGAATGTACAGGCACAGTCATGTGTCACTTAATGATAAGGATATGTTCTGAAAAATAATGAGCTGTTAGGTGATTTTGTCATTTTGGGAATATCCTAATGTACTTACAGAACCTGGAGAATATAGCCTATTGTCCTAGGCTACAAACCAATATAGCATGTTATTATAGTACTTGTATATGTAAACACACTTCAACATTAAAAAGATATAGTAAAATATGGTATAAAATATAGAAAATGGTATGCCTGTCTAAGACAGTTATAATGAATGGAGCTTGCAGGACTGCAAGTTACCCCAGGTGACTCAGTGGGTGAGTAGTGAGCAGATGTGAAAGCCAGGATGTTACTGTACACTATTGTAGACTTTATAAATGCTGTACACTTAAACAATAAACTTATGAAAATTGTTCCCCTATATTCAAGTATTAAAACATATCTTAGTTTAACTTTTTAACTTAATAAACTTTTTGATGTTTAAAGTTTTTGCTGTTTTGCAATAACAATTCGCATTATACATTGCACATCTGTACAAAATATTCTCTTTATATTCTTATTTTTGAGCTTTTATCCATTTTAAATTTTAAAGTTTTTCCTTTTAAACTTTTGCTTAAAACTAAGATGCAAACACACAGAATTTCTTAGGCCTTCACAGAGTCAGAATCATCAGTATCACCATCGTCCACCTCCACATCTTATTCCACTAGGTGGTCTTCAGGGGCAGTAACAGGCATGGAACTGTCCTCTCCTATGATAAAAACAACTTCTCTGGGGCCGGGCACTGTGGCTCACACCTGTAATCTCAGCACTATGGGAGGCTGAGGCAGGCAGATCATGAGGTCAAGAGTTGGAGACCAGCCTGGCCAACATGGTGAAACCCCATCTCTACTAAAAATACAAAAATTAGCCGGGCATAGAGGCGGGAACCTGTAATCCCAGCTACTCAGGAGGCTGAGGGAGGAGAATTGCTTGAGCCCGGGAGGTGGAGGTTGCAGTGAGCCGAGATTGCGCCACTGCACTCCAGCCAGGGCAACAAGAGGGAAACTCCATATCAAAAATAAATAAATAAATAAAAATAACTTCTTTGGCTACCTCACGGGAAGCCAAGATAGTGACACTGCTTTCTGATGGTTCAGTGTATGCAAGCTTTGTTTCATGCACAGTTATTAAAATATTGTATACAACTAGCTTCAGGCTATCTGTGTAAAGTATACTTGAAATATAAATGCCTGTTCCACTCCCACTGCTTCACTTGGCTAGCCTTAGAATTTTTTAAAAATAAAATAAAATATAAATAAATCCATGTATAGATTTGTATCCAATCTGTCAGGTCCTAATTAGCGAAAGGGAATCAGGCTGGAAGGACCAGGGGAAAGCAAAAGAGATAAAGCAAAGAGGCTATCAATAGGCCCTTCTGCATGTCCAGAAAATTTAAACAAGAGAAAGCAGGTAAGTTACAGGTCTGCTTTTCTTTATGGCCCAGGACATATGGTCCAAGACATATGGCCCTCCTGCTCAGATAACATATATAACTCACAACCTTCCTGCTTACTATGAGTTGCCTCAATTTATCAAACACCCCTGACAGAAGAATGCAGGTTAAGTGCCCTGCTACTTGGTGTTATCAATCAGCCCAAGTTCCATTCTATAAAATCCTCAGCAATCCTTTGTGTCCTCACAGTTAGCTTCCCTCATGCTAACTTGTCCGCTGACTTTTGTGCAACATATTTTCCTACTTTCTCTAATAAATCTAACCTATCTCTAGCTACGGCTGTCTTGGTAAAAATTCTTTTACCCCATGCACTGCTGTCCATTGTTCCTCTACATTTTAGTGGCCCATAAGGGGACTCTATTGTACAGGAACTCTCTCTCCTCACAAGGAACTCCCTCCCTTCTCTCTCTTTCCCTTTCCCTATTTTGGACCCTCATTGAAGAGTGTCTAAGCACAGAGACAATTGCAGGTTTCTGGCCACGACTATACTCTGGGACTGAATGGTGGGACTGAAGGGTCCCCATGTGGAAGCAACTGATTGCTGCTGCCTGGTTCGGGTGAGTGACCTGAATCCTTTTCTCTTTTCAGTCTTTCAGTGGCCATTTACTAGTATCTCTTTGACAATTGAGGGTAACTGGCCAGGGCCACTCTCCGGAGTTGTCTGAAGGCCAAAAAGTGAACAAGGATAGCCGCTCTGCCCAGAACGAGGGAAGGCTCTCTCCTCTCTTTTCTGGTTATAGTCCCTTATCCCTACATGGGAGACAACTGACAGTGGAAGCTTGTTTCAGGTAACTCATACACTCTCTTTCTCATTCCAAATTCTCTTGTGGACAGTCAGCCAGCCATCCTGTTCTGGACTTGCCAAATCAGATGATCTCAGACAGCCTAAGAATGATGAGCTTTCCTACTGGGCTGGAACCAGATGAAGATCTTCCTTTACCTTCTTTCCTCGTACCTAGGCTGATCACTCAGTGAGAGTACCTGGACTGGCCATCCAGCATAAGGCCCTTGAGGGGCCGAGTGGTCTTTTCCAATAGGTGGGTACACCTTTAATGTACCCGGAGTTCCTTAGGGCTGCTGGCCCTTGAGCAGCATGTTTTCCAGTCCAACCGTAAGACCAACCCTGTCCATTCCTGCAAACTCACTTAGGCTGTATTTTAAAGCACTGGGACAAATTCAACCCCCAAACCCTCAGAAAGAAACACCCTCTTATGTAATACAACATGGCTCATATAAGAAAAACCCTCAAATTGCCCTCCCTAGCCTAAATTTATAATGGAGAGCAAAATGAGGAGAAAAGGGTTAAAGAAAAAAGCAGAGACAAAAGGGAGGCTCAAATGTTGGCTGCTTTACAAGCCCCATCCCCTTATAGGTTTAGGTCCGAGGAGCTAAAGGAGAAAAACAAAAGGAAAAAAGGTGCTGGCTCCACACCCTACAGTGGCTAAGAGGCTCACAAGCTCTCCTGTAAAATGTATCCCTTTCTTCTCCACTCCTTTCTTTTCATTTTTCTGTCCAATCCAAAGATCCAGCCTTAAAAGGGAAAAAAACAGTTTCTAACATCTAACCCCTGATTTTGTCATTCTCTTTAAAACTCCAGCTGGTTACTTGTTATAGCCTGTTTCGGTGCACATTTTAAACGAATGGGCAAATCACTATCAAAAAAAAAAAAAATCAGAGCTCAAGTGTTTAACCTGCACTGTAAAGTAAAATTTGCTAAATAAAGCTATCTTCCCCTTTTCTTTTCTGCCTGCTTTAAATCTGCTTTCACTAAGCTGCTAGTGCTGAGATAAAGCTCATTGTTTATGGTCTATCTAAAATGTAAACATTAAAAACTCATTTGAAATTAAAGCATAAAAGAGCTTTTATTAAAACAAACTGCCATAAAGATTGTTTTACCCCAAATTTTGGTTCAAAGCTCTCCTTGGATTGCAAAGGTAGCCATATAAACAGGTTTCAATTTTATCAGAAAAATAACTTAAGTCAGGTATCTTTTATAGGTTAGTAAATTTGTAATACTGAATCATGGCCAAAATTCTAATGTAAAAGCTATTCAATCTTTGTATATATATGTATGTATTCATGTTTAAATATGTTTATGCAATGTACATGTTATCTTGTTTTTTTGTTTAGCATGCTACCCAACTGGCAATATAAATAAATCAGTACACATAAATCACGTCCAAATACTTTTCAAGCTCACAAGAGCCTTAAATAAGCCAGCTTTAAAAATTCTTGATAAAATAATATAAACAATGTCTTAAAAACTGTGAATATGTATTTTTTTGTTTGGGTTTATTGCCCTCTAAAAATTTCTCACACAATGGAATTCTGTCTTAATTCTCCATTTCTGTGTATTATATGATATATATGTGATGTTTATAAAAAAGAGCTCTTATTAATTGGATTAAAGAAAAATAAGTGCTTCAGGCCGGGAGCGGTGGCTCACGCCTGTAATCCCAGCATTTTGGGAGGCCGAAGGGCGCAGATCACGAGGTCAGGAGATCAAGACCATCCTGGCTAACATGGTGAAATCCCGTCTCTACTAAAAATATGAAAAACTTAGCTGGGCATGGTGGTGGGCGCCTGTAGTCCCAGCTACTCGGGAGGCTGAGGCAGGAGAATGGTGAGAACCCATTAGGCAGAGCTAGCAGTGAGCCAAGATTGCACTACTGCACTCCAGCCTGGGCGACAGAGCTAGACTTTCATATCAGAAAAAAAAAAAAAAAGGGGGCTTCAATCAAACATATTGTCAAAAAATGGAAACTTTAATGGCTTTAGGTCACATGATTCTAATCTTTAAACAAAGACAGTTTTAAAGATTGTTGGTAAAATAAATGTCTTCAAAGTTCTGACATTTAATCTAAATTAGGCAAGCTAAGTACTGTTTGCTAAATGTTTCAAGACCATAAACTGCTTCTATGACTTTAATAATTGTTTAACTTTTCTGTTTTCCAGCGATTACATTCTAGGTAAGGCCTAGGAATATATGGAGTTAGGCAAGTCGCCTGGCTAGGCTTAGAAAAGTTATGGGCTTTGCAATCTTATAAATGGTTGAAGTTGCTGAATTACTAGATTTCTCACCAAAAGTAAAAGTTGCTAAGAGTTAACAGCGTAACATGTACTTAAACTACTAGAAGAGCAGTTTTAAGAAAAGTAAAATGTGTTTTTGGCAAAAGTTTGTAAGAAGGTATGAGAATATGATTTTTCTTAAAGGGAATGTAATTTTGTTTAGTTGAGAAGGTTTTAAGGATTGCCTTAACCTAAAAGTAATGGAATAAAACAGAAGGTTTAAGCAAGTTGTAATAGGTTTCTAAAAGGTTAATCTTGTAAAGAAAATTCTGTGGATCTCCTTAACAAATTGCTAAGATTTGAAGGAGATTATTTAGTTTTTGCAGATATTAAATACTTTAAAGTCCCAAAAAACCCATATTTGGCTTATTTGGTATTAAATTCATATAAGAAATATTATCAAGTACAAAATGGTGTTTAGCATACTTTGAGTTACACTTATATAACTGTGTTATTGTCATTGATGTGTGTTCCAGAATTTTATAAGATTCCCATAATTGTGATATGTCTCAGTATACACTATCAGTAATAATTATGATTGTTACGTTAAATTATTGTGTGCCACAGAGATAACCAGACCTTAACCATGGGTGTTCTAAGACTTCTTTCATCTACAATTGTTTTACTTAGTTATTGTCAAGGTCGTTCTATAATCAGTTATAGAACTCTTAACAGGTGCTCTTGGATGTGGGTTGCTGATAACTTAAAAGATTGTGATATTAAAATAAATAGCTTCCAAAAACTCCAATTGAAAGCTAATGTGTTCCCAAATATTGAGCAGAGTAGGAGTTAATTACATAAACTAACAAAATACTAAAATCATCTTTTTATGATATTTGGATATTACTAATTTTTTATTTTTCAAACTCCAGAAAAACTTTTTAAGCTACTTATAGCCTTTTACAATTAAATGAAGTACAATCTCATCACCAAAAATCTGAAGCATATTTCTCCAGAATTTAAAAACTATTTGTAAGTATACTGAGTTTATGGCAGTATAGTTATTTGTATAAGTTCTTTAAGTATCTGTTTTCTTTTATAACAGGACACAACTGGAAACACTGGTTATTTTACCAAAGCTTTGGCTGGAATGGCATGCTTTCAAATATAAACAAATTGCTTTAAAGAAGCAAAGCTGACTTACAGAGCCAATCAAAGCTGGAAAAATTGGCCTCATACCTTGTCTTCAGTCCCTGTACAGGGTTTCTTGCTTGCAGTAAGTAAAGAATGTCACTTTCAAACAGGCCCAGGAACCCCAAGTTATTTTGGGTCCTCAAGAGGAGAGGAATTTACACAACTCATACAGGTATTTAATGGCACAAACCCACGACTGGGCTCAAGGCTTTAACATCTGAGATTCCTTATGGAATAAAGTTTCAGCAAAGCCAATTTTTAAAAAGACTATATATGAAAAATAATTATTCTTGCTGACTTTATGCAAACAGTCAAACCAAGTATAACATGACAAAAACTTATTTTGGCAATAGATTTGTCCTACTATAATTTGTCTTTAGTAAAAACAGGGACTGGAGAGAAAAATTATGTTTCAGAAAAGCTGTAGTATACCTGTTGTCAAATTCTAGTCTTGTCCAATGTTTTCACATTTTTCTTATTTTCCGTAGTTTTAACTGAATCCTACAAGTTCCCAAACTAATACTTCCCGTTTGTTTTCCTTTCAGTTTTCTAACTTAAACTCAACAGAGCTCTTTGCTAAGGTCCTGCAAACTGAAACTCTATAATACAGGCAAGAGAAAGAAAAAAAATGCCACTGCCTTTCTCCTCTATAACTAAAATTGCTTTAAGTCTAACATCTGCATGAATTGTGCCCAATGCTAATCTTTGTTTTTTTTCTATTTACATAAAAATACCTCTTATTAGAAATTTGTCTGCCTTCATCATACGTAGAGGCCTGTAGGCTATCTTCTACATCAGCAAGTCCGAGGGTCTAATTCTTCCCTAAGGGCTTTAACACCAGCCCATTGCAATTACACTTCAACTATCATCAAACACACCAAAACGGGAGACGAGTTCACTACGTGTACCTCTGCAGGTTTTCTCTATGGTGGGGAAACAACGAAGTTAATGGCAGCAAAATTTGTAGTAATTCCTTTATGCCTATAAATAGTTCAGCAACCAGGATGGAATATATAAGAATGGGGTCAAGACTAGACAACTTCTCAACCTCACTAATACATTTACAACTTTTCCTCAATTTTCTCTTATCCCACTAATATTTAAAAGTCTTTTCTATCAGGCTCCACTTTGTCACCTATAACAATGCTCATATTCATTTATTTGCACCATGTATTATTCATGCAATATCTTGTTTTGTGTCTTCTAGAATGCAACAATTTTGAACCAAGAGGTTACTGTAGCGAAAATATCAGTCAGTAAGAGAAATTCATAAATCTCCTTTGGATGCAGCAGGACAAAATTTTAGGCTGCAAATGTTGTTCCCCTACTGTCCCACATCAACTCTGCCCAGTTTAAGTCCCAATTCAAGGATTTAGGCCCATGTAACCCACCTGACCTACTAACAATCCTAGATGGGGCCAGCTCTACACCTCCAATCAGCAGGAAGCAGTTAGAAGATAAGACCTTCACCCACATGCCACACTTCAGGACCAGGGGAACAAAAAGAGTTAAAGCAAATAGGCTATAAATATGCCTTTCTCCATGTCCAGAAAATGTAAACAAGAGAAGGCAGATAAGTTACAGGTCTGCTTTCTATATGACTGAGGACATATGGCCCAAGACACATGGCCCTCCTACTCAGAAAACATACATAACTCACAAACTTCCTGCTTACCATCAAATGCCTCAATTTATCAAACACCCCAGCGGACGCCAGCTGAAAGAAGAATGCAGGTTAAGTGCCCTGCTACCTTGACATTATCAATTAGCCCAGGTTCCATCCTATAAAATCCTCAGCAAGCCTTTGTTTCCTCACAGTTAGCTTCCCTCACGTTAACTTGACCATTGCCATCCTTGCAATGTGTTTTCCTACTTTCTCTAATAAATCTGCCTTTCTCTACCCATTAGTCTCTTGGTAAACTATTTTATCCTTGCACCACTGGCCATTGTTACCCCACACCACCATCCATAAAATATCTCATCATGTATATGAAAATATTCCAAAACCCCGAAATTCCAAAATCTGAAATACTTCTGGTCCCACACAGTTTGGACAGGTAATACTCAACCTGTATTTTCAGGGTATGATTACATTAACAGAAACATCTAGCTTACTGTTAGAGCAGTAGGCTATATACAAGTAAGGGGTAATGGGTAGATAGATTCCTGTGTTACTGAATCAGATCATGTGTGGCTGGAAACAATAGATTCACCTTGAATTTAATGTAAATGAATATTGACCCATGTTAACATATATATTCTGTGTCAGTAAAACAAGAATGCACAGATGTATTTGTTTGCTTTCTCAGGTACAAAGTCTTGAATCAAAGATTTCTGATTCACAATGTATAAACTTGGTGGCTAAATCTTCATTTCTAATTCCATTTTCTAATTTAAAAAAGCTAGAACGCTATGAAAATTGATTAGAGTTCAATTAGGTGGCAAATAAGCATAATTATCCTGGAGCATCTAGTAGTCCCAAAACAATAGAATATGCTAGAAAATGACACAACCACATATCGAACTGCAAACATACAGGTATTTGAAATTGATTGGGGATACAATGAAAAAACTTCCCAGTGGCATTCAGCCTAAACTCAATTACACCAAGCTTCCATGGTTCTGAGGATTTTGGTCTTGCACTTAGGTGCACTACCAGCATCCCTGCATCTACAGCTTCCAGAAAGCCTTTTGTGGAAAATCTCAGCCTGGATCTATACTTATGTGAGAAAATACCATAAATAAATCCCTTCTCATCTACCTATCTACCTACCTACTTACCTACCTACATACATACTTATCCATTCTATTGCTTCCGTCTATTTGGATAAAATTAACTAATACAAATACTGGTAATCAGAATGGTTCCAGAAAAACATTTTATTTTTTAAATTGTTTTTATTGAGATGGAGTATCACTATTTATTTCTCTTGCCTGATTGCCCTAACCAGAACTTCCAATATCATGTTGAATACAAGTGGTAAGAGAGGGCATCCTTGTCTTGTGTCCATTTTCAAATGAAATGCTTCCAGCATTTGCCCATTCAGTATGATATTATCTGTGGGTTTGTCATATATAGCTCCTATTATTTTGAGGTACGTTTCTTTAATACCTAGTTTATTGAGAGTTTTTAACATGAAGGGATGTTTTTTGATATACTGCTAGATTTGGCTTGCCAGTATTTTGTTGAGGATTTTTTCATTGATGTTCATCAAGGATATTGGCTTGAAGTTTTCCCTTTTTGTTGTATCTCGTCAGGTTTTGCTATCAGGATGATACTGGCCCCACAGGATGAGTTAGGGAAGAGTTTCTCCTTTTCACTTTTTGGAATAGATTCAGCATAAATGGTACCAGCTCTTCTTTGTACCTCTGGTAGAATTCAGCTGTGAATCCATCTGGTCCTGGGCTTTTTATGGTTGGGAGGCTATTTATTACTGCCTCAATTTCAGAACAGAACTTATTATTGGTCTATTCAATTTCTTCATGGTTCAGTTTTGGGAGGGTGTGTCAAGGAATTTATCCTTTCTTCCAGATTTTCTACTTTGTGTGCGTAGAGATTACAGTTACAGTATTCTCTGATGGTTGTATTTCTGTGTGGTCAGTGGTGATGTCCCCCTTATCATTTTTGATCGTGTTTATTTGAATCTTCTATCTTTTCTTCTTTATTACTCTAACTAATGATCTATGGCCAATCTATTTTACTAAATTTTCAAAAAACCAGCTCCTGGATTCATTAACTTTTCAAGGGTTTTTTTGTGCCTCTATCACCTTCAGTTCAGCTCTGTTCTTGGTTATTTCTTGTCTTCTGCTAGCTTTGAGATTTGTTTGCTCTTGGTTCTCTAGTTCTTTTAGTTGTGATGTCAGGCTGTTAACTTGAGATCTTTCTAGCTTTTTGATATGGGCATTTAGTATTATAAATTACCCTCTTAAGACTGCTGTAGCTGTGTCCCAGAGATTGTACATTGTGTTTTTGTTCTTATTAGTTTCAAATAACTTCTTGATTTATGCCTTAATATCATCATTTACCCAAGACTCATTCAGGAGCAGGTTATTCAGTGTCCATGTAGTTGGGTGGTCCTTTTGGCTTTTCTTTGTATGTTTAAATTTTCAATGTAATCAGAAAACTGCTCATGTAGTTACAAAAAATTATGAATTCCCCTGCTATACTCATAAACTTGAAGATAAACTCTGAGTCTGATTAAATTCAAAACACATTTTCATAAGATTTAACATCCAGGTTATCTAAATAGACTTCCTATAACTGCAAGTTTTACTCTCTGCCTTTCTGTAAACTGGTTTAAGAAACATTTTTTTTGCTTTGTTTTATCAAAATAATTCTATACTTTCTTTATTAGTTTTTTAATTGCTAAAAAAATACCTAAAAGGGTTAAGGTTTTTACATTCATGTAACCTTCTTTATTGCCTTCAGAGTGTTTTGATTATTGCTTTGGTAAAATGAGCAACTACTGTTTTACAACGACCGGTGGTTCTGTTTTAATCAAATGTTTTGAAACTCTTAACATCTTTAACATCTTTGACAGAGGTAAAGTCAAATCCTAAATTAAGTCTCTGACATATTGCTGAAGTTTGTATCAAAGCTATAAAATTAATCACTGAATGATAAATTTTTTTTACCACTTCCAGTCAGGTCATGGACCATAGTATGACCACCTCCAGCCCCTTAAAAAAATCCTTATTAGGTGCTATTAACTATCCTTGTGCTGTTATGTTACAGAGCTTTGACTCCTAAGTACACATATCTCATCTAAAAAGTGGCACCGACTCCTGCCATTATCTAACACCAAATTCAAGTTAACCAAAGTCTCATCTTGGCACCAGGGCAAAGGCAACAATCAGAGTAAACTGCTTTCAAGAGTCACCAGGACATACTTCGATTTAAAAACATTACAATTCTTAGATCCTTCAATATATAGTTCTATATGGGCTACTAGAATTGGTGTTTGGTCTGATATGTGGCTTTTTATGTAATGACATCCTTTGATTGCTATTTCTGTTTATACTAGTATTTCTATATCTACTATGTGTGCTGTCCGTTGATTTGTGATGTCAACAAATGCTTGGCTGTAGCTATATAAGGTGGGTGAGTCGTCTTTAGTCATGTCACGTATGCTTTCTTCCAAGGTGTATTTAGGAATACATAAAGAACTTCTATGAAGATGCACTGATTAAAAAGCCAAGGCAGGAGGATCCCTTGGGCCCAGGAGTTTAACACCAGCCTGGACTACATAATGTGAACCTGTCTCTATAAAAAATAAAACGAGCTGAGCATGGTGGTGTGGACCTGCAGTTCTAGCTTCACAGGAGACTGAGGTGGGAGGGTCACTTGACCCCAGGACTTTGAAGCTACAGTGAACTGTGATGGTGCCAATGCACTCTAGCCCAGACAAAAGAGTGAGACCTTATCTCTGTTATTATTTTTTTAATTATACTTTAAGTTTTAGGGTACATGTGCACAATGTGCAGGTTAGTTACATATGTATACATGTGCCATGCTGGTGTGCTGTACCCATTAAATCATCATTTAGCATTAGGTATATCTCCTAAAGCTATCCCTCCCCCCTCCCTTCACCCCACAACAGTCCCCAGAGTGTGATGTTCCCCTTCCTGTGTCCATGTGTTCTCATTATTCAATTCCCACCTATGAGTGAGAAAATGCGGTGTTTGGTTTTTTGTTCTTGCGATAGTTTACTGAGAATGATGATTTCCAATTTCATCCATGTCCCTACAAAGGACATGAACTCATCATTTTTTATGGCTGCATAGTATTCCATGGTGTATATGTGCCACATTTTCTTAATCCAGTCTATCATTGTTGAACATTTGGGTTTAGAATGACAATCATTAAAAAGTCAGGAAACAACAGGTGCTGGAGAGGATGTGGAGAAATAGGAACACTTTTACACTGTTGGTGGGACTCTAAACTAGTTCAACCCTTGTGGAAGTCAGTGTAGTGATTCCTCAGGGATCTAGAACTAGAAATACCATTTGACCCAGCCATCCCATTACTGGGTATATACTCAAAGGACTATAAATCATGCTGCTATAAAGACACATGCACACGTATGTTTATTGTGGCACTATTCACAACAGCAAAGACTTGGAACCAACCCTATCTCTGTTATTAAAAAAAGTAGATGCACTGAATAGATATGTGTATGGAAACTCTTCAGGCATTGTATTGGGTCAAATGAATGTCAAGGAAATGGTCTAATTGAGGCTCTAAATATTATTGTTATCAATTCCTTGGTTTTCCAGCAACTGTTCCAAACATGATATATTTTTGTAAAGTACAAATTGTGGAGTGTGTTCTGGTAATCCTACAAATTTAGGTGCTGTGTGAGTTTGCATTGTTTGATATGCATATATTATCTGATATTAAAAATTAAACATAACACTGCAAATAAACTAAGATACAATACCCCACTGATGCATTGCATCTTCATCTGTTCTAACAACACAGTATAGGGTTGCTGTTAGCAGTGGTATGGCAGTTTGAGTAAGGTGAGGTACATAAAGCAAAGGTAGTTCGTTCTATGGGTTTTCTCTTACCTTATTAAGCAGTTTAGCAATACAATCTATATGACAGGGGACCACCGTAATCCTCAAAGCCTGTGTATTCAGCTGAGCTTAAAATGGTTCCTAATGCTGTACTTACTTCACAAACACAGAGAGGATAAAACTGGTAGTGGTGTCTGGTTTCCACCAGGTCTGGTTTGACATTCCAGTTTGGGCCTATCTGATGGAGCTCACATGCTTCAGCTGATTCATCAAGAAAATCTGGTGAGATGGTCATAAAGATCCTAGACAGTGAAGATGTGGCTGAAGATAAAGAAAAAGGTGAATAAGGCAAGAACATAAAGGGGTGATAAGAGATCTTGGAGTTGCTGAATGTGATCTTGGAGATGCTAAGTCCATACACTGGAGGTGCATTACAGGTGTTGGTGTGCAAATTATTAATCCAATGATGTAATTAGCAAGAAAATAGTGTAATTTTTAATTTTTCTACAGTGAGAGAAGTGTGTGCTTGCATTACTCTGGTTTGCAATCTCTGTGGTGGCAATATAAGGAATCACAAGACTGTAAAGTCACTATGATGGCTAGTAAGATGTGAATAACAAAGGTGGTAAGACCAACAGTTGAGAAGCTACAAAAATTCACAGGTGTGATGTTGTCTTAAGCGAGTGACATATTTTATTATTCCAGTGATGGCTATAAGTGATGGTATTAGGTTAGTAGCAAGTAAAATTCGATTGAATTCAATACAATTTCAATTACATTAATACAATGATTAAAAAACAGCAGTGCAGTACCAATTTTGCAGAAAGTATAATAACAAATATAGTTCTAGTGAAAACCAGGAGAAAGGTTGCAGATTGTGTATAATTGTATTTCTCCTATTTTTCCTATAGTCCAGTAAGTATTTACATGTCCATTGGCCACAATGTCCACTTGGGAGATACTGATGTCATTAAGTCTAGTGCTCACCTTGTAAGATATAGATAATATTTACATCATTTTCTTCCTTATTCTATTTTTTTTTTTAGACAGGGTCTCACTCTGTCACCCAGGCTGGAGTGCAGTGGCATGATCTTGACTCACTGCAACCTCCGCCTCCTGGGTTCAAGTGATTCCTATGCCTCAGCCTCCCGAGTAGCTGGGATTAAAGGTATCCGCCATGACACCTGGCTAATTTTTGTATTTTTAATAAAGAACGGGTTTCACCATGCCCTTTTCAGGCTGGTCTCGAACTCCTGACCTCAAGTGATCTGCCCACCTCGGCCTCCTAAAGTGCTGAGATTACAGGAGTGAGCCACTGCACCCAGCCTCCTTATTCTGTAAGACCACTAAGGTCAGTTGATTAAAATAAGAGTAGGGTTGCTCTCATTGAGTCTTTCTCATTGTTTTAAATTAAAACGTATCAGGTTATTGGATTGTACTCATTTTTTCCTAAAGTTTTTAATTCTCTTTTTGATAATCCATTTTAAATCTATATATATGCAGCTGCTGTGAGATGATAAGGTAGGAAAAAAAATTCCATTATATATCCCATTTATCTGCCAATGCCTGTTATTGCTTGATGCAAAATGAGTTACCTGATCACTTTCAAATTTTTTAGGGGCTGCATAGTGAGCTACCATAAATTCTAAGGCTGAGATGGTGTATTTGGCAGGTAAGTGGCTAACTTTATTGCTATGCAAATTGCTGTACATATATCCAGCTTTTTTAGTGCATATGTTTGTGGGTAGGGATGATTCAGTATCCAATAAAAATCTTTTGTTAGCCCAAGTTGAACGTGCCAGGTCTATGGGTTTAGTATAACTATACTTTTCTAGATTGGCTTTATATTGTTCACAATTACCTATGCCGTATTGAATTTGATGCCATGCCACTTTTAATTTGTCTGATCGCCACCTGTACAGTGATCATGTGCCTAAGTCTCTTTTTTTCATTATATACTTAGAGGTGTGTTTGTGAAGTGTAAGCTGCTTCTGGTGTCTGTTTAATTGTAAAATCACTTTCCTGTTTTACTATAATTATTAGGGGTACTTGTGGTATCTCCCATTTATTGTCCAATTTTCTGCTGCATTGTAGAGGTGGTACTGAAGTGTCCCATGAGTTGTCTGGATTTCTGTGTTGCTTTAGTTGGGGTGTGTTTTGTGTGCAATGGTTATATTCCCTGATAATGCATCTACTTGATTATAAAAATTTAAGGTCTCTGAATTATATTTTTGTTGTACTGTTGTATGATAAGTATCTTAATTCTGTTTGATAACTCACTTCCTCCCAATAAAACTTGGACCATATATCTTTACCATTAATTTTAAAATCATTTTGTATCTATTTGTGTGACCATAGGTTTATTTCATTTGCAACTGCCCATGAGTCTGTAAAAATGCAAATTTTATGTTGTTTTTCTAATACTGAGTCTCTGACTGCTAGAACATCTGCAATCAGTCCTGCACTCTGTGCAGAGAGTAACTGATCTGCTTCCTTCAGGATTGTGTGGTCCTGGGATCTGAGTGCTGCTTTGTCCATTGGATCTGGCTTTGGGTCACGGAGGCTCATCCGTCTGTAAACCAGGTGTTGAGCAAGACATTAGACCAGACAGGGCCCCATTTGCCGAGATTGACATGGATTGTCCCTGTCCTCAGAATACATTCTGGCAAGTCTATTTCAGTCTTGACAATCTCCTCAGTGAGGAGACCTGGTTGACCCTTAAGGCCAGTGTTTCAACCCTGGATGCACCATTTTCAGGTGAGCAGCTTTAATCAATTTGGATACCTGTCAATTCTTCAGGACTCAGTTTTATCCAGTGAAGGAGAGCCACATAGCATCTAACTGTAATGATGTTGTTGCCAGGCAAAAGCTCAGTATCTTAAGTACATGTAGGCCATGTACATTTTTCAAATGGGCTTTTAATTTGTTGTTAGAGTGTGAAAATTTTATTGTACAAAATCCCACTGGCAGGAAGAATTTAGAATCTAATTTCTTTGTCCACAATGACCACGGACCTTTCCACATTCAGCACGCATCAGAATTTCCAACCAAAGTTGTGAATCAGAAGATGGATGATGCAAAGTGTGAAATGTGTTAATGTAGCCTTTCAGTGTTGCAAGTGCTTATGTTTGTTTTTGTCCCCACACGAACTTGGAAATTCTTAGTTGTCTTATGTATTGGTTTTAGGATGATGTTTAAATAGGCATATGCTGTCTCCCATATCCAAATAAACCTACTAATCTTTGCCCTACATGTTAATTGATGCCTTAGGGGCTTTCATCTATCATTATCATCATTACTTTTCTCCCTTCTAATGGCTGTTGTACTCCTTAAAATTTGCATTTGGTGTCTGGGCCTGTGGTTTGTCTATATGAATAGTCTATCTCAGTGATCTTAAAAGCAATATTAATTGGGATGTTTCTTGTTTAACATTTATCTGGCCATTGTGTTAACATTTAATGTCATGTATGTATATTATTAATGATGTGTATTTTAATTCATCTATGAGTGATGATAAAATACAGTGGGCTGGCCAGGCGCGGTGGCTCACACCTGTAATGCCAGCACTTTGGGAGGCAGGCGGATCACGAGGTCAGGAGATCCAAACCGGATATCCTAACACGGTGAAACCCTGTCTCTACTAAAAATACAAAAAAAAAAAAAAAAAATTAGCCGGGCATGGTGGCAGGCGCCTGTAGTCCCATCTACTCGGGAGGCTGAGGTAGGAGAATGGCGTGAACCTGGGAGGCGGAGCCTACAGTGAGCCGAGATTGCGCCACTGCACTCCAGCCTGGGCAACAGAGCAAGACTCCGTCTCAAAAAAAAAAAAAAAAAAATACAGTGGGCTGTTTAATTGCCTTGCATTAAACTTTTAAATTAGTATTTTTTGTCTTTGTAAATAAAGTTGGTATATTCCTGGTTTTCTTTACTGGTAAAACAAAGACACTATCTAACAAGTCTATGGTTACATAGTCTTTTTGATTATAGTAAGAAATTGTAATAATAAATTCTACATCTGGTAATGTTTCTGGCATTTTAGGTGAGACTTTATTTAAATTGGTATCATCAATAGTTCATCTATAGCTCTCATTTGGTTTCAGGACAGGCCATACTGGACAATTAAAGTTATTCAATATGCCCATTATAGTAATATCTTCTTTGAGGAGTCCACATCCTTTGCTTTTATTTCTTCATGTATTCCCTGTAATGGGTACTGTTTAGTGTATGTAGCCTGGTGGGGTGTAGTCACTGTTAGAGGTTTCATTTTAATTTGTGTTAGGTCAGAGAACTTTCATTCCTTTAGTTTCTTAATAAGCCACCTCAGGTTTAAAAGCTTTGCAATCAATCCATTTCTGTAATGTTTTCTAATTTTGGTGAACAGTAAAACATGCAAGAAATACATTTATAGTGCATATAGAAGCAGAGACTGGGGAGACTCTAGTTAATATTCCTCAGTCCTTTATAGAGATGTTTGTATCAAAGTGTGGTACGCTGTATCTAAGGAGGCTTATTTGTCATCTGGTGTCTAAAAGAAATGTGTCCATATGTGTATATTTGTCTATCTCTATAGCCAGTGTATATATGTCCTGTGATCCCCAAGTTCAAGTATTATAGCCTGGGGGGGTCCAAGATTTAAGAAAAAAATGTCTTGTAAAATTTCTGTTTTCACTGCTGTTTCTGAAGAGGTGGGTTTAGTCTTGGAATTCAGGAGTGTCTTTCCCGTTATTTTGGTATCCGGATGGTGGCCTTAGATGGTCCTGTTGCCAGTTTGGCCTTTATGTCCTTGCTTGCCAATCATTTTGTTTAGATTGTGAATTACTTTACATGGGTTACCAATTTCTCTATGTTGGTTTATTTTGCCAAGGTATACAGCCCAATTTTAAATAAAATTTGAGACTTTTATATTGAACATAAATTTAATTTTAGTGCCTTCCAGGGTTTATTTCTTAGTATTTGTATTAGGTTTGTAATAAATATTACCTTATAGGCAGCTGATTTATCTGCCAAAAGTTTGAGTGTTTCCAGTGTATCTTACATGTTTGTCCATGCTGAGAGAGTGTTCCTTTAGGAGACTTTCAGGTTAGGAGGTACTCATAATAGGTGCTCTTAATTTCATTTGAAGCTAGAATTTCAAATGAGTGGCATATCACTTCTAGCTATAATATACCAATTGTAAAATGACTAATTTCCTTATATTTCTTTGTGGCTGATGGTAAATCATTGCATTTGAGTCCACCTCTAAATTTTGTTGGGTCTAAATATGGTTGGATGGATCTACAGGTGAATGTGACCCAGTCCCAGAGATTATAGGACATGTTTTGGGTATTTTATTGTCAGTTCTATGCTGGCAGACCAAACAGTGGATCAAAAACGTTTTTCTGATCCACTTGAAGCCCCTCTGATCTGGGAAGGCTCTGTAAGATAAAACCTCAATATTCTTCTGTGGAAACAGAATGGGCCACCTCTCAGGGATACATGTTTCAGTCCTCAGGATGGTTACAATCAGAGGATGGCAAGGTTCATCTACCAGCTGCCGGCCAATGGAAACCTTCACCAGGCCTTCCACCAAAGTAAGAATAAAACCTATCAATTGCCCCAGAGATTGTTTTCAGGTAAAAATGTGCTACCAACAGTCAAATAGGTCATTAATGCTTGTGAGACTTGCCTTAAGAATTATCCCCTCAATCAACAGCTTATTACCCCCAGAACCCAAAGAACAGGAGCTACCCCAGGGAAAGAATATGTTTCCCAGGCTGTTCTTGAACTCCTGGGATCAAGCAATCCTCCTGCCTTGGCCTCCCAAAGTGCTGGGATTATAAATGTGAACCTTCACACCAGGCCCAATATTAGACCTTATTGTTTGAGAAACTGAGTCTCTTCTCTTTCTATCAAATAATAAAGGTTTTGGTTTTTAAAAATATTTAAAATACCATTTTTGGCTTAATAATTTATTCTATACTGATCACTGGTTCTGTTTTGTAACATCAAGTGTCTTGAACCTTTGATATTTGACAAAATTTCCAAATCGAATTCTAAATTCAGTCTTAATGGCCTAATTAACTTTTTAAATATTAGTTCCCCTGAAGTCCAAGAGAGACACATTTGGCCTATTTCATGTGTTAAAAATCATACAGGTTTTAGGTCTAACATTTAAGTCTTTAATCCATCTTGAATTACCTTTTGTATAACGTGTAAGGAAGGGAACCAGTTTCAGCTTTCTACATATGGCTAGCCAGTTTTCCCAGCACCATTTATTAAATAGGGAATCCTTTCCCCATTTCTTGTTTTTGTCAGGTTTGTCAAAGATCAGATGGTTGTAGATATTCGGCTTTATTTCTGAGAGCTCTGTTCTGTTCCATTGGTCTATATCTCTGTTTTGGTACCAGTACCATGCTGTTTTGGTTACTGTAGCCTTGTAGTATAGTTTGAAGTCAGGTAGCATGATGCCTCCAGCTTTGTTCTTTTGGCTTAGGATTGATTTGGCAATGCAGGCTCTTTTCTGGTTCCATATGAACTTTAAAGTAGTTTTTTCCAATTCTGTGAAGAAAGTCATTGGTAGCTTGATGGGGATGGCATTGAATCTATAAATTACCTTGGGCAGTATGGCCATTTTCACGATACTGATTCTTCCTACCCATGAGCATGGAATGTTCTTCCATTTGTTTGTATCCTCTTTTATTTCATTGAACAGTGGTTTGTAGTTCTCCCTGAAGAGGTCCTTCACATCCCTTGTAAGTTGGATTCCTAGGTATTTTATTCTCTTTGAAGCAATTGCAAATGGGAGTTCGCTCATGATTTGGTTCTCTGTTTGTCCGTTACTGGTGTGTAAGAATGCTTGTGATTTTTGCACATTCTCCAACAAATTTACAAGAAAAAAACAAACAACCCCATCAAAAAGTGGGTGAAGGATATGAACAGACACTTCTCAAAAGAAGACATTTATGCAGCCAAAAGACACATGAAAAAATGCTCATCATCACTGGCCATCAGAGAAATGCAAATCAAAACCACAATGAGATACCATCTCACACCAGTTAGAATGGCAATCATTCAAAAGTCAGGAAACAACAGGTGCTCGAGAGGATGTGGAGAAATAGGAACACTTTTACACTGTTGGTGGGACTGTAAACTAGTTCAACCATTGTGGAAGTCAGTGTGGCGATTCCTCAGGGATCTAGAACTAGAAATACCATTTGACCCAGCCATTCCATTACTGGGTATATACCCCAAGGATTATAAATCATGCTGCTATAAAGACACATGCACACGTATGTTTATTGCGGCACTATTCACAATAGCAAAGACTTGGAACCAACCCAAATGTCCAACAATGATAGACTGGATTAAGAAAATGTGGCACATATACGCCATGGAATACTATGCAGCCATAAAAAGGATGAGTTCATGTCCTTTGTAGGGACATGGATGAAGCTGGAAACCATCATTCTCAGCAAACTGTCGCACGGACAAAAAACCAAAACACCGCATGTTCTCACTCATAGGTGGGAACTGAACAATGAGAACACATGGACACAGTAAGGGGAACATCACACACCGGGGCCTGTTGTTGAGTGGGGGGAGGGGGGACGGACAGCATTTGGAGATATATCTAATGTTAAATGACGAGTTACTGGGTGCAGCACACCAGCATGGCACATGTGTACATATGTAACTAACCTGCATGTTGTGCACATGTACCCTAAAACTTAAACTATAATAAAAAAAATCACACAGGAAGCATGGTTGAATATTTAACTTACTTTGGGTTCTATTTATCTAAATGTTTTATTAGTTTGTGCTCCATTATCATATGAGATGCTAGTAATTCTGATATGTCTTACTATATGTTATCGGTAATAATTATGATTATGTTAAATTGTTGTATGCCACAGAAATAACCAAATTTCCTTGTCAGCTTTGCCTGTAAACATGCTGTCTTAGTTTTTCATTCACAACTATTATTTTACATTAAATATTCTCAAAAAAGTGGTTTATAAAAAAGCAGTGGGCCAAAACTCGCTTCTTCAGTGGAGTTCATGAAAATGACTCTGACCAGTTTTCTTGAATTTAGGTTTCTGATAACTTTGGAGATTGTGCCATTGTACTAGTGAAAACAACAATAAAAAAAAAACCAAAAAACTTCCAGAACTCTAATTAACACGCTGATGTGTTCATGAGGATTGCTAAGCCAATATAAAGTAGAACAAGTTAATTATGTGGGACTGAACTAATAGAAGACTGAAATAACTTTTTAGGACTTTTTTGTTTGAAACATTGATGACTCTTTTCGTTTTGTTTTTCAGAGTAAACTTTCTAAAAGTTATTTACAGTTTTTAACAATTGAGTACAGAATACTCTTGAGAAAAATTTGAAGCATATTTCCCTCTACCTGTACTTCTCCAAAATTTGAAAGCTATTTCTGAATATTCTTAATATACAGCAATATAAGTTATTTGCATATAATCGATAATAATCTTTTTTTTAATGGGACACAATTGGAGATGCTGGTTATCTTGCCAAGGCTTTGCCTGGAATAGCGTATTTTCATCTATAAGCAGATTGCTTTGAGGAATTTAGGTTGAATTATAGAGCAATAAAATCCTCCTGGAAAGACGGGCTTTGTACCTTCTCTATGCAGTTACTTTGCAGGTTTTCTGACCTGTGGCAGGAAAAGTTACTTTGAGAGGCCTAGGAACTCCAAGTAATCTTGTGATCTCAAGATGAGAAGAATTCTCCCAATTCATGTAGTTATTTGCAGGCACAGCAAATACTTGGTTGAGTTTGAGAGGCTTTTTGAAAAGTCACATCTTAGATACCTTATTAAAAATGCTCCATCAAAGCCAATTTATAAGAGCCTATATGAAAAAAATTATTCTTGCTACACTTTGTGAAAATAATCACGTCAAGTAAAATAAACTAAAACTTATTTTGAAAATAAATTGGTCCTACTATGATCTGTCTTAAGTAAAAATGGAAGACTGGAGAAAAAAATATAAATTTCAAATGAAATTATAGTATATCTTTTATTGGATTCTAGCCTTGTCCATTGCCTTCCAGTTTTATAATTTTCTACAATTTAGCTGGACTGGATCCTAAATTCTTTGCTGGCTACAAATATCTAAACAAGCATTTTCAACATCTTTTTTTTCTTCTTTCCCATTTCTTCTGACTTAGGATCAGTAGAAATTAAAACTGTGCTTTTCATAAAGCCCTGCAGACTGAAGCTAGAAAACTTAAACTTTGGGAGAAATAACAGCATCTTGTTTATGTACACAAAATATTTTCATGACTGTCTAGTGATATATGGACTGCTCTGTAATATAGCCTGTATAAGTTTTCCAGAATCGCTTTCTACTTTGTTGCTATAATCCAGCTGTTTCCTTTTTTCTTATTTCTTTCCTTTCTTTCTTCTTCCCCCTATTTCTTCACAACCTTCTAGAATGAGTCTTCTTAAAAATGTGCAACCTAACATTCTAGGAGTAAACCATTGTAGTGTTGAAATATCAGGGAGAAAAACATAACCAAACACTCATTTTCTTCTAAAATGCTTTCTCTGAAATATTTTAAAGAACAAGGAAAATAAAATCTTGGGACCCCAAACTCACTATGCCAAAGGAAAACTTGGGAACTGAGTCATGCAAATACCACCTTCCTTTTGTTTCCCAAACAGACAGCTGTAATTTCACAAGTTCACTTATCTTATGTAAAATGTATATCTACCAAGCATTAAAGAAATGCACATCAACTTTTTCCCCACTCCTCTTTACACTTGTAACATAAGAATGTAGTGAGTGCTAATCAAGGCCTTACAAGAATGTACCACTTGACCCACTGCCTATCCCCTACTTTATTTTCTTTTCCTCCTTTTCATTCAGTGTGGTCTCACCCCCATAAATACTGAAGTTAGCAAAACCCTCTTTGGAAAAAGTACAGGTCAAACATCCTACTGTTACTTGTGTTTCCTTTTCCCAGGCATAACCTTAAAATTGACAAAATAATTTTCTAAAATGAATGAGATACGTCTCAGTTGTTTTTGGTTTACAAAGGTCTACACCAAACATTAAAAGTCAGTATTTGCTACTATTGACAGCTTTTTTCAAGTAATTTTCATATGCATCAATTGTAAAATACATTGTTATTTTATGTCTCAATAAAAGCATAAAACTATGGAAAACTGTAACTCTTCTTACCACTTAAAAATTTTATCTCATATATAGTGAAAATAATACTTTTGAACTTACATATATGTCTTATGTAACTCCTATGATCACATGAGATAGAAAATAAGAGTAAAATAGATGATATGGTTTGGCTTTGTGTCCCCACCCAAATCTCATCTTGTAGCTCCCATAATTCCGTGTCATGGGAGGGAGCTGGTCAGAGATAATTGAATCATCTTTCACTGGTTTCATCTTTCTCATGCTGTTCTCACCATAGCCAATGTCTCATGAGATCTGATGGTTTTAAAAAGAGGAGTTCCCCTGCACAAGCTCTCTCTTGGCCTGCTGCCATCCATGTAAGACATGACTTGCTTCTCCTTGCCTTCCACCAAGATTGTGAGGCCTCCCCAGCCACATGGAGCTCTAAGTCCAATAAACCTTTTTCTTTTGTAAATTGCCCAGTCTCAGGTATGTCTTTATCAGCAGCATGAAAACAGACAAATAGGTAATATTTAGATAAAACTCTTCTAAATCACTTTTCAACTTAGGTTGTCCATGAATTTTCCCAACATTGCATCATCACTACTAATTAGAAGCTTTGTTGATGCCACAATTATTGTGAGTACCATAAAACCTTCTGTTAGATTATCTTTCTTAACTACTGATATCCCACTATGAGTTATATTAACAGTATCACCAGAATGTGAAAATGAGTTTTTTACACCAAGTTCATGTGTGTGCACACAAAGGCAATCACATTATGACTGTCTTCTGATTAACAGTGTTCTTACAATATTAATTTTATGATCCATCTCTACTTGAAATATGTAAAAAATATGCCCTTTAATATAAATGGAACACGCTCTTTTTCTCTCTGACTGCCTCCTTCTCAGCATAAAATCATGGTGGCTCATCTGATGTATTCTGGTCTATTATTGAAGAAACATGCTCAACTAGTTTCAAATTAGTTGAACAACTGGGTTTACCTGCTACCTAAGGATTAGAGTTAGAGTTATTACTGCACTACAAGAACTCCTATTTTAAATGTTGCTGTGAATTATTTAAATTTCATATTACTTGGGCATTTATTTTGGATATAGGTTTGATTTGCTCATACCAGAAATAGGGTTTAGAAATCCATGATAGTTTCCAGTTTGTGCCCTCTTCCAATTTCCTCAATGTGGTAATTCCATATTTGTCCTTATAAAATGCTCTCCAGGTGACTATTCCACGTAGGACAGCTGGACACAACACTTATTTCACCCCCACAGACCCTTCAGGGAAATGCATAGATATTCTGCAATAACCAACTCTTGGTCACAGCACGATGCTATGGAAATCATGGTTGCTTGACATTAACCCAGCACTTTGAACTCCTCATGAGAAACCTGCTTGGGTGACACTCCAAAACCCAATTGTGATGTTTTATTTTAGGAGTCAACTAACTGTATTAGGGAACACCTAGAACACTGGCAAAGCATTGCTTCTGGGTCTATGAGGGTTTCACCAGAAAAGTCTGATACGTGAGTCAGTGGACAGAGTGCGGAAGATCCTGTGATAGAGCAGGGACCCCTTGTTAGGGGCCTATGGGTTCCCCAAGCAGGGAAATAAAGGAAAATCGTGAGTCCCTTCAAGGCAAATCCCAGGTACCTAGCTAGCACTGAGAAGTCAATGAAGAACTTGATAAGCAAGAAGGTAATAGTAGCTCAAACAATAGCCAAGGATGTTACAGTTAGAAGATGTTTGTTTTGTTCCCTATGAAAACCAAAGATACCATCTTAACATACATTGCTGAGTCATTTTTCATAAACCTGGACCCCCACCAAATGGATCTGCTGACACGGAGACCTCAGATAAGAGAGACCTGAAGGCTGAACTCTGACTGCTGTTGTCCTAAATATCTTCCTAAGGGGCCTACAGGGAGTCATATCCGTGAGCCAGAGCTAACACGTTTTTCTACTGACCCCAAATTTTAAAACAAAGCTTCTCTTCTTTAACCAACTGCAAATCAGAAACCCTTGAATCTGTATATAACCTATAAGCCCCTGCTTGAGCACTGCTTCAAGATATCCCATCCTTGGCCAGGCACGGTGGGTCATGCCTGTAATCCCAGCACTTTGGGAGGCTGAGGTGGGCGGATCACAACGTCAGGAGTTCGAGACCAGCCTGGCCAATATGGTGAAACCCTGTCTCTACTAAATTTACCAAAATTAGCCGGGCATGGTGGCAGGTGCCTGTAGTCCCAGCTACTCAGGAGGCTGAGGCACGAGAATTGCTTGAACCCGAGAGGCGGAGGTTGCAGTCAGCTGAGATTGTGCCATTGCACTCCAGCCTGGACAACAGAGTAAGAATCCGTCTCAAAAAGAAAGAAAAAGGAAAGAAAAAGATATCCCATCGTTTTATAACAAAACCAATGCAATACTCCATGTATTGATTTATAGTTTTGCCAAAAACTTCTGCTTTCCTGAAATTTACCCCTTCAGTTAACCCTTACCTACAAGCCATTGGGGAAGTGGGAACTTAAGCATTAGCTGCGTGATTCTTCTTTCTTGACAGCATGCACATAAACACCTCTTTTTCTCCCACTGCAAACATCAATGTAGATACCTGGGCTTGCTGCTCTGTGTGAACAGACCCCAGTTCGGTTCTGTAACAATCCACTCACTTTGTGTGTGAGCAATATCCAGTGGGCTGAGGGCCCAGAAAAAACAAAAAAGGAGTGAAAATGATTTTGCTCTCCCTCTCTCCTGGAGCTGGCACACTCTCTACCTCCTGCCCTTGGACATCTTAACTACAAGCTCTCTTCCTTGGGACCCCAGAACTTACTTCTGCATCCCTCCACATTCTCAGGCCTTTAACCTCAGACTGGGAATTACATTGTCAACTTTCCTCATTCTGAGATTTTCAGACTTGGAATGAGCTATGCTACTGGTATTTCAGCGTTTCTAGCTTGCAGAAGATCTGCCTTAGGTTCCATAATCATGTGACCCAATTTCTGTAATTAATCTCCCCCCATCTGTCTGTCTATGTATCTATCCTATTTGTTCTCTCTCTCTAAAGAACCGTAATACAGATTTTTTTTAACCATGAATGGGTTATAGGGAACAAAATTTCAAGGATAAGTTTTTTTCACTGGCTTAGGGGTTTCTAAAATTTTGGATCGGTAACCTGATGATACCTAAAAATGCTTAAGACTCTACTTCTAATAGTAAAGAGAACACACTGCTAGTCCATTTCATGAACTGCTTAAGAGACATGCAAACATCTGCCTTTGACACTAGTAATCAACCACTGATAAGAGGCAAGGAACTTGGTGACTCTGAAAGCATTATCTTTAAATATCAGTGGAAAACTTAAGGACTCTGCTTCTAGTGTTGCTGAGCAAAGGGATGAATAAAAAAAGATAAACTAAGAGATTCAAACTTCAGAATCCAGCTCCACATAAAAAGCCTTACAGTGCTCTGAGAGAGAATTGTATCTCCTGTAGTCATAGGGCTGAAAATGCTGAAAATGAAACACAAGCCATCACCAAGCAGTTGGCTGAATTACTGTGAAAGTTGACTTTCCAGCCTAGCAAGGTGTCTACTGTAAATTTATAGCACTGTTCAGGAAAGAATGAAACCCTGTAAACTGGGTTAGGAACATGTTGGGAGACTGTGTGGAGGTTGGAGACATTGAGCTCTGAAATTCTGATGTCTCTGCCAGTGAAAATGGCCCCCTACACCCATCTCCATGGCAGTGGCCTCCCCACCCACATTGGTATATCCAGTTCCACCTCTGTTTGAAGGGAGTAATCCAGCATTGCCTGAGGAAAAGATAGTGGACTCCCCTGAAGCAGTTGCTGAGGAATGCAGTGCTGCTTCTCCTCAGACCCCACACCCACCACTTCCTTTTTGCTTCTGGATCTGTAAGTAGACTCGAATTCCAACAGTCCCTTAAAAATGACATACAAAGTTTGACCCACAGGAACTTCATTACAGTCCAAGAAAACTATTTGAGTTTTCTAATTTATACAAGCAGAAATCTGGGGAACACATGTGGAAAAGGATATTAAGAGTTGGGATAATGGGTGGAGAAAACATAAAGTCGGATCAGCCCAAATTTATTGATATGGACCCATTAAACAAAGACACTGGTTTTAGTGCTGCAGTATGGGGAGTTAGAAAGGGCTCTAATTGTTTGGTTGGCTGAACCATGAATCAAAAGATGGCCCTCCTTTATCCAGTTGGATGTGTGTGATCTCCCTTGGCCTATGTGGAGGAAAAGATTCAAAGGCTTAGAACAAATGGGACTCTGGAATGCACTTGTCATTTGAAATTTACTCACCTACTCTGGGAGTGTCCAGAAGACACACCTTTCTGCAATACTTTGAGAAACAGATTTGTGAGGGGAGCCCAGCATCCTCGAATAACCTCCTGCTTTCTCTGTAGAATGAAAACCACAGTCACTCAATAAAAAATTTAAATGCATTGAGAATAAGTGGATCTCAGGAGTCCCAGGGCCAAATGGCAGCTGTCAACCTTCAAAGTCAAGGTGGGCATAGTTACCGTTAACAGTCAGCAAAGGTAAACCAACAGTCAGGTCAGTCTGACTCAATTTGATCTATGGTGTTGGCCAGAAAATCCTGGTACTCTTAGAAGTGAAATACGTAAGAGCCTAATAAGTTGTTAATTGATCTGAATATACTGAAAACATTCATGTTAAGTTTACAGAAGTTTAACTCGAAACAGAAAAGTAGAGAATCACAGCCCCTACTCAAATCCCAGATTAGAGCCAGTTTACAGTCAAGAATTCCTTGAAGGAGGGAGCAGCCAGGTCCCCTTGATGAAGGACCCAGGTATACCACAAAAGCTTTTATTCTGTTAATCTTTCTCCTATCCTTCCTAAAAGGGGACCTACAGCCTTTTAACAGGCTGTGTTTCAGGGAAAGGAATATAGTAAGAACTTTGGGGAACTACTAGACACTGGCTCTGAGCTCACATTGATTCCACAAGACTCAAAAACATCACTATGGAATGCTAGTCAGAGCAGGGGCATATGGAGGTCAGGTGATTAATCAAGTTTTAGTCAGATCAAATCACAGTGGGTCTAGTGGGTCCACAAACACATACTCTGGTAATTTCCCCAGTTGCAGATGCACAGCTGTAATAGACGTAGTTAGCACTAGGCCCATTTCCCACATTGGTTCCCTGACCTGTGGAGTGAGGGCTAGTAAGGTGGGAAATCCTAAATGGAAGGCACTAGAGCTACCTAGGGAAATAGAAAATCAAATTCATAACCACATCCCTGGAGAAATTTCAGAGATTACCACCACTATCAAGGTCTTGAATGATGCAGGGGTTGTGATTTCACCACACACCTGTGTAATTTGGCCTGTGCAAAAGACAGATGGATCCTGGAGAGTGACAGTGGATTCCCATAAGGTAAACCAAGTGTTCCCTCTAATTGCAGCTACTATATCAGACATTATATTATTGCTTGAGAAAATTAACACATACCCTGGTACCTTGTATACTCCTATTGATCTAGTGAATGCTGTTTCTCTGTTTCTCTCCATAAGGTCCATCAGAAGCAGTTCAATTTCAGCAACAATGCCCGTAATATACCTTCTCTGTCCTACCTCAAAGGTGTATCAACTCTCCTTCACTAAGTCACAATTTGCAGAGAAGCTGATCACCTTCCCCTTTCACAAGGTATCACACTGGTCCATGGCATTGATGGCATTATACAGATTCAACCCAGTGGATGTGCAGTTAACAACTACTCTGAAAATATTTATAACATATTTTCATTTCAGAAAGTGGGAAAATCTCTTAAGAAGACAGCTTTTGCCAAAAGCAAAAAGCAGTACTTCATGGCCCTATGCCAGAATAACGGACTGCAAAAGAAGTGTAAATTGACTTCCATAAAGATAAAACCCAGAGAAGGCAAGCAAATATTTTCTGAATTAGACTCTCCCCATGAAGTGCCTTATGATACCTGGTCCCTCCTGAGACCCACAGCCTCCTTAACACCAGTAGCTGCTGTATCAGACATGGTATTATACAGCAATTGCTGTAGGTGACACACCGGCTCCCTAGCAGTAACCCCCAGGGAAGTGTTCCTAAAAAGAGGAGGATATCCAGGATGGCTTGAAAACTCCCAGAGACAAGAGATTTTTCCAAAAGCCATAGCCACCCAGGTAGTTAAGGAGGCCCATGAGAGCTGAAATTATAGTACAGAACCCTGTACAATTGGCTCCTTCAAATGATGACCACTCCTAACCTTGGAGAGACAGCACAGCAAGCGACCAAGATTTGCTCTCTCTGCCAGACTAACAGCCCCCTAACAGACCACCCCCAAGGCCTCATGTTAAGCCAGTACAACTCAGGGAGTTTACCCTGGTGAGGACTGGCAACTATACTTTATAGTCATGTCCCAGACTTCTGGGAACTTTAGATACCTTCTAGTTGTGGGTGATATCTTCCCAGGATGGGTGCAGGTGTTCCCAACTCCCACTGAGAACACCTTCTAGGTAGCATGCCATCTCTTAAAAAAATTTTTTCTGGCCGGACACAGTGGTTCACGCCTGTAATGCCAGCACTTTGGGAGGCCGAGGCAGGTGGATCACGAGGTCAGGAGTTCAAGACCAGCCTAGCCAACATGGTGAAACCCCATCTCTACTAAAAATACAAAAATTAGCTGGGTATGGTGGCGTGTGCCTATAATCCCAGCTACTTGGGAGGTTAAGGCAGAAAAATTGCTTGAACCGAGACCTGGGAGGCAGAGGCTGCAGTGAGCTGAGATCACGCCACTGCACTCCAGCCCAGGCTACAGAACAAGACTCCGTCTCAAAAAAAAAAAAAAAAAAAAAATTCCTGGCTGTGCATGGTAGCTCATGCCTGTAATCCCAGAACTTTTGGGCCAAGGCAGGTGGATCACGAGGTCAGGAGTTCATGACCAGCCTGGTCAAGATGGTGAAACACCGTATCTACTAAAAACATAAAAATTAGCTGGGCGGGGTGGCGGGCACCTGTAATCCCAGCTGCTAGGGAGGCTGAGGCAGGAGAATCGCTTGAACTCAGAAGGTGGAGGTGGCAGTGAGCAGAGATGGTGCCATTGCACTCCAGCCTGGGTGACAGAGCAAGACTCTGTCAAAAAAAAAAAAAAATACCTTATGTTCGGGCTGACTAAAGCCATATAGTGACAACAGGCCAGCTTTTATATCTGAAATTATGCAAAAGTTAGTCCAAGGCCTAGAAATCCCCTGAAAACTCCACACAGCATGGAGATCCCAGTCCTCAGGAAAAATAGAAAGAATCAACTAAAGCTTAAACAGAATGTTGGCTAAACTGTGCTGGGAAACCAACAAAAACTGGCTTCCTCTCTTACCATAGTTCTCCTTAGAATAAGGACTGCACCCCCCAAAATAATTTTAACTGAGTGCATTTTAACTCGGTGTTCAATGTATTGGAGATCAATCCCAGAGGCAACCACAGGGAAGTGGTTGAGCCTATGGGAACTGGAACAACTAAAATATGCGTTACATATTAGGAACGTGGCCCATGTTCTTGCAGCTTATAGAAACCAGGATTCTCCATCACCGACAGACCTGGTTCTGCATCCTTATGTCCATCGATATTAGGTATATCTGAAAATCTGGAAGGTTCAAAGTCCAGAGAGGCAATTAGGTCCAAAACGAATGGGGCCATACGTGGTGATTCTGACAACACATGCTGCCTTAAAGCTTCAGGGAGTCACCCCACAGCTTCATCACACGAGTGAAATGAGTGGATGCACCAGTGCAGTAAATTCCCTCGTACCAGGCTTAACCCATCTCAGATTTAAAATTGCTCTTCTGAAAAACCAACCTGACTCCCAAAAATATAAGTACAGGATACTTTGACCCATCTAAACGGTCGCTGCTATAACACTTAAATGTCTCCACCCGCCAGGAGTGTTCTTGTGGGCTATCTGATGGCATTAGGGCTTGTCCTGTAGTCCTCAAAGCTGGTCTCTGGCTTAGAGATCTGTTTCCTTTTATTCCAGATCATCTTGATCATGTATCCCTGACTTGTGGCCCTCCTGGCATCTTGATAGAAAATTACATATATCTTAACTATACACCTTCAGGACTCCCTGATAGTCCCACAGTGTTTCCTTGAACTATCTCACCCTCTACCTCCTCATCTCTTAGCCACCTCAGGATACTTAAGCTAGGTAAGTAAAACTTTACTCTGACTTTTTCTTATACCACTTGGTCCTTTTAGTCCTCAACATCCAAGGGTCTCTGGGACACCAACACGACAGTCAAATTTTCCCATATTATATAGCCAGTGCAAACAATCTGTCTGAATGCTATATGACCACAGGTACCCCAAGACTGGGGGCGCAGGGCCCAGTGTGTACCTTCGGGAAGGTGGTTTCAACCTTAGAATGCTGCCATGGAAATCTAACCACCTACACCTGTTGCTGTCTACCTGAGAAATTCTCAGTATATGGGTTGCATGGATCCCGCTCCTAAAATCAACTACTTTTGTAGTCTAGCACTCACCTCAGGAAATGAAAAATATTGTTGACTCTACTCTCTACTATGCACCCCCTCCTCCAGCAATATTTCCAGCTCCAATAAGAAATATAAATTTCACCTGAACTCAAGAGGGCCCTCTGTCATTGTCAGAAGACTTCCCCTCCCCCTTGAGGCTCTCAGTTACTTCATGGGCTAAACTTCCACATTCCCACAAGGGTTTGTGCATCCCCAGAGTATGTGGTCATTTGCGGCTCTCCTCACCACCACCTCCCTAACAGCTCCTCTGCTGCTACTTTTTCCTCCCCATTGCTAGTGGTAGATCACCCTGCTGTAGATAATGAAATACGTATAGGACAATGTACAACAGGTGTTATGGAATACAGTGAGATAACCATTCATAATACAACCTGCCATTACAGTAGGCCAAAGATGAGTCTTGGGATGCTCCTGGCTCGAGGACTTGCTGTAGAGTTGGCTGACCCGTGAGTGGGGAAAAGCACTGTACGTACATGAGGATACCCTAATAAATACAACCCAAACAAAAAATCTAGCAAGTAATACCAGGAAGGTTATTCAAAATATACAACCTTCTTTCAATCGGCTAGCTAATGTAGTGCTGGACAATCAGTTAGCCTTAGACTAGCTCCTGGCAAAATAAACAAGAGTATGTGTGATCACCAATACCACTTGTTGCACCTGGGTTAAACCCTCTATGGAGATAGAAGCTAAAATAAAGCAAATATTCAAACAAGAAGAACGGCCTCACTCCTTTGTGTTGACCAAGAGCAGCTCTAAGGACATCTGGAGTGCAATAAAGAGTGTCCTGTTCAACCATACTTTGTTCCTGCTTGGCCTGCTGGTGATGATCCTTTTTTTAATCAATTTTTGACCCCAGTATTCAGGTTAAGAATGAGACTGGAAGCAATCAAGCTGCAGAGGGTAATCACCCAGGGATATGAGCAATTGGGGTTGCAGCCTAGAGACAATCAGATCTACCTTAGAATAGCAAGGGAAAGGTTTTGCTCCTCTAATTTATCAAGTGACAACACCCATAAACATCAGGAAGTAGCTCCAAAAGTTGGACCCCTGCCCCTCAGCAGCCGTCAAGAATGAGGAGAAAATAAACAGAGGTCATCTAGGACAGTCCTGATGAAATAACTGGGAATGTTCCTTTTTCCTACTCTTTTTCTTAAGTTCCTTATTTATAGGCACAGCTGCTGAAGGAAACCAGATGGCCTAGGAACATGCCAGAGCATCTTGACCCCTGACCAGATACAGAGAAAGATAAGACTCTATGAAACTGAAGGAGTCTGGAACACGCAACCTTAAGTTACCTTCAGGTCATTAACATATTATTATAATGTTAAAATTCCCACCCGTAAAAGAGTATCTCTGCTATTCTGTGCACATGTGATGTATGAAGACATATGTTTACAAATTGAGCCTGCACATCTGGAGTCCCACCCCACACATGCTAATATTCCTTTCATTCCCCCACAGCTAGTCCTTAAGAACCCCATGCCTTCTGTTCATGCATTTAAAGAAAGAGCTTGTCTTCTCCAGTCGCTGGCCATCAAATAAAACCTAAGTGTCTTTTTCAATTAAATGTTCTTTCTGTACAACTAATCAAAAGTGAGGAAAGAGCCCAGTTTACCAGTGATACCTACAGGTGAATTCAGAGGAGGCCCTTCAGATTTTGCAGCAAGGCCCTGCCATCATCCGCAGATAACTACTATTATTTTCATAAGCAGCTCTTGGCTTGTCACTGGGTCTTAACAAAAATGAAATGCATGACTGTGGGCCATTAAGTTACCAGGCAGCCTCAGCTGCCCATTATGAACTGGGCATTGTCTGTCATACCAAGACATAAAGTTGGATGTGCACAGCACCATCATCACATGAGAGTAGTATATACAAAACTGGTCCCAAAAAGGCTGAGGAGGCACAAATAAGATACATAAAGTGTCCAAATACCCATGGTCTCCACTCCCATTACACCGCCTTCTCTCTAGAAGCATGTATCATGGCCTCAACTACAACCAGTTGAAGAAGAGAAGGCTAGAGCCTCACTTACTGACAGTTCTGCACAATATGCAGGCATCACTCAAAACTGTACAGCTGCGGCACTACAGCCCCTATCTGGGCCATTGCTGAAGTTTAGTAGAAAAGGGAGATCTCAATCAGCAGAATGTTAAGGAGGGCATATAGTTGTGCACTTTGCTTAGAAGAAAATCTGCTCAGAAGTGTAATTATACAATGATCCAAGGGTTGCAGCCAATGGTTAGGCCAGATGGTCAGGGTCTTTAAAAATACATGATTGAAAAATTGGTGACAAAGCAATTTGCAGGAGTGGTACAGGAATAGACCTCTCTGAGTGGCCAAAAATTTAAAACATCTGTGTCCCATGTGGATGCTCACCAAAGGATGGTCACCTCAGCAGAGGAGGACTCTAATCATCCAGTGGATGGGATAATGCACTCTATGACACTAGTCAGCTTCATTCCCCACCCACCTGTGTCATCACCCACTAGACTCATGAATAAAGCGGCCACAGTGGTAGGGATGGGATTATGCATGCACACAGCAACCTGGAATTCCACTCACCATAGCCAACCAGGTTACAGCTCCCTCTGAGTGCTCAAACTGTCAGCAGCAGAAATTAACACCCACTGAGCCCCTCATATGGCACCATTCCCCAGGATGATCTGGCAACTCCCTGGTGGTAGGCTGATTACCTTGGGCAGCTTTCATCAAGGAAGGGGCAGCATTTTGTCTTTCCCTGAATAGTAAGATAGTTACTCTTTCTATAAATTGAAATTTATAGAAATTTAAAGAAATAGCACATAATTATTCTGTGAAAACTACCATCCATAGACATACAGAATACCTTATCTACCATCATGGTATTTCACACAGCATCACTTCTGAACAGGGAACTCATTTCACAGACAAAGAGGGGCAGAAGTGAGTTCATGCTCAGAAACTTCTGTGAGTTTACCATGTCGTCTGTAATCCTGAAGAAAGTGGCTTGATAAAATTACGGGATGTCCTTTGGAGACTTCGGTTCCAGCACTTGCTAGGTGACAGTACTTTAGGAGACTGTTGCAAGGTTCTCTGGAAGGCTATACGTCCCGTGAATCAGCACCCATTATATGGTGCTGTTTCTCCCCAAACCAGAATTTACATATAGTTCAGGAATCAATAGATTATAATGAGAATGGCCCACCTAGCCACTTTCAAATCTTCAGGTCCCTGAACCAACAGCCTAAGAAGGGGGGTTGCACTGTTGTTTGGGGTAATTGATCCAGATTACCAGGGGGAAATTGGACAAGTACTCCACAATGGAGGACAGAAGAGTATGTCTGGAATACAGATCTCCTTGTGTCTTCTGTGTTTGAAATATTTGTCCCCTACCAAACTCATTGTGAAATGTAATTCCCAGTGTGGCAGTTATTCAGAGGTGTGGCCTTTAAGAGGTGTTTGAATCAATCATGACTGGCCTGCCCTCAAGGATGAATCCATTCATTCATGGATACATAAATTAACGGGTTATCATGTGAGGGCCATTGGTGGTTTTGTTAAAGGAAAAAAGACCTGCATTAGCATGCTCAGCCCTGCCAGAAATAATAAGTTCCTCTTCAAAGCTTTCTTGGTCTTTCTGGCTCTGCATACAGCCTTTTCTGCTTGATCTGTAACAAGCATGTTTCTCTCCTTAATCTTTAACTAGCAAATCTATTACTCTGTAAACAACCCTTCGCTGTGCCCAGACATGCCTTGTATTTGTTCTGTAAACAACCCTTCCTACCTTAGCAACGAACAGCCTCTCCCTTCCTGCCTAATTAACCATATTCAATTTCCAACAGTAGCCAATCAGGTTAGCTTAGATTGTGTGGTCTAACTCCAGCCAATGGGGAAAGGACATAGCAACAGGGATTGCATTAAGGATGAAAACCCCTGCCCTACCCCACTCAGTGTACTCTTGCCATTAGACAGACACAGGCAGCACCCTTCTGCAGAAGCAAATGTGCCTTGCTAAGAAATTTTCTAAGTGCTCCTTTTTCTTAGCAACACCAAGCACTTGTTTCTAACAGCCCCCTAACCAGCTGATATCCTGCATGTCATGAGGACTCTTTAGAGAGTCCCCACCAGCAAGAGGCTCTCACCAGATGTGGCCCCTCAGCCTCGGACTTAACAGCTGATGTAAGTTATCAGTGTATTATCATAAGAAATACATTTATTTTCTTTATAAATGACCCAATATTTTGTATCCTGTTATAAGCAGAAAAAAGGGACTAATACAGAAAATTGGTAATAAGAAATAGGTTGCTGTTGAAACTGAGTATCTAAAAATGTGAAAGTGGCTTTCAAACTGGGTTGTGGGCAGAGGCTAAAAGAACCTTGAGAGGCAGACTAGAAAAACCCTGTGTTCTTGTGACAATTCAGAAGACAAAAAGACTGGGAAGTATTTGGAAGTCCTTAGAGATTGATGAAGTGGTTTTGACCAGACTGCTGATAAAACTATGGAGACTAAAGGCTATGCTGACAAGGTTTCAGATGCAACTGTTATAGGAGTTATTAAGCAAATACAGTGGAAAAGGGGTCCTTGGAAAGTTTGTGTGTCTTTTAAAGCAGCTCCAGAAACGTTTCTTGTCTAGCAGGAAAGCCCTGGCTCTTAGAGCCGGGTCTGCAACCTTTGATATGCAAATACGGGCCATTAGAAACTGAGTCTACCCAAAGATGGTGATTCCTGCCCTCTTCTTCCTTGCCCCCACATGTGCCTGGCAACATGGCCACCCCCACATATCCCCATGTGTTAAAACATCATGGTGCTCTGCATTTGCATATTAAAAGTCTAGGGTGGGAGGGCCAGTTTTTTTGAGGGCTACTTGAGTGACTTGCCTGGTCAAACCAATCCCCTGAGCCCTACGCAAATCAGACACCACCTCCTCCAGCCTACTCATATAAGCAGCCACTTTTCCGTGGCACATGGGGTCTCCTCTCTTGGATTTGGAGCTGCCCTCCCTCTGTTTTCTTTCTTTTCCCTTCTTGCCTATTAAACTCTCCACTCCTTAAAACCACTCCATGTGTGTCCATGTCATCTTATCTAATTTGGCGTGAGAGAAGAGCCCTAGTGTTCCTCCACTCATCGGAGATGTATCACAACTAAGGAAAAACAATATTGGAAACGAAAGAACATCTCTGTTAAAAATTGGCAATTTTGTCTTTTGTTGCCATTGCTTTTGGTGTTTTAGACATGAAGTCCTTGCCCATGCCTATGTCCTGAATGGTATTGCCTAGGTTTTCTTCTAGGGTTTTTATGGTTTTAGGTTGAACGTTTAAGTCTTTAATCCATCTTGAATTAATTTTTGTATAAGGTGTAAGGAAGGGATCCAGTTTCAGCTTTCTACATATGGCTAGCCAGTTTTCCCAGCACCATTTATTAAATAGGGAATCCTTTCCCCATTGCTTGTTTTTCTCAGGTTTGTCAAAGATCAGATAGTTGTAGATATGCGGCGTTATTTCTGAGGGCTCAAATGGGATCTAATTAAACTAAAGAGCTTCTGTACAGCAAAAGAAACTACCATCAGAGTGACCAGGCAACCTACAAAATGGGAAAAAATTTTTGCAACCTACTCATCTGACAAAGGGCTAATATCCAGAATCTACAATGAACTCAAATTTACAAGAAAAAAACAAACAACTCCATCAAAAAGTGGGCAAAGGACATGAACAGACACTTCTCAAAAGAAGACATTTATGCAGCCAAAAAACACATGAAAAAATGCTCATCATCACTGGCCATCAGAGAAATGCAAATCAAAACCACAATGAGATACCATCTCACACCAGTTAGAATGGCAATCATTCAAAAGTCAGGAAACAACAGGTGCTGGAGAGGATGTGGAGAAATAGGAACACTTTTACACTGTTGGTGGGACTGTAAACTAGTTCAACCATTGTGGAAGTCAGTGTGGCGATTCCTCAGGGATCTAGAACTAGAAACACCATTTGACCCAGCCATCCCATTACTGGGTATATACCCAAAGGACTATAAATCATGCTGCTATAAAGACACATGCACACGTATGTTTATTGCGGCACTATTCACAATAGCAAAGACTTGGAACCAACCCAAATGTCCAACAATGATAGACTGGATTAAGAAAATGTGGCACATATACACCATGGAATACTATGCAGCCATAAAAATGATGAGTTCATGTCCTTTGTAGGGACATGGATGAAACTGGAAATCATCATTCTCAGTAAACTCTCTCAAGAACAAAAAACCAAACACCGCATATTCTCACTCATAGGTGGGAATTGAACAATGAGATCACATGGACACAGGAAGGGGAACATCACACTCTGGGGACTGTTGTGGGGTGGGGGGAGGGGGGAGGGATAGCACTGGGAGATATACCTAATGCTAGATGACGAGTTAGTGGGTGCAGCTCACCAGCGTGGCACATGTATACATATGTAACTAACCTGCACAATGTGCACGTGTACCCTAAAACTTAAAGTATAATAATAAAAGAAAAAAAATTTGGCAAATAACTTTGCTGAACTGTGTCCATGCCAAGGGCTTTGTAAAGACACTGACTACTGACTGAAGAACTAGGTAATCTGGCAGAAAAAATTTCTAAAGCCACAAAGTGTTCATATTACTTCTAAGCTGTGTGTGTGGTTACTTCTAACTGCTTAAGGTGAACTGCTAGAGAAAACACACACAAACACACACACACACACACACACACACACACACACACACACAGAAAAATTCTAAAAATTTTCAGCCTAGCCATGTGGTAGAGAATGAAAGAGCATTTTCAGGAGAAAAATCCAAGGATGTCGCAGAGCCATAGCTTGCCAGAAATTACAATGGCTAAAGCACAGCCAGCTGTTAGTAGTCAAGACAACGGGAAAGAGGCCCCTACAACCATTTCAGTCATTTTCTAGGCTGCCTCATCCATTGCAGGCCGAGAGGCCTAAGGGGACAGGGTGGTTTCTGGGGACAGCCTGGGCCACTGCCCTGCACATTGTCAGGATGTTGCTCTGCTCATTCCAGATGCTTACCATAAACCCAGGTGGAGCTTATGTCCCAGAGCTCTGGGAGGTACAAGCCCTAAACCTTGGAGGTGTCCATGTGGTGCTAATCATGTAGGCTTACAGAAATGAAGATATGTAGAGGCTTGGCAGTTTCTACAAATTTCAAAGGATTTCTCTGAAAGCCTGGAAGTCCAAAAAGACACTTGTCACAGGGCCAGATCCACTGAAGAGAGTCCCAAATAGAGGGATGCCAAACACAAATGTGGGGTTAGAGCTACTGCAAGGGGTGCCCACCAGGGCAATGCTAAGTGAAGCCACAGCAGTGAGGTCACTGCAGAGTTCCATGTGGGTAATGCTTAGCAAAGTTGAGGAAGTGGTACCACTACCGGGACCCCCCAGAAATGTGTAGTCACCTACAGCATGCAATGTCTGCCCTGGAAAACTTCATGTACCTGACTGCAACCTGTACAAGCACCCACGGAGAATGTACCAAGCAAAGCCATAGGAGTGATAGTACCTGAGGGCCTGTGAGTCCAACCTTTACCCCAGTGTGTTCAGGAGTCAGAGAAAGAGTCAAAAAAATATTCCCCAGCTTTAAGATGTAATGGTTGCCCTGCTCGATTTCAAATTTGCTTGAAGACTGTTACTTTTTGTCCATTTCTCTCTTTTAGAAAGGGAATGTGTACATTATGCTTATCCTGAAATTGCCTTTGCAAAAATGGTAACAGAAAATTATGACAGTGAAAGAGAGATGACCTAAGTTGACGCCATCTTGCCTTTTAACCTCTAAGCTGCCTTTGTTCATTCCTGGGAAAAGGCCAAACTAACTTTGGGAGGAATTTAGTTGCTAGCTTAACTTTGAAACAAAGATGACAAGAGAACCTCCCTGAAACAAATCCCCTCATTGTTTGGGGACTAGACCACTCCTGCAAACACACGAAAATAACCACAAGATTAGAAAGTATTACTCAGGAGTCATAAAGCCAGAGGCCACAAGACTATTAACCTCCCCAGCGGCTCCTATAGATAACCTATTAATACAGTAAAACCTAAGATTGGTGTTTGAGGGATTTTTCGGACCTTGTATTCTGATGAATCAGCTGGTGCTTCCCGAAACAGTAACCTGTCTCATCTGGACTTGTGGCCCCCACACAGGAACTGACACAATGCAAGAGGAGATGTCCTCCTGTTGCCTATCTGTCCTCCTATCTGCTTACTATAATTTCATCTCTGACCCAAATAATCTAAATTCCCCATTCTCCAGCCTCCTGCATGCCAAATTATCTACAAAAAAAATCCTAACCTCAGATTTTTTTGGAAGCTTGCTTTGGGTAATAATATAAATCTTGTCTCTTGTTTACCTGGCTCTACAAGTATCAAACCCTTTCTCTATAGTAATTCCCCTCTTGATAAATTGGCTCCATCTGGGCATCAGTCAAGATGAACCCATGAGGCCATTACAAACTTAGGAGCTCATAGGGATATATCCCTTGTGTTTGCCAATCTCTCACTAGTGGCAGATCTGGAGAACAGCCCAATTTTCTGCCTAGTTCTCTTCAAATAAAGGCTGTCTCTGGCACTGTATCTACCAGCAGGGTGCTACTTACCCACAGTGTATGGATCTAACTGGAATAGAGAAATAATTCCTGGAATGAAAAATGTTAGCTGGTTTGGTGAGTATTCCACTTCTCCTGATCTGTTGGCCCCTCTAGAGGCATTGCAGCTCTATCATGGGAACTGTCCAGCTCTCCCTAGACTGCAGGAAGAGGCTCTGTTGGCCTCAAAGGTACTGTGGCCCCATCATGGGGTCTGCCTGTATCTCCCTGAATTGTAGTAAGAGTCTTGGTTTGAGGAGATTTCTCTCTCCAGTTGGAAGGGAATAGGGGACACGTTTGGAGGAATACTCTTCTGGTTTGGATTTGATCAGAAATTTTGGTTTGGAAGGCCTTCTGTTTTTCTGTATTTCATTGAGGGAGTTTGCATGTATGGAGGAGATCTCTGAAGAAATTGTTGATGGAATTACTGCAGGCTTTCCTAGTTTGTATGATCATTCGGGTTTAGTGAGCGTTACAGGAACTGCTAGCAGGAGCTGAATAGGTCTAACTGAGGGTGACCATCCACCCTTCCATGTTACCTGGGGAGCACCCATTGAAACTACTTTTTGGAGGTCATCTCTCCCTATCTTGAGTGGATCAAAGATGACAGGGGCCAATGGCAACAAGTTAAAGCTTTGCCAAATCAATACTTTGATGGTGAGTGGGGTGATTAGTATCTGTATTTTGTCACATGCATTTTGCTCTGGCCAACATGAGGAGTGTTAATTTGGTTCCCATTGCAGCCCACTGGGTGGCATCTTGCAAAATTTTGTAACACAGCTTGGCCCCCACAGATATGGTGCAGAAAACAGGGTCATCAAAAGTTGCTCCATTCTCCTGGAAGCTGCAAAGGGAACTTGGAAAACTGGCAAGCTAGCAAAAAAGTAAAAATTTCTTACCAGCCAACCTCTCCCTGTGCAAAACCAGTGGAATGAATTGTAAAAGTCACTGTTTGTCTCCTCTGCAAGTTTTGATTAGAAGAAAAACAGATCTATGTGACTAAACTTTTTGTCATTCGGTTGTCAATCTGTCATAGAGAGGAGTACCACAGAATAGAACGTAGGCCTAAGACCCCTAAAAACTCAGTGTTTGAGCTGGCCCTGCGCACTGGTTAGTTACAAACTTTCTTGCAGGTTCCTGAAAAAAAAAAAAAGTGACATTTTCCTCTTTTCTCATTTTTTGTCCTTGAGAACTTAACTTTGTAACCATGTGAGAGTACTGTCCCTTTTTCTCCCACATATGGAGGGTTGGAATTTTTTATTCATGTCAGGCACCCAGTCTGAAAGGACACATTGAAGTCACAGCTTCTCTATGTCTGTTTATTGATATGCTTCATAAGTATAATATTTCACTACCAAAATATTTAAAAGAGCTCTAATGAATTGGCATGTCTATATAATGCACTTAAATATTTTATCACAAGAAAATTAACTACATTGCCTTTTAGTTCACATGACTCTAATAATCTGTGAATAATAAAGACAGTTTTATAGATTATTGGTAAAATAAAATTAAAATGTCTTCAATATTTAAATATTTGGTCTAAATTAGGCAGGTCAGATACTGTCTTTGCCAAATGATTTAAGGTTATAAACTGCTTCTGAGACTTTTTATAATTGCCTAATCTGCCTGCATTAGAGGCATTAGCTTCTAGATAAGGACTGGGGGACATGTTGAGTTAGCTATGCCCTGTAACTATGCTGGAAAGGGTCCGATATTATCTACAGTTCTGTCCTGTGTCCTAGGCTCTGTACTTGGTACAAAATTAACACTGAGTTCACTAAAAATAAAAGTTGTTAAGACTCTACATTGTAATATACATAATTGAGACTACTGAAAAAAGATTTACATGAAAGGTATATAAAAATTATATGTTTTGGTAAAAAATTATACAAAGACATAAAAATGTTAAAATAATTTTGTCTAATTTAGAGGATTTTAAAAAATCATCTCAAGTTAAAAAGGAAAACCTGAAGGTTTAAGCAACTTATAGATTTATAAAAGATTGAACTTGTAAAGAAAGTTCTGTGTATGAGCAAGCTGCCAAAATTTGAAGGGGATTAGTTTTTCTTTTTTTTTTTTTTTTTTTTTTTTTTTGAGACAGAGTCTTGCTCTGTCATCCAGGCTGGAGTGCAGTGGCACGATCTCGGCTCACTGCAAGCTCCGCCTCCCAGGTTCACACCATTCTCCTGCCTCAGCCTCCCGAATAGCTGGGACTACAGGTGCCCGCCACCACACCCGGCTATTTTTTTTAGTAGAGATGGGGTTTCACCGTGTTATCCAAGATGATCTTGATCTACTGACCTTGTGATCTGCCCACCTTAGCCTCCCAAAGTGCTGGGATTACAGGCGTGAGCCACCGTGCCCAGCCAGGGATTACTTAGTTTTTCTACAGAATAAACATTAAAATAAAATGTACACTGATATAGGCCCAGAGTCTGCAGCCCTGTGTGTGATAAATGGAGTTTTCATGGAGCATTAATCTGCTCTTTAGTATACAATTGTAAAATGCCATAAAATATTTATGAAACTCTTACTTTATAATCAAACTGATTTAGATTAGATAATGTGTTTATAAGGTTTTATATAAAAATTGGGTTTAATATTAATAGTACACTAATGAAGCAGAGAGAATAATAATAACAGAAATAGTAAAAATGAAACAGTAATGACATAGTAATAGTTTCTTCCATAGAATGCTAAGCCTGGGCTAAGAGGGCTATAGGTAACCCCTACCCCGAAAATGGAGTTAAGACAGACTATTAATTGCCCTTCTGTGAAACACTAACCATATCTACCCTCTGCAAATTTTGTAAGTTCCTGTTTTTCTAGCTGTGCAGCTGCAAGGCCACAAGATAAGCACAAGCTGCAAAACATGTTTTTTCCCCAAGATGTAAGACATGTCACAAGAAGATTAACTGCTTTTGTTCTCACTTCTGTAAATCTGCTTCCCACTTCATGTTTTTCCTGCCCCAAATGCATAAAAGGCACGTGCTTTCTTTGTTTGATGCTCAGACTTTCTGGATGCAAGTCCACTGAGCTGGTGTACACCTTAAACAAACCCTCCTGAACCCCTTCGGTCTCTCCAGTTCTCTGATTTTCCCGCTACACTAATGCAGAGGTAAAATTTGTTTTTTTTTTTTCTTTGAACAAGGCTTTTGTATAATATTGAAGGATAATAAAATATTTTTGTTCGCCTTTTAAATAAACTGAAAAACACCGAGAGAGAAGAGACAGATGTGGTCGGCCTCATGCTGTCTTTATTGGGTCTTGTTTGGAGAGATGAGTCTCCCTTCTCTATCAATGAGTAGAGATTTTTGACTTTTTGAAATTGAGTTATTTTCTAAATAAATGATGTGTGGTTATCTGGGATTCCATTTTGTGATATGAAGTGTTTTAAACCTTTAATATTTGAAAAACTTTGAAAAATCAAATTGTAAATTAAGTCTTTTTTTTTTCTACCTAATTAACCTTTTAAGTATTGGGTCCGCTGAACTCCAAAAGACGTATTTGCCTTATTTGGTATATTGACCACACAGAAAACATTGTCAAATACAAAATGGTGTTGAATTTTCTTTGCATTATATTTATATAAATGTAAATATGTATTCCAAAATTATGATTCCTATAATCCTCATTTCATTGTGATTAGTAATAATTATGATTATGTTAAATTATTATGTGCCACAGAGATGACCAGATTTTCTTGTTGACTGTGTCTTTAACAATGGCTGTCCTCATCAGGCATGGTGGCTCATGCCTGTAATCCCAGCATTTTGGAGGCCAAGTATGGAAGATTGCTTGAGCCCAGGAGTTTGAGACCAGCCTGAAAAAGACCTCATCTCTACAAATAAGTATAAAAATTAGCTGAGTGTCACCCAGCATGGTGGCTCATGCTTGTAATCCCAGCACTTTGGGAGGCTGAGGCAGGTGGATCACCTGAGGTCGTGAGTTTGAGACCAGCCTGACCAACATGGAGAAACCCCAGGTCTGCTAAAAATACAAAAAATTCGCCAGGTGTGGTGGCACATGCTTGTAATCCCAGCTACTTGGGAGGCTGAGGCAGGAGAATTGCTTGAACCCAGGAGGCAGAGAATACGGTGAGCCTAGATCGTGCCATTGCACTCCAGCCTGAGCAACAAGAGCAAAACTCTGTCTCAAAAAAAAAAAAAATTAGCTGAGTGTGGTGGCACTTGCATGTGGTCCCAGCTACTCTGAGGACTGAAGTGTGAGGATTTCTTGATCCCAGGAAGTTGAGGCTGCAGTGAGCCGTGATTGTGCCACTGCACTCCAGCCTGGGTAACTAAGTAAGATGCTGTCTCAAAAAAAAGTAAAAGTAAAATTAAAAATCAATGGCTGTCCTGAAACGTTTGTTATCCACAGATAACTGTTGCATTATTTTGATCCTTTTCAAAAAGTGATTTGCTTTATGAAAGGTTCTTTGAATACAGGTTTCTGATAGAGACTGTGCCAGTGAAATAGAAAAAACATACTTTCATAGATAGCTGATATTTTCATGAGGACTACTGGCCCAGTGTCAGGCAGTACAAGAGTTAATTACATGGACTGAACTAATAGGAGACCGAAGTAATCCTTTTATGATTTGTTGCTTAAAATGTTGTTGATCCAGCCAGGTGTGGTGGCCTCACGCCAGTAATCACAGCACTTCTGGGAGGCTGAGGCAGGCAGATCACCAGGTCAGCAGATCGAGACCATCCTGGCCAACATGGTAAAACCCTGTCTCTACTAAAAATAAAAAAAAAAAATAGTTGGGTGTGGTGGCAGGCGCCTGTAGTCCCAGCTACTCGAGAGGTTGAGGCAGGAGAATTGCTTGAACCCAGGAGGCAGAGATTACAGTGAGCCGAGATGGTGCCACTGCACTCCAGCCTGGAGACAGAGTGAGACTCTGTCAAAAATATATATATATATATGTTGCTGATCCTTTTGTTGTCGCTGTTTTTCAGTGTCAAGGAAGCTTTTTTGTTTGGAGAGCCTTTTTGTTGTTTTTCAGTGTCAGCTGAGCTTTTAACAATTGAGTTTTGTTTTGAGCTTTTAACAACTGAGTGAAGTATACTCCTGTGAGTAAAATTTGAAGCATTATTTCTCTCTGCCTGGTTTCTCCAGAATTTGAAAATTGTTTATTTTTTTTAAACATATGGATAATTCGTTATTTACATTTAAGAATCTGTTTTCTTTTATAACAGGAAACAACTGGATACACTGGTTATTTTACCAAAATATGCCTATTTTACCAGTGGAATGACATACTTTCACATATAAACAGACTGCCTTAAGGAATTCAAATTGACTAATAGAAATGATGAAAGCCCTGGGGGGGAATCTGGCCTCATACCTTGTCTGCGCAGTCTTTGTACAGGGTTCCTGACCAGAGATAGGGAAAAATGTTACTTTCTGACAGGTCTACGATCCCCATGTTATCTTGGGATGTCAAGAAGAGAGGAATTCACCCAATCCATACACGCATTTGTAGACACAGATAAATCCATGGGTTGACTCAAGGCTTTTAAAAATGTCTAATCTAAGATTCCTTATGGAACAAAGTTCCAGCAAAGCCAATTTAGAAACAGCTAATATGGCAAATAATTATTCTTGCTTCACTTTATGCAAATAATAAGGCTAGGTATAATAATGCCAAAACTTATTTTGTAAATAAATGTGTCCTACTATGATGTGTCTTTAATAAAAATGAGAACTAGAACAAGAAAAATTATATTTCAGAAAAATACTATAGCAGACCTGTTGTTAAGATTCTAGTCTTGCCCATTGTTTTTGAGCTTTTAATTATTTTCTGCACTTTGGAAAACTCTGAACTCTTTCAGAGCCAAATACCCCCAAACTAACACTTTCCAATTTTTCTTCCATTTTTACTGACCTGGACTCAATGAAATTGCTATTACCTCTTTCCTGAAGCCCTGCACGCAGATGCTTATTTCTTGTGATACAGGTGATTTGAAAATATGTCAGACTGCCATTGCCTTAAAAATATTTGAGTTTATCATGTGGATACACTGTGCTCAACATTAACCTTTGTAGTTTTTTTCTATTTCTGTTCAAATGCCTGTTATTAAAAATTTTTTCTGCCTTCATCACAAATAGAGGCCTAGTCCATCTGCAATTCTACTTTCTAAAATGAAACGTAAATATTTAACTGAATGAATCTATTTGCAGGACTAGGAAATTAACTAAAAAGATGTGGAATGGTATATACAAATTTACTCTTTCCCATTTATTCCAATTTGTCTTTCTAACAACTTATGGCTCAAATCTATCTTGACTACTGACCCCATGTCTGACTGGTTCTTGGGGCTATTCCCCTGAATCCCTCAGGAATTTAGATGAATTATATAAGGACTTCTGAAGCTCGGACTTCTACTTCTTACATTAGGACTCATTGTCCTACAGTCTGCTGCTCACTTAAGTGCTGTACTAAAATTGTGGATGAGCGTACTAACATCTTTGTCATGCAAGCCTAGGAACCCCAACGAGGCACCTGTGAATACATGCAGGCAGCTGCAAAGCAGTTTCATTCCATTTACCCTGGGGCCAAACCCTATCCCAAGTACAAGCCCTGTTGGCAGGAAGAAGTTAGTCTTCAGCCTCTTCCCAACTGCCTGCCTCACACCTTAAGAATAATGTGCAGTAAAACCCCAAAAAGAGAATTGAAATCATCTTTGTAAAAACTGTAACACTGACAAAATTGTGACAGTGAGAGGGATGACCTAAATGACTTCATCTTGCCTTCAACCTCCAAGTTGTCCTTGTTCAATCATGGGCAAAAGTCAAACTAACTTTGGGAGGAATTTATTTTATAGCTTAACTTTGAAACAAAGATAGTAACAGCTCTTTCCTGAAACAAAACCGCTCATTGTTTGGAGACCATATTGCCTTTGTAAAACTCACAAATTAACTATGGGGTTATAAAGTATGGCTCAGGAGTCATACATCCAGATGCCACAATATTACTAACCTCCCCAATTGCTCCCATAAATAGCATTACTATTGTAAAACCTAAGATTTGTGTTTGATATATTTTTCTGATCTTGCATACTGATGGATCAGCAGGTGCCACTCAAACCAGTAAACCGGCTCATCTGGACATGTGGCCCCCATCCAGGAACTGAGTCAGAAAGAGAAGATGACTTTGACTTCCTAAGATTTTATCCCTGACACCCACCAATCAGCATTCCCCTTTCCCTAGCCCCTTGCATGCCAAACTATCTATAAAAACCCTAGCCTCTTAATATTTGGGGAGGCTGTTTGGAGTAATAAGAAAACTCTGGTCTCTCCTTTAGCCAGCTCTACATGTATTAAATTTTCTCTACATAGCAATTTCCCTGTCTTGGTAATGTGGCTCTATCTGGGCAGCAGCCAAGATGAATCCATTGGGCCTTAACAATCTAATCACTGAATTTTGTATGAAGATAACTTGTTTTGATTTCTTAGGCTGACAGATGAGACTTTGGATTTTGGAACTTTCGGTTGGTGCTGGAACAACTTAAGCCTTTGAACTATAGAAATGGAATAATTTTTTTTAAGTGACAGGGCATGATTTTTAGAAAGCCAGAAGTAGAGGGCTCTCCTCACAAACTCATGTTTAAACTTCATTCCTAATGTGGCAGTCCTGAGATGTGAGACCCTTAAAAGATGACTGGATCATGAAGAGTTTTCCCTTATGATTAAGTTAATCCATTCATGGATTAATACACTGATGAGTTTTAGAATAATGTGTTATTAAGACAGAAAAACTGATAGCTTGTAAGAGGGGAGACCTGATCTTCCATGTTAGCAAGCTCTACTGCATTGCCATATGATACCCTGCATGGCTTCAGGACTCTTTGGAGAGTCCCAAGAAGCAACAGGACTTCACCACATGTGGCCCCTAAACATTCCACTTTTCAGCCTCCATAACTGTAAGAAATATATATGTCTTCTTTATCAACTACTCAGTTCCAGGTATTTGTTTTAAGTAACAGAAAATGGGCTAAAACAAAGTCTCTTAGTATTACTACGACCTGTTATTAAGTTCAATGGAAAACTACAACCATTCCCGGCAACAGTACAAATGGTCCAGATCTTTCAGGAATGAAGGTCTGCATCACCCTGCCAGGTAAAGACCTCAGACCAGCTGAGGAGCTTGCTGAACACAAAGAGAATACAGAGTGGGGAGCAGTGGAAGGAAGTTATAAATACCAGTTAGGACCAGGTGAACAGTTACAGAAACAAGGATTAAAATTATCACTAGTATTTCCTATCTACTTTAAGAATACATTTGCGTGTTTATATACATATATTAGGCAAATAACTTTGTTTTCATCCCTCTCTTCTTTTATCACATAACCCAAGAATGCATTGATCTGATAGTAGCAGTTAAGTATTAGTAATTTAACATATTTGTATTGAAATTATGGGATATCAGAATAGTAAACTTCACCCACAAACTTTTACTACTCTAAAAAAACAGATTAGTATGTTTTGGTTGTATACAGAATAATTGCATCATGTTGCCTTATTACTGTCTGTATTTGGAGATTAGTATGGCTTAAGGTGATACATATAGGTGCCAGGTAGAAAGGTGATGGGCTTTTCGTGGTTAATTTAATGTAGATTAAAGAATACCTAGAGAACTGATAAAGCATTACTTCTGGATGTGTCTGCCAGGGTATTTCCAGAGGAGATTGTTGTGTGAGGGAAGGAATTTAGTGAGGAAAATACACCCATAATGGAAGCAGGCACCATACAATCCCCTTGATGACCCAGTATAACCTAAAGTGAAAGTTTTAAAAAAGCTATCTCCCTCTCTCTCTCCCCCAATCCCTGCCCACCCCCTTCGGCAGGTACACTTCTTTTCCTGCCCTTGACAGAACTCTGAATTCTCTGACCTTGAAACTCCAGGACTTTAAGAGGGAAACCTGTGGATTCTCAGGCCTTTGGTCATAAACTGAGAATTACAATAAGGGCTTTCCAGGTTCTGAAGATCTCAGGCTTATAGCCATGCTGTAACATTCTACAGTCTTAAACTTTACAAATGGGCCGGGCACAGTGGCTCATGCCTGTAATCCCAGCACTTTGGGAGTCTGAGGCGGGCGGATCACGAGGTCAGGAGATTGAGACCATCCTGGCTAACACGGTGAAACCCTGTCTCTACTAAAAATACAAAAATTAGCTGGGCATGATGGCGCACGCCTGTAGTCCCAGCTACTCGGGAGGCTGAGGCAGAAGAATGGTGTGAACCTGAGAGGCGGAGCTTGCAATGAGCTGAGATCGCGCCACTAAACTCCAGCCATGGCAACAGAGCGAGACTTCGTCTCAAAATAAATAAATAAATAAATAAATAAATAAATAAATAAATAAATAAATAATAAACTTACCAATGGCTGTCCTGGGAATTCTCAGCCTCTATAATCATGTGGGCGAATCCCCAAATAAAAATGCCACTATTCTATTATCTTGCTATCAACTATCTATGTATTGATCTGTCGATGTATCTAATCTATCTACCTACCTATCCTACCTACCATTTGTCCTGTCTCTCTAAAAAAAAAAACTGAGAAATACACCCATAAAGGCTTCAGCCGACTGGCCCATTACCCTGTCTGCTGTAGTTGCTCCCCCACCACCCATACTATTTGTGAGTGTGTGTCCCGGAGAGCTCTTCCCTTCCTATTGCTGCTTCAAGGAATGCTGCCCTCCACTCTTTGATTGGTTAATAATAATACATTACTAATGTCATTATACACCTTTTGTTGAGTTGCCTCCTCTGTGTGTCGCTTTACAAACACATGAAGACCTCACTTTTTTTTCCCCAGGCAGCACTCTCCTAGAGAGTGGCTATCTTGTTAGAAATAACACACAGGTCTGACAGGAGCTACAAGGATGTCTTCCAGTAAAAGCAAGTATACTGTGTGAGAGAAATACCTGGATGCAAGTTGGATTATTAGGCTTTAGGCCATCAACCAAGTTGAATAAACATCCCATGAAAAGCATACCCTGTACCAAAGCCTGAGTTCTACTGGGCAAGGCTATAGATTATAGCCACTACCCAGAGACAGACATCAATAACAAACAGAAATAAAAATGAAACATACGCTATGAGATAACTTTACAAACTGTAATTCCAGGAACCCATTGGGAGAAAAATAAAAATGGCAAAGCAGTACTTGAAAGTCTGTGCTGGAGTGGTAGCTCTTTAAATACATAGAAAAATCTGTATCTAGAGAATTGCAGCCCTAAATATAAGCAACGATCTCTGTAACTTACACTCTAAATCCAATTATTCATTTATTTATTATTTATTTAATTATTTTAGAAACCGAGTCTCGCTATGTTGCCCAGGTTGGAGTGCAATGGCTACTCACAGGCACAAGCACTGCACACTACAGCCTAAAACTCCTCACGTCAAGTGATCATCCAGCCCTACCTCCCAAGCAGCTGCAACTACATGCCCATAGCACCACACCTGCCCAGTTAGAATTTTTAAATCAAGAAAGTTGCATTTCTTTTTCCTCTTTCCCGTGGTCATTTTAATCACATGGATGATGATCATGCAAATCATTTTAAGATCAGTTACTGCACATGTAGATGTAGTATAGTTTCCATCTTCTGTGTTGTCTACTTGTTACATAGCTCAAGTGTACTTCTGGATGCTTTGGAAAAAAAATGGACTTTCATGTTCCCTGAAGAATAGAGTGAATAGGCCGGGCGCGGTGGCTCACGCCTGTAATCCCAGCACATTGGGAGGCTGAGGCGGGCGGATCACAAGGTCAGGAGTTTGAGGCCAGCCTGGCCAACATGGTGAAACCCCATCTCAACTAAAAATAAACACACAAAAAAATTAGCCCGCCTGTAGTCCCAGCTACTCGGGAAGCTGAGGCAGGAGAATCACTTGAACCCAGGAGGCGGAAGTGCAGTGAGCCAAGATCCCACCACTGTACTCCATCCTGTGAGAAAGGGTGAGACTCCGTCTCAAAAAAAAACCCGAGTGAATAAAATAGAAAATCATATCATTTATATTTTATAACGTTACTGCATTTGTACCATGTGTTTTAGGTTCCACAAAGGCTCAATTAAGTTAACAGCAAGTCCTGATCTCAAATATATGAGCAATGTCTACACTTCTATTTATTTTAAAATTTTAAATTTACAGAAAATTGCTGAGATCTTACATAAAGTTTCATATACCCTTCAACTTTCCGTAATATTAACATCATACATAAACAAGAATATCTGTGAAAACTCAAAAAATTGATAAAGGTATATAGGACTATTAACTAAAGTACTGACTGTCTTCATATTTTACCTGGTTTTCCCCAATGCCATTTTTCTGTTTTTTGATCCAATTCAGGATAACATATTACATTTACCATCAAGTGTATTATTGTTTATTGCAGCATAGCCAATTACCATGTAGCTTAGTGGCTCAAAAGCATGCACACATTACTTACAGTTTCTCTGGGTCAGAAATCCAGATGTAGGTGATGGCCAAGGCTGAGGTTTCACCTGAAAGATGAGATGGGGATGCATCATCTTCCAAGCTCACATGATTGCCCAGGTTGAGAAGACTTCACTGGTGAATTACTCCAAACCTTTAAAATATCAATAGCAATTTTTCACTAACTGTTCTCCAAGAAGATAAAAACCATAGAGAAGAGACCAGTAAGCAATGCATTCTGTGAGACAGTTTCCTCTGATACCACAACTAGACAAAGACAGTCCAAAAAAGGAAAAATTTAAACCAATATACTTTATGGATACCCAGGCAATAATCCTCAAGGAAATAATTTCAACACAAATCAGGATTATGACACAGGGGTTATATGTTACACAAAGGTATTAATTTACTCAAGATTGCAAATTTGGTAAAACATATAAAAAGAATTATTGTAATACATTATATCAATATAATACATGATAAAGCCTCATTATCACCTCTAAGGATGCAGAATAAGCACTTGACAAATCCAAAATCCACTCACAGTAAAAACACTAAATGACTTTTTCATAGAATGAAATGTTCTTTACATAAAAATGTCATTTATGAAAAACTCACATAACAATAATATCAAGAAAGTCTCAGTAATTTCCCAAAAATTACAAACATAAAAAGGTTATCTACTCCCACTAAACATTATTCTTTAAGATTTAATTGATAAAACTAGCCTAGACAAATAAATTTAAGACTTCCAGATTGAGAAGGAAGAAATCAAAGTATCTCTATTTCCCAGTAAATAATCTAGTGTATAGAAAATCCTAAAGAATCCACTAAAATGAGATAGGAGCCATTAAAAAAGTTCAGTAATCCTGTAGGATGCAAGATTCATGTAAAAAAATTGCACTCTTATACAATTGATATGGTTTGACTCTGTGTCCCCACCTAAATCTCATCTGGAATTGGAATCCCCCTGTGTTGGGGGAGGGGCTGAGTGGGAGGTGACTGGACCATGTGGATTGTTTCCCCCGTGCTGTTCTCAGGATCGTGAGTGAGTTCTCAAAAAAGCTGATGGTGTTTGGCAGTTTCCTCTTCACTCTCTTTCTCGCCACCTTGTGAAGAAGGTGCCTGCTTCCCCTTCACCTTCCGCCATGAGTATAAGTTTCCTAAGACCTCCCCAGCCATGTGGAACTGTGAGTCAATTAAACCTTTTTTCTTTATAAATTACCCAGTCTCATATAGTATCTTTACAGCAGTGGGAAACAAACTAATACAAAAATACAAACTAATCAAATAAAGAAACTAAAAAAAATTCATTTAACATGGCATCAAAAAGGAAATGTATTTGGAAATAAATTTAACGTAAGTTTGAGGCATGCAGATCATGAGGTCAGGAGTTCAACACCAGCCTGGCCAAAATAGTGAAACCCTGTTTCCACTAAAAAATACAAAAAATTAGCCAGGCATGGTGGTGGGCGCCTGTAATCCCAGCCACTCGGGAGGCTGAGGCAGGAGAATTGCTTGAACCTGGGAGGTAGAAGTTGCAGTGAGGTGAGATTGCACCACTGCACTCCAGCCTGGGCAACAGTGCAAGACTCTGTCTCAAAAAAAAAAAGTACAAGACTATATATACATGTACTGTAAATTACAAGTGATACTGAAGTATTAAAGAAATCCTGAATAAATGAAAAAAAAAACCTAGATTTTCCTTGATGAGAACGCTATTAGGTACTTACCAAGATGCTTATACTTTCCAAATGTATATGCAGATTCAATACAATCCCTACAAAAATTCTAGCTTTCATGTTTTCCATTTTTTTGTGATAACTGGACTGCAGGTTCTAAAATATACAGGAAAATGCATTTAATCCAGAACACCCAAAAGAATGTATAAAAATGTTTGAAGAAATACAAATGATATATATGGAACTTTTGCTCATAAGGAGATGGAGCATAATTCCCTACTTCCTACATATGTGTTGTTCATAATGACTTTTTTCCAAAAATACATCATGAAAACAGGAACAAATATTAATTTTGTAGTGGTAAACTTGAGCTAAACTGCCTCATGCAGGTGATCAAATAACGTTAACCATGATAAGGCAGCTGGGCATGGTAGCCCACACCTGTAATTCCAGCACTTTGAGAGGCCAAAGTGAGAGGATCACTAGAGGCCAGGACTTCAACAAAAGGCTAGGCAACATAGGGAGACTACACCTATACAAAAGTAAAAAGTAAAAATAAATTAGCCTGGCATGGTGGCACATGCCTATAGTCCTAGACACTCAACAGGATGAGGTAGAAGAATCACTTGAGCCCAGGAGCTCAAGGCTGCCTTGAACTAGTATCATGCCACTGCACCCCAGCCGGGGCAACAGACAGAATGAGACCCTGTCTTATAAAAAAAAAGTTGGGGGGGGGCGGTGGGTGCGGTGGCTTACACCTCTAATCCCAGCACTTTGGGAAGCCAAGGCAGATAGTATCACGAGGTCAGGAGATCGAGAGACCATCCTGACTAACACGGTGAAACCCCATCTCTATTAAAAATACAAAAAATTAGCTGGGCGTGGTGGCGGGCACCTGTAGTCCCAGCTACTTGGGAGGCTGAAGCAGGAGAATGGCATGAACCCGGGAGGCAGAGCTTGCAGTGAGCCGACATCACGCTGCTGCACTCCAGCCTGGGCAAAAGAGTGAGACTCTGTCTTTAAAAAAAAAAAGAAGTTGCTAGTATATACTGAGTCATCACTCAGCCTGTAGCCATCTCTAAGATCACGGCATGGAGGGTTGGGGGTATATCCTACGCTGCTTGTTCTTTTGTTTTTGTTCCTACTGAGCTTCCTTGACTTACACACAATGCACGTGTATCACTCCCTAACATTCACCTGAGAAAATCGTGATGTGTAAAAATTTATATCCAGGTTTCTGTAAGCAGGGACTGGCCTAAATCACCCTATTAGAAATATTTTTTGTACTCTGCTTACTACCTGCTAGCGTAGAAGCTTTAGGAATGCCAATTGGCAATATAATTCCACGATATGAGTGTCCACATAATGCATGGTCTCAAACAATTCCTGATGGAGTCTGTAGAGTTAAAAAGAAAAAAATATATATTAGTACAGGTTTCCTGAAAGGTTTAAAAGTACAGTTGTCTTTTGATTACTTGCAGAAGAAGTACAAGTACTTCTTGTACTTTCTTGATACCCTTGTACCAAGAACATTATCCTGAATGCAGAAATATGATTTATGCTCCCTGTCACTGAAATTTCTTATTCTTGGCTTCTAGTATCTGAGAGTCTATCTCCCAAAAAGGCTTCAGTGGGAGACTGCATATACACTGCTAAATGACGCCCACAGATGGGTCTTTCCGGGATATGTGAAGGAAAGGCAACTTTCTTTGAAAAAGGGGTTGCTGACATTCAAACTGGTGACTGCATAATGGGGACGGAGAAAGAGGATGACAGTCCCTGGAGCTTGATGGTGCCTTCCTGAAGCAGGTGCACCTGGGTTTAGAAAGGTGACTAGATAAGAAAAGCCAGTTTGCTATTCTCTCCCTACACGCTATTGTGTCTCTGGAGGCCAAATTTTTGCCTTATGTCTTCATTTTATTTCTATAAAACAAATTAATAATTTTAAAAAACATTTACTTTGAAATAACTGCACATTAACATAAAGATGCACTGGTAGTACAGAGAGTTTTGTATAACCTTCAGCTAACTACAATGTTATTATCTATTATAACCATAATATAGTTTTAATGAAAACTAAGAATTTTAACTGTTTTTCAAAACCATCAGCTGATCTACAAACCTTCTTCCTATTTTACCGTGATTTCTGATAATGATGTATTTATCTATTCCACGCCTAATCCAGAATGCCATCTTAAAATTACTGTCAGTTATATTACTTATTACTTGGTGCACAACAAATTACTATATACCTAAGTGGCTCAAAAAACACACACGTATTACTCACAGTTTCTTTGGGTCTTCAGTCCAGATGCAGGTGATGGCCCAGGCTGAGGCTCAGCTGGGGAAAGGTCTCCTTCCAAGCTCACGTGATTGTTCCTAGGATTTGCTTCCTTGCCCCAGTCAAGATAATTCATTAGTCAGTTATTGGAATCACTTAACAATTAATATTAATTTATAATAAGTTGTTAAAAACAACAACAACAAAGTGGAGAAGGCATCGCATTTCATTTATACTGTGAGTTGGCTTACCCTGATACCGCAACTAGACAAACAGATTTCAAATAATGAAAATTAAGAACACACCTTACGAATATAGAGCCAAAAATCATCAAGGAAATCCTAGTAAAACAAATCAGCAACATGTAAAAAGTATTATAAAATATGTCAAGGGTATTTACCTCAGGAAAGCAACATTTGGTTCAACATTCAAGTACAATTAATGCCATGCACTATATTAATATGATAAAAAACAAAACCACATAGTCATCTCAAAAGATGCAGCAACACCTGAGAATTCCTGAACTCACTATGATGAAAACATGCAGCAGGCCAGGCGCAGTGGCTCACACCTGTAATCCCAGCACTTTGGGAGGCCGAGATAGGCGGATCACGAGGTCAGGAGATCGAGACCATCCTGGCTAACACGGTGAAACTCTGTCTCGACTAAAAGTACCAAAAAAAAATTAGCCAGGCGTGGTGGCGGGCGCCTGTAGTCCCAGCTACTCGGGAGGCTGAGGCAGTAGAATGGCGTGAACCCGGGAGGCAGAGCTTGTAGTGAGCCAAGATTGCGCCACTGCACTCCAGCCTGGGTGACAGAGCGAGACTCCTTCTCAAAAAACAAAAACAAAAACAAAAACAAAAAAAAACATGCAGCAAATAAGGCAGATAAGGGAAGTCAAACTCTTGTTTGCAAATGACATAATCTTATGTATAAAAAAATCCAAAGGACTCTAATAAAATATATTTAAACCTTAAAGATGAGTAACAAACTTACAGTATATACGGTCAACATATAAAATCCTTTGAATTTCTATACACTAGCAATTAACAACCTAAAAACAAAACTCAGAAAACCATTCCACTTGAGATGGCATCGAAAATAGGCATGTTTATCAAATTAAGTGTAAGACATGTACACAAAAACTAGAAAACATATTGAAGAAAATTAAATGAATAGAAAATATTTGAATGTTCATTGCTTAGAAGGATTAGTACTGTTAGGATGGCACTATTTTCCAAATAGATCTATAGATTGAATGCAACATCTACCAAAATCCCAGGTGATATTTCCTTCCCCTAAATTAACAAGGTTATTTTAAAGTTCATATGCAATGCAATAGACCCACAGCAGCCTAAATAATCTCGAATAAGAGGCAAAAGGTTGGAATTGTAGACATCTACTTCCTGATTTCAAAACTTAACTATTAATACAGGCCGGCACAGTGGCTCAACGCCTGTAATCCCAGCACTTTTGGAGGCTGAGGTGGGCAGAGCACTTGAGGTCAGGAGTTTGAGACCAGCCTGGCCAACATGATGAAACCCCATCTCTACTAAAAATCCAAAAATTGGGCATGGTGGCGCATGCCTGTAATTCCAGCTACTCGGGAGGCTGAGGCACGAGAATTGCTTGCGCAAGAATTGCTTGAACACAGGAGGTGGAGGTTGCAGTGAGCCAAGACTGCACCACTGCATTCCAGCCTGGGAGACACAGCAAGACTCTGTCCTGAAAAAAAGAAAAAAAAAGAAAAACTTACTGTTAATACAAAAGAATACAAATCAAGATGTATGGTACTTGTATAAGGATTTACATATTGATCAACAGAATAGAATATAATGGACAAAAATAAATCCTTACATTTATGAGGAAATAATATTAGCATGTGGTCAAATAAATTAGGTATGGAGTTTTTTTTTAATCAAACGTTTCTGAAAAACGCAGATATCCGTAGGCAGGTCGGACTCCTGCCTCACACCACAAACGTAATTGACTCAAAATAATCATACATCTAAATATAATAGCTAAACAGGCCCAAACCATACAAAAAACACAGAAATACATCTTTGCAATCTTAGGTGAAACAATGTTTTCTAAGATATGACACTGAAAACACAGGAAAAGAAGAAAAAATAGATGTACTGAACTTTATTACAATTAAAACATTTTGGGATTCAAAGAACACCATCAAAATTAGAAACCCAAGGAAAGAGAAAATGTATGTAAATTTTATACATAATAATGGTTTATTATTCAGAATATATGACTATCTTAAAACTTGAAAATAAAAAGACAAATATACCAATCAAAAATTGAAAATTATTCGCATAGCCATTATTCCAAAAAATCTAGTCATATCCAAAAATGACATGAAAAGACACTCAATGCCTTTTGCCATTCTGAGGCGGGAGAACGGCATCACTTGTTTTCTGCTAGCAACCCTACTGACCAAAACAAGATCTGTTCCACACAGGATAAAGTGAAGAAACCAACAAAACCAGTAGATAGAGACAAAAGCGATCCTGGCCATCCTCATTAGCGTAAGACACTCCATCAGCACCATGACTGTTTACAAATTCCGCGGCAACAACCTGAAAGTTACCAGCCATTTCAATGGCAATGACCCATTAGTTACTGCCCATTCCCTAGAAAGTTCTAAATAACCCACCTCTCAATTTGTAATGATCCAACCCTCAATTTTCATGTAACTGAAAGCAGATTTACGTTAGTGTAAATACAGTTGTCAAGAGGCCATAGATTGCCAACTCTGGAGAGACTGCCTAAGAGTTAGCCCTGCTCTGCAAGGAGAAGTACCATAAAATAAAAAGATTTCTACCACCACTGGTTCACCCTTAAATTCTTTACTTGGCAAAGCCAATAACCCTCCAGGCGAAGCCCCAATTTTGGGTGTCACCTATCCTGCAAAAATTAGGGGAACTAAAATCTAAACAGACACGGGATTATACTTCAAATTCTAAAAAAAAACATATTGCTAAATATTGCTAAGTGAAAAAATGTAAGTTGGTAAAGGCAAAATACTGTGCAATTTCATTTATATGACTCTATAGAAAAGGCAAAAGGATAGCAATAATTAAGAGTTTGGTGGTAACGAGGGGCTTGAAGGAGAAAAAGGTGGAATCAGTTAACTATCAAGACTTCTTTTGGACAGTGAAATTACTCTCTGATACTGTAATGCTGGATACCTAATTATGTTTTCCAAATCCTGAAGAGCTTTGTAACACAAAGAGTGTACCTAAGTTATGCAAATTAAAAACCTTATTTAGGAGGTAGAGGCTTTCCAGGGACGATGCCCACAATATAATATAACTATGTTATGAATATATGGAATAACCTCACCAAAGAAAATGGAAGAAAGCAGCTGACCTAGGTAAATATGTGGTCCCATGAATTAATGATGGAGTCTGCATGATGAAAACTGAATTATCAGTGTTTTCTCAAGGGCTTAAAGGTATCCTTCTCTTTTAAAACTTGAAAAAGAATGCCTGTACAAAGAAAACACTCCTAATGCAGATATATGATTCATGTTTCCCATCACTGAGCATTTCTCAAACTTGTCTTCTAATGTCTGGAAGTTCTGTCTTTTAATGTTTTTAATTTTTTTTTTTAAGACGGAGTCTCACTCTGTCACCAGGCTGGAGTCCAGTGGCGTGATCTCAGCTCACTGCAACCTCCACCTCCTGGGTTCAAGCGATTCTCCTGCCTCAGCCTCCTGAGTAACTGGGACTACAGGCGCCAGCCACCATGCCGAGCTAATTTTTGTATTTTTAGTAGAGCCGGGGTTTCACCATGTTGGCCAGATGGTCTCGATCTCTTGACCTCATGATCCACCCACCTCGGCCTCCCAAAGTGCTGGGATTATAGGCGTGAGCCACCGCACCCGGCCTAAAATGTCTAAAATGTCTTTTCTGGGATCCTACAAACACACTGCCAGGAAGCACCTGAAAACAGGGCCTTCTAACCTATGTGAGAAAGTCACCTTTCTCTAAAAACGTGGTTACTGAGGCAAGAAATTGGTGACTGGGTAATGGGGAAGGTGATGGGAAAAAAGAAAATGGATGAGAGTCCCTAGAGCTGGATGGTGTCTTTCTCAAGCAGGTGCCCTATGTAGGAATGGGGGATAATGAGGCAAGCTACTTTGCCTTTCACTCTCTGCATCTCCACTCATCCTCTGGTCCAAGGTTTCTTTGTGGTTTATGTCTGTTTTTTTTTAATAAATAATACATTTTAAGAAACATTTTTTATTTTGAAATAATTTTAGATTTACAGAAAGTTATGAAGATAGGTTTCATATATCCTAAAGCTTCCTGAAATGTTAACAGTTTATATCAACATATCTATGAAAGCTCAGAAATTTACAGTGGTACAAAACTAACTAACTGAAATATAGACTTTCTTCACATTTTACCAAGTTTTTCAGTAATGTCATTTTTCTGTTCTAGGATCTAATCCAAGATACCACATTATGTTTACTGTCAGGCATATTACCTACTGATTGCTCTATAACAAAGTACTACACAGCAAAGAGGTTCAAACCTACCCATAAATACACATTACTTATAGTTTCTCCTGGTCAGATGACCCAGGGGGAGATTTCAAGGGAAGGCTCACCTGGGGAAGGATCACCTTCAAAGCTATTGTGATTGTTGTGAGGATCCAATTTCCGTCCAGGCCAAGATGACTTCACTGGTGAATTATTCCAAAGCTTTTGAGATTTAATAAAACAATCTTTTACTAATTTCTTCCAAGAAAAACAGAGGAGTAGAGAACCCTTCCCAATGCACTGTATGAAGCCAGTGTTCCCTGACACCACAACTAAACAAAGACATTTCGAGAAAGGAAAACTACAGACCAATATGAAACAGAGGCAAAAATTCTCAAAAAAATACTATCAAAATAAACCAGTAACATATAAAAAGGATTACACACTATCGGCGAAAATACTGATTTCCTGGAGTGTAAGTTTGGTTAAACACACAAAAACAATTGGTGTTATAAACTATACTAATAGAGTTTAAAAAACAAAAGCCTCATGGTCACCTCTAAAGAGGCGGAATAAGCATTTGACAAATCCCAAAACCATTCATGATAAGAGCTCTGGAAAAATTAGGCATAGAAGAAAACTTTCTAAACCAAAAAGTGCATCTATGAAAAAGTCACATAACAACATAAACAAAGATATATAAGCCAACAGAACACAGTCCTCCAAAATCAATCTTTAGGGCAAACTTATTTTCAAGGTTGAAAAATTAAAGATGGAAAAATATTTTCTCAACAAATGTTACTGGGAGAAGGTGATATCCACATGGAAGTTAAACTCTTTCCTGCACTACGTATGTGTCTAACTCAAAATAGAGCATGTGTCTAAATGTAGGAGCTAAAACTAAAAATCCCATAGATGAGAACATAGAAATACATTTTCATGGCCTTAGGTGAAACAATGGATTCTAACATGTGACACGAAAATACAAGTGAGAGGAAAAAAAAATAGATGCATTGAACTCCATGTGGATTAACACATTTTGTGATGCAAAATACACCATCAAGACAACCCAAATAATGGAAGAACATATTTCCAAGTCATATAGTTGTTAGGAGACTATTGTCCAGAATACATGAAACATTCTTTTTTTTTTTTGAGACTGAGGCTCGCTCCGTCACCAGGCTGGAATGCAGTGGCGCGTTCTCGGCTCACTGCAACCTCCACTTCCTGGGTTCAAGCAATTCTCCTGCCTCTGCCTCCCGAGTACCTGGGATTATAGGCTCGCGCCACCATGACCAGCTAATTTTTGTATTTTTTTAAGTAGAGACAGGATTTCACCATGTTGGTCAGGCTGGTCTCAATCTTGTGACCTCGTAATCCACCCGCCTTGGCCTCCCAAAGTGCTGGGATTACAGGCATGAGCCTCTGCACCTGAACACATGAAACATTCTTAAATGCAACATTAAAAAGACACCCAGCCTAATTAAAAGTAGGTAAATTGTATGAATGAATAGACATTTTTCCAAAAAGCTGTAGAAATGTCCAATAAACTCCCAAAAAGATGCTTAACATCTTTACTCCTCGGGGAAATACAAATCTAAGCTACCATAGGACACACTTCACAAATCTTAAAGGCATATTCATAAATGTTTGAAGAAATATTTAAAAGTCTATGCAATTTCAATATATGACACTGCGGAAAAGGTAAAATTATAAAGAATATAAAAATATGAGCTATTACTAAGGTCCTAGAAGAGAGAAAGTTTGATTAGGAGAAATACAAAAGATTATTTGTACATTAAAATTATTATCTGGGCCAGGCATGGTGGATCACCCCTGTAATCCCAGCACTTTGGGAGGTGAGGTGGGCAGATCACTTGAGCTCAAGAGTTTGAGACCAGCCTCGACAACATGGTGAAACTCCATCTCTATCAAAAATACAAAAATCACCCTGGCATAATCACGTGTGCCTGTCGTTCCAGCGCTGCAGGAGGCTGAAATGGGAGGATCAGTTCAGCCCAGGAGGCAGAGGTTGCAGACTGCCAAGGCCATGCCACTGCAATCCAGCCTGAGTGACAGAGTAAGACCACATCTCAAAAAAAAAAAAAAAATTATGATGCTGTGATGGTGTTAATGATACCATTTTTTTAATCCTACAGAATTTCACGTCACAAAGAGCAAACCCAAATAATGTATGTAAATTGCTTTAAGAAAACAATAATTATTAAGTTGGGGGATCCCAGAGAGAAATTCAAACAAAGTAACATAACTATATAACCAAAGTATAGAATAACCTGAGTGAAAAGTATAAGAAAAAAAGGTTTACTGACCTAAGTAAGTTGATAAGATTCTATGTCCAAAAACCAAAATATTTAAACATAAACTCTGCACTTTAGTTGATGAAGTTATTGCCCCTGGGAGTATGGATTACCAATTCAGAAACTACAATACTTGTATTTTGGGACTCATGGTTACATAAACATGACTAACTTTCTCACACACTGAGAGGTAACATAAATGTAGTTGAATCGGGTACACTGATTCCTGTGGTACTGGATTATATCATGTGGTACTGGAGATATAGGTAGAAATTCATGTCTAACTTCATACAGACATATATAGAGAACTGTAGAACTATCTATACATATGCATTTGTGAATTGGTATAAACACACATCCCTTTACCCTCGTTAGCTGAGATAACCTAGGATCAACAGATCCTAAACACAAATGAGTGAAATCACTGCCCAGACCTTTGTTTCTAATATAATTACCAAAAAGTAACAGAGATTGCTTGAAAACCATGTTTAATACTATGCTCGAGAAGAACATCAACACAGTTAACCTGGAGCAACTCGTAGTGCCACCAAGAAAGAAAAAGTGAAACAATAATACAACCAAATATACGAACAAAATCAAAGTGTGATGATGCTAATATATCAAAACCATAAAGGAGTATATACAGACCTTCCAATGGCCAACACTAGAACAATTTTTAATAATATATTAGTACAATAAAATGTAAAACTAATATTATGACTTCATATTATAATTTATACGATATAAACAAATGATTGAACAAATAGATAATAAATTAAGAAGAATAGATAAATTATCTTTGGTGAAGAAATACAAATGATTTAGAAGAAGATCTGCTTATGAGGAAGTGGAGCATGTTTTTCTACTTCTTTAGTATGTGTTGTGCATAGCAACTTCTTTTTAAAAAGTGCAACATCGGAAGAAGAAATATTTAAGTTTTATCCAGATGATCAAGTTAACATCAACAGCAATAAGGCATATTGTCATATATTCACTTGGTATAAAGTAATGAGAATGGCACTTTCCCTCTGTGGTCTTCCTCTCCAAAACCCACCAGTCGAGTCTAACCATGATTAACATCAGAAAAATTCCCCATGAGGGATGTTAATGTCATCAAAAACAGGGAAAGTCTGAGAAACTGGCCCAGGTAAAACCAGCCTAATTAGACATGATATATAAACGTTATATAGATCCTAAGTGGGATCCTGGAATAATAAATGGACATTAAGTGAAAGCTAACGATATACAAATAATGTGTGTTAATGAATGTGTAACGTTCATTTTGTTAACTGTGTAACGTTCCCTTTGTTAACTATGACAAATATCCCACACTAAGAGATTAAAAATAAAGAAAATTGTGTTGGATATCAATAAACTCTCTGTACTGATTTCCAACTGTTCCATAAATCCAAAAGTATTCTAAAATAGAACCGTTTCTCTTTTTTCCCCAATTAACTCCTGAGCTTAATAAAAGAGAATACTATCAATATTGTTAATGTTCCTGAGTGCATTTCTCAAATTCTATTTTCTTCCTTAAACTGGTGAAGGTTACTATTATTTGTCTCTGTCATTTTTTTTTAATTTTTCTATGTAAGTTGGCTTTGCTAATATACTATTCAGTTTTTTCATTTTTCCAACTTAGAGAAATGTAGTGCCTAAATTAATCCATAACTCCAGTCAAATTATGAGAAACTACTTGGACAAATCCATATCATGGTACATTGTACAAAATACCTGACTGGTTCTTTTTTTTTTTCCCCACAAGGACCAAGGTCAGCAAAATAAGTGAAGACTGAGAAACTACTTTAGATTGGGCAAGACCTGATGTGGTAGATAGGCCCTAAGATGGTAATTCCCACCTCCAGGGATACACAATCTGGTATTCTACTTTTCTCCTTATGAGTGTAAACAGGAGTTGTGACTTGCTTGCTAACAATTCAGTAATGCAGTTTTGGTACTTACAATTGTGATTTCTGTCTTGCATACAAGCTCTCGCCCTTGATGACCAATATGAAATAATCTCCCTGTGAGAGAAGCCAACATGGGAAGGAACTAAATGCAGCCTCTGGTCAACAGCCAGCAAGGAACTGAGGCTCCTGGTCAAACAGCCTGCCCTAAAGTTTGCAACTTACATTCATGACTATCCCAAGTCCCCTTTCAAATAGCAGTATATCACTTAAAAGGTAGTGTAAACACCTTATAACAGAATAATAATAATTATTGTATCCCATCCTTTGTATCATTCTTGTCATTAATATCAATTGAATAAAGCATACTTGTATGTATATTCATGTACAGGTATATAAGTGTGACATACACATAAGAATACCTAATCATATGATGTTGCTATTATTGTATTTAACAATTTATTAAGTAGCAATTAAGCATATGAAAAAATAAAAGTTTTTACTCTAAACACTAAAAAACAAATTTTAAAAGTATGACTGATATGCTATTTAGGAGAACGAAATAATATAAAATGCCCAATTAAAACCACAAAAGGCAGAAAACAAGCAGATAACAAAAGTAAGAATAAAGGGCCACAACTAGAAGATATTAGCAAATATAAAAAATATTAATCCAACTATATCAAAATTCATGCTGAATGCCAAGGGTCTAACCTTACAAATTAACCCATTACCTGTTTGCCCCAAGAAATGAGCACTGGCAGCAAAGCTACACTTTTTTTTTTTTCTAAACAGGAAATTAGTTAAAAGATAAAATTGTCAGAGTGGATGAAAAAGCAAGGCACAACTGTATGTTATTCATAAAAAATCCATTTTAAATGATTACTTGAAACTAAAGTAATGAATGCAATAAAATATATCCTGCCAACACTAATTATAAAATATAAAATTATAAAAATAGCTGGTGTAACAACATTGTCAGACAGAGTAGATTCTGAATCAAGAAGATTATCAGGGATAACAAGCTGCTGCCCAGTCCTTGGTGGGAGTGGTTTATAGAGTAAAGGCCATACCCACTGTGTCATCTGAGCTTGTGCAGGAGGAGGCAGGGATGTTTGTACAGGTTCTTCCCATCACGGACTGTTGAAGATGGAATACAACTTTGGGGAATTCTTTGCTCCAGAAATCAAGAAAGAAAAGGAAGCGGTGGCCAGGCACGGTGGCTCACGCCTATAATCCCAGCACTTTGGGAAGCCAAGGCGGAAGGATCAGAAGGTCAGGAGATCGAGACCATCCTGGCTAAGACGGTGAAACCCCGTCTCTACTGAAAATACAAAAAATTAGCCGGGCGTGGTGGCACCCGCCTGTAGTCCCAGCTACTCGGGAGGCTGAGGCAGGAGAATGGCGTGAACCCGGGAGGCGGAGCTTGCAGTGAGCCGAGATTGCGCCACTGCCCTCCAGTCTGGGCGACAGAGCAAGAATTCATCTCCCCAAAAAAAAAAAAAGGAGGCGGCATGACATTGAGTTTAATTCCCTAAGAATGAATCACCACCAAAAAACAATACCAGGAGTGATACTGAGGGCACTGCCCAGTATCACCCAAGATTCACAAGAATATTAGAGACATAAGTGTGAATAACAATGTTTTAATGTTATAAATACACCTAAATTTCTTCAAGGTTAAACTGGGAATAGTGGTTAGATTCAAGACGTACGGATTTTATTTCTTCTCTCTCTTCATTAAAGAATAGCTAGATGATTAAAAATGGGCTCTGGGCCGGGCGCGGTGGCTCACGCCTGTAATCCCAGCACCTTGGGAAGCGGAGGAGGGCGGATCACGCGGTCAGGAGATCCAGACCATCCTGGCTAACAGAGTGAAACCCCGTCTCTACTAAAAATACAAAAAAATTATCCGGGTGTGGTGGCAGGCGCCTGTAGTCCCAGCTACTGGGGAGGCTGAGGCACGAGAATGGCGTGAACCCGGGAAGCACAGCTGGCACTGAGCCGAGATCGCGCCACTGCACTCCAGCCTGGGTGACAGAGCGAGACTCCGTCTCACACACACATGCGCGCGCACACACACACACACACACACAAAGGGCTCTGGCCAGGCACGATGGCTCACGCCTGTAATCCCAGCACTTTGGGAGGTCAAAGTTGCAATGAGCTGAGATAGCGTCACTGCACTCCAGCCTAGCGACAGAGTGAGATTCTGTCTCAAAACAAAACCAAAAAATAAATAAATAAATAAATAACCCGGGGCTCTGGAGCAAAAATTTTGTGTTAAACGGAAATCTCTCACTAAGACAATACGATATTTCACAAAGATGAACAATGACAAAAGAAAACTCAAAATCAGACACTATGCATATTTAAGTAAATGAATAAATCCTATATAATTTTATAACACAAAGGATAAACATAAAAGTATACAAAAGGTAAACATAAAAGTATATAAACTAAAAACCTTATTTATCACCTTATTTATAAACTTTAAACTTATTTGTCAACTAAAAACCTTATTTTGGCAAGTTAAAAAAATCAGCAAAAAAATGAATAATCCCATTAAAAAGTGGGCAAATGAACAGGTATCTTTCAAAAGATGACTTGTAAGTGATCAAAAACATACGAAAAAATGCTCAATGTCAGTATCAGGAAATGCAAATTAAAATCATAAGATATCACCTTACCCTAGTCAGAATGGCCATTATTCAACAGTCAATAAATAATAGCTATTGGTGCAGATAAGGTGAAAAGAGAATGCGCTTATACACCCTTGGTGGGAATGTAAATTAGTACAACCTGTATGGTAAACAGTATGAAGATTTCTCAATGAACTAAAAGCAGATCTAATATCCAATCCAGAAATCCCATTACTGGGTATACACTCGAATGAAAAGAAGTCAATATATCAAAAAGACATCTACACTTCTAGGTTAATCACAATAGATTTCACAACTGCAAAAATATTAAATGAATCTAAGTGCCCATCAACAAGCAGATAAAGTAAATGTGGTATATATGTATCACAAAATACATATATCACAAAATATCACAAAATATCACAAAATACATGTATCACAAAATAAATATCACAAAATATATATCAATATATATCACAAAATATATATATCACTATACCACAAAATACTACTCAGCCATGTAAAAGAACAAAATAAAGTCTTTTGCAGCAATTTGGATGGAACTGGAGGCCATTATCCTAAGGGAAGTAACTCAGGAACAGAAAAACACTGCAGATTATCACTTATAAATGGGAGATAAGTTATGAATAAACATGTTTAATACTATGTTTTTCATAATATGGATAAACATGTTTAATACTATGCTTGAGAAGAAAATCAACACAGTTAACCTGGAGCAACTTGTAGTGCCACCAAGAAAGAAAAAGTGAATCAATAATACAACCAAATATACGAACAAAATCAAAGTGGGATCATGGACATTAGACTCAGAAAGGAGAAGGGTTAGCGGGGAGTGAGAAATGAAAAATCACCCATTGTGTCCGGAGTTGGTTCCTGCCTGTGGGTTCGTGGTCCCGCTGACTTCAGCCGGGAACCCTCAGCAGTCGACCTTCGCAGTGAGTGTTATAGCTCTTAAAGATGGCACCGACTCAGCAGCGGACCTTCCCAATGAGTGTTACAGCTCTTAAAGATGGCACGGACCCAAACAACAAGAGGTAGCAAGGTTAACAGTGAAGAGCAAAAACACAAAGCTTCCACACCCTCGAAAAGGACCGGACCAGCTTGCAGCTGCTGGGAGGAGGTCATTGTTTATTCCCGTATTGTCCCCTCCCATGTTCCGTTTCTATCCTATCAGAGTGCCCTTTTTTCAATCCTCCCCACTATTGGCTACTTTTAGAATCCTGCTGATTGGTGCGTTTTACAGAGCACTGATTGGTGCATTTTACAGAGCGGTGATTGGTGCGTTTTACAAACCTCTTGCAAGACACAAAAGTTCCTGATTGGTGCATTTTACAATCCTCTTGTAAGAAAAGTTCCCCAAGTCCCCACTTGACCCAGGAAGTCCAGCTGGCTTCACCTCTCACTATGAGGTAAAATATACACTATTCAGGTCACAGGTACACTAAAAACCCCAGACTTCACTACTATACAATTCATTCATGCAACCCAAAACCACTTATAATCCTAAAGCTACAATTTTTTTTAAAAAGCAGTGGTGCATGATTCCCCCACTTTTAAGTGTGTGTTGTATATAGTGACTTTTTTTCATGCATACAACATGAAAAGGGGGGAAAGGAGTAATTTTACAAAAGAGACTTGTTAGTAACTACCTCATCCAGGTTATCAAATTAACATCAACAGTGATTAAAGCCAGTTGATACCCTGTGCCCGGGATATTATGTGATGAGAATGGCACATTTCCTCTGTGATCTTCCTCCCCTAAACCCACAAATCCAGTCTCATCATGAGAGAAACATCAGGGAAACCACAAATTAGAAATGTCAATCCCATCAAAAACAATAAAACTCTGAGATATTATCACATTCAGAAGAGCCTAAAAATACATGATACCTAAATGTCATGAGGTATCCTGGATGAGATCCTAAAACGTAAACATAACATTAAGTGACAACTAAGAAATCTGAATAAAGTGTAGATGGTACTTAATGATAATCCATGATATTGGCTGGTTAATTTGACAAATATCCCACACTAATGTACAAGGTAAATAATAAGGGACACTGTGTGTGGGGTATGTTGGAAACTCTTTAATATATTTGCAACTATTCTGTAAATGTAAAAGTATTCTTTTTTTAAAAAAAGAAACGGCCCGGCGCGATGGCTCACGCCTGTAATCCCAGCATTTTGGGAGGCCGAGGCGGGTGGATCACCTGAGGTCGGGAGTTAGAGACCAGCCTGACCAACATGGAAAAACCCCGTCTCTACTAAAAATACAAATAAAATTAGCTGGGCATGGTGGTGCATACCTGTAATCCCAGCTACTTGGGAAGCTGAGGCAGGAGAAGCGCTTGAACCCAGGAGGCAGAGGTTGCAGTTAGCTGAGCTCGCGCCACTCTGCACACAGCCTGGGCGACAGGGCAAGACTCCATCTCAAAAAAAAAAACAAAACAAAACAAAAAAACCTATTCTTTAAAAAGAGTTTTTTGTTTTGTTTTGTTTTGTTTTTGTGAGACAGAGTCTCGCTCTCTCACCGAGCCTAGAGTGCAGTGGCCAATCTCGGCTCACTGCAAGCTCCGCCTCCTGGGTTCATGCCATTCTCCTGCCTCAGCCTCCCAAGTAGCTGGGACTACAGGCACCCACCACCATGCCCGGCTAATTTTTTTGTATTTTTAGTAGAGACAGGGTTTCACTGTGTTAGCCAGGATGTCTCGATCTCCTGACCTCGTGATCCACCTGCCTCGACCCCCCAAAGTGAAAAAGTGTTTTCTTAAATGTCACTCCCAAGCTTAAGAAAATAATCATTAGCAATATTGCTGATACCTCCTTCGTGCCATCTACTTAATTTCATAGTTTTCCTTAACCACTGAATTAAAACTATATTGTGAATTCGTTGTCATTTCCTATTTTAAAAATTATTCTCCTCTGAGTTTTTAAATCTGAATACTATATTGTTTAGGTCTTTTTTGTCTTCAAACTTAGGTGACTGTATTTAATTCCATCCATACTTACATTGTCATCATGAGAAATCACACAAAACCATATTGTAGGTAGGACATGCTATAAAATACCTGACTGGTACTTTTCAAAAAGGTCACTTTAAAAACAAGTGAAGACCAAGACACTGTTTCATATAGGAGAATATCTGATGTGTCAAGTAGATTCTAAGGTGGTGCCCAATTAGCCCCATCTTCTCCAATGCATAACTTTCTATTCTAATCCCATCCCGGTTAGTGTAAGCAGGAATTGTGACTTGCCTTGAAACAACAGAATAGTGCAAAGGTGGATAAATGTGACTTGGATTCTTATATACAATTATGATATTGGTTTTGCTAGAAATATCTCTTGCTTGATGGATTTTATGAAGCCATGTGAGAGAAGTCCCCTTGGCAAGGCACTTTATTCAGCCAATGGCCAATAGCCAGAAAAGTAATGGGATTTTTATGCAATAGACTGTCCTACAGTTGGTAATATTATATTTAACACTGACTCATACTGCCCAAAGACATTTACAGATTCAATGCTATTCCTATCAAACTACAAATGACATTCTTTAAGAAGTAGAAAAAACTATTTTTTTTTTTTTTGAGGCAGTCTCACTCTGTCACCCAGGCTGAAGTGCAGTGGTGCGATCTTGGCTCACAGCAAGATCCGCCTCCTGGATTCACACCATTCTCCTGCCTCAGCCTCCCGAGTATCTGGGACTACAGGCATGTGCCACCACACCTGGCTAATTTTTTGTATTTTTAGTAGAGATGGGGTATCAGCATGTTAGCCAGGATGGTCTCGATCTCCTGACCTCGTGATCTGCCCACATCGGCCTCCCAAAGTGCTGGGATTACAGGCATGAGCCACCACAAGGCCCGGCCTAGAAGAAACTATTTTGAAATTCATATGAAATCACAAAAGAGCCCAGACAGACAATGCAATCCTAAGCAAAATGAACAAAGCCGGAAGTATCACATTGCCCGACTTCAAACTATACTACAGGGCTACAGTAAAAAAAGAGAGCATTGTACTGGTACAAAGGTGAGCACAGACCAAGTGAACAGACTAGATAGCCCAGAAATAAGTCCACACACCTATGGCTATCTGATCTTTGACAAAGCAGACAAAAACAAGCAATGGGAAAAGACTCCCTATTCAATAAATGGTGCTGGTAGTACTAGTTAGCCATATGCAGAAGATTGAAACTGGACCCCATCCTTATACCATATACAAAAATCAACCCAAGATGGATTAAAGACTTAAATGTAAAACCCAAAGCTATAAAAGCCCTGTAAGACAACCTAGGCAATACCATTCTGGACATAGGAATGGGAAAATATTTCCTGAAAAAAACGCCAAAAGCAATTGCAACTGAAGGAAATACTCACAAAAGGGATCCAAATCAACTTAAGAGCTATACAACAAAAGAAACTATCAACAAGTAAACAGACAACCCACAGAATGGGAGAAAATAGAAAATATCTGCAAACTATGCATCTGACAAAGCTCTAATATTCAGCATCTATAAGGAACTTAAACAAATTTACAAGAGAAAAACAAACAAATAACCCCATTAAAAAGTGGGCAAAGGACATGGACAACTTCTCAAAAGAAGACATACATGCGGCCAACAAGCATATGACAAAAAAGTTCAGCATCACTGATACAGAAATGCACATCAAAACCACAATGAGATACTATCTCACACCAGTCAGAATGGCTTTTATGAAAAAATTAAAAAGCATATAAAAAAAGCTCAATATCACTAATTAGAGAAATGCAAATCAAAACTACAATGAGATACTATCTCACACAAGTCAGAATGGCTTTTATTAAAAAGTCAAAAAACATATTTACAAAAGCTCAGTATCACAGATGATTAGAGAAATGCAAATCAAAACCACAATTAGATACTATGTTATACCAGTCAGAATGGCTTTTTATTAAAAAGTCCAAAAATGAAAGATGCTGATGAGGTTGCAGGAGAAAGGGATAACTTATACACTGTTGGTGGGAATATAAATTAGTTCAACCAGTGTGGAAAGCAGTACGGGGACTCCTCAGAGTTAAAATCAGAACAACCATTCAACCTGGCAATCCCATTACTAGGTATATACTCAGAAAAATATAAACCATTCTACATGCATGTGAATGTTCACTGCAGTACTATTCACAATAGTAAAGACATGGAATAAACCTAAATGCCCATCAATGACAGAAAAAAGAAAATGTGGTACATATACACCATGGAATACTATGTAGCCATAAAAAAGGAGATCATGTCTCTTCCACTCTTCCAGGAACATGGATGGAGCCTGAGGCTATTAGCAAACTAATACAGGAATAGAGAACTACTGCTATGTTCTTACTTAAAACTGTGAACTAAATGATGAGAAATCATGAACACAAAGAAGGTAACAACAGACATTGGGGCCTACCTCAGGGTGGAAGGTGGGAGGCGGGAGAGGAGCAGAAAAAAATAACTATTGGGTACTAGGCTTAGCACCTGCGTGATCAGATAATCTGTACAACTAAAATTGGCCTCAGTCCCATAGACAGTTATTTTTGGATAAACATGGAAATTGACCCTTCTGCTGTTAAACCTTGAAACTTGTATTTGTTTTATCTGAGTTCCCTCCCCAGGAAACAAACTTCAGGCCTCTCACAAAAAGGATCAAAGAACTGAAAGCAGACAATGACCCCAGACTTCACAGACCCTTCTTTCTTCATGATTACTTCCTTGCACCCTCCCTAGTTAGTGTTTTCTTACACAGTGTTACATTTCTTCCCTGCTACATAAACCCCTGGTTTTAGTCAGTCAGGGAGATAGATTGCAGACTGAGCTCCCATCCCCTTGACTGCAGCACCCAATTAAGGCCTTCTTCCTTGGCAATACTTTGTCCTCTCAGTAATTGGCTTTCTGTGCAGCCAGCAGCAGGACCTAGACCAAACCCCTGGTGTTTCAGTAACAAACAAACCCTGTGACACCGGTTTACCTAAGTAATGAACCTGCATATGTATCCCCAAAGATAATTTTTTTAAAAAACCAAAATTATATTAAAAGATATCAAAATAATCAAAATAAAAAAATAAAACTAACCCAAGCTGCTTTTCAAATACAACTACACTGCTTCACAGGTACTGTATCTTATAACAACAAAACAATTCTAATTCCCTTCTTTCGTTAGTAAAGTTATCAAGAATAAAGAAAGGCATTACATAGAGATGAAGAGCCACTCTTCCAATAAGATGTCATAATTCTTAAAGCCTATGAGCCTGACAACAGAGTGTAAACTATGTGAGACAGAAAGCAACAGAACCACAAGGAAAAAGATATGTATTCACTATTACAGTTGGAAACGTTATCATATGTCAAGTATGGGCAGATCTAGCAGGCAGCAATTCAGGAGGGAAAACCTGAACACAACAGCACCACCAAGCAACTGGGCATAACTGACACTTACAGCCTACTTCCCTCAACTACTGCAGATGACACATTCTTCTTAAGCTTGTATGGAATATTCAGCAAAATATATCACATTCTGGGACAAAAAAATACTCTAACAATTTAAAGAAAATGGAAATCATACAATGTCAGCTCCCAGACTACAGTGGAATTAAATCAGAAATCGCAGGATAACTGCAGCAACTGGAATATCACAAAATGCATAAAGATTAAACAACACACTTCCATATAACGTATGGGTCAAAGAAAACAACCAGACAATTTTTTAATTTTTTAATTTTTCAACCTAAATGAAAATGAAAACACAATTTCTCAAAATTTGTGAGATGAAAGGAAAACAGAGCATATAGGGAAACGTATAGCACTGAACGCATACATAGGAAACAATGAAAGATCAAAAATCTGTCATCTGTTTCTAGCTTTGCAACTTAGAAAAAGAAGAATATATTAAATCCAAACTCAGTTAAAGAAAAGCTGTAAGGCTATTAACAGTAAAACAAAGTAAAAGTAAAAGCAACTGCATTTTTCACACAAATATTATCTTAGTTCTTAGAACACAGAGGCATCCAAAATTAACAGGGCAAACAAAGCATCCCAAACACCCCCCTTGCTTACGGGCATGCAGCCATGACCCTCTCAGAAATGACGACCCCACGCTTCAGAAATGATCAGTCTCAGGCTCCTGAGGCCGGGCACTTTCATTTGCTCCAAAGTCGTACTGAACATTTTAGAATTGCTAAATAACAGATTTTTAATATTCTCACCATAAAATATTGGTCAGCTGGTAAGCTGATGCATATGTTAATTAGCTTGATTAAATCTTCCACTATGAATATAAAAATCAAAACATCACATCATAATCCATAAATATACGCAATTGATGTCCATTAAAAATAAAAAGTTTGGGCCGGGCGCAGTGGCTCATGCCTGTAATCCCAGCACTCTGAGAGGCCGAGGCGGGCGGATCACAAGGTCAGGAGATCGAAATCATCCTGGCTAATACAGTGAAACCCCGTCTCTACTAAAAAATACAAAAAAAAAAAAAAAAAAAATTAGCCGGGCGTGGTGGTGGGCGCCTGTAGTCCCAGCTACTCCGGAGAGTGAGGCAGGAGAATGGAGTGAACCCAGGAGGCGGAGCTTGCAGTCAGACTAGATCGCGCCACTGCACCTCCAGCCTGGGCGACTGAGCGAGACTCCATCTTAAAATAAATAAATAAAAATAAATAAATAAATAAATAAATAAATAAAACACTTTGGTAATTTTTTTTTTTTTTTTTTTGAGACGGAATCGGACTCTGTCGCCTAGGCTGGAGTGCAGTGGTGCAATCTTGGCTCACTGCAACCTCCGCCTCCCGGGTTAAAGCGATTCTCCTGCCTCAGCCTCCCGAGTAGTTGGGACTACAGGCACCCGCCACCATGCCCAGCTAATTTTTGTATTTTTAGTACAGACGAGGTTTCACCATCTTGGTCACGCTGGTCTCGAAGTCCTGACCTCAGGCGATCCACCCGCCTCCGCCTTCCAAGTGCTGGGATTACAGGCGTGAGCCACCGTGCCCAGCCACTTTGGTAAGTTCTTTACGAATAATTCAAAAAGAAAAAACCTAGGTAAATAACTATTACTACGTCCATAATATAAAAGGGCACATGTGAGAGAAAGCACACAGTTTAAATGTACCTTAAGGTCTGGGAAACATGGAAAACTCCTGAGGTTTGTAGGAGAACAAACAGGGACGACGACACAGGCAGGCACCACCTCGGGAACAAGCGGAAGTTCGCAGAAAAGCGACCCTGAAAGCCCAATGCCTCTGACCCTGCAGAGAGCCGCCCTCAGTTCCCCTGTGGGCCTCGCCGCCCCCACATTCCAGTGTCAGCCTTGCCCTCTGCCCTCTGCCTTCTCTCTCCCTGTGGGCCTCCCCCCCAGCTCTTGGCGCCCACTCACTCCTGCTGTCTGCCTGCCGCCCTCACTCTGCCTGCCTCCCTCTGCAGTCCTCCCGCCGTCCTTCCTCAGCCCTCGCTTTCCTTGTAGGCCTGGGCCTCTCCGCTGCCCTCTGCCCTGTGCCCCCTGCCCCCTGTCCCCTGTCCCTTGCCCTCTGCCTGCGGCCCTCACTCCCCACCTCACTGTGCAGACTTGGGCACCACACATCCTGTCAGGCTGCTTCCAGCTTCCGGTAAAATAGAGGAAAGTATACAGAATACACAAGTATGTAAATAAAAACCATGTAAATAGAATAAAGTATTCAAAATTAATCGTTACAGTTACCGAAAAATGACTTTTCAAGGCTGCCAAGATAATTTAGTATGGAAAATATTTTCTGTAAAATTACTGGGACAAGTGGATATTGGCATGAAAGTTGACTCCTCCCTCACAAAATATACTTAACTGACTCAAAATAGATCATAGACTCATATGTATGAGCTGAAACTACAAATCCCATAGAATAGAACATAGAAATAAATCTTTGTGGCTTAGGTGAAACAATAGATTGACACCAAAATACATGCCGCAAAAGAAAAAAAAATAGATAAATTGAACTTCATTAGATTTTAAAACTTTTGTGATTCAAAGTACACCATAAGGATAACCCAAACATGGGAGAAATGTTTGCAAGTCATATAGCTGATAGGGGTCTGTTGTCGAGAATATAGAAAACATTGTTACAAAACAAAACAAAGAAAAGATCATAACTAAATATGAGTACATTGTGTGAACAGATATTTCTCCAAAGAAGCTACACAAATGTCCAAAAAGCACATGAAAATATCTTCCACACCTTTAGTACTTATTTATTAAAATGCAAATCTACATTATCAAGAGATAGATACACTTCCCAAATTTTTTTTTGAGACGGAGTTTTGCCCTTTTTGCCTGGGCTGGAGTACAATGGCATGATCTCAGCTCACTGCAATCTCTGCCTCCCGGGTTCAAGCAATTCTCCTGCCTCAGCCTCCCGAGTAGCTGGGATTACGGGCAAGCACCACCACACCCAGCTAATTTTGTATTTTCAAGAGATGAGGTTTCTCCATGTTGGTCAGGCTGGTCTCGAACTCCCAACCACAGGTGATCCACCCGCCTCGGCCTCCCAAAGTGCTCAGATTACAGGCATAAGCCACCGTGCCTGGCCCACAAATCTTAAAAGCATATTCTTAAGTGAAAGAAGCCAGTTTGAAAAAAGTACATACTGTGTAATTAATTACATTTATATGACATAGTGGACAAGGTGTAATTATAGTTAGGAAAAAGGTAAGTGATTAAAAGGGGCTTGAGGCCAGTAGCGGTGGCTCACGCCTGTAATCCCAGCACTTTGGGAGGCCAAGGCGGGCAGATCATCTGAAGTCAGGAGTTCGAGACCAGCCTTGCCAACATGGTCAAACCCCATCTCTACTAAAAATACAAAATTAGCCGGGTATGGTGGTGCATGCCTGTAATCCCAGCTACTCAGGAGGCTAAGGCAGGAGAATCGCTTGAACCCAGGAGGCAGAAGGTGCAGTGAGCCGAGATCATGCCACTGCACTCTAGCACTCCAGCACTCCAAGCCTGGGAAATAAGAGCAAAACTCCGTCTCAAAAAAAAAAAAAAAAAAAAAAAAGCGCTGGGTGCTTGAGAGAGAAAGGTTGAATAGGTGAAATAGAAACTTTGTATGTGTGCAGTGAAATAATTTTCTGTGATACTTCAATGGTATGTTAATTATACTATTTTACAAACCCCGTAGAATTTTACATCAAAAAGTATAAACCTACATAAATGTGAATTTTAAATGTCATTTAATAGGTTAGGAGATCCTATGGGGGAATGCAGTCAAAATAATATAAATGTGTAACAAATAAATGAAATAACCTCATGGAAGGAAGTGGGGGCAAAGGAGACCAAGCTAAGAAATTTAGAAAAATAGAAGTTCTTAGGCTAAATGTCAAAGTATTTGTACATAAATACTCTACTTTAGTTGGAAATATTCTTTCCCATCGGGGTATGAATTACCAATTCTAAAAAAACTCTGCATGTATTTTGGGCTCTGAAATTACATAAAGTAGCCCAACCGTCTCACTGTTAACATGGGAGGTAACATACAAGTAGTGGGAATGGGGAGATTGATTCATGTGGTACTGAATTAGATCATGGGTGCTAGAAACAGGAAGAATTCATGCTTAACTTTACATAGATACATATGGAGAAATGTAGACCTACAAATACATATGTCAATATGAGTTACACACACACATACTTTGTCAGATGACAAAGCATAGAACTAGTAAGTCCCTAGTAGAAATGAGAACACTACTCCCCAGAGTTTTGTTTCTAATGCCACTCACCAAAAAAGGAACTAGGAATTTTTGGAGAAATGCTTAATGGTAGGGTTGGGCAGGGAATCAACACTATTAAGTTTAAGCACCTTGTAGTGCCAGAAAGTAAGAAAAAGTTAAACACCACAACCAACCACCCAACTACACAAACAAAATCAAACAGCAATGATGTGGGTATTTCAAAGTGGTAAAGTAGCAGCTGACTGAAAGACCTTCTAATGACCAACACTAGAGCAATTTGAGTAACACAATAAACTAGTACAATTACAGTGGAAATAAATATTTATTATTTGCATAATATTCCATATGTTCTAATTAAATTAATATAAAATAAATGCTGGAGAATAGGTAAATTGCCTATAGTAATGAAATACAAATTATATTTGTAGATGTCCTATCCCCAAGGAGGTAGAGCATAATTCTCCACTTGTGAAGTATGTGCTATGCATAGTAACAGTTTTCCAAAAAGTATGGCATGGAAAAGGGGAAGAAAGATTAATTTTAGAGTTGAGAAACTGACCTAAACTCCCTAATGTAGGTGATCAAATTAGTATCAATAGTTGATACAGCATTCTGATATAATGTCGTGAGTATCACACTTACCCCTATGGTCTTACTGTCCAAAACCCAGAACTCCTGTCTGACTGTAAGCGAAAAAAAAAATCACGGAAATCCCAAATGGAGGATGTCAATGTCATCAAAAACAAGGAAATTCAGAGAAACTGACAGAGACAAAGAAAGACTAAGGAGACATGATATCAAAATGTGATATGCTATCCTGGAAGAGTTCCTGGAACAGAAAATGGGCATTAAGTGAAAAAAGGAAAAAATAAATCTGGTTAATATGTGGATATGTGTATATCAGTGAATGAGAATGCATGTTAGTGTGTTAATTGTGACAGATGCCCCCCACTAATGTAAGAGGTTAATAATAATGGAAACTCTGTGTTGGCTATATATTAACTCTCTGTATTGACTATGCAACTGTTCTGTAAATCCAAAGCTAATGCAAAACAGAAGAGTTTTTTCCTCTCTTTCTAAATACTCTCTGCCAAGCTTGATAAACAGAATATTATCAATATTGTTAATGCCCTAAATGTTCATCTCCCCAATTCCACAGTCTTTCTTACCCCCATGAAGGTTACTATTATTTTCCATTTTCTTTTTATCATTCCCACTTTTTTCTATATTATTTTTATGGCTAAGTTTGTTTTTCTAAATAATATATTGTTCAGTTTGTATTGTCTTCCAATTTAAATAAATAAAGCTGTTCCAATTGATCTGTAGTTCTATTCAAATAACGAGAAACCATCAGATGAATCCACATTGTGATGCGTCCTACAAAATATTTGACCAGTTCTTTTCTGAAAAATAACTGAATACTGGGAAACTGCTGCACCTCAGAAAGGACCTGATATCGCAGGTACCCTAAGACGGTACCCAATGATCACCACCTGTTGGTTTACACGACCTTGTATTGTAATCATCTCCCTGTAAGGTTGGGCACAAGATAAGATGTGATTTGCTTTGATACAATAGAATAATACAAGGAGATGGGATATCATATGGGTGATTATGTTACATAAAAGTGTGATTTTTTTTTTCTTGCTAGCAAGCTCTCTGCCTTGATGGCTTTGATGGCTCATTCTGCCATAAGGCAGAAGCCAACATGGGAAGGAACTGAATGCAGCCTCTGGTCAACAGCCAGCAAGGAACTGAGGCTCTGGACCAACAGCCTGCCCTAGAGTTTGCAATTTACACTTCCAAATAATCCAAGCCCCCTTTCAAATAACAGCCTATCACTTGACAGAAAGTGTGAACACCTTATTATACCAGAATAATCCTAATTCTTTTCTCTTATCCCTTGTATCATTGCAGTCATTCATTTCACTTACATAGAATACACATGTGTGTGTATATATATATTAATTTATGTATGACACATACTTAAGCATACTTATTTAAATACATTGGTACTACTACTATTTTTAACAGACTGTTATTTGTTAGATCAATTAAGAATATGAAAAATAAAAGTTTTTATTGCCTAGTTTAACCACTAAACAAAGTTTTAAAAATGTATGGCTGAAATGCTAAGAAAGGAGAGAAGATGAATTTATATAAAATGTTCATCTAGGCTAGGCGTGGTGGCTCACACCTGTAATCCCAGCAGTTTGGGAGGCCAAGGCGGGTGGATCACAAGGTCAGGAGTTCAAGACCAGCCTGATCAATATGGTGAAACCCCGTCTCTACTCAAAAATACAAAAATTAGCCAGGCGTGGTGGTATGCGCCTGTAGTACCAGCTACTCAGGAGGTTGAGGCAGGAGAATCGCTTGAACCCAGGAGGCGGAGGTTGCAGTGAGCCAAGATCTTGCCACTGCACTCCAGCCTGGGAGACAGAGCGAGACTCCGTCTCAAAAAACAAACAAACAAACAAACAAACAAAAAAGCTAATCCAAACAACACAAGGTAGAAAATGAGTGAAATACAAAAAATAGGAACAAAAGCAAATAAACAACTGGAAGATAGTGACAAGTTTCATAGATTTTTAATCAGCTATATCAATGATTTGAATGTCAATGTTCTAAATGCAGTAGATAAAAGACTGAGTGAATCAAAAAGACCCAAGTATATGTTGTCTATATGAAACTCACTTTAAATATGAAGACCTATATGACCTAAAAGTGAGTGGGTACAACAAATATAACATGATTACAAAAATCAAAGGAAGCAGGTGTACCTATATTAGTTTCCAAAGTCAAACATATGTGGGTAATTTCATTCATTTACTAAGATAGCAAATCATTTAAGTACAAATAATCCACCAGTAAAAAACTTCTACAGTTAACAATTAGTACAAATATAATTTAAAAGGGGACATGTGATGAAAGAATAAATTTATGTAACATGTTACAATCTGAGAGACACAGAAACATCACCAGGACATGCAGTCACAGGTGTGTGAACATGTGTATGTCCAAGGAGAAACATCTCTCCTGGATCATTACCCAGTGCCTCCACGGTCTGCCCTTCCAGCTCCTGCCTCCTCACGTATTTCTCATCTCAGCTGTCCTTTCAATCCACTGTCCTCTTCTCATGGGCTAGCCTGTGCCACAGACACAGTTTCCTCTTCCCTTTCCCTCCCCTGTTTGCTGAACTCACTACTCCTTACTCTCCAGAATCTCCTCCAACGCTCCTCCTCCTGGAGGCCTCCCTTGCCCATCCCATCCCAGGCCTGAAACTTGTCCTCTGGGCTCCCAAGGGCAGTTCCTCCACCTACAGTTTAGTTTCTGTTAAGTTTTCTCAGTGCCCACTGAACTGAAATATCACAGAAGAGGGAAACTTTGTCTATGTTGTTCCCCTATGAGCCCCACACATGTTAATAGAGCAACACACAGATTCTGCTTTATATTGAATTCTACAAATAAATTTACAAATCTAACTCCTCACCTACATTCTTGTCTTCTTCCCAATAAATTTCAAGTCTTTCTATCTGAAAATGATTTGAACTTGAAGATAAAGCTGGTTTTTGTTGTTGTTGTTGTTGTCCCTTCTGTTCTCAGGACAGAATCTGAATCCTAATTCCCCCTTAGCCTCTTCTCCAGCCTCCCCAACCTCAATACACTGCAGAGCTCCTCTCACTGACCTGCCTGCTTCTACCTCATCTACTTGCTCCTCTTCTGTCCTAACCACAGTTCTGCCCTCTGAGACTGAGAAAAATATTGTTCACCTCTATTAGCTCTGTTAATATGGCTCCTTTGATAAATATTTCCAAATCTTTATTGGCGACTACATCTCACCTTTTTTTTTTTTTTTTTTTTTGAGACGGAGTTTCACTCTTGTTGCCCAGGCTAGAGTGCAATGGCGTGATCTCAACTCACCACAACCTCTGCCTCCCAGGTTCAAGCGATTCTCCTACCTCAGCCTCCCGGGTAGCTGGGATTACAGGCATGCACCACCATGCCTGGCTAATTTTGTATTTTTATTAGACGCGGTTTCTCCATGTTGGCCAGGCTGGTCTTGAACTCCTGACCTCAGATGATCCGCCCACCGCGGCCTCCCAAAGTGCTGAGATTACAGGCGTGAGCCACTGTGCCAGGCCACATTTCACCAATTCTTAACTTTTCTTTAATGTCACAAATGCCAGTTCCTGTCTGCCTTCCTCACTGTGCTGGACTCACATTTGTCCTCACTCACCTTCACATGGCCAAGTAGAACCACTTAACTGGGGAAGAATCATGTATGAGTAATTCCAGAAAAAATGAAACAAGATGTGGAACAACTGATAGAGATTAGACATGGCTTGCCACATGTAAAAACAAACAAACCAAAAAACTGGATGAATTACATGTGAAAATGGATTCCAGACACTACACATCCATCAGTGAAGAATGGCGATAAGTGAGAAATTTGAAAAATGGTCTGAGACCTACTATTGAGTAAGGATACTGCTTTAGGAGTTCCCAGGCTGTGCTGTAGCATAAACTGTGGAAGGCACACTGAGTTGACAAGAGGGAACATAGAGTCTGGAGAACACAGTGGCTGAATTTTGTCAAGCCATTTTCCACATCTAATGGTAAAGATGTGAGACAGCATAGATGCCAACATCCATACTGACAGGGCTGTGGTGTCATCATTACTACACTAAAACATGGTGAACAGAACTACAGGAGTAGCAAATAAATAAAAGGCAAAGGCACAACCAAGTAATTTGAATGAACTTGGCCTTCACCTTTTCATCTTATTCCTGAACGGAAAACAACAGGTTGTTCATGGCTGTGATCTTGCACCAAGCTTGAGGATGAAGGGATGGCCTTAGAAATGACGTAAACGATGTATTTAAGTACATGAACCACCCCATGTGAACACTAACCTGCCTCTTTGTTTTTTGTTTTTTTCTTTTTTTTTTTTTTTTTGAGACGGAGTCTCGCTCTGTCCCAGGCTGGAGTGCAGCGGTGCGATCTCGGCTCACTGCAAGCTCCGCCTCCCAGGTTCATGCCATTCTCCTGCCTCAGCCTCCTGAGTAGCTGGGACCACAGGCACCCACAACCACGCCCGGCTAATTTTGTTTTTGTATTTTTAGCAGAGACGGGGTTTCAACGTGTTAGCCAGGATGGTCTCAATCTCCTGACCTTGTGATCTGCATGCCTCGGCCTCGCAAAGTGCTAGGTGACATGAGCCACTGTGCCCGGCCCACTAACCTGCTTTTTCTATGTTATCCTGTTAGTTGTGGCTGATAAACTCATTACATTATGAAATAACTAAAGTAGAGGCAAGGTGTGGTGGCTCTCGTCTGTAATCTCAGGACTTTTGGGGGTGTACCATTTGCATCCAGGGGTTCAAGACCAGTGTGGGAAACAAGGTAAGACCCCATTTCTACAAAACATCTAAAATTAGTTAGGCGTCATGGTATGCATCTGTAGTCCAGATGCTCAGGATCCTGATGCAGCAGGACTGCTTGAATACTGGGAGGTCGAGGCTGCAGTGAGCTATGATCATGCTACTGAACTCACCCTGGGTGACAGAATGAGACCTTGTATCAAAAAAAAAAAAAAAAAAAAAGACAGTAAAGCTTTCTATTTAAAAGAGCAGAACAAAATTATCACCAAAAGAAGAAGAAACCAATGAAACTTTTTCTATTTGTTTCCCTAGAAATTCTCATTGTTTTTAAATTTGAGAAATAGTTTTCCTTTCTTCTTCACTACATAAACACCACTTTCTATCTGGTTTGCATGAAATATCAGGCTGTTCTTTATAGTCAGTGAAATTAAGTCAAATGATGACACACTGTAATAAAATAGATGGGTACTTTTTCTTCTTTTTACCAAAATCGGTCACCGAAATTATCTGTGTACACTATTGGAGCTCAAAGACTGACTGCTGTCATACCTGAGAAAACAAATGTCCATCTACCAATTTAGAACAAAAGCACCCATAAAACATGGGTAAAAGTACCCATAAAATAGCATTCTTCTTGCTCTGATGGTGCTCACATCTAGTATATCTTTATCAAATGATCTTAATCCTCCCACATATATATAAACTGAGCTTTTCAAAAAGAGTTCAACTATTTTCAGTTTCTATACATGTGGATCTTTGTCTGACGTAATTCTTGATTTCGTGAGATGAAACATAGGCAAAATACATTAAAGTTTTTCTCCTAAAATTTCTCTCACTGAGGCAAAACTTATCTGAATCACTTTTAAACCCATCTTGCCAATAACTAACCCCATATCATCTGTACTAATCAAAAGCACTGATGATGCTGCATTTCTGATGGGATTCCTATGCTACTCTCTGTGAGATTATCTTTCCAACCTCCTGACATCCCTTCTGCAAGTTTTGATGATGATATTACCTGAAGATATCAATGGGAAGTTTTTAGACCAAGTTCATGTCAGTGTCCATGAGGACAATCTCATTATGACTGTCTTCCGGCCAACAGTGTTTCAACACTATCAGATTCAAGATGCCTTTCTGTGAAGAGATGTGACTGGGTGCACCACAGCGTGAATGAAATACATTAGTTTTCCCTGAGACTGCCCGCTTCTCAGTGTTAAATCATCATGGTTGTGTTCCTGTCTGTTTTAAGTGCAAAGAACTTTTTAAAAACTACCATTCGGCCAGGCGCAGTGGCTCACGCCTGTAATCCCAGCACTTTGGGAGGCTGAGGCGGGCGGATCACAAGGTCAGGACATCGAGACCATCCTGGCTAACATAGTGAAACCCTGTCTCTACTAAAAATACAAAAAAATTAGCCGGGCGTGGCGGGCACCTGTAGTCCCAGCTACTAGGGAGGCTGAGGCAGGGGAATGGCATGAACCCGGGAGGCAGAGCTTGCAGTGAGCTGAGATCGCGCCACTGCACTCCAGCCTGGGTGAAAGAGCGAGACTCTGTCTCAAAGAAAAAAAAATTAAAAAAAATAAAAACTATCATTCAAAAAATCAATTAAGGAGGAAGACACAATTGTAAAGAGCTACTAGAAGCTTTCCTTGAAGTGTTAGCTTTTTAAAGACTTATTGAGTACACATGGCACAAAGATGGGAACAATAGACACCAGGGCCTACCTGACAGCAAGGGTGGGAGGAGGGTGATGGTCAAAAAACTAAACTACCTATCGAGTATTACGCTGACTACTTTAGTGATGAAATCATTTGTACACTAGACCCTAGTGACATGCAATTTATTCAGGTAACAAACCTACACGTGTATTCCTGAAACTAAAATAAAAGTTGAAGAAAAGAAAAAATACTTAGAAAAAGCTTTAAATTGATAATTCCTGCCTTTATTTTAGGAATACGAGTAACAGTCTTTGTAAGCTTCATTCTAAACTCAATTCTCCAACCTATAATATTTGTGTGTGTCTCTATATCCTCATTTCCATTTATGTTTTTAATCATGAGGCTGATGAACCTGCAAGTCACCTCATGATGACCCACTGCAGATGTGGATGCTTCGTGGTCCTTGTTAAACCCTTTGATATGTCCCCTGGCTACTTTGTTCAACTCTACTTTGAGGTACTTGGATATTGGAATTGGTTTTCCCATTTCCTCGTGAATGTATCGAGTAAAGAAGAAACTCATATAGTTCATGATTCAGAATTATGACTAAAATTTTACCCAGAGTTTTAGGCTCCAGGAAGACTGAATTAAGTGAACATCAAGTTATGATCTCAAAGATAGGAGCCATTCATTCATTGAACTCTAACTTCTAATCAGGGTAGGGTGTGCAGAGTGTTGGGCATTTGCCTCACGATGTGGTGTAAGAGTTTGGCCTGTGTGCAATGACGTCTTTTGAAAACTGCTGTGGCCAGGCCCATCTGTGTGAAATCTGGTGGTTTAGTATACTGTGGCAAATCATATCTTCCATGCTGTCGGAAGTTTTGTTTGGGGACTTGGTGCACCACACTGTATCATGTAACTTCATTTCAGTACACTTTTGCATCTGTTTGCTTTTTCCTGTTAAGTCTGAGCTCTCACACCTGATTGATTTTGATTTTCCAGTTTGAGGGACCACTCCTTGTCCAGATCTCTTGTGTCTCATTTATGGCCTTCCACTCTGGTCTTTTTGTTGTTGATCCATACTTCAGTAAGGTAGAGTGTTGACAGTATATACATCATGACAGATTATTATTATTATTTTTATTTATTTATTTATTTATTTTTGAGACAGAGTCTTGCTCTGTCGCCCAGGCTGGAGTGCAATGGCACTATCTCAGCTCACTGCAACTGCCACCTCCTGGGTTCAAGTGATTCTCCTGCCTCAGGATTACAGGCAGGTGCCACCATACCCGGCTAATTTTGTATTTTTAGTAGCAATGAGGTTTCTCCACGTTGGTCAGGCTGGCCTCAAACTCCCAACCTCAGGTGATCTGCCTGTCTGGGCCTCCCAATGTGCTGGGATTACAGGCATGAGCCACTGTGCCCGGCCAGATTTTAAAATATGCATTGAAGCGAAGAGTAAAAGGAGATTTCACAAGTCATTAAAGTATTAATATATATCCACTTAAAATAAATAATCCTCCATGTGTTGAGATGTGAAGTATTAATGAGGCCTTTTATATCTCAAAGAGTAAAGTATATGAGATTGGAGAAGTTAAGGATTTTCACAAATACAAATACTCAAATAACAGCGCCTAAATAACAGTTCTTATTATCTTGATCTCAGACATGAGAAATGTGGTTCAGGTCAGCTGTATCTCTCACTCCAGACTCTAAGCTGTGAACTACTTTTCTCACTGACGCTACTGATTTGATGTGGAGAATATAACACATGATTATAGACTTTAAAAGGAATTATGCTAATCTTATGGATCTCTATGGAGTGCAGTACGCATTCACACGGCTTTGTAGGCTTTTTAGGTATGTTTCCTGGACATTACCCTTGTGCTGCCAATCAGATTGCTGTGGTCTGTGAATTGGGAGCTGTTGGTGGCAGGTCAGTGGACAGTCCTCTCTGCAGTGGGATTCTTTCTTTAGCCAGCACATATGCACAATCCTCATTCAGCCTGTTTCCATCTCTTGGATCATGGCATGGAGGGTTGAGCATATGTTGTATATGGCTTGTTCTTTTGCTTTTTCTATCTCGTTTTCTCCACTTACATACAACACATCTGTATTAGTCTCCTTTCACACTGCTATAAAGACATACCTGAGACTGGGTAATTTATTTTAAAAAAAAAGAGGTTTAACTGACTCATAGTTCCACATAGCTGGGGAGGCCTCCAGAAACTTACAATCAAAGCGGAAGGGGAAGCAGGTACATCTTACATGGTGGCAGGCGAGTGAGGCAGGGAGGGGGAGGGAGAGAAGGAGAAAGAGAGAGAGAAAGAGAGAGAGTGCACAAGCAAGAAAGCGAGAGAGACAGAGAGAGAGAGTGCACAAGCAAGTGTGTGTCAGTGAAGGAAAAACTGCTGGTTATAAAACCATCAAATCTCTCGAGAATTCACTATCATGAGAACAGCATGGGGGAATCACCCACATAATCCAATCATTTCCCACCAGGTCTCTCCCTAAACACCTGAGGATTGCAATTCAAGATGAGATTTGGGTAGGGACACAAAGCCTGATCATACCAACATCTGACTTCACCTGCCAAAAACTTTGTGTACGGAGATTCATATGTAGGTCTTTGTAAGCAGGGACTGGCCTAAAGTAGCATATTTATAAACTTATTTTTTGTAGCCAGCTCACCTGCGACCATGATATCTACTTTGTGGCTTTTGGGTTTGGCAAGGGACAATACAATTCTATGATATCAATGTCAATAGGCTACAGGGTTCCAAATAATTCATGATTCAGTCTGTAAAGTGAAAATAACAATTTTCACAGAGTTTTCTCAAAGACTTGAAGGAATATCTGTCTTTTGAGCAAGTAAACAAAAAATACTTGTACATAGAAAAAACACTCTCCTAAATTCAGAAATACAGTTTATATCTCCTATCACTGACTTTTTTTTTTTCCGAGACGGAGTCTCGCTCTGTTGCCCAGGCTGGAGTGCAGTGGTGCGATCTTGGCTCACTGCAAGCTCTGCCTCCCAGGTTCACATCATTCTCCTGCCTCAGCCTCCTGAGTAGCTGGGACTACAGGCGCCCGCCACCATGCCTGGCTAATTTTTTGTATTTTTAGTAGAGACGAGGTTTCACCGTGTTAGCCAGGATGGCCTCAATCTCCTGACCTCATGATCTGCCCACCTCGGCCTCCCAAAGTGCTGGGATTATGGGTGTGAGCCACCACACTCAGCCACTGACATTTCTTAATACTGGATTTTAATATCCTGCAGTCATGTCTTTCAATAAGTTTTTAGTGGATCCTGCAGATTCACTTCAAAATAGAGTCTGAAAGTAGGCTTTCTGGAATATGTATGTGAGGCACAAGCACCTGTCTTTGAAGATGTGGTTACTGACACTCAAATTGGTGAGTGGGGAGTAGGCAGTCTGATGGCAATGAAGAAAGATGACTAGAGTCCCTGGAGCTCGAAGTTCTCTTCCTGAAGCAACCTGTGTTCAGAATGATGGGATGCTCTTCCCTCCCTACACATTCATTCATTTCCTGTGCATGAGGTTATTGTTTCTGATTTGTTTTCTTTGTGCCAAAATAATATCTACACATTTTACTATTTGAAACAATTTTAGATATACAGAAATATTCATAGATAGTACAGAGAGTTTTATACATCTTTCAGATATCTGGAATGATAACATCTAATGTAACCATAGTATATATAGGAAAACAAAGAAGTTGTACGTGGTACTAAAATTTTAACTGAAGTACAGGCTTCTATATTTTACTAGGCTTTGCAGTAATGTCATTCTTTGGTTCTAGGATCTAATCCAGGATGCCACATTACATTTACTATCTGGTGTACTACTTATTAGTTTCTGCATAACAAATTACCACATAATTAGTGCCTCAAAACCACACACATATTACTCACAGTTTCTCTGGGCCAGGAATCCAGATTAGATGATGGCCAGGGCTGGGCTCTCAACTGAAGGCTCACTTGGAAAAGGATCCCCTTCCAAGCTCATGTGTTTGTTGTTAGGATTCACTGGTGCATATGTCTAAACCTTTTAAAAAATTAATACCAAACTATTACCAATAGTTCAAAAAAATTAAAAATGACACAAATAAAGAGGAGAAGACAGCACTTCGCAATGCATTTTATGAGACAGTTTACCCTGATCTCAAACAGAAATGTAACAAAGATATTTCAAGAGAACATTATAAATGGATATTATGAATATAGATGTTAAATATGAGCAAAACAAATCAGTAACATGTAAAAAGAATTATACAGTATGACCAAGGATGTTTATATATCAGTAATGCAAACTTGGTTCAACAACAAAATAAATTAGTATTCATGCACTATATTAGTAAAATAAAGGACAAAATCCACATGATTATCTCAAAAATGAAGACTAAACACTTGCTCAATGCCAAATCAACTGATGATAAAAACATGTAGCAGGTTAGGCATAGAAGGGAACTTTCTTCACCTTAAAGACAACCATGAATAACTCACATAACATCATAATTTACTTGAAAGTTGTCCACTCTTGCCACTTCTATTTTTAACATTTTACTGGAAGGTACAGTAAGGACAAATAGGCTAGAAAAATAAATACGAATAATCTGATTTGGAAAGAAAGTCAACGATGCAAATGACATGGTCTTGAGAATGGAAAATTCTAGGAATTTTAATGAAATATAATTAGAAATAAAAAATGAGTTCATCAAGGTTGCAGTAAACAAGGTCAAAATAGAGAAATAAATTTCATTTATACACACTAGCAACTGTTAGATATGTACATTGAAAACTATAAAACTTATTCAACAAAAACAATTACATCCTAAATAAATGAAAAGGCCTTTTTTATTCACTGATTGAACGGCTTAATATTGCTAAGATAGCACTATTTTCCAAATGGATCTACAGATTTAATGCAGTCCCCATCGAAATTCCAGATGAAATTTTGCTTAAATTTGAATGTTGATTATAAAACTGGTATGTAAATGGAATAGATCCAGAACAAAGAAATTAATCTGCATAGTAAATGCACACTTCCTGATTACAAAATGACTACAAGGCAATAGTAATAAAGTTTTGTGGTACTGGCTGGGTGCAGTGGCTTGTGCCTGTAATCACAGCTACTCAGGAGGCTGAGGCAGGAGGATTGCTTGAGGCCAAGAGTTTGAGATCAGCCTGTGCAACACAGCGAGATCTTTTTCTACAAAAAAGTTTTTGGCCAGGTGCAGTGGCTCATGCCTGTAATCCCAACAGTTTGGGAGGCCGAGGAGGGCAGATCACCTGAGATCAGCAGTTCGAGACCAGCCTGGCCAACGTGGTGAAACCCCATCTCTACTAAAAATGCAAAATTAGCCAGGTGTAGTGGTGCATGCCTATACTCCCAGCTACTTGGGAGGCTGAGGCACGAGAATCACTTGAACCCAGGTGGCGGAGGTTGCAGTGAGCCGAGATCATGCCACTGCACTCCAGCCTGGGTGACAGAGCAAGAATCTGTCTCAAAAAAAAATAAATAAAAGTTTTAAAAAACTTAGCCAGGCTTGGTGGCCCACATGAGTAGTTCTTCATACTCAGGAGGCCGAGGTGGGAGGATCTCTTGAGCCCAGGAATTGGAGGCTGCAGTGAGGCATGATCATGCCACTGTACTGTGGCCTGGGTGAGACAGCAAGACCCTGTCCCAAAACAAAAAGAAAAAAGTAAAAGAAAAAAAAAAGATTTGTGGAACTAGTATAAAGATAGACATATATACATCAATACAATAAAATTGAGTGTCCAAAAATTAACACTTACCTGCAAGATCAACTGATTTTCAAGTTTGCCAAGCAATTCAATAAGAAAAATAAATAAATATTTTTTAACAAATGTTGCTGGGACAAGTGGATATCTACATGCAAGTTGAACTCCTCTCTCACACCATATACATGACTGATTCGAATTAATCATATATCTAAATATAAGTGCTAGATAGGCCAAAACCATAGACGATAACATAGAAATACGTTTCAATGACATTAGATTATTAAACAATGTTTTCGAAGATGTGACAGATAATGCATAAGTAACAAAATAAAAAAGAGATATATTGGTCTTCATCAGAATTAAAATCTTCTGTGATTCAAAGTGCATCATCAAAAAGTAAAAAGAAAAACCAAAGAAGGGAGAAAATTTTTGCTAGCCACATAAGGATCTAATATTCAGTATATATAAAACATGTTTTAACTCAATAATAAAAAGGCAAATATCTAAGTAAAATGGCCAATTACTTAAATGTACATTTCTCCAAAAATGCTATAATTATAACCAAGAAAGACATGAAGGTTTGCTCAACTCCTTTGTTATTAGGGTAATGAATATTTAAACAATGATGGAGTTACATTTCACCAATCTAAAATGTGTATTGTTAAGTGAAAAAAGCAAGTGGAAAAGGCAAAATACTGTATAATTCCATTTACAGAACACTCTGGAAAAGACAAATGTACAAAGGTAGTAAAAAGATTGGTGGTTACAAGAGGCTTGGGAGAGAGAAAACATGAATATGAATTACAGCAGTTTTCTTTTCTTTTCTTTTCTTTTTTTTTTTTTTTTTTTTGAGACGGAGTCTTGCTCTGTCGCCCAGGCTGGAGTGCAGTGGTGTGATCTCGGCTCACTGCAAGCTCCGTCTCCCAGGTTCACGCCATTCTCCTGCCTCAGCCTCCTGAATAGCTGGGACTACAGGCACCCGCCACCACACCGGGCTAATTTTTTGTATTTTTTGTAGTAGAGAAGGGGTTTCACTGTGTTAGCCAGGATGGTCTCGATCTCCTGACCTCGTGATCCACCTGCCTCCGCCTCCCAAAGTGCTGGGATTACAGGCGTGAGCCACCGTGCCCGGCCAAATTACAGGGGTTTTCTATGGGGCAGTGTAATTATTCTGTGTGACGTTACAGTGATGGATACATAACAGTGTTTTTGAAATCCTATAGAATTTTACAACAAAAAGAAATAATCTAAAAGCATGCAAATTTAAAGCATTATTTAGTAGGTTGGGGGAACCCAAAAAGAAATACACAAAATAATGTAACAGTATTACAAATGTATGAGTTATTTCACTGAAGGGAATGGGAGGAGGAAGGGGGAATGACCTGAGTAACTTTAAAAATGAGGGGAGAGTCTAAGTCTAAAAACCAAAGTTGGTGAAAGTCATTTCTCATGGGCATATGGATTACCAATTCTGGAAACACTGTGCATGTCTTTTCAGAATGTAAAACTGTTTACAGAGCCAATTGTCTCACTGTTAGAATGGTAGGCTACATACAAATAAGTGGGAATAGGTAAACTGATTCATCTGCTAATAATTTAGATTATGTGGTAATGGAGCATTAGTAGGAATTCATGTTTAATTTAATATAGATGCATATGGACATATATTGCTATATTTAGAAATATGTGTATATTTATGTGTCAGTATATAGAGATATATTTATTTTCTCGGTCAGCTGGCAAGGCTTTGAATCAACAGATGCCCCAGTAGCAATGAGTGGACCTGGTGCCCAGATCTTTGTTTCAAATTCTATTTTCCAATAAAAGGAACTAGGGCTTCCTGAAGACATGATGGATACTAGGCTTCGGGAAGGAATCAAAACACAAGGAGCCTGGAACACCATGCAGTGCCAGAAAAGAATATGCTAATCAACAATAAAACCAAATAACCAATCACACAACATAAAACTGTAATTACCAGAGTATTTCAAAATGATAGAGGATCAACTAAAAGACCTTTGAATGACCAACAGTAAAACAATTTGAGCAATAAAATAAATGAAGGAGTCCAAGCATGGTGGCCTGCGCCTGTAATCCCAGCACTTTGAGAGGCTACGGTGGGTAGATCACGAGGTCAAGAGATCGCGACCATCCTGGCCAACATGGTGAAACCCTCTACTAAAAATACAAAAATTAGCCGGGCGTGGTGGCACGTGCCTGTAATCCAAGCTACTAGGGAGGCTGAGACAGAAGAATTGCTTGAACCCAGGAGGCAGAGTACGTTGTAGTGAGCCAAGATCGTGTCAATGCACTCCAGCCTGGCAACAGAGCAAGACTCTGTCTCAAAAATATATAAATAAATAAATAAATAAATAAAGTGTAAAATAAATACACACATTTGCATACTTACAGAAATAAGTGATTTAATAAATATAAATGGAAGAAAATATACACACAAATGGTGAAAAACTAAAAATAATTTTTGTAGATATTCTGCCTGTTGGGAGATGGAGCATGACTCCTCATTTCTTATGTGATTAGTAACTTTTTTGATACATACAACATGGAAAATGAGGAAAGGTAATTTATAGTGGAGAAATTTCATATCAACTATCTCATCCAGGTGATCAAATGAACATCAACAGTGATAAAGTGTGATTTTAGTATATATCCTTGATATCATGTAATGAGAATGGCATTTTTTTTTCTCTGTGGTCTTCTACACCAAAATCCACAATCCACCGAAATCTTGTGAAAAACATCAAGTAATCCCAAATCAAGAATGCTCATGTCATCAAAAATGAAAAAACTCCTAGAAACTGTCACAGTCAAAAAAGCCTACATGATATCTAATTGTGATGTGGTATACTAGATGGGATCTTGAAATAGAAACTGGACACTAAGTGCAACAATGAAATATGAATAAAGCATGGGAAGTAGTTAGTGATAATGTATAATATTGGCTGGTTCATTGTGATAAATGTCCTACACTAATATAAGGGGTTAATAATATAGGAAATTCTGTGTGGGGAATACAAGAACTTTTATACTATATTTGCAACTGCTTTGTACATATAAAACTAATCTTAATTTTTAAAACTTTATTTCATTTTATTTATTTATTTTTGATGGGGTCTCACTCTACCACTCAGGCTGGCATGCAGTGGCATGATCACGGCTCACTGCAGACTCGACCTCCTGGGCTCAAGCGATCTTTCCACCTCAGCCTCCTAAGTAGCTGGGACTACAGGTGTGAGTTACCTTACCTGGCCTAATCTTAAATTTTAAAAAGAGAAACTTTTAAAAGTTTCTTGGCAGAGAAACTACCAAGTTTAAGAAACAGCCTTACCATATTTTGATGCCCCCTGGGGGCAGGCATCTCTCTAATGTCATCATCTTCCTTAGCTGTTACAATGAACTATTATGGTGAACTCTTTCTTTGTCATTCTCTACATTTTATTTACTATCTTTCTTTCTATGTTTGTATTTCTAAACTGTATATATTGTTCATTTTTTCTTGTCTTCAAATTTAGATAAAAGCAAGTGTTCAATTTAAACAATACTCCTAGTCTAAACATGAATAAAATCCCACAAATCCATATTGTGGGACATTCTACAAAATTTCTGACCACTATTTTCAAAAGGGTCAAGGTCATGATACACAACTGAAGACTGAGAAACTGTTGCAGACTCAAGAGGACTTGATGTGGCAGGCAGATGGCTACCAGTGATCCCCATCTCTTCATCTACATAACCTTGAATTCTGTTGTGTTTTTGCTGAGTAAGAATAAGAACTTTTATTCACTTGGAAAAAATATAATTTTGCAAAAATGATGAGATATCACTTAGGTAATTATACTGCGTTATGATTTCTGTCTTGCTAGGAACCTCACTCACTTGGTGGCTTTTATGAAGCATTTTGCCATAGGAGAGAAGGCCATTTGGCAAGGAATTGAGTGCAGCCTCTGGTCAACAGCTAGGAAGAGATTGGTGCTTTTGCATAATAAGCTGTCCTGAAGTTTGCAGTACTACATTTAAAACTAATCCAAGCCCCTTTTCAAATTATACGATATCCTTTGCAGGTAGTTTGAGTACCTTACAATAACAAAATAATCCTACTTTCTTCTCCAGTGCCTAGGATTCTTACTGTAATTTATTTTCAGTATACGTAAGCATACTTGCACATATACATATACATGTGCATAGATAATCACATAAATTGTTATTTTCAAGAAACTATTATCTGATAGAAGCTATTAAAAACATTAAAAATTCTTCTTTTTTTTTTTTTTTTGAGACAGAGTCTCTCTCTGTTTCCCAGGCTGGAGTGCAGTGGCTCAATCTCGGCTCACTGCAAGCTCCACCTCCTGGGTTCACGCCATCCTCCTGCCTCAGCCTCCCGAATAGCTAGGACTACAGGCACCCGCCACCGCACCCGGCTAATTTTTTGTATTTTTAGTAGAGACGGGGTTTCACCGTGTTAGTCAGGATGTTCTCAATCTCCTGACCTCGTGATCCGCCTGCCTTGGCCTCCCAAAGTGCTGGGATTACAGGCGTGAGACACCGCGCCCAGCCAAAAACATGAAAAATTCTTAAACCACTTAAAAGGTAAAAATCATACATCTTTATCTTGCTATCAAGAAATACCTGAGGCTGGGTAATTTATAAAGAAAAGTGGTTTACTTGCCTTATGATTCTGCAGGCTGTGCAAGAAACACGGTGCCGGCATCTGCATCTTTTGAGGGCCTCAGGCTGCTTCCACTCAATAGCAGAAGGTAAAGGGGAGCTGATGTGTGCAGAGATCACATGTTGAGAGAGGAAGCAAGAGAGAGGTGGCTAAGTGCCAGGCTCTCTTCAACATCCAGTGCTTGCAGGAACTAAGGGGTGGGAACTCACTCAATCCTGTGAGAATGGCACCAAGCCATTACTGAAGGATCTCTCTCCATGATCAAAACACCTCCCATCATGCCTCACATCCAACACTGGGGATCAAATTTCAACATGAGACCAAACAAACCGTATCCAAACCATAGCATGGGGCCAAACTAACCATACCCAAACCATAGCATGATATGTAACTTACATGAAAAGGAGAAAAACTATAACCATATGAAATGCTCAGCTAAAACAACAACAGGCAGAAAATGAGTGGAAGAAAAAAATTAAGAAAAAACGAGCAACAAATAGAAAACAGTAATGAATATGGCAGATATTAATCCAACTACATCAATAATCGTTCTGAATGGCAAATGGTGTAACTGCATAAATTAAATTAGATTTGCCAGAGTGGATGACAAAGAAGACCAATTATATATTTTCTCCAAAAAAATCTGCCTTTAATATAAAGCCACATGTAAATTAAAAGTAAATAGATGTAGCAAATAGCATAGTAGATAACAGTAATCAAAGAAAGCAAGATTAGCCATATTAATTTCAGATAGAGCAGACATCAAAATAAGGAAAGTTACTAGGAACAAAAATTGACATTACATTAAGATGAAGGGGTAAGTCTCCAACAAGAGATAACAACCCCTAAACTGTATCCACCTAACAATAGAACATCAACCTACATGAGGCAAAATGTGACAGAAATGGAAGGATGAAGAGACGAATTCAATATTACACTTGGAAACTTCAAGACCCTCTATGAGAAACTGCCAGATCCAGCAGGTAGAGTTGCAGTGAGGACATAGCTGAACTCAACAGCAACATCAGTCAACTGGTTAGAAATGACATCTACAGCCTACTTCATCAAACAAATTCAGACTACACATTCTTCTTAAGCTCATCTGGAATACATTTACCAAGACAGAACACAATCTGGCCATAAAACATACCATAAAAAGGAATGGAAATCATAAAATGTATGTTCACAGACCACAGAATCATAAAACTAGAAATCAAGGGATAACTTGAAAAATAACTAGAAAATCTTGAAATGCATGTGGACTGAACAACAAACTTGTTATAAATAGGGTCAAAGAAGAAATCACAAGAGAAATGTAAAAGAAAATACTTCTAAATAAAAATAAAACTAAATAAAAATAAAAACATAACACCGAAATTTGTGTGATACAATGAAACAACATATAGATGGAAATGTATAGCATTGAATGTATACATCCGAGAAAAAAGGTCTAAATTCAATCATCTGAGTTTCCATCTTTCAAACTTAGAAAAGGAAGAGTAATTCCAAAGTAAGTAAAATGAACAGTATTATATAAAGAGTAAAGTAAAAGTAAAAGCTACAGCTACTGGATTATTCAAACAAGTGTCAATAGCATCATGGTTCCCAGAATATAGAAGTATTGAAAAGTAATAGAAAAATATAACACTCCCCCAAAACATAATTGCTTAGGAGCATGTAGCAGAGATCCTCCTCTGAAATAAGGAGATACTAATTTGCAGAATTGATAAAAAGCATGGTATCACAGGGTAATGTCATTTGTTTATTAAATTGTATTGCATATTTTTATATTGCTAAAATAATAGATTTTTTAACTTTTCACCAGAAAAAAAAGATAAACTGGTGAAGCGATGGATATGTTCATTAAGTTTGATTAAATCTTAATTAAATGTACACATAGATAAAATCTAAACACATTGTAACCCATAAATATACACAATTATTATATGTGAATAAAAAGGTAACTATGCAAATGGTTTACCAATAATCTGACAATACAAAATTTAGGTAATTGTAGATACGTGATGGAAATAGGCAAATCTGACAGAAAGAATGAAGTTAAAATATCTGTCGTGGTCTAAGAAAATCATTAGGTTTGTATGAGAATATCACAGAACATGGAGGAGACATGCAGACACAAATGGGTAACATGGTAATGTCCACCGAGAAACGTCCTGTAAAGGCAGCCCACACCACCCACCGCTCATTTCCTCTTGCCAGAACCTCAGGCCCCTTATTGGCCTCCCCTGTACATCTGGCCTCAGATTAGCTCTCTGAGCAGGTTTGAAAACCTGAAATCCCCTCATCAGCACTGCCTGTTGGGCTGTTTTCAGCCTCCCATATGTGGGCAAGGGTGGCCGTGAGTGAGTCATACTGAATTTTCTGATCCCACTTATACCTGCAAAATGACTGAAGGGAGAGAAACCTCTACTTAGGGTGCGGTGGGAGGTCTGTGCGATGGAGGCACAGAGGAGATCTGGAGCATTTAAGGTCCCTAAGCTGGCCAGTCATCTAGCCTGGGGGTCCTCTCTGCCCCTCTCAACCCTCCCTCCTCCTGAGATCCAATCCTCCTGGTAATGCCCAAGGATCTCCCAGTGGGCAGGGGCCATCCTCATTCATTCCGTCTTCCTGAGAAGCATACCTCATGGACTGCATAACATTTCAAAAAAGAAACTGAGGCATTCCATTTCTTTCCCACAGAATGCAGTCCTCAGGGAGCGGCCCTGCCTTCCCTGTCTAGTCCCTCCATGGTCTGCCCTTCCTGCTCCTGCTTTCTCACGTATTACTCATCCCAGAAATCCTTCCAATCAACTGTCATCTTCTCATGGCCTGGCCTGTGCCATGGACACACTGTTTCCTCCTCTCTTCCCCTCCCCTGTCTGCTGGACTCACTGCTCCTCACTCTCCAGCATCTCCTCCATGCTCCTCCTCCTGGAGGCCTCCCTTGTCCATCCCATCCCAGGCCTGATGCCTGTCCCCTGAGTTCCCAAGGGCAGCTCTTCTACCTACAGTTTAGTTTTGGTTATATTTTCTGAATCTCCGTTGAACCAAGGCATCAGAAAATATGTAAACTTCTCTGTGTTGTTCTCCTGTGACCCCCCATGCATATAGTGGTCAAAGAATAATACGAAAGGTGCTGATCATCTAAAAGTCACACACGAGAAACTTTTAAAAATATTTATAGCTGATAAAATAAACATTAAGTTTCAACTCCCTTTCTACCATACCATTTCTATTACGTATTCTAATATATTTAATCCTCTACAAAAATATGTGCTGCCTAACATATATGTACACATTTTCTGAGTGGTATTTTAAAATTGAAAACTAAAGATGCTTTTAGTATTCACTTATCAAAGAGTAAGAAAATGATACAAATCTATATTATAAGCCATCTGTACAGAGATATGTCATGAATACTTTTAGAAGAACTACTTGGAATGAATCAGAAAGTCCAGCCAATGTTTCTAACTTTGGGGTAAGAGAAAAACAAACATGCATATTAACAAAATTCCTGTCCAGAAAATCGATCTCTCAATGCTCTGTCTACAAAAATTAGTAATTTTTAACCTTTAAAAACCAGGACAAACTGAATCATATAATGGCAATAGTCACATCTCTTATTCACAATGATGTTCTCAGCATATTTTGTCTTGTGGTTTCCAGAAAAATCTTTGTTCCTCTTCTTTCCAACTAGAGGTATTTTAGAGAACATTTCCAGAAAACGATAAAAGAGAGAATGCGTAACATCTGTCTTTCCTAATAAAAGTGATATTCCCATTTAATAAAGAGTAATGAATGAAAAGAAGAAAATAATTGAAAAGGTATGCTGAAAAATGATTATAAATGCATTGTTAAAGGTAGGATGAAAGGCATTAATACACAATACAAAAACACACATTTGGGTTGTAGATGATGCCAAAAAATAAATTTATACACAAATGTTAAAAGCATTTGCATGCCAAAACAAAAACCAAGAAGAAATTATTACAAGCAAGGTTTGTGGGCATTGTATCATTGTTCAGTAAGAAGAATGACTGCTGAACTAACTCGATCTTTGTACAAAACAGCTGAATTCCCGCATGGTCCCCAAAGGGTAGCTGCTAGACAGGCAGATCCAAAAGAGAGGCTCTGAACTCAGCTGTACCTTCTGTGTTCCCATGCTTAATGGGATGGTCTGGAGGAGGTGACCACAGTCACTGGGCAGTCTGTACTTGTGCAAAAGCCATGCAGGGATGTCTATACAGGCTCCTGATCTGCTCCCTGTTGCTGCTGGAGTAGAAAGTTCCTCCGGCTTCGTAAAGCAGAGAAAGAAAATAAGGGGGCATGAGATTGAAAGAAACTTGCTGAGATGATACTAAGTGACACATGGGGTGGTGTTGGGGGATTGTTTAAGATGCAGCAGAACACTAGAAACATAAGTATCAACAGCAATGTTATAAAGTTCTATGCTCTCTGCTTCATTCAAGGCACAGCTTGGAATACTGGTGTAGGTGCAAGGCACACAGCTTTTCACTCTTCTATGTCTTCATTACACAATACCACAGTGGTTAAGAGAATGGGCTATTTGCAGAGATGTATGTGCCCACGAGGACAATCACATCACTGCTGCCTCTGACCAAGAGTATTTCTACAATGTCTATTTTAAGATGCATTTATATCTGAAATATGTGAAAATACCTACCGTAGGATCAACATAATATACCCTTTTTCTCTGTGACTACACATTTATCAGTGTAATGTCACTGCTGACCTGTTGTATTCTGGTCTATTATCGAAGGAATATGTTTCAATATAGGTTTATTTAACTTGCCCAACTGTATTTACCTTCTGCCTAGATACTGGAGATATTAGAGCTTTTAGCGAACTACCGGAATTTCTCTTTTAAATGTTGTAGTAAATACTTACAATTCTATATATTGCCTCAGAATTCATATTAAATATAGGTTTTATTTACTCATATCAGAACCAGGGTTTAGTCATCCATGACACCATTTCCAGTTCTCCACCTTCTTCCAATTCCTTAATGTGGTGGATCCAGATATCTCCTCATACAACCCCTCCAGGTCACTACTCCCTATGGGACAGCTAGATGCAACACTTGACTTGCCCCACTGACCTCCATTCCCCATGTACAATGTATAGACATTCCAGTGAGCACCTCTACATCACAGGATGACTTCATGAAACTCATGCCTTCTTGCTGTAAACCAACAGCTGGAACTTCCTATGAGAAACCGATTTGGGTTACACTCTGGAACCCAATAAAGGCTGCAGCCCACTGGTCCCTCATTCCATCACCCTCCCTTTGACACTCACCCCACTCCCATTTGCTGTGGGTGTATGTTTCAGACAGCTCTTGCCTTCCCATTGGCCTTGGGAGGCATGCTATTTTCTTCTTTCTGGGATCTTTGAGTAATACAGTGCTTCTGTTATTTCACCAGTTTTGTGTTTTACTCTGTCGTACACAACCAACACACCTGAACCTAAATTCTTTCTCATCTGGGGCTCTCCTAGAGAGTGGCTACCTTGGTAGAAGTAAACTGTACATAGGTCAGACAAGAGCTTCAAGGGCATGTGCTAGTATAAACAAGTTTCCTGTGAGAAGAACACCTGGTGACATCTAGGACATTTAGATATTAGGAAATACACCAGGATAAAGAAGTATCCCACGAAAGGTAGACATTGTAGACAACAAGGAGTTAATCTTCTGGAGTCCCATTTGGTAAGGCTATACTTTACAGCCACTGTAGAGAGACAGAACTCAAGAGTAAACTACAAGCAGGGTGCGGTGGCTGACGCCCATAATCCCAGCACTTTGGGAGGCGGAGGCCGGCGGATCACTTGAGGTCAGGAGTTTGAGACCAGCCTGGCCAACATGGTGAAATCCCGTCTCCACTAAAATACAAAAATTAGCTGCGCATGGTGGCACATGCCTGTAGTCCAAGCTACTCGGGAAGGAGAGGTGAGAGAATGGCCTGAACCTGGGAGGTGGAGGTTGCAGTGAGCCTAGATTGTGCTACTGCACTCTAGCCTGGGCAACAGAGCAAGACTCAGTCTCAAAAAAAAAAAAAAAAAAAAAAAAAGAGTAAACTATAGATAACAAAGATACATCATAAGTGGAAAGGTAACTTTGTAGACTATGGTTCATAATGTTCATTGAGAAGGAAGATAGAAATAGTAAAGAGTTACTTCAAAGTTTTCACTTGAGTGAAATTCTCTGAAGACAGAAAAATCTGTATCTTGGAAATGTATGCCTTAATCATAATGTAATATTCTCAATCAGCTGCACTGCAAATCTAATTCTTCAATCCAGAATGATTATATATTTATATTTTCCATTTGTGTTAGTCTGTTCTCACATTGCTATAAAAAACAAACAAACAAACAAAACTGGCCGGGTGTGGTGGCTCACGCCTGTAATTGCAGCACTTTGGGAGGCCAAGGTGGACGGATCATGAGGTTAGGAGTTTGAGACCAGCCTGACCAACATGGTGAAACCCCATCTCTACTAAAAATACAAAAATTAGCCGGGCATAGTGGCGTGCGCCTGTAATCCCAGCTACTCGAGAGGCTGAGGCAGGAGAATGGCGTGAACATGGGAGGTGGAGGTTGCGGTGAGCCGAGATTGCGCCACTGCACTCCAGCCTGGGCGACAGGGCTAGACTCCGTCAAAAAAAGAGAAAAAAAAAAAAAACTGAGATCATGCAATTTATAAAGGAAAGAGGTTTAATTGGCTCACAATTCTGTAAGGCTGCACAGGAAGCATGATGCTGGCATCTGCTCACCTTCTGGGGAGGCTTCAAAACACAATCATGACTGAAAGTGAAGGAGGAGCAGGCACAACACATAGCCAGAGCAGGAGCAAGAGAGAGGCTGGGAACTGCCACAAACCTTTAAACAACTAGATCTTGTGAGAACTCACTATAGTGACAACAGTACCAAGGAGAACAGTGCTAAACCATTAATGAGAAACTTCCTCCATGATCCAGTCACCTCCTACCAGGCCCCACCTTCAATACTGGGGATTATATTTCAACATGATATTTGAGCAGGAATACAAATCCACAATACATCACCATTCATCTTTCTAATCACATGAATGATGCTCACACCAATAACAACTTTATGAATAGTCACTGCAGATGCAGATGCATTGTAGTTTTCACAAAATGTTCTTCTCTGACCACTTGTTCCTCTGGTCAACTTTACTTTCAGGTACTTAGAAATGAAATGGGCTTTGGTGTTGCCTAAAGAGTATGTTTAATGAAGAAGAAATTCATATAATTTATAATTTAGGATGCTGGGTTTATTGGCACTAAAATTTTCAAATTCTAGGAAGGCTCGATTAAGTTAACAACAAGCCTTGATCTCAGAAACAGAAGCTATGCATCCACTGAACACTCTTTTCTATTCAGAATAGAGGGTGGAGACAGTGTTGGCTCCTGATGACATCTAAGACTTTAGACCTTTTCAATGGCATCTTTCTAAGAGTTCTTGTAGGCAGGGCAGCCTAAGTGAAATCTGGTAACAAGCTGTTAAACAGGTTGTGAGAAATCACATCTTCCAGGCTATCAGTCATGTTTGGGAACTCAGTCCTCAGCATTGTGCTGTCTGTGCCAGTGACATCATATTAGCACAGTTTTGTGTCTGAAATTTATTTTTTTTTAACTCAGCACACAGAGCTCATTGTCACTCTTGCCATTTTGGGATGGATCACTCCTTGTCCATATCCTCTTGGGTCTCCTTTATGGTCTGCCATTCTACTTTTTTGTCCCCTGAAGATTTTGGTGAGGGATGTTATTCACAGTATACAACATCATAATAGACTATAATGTATACATAAAAATGAAGAGGAAATGCATTTTACAAGTCACTTAGCTTATAGGAACTCCTGTTACAATTAACAGAATAACTCTCCTTGTTTTAAGATTATCAATTTAAAGGAAATTATCCTTATTCATGGAGCAAAATATAAGCATGGAAGAGTGAGAAGGATTATTGAAATACAAATGTCCATTTTAACAGCACCTAAATATCTGCTATCCTGACCTCAGTGGTGAGATATGTGGCCCAGGTCAGCTGTATCTTCTCACTCCAGGTCTGCAGGCTGCAGAAGCTCATTTTCTCATTGAAGCTATAACTGCAGCATGGAGAATATTCTCCAGATTATGGACAATAGAAGCAAGAGCCTTGACCTTGTGGATTTCTGTGGGAGTGCAGTATGTACTCCTATGGCTTTGTACGCTTTGTATGCATGGTTCCTGCGCACAGGCCTGGGGCTACCCAGCAGAGTGCTGAGATCTGTGAACAGGGAGCTGTGCATGGCATGAGTGGACCTGGTTTTTAAAGTTTCTTTCCCTTTTTATTTTCTTGTTTTGAGACAAGGTCTCACCTGTCACCCAGGCTGGAATGCAGTGGCACGATCTTGGCTCACTGCAGCCCCCGTCCCCTGGGCTCAAGTGATCCTCCCACCTCAGTATCCTGAGTAGCTGGGACCACAGGTGCATACCACGACACCAAGCTATTTTTTTGGTATTTTTAGTAGAGATGGGGTCTCGCTATGTTGCCCAGGCTGGTCTTGAACTCTGGAGCTTAAGTGATCCTCCTGCCTGGGCCTCCCAAAGTGCTGGGATTACAGGCATGAGACACCACAGCTGGCCAAAGGTTTCTTTTCCTGATCTGTATAAACAGAGGCTGGCCTAAAGCCCCATGTTTATTAAAGCCTGTTGTTGTTATTGTTGTTATGTGTGTGCCCTACGCACCTGCTACCACTATGATATTTAATCTGTGGCTTTTGGACTTGGCAATGTTCAATATAAATCCATAAGGTTAAGTGTCAGTGGAGTGCATGGTCCCAAAGAATTCATGATTGGGTTTGTAGAAGAAAAAGATTAATTAACCAAGGTGTTTCTCAAAGGCTTGAAGATACAGTTCTCTTTTAAAACTTGAAAAAGGAATCCCTGTACTAAGAAAACACCCTTGAGGCTAGGCGCAGTGGCTCACACCTGTAGTCCCAGCACTTTGGGAGGCTGAGGCGGCTGGATCGCCTGAGGTTAGGAGTTCGAGACCAGCCTGGCCAACATAATGAAACCTCGTCTCTACTAAAAATACAAAAATTAGCTGGGCATGGTGGCAGGCGCCTGTAATCCCAGCTACTCAGGAGGCTGAGGCAGGAGAATGGCTTGAATCCTGGAGGTAGAGGTTGCAGTGAGCCGAGATGGTGCCATTGCACACTCCAGCCTAGGCAACAAGAGAGAAACTCCATCTCAAAAAAAAAAAAAAAGAAAAGAAAACAATGTGGAACAAGTAGTATCCACATGCAAACTGAACTGTCTTATACCCTTGAATGCAGAATTGTGATATATGTTCCCCGTATATTTCTCAATATTATGATAGCTTCTAACGAATGGAAGCCATGTCTTTTAAAAAGTCTTTAGTGGATCCAACAGATACACTGCCAATGTCTGAAAATGGGGCTTTATGAGGTATGGGAGGCACAGGCCACTATCTTTAAAGAAGTAGTGACAAACAAAATGGTGACTGTGTAATGGGAAGTTTTACAGGAAGGGAGAAAATTGAGGGGAGTCCCTAGTGATTGTGGGAGTCTTCTTGAAATAGGTTCATCTGGGTTTGGAATGGTGGATAATAGGCAAACTGCTTTGCCATTCTTTCCCGACATCTCTGTTCATCCTCTGATCAAAGGTTTTTTTTGTTGTTGTTGTTTTTGTTTGTTTTGTTTTGTTTTGTTTTTTTGGAGCAAACAAATACATTTTAAAATGTTTTTATTTTGAAAAAATTTTAGATGTATAGAAAAATGCAAAGATAGGCCAGGTGTGGTGGCTCACACCTGTAATCTCAGCACTTTGGCAGGCCAAGGCGCACGGATCACTTGAGGTCAGGAGTTTGGGACCAGCCTGGCGAACATGGTGAAACCCGTTCTCTGCTAAAAATACAAAAAAAAAAAAAATTAGCCTGGCGTGGTGGTGTGTGCCTGTAACCTCAGCTACTCGGGAGGCTAAGGCAGAAGAATCACTTGAACCCTGGAGGCGGAGGTTGCAGTAAGCTGAGATCACGCAATGGCACTCCAGCCCAGGTGACAGAGTGAGGCTCTGTCTCAAAAAAAAAAAAAAAAGAAAGAAAAATGCAATGATAGTACAGAGTGTTTCATATACCTTTCAGCCTCCTGTAATGTTTATACCTTACATAGCCACAGTATGTGTATGAAAACTCAGAAAACTGGTGGTACAAAACTAGTAACTGAAATACAGGCATTCTTCGTGTTGTATTAGGTTTTCACTAATATCTTTTTTCTATTGCATGATCTAATCTAATATAACACACTGCAGTTACTCCCACGTATATTAGTTATTTATTACTGCATAACAAGTTACCTCAAACCTTAGTGACTCAGAACCTCATAAATGTGTTACCCATGGTTTTTCAGGGTCACATGACTCAGGCTGAGGTTACAACTGAAGGCTTGCCTAGGGAAGGTCACCTTCCAAGCTCATGTAATTGTTGTTAGAATTCAATTCTTGTCTAGGGCAAAATGACGGGTGAATTACTCTAAACCTGTTAAGAATGAATAACAATCCTTTACTAACTCTTCCTCAAAGAAAAAAAAAAGAGAAGACAAAATTTACCAATCTATTCTATGAGGGCAGTTATCCTGATACCGCAATGGGACAAATATATTTCAGGATAGGAAAATTACAGACCAATATGCCTCATGAAACAGAGGCAAAAATTCTCAAAGAAATACTACCAAAACATATCAGCAACATATGAAAAGGATTATACACTATGACCAAGGATATTTATCACTGGAATGTCAGTTCGGTTAAACATACAAAAGCAATTGGTGTAAGACATTGTATTAATAAGATGAAGGACAAAATCCAAATGATTATTGCAAAAGATACAGAATAAGCACTTGATAAACCCAAAACCTATTCATGATAAAAACTCTGAACAAATTAGGGATAGAAGGGAACTTTCTCAGCCTAGAAATGGCATCCATTAAAAGCTCACATAATATAACCTATCATGAAAGTCTCAGTAATTTCCCCAAGATTAGAAATGTGACAAAAAATAATCATTTTTCAAATCATACAGAACTTAATACCACTTTTGCCACTTCTATTCAATATTGTACAGAAGGAGGTAGCCAGGGTAATTAGGCTAGAAAATAAATAAAAGATACCTAGATTGTAAATCAAGAAATCAAACTGTTTATATTTGCAAATGACAGGATCTCATGTATAGAAAATCCTGACATATCCACTAAAATAAGAATATAACCATAAAAGAGTTCAGTAACATTGCAGTACACAAAGTAAACTTTGAAATCAACTATATTTCTATGTACTAACAATTAATCCAAAAATGAAACCCAGAAACCTTTTTTCCATATTTTTGCAGTAACTGGCAAGCTGATTCTAAAATTCCTATGGAAATCGAAGTACTCCAGAAGAGACAAAACAATCTTGAAAAAACAATTTTGGAGTATTGCAGTCACACTTCCAAATTTCAAAATGTACTGCAAACTGATAGTAATCAAGACATTGTAGTACCAATATGAGGACTGACATATGTGTTAATGGAATTGAGTTGAGTGCCCCAAATTAACCTTTACATACATGGTAAACTGATTTTAAAAGCTTGCCAAGACAATTCAATATGAAAAAATAGTTTTTGCAACGAATTTTCTGGGACAAGTGGTATCCACATGCAAACTGAACTGTCTTATACCATATATGTCGTTGACTCAAAATCAAACATCGACCTGAATATAAATGCTAAAACTAAAAATCCCAAAAAAGAAACAGCTTCACCTTAGGTGAAACAATCAATTCCAAAATACGACACCAAAATACAAGTGACAAAAGAAAACACTGGATGAAACAGACTTCATCAGAATTAACTTTTGTGACTCAAAATACACCACTGAGACAATCCAAGAAAGTAAGAAAATATTTCCAAATCACAGAGCTGATAGAGGACTATTATCCAGAAAATACGGATCACTCATACAACTCAAAAATAAAAAGACGAATATAATAATGAAAAGTGAGTGTGGTGGCTCCCACCTGTAATCCCAGCTCTTTGGGAGGCTTAGGCAGGCAGATCACGAGGTCAGGAGTTCGAGACTAGCCTGACCAACATGGTGAAACCCTGTCTCTACTAAAAATACAAAATTAGCTGGGCGTGGTGGTGCGCGCCTATAATCCCAGCTACTCAGGAGGCTGAGGCAGGAGAATCACTTGAACCAGGGAGGCAGAGGTTGCAGTGAGCCGAGATCCTGCCACTACACTCCAGCCTGGGCAACAGAGCAAGACTCTGTCTCAAAAAAAAAAAAATGTGAGTAAACTGTGTCAATAGACATTTCTCCAAACGACTATAGAAATGTCCACTAAGGGCATAAAAATATGTTTAGCACTTTTAGTCCATAGTGAAATGCAAATCTAAACCATCATGAGACATGCTTTATAATTTTTTTTTTTTTTTTGGTCGGGGTCTCTTGGTCTCCCGGCTCTGTAGCCCAGTTTGGAGTGTAGTGGTGTAATCACAGTTCACTGTAAGCTTGAACTCCTGGGCTCCAGGGATCTTCCTACCTCGGCCTCCCAAGTAGCTAGGACTACAGGCATAGGCCACCACACCCAGCTTATTATTATTTTTTTTAATTTTAGAGGCAGGCTGTCACCTTGTTGCCCAGGCTGGTCTAAAAATCCTGGCTTCAAGCAACTCTCTTACCTCAGCCTCTCAAAGTGCTGCGATTACAGGTATGAACCACCGTGTCTGTCCACACTTCACAAATCTTAAGGGCATATTCATCATTGAAAAAAGCTAGTTTGGGCCGGGTATGGTGGCTCATGCCTGTAATCCCAGCACTTTGTAAGTCTGAGATGGGTGGATCACCTGAAGTCAGGAGTTCAAGACCAGCCTGACCAACATGGAGAAACCCCGTCTCTACTAAAAATACAAAATTAGCTGGGCGTGGTGGTGTATGCCTATAATCCCAGCTACTGAGGAGGCTGAGGCAGCAGAATCACTTGAACCCGGGAGGTGGAGGTTGTGGTCAGCCGAGATCACGCCATTGCACTCCAGCCTGGACAACAAGAGCAAAACTCCATCTCAAAAAAGAAAAGAAAAAAGAAAAGAAAAAAGCTAGTTTGAAAAAACTATTTACTGTGTAATTCCATTTATACGACATTGTGAAAAGGTAAAATTATAGCAAATGAAAAAGATTAGTGGGTATGAGGAGCTTGGAACAGAAGAAGGCTCAATAAATAGGGGAAATGGGGAAGATTTTGTGAAGCCAAATTCTTCTCTATGATACTATAAGGATGTGTTAATAATCGTTTTTCAAATCATATAGAACTTAATATCACAAAGAGTAAACCTAAATGCATACATTGAATCATCATTAAATAAGGCATTACACATTACTTAGTATGTTTGGAGACCCCAGGGAGCAATTCAGACAAAATAATCTAACAGTATAAGAAATAACTTCACTGCAATGTGTAGACTAAAAGGGGACTGACTCCTTTTAGAAACTTAGTCAGTAAAGATAGATTCTAAGCCTAATGGCCAAAGGATTTGAATAAAAGCACTGTACTTCAGTTATTAAATTTATTTCCCATGGGAGTAGAGATGACCAATTCTGTAACCACTATGCATGTATTTTGAGACTCAATAATTAACTAAAGGAGGCCAACTTCCTCAGTTAGAGTGAGAGGTTAGGTAAAGTACTGGGAAAGGGGAGATATTACAGATTCATGTTTTCCTGGATTCCACTGATGTGAACCCAGGGACAGTAGAAATTCAGGTTTAACTTTATATAGATAAATGTGGATAAGTATGGAAATATTTACACATATATACATATGTGTAAGTTAGTATAAACATACATATTCTTTGCTATCAGCTGACAAAACCATATTATTTGCTGTCAAGTGATAAAGCTTCAAATCAGTAGATTCTTAGTAGAAATACGTATACCCATGGACGAGATCTTTGTTGCTAATACCATTCACCAAAAAAGGAGCTAAGATGCCCTAAATAAATGGTTAATACCAGACTTGGGCAGGGAATCACCACAATTAACCTGGAGCACCTTGTATTACCAGAAAGTAAGAAAAATCTAAGCAGCAACACAAACAATCAACCAACAAACCAGACAAACAAAATTGAATTGCAATGATGGAACTTTTTCAAAGTCATACAGGAACCAACTAAAAGACCTTTCAGTGGCCAAAACTTAAAAAAAATGAGCGCTGGAATAAATAAAGTAGGTATACGGTAAGAAAAATATCACGATTTAATGTAACAATCCATAAAAGTAAAATATTGAATAAATAAATAAATACTAAATTGAGGAAAATAGATAAATTGACCACAGTGAAGAAATACAAATGATATTTATAGAGGCTCTGCCTATTAGGAGGTAGTGCAAGTTTCTCTGTTTCTTAAGTGTGTGCTGTGCACAATGACTTTTGAAAAGCACAACTCTGAAAGAGGAAAAATGATTAATTTTACAAGAAAGAAACCTGACCAAAACTACAACATCCAGATAATAAAATTAACATTAACAGTGACAAAGCTCATTGAAAGGATACACACTTAAGAGTACTGTAATGAGAATGGCACTTTCCCTCTGTGGTCCTCCGTGCCAAAACCCACCCATCCAGGCTAATCATGAGAAAAGCAACAGAGACGTCCCAGATTAAGGGCAATGAGGTTATCAAAAACAAAGAAAGTCTTGAGAAACTGGCACAGGAAAAAGGAGCCTAAGGAGAGAGGATATCTCAATGTGATGTGGGATCCCAGATGGGAACCTGGAACAGAAATGGACATTAAGTGAAAAACTAAGGAATTCTGAATAAACTGTGGATATTAGTGAGGGATAAATGTGTAATATTGGTTTATTAATTGTGACAAAGGTGCCACAATAATGTATGAGATTAATAATCAGAAAAAACTGGGTTGGGTGTTTGTAAAGTCTCTGTATTCACTTTCTAACTGCTCTGTAAGCCCAAAACACTTCCAAAATTTAAAAAAGATTCTTACCCTTTTTTATAATTCACTGTGGAGCTCAATAAACAGAACACTATTAATGTTACCAATGCGCACAAATGTATTTCCCAAATTCTACTTTCTTCCTTACCCTGGTGAAGGCTACTATTATTTTGAATTACCTATTTTGCATTCTCTTATTTCCCCTTTTTTATTACGTTTGTTTATCTAAGTAATATAATATCCAGCTTTTCTTGTCTTCAAGGTTAGATAAATGTAAATGTCTAAATTAATCCATAACCCTAGTCAAATTATGAGAAACTATTTAGATACATATTGTGATACATCATGCAAAATACCTGACATTCTTTTTTTTTTTTTTTTTTTGAGATAGAGTCTCGCTCTGTCACCCAGGCTAGAGGGCAGTGGCGAAATCTCGGCTCACTGCAAGCTCCGCCTCCCGGGTTCACACCGTTCTCCTGCCTCAGCCTCCCGAGTAGCTGGGACTACAAGTGCCCGCCACCATGCCCAGCTATTTTTTTGTATTTTTAGTAGAGACGAGGTTTCACCATGTTAGCCAGGATGGTCTCCAACTCCTGACCTTGTGATCCACCCACCTCGGCCTCCCAAAGTGCTGGCATTAGAGGTGTGAGCCACCGCACCTGGCCAATACCTGACATTCTTAAGTGGAGACTGAGAAACTTTTGCAGAATAAACAGGACCTGACGTGGCAGGTAGACCCAATGATGGTGCCCAAATATCTTGGCTTATACAACCTTGGGTACTAGTTCTTTGTTTCTGAGTGTGGACAAAAAGTGTGACTGGCATGTAAACGATAGAATACTGGAAAGTTGAAGACTTTAGTGATTATGACACAAATTGTGATTTCTGTCTTCCCTGCAAGCTCTCTCTCCCTTGGTGGTTTTGATGGAGTACTCTGCTCTGTGAGAGAAGCTCACATGGAAAGAAAACAAATGCAGCCTCTGGCCAATGGCCAGCAAGGAACCGGGGCCCTTGATCCAATAACCAGTCCAACAGTTTGCAGTTTACATTTACAACTAATCCAAGCTCCCTTTCAAATAAGAGTATATCATTTCTGAGGTAGTATGACTACTTGTAATAAGAGAATAATATGAATTCTTCCCTCTCATTCTTTGTATCATTGTTGTCATTCATTTTACCTATATATAAGCATATTTGCAAATATATTTATGTATATGAATTTGTATGTATGACATATATATAAGCATACCTAGTCAAATACACTGTTGATATCATTATTTTTAACAATATGGTATCCATTAGATCAATTAATAATATGAAAAATAAAAGTTTTTATTCCTAGGATTAAAAAAAGTAAAAAAAAAGCAAATATGACTGACATACTGATAAAGGAGAGAAAATTATATAAAATGCTCTATTAAAACCACAAAACACAGAAAACTAGTAGGTGACAAAAACTGGAACACAGACAAGTGTCAACTTTAAGATATTAATAAGTATGATCGATATTAATCTGTCTATATCACTATTCACTTTGAATGCCAATAGTCTAAATGAACCAATTAAAAGACAATGATTGTCAGAGTGAATGGGAAAAAAAATACAGTGCAACTATATGTTCTCTACAAGAAATGCACTTTAAATAAAGCACACATATAAATTAATGGATACCCTATTTATGCTGATGTGATTATTAATGTATTGCATGCCTGTATCAAAACATCTCAAGTAACCAATAAATACACGATGTAACCACAAAAACTAAAAATTTAAAGTTACAAAAGTAAATGCATAAAACAAAATATATCATGCTACCACTATTTGTAAGAAAGCAGGAATACCAATATTAATGTTGGAGATAACAGATTTTGAAGCAAGGAAGACTATCAGTGATAACCAAGTACTTCCCAGTTCTTGACATCCCTTGTCCGGAGAAGGAAGGACACATCACTGCATCACCTGAGCTTGTTCAGGAGCCACCCAGGCTGTTTTATTTTTGTTTTTTGTTTCTTTGAGATGGAGTCTAGCTCTGTCACCAGGCTGGAGTGCAGCGGTGCGATCTCAGCTCACTGCAAACTCCACCTCCCAGGTTCAAGCAATTCCCCTGCCTCAGCCTCTCAAGTAGCTGGGACTACAGGTGTGCACCGCCATGCCTGGGTAATTTTTTGTATTTTAGTAGAGACGGGGTTTCACCATGTTGGCCAGGATGGTCTCAATCTCCTGACCTTGTGATCTGCCCGCCTCAGCCTCCCAAAATGCTGGGATTACAGATGTGAGTCCCCGTGCCTGGCTCACTCAGGGCTGTTTGTTAAGGTTCCCACCTCCATAAGCTGTGTACAGTAAAAAATAAAGTCCCTAAGTCTCCAGAAAGCAAGAAAGGAAAAAGAGAGGACATACCAAAAAATACTGAGAATGTACTAAAAATGTTGCCATAAGTGATAATGGGAGTATTGACTCAAGACTCACAAAATAATAGAGACAGCAGTGCAACACCAATGTTCTAATTTTCTAAACACACCTGTTTATTCAAAGTTAAGTTGGGGGCTGGGCATGGTGGCTCATACCTGTAATCTCAGCACTTTGGGAAGCCAAGATAGGAGAAGCACTTGAGCCCAGGAGCTCAACATCAGCATGGGCAACACAGTGAGACCTCATCTGTACAAAATGTTTTAAAAAATTAGCCAGGTGTGGTGGCACACACCTATAGTCCAAGCTACTTACTAGGCTGAGGTGGGATGATCACTGGAGCCTACAAGGTCAAGGCTGCATTGAGCCATGATCGTGCCAGTGCACTCCAGCCTGCGCAACAAAGTGAGACCGTGTCTCAAAACAAAAACAAAAAGTTAAGCTGGGCATACTGGTATAGGTAGAAGGCATGCAGATTTTTAACTTTTCTCATGAATCATTACAGAATAGCCAAGTGATTAAGAGAAAAGGCACTGGAATAAAACTTCTTGGGTTCAATGAAGTCTCTTACTAAGTGTGGTATTTGCACAAAGATAGAGAAATGAACGAATGAAGAAAGAAAAGAGAGCTCAAAACAAATCAATGCATATGCAAGTAAATAATAAGAAAGATCAATGGGGAAAAGATGAATTTTTCTATAAATGTTCTAAGAAATTGAATATACATTGGTGCTGAATAAAAATCTGTCTTTTGAGCTCACTTTACTATTACTCTAAATATCAATTCCAGGTGTATCACAGATTTAAATATAAAATTAATTTAATATAATACTTAGAACATAATTTAAGACAATAATTTCACAATATGGGGCAGTGTATTATTTCTAAAACTAGACTTAGGATACATCTTCCATATAAGAGAAAAAACATATTCTAACATCCTTGTGAGCAAGGACTCTGGAGACAGATTGACTCAAACTCAGGACCTTCTATTAATATTTCTTTCTTGGCCGGGCACAGTGGCTCACGCCTGTAATCCCAGCACTTTGGGAGACCGAGGCAGGTGGATTATCTGAGATCAGGAGTTCTCAACCAGCCTGGCCAACATGGTGAAACCCCATCTCTACTAAAAATACAAAAATTAGCCGGGTGTGTTGGTGCGTGCCTGTAGTCCCAGCTACTCGGGAGGCTGAGGCAGGAGAATCACTTGAACCCAGGAGGCAGAGGTTGAAGTGAGCCAATATCGTGACACTGCACTCCAGCCTGAGTGACAGAGTGAGACTCCGTCTCAAAAAAAAAAAAATGTATGCACATAACAAAAATGGGTCAAACTGCAAGGAGAAACAGATGAATTCACTATTATTGTTGGAGACTTCAACACCTTCTATTAAAAACAGACAGATCCGGCCGGGCGCAGTAGCCTCATGCCTGTAATCCCAGTACTTTAGGAGGCTGAGGTGGGCGGATCACGAGGTCAGGATTTCAAGAGCAGCCTGACCAACATGGTGAAACCCAATCTCTACTAAAAATACAAAAATTAGCTGGGTGTGGTGGCAGGCACCTGTAATCCCAGCTACTTGGGAGGCTGAGTCAGGAGAATCACTTGAACCTGGCAGACAGAGGTTGCAGTGAGCCAAGATCTCGCCATTGCACTCCAGCCTGGATGACAGAGCGAGACTCCGTCTCAAAAAAAAAAAAAGAAATAATAACAATAATAATAAATTTTTTTTAAAAAAGGACAGATCCAGCAGGCAGCAAACAAGTACACAGTTGAACTAAACAACACCATCAGTCAACTGGGGATAATTGATATCTACAAACTACTTTGTCCAACAAATGCAGATTACACATTCTTCTCAAGACCACATGGAACATTCACCAAGACAGACCACATTCTTGGTCATAAAAGATACTTTAACAATTTTTTTGGGGACAGAGTCTTGCTCTGTTGCCCAGGCTGAAGTGCAGTGGCACAATCTTGACTCACTGCAACCTCTGCCTCCCTGGTTTAAGTGATTTTCCTGCCTCAGTCTCTGAGTAGCTGGGATTACAGGTGCACGCCACCATACCTCGCTAATTTTTGTATTTTTAGTAGAGACAGGGTTTCACCACGTTGACCAGCCTGGTCTAGAACTCCTGAACTCAAGTGATCCACCAGCCTCAACATCCCAAAGTGCTGGGATTACAGGCGTGAGCCACCATGCCCGGCCTGAATAAATTTAAGAAAATAGAAATCATGAAACATCTATTCTCAGACCACAGTTAATTTAAAGTTGAGATCAATACTGGGTGTCAACAGGGAAGTTGGAAATTACACAGACAGTGGTGCCTCTTGTATTAGGAAATGTTTCACTCGTATCACTCTTCATTCCACAGAGTGATGTTAAGATATACATGACTCTGGATCAAGATCTGATTCAGAAAAATTAGAATATCATTGTATCCTTAGAAATTCATTGACAAATTAATTTCAACATGTTTTCATTTTTATGTAAATAAAAGCTACATCTTACCAATTCTGAAGGGCTTTTTCAATGAGTATAAAATAAGGCTATTATGAGTCAAATATTATAATTGACAGAGACAGTATATTTTTTTAGAGATATTATCCATTTTAAATGTTTGATTCACTGACTTCTAGTGGATGTCCCCTATGGAAACTTCTACAGATACTGTACATAGGCCAATTCTGACCTTCTCTTTAGCATTACAAATGCCAATAAAATTATCTATCTCTCTGTGAGTTTAGCTTACATTGGTCTTTATTCTCCTTTACACTGTGAACAAGAAGCATATAGCCAGGGATGGAGTGATCATCGAGAATTTGCAGGAGGAATGAATCAAGATGTTATGGAAAAACTAATAGGAACTGGACATGCCTTATCACACATAAATAAAAAAATGGACAAAGAATATGAAACTTTTTTAAAGTACTGTACACCAAATGATGGAGAACAATGATACCTGGAAATACACAACAATGATGTGAGTGAAGCCTACTATTGCCCAAGTTTACTGCTTTGAGAGTTTCCCAGCTGTGATGTTGTAAGGACCTTGGCAGGCTTTCCGAGTTGAGAAGATGGAACTGAGAGCATAGAAGAGCGAGGTGGCCTGACTTCATCAAGCCATCATGTCCAGTGGTAAGAACAGAAGAGAGAAGTCACACCAGCGTTCATGAGGCAGGGTATCCCTGTGTCATCATTACTTCACCAAAACATGGGTCACAGAACTAAAGGAGCAGTACAGAAGAAAAAGTGAGAAACAAGTAAAATTCATTTAAATAAACTTGGCCTTCAATGCTTTCATCTTATTCCTAACTTCAAAAAGAAATGACCCAGCCATCTTGCAATAAGCCCAAGCGATGAAGGGGATGCCCCATCAGAGCTGAAGGAAATGATGCCTATAAGCAGGTAAAACCTCCCCACCTGGACCCTAACCTGCCTTTCCTATGATGTCTTATGTTTGCTGATAAGATTACCATAATGGAATAATTCAAATAGAGCTTTCTATTTATAAGAGACTTATAACCATCCTTTTGATGGTTGCCATCAAAAGGAGAAACCAGTAAGGCTTACCTTCTCTATTTGTTTCCTCAGAATACTTCCAGTTTCCTTTAAGTTGGAATCATCTTGTCTCCATTCTTCTCTAAATAAATGCCACAGTCAAAACAGTATGCATAGAATATAGGGTTGCTATTTATATTCAGTAAAATTAAAATTAATGATGTCAGGCTCTAATTCAATAATAGAGTGAAGATGACAGGCCATTTTTTTTAAACTAAGATCTGGACTTTAAATTCCCTGGATACAGTACCGACCTCAGAGCCCCTGACTGAAGTCTTACCTGGCAAAACAAACACCAAGTTATAATAATATTTTATAAATAATAATTTGGAGTAACCAAAAAGTATCAGTGTTCTTGCTCTGTAGGTTGCTAACACCTCATAAATCCTGAACAGATCCTTCCAGAATAGTTTGTACACCATTAGATGGAGGACTCATTACTTGCATAGCAGACATATGCCGTTGAGTCTCTAAGATACTCATCCTCTAGGAATGCTCACTCACAAGAAAATGTGTTCCTCTCAACACAGTCTTGCTGACATTAGAGATTTCCACATTGCAGTCACTAAATAGATTGTACTCTGCTTATTGAAACCCTGAATTGTTTCTGTCCTCTTGTTGCTTTTGTGTCTCTTCACAGTTTCAGGTTCAATAATCCCTTCTTTACTAGTCAGGATAACCAGCTTTCTCTTCATATGCAAAGTACATTAGAAGAGAGTCAGAGCTTCAGACAAAAACAACAGACATCAAAAGATCAGATCAGAAATAGAAAGATGGGCAACTTATTGTCAATAAAAATGGTAATCCGAAAAAGAAACATGCATGAAAACCTCTTTGAAACATGCTATGTGATAAAACAAAATAAGTACTTATTGTAATTATATTTCTACAAGACCGTAATCTAAAAATATTTGCTGCCTGGAGACGCATTTGCCAATTTTCTGAGTGGCATTTTTTATTTAACTGAAAACAATTTTCGTATTTACTCATCAAAGAGAATTTATATCTGTTTTATGAGCCATCTGTTCAAGGAAATGCCATGCACACATTTACAAAAATGAGGAGCAAGCAATTGAGGACTTTAGCCAATGTTTATAGCTTTTGGGTAAGATGAAAAGCTGACAATATGATGAAATTCATGCTTACACAGCAACAACGTGGCAGGTCTGTGCATTCAGAAAGGTGGTCTCGGAGTTCATTCATACAAGTTAAAGCCTTTGTGAACATCTGACAATCAGAGAAAATTCATCTGTGCAATAAAAACATTCAGAGCTCTTTTTAAGCAGGAGACTGAGCAGACTTTTCCTGTGACTCCCAGTAAAGTCTCTGTCCCTCACCTTTCCAACCAGAGGTATTACAGAGGAAATTTCTGGAAAATCCTCAGAGAATGTATAATATATGTCTTTAAAATAATAAAAGCGATATTATCTTTTAATATAGTGAAGAGTGATACCTGAAAACATGGAAATAATTGAAACGATTATTTGAAACCTAATGAAAAAAAATGAATGCATGCATTTTAAATCACAAGTATGAAAGGCCTTAATATAGAAAACAGAATGTGGATTTGCTTGTAGATGATGTTTATGTTACGAATAAAATGAAAATTTATACAAAAGTTTTAAAAACATTCGTGAGCGCCTCTCTGCCCACCCACCCCCACCTAAAAAAAGCAAAAGCACATATTACCAAGCAAGGCCCTAAGGGGTAACGAGTCCTGTCTTTGGTCAACAGGCAAAATCACTGTTGAACAAACTTGTTCTTTATATGAAAACAAGTTATTACCTCCACTGACTCCTGAGGAAAGGCAGGGAGCAGCTGCCCTTGCCGGTGCAGACCCCACAGAGAGGATCTGAGCTCCGCTGCACCAGCTGCTGCCGGCATCGGTGGGCGTGGTCTGGAGGAAGCAACCCACCACCCTTGGCGTGTCTGCGCCCGCGCACAAGGTACTGGGGTTGTCTGTGCAGGTTCCTACCACTGCTGGCTGTTGCTAGGGGAGTAGAAAGTCACTGAGTATCCTAAAAGCAGGGAAAGAAAATCAGGAGTCCTGACAGCAAATGGAATTCACTGAGAACGTTAAACACACGCACACACAATAAAGCAGAAAGTATCTCGGGAGAATTGCCTAAGATTCACAAGGACATTAGAGACATTAGTGTCGACATTAATCTTGAAAGTTCTAACCTCCGCTTCCTTCAAGATACAGCTGGGAATCCTGGTGTAGGTGTAAGGTGTGCAAATTTTCACCCTTCTTTTACTTCATTATAGAACAGTACAGTGGACAACAGAAAGGGCACTGGAGGAAAATTCTTGCATTAAATGAAGGGACTAACTCAGTATTTGCACAAAGATGGAGAATATCAATGGAAAAAAATTAAAGAGAGCTTAAAAACGAACACATGCATATATAGGCAAATAATATATAAGATAAATTAGTGGGGAAATAAATTTTCAATAAATGTAGGGATGTGAATATGCGTCATTGGAAATAAAATCTACCGTCTCACATTACACACATAACCTATTCCAAATGGATCACAGACCTAAATATAAAAACAATTTAATACATTATTTAGAACTTAAAAAGATAGCTTCATGACTGTGGTGAAGAGTAACAATTCTTAAACTAAACCTATAAAGTATTTACTATATAAGATAAAAGATACTCTAACATATTTGATGTGAGCAAGCATTCTGGAAACAGGCTGAGTCAAGCTCAGGTTTTTCTGTTTATTTCTTGTAGGACTTGGGCTTAGATTCAGAATTGGATCACGGGAGTGGTGTTACTGTCTCCCTCCTGAGATGCTGTGAAGATTGAATGAATTAATAATACATCAAGCATGTAGAATAATACCAGGTGTATACAAACCACTGAATGATCATTTGTTAATACTAAAAGCATTTTCTAAAAATTGTATGATGTATCAATCACATCAATTGTAAAATACATCATTATTTTACTGATCACAAAGAATAAAATCACTGACAAACTATGACTCGGATAATACTTATCATTTATAATATGTTATAAATATTGAGAAAACTTTTTATAATTTGTAAAAATATGGATATTTGTTTCAGATTACTTCCATGATTATGTGGGATGGAAAAAAAAAGTTAAGTACAATATATCCACAAAGATATTTCTAAATTTCTCTCATTTGGGTAAAACTCTTCTACGTAACTTTGCAGCTCATCCTCTCCATGACCTTCCCCATATTATCATCATCTGTGTCAATCAGCAGCTTTGGCTATGCCACATTTCTTGTGAGATTCCTAAGTCACTCTCCAGGAGATTATCTTTCCAACCTCCTGACAGCCACTCTGCAGGTTTTGAAGCTGATGATAGCATCATAAGATGTCAATGAAAGGTTTTAGATAAAGTTCATGCATGTTCACATGAGGACAAACACATTATGACTGCCTCCTGGCTAATCCTATTTGACACTATGCATTTTAAGATGCATTTATATTTGAAAGATGTGAAAACATGCACTCTAGCATTAATAGAACACACTATTTTTCCCTCTTACATTTCACAGTGTGAAATCATAGTGGCTCATCTGCCATATTCTGATTCGTTTTCAAGGAAACATGCTTCAATATGAATTTCATATAAGTTGACCAGTTCCACTTACCTTCTACCTAGCTATTAGAATTAGAGATATTAAAGTTACTAGTGGAGTACCAGAATTCCTATTTGACATGTTATACTGAATTATTAAAATTGTATATTGCCTCAGCATCCATTTTGTCTGTAAGATTAACTTGCTCACAACAGAAGCAGGACTTAGTCACCTGTGACACAGTTTCCAGTTCTCTGCTTCCTCCCAGTTCCTTAATGTGATCAATTTGGATATCTATCATGTAGAGTCTATCTATGGGACAGCTAGACACAGCCTACTTTATTCCACACACCAATCCCCACACCCTATGTGGACTGTACAGATATGCCACAGTTGCCATCTCACACAGTGTGACTCCATGGAATTCATGCCTGCTTGCTGTAAAGTGACCAGTTAACACTCCCTGCGGGAAACCTGCTTAGCAACAGGCTTGACCCCAATACAAGTTTTGGCCCACAAGACTCTCTCTCCCTCTGTCTTTGCTCCCCACCTGCTGGCTGTAGGAGTGTGTCCAGGGAAGCTCCTTCCTTCCCGTTTGCCCTCTGAGGTGTGCTGCCTTCTTCTTTATGGGATTTATAAGTCATACACTGTTTCTGTTATTTCATATGGTGAGTTTCCTTCTTTGCATCTCACTTGACCAGCACACCAGAACCTAATTTCTTTTCCAATCAAGGGTCTCCTACACAGTGGCTATCTTGGTAGGAATAAACTGGACCTAGGTAAGACAAAGGACACAAGCATGTCTGCCAGTCCAAACCTTCCCTCTGATGGAACAACTAATCAGGGGTCAGACATTAGGCATTAGGCCATCCACCAGGATAAAGAAGTATCCTGTGATAGGCACATTGTAAACACCATGAGTACCTCCCTTCGAACTCCATTAGGGCAGTGCTAGAGTTTATAGACACCCTCCAGAGACAGGCCCCAAGACCAAACTAGAAATGACAAAAATACAACAAATATGGAGAGGTAATTTTTGTTTGTTTGTTTTGTTTTTGAGACGTATTTTCACTCTTGTCACCCAGGCTGGAGTGCAATGGCACGATCTTGGCTCACTGCAACCTCCGCCCCCCAGGTTCAAGCGATTCTCCTGCCTCAGCCTCCTGAGTAGCTGGGATTACAGGCGCCTGCCACCGCACCTGGCTAATTTTTGTATTTTTTTGTTTGCTTGTCTTTTGTTTTGTTTTGTTTTGTTTCTGTTTTTTGAGAAGAAGTCTTAGTTCTGTTGCCAGGCTGGAGTGCATCTCGGCTCACTGCAATCTCCGCCTCCCAGGTTCAAGCGATTCTCTTGCCTCAGTTTCCTAAGTAGCTGGGACTACAGGCATGCGCCACCACGCCCAGCTAATTTTTTGTATTTTTTAGTAGAGACAGGGTTTTGCCATGTTGGCCAGGATGATCTCGATCTCTTGACCTCGTGATCCACCTGCCTCCCAAAGTGCTGGGATTACAGGTGTGAGCCACCATGCCTAGCCATTTTTGTATTTTTTTGTAGAGACAGGGTTTCACCATTTTGGCCAAGCTGGTCTCAAACTCCTGACCTCAGGTGATCTGCCCATCTCGGCCTCCCAAAGTGCTGGGATTACAGGCATGAGCCACTGCACCTGGCCAGACAGGTAATTTTATAACATAAGGTTCCAAAAGTTTCCGGAGAAGGAATATAATGCCAAAGGGTTCGATGAAAGTTTGCATAAGAGTGGTAATCTAAAGATTTAGAAAACGTTGTGTCTTGAGAAATCCTGTTCTAATCTTAAAAAATATGAGCAATACTCCCTATAAGTGGCACTCCAAGTCTAATTATTCAATCTAATAGATATACATTAGTATATCTATATTTTAGATATAGATTCACATTCACAGTAGTCCTTCTAATCACACGGTCAGCATACAATGGCTTTATGATCAATCAGCACAGAAGTAGATGTATTATGTTTTCCATAAAATGTTTTCTCTTCCCCATTGCTACTATGAACAACCCTATTTTTGGGTAATTGATTATCTAATGGGCTTTCATGTTCCCTGATTAATATATGGAGTAAATCATAAATTCATATAATTAATGATTTAATGACTTAGGATGTTGAATGCATTTACACCTAGAGTTGGAGGCTTCAGGAAGGCTGAATTAAGATAACAGCAAGTCCTGATCTTCACTGGACTCTATCTTCTATTCAGGCTGCTGTGGAGACAGGGTGTAGGGTTCTTACCTCACGACGTGGTCTGACTTTGGGATGTTTTCAATAGCATCTTTCTGAGAATTCTAGTGTCCAGGCCAGCTCTGTGAAATCGACTCTCCTTTAGTGGGTTATGGGGAATCAAATCTTCTGCACTATCAGAGAGTCATGTTTGGGCATCTGGTGCTCAGGACTGTGTCCTCTGTGCCTGAGATATCATATTGGTACAGTTTTGTGTCTATTACCTGCCACATCTTAACCTTTAGTACTTGGTGCTTGATGACCGCTCATTGGCCAGGTTGAGGTGGGTCCCTTCTTGTTCACATCTACTTGTGGCTGTTCATCTCCTGTAACTTTGCTCCTCCACCTTTTTTTTTCTGAAAAGTTTGGTCAGGGATAATATTCATAATCTACATCATCATATATTTTAATGTATACATTAAAAGGAAAATGAGATTTGACAAGTCACTTAGCTATTATGGAGGCTCCAGTTAAAATAAAATGAACTGAATAACTCTCCATGTTTTAAGATTAGGAATTTAAATAAGTCTGTCTTTTCTCAAGGAGTGGAGTATCAGCTCAGAGGGGTGACAAGGTGTCTTAATTTATAAACGCCCCAAATCATAGCCCCTAAATATTTGCTATCCCAATCTCAGAAGCAATGCATGTGGTCTGGGTTAGCTGTATCTCTCACTCCAAGTCCCCAAGCCTCAGGAGCTAGCTTTATCCCTGAAGCTATGAATGTGTATGGAGAATATACCTCATTATTACAGACAGTAAATATAGGAGTCTTGACTTGGTAAATGTCCATGGTAGTGCGTTCCCATGTCGTGGCAGGCTTTGTGGGCATGGCTCCTGCACACAGCCCTGGTGATACACAGCAGAGTGCTGTGGCCTGTGAACAGGGAGCTGTGTGGGGGATGAGGGGACAGTCCTCCCTGCTGTGGGAATCTTTGTTTAGCCAGTATATATGCAGAGTCACCATTCAGCCTGTGTCCATCTCTTAGATCACTGCATGGTGTGTTGGGGATACACTGTATGTGTGTTGTTCTTCTATTTTTTGTTTTCCTTGCTAAGATTTTTCTATCTGTGAACAACAAATTATGAATCACTAATTTGCCTTCATTAGCCAAGAACCTGGTGTATAAAGATTCATTTCCAGGTCTGTGTAAGCAGGAACTGGCCTAAACCACCATGTATACAAGTTTTTTTGTTTTGTTTTTTTTTTTTTTGAGATGGATTCTCGCCCTGTTGCCCAGGCTGGAGTGCAGTGGTGCAATCTCGGCTCACTGTAACCTCCGCCTTCTGGGTTCAAGCAATTCTCCTGCCTCAGCCTCCTGAGTAGCTAGTATTGCAGGTGCGCGCCATCATGCCTGGCTAATTTTTGTAGTAGACAGGGGGTTTCACCATGTTGGCCAGGCTGATCTCCAACTCTTGACCTCGTGATCTGCCTGCCTCGGCCTCCCAAAGTGCTGGGATTATAGGTGTGAGCCACTGCACCCGGCCACAAGCTTTCTTTTTTAAAGCTAGCCTACCTGCTACCATGATGATATCTATTATGTGGCTTTGAAGCTTGACAATGCATAATTTAATTCCATGATAAGAGTGTCAGTGAAATACCTGAACCCAGAAAATTCCAGAAAAGTCTTACAATAAACAGAATTGAATTATTACAGGGTTTTATTATAGGGCTGAAAGTATGGTTGTCTTTTGGAAACTTGGAAGAAGGAAACCCTGTACCAGGGAAATACTCTCCTGAATTCAGAAATAAAATTTATGTTCTCCATAATTGAAATTTCTCAGTATTAGCTTTTAATGTCCAGAAGTCATGTGTTCCAAAGAGGCTTTAGTGGTATCCTGCAGATTCACTTACAGATGTTGTCTGAAAATGGGGTTTTCTGGGATAGGTGATGCATGGCCACCACTCTTTGAAGAAGTGGTTACTGACACACAAACTGGTGACTGGGTATTGGGGAGTGTGATGGTAAGGAAAAAAAACTGATGAGTTGAGGAGGTTTTCTTGAAGAAAACTTTTTTTCTTCTTGTGAATAGGTAAGAAGAACTATTTTTCCCATTTTCTATCTGCATGCCTATTAATCTCCTTAGTGCAATGGGGTTTTTAACTATCTTCGTTTTTCTGTACCAAAATAATACTTATTTATTTTGAAATAATTTTAGGTTTGGAGCCTGTTGCAACAATAGTATAGAGAGTTTTATATATGCTTCAGCTTCCTGTAACGTTAACATTGTATATAACCATAGTATATTTATGGAAACTGAGAAATTGGCAATGATACAAAACTAGTAACTCAACCATGGAATTTCCTCAGATTTTGCCACGTTCTCTACTAATGCTATTTCTCTGTTCCAGGATCCAATATGTGATACCATATTAAATTTACTGTCAGGTGTATTACCTATTTATTGCAGCATAACAAATTAGCACATAACTTAGTACATAAAACCTCGCACCCATGTATCATCTCACAGTTTCTCCAGGTCAGGAACCCAGATGTAGTTGATGGCCAAGGCTAAGGTCTCAACTGAAGGCTCAAGTCATACGGATCCTCCTCTCAGCTCACACAATTGCTGTTAGGATCCAAATCTTGTCCAGGTCAAGATGACTTTACTGATGAATTATTCCAAAAGTTTAAATATTTAATATTAAATCTTCAAAAAACCCTTACAAATAAAACCAAAATACAGAATGGAACAGATCACTCAACTCATTTGTAAGGCTAGTTTGCCCTTAGACTACAACCAGAAAAAGGTATTACATGAAAGGAAAATTACAGACTAACATGCTTTATGAATACAGAGGCAAAAATTCTCAAGGAAATACAAGCAAATTAAATCCTGTTGATATAGAAGTGGGGCAAGGAAGCGCTGGGAAGGAAAAGGTGTGGTCCCAGGCTAGGGCTCCACTCCTGGGCCTGTGCCCATGGACCTAGGTGAGGACAGGCATTTCTGTTTTCCTGCCCAAATGTTGCATTTCCCAAGACCACCCTGGCCTGCCATGTCCCCATCCTGTGGCTATAAAAATCCCGAGACCCTTGCGGGCAGAGACACAAGTGGCTGGACGTCAAGAGGACGTTGAGGGGAGCATGCCAGCAGAAGAGCACACTGACAGATGCCAGCAGGCCAGCAGGCCATCGACCAGCAGAACGACACAGTTTGGCCGGGGTAGTTGGAGAAGAGCCCCAGCTGCTAAGTGGCCCGACTTCAGGGGAAAACCACCTTCCCACTCCATCACCCTTCTGGCTCCCCCATCTGTTGAGAGCTACGTCTGCTCAATAAGATCTTGCGCTCATTCTCCAAGCCCACGTGTCCTCCAATTCTCCCAGCCGGGATACAGAAAGCCTTTTGTCCTCGCAATAAGGCAGAAGGTCTAATTGAGCTGACTAACCCAAGACACCTGCGACAGCTAAACTAAAAGAGCACCCTGTAAAACATGCCCACTGGGGCCTCAGGAGCTGTAAACATTCACCCCTAGACACTGCTGTGGGGTAGGAGCCCCACAACTGGCCCGTCTGTATGCTCCCTCTAGGGGTTTGAGCAGCAGGGCACTGAAGAAGCTAGCCACTCCCACATCGCATGCCCTGAGAGGGGGTAAGGGAACTTCTGCGACTTAAAGGGATTTTCCTAAGCATGAACATTTTTTTCCAATATACAAATACGAAAAAAATAAAATAAATAAAAACAAGTAAGGCTGGGCACGGTGGCTCACATCTGTAATCCCAGCACTTTGGGAGGCAAAGGCAGGAGGATCGCTTGAGCTCAGATGTTCGAGGCTCCAGTGAGCTATGATCACACCACTGCACTCCATCCTAGGTGACAGAGTGAAACCCCCATCTCTCTCTAAATAATTTTTTTAAAAGATAAGTGGAAAAATCCCATCTCCATTGATCAGAAGGCTTGATATTGTTAAGATGACAATACTTACACAAATAGTTCAATGCAGCTTTACGGGTTCAATGCAAGTTATCTCTTCAAAAATTGGTCAAAATCCCAGCTGCCTTATTGTTTGCAATAATTTACAAGCTGATTCTAAAATTTGTATGGAAATGCAAGAGATCCGAAAAAGTGAAAAGCAATCTAGAAGAAGAAATATATGCCAGCACTTTGGGAGGCCAAGGTGGGAGGATCACTTGAAACCAGGAGATTGAGACCAGCCTTGGCTTACTACAAAGTGATAGTAATCAAGACAGTGTGCTATTGCTTAGTACAAAGACAGACATACAGATCAATGCAATGGAATTGAGAGCCCCAAAATTAACCCTTACACTTGTAGTCAAGATTTTACAATGTTACCAAAACAATTCAATTTGCAAAAATATTTTTTTCAACAAATGTTGCTGGCACAAATGGATAGCTACATGCAAGTTGGATGCCAATATACCTAAGTGACTCAAAATGGATCATAGACATAAATGTAAGCACTAAAACTACAAACCCAAATAGGATAACATTGGTATAAATTTCTCTGGTCTTGGATTAAATAATGCTTTCTAGAATATGACACCAAAAAAACTGACAAAAAATAGATAAATTCACAAGAAAAGCTGTTTAATACCTTTAGTCATTAGGTGATATAGTTTGGATATTTATCCCTTCCAAATATAATGTTGAAATGTGATCCCCAGTGTTGGAGTTGGGGTCCGGTGAAATGACCCATGGGGTGGATCCCTTATGAATGGCTTGGTGTTGTCCTTGTGGTAATGACTTAGTTATCACTCTATTAGGTTACCAAAAGATCTGATTGTTAAAAACAGCCTGGCACCTCCCCTACTCTCTCTTGCTGTTTCTCTTGTCATGTGACAAGCCTGCTTCCCCTTTGCCTTCCACCATGATTGGAAGCTTCCTAAGGCCCACACAAGATGCTGCCAACAACACTATGCTTCTTACACAGTTTTCAGAACTCTGAGCCAAATAAACCTCTTCGCTTTATAAATTAACCCAGATTTAGGTATTCCTTTACAGCAATGCAAAATGGACTAATACATTAGGGAAGTGCAAGTCTAAACCACCATGAAATGTACTGCACAAATCTTAAAGGCATATTGCTAAGTGAAATAACCCAGTTTGAAAAGACCACATCTCTATATTTCAGTTTATATGAAGCTCTTGAGTAGATGAAACTATAGAGATTATAAAATACTAGTGTCTACCAGGGACTTAGGAGAGAGAAAGGTCGAATGGGTGAGGTACTGGGAGTTCTTAGGGCAGTGAAAAGTTTCTATAATGAAACTGCAATGGTGAACACATGATACTGTATTTCAAATTCCACAGAACTTTATGACACAAACAGTGAACCTAAATATATGCAAATTAAAAAATATTTAGTAAGTTGGGGTTTCCTAGGGAGGGATGCTAACAAAATGAAATAAGTGTACTAAACATGCATAAAATAATCTCACTGAAGGGAGTGGAGGGGGAAAGGGGGGTGGCTTATAAGTACAGATTCTAAATCCAAAGGCTTAAAGACATATATAACCACTGTACTTATTTAGTAAAGTTGTTTCCCAAGAGGATATGAATTATTGATTCTGAAACAGCAATATATGTATTTTGGAACTGAATGATAAAGGAAATGGAGTCAAATTTCTCATGGTTAGAGTATGAGGTTACATATAAGACAGTGAGAGTGGGTAGATTTATTCAGATTAATTCATGTGCTACTGGATTAGGTCATGTGTGCTGGAGACATTAATAGAAATTCATGTTTAATTTAATATAGATAATATGGACATGTGTAGAAATATTTGTAGAAATGAGTACACGTGTGAGCTACTGTAAAACCAAATATTTATTTGCTTTTTCATCTGACAAGGTCTGTGCCAAATTGCACACACTGTGTCCACATCTTCATTTCCAATAGCATTTTCCAATAAATGAATCAGGTCTCCCTGAAGAAATGGTGAATACTAGCCATGGGAAGGGAATAAACACAATGACCCTGGAGCATAAGGTAGTGCTAGAAACCAAGAAAAATTTAAACAAAACCACAACAACACAAGCAAACAAAGAAACAAAATCAAACCACAATGATATGTGTATTTCAAAATGAAAGAAGAGCCAACTGAAAGACCTTCCAATGAACAACAATGGAAAAATCTGAGCAACAAATAAATAAAACAGTATAAGAATAAAATAAATATCCAAGATTTCATGTTCATATACATGAATAAATAAGTAAAATGATGGAGAACAGATAAATTATCAAAGCTGAATAAAATTCCAAATGGTTTTTGTAGTAACCTGCCCATGAGGAAGTGGAGCTTGACTCTCCTCTGCTCAGTACGTGCAGGGCACAGGGACTTCTTTTCAAAACATATCACATAGAAAGGGGAATAAATGGTGATTACATATGGTATAAATCTGATAAAACTACTCCATCCAGATGATCAAATTAATATCAATCATGATAAAGCATGTTGATAGTACATAACCTTGATATGGTATGAAGAGAATGGCACGTTCCTTCTGTGGTCTTCTTCCCCTTCACCCTTAACACCTGTCTAAATATGAGAAAAACAGCAGACAAATCCCACGTGAGCAATGCCAATGTCATCACTAACACAGAAAGCCTGACAAACTCTCACAGCCAAAAGGAGCCTAAAGAAACTTGATATCTAAATGTGATGTATCCTGGATGGGATCTGGGAGAGTAAATTGACATTAAGTAAAATCTAAGGAAATGGGAATAATGTTTAGATGTTAGTGAATGATCATATATATGAGTTCATTAATCATGACAAATGTGCCCCACTAATGTAAAAGGTGAACAATAAGGGAATCTATGTGCTGGTATGTGGAAATTATTTTCAAAACTGTTATGTAAACATAAAACTATTCTAAATAAAAAATATAGTTCTCATTTTTTTAAAAATTTCACTGTGAGTTTAGTAAACAAGTTATTAGAAATATAGCTGATGCCGGAGATCAACACCATCCTGGCTAACACGGTGAAACCCCGTCTCTACTGAAAAAAAAAAAAAATACAAAAAATTAGCCAGGCGTGATGACAGGCCCCTGTAGTCCCAGCTACTCGGGAGGCTGAGGCAGGAGAATGGCATGAACCTGGGAGGCGGAGCTTGCAGTGAGCTGAGATCGTGCCACAGCACTCCAGCCTGGACAACAGAGCGAGACTCCATCTCAAAAGAAATAAAAAAATAAAAAAAGACATATAGCTGATGCCCCCAGAGTGCATCTCCCTAATTCCATACATTCCTTACCCACTGAAGGTAAGATGAATTCTCTATTTCTTATTTCCTGCTTTTCTTTATTATTTTTCTCTCTAGGTTTGTATTTGTAAGTAATGTATACTCAATATTTATTGTCTTCAAACTTAGATATATGCCAGTGTCTAAATTAATCCATATTCCTAGTTTAATTGTGAGAAACCATCAGACAAACCCATATTGTGGGACATTCTATAAAATGCCTGACCAATGTTTTTCAAAAGGGTCAAATAAAAATATACAAATAAGCGAAGATTAAGAAACTGTTGCAGATTGCAGAAGACTTGATACGGCAGGTACACCCTATGATGGCACCCAAAGATCCCCTCCTCTTGATGTACACAACCTTATATTCAAATCCTTTCCATTTGAGTGAGGTCAGAAAATGTGACTGCTTTAAGACATTTATGCAGCCAAAAAACACATGAAAAAATGCTCACCATCACTGGCCATCAGAGAAATGCAAATCAAAACCACAATGAGATACCATCTCACACCAGTTAGAATGGCAATCATTAAAAAGTCAGGAAACAACAGGTGCTGGAGAGGATGTGGAGAAATAGGAACACTTTTACACTGTTGGTGGGACTGTAAACTAGTTCAACCATTGTGGAAGTCAGTGTGGCGATTCCTCAGGGATCTAGAACTAGAAATACCATTTGACCCAGCCATCCCATTACTGGGTATACACCCAAAGGACTATAAATCATGCTGCTATAAAGACACATGCACATGTATGTTTATTGTGGCATTATTCACAATAGCAAAGACTTGGAACCAACCTAAATGTCCAACAATGATAGACTGGACTAAGAAAATATGGCACATATACACCATGGAATACTATGCAGCCATAAAAAATGATGAGTTCATGTCCTTTGTAGGGACATGGATGAAATTGGAAATCATCATTCTCAGTAAACTATTGCAAGAACAAAAAAACAAACACCGCACATTCTCACTCATAGGTGGGAATTGAACAATGAGAACACATGGACACAGGAAGGGGAACATCACACTCTGGGGACTGTTGTGGGGTGGGGGGAGGGGGGAGGGATAGCATTGGGAGATATACCTAATGCTAGATGACGAGTTAGTGGGTGCAGCGCCGCAGCATGGCACATGTATACATATGTAACTAACCGGCACATTGTGCACATGTACCCTAGAACTTAAAGTATAATAATAATAAATAAATAAAAGATTTAACCAGAAAAAAAATGGAATATTGAAAGGCAAGGAAATATCATGTGGGTGATTATGTTACATAAGATTGTGATGTCTGTCTTACTAGCAAGCTCTCTTCCTTGATGGCTATGAGGGTGTATCCTGTCATGTGGGAGAAGCCAACATAGAATGGAACTGAAAGCAGCCTCTGGTCAATAGCCAAGCAAGAAATTGAGGCCCTTGTTCCAACAGACTGCCTTTGTGTTTTCAATACACATCTACAACAAACCCATGCTACCTTTCACACAGTGCTTCACAGGTAAGATGAGTACCATATCACACCAAAATAATCCCAATTCCTCCCTCCCATTCATTGTATTGTTGCTGTCATTATTGCCTGTGTATAATAATGCTTTTATACATATATATGCACAGATCATATCAAGCATATAGATAGATATAGACATATTTCAGGCATACTATATATATATGTATCAAGAATAAAGAAGGGCATTACAAAGTGAAAAATGGGTTAATTTTCCAAGATGTAACAATCCTTAACATGTATGTACCTAAAAGTGAACATCAAACTATGTGAAGGAGATCCTGATGGAACCACAAGGAGAAACAGATTAATCCAATATCATACCTGGATACTTCACCACTTGACTATTAGAAATGGACAAATCCAGCAGGCAGAAAATCTGTAAGGATATAGCTGAACTCGACAGTACCATCAATCAACTGTATATAATTATTATCTATCAACTATCTTATCCAACAATGAAAAAACGCACAATCTTTTTAAGACCACATAGACCATTAACCAAGCTAGGCAATATTTTTGGCCACAAAATCCAACTAAACAAATTTAAAATAGTAAATGCCATGCAATGTCTGCTCTTGGACCACAGTGGTGTTAAAGTCGAAATCAACATGAGAACAAACACTGAAAAATTCCAAAATTTGTAGTGATTAAACACACTTCAAATAACACATAGGTTAAAAAAAAAAAAGATTTAAAAATATTCTGAACTAAACGAGTGGAATTGAATGAAAGCAGAGGTTAAATTTCCAGCCCTGAATACATGTATGAGGAAGGAAGATACAACTGAAGTAAAAATGAACAAAGTTTCAACCATAGGACCCATAAAGAGGGAACACATTTCCAAAATTAGGCAGAAGAAAAGAGACATGCTAAGGCAGTAAAAACAGAACGGAAGCCACAGCGTTTTAAAAATGAATAATGATCGCTTCATAATTTCCAGAACACAGAAGTACCCAAATTTAACAAGAAACACACAACACCCCTTAAGGGGATGCAGAGGTGAGCCCCCATATGGGAAACAGTAATATTCAACAATGATCGACCAAACTTTGGGAGGCTGAGACGGGCAGATCACCTGAGGTCAGGAGTTTGAGACCAGCCTGACCAACATGGCGAAACCCCGTCTGTACTAAAAATACAAAAATTAAGTGGGTGTGGTGGCAGGAGAATTGCTTGAACCCGGTAGGTGGAGGTTGCAGTGAGCCGAGATCGCGCCACTGGACAGAGAGAGACTTTGTCTTAAAACAAACAAAACTAAACTAAAACTAAAACAAAAATAACCAATCAAAAGCATGCTAAGGCAGGGTTATTTCATTTATTTACTAAACTGGCAAATACTTTAAATATAATCCACCAATAAAAAAAATTAGGTAAGAGGCCAGGCGCCGTGGCTCACGCCTATAATCCCAGCACTTTGGGAGGCCGAGGCGCGCAGATCACCTGAGGTCAGGAGTTCGAGACCAGCCTGGGCAACATGATGAAGCCCCATCTCTACTAAAAATACAAAAATTGGCGTGGTGGCGGGCGCCTGTCATCCCAGCTACTCGGGAGGCTGAGGCAGGAGAATCGCTTGAACCCCGGGGGCGGCGTTGCAGCTTGTGTGCGAAATAGCACCACTGCACTCCAGCCTGGGCTACAAGAGTGAAACTCTGAAAAAATAAAAAAAGAAAGAAAGAGAGAGAAAGAAAGAAGGAGAAAGAGAAAGAAAGAAAAGAAAGAAAGGAGAAATTTAGGTAAGAAACTACAAATACATACACGTAAAGGGGGACATGTCTTAGAAGAGGAAACTGCAAGTATCTCTTAGGCTCAGAGGCACGCGAGGAAATGATGGGTTTTGAATGAAAATATCAAAGATTGAGGACATACAGACACAAATGGATGAACGTGCGTATGTCCACAAAGAAGCACCCCAGAACGCCACCGCGCCCTCTGCCCCTTCCTGCGCACCGCTTCCCGCGCCCGGTCCGCCTCGCCTGTGCATTCTGCCGGGTCTGGTCTCAGCGCAGCCGCTCCGCTCTCTGCACTTCCGGTCAGGCTGCGCCCAGCCCATCCGGTGTGGACGCCAGTTGGCGCACTGAGCGGGTCAGCCTGAATTCTGAATTTCCTCAGCTGTGGACCCCACCTGCACCCGAGGAGAGAGCCTCCACCCCTGTGGGATGAGGGGCTCTTAGGGCAAGGGAGTTGGATGGTGGGTTCTGAGCGAAAGGGAGGAGAACAAGAGAATCCAAGGTCCCTGAGCCTGCCCATCTGCAAGCGCAGGGACCCTGCCTGCCCCTCTCCTATCTTGCTCCTCCTCAGACCCCGCCCCACCTGCTGATGCCCAAAAGCCTCCTCGGTGAGCAGGGACCGTCCTGACTCATTCTGTTTTCTTAAGGCAGACCTCGTGGGGTACCATTTTAAGGAATAAGACCCAGACATTCAAATCCACAGTATGCAGTCTGTGCAGTGCTCAGGGAGGGGCCCTCACTTCCCTGCCCAGTCCCTTCCTGCTCCTGCCTCCTCACGTATTACTCATCCCTGCGGTCCTTCCAATCCACTGCCCTCTTCTCATGCCCTGGCCTGTTCCACAGACACACTATTTCTTCTTCCCTTTACCTCCCCTATCTGCTGGACGTACTGCTCCCCACTCTCCAGCATCTCCTGCAATGCTCCTTCTCCTGGAGGCCCCACTTGTCCATCCCATTCCAGGCCTGATGCCTGTCCCATGAGTTCCCAAGGGCAGCTCTTCAAACTACAATTTAGAATTCTTTCAAGCTTTCTGAATCCCCTCTTGTCTGAAATATCAGAGAATATGGAAACTTTGCCCATGTGTTCCCCTATGTGCCCCACACATGTAAATGCACCAAAAGCAACACAGAAGAGTCTCCTCTATATTGTTTCACTAGTGAATTCATAAGAATCTGACCCTCTCTACGTCTATTCTTGCTAAATTCAAAATAAACTCCATGTCTCTTTCAGTCTGAGGAAGACTTGAAATTGAAGATGGGCATGTTTCTTTTCCTCTCTTCTGTTTTCAGGTCAGGATGTGAGCCCTGACTCCCCTCAGCCTCTTCTCCAGCCTCCCCATCCTGAATCCACTGCAGAGCACCTCTCATGGGCCACACTGTTTCTGCCTCATCTGAATTCCTTCTGTCCTTCTGGACCGTGTTGCCTGCCCCGCCTGCCCACCCACCACACCAAGTAAAATATTGTTTTCTAGATTTTGCTCTATTAATATGGATCCCTTGATAAATATTTCCCAATGCTTATTACTTACCCTATGTCACCAATTTTAGTATTGCTGTTTTTCAAATTTTGTCAGAATCACTGTTAGCCTCCTGTGAGCCATGACATGGTGTTTGTTGTCTACACATGGATGAACTTGTCTTGGAATTATCTGCTGCCCCCTTCCGGTGAGATCATCTGCATCAAAACTTGAACATAGGTGTCAGCAGGAGATGTGGAAATCACAAGGACAATGGTGAGGCCTCTTATATTCAGAAAGGTCTCATTGTCGACCATCCTGGCCAACATGGTGAAACCCCGTCTCTACTAAAATACAAAAAATTAGCCAAGTGTAAGTCCTAGCTACTCAGGAAGCTGAGGCAAGGGAATCTCTTGAACCTGGGAGGAGGAGGTTGCAGTGAGCCGAGATTGCACCACTGCACCCCAGTCTGGCAACAGAGCAAGACTCCATCTCAAAGAAAAAAAAAAGAAAGGTCTCATCTTCTTGCAACACAGAGTGATGTTAAGTCATCCATGACTCTGGATCAAAATCTAATTCAGAACAATCAGAATCATAATTTCAAGATATTTATGAATACATATATGAATTAATTTTAATATTGATTTCATTTTTATGTGAATAACTTATGCCTTTATAATTATAGAATAGCTCATTTAATATGTATAAAATAAGGATATTGTATTTATAATCATTTGATTTACAGATATTATCCCTTCTTTTAGATCCATCTTAAACCTTTCATTCATTTGACATAGAGTTGATGTCCCCCAATGAGATTCCTACAAAAACAGTGTATTGATCAATTGATCAATTCTGACCTTTTTTTTTTTTTTTTTTTTGAGATGGAGTGTCACTCTGTGGCCCAGGCTGGAGTTCAATGAGCGATCTCGGCTAACTGCAACCTCTGCCTCCCAGGTTCAAGTGATTCTCCTGCCTCAGCCTCCCGATAGCTGGGATTACAGGCTCCCACCACCACACCCAGCTAATTTTTATATTTTTAGTAGAGACGGGGTTTCACCATGTTGGCCAGGCTGGTCCCGACCTCCTGACCTCAGGTGATCCACCTGCCTCAGCCTTTCAAAGTGCTGGGATTACAGGCGTGAGCCACCGCACCAGGCTTGACCTCCTCTTAAGTGTTACAAATGACAGTTCACTTGTCTGTCTTTCTCTGTGTTTGTTCTCATTGTTCCTTATGCACCTTAATATTGCCAGTTCTAAGTGTACAGCAAGAAGTATAGCAATTATTGAATAATTGTAGATAGAATGAATGAAAATCCTTTGGAAATACTGAGGGATTAGATTTGCCTCACTACATATAAAGATTAAAAATGGACAAGTATATTAAACCATGGTTTAAAATATCCTGTGCATCAAGCAAGGAAGGACATTGATACCAGAGAGACATGAAACACTTATGTGAGCCCTACTATTTCCTCAGCTTGATGCTTTAAGAAAGTTTCCTGGCTGTGGTTTGGCAAGGATCTTGGATGACTTTCTGAATTCGGAAGATGGAACTGAAAGCCTGGAAAATCAATGTCATCAAATTGCATCAAGCCAGTCTCCACGTCCAGTATCAAGAATGAAAGACAATAATCATACCAGCTCTTATGAGACAGTGTTGCTATGTGCCATCATTATTCTATGAGATATGGGTTACAGAACTATGGGAACAGTTCAGAAAAACAGGAAACAGCATAAGACATTTGAAAGAACTTGGCCTTTGGCTGGGTGCAGTGGCTCACACCTGTAATCCCAACACTTTGGGAGGCCAAGGAGGGCGGATCACGAGGTCAGGAGATCGAGACCATCCTGGCCAACATGGTGAAACCCCGTCTCTACTAAAAATACAAAAATTAGCTAGGCATGGTGGTGCATGCCTGTAGTCCCAGTTACTTGGGAGGCTGAGGAAGGAGAATCACTTGAACCCTAGAGGCGGAGGTTGCAGTCAGTGAGCCAATATTGCACACTCCAGGCTGCGCTCCAGCCTGATGACAAAACGAGACTCAGTCTCAAAAAAAAAAAAGGACTTGGCCTTCAACCTTTTCATCATACTCCTGTCTGAAAAACAGACAGAGGTCTTTATATCACAAGGCCAGCTAGGGCATGACAAGCCCAGGATGAAGGGCAATCCATTATTGATGCAGGAAAAGATGTGTGTAAGTAGGCTGAACCACCCCACGTGGACCCCACCTGGCACTTCCTGTGATATTTTTGGTTATGTGTGGCTGATATTTAAAAAGACTATATTTAGTTATGTATGGCTGATATTACTATTGTCAAAAAAGAGTAACATTTACCTTGTTTTATCAAGGCAAATGGTGGCAGGCCTGAATTCAACAATAGAGTTGTCTCTAAAAGAAAGACAAGGGGCTTGCCTCGAAAAAATTTTGTTTAAAATGCTCTTTCTCTGTTTGTTGCTAACATCTCATAAATCTTGTACAAATGTCTCTCATTTCCCCAGAATAATTTAAAGACCATTATACTAAGGATTTCATTACTTGAGTAGCAGACTATATAATTAATACATTTAAGTAGAGCTTTCTATTTATAAGAGCAGAACACAATTATCAACAAAAGAAGGAGAAACCAGTAAGGCGTATCTCCTCTATTTATTTCCCCGGAAAAACTCCAGTTTCATTTAAATTGGGAAATCATCTTCCTTTGCCTTTCACTACACAAATGCCACAGTCCACGTAGTTAGCATGGAATATAGAGTTGCTCTTTATACTAAGTTATATCAAGGTAAACGGTGGCAGGCCTGAATTCAACAATAGAGTGAAAATCTTTTAGGATCCTGTCTTGAAATTATCTGTATACAGTACTAAGGGTCAGTGTCTCTAACCGCGGCATTGCCTGGTAAAACAAATGCCCATCTATTAATTTGGTGTGAAAGTACTCATCAAGTATCTGTGCTAGCTAGGCATGGTGGCATGCACCTGTAGGCCCAGATACTCAGGAGACTGAGGCAGGAGGATAGCTTGAGCTTAAGAGTTCAAAGCTGCAGTGAGCTATCATCAACACACTGCACTCCAGCCTGAGCAATAAAGCAAGGCTTGTCTCTAATTTTTTTAAATGCTGTTGTTCTGTTTGTTGCTAAAATCTCATAAATCTTGTACAAATGTCCTTCATTCCCCCAGAAATAATTCAAAAAATATATTGAGGATTTCATTACTTGAATAGCAGACACACGCTGTAGAGTATAAGAGACCCACTTTGAAGGAAAACTTCTTTCACAAGATAATTTGTTCCCCTCAACACTGTCGTGCTGGCACTGGGACACTCAACAACCTTGCAAACCCGAAATAAATCCTAGTCTTCTGGTTGGAGTTCTGAATTGTTTCTGCCTTCTTGCTTTTGTGTCTCCTGGTAGTTTCAGGTGAGAAATCCCATCATCACAAGCCAAGACACTCAGCCATCTAATCACATACCAACTTCATTAGAGTCACCCGAAAGTTTCAGGCTAAAATAATGGACATCAGTAGACCCACTAAATAGAAAATGCGGGTAAATTATTGAATAAGTGAACAAAAATGATCATCTATAAGGGTCATAAACATGAAAACCTTTTACAATATTATGCTAGTAGATAAAAGAAAGTAAATAAAATATTTCAATTCCTTTATACCAGACCATATTACAAAAATATGTGCTGGCTGGAGACGTAGGTACACATTATCTGAGTGGCTTTTTTTTGTTTTGTTTTTTTAACTAAAAACTATTTTAACGTTCACTCAATGAAAAGTAAGAAAGAACACATGTCTACATAATGGATCATCTGTACCAGTAGCTATAATATTATGGAGACATTTACAAAAATGTGGTACAAGGAATCAAGTATGACAGGCAATGCATACAGCTTTTGGGTAAGGAGAAAAGCAAAGAATATGATGATATTCACACTTGCAAAGTGTCGGTTCTGCACACTCAGAAGGCGTTTCTAGAAAACACTAACAGAGAATGTGCACCATCTGTCTTTCCTAATAAAAGTGATCTTCCCTTTCAACTTAGGAAAAAGTGATGCTTGAAAAGATGAAAATAATTGAAAAAGATTTTTTGAAACATTATTATGAATGTATTTTTAAATACAGATATGAAAGGTATTAATATACAATATAAACATACAAATTCAGTTGTAGATAATGTTTATATATGCCCCCCTAAAATATACATAAGTGTTGAAGATATGTGCATGCCAAGACAAACAGCGAGAGCATATATTTCAAAGCAAGGCCTGAGTGGGCATGTGTTTGGGGTCAGCAAGCAAGATGATTGTTGAACAAACTTGATCTTTATGCAAAATAATGGAATTGCCCAATCGACCTCAGAGAGAAGGCAGGGGGCAACTGGTCTTGCTCCTGCAGATCCCACAACAGGCTCTGAGCTCAGATGCACAGGCTGTGGCCCCATCCTTGGCAGATGTGGTCCAGAGAAGGAGCAGGACCAACCATCGGAGCATCTGTGCTTCCAAGGGAGACACGCAGAGGTGTCTGTGTATGTTCCTTCCCTGCTGGCTGCTGCTCTCAGAGTAGAAAGTTCCTAAGGCTCCAGAAAGCAGGGAAGGGAAATGAGGAGGCGAGAGATTGAATGAAATTCAGCGAGAATGTACTAAAAAAAAACAAAGTTGGAAGTGGCATGGGAGGACTGCCTAAGATTCACAAGGGTGTTAAAGACATAAGCAACAGTTAGTAGTGTTGTAAAATTCTAAAATATCCTTATTTGCGGTACAACTGGGAATATCAGTGTAGGTACAGGGCATGGAGGTTTTACTCTTCTTTTTCTTTATGACACCATAACACAGTGTTTAAGAAAATGGGCTTTGAGGGAAAAATTCTTCTGTTAAATGAACTTTCTTAAGAACAAGACAGTGTGGTATGTGCACAGAGATAGAAAAATAAATCAATGAAAAAAATAAGAGAGTTAAAACACACACACACACACACACACACACACACACACACATGCATATCTAAGCAATTTATAAAAGGAGAAAATTGGGAAAAGACTAGTTATCAATACTGTTCCAGGAAATGGAATATCCATACAGGGGAAATAAAATCTGACCTTTGAGCTCATGTTACACACAAAAAGCAATTCCAGGTGGATCACAAACTTCAAATACAAAAACAATTTCCAGTAGTTAGACCCTAACTTAGGAAAATAACTTTATTACCGTGATATTTCTTTTCTTTCTTTTTTTTTTTTTTTTTTTGAGATGGAGTCTCGCTGAAGTGCAGTGGCACAATCTCGGCTAGCTGCAACATCTGCCTCCCATGTTCAAGTGATTCTCCTGTCTCAGCCTCCTGAGTAGCTGGGATTACAGGCATGCACCACCATGCCTGGCTACTTTTGGTATTTTTAGTAGAGACGGGGTTTCACCACGTTGGCCAGGCTGGTCTTGAACTCCTGACCTAAGTGATCCGCCCGCCTTGGTCCCCCAAGTGCTGGGATTACAGGCGTGAGCCACCATGCCCGGCCAATATTTCTTAAAGTAAGACCTGAAAGTATGTTTCATGTGAGGAAAAAGGTATGCTACTATTGTTGATGTCAGCAAAGACTCTAGAGATAGGCAGAATAAAGCCTAAGCTTCTTTCATTCCTTTCTTGTGGATCTTTAGGCTCAGCTTCAGAACTGAAACATGAGTGTGATCGTAATCCCTATATCTTGGCATGCTGTGAGGATTACTAATAATACTCAAAGCCTGTGATGAATAGAAGGTATATACTAACTACTAAATTAGTAGTTGATAATACTGACAGCTTTTTCTAAGTAATTGCAATATGTATCATTTGCACCAATTGAATGATGTATCATTACTTTATATATGACACTGGAATAATAAAACTACTTACCGATTATGCCACAGATCATTCTTATCACTTAACATTTTTTCTTATAATTGTTGAAAAAACTTTTCAATCTATATAAATGTAGACATTTGTCTTATATAAATCGTGTGATTACATGAGATGGAAACTATAAGCAGAATACATTAACAAAGTGAATTCTGAAATATCTCCCGTGAAAAGATAAAGTTTTCTGAAATAGTTTTTAATTCATCCTCTCCATGATTTGTCCCATACAAACATCATTTGTCCTTATCAGAAGCTGTGATGATGCCACTTTTGTTATGAGGGTCACGTGACAGTCTCCATGAGATTATCTTTCCAAAATACTTACAGCCCCTCTGCAACTTTTGATGTTGATGATCTCACTGGAATGTGTCAATGGAAGGTTTTTAGACCAAGTGCATGTTCACATGAGGCTAATCACATCATGACTGCCTCCTCACAGTGGTGTTTTCATTATCATTTTTGAGATACAACCCTATTTGAGAAATGTGAGTTGTGTAATCTGGCTTCAATGAAATACACTATTTTTTCTCTGTGACTCCTTCCTCCTCACTGTAAAATCATGGGGTTTATCTGCTGTATTTTGGTCTATTATTGAGAAACTTTTTTTTTTTTTTTGAGATGTAGTCTTGCTCTGTCGCCAGGCTGGAGTGCAGTGGCATGATCTCAGCTCACTGCAACCTCTGCCTCCTGGGTTCAATCAATTCCCCTGCCTCAGCCTCCCAAGTAGCTGTGACTACAGGTGCCCGCCATCACACCCAGCTAATTTTTTGTATTTTAGTAGAGACGGGGTTTCACCATGTTGGCCAGGATGGTCTCCATCTCCTGACCTCCTGATCCGCCCACCTGGGACTCACAAAGTGCTGGGATTACAGGCATGAGCCACCGCACCCAGCCGAGAAAACATTCTTAAATATAGTTTAATATATATTGGCCAACTCCATTTGTCTTCTACTGAGGGATTAGAGATTTTAGAGTTATTAGTAGATTACTGGAATTCTTAAGTACTATAGTAAATTATTATAACTTTATATTGCTCAGGCATCCATTTTGAATAGAGATTTAACTTACTCATTCAAAAAGCAGGGTTTAATCACCTAAGGCAAGGTTGCTAGTTTTTCACCTTCTCCCTGTTCCTTGGTGGGGTCTATCCAGACCCCTTCCACAACCTTCCACAACCACATCCTGGTGATGGCCTCTGTGGGACAGCTAGGTATAACACTTGTCTCACTTGGCTGACCCCTCACAACCCACATTTACTATGCAGTTATGCCTCAGTGACCCCCTCAGTCACAGTGTGCCCCCCAGAGCTCTTACCTACTTGCTCTAAACCCACCACTTAGAACTCCCCAATGGAAGCCTGTATGAGTCATGCTCTGAACCCCAGTAGACGCTTTGGCCCTCTGGTCACTCCCTGTTTCTCTCTCTTGCTCACCTCCAGCTGGCTGCCTGTAATCGTCCCAGATGAATTTTCCCTTCCAGCTGCCCCGGAAGGGAATGCTGCCCTGTTCTCTCTATCTGGAAGTAATAAACGGTTCCTGTGCTTTCATGTGTTCTGTTATTTCCTGTGTGTCTCACTTAACCTAACAACCAAACCTAAACCTAACTTCTTTTTCACTCAGCGTTCTCTTAGAGAATGCCTATCATAGCTGGGCATGGTGGCTCATGCCTGTAATCCTAGCACTTTGGGAGGCCGAGGCGGGCAGATAACTTGAGGTCAGGAGTTCGAGACCGGCACGGCCAACATGATGAAACCCCATCTCTACTAAAAAAACACAAAAATCAGCAGGGCATGGTGGTGCACACCTATAGTCCCAGCTACTTGGGAGGCTGAGGCAGGAGAATCGCTTGAACCTGGGAGGTGGAGATTGCAGTGAGTCGAAATCATGCCACTGCATTCCAGCCTAAGCTTCACAGTGAGATTCCGTCTCAAAAAAATAAAATAAATAAATAAATAAAAGAGAATGCCTATCATGGTAGCAATAGACGAGATGTGGGTCAGACAAAAACCACTAGGGCATCTGCGAGCATAAACAAGTTTCCTGTGAGGGGCCGGGCACGGTGGCTCACGCCTGTTATCGCACCACTGTGGGAGGCCGAGGCGGGCAGATCACCTGAGATCAGGAGTTTGAGACCAGCCTGACCAATATGGAGAAACCCCGTCTCTACTAAAAATACAAAATTAGTCAGGCATGGTGGCGCATGCTTGTAATCCCAGCTACTCAGGAGGCTGAGGCAGAAGAATCGCTTGAACCAGGGAGGTGGAGGGTGGAGGTTGCGGTGAGCCGAGATTGCGCCACTGTACTCCGGCCTGGGCAACAAGAGTGAAACTCCATCTCAAAAAAAAAAAAAAAAAAAAAATCTCAGGTTGAAATTTCATCCCCAGTATGGTCATGTTGGGTAGTGGAGCCTAATTAGAGCTGTTTGGGTCCGGGGGGCAGCTCCCTCATAAATAGATTAATTCTCTCCCGAAGAGTGAGTTCTCACCTTATTAGCTCTCTCAAGATACCACTGTAAAAAGAGGCTGGCATCTCCCCCGGTTCCTGCTTCCTCTCTCATCCTGTAATCTCTGCACATACCGGGTCCCTTTTGCCTTCCACCAAGACCTGAAGCAGCCTGAGGCCCTCATCAGACGCAGACACCCAATCTGGAGCCTTTTCAGTCATCAGAATTGTGAGCCAAATAAACCTTTAACAAATAAATTACCCAGTCTCAGGCATTCTGTTATAGCAACACGAAACAGACTAGTACACCATTTGTTTGTCTAATCACATGGATAGTGATCATACAAGTTATTTTAAACTCAGTCACTGCATAAGTAGGTATAGCATGGTTTTCATACAATATTTTGCTCTGTTCATTTGCTACTCTGGCCAAATATACTTTTGAGTTCTTGGAAATTGGAATGGACTTTGTTGTTCTCTGATGAATATATTGAAGAAAAAGAAACCCATAGAATTCATAGAATTAATGATTTAGGAGGTTGACTGTTTTTACCTAGACTTTTAGGTTCCAGGAAGATTCAATAAAGTTAACATAAATTCCTGATCTCAAACATATAAGCCATGTCTCCAGTTGCTTCTATGCTCTTTTCAGACTTGAGTGTAGACACAAGGCAGTGGGTTCTTGCCTCATGGTGTGCTATGACTTTTGGTTCTTTGCCATGGTATGTTTCTGGGAATTCTGGTGGAAAGGCACACCTCTGGGGAATCTGGCCACAGATAGTTTAGGTTGTGGAAAATCATATCCTTCATGCTGTCAGAGAGTTTAGGGACTTTGCTCAGCACTGTGTCCTCTTTGCCTGGGGTATCGTGTTAGCTTGGTTTTGTGTCTATCATCTGTTCTGTCTTCACTCTGAGTACTCAGAGCTCATTGAACCTCATTCACCACTTAGAGATGGGTCACTCCTTTTTCATTTCTACTTCTTTCTCCTTTATGGCCTTCCAATCTGCCTTTTTCTGAAGAATTTGGTGAAGGATCATATTCCATGTATACATCATAATAAATTTTAATGTATGCATTAGAATGAAGAGAAAAAGGGGGATTTGACAAGTCACTTAGTTTAAATACTGTGATTAAAGTGGTATGAATTTAATAACCCTCCATGTTTAAGGTTTAAATTTTAAATGAGCCTATCACTTCTCAACGAGTAAAATATGAGCTCATGGGGTGAAAACGTTTCTTGTGCAAATGCCTAAAATAACAGCACCTAAATAATGGCTATCCTGATATCAGAAGTAAAAAATGTGGTTCAGAGCAGGTGTAGCTCCCACTCCAAGTCTCCAGCCTGCTCCTTTCATCAATACAGTTATGAATGTGATATAAAGAATATACTCCATGATTACAGATCATAAAAGCAAAAGTCTTGACTTTGTAGATATCCATGGATCACAGCCTGCAGTCCCCTGACTTTGTAGGCTTTGTAGGCATGTTTCCCAGAAACAACCCAATGCTCTCCAGCAGAGTGCTGGAGCTGTGTAGGGAGTGGGTGGACAGCCCTCCTTGCTGTGGGATTTTTGTTTAGCCAGCACAAAAGCAGAGTCATCATTCAGCCCATGTCCATCTCTTAGACTGGTGCATGGATTGTTGCATGAAGTCCTTCTATTCTGTGGCTTTGAGGCTTGACCATGTATAATATAATTTCACAGAATACACGATACCATAAAATCATTATGGAATCTGTAGAATAGAAAACCTGAATTATAACAGGGTTTTCTCAAAGCTTTTACACAGCTTTATTTTGAAAACTTTATGAAAGAAATCCTCTACCAAGAAAACACTATGTGGAATGCAGAAATTTGATTTATGTTCCCTATCACTTAAATTTCTCAATCTTGACTTTTAATGTCCAGCAGTCATGTCTTAGGCTTCAGTGGGAGTCTGCAGATAGACTGCCAGAGGGTGTGTGAAAATGGGAGTCTCTGAGATATGGGAGGTAAATGCACCTATCTTTGAAGAAATGGTTACTGACCCTCAGACTAGTGACAGGGTAATAAGGAGTCTAAAGGGAAAGAAGAAAGCGAAAGAGATTCGCCAGTGTTGTGGCTGTTTTCCTGAAGCAGGTGTGCATGATTTTGGAATGGTGGATAGACAAGGGAAGGTGATTTGTTGTTCTCTCTCAACATGTGCATTCACCTTCTGAACCCAAGGTTTCTTATTTATATATTTGGTTTGATTTTGCTTATTTTGGTGCCAAGTTAATACCTTTTAAAAACAATTTTATTTTGAAATAATTTTAGAAATAGAGAATTTTGCAAGGATAGTATAGAAAGCTGCATATATCCTTTAGCTTACTGTAATGTTAACATTTTATATAACCATAGTAAATTCATGAAAACTGAGGATATAACAATGGTACAAAACCATTAATTGAACTCCTGAATTTCTGACTGCTTTACAAGGTTTTAACATAGTCAACTCTCTGTTCGAGGACCCAATCTAGGCTATCACGTTACATTCAGTTGTCAGGTATATTATTTATTTCTACATAAAAATAACCATGCAACTTAGTGGCTCAAAACCACACACATACTACTGATAGTTTCTCCAGATCAGGACCCCAGATATTGATGATGCCCAAGACTGAGGTCTCAACCGAAGGCTCACCTGGGTAAGGATCCACTTCCAATCTCATGTAATCATTAGAATTCAATTTCATGCCAAGGTCAAGAGGACTTCACTTGTGAGTTGTTTCAGATGTTTAAAGAATTAATCTTAATACTTCTCAAACTCTTACCAAAAACAAACAAAACAACAACAACAACAACAAAAAGTAACCAGAATAGAATAAATCGCTTTCCAACTCATTCTATAAGGCCAGTTTATCTTCATACCAAAACTAGAAAAAGATAAGAGAATAAAATTACAGCCCAATATTCCTCATGACTATGACTACTTTTGCTTTATGGCAAAAATATTCAAGGAAATATTAGCAAAAACTAATTCCTGCAATATATAAATATAAGTATACACCATGATCAAGGAAATATAATACAGAAATGTAAGTTTAGTTAAATACTGAAAGATTTGGTATAGAAGGAAACATTATTTAAAATGGCAACCCCAAAAGTCTCATAGGGCTTCATATATTTCTCTTGAAAGACTCACAATTTTCCCAAGATTAGACACAAGACAACGATGTTGACTCTTCCCACTTCTATTCAACCATGTTTCTTCAATATTGTATTGGAGACTCTATCCAGGGCAATGAGGCCAGAAAAATAAACATGAGGCATCCTGACTGGAAATAAAGTCAAATACTTCTATTTGCAAATGAAATAATCTTCTATAGAGAAAATCCTAAGGAATCCATTAAAATATGGTTAAAACTAAATAAGTTCAGTAAAGTTGCAGTACACAAGGTGAATATTAAAGATTCAGTGTCATTTGTGTACATTAATCCAATTAACAACATAAAAATGAAATTAGGAAAACAGTTCATTTAAACAAGCATCAAGAAGAAAAAATACTTGTGAATAAATGTATGATATGTACACTGAAAACTACATATTGAGTTAAATTTAATAACTAAATAAATTGAAACATACTACATATCCATTAATGAGAAGGCTTAATATTTTTAAGAGAGCAATACTTTCCAATAGGATATATAGATACAATGCAATCCCTATAAAAAGTCCAGCTGCCTTTTTGTGCAGTAATAAGCTGATGTGAAAATCTATATGGAAATGCAAGAGGTCTATAATAGCTAAGACAATCTAAAAACAATAACAAAATTGGAGTACTCTACTCCTACATCCTGATTTCAAAACTTACTACAATGAAACAGTAAACAATACATTGTAATACTGGTGTAAGAGTAAACATATAGATCAATGAAATAGAATCAAGTGTACAAAAATTAACCCTTACATTTATGATCAACTGATTTTACAATATTACCAAGACAATTCAATAGGGTAAAAGTTTGTTTCAACAAATGTGGGACAAATAGATACCCATATGAAAGTTATACTCCTCCCTAATACTATGTACATGTTAGACTGAAAACGGATCATAGATCAAAATGTAGGCGCTAAAACCACAAAACCCATGAAAGATAATATATGAGTCAATCTTGGTGGTCTTAGGTTACACAATAGTTTCTATGACATGACACCAAAAATACAAGTGACAGAAAAAATATATGGCTATATTGAACTTAACAGAATTTTTAAAATTATTATTCAAAATACACCATTAACAAGTGAAAATACAACTCAGAAACTGAATAAAAAATTTGCAAAACATATAGCAGATAAAGGTGTATGTTTCAGAATATATAAAATATGCTTACTACTAAAAAAACTCAAATATAAAAAGGCAAAATCTCAAATAAAAATAGGTAAATCATTTGAATAGACACTTCTCCAAATAAGCTATACCAATGTCCAATAAGCACATGAAAAGATGCTCAACACTTTGAGTCTTTAGGGAAATGCAAATCTAAACAACCATGAGATGCATTGCACAAATCTGAAAGGCCTATTACTAAGTAAAAGAGAGTCAAGTTTGAAAAGACTACATACTTTGTCATTCCATTTATATGGCACTCTTGAAAAAGTGAAACTACAGAGATAATAAAGAGATTAGTTGTTACAAGGGGCTTGGGAGAGAGAAGAAGGTCAAATAAGTGAAAGTACAGTGGGTTTCTATAGGGCAATTAAATTCTCTATGGTACTGTAATGGTGGATATCCGATACTGTTTGTAAAACCCAGCAGAATTTTTTTTTTTTTTTTTGAGATGGAGTCTCGCTCTGTCACCCAGGCTGGAGTGCAGTGGCGCAATCTCAGCTCACTGCAACCTCTGCCTCCTGGGTTCACGCAATTCTCCTGCCTCAGCCTCTCGAGTAGCTGGGATTACAGGTGTGCACCACCACGCCTGGCTAATTTTTGTGTTTTTAGTAGAGACGGGGTTTCATGTTGGCCAGGATGGTTTCAAACTCCTGGCCTCAGATGATCGACCCACCTCGGCCTCCCAAAGTGCTGGGATTACAGGACTGAGCCACCACGCCTGGCCAGAAATGTATAACACGAAGAATGAACCTAAATGTATACAAATTAAAAATAAAATATGTGCTAAGTTGGGGGAATCCCAGGGAGGGACGCAGAAAAAGAAATATAAATATATTAACGTGTACGAAATAACCTCACTGAAGAAAATGGTAGCAATCAGGGCTCACTGAAGACATTTAGGAAATAAGTGGAGATTCAAAGCCTAAAGGACAAAGGAGATGTATGTATATGCTATGTTTATTTGTAAAGTTGCTCTCCCTGAGGGTATGAATTACCAGTTCTGAAACCAATATCTATCTACAGTATTTAGGGATGGAAGGATTAAATTAATGGAGCCAACTGTCTCACTGTTACAGCGGAGGTTACATGCAAGTAGTGGGAATGGGTAGATTGATTTATGTGGTGCTGGATTAGATCCTGTGGTCCTGGAGACATGAGTAGCAATTCATGTTTAATTTAATATAAATACATATGGACACATGTTGAAATATTTATAGATATGTGTATGAGTATAAATTAGCATATACACATAGATTCTTTGTTCTGTTAGCTAACAAAGCCTTGAATCAACAGGCATTCAAACAGCAATGAGTACGTATGGTATCCGAATCTTAGTTTCTAATACCACTCTCCAGTAAAAGGAACTGAGGCTCCTTGAAGAAACAGCGGCTACTTGTCTTGGACATGAAGTCAACAAAATTAACTGGGTAACTACATATACATATATAACATACAGTACTAGAAAGTAAGAAAATGCTAAACAACAGAGCAACCAAGGGACCAATCAAACAAAATTACACTGAAGTGATCTGGGAATTTCAAAATGGTACAGGAGCCTAATGAAAGACCTTGCAATGGCCTAAGTAGAGTGTAAGATAAATATGCACGATCCCATATTGATCTAAATAAATAAGTGAATAAATATAAAATAAACAAAGGAGAACAGACAAATTGTCCATGGTGAAGAATTCCAAATAATATTTGTATTTTTTCTGCACATAAGAAGGTAGATCACAACTCTCCACTGCTTTTTTATTTTTTATTTTTCAAGAGGGAGTCTCCCTCTGTTGCCCAAGCTGGAGTGCAGTGGCCCAATCGCGACTCACTGCAAGCTCCGCCTCCCGGGTTCACACCATTCTCCTGCCTCAGCCTCCTGAGTAGCTGGGACTACAGGCACCCGCCACCACGCCGGGCTAATTCTATGTAGTTTTAGTAAAGATGGGGTTTCACCATGTTAGCCAGGATGGTCTCAATCTTCTGACCTTGTGATCCGCCCACCTTGGCCTCCCAAAGTGTTGGGATTACAGGCCTTGAGTCACTGCACCCGACCATAACTCTCCACTTCTTAAGCATGTGCTGCATATAGTGCCTTCCATTCAAAAACAGAATGGGAAAAATAATTTTACAGAGGAGAAATTTGATAAAACTACTTCATCCAGCTGATCAAATTAACATGAACAGTGATAAGGCATGTCAATAGTCTAAGCACTCTTGGTATGTTGTAATTGAGAGGTGAAGCCGGCTGGGCTTGAGTCAGGTGGGGACTTGGGGAACTTTTCTGTCTAGCTAAAGGATTGTAAACACACCAATCAGCACTCTCTGTCTAGCTAAAGATTTTTAAACGCACCAATCAGCACACTGTAAAAACAGACCAATCAGCACTCTGTAAAATGGACCAATCAGCAGGGTGTGGGCGGGGCCAAATAAGGGCATAAAAGCTGGCCACCGGAGCCAGAAGCGGCAACTGCTGGAGTCCCTTTCCAGGTGTGAAGCTTTGTTCTTTCGCTCTTGCTGCTGCTCCCTGTTTAAGTCCAGACTACCTTTGTGAGCTTGTAACACAGCGAGGGTCTGTGGCTTTATTCGTGAAGTCAGCTAGACCACGAACCCACCAAGAAACAATTCTGGACGTGCCACCTTTAAGAGCTGTAATACTTGCTGCAAAGGTTTGTGGCTTCACTCTTGAAATCAGCAAGACTACAAACCCACGGAATGGAGAAACTCCAGACACACCATCTTTAAGAGCTGTAACACTCAGGGTAAGGGTCAGTGGTTTCATTCTTGAAGTCAGTGAGACCAAGAGCCCACTGGAAGGAATAAATTCTGGACACATGAGGGATGGTCGTTCTCCATGATATTTTTTTTCCTAACTATCCAAATCCAGTGTGGACACTGAGAAAAAGGCAGCTCCATCCCCAAGGAGGGACAGTAAAATAAGGAATTGTTGCGGAACTGTCACAGGAAAAAATTAAAGGGAGCTTAAGGAGAAGTGCTACGTAATTATCAAATGTAATGTAGCTTCTAGCGTGGCATGCTGGGCTCGGTGCTGTGGGGTTAACTTGTGTTAATTACCGGCACTTTGGGAGGCTGCGGCAGGCGCATCATGAGGTGAGGGAATTGAGACCATCCTGGCGAATACCGTGAGACCCCCCCTTTCCACTAAAAACACAAAAAATTAGCTGCGTGGTGTTGCAGGCGCTTGCAGTCCCAGGTACTTAGGAAGCTGGGGCAGGAGAATGGCATGAACCCAGGAGGCGGAGCTTGCAGTGAGTTGAGATCGCGCCATTGCACTCCAGCCTGGGTGGCAGAGGGAGACTCCGTCTCAAAAGAAAAAAAAAAATGGGATCCTGGAATAAAAAATGGGCATTAAGTGAAAACTAAAAGTATTCAAATAATGTGTGGATGTTAGTGAATATTCTATCGCTTCATTGTGACAAATGTTCCACAGTAATGCAAGAAAATAATAGAAACTGTGGAAAATGTTAGTGCTTTGTACTGTCTTCACAACTGTTCTGAAACTAAAACTCTTCTAAAATAAAAACAAAGTTATGTGTTTTTTAAGTCACTGCTGAGCTTACTGTACAGGACATTATTAATATTCCTGATGCCTGCTGAGTGCATCTCCCCAATTCCAGCCCCTTTCTTACTCACTGCAGGTAATTATTATTTTAAATTCTCTCATGCCCTAATTCTTATTTTTCTAAATTTTTATTTCTAAATTAACTGATTATTGCCTTCAAACTTAAATGTATCTAAATCCGTATTCCTAATTTAATTTTGAGAAACCAAACAAACCCATATTGTAGGATATTTTGCAAAACAAAAACAAGGCTCACGCCTGTAATCCCAGCACTTTGGGAGGCTGAGGCAGGTGGATCATGAGGCCAGGAGATCGAGATCATCTTGGATAGCATGGTGAAACCACGTCTCTACTAAAAAACATACAAAAAATTAGCCGGGTGTGGTGGTGGGCGCCTGTAATCCCAGCTACTCCGGAGGCTGAGGCAGGAGAATGGTGTGAACCTGGGGTGCGGAGGTTGCAGTGAGCCAAGATTGCGCCACTGTACTCCAGCCTGGGCGACAGAGCGAGACTCCATCTCAACAAAACAAAAACAAAAACACCTGACTACTTTACCCTTTTCAAAAGGGTAAAGTGATAAAAATTTAAGTGAAGACTGAGAAACTGTTGCAGACTGGAAAAGACCTGATGTGGCAGATAGAACCTAACATGCTGCCCAATGATGCCCACCTCTTGGTGTACACAACCTTGTATTCTAATCCCCTCCCAGTGCGTGTGGTCAAGAACCGTGACTTATAAACAACAGAATACCAAAAGACTGACGCGATGTGACTTGGGTGATGATCTTACATAAGTTTGTGATTTCTTTCTTCCTGGCAAACTCTTTCTCTTTATGGCTTTGGAGGAGCATTCCGCTATGTGGGATAAACCAACATGAGAAGAACTGAATGCAGCCTTAGGCCAACAGCCAGCAAGGCGCTGAGGCCCTTGGTCTAATAGCCTGCCCCAGAAGTTGCAATATACATTTACAAATAAAACTACATTATTTCACAAGTATTGTGAGTATCTTATAATAAGAGAACAATCCTAAATCCTCTGTCCTGTAGCTTGTATCATTATTCATTCATGTCACCTATATTGGAGCATATATATAAACATACATAAAAAAGTCAATTGTTGCTATTATTGTTTTCAACCAGCTCTTATCTGTTGAATCAATTCACACAAGGAAAAATAAAAGCTTTTATTCTCTAGAGAAATTACTTTAACAAGTTTATTGCTGATATGCTAATAAAGGATAAGAATGGAATATAAAATATTCAATTGAAATCACACAATGCAGAAAGAGTAGAATACAAAAATATAAACAAAGAACAAGAACAGCAAATATAAAACAGTAAGAAATATGGTTGGTATTAATGCAATTGTATCAACAATCACTATGAACGTCTCTGGTCTAAGTGCACCAATTAAAAGACACAAACGGCAAATTAAAAAACTATGTGTTGTCTACAAGACACCCACTTTTAATTTTAAAAAGATACGTATAAATTAAATTAAAAGATATAAGATATACTTCACATATATTGAAAAAGAAAAAATCTAAAACAATAATCTAAGTTTCCATCTTAGGATCCTAGAAAAGAAGAACAAATTAAATACAAAGTAAGCAGAAGAAAAGATATGAGACTGCAAAGATAGTAAAAGCAAAGTAACAGATACGCCAACTGAATTTTTCAAATGAATATTAATTACGTAACACTTTCCAGAACACAGAAGTATCCGAATTTAAGAAGGAAAACACAACCCCAAATAGAATCTTTGCTTAAGGCATGCAGGGGTGATACCCTCGTGAAATAAGTAGACAGTAATCTTCAGAAATGATCAACCAAAGGCTTATTAAAGTAGATAATTTCATTTTTTACTCAGCTGGGAAATACTTTATGAATAACCCACCAGTAAGAAACTTAAGTAAGCAACCATTGCTACATATATAATGAAAACGAGCACAGGTGACAAGACATCAAAATACTTGTTACGCTCTGAGACACAGGAGAAAATCATGAGATTTGTATGAGAATATCAAAGAGCATGTTGGAGGAAACGCAGACACAGGTGAACCTGCGCTAAGAAACGTCCCGTGAAGGTTCGCCCGCCGCCGCATCTGGCGCATCTCCTACACGCCTCTCCTGCGTCCTGGCGCCAGGCGCTTTACTCTGCGCAGCTGGGCACCGGTTTCATCCACAGCTTCCGGTGAGGCTGCGCTCAGCTTCTGATGGATGGACGCTAGGGGGCGGAATGAGACCGCCGCTCTAAAGTTCTGCGGGGATCCTACCTACACCTGCAAAGTGACCAAGGGACGGAGGCCAGTGCTAGACGTGTGGTGCAGGTTCTAAACGATGGAGAAACGGGAACAAGAGCATCTAAGCACCCGAGCCTCCCTTTCCGGGAGCCTTGGGTCCTCTCTCTCCACCCTCGTTCCTCTCTAGACCCAACCCCTCCTGATAATGCCCAGGGACCATCTTGACTCATTCTGTCTTCCTCCAAGCAGACCTCGTGCGCTGGGGAACCATTTTAGGAAACCAGAACTAGATATTCAAATCCCTCCCCACAGAATGCAGTCCTCAGGGAGCAGCCCTCCCTTCCCTGCCCAGTCCCTCCTTGGTCAGCGCTTCCTGCTCCTACCTCCTCAGGTATTACTCATCCCAGCGGTCCTTCCAATCCACTGCCCTCTTCTCATGCCCTGGCCTGTGCCATGGACACATTGTTTCCTCGTCTCTTTCCCTCCCCTGCTGGCTGGACTCACTGCTTCTCACTCTCCAGAATCTCCTCCAATGCTCCTCCTCCTGGAGACCTCCCTTGTCCATCCCAGTCCAGGTCTGATGCCTGTCCCCTGAGTTTGCAAGGGCAGTTCTTCCACCTACAGTTTGGTGTCTGTAAGTTTCCTAAATCCTCGCTGGACTTAAACATCAGATAATTTTAAAACTTTTTCTATGCTCCTTCCCTGTAAGCCCCACACATGTAGTGGACAAAGAGCAACACAGAAGATTCTTTATATTTAACTTCACAAATGAACTAATAAATCTCTCCAAATCCTCACCTGTATTCTTGTCTACTTCCCAATAAACTCAAAGGATGTTAATATGAAGAGGGTTTGCACTAGACAATAAGCATGTTTCTGTTTTGTTTTGGTTTTGCTCCCTTCTGTTCTCAGGCCAGGATGGGAGCCCTGACTTCCCCTCAGCCTCTTCTCCAGCCTCTCCATCCTCAATCCACTGCAGGGCCCCTCTCATGGGTTAGGCTGCTTCTACCTCATCTGCTCCTCTTCTGTCCTGCAGGACAATGTTACCCTCTTAGAGCATGTAAAATCATCTTCTCTGGATTCATATCTATTAATATAGGTCCCTTCATAAATATTTCCAAATCTTTATTATTTACCCTATTTCACTAATTTTATTATGCATGTTTTTGAATTTTTACCACATTTGCTTTTTGGCTAGTGTGAGTCAGGACATGGTTTTCATTATCTGCACTTGGATGAAACTTTTCTGGAATTTTCTTCTGTCTCCTTCTGGTAGGGCCACCTGCATCAACACTGGTAGAATGGAGGGAGAGGTGTAAATCACACAAACAATGGTGCAGCCTTCTTTATTAAAAATGATTTCTTTATCCCCACTCTTCATTCCACAAAAGGAGAGATTAAGATATCCATTATTTGTTTATTTTATTTTATTTCAATTCTGGCACTTTTTATTTTCCCATGTTCTGGCTTCTTTTTTATTTTCTTCCAACTTTTATTTTAGATTCACAGTGTCCATGTGCAGATTCGTTATATGAGTAAGCTGTGTGTCACTGGGGCTTGATATACAAAGGATTTTGTCACCCAGTTAGTGCACATAGTACCCAATAGGTAGCATTTTTAGTCCTCACCCTCCACGCTCAAGCAAACCCTAGGGTCTATTGTTCCCCTCTTTGGGTTCATGTGTACTCAGTGTTTATTCCTCACTCTTAAGTTAGAACATGTAGTATTTGGTTTTGTTTTATTGTGTTAACTCACTTAGGATAATGTCCTCCAGGTGCATCCATATTGCTGCAAATGACATGATTTCATTTTTTATGGCTGCATAGTATTCTGTGTATATATGTGGCACATTTTCATTATCTAGTCCACCATTGATGGGAATCTAGGTTAATTCCATGTCTTTGCTATTGCAAAATGTACTGCAGTTATCCATTCTTTAAATCAAATTCTGATTCAAAATCAGAATAGGACTATCAATATACTTTAAAATTCATTGGCAAATGAATTTTCATGTTGTTTTCATTTTTATGTGAATATAATGTATACTCTAATAATTCCACAGGGACTCTTAAATAAGTATAAAATAAAGCTATTTACTGTGTCACATTTTGACTGTCATATTTATCTTTTATTTTAGATGCATGTTAAATCTTTCATTCAGTGGCACACAGTGAATGAACCCATGGAGGCTCCTACAGACATCGTGAGTAGAAAAGTTCTCACTTTCCCTTTCACATTACAAATGCCAGTTCACTTGTCTGTTTTCCCTGTGAATTTGATTCACAGTGTTCCTTCTTCACCTTAATTTTGCCAACTAGGAGCATACAGCCAGTGATACAATAATAATTGAATAATCGCCAGATGAATGAATCACAATGTTGTGGATAAATCATTATGGTTTGAATGTCTTACCACATGTAAACATATAAAAAATGGGTACATATGTAAATCAATGGTTTGCAAGACAGTGTATATCAAATATTGAAGGTCGGTGCAGTGACACGTGAAAGATTTGAAACAATGACCTTTGTCCTAGTAATGCCCCCAGTTTAATGATTCCAAAAATTTTCCAGTGGCAAAGATCTTGGAAAACTTTTTTATTTGAGATGAAGAATCTGAAGTCTGAAAGAACAAGGTGGCTCTATTTTCTAGAACAGGTCTGAAGAAGACAGGTCTAGTCACAGAAAAAACTCTAGAGATTGGCAAAAGTTCCTGCAGCGCATCTGAGTTAAGAAATTAACTGCGGCTGGGCAAAGAATCACCTAATTTGATTAGAGGTGCCTCACACACAAGGTTGGAAACAATTTCTTTTCTTAAACTACATCAGCCAAATTGGTAAACTTCAGGATTCATAGGACATTGGAAAGAAGACACAGATGGGTCTTCTCTCAGAAGTAGAGAATAATTGGTCCTACATTAAATACAGTATCTGGGTCCAAGTAGCAAACATAAGAGGCAAGATTGCAAAGAATGAAACTGTTCCCAAAAAATGTCTCAGAATAGTCAAGCGTATGTATTGAAATACAAAAATTTACAGTACCCAACAAGCTAAAATTCACAATAGCTGGCATCGAATAAATATTGGGCATGCAAAGAAATATAAAAATATCACCCAGAATGCATAGATAATTTAATTATTTGAAACCGGCCCAGAAGTGACACAGCAGTTATATAACATTAAAAGTTAGTGTTTTTCATACATAGTTTTTGTCACTGCACTCTATACGTTGAAAAGTTAATAGAGATGAGGTGAAAATAAAGAAGACCCAGATAAAACTTCTAGGGAGGAAAACTATAATGTCAGTGATGTTTTAAAAGTACAGGGAATGGTATTAACTGCAGATTAGACTTCCAGAAGAAAAGATTAGTAAGCTTGAAGATATGGCAATGGAACCCATCTAAAATAAAAGAGACAAACATAATAAACATGAATGAAAACAGTATCAGTGAGCTGTAGTATAGCTTCCAGCAGCCTCACATATGTGTAACTGGAGTCCAAATTTATACAAAGTAATAAACCCACACATTCAAAAACTCAGTGAGTTCCCAAACACAAAAAACATGAATATATCTATTTAAAAAGCACTTCATGACCAAGTGGCTCCAAAACAATGATAAAGAAAGCACCTAGACAGAAGAAAGGCATGTTGGTAGAAAAGAATAGAAATCAGGCCAGGCGAGCCCGGTGGCTCACGCCTGCAATCCCAGCACTTTGGCAGGCCCAGGCGGGTAAATCACGAGGTCAGGAGATCGAGATCATCCTGGATAATATGGTGAAACCCCATCTCTACTAAAAATACAAAAAATTAACCGGGCCTGTTGGCGGGCGCCTGTAATCCCAGCTACTAGGAAGGCTGAGGCAGGAGAATGGCGGGAACCCGGGAGGCGGAGCTTGCAGTGAGCCGACATCGCGCCACTGCACTCCAGCCTGGGCGACAGAGCTAGACTCCATCTCAAAAAAGGAAAAGAAAAGAATACAAATCAGGATAACATCAGATTTCTCAATGAAAATGTGTCTGGAAGTGGTTCCTTCCGGTAGGTTCTTGGTCTCACTGACTTCAAGAATGAAGCTGCAGACCCTCATGGTGAGTGTTACAGCTCTTAAAAATGGTATGTCCAGAGTTTGTTCCTTCAGATGTTCAGATGTGTCTAGAGTTTATTCCTTACGGTGGGCTCATGATCTCGTTTGACTTCAGGAGTGAAGCCACAGACGTTCGCAGTGAGTGTTACAGCTCTTAAAGGTGGCGCATCCGGAGTTGTTTCTTCCTCCTGGTGGGTTTGTGGTCTTGCTGACTTCAGGAGTGAAGCCACAGACCTTCACAGTCAGTGTTACAGCTGGTAAAGGTAGTGCAGACCCAAACAATGAGCAGCAGCAAGATTTATTGTGAAGAGTGAAAGAACAAAGCTTTCACAACCTGGAAGAGAACTCCAGCAGGTTGCCTCTGCTGCCTCTCCCGGCCAACTCTTATTCCCTTGTTTGTCCCTGCTCACGTCCTGCTGATTGGTCTATTTTACAGAGCGCTGATTGGTCCATTTTACAGAGTGCTGATTGGTCCGTTTTTACAGAGTGCTAATTGGTCTGTTTACAAACCTTTAGCTAGACACAGAGTGCTGATTGGTGTGTTTTAACAGAGTGCTGATTGGTGTGTTTACAAACCTTTAGCTAGACACAGAGCGCTGATTGGTGTGTTTACAATCCTTCAGCTAGACAGAAAAGTCCCCCAAGTCCCCACCGGACCCAGAAGCCCAGCTGATTTCACCTCTCAAAAACAACACAGAAGTGACAGTGTGGTGATACTGTTAAAGCAATGAAAATGCTTTAACATTTTAATTTTAAAATGCTTTTAAAATTAGCATTTTAGCATTTTAATGTTAAAATGCTTTAACATTAAAAATGAGCTGAGATGGCGCCACTGCACTCCAGACTGGGCGACACAGTGAGACTCCGTCTCAAAAAAAAAAAAAAAAAAAAAAGTATGGTACCAATGTCAAGTTCTTGGTTTTGATAATTGTACTGTGTTAAATAACATGTTATCACTGGGGGCCAGCTAGGTTTGTCATGGGTAAACATGGCTCACAATTCTATTTTGCTAGCAGTTTACCACCAAGAAGCAACATGTTCTTTGTGTGCTCATTTCCTTAGTACTTTCATTCTCTCAAGTACACAAAACATATACTTTGAACAGGATCCTTTTCTCACTTTAGGATCCCAATCAGCAATGTGGCCTTTGATAGCAAATTTTGCATCTCTGATTTGGCAAAACCAAGACTTCCTATTTTACTCTTGAGAAATTTGCATTGCAGTGAACACAATATTGGGAATTAACTAATTTTGTAGTCTGCCACTCTCCATTCATGACTATTAATGATAGTCCTAGATGAGGACTGTGACCAGGTCCTGAGTTTGAGATCAACGTAATATTTATGCATGGTATCCCACAAATGCATGGTTGCAGGACGGGAGATGATACAATAAGAAGCAAAGAATAGGGAGGCATAGGAAAAAAATGTATGCCAAATGCCTCATAATATCACTGCTGTTTAATGCTTAAAATTGAGTTTGGCTTTATGACATTGTTTCAGTTAATATCATAGTCTTGTCACACACAGTGTGACCTTAAGAAACATATTTTCTCAGTCTTAGAGTATTGTGTTTTTAAACTTCTTTAAGTGCTGTTTTCTATTTTTATCTTTAAGACAAGATGTGTAAATTCATGTGAATAACTATTAAGATAATGGCTAGCAATTATTCAATTCATTTTACGTGTCAAGAATTGTTCCATGTGTTTTCCATGAATCACGTCATGCCATGGCTACTGTTACAGGTCTGACTCAGTGTAAGGTGATTCTCCCTACAAGAAAATGATAAGCCCCTGGAGTAAACCCACAGCTTAACTGGTAGGTGTTTAGTTTGAGCAAGTATACAGTATTTTACAACTGAGCAAGTAATCCACACATGCCATCTGTCAAGAGATGTAATGGTAATCCCCATCACCGACCTCAACTCATCCTCCAATACTGGAGGAATAAGAAGGTCTACATGTTGAGCGTGGTAGAAAAGAAAATCAGGTTGGGACTCAGGACATACCTGAGCTTTCAGAACAGTCCAAGATGGTTACGATGATTTGAATATTTGATGTGATATGAAATAAATCCTCATTGCATCTTAAAGAAATGAGATTAAGATTTTTCTTTTATACCAGAATTCTTAAAACATGGTCTTCAGGCTTGAATTACAAATAGGCAGCACTTACAGCAAACACCCACACCAAAGTTCCCCAGAATGCCTCTCAATGTTTATTTTAAACACGGTCTTTGTCATTTGCTTTCTCTCTGCTCTTTCCTCTGGTTTATTGTCCATCTGTAATGAGTCAACCAATCAGGCCACTCCCAAAAAAACTTACCAAAGGCATGTGAAAGGTTTAGTTAAAAGCAATAAAAAGTATTTAAATAGCTGCTAAATCAAAATGACTGAATTATGTATTCTAATTAGTAAAGGAGAGGAAATGTACTTTTTCAATATGAAAACTGTTTCTCATATTATGTCATATACAACATAACTCTACAAGATGATGTACATTATAGTAAAAAGTAATATAACTTGGGTAGCAATTTGCTACTATATAAGATTTCAGAGATGCACATCCTTTGACCCAGAATTTTAAATTCTATGAATATATTCTACAAAAATAATAGACCTCTAGTACAGACGAATGTACAGGGATGTGGACTCCAATACTGTTTCTTTTGGCAAAATACAAAAAGAAAACAAACTACTGTATATATCCATCAAAGAATAATGGATAATTTTTTAAATATACTATAACACACCCTTTCAACAGATTAACATACAAATATTAGAGGTAATCAGTAATTTCTGAATATTTAACACATCCACAGTAAAAGACTATAGAACAGAACAGTGAGATGATTTTTCTTCCTATACAGTGGTGAAGAGGATGGTAGGGTGCAGCGAACCAGAGGGATGGTATTCTGATTTCATCACTTAATGCCTTTGTAACCTTTCAATAGTTACCCTATCACATTTTAGTGTCCTCACTTGTGCAGTGGATGTAAGAAGGCATACTATGTATTTTTTTAGTTATAACGTTCCAACCAATTAAAGGAGCATTGATAACACCGCATGGCAATTCTATGACTTGATATATCTAGTTTAAATTAACACAATTAACCTTGTATAGTCTACTGCACGCAGGAAAACAGAAATATGCATATTTGTGTATATAGGTATTTACAAGCATAGATCTGAAAACGCAGACACCCAGGTATGAATGTTGAAGGTGGTTGCAAATTTCAGGATTCAGAAAGTAGATGACAGTCTATTATTATGTAATTTTTTTCTAGATTTAAATTTTTATCAACAAAATATTTTCTTCCCTCAAAAATTAGAAAGTTAACACAGCAAAATAATTACTCGCATATAGTTCTGAATATTCCTCAAAGAAAATTTCTAAGTCTATAAGAAGACAGCTGAATATCATTCCTAAATGTCATATCAGGAATTTTGTTATTGGGATTTCTTTCCTGCCTCTGCTTCACCCTTAACTTTGTCAATGTCCTTTTATAATACTTTTAGAATACAGAAGAACATGGAGGTAAATTCCACATAATTTACAACACATAGGAAAAAAGGACCTACACTTGCTTATTTTGTGAGAGGTGGCAGTGAAGAGATTTCTGCAACAGATGACTGAGCTAGGAGATGGCACACGAGGTACAAGGGTGGGGGTAAGTTAGAAACAAAATTCTGAAGTCGGAGGAGTTTCATATAGAAGTGGTTCAAAAATGAAGTTCAATAGTTTTCCTATTAATGAATTTAATAAAGTTGTTTAAGTGGAATGAAAATTAAAAGATTGGGGGTAAAAATCACAAACTTTTAAATAAGGTTATATACTGGTAATAGTCACAGGATTTTAAAGATAATGTATAAAACTATGAAGAAATTTTGCTTCTGGAGCTTTTGTGGTAGATGAAAAAGTCCAAAGAACACAAAATAGAGAATCAGTATCCAAATCTAAAATCAAAATTGATGTTGACTTCCCATTAAACAAAAAACTCCACATCAATCTAAACATTCAAAAAAAAAAGTCTTACCAATGTAATTAAAGTAGAAATATAAAGCGCTAATAATACAAAGGAATACAAAAACTTTATTTGTGGATCGTCACATGAATATAAAATCGATAGATATTAACAACACTTTTACGTTTTCCAGAAAAAAAAAAGCCACTCCCTTTATATGGTAGGAAACAAACAAACAAGCAAAATCCACGTCTGGGGGCCTAAACCCTAGAAAGAATGAAGTCAGGGGAGTTGAGCGATATTTCCCATCTCAATTTCCCCGCGCAAACCAGAGACGAGAAATTCCTAGCAAGCGCCCTGATCTTAAAGGGACCTGGCCAAGGCCCAAGAGCCTGAGGCCCGCAGGAGCGCAGCCGCTCCTCCTGGCTCCGCCTCACCAGCGCTGAGCGGAAGCTCCTGGCCCGACCCCCGTAGCCGAAGGCCTCCCCGCCCACATGACCTTCCCACAGCACACCGCGAGGTCGCCTCCTGTCTGACCGGCGCTCCTGCGGCAGTGCGCTGTCAGGCGCACCCATGGTTACCATCCTGGGACAAACCGGGAATACCCGGAGACCAGAGGGTTATTGAGTCTTCTCTCTGGGCTGTTAAGAAGTCAAGAATAAACAGTTTCCAAAAGTCTCTGTCACCCCACGATCGATTTCTATATCCTTGCTGCTTTTCAGCATAGCATAAAATAAGTGTAAAATAACTTTTTTTTTGCCGTTGCTTCCAGAAAAAAGCATTTCAGGTTGCATGGAAAGAAAATCCTGTAGTTTATACGTTCTGTAGCTGCATTCTTACAGGTCAGTCCTGAAAAGCTGAATCTGAAAGGTTAATAGCTTACGAAGTAGCGTGCACCCTAAAATACGTATTTAGACAAATGTACCAGTACCAACAAAATCACAGTAAGAAGAAAATACTCAAAAATGGTTTTAAAAAATAGCACTTGTCATACTATTCAGGGAGACTCTTGTTACAATTTTTCACTGAATATATTTTGTATATAACATAAAACTTAATAAAAATCTACAATCCAGAGTGGATGTATAAAGATTTTAGAATTTCCAGCCATATATTAAAAAGTAACCTTAGATTCTCCACCTTTGACCATATATATAAATTCTAGATGTAATAAAAGACTATGCATCTTAAAAGAAAATTAAACAGCAATAAAATATTTCCTAACTGTCCACGTGAAATCGGAAATATTTACATTTGTCCATAAAATTATTTAATAATGTTTAAGCATACTAGAGAAAGACTACAAATAATAGTTAAATATTTGTAATGTATTTGCAGTGAAGGACCCAATATAATGCTAATAAAATATCATGACCTAAAATTAATAAGTAATAAAAGCAACCTAATTTTAAAAATAATGTATTAAGTGACATGAGCAGGCACTTTTCCAGAAAAACATAAATAACACAATAAACACTATGTATCCTCCAAAATTAAATAAGCTAATTAGAGAAACCACTTTAGCCTGACTGGGGAGAAAATGAATTACTAATATTTAGGCTTGAGAATTGCCTATGTAATTTATTACATACACTTTTTTTTTTTGAGACATTGTCTCACTCTTGGTGCCCAGGCTGGAGTGCAGTGGCGTGATCTCGGCTCACTGCAACCTCCGCCCCCGGGGTTCAAGCAATTCTCCTGCCTCAGCCTCCTGAGTAGCAGGATTACAGGTGCCCACCACTATGCCCGGCTATTTTTTGTATCTTTAGTAGAGACGGGGTTTCATCATGTTCAGGCCAGGCTGGTCGGGAACTCCCAACCTCAGGTTATCCACCCACTGCCGCCTCCCAAAGTGCTGGGATTACAGGCGTGAGCCACGATGCCTGGTCTGTTACATACACATTTTAATGTAGGGTATGTATTGCTATATACTTTTTTGACTCACTGATTTTATTATTACTGAAGTGTAAGGTTCATCAGAATGCTTTCTGCAGCATTTTCTGCAAAATTTAAAAATAAAAATACACTAAATTTTTATGAATAGGCCATAGGCAAATTGAAGGGTATATGTATTTTGGAATACAAAGTGCTAACAAAAATACTGCAGTGGATATCTAATGATATGGAAAGAGCACTATGACATACTACAGATAACCAATTTGGAAAATAAAATGTGAATATCACCTATATAGCTATATATACATATATATATAGCTAGATCAATCTATTAAATATATATAGAAACATATACATTAGTAGATATAGATCTGGTTAAATGCCATTGAAAGCATTATGAAAAATCTAATATCTATATTTATAGCTGTATCTACATCTAAATTGCTATCTCTATGTAGGTAGACATATAAGTTCATTTGGATACATTGGTAGACGTACTGGAAAATATGCACACATAAACACAGTTAAAAATGGTATGCAGTCGGCGGGCCCAGTGGCTCACGCCTGTAATCCCAGCACTTTGGGAGGCCAAGGCAGGCAGATCACAAGGTCAGGAGATCGAGAACATCCTGTCTAACACGGTGAAAACCCGTCTCTACTAAAAAACAAAAAATTAGCGGGGCGTGGTGGAGGGCACCTGTAGTCCCAGCTACTCGGGAGGCTGAGGCAGGAGAATGGCGTGAACCCGGGAGGCGGAGCTTGCAGTAAGCCGAGATTGCGCCACTGCACTCCAGCCTGGGCGACAGAGTGAGACTCCGTCTCAAAAAATAATAATAATAATAATGGTATGCAGTTAAATGGAAAAAAGGATATTGTGTATATACATTTTAATGTTTAATTTGTAATCTTCTGTACGTTTGAATATTCACAGTAAATTGTACGAATTGTATAATTTAAAAGACATTATAATTTGCTGTTCATTGAAGTCCATCAACAGTGGTTCCTTGGAATCGTTTCTGTCCAGGACTCCGAACTCTGTCTTCACAATCACCACCACGATCTACAGCAGCTGCTGGGAGCCTGGGTTCTTAGAAATTTGTTTGCTCTCATTCTTCCATTTTTGGATGACAGATGGCGCTACAACATGGGTTTCTGATAGTTGCATAAATTTCTAACACTGACAACTCACATATGAATGAAGTGGATTTTAACGTTAAAAAATGGAGTTGTTCTCAGGGTTCACACATTTTCTTCGAGGAAGAGAAATTAATGTAAATTTTCACAGGAAGAGTTTAAGGGCTTTAGCAACTGGGGAATGCAGGGCACTATCCCTGTGCTAAGAAAAAGCTGCAAAATAAACTCTCTTGACTTCTCACTCAAATGTCTTCTCACTCAAATGACTTCTCACTCAAATGTCTAAGAGCAGTTTCTGTTACAATTCAGTAATTTTTATGGACACAGGATGGCTCCCCAACTCCAAAGTGACAGAAATATTAATATAATAAACAGTGAGCCTGGAGGAAGATTTAATTGCGGTATATCTCAGTTGGAATATGCAGAAAATGGATAGAAGAGGTAGTGGAAGAGGTGCTGGAAAATTGTGGGTTGAGAACAAAAACAAAGGTATACATTTAAACTGAAAGACTTTAATAGAGAAGGCAGTCACTTCCCTCAAATTATTGAAGCACAAGCGAATTTCCCAATATTAGCAATTTTTAAGCTATGAGCAAAATCTTCCATTAGCCACTTTGTTTTAGGGTATTTCTAGGGGCTTATGGGCTTACAGAAGACCCTGCCTCATGATTTAACTAATGCATTCGTCACTTTTGCATGGTCAACAAGTGCTAGTGAAAAAGGGATAATAGAAAAATAGTATAAAGCTGAATGTAGCCCGTGAGTATATAAACTCATATAAATAAGATACTACAAATCAGAAAAGAACTGAATAATTTATTTTTGAAGGAAAACAATATTCCAGTAAGGAAGTGCTGGAAAAAAGCATGGGAACATGTCAAAGTCTACAGAAGCCAGCCTGAAGGAGTCAGAATTCCAAATAATTTATATAGATAATCTCCCCTTGAGGAGGTAGAGCATATCTTATGACTTAAGTGTGGGCTTCTCATAGTGACTTCCTTCTAAGGAGTATAGTATGGAAATGGAGAAAAATAAATACTTTTACAGTGGAGAACCCTGAGAATCATTGTCCAAACCAGGTGTTGAAGGTCAACATCAACAGTGATAATTCATGTTGATAACATATACCATTGATAGGATGTTATAAAACTGGCAGTTTATCTTGATGAACCTTCTCCCTCAAAATCCATAGCACCAGTCTAATAATGAGAAAATCATAAAATAGATCCCAATTGATGGATGTTTTACAAAATATTTGACCAGTAATTCTAAAAAGTGTCAAAGTTATCAAAAACAAGGAAAGTCTAAAAAAGCCATCACAGTCTAGAGGATCCTAAGGAAACATGATGAGTAAATGGGGTTTGGAATTCAGACTGAGATCCTGGAAGAGACAAAGCACAGATTAGATGGACACCAGGGAAATTTGAATAAGTGTGCATTTTAGTTAATAATACACCAATATTGGTTCATTCACTGTAATAAATGTACCATACCTATGTAAGATGTCAGTAAGGGCAAAACTGGGTGTCAGATACTCTGGACTATCTTTAGGAGGAACTCTGAGTAGCTACATAGGAAATTTCTTTACTACTTTCCCATCTTTTCTGTAAATTTAGAACTGTGTTACAAGAACTTTAATTTTAAAAAATAGATAAAAGGTAGTAAGGGATTTAACCCAATGATCGAAATGAGAATCATGAGTCCAAACCAATATAAATCAGTGAATGAATGAATGAATGAAGGTGAAAGTAAAACTCTTCCAGACAGTAGGATACCGACTAATAACTAAAGGATAAATGATAAAGGAATTACAAAGTCATGAATTTATGCTAAAATAGTAAGTTAAATTGTGACTATGTATCTTCCCACAAATTACCTTTATTAATTACAAAATGGAAATGTTAATTATGGAGAAATCTATCCTAATCAAGTGATCAAAGTTACTATCACCAATATTGGTAAAAATCAACATCATTTGCCTCATTGAAAAGATGCTCTAAAAAGGACACAGCATCTCTTCAATAACATTCTTGCTAAAAATGCATAACATAAATCTAATCATGGAACAACATTAGACAAACAGAAATTGAGAAATAATTCACAAAATAAGTGACCATAGGCCTCAAAAACCTAAAAGTCATGATTCTCAAATAAATGTTGAAGATTTATTCCAGAGAAAAGGTGCTGAAAGAAAGATAGTTAAATGCAACATATTGTCCTTGATTCTAAACTAATGGCTGTAAAGGACATACTTGTGACAAGTGACAAAACTTGAATATAGATTGTGAATTAGATAATAGCATTTAATCAATCCTAAATTTCCAGAACCATGTTTATGTAAGAGGATGTCAGTGTTACTGGAAATGTACTCCAAAATATTTAGGATTAAAAGAACATTCTTTATCTAATTTATTAACAAATAATTTGTAAAAAGTGTGTGTGGAGGGTAGTGGGTGTGACATGTTTACGCAAACCCATATATCTATCCATGTGTATAGAGAAAGACAATGATAAAAATAATAAATCAAATGAAGCAAAAATGAAGCATTTTAAACAAAATATAAATGATGAATCTGGGTAAAGAAAGTATAGGAGTCCCTTGTCCTATTCTTGCAACTTTTTTTTAAGCTTAAAATCACAGAAACAAAGTTACAATAAATAATTTTGGGAATAATTTACTATTTCATTAATCTAGAAAAAATATGCATCACTATATTCATAAAAGTGAGTTTAACAATACTGTGCATAGTGACTATAACTACTACTGCAATTCTGGAATCAAATAATGAAAGTATACTATCATGTATTGGAAATAAATGAATACTTTAATTTTCCAGCCTTCTATTTATTCTGTATACATTTCAATATTCTGCTTTACAAAAATGTTGGAAATAATGCCAGTGTGAATGATAAAATAAGTTTTGACTGTTATTAACTAGTATGGCTAATTCCAGTTATGCCTGATGAAATATTTGTGAAATGAAAAGACTAATCCAAATAGTTAGAATGTTTTGGAGCGTTCTGAGAACAAGATAAATTCCTGAATTTCAACTGAAAGGAGTAAATGAACAAGTTGTATTGTTATTTATCATTTCCTCTTTGTCTTCAATACCTCAATCATTAACAAAATTGCAAAAAAAAAAAAAAAGCCTTAAAGTATCATCATGTTCTTCATTTCTTCATGGTTTTCCCACTCTAAACATAGATATCTACCTAAGGTGCTTGATGCTGAGGCTTTCAGCTGGGCCCATCCATCTACCAACTACATCACCAGGATTCTAGCCAGGACAGGAATAGAGCCTGGCATGTCTTTTAAAGCCATAGAAATGTATTGGAGATTATCATGCGCTTTCTGACTGCCATGAATCAAGAATAGATGCTGTGATTATTTTTCATGTGGTTGAAATATTTGTAGTGAATTTGAGTTAGAATTAAAAAAAAATTCTTGTCCCACACAGGAAAGTCTATGCATAATGAACAATAATGGGTTACTCTACAGACACTACCTATTTGCAGCTAAGTATTCATGCCTCTCTGGGTGTGTTTTCCCCTCACTCCATCGAAATAAAACTTTCAAACATCACTGTGAACCTTCTGGTGGACACTTCTCAGTGCTCGTCTTATTTGACCGCTCGTGTGCATCCACGTATTTCTGAGCCTCCCCTTTAAGTAGCCTCCTTTCTGCTTCTGAGCCTCCATTTTCCATGTAATTCACTGAACTCTCTGACTTGTCTAACTCAGTTTTGTTTATTGATTCCTCCTCCTCTGTTCATAAGTCTAAAACGTTGGAATACTCGATATGGTAATAGCCCCTACACAAATCCATTTCCATGCATGCAAATGTGGCAGCAATAATTCCACTCCCTGTATCCAATCCACTGGGTTGTTCTCTCCCACACTGACTCTGGGTCTGGCCAAGTTCATTGCTTTGGTCAGTTCATTGCTTAGGAACAATAGCAAATGTGACCCATCTATAGATGTAGAAAAAAATGCTTACACGTTTGGGCTTGTCTTCTCCTGCTACTTTTGAACTCTGAGGTTATATGAAGCAGACTGGGCAAGCCTGCTTAAGAATAACAGACATAATGCCAAATCATCCCTAAGCTGCCACCAAGCCAACGTTCACATATATGAGGCCATTCCAGACAATCTAGGGCCAGATGAGATGGCCCAGATCAGAAGAACCACTAAGATGACCCACAGGATCATTAGAAATGTAGCTGTTGTTTTAAACCACTGATTTGGGGAGATAAATTGATATGCACCACACAGCTATGGGACAAATACATAGATACCTAGAAGTGGGTATCTATACGCTTGTGGCACTGGCTCTGAGATGCAGCAGCCGGTATAAAGGAAAAGCACAGTGAGGAAATCTGTCAGGAAAAGGTGAGCAAACCTCCTGTGGGCATGGATGGGCTGGAAAATGGAAAATTGGTAAAACTATCACCAGCTGAAGGATCTACCTATGATTCATGGACCTTGGCAAGATTATTTTCAGGTACAATGTTTCAAGCATCAATTGACTTTAGTTAATCATAAGATAAAACAACAACAAAAAATGATGAGCTAAAGAAATAGTTGCTTAGGACATAGGCAAAATTTAGAGGAAACACAGAGGAACCAGAATGTGCTGGGTGGGAAAATAAAACTATTTCTCATGCACAATCTCAAGTAGGCACAGAGAATTTAAATAACAAATTATTAATACTTTAAGCCACTGATTTTGGGGATGGGGAAAACCAACACATACATCATGGCTTTAAATATTCAGGCATGTGACTGACTCCCATGTTTTGTTATCTCTAATACAAACTTCTTCTAAGCTTTGCACATACAAATCTTACAGCTAACTTGAAACCCACTTGAATTTTCAGATTTCTTTCATGCATCAAAAGTCAGAAATGGCACTCTGATTTTTCCTTCTTGAAAGCTACTCCCACTCCACCATTCTACATCTCAATAAATGGCATTGCCTTTAGAATAAGTATCGCAGGTCCAACACCTAGTTTATTCTCCATACTTCTGAATAACCCACTCCCTCCACCTACTCTCCTATTTCAAATTCTATCTACCTTGAAAAGAAGAACAAATTTATGTGCTTTTCATCACTAAAGTAATTCAAGCAACTATCATCTCTTGCCTAAGTGACTGCAAAAACCTACCAAATGATGTAGCACGAACATACTTGGGGATATAACTTTATTTTGTTCCACCTTGTATTTTTCTCTTCATTTCCCCCATTCAAGGACACAGTCACATCTCTGCTCATTAAATTACTCGGGACTTCGGTAAGGTTACATCTGTAATGTCCTTGAGTCTTCCCAGTTTCTGTTTTCGAAACCCACATCTTAGATGAGGGAGAAGCCACGATAATAAGGCAAAATGCCACAGTTAGAGCAGGGAGGAAAGAGCAGAACAGAATGAGCAGTTAGTGAGAGGCCTTCAAAAACGCATCGCCTCTTCCTAATCTCCCTCAGAATCCTCACTTTTGATACAGCCATGAGAGGCACAGGAACAGAGATTTCATAATACAGCAATAGCACACAAGCTTCAGACGGGCAGACTGTCCCTCTCCTGCCACTACTCCCTCTCAGAAAGCGCAGGAGTTCAGCCAGGCTGGGAGGGGAGACTCTTCAGAGTGAGATCCTGGAAATGAAAAGTTTCTAGTTTTCTTTGGGCTGCTTCCACCACAAGCTCTCCCACCCCAGTGTCAGCACCCCGCCCCAGTGTCCAGCTCAAGTGCACGCATCAAAATCACTCGCAGGGCTTGTTAGACATCGGCGGGTCCACTCCCAGAATTTCTGACTGACAGGGCAGGAGTGGACCAGGCATCTGGTTTCTAACAAGTTCAATCAGCCCTGGCCACTGAGGATGGAGCCCCCAGCGAAGAGAAGGTGGTGGGCGCAGGGCTCAGATGCTGTGGCGAGGCTTCCCTAGGACGGCTCACTTCCGGCCTGTCAATCTACCCACATTGCCTTCATGCAGCTGCTCTCTTTCCAAAATTAGGGTCTGTTATTTGACTCTAATGCTACTTTGGTGACCCGCACAGCGTATTTCCAAGTCCTAACAAACTTCCCAATTAGAAGTTGTCAGAGAACAGAACGGGGCAATGCCTCTGACACTTGCTTGCCGCCTGCCGGCGCAGTAACAAATCAGAAAAGGAACACTTGTGGCTAGAATGACAGGCCAATACCCCCTCCTGATCCCCCCTCCCAGCCCTCGAGCTTTCTGGAAGTTGCCAAACTAGCGCAGCCGCAAAGTGGACTCTGCAATGCTGTAAGAATAGTGCGCAGGCGCCAGGAAGCCCCCTCCTCGAGCAAAGCTAGCCCCTGCAGTGTATAAAGAGTGCGCATGCGCCAAGAAACCCCTTCCCTCCTGAAGCCGACCCCTGCAGTGCGGTGGAGAGACTGCGCATGCGCCAGAAGGCCCCCCTGCCTCTGGGCTATTAGTTGATCTCCACCCATTTCCTCCCACCTCTCCTCCCAGGTGATTGACACTAGCTGTGGCCTGGTGGATGAAGGCCTTTCAAAATGGTGGCCCTGTGAGACCCGTTTCCCTACGCAAATGTGGCTTGAACGTTCTGTGTTGCTGCGACATCACCTAAGCACCTGTCCCCATCCCCAGATGGACAGATCTTAGAACAGGAAAGTGTGCTGACAGTAGGTCGAGGTCAGATCGGCTCAGATTTCTTGAAACAGGGCTTTCTTGGGTTGTGATTCTCTTCACTCTGAATTCTTCAAAGCTCCTTAGTCTTCCTCCCTAGAGATGTCATCTTAAGGGCCTGCAACTGGCTTTGCCTTTTCTGCTTCGGGTAACCAGTGTTTCTTTTCTTTTTTTTAACCTTAGAGACAAGGTTGTTCTGTCGCCCAGGCTGGAGTGTGGTAACGGGATCACAGCTCCCTGCAGCCTCAAACTCCCAGATTCAAGCGATCCTCCCACCTCATCCTCCTGAGTAGCTGAGACTACAGGCATCTGAACTGCACTCAACTAGTTCTTTTTATTTGTGTGAAGAAGGGGGCCTCGCTATTTTGCTCAGGCTGGTCTTGAACTCCTGGCCTCAAGCCATCCTTTCACCTCAGCCTCCCAAAAAGCTGGGATTACAGGTGCACCGGGTCACTGTTACCACCAGTTCTTAAAATTTACACATCTACAGCCATGAGACACTGAGCTTATTCTGGATTTTAACATCTCACAGATACAAGAAGTCAGGACAGAAGCACAGGCGGAAGGCCTAGTTACTTTTGAAGGGAGTCTTATTGAAGGGGATGACTCAATTCAAAAGCAGAGTTTTGGAGCAAGAAAAGGAGAGGCAGAAAGCACAAGTGTCCCTGCTCGTCCCCTCCCCGCTTCTGTGTCCTCGCTAAATCCTTACCCTGCTGTTCCCTAACTCTTCTTAGGCTAAGAACCACATTTCCCTAATCAGCTCATGTTTAAACAGTCTGGTTTCAAACTGGCCATGTTATAAACCACACTTTCTTCATCCTGTCTCAGAGACCCAGCTAAACAAGACTTCTCTGGGAAGCACAGATCTGGGCTAACACAGCAAAGCTCCTATTTCTCACGTCAGTTCAATACTTCTTAAGGTATAGGGTTTCTCTTACACAGACTGTAGGGAGAGCTTCCCTAGATTGCTTCTTCACACCTCTATCAGGAACGCATAACCACACAGTTTCATCAGACTGAATGGCAGGAAGACGGAATCTGACACAGGTGAAACCTGATCGGAGCCTCATCATCTCTCCCTGGAGCTTCAAAAAATGTCTCCCTGCTTCCACCCCTGCCCCTCCCTCTAGCTATATCATTCATACAGCTGAATGAGAATGAGACCATGCGCAACCTCTCTGTTCAAACCCTGCAATGGCCATGTATTCGGCTCAGAGTGGAAGCCAGATTCCTTGGCATGCCCTTCGCACTAAGAATGACCCTCCGAGGTCAGCTGCACTCCAGCCACGCTGGCCTTGCAGAACCCTTGAAAAATGAGCTCTCTAGTAGGGCTTTTGCCCTCCCTAGGACACACTCCACTCTGCATCTGTTGATTAACTCTTTCATTTCCTTCAAGTTTTTGCTCAAAGCTCAATTCAACTGAATCCTGTCTTGGTCACCCTATTTACTTTTGAAACCTGAGGTATCAAGTACTCTAGTCATCTTACCTTCATGCACTTTGTTCACCGCTCTCATTGACTTCTTACCTACGATATAATTTAATATACATAAAATATAAATGCATAGTAGTATAAATTCTGATTGTAAACTCCATGAGATCAGGTAGCTTTAGTTTGCACACTAATATATTCCAAGCTCCTGGGACAGTGCTTCATATGTAAGGGGTATTTGAGAAATATTTTTAAATAAGTGAATACTTAGGTCTCAAGGTTAAGACACTTAATATGAAATAACAGTTTAGGAAGCGTGAGTTGATTGGGAGAAATAGCAAAAGAAAAAAGTGGCATAGCAAAATTCTTAGGCTCAGAAACAATCTTCCCAAACTCTTTTTTTGTGTGTGTGCACAAAGAGGGTAATGCCGTCACAATGAAGACTTTGTCAAGAATAATTAAGTCTGTACAGGCACCAGAAAGACAACTCCAGAAGAGGGAGGTGCAGGCTTGCTGCCACTCTCCTCTTCCTGCCTCAGGAAGCCATCCTACACGATGTTCACCAACCTTGCTTCCCTGGAACCAAATGTGCACACATTAGGGCATGAACTTGTTTTCCCTAGAAGGCCTCAATTTCACAATTGGTGGCCTCAGTTTTAATATTTTGGTCTCTACATGTCTGAATCACAGAGCCTGTCCTCAGAAGTCCACTTCTGTCCCACAGCCAGGGAGGCCTTCAAGGGATCAGCTGCCTAGAATGAGCAATGGAGACTGGCAGGAGTTGTAGTTCCCTTTTTGAGATCAGGGCAAGGCTACCTGGGACCCTTGGTTCTGTTCATGTGACCTGAGAGAAGCCTCTTCTGGGAGAGATATTTTTTTAACAGCTTGCAATATGTAAAATACGCCTACACTTAGACTTAACCATTTTATTTTTCCATAAATAATATTTTAAAGAGGAGAGAATAAGAATGTCCCAATGCAACATTGTTTGTGATAGTGGAAAAATTAGCAATGATCTAATTATAAATAGATGGCTGACAACAAAATACAGTGTATGTGATACTGCATATCATAGAGGTGAAAAAAGAATGCAGGATCTATAAGCTGATATTTTACAAAGTAGAACAATTTTAAATTTCACTGGTAATTTAAAAATAACCTGTTCTATAGTCACTTTTGATTACATTTGTAGAGGCATCAAACCCTTTGTGGATGCTGATCAATTTGTAAAAAGGATCACAAATTTTAAGTTAAATGAAGAAGGGGAATTGACCATAGGACACTCATTAATAACTTTAAGCAACGCTGGATTATTTGACCATTTGCCTTAACTATGAGAATCACAGGTCAGTTTTAGATTCCTGTTCCACTGATGTCCATCATCACCCTGCCTTCAGACCCTCGGCTTCAGCCCCACTGCATCTATGCTGAGTCCGGTCGGCCTGACCTCTCTACCCAGCTGCTCCAATTCAGCACCTCTTTCCCCAGCGGCTCCCAGGGCATTTCTGAAGCAGTTCACTTCTCGCCCAGGACTCCCAGTTTTGAATGCTAGATGGCGCTGTAACCTGATTGAAAGAAGACTGTCCCAACAAAGATAACTCAAATGGAAATGAAAATCATTTTAAAGCGGTCCATTCGGATGTGTTTGGGATTTACTCCTCTCCTTCAAGGAGGAGGTGTTAGTGCTCTCGTTAGATGTTTCTGTTGATGTTAGATGTCAGATGATTCCGTTGACGAGAAGGGCTGACCACAGCAAAGAACTCGGACGCTGAGGTGCTCCCCCTTAACTCACCATTTCCCCAGACCCATTATCCCAACCAGTAATCACAGTCTTGGGGAAATAAAACTTTTCTTGGGGACCTGCCATGTTGGAATCTCCATAAATAAGTCAGATAGGGCAGCCTAAGAAAGGTTTACTTAAATGAATGATATAAAATGGCTAAAATTTTGCATCAGAAAAAAAGACTTTAAATGACAAGAATGGTCAATTAGAAAAATATTCCCTCAAAATTTATCCTGAATTTAGCTGTTATTACATTATGAGAAAAAATCTGCCAAAAGTGGTTTCATTGGAAGAACTTTTGACTGCTGGTACCTACAAAGATTCTGATTTACAGATTTTCTAGTTGATTACTTCTGAAGATTCTATAAATATGAATAATAAGATAAAAAATTAGATTTGTGTTTCATCCAAGTGTACATCAAAAGTTATTCAAGCAATTTGGAATCTTCTAAATAGGATAAAGTTGAAACATTGAAAATATTGTGTTGCAATATTTGGCTAACATTTGAAAAAATGACAGCTAAATCTCTATTTTAAATCCTTTCTAAAGTAAATCCCAGTGGTATAAAATCAGCAAAAGGTAGCGTAAAAAAATAGTGAAAAGGAAAGGAAAGCCATCTTGGTGGAGATATCAGCAACTTTTATAACTAGATTACATAAGAGACCTCTATGCATCAGTAAGAGAAAAAGTCATAAGCCAGGGGAGATGGACAAATTATTTGAAAAACTACCACAACATAGGAGAGGATTAAACATGTTCACTGGCAAGTTGTATTTCCATGTTGTCCTTCTACAACAATGTACCCAAGCACACATTGCTGCCCTGTGAACACCAAGGACATCCGCCAGAGGTCGGGGTCACCAGGACGCTGACATTCTGGAAGTAAACAACGTTAATGGACAGTAAGTAAATCATTTTATTTTCCAAACCTTTAATTGTTTTTTATGATTGTGAATGTATTTTTATGCTTTAAGACTTCCTTATATAAAGCACTGTAGGAAAATTTTAAATGACAGATAAATGAAAAAAGTTTTGTTACCTTTATCTGCAGGGAGTTGGAGGTGTCACAAGTTATAAACATTGGAACATTTGTGAAATAAATATTTTGAAACAATTAAAATGTTACAGACTTTTCAGATCATATATCAGGAGTATATGCAGAAAAACATGAGAAGTACATTCCCCATATTTCACAGTAAAAATGGAGATGCATATATTTTTCCAATACAGAATAGTTTTATGTTCACCCTCACCAAACAACTCTTGACCAAATATTTAATGAATATGAGTTTTAGGGTCACATTATCATTAGTTCTCTTATGTCTCTGTCCTACCCAAACATAGAAATGTCCACCCTAGGGTCTCACTCCTATTCAGGCATCCAGCTGGACCTATCCATCCACAAAGCCTTCTCTGGGCTCCTGGCCAGGGCAGGAATAGAGCCTGGGATGGTATGTCTTTCAGAGTCACTGAAATATGTCAGAGGTTACCACGTGCTCCCTCAGGATTTCTGGGGGTTAGGAATAGAGCACGAGAATGTTTATTTGTGGTTTGTTAAGTTTCTTACAGAAGTCTGAATTGGAAACAGTGTCCTCTGACCCTCCTCATGAGAGAGCGTGGTGTAAAGGGAGATAAAGTGTCTCTTCCTGTGGTCACAGAGCCTTCACTTTCGAGCCTGCTTTTAAGGGGTTTCCGTTCCTATCCCTCCAACCAAAGACTCTTGCCTAGTCCTCTGCTTTCCTTCATGTTGTGGAATCTAAGGGACACGTGTCACTGCTCATCTGAGTTGACCATACAGCAACCCTTGACTGCCAGCAGACCCTCTCCTGCCCACATCTCTGCATGCTCCTGGGCTTCAAGAAAACACTAGCCAGGACTTTTCTGCCTCTTTTTCCTGCACTCTCAAGGCTCTGCTGTCCTTGAATGAAGTCATACTCCCGCTTTTGAGCTCATCATTCACTTCTTGTGAAATCCCAGCTTCATGTTTGTTCCTGACTGCAAACCTTCACCTATTTGAGTCCTCCCTGCACCAAGGGCAGGGGCCCAGCAAGATTTGAAGGGGTGGGAGTGGTGGAGGGAGAGAGTACTCTCCTTCTCTGATCCCCTTGGCAACTCTTTTCTGGATGCCTGGTGTGAGCTTTGCTGAAGGGGCAGGGAGTCTGCAGGAAAGCGGCTCTGAAAGCCACAGACTTCCTCAACAGATGCAATTAGCACGTCCTGGATTATACTAGACTAGACTAGAGTGTGATGCCCCCAGCACAGGCCCTCCCTCCTCCCCTCACCCCAGGTCCATGTCCCAGCCAATGGGGGCCTCTGGTGGTCACAGAGGAATGGAGATGACCAGGTGCACATACCGATTTTTTTTTTCTGCTGAGCTGTTTATTCAGCCTTTCAGAATCTTCTTGTCACCCACCTTTAAATAACTCCCTTATGAAAAGCAGCTGCCCTTCCTTTCCATGGTTATCTGGGTGCATTTTTTACCCTCTGTGAATCCCATATCTCTTCCAGGTTTGCTTGATTGGGGTATTCACTTAATAGCTAGCGACTGACTCCTCTTTGTCTTTGGCTACTACAGTCTGTCTCTCCTAGTGGCACACATCCATATACTTTATGGCAGGACAGGGCATGATCTGGGGAGGGACTTCAAGGAGAGAACACAAGGGGCCTCTGGGCTGCTGGGGATGCTGTTTTTCTGGATCTGGGTGTTGGATACACAAGCGTGTTCACCTTGTGAAAATTCACTGTGTTTACCCTTAGAGTATTCAATTTTATGTAGTTTTCTTAAAAGAAAGCCAACAAGCAAATGAATTAGCAAAAAATAATAAACCAAAATATGAAACAGAAACAAAAAATTACTTAGGGGCTTAAGCAGAGAAACAATCCAGCAAAAACACACACACACACAGAGACACACACACACCACCCCCCACACATACACACAGATACCCTGACCCCCAACACACACACACTGATAACAACTAGTGCCCCAGCTCCGCATATAAGGAGGCAGCCCAGGAAAGGGTGCAAGTAAGAACCTCAGAGTTCCATCAAGAAATACATGCCTGCCTGCCCACGATCCCTCCGAGCCCAGAAAGCTTGCTTTGTACCCCCTGCTGACCATGTGCCCTTCCTTCTCCTTATCACCAGGTACAGGCATGGATGTTATTTATTTATTTATTTTTTTGACAGGCTCAATTTAAAACATTCTCGTTTCTACCTGGTCACTTTATGCAGTACTATGTTTTAAGCATCTCATCAGAGACACCAGCTGGGTAAGGCTTTTAGAAATTGAAAGCCTTGTATGAAAATTGAGGCTAATGGCAGCAAAACTCACACTTCTGCACTCCAAACCTTCATACCTGAGGTCACGCTTTGTCTTTCAGGTGGCCTGAAGCCAGTCTTTAAGCCTTTTGGTTACTACTTTTGAAATCAGCCTCCTAGTCATTCTAAAGGTCATATCCTCAGTCAAGGTTTGCTGTGTCTCTGTTTATTGTCTTTGCTTTTGAGTGTGCATCACATTTTCCTGTTTCTTCATATGTTGCATCATTTTGGATGACTTCCTAGACAGTGTGAATGAAATTTTATAAACAATCTTGATTATGACATGTTCTTCTAACTGTGATATGTTCTTATGTATGTATGCATGCATATATTATATATATAAACAGTCAGCTAGCCTGGCTGAACAAAAACTGCAAACTTGGTCTCCCCTGCACTGGTGGAAACTGAAGTCTCTGTTCAATCTCAGGTGAATTGCTTACAGTCTTCCCTGTGTGCATATTTCAGGGACAGTCAGAGTTGGGCAGCGTATATAGACAGGATTTAGGGCGCCCCCAACCATGACGCTCTTCTTTCTGAGACTGCACTCTCCCCTCATTTTCTAACTCATGTGACTGCCCCAAACTCCATCCTCTGGTTTTTCATGCCAGTGAAGCTGCAGGTTTTTCCATTGGAATTTAAGCTGTCCTTCATGGCAGGGACTTGGAACTTCCCCCAGGCTGAAAACCATAAAACAATGAGAAACTCACCCAGTCCCATTCCCCTATAACCAAGTGTCTGCCTGTTTCTGACTGCCCCCTAATGTCTTCAGAGAGTTGCTGTTATAGTTTATCTTATATTTCTATTTAAAATTATGCATATTATTACCATTAAATAATATATTTAAAACATTTCAAATATTTGCATTGCTATATCAATTATATGGATATTAATATGAAATAATACATCAATATGCTATTAATGTAAAATAGTTACAACATTCATATTTAAGCATTTACATATATAAAACTCAACCTGTATTTAGTGGGTGTTACCTGCAGGAGGATTGCTCCAACAGGATATACTTGGCCTGAAGCAGATCCCCAAGTTGGTTGACTTGAAGCACACATGGAGAAGCCCATGAACGGCTCCAAAGCTCCAAGCATAATTAATTGTGAAGAGACAGTAGAGGAACATTTCTATAAATGCATGTCAGAGCATCCCTCTACATAGAAATGGCAGAAAATTGTGTTTTCACATCCACAAGCATTGATGTGGGGTATAGGGAGATGGGTTGGTGGGGAAGTGCAAAGGCTGATACAATGTAAATAGTCCCTTTCCATGCAGCCACCCAAAAGAAGGACATAGGAGAAAGGAATACCCTGGAGAGGTCCATGAAGCAGGTGTGGGCCTAGGATAGAGTGCCCCACGGAGGCCTGCCTGCTCACCCCACCCCATCACACCTCCTCGGTCATCCCTAGTGCTGAGGAATGAAACCTCAGAGTCATATGACTGTTCACCCTTGTCAAGAGCATGAAATACTGTTCTTTGTTTTAATAAAACAGAACAAAACAAAACAGCTCATCCTCCAAATTCTATCCTAGGCTTTAGTCCCCTTCAGGGAGTTGGGGACCTGGATGAAGGAGAGCAGCACACAGGAAACACAGCTCTGTTTTTCTTTTTCTTTCTTTCTTTTTCTTTCTTTCTTCTTTCTTTCTTTCCTTCCTTCCTTCTTTCATCTTTCTTTCTTTCATTTTATTTTCCTTCCTTCCTTCTTTCCTTCCCTCCTTCTTTTTCTTTCTTTCCTTTCTTTCTCTCTCTCTCTTTCTTTCTTTTCCCCCCTTTAGAGATTGCTGTTCTTTCCATTTAGCCTTCCTAAAGCATCTGGGCTCTCCAAATGCTGACCTCACCCCTCAGGAAAATTTAATATCAATTCTCGAGGCTTAAATTGTGGAAAACTTTTTTTTGTTTGTTTCATTTAGTATAGATTTTCTTTCCACAATACCGTATGGGCTTGTTTCATCCCCCCTTTCATTAACCACCCTTCATCACAATGCACAATGTGTTTTGCATTCCACTGGCACCTACCCTAAGGACGCCATCGGTCACTGGGGCTCTCAGTAGCCAATTGGCACCAAAGGACTGTCAAGAGAGTGGAAAGAATATGGCAGCTTGACATGAAGCCATGCTCATTTTTTTATCAAAGAGTGATTAGACAGATGGAGGCTCAAGATCAGTGAATGGGGAGGGTTCTATGTCATGAGGGGCAAGGAGGTGGTCTCACAAAGGTCGCCAGGAGAGCACTGGAACAGCAGAAGACCCCTTGGTGCACAAGCCTATGTGCAGACTCTAGAGGCATCCTGGGAACATACCAGACCCCCTCACGCCCTACATCACATAAAGCCACAATGTAATGATTTCCCCAAAATGGCAACTTCAAATCTACTCTCATTGCTCACCTCAAATCCTGAATTAATATTTGAGGATCTGGAGCACACTCTCTAGTTAGTAATAATATCTGGGTTTAGAAGCCTGAAAAGAGGAATGTAGCCAGCAAGGTACACAGCTCATAGCAGTATAATTCTACTTCCCTGCCTCCAAAGTCATCCTAAAAAGCCTGAGAAACTTCAAGTGTCATCTCAATCAACACCTTATAGCATGAGTTGTTGATCACTCAATATCTGCTTCAGGATCCCCCAAAGCCCATGTCCAACCCTAAGGTCCCAGAGGTTCATGTGGCCAGAGGTGCTGACGGTTGAGCAGGATGGTTTCTGCAGAGTCCTATTAATTCCTACAGCGACAGACCGTAACCCAGCAGAAAAGCAGTCGAGAGGGAGCACTGCTCATATTTCTCAGATCTGGGCAAAGCTTCCTAGGATACATCTGTTTTCTTAATTCAGTCTTTATGAAGCCATTACTCACCTCCGAGATCTTAACTCTTTGCCAAATTCCAGACTCCTTTTCTTCCACTTCTCAAGCCGTAAAATACTGGGGTTAACTTCAGACCCAAATCAAGGAAATCTTCTCCCCAATAAAATAATAGTACCACATAATTAAATGTGTGAAAAGTAAAATAATTTTTGTGTAAAATGGGCCACATATATGAAACTATGCTAACTCTCATCTTGTACTTTTATATGGGAAATATGGTGAATTAGAAACGATCAATTTGTATGGAGGAATAAGCTGGGAGGAAGGGAATGGTAGTGGAACTCCTCCACACTTCTCAGTTCGTCTCTCTCTCCAACTGCCTGATGCAGCTTCCATCAACAGAGAAGTGCTGGCACTGAGAAGGTGCCCCTCCTGCTCCATGAAGATGCACTTGATCCAGAAAGATCCATCCCAACTTATCTACCACCTTTGTACTTGCTCCCCTTCCCAAATGCCTGACAACAGCTTTGGCCTCAGGAACTCAAAGCTGCAGGCTTGAGTTGCACATTTCTGCTGAAAGTCCCCAAACCAAAAATTCTATGCATCCTACGGTCAATCATACTCTTATACTCAGCACAAGAAACCACCCCTGGATCTGAACTGACAAGGCTTGTGGGGATCAGAGACTTACATCTAGAAATGCAATTAGAAGGGAACACAAAATATGCATCCCATGCCTGAACGGTGCCAGGAAATCCAGGCACTGTCCTTTCCTTCATGCATTCCTGGTGAATCCAATTTGTTTCACCCATCTTGGTCTGAGCTCAAATTCAACCTTGCACTTTTAGTTTTATAGCATGGAATATCAATTAAATCTGAGATTACCATATTCCATTCTGGCACATAATACTTTTATATAGACATGGTGGCAGATAGGCAGAGCAAGGAAGTTTACTCTTTGTGGAGATATTTCTAAGCTAGCAAGTGTTTTTTTTCTAATTTCTGGTTAAGAAACCTAGGTATTTGTATGTGTTTAGTTTCCACGTATATGCCATTAGCAAACCGTCTGGAAAAGAACTGAAGCAAGCAATACTATTTACAATACCTACCAAAAAATTAAAATACCTAGAAATATATTGAATGAAGGAGGTGAAAGATCTTTACAATGAAAATTATAAAACATTTATAAAAGAAGATGAAGAGGACACAAATAAATGAAAATATATTAAACTTTCTTGGAACCACAAAAGACTCTGGATAGCCAAAGCAATCTTGAGAAAAAAACAAACAAACAAAAAACAAACAAAACAAAAACAAACAGAGCTGGAGGCACCATACTATCTGATTTCAAAATGTACTACAAAGCTACAATAGCCAAAACAGCACAGTACTGGCATAAAAACACATACACCAGTGGAACAATACAGAAAGCCCAGAAACAAACCCACATATTATAGCCAACTGTTTTTGACAAGGTGCCAAGAAGACAATGGAGAAAAAAACTGTCTCTTCAACAAACAGTGTTAGGGAAAACTGGATATCCACATGCGAAATAACGAAATTTGATACCTATCTCTCACCGTATGCAAAATTCACCTCAAAACAGAGTAAAGTCTTCATGCAATACCTGAAACTATGAAACTACAGAAGAAAGCATGGAGGAAACACTCATAGAGGAAATCAAACATAGAGGAAAGACCTCAAGAGCATGAACAAAACCAAAAATAAACAAACTGACTATATCAAACCAAAAAAGCTTCTGCACAGCAATGGGAACAATAAACAGAGTGAAGACACAAGTTATGTAATGGGATAAAATATTTGCAAACTGTACATCTGACAAGGGATTATCTAAAACGTGTAAGGAACTCAAATAATTCAAAAGCAAAAATCAAAATATTTAGGTAAAAAATGGGCAAGTGACTTAGATAGACAAGACATACAAATAACCAACAGGTATATGAAAAAATGTTCACAATCACTAATCATCAGGGAAATGCAAATAAAAATCACAATGAGATATCACCTCACCCAAGTTAGGATGGCTATTATCAAAATGACAAAAAAATAAACAAATGCTGGCAAGGATGTGTAGAAAAAGGAAATTTTACACACTGTTGGTGGTAGTGTAAATTTGTATAGCCATTACAGAAAACACTACGGAGGCCGCTCCAAAAAAATTAAAAATAAATCTAACCAGATGATCCCATTACTGGGTATATACCCATGAAAACATGTCAAAGAGACATCTGCATTCTCATGTTTATTGCAGCATGATTCACAATAGCCAGGATATGGAATCAACCTAAGTGTCCATAAAGAGATGAACAGACAAATAAAATATGGTATGTATACACAATGGAATACTATTCAGCCATAAAAAATCCTGCCATTTGAGACAAGAATGAACCTGGAGGACATTATACTAAGTGAAATAAGCCAGACACAGAATGACAAATATTGCATGATCTTATTTCTATGTCAAATTTAAAAAATAATCTTATAAAAGTTGAGAATATAATAGTGATTATCAGAGACTGGGGAGAATAGGAGGGAGAAAGAAATGAGACAAGGTTGGTCAATGAGAAAATTGTTACAGTTCAATAGGAGGACTAAGTTCTGGTACTATATTTGATGGTAGGGTGACGACAGCCAACAATAATGCATTTTATATTTCAAATAGCTGGAAGAGAGGATTTTTAATGTTCTCACAATACAGAAGTGATCAATGTTAAGGTGATGCATATACTAATTACCATTGATAATTACACAATGTACACATATATCCAAACATAACATTGTACCTCATAAATGTACAATTACTAAATGTCAATAAAAATCTAATTTAATTTAATTTAAAAAGAAACCTAGGTACATAGGGTGGGCATATTCATCAACTTTTTAAAAAATCATTAACCTTATTATTATAACTTACATACAACAAAGGTCACCCATTTTAAGTGTACAGTTCAATGAATCTTAAAAATTGATTTCATCTGTGTGACCACAATAACAATCAAGATATAGAAATTCTGATCATCCCCCCAAAATTTCATCCTCCCCTTTGCATTCAATTTCCAAGTTCCAGCCCTACGCAAGCAAATGATAGGATTTTTGTTACAAAAGATCAGTTTTAGAAATTCATGTAAACTGATACTACAGTATGCAGTCTCACTTCTTTTACTTAGCAAATATTTTTGAGGTTCATTCATGTTGTGTGTTTTGGTAGTTTGTTCCTTTTCATAACTTAGAAGTGTTCCATTTTATGGATATAACATGATTATTTGCCCACTCAATTGTTGCTAGAAATTTTGGTTGTTCTCTGTTTGGGGCTATAACTTATTCATATGGTAACTCTATGTTTACCTCTATAATAAATTCCCAAACTGTGTGCTAAAAAAAGTTGTATAATTTTATGATCTCAACAGCAGTATATAATAATTCCATTTGTTTCACATTAGTGCCAACAATCAGTATTGCCAACCTCTTAAATTTTAGCCATTCTACTGGTTGTGTAATACCATTTCACTGTGGTTTTTAAAAATTTGCATTTCTCTCATGACTACTTATGTTGTGAATCTTTGTAGAGTGTATTGGCCATTCACTTATCTTCTAGGGTCTGGTTAGGTATTTTTTTCATGTTTCATTGAATTGCTTGCCTTATAACTTAATTTTAAGATTTGTTTCCATATTGTAGATACAATTCCCTTGCCAGATATATGTATTATAAATACTTTCTCACAGTTTGTGTCTTGTCATTTTATTTCCTTAAAAACATCTTTCAAGGAACACAATTTTTGGATCAAGTTCAGACTATTAAGTTTTCATTTATGGTTCAAAGTATCTCTCACTTAAAATCATGAATATTTTTAATGACTGGGTTTTGAAATAATCTGTACAACAAACCCTCATGACACAAGTTTACCTGTGTAACAAACCTGTACTTGTACTGCTGAACATAAAAGTTAAAAATAAATAAAAAAAATGTAGAAAATGAAACAATGTATTTTGTTGTTATTTTCTCCTAGATGGTTTATAACTTTCGCTTTTATGTTTAGTCCTATGGTCTACATCAAGTTAATTTTGTGTTTGATGTGAGATAAAGATCGAGGTTAGTTTTTCACCAAATGGATAATCAATTGTTCTAATACTTGTTAAAAAGACTATCTGTTCTTGATTGAACTACCTTGGAAATGTCAGAAAACAATTGACCCATATACGTATAAGTCTATTTCTGCACTCTCCATACTGTTCCATGAAGCTGCATGTTTAGACCAATAATGCACTGTCATGATCAATGTAGCATTATAGTAACTTAAAATCAGACATTGTGAATACTCCAATTTTGACCCTCTTTTTCAAAATTGTTTTGGTCATTCGAGGTCTTTTGCATTTCCAAATTAATTTTTGAATTAGAACATCATTTTATTTAAAAATCATGCTGTTATTTTGATGAGTTTGCACATTATACATCTACTTGATATCTTAACAATATTGAGCCCGTATGGCCATGACCATGCTATATATTTCCATTTATTTAGATCTTTAAATTCTCCTGGTGACTGTTGTAGTTTTCAGTGCAGAGGTCTTGAAAATATTTTGTTAAATATATCCTGATTTTGTGTTTGTTGGTTGCTATAAGTGGTAATGTTTTATTTATCATTTTCAAATTGTTTGCTAGTGGTAAACAGAGATACAATGAATTTTTGTGTTTTGACTCTGTGCCCTACAATCTTGTCAAATCCACTGCTCACTTTTACTGTATGTTTTGTAGACTCCTTAGAATTTTAAAATATATATTAACATGCCATTTATAAATAAAGAGTTATTTAAAGTAAAGTATATACACTATACATTCTAAATTCTGTCCGCTAATCCCACCACATCTGAGTCTATTTCAATTGACAGATTTTTCTCCTAGTTATGGGTCATATTTTCCTGCTTTTCACATGTTTAGTGATTTTTGAGTGAATGCTGAATATTGTGAATGTTTCAGTGTTGATTATCTGGATTCTGTTGGGCTTTGTTCACACAGAGAATTAAGAAACTTGCAAATCAGCTCAATCATTTTGAGGCTTGTTTTGAGGCATTATTAAGGCAGGCCTGGTGTTACTTTACTGAAAGTTTGGCTCCGTTACTAATGAGTCATTTTTTCTGGATTTCCCCTGAATGTCTTGGTTGTTCTTTTTTTTTTTTTTTTTTTTTCTTTAGACGGAGTTTCGCTCTTGTTGCCCAAACTGGAGTGCAATGGTGCGATCCCGGCTCACTGCCACCTCTGCCTCCCGGATTCAAGTGATTCTCCTGCCTCAGCCTCCTGAGTAGCTGGGATTACAGGCATGCACCACCACACCTGGCTAATTTTTTTGTATTTTTAGTAGAAACGGGGTTTCTCTATCTTGGTCAGGCTGGTCTTGAACTCCCAACCTCAGGTGATCTGCCTGCCTCGGCATCCCAGAGTGCTGGGATTACAGGCGTGAGCCACCACGCCCAGCCGTTTTGCCTGATCTGTAATGGGATGTTCTTCGGATCTGCATAATGTTTAGAACACGCTCAGCTCACAGCTCTGTGGTTGCTTTTGCCCAGCCTCCTGGTGTGTTCTCCCGCATATGCATGGCTTGATAGCAGACTCAATGGGAATCTAGGCAGATTGTTGGAACTTTTTATTTCTGCGTATTTTTCTTTCCTTTGTAACTATGTCCCATAAATCCCAGCCATCTCAACCTCCCTGAGCCCTGGCCTTTGTTTCCTCATATCAGAACAGTTACTACTGTTTCTTAGTATCCCGCTTCCTCCATTAGAAGTTGAAAGGGGCTTCAGGGACAAGAGTGGAGCAATTGTCTGTTTCTTTTCTCTCAAAGATGTAGTTCTATGCTGCCTCCTGTTAATGTTTAAAAGCAATTGTTTCACATATTTCTCCCAGTTTTCTAGTTGTTTATGGCAGGAGGAAAAGTCCAGTCTAAGCTCTTCTTAATGGTAAGAAACAGAAGTTCTACCACCCTTTTAATTCACCTCTTCAATATACCTGAGCTAAAATTAACAGCACCTGATGTTTGCTATAAACATGGCACAGAATCTGAGAAGACCCCTCAAAGCTCAGAGGGTGACAAAATTTCTTGCTATTCCACTATACACACCATACCATGGCTTTTACCAATTCAAGAACAAATCTCCAATTCGGCCTTAATTTTAATATTCTGTATTCTCTTGTTGTATCATCTAGCATGTTCCAAGCAGTCTGCTTTGAATTTAGCAGACTATTAGAGTTCTAGAATAAATAACAGGAGTAGCAGAGAGAAAAAATTCGTATTTTTTCTGCTCTGGGTAGTGATAAACTTAGATACTGTTTCCCTTAGTATTTCCAAATTATGTTCACTCTTCAAAGTGCTCAATAAGCGCAAGTAGATCTGCAGTCCTCTGTCTATTTAAAGATAACATAATGGATCAACACAATGTGGCATGTTTATATAATGGAATATTATTTGGCCATACAAAGGAATGAAGCACTGACATAGGGTGCAACACTGATGAGCCTTGGAAACATCACACTAAGTGAAAGAAGCCCATCACAAAAGACCACATATTAGATTATTCCATTCATACGGACTGTCCAAAATAAGCAGACTATAGGCCTATAAAGTATATTGGTAGTTGCTGGCCGGGCACGGTGGCTCACACCTGTAATCCCAGCACTCTGGGAGGCCGAGGTGGGTGGAAAACCTGATCTCAAGGGTTCGAGACCAGCCTGGGCAACATGGTAAAACCCCTGTCTCTACCAAAAATACACACACAGAGACAAACACACACACACACACACACACACACACACACACACACACACACACACACACACACAAATTAGCCAGGCGTGGTGGTGGGCATCTGTGGTTGCAGCTACTCGGGATGCTGAGGTGAGAGGATTGCTAGAGCCTTGGAGGCAGAGGTTGCAGTGATCTGAGATGATGCCACCGCATTCCAACCTGGGTGACAGAGTGAGACCGCGTCTCAAACAAAAAAAGTATATTAGACGTTAGTTAGGGTTGGTGGTGATAGCTAAAGCAAATGGTAATTTGTGTAATTAAAATGTTCTGTAATTACCTGTGATGATGTTTGCACATATCTGCAGCTATTATAAAACCAATAGAATCGTACACTTAATTTTTTATGTGCATAAATTTAAGGAGTGCAACCGAATTTTGTTACATGGATATGTTGCACAGTGCCGAAGTCTGGGATTTTAGTGTAATCATCACCTGAATAATGTGCACTATGTCCATTAAGAAATTTTTCATTCCTGACATCCGTACACCCTCCCATACATTTGAGTGTCCAGTGTCTCTTATTCCACAACCTATGGCCATGTGTGCACATTATTTAGCTCCCGCTTACAAACTGCAATTACAACATGTTGCATTTGACTTTCTGTTTAAGAGCTGTTTTACTTAAGCTAATGGACTCCAGCTCCATTCATGTTGCTGCAAAAGATATGATTTTATTATTTTCTATGGTTGAGAAGTATTCCATCATGTGTGTCTATTCCACATTTTATTTATCAGTTTATCAGCTGATGGGCATTTAAATGATTCCACATCCTTGCTGTTGTGAATAGTGCTATAATAAACATCTGAGTACAGGTATCTTTTTTACCTAATGACTTCTTCTCCTTTGGGTAGATACCAGCAGTAGGATTGCTGGACTGTATGGTAGTTCTACTTTTAGTTCTTTGAGAAATCTCCATACTGTTTTCCACATAGATTGTACTAATTTACATCCCCACCAACAGTGTATAAGTGTTCCTTTTTTTCTGCATCCTTTGCCAACATCTGTTATTTTTGACTTTTTAGTAATAGCCATTGTGACTGGTGTAAGATGATATCTCAGTTTGCTTTTAATTTACAATTCTCAGAAACAGCATTAGAAACAATTCAGCATCGCTTTTATTATGATTATTATTTTTATAATAGTAAAAATCCTCAACAAACTATACATAGAAGCAACACACCTCAAAATAAAGAGCATATATGATCAACTTATGGCTAAAATCATACCCAATGGAGAAAAATTGAAAACAATGCCCCTAAGAACTTTAACAAGACAAGGATTCCACTTTTACCACTCCTATCCAACATAGTACTGAAAGTCCTAGTCAGAACAATCAGGCAAGAAAAAGAAAAAACAAAGGCACCGAGACTGGAAAATAGGAAGTTGAATTATCTCTATATGCTGACAATATGATCTTATGTATAGAAAACCCCAATGACAAAGCTGGAGGCATCATGCTACCTGACTTCAAACTATGTTATAAGGCTACAGTAACCAAAACAGCATGGTACTGGTACCAAAACAGACATATAGACCAAGGGAACAGCATAGGGACATCAGAAATAAGGCCACACATCTATAACCATCTGATTTTCGACAAACCTGACAAAAACAAGCAATGGGGAAAGGATTCCCTATTTAATAAATGATGCTGGGAAAACTGGCTAACCATATGCAGAAAACTGAAACGGGACCCCTTCCTTACACCTTATACAAAAATTAACTCAAGGCAGACTCAAGACTTAAATGTAAAACCCAAAACCATAAAAACCCTAGAAGAAAATTTAGGCAATACCATTCAGGACATAGGCACCAGCAAAAATTTTATGATGAAATCACCAGAAGCAACTGCATCAAAAGCTAAAATTGGCAAATGGGATCTAATTAAACTAAACAGCTTCTGCACAGAAAAAAAAATCATCAGAACTAACAGGCAATCTACAGAATGGGAGAAAATTTTTTGCAATCTACCTATCTGACAAAGGTCTAATATGCAGAATATACAAGAAACTTTAAATTAAATATTAGAAGAAGACCTAGAGAAAACTTTTCTGGACATTGCTCTCTGCAAAGAATTCATGACTAAGACCTCAGAAAGCACAAGCAGCAAAAGCAAAAATAGACAAATGGGACTTATTAAACTAAAATACTTTTCCATAGAAAAAGAAATAATCAACAGAGGGAACAGACAACCTGCAGAATGGGAGAAAATATTTGCAAAACATGTATCTAACAAGACACTGCTATTCAGAACTTACAAGAAACACAAAGAACTCAACAACAACAAAACAAATTCATAAAAAGTGAGCAAAGGGCATGAACAGACAGTTTGCTTTGTGAATTTGTTTTTTAATTTTAGATTCAAGGGGTACATATGCCTGTTTGTTACATGGGTATTACATGTGTAATGATGGGGGTTGGGCTTCTGTGTGTCTGTCACCCAAATACTGAACATTGTGATAAATAATTTATCAATCCTCACCCCCACCTCCAATTTCCCCTCTTTGGGAGTCCATTTTAGTCTATTATTTCCATCTTTATGTCCATATGTACCCACTGTTTTGCTCCCACTTACAAGCGAGATAATATGCCATATTTGATTTTCTGGTTTTGAGTTAGCTTGCTTAGGATAATGGCCTCTGGTTGATCCATGTAGCTGCAAAGGAGATTATTGCATTCATTTTTATGGCTGCATAGTATTCCATGGTGTACATTTAACACATTTTCTTTATCCAGTCTACCAGTGATGGACACTTAGGTTGGTTCCAGGACTTTGCTATTGTAAATGGTGCCATGATAAAGATACTAGTGCAGGTGTCCGTTTTATACAATGATTTATTTTCCTTTGGGTATATACCCAGCAGTGGGATTGCTCAAAAGAATACAGACACTCAAAGGAAGAAGGGGTCAAAGAAAATAAAAAGAAGACATACATTTAAATGCCGACAATCGTAGGAACTGTACACTTTAAATGAGTGAATTACATGTTTTTGTTTTTGTTTTTGTTTTTGTTTTAGAAAAAAAGGCTGAGGATGGTGACTCACACCTGTAATCCCAATACTTTGGGAGGCCAAGGCAGGTGGATCACCTGAGGTCAGTTCGAAAACAGCCTGGCCAACATGGTGAAACGCTATCTTTACTAAAAATACAAAAATTAGCTGGGCGTGGTGGCTGGTGTCTGTATTCCCAGCTACTCAGGGGAGGGGAGGCAGAGTTTGCAGTGAGCTGAGACTGCCCCACTGCACTCCAGCCTGGGCAACAGACCGAGACTCTGTCTCAAGAAAAAAACAAACAAACAAGCCAAAAAAACAAAGAAAGAAAGAAAAAAGGAACATAATGATCCATCAAGATCCAATGCCAGAGCCCAGAACCCAAACTTCAACTCCACAGATACACAGATTTGACATTTGACATGAACAGAGGTAAATTGGTGGATTAAGCATGCAATTTTAAAAGACTTTTGCTTGGGGGTGTGTGTGTGTGTGTGTGTGTGTGTGTGTGTGTCAGAAAAATAGCGCTTTCGAAGCAAGTGTTTTCCATGGTGGGGTGTGTGTGGTATTTGGGGTAAATATGCCAAGAACAAATATAGAAGGTGGAGGTATATATCAGGTTGTTGGAAAAGATAGACCTTTAATCCTATCCAGTGATCTTAGAGGGCAAAATGTGAGTAAAGACTCCTGAAAAAAAAAAAAAAACGCTAAGAAAGGACTTTCTGGCAGGGAGTGAGTCTCCTCATTCAATTCACTCATGCCTGTTCCCCTCCTCAGCCCATGTAAAAACGTTGTGTAACTTTGTATAACAATGGGATAGTCCCAGATATTTCACTGGAATCTATGACTTCTTGAGCATTTTTCCTGTCACCATAGTTTCTGAGTTTGTCTTTTCTGCAGTTTCACAGAAGTGGAATCACAGAGTAAACATCCTGATTCTCTCTCCATTCCCTGAGCACAGAGCTTGAATAGTCATCTGTGCTATGGCACGTGTCAGCAGCACCTCCTTCCTACTGCCCAGCAGCACTTGGTTGTGTGAATACACGCCATGCATGTGTTTATCTATTCACCTGGTAAATGGCATTCGGTTGTATCTGGATTGCAGCTATGAGGAATAAAATGGCTCTGAATATTTGCGAACAAGTATTTTTGCAGACATATTTTCATTTGTATTGGATCAATAACTAGAATTAGATTATTGATTCTTATTGTAATTGCATGTTTATAAGAAACTAACAGACTATTTTTCAAAATGATTGTATCCATTGGTTAAGACATAGTCCTTAACTCTCTTTTTTTTTTTTTTTTTTTTTTTTTTGAGATGGAGTCTCGCTCTGTCGCCCAGGCTGGAGTGCAATAGTGCGATCTCGGCTCACTGCAAGCTCCACCTCCCGGGTTCACACCATTCTCCTGCCTCAGCCTCCCAAGTAGCTGGGACTACAGGCACCTGCCACCACGCTTGGCTAATTTTTTGTATTTTTAGTAGAGACGGGGTTTCACTGTGTTAGCCAGGATGGTCTCGATCTCCTGACCTTGTGATCCACCCGTCTCGGCCTCCCAAAGTGCTGGGATTACAGGCGTGAGCCACCACGCCCGGCCAGTCCTTAACTCTCTTAAATCTAAGTAGACTTCCGATCTATGTGCATCTAATCAGATCCTAGTATGAGCAGCCATGCCCACAATTACTTTTGAGAATTTGCCAATTTTCTATTTATTTGTGTTCTCATTTCCATGCCTTTCTGTTTCAATTTAAAAGTGGGGAAAGAGGTACCTTTAATATATTGGGAACTGAAAGAGGAAAACTACAATGTTTTGAGATTTTTATGAAAGTATGTTAATAAATTGCTGGATTTTAATGAGTATGTTATTTTAAAAGTTTTTTTTTTTTTTAGGTGGAGTCTCACTCTGTCACACAGGCTGGAGTGCAGTGGCACTATCTCAGCTCACTGCAACCCTTGCTTTCCAGGTTCAAGTGATTCTTGTCTCAGCCTCCCAAGTAGCTGGGACTACAGGTGCACACCACCACGCCCGGCTAATTTTTGTATTTTTAGTAGAGATGGGGTTGTGCCATGTTGGCCAGGCTGGTCTTGAACTCCTGACCTCAGGTGATCCACCTGCCTCAGCCTCCCAAAGTGCTGGGATTACAGGCATGAGCCACCGTGCCCAGCCTAAAAAGTCATTTAAAATCTAATTTTTCTGTTCTTACTTCTTCTTTTTACTTGCAAACTGGTCCCTTCTTTAGTTCTCTAATTTCATTCTTGTGATACTTGACTGCTGCAGACAACAGCAACCAACTTCATGACCGAGTCTCTTTCCCAAAGTCTTTTTAAGCTGCTGGCTCAGAAAACATGTGGTTCACAATGTAGTGAAGGCAGCAGCATAACCCTATATTTCACCACTGTGAAAGACAGATGGCCGGCTGGGTGCAGTGGCTCACGCCTGTAATCCCAGCACTTTGGGAGGCCGAGGCCGGGGCCGGGCAGATCATAAGGTCAGGAGTTTGAGACCAGTCTGGCCACGCTAGTGAAAACCCGTCTCTACTAAAATACAAAAAAATTAGCCGGGCATGGTGGTGTGTGCCTGGAATCGCAGCTACTCGCAAGGCTGAGGCAGGAGAATCACATGAACCTGGGAGGCGGAGGTTGCAGTGAGCCAAGATCACGCCATTGCACTGCCACCCTGGCGACAGCATGAGATTTTGTCTCAAAAAAAAAAAAAAAAAAAGAAAGAAAAAAGAGAAAGAGAGAGAGAAAGAAAGAGAGGCAGAGAAAGAAAGAAAGAAAGAAAGAAAGAAAGAAAGAAAGAAAGAAAGAAAGAAAGAGAAAGAGAAAGAAAGAAAGAAAGAAAGAAAGAAAGAAAGAAAGAAAGAAAGAAAGAGAGAAAGGGAGGGAGGGAGGGAAAGAGGGAGGGAGGGAGGGAGGGAAAGCAAGCCATCCATTTAGGCTCACATTATCAGTGTCTCTGTTGCCAGCCCCACTGCTGCTAATGTCACACATTTTTGTTTTCATGTAATTGTAGCATGCTAATTCTGCAGTGATTTCTGCATTAGATTAGACTAGGTTATATTGTGGTAACAACTTAACCCAAAGGCTCTGTGGCTTAACACAACATTAGTTCATTTCTTTCTCACATTTCACAACATCCTACACATATTGGTAGAGGCTTCTCTGCTATACGGTTTCTCAGAGACCCAGACTGCTAAAGTTATGACCTTCCTAATAAACTTTTTGTTGTTTTTATCCCCCCCTCAACATTATTCTACTAGAACCTTTGATCAACAAGTAGTCTATCTTTTTAAACAAATTCTATCTAATATTATTTCAAACCATGGGGATAGTTGCACAGTGAAAGTGAATGTACATATGGCCTAGAGCCATCATTTTTAAAAATTATAACAAAAAAGTCAGAGAATGAGGTCAACAAGCTCAGAAGCCTTCATGTCAAGAGATAGAAAGTTCTCCCAATGATGGGATGACAAGAGGTTACAATCACGAAAGTCACGCAGTGCACCAAGCACAGAATACAGGCCACAAGGAAACCCAGCTGAGCATGGATGACCAGTTTTGATCTGCTCACAGAAAGGTTGACCCAAACTACAGTATTCTCAAAACAAACAAGTTTTAAAATATCAAACATTCTTGTATCATTTAGACCAAACAATAAAGCAAACTCCCCAGCTCCTGTCTCTATCTTCCACAAGAAATGTCTTGTAGAAAATCCATAATCACATGAGGTACAGTGGATACCACCAAAATAAGGGTTATTATATTAACTGTAGCATCCTGAACCTGCCCCCTTCTTCCAAATTCTCATTTAAATAATTTATGCAAAAGTCCATTTTTCACAAAGATGCCAAGAATACTCATTGGGGAAAGGATCATTTCTTCAATAAATGGTGCTGGGAAAACCAATAGCCACATGCAGAATAAGAAAACTAGACCCCTGCCTTTCACTACATGCAAAAATCAACTCAAAATGGGCTAAAGACTTAACTTATAACCTGAAACTATGAAACTACTAGATAAAAACATAGAGGAAAAAAACTACACAACATTGGTTTGGGAGATTATTTTTTTATTTGACCCCAAAACACCCAGGAAACAAAAGCAAAAAGAGACAAATGGGATTACATCAAACTAAAAAGCTTCTGCTCAGCAAAGGAAACAATCAACAGAGTGAAAAGACAACCTACAGACTGGTAGAAAATGTTTGCAAACTATACATATGATGTCAAGGGGTCACTATCCAAAATATTTAAGGAACTCAACTCAATAGCAAACCCAAACAAATAAAAAGCCAGCTTAAAAACTGACCAACAACATGAATAGACATTCCTCAAAAGAAGACATACAAATAGCCGACATGTACATTAAAATGCTGAATATCAATAATAATCAGGGAAATGCAAATCAAAACCACAATGAGATATCACCTCACCCCAGTTAGAATGGCTATTAACAAAATGACAAGAAATAACAAATGCTGGTAAGTATGTGTAGAAAAAAGAACTCTTACACACTGTTGGTGGTAATGTAAATTAGAACAGCCATTATGGAAAGCACTATGATGGTTCCTCCAAAAATAAAAATTGAACTACCCTATGATCCAGCAATCTCATTACAGGGTATATATATCCAAAGGAAATGAAATCACTATGTCTAAGAGGCATCAGAATTCTCATATTTATTGCAGCACTATTTACAATAACCAAGAAATGGAATAGACCTAAGTGTCCATCAGTGGATGAATGGATAAAGATATGTGGTTCATATACACAGTGCGATAATATTCAGCAGTAAAAAAGATGAAATCCTGCCATTTGTGACAGCAAGGATGAACCTAGAGGAAACTATGTTAAGTGAACTATGACTCACACAGAAAGACAAATACTTCATGATCTCACTCATATCTGGAATCCAGTTGATCTCATAGAAGTGAGATTAGAGTGGTGCTTACAGAGGCGGAAGGGGAGAATGGAGACAGGATGCTCAGGGGAGGGGAGAATGGGGAGATATTGGCCAAAGGATACATAATTACATTTAGATGGAAGGAATAAATTTCAAGACATCTATTGAACAGCAAGGTGACTATAGCTAATGATAATATATTGTATGCTTAAAAAATGTAAAGAAAGTGGATGTTATGTGCTTTGACCACAAAGTAACTATGAGAGGTAATGCATTTGTTAGTTGTCCATATTTGACCATTCCACAAGATACATATACTTAAAAGCAGAATGTTGTACACAATAAAAAACATAGAATATGATATGTCAGTTAAAAATGCACAATCATAGACAATATATTAAATGGTGAATTAGCAGGTTTTCCCCTCCATTTAATACTTCCACTAAGGGAAATTTAGCTCTTTTGAAACTTGTGGTGGTTGTAAAAAAATGGGCCACAAATGCTTTGACACTACTTCCGTCTAGAGGTGGGGGTGGAGGTGGAGTCTATGCCCCTCTTCTTGAAACCAGGTGGACTTATGACTGCTCCACAGGATGACTGGGATGCTGGGTGGCATCTGAATCAAGGTCACAAAAGGTATTCTGCTCTGCCTTGCTCACAAGGACACTCACTCTATAAATCTAAGCCACCATGTGCAACATCCCACCTGAATTCCACTCTGTGGGGAATCCCAAGCCACATGAATAGAGAGGACTCCTGGTGACAGTTTGAATCTTTGGATCATCCCTGCTCAGGCATAAGACATAAAAGAGAAGGGAATTCTAGATGATTTCAGCCCCCAACTATTTGACTTACTCTCAGCCATTGATGTCTTCCCAGTTGAAGCTCCAGACATTACGAAGCACAGAAAAGTCTTTTTTACATGGGTTCATACCCACTGTGTCCATGAGCATAACAAGGTGGTTGCTCTTTCGGGATAGCTTGTTACACAGCAATCAATAATTGGAACACACCTCATAATTGAGAGCTTCATGTGGCCAAGGTGTCATGGAGTTGAGTGGGATATTTTATACATTAAAGTTCTCTTTGCAAATGGCCCAGGAAAAGAGAAAAAATGTTTTCATGATGATACGGTTTGGCTGTGTCTCCACACAAATCTTATCTTGAATTGTAGTTCCCACAATCCCACATGTGGGAGGGATGTGGTGGGAGGTAACTGAATCATGTGGGTGCATTTTTCCCATGTTGTTCTGGCGATAGTGAATAAGTCTCATGAGATCTGATTGTTTTATAAAGGGCAGTTCCCCTGCACATGCTCTTTTGCCTGCCACCATGTAAGACACGCCTTTGCTCCTCCTTTGCCTTCTGCCATGATTGTGAGCCCTCCCTAGCCATGTGGAACTGTGAGTCCACTAAACTTCTTTTTCTTTATAAATTACCAAGTCTTGGGTACTTCTTCATAGCAGTATGAGAATGGACTAATACAAATGTGATATACTGCACAGGGAGAATTACTCAGTTTTCTCAGGTCAGAGAAGCTCTTCTTAAGATGCAACTTTTCCTTATTGTGGGTTGTAGGGTGCTTATATTTTCTAGGCTCTTGACTTGCTTCTTGAAAAACTCAGGCTTCCTATTTACCTTACTTCTTAAATAATAGAAAATTAGATTTCTATTTCCTCATTTAATTTAAATTGGCCCAATAAAACTGAAGCCCACGCCGGGCGCAGTGGCTCACGCCTGTAATCCCAGCACTTTGGGAGGCTGAGGCTGGCAGATCACAAGGTCAGGAGATCGAGACCATCCTGGCTAACACGTTGAAACCCCATCTCTACTAAAAATACAAAAAATGTGCTGGGCGTGGTGGCGGGCACCTGTAGTCCCAGCTACTCCGGAGGCCGAGGCAGGAAAATGGCGTGAACCCGGGAGGCGGAGCTTGCAGAGAGCTGAGATCGTACCACTGCACTCCAGCCTGGGCAACAGTGCACAAAAAGCTGAAGCCCACTAGTTATTTGGTGGTGGATGGAGGATGGAACAATGTTTACATTGACCACTAAGGTACTGATCAAGTAAGACTTACAAAGCTTAGATGGAGAACATATGCAGCAAGATGCTGTTATGGGAAAATCTTCCCTTACTCTATAAACTTAACCACTATAACCCACCTACCCCCAAATTCCTTAAGAGTGTTCTTCGTCACAGAGAGACAGACCCTAGAAAGATCCCTGCAGTGCTTAAGGAACACTGCCCGAACTTTGCAAAGGCCTTCCAAACAGAAAGGGTGGTCTGAGGTCTCCCAATCTCTGCACTCCCTCTTCACTTGACTACTACCAGATTTGTTGCAGTGTGGGAGGGTGAAATGCAGAAATACAAGTCTGGATAAAAATTTTCTTGCCAAGGATGTAGCTAAAATACTCTTGCTTGGAGCATTCCATAGTGTTGAGCAGTCTTGGTCCCCATCTTTGCCTCCAAAAATCTTTGAAAGAAGAAAGAATCCATCAAGTAGTGAAGCTCAGATTTAGGTAATCACGGAAACTGTAGTTGTTATATTTATCATGATTCACATTTCCTTACATCTTCTCACCTCCATAGGTCTTTAATCATTCCCTTGAAATTTGAGCTGCAACTAATTGCCCACATTGATTCAGACATTTCTAGGACCTTATCCTTTACGCTGTATCTACACAATGGACTGTATCTACACTATTATTTCAATTCTTTGGGAGTATATATCCATCTTTGGGGAGATGTCTATTCAGCTCCTTTGTCCATTTTCAATGTGTTTTGTTTGTGTACTTATTTTGTCCCACGGCTGTTCAATGGCTGCTCATATAACTCTCATTTCAGATAATTTTTCAGCAAACCTTCACAGGTGTGGCTATTCTTAGAATAAAATAACCACAGAAACAAAACACATTGAAAATGGACAAAGGACCCAAAGATAATATAAAAGGACCCAAATGTGATATTAAAATGGTCAATAAGTACATGGAAAAGATGCTCAGCACCACTAATTATTAGGGAAATGCAAATGAAAACCATAATGAGATATCATCTCATACCAATTACAGAAAATAACGAGTGTTGGTGAGGATGTAGAGAAATTGTAAATTTTGTACATTGTTGGTGAGAATGTAAAACGAAGAAGCCACTCTAAAAATCGGTCTAGTGATTCTTCAAAATATTAAAACTAGAATTATCATATGATCCAGGAATTCCACTTCTGGATATATATCCCCAAATAATTGAAATAATGGTGTCAGTGTTATATTTGTATAGTCATGATCATAGCAGCATTACTCACAATAGCCAAAAGGTAGGAGTAACCCAAATCTCCATTGATGAATTCACAGGTAAACCAAAGTATCCAGCTGTATAATGGAAGAAAATACTGACACATGTTACAACATGGATGAGTTCTAAAGACATGTTGCTAAGTGAAATAAGCCCATCACAAAAAGATAAATATTGTATGATTTCACTTATACAAGGTGCCTAAAGTAGTCAGATTTATAGATGTAAAAGTAGGATGGTGGAGGCGGGGTGCTGTGGCTCAGGTCTATAATCCCAGCACTTTGGGAGGCCAAAGCGGGAGGATCACTTGAGCCCAGGAGTTGGAGACCAGACTGGGCAATATAGTGAGACTTCACCTCTACCGAAAAAATAAAAAATAAATTATCTGGGTGTGGTAGTGTGTGCCTGTAGTCTCAGTGACTCTGGAGGTTGAGGTAGGAGGATCACTTAAGCCCAGGAGATTAAGGCAGCAATGAGCTATGACCAGGCCATTGCACTCCAGCCTGGGTGACAGAGTGAGACCCTGCCAAAAAAAAAAAAGGTAGGATGGCAGTTGCCAGGGGCTGGACAAAAGGGATTAGAGTTATTGTTTAATGGATACAGAGTTTCAGTTTTGAAAGATGAAAAGAGTTCTGGAAATGGATGGCAGTGATGGTTGTATAATAAATTGTGAAATTAAAAATGGTTAAGATGGTAAATTTTATGTTATGAGTATTTTACCACAATTTTAAAAAATAATTTAAAAAACAACAGCAGGCACAGCATGGGCAAATAAATCAAGCTAGGAATAAACACGATGTATCATGGGAACCGTAAGGAGCCAACTTCTCAAAACATGTGAATGTGCTTCAGAACGAGGGGAGATATTGTAGACAGGTAAAGAAAAGTCACGGAGAAACAGGCTACATTTCATATAAATAAGGTAAGAAATTAGATAGGAACTAGTGTTGGTGAGAATGTGGAGAAATTGGAATTCTTGTACATTGGTGGGCTGTAAAATTGTGCAGCCATTTTGGAAAACAGTTTGGCAGTTCCACAAGAAGTTAAATATTGAATTACCATCTGACTCAGCAATTCCACTCTTATATATAGACCCAAGAGGAATGAAAACATAACCACATCAAAACTTGTATATAAATTTTCACAGCTGGCCAGGCGCAGTGGCTTACGCCTATAATCCCAGCACTTTGGGAGGCCGAGGTGGGCAGATCACGAGGTCAGGAGATCAAGACCATCCTGTCTAACACGGTGAAACCCTGTCTCCACTAAAAATACAAAAAAAGTAGCCGGGTGTGGTGGCGGGCGCCTGTAGTCCCAGCTACTCGGGAGGCCGAGGCAGGAGAATGGCGTGAACCCCGGAGGCAGAGATTGCAGTGAGCCGAGATCGTGCCACTGCACTCCAGCCTGGGCGACAGAGCAAGACTCTGTCTCAAAAAAAAAAAATAATTTCACAGCTATATTATATATTTATGATAATCAAAAGGTGGAAAAAACTTAGATATCAAGAAATTGGATGAACAAATAAGTAGAATGTGGTATATACATATCACAGAACATTATTTGGCTATAAAAAGAATGAAGACTGGGTGCAGTGGTTGACGCCTGTAATCCCAACACTTTAGGAGACCAAGGTGTGAGGTGCTTGAGCCCAGGAGTTCAAGACCAGCCTGGCCAGCATAGTGAAATCTTGTTTCCACCAAAATGATGTTTTTTAATTAGCTGGACATGGTGACACACACCTGTATAGACTATAGGTGTGTGGAGGCTCAGTTACTGAGAAGGCTGAGGTGGAAAAATCACTTGAGCCCAAGAGGTAGAGGATGCAGTGAGCTGTGATCACACCCCTGCACTCCAGCCTGGGCAATAGAGTGAGACCCTGTATAAAAAGGAAAAAAAAAAAAGTATTGACATGTTATACACCATGGATGAACCTTAAAAACACATTTTTTTTTTTGAGATGGAGTCTTGCTCTATCACCCAGGCTAGAGTGCAGTGGCGCCATCTCAGCTCACTGAACCTCCGCCTGCCAGGTTCAAGCGATTCTCCTGCCTCAGCCTCCCAAGTAGCTGGGACTACAGGCACCTGCCACCAGGCCCAGCTAATTTTTGTATTTTTGGTAGAGACGGGGTTTCACCATCTTGGCCATGCTGATCTTGAACTCCTGACCTTGTGATCCACCTGCCTTGGCCTCCCAAAGTGCTGGGATTACAGGTGTGAGCCACCACGCCAGGCCAAAAACACATTTTTGAGTGGAAGAAGACACTCGAGATCAGATATTTTATGATTCCATTTACAGGAAATATTCTGAATAGGCAAATCTATAGAAAGGTAAAAGTAGACTTGTTGCTTAGGGCTAGGAAGGATGGGGGATTAGGGAATAATATTAAAGGGTAGTGGGGTTCTTTTTATTCTAAATGTTCTAAATTTGTTTTAAATTTGATTCTAACTCGATTGTTTTGATTACTGCATAGTGCTGTGTATATACTCAAAATCACTAGGTTTAAATGGCTAATTATATGGTATGTGAATTTAAATGGTTAATTGTATGATGTGAAAATTTAAATAGTTAATTGTATGATATGTAAATTTAAGTGGTTAATTGTATAGCATGTGAATTTAAATGGTTAATTGTATGGTATGTGGATTTAAATGGTTAATTGCATGTTATGTGAATTATATGTCAATAAAGCTATTACAAAAAAAAAGGAAAGAAAAAAGGCCATGGGCTTAGACAAATGGAGGGGCAGGCAGAGGGAGAAAGCCCAGTGACAGCCTTCTGCAGCCTGCAGGCACAAAGAGGATTACTTGGTTTTCCCCCCAAAATATGTGCAGGCTTCATGCAGACTTTTCCAAGCCCAGCCATAAATGTATTCCCCTTCCTCTCCAAACCCCTGTCATGCTATCTTCTATCAACTACTACTTGTTACCGAGCTTATTCTCAGTAGCAAAAATTAGACTTGAAAGTGAGTTTTCACCAGAGACACTGATTTCTTTGATGACCACCGCATGTTGAAAGTTAATCCTGTATTATGATAAATCACACAGCATGTCTTCAGCAGCTTGCCTCAGCCCTTAGCATAAAGAGGCCTCCAGCAAACACCAGCCAATCCTTGAGGGTGAGGCTGTCCGGGTGCAACTCAGACCTCAGGGCCCATAATAGCGCCTCATGGGCTCCAGCTGTCCTATTCATGAGCCATCGTCGGGTATCATTGCTTGCCAGTGCCCATCTCTACTTCAGGGTACACGTGAGGTCATTCATTATTAAGCATGTATGCTCATGCCACTGTCACATCTACAGGGGAACCCAGTGCCCCTCAACCAGAAGGAAAATGTGGAAATAGAAAGAAGTGGACATGGTACATGGTTTTGTGTCAGGCTACGTGCTGTTCATTCCCAAAGCAACCAAGAGAAACCAGCCTAGGAAGAAGCATGAGTTCAGAGGGAGGATGAGGAGGAAAGCCAGGAGGGTCAGTTACCTGCATGAGTCCACCCTGAGGGGATGCATACCATGAGGTCACAAAGGCCCACAAAGCCTTTCCAAGTTGTCATCCCACTCGATGACTGTTTCCACTTTTGTTCTCAGAAAGGAAATCTACATGGATTGGATGCTACATTTCCCCAGAAAGTTCAGTTTCAACACTTACAAAATAGATGCCCCAATATGCATGCACTAGCATTTGCCTGAGTTCCACCACAACAATATTCCTGGGGTCAGAGGCTCAGACCATGAAAGTCACCACAAACATACCTGAGAATGGACCAAACAACCTCTGTCCTGCTGCTTAGATATTTGAGGCTTCTTGGAGTGTGTTTGTTCCTTTAAGCTCTCAACTCACTCTTTGCCAAGTTCCAATCTGCTTTTAATTTTATATCTATAAACAGATGATCAAGTCTGATGTTTCCTACAACCTTGTCCAACAACCCAGTATTCCAACCCAAGTCACAGTGGTGAAAAGCTAGACAGCAGTGGAAGATAAATGAAGGTGGATTTAAATGAGTCTGTATGTACAGAAAAAAAAATGACAAAAATCTTGAGCTCAGGAGTAGTTTTGTCATCGTCAAAGAAAGAAGTTATCAAGGTGAAAGTCTAGAATGAATTCAGTCCTGAACTAGAGTGTAGATATTAGCATAAATATGTTTATGTTTTAATCTATATGTGTACATAAATTTAGACATAGATAGATACAGATATAAATACAGATATACAGGCTTACATAAGTACATACATACATTTCCCAGATTTTTTTGCTGAGAGGTCCAAGAAACACTACAGTGTCAACAAGCACATCTAGTTTTGAAATACCATTCTCTAATTAAAAACAAACAAGAACAAAAGACAGAGCTACTTGGAGAAATACTTCATTCTAGGGCTAAGGCAGAAAAAAATGCAATATACTGCTGAAGCATCTTTGCAGTGTCTGTAAGTAAGGAAGTACTAAACCGACAAAAACAAAAAAGCAAGCAAACCTCAATGAGTCCATAGTGATATAAATAAGCAACTGAATAATCAAATAAATAAATAAATAAGACACATAATAGATGTCCCAGAAATAAATCCACATATATACAGTCAAAATCTTCAACAAGGGTCCCAAGAATACGCAATGGGAAAAATATATAGTCTCTTCAACAAACGGTGTTGAGAAAATGTAATATCTACATGCGAAAAAGTAAAAAATAAAATTGGATTCTTATTTTACACTATATACAAAAATCAACTCAGAAGAGAATAAATATTTGGACATAAGACCTGAAACTATAAAACACTTAGAAGTAAAAGGAGGGGGAAAGCTTCATGACATTGGTCTAGATCTAGACAAAGATTTCTAAAATATGACACTATAAACACAGAAAACAGAAACAAAAATAATGTGGGGCTGCATCAAACTAAACTCCTGCATAGCGAAGGAAACAGGATGAAAAGACAATCTATGGAAGAGGAGACAATATTTGCAAACCATATATTGAATAAGGGGCTGATATCGAAATATACAACATATTCCTACAACTTAAGAGAAAAAAGAATTCCCCAATCCCAAATAATCTAATTTTTAAACGGCAAGGGATTTGAATATACATTTCTCCAAAGAATACATGCAAATGGCCAACAGGTGTATAAAAAGTTGCACAGCATTATAAATCATCAATTAATTGTACATCAAAACCACAATGAGACATCACCTTGTATCTGTTACAATGGCTAGCATCAAAAAAAGGCAAAAAAAAAAGGAGAAATCACAACCTTCATACACTGTTGGTGGGAATGAGAAACAATGTAGCCACAATGGAAAACAGTACGCAGGTTCCTCAAAGAATTAAAAATATGAGTACCATATAATCCAGCAATCCTACTTCTGGGTATACATACATAAAATGGAATATTACTCAGCCTTATAAAAAAAGAAATTATACTATTAATGACAACATGGATAAACCCTGAGGACACTATGTAAAGTTACATGAGATAATCACAGAAGGATAAACTCTGCATGATTGCACTTTTATGAGGTATCTGAAATGATCAAACTCATAGCAGCAGAGAGTATGACTGACAGTGATTGCTGCGGGGTAGGTGAGGGGAAAATGGGGAGTTACTGTTCAATGAGTATAAAGTTTCAGTTATGCAAGATCAGTAAGTTCCAGAGATCTACTGTTCAACACTAAGCCTACAGATAACAATACTATATTGTGCAATTAAAAATTGTTAAGACAGGCCAGGTGCGGTGGCTCACGCTGGTAATTACAGCACTTTGGGAGCCCCAGGCGGCCAGACCACTTGAGATCAGGAGTTCAAGACCAGCCTGGCCAACATGGTGAAACCCCATCTCTACTAAAAATACAGTAAACAGCTGGGCATTGTGGCGGGCGCCTGTAATCCCAGCTACTAGGGAGGCTGAGACAGAAGAATTGCTTGAACCCGGGAGGCAGAGATTGCAGTGAGCCAAGGTTGTGCCATGGTACTCCAATCTGGGCAACAAGAGTGAAACTGCGTCTCAAAGAAAAAAAAAATTGTTAAGAGTGTAGATCTCAAGTTAAATGTGGATATGACAATACATATACAGATAAGTAGGAGCAAATCTTTTTTAGAAAAGAATTCCAAATAATAAATAAAAAAGAAAAGGAATTAGGAAATTACCATGATAACACCATAACACAAATCACCAAAGACAAGATTCATTGATGAATGTTGAAATTAATTGGCAATGCATTAGGGATAAACAAGGTGTTTATAAGACTAGAAATATCTTCCCCCAGATATTATTTATTGGGGTGGTTTTAACATATTCTTGCTAAATTACTTGACAGTCTTTCTTCCAGAAAATGAAGCCTAATTCCTCCCTTCTGTTTGTGTATAGGATGGGCTTGCTTCTAACATGCAGAGGATGGACAAATAAAGCATTAGCTTTGCGGAGAAAAAATCTGGCAGTCACCATCTCAACCAAGTGATCAAGTTCAACATCACCAGTGAACATCATGTTGACACCATGTATCCTTGACATAGCACAATGAGAAAGACACTTCACTTCTATGAGTTTCTTCCCAAACTCCATATCCCACACTTCTGCTTTCAACTCTGACATGTAAATAGCTTGAAAGTTGTCACTCCTATTCTGGTAACAGTAAAAAGCTGGAGGAACTGAAAATAAATGACTTTTATTGGACCCATCAGGGAACCAGGGTCATAGCACAAGTATGCACCCAAAATATGGAGAGACAGGCAGGCCCAAAGAGATACAGCTACTAAGATCTCGTGATCAGGAGCAGAAGGTGATGGAGCCCTAAATGGGCAGGAACACTTAATAATAGTTTTTACAGTAGCTGGAAGCTGAGTATGGACTGGCATGACAGTGGAGAATCCTGAGACCACAGTCTTGGAAGGGACTTTCACTTTCAGGAACTCTCCTTCCAATGCTCAGATCCTTCTTTACAAAAAGTCATTTGGAGGTGGGAGTACCTTGCCAGGGACAATTTAGAAAACTCATCCTAGCTGATAGGGGCAATTTTTCCTTATCACAGTATCCCTCACCCGTTCTGTGTCACTTAAGAGGGAAAAACCCATAGTAAATAGAAGAAAGGGATTAAAAAATATGGATTCAGAACTTTGCAGGTAGTGAACAGCACAGGGAACTCGCAGGGGGACAGAGTTACACCACTGGGAGGGCAGTAAAGTTACCAACCTCCCGTGAATAAAACCAGAATATAAGGGAGTACTGGGAACAATCGTATGCCAACAGCTTAGATGACCCAGATGAAATAGACAAATTCCCAGAAAGACAAAAAATACTTGACTGGATTAAAAAGAAACAAAAAACCTGAATGGAGCTATGACAAGTAAAGAAACTCAAATAGTAAATGACAAACTTACCACAAAGAAAGTCCAAGGCCAAGATAACTGTACTAATGAATTATACCAACCTTTAAAATATTAATACTAATCCTTCAGAAATTCTTAAGCAGGCAAGCAAATAAACACATAAACCAACAAAAACAGAAGATAAGATCACACTTTCCAACTTAATCTATGAGGCCAATGTACCCTGATACCACAACTAGAAGACATTAAGGAAACAAAATGTATAGGCCAATATACCTTTTGCACATAGAGACAAAAATCATCAATAAAATACTAGCCTACCAAACCCAGGCAACACGTACAGAGGATTATACACCATGATCAAAAGAATTTATCACAGGAATGCAAGTTGAGTTCAATGTACAAAAACAGTGTGACACATTATTTTAATAAAATGAAGGAAGAAAACCACATGATCATCTAAAAATGCAAAAAAGCATTTGCAAAATCCAAAACCAATTTTTGATTAAAAAAAGACACCCAATAAATTAGAAATAGAGGTGGGAGGATTGCTTGGGCCTGGGAGGTCGAGGCTACAGTGAGCAGAGATCATATCACTGCACTCCACTGTGGATGACAGAGTAAGACCCCATCTCAAAACAAAACAAAACATATGAAAACAAAAAGCAACAAACAAAAATAATTAGAAAGAGATGTAAACTTTCTCATCCCAAAATAGGCATCCAGAAAAAAACGCACATGATATCATGAAAAGCTCAATACTTACCCCAAGATGTCCACTATTGCCACTTATATTCAACATTGTACTGGAAGTTGCAGCCAGGGCAATTGGGCTAGAAAAACAAATAAAAGTCACTGAGAAGGGGAAGGAAAAAGTCAAACTATCTCTGTCTGCCAGTGAGGTGATGTGTGTACAAAATCCTAAAGAATCCCCTAAAATACTATTAGAACTAAAAATGAGTCCAGAAACTTTTCAGTACACAAACTCAACAACTAAAAACAATTATATTTTTCATATACTAGCAATTAACAATCTGATAATAAAACAACAAAAACAATTTCATTTAAAATAGCATGAACAGAAGGCAGAGCAAGATGGCAGACTAGATCTCCTGTGATAATTTTCTTAAAGTATAATAATAACAAAATTTAAAATAAAATAAAATAAATAAATAAAGAAAGAAAGAAAGAAAGAAAGAAACATCAATTCTAACAAGTACCCTCACGGTATAAAAATACCGTTACAAAAGCTAAGGAAAACAGATGAAAGATCATAGTACATGGTTATAGCATGATATTAAGAAAAGATGCATCAAAGAGAGTAGGAAATTAAGTTTTATATTACCCAAATCACCCCTTCCCCAACATCAGTCAGCACAGTACAGAAAGAGATATCGTTCACTCTGGGTAAAGAGAGGGAAGCAACTGTAGGACATTACCTTGGATCTGAGTACTGAGTCAGCCACAGTAAAAATCAGCATACAGCAGACTCCCATGGTCCTGTCTCCAGGCTGGTACCCACAAATGGAACCTCTAGATCTACCCTGGGGCCAGACAGAAATATGTAGCCCCTGCAACATGGATTCAAGTTCCCAACCATTTCACTGCTGACTGACCACAGTGACCTTGGGCTCCAAATAGTCTATGGCAACAGGCAGGCCTCAGCAGCCGCAGGCCCCAAGCACACCCCAGTACTGTGCTAGCTCAGTGGCTATGGGCATTAGGTGCACCTCAATACTGCACTACCCTTAATGGCCATGGGATTCCTGCTCAGTGCTGCACCAGAGTCAGAGGCCATGGGACTCCAGCTTGTGGCACTCCTGGGCTTAGGGCGCCCCCTAGCACTGCAATGGCTGCAGCCCTCATGGGCTTAGGCACTACACCAAATGACGTGTCCACAATCTCTGGACTGGCTTACTGTTGAAGAATGTTACCAGACAAAGCCAGACTGTAAAGACCTATATATATGTTGCCCACAAAAAACTCACATCCGGCTGGGCGCGGTGGCTCACGCCTGTAATCCCAGCACTTTGGGAGGCCGAGGCAGGTGGATCACGAGGTCAGGAGATCGAGACCATCCTGGCTAACACGGTGAAACCCCGTCTCTACTAAAAATATAAAAAATTAGCCGGGCTTGGTGGCGGGCGCCTGTAGTCCCAGCTACTTGGGAGGCTGAGGCAGGAGAATGGCGTGAAGCCAGGAGGCGGAGCTTGCAGTGAGCCGAGACGGCGCCACTGTACTCCAGCCTGGGCTACAGAGCGAGACTCCATCTCAAAAAAAAAAAACAAAAAAACTCACATACCCTGTAATGACACACATAGTCTGAAAGTGAGGGGTTGAAAGAAAGATATTCCAAATAGTTTAGAAACAGGAGCGGTTATATTTATACCAGAAAAAAATAGACTTGAAGTCAAAAACTTTTAAAAAACAAAGAAGGTCATTATATAATAAGTGGTTCAATTCAGCAAAATAAGTGTTTATGAATCAGAAGAATTCATGTTGTTAAAGTGTCCATACTACTGAAAACAACTGACAAATTCAATGTAATCCTTATCAAAATATCACTTACATTCTTAACAGAAATAGAAAAAAGTTCCCAAATTTGCATGGAACTGTGAAAAACTCCAAAACCCCTAAGAAATATTGAGCAAAAAGGACAAAGATGGATAAATCTGTGGTGACTTTCAAATATACTACAAAGCTATAGTAACCAAAACAGCATGATACTGACATAAAAACAGACACACAGGCTGGGCACAGTGGCTCACACCTGTAATCCCAGCACTTTGGGAGGCCGAGGTGGGCGGATCACCTGAGGTCAGGAATTCGAGACCAGCCTGATCAACATGGTGAAACCCCGCCTCTACTAAAACCTACAAAATTGGCCAGGTGTGCTGGTGCATGCCTGTAATCCCAGCTACTTAGGAGGCTGAGGCAGGAGAATCACTTGAACCTGGGAGGCAGAGATTGTGGTGAGCTGAGATTACACCATTGCACTCCAGCCTGGGCAACAAGAGTGAAACTCCATCCCAAAAAAGAAAACAAAACAAAAACGGACACATAGATCAAGGAAACAGAATATACAGACCATAAATAAATACATGCATTTATAAACAAGTGATTTCTAACAAAGGTGCATGAACACACATTGGGGAAATATGGGCACTTCAATAAACGATGTTGGAAAAATTGAATCTCAGAATAATTAAATTAGACCCTTATATCTCACTATATCTAACTATAAATTCAAAGTGGATGAAAGACTTAAATGTATGACCTGAAGCTATGAAACTACTAGAATAAAAACATAAAGAAAAAGTTCCGTGACAAGGATGACAGTTAATTTTTCTTTTCAAAAACCCAGGCAACAAAAGCAAAAATGCATAAATGAGACTACGTCAAATCAAGCTTTTGCACAACAAAGGAAACAATCAACAGAGTGAAGAGATGGCCCACAGACTGGGAGAAAATATTTGCACACTATATGTCTGAGAAGAAGTTAATATCCAAAATATATAAGGAATTCAAAACAGTCAATAGAATAAAAAGAAAACAAAATTAAAAATGGACAAAATATCTGAGTAGGTATTTCTCAAAAGAAGACATACAAATGACAAAACACGTATATGAAAAAAATGCTCAACATTCCTAATCACAAAAATTCAAATCAAAATCACAATAAGACATCACCTCACCCCCATGAGAACAACTATTATGAAAAAAGACAAAAGATAACAAGTGTTAGTGAGGATATAAACAAAAGGAACCCTGCTATACTGTTGGTGGGAATATAAATTAGTACAACCACTATGGAATACAGTATACAGGTTCTTTAAAAAATTAGAAATAGAACTATCATTTGACCCAGCAATCTTACTACTGTGTTTACAGGCATACCACATTTTATTATGCTTCAATTTATTGTCATTTGCAGATACTCTGATTTTTACAAATTGAAGGTTTGTAACAACCCTGTGATGAGCAAGTCTATTGGCATCATTTTTCCACCAGTATGTGCTCACTTTTTGTCTCTGTATTATATTTTGGTAATAAAATATTTTAAATTTTATCATTATTAATGTTACAGTGATCTGTGCTCAGTGATCTTTGATGTTACCATTGTATTGTGGTCCTTGAATGGAACCCATATAAGACAGTGAATTTAGCCTGGTGTGGTGACTTACGCCTGTACTCCCAGCACTTCGGGAGGCCAAGGAGGGTGGATTGCTTGGGCTCAGGAGTTCAAGACCAGCCTGTGCAACATGGCAAAACCCCATCTCCAACAAAAATACAAAATATTAGGCCAGGCATGGTGGCCCATGTCTGTATAGTTCCAGTTACTCAGGAGGCTGAGGTAGAAGAATCGCTTGAGCTCAGGAGGCGGAGGTTGCAGTGAGCCAAGATCATACCACTGCACTCCAGCCTGGGTGACAGAAAGAAATCCCATCTCAAAACAAATGAACAAACAAAAAACAGATAGTGAACTTAGTCTATAGATCTTGTGTGTGTTCTGTACCAAATGACCTTTTCCCTGTCTCTCTTCTTCTCCTTGGGCTCTTATTCCTGGAGACACAACAATATTAAAGTTTGGTCAATTAATAACCTCACAATTGTCTCTAAATATTCAAGTGAAAGGAAGAGTTGCACATCTCTCATTTTAAATTAAAAATGATGAGCCATTTGCACATCTTCTTTTGACAAATATCTATTTAGATATTTTGCCCATATATAAATCAGATTATTAGATTTTTTCCTATAGAGTTTTTTGTAGTCCTAATACATTCTGGAGCTCTTGTCAGATGAAGAGTTTGCACAAATTAATCCCTTTTCAGATAGATAGTTTGCAAACATGTTTTTCCATTTGTGGGTTGTCTCTTCACTTTGTTGATTGATTCCTTGGCTGTGCAGAAGCTTTTTAACTTGGCATCTTCTCATTTGTTCTTTTTTGCTTTGCTTGACTGTGCTTGGTCAAGAAATCTTTAGGCAGTCCAATGTCCTGAAGAGTTTCCCCAATGTAGTTTCATAGTTTGAGATCTTAAATTTAAGTCTTTAATACATTTTTTACTTTTGCATATGGTGAGAGCTATGGCTCTAGTTTCATTCTTCTGCATATGGATTTCCAGTTTTCCCAGCACCATTTATTGAAGAGACTGACCTTTCTCCAATGTATGTTCTTGGCCCAAAAGAAAGGAAGTCAGTATATTAAAGAGGTACCTGTACCCCTGTGTCTATTGCAGCACCATTCACAATAGCCAAAATTCGAAAACAACCGAAATGTCCCTCAACAGATAAATGCATAAAGCAAATGTGGTACATACACACAATGGAGTGCTAATCAGCTATCAAAAGCAATGAGATCCTGTCATTTGCAACAACAGGGTTGGAACCGGAGGTCATTATGTTAAGTGAAATAAGCCATGCACAGATATAGGGAGACCCCCTGAAACTATTGCTACGGAATAAAAGATGAAATGCTTCTGATTATTGTAAATACAAAATTGCATGCAGGATTGTGTAAAGACAATCCCAGGTTGGGCTGCCAGAATGACTCAACAGCACCAATCCAATTGTGATCAAGATTCCTATCTCAGAAAAGCAGATGTTCATAGCTCTGGGAATGGAATGAGACCCTTGTGGAGAGCCTATAAATGGACTAATGAGGGGCGCCTGTTCATATGGATAAGATAGGGTTATAAACGCCCTTATCTTGCCACGGGTCTTCTAGGTCTCTTTAGGATTAAGGCATACTCCCTTCTGAGAATTTTTGGTCTAACCGGTTGTCTAGCTTCACGTCCTCTTTCTATTGATTGTTTGCAACCAGCTTTTGCTGCAACTGTTACTGCTGATTAATATCTTGCTAATCATAGGTTATGGATAGACTGTGTTTCTGTTTTAAGGCTCTGTTAGAAATTGCTGATGCACACACTATGTTGTAAATTCTTATCTCTGTATACTGTACTTCTGCATACCGATGTTATGTTAAAGAATTGCTTCATTCCCATGTGACCGTCTCACCTCATAATCAAACGACCCTAAATCCCTCACTAACCTACCCCTGCCCTCACTAAACTCAATAATAAATGCTGGTATATCCAGTGCATTGGCAGCATCACAGGACCAGAAGGTAGTGACACCCCTGGACCCAGCTTTCACTATCTTGTGTGTATCTCTTATTTCTTGACCTGCCTATCCACTTGAGAACAAAGAAAGAGCCCCATTGCATTGTGGGCTGCTGGCCAGATCCCGCAATACACAGAAAGACAAACTTTGTATGTTTTTACTTATTTGTGGGAGCTAAAAATGAAAGCAATTGAACTCATGAAGATAGAGAGTAGAATGATGGTTACCAGAGGCTGGGAGGAGTAGATGGAGGGTTGCGGGGAGCTTGGGTTGGTTAATGGGGACAAAAAATAGAAGGAATGAATCAGATCTAGTATTTGATAGCACAGCAGAGTGACTACAGTCAATACTAATTTAATTATATATTTAACAATAACAAAAATATAACTGGATTGTTTGTATTTTTTTTTTGTTTTTTTTTTTTTTTTTTGGAAACACAGTCTCACTCTGTTGCCAGGCTGGAGTGCAGTGGTGCAGTCTCAGCTCACTGCAACCTCCACCTCCTGGGTTCAAGCCATTCTCCTGCCTCAGCCTCCCAAGTAGCTGGAACTACAGCTGCACGCCACTATGCCCAGCTAATTTTTTGTATTTTTAGTAGAAACAGGTTTTCACTATGCTGACCAGGGTGGTCTCAATCTCTTGACCTCATGATCTGCCTGCCTCGGCCTCCCAGATTGTTGGGATTACAGGAATATACTTAACAAAATAATCCTAAGATGTGTACACAGAAAACTTCAAAACATTATTGAAAAAATTAAAGAAGAGCTAATAGAAAAAAAATATCCCATGCTCATTGATCAGGAGGCTTAATATAGTTAAGATGGCAATATTTTCCAAATGGACCCATAATTCAATGCAATCCTTATCAAATTCCAGCTGCTTTTCTTTGCATTAATTGACAAGCTGATTTTTAAATTCATATGGAAATATAAGGGATCCAGAACAGCCAAGACAATCTAGAAAAAAAAGTTGGAGTACTCAACTCACACTTCCGGATTCTGAAACTTACTTGAAAATAATGGTAATCAAGACATTATGGTACTTATATAGGGATAGATATATAGATCAGTGAATAAAATTTAGCATCTAAAAATTAACCCTAACATTTATGGTAAATTGATTTCACAAGGTAGTCAAGACAATTCAGTGTGGATTTTTTTTTTTTTGTCAAAGATAATGCGGGACAAATTAATACCCTGGTGCAAGCTGGAGTCTTCCCTCATGCCATACACATAATATGGCCTAACTATTGTTTACTTCCATTTATATGACATTCTGAAAAAGGAGAAACTATGGAGATAGTAAACACATTAGTGGTTACTAGTGGCTGGAGGGAGAGAAATATTTAATAGATGATGTGTAAATTTCTTTAGGGCAGTGAAAATATTCTCTACAATATTGTAATGTGGGTACATGAAACTATTTTTTAAATACAGCAGAATGTTGTAGAACAGTGAGCAAATATGCATGCAAATTTAAAAAATACTTAGTAGGTTAGGGGATCATAGGGTGTAACACATACAAAATAATATAACCATGTTACAAATATATGAAATAACCTCTCTGAAGAGAGTGAGAGGGAAGAAAGGAGGCTGACCTGAGTAACATAATTTTATAAGTGGAAATTCCAAGTTTAAAGGCTAAAAAATGTGTATGTAAGCACTGTACCGTTTTTGATAAAGTTGTGTCCCGTGGGGGTGTTGATGAACAATTCTGAAACCAATATCCATGTATTTTGGGATAAAGTAAGTTAATGGAGCCAACTGTTTATGGTTAGAGTGGGAGGTTACGTACAAGCAGTAGGAATGGACACAGTGATTTGTGCAATACTGGATTAGATCATGTGGTGTTAGGGGCATTAGTAAGAATTCATGTGGCTATCCAGTTTTCCCAGTACCATTTAGTAAACAGGGTGCCCTTTCCCCCCAGTTTATGTTTTTGTGTGCTTTATTGAATATCAGTTGGTTGTAAGTATTTGGCTTTATTTCTTGGTTCTCTATTCTGTTCCATTGGTCTGTGTCTACTTTTATAACAATACCATGCTGTTTTGGTAACTACAGCTTTGAAGAATAATTTGAAGTTCAGCTTTCCTTATCTTTAATCTTGGATGAATATGTCAAAATTAATCCATATTTTTAGTCTAATCATGAGAAACCATCAGACAAATCCATATTGTGGGACACTGCAAAACAACTGGCCAGTACTTTTCAAAAGGTTCAAAGTCATGAAAACTAAGTAAAGATTGTAGATTGGAGAATAGCTGATACAGAAGGTAAATGATTCCCATATCTTGGTATGACACAACCTTGAATACTAATTCCTCATGAATGTGGCCAGAAGCTGAGTTGAATACTGAACAAGAGAATACTGCAAAGGTGATGAGATGACACTTAGGTGATCATTTTACATAAGATTGTGATTTTTCTGTCTTGCTGCAAACTCTGTCCCTCAATGGCTTTGATGGAGGCTTCTGGCATGTAGGAGAAGCCAACACCTGGAGGGACTAAATGCAGGCTTTGACCAACAGCCTGCAATGAACTGAGTTCAAACAGCAATAATGTGAGCTAAGAAGTAACTTCTTCACCAGCTGAGATTTTAGTTGAGACCTCAGCCTTGGCTATCATCTATGTCTCAATTCTTGACCCAGAGAACTATGAGACAATACGTTTTGCAGTTTTAGGCCAGTAAATTTGTGGTAATTTACAAGGCAGCAATAAATAAGTAATGCACTTAAGAACTAAACGTCATGTGCTATCCTGGATTGGATCCTGGAACAGACAAATGACATTAGTGGAAATCCTGGTAAAATATAAAGAAAGTCTTTAATTCAGTTAATAGCTATTTTTACCATCAGTGTCTCAGCTTTCATAAATATACTATGGCTATGTCAGATATTAACATTACAGGAAGCTGAAGAGCATATGAAACTCACTGAATCCTTTTTGCAGCTTTCTATAAATCTAACATTATAAAAATGAAAATACTATTTTAAAGGTATTACTGTGATAGAAAAGAACATGCAAACAAACACCAGAATGAACACAAACACAAACTTGGGCTCCGCGAATGAACAGGCACATAGAAAGAATGCAAAGCTGCTTCCTTTATCTAGTCAGCATTCCAAATCCAGGGGCACCTTCTTCAGGTAGACATCATCAAGTTCCAGGGCTCTCCTACTCTTTTCTTCTTCCCCATCACGCTCCTCATTACCCAGTTGCCTGTGTGAGTGTCAGTAACCACTTCTTTAAAGATAGATGCCTGTGCCTCACAGAAAGACCCATTTCAGACAACGTCTAGTCCTGTATCTGCGGAATCCCACCAAAGACTCTTTGGAAGACATGACTCTGGACAGTAGAAGTGAATATGGAGAAACGGGAGTAATAGGGAAAATAAATCATATTTAGGCACTTAAGATATTTTTTTTCTTGTTTGGTTACAGATTTTCCTTCCTTAAGATTTAAAAACACATCTGTACCTTCAAGCCTTTGAAAAATCCTGTGATAATTAAGCTCTTTTCATTTTAGAGACTCCATGAGGAATTATTTGGGACCACGTATTCTGTTAACAGCCACATCATGAAATTACATTAACCAGCACCAAGCCCTAAAACCACAAAAAAGTATAGTCTTGGTAGCAGGTGGGCTGTCTTGGTGTAAAAAAAGAGAAGTATTTGCAATCATGTTCATTTAAGCCAGTCCCTGCTTACTCATATCTGAAAATGAAGCTTTAGACACAAGGTTTTTATCAGGTTTAGGAAAGTGAGTGATTCAGATTGTGTTGTGCACAGGTAAAGAAATCCTGGTGAAATAAACAAAAGAGCAACATGGTACAACATATTCTCAAACCTCCATGCGCGGGTCTAAGAGATGGACATAGGATAAATGGTGACTCTGCATATGTGCTAGCTAAGCAATCTCACAGCAAGCAGGGCTGCCCACCCACTCACCACACAGCTCCTTGTTCACAGACCACAGCACTCTGCTGGGGAGCACCGGGCTGTTTCTGGCAACCATGCCTACAAAGCCTACAAAGTCGGGGGACTGCATGGCCACAATCCCATGGACATCTACAAAGCCAAGACTCTTGCTTTTATGATCTGTAATCATAGGTTATATTCTCCATACTAGATCTATAGCTTCAGTGGGAAAATGAGCTCCTGTAGTGTTTAGACCTACAGTGAGAGATGCACCTGACCTGGACCAGAGTTCTCATTTCTGAGATCAGGATAGCAGTTATTTAGTCGCTGTTATTGTGGCCATTTCTAATTCAAGAAACCTCACTCCTCCAAGCTCATATTTCACTCCTTGAGACAGGCAGGCACACTTAAATGTTTCGTCTTAAAACATGGAAGGTTACTCAGATTATTTAATTTTAACTGTACTTTCTATAATGCCAAATAGCTTGTCAAATCCCCTTTTCCTATTTATTCCAATGCATACACTAAAATCCATAATAATGTACACTGTGATTATCCCCTGACACACTTTTCACCAAAAAGAGGCATAGCAAAATGCCATAAACAGGCTGCAAGTAGAACTGGACAAGAAAAGACCCATCTCCATTTAGCAAATGAGGGTCAATGAGCTCTGGTCAGTGAGTGCTCAGGATGAAGACAGAGCAGGTGACAGACATAAGACTGTGCTAACATTGATGTCACAGGACACAGTGTTGGGCACCAAGTCCCCAGACATTACTCTCTGATAGCCTGGAATATATGATTTCCCACAACCGACTGCTGTACCTCTGACCTGATTTTACAGATGCTGGCCTGACCACCCAAATTCTAAGAAATCTGTCATCGCAAACATCCCAAAGTCTTACACCATATCATGTAGTAAGGCCCCACTACCCTGTCTGCCCACGGTAGCCTGAATAGAGAATGGTTCCCAGTGGATTCATGGGTCATATATTTGAGATCAGGACACACTGTAAACTTAATTGAGCCTTCCTGAAGCCTGCAACTCTAGGTGCAATTTCAGTCAACATCCTAAATTACGAACGATATGAATTTCTTCTTAAGTATATTCATCAGGGAACAGCTAAGCCCGTTCCAATCTCCAAGTGCCCAGAAGTAGAGTTTGTCAGTGTTGCAAGTGGGCAGAGCAAAGCATTCTATGGAGACCAAATGCAACTACTTTTGCAATAACTGATCATAATATGATTTGTATGATAAATATCCAAATGATTAAGGGTGAAAGAACAATAGGAAAATATAACCAAGTTTTATGGATTTAAGAATTGATTTTGGCATGCAGCTTATAGGGAACATTGATCATATTTGTAAGATTAGAGCAGAAATTTGCAAAATATAACTTTCTGAAAGTTTTTAGAAAGCTATCACCCCTGTGCATACTTTCAAGTAACTTTTTGCCATTTCTATCTCCCTATTCCATGGACTTCTTGAATCACAGTTTATAAAAGCAACTCTCCTCAGGTAAATTATGATATTTGGTAGCCCACTAATAATTTTACTGTCTCTAATAGCTAGTCAGAAACAATATTTAAGCATGTTTCCTCAATGATAGAGCAGAATACAGCAAATGAGCTGCAATGACTATACACTGAGAATGAGCAATTGCAGAGAAAGTAGTGCATTCCATTGATGTTACTGCATACATCCCACCTATCTCAAACACAGATTCATGTGAAAATTAACAGTGTCAAACACTACTGGTGGGAAGACAGTCGTAATGTGATTGTCTTTGCATGCACATACACAAACATGGTCTGAAAAGCTTCTATGAATACCTTTGGGTGAGATAACGAAAAACAAAACCTGCAGAGTCTGTCAGTAGATTGGAAAAATACATTCACAAAAGAGTAGCACAGGACTTACTCAAGAAATGTGGCATTGCCAAATCTTCTAATTAGCATAGATGATGAAACTGTGGGGAAAGTTACAGACAAGATGAGTTGAAAAGTGATTCAGAAGAGTTTAATCCGAAAGGTATAAATTTTAGAAAATACTTTGGTAATGTATTTTCTTATATTTTCCATCTCATGTAATCATAGAAGTGATTTATGACAAATGCTCACATTAATATAAGTTGCACAAAGTTTCTGTGTTATTATAAGATAAAAATTCTAAGAGATAGGAAATATTTGTGTCATAGTTTGTCCTTTTATTCTGTCACGGTAACAGAATATAGTGATGCATCTAATAATTGATGCATATAATACATCTTGCAATTACTTAGATAATGCTGTCAATATCAGCACTAACTTAGTGGTTAACACAGACCTGGTACCAGTCTACATGCTCTATGTATTATTATTTCATTAAATCTTCACAGCAACTCAAGAGGTAGCCACTATTATCTCTCCCATGGTCTAGCTCTGAATCTAAGCAGAAAGCCCTGCAGTAAAGGAATAGAATAATCTGAGCTTGACTCAATCTGTCTCCATTTCCTTGCTCACATCAACTACATTAGAATATCTTTTATATTATACAAAAAGTACTTTCTAGGTTTGGTTTAAGCCATCTTACCTTACATCATGGTCAGGAAATTATTTTCTAAATTACATTCTGAATATTCTATTCACTTGTTTTTATAGTTAGGTCTATGATCAACCTGACATTGATTTTACGCGTAATATGAAGTCAAAGGCCATATTCTATTTACCCTCCTATAGAAATACAAAATTTCTAGAATATTTATTGAAGAATTAATCTTTATTTCATTGATCTTTCTTATAAATATTTGCTTATATATATACATGTATATATTTGTGAGCTTTCTTCTTTTTTTTTTTTAACTGGTTTATTTCTCTATCTTTCTGCAAATACCACACTGTCTGAGTTAGAAAGATTCTTCATTTAAGACAAGAATTTTTTCTCCATAGCTTTCTCTTAACCACTGTGATGTTCTATCACAAAGAAAGTGAAGAGTGAAAACTGTATACTTTGTACCTACACCAATATTCTCAGCTGTACCTTGAATAAAAAGGAGGTTTAGAACCAGTGAAGTTCCATTTAGTACCCACTTCTGGTCACTTGGAGAAGACCCATCTCAGCACAGGAGATGGACTATTTCTTTTTACAATCTCTTCCCCTCCTCTCCCCACGCACAAACACCCTTCACGCATTCAGATATAAACACTGACACACACATTAACATAAGCACATATACATTGACAAACATTCATAGAAATAGAAATACACACTGGCCAACACATTCAGCAGAAACACACACCAACATACAGATTCTGAAACAAACATTGACAGAAACACAAAAACTGACACACCATCAACTTAAACATACATCAGCACACTGACACTGAGACACTTTTTGATACAAACACACAAACTGAAACACACACATAACATGAACACACATTTAAACATAGAAGTAGTATTATGAGTATCAGTTTGCTTCAGAAAATTAAAATAAGACATTCCTCCTCCTCCTCCTCCTCCTCCTCTTCCTCCTCCTCCTCCTCCCTCCCACCATCCTCCTCCTTCTTCATTTTTGAGACAGAGTCTTGTTCTATTGCCCAGGCTGGAAGGCAGTGGTGCAATCTCGGCTCACTGCAGCCTTAACTTCCCAGTCTTAAGCAATCCTCCCACCTCAGCCTCCCAAGTAGCTGGGACTACCGGTTGGCACCAGCACGCCTGGCTAATTTTTTTTTGTTTTTTTGTAGAGATGGTGTCTCACTATGTTGCCCAGGCTAGTCTTGAACTCTTGGGTTCAAGGGATCCTCCCACCTCAGCCTCCCTAAGTGCTGGGATTACACATGTGAGCCACAATGCCTGGCCCATTCCCTCTTTCATTAGGCAAAATCTAGGAGTTCTCTTTCCTGCCTAGGCCCCTTTCCTGATCCTAGCAGGCAGGACTTCTCTGGAGGAATGGGTCTTGCATAGCTCAGATTTCTGAGATCCTGGTGATGTGAAATGCCATTTTTCATCTTCACTGACATTGTTAACATCTCCCCACTTTTGCAGGGTGAAACTGCACATCTGAAATGCAGGAATATCAATGGTGTGGACACCAGAGGCTGTTTTATTCCTCATTGGTCTTTGCAGGAGTGGATAGTGCAGAAGATGGGAAGGAAGAGGCAAGTGATATGGAAGTATTTACTCAAAGCATCCATGTAGGAACCATGAGCTAAGACAGAGGGAGGAACAGGAAGAGAAAAACCAGTCCATGTTCCTCACCTCATCCTCTCTGTCTTGTGGAGGGAGCCCAGCTTGGGTGTGGCACGAAGAATTCCTCCTAGGGCAAAGAAAGGTGCACACCATTCCTCCCTCCTTCCTCTGCCGCCTGCTGCTGGGCTCTATTCTCATGAGGAAAACTTGCACATACAGACCTGAAAACCAGTTTTCATCACAGACAGCAATTTCAAAGCCTCTGAGGTGTGTGTGCAGGCTCTGGTGTGGACAAAGCTCAATTGTGCAGTGTTGCTTCCAGCACCTGTCCTATGCCCATCACTGGAAAAGGATTTAGGAAACTGCAGCCTGAAATGAAGAATGGTGTTTCCAGGGCACACTCATCCCCACAAACCTGCATGAGGATTCCACAGCCCAGTGTTGCTGAATACACGTGGAGGGACGGTCTAGGGTCCAAGCTCACGTGCATTTAAGTTGGACCACATATTGTTCAGATTCCACAGAGGTAAGATAGAAAATAGTGTCCAAAAAGTCACAAGCTTAAGGGAGGGGAAGAGGCCAGAAAAGGAAAGGCAACTAGAAGTTCCTTATTTTTGATACCCTCCCAGACTTATCTCTATGCAATGGAAGTTAGGGTGCAGGTGAGGAACCCCCTACCGCATGCCAACAGAAGTACTCATACTCCATGAAGGCCCTTCCAAGTACCAAAGTCAGAAGTGGGTCCCCTTTCCTGCCTCTCACTTAGCCTTCAGCAGCTGTGTCCTAGAAAGAGGTTCTACACTGTTAAGAGCCCGGATATTTCATATTAACATTTACAGAAAATTCAATTATACACGGCTTCCACATGGTATGGTCAAATCTCATGCTCATCCAAGTGCATTAACCCTGAGTCTTGCCCTTTTGGTTACTTGAGGTGCAGACTGAGGGCACCACCCCAGACCCCAGTTACATCTTTCAGCAAAGAGGGCTACCTGAGGTACTGTTGGTGTCCACTGTGTAAGGCCATCTTCCCAAGAGCATAACAACTTGAACTTCATCTTTTTCTCAGATTCCTTTTTTATTCCATTTCTTAATTCACCAAGGTTCAGAATTTGTCTTTTATTCCCCATATCACAACCAGGTACCCTTATATTCCATAATGAAATACGTATTTCATTACATTGAAGAGGGCATTCACTTCAAATGCACCACTATTTTATGTAACACTAAAAAAAACAAAAGCGTAGCTAACTACATAATGACAGTATTCCAAGATGCCATTGGTTTAAAAATGTTAAAATGTGGGAAATATGCATATTAAAAAGAACAAGTATTTTTGAGTAAGGCCAGGATTTGGTGAAGAAGAAATTAGAAATATATTTATGTGAGTTATGCTAATAAAGGAGTTAAAATTGCTGATTAGAAAACATATGGGATGAAGGAATTTATGAGAATAAAATGGCCAATCACTTTCCTGAGACCCAGCCAACCTTTTCTATTTTATGGAGATCTGCCATTTTGCAAAGAAATGTGTGCAGGCCCCAGGAACATGCCTCTTAGCCAAGAGAGAGACAGGGTGGGAATGAGCTGTTGGTCGCTTTTCAATTCTGGACCAGAAACCACCGAGCAAAAAATGGAGAATGAAGGTAACCAAGTGTGAAGGGCCTGCATGTCCACAGATCAGAGCATCCTCTGAGCTACATGGCAGCCTGCGCCCAATAGGTGGGATTCTATGTCAATCCACTGTGTTTTCACAGTGATGGGCCATAGGATCCCTGAGCTCATTTGGAGCTATTCAGGCTAGTGAGGAGAAGGAACAGGTGGACATCAGTCTTTCCTGGCCTCTCTCCCCAAATCCCTGGTCCCTGCCCTCAACTGCTAACGAGCGTCAAGAATAGCACAGAGACGGCTGATCTTGTTCTTCTCCTGCCAATTCCCTGGAGGCCATCATCAGGTCTACTTGGGAGAAATTAAAGCAAAACAAACAAACAAAACAAAACAAACAAAACCATCCCTGAGTTTTTATGCCACATTTCTGAAAAACACCGAAATTCCTAACCTAAGTCATTAAATGCCCCAATCACAATCACATTCAAATTGCCATCACCCCGTCCTGACACCCAACCTGATGGGTCTGAAAACTGGAGGCCTGTCATGCAGATGAGACAAAGAGGAGCACAGCATAAGTATTGAGAACAAAGCAATGTTCCTCATCTCATTGCTGCCTCCTTTCCATTCCACATCCAACATCACTCTGTACATAAAGGTAGAGGCTGGTATCAGCACTTCCTAGAGCACCTGGTTGGTGGAGAGGAACAGATCAAATGGAGCCACACGTCTCTGCCTCAGTGCCCAGAACGTCGCACGTCAGCACTGTGGGCTCAGAGGGGACACTGTGCAGGTGAGCACTGAAGGGAAACTGACATGCCCACTCCTCCCAAACTCCTAAGTCACGAGCTTTCTCCTTTTCTGTGAAAAACGATGAGGTTGTAGACTTCATGAAGAGTCACAAGAACCCCCATGAGCACCACACAGACACCAGGGAGAGCCCGTCAGCAGAAAGGACTGCAGAATCTTCTCCATGCCCCACCTCCCTCCACTTGCCTCCTACCGGCTTCCCCCCATGGGAAACATAACAAGATGATGAGTCTATAACAGATTTCCCCAGCAGGGTCCATTCCACAGCATGACTTCAGCCCCATAGCGGCCCCTACACTGTGGAAAATTGTGGAGATCAGAGCCTGGACATGAAGACCCAGGCCGCCTGGACATGAAGACCCAGGCCCACAGGACATCTCAACTTTCAGAGATCAGGCTCCTCAGGCACAGTTGTTCTCTTCAGAAATCCTCTGGTCTCTCCTCTGTCCTCTGAAGCCTTTACCACACATCTGCTGAAGCTGTTTCATTTGCACATACAAAGTCATGTGTTTTTAGGGTATCTTCTCTAATCTGCATCTTAGAAGAACCTCCAGAACCCTTCCCTAGTAGTTCCAAGTTACATGTGGAGGGGATGCAGATGGGCTGAAAAGGGAAACTTCTGGGAAGTTATCTTGGTAATTGTTTTTACAATAAAAGGTCAAAACAGATCCTGACGAACCCTGAGCTCAGACAATAGGAGGAGTAGGTATGGAGAGAAAAATTAAGCCTACCACACCCAACATCCCTCCTTTGTGAGTAGAGCTAAGGTCAGGGTGCAGACATGAAGGAGGTATCATAGAGAACCGAGAAAAAAATCTTCCTAGGGTCTGTGCCAGCCAAGAGAACCACAGGAGTGCCCTGGAGCCACCCACAATGCCCCAAGCTGGATGTCTCCAACTCTGATCAGCAACATGTTCTATACAGAGACATGTGGACACAAGCCACATCCTAAGGCTCCAATACAGAACAAATCTGGCTCTGGTTTTGAACATTCTTCTCTGTACTACCTCAACATCCACAACATCTTGTCCAGACTCTGTAACCAAAAATCGCTTCAAGGAAAAAGCAGCCTGGAATAAGGAATGAGGCTGGATAGGTCAGAAGAGCTCCTGGCAAGGAAGAGATGATCTGTCCACACACAGCCATCTGGAAACCACCTCACCACTCACCGACATCAGCTCCCTTGCAACTTCCCATCTCAACATGTTCAACATGTGTCTATCAGAATTTAGTTTTTTGCTCTCCATATACTTTCTTTTTTATATTTATTTATTTTCAAACTAATAGATAAAAATTGATGCATGTATTATGCACAATACAATGTATGCTTTTTTTTCCCTCTTTTTTAAGATTCCAAGGGTAGATGTGAAGGTTTTTTACGAGGGTATATTGCACGATACAGAGGCCTGGAGTACAACTGAACCTTCACATAGGGAGTGAGAACAGTGGATAGTTTTTCAACTCTTGCCTCCCTCTCTCCTTCCCCTCCTTGTATTCCTCAGTGTTTGTTGTTCCCATCTTTATGTCCATGCGTAACCAGTGTTTAGCTCTCTCAAGTGAGACCATGTGGCATTTGTTGTTCTGTTTCTCCATTAGTTTGTTTAGAATAGTGGCCTCCAGTTGCATCCATGTTACTGCCAATAACATGATTTCATTTTTATGGCTGTGTAGTATTCCATGGCATATGTGGAGCACATTTTCTTCATTCAATCCACTGTAGATGGGCAACTGGGTTGATTCCGTGTCTTTGATATTGTGCAATATGATGTTTTGAAGTATAAGTACATTGTTGAATGGCCAAATCTAGCTGATTAATGTGCATTTTCACTCATACATTCTTCACTTTGTGGTGAGAACACTTAGCATCTACTCTCTTAGCAATTTTTAAGAATACAATATGCTGTCATTAACGGTAGTCACCATGCTGCACTCTAGACTTCTTGAACTGATTTCTCCTAACTGTAAGTTTTTATCTTTTGACTAATATATCTACCCCCCACCAACCAGTCCAGTCCCTCGTAACCTCCATTCTACTTTCTACTTCTAAGTCACTTTCAATATGAGGCCCTCACAAGCCTACTGAGAACAATGCTGGACAAGTACCTGTGGGCAGAGAAGCAGCAATTTGGCACAGGGTCCTGGCCGTCCCCACTTGTTTTCTTTCCATAGTGAGGGGAAAGAAACTGAAGGGAGGATCTTGAGGAGGAAAGGCAGAGCAGCAGCCTCCCCACTCCCTTCTGACAATTTAGCCCCTGAGGGTACAAACAGCTGGACAGACGGGTGCAAAGTAGTCTCTCCAAAACACTGGAGCAAGACCTTGGCCAGCACAAATGATGACTAGTTCTTGCTTTCCCCTTTCAACTGCCTGCCTCTGCCTCTGTTCTCAGAAAATGAGTCTGTAGAATTATGAGATTCATTTGTACAAAAAGCCCAATTTCAAAGGATCTGGATATTCTGGAAATTACAAATATGCCTTGGTACCTCCTACGCCTCACAAATGATGCTTCTGGGGTTCAAAGACCCAGAAAACTCAGACATAAAAAGGAATTAATTAATGTCATTTGCAATGACCTGGATGAGATTGGAAGCTATTATTCTAAGTGAAGTTACCAGGAATGGAAAACCAAACATTGTACGTTCTCACTCTTAAGTGGGAGCTAAGCTATGAGGATGCAAAGGCATAAGAATGGCACAATAGATTTTGGGGATCCAAACCAGGAAACACTGGGAAGGGAGGTGAGGGATAAAGACTACAAATAGGGTGCAGTGTACACTGCTCAGGTTATGGGTGAACCAAAATCCCACAAATCACCACTAAAGAACTTACCCATATAACCAAACACGACCTGTTTTCCCAATAACCTATGGAAATACATATATATATATTTTTTGAGATGGAGTTTCACTCTTGTTGCCCGGGCTGGAGTGCAATGACATGATCTCGGCTCACCGCAACCTCTGCCTCTCGGGTTCAAGCGATTCTCCTGCCTCAGCCTCCCGAGCAGGTGGGATTACAGACATGCACCACCACACCTGGCTAATTTTGTATTTTCAGTAGAGACGGGGTTTCTCCATGTTGGTCAGGCTAGTCTCGAACTCCTGACCTCAGGTGATCCACCCGCCTCGGCCTCCCAAAGTGTTGGGATTACAGGCATGAGCCATCACGCTCAGTCAAAAAAAAATGAGTTCATGTCCTTTGTAGGGACATGGATGAAATTGGAAATCATCATTCTCAGTAAACTATCGCAAGAACAAAAAACCAAACACCGCATATTCTCATTCATAGGTGGGAATTGAACAATGGGATCACATGGACACAGGAAGGGGAATATCACACCCTGGGGACTGTTGTGGGGTGGGGGGAGGGGGGAGGGATAGCATTGGGAGATATACCTAATGCTAGATGACGAGTTAGTGGGTGCAGTGCACCAGCATGGCACATGTATACATATGTAACTAACCTGCACAATGTGCACATGTACCCTAAAACTTAAAGTATAATAATAATAATAAAAAATGTTTTAAAAAAAATGCACACAGCCTGGGCACCAGATAGTGGCCAAGAAGTGAAGGATTCCAGTCAAGTTTCTGTTCTTATTCATTCGGTGCTGGGGAAATACATTGGCTGCATCAACTCTTAACTCTTCACTTTTTAACCAGTGTCTTGAATTGCTATCAGAAATTTCCCCATTCCCTACCAGGGACTTAGATATCTGTCCCATGAGCCAAGCACCCCCAGATACAGAGGGAGAGTTGCAGTAGTCGTCTGCTGCTGTGTCACATAAAAGCTTGGATTTCAGTGCTTTCATAAAGAAAAGGCTCTTTGACACATATGTGCTATAATGTGAGCATAATGGGTCTTTCTCAGCAAATATTCAGGTACAACCCTTGCCCAGCCTACCTTCCAATGATGAGGCCATGATATGAACTCTGACCAATGATAAATGATGTGTGTCACTTCCAGGCATAATCAGTCAAGGGCTGTGTGCTGCCTGCAACTCCTCTCTTGCTGTGGTGGCCTTGGAAGCCTAGAATCCCAGAAGACATGGCTAAAACATATGGGAGGTGTGCCTGACCAATATCAATCCTTGTATGATTAGTAAATTAAATTTTATTCTTATAAGTCCATCTGACCATGGAGACTTCTTTATTACTACAGTAGCCTCTAGCCTATCTTGGGTTGCAAATGGTTTAAGAGTTCAGTAGAGTCTGGGCACTTCCATGGATACCAAATTCAACGAGGCTGTGGAATCACAGTACTGTGTATGAAACGGCCTGCCGTCTACATTGATAAAGAGGGATGAATGGCAAGGCAAGGGGAGAACAGAAAAGAAAAAACAAAAAGCAAACCTACCTGGCTTCTCTCTGTCTCCCCAATCTCTTCACATCGGGTCTAAACACGGACACAGGAACCCTAGGGATTCACTGGGGGCAAGACTCAGCTTTGCACTCAAAACAGAACGCCTCTTCCCCCCATTAAATAAGAGCCCCTCTCCAGTAAGCCTTAGAGAGCTGTGCTTTTCATTTGCTTCTTCTTGAAGTTTAGATCCACCCATAGCCTAGTTCAATGCACTAGACAATGCATCAGAACCACTAGGTGACCTTGGGAATATGGATTGCTGCGCCTCATCCTTGGATTTTCCCATTCAGCCGGTCAGGGTTGGGGGTCCAACAACCTGTTTTAATGCCGGGGTTAGCTACTGTTCAAATCCCATTCTTTTTTCCCTCTAGTTTTTCTTATTAGTTCTTTGATGATCAATGAAGGGACACCATTCCTCCTAGTGTGTGCGGAATTGGTGGGTTCTTGGTCTCACTGACTTCAAGAATGGAGCAGGGGACCCTCGCGGTGAGTGTTACAGCTCTTAAGGTGGCGCATCTGGAGTTTGTTCCTTCTGATGTTCAGATGTGTTTGGAGTTTCTTCCTTCTGGTGGGTTCGTGGTCTCGCTGGCTCAGGAGTGAAGCTGCAGACCGTCGCAGTGAGTGTTACAGCTCTTAAGGCAGTGCGTCTGGAGTTGTTCCTTCCTCCTGCTGGGCTCCTGGTCTCGCTGGCTTCAGGAGTGAAGGGGCAGACCTTCGTGGTGAGTGTTACAGCTCATAAAAGCACTGTGGACCCAAAGGGTGAGCAGTAGCAAGATTTACTACAAAAAGCGAAAAAACAAAGCTTCCACAGTGTGGAAGGGGACCCCAGCCCATTGCCACTGCTGGTTCAGGCAGCCTGCTTTTATTCTCTTATCTGGCCCCACCCACATCCTGCTGGTTGGTAGAGCCGAGTGGTCTGTTTTGACAGGGCGCTGATTGGTGTGTTTACAATCCCTGAGCTAGACACAAAGGTTCTCCACCTCCCCACCAGATTAGCTAGATACAGAGTGTCACACAAAGGCTCTCCAAGGCCCCACCAGAGTAGCTAGATACAGAGTGTTGATTGGTGCATTCACAAACCCTGAGTTAGACACAGGGTGCTGATTGGTGTGTTTACAAACCTTGAGCTAGATACAGAGTGCCGATTGGTGTATTTACAACCCCTGAGCTAGACATAAAGGTTCTCCACGTCCCCACCAGACTCAGAAGCCCAGCTGGCTTCACCCAGCGGATCCCGCACCTGGGCTGCAGATGGAGCTGCCCGCCAGTCCCTCGCTGTGTGCCAGCACTCCTCAGCCCTTGGGTGGTCGATGGGACTGGGCGCCCTGGAGCAGGCGGCGGCGCTCATCCGGGAGACTCGGGCCCCACAGGAGCCCACGGAGCGGGTGGGAGGCTCGGGCATGGCGGGCTGCAGGTCCCGAGCCCTGTCCCGCGGGAAGGCAGCTAAGGCCCGGTGAGAAATCGAGAGCAGCGCCGGTGGGCTGGCACTGCTGGGGGACCCAGTACACCCTCCGCAGTCGCTGGCCTGGGTGCTAAGCCCCTCATTGCCTGGGGCCCGCACCGCCGGCCGGCTGCTCCAAGTGCGGGGCCCGCCAAGCCCATGCCCACCCGGAACTCCAGCTGGCCCGCAAGCGCCGCCCGCACCCCGGTTCCCGCTCGTGCCTCTCCCTCCACACCTCCCTGCAAGCTGAGGGAGCCGGCTCTGACCTTGGTCAGCCCAGAAGGGGGGCTCCCACAGTGCAGCAGTGGACTGAAGGGCTCCTCAAGTGCCCCTAAAGTGGGAGCCCAGGCAGAGGAGGCGCCGAGAGCGAGCGAGGGCTGTGAAGACTGCCAGCACGCTGTCACCTCTCACTAGGCTTCCCCAGAGTCTCTGAGCAGCACAGTCACTAGGGCAGAAGTGACAGTTACAGGAAGGGATGATAGGTGTTGGAGCCTGATATACTTTGATTCTGTGTCCCCGCCCAAGTCTCATGTCGAATTTTAATCCTCAGTGTGGGATGGGAAGCTTGGTGGAGGTGATTGCATCAAGGGGGCAGTTTCTCATCAACTGTTCAGCACCATTGCCCTTGGTATTGTCATTGCGATAGTGAACGCGTTCATAGGAGATTTGGTTGTTAAAAGCGTGTGGCACCTCCTGCTTTGCTGTCTTGCTCCTGCTCCACCATGTAAGATGCGCCTGCTTTCCCTTCACCCTCCACCATGATTGGAAGCTTCCTGAGGCCTCCCCAGAAGCAGAAGCTACCATGCTTCCAGTACAGCCTGCAGAACCATGAGCCAATTAAACCTCTTTTCTTTATAAATTACCCAGTCTCAGGTATTTCTTTATAACAGCACGAGAATGGACTAACACAGAGCCACACTGAGATTTGGCCAAGGAGCTACTCCACACAGAATGGCAAAGCAGCACAGAATGAGATCGGGGCTGTGTTTACAAGGGGAGGAGGTTCTCCAAGCAGCATGCCACAGTGTTCCACTGTGCACCAAGCTCCAAATAAGGTGATCAGGTGCCACTAGACTTCTAGAAGGAGGAGGAGTGTCCTATTTTCTGGCATACTCCTGAGCCACTTGTTGCCATTTTATAGTGTTGCTGGCCTGGCCAACAATTCTCAGAAAACAGCCAACTCAAACATGCACACATGCATTCAATGGATACTTGAAGCCATATCTCAAGGTCATGTTCCCACCCTGATATAAGAAAGGGATTCTGGGAATTAGAAACCTGAAAGGGGGAATGTAGCTGATCAGGCACACGGCTCATATCTCTACATCCAGGATTGTTAGTACTCTGTACTCAGACTTCACAAAGCCTCCTTTGCCCTGCACTATCTCATGAAATTCCCAGCACAGGTTCATCACAATAATTAAACAGGAATCCTGAAAACTATTCATGTTTCTTCTTTACCAGACATTTGCCACACGGATTCCACAGCTCATTCCAAACCATGACACCTCAGACTCAGATGTAGCCAGGGCTGCTAAGGGTAGAGCAGCAGCACATTTCATGCTGAAAAAAAGTATTGCTGCCATGAAAGACAGTGTGGCATTGTTGATGGCTGCTCTCAACCCAGAGGCACAGACGAATACGCTGCAGGAAGATGCACACAGAACACTTCTTTCCGATGGACATGAGGGAATAGCAACACACTGGAGATGAAACATTGCCCATTATTTCTCAGAACTGGGCAAAAGTTCCTAAGATTCATCTTCCTCTGTTTAAATATCTAGAAAACCAGCACCCACCCCAAAACTCAATTCATTCCAATCCCAGCCTCCTATTTTATTTTAATTGACAAATAATGATTGTAAATATTTGTGGAGTAAAATGTGATGTTTGATATTTATTTACCATTATGTAATGATTAAATCAAGTTAATTAACATATTCATCACCTCAAATATTTATAATTTTTGTGGTGAGGAAAATTGAATAGTAGAGTTAATAGAAATTAACTCTTGTTAATTGCTCATTTCAATGAACTCTATTAACAATTTCAAGATATATAATACATTAACTATGGTCACCATGCTATGCGATATATATTAAAATATCTTAATGAATATTTATATTTAATAAATATTTTGATAAATATTAAAAATGTATTTCTTCTGTCAAATAAAATGTTGTACCCTTTGACCAATAGCTCCTCATTCCCCATCTCTCACCCTCACCCCGCTCCTGGTAACCACCATAATACTCTTTATTTCTGTGATTTTGGCTTTTTTTACAGAATATATTATATATAAATGAGATAATGGAATATTCATCTTTCTCTTGGTGGCTTATTTCCCTTAGTATCTTCTAGGTTCATCTATGTTGTTGAGAATAACAGAATTTTCTTTTTTTCAAAGGTCGAATAATATTCCATTGTGTATATGTATCACATTTTCTTCATTCATGTGATAGTGGACATATAAGGTGATTTCATATCTCGGCTCTTGTGAATAATGCTGCAATGAACATGGGAGTGCAGACATCACTTTGACATACTGATTTCATTTCTTTTAAACATATACCCATTAGGATTGCTGGATCATGTGGTTGCTCTGTTTTTAATGTTTTGAGAAACCTCCATGTTGTTTTCTGTATTGCTGTACCAACCTTACATTCCCATCAAGAGTGTGCAAGGTTTCCCTTTCTCCGCCCCTTTGGCAACTCTCATCTTTCATTCTTTTGATAAGTTATCCCAATAGATACAAAGTGGTATTTCATTGTGGTTCTGATTTGCACTTCACAGATGATCAGTTATGCAGAACATGTTTTTCATATACCTGCTTGCTGTTTCTATGTCTTATTTTTGAGATATGTCTTTTCATGTCCTTTGCCCATTTTTCAATTGGTTTACTTTTTTTCATGCAATCGAGTGGAGCTCCTCATGTATTGTGGGTATTAATCTCTTATCAAATGTATGGTTTGCAAACCGTTTTCTCAATCTGTATATGCTGTCTCTTTACTCTGTTGTTTTAATTGTTGTGCAGAAGTTTTAGTTTGATGCAATATCATTTGTCTTTTTTTTTTTTTTTTTTTTGAGATTGAGTCTCGCTCTGTCGCCCAGGCTTGAGTGCAGTGGCGCTATCTCGGCTCACTGCAACCTCTGTGTCCCAGGTTCCAGCGATTCTCCTGCCTCAGCCTACTGAGTAGCTGGGACTACAGGCACGCGCCACCACACCCAGCTAATTTTTGTATTTTTAGTAGAGATGGGGTTTCACCATATCGGTCAGGCTGGTCCAACTCCTGACCTCATGATCCGCCCGCCTCAGCCTCCCAAAGTGCTGGCATTACAGGCCTGAGCCACCATGCCAGGCCCTATTTTTGTTTTTGTTGCCTGTGCTTTTGAGGTCAAACCCAAAAACATCATTGCCAAGACCAATATCACAGAGCTGTTTCCCCTGTTTTCTTATAGTATGTTTACAGTTTGCATCTTACATTTAAGTCTTTAATCCCCCTTTTTTTTTTGAGACAGAGTCTTACTCTGTCGCACAGGCTGGAGTGGGCGTGATCTTGGCTCACTGATCTCCGCCTCCCGGGTTCAAGCAATTCTAGTGCCTCAGCCCTCCGAATAGCTGGGATTACAGACATGCACCACCACACTTGGCTAATTTTTTTTATTTTTAGCAGACAGGGTTTCACCATGTTGGTCAGGCTGGTCATGAACTCCTGGCCTTGAGTGATCCACTGCCTTGGCCTCTCAAAGCGCTAGGATAACAGGTGTGAGCCACTGTGCCCGGCCTAATCCATTTTTAATTAAATTTTGTGTATGTTGTGAGATAGGGGTCTAATTTCATTCTTCTGTATGTGTATATCCACTTTCCCAACACCATTTATTAAAAAGACTTCCCTTTTCCCATTGTGCTTTCTTGATACCTTTGTCAAAAACCAATTGACCATAAGAAGCATGCATGTGGGTCCATTTCTAAGCTCTCTATTCTGTTCCATTGATTGATGTTTCTGTTTTTTGGCCAGTGCCATGTTGTTTTGATTACTAAAGCTTTGTACATATTTTGAAATCCGGTTGTATGATGTCTCCAGCCTTGTTCTTTTTGCTCAACATTGCTTTGGGTATTTGAGGTCATTTGTGGTTCCATACAAATTTTAGATATTTTGTCTATTTTTGTGAAAAATAACATTGGAATTTTGATATGGATTGCATTGAATGTGTAGATTGTTTTAGATAGTATGATCATTCTATTTCTTAAGCCATGGACTCTTAGGGTCACCCTTGTCTAAACGAGGAGCCCCTCCAGGTTTCAGAAATCACAGAAGCCTGTCCAGTTGTGGATGCCACCACCAAACGGTGAATACAACACCATGGGCCACTGACAGAGATAGGCAGGCCAAACAACAGCAAAGAAGAGTCTCTCTCCTGCTCTCCCACACCTGCAACCCCCATGTGCTCCTTAAACTACAAAAGTGTCAGAGACACTGTGATAATCCTCATATGCCAGGAGACTCCCAGAAAATTCCTCTCAGTATTGTGGGCTGCCTTCCAAGGTACCCTATCTACCTTTCCCCACCCTCTTGGTCAAACCCTTTGAGGAAGCCTGGCGCCAATTTTATCCTCAGCATTTGAGAAGCAGCACAAGCTCAGAGGCCCTCCTTGTGCTAAGCTGTGCTACTCTTGGTGAAGCTCTTCCTCAGCACAGACTCCCCACTCCAGCTCATGGGGTCACCTTGACCTGTTCTCAGGAACCAAATCTGCAGCTAGGAGCCATAAAATGTTTCTACTTAGGGCCTCCACTTAGAAATTCCGGGAAGTGCTGCCCTGGAGTGGGCTGCCTCAGCACACACTGTCCTCGGAAGGACAGCATGCTGCTCCCAGCCCCAGCCTTGAAAATAGTTCCAAGTGTTCCTAGCCTGGCCTGAGGAAGGAAGCTGATGGCAACTCTTTTCTCACCAATCCCTTAAAGACGTCCTGCCACCCCCACCGTTGCCTCATTACACCCCTCCCAGTAGCCCCTAGTTAATCACACGCCCTCGCACAGACACCTTCCGCAGGGACCTCGTCCCACGGCAGAGGCCCAGCAGGTACGTGGGGACTAGGCCTTCAGCGAGCAAACTGCGTAAATCTGAGCAGAGTCACGTTTTTTGCTGGTTTCCATGGTGACAGAAAGCACAAAACAGGCAATCAAGGATAATAAGCCCCGTGGGCGGCCGGAATCGGTGAGAGCAAATTAAGCCCCCATTTTTCTTCCTCTCACTTCCCCGCCTCCATAGCCTCTCGGGAATATAAACAAGCGTCAAGCTCCAGCAAAGGGGGCCCTTTAGTGCTCCATGGCAACTGCCTCATTCTCCTTCCTCCCTCCATCCTGCCTTTCCCGCTTTGCCTGGATACACCACCTCTCTGCATAAAGCCTCCATTTCAAACAATCTGGTGACAATGTGGCCACTTCACAACAACCAATCCCGAGCCTGCCCAGAAGAGGCTTTGGGGGCCAGTGACCTGGACAGGGAGGAGTGGAGCAAGGATGGAGCAGAGGCTGCACAGCCAGGAACAGAACAACACTGCTGTTTTCAAGCTATGTCCCCCTTCTCTCTAATTATTTATTATGAAAAGTTTCAAACCCACAAAAAAGTTGAAAGGATTGTAGACCTCTATAATATCTTCACCTAAATTCACCCATTGTTAATAGTTTGACATATTAGCAGTCTATTTGCCCCTCCATCCATCCATCCACCACCTACCTATCATCTAACTTCACTTATTTACTTTCCTACTACAGAACTATGATGCTATCACATCTGAGAACATTAAGATCAATTCAGTATTTAACATGAAGCCCATATTTAAACTTTCCCTATCAGCCCCAAGATGTCCTTTAGAGCTTATTTTATTTTTTGGATCCAGAAGCCAAGCAAGGTTTATGCATTTTATTTGGCTGTTTTGCCTCTTTAGTGTCTTTTAATCTATAGGGATCATCCTCACCTGTGCCCAACCCACAGAGGTCTTTTTCAAAAATGACATTGTTTTCCAAGAGGCCAGGACAGTCTTGTAGGATGTTCCACATTTTGGATTATTACTTCCGGATTAGATTCAGGTTCAACATGTATGGTTATGTTGGGCTCTTTTTCCATCATATCGGGAAACATGTAATGCTAAGGTTTCCATTCCATCAGTTTGATCCATCAGTTTCCATTCCATTTGATCACCACCCCATTGTACAGGTCCATTTTCCCTTCTGGGATGGATAAGTTATCTGTAGAGTGGTGTTTTGAGACCATGTGAATATTCTGGTACCAAAGGACTTTTCACCAGATGGTTGTAGCTTCAACCAATGATCCAACCTGAGTCAGTTATTATACTGGGGTTGGAAAATAATACTTTTCTACTTTTGTTAAAAATAGACTCTTTCTGTAGTTATTATATAGCAATAAAAAAAAACCCTCACTAATTCCATGTGTCTCTGTGTCTATCATCTATCTACTCATCTATCTATCTACCCATCCATCAATCTATTTATCTATATTGTATTCAGGTAAAATTAACACACTGCATATGTTTAAATGGTACAATTTGATGAGTATTCACATGTGTATACACCCATGAAATCATCACCACAAACAGAATAACAGTTGTTTCGATACCTGCCCCCTAAATTTTTGTGTCCCTTTGTAATCCCACCCAAAATCCCACCAACAGGCAACCACTTACATACTTTCGTTCACTGTAAATTGGTATTCATTTTTTGGAAGCTTATGTACATAGAATAACATAGTATGTATTTTTTGGTCTTGTTTCTTTACTCAGCATAATGTTTTTGAGATTCACCTATAATGTATATATCAAGTTTGTTCCATTTTTATTGCTAAGTAGTATTCCATTACCTCTTTTTAAATTTTTTGATTTGAAATAATTTTAGACTTACAGAGAAATGGTAAACCTAGTAAAGAGAGTTCCTATATACTCTTCTTCCATCTTCCCCTATTGTTAGCGTCTTAACCATGGTACGTTTATCAAAAACAACACAATAAAATTGGTACAAAATCTTAAACTAGAGTCTTTATTCAGACTTCATGAGATTTCCACTGATGTCCTATTTTCTGTTCCAGTAGCCAAATCTGTATACCATGCTGAATTTAGTCACCTTTGTCTCTTTGAATCTTTGACAATTTCTCAGTCTTTCTTTGCTTTTCTTGACATTGACACTTCTGAAGATTACTGGTCAGGTATTTTGTAGAATGTTCCTACATTTGGGTCTTTCTGATATTCTTTTATTAAACAAAGATGATGGATTTGAGAGAATATCAAGAAGTAAAGTTTGCTTCACCTCACATACAATTAGGGGTTATGTGATATCCACATGACGTGTCTGTCACTGGTGATGTTAACCTTGACCGCTTGGTTAAGATTGTGTCTGCCAGGTTTCTCCACTGTTGAGTGTCTATTTTTCTCTTTCCATGCTTCTAAAATGAAGTTACTAAGCCCACATTCAAATGAAGGGCACCAGCCATATAAGAGAAGGGAACTCTAGAAGATTGCAGCCCCCAACTGTTTGACTCACTCTCAGCCAGTGATGTCTTCCCAGTTGAGGCCCCAGACATTATGAAGCAGAGAAAAGTCCTTTCTACGTGGGTTCATATTCACTAAGTCCATGAGCATTGGGAAGTCTCTACATTTAATTTTTGAATTTTTCTAAAAAAATATTTGCTCCTTATCTCCCATTTATTTATGTATGTAATCATATTTTATATCATTATGAACTCATGGGTATTTATTTTATTATATTATTTGTGTTATAATCTCAAAACTAGCCTTAATTATTTTGCTGCTCAAGTTGTTGCAGCTTTTTTTTTTTTTTTTTTTTTGGCCCTTGGGAACTCTTCTGTGTCTACTTCTGGGTCCTTACAACATGCCTCCATCTTTTTTTTAAACTTCCTTACTTTCTGGCAGTCCAAGATGTTTTAGCCTCACCTTGTATTTTTTTCTTGACCTAGCCCTAGAATTAGCCAATTATTTGAGAAGCCTGTTTTTTTGTTTGTTTGTGTGTTTGTTTGTTTGTTTGTTGACGAAATTTCGCTCCTGTTGCCCAGGCTGGAGTGCAATGGCATGATCTCGGCTCACTGCAACTCCCGCCTCCTGGGTTCAAACAAGTCTCCTGCTTCAGCCTCCCAACCGTCTCCTTTTATTGGAGGATATTATTTAGCTTCAGCCTCCCAACCGTCTCCTTTTATTGGAGGATATTATTTAGCTTCAGCCTCCCAACCGTCTCCTTTTATTGGAGGATATTATTTAGCTTCAGCCTCCCAACCGTCTCCTTTTATTGGAGGATATTATTTAGCTTCAGCCTCCCAACCGTCTCCTTTTATTGGAGGATATTATTTAGCTTCAGCCTCCCAACCGTCTCCTTTTATTGGAGGATATTATTTAGCTTCAGCCTCCCAACCGTCTCCTTTTATTGGAGGATATTATTTAGCTTCAGCCTCCCAACCGTCTCCTTTTATTGGAGGATATTATTTAGCTTCAGCCTCCCAACCGTCTCCTTTTATTGGAGGATATTATTTAGCTTCAGCCTCCCAACCGTCTCCTTTTATTGGAGGATATTATTTAGCTTCAGCCTCCCAACCGTCTCCTTTTATTGGAGGATATTATTTAGCTTCAGCCTCCCAACCGTCTCCTTTTATTGGAGGATATTATTTAGCTTCAGCCTCCCAACCGTCTCCTTTTATTGGAGGATATTATTTAGAAGCCAAGATCTTGGTGCTGTATGTGCTCAGGGCAGCTGGGGTGTTGCTGCCTCCATGTCTCCTCAACGGATGGAGTCAGAACACACAACATATCTTCACTCTTCACTCAGTCTTATGAGGGTTCCACCAGGCCCACAGAACTCTTAGCATCCCTTCATGAAACTCCATCCACTTGGTTATTTCATATCTTAAACCCGAGACCAACAGAGTTTAATTTCCCCCTCACACCTTAACCAGATACAGTGGCACCTCAAAACTAAATCTTTGTGGTTGCATATTGATAGGCTAAAAAGTTACTGGAATTGGGCAACTTACATGGAATCAAATAAGAGAGTCTGCATTGTGGAAAAAACAAACAAACAAAACAAAACAAACAAAAATACACATGATTGCTGCCCCAAAAGAGATGAAAGGTCAGGCAAGTCCTCCAGCTTTTCCAGCCCCCTGCCCTTCTCCCCACATCTGCTGAGAGCTGTGGAAACAGCATAGCTACAATGAAGACCCACTACAGGACACATAGAGTACAGAGCAGAGGCTCCAGGAAAACCTGCTGGCCCATCTTAAGCCCAGAGGAGTTTCCTGATCACCCCTATTACTCTCAGGAAAAAAAAAATGTGAAAAATTAGGGATGCCAATCCCAAATGTGTGTAGACAGGAAGTGTTGAACCCTTTAATGTTCCTGGTGCACAGCATGTCCTCGCCATCCCATGTTTGCTGGTCAATCCCCATGGTTTGTGAGACTTGAAGGCCAGAAGGCAGGAATGCTCCTAACAGAGAACACAGGGCATGAGCTGGGATTTATTAAGCAATCCTGTTTTCTTTACTTGGTTGTCCTGAAGTGCAAGTATTAGCCCTTTAGGCTGCCCCTCTGAAACTGCTTCTTCAGGTCACAGCTCACATCCTGGAATATTAGAGATTTTGTTCACTTTATACTTATGTCCGTACATCCCCACCCAAAGTCCTGGACCAAGGAGCTGTATGTCGAGAGAGCTATGGATAGGTATATCAACCTCAAAAAGCATATGCACAGCAGAAAGCTCCCCAGTAATCATGAGCTTTGGGTGTGCATAGGGAGAGAAGGGCCAACCTAGGTGGGGAGAAAAATAGACAAACAACCTCCCTCTCCACTCCTGTACAGTGATATGTGAGAAAAGCATGGGCTGAAATGACGAAGCTGATGGATTGAGGAAGAATCTTTGATGGATGATCTCTCCTGGCAGCATGGGCTGCCACCTGCCTTGTCCCAGCATGTGCCCTGTCCTGGTTAGACATCGCTACCTCTGTCCCCTGAGGGCTCAACCTGCTTAGATTTTCACTGGACACTACATCTCTCCAGGTATCTAGTTTCCAACTGTGGGTCTAACCCAATCACATCAGGCAGCCACGGCTTCCCCTCTGGCTCCTTGGCCTGGGGTGAGGAGAGCAGCTGGTGAGCGCCTGGCTCAGGTTTCTGAGATCAGGAAGGCCATTCCTTAGGTGCCGCTATTCTGGCCATTTGGTCAACAGGAGCCCCTCTGGCTCTCTGAGCTCTTACTTCGCCCCTGGTCAACTTTCACAGGATTTTCCATTCCTTGTCTTAAATAGATCATGGGCAGCTGTTCTTGTCATTTTATTCTACATCTTGCTTAACCCCTTGCCAGGCCTCATTCTCATTGTGACTTTAGATTCTATGAGAAACTGCAGAACATGGCCGATAGGAACACAGAGTCTGCCTCATTGACACCCCGGTGCAAATCCTGATTCTGCCTCTCAGGAGAGTGACTTTACGTAAATCATTTAACCCCTCTGTGCCACTGTCTCATCTGCAGCAGGAACATAATATTACTGATATCATGGGGTTCTAACGATGTTTAAATGAGTTAATTGTACAAAATCCTCAGAACAGCACCTTGCAGCTCAGAAGTGCCATGGAAGTGTTGGCACCTACAAAGTACTGTTAATGCTCACACGTCTTTCCAAAATCTCAGCACTGCCCAGGTACAAGACAGGTAGGAGGTCTGATATTGTAGGTTAATGTTTTCAGGCCCAGTAGATGCTAAACACAGAATGCTAAAGACCAGAAGATGCCATTCAAAAAGGCAAGAAAGTTTTCACAGGTCTGCAAATATGAGGGCAAGTGCGTATTTTGAAGGTCCCGATTTTTCTGTAAAATCTCGCTAATAATCAAGAGAAGCTACAGGAAGCTTACATCTAGTACCTTAAATCACGTATTGTTAGAATGTGATTGATATTTCCATCACTCAACAACCCCAAAGTGAGCTCTAATTCCCAGCTCCCAAGAACAACTTTGGTCACAAAGAGCATGCTCAGAAAGAGAAGAGTGTGGGCCGGAAGAGATGGAGATGAAGATATCTGGAAATGAAGCTGACGTGGATCACTTTCAGCTTCTTATTCACGGTTCCATAATAACTTCACCTCCAGAACTCCATCTGGTAATGGGCTAAACAGGAGTCACAGAGGCAGTGGAGAATGCTGTGCTGAGCTGTGAACGTTTTTCTGTTCCCAATGAGACCCCTTGCACCTACTGGCTTCCTCTCCACCCAACATCCTACACTGCTGCTTGTAGTTACTTGACTCTCATATTTACTCTAAAGACACAAACAAATGAGCCAAATAAGAGATGAAAAACTATAAGCAGATCCTCAATGGCATTTCCTGTATTAAAATATTACATATTTTGGCCCCAATATTTATTAAAGGTACTATCATTTTTGCCTCAAAGTATCTTTCACAAAAAAATACTTTTAATGGAAAAACATTAACAAATAAGTTGTCCTTCTTTATTATCATTTTGACTGTATTACCAAATAAGGTTTTCCAATTTTATTCCATGGCAGTACAGAATATATATTCAGCTAAAGTAGGATAAGATTTTTTTAAAAAAAAAAATCCACGTTGTGTGTTGTGAAAGTCCAAAGAGCAAATATCAAAAATTTAATTGCATATAACACTTGACCCTAGATATGTAATTTAATCCCCTTTCTTTTTCCCATTTAGTAATGAAAGTTTCAAACGAAGTTTAAAGAATCGTGTAGCTACCACCTAGATTCCACAGTTGACATTTTATTATACGTTTTCTACCAAGTATTTATCCCCATATCCATCCCTCCATTCAACTCATCCTATTCTTTGATACATTTTGAAGAAAATTGGAGATAGGCATACACATCACCCTTACATGTATCATTAATGAGATCATAATATTTGTTTACTTTTAAGATAACTTTCACCTATCATGAAATGTGCAACTATTAAGTGATGAGTTTTGACACATGGATGCAACCGTGGAACTCAAAACCCTTCAAAATATGAAAAATTCCCATCAACTCAGAAAATACTCTCAAACTCTTCCCATTTAATTCACAGCAACCACTGTTCTGATTTTTTCCTAACAATAGATTAGTTTTGCCTGTTCTCAAAACTCATATAAATGTAATTTAATTGTATGTACTATTTTGTGTTAGATTACTACTCAGAATGTTTTTGAAGCTTTTTCATATTGTTGTATGTATCAGTAGTTCCTTTTTGTTGCTGAGTAGTATTCCATTGTATACAAAAATCTGGGCACGTTGGCTCTTTCCAGGTGTTTGTAATAAGAAGCATGAATGGAAAAACGAGGCTCGTCTGCAGATTCACAGACCTGAACTCAAAAAGGGGAATGGAGTTTTGTCACCAAAATTCCTCATCATGGCATCTCTCACTTTGGTGATTTTGACATATTGGGTGATGAATAAATCTTGTGTAATTTAGACAGAGAGAAGTCAGTGTGTCTGAAACTGGGACTGTTTGTGGAAATGAGGTGAGGGCCTTTTTTCTCATATTTTGTTCCTGATACTAAAGCTGGTGATCCCCGCCAAGGAATGGAATACGTGTCAAGCGTCCTGTTGAAGAAATCATGAAGTTATTCTTCTGTTGTATTTTGCAAAAGCTTTCTTGCTTTACCATTAATATTTAGATCTGAATGACTTCGGTAGTAAGTTATTTTGTATTGTATATAGTAGAGCATATGAGGTATTTTTCCATGTTGATTCAGGCACATTGTTGAAAAGACAATTATTTCCCCTCTGCTTTACAGGATACTTGTGTGATAATGCAGGAGGCCATATATGTGTAGACCATTGCCTGTACTCTGTTCAATGATCTTGTACCACTACTGCACTGTATACGGTATTGAATCAAGCCTTGATATCTGGTAGTATAAGCTATCCAGCTTGGTGCTTTTTCTTCAAATTGCTTTGGTTTTTCTTCAGCCTTTATATTTCTGTATAAATTCTAGAATCAACCTGTGAATTTCTGAAACGTAATGCCAGAAGTTTGACTAGGATCGTACTGGATGTGTAGTCAATTCTTTAATTATGAATTGATATATTCATAATATTGATTCTTCCAATTCATGACCATGGTATTTATTTCCGCTTATTTATGTTTTTATATAAATAAAATTTTAAGTTTCCATTGAGAGGTCTTGCACATTTGAGTATGAATTATTACTAGGTATTTGATTTTTTAATACTATTATAAATGGCTGTACAAATGTATCAGGATTCTAACTGGATTATTTTTACTGACATCTGGTTACATTTACTCTAGATCAACATGTTTACATCTAGTATCTTTCTTTAGGCACTGTTTTTCCTTAGATCTTTGACTAGTTTCCTTTGCAAACTTAGAATGCCAATGCGTTCCAAAAAAGTTATGAATGTGAAGTAAGTCTCTTTCTTATTTCCAGCGTGGGACTGATGTGAGTTCTGTACATCCTCAGGTGGAAACATAAAATTGGTTTTCAATCTTTGTGGGTTTTTTTTAAGTAGTCCATTTAATGTAATTAGTGTTATATCTGAGTTTCACTTGATTTATTTCTTCTCTTATGTCTTAAACACTTTAAAATTAATCAAATATTTTAATCATTTATTTTTTACTCTAAAATTTCTATTTAATATTATTTTATTTTATTGTTCTTATTGGCTATACAATGGATTACAATATGCTCTTTTAACTTAATAAAGCCTAATTTGAATAGCTACTTTTATCATCTTCCCAATAATGATAAAAATATGGAATACTTCAACTCCACTCTTCTGCCTTTTGCATTATTGTTGTTTTACATTTTAATTCTACTCATATTGTGAATCCTACTAGATCTTAGTATCATTGTTTTGAACATCAATATCCATTTATGTTTACCTACATATGTAGTCTTTTGTCTTTCATGCCTTCCTACATTTCCAGTGTTTCTCTTGGGGATTATCCTTACGGAAGAAATTTGTATTAGTCAGTTTGTGTTTCTGTAACAGTGTATTATGCAGCAGGTGACTTCTAAACAATAGAAATATTTTTTCACAGTTCTGGAGGCTTGGAAATCTAAGATCAGGGTACCAGCATGGTTGGTTCTGCTGAGAGCCCTTTTCTGGGTTGCAAAAGTACTCACTCACTAGTTAGCTCTCTGGCCTCTTATAAGGATTCTAATGCCATTCATGAGGGCTCCAGCCCCATGGTCTAATTATCGCCCAGAGGTCCCATTTCCAAATACCATCTTACTGGGATTAGGTTTTCAACCTACAAATTTTGAGGTAGACATAGTCAGACTAATGTCTTCTGCCCCTGACCTGCCCCAAAATTCATATCCTTCTCACATGAAAAATACATTCATTTCATCCCAACAGCTCTGAAAGGCTTAATGCATTCCAGTATTAACTTTAAAGTCTGAAGTCTCATCTAAATGTCTAAATCGGATATAGGCAAACCATGAGGTATAATTCACCCTGAGGAAGAAATCCTCTCCAGCTGTGAACCTGCGTAATCAAACAAGTTATACAAAATACAGTGGTCATACAGGTATAGGATACTCTCCCATTTTACAAAGGAGTAACAGGAAAGAAGGAAGGGATGAATGGATCCCCATCAAGTCCAAAATCTAGCAATGTAAGCTCCATGGAATCTTAAGGCTCCAGAATTTAACTGTTTGAGGTCTTCATCAATTTTGAAAAATCCTCAGGCATTATTTCCTCAGATACTGCTTTCGTCCCATTTATCTCTCTTTCTTCTACTTTGCAGATTCTAATTCCAAATATGTTCAAATCTTTACTGTTTCCTAAATGTCTCAAATATAGATTTTCAATAATTTATCTCTGTAATTACTTTAATATATTAGCTGTTGACCTTTCTATGTATTATTCACTCTATTATTCACTCATACGAAGTTCTTAATTTTAGCTACTGTGTTTTTATTTTTATAATTTGAGCATTTTATGCATTACTCACCTTCAGAAACTTTTCATATTTCCATCTCCTTTTATAATAGTTTTGCCCTTTTAAGCAAAGTTATTATTTAAAATTAAAAATGGGAGTGTCAGCTTACCAACTTCCTCAGTACCTGTAGAGAAAATTAGCTTGCCAGTTAGAAATAATATGTAAAGTGTCAATTTAAGGTGTCAATCATTTAAAAAACATTAACCTAAAGCACAACTATCAATAATATTCAAAATAATTTTATGGGAAAATGACATTAAATTTCAGTTCCATAAAAATACCAGTGAACGGTATTTGAGACCAGTATCACTGAGAAATAGACTGTGGTATATGGATGAATGCCAAGAGCAATGTGCTTATACAGTTTTTCTAGCGTTCAGAAAAATTATAAATAAATGGGTTAATTCAAGCTATATAAAGTTTTCTCCAAATTGCCTGGTTAAAAAAACTTTTCAGACTCAGAGAAAATAACCAGCTAACACTGTCCTGGAGACAATCCCACCTATCTTTCTGAAGAGAGTCAAGACTGACTGTAGACAGAATGTTCTTACTGCAAGCAAAAAACTGTGCATTCCCCATCAGAGACATAGGCTTTCCCTGCTTACCCACCTGCATCCTCCCATGTGCTGGCTCCTAAACTTTGTAGTCAGTAGCCAAATATGGACAATAAGACCTGAATATTGCTTGTACTAAAGAACCACTTTAAAAAACCTTGGCCCCTGTTTTACACGTTCTGGCTTGTAACAGTGTGAATCACATAGCATGTCCTCAGCAGCTGTGCCCATTCTGAAGCCAGAAAATGGTTCTAGGAATGAGCACAGAGGATGAGGATAGAGACTCACAGGACACAGCTTTCACTACATGGCCAGAAATGCTTTTTGTAAGGCCCAGCCCTTTTGTTCATGAGAAGGTGCTTCTTTGTTTGTCTCATCCATTCACTTGCTTCTTTAATTTCACATTTTATGAATTGTTTAAAATAGCTGATTATCTGAGTATTCTTATACAACTACAGGCACCTTCATCAGGGATTGCCTTAATCCATTTCAAAGCCCAGTGACTACAGTGCATGTCAGCAGGGAAACAGGTGGTTAACAGTGAGTAAATGTTGAGCCATGTTTTGTTCTGTCTCCCTAGCAACAGGATAGAAAAGGGTCTATTTGGATACATTGGTTCCAGCAAGGAGAGAAAAAGGCAAGAAGATGCTTCCTCCTTTTTTCCATGTATCTCTAGCCTTGTATCTACTACTTAGCTCTAGAAAAAAAAAAAAGTGGAAAACACAGGTACAAAAAGTATATTTACTACACAAATAACTCATGAAGGCTCTACAATGATATCTCAAGATCGGGACACTTCCTCGTCTCCTTCTCATGTGGCAGTAGATTGCATTATTGGTACCAGTTATTGACTCCCACTTTCTTATAAGAAGATTTTCTTATCCCATCCAATGCATAGGCATGTGCTATGCTTTAGAGGTAATGGAATTTGAGAAGAAATTATGAATGCCACAACCAAGCATAACCCTAAGAGCCATCACGTACTTCTGTGATTGCTTCTGTTCCTGCTGTCATAAGAATGGCATGTCTTTCAATCTGGATCCCAGAACCCAAAAGACATGCAAAAAACTGCAACTGACCCCCACCAGACCCACAGCTAACATGTATATAAACAAGAAATTAATTAATTATGAGTATCTGAGTTTTGGGGGTCATTTCTTACCATAGCGATAACCTAGTGAAAATGAATGAATAAAGAAATCAGTACCAGTTATGAGGTGTCACCAGAATGAAAAGCTAAAACATTTATCTCCAGTCCAGGAGATAGGCAGTTGCAAAGCTCTTATTAACTCCTGGAAAATAAGAGTGACTCGTGTTTTTATTGATAAGGCATTTTGCTACAATGTGTGTATGATAAGTTGGAATGAGCTTATGAATTTAGCCAAAGAGTCTGGGAGACTGAAGGCAACTAGCATGTTTTAGCTGCTGTTGGCTACTTTAGAAAAGGTATTACAAGAACAAGATAATTTCGGATAATAAATTGTGTATCTGACAGCAAGGTCAAAAGATGGAATTGACTGTTCTCTCCAAATGATGCGAGCTGAAATTGAGGAACAAGGATCAAAACTCAGTGTTACAGTAAAGACCAAATCATTGGCCTCATGCCCTTTGTTATGACCTCTGAATTGAATGAAGGGAAATCAAGTCAACACTTTTTATGCGGAATGTCTCAGAGAACAAAAAAGCCAAAGGGTGTGACTCTTTCTTGGAAGTCTGCTACCTCAATTTACTTCATCTTACCTCAAGCTAAGGTAGAACAGGTCATGAAAAGAATTGTGGATATAACTGTCGGCACACTGGAATTTTGCAGAACAAAAACTAATTAGGCTTTGAGAGAGTTGTACTGCCAAAATAGCCTGTAGCTGTTTGAGAAGTAAAATTACCTTTGAGCCAACAATATTCTGTTCTTTTCCCAAAGAGAGAATATTCTTTTATGCCCAATTCTCATGTGGCCAAGGAAATGGATGGGGAAGGATGGACTTCCCGGGGTGTGGAGCCAAGAATCTCAGAGTATGACCGACTAGAGACCTGCTCCAAGGCAGCAGACACTGGGATGGTTGAAATAAGGTTGTCTACCAACTAGCTGGGGGTCCTCACAATGTTTGTCCGAACAGATTTCAGAATTTTTGTTACGCACTGATGGCTGAGTGCCGCCTTCCTTCCCCTTTCTGAAAGCGAGTATTTATCGAGATTACCCTGCCCCAATATTACATGTGGATTGTGTGATTGTGTGTGGAGCTGCCAACATATCTTTCAAATCTCTAGATACCAAAGACCCTATACAGTAAAGTTAAAGTGCCATATGAGATCCAAGACTTGAAGTCTGATGGTGTGATTAGATGACACACTGGGGGTTCACTTAAAGGAGGGAGTGGCTTCTGCATACTTAAGGGAAATGAAGCAATATTTGTAACCAGGTTTGTACTGTGAGTGGTCTCAAGTACCATTCTCTGGTATTTTTATGAAAGTGAAATTTAATGTCATTTTCCCATAAAATTATCTTGAATATTATTGATAGCTGTGCTTTAGGTTAATGTTTTTTTAAATGATTGACACCTTAAATTGACACTTTACTGTACATCTTATTATTTCTAACTGGCAAGCTAATTTTTCTACAGGTACTGAGGAAGTTGGTAAGTGGATACTCCCACTTCTATTTTTAAATAACATCTTTGCTTAAAAAGACAAAACCTTTTTGCTTTGTCTTTTTTTTTTGTTTGCTTAAAAAGACAAAATTTTTATAAAAAAGATATAAAAAGATGAAAATATGAAAAGTTTCCAAAGGTGAGTAACACATAAAATACTCAAATTATAAAAATAAAAATTCAGTAGCTAAAATTAAGAACTTTGTATGAGTGAATAATAGAGTGAATAATACATAGAAAGATCAACAGCTAATATATTAAAGTAATTACAGAGATAAATTATTGAAAATCTATATTTGAGACATTTAGGAAACAGTAAAGATTTGAACATTATTTGGAATTAGAATCTGCAAAGTAGAAGAAAGAGAGATAAATGGGACCAAAGCAGTATCTGAGGAAATAATGCCTGAGGATTTTCCAAAATTGATGAAGACCTCAAACAGTTAAATTCTGGAGCCTTAAGATTTCATGGAGCTTACCTTGCTAGATTTTGGACTTGATTGGGACCCATTCACCCCTTCCTTCTTTCCTGTTACTCCTTTTTGAAATGGGAGTGACTACCCTATACCATGACGGTTGTATTTTGTATAACTTGTTCGATTACACAGGTTCACAGCTAGAGAGGAATTCTGCCTCAGGATGAATTGTTCTTTCCATTGTTGTTTTTCATTGTTCCCTCACCCTTCCCTATAAAAAGGATATACTCTATGTCTCACAGACATTCTGCTTGGGCCTACAACTGCCTTTGAGAATGTGAGCTGAAGTGATGGTTGCCACGACCACGTAGATACTTGAAGATATGCATCCAAAGATGTGTGATTACTTTTCCTTCTGCTGTAATGTGGTGTGTTTGCCACCTAGATCCCAGAAGATACATGAAACAAAGCAGTAGTCAACCATTGTTATTTTTATACATGAAGAAGAAATAGGTGTTCGTGATTGCAAATCAACGTAATTCTGAGGGGTCTTTGATACTGCAGTACAACTTATTAAAGTTGATTAGCATGTCTGCCATAAGTTCAATTTATTCAGGGAATCATGAGTTTTGTTTACAAGAACAAAAATCTGAGAAAAACAGGCCTTTTCTCAGATTTTAAACATTAACACCTCATTTTGTCATATAGCCCAAGTTTCAGACCCCCTGACCTCTCTCTGTCCAGATCACACAAAGGGAAGCATTGGGTAGTGGGAAATTCTGTGTGATTCTTCCCCATGAGCGTGGAGGCCCTACATGGGGTATTAGAGCCAGAAAGCTGTGAGGACAGAATGCAGCTGTTGGGGGCCAGTGGGGTGGGGAGTCTGAGCAAGGTGGGGAGGTACAGGGAGAAGACAGCAGCCACTATGGGAGAGTGATCACACATTGTAGAAGCATTAAGTCAGCACATGGGTGAAGGATAATGAAAACCAGAACTTCACTCTTGGAGAATGGACTTCCACACAGCCCTCCTCAATCCCAGTGCTGGGCCCTGTCCTTGGACACTTTCCTTATCTTGTTAGGGTCCAGCACCTTGTACTGCCCTGTCATGCGTCCTTTTTTTTTGAGACAGAGTCTTGCTCTGTTGCCCAGGCTGGAGTGCAATTGTGTGATCTTGGTTCACTGCAACCTCCACCTCCTGGGTTCAACTGATTCTCCTGCCTCAGCCTCCTGAGTAGCTGGGGTTACAGGCACCTGTCACCACGCCCAGCTAATTTTTTCATTTTTAGTAGAGACCAGGTTTCACCATATTGTCCAGGCTGGTCTTAAACTCCTGACCTCAGGTGATCCGCCAGCCTCGGCCTCCCACAGTGCTGGGATTACAGGTGTGAGCCACTGCACCCGGCCCCTCATGGCTACTTCTAATGTCCCTTTTCCCCAGAAACCAAACATATATACATCTTCCCTTTCACAATATTCCTTGTCCCCTTCCATGTTGCAAGGGAAACATTCAGGAACTTGGGGTAACCAAGCCACTGCCCACAGTTCATGCGTGGGCTCTGGAAGAAGCCCATTCCACCTCCATTCTCTAAACACCCTCCCAGAGCACCACCTGGTCCTTACCTTAGGAAGAAAAAAATATCACACTTTCAACAAATCTAAGACTGGCTACCAGGTTATACAAGAGATGTCCAATTAAACATCTTGATTTTTCTTACCTCACACTCAGCCCACCGCTTTTAAGCATTCAAAATTCTAAGATTCAGAGGGTGAAAAAGAGGCCTGCTTGCAGAATTCCAAATAATATATGCAGATACTCCGCCATCAGGGAGGGGAGCATAATCCCTGAAGTGGGGACTGCACACAGTGACTTTCTGTCAATAACTACAGTATGGAAAGGGGAAAAAGAGCTTTTACCATGGAGAAACCTGGAAAACACTACCTCATCCATGTGATTTAAGTCAACATCAACAGCGATCAGTCATGATGACAGCATGCACTCCTGATACCATATTATGAAAACAATGATGACCTCTGTGGTCTTCCCTTGCTAACCCAAAAACTCCAGTCTAATCATGAGAAAAACAGCACTGAATTTCCAATAGATTCCCGGTGGTGGTGGCTCACACCTGTAATCCCAGCACTTTGGGAGACTGAGGCAGGCAGATCACTTGAGGTCAGGGGTTCGAGACCAGCCTGGCCAACATGGTGAAACACTGTCTCTACTAAAAATACATAAGTCATCAGGGGTGTGGTGGTGTACACCTGTTATTCCAGCTACTTGAGAGGCTGAGGCAGGATAATCATTTGAACCCGGGAGGAAGGGGTTGCAGTGAGCCAAGATCGAGCTACTGAACACACAGCCTGGGTGACACAGCAAGACTCTATCTCAAAAATAAATAAATAAATAAATTTCCAGTAGAGGGGCAGTCTACAAAATATCTGACCAGGACTCCCCAAAACTATCAAGGTCATCAAAACTGGAGTCCCTGTGACAACCAGGAGTCGTCTAAGGAAGCATGACAAATAGATATAAATGTGGTATCCTGGATGGGATCCTGAAGCAGATAAAGGACATTAGGGTACTAGGTAAAAACTAAAGGAATAGCAATAAAGCATGGACTTTAGTTAACAATCATGTCAGTATTGGTCGCTTAGTAGTGATAAATATGCCACTAATGCAAGATGTTAGTAATGGGGAAAACTGGGTGTAGGGCATACAGGAACTCTCTGTATCACCACTGCAACTTTTATTTAAATCTAAAGCAAGCCCCCTTCCTCACCCTGCTTGCTACTACCCACAAGTTGTGCGGGTAGGAACAATTCCCTCTTTTCTCCTTCTGTGAGTCAAGGTAGACTTAGAAAAACAAAGAGGGGTATCCGGGAAGACCCCAGCATGGAAAGTCACCCCTTTTTCACCCCTCCACCCCCCACCCTCATAAAACTGCAAAGGCAGGAAGAAATCTCTCCAGTGCGCCAGAAAGAACGGACCAGTATCAAGAGGACGCCTCCCAGAAAGGACAAAACCAATGTGCCTGTCTTTTACACAAACAAATTTCCCATTGAACATGTTCAGAATCACGACTCTGCAGTTTCCCTGAAAAGAATTATTATATCTAAGGACACCGATTCACCAGTTTCACAGTAACTCTGTACTGGCCTGACTTTGTAGCCAGCAGTTAGCACTTCTTCCCCCTCCCCGCCTGCCAGGGGGTGATGCTATGAATTCGCAGTAGGAATAAGGAGCTGGAGCAAGATTCCTACTCGACGGTGGATAGCTGGACTTCCTCAGGCACGACTGGCCTGCAAACCATATAGGTCAGGAAGCAGGTGTCCAGGCTGCCAGAGCATCTCCTGATCCTATGAAAAATGGGCATTTTCCCAGTTTGGAATATTGTGGACCCAATTTCAAACATCCTGCCTTCCACTAGGATGAGCCACACACACCCGACCCCTTAGCCCTTCAACTCTGTTCCTGCTTAGCACAAATGTGTGGGTAGTAGCAAGCAGGGTCAGGAAGGGGGGCAGGAAACAGAGCACAGATTTTATAGATGAGCTTTAGTTCTCCCACAAGGGCTGCCTCCAGTCAGTCCTCCTGAAATGTTATCCACACAGGCCTTGAAGCAACCTTTATGAAAGTGCAGTTGCCTCATGGCCCACATCGTGTTTCATAGATGATCAAGGTGGGCTCTTTTATCCTATGTCTAAGTTTTATGTTTTGTGTGTGGATGAATATGTGAAAGTTGATGGAGTAGATTAATCTGCAGTCACACTTAGGAGTCAGTCCATGAGGAGAAACATCCTACTACAAATGTGAGCTCAAAAAGAAAAGGAGAAAAATGAACAGGCAGCACTCGTCCCTCCTCTTCTTACCTTGTACAGGTCAAAGGGAGGCACAGCTGTGGCCCAGAGAGACCTCTCTGATCCATACCACATGCTCATCTCTCCTGGCATTCTCCACACTACACCCTCCCTCCACCAGCCCTCTTCACCTTAACTCTCAGAAACACAGTTGGTGCCTCAGTAGGTCTGATGCCACCAGCCTTTACTCAGAATGTGCTTAATCCAATTAGAGCATTCTATCACATTAGAGAGTTCACATTGATTCTCTCCCTCTGAAGTCGGGCCGCATACACAGAGAAACCATCTGGGACTCAGCCATGTTCAGTGAAGAATGTGGATGGCATGGGCATCCTTCCCATTTGGGGATCAAGCCTTCTCTTCTTCAGCTGCAGCTCCTCCAGTGTAATACATGTCCATTTATCAAACTCCTATCTCCTTTCACTTCCGGTCTCTATCACATATTATCTGAGTTTGCTCAGTCACTTGATTTCTATTTATGAATAGTACACTATGGCTGACCTATGGGACAGGGCAGTGTGTGGATCAGGGCTATTTACAGGGAAGATAGCTTGGTCTATATCCACAGTGACAGCTTATGAGGAGAAAGGACATGCAAGAAGAGAAAGCATTGCTGGCATCCCTGTCTGTTCTGTGCCAAGAGCCATCATGTTCCTGCTTCCACTCCAATCTTACTCTCATGCCCTCCATGCATCTAAGAGGAGGATGCAGTGCCAACAAAGCCTTCCAGCACATGAAGAAAATTCACATTCCTTAACATTTTCCAGTCCAACGCTGCCACATCTCCACAGCAGGCAAAACTTTCTTTTCTAAGACACGCTCCTTGCAAACTTTTGGGTATATATCCAGTGGTCTCATAAAACATGTCCTGGGTGTCACATTCAGAACGGGGCATCAGAAGATGAAAATGAGAAATGGTTCCCTTTTTGTTTCTCCCTTCAATCAAATTTTCCTCCTTACCCCATCAGATTTTAAAGTACCACTTACTAAATTACAGTAAGTACTCATTCATTCTGACTCATAGTTCACAAAATATCTGGGATTTATTCTATTGCATATTAGAACCTCCACAGCCCATACCAAATTATACCACCCCATAGTTACATTTGTTTTTCTGGCAGGAGAATACCATTTGTGGGAAGTCATGTTTATGATCGTTTCTTTGGTGACATTTCGCACATGTCACATTAACACCCACGAGCTCAGAGAGAGGGAGTGCAAGTGAAAACTGACAAACAAACTAGCACTGCCACTCTCAACTGATTTGCAGGAGATGGGTGAAAAGAAGTCGCCTTAGTACAGCAAGATTAGAGGACAGCCTTTCACACGGACTCCTGGACACAGAGAAACTACTGATTGCTTCTTCCTACATAGTGATACACAAGCTGTTCTCCACCTGCTTGGTTTTCACAAACAGAGATGGGCCTGAAAATCTAAGAGCCCCAATCTCAAATGTTAATGTTAATGTCTCTTTAAAATGAAAATATAAATTTTATCTGGTAGATATACAAATCTTAAATGTACAGCTTGATAAGGTTTACTCAAGTGTACACCCATGCAATCAGTCACCTCAACAGAGCATTCTCAATGCTTGGGATGGTTCCTCAGTGCCTAGGCTACTGGCCTTCTAGAGTCAACCATTATTCTAACTTTATCACCATAGATTTGTTTTGAATGTTGAGCTTTCCATGAATGCAATTACACAGTATGTGGCACTTTTCAATCCACTTTATGTCTGTGAGATTAATCCACAGTATTACATACCTTTATAGTTTTCTTTTTCATTTTCATTGCTGTGTAGTATTCCACTGTGTGACTACAGCACCATGTATTGTCCCCTCGTACTTCTGATACACAGCAGAATAATTTCCAACACTTAGCTATTATGAATGACGTTACAACATCACTGTTAAGTATATTTTGATGAACATAAGTATTTGTTTCTCTTGGTATATTCTCAGGATAGAATTTGTTGAGTCATAGGGTATATCTATGTTTACTAGATACTACCAAACATTTTCCCAAAGCGGTTGTACCACTTTCATTCCCACTAGCAGTATATGAAAGTCCAATTTCCTTCATAATTGACATTGTCAATCCCTTCAAGTTTAGTGATTTCACAGTCTAATTTTACCTTTTCATGATGAGTAATAGCATTGAGAACTTTTTCATATGTTTGTTGGCCACTTTAACATTATCATTTTGAAGTTTCTGATTCAGCATTTTGGCCATTTTAAATATGATTGCCTGCCTTTTTTTTTATTGATTTGAAGTTCTGCCTACAATCCTTTGTGGGATGTAAAGTTCTTAATTTTAACAAAGTCCAAATTATCAATCTTTTAAAAATATTTGCTGCCTTACAATATTATTTAATTAATATTTTTGTACCCCAAAGTCATAGGGGTAATCTACTTTTTCATTTCTTCTAGAAGGTTAATTGTTTTAGCTTTCACATTTAGGTCCCAGGGCCATTGCAGATTATGTATTGCATATAGAGTGAATTGGAAAAAGCAAGGATAAAGGGGTCTTATTTGCCTATTAGAGTTTATGTATAAAGAAAGACTTTAGTATATCATTTTTGCTCATTTATCAGGCAAACTTTCTTGAAATTAGAGGCAGAAGTAAGATTTGAAGCAAACCCAAATATTTCCCTTCAAGAACTCCAGTAGGTTCTCAAAGTGAGTATCTCAGAAAGACCCACACTCAGCTCTGTCTGGGAAGAGGAATGCAACTGTTGTGAAACATAACCAGAGAAACGTACACTCCACCCCTTCTGTTTCACCTAAAGGAAAAACAAAAGAAAACAAAAACCATAGTCAATGTGGGATTCAAGGAAAGAAAATCAGAGTGCTGCAGCCAGTGAGAGGAATCGAAATCAGGCATAGAGAAGAAACCTATTTTACCAGAAGAGAGTAAGAAACATTTTATGAAGGCCACAGCCTTAAGTGCAGGCAAATCAAAAAAAGCCTGAGATTTACTCAGAATATTTTAGAATGTTACCCTCTTCTTCATATCTTATGATCACATCAAGGCAGCCCCAAAATAATAAATTACAGCTGAAACAGCTGCAAGATACAAACTAGTTGTAAGTGGTAGAACACAGGAAATCCCTTAAAATAAAAGAGGAGACAAAAACAAGGCCACTACATTTTTTTGAAGCCTTTGGTACTTACAACTTCAACAAATATTAAACAAATCACAACTCCTGGCCAGATTAACATAAATCCTCACATTTAAAATCCTAGTTACCTCAGTTCCTACTGGCTGATACAGTATGTTCAGCTTTAACTGCAAAAAGTCCATGCCCAAACACAATGAAAAACACAGACTACAGAAACAATTCAATAATCAGACCCAGACTGTGATATGACAAAGATGTTGGAATTATCAGACAGAGAATGTAAGACAGCTATGGTTAATATGTTAATGTCCCTAATGAAAAAAGTAGATAGACAACATTCAAGAACAGATGTAAACAGTGATTAAAAACTTAAAAAAAAAAAAGGAAATGCTAGAAATACCAAACACCTTAATGGAAATTTTTAAAAAATCTCTTTGATAGACTTTTGACATAGCTGAGGAAAGGATCAGTGAACTGGAAGATAATTAAATAGAAACTTTACAATTGGTGCTTGCTTCAGCAGGATATATATTAAAATTGGAAGGATACACAAAAGGGTAGCATGGCGCCTGCACAAGGATGTCAAGCAAATGTGTGAAGCATTCCATATTTTTCAAGTTGGATAAAAAAAAAAAGACATCTTCTGTTTTCCAGAGATCCATTTTAAACGTAACAACATTCATAGAATCAAAGTAAGGATCAATCACACAAACAGCAAAAAGGAGCAGGAGTCAGTATTATTATGTCAGATAATTTTTTTAAACTAACAACAGTAAAAAAGGACAAAGAAAGGCACTATATAATAAAACGTTCAATTCAACAAGATGACTTAACTATCATAAATATATATGCACCCAACATCGAAGAAATTCAGTGTTGCAGCCAGTGAAGGGAATCAGAATCAGTCATAGAGGAGAAGCCTATTTTATCAGAAGAGAGTAAGAAACATTTTATGAAGGCCACAGCCTTAAATCCAGGCAAATCAAAAAAGTCTTGAGTACTTGTTCATAAAACAAGTACTTCTAGGCCTAAAAAAAAAAAAAAAAGGCCTAGGTCGCCATACAATAATAGTGGGAGACTTCAACACCCCACTGCCAGCATTAGACAGATTATTGAGGCAGAAACTAACAAAGAAATTCTGGACTTAAATTTGACACAACCAATTGGACCTAATAAACATCTGTAGAACACTCCACCCATCAAGCACAGAATATACATTATTCTCATCTGCACTTGGAACAGATTCTAATATTGACCATATGCTCAGCCATACAGCAAGTCTGAATAACTTTTTTAAAAATTGAAATCATACCAATGATACTTTCATGTCATAGTGAAATAAAAATATCTCTCCAAACTACACAATTACATGGAAATTAAATAACTTGTTCCTGAATGACTTTTGAGTAAACAGGGAAATTAAGGCCAAAATTTAAAAATTCTTTGACATAAATGAAAACAAAACACAACATAGCAAAATCTCTGAGATGCAGCCAAAGCAGTGTTAAGAAGAAAAGTTTATAGTGCTAAATGCCTAAATCAAAAAGTTAGAAAGATCTAAAATTAATAATCTTAACATCACACCTAGAGGAACTAAAAAAAGGAACAAACTAACCCCAAAGTTAGTATAAAAAAAGAAATAACTAATCAGAGCAGAACTGAATGAAATCAAGACCCAAAAATCCATACAAAGGATCAACAAAACCAAAAGCTTATTCTTTGAAAGGATAAACAAGATCAATAGACCAGCAGCAAGATTAACAAAGAAGAAAAAAATACAGAAGATCCAAATAAGGACAATCAGAAACAACAAAGGTAGCATTACACCAGATTCCACAGAAACACAAAAAATCATCTGCAACTATTATAAACACTTCTGTGTACACAAACTAGAAAACCTATGGAAAATGGATAAATTCCTGGAGATACACAACTTCCTAAGAGTGAATCACAAAGAAACTGAAACCTTGGACATATCAATAATGAGTTCTGAAATTGAATTAGTAATTCAAAACACACCAACAAAGAAAAGCCCTGGACCAGATGGATTCACAGCTCAATTTTACTAGACATAGAATGCAGAGTTAATACCATTCCTACTGAAACTATTCCAAAAATTTGAGGAGGAGGGACTCCTCCCTAAATCATTCTATGAAGCCAGCATCACTCTGATACCAAAATCTGGCAAAGACACAACAAAAACAACAAAAGAAAACTACAGCCCAATATCCTTGATGGAGATAGATTCAAAAATCCTCAACAAAATAGTAGCAAAATCAATCCAACAGCACATCAAAAAGTTAATTGACCAAGATCAAATTGACTTTATTTGCAGGATACAGGGCTTGTTCAACATGTGCAAATCAATAAGTGTGAATCACTACATAAACAGAATTAAAAATAAAACAATGTGATCATCTCAGCAGACACAGAAAAAGTTTTCTATAAAACTAGTATCCTTCCATGATAAAAACCCTCAATAAACTAGACATCAGAGGGGACATACCTCAAAATAATAACTGCCATCTGTGGCAAACCCACAACCAACATCATATTGAATGGGCAAAAGCTGGAAGCATTACCCTTGAGAACTGGAACAAGATAAGAATGCCCATTCTCACCACTCCTATTCAACATAGTACTGGAAGTCCTGGCCAGAGCAAGCAGGCAAGAGAAGTAAATAAAAGGCATCCAAATAGGAAAAGAGGAAGCCAAACTATCTCTCTTTGTTGGTAATATGATTCTATACCTAGAAAGCCCTAAAGAGTCCCCCAAAAGGCTCCCAGAGCTGATAAGCAACTTCAGTAAAGTTTAAGGATACAAAATAAATATACAAAAACCAGTAGCATTTCTGTATACCAACTACATTCAAATTGAAAGCCAATTCAACAATTCAATCCTGGCTGGGTGCAGTGGCTCACGCCTGTAACACCAGCACTTTGGGAGGCTGAGGCGGGCCAATCACGAGGTCAGGAGAGCGAGACCATCCTGGCTAACATGGTGAAACCCCGTCTCCACTAAAAATACAAAAAATTAGCTGGGAGTGGTGGCGGGCACCTGTAGTCGCAGCTACTCAGGAGGCTGAGGCAGGAGAATGGCGTGAACCTGGGAGGCGGAGCTTGCAGTGAGCCGAGATTGCGCCACTGCACTCCAGCCTGGGCAACAGAGCAAGACTCCGTCTCAAAAAAAAAAAAAAAAAAGAATTCAATCCTATTTACAATAGCCACACACAAACAAAATACCTTGGAATACATCTAACCAAGGAGGTAAAAAATATCTACAAGGATAACTAAAAAACACTGCTGAAAGAAATCACAGATGACACAAACAAATGGAAAACATTCGATGCTCACAGTTCAGATGAGTTAGTATCTTTAACATGGCCATATGTCTCAAAGCACTCTACAGATTCAACACCATTCCTATCAAACTATCAACATCATTTTTACAGAAATAGAAAAAAAAGGGTATTAGTCCATTTTCCCGTTGCTGATAAAGAAACACCCAACCGGGCAACTTACAAAAGAATGTTTTATTGGACTTACAGTTCCATATGGTTGGGGAAACCTCACAATTATGGCAGAAGGCAAGGAGAAGCAAGTCACATCTTATGTGGATGGCAGCAGGCAAAAAGAGAGCTTGTACAGGGCAACTTCTGTTTTAAAAACCAACAGATCTCCTGAGACCCATTCACTATCATGACAACAGGGAAGGAAAGACCCACCCCCATAATTCAGTCATGTCCCACCAGGTCCCTCCCACAACACATGGGAATTATGGGAGCTACAAGATGATATTTGGGTGGGGACACAGAGCCAAACTATATCAAAAAGTATTCTAAAATTTACATGGAACCAGAGAAGAGCCCAAATAACCAAAGTAATCCTTAACAATAAGAACAAAGCTCGAGGCATCACATGGTCATACTTCAAGCTATATTACAAGGCTACTGTAACCAAAACAACATAGTACAGGTACACAAAGTGATACACAGACCAATGGAACTGGATAAAGAACCCAGGAATAAAGCTACACACCTAATCATCTGTAATCATAATCATCTGATCTTCAACAATAACAAGCAATAAGGAAAGGATTCCCAACTTATTACATAGTGCTGGGCTCACTGGCTAGCTGTATGCACAAGATCAAAACTGAACACCTTCCTTTCACTATATACAAAAATCAACTCAAGATGGATTAAATAGTTAAATACAAGCCCTACAACATGAAAACCCTAGAAGAAAACCTACAAATACCATTCTGGACATTGTCCTTGGCAAATAATTTATGTCTGAATCCCCAAAAGGAATTGCAACAAAAATAAAAGTTGACAAGTGGCACCTAATTAAACTAAAGAGCTTCTGCTAAGTGAAAGAAACTATCAACGGAGTAAACAGACAACCTTCGAGAATGAGAGAAAATATTCACAAACTATGAATCCAACAAAGGTCTGATATCCAGAATTTATAAGGAACTTAAATCAACAAGCAAAAAACAAACAAACCCATTAAAATGTAGGCAAAGAACATGAACAGACACTTCTTAAAAGAAAACATACAAATGGCCAACAAACATATGAAAAATGCTCAACATGACTAATCATTAGAGAAATGAAATCAATATCACAATGAGATATCATCTCACATTGGTTAGAATGGCTATTACTAAAAAGTAAAAAAAAAAACACCACATGCTTTATGAGGTTGCAGAGAAAAGGGTACACTCATACACTGTTGGTGGGAATACATATTAGGTCAGCCACTGTGGAAAGCAATGTGGCAATTTCTCAAAGAACTGAAAACAGGATGACTCAGTAATTCCATTACTTGGTATATACCCAAAAGAAAATAAATCATTTCACCAACAAGACACATGTACTTGTATGTTCATCACAGCACTATTCACAATACCAAAGACATGGAATTAACCTAGATGCCCATCTAGGTGGACTGGATAAAGAAAATGTAGTACCTATACATCATGGTACATATGCAGCCATAAAAAAGAATTAACTCACGTCCTTTGCAACAACATGGGTAGAGCTGGAGGCCATTATCCTAAGCAAATTAGCACAAGAAGAGAAAACCAAATATCCTGTGTTCTCACTTATAAGTAGCGGCTAAACACTGAGTACACATGGACATAAAAATAGGAACAGTAGATACTGGAGACTATTAAGAGGGAAAGGGTGAGAAGGAGGCAAAGGCTGAAAAAATACATTATCAGGTTACTATGCTCACTACCTGGGTGACAGGATCATTCATACACCAAACCTCACTGATATGCAATTTACCCATGTAAAAACCTGCACATGTACCCCCTGAACCTAAAAAAAAATGTTGAAACAAAAAGGAAACCTTACAAGTGAAATGCAAAGAGGAAAAAAGGAATGAAAACAAAATCCAAAAATAGAAATGACATCCAAGAACTGTGTGATAGTCTTAAAAGGTATAAGTACTAATAATTGGAATACTGGAAAGATAAGAAAAAAAGGATGGAGCACAATAAATACTTGAAATAATAATGGCCAATAACTTCCAAAATTAATAAAAGATTCCTCCCTAAAACCCGCAGATTCAAGGAGCTCAAAAGTACCAAATAAGATAAACACTTAAAACACACATATACACACACATACACACAAGCGCGCACACACACACACCCCTATTGAAACATCAGAAAGTCAAAGGAAAATAGAGAATCTCTTTTTTAAAAAGCCAGAGGAGAAAAATCTTACCTATAAAAAAACAAGGATAAGAATTACAGTGAAAAACAACCCAAAATATGGTTATTGGAAAGTATCTAGCTAGGAGAGCCAATAAAACAGAATAAACAAATATCAGAAAAAAAAAGAGGAGTCACTATTGATCTTATGAGTATTAACAGGATAATAAGAGCATACTGTGAAAAATTCTATGTCCACAAATATGGTAACTTTGATAAAATAAATTAATTACTTAAAAATCACAAGTATGAAAACTCACACACAGAAAAATATATTAACCTGAGTAGCCCCACATGTATTAAAAATTGTCTTAATAATTAAAACCTTTTTAATAAAGAAAGCACAAGGAATAGATGGTTTTAGTTGTGAATTCTTTAAGTAAGAAATAGTTCCACATTTTCACAATATATTTCCCAAAATAGCAGCAGTGGGAGAACATATCAGCTCATTTTATGAGACCAGCATTACCCTAATACCAAAATCAGACAAATATATTACAAGAAAAGAAAGCTAAAGTCAAATATATTCAAAATACCTTAACATAGTATCATCCACCAATATCCAGTAAAATGACAGCATATTATTATCAGGGATATTAGTGCCAGGAATGCAAGGCTGGTTCAAATTTTGTGAATCAGTTTAGGTAATTCATCATATTAAAAGACTGAAAAAGAAGAAAAAAATATGACCATATAAATCGAAGCAGAAAAATCATTTGAAAATAATTATTATCCATTCAAATAAAAAATCTCAAAAAAACAGGAATAGACGGGAGCTTCTTTAGCTTAGTAAAGGGTATATGTGGGAAAATAGTTAACATTATAGTGGTGAGAGACTAAATGCATTCCTCCTATGATCAGGAACAAGGAATGGATGTCTTCTCTTATAAATCTTTTTTTTTTACATTTTTTTTAAATTTATTATTATTATACTTTAAGTTTTAGGGTACATGTGCACAATGTGCAGGTTAGTTACATATGTATACATGTGCCATGCTGGTGCGCTGCACCCACTAACTCGTCATCTAGCATTAGGTATATCTCCCAATGCTATCCCTCCCCACCTCCCCCCACCCCACAACAGTCCCCAGAGTGTGATGTTCCCCTTCCTGTGTCCATGTGTTCTCATTGTTCAATTCCCACCTATGAGTGAGAATATGCAGTGTTTGGTTTTTTGTTCTTGTGATAGTTTACTGAGAATGATGATTTCCAGTTTCATCCATGTCTCTACAAAGGACGTGAACTCATCATTTTTTATGGCTGCATAGTATTCCATGGTGTATATGTGCCACATTTTCTTAATCCAGTCTATCACTGTTGGATATTTGGGTTGGTTCCAAGTCTTTGCTATTGTGAATAATGCCGCAATAAACATATGTGTGCATGTGTCTTTATAGCAGCATGATTTATAGTCCTTTGGGTATATACCCAGTAATGGGATCTTAATTGACAACGTACTCAAAGTCCTGACTAATGTAGTAAGAAAAAAATAGTATACAAAGAAAGATATTTTTATTTACAGATGACATGACTTTCTTTTTCTCCCCATACTAACCACTAAACTAAAAAGAGGACATGATTTTCTATGTAGAAATTTTCTAAACATTTACAATAAAGTTCCTGGAACTAATAGGCAAATATAACAAGGTCAGAGGATACAGGTGCTTTCCTATAAGTAAAATATTAACTATTGGAACTTAAAATATAAAAAATAATAGTATTTACAATAGCACACAAAAATGAAGTACTTATGTATGTTTACAGGATCTCTATGCACAAAACTACAAAACACTGATGAAAGAAATCAAGATCTAACTAAAGGGAAAGCTAGTCACTATTCATGGGTTAATAGGCTCAGTATTGATAAAATATACATCCTTCCTTACTGGACCTACAGACTCAATGAAATCCCAATCAAAATCCCAGGGAGCCATCTTCTAGATATCAACAACGTATTCTAAAATTCCTATAAAAACACAAAGGACCTAAAATAGCCAACACAATACTGAAGAAGAAAAGCTAAATCGGAGGACTCATACTAGCAAATCTAAAACTTAACATGAAGATAGAACAATCCAGACAGTGTGATATTCTTGAAAAAAATAGACATAGATCAATGGAACAGAATGGAGAGACCAGAAAGAGACCCTCACAGTCAATTGATTTTTGAGAAAGGCACACAGGCAATCCAAAGGAGAAGGAACAGTGGTTTTTTGTTGTTGTTTGTTTGTTTTAACAAATAGTGTTGGGACAGTTGGATATTCATATGCTAAAATATGAACCTAGACAATGGCCAGGCATGGTGGCTCATGCCTGTAATCCCAGCACTTTGGAAGGTTGAGGCGGGTGGTTCCCTTGAGGTCAGGAGTTCGAGACCAGCCTGAGCAACGTGGTGAAACCCTGTCTCCACTTAAAATACAAAATTAGCTGGGTGTGGTGGCACATGCCTGTAATCCCAGCTACTTGAGAGGCTGAGGCAGGAGAATCGCTTGAACTCAGGAGGCGGAGGTTGCAGTGAGCCAAGATCGTGCCACTGCACTCCAACCCAGGCAACAAAAGCGAAATGCTATCTCAAAAATAAATTAAATAAATAATTAATTAATTAAAATAAAATATGGTCCTAGACAAAAACTTCATCCTTTCACAAAGATTACCTCAAAAATGAATCATAGGCCTAAATGTAAATTGCAAAGCTATAAAAATTCTAGAATAATACAGTGATGGTTAATATTGAGTGTGAATTTGATTGGATTGAAGGATGTAAACTATTGTTCCTGGATCTGTCTGTGAGGGTGTTGCCAAAGGAGACTGACATTTGAGTCAGTGGACTCGGAGAGGCAGACTCACCCTCAACGTGGGTGGGCACCATCTAATCAGCTGCCAGTGTGGCTAGGATAAAAGCAGGAAGAGGAACGTGGAAGGACTTGACTGGCTTAATCTTTGGGACTGCATTCTTCTCCCATGCTGGATGCTTCCTGCCCTTCAACATCAGACTCAGCTTTTGGACTCTTGGACCTTCAACTAGAGACTGAAGGCTGCACTGCTGGCTTCCACACATTTGAGGTTTTGGGACTCAGACTGGCTTCCTTTCTCCTCAGCTTGCAGAGGGCCTACTGTGGGACTTCATGTTGTGATTGTGCGAGTCAATACTACTTAATAAACTTCCCTTTATATATACATCTATCCTGTTAGTTCTGTCCCTCTAGAGAACCCTAATACAGATTTGTAAGAGAAAATCTATGCCACTTAGGATTTGGCAATACATTTTTAAATACAACATCAAAAGCATACTCCATAAAATTAAAAAATGATCAATTAGATTTTATTAAAATTATTATTAAAACTGCCATGTGAAAAAAAGTCAAGAAATGTAAAGTCACAGCCTAGCAGAAATATTGCAAAACACATATCAGAAAAAATACTTATACCCAAAATAAGAGGCCAGGCTTGGTTCAAACCCACAACCCAAGCAATTTGGGAGACTGAGGCAGGAGAATCACTTGAGGCCAGGAGTTCAAGACCAGCATGGGCAATATGCAAAAACCCTGTTTCTAAAAAAACATAAATAAATAATCTACATGTGTTGGTGTGCACCTGTTGGAAAAAAAAAAGCAAAGATCTCTTAAAGTTCAACAAAAAGAAATCAAATATAGTATTCCTTCTTTATCCAAATGGAGTATGTTCCAATACCACCAGTGGTTGCCTGAAACTCCAGAAAGTACCAAACCCTATATATATATAAATACTATGTAGAATGTCTTTCTTTTTTTCTTCACAATTTCATGGATTTAAGATTCATCCTTAGCGTAAATGTTGGCAACCTCAACATATTTTTTTCTTTCCTCTTTAAGTCAAGAACTATTACCTAGTTACTTAAATGAAGCAGTTTAGGCTTCTCTTTGGCATATCAGAATTGTCAGCATCACTCTTGTGCCTTGGAGCCATTATTAGAACCGCCTTTGCAAAAAAAAGTAACAGTGAGAAAATTATAACAGTGAAAGAGATCTGACCTAACCAACTGTGTGTCTTGCTTCTAACCTCCAAATTGCCCTTGTCCATTGTATCAGTCAATTTTCATGCTGCTGATAAAGACATACCCAAGACTGGGAAGAAAAAGAGGCTTAATTGGACTTACAGTTCTACATGGCTAGGGAAGCGTCAGAATCATGGCAGGAGAAGAAAGGCACTTCTTACATGGTGGCAGCAAGAGAAAATGAGGAAGAAGCAAAAGCAGAAACCCCTGATAAGTCCATCAGATCTCAAGAGACTTATTCACTATCATGAGACTAGCATGGGAAACACTGGCCCCCATGATTCGATGACCTCCCCTGGGTCCCTCCCACAATATGTAGGAAATCTGGGAGATACAATTCAAGTTGAGATTTGGGTGAGGACACAGCCAAACCCTATCATTCCACCCCTGGCCCCTCCAAATCTCACGTCCTCACATTTCAAAGTCAATCATGCCTTCCCAACAGTCCCCCAGGTCTTAACACATTTCAGCATTAACCCAAAAGTCCACAATCCTAAGTTTCATCTGAGACAAGGCAAATCCCTTCTGCCTGTGAGCCTGTAAAATCAAAAGCAAGTTAGTCACTTCCAAGATACAATGGGGGTTACAACAGGTATTGGGTAAATACAGACATTCCAAATGGAAGAGATTGGCCAAACAAAGGAGTTACAGGGCCTTTGTTGCAAGTCTGAAATCCAGCAGGGCAGGCAAATCTCAAAGCTCCACAATGATCTCTTTTGACTCCAGATCTTACATCCAGGTCACACTGATGCAAGAGGTGGGTTCCCATGGTCTTGGGCAGCTCTGCCCCTGTGGCTTTGCAGGGTACAGCCTCCCTCCTGGCTGCTTTCACAGGCTGGCATTGAGTGTGTAGCTCTTCCAGGTGCACAGTGCGAACTGTTGGTGGATCTATCATTCTGGGGTTTGGAGGATGGTGGCCCTCTTCTCACAGCTCCACTAGGCAATGTCCCAGTAGGGATTCTGTGTGGGGGCTCCCACCCCACATTTCCCTTCCATACTGCCCTAGCAGAAGTTTTCCATGAGGTCCTCACCCCTGCAACAAACTTTTGCCTGGGCATCCAGCCATTTCCATACATCTTCTGAAATCTATGTGGAGGTTCCCAAACCTCAATTCTTGACTTCTGTGCACCCACAGGCTCAATACCATGTGGAAACTGACAAGGCTTGGGGCTTCCACCCTCTGAAGCCACAGTCTGAGCTGTATATTGGCCCCTTTCAGCCATGGCTGGAGTGGCTGGGACACAGGGCACCAAGTCCCTAGGCTGCACACAGCATGGAAGTCCCTAGGTTTCCCTGGGCCCAGCCCGCAAAACCACTTTTTCCTCCTAGGCCTCCAGGCCTGTGATGGGAGGGGCTGCCATGAGGGTCTCTGGCATGGCCTGGGGACATTTTCCCCGTGGTCTTGGGGATTCACATTAGGCTCCTTGTTACTTAGGCAAATTTCTGCAGCCTGCTTGAATTTCTCCCCAGAAAATGGGTTTTCCTTTTCTATCACATAGTCAGGCTGCAGATTTTCCAAACTTTTATGCTGTGCTTCCCTTATAAAATCTCATCACTTTAACAGTACCCAAGTGACATCTTGAATGCTTTGCTGCTTAGAAATTTCTTCTGCCAGATACCATAAATCATCTCTGTCAAATTCAAAGTTCCACAAATCTCTAGGGCAGGGGCAAAGTGCTGCCAATCTCTTTGCTAAAACATAACAACAGTTAAATTTGCTCCATTTCCCAACAAGTTCCTCATCTCCATCTGAGACCACCTCAGCCGGATCTTATTGTTCATATCACTATCAGCATTTTGGGCAAAGCCATTCAACAAGTCTCTGTAGGTTCCAAACTTTCCCACATTTTCCTGTCTTCTTCTGAGCCCTCCAAACTGTTCCAACCTCTGCATGTTACCCAGTTCCAAAGTCACCTTCACATCTTTGAGTATCTTTTCAGCAACACCCCACTCTGCTGGTATCAACTTACTGTATTAGTCCGTCTTCATGTTGCTGATAAAGACATACCCAAGACTGGGAAGAAAAAGAGGTTTAAATGGACTTACAATTCCACATGGCTGGGGACGTCTCAGAATCATGGCAGGAGGTGAAAGGTACTTTTTTTTTTTTCTTTGAGATGGAGTCTCGCCCTGTCACCCAGGCTGGAGTGCAGTGGCGCCATCTCAGCTCACTGCAAGCTCCACCTCCTGGGTTCATGCCATTCTCCTGCCTCAGCCTCCTGAGTAGCTGGGACTACAGGTGCCTGCCACCACGCCCAGCTAATTTTTTGTATTTTTAGTAGAGACAGGGTTTCAATGTGTTAGCCAGGATGGTCTCGATCTCCTGACCTCATGATCCACCCGCCTCAGCCTCCCAAAGTGCTGGGATTACAGGCGTGAGCCACCGCGCCTGGCCTGAAAGGCACTTCTTACAAGGTGGCAGCAAGAGAAAATGAGGAAGAAGTAAAAGCAGAAACCCTTGATAAACCCATCAGATCTTGTGATACTTATTCAGTATCACGAGAACAGCATAGGAAAGACTGGCCCCCATGATTCAATTACCTCCCCCTGGATCCTTCCCACAACATGTGGGAATTCTGAAAGATACAATTCAAGTTGAGATTTCGGTGGGGCACAGCCAGATCGTATCACCCATTCTTGGGCATGCACCAAACTAACTTTAGGAGGAACTTCGTTCATAGTGTAACTTTGAAACAAAGATGATAGCAGCCCTTTCCTGAAACAAACCCCTTCCTTGCCTGGGGACCAGACTGCCTTTGTAAAACTAACAAATTAGGCACAAGATTAGAAATTATGGTTTAGGACATGCAGCCAGAGGCCACAAGAATCCTAACCTCCCCAGTTGCTTCTAGGGATAGCATTTTTATTATAAAACCTAAGACTGGTGCTCCAGAATCAGACCTTGCATTCTCATTCACCAGCTGGTGCCACCAAGATCAGCCATCTGGTTCAACCAGTTCTGCGATCCCACTCACAAACAGAAGACAGCAAAAAGAACCCAGTTCCACCCCCTATGATTTCCCCTCTGACCCGACCAATCTGACCCATTCCCTGCCCTCCACTGACCTGCCAAATTGTCCTTGAACAACCCCAGTCTCCGAATTCTGTGGCAGACTGATTTAAGTAATAAAACTCCTGTCTCCTGTTTAGCCAAGTCTGTGTGAACTAAACTCTTTCTGTATTGAAATTTTCCTGTCTTGATAAATCTGCTGTCTCTGTTGCAATTCCCCTCTATCTGGGCAGCGGGCAAGGAGAACCCATTGGGAGGTTACATTATTAAGTAAAATAAGAGTCAGTTGAACACAAACACTGTAATACCATGACAGTGGGTCTGATTAACTGAGACGACAACTAAGTGACTAAAGGGCAAGTAACACGGACAACAAGGAAACACTGGGCAAAGGGATGATTCAATTCCTGAGTGGGACAGACTGGGATGGCTTGAGATTTCATCATGCTACTTAGAATGGCATGCAATTTAAAACTTATGAATTATTTCTGGAAGTTTCCATTTAACGTATTTGGACTGTGGAAAGCAAGATGGTGGATAAAGGAGGACACTTGTAAATCAAGTTAAAGATAGGCAAAACATTGAACATACGCTTTCTCAAAAAATATGCAATTGGAATGAAAAGCATGAAAAGATGCTACACAGCATTTGCCATTAGGAAGTGCAAATTAAAACAAGTTACTACTACATTTATGGCAATGGCTAAGTTCCAAAAAAACGACCACACCATTTGATGAGAGGATGCAGAGCAACAGGGACTCTCATTCATTTTTGGCAGGAATGCAAAATGGCACAACCACTTCAGAAGACAATCTGGCAGCCTCTCACAAAGCTAAACATAGCATTACCATATGATCCAGCAATCACACTCCTAGGTATTTAGCCAACTGTTTTGAAAACTGAAGTCCACACACACAGTCTGCACATGAATGGTAACATATGCTTTGCTCCTACTCGAGAAAAACTGTCAGCAACCAAGATGTCCTTCAGTAGGTGAACGATGCATTGTGGTACATCCACATAATGGAATACTATTCAGCAATCAAATGAAATGGGCTATCAAGGCCTGCAAAAACATGGAGGAAGTTTAAATGTGTATTACTAAGAGAAAGACGCCACTCTGAAAACACTACGTACTGCACAATCCAATTTATATAACATTCTGGAAAAGGCAAAATGATAGAGACTCAATGGTTGCCAGGGGTTTGGGGACATGGAGGGTTGAATAGGTAAGTGCAGAGGATTTCTTTTGAGGGTAGTTAAAGGATCCTGTGTGATAATTGTCATAATGGATACGTGGCACTTTCCGTTTGTCAAAACCCATAGACCAATACCACACCACCCTTCCAACCCCACATTCACAGTCAACAGCAATGACTGCAGGAAAACCCGTCCTGCCCCGTGAGCATTTTGTGATTTGAGAGAGAGTAGTCCCAGAACAGAGGCAGTGGATTCATTCTCGAGTGCTCACACTCTCTACCCCAAAAGCTTCCATTCGGTTGCCACCACCATTATTTCCAAAAGGGAAACTTGCAGATTCCCCTTTATTGAGGCCCAACGTAAACATGTAGATTTCTGTAGTTGCTCAGCCTCCCACCACTGCTCCAGGCTGGCAAAGCTCGGGGGTCTCAGAGGGTTAACCAAGGGGAGGGTCCACAGGAAGCAGTGTTCAGATTTATCTGCACCCCACACCCCCAAGCCTTTAATTACGCCTTGTGAAACATCACTTTACCTTTTATTCCACATCATAATTCCCAAATGATCAGGGTATTTTATTTTACATCTAAATTTGGGATACTCATAGCCCATCTCAAAATCCCAGCCCGCCAGCTACGTCAATAGGAAAGCGCACGCAAGAGCTGCGCAATTCTGGTGAAGTGTTTACATCTGCAGCAATAAGTGAGAAATGGTTTATTAATAATCATGGCGTCATTGAGAGGGAGGGAGAAGCCGGGGGATAAAGACAAACGCACAACCTCCTCCGCTCTTCTCCAAACCACCCCACCACCAAGTTCCCAGTGCTGACGCAGGAGCACAAAGACCCTGCAATGCAGCAAGAGGGAGTGCGCATGCTCCCAGAGGACCCCTCCCAGGACGCAGACACAAGCCCCCCCACCCTCCCCTTTGGCTGCTATGGACACAAGTGACTCACGAAGAGATTTGTTCTCAAAAACACAGCATTTTTACTCATAGGCCTGAAATCAGCTTTTACTCAAGAATCCCAATTTCAAACATCCAAGCCTTACTACATTGAAAAATATAGCAAATGTCTAACAAAACTGTCCCTTCCAGCAGATTGTAATCAACTTTGTCATCAAAAGGACAAAAAATAAAAACCTGCACAGATATGGCACAGGGCAGACCGAAACTTCAGCTATTGTGGGCTCTCCTTGGATGATCATGTAGAATATCATCAGTACCCTGTACCAGCCCTGAGCTAGGCATGCTTCTGGGGTCAGAAAGTTAATGTGGGCAAAAGGCTTTCATTGAGCACAATTTGCATTTCTGACATTAGGGCCTCCTAAGGCTATGTTTTTTCTTTTCTTTATTTTTTATTTTATTTTTTGAGCTGTTATTGAAGTCACCCTTGACTCTATCAAGTTCTTAACTCACCTCTTGTCGAATTCCATCTGCCTTTTAATTCCACATCTTAAACCATAGATGATCAGGACTTCTCCATTCATCCACACCTGAATCGAAGGCCCCAATATTCCATCCCAAATGTCCACACCCACAGTTGTATTTGGATGGGGAGCAGATAGGCATAAAGGCAATTTATTTGGAGGCACTGAAGTCTGCCTTCATAGGAACAGAACAGAAAATGGCTGATGAACGGCTGTCAGCCCACAAGAGAGGATGTCAGGTTAGAAGGGTCGGCAGCGCATTAGCCCTCTGTTTCTCCCTGCTATTCCCACCCCTGCTTCTGCTGTGACCCTAAAAGAGACACAAACACAATGAAGAACTTGCCAGGCATCAAAGAAGAGAGTGCAAGGCCGGAAGCCCCCTCCTCTCAACGGGAGGGCTCACGGCTTGCCCCTCCCTCCCTCCTACACACTCCCCCTCCCAGCTGTTGGTCCACACATTTTTTTGCAGAAACAAAGCTCTCACAGACACAGACCAGCATACCAGGTTTCCCGAGAATCCCCCCAATCTCAAACAGTCTGCTCTGAGTCTTGTTAAACAGTGAAGACATCACGTCCGAAGTGCACCCCTGCCAGTGAGTGGCAACAGAATATTGGGTTTGGGAGATGTGGGACAATGAATGTGTCTGCCAGTATTGCAGAAATCTTGATTGAGCTACCTGAGGCTTTATTGATTTATTCATTCAGTCTTGACAGAGACTTAGCTCTCCTTCACACTCTTAACTCACGTTGTCCAGCCCCAGCTTCCTGTGATTTCCTGTCTGAAACCAGAGGCTCTCGAGAATTTTTGTGAACCTTTTGTTCTACACATGAACCAGAGATCTCTTTAGAACTTTCTGCAGCAAATTAGCAAATCAAGGCAACTTAAGTGGAGGCAATTTAAGTCTGAACAGTTAAAGAATATAAAATAGATGATTAGGGCTCTTGAGCCCAAAGAGAAGAATAGGCTGCAAGGGTTAGAACAGAGAAGCAGCACAGCCAGCATCTCCCCAGCCCCCAACCACTCCCCTCCCCCAGCCTCTCTATGAATGAGGAAGAGAACAGAGGCACAAAGAGGACCCCTCGGTATACAAAGCCCACTGTGGAGACCCCTCGATGCACAAAGAGGGCATCCCTTTTTCTGTATTCCCCACACTGCACTCCGTGCTGCCTCTCACGTACAACCTCTCCAATGCCCAGCCCGGACACCACATTATCTGAAGGGCCTTAATTTCAAGAGCTCTGCAGTAGTTTTATCTATGCGGGATGTCTTCTGAATCCCACGCAATAATTTTCTCTAGGACTGGAGTGTGAAATGAAAGCTATTAAGGAAATAGACGATTATGAAATGGAAGCAATTTTTCCAAACCAACAGTTATTCTTTTCAATTTCTGATACCACTTCAGCCCTCTGAGCCATCACTACGCAGATTGTCTAATTAAAACTTCCTTTCCTCTTTTTGCATTGTCTCTAACATATCTCCTACATGGTGCCCAATTAATCCGCTCTGGTGCACAGTACCCACAAATATCTGTAGATATCAACCAGAGAAACCCAAGAAGTCAATAATGTGAGGCCACAATCAGGCTGTTCTGTGGAGACACCATACAATTTGCCCATCACAACCCTAAACTCAGAGAGAAAGAAAAAGGGGAAGATCAGGGAGGGTTTAAAAAAAAAGACAAAAACACACAAGCCAACATCCCCCCATCTCTCTGCGCCCCATCCCTTCTTCTGAGAGAAGAGAGCTGAGAGACAAAGGGGTGGCCAGTGCTCCTAGCAGAATCTCCTGAGGGCAGAGGGTCCCCCTTTTGTCCCTCTCTCCTCCCTTACATTCTCCTTCCCAGCTCTTTGACACTAGCTGGCTTTGTCTTCTGGAATAAAGCCTGTACAAAATGAGCTATTATACCAGATTCCCCTCAGACGACCCCAGCCCTCATTTCAAACGCTGTTGCCTTGCACCTGGGCCACAGGACTGAACATTAGTGCTGCATCCTTTCCCAGCACTTCAGGAATAAATAGTGCATGCAGGAGACCAAAGCATAAATGTAGGAGGCTAAGGCATTGCTACCTGTTTTCTTCTTGCAGGCTTTATGATGCTTTATCACTCTGTCAAGCTCTGAACCCACTCTTTGTCAAACCCCTGCAACCTTTCCATTCTGTGTAAAATAACACACACAATGAGGGCTTAATCTTTCCTTGTACACCTATATCAGGGACCTTACTTGTCTATTCCAAATTCTAAGGACCTGCAGTTACTTGCAGGAAGATTAGTGAGATGAAAGAATGAGGTCATTCTTGAGCAGTAAGCCTTGGGCTGGACTCATCAATAAAATACCAAAAAGCAGCTCATCCAATGCAGGGAGCTCAGACACAGGGAGAGGAAGGCAGGTAGAGACAGGCACAGTCCATCAAGCACCTCTGCTGCTGCAATCCCAGGCGCTTTGGGGAGAGCAACCTGAAGGAAACAGTTGCATGAAGCAGCACAAGGAGGCGCCAGGAATCCTCCTCCATTACACAGGGATAAAGACTGGCCATTTGCTTCCACAAGCCCCGCCAAAGCTACACCACCATGCAGTTCCCTGTGGACAACAATTCCGCTGTTGAGCAGAATTGAGCCATTAATGCAAAGCCATGCTTATGTTTAATTTCCAACCATTCATTAACTGTGTATCTCCAAAATCTCAGTTCCAAGCATCCCGATTTCCAACCTCCACTTCCCACTCACGTGCCTGAGAAAATCAGTGTAAGCAATACTTTGATACCTACTAAATTCCTGTTCTTTGAGCATTTATTTTTATCTTGTTTTCACTTCTTCCTAGCTTCACCTCTCTTCCTACTCCATACATATCACTTCAGCCCAGTGCATCCACATATGGTCTCTCCCTCCTGTTTTCTGTTTATCCCAGCCCTGAAACTCAGACAGGCTGAAGAAAAGCAGGCAACTCTGCATGTGTTTTAAGTTTGCATAACTTTTTCTATTGCAATAAAATACACATAATATAAAATTACCATTGTAACCACTTTTACGTGTACATTTTATTGGCATTAAGCACGTATATACTGTTAATGCATCTTCAGATGTGTAGCTTCCATCATCTTCAGAACACATTTCATCTTGTAAAACTGAAACTCTGTACCCATTAAACAATAACTCCCCATTCTCTTCTCCCCATAGTCCTTGACAGCCACCATTCTATTTTCTGTTTCTATGACTTTGTCAGAGTACTCTAAAGTACCTCCTTAAACAGAATGAGACAATATTTGTCTTTTTGTGACTGGCTTATTTCACTTAGTGTAATGCCCTTGAGGCTCATCAATGTTGTACCATACTTCAGCATTTTCCTCCTTTTTAAGCTTGAATGGTATTCCAGCGTATGTATACACCATATTTTATTTATCTATTTGGCTTTCTGTGTACACTTGGGTTGCTTCCATATTTAAGAGATTGTGAATAACACTGCTATGACCACGGGTGTACCAGTATATTTTTGAGAGCATGCTTTTAGTTCTTTTGGGCATATGCCAAGAAGGGGAATTACTTGATGACGTGTAATCTTATTTTTATTTTTTGATGAACTGCTGGACTGCTCTCCACAGCAGCTGTACCATTTTACATTCCCACCAACGCTGTGCAAGGCTTCCACGTCTCAACATTTTCACCAACACTTTTCTGTTTTTTTAATTTCATAGTAGTCATCCTAATGGGTATAACGTGGTATTTTATTGTAGTTTTAGTTTGCATTTCGCCAATTAGTGATGTTCAACTGTGGTTTTTAACTTCACTTTTAAATTATAATCACAGACTTCTGCAGGGGTTCTGACAGAGTGAATAATTCTGGACATGTACTACTCCCTTTTAAAAACAAGAACTTTGGTCAAAATGTATGAAACAATGGGTCTCAGACATTGAACAACAATTTTCAATATATGTAAGAGGATTGAAATCCTACAAAGCATGTTTTCCAATATAAACAGTATTAAACTGAAAATTAGTATAAGAAAGAAGTGTTGAAATCCTCCTCAATATTTGGATATTTTACAACAAAGTGTGAATGACCCATGTGTCAAAAAGGAAAACAAGAGAAAAAGAAAGGTAAGATGATACGGGTAAGAATTGTAACAACCTCCCCCATTTCTTTTTGCCCAGATCCCTCAGAAAAGCAGAGGAATCTACCAAGTGGAAGCCCCCTTTTGGCCTTTCTGATGGTGTGCACTTTATCAAAGTATATAAGCTAGCCCTTCACCCTCATCTTCTCTCATTTTAGACAACACCTTTCAAATTCCTGTTCCAAGTACTCCAACAGGTGATATGTACATTTGATGTGAAATATTTTTAACTGTTGGGCACCATGGGCTGTAAGCATGTTCCCTGTTCTGAAAAAAAGTAACTTAGTAGTCCACATTGGTATAGTACTTTGATTTCATACAAGTGTTTGGAGCATTTGCATCCACCACTAGGCTGTATGCAAAGCACACTTGAGTCTCTATTCCTTTCAGGACTCTTACATAGTCCCCTGGAACTACAGTGTGGTAAGACATAGTCTTGCTTGCCAGCTATGTGTGAGACCTTCCCTTACCCCCGACCACCAGGGAATCTACCCCATAGCCATCTACAGTCTTGGGTCTATCTTGTCGCTAGACAGAAAAGTTTTCGTTGTCATTTTGTGCCTCGAAGAGTGCAAGAGATGTGTATCAATGATCAGACTATCCATCCCATCTTGTAGCTCCCCTTGTCCACTCATTTCACCCACCAAAGCGGCTAACTCAAGTGAGCCTGCCAGGAAGTCCACTAGTTGGTTCCAATTACCTTTCGATCATGAAGGGGAATTCTTCTCATGGGCATGAATATGTGTCACTTTAACGTGTCCCTTAAATTCACAGAGTGATTTCTATGGAATCACGCCCCATACAAGAATCCCTTTAATAATTCAGTTCTGCATTGCCCATCTTCCTGAACATATGGTAAGGCCAATGCCACTGATAAGTGGGTAAAGACCTAAATATTAAGGTTCTTGCTATTGTTCAACTATTTCATCTCTACAAAAAAAAAAAAAAAACATGAAATTATGACTACTCACCTGCTTTGTTCTTATCGTCAATCAGGGTTTTTTCAACAGTTGGTCATAGTGTGGCAGCCTTCCAAACAGGATATTGTCCATTCACCTTGGAACGACCATTTGTAAACGAAATAGGTTTCTGTTGGCCAATCAAGTGCTGTTTACTGTGTGTCCAGAATTGGTTCCTTCCAGTGGGTTCTTTCTCTCGCTGACTTCAAGAATGAGGCCACAGACCCTCGCGCTGAGTGGTACAGTTCTTAAACACGGCATGTCCGGAGTTTGTTCCTTCAGATGTTCAGGTGTGTCCAATGTTTCTTCCTTCTGGTGGTTTCGTGGTCTCATTGACTTCAGGAGAGAAGCCACACACCTTCACAGTGAGTGTTACAGCTCTTAAAAGTAGTGTGGACCCAAAGGGTGAGCTACACCAAGATTTATCACGAAGAGCGAAGGAACAAAGCTTCCATCCGTTGACGGTAACCCCAGCGGCTTGTCAGGGCTGGCTCAGGTGGCCAGCTTTTATTCCCTTATTTGGCCCCACCCACATCCTGCTGATTGGTCCATTTTACAGAGGGCTGATTGGTCCATTTTACAGAGTGCTGATTGGTCCATTTTTACAGAGTGCTGATTGGTGCATTTACAAACCTTTAGCTAGACACAGAGTGCTCACTGGTGCATTTACAATCCTTTAGCTAGACAGAAAAGTTCTCCAAGTTTCCACTCCACCCAGAAGCCCATCCGGCTTCACCTCTCAATAGGGCACCACTCATGTGGCAATAAAATCTGGCAGCTCCTTAGTTGTTCCAAATTTGGCCCTAGAGGAAAACAGGCTACATGTCCATGAATCTGATGAGTAGTGCCTTCTTGTATTCTTCTGAATGCATAAACCTGTTTCAATCAGTTTCATTTTATTATGGAGCTCTTCTGGGCACTCTGTTCCGTGTTAGACCATTTCCCTGATGTTATCCAAGACATTATGGTATTTCAAGTTTCAAGATTATTTTATGCCCCTTATTCATAGAGGGTGGCTCCAATTGATGTCTAATAGCAAGCCAATAATTGTCTCTCAAATGGTGTTAATGTATCATTATGTGTGGAAATTTTATGGCCCCAAATCCTAACAATCACTGGTGAGTGACACCAACAGGCTTTGGCCATAAACTCTAGTCTGCATGAATGCAAGTTGTAGATACTTCCAAAATTATATCTGAATGCAGATCATAAGGTTCCAAAGGGATTGTGTGAACCACCATTTTTGCAGTTCATACATACCTACTATTGTTTGGTTCCCAATTTCAAATTTTTCCTTTCTGGGGTAATTTTATGTATAAGAGCTAGCAATATTCTTGGATTGCAACATGCATCATCCAATATCCAAACAACCCAACCAGATGTTGTGCTTATTCCTTAATTACAGCAGGTAGACAGTGACAAGGGTATCGTTTGGATGTTTCACCCCTCCAAACCTCACATTGATATTTGTTTCCCAGTGTTGGAGGTGGGGCCTAATGGCAGGTGTTCAGGCTATGGAGTGGATCCCTCATGAATACCGCAATGCCCTCCCTAGGGGTGAGTGAGTTCTCGCTTTATTAGTTCCCAGGAAAGCTAGTTGTTAAAAAGAGCTGGACATCTCCCCTGACCACCCCTTGGCTTCTCTGTTGCCATGTAATCTCTGCACACGCTGGTTCCAATTTGTCTTCCACCATGAATGGAAGCAGCCTCAAGCCCATACCCAGAAGCAAATGCTGGCACCATGCTTCCTGTATGTCTTGCAGAACTGTGAGCCAAATAAACCTCTTTTCTTTACAAATTACTCAGCCTTGAGTATTCCTTTGTAGCAACACACATACACACACAAAAACACAGACAATATATTATTTTTTGTTGCCTGTGGTATGCCACAGGTGGCCCCTGCTAAGGTTATTCTTAAGAATTTCATGACTCAGGCAGGCCCTTTGATTTTTGCTGGATTTATCAACCATCCTATGTTAGTCATGCATGCCACCACTGTATTTAGTCAGTCCTATCTTCTTTGGTTTCAAATATTATCACGATATCATCAGTGTGTTTTATCATCATGCTTAGGATCTGTATCAAGTCCCAGGTATCTTTTAGCCAAATTAAATGAGCAATCTTGTAAATTTCCATAACCCTGTGGCAAAACAATACATGCAAATTGGATCCTCATTTTCACATGAAGGAAAACTGTGATTGACTCTTTCTGAGATTGGAAGTAAAAACAAATCTTAAAAATCAATCACTGAGGGCCAGGCATGGTGGTTCATGCTTGTAATCCAAACACTTTGGGAGGCCGAGGTGGGTGGATCACTTGAAGCCAGGAGTTTGAGACCAGCCTGGCCAACATGGTGAAGCCCTGTCTCTACTAAAATACAAAAATTAGCTGCGTGTGGTAACAGGTACCTGAAATCCCTGCTACTTGGGAAGCTGAGGCAGGAGAATCACTTGAACTCAGGAGGCAGAGGTTGCAGTGAGCCAAGGTTGCACCACTGCACTAGAGCCTGGGAGACACAGCAAGACTCTATCTCAAAAAAATAAATAATAAAATAAAAATAAAAATCGAGTACCAGTCTCTTTGGATGTGTATGTGTGGGTGTGTGTATGTGTGTGCACATGCATGTGTGTGTTGCCATTGAAACCATATCAGTGACTGCTAATATTGTAGGTAGTATTGCCTTATTCAAGCCTTGATAATCTATTGTTAGTTTCCATGAGCCTTCCAGTTTCTGGGAAACCATTCAGTATCCACATAGGGATACTGTATAGAGAATTTTTTGGTACCAGTTCTTCAGCTGCTAAAATGACATTAATTAAAATGGTAATCTCTGCTGGGTGCGGTGGCTCACACCTGTAATCCCAGCACTTTGGGAGGCCGAGGCCGGGGTGGGTGGATCATGAGGTCAGGAGATTGAGACCATCCTGGCTAACACGACGAAACCCCGTCTCTGCTAAAAATACAAAAAAAAAAAAAAAAAAATAGACAGGTGTGGTGGCAGGCGCCTGTAGTCCCAGCTACTCGGAAGGCTGAGACAGGAGAATGGCGTGAACCCAGGAGGCGGAGCTTACAGTGAGCCGAGATCGCGCCACTGCACTCCAGCCTGGGTGACAGAGTGAGACTCTGTCTCAAAAGAAAAAAAAAAAAAAAGTGGTAATCTCATTTTTTTCAACTAGTTTTTTACTCTTCCACATTTTTTACTCTTTCAAATTAACTACCCATGTGAGTTTAGACAGTTTTATTAGTTCTCATTTAGAAAATCTGATTAATACTGACTGAGGGGAGAACTTACATGCCTTCTGTATTACAATTCTAGATAGGGTAACTATCCTTTCAGTCAGATATGTTATTCACATCAATATTACATTCAGGTAAAGGAGATACAATCAGTTTTTCACATACAATCTGTTCATACTTCAATTTTTATTCAAACTTTTAACTTAACAGTATCAACTGCTGCATCCCCATATTTTCCCTAACTTTAACTTCTTGTGATAGTTCAACCATTGGTTTTGAAATCACAGTGCAGTAGGCTTTTGTGTCAAGGAGCCCCCAAATGAGCTCTTCTCCACCCCTTGGCCATTTTATCCACACATGGGTATATGGCTCCAATCCAAACCACAAGAGAGCTGCTCTACCCACATGAGCACTAACACTAGCATGGGCAGTGGACTGGAGACCTTGCAAGCGCATTACACCAGAAAAGGAACTTGTGTTGACTCACTCATACCCAGAGATCTAAGTGGCTTCAGCAGGGTGCCATAGTGAGAGCAAAGCAATTATGGGACTGTATTCTTTCCTGGGAACCACGGCTCCCATATATCCACATCCTGGATCTCCCACTGACATACTTCAGTGTCCACAGAGAGGACCTTAGTGGGCACAGCACTAACTGGACCCAAAGGTTCTGTAATTGCTGCGCTAACCCCAGTAATCTAGCTCACAGGGAGCACTACTCATGGGGGAAAGGATGGCACAGTGCATCAAAAAGATGGCCCCTGAGACAAAGAAAATCACAGTACACACTTTCCAGAGCATGAGCACTCCCTGTCTGGGTCTGTGAAAAGCGACTCCACCCCCAGTCATAGCACAAAGTCTGTTCTTGGCCTCACTGGCTGAGAGTGAGATCCCCTCCCACCAGCAGAGGACTCTTTGCTCAGGCTCATACATGGAGAGCAGGGTCCCTCCTCCTGCTCTGCACACTGCTGCACCTGAAGCTACTTCTGTGCTGCTGGAGGCTGGGACAAGCAAGCCAGAGGGTTGCCTGTCTAGGGCTGTGAGTGGTGACTGCATCCCCACTGGCAGCATGGTGTCCATGCTCAGGATAACGTGTGAAGAACAGAGCCCCTCTCTGCTGTGTGTGGTGCTGTGGTGCTGTTGCCACCAAAAGCAGATTAACTTGAGAGCTGAACCTCTGGGGTTGTGGGCGGTGGCCCCAAATCACAGCCACTGCCAACACCAAGGCCACTCAAGACCCAAAGCATTTTCCAACTAGTGCTATTGACATTGCTCACAACACACCGACTTCCCAGAGACTCGAGAACCTGCTTATCTGCCAAGCCAATTGCCGCCACTACCAGCACCCAAGCAAGACACCAGGAGGCTGAAGAATTGGCCAACCTGGTCCTATTAATACCAGTGCAAGTATACCCAGTCCTGGTGCCCAAGAACAAGCATTTCGGCCCAATGCATGAAGACTGGCCCACCTGGCATCCTTGTTCCAACTCTCCACCCATGAGGCCAAGAAGAGGCTTTGTACTATGACTGGAGGTGGAGTCACTTTTCACAGACCCAGACAGGAAGTGCTCATGCTCTGGAAAGTATGTGTTATGATTTCCATTGTCTCAGGAGCCACCTTTTTGATGCACTGTGCCATCCTTTCCTCCAGGAGTAGTGCTCCCTATGAGTTAGATTACTGGGGACAGCACAGTGATAACTTACACTGGTAATCACACCTAAATCAGCAGGGAAATCACATATACCACCGACGCTGCTTACAGCCTAATAAATTATATGGAGACTATACTACAGTGTATACCTGGAATCAAATCTAGAGAGCCTACCCAACCAACACCATTGGTACATCTTCAGGAAGAAGTTCTTGCCTTTGAAGGCATATTCAAAAAATTGAAAGAAGTGACGATTACACCAGTTGCACAGATATCAATGTAAAAACATATGAAACATAAAAACGCAAGAAAATTTCCATTTAACCCTCAAAGGAACAGAGCAATTCTCCAGCAACAGATTCCAATCAAAAAGAAATTCACAAAATCCTAAACAAAAAAATAAAAAATTATGATAATAAAGAAGTTCAATGAGATACAAGAGAATTCCATAAAAACAATACAAAGAAATTGCAAAAAAAATCAGGATATGCACAATAAATTTATCATAGAGATAGATATCATGAAAAAGAAGCAAACAAATTCTGGGACTGAAGAATTCCTTAATTCTTTGTTGCCTGGGCAACAAAGCAAGACTCTGTCTCAAAAAAAATTAAAAAAAAGAAATGTGCAAGGGAGTCCTAAGCTTGGAAGTAAAAGGACAGCAGTTAGCATCATGAAAACACATGAAAATATAAAACTTACTGGTAAAGGAAATGCACAAATGAGGAAAAGAAATTATGCAAACTACCACAGACTCTCAGCAAACAAAAAGGACAATAAATAATAGAAAAGGAAAGAAACAAAAAATACAGAAAACAAATGGGAAAAAAGTAGCATTTTAACAGGAACAAAACCTCATGTCAATAATATCCTTAAATTTAAATAGATTAAATTCTCCACTTAAAAATATAGTCTGGCTGAATGGATTTTTTAAAAAGTTCCAATATATGCTGCCTATAAGAAATGCAGTATACCTCTAAAGACATAAATAAACTGAAAGTAAAGGCATGTAATAAGATGTCCCACACAAATGGAAACCAAAAGCCAGCAGGAATAGCTATACTTAGATAACAGGCTTTAAGTCAAAAACAGTAAACACACACACAAACATACCCACACAAAAAGTCATTATATAATTAAAGAATCAATGCATTAAGAGGATATGACAATTCTAAATATATTGAACACAACACTGGAATACTCAGATTCATAAAGCAAATATTACTAGAACTACACCTAAAAAGACATATAGACTCCAGTAAAATAATATTGGGGCACTTTTAACTCATTCTCAGCATTAGGCAGAAAATCAAGAATGAAACATCAGATGTAAACTGGACTTTAGTCCAAATATACCTTGCAGACATAAACAGAACATTTTATCCAAAAAAAAAAGGCAGAATATACATTCTTATAACTAGAGCATGGACAATTCTCCAGGATTGACCAAATATGCTCCTCCATACTATAGCATTAAAAATCAAGGCAACTGCTCCTGAGTTAGTCATGTCACAATTCATTTTAATAAAGGTTCTTCAAAAAGTTAGTTATATTGAGGTACAAAATGAGACAAATTCTTTGTACTGTAGTCTTTCCTTTCAGTTCCTTCTTAGGTTTGCTCCCTATCCCCAATCTGGACTACCATCTTGCTAATCAGAGGTCATAGAGGTGATATTTGCTGTTCCGGAATAGTTTTTCCTTGGAAGCAACAATAAAGCTAGTGGCAATAGCTAGGACTGGCCACAATCCAAGCTTGGTGCAGGTCCAGGATCTGCTGAAACACTCCTCTTTTATTTTAGCTATCTTAGATAAAAATGGCCACATAATAGTATATGTAGCATGTATTTTCATTACTCTACATTTCTCTAGGGATCCAGTGAGCCAACTCTTAAATAGTTGGTTGTATCATTTCTAAATCATCTTGGTAAAAGTTTACCTCCAATTACCAATCACAATGCAGCTTCTGTATCTTACAGTGGGTGACGTGATAGCCATCCATGCATCAGAAGTGTTTAATTTCCTGGCCTGTTATTTTTCCTTTAACCAAAAAAAAAAAAAAAGAAGAAGAAGAAGAATACATCCATCATATTTCAGTGGGTCAGAGTCAGCCTTGAGACTCCCCCATATGGAACCATCTCGTGAACTGGGTTACCAAGACCATCCTCGGGCTCCATGATTCACTAGAAGAACTCACAGAACTCAGAAAAGCTGTTACACTCACAGTTATGGTTTATTACAGTGAAAGGAAACATTAAAATCAGCCAAAGAAAACACACATGGAACAAAGTCCAGGATAAACCAGATGGAAGCTACCAGTTGTCCTCACCCAGTGGAGTCTCATGGTTGTACTTTATTCTCCCAGCAACAACATGTGATAACACATGTGACATGTTGTCACGGAGAAACACTCATGTAAGTATCAAGTCAAGGATTTTTATTGAGGGTCACTTCCATTGACATGCGGGACCTGCATGACTAATCATGGCTACTCAAACTACAGCTGCCCAGAGCACAATAAGACATTCACCATAAAACATGTTGTTAGCCTAACCAATCTAATCAAATTAGTATCGTGTGGTCTGAGGACTCAGGCCTTAGAAAAACACTCTTATCAGCTGGGCGCGGTGGCTCACGCCTGTAATCCCAGCATGTTGGGAGGCTGAGGCGGGTGGATTACAAGGTCAGGAGATCGAGACCATACTGGCTAACACGGTGAAACCCCGTCTCTACTACAAAACACAAAAAATTAGCCAGGAGTGGTGGCGGGCACCTGTAGTCCCGGCTACTTGGAAGGCTGAGGCAGGAGAATGGTGTGAACCCGGGAGGTGGAGCTTGCAGTGAGCTGAGATAGTGCCACTGCACTCCAGCCTGGGCGACAGAGTGAGACTCCATCTCAAAAAAAAAAGAAAAAAGAGAAAAAGAAAAACACTCTTATTAGGCAGAGCGCTGCAAAGACTTAGAGAGCTCATCTCCCATGATCAGGCTGTGGGGCAGTTCAGAAAGCCTAGCCTTTCTTGGAAATATTCAGAGTTGAGCAGCCCAGGCATAATGGGTTAACCTTTTCCTGCACACACCCTAATAGTTTTATGAATGCATCATTACCTCAATATAAAAATCAGACCTTACAGAAATGTAAAAGTAAAGAAAATTGCACAGCAGCTTTTCTCATGAACATGCAAGCAAAATATTTAATAAAATATTACTTAATTTAATTCATAAATATTTCAAATTTCTAACATACCAGGACTAAGTAGGATTTACCTCCAAAACGTAAGGTGATTTTCACACCTAAAAATAAATAAATGTAATTTACCACATAACAATAATATATAATGAATGAAAAAATAGAATCATATCAGTAAATGCGGAAAATTTATTTGACATATCCAAAGTCATTTTTGATCAAACCTGTTAACAAGTTAGGAGTAAAAGAGGACTTCTTTAACCTGATAAAAACCACCTATGAAAAACCTGCTGATAGCATCATACCTAATAAAGACTTAATGTTTTCCCCTTAAGATGAGAAATACAACAAGGGTGTCCTTTCTCACCTACAGTTAGTCTACATTGTAGTCAAGGTCCTAGTCACTGCAATCAAGCAAAAAAAAAAAGTCATAACGATTAGAATATAAGGGGTAAAACTGCCTTTATGTTTACATAAAATGTTTATCTCTGTAGAGAATCTTCCTCTAAGGAATGTACAAAAACTAATAAAATTAATAAGTGAGTTTAACAAGCCACATAATCCAAAAATGTTTAAAAATAAAGTTTATATCTATACGTTACCATTGAAAAATTGGAAAGTATAATTTAAATATAATTTAGAATGGCATTAAATATATATGTATATATTTAAAATCCTTAGTAGCAAATTTAACAAGGTATGTGCAAGAGTTCTGTGCTGAAAACTGCAACATATTGCTGAGATAAACTAAGAATTACCTACATAAGTTAATGGATGTGAAGACTAAGTTTTACTAAAATGTCACTTCTCGGAAATAGATCTGTAGATACAATGTAATGTCTCTACTAAAATGATTATAAATCTGTGTTGATGATATTGCAATGTATAAATATGTAATTTGTATGATAATAACAGCATTAATTAGGGGGAGGGAACAGATCCATAAAGTAGCAAAGTTCTTGCATACAATTGAAATTAAGTTGGTTTTAATCTACAATAGATTTTGATAAATTAAGCTGTTAATTATAATTCTCAAGGGTACCATTAAGAAAACAATTGAATCACGAGGTCAAGAAATCAAGACCATCCTAGCCAACATGGTGAAACCCCGTCTCTACTAAAAATACAGAATTTAGCTGGGTGCGGTGGTGTGTGCCTGTAATCCCAGTTACTCAGGAGGCTGAGGCAGGAGAATCGCTTGAACCCAGGAGGTGGAGGTTGAAGTCAGCCGAGATGGCGCCACTGCACTCCAGCCTGGCAATGGAGCAAGACTTCATCTCAAATAATAATAATAATAGTTTAAATATATATTGTCAAAGAAAAGATAAAATAGATTAAAGACTTAACTGTATGTCCTGAAACAATGAAACTACTAGAAGAAAACATTAGGCACTTTGGGAGGCCAAGGTGGGTGGATCACCTGAGGTCAGGAATTCAAGACCAGCCTGGCCAACATGGCAAAACCTTGTCTCTACTAAAAATACAAAAATTAGCAGGGCGTGGTGGCACGCCCCTGTAATCCTAGATACTTGGAAGGCTGAGGCAGGAGAATCACTTGAACCTGGGAAGCAGAGGTTACAGTGAGCTGAGATTACACCACTGCACTCCAGCCTGGGTTACAGAGCGAAACTCTGTCTCCAAAGAAAACAAAATTAGGGAAACACTCCAAGACATTAGTCTGGGCAAAATGTTCTTGAGGAATACCCCAAAAGTCCAGGCAACCAAAGCAAAAAATAGACAAATAAGATCATATAAAGCCAAAAAGCTTCTGCACAGCAAAGGAAACAATCAAAAAGTGAGGAATGGAATAAAATATTTCCAAGCAAGCCATCTGACAAGGGATTAATAACTAGAATATAAGGGTCTCAAACAACTCAATAGCAAACAAAAAAATTCTCTGATTAAAAACTAGACAAAAGATCTGAAAAGACACTTCTCAAAAGAAGACATACAAATGGCCAACAGTTATTTAAAAATGTTCATCATCACTAATCATGAAAGAAATGCAAAGCAAAATCACAATGAAATATCATCTTACCCCAGGTAAAATGGCTTTGTGTTCAAATAGACAGGCGATAATGAATACTGGCAAGGATGTGGGGAAAAGAGAATCTTCCTATAAAGTTGGTGGGAATGGGCCGGGCGCGGTGGCTCACGCCTGTAATCCCAGCACTTTGGGAGGCCGAGGCGGGCGGATCACGAGGTCAGGAGATCGAGACCATCCCGGCTAAAACGGTGAAACCCCGTCTCTACTAAAAATACAAAAAACTAGCCGGGCGTAGTGGCGGGCGCCTGTAGTCCCAGCTACTTGGGAGGCTGAGGCAGGAGAATGGCGTGAATCCGGGAGGCGGAGCTTGCAGTGAGCGGAGATCGCGCCACTGCACTCCAGCCTGGGCGACAGAGCGAGACTCCGTCTCAAAAAAAAAAAAAAAAAGTTGGTGGGAATGTAAATTAGTACAACCACTATAGAAAACAGTACAAATGTTGTTCTTCAGAAGACTAAAAATGGAACTAGCATATGATCCAGCAATCCAACTACTTGGTATATATCCAAAAGAAATCAAAGCAGTATATCAATGATATACCTGCACTCCTATGTTTATTGCTGCACTGTTGACAATAGCTAAGATATAGAATCAATCAAAGTATTCATCAATGGATGGATTTTAAAATGTGGTGCATATATACAATGAAATATTGTTCATCCATAAAAGAAGAATAAAATCTCATTTGCACCAACATGGATGGAACTGGAGGACATTATGTTAAATGAAATAAGCCAGGAACAGAAAGACAAATGTTGCATATTCTCACTCATACGTTGGAGATAAAAAAAAAATTTGAACACATCTTTGCTATTGTGAACAGTGCCGCAATAAACATACGTGTGCATGTGTCTTTATAGTAGATTTATAATCCTTTGGGTATATACCCAGTAATGGGATTTTTGGGTCAAATGGTATTTCTAGTTCTAGATCCTTGAGGAATTGCCACACTGTCCTCCACAACTGTTGAACCAATTTACACTCTCACCGACAGTGTAGAAGCACTCCCATGTCTCCACACCCTCTCCAGCACCTCCTGTCTCCTGACCCTTTAATGATCACCATTCCAACTGGCATGAGATGGCATCTCACAGTGGCTCTGAAACTGCACGTTCTGCACATGTACCCCAGAACTTAAAGTATAATAATAATAATATAGGATTAAGAAGTATTGGGGCCGGGCATGGTGGTTCACGCCTGTAGTCCCAGCACTTTGGGAGGCTGAAGTGGGTGGATCACGAGGTCCAGAGATGGAGACCATGCTGGCTAACACGATGAAACCCCATCTTTACCAAAAACACACAAAAAAATTAGCCAGGCGTGGTGGCGGGTGCCTGTAATCCCAGCTACTCGGGAGGCTGAGGCAGGAGAATGGCGTGAACCTGGGAGGCAGAGCTTGCAGTGAGCCCAGATCGTGTCACCGCACTCCAGCCTGGGCGACAGAGCAAGACTACGTCTCACAAAAAAAAAAAAAAAAAAAAAAAAAAAGAAGTATTGGAAGGTCACCTGAGGAGCTACACATAATACTTTAGATTACTTAAAATAGACACTGTCAGTACTACAGATAAATTAATGTAACATTTTTAAAGAAAAAAAATTTTTTTTTATCACATGGAGCTGAAGAGTAGAATGATGGTTACCAGAAGCTGGGAAGGAATAGGGAGAGGGGATAAAAAGGGTTACTGAATGGATACAAAAATATAATTAGATCAGAGGAATAACATCTAGTGTTCGGCATTACTATAGGATGATTATAGTTAACAACAATTTATTACATATTTCAAAATAACTAAAAGATTGGAATGTTCCTAATGCAAATAAATGGTACATTTTCTTTATCCATTCATCTGTTGATAGACACTTAGGTTGCTTCCAAATCTTACCCATTGTAAACAGTGCCGCAGCAAACATGGGAGTGCAGATATCTCTTCCATATACTGATTTCTTTTCTTTTTGGTATAAACCCAGCAGTGGGATTGCTGGATCATACGGCAGTTCTATTTTTAGTTTTTTGAGGAACCTCCAAACTGTTCTCCATAGTGGTTGCACTAATTTACATTCCCACAACCAGTGTACAAGCGTTCTCTCTTCTCCACATTTTTGCCATCATTTGTGATTGCCTGTCTTTTGGATATAAGTCATTTTAACTGGAGTGAGATTATATCTCATTGTAGTTTTGATTTGCATTTCACACTGCATGCCTGTATCAAAATATCTCATGTACCCCACAAATATATACACTTAGTATGTACCCTCAAAAATTTTAAAAATAAAAAAATGACTACTCGAGGTGATAGATACCCTAATTACCCTAATTTGAATAAGACACATTATATACTTGTATCAAAATTTCATTTGTAGACCATAAATATGTACAACTATTATGTATACATACAAAATTTAAAATAGAAAAGGCAAGGGAATTAAAATGGTATATTAGAAGTACATATTTAATGCAAAAGAGGTTTTACAAGTTTACAGGAGGAATAGAGGAAAAAGACACGAGACATATATAAATAAATAGCAAATGGGCAGTGACAAATTCTACATTATCAGTAATTCATGAAATGTGAATCAATTAAAAACTCAAATAAAGGGCAGATATTGGATAAATGAATAAAAATAATTACATGCTTTCTACAAGAGACATGCTTTAGATTCAAAAACACAAAGGATTTGGGTTGAAAAGAAAAGGATCAAAAAAGATACATCGAGCAAATAGTACCCAACAATAGAATGCTAAATAAATATTATAAAATTAACCTTTCAAATACAAATTATAATGAGAGAAAAATAAGGGTACTTTATAATAATAAATGTTCAATCTGTCACAAAGATATAACAATTATAAAGATACATTTATCTAACAATGGAGTTCCAAAATACATGAAGCGCAAACTGACTCAATTGAAAAGAGAAATATGTAACTCAGAGATAATGGTCAGAGACCTCAATACCCCACTTTCAGTAATGGACAGAACAATTAGACAGAAAATCAATAAGCGAATAGAGCACTTGAACAACACAATGAACCAAATAGATGTAGCACACATATTGAACACTCCACTGAACAATAACAGAATATCTATTCTTCTCAAGTGCACGTGGAACATTATTCAGGCACAGACCATATGTGAGGCCACAAAATGATGCTCAATAAATATAAAGCCTTATTAAAATCATACAAAGTATGTTCGCCAACAAAAGTGGAATGAATTTAGAAATCAAAGAAACAAGAAAATATGTGAAAGTTACAAATACATGAACACTAAACAACAAACTCCTAAATAAGTGATGTAAAAGAAAAAAAGAAAATTAGAAAATGCTTTGAAATGAAAATGAAAACGCACAATACCAAAATGTAGGACATGCCACAAAATAGTGTTTAGTGGAAAATACGTACCTATAAATACCTATGTGAAAAAAGAAATTCTCAAATGAATAATTTCATCTTCCACCTTAAGATACTAGAATCGGCCTGGTGGGGTGGCTCACACCTGTAATCCCAGCAGTTTGGGAGGCTGAGGCAGGTGGATCACCTGAGGTCAGGAGTTCCAGACTGGCCTGGCCAACATGGTGAAACTCCGTCTCTACAAAACAATACAAAAATTAGCCGGGTGTGGTGGCGTGAGCCTGTAATCTCGGCTACTCAGGAGGCTGAGGCAGGAAAGTCGCTTGAACCTGAGAGGCAGAGGTTGCCGTGAGCCAAGATTGCACCATTGCACTCCAGCCTAGACAACAAGAGTAAAACTCTGTCTCAAAAAAAAAAAAAAAAAGATACTAGAACTAAAGAAAAACAAACTAAAGGCAAAATGTGCAGAAGGAAGTAAATAATAAAGATTAACATGGAAATAAACTATAGAACAGAAAAACAATAGAGCTTATCAAACAAACCAAAATTGGTTTCTGAAAAAATCAAACTTGACAATATTTAGCTAGACTAAGAAAAGAGATGACTCGAATTATTAAAATAAGAAATTATAAGAAATACCTTAAAAAATAAGGACTATATGGGAATACTATGACAAAGTCTACATCAACCTAGGTAACTTGGGTAAGATAAATTGCTAGAGACACACAAACTGCTGGAACTAACTAGAAACCTGGAAAATTTGAATAGACTTCTAAACAGTAAAGACGTTAATTAGTGATAATAATAAAACTTCCCCCAAACAGAAAACCAGGACCAAATATATAGTCAAGAATTCTACTAATGTTTAAAAAATTAATACCAATAAAGTCTTACAAAAATATAGAAGTAGAAACTCTTTGCAGCTCATCCTATGAGACCAGTGTTATGCTAATACTAAAACTAGATAGACATCACAAGAAATTAAAATTGTAGACCAATATATTTTACAAATGGAGAAGTAGAAATCCTCAACAAAATTCTAGGAAGCCAAATCCAGCAACACATAAAATGATTATACGACACGACCAAACAACATTTATCACAATAATGCAAGAGTGGCTCAACACAGACAAATCAATGTAATTCACCATATTCATAGAATAAAGGACAAGATCACATGATACAGAACCATCATTTGACAAAATGCAACACAAATTCATGATAAAAACAGTAAAGAAATTTGGTAAAAATGGAGCTTCTTGAAGCTGATAAATGGCATCTATGAAAAGTCACAGCTACCACCACCAAGACTAAATATTTTTCCCTAAAAATCAGAAAATATACAAGGGATATGCTCTCACCCTTTATATTCATATTGCACTGGAGGTTCTAGCCAGGGAAAGTTGGCAGGAAATTCAATGAAATTCATATATATTGAAAAGGAGGACATAAAACTATTTCTAAGTGTAGATTGCACGGTATCATATACAGAAATTCCTAATGATCCTACAAAAATATTAGAGATGATTTACTAGAGCAAGTTTGCAAACTGCAAAAGATCAATATTAAAAAAAACAGTTATATATAATAAACAATCCAGAGAGGAAATTAAGAAAACAATTATATTTACAATGTCAAAAATAAATACTTACGAATAAATTTAACAGAAGAAGTACACCACTTGCATGCTGAAAACTACAAAACATCATTAAAAGAAATTCAGAAGAATAGCATTGATTTTGTAAATTGTTTTTGACAGTATAGCCATTTTAATGATATTGATTCTTCTAATACATGAACATAGAATATTTTTTCTATTTGTTTTTGTCATCTCTGATTTCTTTCAACATTGTTTTGTAATTCTCCTTGTAGAAATCTTTCACTTCCTTGGTTACCTGTATTCCTAGGTTTTTTTGTGTGTGGCTATTATAAATGGGATTGCATTCTTGTTAACTACCACTGGATTCAGCAATCCCACTCCTGGGTACATATCCAGAGGAAAATGAGTCAGCCTACCAAAAATACACTTGCACCTGTATGTCCATCACAGTGCTATTCAAAATAGCAGAAATGGAATCAACCCAGGTGCCTATCAGTGGTGGATTGGATAAAGAAAATGTAGCATATATACATCATGGAATACTATACAGCCATAAAAGAAGAATGAAATTTGCAGAAACATGGATGCAACTGGAAACCATTATTGTAACCATTTCCAGAAACAGAAAACCAACCAGCACGTGTTTTCAATTATAAGTAGGAGCTAAATAATGGGTACATATAGTCATAAACATGGGAATGATAGATACTGGGGAATACAAGATGGAGGAGGGAGGGGTTAAGTATTGAAAAAACCTACGTATTGCGTACTGTGCTTACGACCCGGATGATTGATTCATTCATACCAAACTTCAGCGTCACAAAATATTTTCCTTTGTGGCAAACCTGCACATTTACCCCCAATTCTAAAATAAAATCTGAAAAAAGAAATTGACAAATATTTAACTAAATGGAAAGATAATCCATGTTCATTGATTGAAAAAATTCATATTTTTAAGATGCTGCTACGGTTTGAAGGTCTCCTCCCAAAGTTCATGTTTTGAAAACTTAACCCCCAGTGAAATAGTGTTGGGATGGGCAATATAGTAAGAAACAAATGAATCATGAGTGTTCATCATCATTAATGGATTAATGTATTTATTGCAGGAGTGGGTTAGTTATCATGACAATGGATTGTTACACAGCAAGTCAGTCCCTGATGCTGTTTTCTCAGTCTTACGTTCTCACTTGCCCGTCCATCATGCTATGATGCAGCATAAAGGCCCTCAACAGGTGCCAATGCCATGCTCTTTGACTTCTCAGCCTCCAGAACTAAGAGCTGAATGAATTTCTTTCTTTGTAAATTACCCAGTCTGTGGTGCTCTGTTACAGCAACAGAAATTGACTAAAATAGATTAAAGCACTCCCCCAAATAAATCTTTAGATTCAACACAATCCCTACCAAAATCCATGCTGGCCTTTTTTTCTCACAAATTGACAGGCTAATTATTTTCTCACAAATTGACAGGCTAATTCAAAGTTCTTATAGAAGGAGCTGATAATAGCCAAAAAATCCTGAAAAGCAACAAAATTGAAGGACTCACATTTTCTAATACTAAAATTTTCTACATGGTAATCAATAGACCGTAGTATTCACATGAGTGTAGACAAAGACCTGAGGGAACAGAAATAAACTTACGATCTGAGGACAATTTATTTGTAACACAAGTTCCAAAACAATTCAATGGGTTAAATAATAGTGTTTTCAAAAAGTTGTTCCAGAAAACTGTATATTCAGATGAAAAAGAATAAAATTGGAGCTCTCAATCAACTGAATCTTGACCAAACAATAAATATAACCACTAAGAGATAAATCTCAAAACAAAACAATCCTCAACCTAAAATAAATAATAAATAAATAAATAACTAATAGAAGAAAAAGTAGCTGTAAATCTTCATTTTCTTGGATTAGGCAAGGTCACATGTGGTCATAGGTCACAGATATGACATCAAAAGCACAAGTGACAAAAAAGGATAAATTAAACATCATGAACTTGTGATTTTAAATGCACTATCAGGCTGAGAGTGGTGGCTCGCCCTTGTAATCTCAGCACTTTGGGAGGCCGAAGTGGGAGGGTTCTTGGTGGAGGAGGGAATTAGTAGTGACTGATAATGGGTATGTGCTTTTTTTTTTTTTTTCTTTTGAGACAGAATCTTACTCTGTAGCCCAGGCTGGAGTGCAGTGGGGCCGTCTCAGCTCACAGCAATCTCCGTCTCCCAGTTTCAAATGATTCTCCTGCCTCAGCCTCTGGAGTAGCTGGGACTACAGGCAGGCGCCACCACCCTCGGCTGATTTTTGTATTTTTAGTGGAGACGGGCTTTTGCCATGTTGCCCAGGCTGGTCTCGAACTCCCGACCTCAGGTGATCCACCCATCTTGGCCTCCCAAAGTGTTGGCATTACAGGCTTGAGCCACCACGCCCAGCCATGTGTGTGTGCTTTCATTCTGGGGTAATGAAAATGTTCTGGAACTAGACAGTAGTGATGGTTGTACGAATTTGCAAATATATTAAAAACCACTGAATTGTACACTCTAAAAGGATAATTGTTATAGTATTTGAGTCGTATCTCAATAAAAAAGAGTATGTGATAGTGGCAGAAGGATAGATGATTGGTTGATCAAACACAATAGAGAACTTAAAAACATACCCCCTCATCACTGTGGCCATATTTGACAAAAGAGCAAAAGTAATTCAATGGAAAAATAGAAGTCTTTTCAACAAATAGTATGAGAGCAATTGAACATCCATAGATGGAACAATGAACCTTGATCTAACTCACAATTTATCCAAAAATGACATCATAATGGACTGCAGAATTAAAAGTAAGTGTAAAATTTTAGAAAAAGCATAGGAGAAAATTTTCAGAATATCCAACTAGAAAAAGAGTTCTTAAACCAAAAGCAAAATCTATAAAAGGAGAAATTATGTGAAATTTTATTAAAATTATAATTATCATTATTTTTGCTCTGTGAATGGCCCTGTTAAGAGCATAAACAGACTACAAAACAGACAGGGCAAAAATATTTGTAAACAACATGTCCGACAAAAGATTCATATCAAGAATATATATAAAGTCAGGAAACAACAGGTGCTGGAGAGGATGTGGAGAAATAGGAACACGTTTACACTGTTGGTGGGACTGTAAACTAGTTCAACCATTGTGGAAGTCAGTGTGGCAATTCCTCAGGGATCTAGAACTGGAAATACCACTTGACCCAGCCATCCCATTACTGGGTATATACCCAAAGGACTATAAATCATGCTGCTATAAAGACACATGCACACATATGTTTATTGTGGCATTATTCACAATAGCAAAGACTTGGAACCAACCCAAATGTCCAACAATGATAGACTGGATTAAGAAAATGTGGCACATATACACCATGGAATACTATGCAGCCATAAAAAATGATGAGTTCATGTCCTTTGTAGGGACATGGATGAAATTGGAAATCATCATTCTCAGTAAACTATCACAAGAACAAAAAACCAAACACCGCATATTCTCACTCATAGGTGGGAACTGAACAATGAGAACACATGGACACAGGAAGGGGAACATCACACTCTGGGGACTGTTGTGGGGTGGGGGGAGGCGGGAGGGATAGCATTGGGAGATATACCTAATGCTAGATGATGAGTTAGTGGGTGCAGCGCACCAGCATGGCACATGTATACATATGTAACTAACCTGCACAATGTGCACATGTACCCTAAAACTTAAAGTATAATAATAAAAAAAAGACAAAAATATATATATATAAAGAACTCTCAAAATTCAAAAGTAAAAACAAAAAATAAGAAAAAATGCCCAAAATACATGAAGAGACATTTCACTAAAGAAGGTATATAGATAGAAAATAAGCACATAAAAAGATAGTTAGCATCATTACCTGTGAAGAAAATGCAAGTTAAAACCACAATGAGGCCGGGCATGGTGGCTCACACCTATAATCCCAGCACTTTGGAAGGCTGACAATTGCCTGAGCCCAGGAGTTGGAGAGCAGCCTGAGCAACATGATGAGATGCTATTTCTTTTTTTTTCTTTTTTTTTCTTTTTTTTTTCAGACGGAGTCTCGCTCTGTTGCCCAGGCTGGAGTGCAGTGGCGCGATCTCTGCTCACTGCAAGCTCCGCCTCCCGGGTTCACACCATTCTCCTGCCTCAGCCTCCCGAGTAGCTGGGACCACAGGCGCCCACCACCACACCCAGCTAATTTTTTGTATTTTTAGTAGAGACGGGGTTTCGAGATGCTATTTCTATAAAAAAATACAAAAATCAGTCAGGCATGGTGGTGTGCACCTGTAGTCCCAGCTACTCAGGAGCGACCAGCCTGGGCAACATCGTGAGATTGTGTCTCTACAAAAAGTAAAAAAATAAAATGAAATGCACTATCAAAAAGTGAACAGATGACCTGGGCATGGTGGCTTGTGCCTCTAATCACTTGAGAGGATCGCTTGAGCCTGGAAAGTCGAGTCCGCAGTGTGCCGTGATCGCGCCACTGCACTCCGGTCTGGGTGACAGTGAGTCTTTGTCTCAAAAACAAAACAAACATACAAACGAAAAAACACAATTGGATACCATGACACATTTGTTCAAAATTGCGAAGAAAAAAGTGACAATGCAAAATGCAGAGAAACTGAATCATTGTCCCATGCTGTTAGGAAAAAAATACATACAGCAGCCCCTAAACATAGAACTACCATATAATCTAGGCATTATACTCTTGGTAAGTTATCCCTAGAGAGATGAAGACTTCGGGTTTGCACCAAAACTTATCCATGAATGTTTATAGCATATTTATTCATAATAAGTCCCAGACTTAAAACAAGCCAAATACCTTCAACTGGTGCCTGATTAAACCAACCATGGTACCTGCACTTCCTGAACTATTCAGCAGTTAAAAGGAATCAAGTATTGATACATACAACAGCCAGCATGGATAATCTCTAGACGATTATTCTGAGTGAAAAAAGCCAAATTCAAATGTTAGACATTCTATGATTCTCTTTATATAAAATCCTCGAAATGACAAAATTATAGAAATGGAGAGCAGATTAGTGGTTGCTTGTGGTTACAAATGCATTGGGCATGCAGTGAGTGGGGGTGGCTATAAAGGGTGCTGTGGAGGTCCTTGTGGTGATGGGGCTATTCTGCATCTTGGCAGTATCAGCGTCAGTGTTCTTGTGACACTGTACTAGAAATTTTGTAAGGTTATGATACTGGGAAAAACTGAGTGAAAGTACACAGGATCCTTCAGCATTACTCCTTATAACTTCCTGTAAATATACAATTATTGCAAAATTTGGAGTTAAAATCATTTCTATTTCTATACACTAGCATTAAAAACTTGGAAAATAAAATATTAAATAAGCCACACTATTTACAATAGCATCCCAAAATGTGACATACTTAGGGATAAATTTAACAAAACATGAGGCTAACCCACTGACAATGACCCATTCAAATTGTTCCTGGCAAAAATATGCAGCACACCTTTGGCAGCCTGTCCAGATCCACAGGTTCAGGCCTACATCTGGATATTGGAGAAAGGGAGCCGCGCTAATATCTCTGCAGTCAGGGTGATGCTGCTGTGGAACCTATTTTCACTAGGCATATACCTCCTAGCTTATTCTTTCCCACCTCATGCATCTCTCTAGGGTCCTCTTCACCTCTAGACTGCTTTTTTCTCTCACTAGGATCTCAAAGGACCTTAGAGCACATTACAGGGCATACATCTCGCTTTCATTTGGACATATTATTCCCCATTGACATTTACCTTCTGAAATCATCATACCCCAGAGCATAATGCCCTGTCCCTTAATTCAATATAAATTTTAAATGTCCTTCTTTGAGCCACAATTGACAGGGAAACAAAGTTAAATAAAACACCCTCGCTGTCCTCCAGGACTTCACACTATTAAGGATGAACTAATTCATTTAAAGAGAACTCAAATTACAATAGACCTGTCTCAGCAAACTTATGTGGAACTTAAGGGAGCCTAGTAACCCGTCTCCCTGGCAACAGTTTCCACTCTACGCATTGCCTAAGGACTGATTTCCTTCCCTCCCTTCCCATCCCCTCCTATTCGTCTATCTTCCTGATCAAATAAATTTCATGCCACACTCAGAATACAAGAAAGAGAGAAAGTGCAGGAAAGAGGGGGAAAAAAGCCTAGATGTGGTGCTAATCACCTGTTGGAAGCTGTGCCTGACTCTGTACATTTCATTTATTCAGAGTCTTAGAGCGACTAGACCAGTCCAGTGCCATTATTTCACTCACCATGGGAAGACACAGGGACTGGGTCTCCATAGAGAGCCTCACTGTGTGCAGGGAGTAGCTTCAATACAGAGGAAGAATATCAGACCCAGAAATCATGACACTGCCCCTGTTCTCCTCTATGTTTAAAAATAATAATAATAATAGGGCCAAATGATTTTAGGGAAGATTTACAAGGAAAAGAATACAAGAATTGGGATACTAAATGGCATTAAAGACTATAAGGGGTTTAAAAAAAGCCCTACCTTCATCAACAAAAACAAAACAATGAAAACAAAGGGAAACAACACAAGAAATATTAGACACATTACTCTCTCCACCCCTCAGGTGTTCCTACTGACTATAACAATAAATTAATACTAAATAATTAAGGGATACAAATAGTTACAGTCCAAATCTCTCTCTTTGAAAAACACATACACACACACGTACAATTATACACTCAGTGAAAAATGTGAATAATTTTAACTTTGCTAATCATTAAACTAAAGCAAAGATTCCAATTCATAATCATCAGATTAAGAAACTTTTTATTCCTTAAATGCAAAATTAAGATGACATTGTGCAAATCTTATGTCTTGTAGCAAAGTGATGCCATAATACACAAGGTTCAGTATTGATTGAGCCAGTACATTTGGAAATCAGACGGCATCATAATCAAATGCCATAAAACATATTTTCAAAAAATATTTCACCCTTTGCCCCACTGAAACAATCCCATGTATCTTATAATGAAATATGACAAAAACTAGAAATATACCAGTGCATATGCAAACGTTCAAAGAAATATCATTTAAAATGACCCCCCAAATTGGATGTGACCCGAATTTCTAATAACAGTGTATAATAATTAATTGAATAATGGTCTTTTCTCCCTTATAGATACTCATATTACCTAGAAAAATAATTACTAGGTCTATCTAGTGGTCTGAAAAGTGCTTGTGAAATTACTGCCAGGTGAAAATCAGAATATAAATTACATATTGCTATCATTTCATCTACTCAAAAAACATTTATTCATATGCAAATAAGGTCTAGCCAGGAACACAATATTATAACATGTATTATGTGTGTGGCATTGAAATTCATTTGATCAGGAAGATAGAAGAGTGGGAGGGAATGGAATGAGAGAAGGAAATCAGTCCTTAGGCAATGAGTAGAGTGGAAACTGTTGCCAGGGAGACGGGTTACCAGGCTTCTGAAATAGCGTAAATGAGAGATGATGAAATTCTAAACCAAGGCAGAGGATGCGGGGATAAAGAAAAAGGAAAAATTGACGTTACTTTGTGTGTGTGTGTGTATATATATAGTCTTTCTGTACAAAAAATTACATATTATTATATATAATTTCTGTACAAAACTACATATATATAACTATATATATAATTTTTGTATAGAAAGACCATATCTGAAAAGAAAAGAAAAATGATTCCTTTTCCTCAGGAACAAAACAACTAAAAAACAAAAACAAAATCAATAAACAACAACCACAAAAAAAAAATCCCAAAATACAGAAAGTAAATGTTACACGGGCCTTCGGACTATTGGAATAATTTGAAATAATAGTATTAGGTACTGTTTACAAATTACTTAATCAGACCCGGGCAATTACCTCTTGTCATATTTTTATGCAGCATATGAGATATTTTTTCATTAGTATCCTCATTTTAAAGAGGAGATGACTGAAGTGGAAGGGGTTAGATACCCTGCCCCCTGTCACACAGGGAGACTGTGGGAGATCATTCTAGAACTCCTACCAGAGAATGGGCCCTAACTTATACCCTGAATTACATTCCCAGTGCCTGGGAAAGAATGATAGGATACACAGACCTGAATTAAATCTGAAAATCAACTTCTCTTTGCTTCTTTTATTCTTTCTTCTTCCCTTCTTCTTTCTTCTCCTTCTTCTTCCTTTCTTTCTTTCTCTTTCCTTCCTCCCTTCCTTCCTTCCATCTTCCCTCTTCTTTCTTCTTTTTCTTCTTTCTTTTTGGCGGGGGGTGGGGGCAGTGGTGTTAAACTCATTTCTAAATATTTTTGGTCTTCTCCATGCTAGTGATTTTGCTATGAGATTATGGTTTGCAGTATTGGTTCCCCTGTGGAAGGTTAATAGTTAACAGGTATATAGGGATTACAATTCATGAATAACCTTTCAAATTAAAGAAGAGAGAGGAGGTTAGGTTCACCTTTTAATTGTTTGTTGGGGATAAATGGGTGGAGTTGACAAGTAATGAGAGATGGTGGTGGGTCTAACAGAATATTCAAAGGTAAATTTATCTCCCCTCTCCAAATAGCAGAAGAAACCACAAGTCCGGGAACCTAACTCTACAGTCTCTCCCTGGGTAGAGACTGGTGTTGGGGAGAGCAGACCAGGAGAATATGCTATAAGACAACTTAGACAGGGTCACAGGAAGCAGGAGCTGTATTGCAGTGTGGAATGTGTGATGAGCAGCTGATGAAAAAAAAAAAAAAAAAAAAAACAGAAAAACAGGCACTGCAGCACATCAAACAGACGTGGCGAAGATGACTATAGGAAAATTCTCCAAAATCCAAAGTTATTGGATTCGCACCATGGGGGTTATAAAAATGTTTTGTTTATTTTCTATATTTTCCAAATTTCATAAAAAGGTATACATTTTACATAAACTATCTGTATAAAAATTAACTGAAACCCAGTAAGCTGCATTGCTCTGTTGAGTGGGCTCTCGGGCGAATCCAGCCAGTAGCACTGCTTCACCTCTCACATGCACTCAGGGTTTCCAGAGGTACTAACCGAGGACTCTGCCCAAGACAATGACTCTGAAGGATGGACTATTGTTCGAGCTGTGCATTACTGGCCTAAATTTATAACTGAGCTGAAAGCATAAGCTAGAGAAGGCTAACTATATGTTAAAAAGTAGAATCAGTCACAAGAAGTTAACTTGATTTATAAATACCATTCTAAACAAAAAATAGCAATACCATTAGCAGATAAAAATTAAGAAAGGAGGCTGGGCACAGTGGCTCACACCTGTAATCCCAGCACTTTAGGAGGCCGAGGCGGGAGGATCACTAAGGCCCAGGAGCTCCTGACCAGCCTGGCCAACACAGTGAAACCCCATCTCTACTGAAAAGACAAACAATTAGCCAGGCGTGGTGGTGCTGGCCTGTAATCCCAGCTACTCTGGAGGCTGAGGCGGGAGGATTGCTTGAACCCAGGAGGCAGAGGTTGTAGTGAGCCGAGATCACGCCACTGCACTCCAGCCTGGGCGACAGAGCAAGACTCCCTCTCAAAAGAAATAAAGAAAAGAAAAGAAAAGGAGAGAGGTTACCCCATATCATATGTGGTTACTATCTATACACTATCAATAAGTAAAACACATGGAAAGCTCAGGGAATATCCCTTTTAAAAGTAATTTAGAAAGAGGCAAGAGACATACATTATGAGTTGACCAACCTCACTGTATGCAGTGTTGACGTGTGGAGAAGTGGGCATCAGTGAGCTGTGGGGATCTCCAGATTGAAGGGATCTCCAGGTTTGTAGAAACATATGTGAAGGCAATCTGGCAATATGTCACAAAAAAATATATAATTATATTGTGTAACACAGCAATTCCTTGTCTAGGACTGTGTACAATAAGTGTTCAGAAATAAGAATGTATATTGTGGGGATAAATACTAGCAAAAATTGGAAAAAATCCTAAATGTCTATCCATAAGAAATGTTTTAAAGAATCTCTGCCTAGTTAACATGATAGATAATTGAGCATTGCTTAAAGTGTCTGAGATATTGACTTGAAAAGATTCAATTTGGAAAGTAGTATAGGCCGGGCACAGTGGCTCACGCCTGTAATCCCAGCACTTTGGGAGGCCGAGGTGGGCAGATCACGAGGTCAGGAGATCTAGACCATCCTGGCTAACACGGTGAAACCCCGTCTCTACTAAAAATACAAAAAATTATCCAGGTGTGGTGGTGGGCACCTGTAGTCCCAGCTACTAGGGAGGCTGAGGCAGGAGAATGGTGTGAACCTGGGAGGCGGAGCTTGCAATGAGCTGAGACCGGGCCACTGCACTCCAGCCTGGGTGACAGAGCGAGACTCCATCTCAAAAAAAAAAAAAAAAAAAGTAGTATAAAAATATAAATATATGATCCGATTATTTTTTCCAAAGTATACACAGGCACAACATTGTTGGAAAAATATATAAACTAAATTGTGGTGATATAAATGGAAATGGAATTACTGGAGTAATTTCTGTTTTTCTACATCTGTGTTCTCTCAATTATTTATATTCTAACAATATATTTTGAATTTATAAGGAAACAATAGTTTTTAAAATAAAGAACATAATAAACATTCTTATAAATGGGCAAAGACATAAACAATATATACCAAAAATATAAATAATAAATATAAGAAAAACAGTTTGAGCTTCCTAATAGTTATGCAAATTCAGAACTGCAGAATGGCATGCCATTTCCACATATCAACTGTCAAAAAATGTTAAAAACATATGTACTGCAAAGATGGTGAGATAACATATCTTTTGCACCTTTACCACTGGGAATTAATTAGGCAAATCCTAGCAAGTACATTAAAAATGCCGTTTTGTTTTTGTTTTTGTTTTTTGTGTTTTTTTTTAAGAAATTCACATTCACATTCAGGAATTGGCATTAAGACAACAATCAGGGCTGGGCGTAGTGGCTCACACCTGTAATCCTAGCACTTTGGGAGGCCGAGGTGGGTGGATTGCCTGAGGTCAGGAGTTTGAGACCGGACTTGGAAACACAGTGAAACCCTGTCTCTACTAAAATATAAAAAAATTAGTTGGGTGTGGTGGCATGTGCCTGTAATCCCAGCTACTTGGGAGGCTGAGGCAGGAGAATCACCTGAACCCGGGAGGCAGAGGGTGCAGTGAGCTGAGATCGTGCCATTGCACTCCAGCCTGGGCAACAGTGTGAGACTCTGTCTGAAAAAAAAAAGAAAAAGAAAAAGAAAACAATTGGACTTTAGACAATAATTTATTTATGGAGATGTTTATCATTGCATCATTTGAAGATCACTTAAAATTTTAAAATGAAAGAAAATTAGTAAACAGTGCTTTGTAAAATAATTAAAAATTATGTTTCTATAGAATTTATGGAGTCAGCAAGGTCTAGCAACCAGAACAGCATCAAGGTTTGGCAAATTAAATGTGGAATAAAGGTGGACAAGGCTTGAGGTGCATAGAACAAGTTAAAATGGGAAGAATCGGCTCCATTTTTGCTACTTTAGAGTGTATAAGGAGGCAGATTCTTTAGTAACATAAACAAATTACTTAAGAACCCCTTGTTCTGTTACCCAGGGAGTTGGTTTGACCTGTGGACTTTCCACCTACATAACCTCTAATCTGGTCATTATTGCTGTTTGTAGAAGCAGAATTTCAGAGGAATAAAGAGAAAAATTCAGCAGTATTTGGAAGCCTCAACTTAGAAAAAGAAGGGTCCAACTACTTCTCGTTGATAGGAAATATTTCAGAACTAGAGTGATATATGTGTGTTTTTGTGAATTTATGTATATATGGTATTTATTCATAAAATATTTTATTCATATGAAAAAGGCAGAACCCAAGCTCACTATCATCAAAATAAAGTTACCTCTGAGTTTGCCATTCTTCATTTGGCTTCAGGGTGACATTAATCCATAGGTGGCTAGTGGCAAGATACATAAAGAGATGGAATACCCTGACTTAACTCTCACATATTGTCTATACAATAAATTGTGCTAAGCAGAACCAAAACTAATGGTAGAGATAATTGGTAAGAAAGCCAGTTTCACTGAGTAAGAAACACTGGTGAGGAGGGGGCAATCACTGAAAGGTGAATGATGCTATTCTTTGGCTTTGAGTTCCAAAATGCACTGTGAGATCTAATGTTCCTAAATGATGCATTCCAGCTGGAAAACAAAACCAAATGTAAGGATAATAGGACAGTTGTCCTTTTCAGAAGCTCTCAAGGATTTTTAAAAATCTGTAATGACAAATCTTTGCTTTGTTAACTGTGTTCGTCATTTTGACTTAAGAAATATTGCGATAGACGGCCGGGTGCAGTGGCTCAAGCCTGTAATCCCAACACTTTGGGAGGCCGAGGCGGACAGATCACGAGGTCAGGAGATCGAGACCATCCTGGCTAACAAGGTGAAACCCCGTCTCTACTAAAAATACAAAAATTATCCAGGCGTGGTGGTGGGCACCTGTAGTCCCAGCTACTCGGGAAGCTGAGGAGGGAGAATGGCGTGAACCCAGGAGGCGGAGCCTACAGTGAGCCGAGATTGTGCCACTGAACTCCAGCCTGGGTGACAGAGCAAGACTCCATCCCCCAAAAAAGAGAAAGAAAGAAAGAAAGAAATATTGCGATAGACACAGAAAAAAAAATAGATTTTTATTTAGGGTTTCAGCTTGAGGATGAGTTAGTGATGAATTAATTGAGAAACAAAACACCCAAGATTTTCAATCCTTCAAACAGCAACATGAAAGGAAACTGCTCAAGGCTAGGGAGCTCCGTCAGAAAAGAATTAGAATTAACAGTGTATGAGCCTAACATAGACTGAGAGTAATGTCTCTTTCCAACAGCCATATTGGAAAACTTCATAATTCGTAAGGCTTTGGGTATAGTAACATCAAAAGGTTTTCCTGAATCTTGGGGAACAATTAGCCTTAGAATGAGCACTGTTCTGGTGTAGCCTAAAAAAAGATATTAACATCTAAGCAGATGAACTAAATCTCAGAACATGTGAATCAAAAATATGAAGTTAAAAAATACACTGGTCCTGAAGAGAGAAAATTCAAAATGGCTGGCACTCAATACCAGGAACACAAAGAAGTAGGAAATGTAGCATCTAATGAAGAAGATAATCAATACATCAAAATTAACCCAGAATGGACACACATATTATTATTCACAAAAAGTAATATTAGAAACGCTATCAGAACTCTATTCTGTATGTTTTAAACTTTCAGTAGAGACATCAAAGTTATTCAAAAATCAAAACCAAACTGTCAGACATGAAAACTACAATGAATGAGATGAAATTACACTAGATGGAATCAAGTGTAATGGAATGACAGATTAAACATTCCATGAAAAAATTAGTGAATTAAAAATCATAGCAATAGGAACTCCAAATCAAACACATAAGAGAAAAACAATTTATGAAGAATTTATGAAGAACCCATTTCCCTCAAATAACTGAAGATGTAATGGTAAAAATTTGTCAAAATTTGATGAAAAATGTAAACTCATAGGTCCAAGAACCCTAATGAACCCAATAACAAGAAATGAAAAAAAAGAACAAACAAAGCATCTCATAATCAAAATATTCAAACTCAGTGATAAAGAGAAAAGTTAAGAGTAGCCAGAGAGAAATAGACACATTCCACACATAGCAACAAAGACAAGAATGGTAGTAGAGAGCTCACTGCAAAAGTGCAAGGGAGAAGACAGCAAAATCGTTAAAATACTCAAAGAGAGAAAAAAACTGTAGACATAGAATTTCATACATATCGAAAACACATTTCATAGAGAAAAGGTGAAATGAAGACTTTTTTCCCACATACAAACGCTGAATGAGGGAAGTGACTTCATGGAAACTGGAGTAGCTCAAGAATTGGCCCCTTTAGTGAAGCAACAATGAGGCTGGCAACACTGAATCAACTTTTTCAGAATTTTGGAAGCTAGTTAAAAATAATAATAATAATAATAATAAAATAAATAAAACAACTTACAGCAATCAGGATTATTTAATGAAGAAAGAGATGGCTAAATTTTGGTTATAAAGCATCATGGACTTTTTGCTTATCAACAGACCATCCCTCATTCACCAGATCTACAGAAGGCATGGAGACAGTGTTCCTAGTGTGGACTGGTGGTGTCGGGGGAAAAAATATGGACCTTGTGGCCAGGCGCGGTGGCTCACGCCTGTAATCCCAACACTCCGGGAGGCCGAGGCGGACGGATCAGGAGGTCAGGAAATCGAGACCATCCTGGCTAACACGGTGAAACCCCGTCTCTACAAAAAAATACAAACAATTAGAAGGGCGTGGTGGCGGGCGTCTGTAGTCCCAGCTACTCGGGAGGCTGAGGCAGGAGAATGGTGTGAACCCGGGAGACGGAGCTTGCAGTGAGCTGAGATCACGCCACTGCACTCCAGCCTGGGCGACAGAGAGAGACACTGTCTCAAAAAAATAAATAAATAAAAATGGACCTTGCGATACATATTTACGAAAAAGATGGCTGTGTGTTTTAACCTGCCAGGCAGTTCCTTGATGGAGCAGTGCAGAAACTGGCATTTGTTTTGCCCACCATGGCCAGAAAGTGATTTTTTAAAAACCTGCAAAAGGATTGAAAATTGCAAATCATACATTGATAAGGATCAAATATACAGAATATATAATGAATGTGTTAGTCTGTGTGGATTGCTACAGCAAAATACCATAAACTGCATAGCTAATAAACAATAGAAATGTGTTTCTCACAGTTCTGGAGACTGAAAAGTCCAGTATGAAGGCATCAGCGGATTTGGCGTCTGGTGAGGACTCACTTTCTGGTTCATAGATGGTGCCTTCTAGCTCCCTCCTCACATGGTGGAAGGAATGAATGGCTCTCATGGACCTCTTTTATAATGGAAGTAATCCCATTCCCTGAGTGTTCTATCCTCATGACCTAATCATCAATCAAAGGCTGTATGTTCTAATACCATCATCTTGGGGATTAGAATTTTGACATATGAATCAAGGTGGGAAAACAAATATTCAGACCATAGTAAGGAACCTTTACAATTCAATGGAAGAAAAAGAGAATTGGTAAGTAATGTGAATAGAAAGTTCTCCAAAGTATCTATATGAATGGCAAATAAGCATACGAAACAATGTTAAAAATATTTCATTTTTAGAGAAATGCAAATCAAAATCACAATGAGATGTCACTTTATACCACTAGGATAGTGACAATTAAAAAAAGGAAAAACATAACCAGTGTTGAAGATGTGGAGAGACTGTAACCCTTGTAAATCAATGGTGGAAATGTGTGGCATTTCCTGCCAAAGTAAAACAGAATGGCCCATGGAATATGATCTAGCAATTCCACTCCTAGGGATGTGGCCTCCAATATTGAGAACAGGCACTAAACTACTTACATGTAAATGAATTCTATATCCCAGAAATTCTATATCCGGGCCATGTGTGGCTCATGCCTGTAATACCAGCACTTTGGGAGGTCGATGAGGGCAGATTGCTAGAGCTCAGGAATTCCAGACCAGCCTGGGCATCATGGTGAAACCCAGTATCTACCAAAAACACAAAAAATCAACTGGGTGTGGTGCTGTGTGCCTGCAGTCCCAGCTACTCAAGAGGAGGTGGGAGGATCACTTGAGCCTCAGTGGTGGAGGTTGCAGTGAGCCACAATCAAACCACTGCACTCCAGCCTGGGTGACAGAGTGAGATCCTGTCTCACAAAAAAGACAAGAAAAGAAGAGAGAAGAAATTCTATATCCTGTACAATTATCCATATAATGAAAGTGAAGTAGAAATAAAGACTTTCTCAGGTGAAGAAAAACTGGGAATTCATCACCAGCAGACCCCCATTGTAAAAAATGTTAAAATAATATTTCAAGGAGAAGGAAATCACTTAGAAACTCAGATCTAGATAAAGAAAGAAAATGTGTTAGAGAAGGGATACATGAAGGTAAAATAAAATTGTCTGTATTTCTTAGCTATCATTGATCTAAAATATAACTTTGTTTAAAGTAATGATAGTAGCAAGGTATTAGGTGATTATATGATTATTTTTCTTTTGTCTGTTGATGTGGTGCATTACATTAATTTACTGATTTTTCAAATATGGAAGGAGTCTTGCACATTTGGAATCAATCCATATTTGGAATCAATCCATATTTGGAATCAATCCCACTAGGTCATGGTGTATAATTCCTTATATATTGCTAGATTCAACTTGCTCGTATTTTGTTGAGATTATCTGCATCTGTATTAGAAGCAAATCATATCTCTGATAAGGGACTTGTACCTAGAATATAGAAAGAACTATTACAACAAAATGACATAAAGATGAATAACCAATTTTTTAAAAGGGCGAAGGATCTTAACACTTCCTCAGAGAAGAAACATAAATGGCTAATACACACATTAAAAAAATGTTCAACATCATTAGTCATTAGGACAGTGCAAATCAAAACCACAATGAGACAACTCTGCACATCCCCTGGGATGGCAACATTCAAAAGGACCCACTAGCATGTGTTGGTAAGGATGCAGAAAAATTGGACAACTTGTATGGTGCTTGTGAGAGTATGAAATTGTGTGCCCTCTTCTAAAAAGATTCTGGCATTTCCTCACCAGATGATAGAGTCACCAGATGATCCTGCGACTTTTCCTCACCATGAGAAAATAAATTTTCACACAAATACTTGCATATGAATACTTACAGCAGAAGTAATCACAAGCCAAAAGGCTTCAGAAATAACCCCAATGTCCAGCAATAAATGAATCGATGGTGATGTATATGTGCAATGGAATATTATTAAGCCATAAAATATAACAAAGTACTGATATATTCCATAATACAGAGGAATCTCAAAAATATTATGATCTGTGAAAGAAGCCAGACAGCAAAGTCCACATATTCTATGATTTAAGGCATGTAAAATAACCAGAATAAGTAAATTCATATAAGTCATTGGGAATGGGATGGAATTGCTTAATAAGAGGTTTTATTTTAGGGTGATGAAAATATTTTAGAACTAGATAGAGGTAGTAGTTTAATAATATTTTGAATTACTAAATGCAGTTGAGTTGTTCATTTTAAAATGGTTAATTTTAGGTTATATGAATTTCAACTCATTTTTTTAAGCTGAAAGAATTAATTACCAGCACACCTACAATTTTTAAAAATGTTAGAGAGAATCTTCTAATGTAGAAGAAAACTCATACCAAATGGAAATATGAAACGACACCAGTGATTTTCAATTAGGGGCAATTTTGCCTCCCAAGGTATGTTTAGTAATGTCTGAAATTATTTTTGGCTGTCATGACGGGGGAGGAGGGTGATTTGTTACATGTATCCTGTGTGTAGAGGGCAGGAATAGAGCTAAAAATACCGCAATGAACAGTATAAAATCCCCTATATCAAAAAATAATTATTTATCCCACAGTGTGAATAGCGCCAAGGTTGTGAAAACATGATATATGCAAAGGGAAAAACAGCATGGGAAATGATAAGAATGTTTTTTTCAAAAAATTTAAATGTCTTGAAAATATAATTGATTAGTTAAACTACAGTAAAAACAAATATTGTTAATTATTGTAGAGGGGGGTATAGCATTTATAAAATAAAAAGTAAGAACACAGTGCAATGGTCAGAGGAGAAAAAAGAAAGCATACTATTACTAGGAACTATCCATAGTATACATAAGGTGGTATAATATCATTTTAAGGTAGTCTGTGATAAGGTAAACACGTATATTCTAAACTCTAAAGTAACCACTAAAATAGAGAGTTATATCTAATAAGTAAAGAAAAAAAGAAAATAACGAAAATAACACGTAGGAAGCAGAATTAAAGGGAAGATGGGGACAGACAGCAGACAGGACAAATAGAAAACAAATAGAAAGATGAAATATTCAAACTTTACCATGTCAGTATCACATGAAATATAAGTGGTTTAAATACCACAATTAAGGCCCAAACTGGAATTTCTAGTTTCAGCTCAGAGACTAATGGGAGCTAGGACAGTGGGAAGCCCCTGAGGGCCACAAACATGTGGGGAGTGGGATTGCCTCTGCTTGATGGATTTTCTGTCCCAGAAGTTCCTCTAGGAACTCCATTAGGTCTTGGCCAGGCGCGGTGGCTCACGCCTGTAATCCCAGCACTTTGGGAGGCCAAGGTGGGCGGATCATGATGTCAGGAGATGGAGACCATCCTGGCTAATACGGTGAAACTCCATCTCTACTAAAAACAAAAAAGTAGCCAGGCGTGGTGGAGGGCGCGTAGTCCCAGCTACTCCGGAGGCTGAGGCAGGAGAATGGCGTGAACCCGGGAGGCGGAGCTTGCAGTGAGCCGAGATCGTGCCACTGCACTCCAGCCTGGGTGACAGAGCGAGACGCTGTCTCAAAAAAAAAGAAAAGAAAAGAAGAAAAGAAAAGAAAAAAGAACTCCATTAGGTCTCATAGGGTACACTCCAGAGATTCCAGAAAAAGCTTCATGCTAGGTAAAGGAACAGTAGCCTCTAAATAAACATAAACCTCATGAATCCCCTAAGTAACAAATATAGATAAATCTACAGAGAAAAGGGCAACAAAAACTATAGCCATTGAGCACTCACAGAAAACCCATGGAGCTGGACGGGGGTAACAGCATAAATAAAGCCCTACCACTGGGGGGAGGGCCAGGAAAACACAGGAGGGAGGTTGGGAGTGCTAAGGATCAGCCAGATCAGTTAAGCAACAAAAATAAATAAAAGGGCATCCAATTTTTTTTTTTTTTTTTGAGACAGAGTCTCTCTCTGTTGCCCAGGCTGGAGTACAGTAGAGCAATCTCAGCTCACTGTAACCTCTGCCTCCTGGGTTCAAGCGATTCTCCTGCCTCAGCCTCCTGGGTAGGTGGGACTACAGGTATGGACCAGCACTCCCAGCTAATTTTGGCATTTTTAGTAGAGATGGGGTTTCACCATGTTTGGCCAGGCAGGTCTGAAACTCCTGACTTCAGGTGGTTTCACTTTGTTTGGCCAGGCTGGTCTCGAACTACCCACCTCGAGTGATCTTCCCAACTCGGCCTCCCAAAGTGCTGAGATTACAGGCATGACGCACCATGCCTGGCAGGCATTCAAATATTATAGGAAGAAAATTGTCTCTGTTTGCTGATGACATACTCTTATACATAGAAAACCCTAAAGAGGCTACCAAAAAAACTTTTAGAACTAATAAACAAATCTAGTAAAGTTGCAGGATACGAAATCAATGTGCAAAAATTAGTCTTGTTTCTGCACACTAACAATGAATGATCCAGGAGGAAAAATTAAGAAAACAATCCCATTTACAACAGCATCAAAAAATCATACTTAGGAGTAAATTCAACCAGAATGTGACAGATTTGCATACAGTAAACTATAAAACATTAATAAAAGACATTGAAGACAACACGAATAAATGAAAAGACCCCTTGTGTTCATGAATTGGAAGAATTAATGTTGCTAAAATATCAGGACACTATCCATAGCAATCTAGAGATTTAGAGCAATTGCTGTCAAAATTCCAATGTCATTTTTCACTGAAATAGACAAAACAATCCCCAAATTCATAGGGAACCACAAAAGACCTTGAGCAGCCAGAGTAATCTTGAGCAGCATGAACAAAGCTGGAGGCATCACATTACCTGATTTCAAAATATATTACAAATCTGTAGTAATCGAAAGGGCATGGCATAGAAACAGACACATCAACCAAAGGAACAAGATAGCCTAGAAGGCCGGGCGTGGTGGCTCACGCCTGTAATCCCATCACTTTGGTAGGCAGAGGCAGGCAGATCACAAGGTCAGGAGATTAGGACAATCCTGGCTAACACAGTGAAACCCCGTCTCTACTAAAACTACAAAAAAAAAAAAAAAAAAAAAGCCTAGAAATAAACACATGCATCCATGGTCAATTGATTTTTGAAAAAGTTTCTAACACCACACACGGGAAAAGAGTCTGTTCAATAAAGCGTGTTGAGAAAACCAGGTAGCTATATGCAGAAAACAAAATTGGACTCGTTTCTCACCCTTTTACAAAAAAAAAAATCGAAATGGATTAAACACTTAAACATGAGACCTGAATATGTAAAGCTACTAGAAGAAAACATAGAGGAAAACCTCCATGACGTGGGTCTGGGAAAGGGTTTCTTGGACATGACCCCAAAAGCACAGGCAAGCAAAAATATGCAAATGGGATTGCATCACATTAAAAAGCTTCTGCACAGCAAAGGAAAAATTTAACAGAGTGAAGAGACAACCACTGGATTGGAAGAAAACACAGGTGCTCCTCAACTTATCATGGAGTTACATTTGGATAAACCTGTCATAAATTGAAAATGAAAATTGGAAATGTTGTAAGAAATGCATTTAATACAACTGACCTACCTTAAACATGCTCAGAACACCTATATTAATCTGAGCAAAATCATCTGGCAACACAGTCCACTGTGGAGCATTTTTTTTTTAATCCTCATGATCATGTGATAAATGAGAGCAGCATCTCATTGCTACTGCCCAGCATAGTGAGAGTATTGTACCACATATTGCTAGCATGGGGAAAGATTGAAAGTTAAAATTCAGGCCGGGCGCAGTGGCTCATGCCTGTAATCCCAGCCCTTTGGGAGGCCGAGGTGGGCGGATCACAAGGTCAGGAGATCGAGACCATCCTGGCTAACATGGTGAAACCCCGTCTCTACTAAATATACAAAAAATTAGCCGGGCATGGTGGCAGGCGCCTGTAGTCCCAGCTACTCAGGAGGCTGAGGCAGGAGAATGGCGTGAACCCAGGAGGCTGAGGTTGCAGTGAACCGAGATCGCGCCACTGCACTCCAGCCTGGGAGACAGAGCAAGACTCCATCTCAAAAAAAAAAAAAAAAGTTAAAATTCAAAGTAAGATTTCTACAGAGTGTGTATTGCTTTCACACCACTGTAAAGTTGAAAAATCTGGACCATCACAAGACAGGACTGTCTGTATTTGCAAACCATACATTAATAAGGGGTTGATATCCAAAATATACAAGGAACATAACTCAGTAGCAAGAAAACAAGTAGCTCAATTAAAAAATGAGCAAATGATCTGAATAGACGTTTCTCAAAAGAAGATAAATGGCCGACAAACATAGGAAGAAATGCTCAATATCAGCAATCATCAGGAAAATGCAAATTTAAGCCACAATGACATATCGCCACATATGTTAGAATGTTTTTCATAGAAAAGCCAAGTGATAACAAGTGTTGGCGAAAATGTGGAGAAAAGGGAACCCTTGTACACTGTCAGTGGGAATGTAAATTAGTGCAGACATACGGAAAACAGTATGGACATTCTACAAAAAGTTAAAAATAGAACTACCATATCATGCAGCAATGCTACTACCGAGTATATATCCAAAGAAAATGAAATCAATAGGTTTAAGCGGTATCTGCACTGCCATGTATCAACTTAACTATCCATCAACAGATGAATGCATAAAGAAAATGTGGTATATATACACAATGAAATATTATTTATCCTTTCAAATGAAGGAAATTCTGTCATTAGCAACAACATGGATGAACCTAGAGAAGAGAACATAAAATAAGTGAAATATGCCAAACACAGAAAGACAAATACTATATTATCTCACTTATACAAGAAATCTTAAAAAGTTGAACTCATAGGATCGCTTGAAACTGGGAGGCAGAGCTTGCTGTGAGCTGAGATCGCGCCACTGCACTCCAGCCTGGGCAACAGAGCGAGAGTCCATCTCAAAAACAACAACAAAAAAAAAAACAAAAAGAAAACAGAGGGGTCAATTTCTATGTTTATCCAAAAAACAATCTATAGGAGTATTGGATTGGCTTCAAGTCTTCCCTTAACCAGACTAACAAGCATTAAGTAAAAGTAGTAGAGCAATAGAGCTGAGAGAACTGCAAGAGACAAATTCTTACAAGGGAACAGTGCAAATGGAATACTCAATGCTGAGGAGGAAAATGCAAAACAAAGTAGGGAGTAGACATTGAGTAAAACCTTATGATAAATAAGCCTGTATTCTAAACACAAGGTATCACAAGAGAAATAGGGATTCTTCACTGTATTCTATACAGTGAGGGTATAGCAAGAACATAGGCATGGTCTGTACAGAGGATCAAAGATAAGAATTATAGTAGATTTCTTGTCATAAACTACACAGGAAAGAAGACAATGGAGTGCTATCTTTAAATGCTGAAAGTAAATATACTGTCAATCCAGGATTCTTTTATTCCATTATTTTACATAGTAAGAAAATGCTTCAAAAATGAAGGTTAGAAAAGACATTCTCAAAACAAAAGCTGAAGAAATTGATTAACAGAAGACCCACTATATAAGAAATAAGAAACATTCAATGGAGTTCTTTTTATTTATTTATATTTTTTTATTTTTTTATTATTATACTTTAAGTTTTAGGGTACATGTGCACAATGTGCAGGTTTGTTACATATGTATACATGTGCCATGCTGGTGCGCTGCACCCACTAACTCGTCATCTAGCATTAGGAATATCTCCCAGTGCTATCCCTCCCCCCTCCCCCCACCCCACAACAGGCCCCAGAGTGTGATATTCCCCTTCCTGTGTCCATGTGTTCTCATTGTCCAATTCCCACCTATCAGTGAGAATATGTGGTGCTTGATTTTTTGTTCTCGCGATAGTTTACTGAGAATGATGATTTCCAATTTCATCCATGTCCCTACAAAGGACATGAACTCATCATTTTTTATGGCTGCATAGTATTCCATGGTGTATATGTGCCACATTTTCTTAATCCAGTCTATCATTGTTGGACATTTGGGTTGGTTCCAAGTCTTTGCTATTGTGAATAATGCTGCAATAGACATACGTGTGCATGTGTCTTTATAGCAGCATGATTTATAGTCCTTTGGGTATATACCTAGTAATGGAATGGCTGGGTCAAATGGTGTTTCTAGTTCTAGATCCCTGAGGAATCGCCACACTGACTTCCACAATGGTTGAACTAGTTTACAGTCCCACCAACAGTGTAAAAGTGTTCCTATTTCTCCACATCCTCTCCAGCACCTGTTGTTTCCTGACTTTTTAATGATTGCCATTCTAACTGGTGTGAGATGGTATCTCATTGTGGTTTTGATTTGCATTTCTCTGATGGCCAGTGATGGTGAGCATTTTTTCATGTGTTTTTTGGCTGCATAAATGTCTTCTTTTGAGAAGTGTCTGTTCATGTCTTTTGCCCACTTTTTGATGGGGTTGTTTGTTTTTTTCTTGTAATGAGTTCATTGTAGATTCCGGATATTAGCCCTTTGTCAGATGAGTAGGTTGTGAAAATTTTCTCCCATTTTGTAGGTTGCCTGTTCACTCTGATGGTAGTTTCTTTTGCTGTGCAGAAGCTCTTTAGTTTAATTAGATCCCATTTGTCAATTTTGGCTTTTGTTGCCATTGCTTTTGGTGTTTTAGACATGAAGTCCTTGCCCATGCCTATGTCCTGAATGGTAGAGCCTAGGTTTTCTTCTAGGGTTTTTATGGTTTTAGGTCTAACATTTAAGTCTTTAATCCATCTTGAATTGATTTTTGTATAAGGTGTAAGGAAGGGATCCAGTTTCAGCTTTCTACATATGGCTAGCCAGTTTTCCCAGCACCATTTATTAAATAGGGAATCCTTTCCCCATTGCTTGTTTTTCTCAGGTTTGTCAAAGATCAGATAGTTGTAGATATGCAACGTTATTTCTGAGGGCTCTGTTCTGTTCCATTGATCTATATCTCTGTTTTGGTACCAGTACCATGCTGTTTTGGTTACTGTAGCCTTGTAGTATAGTTTGAAGTCAGGTAGTGTGATGCCTCCAGCTTTGTTCTTTTGGCTTAGGATTGACTTGGCAATGCGGGCTCTTTTTTGATTCCACATGAACTTTAAAGTAGTTTTTTCCAATTCTGTGAAGAAAGTCATTGGTAGCTTGATGGGGATGGCATTGAATCTGTAAATTACCTTGGGCAGTATGGCCATTTTCACGATATTGATTCTTCCTACCCATGAGCATGGAATGATCTTCCATTTGTTTGTATCCTCTTCTATTTCCTTGAGCAGTAGTTTGTAGTTCTCCTTGAAGAGGTCTTTCACATCCCTTGTAAGTTGGATTCCTAGATATTTTATTCTCTTTGAAGCAATTGTGAATGGGAGTTCACTCATGATTTGGCTCTCTGTTTGTCTGTTGTTGGTGTATAAGAATGCTTGTGATTTTTGTACATTGATTTTGTATCCTGAGACTTTGCTGAAGTTGCTTATCAGCTTAAGGAGATTTTGGGCTGAGACAATGGGGTTTTCTAGATATACAATCATGTCATCTGCAAATAGGGACAATTTGACTTCCTCTTTTCCTAATTGAATACCCTTTATTTCCTTCTCCTGCCTAATTGCCCTGGCCAGAACTTCCAACACTATGTTGAATAGGAGTGGTGAGAGAGGGCATCCCTGTCTTATGCCAGTTTTCAAAGGGAATGCTTCCAGTTTTTGCCCATTCAGTATGATATTGGCCGTGGGTTTGTCATAGATAGCTCTTATTATTTTGAAATACGTCCCATCAATACCTAATTTATTGAGAGTTTTTAGCATGAAGGGTTGTTGAATTTTGTCAAAGGCCTTTTCTGCTTCTATTGAGATAATCATGTGGTTTTTGTCTTTGGTTCTGTTTATATGCTGGATTACATTTATTGATTTGCGTATATTGAACCAGCCTTGCATCCCAGGGATGAAGCCCACTTGATCATGGTGGATAAGCTTTTTGATGTGCTGCTGGATTCGGTTTGCCAGTATTTTATTGAGGATTTTTGCATCAGTGTTCGTCAAGGATATTGGTCTAAAATTCTCTTTTTTGGTTGTGTCTCTGCCCAGCTTTGGTATCAGGATGATGCTGGCCTCATAAAATGAGTTAGGGAGGATTCCCTCTTTTTCTATTGATTGGAATAGTTTCAGAAGGAATGGTACCAGTTCCTCCTTGTACCTCTGGTAGAATTCGGCTGTGAATCTATCTGGTCCTGGACTCTTTTTGGTTGGTAAGCTATTGATTATTGCCACAATTTCAGATCCTGTTATTGGTCTATTCAGAGATTCAACTTCTTCCTGGTTTAGTCTTGGGAGAGTGTATGTGTCGAGGAATTTATCCATTTCTTCTAGATTTTCTAGTTTATTTGCGTAGAGGTGTTTGTAGTATTCTCTGATGGTAGTTTGTATTTCTGTGGGATCGGTGGTGATATCTCCTTTATCATTTTTTATTGCATCTATTTGATTCTTCTCTCTTTTTTTCTTTATTAGTCTTGCTAGTGGTTTATCAATTTTGTTGATCCTTTCAAAAAACCAGCTCCTGGATTCATTAATTTTTTGAAGGGTTTTTTGTGTCTTTATTTCCTTCAGTTCTGCTCTGATTTTAGTTATTTCTTGCCTTCTGATAGCTTTTGAATGTGTTTGCTCTTGCTTTTCTAGTTCTTTTAATTGTGATGTTAGGGTGTCAATTTTGGATCTTTCCTGCTTTCTCTTGTGGGCATTTAGTCCTATAAATTTCCCTGTACACACTGCTTTGAATGCATCCCAGAGATTCTGGCATGTTGTGTCTTTGTTCTCATTGGTTTCAAAGAACATCTTTATTTCTGCCTTCATTTCATTATGTACCCAGTAGTCATTCAGCAGCAGGTTGTTCAGTTTCCTTGTAGTTGAGCGGTTTTGAGTGAGATTCTTAATCCTGAGTTCTAGTTTGATTGTACTGTGGTCTGAGAGATAGTTTGTTATAATTTCTGTTCTTTTACATTTGCTGAGGAGAGCTTTACTTCCAACTATGTGGTCAATTTTGGAATAGGTGTGGTGTGGTGCTGAAAAAAATGTATATTCTGTTGATTTGGGGTGGAGAGTTCTGTAGATGTCTATTAGGTCCGCTTGGTGCAGAGCTGAGTTCAATTCCTGGGTATCCTTGTTGACTTTCTGTCTTGTTGATCTGTCTAATGTTGACAGTGGGGTGTTAAAGTCTCCCATTATTAATGTGTGGGAGTCTAAGTCTCTTTGTAGGTCACTCAGGACTTGCTTTATGAATCTGGGTGCTCCTATATTGGGTGCATATATATTTAGGATAGTTAGCTCTTCTTGTTGAATTGATCCCTTCACCATTATGTAGTGGCCTTCTTTGTCTCTTTTGATCTTTGTTGGTTTAAAGCCTGTTTTATCAGAGACTAGGATTGCAACCCCTGCCTTTTTTTGTTTTCCATTTGCTTGGTAGATCTTCCTCCATCCTTTTATTTTGAGCCTATGTGTGTCTCTGCACGTGAGATGGGTTTCCTGAATACAGCACACTGATGGGTCTTGACTCTTTATCCAATTTGCCAGTCTGTGTCTTTTAATTGGAGCATTTAGTCCATTTACATTTAAAGTTAATATTGTTATGTGTGAATTTGATCCTGTCATTATGATGTTAGCTGGTTATTTTGCTCATTAGTTGATGTAGTTTCTTCCTAGTCTTGATGGTCTTTACATTTTGGCATGATTTTGCAGTGGCTGGTACTGGTTGTTCCTTTCCATGTTTAGCGCTTCCTTCAGGAGCTCTTTTAGGGCAGGCCTGGTGGTGACAAAATCTCTCAGCATTTACTTGTCTGTAAAGTATTTTATTTCTCCTTCACTTATGAAGCTTAGTTTGGCTGGATATGAAATTCTGGGTTGAAAATTCTTTTCTTTAAGAATGTTGAATATTGGCCCCCACCCTCTTCTGGCTTGTAGAGTTTCTGCCGAGAGATCCGCTGTTAGTCTGATGGGCTTCCCTTTGTGGGTAACCCGACCTTTCTCTCCTCTGGCTGCCCTTAATATTTTTTCCTCATTTCAACCTTGGTGAATCTGACAATTATGTGTCTTGGAGTTGCTCTTCTCGAGGAGTATCTTTGTGGCGTTCTCTGTATTTCCTGAATCTGAATGTTGGCCTGCCTTGCTAGATTGGGGACGTTCTCCTAGATAATATCCTGCAGAGTGTTTTCCAACTTGGTTCCATTCTCCCCGTCACTTTCAGGTACACCAATCAGACGTAGATTCGGTCTTTTCACATAGTCCCATATTTCTTGGAGGATTTGCTCATTTCTTTTTATTCTTTTTTCTCTAAACTTCCCTTCTCGCTTCATTTCATTCATTTCATCTTCCATCGCTGATACCCTTTCTTCCAGTTGATCACATCGGCTCCTGAGGCTTCTGCATTCTTCACGTAGTTCTTGAGCCTTGGTTTTCAGCTCCATCAGCTCCTTTAAGCATTTCTCTGTATTGGTTATTCTAGTTATACATTCTTCTAAATTTTTTTCAAAGATTTTAACTTCTTTGCCTTTGGTTTGAATGTCCTCCTGTAGCTCGGAGTAATTTGATCGTCTGAAGCCTTCTTCTCTCAGCTCGTCAAAGTCATTCTCCGTCCAGCTTTGTTCTGTTGCTGGTGAGGAACTGCATTCCTCTGAAGGAGGAGAGGTGCCCTGCTTTTTAGAGTTTCCAGTTTTTCTGCTCTGTTTTTTCCCCATCTTTGTGGTTTTATCTACTTTTGGTCTTTGATGATGGTGATGTACAGATGGGTTTTTGATGTGGATGTCCTTTCTGTTTGTTAGTTTTCCTTCTAACAGACAGGACCCTCAGCTGCAGGTCTGTTGGAGTACCCTGCCATGTGAGGTGTCAGTGTGCCCCTGCTGGGGGGTGCCTCCCAGTTAGGCTGCTCGGGGGTCAGGGGTCAGGGACCCACTTGAGGAGGCAGTCTGCCCGTTCTCAGATCTCCAGCTGCGTGCTGGGAGAACCACTGCTCTCTTCAAAGCTGTCAGACAGGGACATTTAAGTCTGCAGAGGTTACTGCTGTCTTTTTGTTTGTCTGTGCCCTGCCCCCAGAGGTGGAGCCTACAGAGGCAGGCAGGCCTCCTTGAGCTGTGGTGGGCTCCACCCAGTTCCAGCTTCCCTGCTGCTTTGTTTACCTAAGCAAGCCTGGGCAATGGAGGGCGCCCCTCCCCCAGCCTCGCTGCCGCTTTGCTGTTTGATCTCAGAAGGCTGTGCTAGCAATCAGCGAGACTCCATGGGTGTAGGACCCTCCGATTCAGGTGCGGGATATGATCTCCTGGTGCGCCGTTTTTTAAGCCCGTCGGAAAAGCTCAGTATTCGGGTGGGAGTGACCCGATTTTCCAGGTGCCGTCTGTCACCCCTTTCTTTGACTAGGAAAGGGAACTCCCTGACCCCTTGCGCTTCCCTAGTGAGGCAATGCCTCGCCCTGCTTCCGCTCGCCCACGGTGCGCGCACCCACCGACCTGCGCCCACTGTCTGGCACTCCCTAATGAGATGAACCCCGTACCTCAGATGGAAATGCAGAAATCACCCGTCTTCTGCGTCGCTCACACTGGGAGCTGTAGACCGGAGCTGTTTCTATTCGGCCATCTTGGCTCCTCCTCAATGGAGTTCTTAACACTGAAGGAACATGATCAATGTCAAACATTTGAATGTAGGCAAATAGGTAAGAGTTTTGGAAACAGAATAAATACAGGTAAATGAAACCTTTTTTTCTTATTTTTATATTCTGACACATAACCTGCATTTTAAAGCAAAAATAGTAACCATGTTTTATCTGTTCATAGCATATATATATAAATAATTTTATATATAAAAATATTCATAGCATATATATAGCATATATATAATTTATAGCATATATATAATTCATAGCATATATATAATTTGGAAACAATATATAATTATATATAAACTATATATATAATTTGGAAACAATTATATATATATAATTTATAATAATTCATAGCATATATATAATTTGGAAACAGAATATATATAATTATATATATAAACAATATATATGTAATTCATAGCATATATATAGTTCATAGCATATATAAATAATTTTATATATAAAATTATACATATATTATCAAAAATTATATATATTTGTAAACATATGACAATAATAGCACAAAGTCAATCCAAAGTGATACTGGGAGGGAGAGATTGGAAATTTACTGTCATGAAGTCTTTATATGACATGTGAAGAGGTATAATATTATTTAAAAGTACACTCAGATTACATTTAAATGTATACTGTAAACCCCAGGACAACTAGTTTTGTTTCTTTTAATGGAAGTCAACTTCTGGTTTACAAGTGACACTGAAGTCATCATTCCTATTCTTACAAAAAGAGGAAAACTTACAATCAATAACTTTTCTTAGACCCATCAGAGATGTGAGGTCGCAGGAGAAAGTGCCACCTGAAATCTGAAGAGACTGGTGAACACAGAGACACAGCTGAGCTCTCACACCTGGAGCAGAAGCCACTGGAGCCGTAATCTGGTAGGAATTCTTAAACGGTAATTTTAGTGAATTTCTGGACAGTGAATTTGGACTAGCATAGAGTAAAAAGCTCCTGGAGGTCAGAGTCTTGAGGGGCCCTCCCCGACCTTTGTGGGTTTACCTCTACCTCTATGAACCTCATTGTTACCTGGTGTAATGGCTACATGACATAACTGAATTTCTACCCCACCCAAATGCTGCTTAAAAAGAATACCTGTTGGATACTATGCTTATTACCTGGGTAACTAAATAATATGTACACCAAACCCCCACAACATGCAGTTTACCTACATAGTAATCTGGCATATGTGCCCCTAAACCTAAAATTAGAGTTATAAAAAGAAGAAGACACATGCAGTACAAAGTTCTCTCTGTAACTACACCAGCCAAAACTGGCTGGAACCTAGATAGCTGACTGAATGGCTTCAAAAAGTTCTCAGGTTTCATTATAATTTCATTTCTGTGTTAAATGACACTTCCACCAGCACCATGACAGTTGACCATCGCCATAAAAACAACTGCAAGAAGCCACAGAAGGCCAAAAAAGAAGGCTTCACTCTGGTTCCAAGTTCACTGCCCATTTCTGGAAAAGACATAACTATTTATCCTATCACTTTTAATGTCCAGTCCCTTTGTTTATATTGACGCCCTATATTTTAACCTCCTCACCCCCGACTAGTAGAGAAGCTGATTTGTGACAAACATCCCTGCTTCTTCATTTCCTGGCCATGAATAGCTCTGCTTGATGCTCACTTTCGGTTGCTTATTGGCTCTGTGACACCAAATGGGGACAGAGCCCATCTTTTCAGGCTACCAACTTTATTGGTTAAAAAATGGCAACTGGCTGGGCACGGTGGCTCACGCCTGTAATCCCAGCACTTTGGGAGGCTGAGGTGGGCAGATCACGAAGTCAGGAGATGGAGACCATCCTGGCTAACATGGTGAAACCCCGTCTCTACTAAAAATACAAAAAATTAGCTGGGCACAGTGGCGGGCGCCTGTAGTCCCAGCTACTCGGGAGGCTGAGGCAGGAGAATGGCATGAACATGGGAGGTGGAGCTTGCAGTGACCCGAGATCGCGCCACTGCACTCCAGCCTGGGCAATGAGCGAGACTCCGTCTCAAAAAAAAAAAAAAAGAAAAGAAAAAAGAAAAAGGCAACTGTGACAGGACTGTGGAATAGATAGTTCACTTCCCTGTTTGGGAAGCCTCCTTACCTCCTCAGAGACTGGGAAACTGGTGCCCAACAACACTGGCCAGCAAAGGATATGCATGCCCATTTTCTTTCCAGCTTGAGTTTCTCCCCTTTTGGGAAATGCCCCTTCCACCACTCCTCCTTGCCTTTGGTCAGTGGCAGCCACTGCCCTCCATTTAAAAGAGACAGAGAAGTTAACCTTTGGGCAATCCCTAACCATCTGGACTCCCCATTACCCAGACCCTCATAAAGGAAAGGGGGGCAGAATGACTGTCCCCAGGCAGGGCTCTCCAGTAACACATAATGCTTATTGATAACCCTCACATAACTTTTTTCTTTTTTGAGAGGGAGTCTCACAGTGTCACCCAGGCTGGAGTGTAGTGGCGCCATCTTGGCTCACTGCAGCCTCCACCTTTCAGGTTCGAGCGATGCTCCTGCCTCAGCCACCTGAGTAGCCAGGACTACAGGCACACACCCCAACACCTGTCTAATTTTTTGTATTTTTAGTAGATACAGTGTTTCGCCATGTTGGCCAGGCTGGTCTCGAACTCCTGACTTCAAGTGATCTGCCTGCCTTGGCCTCCCAAAGTGCTGGGATTACAGGTGTGAGCCACCGCACCTGGCCGACCCACATAACGTTGAAGGTGTGTAACATCTTGAAGCCAGACATCCTCTTTCCATATGAAGACAGTCACTTATCTCTTGACTGCTTAGGGGTGATGGAGGAAGTGTACCCTAGTGGACCAGACCATAAAAGTGAACCTGTTAAAAATTCTAAAGCCAAGATCTTCACTGATGGGCACAGCTATATGCTGGAGGGACAGTGGAGGGCAGGATAAGCTATGGTCCTTCTCAGTGGGGTTGCAGAAGCTGGTGCTCATCCACCAAGATGCTATTTGTATCTGTAATAAACAAGCCCAGGTGGCAGTAATCCATTGCTACAGCCACCAGAAGGGTGTTGTTGAAGTAGTTAAAGAAAATAATAAAGCTGATCTCCTGTCAAATCATGTGGCTTTAGGGAAGATCACTTTTCAAATGCCACTTTTTCCTCCCCCCCCATGCCAATCCTACTTTTTTACCCCACTTTACTCTCGAAAGGAATGGGAAACCGCCTCCAAATGGGGATATACCAAAAGTCTTACCATCCAGGAGGGTTAATCAACCCTCATGGACAACTTTTCCCAGAAGCAGTTGCATTGCAGGCTGTTAAAAAGCCCATACAAATGCTCACTTTTGTCAGGAGGCCCTGTGTAACTGGCTTTTCCAGAGCATGACTGTCCCAAACTTCAGGGAGCTAATCAAAGAGGCGGTTGAGACTTGCTCCACCTGCTATGTTAATAACCCTAACATCCACCCCACAGGGGAGTGCAGAGGGGGCCATTCAGCTGGTCCAGTACCAAAGTAGATAACCAGGGAAAGATTGACAAATTGATTCCGCAGTTATGTCCAGAGCCTTGGTACCTCCTGGTCCTCACTGATAGCTTTTCTGGATGGGTAGAATTTTTGCCACCCTCACTGAGATGGCACGTGAGGTAGCAAAGGTGCTGTTAAAGGAAATTGTTCCCAGATTCAGGTTGCCTCAGTCAATCCAAAGTGATACCAGACCAGCATTCATATTTTCCATTACTGAGGGTACTTCTTGGGACCTAGAAATAAAACGGTGCTCACATGTCCCCTGGAGACCACAGTCTTCCAGTACAGTGGGCTAGCCAGACCCTTGAAAGAACCTTAGTTAAATTACGCCAGAAAACTCATCTCCCATGGATTTCATTACTCTCCATGGCACTGTTAAGAATAAGAATAGCTCCAAAAGGAAAGATCAAACTGAGCCCTTACAAGCTGATATATCGCCAATGGGTCCCAGTCTGGCTAGGTGACCAGGAGGTCCTCAGAGCTGTGGGGAAAAAATATGGTATGCCACCCAAATTGGAGGAGTAATGAAGGCCCTTCAGGCCTATGGAAATCAATCATTACTTTCGCCATCTGACATAACCCTCCATCCTTTCCAACTCAGGGATTGGGTTTACTTAAAAACCTAGAGAGAAGGGGAACCGCAGTCATTTAGAACCTAAATGGAAGGGCCCATATCTTGTGGTTCTCACAAAAAAATTCTGCCTTAAAATTACAGGGAGTTTGCCGGGCACAGTGGCTCATGCCTGTAATCCTAGCACTTTGGGAAGCCGAGGCAGGCAGATCGCTTGAGCTCAAGAGTTCAAGACCAGCCTGGGTAATATGGTGAAACCCCCATCTCTACTAAAAATACAAAAAAATTAGCCAGGCATGGTGGCGCACGCCTGTAGTCCTAGCTACTTGGAGGGCTGAGGTGGGAGGATCCATTGAGCATAGGAGGCGGAGGTTGAAGTGAGCCGATATCACACCACTGCACTCCAGCCTGGGCAACAAAACGAGACTCTAGTTCAAAAAAGAAAAAAAAAATACAGGGAGTGACGCCTTGGATACACCACATCTGGGTCAAGGCAGCCATGGAACCTAAGGAAAAAAGCCGCATGTACCCAGCTAAACCACTCTCAGATCTAAAATTCCTGTTGAAAAAGACAGACTTATCCCCAGCCAGATGAGCAACCTTAGGCCTACATGCATTTCCTGCCAGGACTTAGTCTATTAGCCTTGCTTATAGGTATTCTCATCTTACTCCATCAAGAACCTACCCCTTATTTAGGGATTTGCCTCCTCCTATCAGTCACTACCATATTCACCTTAAACCTCATCTGTGCACACCTGGGAACTACAGCGCAGTGGTGCATTTATCAACATGCCCTGTTCTTCCTATTGCTATGGGTTGAGATATGGGGAGAGTTATCAGAATAATGGAGTGAAAATAACCTTGTTAAAATTATAGCTATTATAGCTAAAGGTTCATTAACTGCTGGATTTCCCATCTACACCCCTAAGCCCAATCTCCTTGGCCCATAGCTTGATCAACAGCCTGACCAATAACTGTGATCAATCATCTAACTTTAATCCATCTTGCCTGGACCCACCTGAAGTCCCATTAGTGATCTTCCTGGAACAAGACTTTTTATTATCTTGGCCTTGTGTAAACCTCACTGGCAATGGAATCTGGGTCAGTCTCCCTTTAACCTGTCAAAAGGATGGCTATATTAAAGTAATCTATGATCAGGCCAAGTGTTTATACCAATTTAACCCTTCCAGGGCCCTGTAGCTTCTACCCTTGATTTCTTGGCCCTGTCTCCTAAATTTCTGGTCTTGTTTGTGTCTAAGCAAACTGAGGTCGTACAACTACAAATGACAGTTACTCAGGGATATAAACATCTGGGCTTGCACCCAGGAGATAACCAGTCCTAGCTAAGACCAGCTAGGGAAAAAATTCACCCTTCTAATGGGCCCTATATCAACACCCAAATTCAGCTTGAAGAAGCTATAGAAGACAGACCTTGGCCTGTCAGCACCCTTCAAGAATGAGGAGTGAATATAAAGATAGGGGAGATTTGTTACCCAGTGTAATGCCTACATGACAGCTGGATTTCTACCCCACTCTGACTGCTTATCTTTAAGAAATAGGATGTCTACCTTAAAAAGTTCCCTTTGTAACCAGACCAGCTGAGACTGTCTAAAACCAAGATAGCTGACCGAATGACTTCAAAAAGACCTCAGGCTTCATTATAATCTCATTCCCATGCTAAATAACAATTCTCAACAGTGCCATAACCATTGACAACCACCATGAAAACAACTGGAAGAAGCCATAAAAGGAGAGAAAGGAAAGCAGCACTCCAGTTCTGAGAAGATCACTGCCCATTTCTGGAAAAGGCACTTTTAAGGCTGAACCCCTTCATTATAGAAACCCTATATTTTAACCCCCTCTTCCCTACTAGCAGATAAGTTGATTTATGAGCCACACTCCCACTTCTCCATTGTTTGGCCATCAAATAAAGCTTACTCTGCTTGACACTCACTTTCAGTGAGTGTACTGGCTCAGTGTCACCCAACAAGAAAATATTCTATCTTTTAGGGTTACTGAGTTTACTGGTAACATAAGAGTCTCATGGCAAAAAGCCAAGAAAATGTCCCTCATAGCTCCAGCAGATGGAAAGGAAAAGTAACTCTTTCCTGAGTTACTGAGAAATAACTGAGAATTGTATATTAAAGATTCAAATGGAAAAAGTAGTCAACTTGCAAGAGCAAATGCATAATGTGAGCAGAAATATGGAAACTATAATATACATGTAAAAAATGCTAGCAATCAAAGCACTGTAATGGAACTGAAGTGTGCCTGTGATGGAATCATCTGTAGATGGAACATGGTTGAAGAAAGAATTACTGATCTTGAAGGCATGTCAACAGAAGCTACTCAAACTAAAATGCAAAAAGAACAATGGGAAAAACACAATAGAACATTTGAGAATTGGTGGACAAAGTTAAAAGCTGTCATATACACATAGTTGGAATACAAGAAAACAAAGAGACAATGGAGCAGAAGAAATATTTGAAATAATAGTTATCAAGAGTTTACAAAATTAATGACAAACACCAAACCATGGATATTAGAATAAATACTAAAAAATTCACATTTAGGCATACCATATTAAAATTGAGAGAACCAAAGACAGAGAATATTCTGAAAGAAGAAAGAGAGGAAAAAGCATGCTAGCTATAGAGGAACACGGATCAGAATTACACTGGACTTTTCATCAGAAATCACGCAAGCAAGTACAAGAAGAGAGTAGAATGAAACATGTAAGATAGTGAATGAAGCTGGGTGGGGTGGCTCACACCTGTAATCCTAGTACTTTGGGAGGCAGACCAAACCTCGAGCTCTTCATCTCTAGAGTCTCAGAAGCAAAGAATGGGTATACAACTGAAAAAGTATCTGAAAAGTTCATGTCATTACCCTTTCTAAATTTGGAAAAATACACAAGTATATGAGTTCACGATGCTAAGAAAACCTCCAGAAGGAAAAATTCAAAGAAATCCATACCCAGTTACATCACAATCCATTTATTTGAAAACTAAAGGGCTGGGCATGGTGGCTCACGCCTGTGATCCCAGCACTTTGGAAGGCCAAGTTGGGTGGATCACTTGAGGTCAGGAGTTTGAGACCAACCTGGCTAATGTGGTGAAACCCCATCTCTACTAAAAATGCAAAAATTAGTTGGGTGTGGTGGCAGGCACCTGTAATCCCAGCTACTTGGGAGGCTGAGGAAGGAGAATCACTTGAACCCGGGAAGCGGAGGTTGCAGTGAGCCAAGATTACTCCATTGCACTCCAGCCTGGGCGACAAGAGGGAAATTCAGTCTCACAAAAAAAAAAAAAAAAAAAAAGAAGGCAGGGCGCGATAGCTCACGCTTGTAATCCCAGCACTTTGGGAGGCCAAAGAGGGTGGATCACGAGGTCAGGAGATCGAGAACATCCTGGCTAATATGGTGAAATCCCATCTCTACTAAAAATACAAAAAATTAGCCAGGCATGGTGGCAGGCGTCTGTGGTCCCAGCTGCTCAGGAGGCTGAGGCAGGAGAATGGTATGAACCCGGGAGGCGGAGCTTGCAGTGAGCCAAGATCGCACCACTGCATTCCAACCCAGGCGACAGAGCAAGACTCCGTCCCCACTCGCCAAAAAAAAAAAAGGAAAAGGAAAGAAAAGAAAAAGAAAACTACAGATGTAGAAAAAGGTCTTGAAAATACCGTGGATTTCTATGTGAAACCATGGAGATCAGAAGGAAGGGGAACGCCAGTGAAAATATCTTTCAGAAATAAAGGTGAAAGACATACATTCCCACCTAAAAGAAGTGATAAAGGAAGTTCCACAGACAGAATGGAAGGAAGATAAAAACAGAAGGAAATGTGCAGCATCACCAATTAGACAAGAGTAGTATAAAGATTTAAGGAATAAACCACACACACACACTCACACACAAACACACACACACGAACCAATCTAAAAGAGCTGCCAAGGGCCAAAGCTGAAGTAACTTAAACAACAAAATAAATTTCACATGTGTTAATTTATAACCCAAAAGATAAAATAAGTATCCATGAGTCCATACTGATATAAATGTATGCTTGAATAAATTAACAAATGAGGAGAAAAAGACAAATCTTATGCATAAAAGAATTTTATTTAATAAATGTAGAAAAATATATGACAACAGAAAACCACCACTAAAATACCACAGTAAAAAATGCTGCAGGCAAGACTCATGATACATGATAAAATTCCTGGGTGAGACTTTAAAAAGAAATAGAATAACAGGTTATTCACATGGCCTCGAATAATTTTCACTAAAAAATGTATCAGTTAATGTGGTTATTTTAATATATGTCCATACATACTTTCATATCATTCCCTCCAATAAGTGAAACTTAGTTCCTAGTCATTGAGTGTGGTCTGGAGTTAGTGGTTTCCCTCTACCAAATGGAAAGAGAAAATAGTAACTTTACAGTCAAGAATCCAGCAGACATCATCCTATGTGATTCAGCTTAATATTAGCAATAGATAAAGTTGATAACACATACATTCTAATATGATATGGTGAGAAGGACACCTGACTTCCATGTTATTCTTCCCCAAAATCCATGGCCAAAGCATAATCATGAGAAAACATCAGATGAATATAAGTGGGTAGATATTCTTCAAAATGCCTCACTTGGACCCTTCAAATGTGTCACAGTCACATAGGAGAAGTGCAGACTGAGAAACTGTCACAGATGGGGGCTAAGAAGAAAGGGTGACTGACGCAGTGTGTATCCTTGATTAGACTCCGAAATGAAAAAAGACATTAGCAAAAGAATACAAAGTGGATGAAATATGTATACAGTTTTTAGTTTTGTTATTAGTATTTCACCAATATTAAGTTCTTAGTTTGGGTAAATGTGGCATGATTATGTAAGATGCTAGCCTTAGGGGAAACGCGGTGAAGGGTGTACTCAAATTCACTGTACTATCGTTTTCACTCTTCTGTAAGTCTAAAATTATTTCAAAATAAAAAAATTAAAATTGCAAACATTGTCAGATTGGATATAAAAAGCAAGATTCAACCATATGTTACTTATGAACATAATACTTTTTTTTTTTTTGAGACCGAGTTTTACTCTGTCTCCCAGGCTGGAGTGCAGTGGTGCAATTTCAGCTCACTGCAATCTCTGCCTCCTAGGTTCCAGCAATTCTTGTGCCTCAGCCTCCCAAGTAACTGAAATTACAGGCATGATCCACCACGTCCGGCTAATTTTTGTATTTTTAGTAAAGACAGGGTTTCAATATGTTGGCCAGGCTGGTCTCAAACTCCTGACCTCAAGCAATCAGCCTACCTCGGCCTCCCAAAGTGCTGGGATTACAGGCCTGAGCCACCACAACTGGCCCAAACATAATACTTTAAATATAATGACATAAATAAGTTAAAAGGAAAGGATGGAAAAATATAGATTCCATGCTAGTACTAAGTAAAACAAAACTGTGGTGCCTATTTCAATATTGGACAAAGTCGATTTCAGAGGAAAGAAAACTTCCAGAAGATAATTTTACAAATACAAACATAAATACAAATATAAATATACTATTTATCCAGAAAACAAATTAACCCAAGATGAGAATCTGCAAGAGGACATGCATAAAACTATATTTATAATTGACAATTTCAATATTTTTCTCTGAATAATTGATGGAAAAAGCAGACAGACAAATATCCAAAGTACAAAAAGCATTGAATAACATTATAAACCAAATTGACCTACCTGACATTTATATAACATGTCGTCAAATAACACCAACATTTCTATTATTTCCCAAAACACATTTAACATGTGCAAGGGTCCTTGTTCTGGGCCATTAAAAAAAAAAAAAAAACAGGATTCAAGAAGTACAAAGTATGGTTATTCTCTGACCTCAAGGGAATTAAATTAAGAATTCACAATATTCCCTACTCTTTTTAAAAGTAAATCCCACACTTCTAAATAACCATGGGCCACACCAAACAAATATCAATGGGGAAAAATCAAAATGTATGGGATATCATTCAAGAAGTCTTTGGGAGGAATATTATAGAACTAAGTGCCTATATTATGAATAAGAAGGGTCTCAAATCAATGACCTTAGCTTAGGAATACAAAAAAGGAATAGCAAATTATACACTTAGAAAGTAGAAAAAATGAAATAATAAATGTCATGAAGAACACTGAAAAACAATAGAGAGTGTCAATGAAACAACAAAAAAAGAAAAACCTGGTTTCTTGAAAAATTAAGAAAATTGGTAATTATCTAGTCAAACTGCTCAGGATCAAATCAGAGAAGGATCAAATAATATTACCAATATCAATAATGAGGAAGGCAGCAGCACTAAAGGTTAAAAATTATTAACCGGATCGTAATGAAATAAAATGAATAAACTTCACAATTAAGAGATGGACAAAGTCCTAGGGTGACAAAAACTAGTAAACCCTATTCAGTATATGTATATATATATATGTATATATCCATTAAATAAGAAGAATTTTTAGTTAAAATAATTCCGACTAAGGAAACTGTTAGAGATCAATAAGAGAGAGATATCTGTAAGGTTTTTGTAACATTTGAAAATTGATTAATGTAACCCATATTAGTAACAAAGTAACAAAGAAAAAAAATCATCCCAGTAGGGCAGAAAAACACGATACTTAACGGTGAAAGCTTGCATCATTTCTCATAATATAATAGTGGTGAAATAATAATTTTTTTAACAGGGTGAACTTGATTCATAACTAATATTTTATACAAAATTTTATCAAAAATAGATAATTATGAATGTACTATGTGCATTGTAATTGTACCCAAATATTCAAGCTAAAACTACAAAATCTCTCAAGGAAAACATAGGAGATATTCTTTGAGACTTTGGGCTAGCAAAATATTTTTTAGCTATGGCATCAAAAGGCAAAATACATTAATGTACACATTGTTGAATTTTATCAAAATAGAAACATTCTGCTCTCAAAATATACTGCTAAGGGAATGAAAAGGCCACAAATTGGAATAAAATATTTGCAAAGCACATTTCACCAAAGATTATATGTTCATGATGAGAAGCACACGAAGGGTTGTTCAATATCATTAGCCATAAGGTGAATACAATCAAACTTCGAATGAAATGCCACTACTATCCTATTAAAATGGCTAAAATTAAGAAAATTGACTGTATCCACTGTTTGTAAGAATGTGGAGGAAGTAGAACTCTCATTCATTTCTGTTGGATTTAAAATTTTACAATAACTTTGAGAAAAAAAATTTTTTTTAGTTTCTTTAAGAGTTAAAAATTCACCCACCATATGATCCAGCCATTTGATTTCTAGTAAGAGAAATAAAGACATTTTTCCATACAGAGTATTTTACATGAATGTTCTTAGCAATTTTATTTGTAATAGCTCCAAAGTGGAAACAATCAAAACCTCATCAATAGAAAAATGGCAAACAAACTGTGGTATATTTCTACAATGAAATACTGCTCAGCAATAAAATGAATAACTCTTAGTATATGCTATGACATGAAAGAGTCTTAAAATAACTATGCTGAGTTAAAGAAGCCAGATAAAAAAGATTAAGCACTGTAGGATTTCATTATATAAAATTCTAGAAAATGCACACTACTCAATTGTGGCAGAGAGCAGATCGCTGGTTACTGAAAAAGTAGGATAGAGTGGGTGGGGGAGAAATTACAGAGGGGCATGAGGAAGCATGTGGGGGTGGCGAACATGTTCATTATCTTGATGGGGGTAATGGTTGCATGGATTTATATGTCAAAAGTTGTCAAATTATACACATTAAATATGTGCAGTTTATCATATATCAATTACACCTCAATAAAGCTGTTAAAAATAAGCTCTGGAGCTTCACCTGTGGGAAGTGTCAGTGGTGAAGAAAGTAAGACACAGGAAAGTCAAGGTTTTCAATGGTATATATTAAACAGCATCTATGCCTGTTTATCTCTGCCCTGTAATGAATGAACAGGGTTCCAATGCCCCTAAGGGAGATGTGTGGTTCTAGACCCTTATGTTCTATGAATAGTAAAGTCTCTTATCTGTTGGGAACAGGCCCTCAAATCTGGCCATAAACTGGCCCCAAAACTGGTCATAAACAAAATCTCTGCAGCACTCTGACATGTTCGTGATGGCCATGATGCCCACGCTGAAGGTTGTGGGTTTACTGGAATGAGGGCAAGGAACACCTGGCCCACCCCGGGTGGAAAACCGCTTAAAGGCGTTCCTAAGCCACGAACAATAGCATGAGTGATCTGTGCCTTAAGGACATGTTCCTGCTTCAGATAACTATCCAGAGCCCATCCCTTTGTTTCCCTTAAGGAATACTTTTAGTTAATCTATAATCTATAGAAACAATGCTTACCACTGGCTTGCTGTCAATAAATATGTGGGTCAAACTCTGCTCGGGGCTCTCAGCTCTGAAGGCTGTCAGCCCCCTGATTTTCCACTCTGCACTCTGTATTTCTCTGTGTGTGTGTCTTTAATTCCTCTAGCACCACTGGGTTAGGGTCTCCATGACCAAGCTGGTCTTGTCAAGGGGTGCCCATACCTGGGGCTGGAACCCGGGTCGAAGGGTTGCTGGAGCGATGGTTGGAGAAGGTGGAACTAAGCTGGAGGACACCCGAGTACTCTTAAGCAATCCCCATGGTGAGTAAGAAGGGGAGCTTGGAAGCATCAGGGTAACAATGGGACAAGTGTGGGATCTGGTTCGTTCCACCTGGGAACCTTTTCACACTGATGAGGAGGAGGAAGGAAAGTATAACTAAGTAAAAGAAGAGGTAACAGAGAAGGTTTGTTTCCCAGCTAAAGCTAAAGCGGCAAAGGAGGAAGAGATTCATCCCTACCCTTCTGCACCCCCTCATTATTTTGAAGAAAAAGAGTGGCCTGACCCTCCAGATCTTTCTTTTCCGGAGGACACGGGGTGAAAGGTGCCCCAGTGACTGTTTGAGCAGTGCCTCGAGTACCGCTCTCAGTTCTATTCAGGCAGGAATCCAGCAAGCTAGATGTGAGGGTGATATAGAGGCTTGGCAGTTCCCTTTTGGGATACACCCCCCAGATCAACAGGGAAATATTATAGCTACATTTGAGCCTTTTCCTTTTAAAATACTTAAAGAATTTAAGCAAGCCCTTAATCAATATGGACTATGTTCTCCTTTTGTAATGGGACTGTTAAAGAATGTTACTGTCTCCGGTCAGATGTTGCCAGTGGGGGCAATAGGATTACGTCTAGGTATATATAGTTTAAATTTATTTATTTATTTATTTTTGAGAGGGAGTCTCACTCTGTCACCCAGGCTGGAGTGCAGTGGTGCAATCTCGGCTCACTGCAAGCTCCACCTCCTGGGTTCACACCATTCTCCTGCCTCAGCCTCCACAGCAGCTGAGACTACAGGCACCCGCCACCACACCCAGCTAATTTTTTGTATTTTTAATAGAGACAGGGTTTCACCGTGTTAGCCAGGACGGTCTCTATCTCCTGACCTTGTGATCCGCCCATCTCGGCCTCCCAAAGTGGTGGGATTACAGGCGTGAGCCACAGTGCCTGGCCATCAAGGTTAAATTTAAAAGGAGCACAAATACATACAGGAGTAATTGATTCAGATTACAATGGGGAAATTGAAATTGTTATATCTACTGTTCCCTGGAAAGCAGAGCCAGGAGAGCATATAGCACAGCTCCTGATTGTGCCGTATGTGGAAATGGGGAAAAGTGAATTAAATGAACAGGAGGATTTGGAAGCACAAATCAACAAGGCAAAGCAGCTTATTGGGTGAATCAAATTACTGATAAATGTCCTACCTGTGAAATAACTATTCAGGGAAAGAAATTTAAAGGTTTGATACATACAGGAGCAGACATTTCAATCATTTCTCTACAGCAATGGCCGTCCACGTGGCCAATTCAATCCACTCAATTTAACAGAGTTGGAGTTGGTAAAGCCCCTGAAGTATATCAGAGTAGTTATATTTTGCACTGTGAAGGGCCCAGTGGACAAACTGGGACTATTCAACCAATTGTAACTTCTGTACCTATAAATTTATGGGGGAGAGATTTATTACAACAATGGGAAGCACAAGTTCTAATTCCAGAACAATTATATAGCCCTGAAAGTCAACATATGATGCATGAAATGGGGTGTGTCCCTGGTATGGGACTAGAAAATATTTGCAAGATTTGAAGGAACCACTTCAAGTGGAAAGACAAAGTTCCCGCCAAGGTTTAGGGTATCATTTTTGATGGCAGACATTGTTAAGCCTCCAGAACGTATACCTTTAAAATTGTTAACAGATAAGCCAATTTGGATAGAACAATGGCTGCTAAGTAAAGAGAAACTGGAGGCTTTAGAGGACTTAGTTACTGAACAATTAGAAAATGGACACATAGCTCCAACATTTTCCCCTTGGAATTCTCCAGTTTTTGTAATTAAGAAAAAATCAGGTAAATGGAGAATGTTACCTGACTTAAGAGCCATTAATTCACTTATACAACCTATGGGGACATTACAGCCAGGATTGCCTTCTCCTGCTATGATTCCGAAAAAATGGCCTTTCATAGTCATAGATTTAAAAGACTGTTTCTTTACTATCCCCTTGGCTGAGCAAGACTGTGAACAGTTTGCATTTACAAAACCTGCAGCCTGCTAAGCGTATTCATTGGAAAGTGTTACCACAAGGCATGTTAAACAGTCCAACAATTTGCGAGATGTTTGTAGGGCAAGCAATTGAACCTACTCATACAAAATTTTCACAGTGTTACATTATTCAGTATATGGATGATATACTTTGTGCTGCCCCCACTTGAAAAATATTACTCTAATGTTATGATCACTTGCAAAATTTGATTTCTCATGCTGGTTTAATTATAGCTCCTGACAAAATTCAGACTACTACTCCTTACTCCTACTTGGGGACCTTAGTAAATGACACTACCATTGTGCTACAGAAAGTAACCATACGTAAGGATCAATTGAAAACATTAAATGACTTTCAAAAATTACTAGGGAACATTAGTTGGATACGACCTGCTCTAGGCATTCCTACCTATGCCATGAGTAATCTATTTTCTATCCTTAGAGGAGATCCTAGTCTCACTAGTCCTTGACAATTAACAAAAGAGGCTGAGGCAGAGTTACAGCTGCTTGAAAAGCAAGTCCATAAGGCTCAAATAAATAGAACAGATCCAGAGAAGACTCTAGATTTGCTAATTTTTTCAACTCATCATTCACCCACTGGTGTTATTGTCCAAGAGCAGGACTTAGTAGAATGGCTTTTTCTTCCACATGCTAATTCATGGACTCTAACTCCTTATTTGGATCAAATCACTACTATGATAGGAAATGGGAGAACTCAGATTGTTAAATTACATGGATATGATCCTGGATAAATTATAGTCCCTCTCATAAAGACACAAATACAGCAAGCTTTTATAAACAGTCTTACTTGACAAACCCATTTAGCTGACTGTGTGGGTATTCTAGATAATCATTTTCCTAAAATGAAACTGTTTCAATTTTTGAAATTAACTAATTGGATTCTCCCTAAAATTACTAAATTTAAACCAATTGAAGGTGCTGAGAATGTTTTTACAGATGGGTCTAGTAATGATAAAACTTCTTATTCTGGCTCAAAAGGTAAAGTTTTTCAGACACCCTATACTTCAGCTCAGAAAGCAGAGCTTGTAGCTGTAATTGAGGTATTTACTGCTTTTAATATACCTATTAATGTGTTTCTGATTCTTCATACATGGTTCATTCCACACAATTAGTTGAAAATGCTCAGTTATGATTTCATACAGATGAACAACTGATGACTTTATTTACCCAATTGCAAACAGCAGTCTGGAGTAGAATGCACCCTTTTTACATCACTCACATTAGGGCTCATACACCTCTTCCAGGACCTTTAACTGAAGGGAATCAAATGGCTGATCGCCTAGTTGCTACTGCAATATATAATGCCAGACACTTTTACAATTTAACCCATGTTAATGCCTCTGGTCTCAAACACAGATACAGCATTACCTGGAAAGAAGCTAAAGCTATTATCCAGCAATGCCCAATTTGCTAAATGGTACATTCCTCATCTTTCACAGGAGGAGTTAATCCTCGAGGATTGGAACCTAATTCTCTTTGGCAAATGGATGTCACACATGTTCCCTCATTTGGAGACTAGCTTATGTACATATATTTGTGGACACCTTTTCTCACTTTGTCTGGGCTATGTGCCAATCAGGAGAGTCTTCTGCCTGTGTTAAACATCATCTTTTGCAGTGTTTTGCAGTGATGGGCATTCCAGCTTGTATTAAAACAGATAATGCCCCAGGCTATACTAGCAAAGCTCTTGCTACATGTTTCTCTATATGGAATATTAAACACATTACTGGTATCCCATATAATTCTCAAGGACAAGCAATAGTGGAATGAATGAATCTCTCCCTGAAACAGCAGTTGCAAAAGCAAAGTGGGGGGAAACAGGGACTGTGGGACACCCCATATATGCAATTGAATCTAGTATTATTGACTTTAAATTTTTTGAGCCTGCCTAAAGGCCAGATGCTATCAGCAGCTGAACAACATCTACAGAAACCAGCTGCAAAGACAGAAGCAGAACAACTGGTTTAGTGGAGAGACCCGATAACAAAAAGTTGGGAAATAGGTAAAATAATAACTTGGGGTAGAGGTTATGCTTGTGTTTCTCCAGGCCAAAACCAGCAGCCGATTTGGATACCATCAAAACACCTGAAACCTTATCATGAGCCAGATGCTGAGGAAGAGATTCCAGGAGGATTCTGAGGACCCCCTGGTTGCAGCCATGTCGAGACTGATGCTGAGAAGGACCCCAACTGTCATGAGCAACATCTGTCAAACACAGCCACCTATCTGGGGACAGATCAAGAAGCTGTCACAGATGGTGGAAGAAAACCTGAGGAAAGTGGGACAACCAGTCACAACGAGTAATTTAATTGTAGCTATGATAGCGGTGATCACCACTGCCATGAGTATTCCTTCAATGAGGGCTGACACAGAGAACAATTATACTTATTGGGCATATTTATCAATCTTGAATGGCAATAATGCCTGGATGTAATCACTCTATAACACAGTTACACATGCTTTCTGATCTCAGTATTTACCATAATAAATCTGCTCCTATAATTGAGGGATACCACCCTCAAAAACCTATTTGTAAACAGAATTGGACCTGACCAGAAATAATGAACGTGCTTGTTTGGGAAGATTTCATTGCAGAACAGGCAGAGGTGCTGGCAACGAATCCTATGGAATCATTATTGATTGGTCCCCTAAGGGGATGTTTAGCTTGAATTGCACCTCTCAGTCTGCGTCCCACGACCACACTATGTTCAGCTGGTCTAAACAAAATGGTCAGATGGTAGAAATGGTAAGAAACACGGCAAGAGTTCCTATTATCTGGAAACATGGCAGTATAGTGGCACCTCAACTTCAAATGATATGGCCCACTGTAGGAGCTAAACATAAGAATTTGTGGAAACTATTAATGGCACTTAATAAGATCAAAATTTGGGAAAGAATAAAAAATCATATAGAAGGACACTCTACAAACTTGTCTTTAGATACTGCAAAATTAAAAGAACAAATATTTAAAGCATCCCAGGCACACCTGACCATTATGCCAGGAACTGGAGTGCTTGAAGGAGCTGCAGATGGATTAGCAGCTAGTAACCCAATAAAATGGATAAAAACACTTGGAGGCTCTGTGATTTCAATGATGATTGTGCTTTTAATCTGTGTTGTTTGTCTTTGTATAGTCTGCAGATGTGGATCCCAATTCCTGCAAGAAGTAGCTCACTGTGATAAGGCTGCCTTTGTCCTTTTATCATGTTGCAAAAGCAAAAAGGGGGAATGTGTTGGGAACAGGCCCCCAAATCTGGCCATAAACTGGCCCCAAAACTGGCCATAAACAAAATCTCTGCAGCACTGTGGCATGCTCCTGATGGCTATGATGCCCACGCTGAAGGTTGTGGGTTTACCAGAATGAAGGCAAGGAACACCTGGCCCACCCAGGGTGGAAAACAACTTAAGGAGTTCCTAAACCACAAACAATAGCATGAGCGATCTGTGCCTTAAGGAAATGTTCCTGGGACAGATAACTAGCCAGAGCCCATCCCTTTGTTTCAGCCCATCCCTTTGTTTCCCATAAGGAATACTTTTAGTTAATCTATAATCTATAGAAATAATGCTTATCACTGGCTTGCTGTCAATAAATATGTGCGCCAAACTCTGTTCAAGGTTCTCAGCTCTGAAGGCTGTCAGCCCCCCGATTTCCCACTCTGCACTCTATATTTCTGTGTGTGTGTCTTTAATTCCTCTAGTGTCGCTGGGTTAGGGTCTCCATGACCAAGCTGGTCTTGGCGCTTCTCAGCTTTCCTTTGAGGGTACAAACTTCTGTCCAAAGGAGCCTACAGTAAGCATCAAATAGAGGAAGCTAGAATACCAGGAAGCAGGGTGGATAAATTCAAGTCATCTTATCAGAGCCTGTGTTACAATAAAAAATTTACCTGATCTTTGTCCTAAGTTCCTTGCTTATAACCTTTGGAATTTCTTGAGTGATAGGAGTGTCTTTGCTATGCTAATAAGGTAACTCATGATGGATCAATACAAAACTTTAAAATGGGGCTGGTCACAAGACTAAATATATGATTACAGAGTTGGGACTTCAGTTGCCTGACCTTCTGAGTAGTAAGGGGACCTGGTGGCTGAGTTCAATCACATGGCTCATGATTTAAGCAATCATGCCTACATATGAAGCCCCAGTAAAAACTCTGAACAATGTAGCTCAGTGGAGATTCCTGGTTTTTGTGAACAAATGGATGGTCCTAGAGAGTGGCATGCCCTGATCCCACATGGAGAGGTCATAAATCTCTGCTGTTCCTCCAAGACCCCCTCCCAAACATGTTTCTTTTCTAAGAAAGTGATAATCATAAGTACAGCACTTTCAGTGAGTTCTGTTAGTCAGTATAGCAAATTATTAAATCTACTAGGGTCATGGGAATCTCCAAATATGTAGGTAGTTAGTTGGAAGTGTGGGTGTCCTGAGGGCCCCTGAAGTACAGCTGGCATTGGAAGAACATTCTTGTTGGGGGTCACACACTTCAGCTTGTAGGATCTGCACTAAATTTGTGTGATTACTGTAAGATTTGAATTATGGTACACCCAGTTGGACCATAATTCAACAAAGTAGAAATGACGCAATAAACTTAAAGCAGAATGGAGCTCATTTATTTCCCTAATTGACACATTAGTAATAACTGGGGGGGGGCATATAAGGCCATGATTATAAAAATTATTTCACATAATTTTATGTAATTATAAAAAATTAATCCCTGACAACATCAGCAGGTGGAAGCAACTAACAAGTCTGATCCAACTGGGGATGATGGGGTCCCATCTTAATGAACCTAAGAGCCTTCCATATTCCAAAAGCTGGTACCTGAATGCATGCTCCTGACTTTTCAATGGATAAGTGGGATTTGAGGCTATTTTTCATGAGACTCCAGAATATAGCCACCTGAACCTAACAATATTGAAACAGCAAACATCCTTTCTCTTGAGACCAGCCTATTGTGGATCAATATGACTGTGCTGTACCAGTAACCAGGAAGTTAGGAGAAACGCTAGAATTGGACTTTATTTAGCAGTCTTTTCCAGCCTCATTGACTATGAATGTGAAAAACCCTGTGGTTACTTAGAAATCCCACAGTACTCTATGCCATTTGTGAAGATCCTTGTGAAGATGGGTAGAGATTGGAGTTATTTTGCTACCAGTCAAGGAATGCCAGAAGCCTCTAGATGGCAGGAAGGGCAGGAACAGATTCTCCCTTAAAGCCTTTGGTAGGAGCATGGCCAAACCAACACCTTGATTTAAAACTTCTGGCTGCCAAATCTACAAGAGAATACACTCCTGTTATTTTATGCCACCCAATTTGTGGTGATTTTTTATGGCAGCCTTAGGAAACAAATATGGGAGAAATGTTTTAATTTCAGAAAATGTACTGGTTTCAGTGTGCAAAGTAAACTGCAGTGAATAAACTAGTGAGAAGGCACAGAGGGTGTCCACGGTGGTGATCCAATTGTGAAAGAGCGGTGGAATATAGTCGTGGATGGCAGTAAGTGGCTTACAGAAGGTGAGAATTATGTGATTATCTAGATATGAAGGATACAGGAGAATCAGTGGTGTCCTCTTTTCTTCCTCAGGACCCTGGGTGGACAGCTATGCCATGTACTGTGAGGTAGGGAACACACTGGCAGCAGAAGGTTTCAGGCAGACACTGATGAAGTAGAGTAAAATGTTGAATTTAAAACTCAGACTGGGTGTGGTGGCTCATGTCTGTAATCCCAGCACTTTAGGAGTCTGAGGCAGGTGGATTAGTTGGGTCCAGCAGTTCAAGACAAGTCTGGGAAACATGGTAAAACTCCATCTCTAAAAATATGAAAATTTAGCCAAGCGTGGTGGCACACACCTGCAGTCCTGCTACTCAGGAGGCGGAGGTGGGAAAATAACCTGAGCCTGGGGGATTGAGGCTGCAGTGAGCTGAGATTACACCATTGCACTCAAGCCTGGGCAATCAGAAGGAGACTCTGTCTCAAAAATAAAATAAAATAAAATAAAATAAAATAAAATAAAACTCAAAGGCACAATGTTAAGATGACATTTAGGCAGTTGGATATCCAGTTATATAACATAAAAGAGACATCTGAGTCTGGAGAAATGAATTTTGGACTCATTTGTGTATAGATGTAAAATTCAAGCTCTGGGAGATGGTGTTGCTCAGAATACAAGGTGACAGGAACAGAAGAGGTGAGATAGGACCACCAGAAACTTCAACTTTTAGAGGATGGCTGGAGAAAGATATTTCAAAAGATCTGAAAAGGTGAAGAGAGTTCTCAGCAATCCCTGAAGTCTATGGTATACCCTGAGGACTCAGGGCTATCTGGAGGAATAGCCATGACATGGGTGGTGCATGTGTGTGTGTTGCGTATTTGCACGTGTGTGTTCCCAATATAGATAAGGAACCCAAGACTGCTTGGTAGATAATTCTATCATTAAAAGGATAACAAGAAATACGCAAACACCAGGACACACATAAATTTGACAAATTAGATTAAATGGCCAGATATGGTTTGGATTTGTGTTCCTGCCCAAATCTCACCTCTCGTGTTGGAGGAGGGGCCTGGTGGGAGGTGATTGGATCATGGGTTGGTGACTGGACTTCCTCCTTGCTGTTCTCCTGATAGTGAGTGAGTTCTTACGAGATCTGGCTGTTCAAATGTGCGTGGCACCTTCTTCTTGGCTTTCCTCCTCCTGCTCTGGTTATGTAAGATGTGCTTGCTTCCCCTTTTCCTTCCACCATGACTGTAAGTTCCCTGAGGCTCCCCAGTCATGTTTCCTGTACAGCTTGCAGAACCATGATCCAATGAAACCACTTTTCTTTATAAATTCCCCAGTCTCAGGTAGCTCTTTATAGTAATTCCAGAATGAACTAATACATGAGCCAACACCCTAAGACCACAAAGTACCAAAACCCATCCATTATGAAAAGATAATCTGAATAGGCTTACAATTAAAACAAATAGTTACAAACTATCTGAAAAAGAAAACTTCAGGCACTGATGGTTTCACTGAAAATTCCTACCAAGCATTTGAAGAAGAAATAAAAACAATTCTACACAATTTATTCCATAAAGCTGAAGAGAAGGAGGGACCAGTAGTTTTATGAGGTTATAATGTCAAAACCAGATACAGACATTACAGAAAGTGAAAACTATAGACCAATATCACTGTTGAGCATATAAATAAAAACTCTCAGCTAAATATTACCAAATTAAATTCGGTGACATGTAAAAGGAATAATACAGGACAAACTGGAACCCAACATCTTCTTGAATAGAGTTTATCTTAGAGAAGAGTGTTTAAGATGAGGCAAGCTATTTTAATATGTCCCAGAAATAGCTCCAATTGGATGGTCATAGGATAGTCTGCAAAGAGGCTTAAATCACCTGGGCCTATTGCTATGCCTGTCTCTCCTCACTCCTCTCTGCTTGTTATTTTCTGTGGTTCTCAGTTGGGGACCGCGCTGCCCATAAAAGGGCTTTTGGTGGTGTGTGGGCATGGTTCCTTTTCTCTTTTCTCCACTTTCCTGTTAGTTTTCCCATGTCTGGAGGGCATTTATGTGTGCATGTGAAGGGAGACAGCCTCTGTGGCATGTGCTATGTTCTCACACAATGAAACATTACGCCATTCTCAGATCATTAAAGAGCCCTGCTCCAGACACTCTCAGGGTGATGTGATTTATCTTCTTTACCTTCCAAACTTAACTTTCCAGTGCAGGCGTTTTTGCTGAGTTGTGTCAATCCAGATATCCGCTGGGTAAGACCGTTCGGTCTTCCCAGAATCTTCTGGTCCTTCTCTCTGCATGGTTTCAGGAAATGGCACCTGCATCTCATAGCTGCACTGTCCTGCTCAATTGGCTGCCTGAGACAGAATCCTGGATGTGCCTGTTATTCACAGTCTCCCCTCCCCTTCCATTGCTGTTTATATCTTTTGAACCTGGCATTTCTATTGAACCTCGGCTCCCTCTGTCCCACTCTTGGTGATAATATTGCTTCACAATATGCATCATAACATATGATTTGATCAGGCATTTGTTTTCTCTTTTAACGCTCTTTTTCTCCACCACTTTCCCTCAGTACAGATTACAGAGACCATGTCTCTTCTCATTGTATCCCCAGGCACAAGGCCTGAAATGTAATGTTAGTAAACAGTTGGCGAATGAAGATGAAATGCAAGCCATCACCCATTTTCACATGGAGTCCTGGGAAGGGACCCCTAATGAGACTCCCTGCCTCTGCTTGTCCACCTGCCCCAAACTCTAATCTTACTCTGTATGCAGGTGACTTTTCAGAAGACACCCTAGACTCCTTAACTATCTGAGAGAGCTGCTCCTTGGGGCTGTGCAGAACAGAAAATTCTCCCATTTCAGTGCATGCGATGGACCTTGAATGGATGAGCATGAGCAGTGGCCCCCTAGGGAGGCTGGGGATGAGGGGCCAGGGTCCAGTCCCTCCCTACACCCTCCCAACTTTGGAAAGCAGCACTGCCTGTCCTAACTTCTTAATGTTTTCTAACAAAAAAAGGGGCCCAGCTGCCATGGGTTTTTCCCTCAGACTGAGACTTTTCTGAAATGCAAATATTTCAGGCACATGACGGATATTGCTCAATATTTGCTGAACACATTAAAGTGAATTCCGTTTAAGATCCTTGGCCTGAAAGGCATTTGGGGCCCATTTAGGGGCTACAAGGTGGAGGTTGCTGCCTATGTGGACAGGGAAGAGCCAGAGGATTCACATTTCATCCAGGGCCTCTGGGCCCCTGCACTGCGAGCATGCGCACTTCCCACTAGAGGCTCTGGGGTGACCCCCCTTCCTCCGTTCACTATGGAAACCAAGGCTGGGACTGGCCTCTCCTCCTGTTCCTGGGTCTGCCAAGAACAGCCTATTCCACAGCTGTGTAATCTGTTCCGTATTACAGAGTTCGAAGTAACCCACCAGCAAAACTGTCTGCTCCAGAATATTTTAAGTTACAGCTTCTCCGTATATTTTCTGTGTCTATTCACAGAACTTCTATTTACAGAATTTTGATTTAATGAGTAGTTGAGATATATTTTTGTAGTCTTCACACTTTTCTACTAAGCTGCTGGCCCTGAGAGGACTTATTGCCCAACTCAAATAGGGGCCCCCCTGGAGACACCCAGCAAGATTTATTATCCCCATGACTCTCAGGACAGCATTAGAGCTCCATCCCAGATCTTGAGCCTTGGGTCAAGGTAGTTGTGGATGCCTTCCAAGTACTAGCTTCGTCTCATTTCTCACAGTGTCTTTGGTCCTTTTTGTTATTACTCTGAAGGTCGGAATCTCTGGTTCGTGGGCACACACCTTATTAGGCAGCCATCAAGCTACTGACCCGTCTATCCCATTGCACCTGCGCATGTGTGCTTTCCCCACTAACAGGCTATCCCAGGCTTTATTTTGTCCCACTACCCCACCTACCCAAACTTCTACTCCCAGTAATTTGATTTTGGGGGGGAATTGAACCTCTTCATTCTTCAGGAAGAAGATGATATCATTTTAGCAGGTGTACAGTTGGGCTCCAGGTCTAGCCTGTGCTTCATTTCAGACTTGTGCATCAGACCTAAGGCTTTAAGCCTTCCAAGTGTAATCTCTCAGGGTGGTCTTAATCGACAGGCCCTGGTACAGCATTGGACAACCCTTCTGTCAGAAGTGTAGTGTGTTGTGTGCTGCAGGAGAGGCCTTCTGCACAGTCTGCTTGATGCTGGCAACTTCACTAGAATGAAGTCCAGGTAGAAGTTATCCAGTCCTGCCCAGGCAGCAACTGAAGTCCAAGCAGCTCTCTGGCCAGAGCGCTGATACTCACTTCAGCAGAGCCACCTTTTATTGTTGTCATGCCCCAAGCCTGCACTTTAATTTCAAGAATCCATTACATCTCGGAGGGTGACATGTGAGAATGCAGTTTTAATGAGATCACAATGTTAAAAACCATAGCCTATGGCCAAAGCCAAGTTGAGATTTAAATAGTAGGTTCAAACACTTTTCTTATTAAAAAATATATCAAATGAACTAAATATTTTATTTCTTTATTTATTTAATGTTTGAGACAGTCTCGCTCTGTTGCCCAGGCTGGAGTGCAGTGGCATGCTCTCAGCTGACTGCAAACTCCACCTCCCAGGTTCAAGCGAGTCTCCTGCCTCAGCCTGCCAAGCAGTTGGGATTAAGGGTGCCCACCACCACACCCGGCTAATTTTTGTATTTTTAGTAGAGACGGGGTTTTGCCACGTTGGCCAGGCTGGTCTCGACCTCCTGACCTCAGGTGATCTGCCCGCCTCACCTTCCCAAAGTGCTGGGATTACAGGCGTGAGCCACCGCACCTGGCCTAAATATTTTATTTAAATAGTTAGAAAATAATACATACCCAAACAAAATAAAGAATAATATTGATGGAGATTTAAATGCAATAAATGAGGATTATATTTATGAAGCATGGGGGTAATAAGTCTGTTCAAGAGACATTCTTAAAAACAATGAATATAATTAGCATATTTCTGTAAGATGTTCCCAAGAAAATGGTAGATATCTATAAATAGAAGAAGGAGAAAAAGGAGAAGTAGATGGAGAGGAGAAGGAGGAGGTGGAGGAGGGTGAGGAGGAGGAGAAAAGTGTTGAAATAATTCCAACTAAGACTGATATCTAGGAATTACCCTGGTGAAGTGGGAAGCTTAAGAGTCCTGTTGGAGGGACTGGTGTGGTAATGGCTCTGCCAAAAGTGTTATGTGCGTGCAAACCCAAAGAGAGAAAGCACAGAAAACCTTTCAACATCAACCTGCTTGAGGAAAAATAAAGTGGGAAAAGATACATACTCACAGTGAGGACTCTAGACATGTCAAGACAATTTTTAAATATGCTTTTGGCTTCGAGTGGCAATAACTAGATTCAAGACAGCATATTTAAGAAGCTGCTGATGAGAAGAAACCCGGGAAGAGCTGAAGGACCACATCAGCCCAGACCAAGGATGCTGAAGCAGCATTAAGGTCCCTGGTTTCAGATGCTCAGGCAATGACCCTTTTTTTCATGGAGAGCCTGTAGGAGTGACAGTTTTGTCTTTGCCCACTGGGAATCTGTTTTCCATACCTGGAAAACAGGGTTACCTATGTTTCCCCTGCTACCCTTTGGTCATCTCAGAGACACTACCAGATATTACCCATGGGACCTATTTTTTTTTTAAATCTCAGGAAAGACTTGGGTGTGGCTTCCAACGTGGAGGACTCAGTAGCTTCAGAGAGGGTCCTGAGAGAAGGTGAATTGAAGAATGAGGGTGCTGGGCAGAGGGAAAAGACATTATCATACAAGTTTGTGCTAAAAGATATAGCAATCCTTCTGCTATGGACTAAGTATGGAAAAAAATAAAATGGAATCAAAGTTACCCAAAGGAAGTGTAAAACCCAAATTTATGCCCGTTAAAGCATTAATGATGCTCTAAGTCCACTGCCTACTTAAAAAGTTCATAGTTCACATGGGTTGATAGGAAATTACGTTAACGACACACTGCATTTCCCCTTTTCTTATAGCCTATCTGATTTGGTAGGGAGTCGATCATTTTTTATTGGAATTTCTCAGGATTCCAACCTCAGACATCCACTTTACAGTTTACACATTTTCTTGGACAAGCCCGACTGTTCCTCTCACTGGTTCGCATAAAGCTCATGTTTACAAAGCCGCCCAGACCTTTCTCTGGGACTCTCATATTTAACTTAATTCTGGATATACCCAGGTAAGCGTTTCCCAAGAAACTTGACCCCAACATCCCAAAAACTTAAGGTATCTTTCCCTTAAACTGGCCCCTTCTCCAGTACGCATCCATCTCACTTCTCTCCTGCCCTAGATCTTCTCAGCCCAAACAGGAAACCCCGGGATCGCTCTCCCAGCAGGTGAAGCCTCGCCATGGACCCTCCCCGTCGGGGCCCCGCGCTGCCCCGCCCGCCCCCAGCCGCTGGCCAAGGCCGCGGTCGCGCAGGCGCAGTGCCGCGTCCCGCCGCCGCCCCGCCCTGCCCGTCGCTGCGGAAGGCGCTGCGCGCAGCAACGCGCACTTCCTCTCCAGGAATCCGCGGAGGGAGCGCAGGCTCGAAGAGCTCCTGGACGCAGAGGCCCTGCCCTTGCCAGACGGCGCAGACATGTCAGAACAAAGTAAGGATCTGAGCGACCCTAACTTTGCAGCCGAGGCCCCCAACTCCGAGGTGCACAGCAGCCCTGGGGTTTCGGAGGGGGTTCCTCCGTCCGCGACCCTGGCAGAGCCGCAGAGCCCTCCTCTAGGCCCGACGGCCGCTCCGCAGGCCGCGCCGCCTCCCCAGGCCCCGAACGACGAGGGCGACCCGAAGGCCCTGCAGCAGGCTGCGGAGGAGGGCCGCGCCCACCAGGCCCCGAGCGCGGCCCAGCCGGGCCCGGCACCGCCAGCCCCGGCGCAGCTGGTGCAGAAGGCGCACGAGCTCATGTGGTACGTGCTGGTCAAGGACCAGAAGAAGATGATCATCTGGTTTCCAGACATGGTGAAAGATGTCATCGGCAGCTACAAGAAGTGGTGCAGGAGCATCCTCCGGCGCACCAGCCTCATCCTCGCCCGGGTGTTCGGGCTGCACCTGAGGCTAACCAGCCTGCACACCATGGAGTTTGCGCTGGTCAAAGCGCTGGAGCCCGAGGAGCTGGACAGGGTGGCGCTGAGCAACCGCATGCCCATGACAGGCCTCCTGCTCATGATCCTGAGCCTCATCTACGTGAAGGGCCGCGGCGCCAGAGAGAGCGCCGTCTGGAACGTGCTGCGCATCCTGGGGCTGCGGCCCTGGAAGAAGCACTCCACCTTCGGGGACGTGCGGAAGCTCATCACTGAGGAGTTCGTCCAAATGAATTACCTGAAGTACCAGCGCGTCCCATACGTGGAGCCGCCCGAATACGAGTTCTTTTGGGGCTCCCGGGCCAGCCGCGAAATCACCAAGATGCAAATCATGGAGTTCCTGGCCAGGGTCTTTAAGAAAGACCCCCAGGCCTGGCCCTCCCGATACAGAGAAGCTCTGGAGGAGGCCAGAGCTCTGCGGGAGGCTAATCCCACTGCCCACTACCCTCGCAGCAGTGTCTCTGAGGACTAGCAAAGTCTGGAGGCAGATGAATGGTTTCTGACCCTCACCAGGGCTGTGGAAGGGTGGGGGTGGGTCATTATAGTATTCAGGATTTACAGTGCAGTATTCACGTGTAACTTTTAAGTTTTCAGTACAGTGCTTTTATACCTTTAATGCAATGTTGTATTCATTTGGGTACTATTGTGTAGTATTTAGGATGTATGCATGTTTGTTTATATGTAAGCTTGGTTGGTGCTTTCGCTTTTGTGCTACCTTTCTTGGATTTTTGTACCAGAGATGTGCTAAACTGATGAAATACATTGAGAAAGTTTCCATCTTATTCTTTTATATGGGACTGATGATGTGTGTTGGGGTAGACTGCTCCTGCAGAGTTTGGAAGAAGTCACCAGCAAAGCCGGCCTAACCAAGAAAAGTCAAGGCCCTTCATGACCTTGCTGGGCACAGAAAACACCCTCGTGGAGTACACTAATTTGAACTGGACTGGTCTCAGTGTGAGCACTTGGCACACTTTACTAAACACATATACAACCCCACCGTGAGTCAACTTTAAAGTAAACATTAAAGATTCTTGTGATACAATCATTTTTGGAAAAGTGTACTTTATCATTTTAACAAAGCAGTATGGTTGGGAATGAGACAATTCTCTATTTTACAGTGTATACAGATACAACTATTTCCCCTAATAGGGTGGGAAAAATCGCTACTCATGATTACTCCTAAATTTGTGAAGTTTATAGTTCTATTGTCTTTAAATGTAACTCATGTTTATTTCAAAAACATTCACAAATATAGAAAAGTATACAAAACAAAACAGTAAGATTGTCTGTAATCACATCATATGGGAATAAAAAACAAAAATAATTTCCTTCCCTTAAGTTTCTACATTTTATCAAAATTAATAGATGTCTTGTGACATCTATTAATATACATATAACATATTTATAATATAAAAGAGTGAGACATTGTGCTAAGCCCTAACATGTATTTTTCTCCTTTAATCCTTGCAACAGGCCTGTCAGGCAGGCACCTACTGCCTCTGCACCATGGAGGAAACACAGGAATAATGTAGGTAATGAACTTTCCATAGCTCATAAAGGTTAATAAGAGAAGGAGCTAGGACTTGAACTCAGAATGAATCCAGAGCCCACATTTGTCTCCACCTGCCTACGACTGCCCTATACCCCGTGGCTTTTAGGTTATTTATTTTTAAATTTATTTTTACATTTTATGTGGGAGCCTACAATCACATGGGTTCATGGGCCACACATACAAAAAGGCTAGGAATTTTATTTTTCTAATTCTCATGATATTTTGGAGAAAGCAATATCATTCTGATTGTGCAAATTAAGAAACTTACTTTTGGAGAGGTTAATTAACCTAACAAAGTGATATTCCTATTTAGCAGTGAAGCTAGGATTTGAAACAATCTCTCCTGAGGGTTGGAGGTGAAGGCACCTTCTCTGACAAACACACAAGACACCTGAGAGAGGGAGGTGGGTTGTCCATCAGGATGTCTGTGGCCTTGCAGCCCTTCAGTTGCGGTGAGCCACTAGGTAATCCTCAGAGGATGGGGTGGGCTGCGGGTGGGCATTAGGGGCAATGCCTGAAGAAAAATCTCACTGTGAATTTTTAGTCCTGCAAGGGGTAGCGGGGAGAAAGGGGGCTTTAATAAGACTAGAAGTCCTTTAAACTACAAAAGAGTGGGAAAGACCATTTGGCCAAAGCCAGAAACTTTTCTGTGGAAGATGGATAATGAAGAGGACACATGTCACATAACACCCCAAAGAAGTAAACTGGGAGTCCTATTAGGGTGAGGGAATTATAATTTGGAATTGCCAACACTTACTGGCATTACTTAACAGGTGGGGGCAGGTGCTGGAAATGCTTAGGAAGCCCCTGTTCATGCTGAGATGAAATCCATCCCGGTTTAAAAGCTTCCTGTGAAGATTTTCAAGGGGGTTCTGCAGAGAAAGGGGGACATTTCTGCAATCACCCAGGCAGGGGTGACCTGGCTTTGATGGCACCTCTTACACAAAACCAATGTGAGTGTCTCACCTGTTCAGAAGTGTTAGGATTGTTTGGAAATCTTACCTCCCCACAACCCATCGAAAAGTTTCTCCAGAATCAAAATAAACCTGCCCGTTATCATTTAAAATTGTGGGGATATCCAGGATGTTTCATTTCTGGAGTAGGACTGTGGGCTGTTGTTCCTGCCACACATGGTGCTGGTCATCTTCTCTAATGCCTTAATACTTCCCTCACTGCTGGATTGATGCCTTGCAGGAGCAGTAACCCCTGTGCGCTTCTTGCAGTCAAGCCCAGAAATCACCAGGCAAACAGTCTCCTTACATCCCCGTTTAACTCCTTATGTTGTGTCCACTTTCCTCTCTGCTGTCAGAGGCAGGGAGAACCACCCTTTCCAAAGCTGTCCCAAGCTCACTCACACAGGCACCCTAGCCAGGCCATAGAGGACCTAGCCCTTGCAGGAGAAACAGAATGTGAGAATGTGAGAATGTGAGAAAGGAGTAAGGCATGGGGCAGAGCGACTCGTCCCTAATGCTGCCTAGGAGGCAGCCAGACCTAGAGAAAGAGGCTTCCAGATGTGAAATGAGTTTACTTCATGACACCTGATCCTGCAGAGATAGCAGCTTGGGGCATGGGGAGAGAGAACCCAGCAGCTCTCTTGGGTTTTCATGCTGGGCTCTAAATAGAAAGACTGGAGGGTTTGTCAAATATTTACCAAAAGATTCACCTACAAGGTCCTGGGATAGGTCAATCAGGAAGGGGTCAGCTGGTCCTCAGTGTTGCAGTCCAACATGACAGTGTGCTGAAGCCCAGACTGCTGTGGGTGGGAGAGACTTTCCTAAATCCCCATAACATGTCAACTTTTACCTGCCAACTGGAACCTCATTTCTTCACAAACACCTGCAAACATATTTTGATTTGTTAATTTCATTTTATGAAAGGAAGGGAAAAGGGATCTTTATAAATTTAATATAAAATATAAAGACACCTGGTGTAAGTTGTCCTGAGAGGAAATAAATAACTTTAAGCAGTATCATTATTAAATAGAAATGTTTTAAGTGAACTTCTTATGCAGTTAAATATTTCCTCTGCTTGAAAACCCTTTTATGTCCTTCTCCAACCTGAGTCTTACCTGACCAACTCATGAACACTATTTCCTGGGAGAACACACTCCCTAACCTCTAAGCACAGCCATGTTCTAAATGCACCCAAAATACACCTGCTGTTTATAATTATGTGCCTTTTATTTCTCTCCTCCTGGATTGTTACATACTTAAGGGTTAGAATTGTCTTTATCCTGTTCATTATTTGCTTGACACTTGAGGTAAGGATGGGGCATAAGGGCTGCACTTGATACATATTTGTTATATAAGTTAAGTAACTCAACATATTAGAAAAGACCTACCCATCCACACAAGAAAACAAAACCATATGTGGCTGACAAAAATTAGCCAATTTAAAGGGCGCGGTGGCTCATGCCTGTAATCCCAGCACTTTGGGAGGCCGAGGCAGGCAGATCACGAGGTCAGGAGATGAGACCATCCTGGCTAACATGGTGAAACCCCGTCTCTACTGAAAATACAAAAAAATTAGCCGGACGTGGTTGCGGGTGCCTGTAGTCCCAGCTACTCGGGAGGCTGAGGCAGGAAAATAGTGTGAACCCGGGAGGCGGAGCTTGCAGTGAGCTGAGATCCCGCCACTGCACTCCAGCCTGGGGCGACAGAGCCAGACTCCATCTCAAAAAATAAATAATAATAATAATAATAAAATAGAGGTAACGTAGGACGGGCGCGATGGCTCATGTCTGTAATCTCACCACTTTGGGAGGCCGAGATGGGCGGATCACTTGAGGTCAGAAGTTCAAGGCGAGGCTGGACAACATGGTGAAACCCTGTCTCTACTAAAAACACAAAAATTAGCTGGGCGTGGTGGCACGTGCCTGTAGTACCAGCTACTCAGGAGGCTAAGGCAGGAGAATCCCTCGAACCCGGGAGGCGGAGGTTGCAGTGAGACGAGATCATGCCACTAAACTCTAGCCTGGGTGACAGAGCAAGACACCGTCTCCAAAAAAAAAAAAAAGCAAAGTGGAGGTAATGTAGATAAGTTGAAATTAGTGAAAGAAAAAAAAACAGAAGGCAGAAAAACAATGGAAGCAAAAACTTGTTTCAAGAATCACTGCTACAAACACTCTAACAAAATAACCCAATATCTAGTAGTTTTTTTAGAAAGGAAAAATAGTACAAAGAAACAACTTATTTCCTGACTTTTTAATGATCGCCATTCTAACTGGCGTGAGATGGTATCTCTTTTCTTTCTTTTTTTTTTATTTTTTATTTTTGAGACAGAGTCTCTCTCTGTCACCCAGGCTGGAGTGCGGTGGTGCGATCTCGGCTCACTGCAAGCTCCGCCTCCCGGGTTCACGCCATTCTCCTGCCTCAGCCTCCCCAGTAGCTGGGACCACAGGCGCTGCCACCGCGCCTGGCTAATTTTTTGTATTTTTAGTAGAGACGGGGTTTCACCGTGTTAGCCAGGATGGTCTCGATCTCCTGACCTAGTGATCCACCCGCCTTGGCCTCCCAAAGTGCTGGGATTACAGGCGTGAGCCACCGCGCCCGGCTGGTGTGAGATAGTATCTCATTGTGGTTTTGATTTGCATTTCTCTGATGACCAGTGATGATGAGCATGGGTGAAGCTGGAAGCCATCATTCTTTATATATACATATACATATATATATATTTTTTTTCATTATACTTTAAGTTCTAGGGTACATGTGCACAACGTGCAGGTTTGTTACATATGTATACATGTGCCATGTTGGTGTGCTGCACCCATTAACTCATCATTTACATTAGGTATATCTCCTAATGCTATCCCTCCCCCCTCCCCCCACCCCCAACAGGCCCCAGTGTGTGATGTTCCCCTTCCTGTGTCCAAGTGTTCTCATTGTTCAATTCCCACCTATGAGTGAGAACATGCGATGTTTGGTTTTTTGTCCTTGCAATAGTTTGCTGAGAATGATGGTTTCCAGCTTCATCCATGTCCCTACAAAAGACAGGACCTCATCCTTTTTTATGGCTGCATAGTATTCCATGGTGTATATGTGCCACATTTTCTTAATCCAGTCTATCATTGATGGACATTTGAGTTGGTTCCAAGTCTTTGCTATTGTGAATAGTGCTGCAATAAACATACATGTGCATGTGTCTTTACAGCAGCATGACTTATAATTCTTTGAGTATATACCCAGTAGTGGGATGGCTGGGTCAAATGGTATTTCTAGTTCTAGATCCCTGAGGAATTACCACACTGACTTCCACAATGGTTGAACTAGTTTACAGTCCCACCAACAGTGTAAAAGTGTTCTTATTTCTCCACATCCTCTCCAGCACCTGCCGTTTCCTGACTTTTTAATGATTGCCATTCTAACTGGTGTGAGATGGTATCTCATTGTTGTTTTGATTTGCATTTCTCTGATGGCCAGTGATGATGAGCATTTTTTCATGTGTCTCTTGGCTGCATAAATGTCTTCTTTTGAGAAGTGTCTGATCATATCCTTTGCCCACTTGTTGATGGGGTTGTTTGTTTTTTTCTTGTAAATTTGTTTGAGTTCTTTGTAGATTCTGGATATTAGCCCTTTGTCAGGTGAGTAGATTGCAAAAATTTTCTCCCATTCTGTAGGTTGCCTGTTCACTCTGATGGTAGTTTTTTTGCTGTGCAGAAGCTCTTTAGTTTAACTACATCCCATTTGCTAATTTTGGCTTTTGTTGCCATTGCTTTTGGTGTTTTAGACCTGAAGTCTTTGCCCATGCCTATATCCTGAATGGTATTGCCTAGGTTTTCTTCTAGAGTTTTTATGGTGTTAGGTCTAACATTTAAGTCTTTAATCCATCTTGAATTAATTTTTGTATAAGGTGTAAGGAAGGGATCCAGTTTCAGCTTTCTACATATGGCTAGCCTGTTTTCCCAGCACCACTTATTAAATAGGGAATCCTTTCCCCATTTCTTGTTTTTGTCAGGTTTGTCAAAGATCAGATGGTTGTAGATTGTGGTATTATTTCTGAGGGCTCTGTTCTGTTCCAGTGGTCTATATCTCTGTTTTGGTACAAGTACCATGCTGTTTTGGTTACTGTAGCCTTGTAGTATAGTTTGAAGTCAGGTAGCGTGATGCCTCCAGCTTTGTTCTCTTGGCTTAAGATTGACTTGGCAATGTGGGCTCTTTTTTGGTCCCATATGAACTTTAAAGTAGTTTTTTCCAGTTCTGTGAAGAAAGTCATTGGTAGCTTGATGGGGATGGCATTGAATCTGTAAATTACCTTGGGCAGTATAGCCATTTTCACGATATTGATTCTTCCTACCCATGAGCATGGAATGTTCTTCCATTTGTTTGTATCCTCTTTTATTTCATTGAGCAGTGGTTTGTAGTTCTCCTTGAAGAGGTCCTTCACATCCCTATAAGTTGGATTCCTAGATATTTTATTCTCTTTGAAGCAATTGTGAATGGGAGTTCACTCATGATTTGGCTCTCTGTTTGTCTGTTATTGGTGTATAAGAATGCTTGTGATTTCTGCACATTGATTTTGTACCCTGAGAATTTGCTGAAGTTGCTTATCAGCTTAAGGAGATTTTGGGCTGACAAAAACCACCTGATTATCTCAATAGATGCAGAAAAGGCCTTTGACAAAATTCAACAGCCCTTCATGCTAAAAACTCTCAAAAGTTAGGTATTGATGGGATGTATCTCAAAATAATAAGAGCTATTTATGACAAACCCAGAGCCAATATCATACTGAATGGGCAAAAACTGGAAGCATTCCCTTTGAAAACTGGCACAAGACAGGGATGCCCTCTCTCACCACTCTTATTCAATACAGTGTTGGAAGTTCTGGCCAGGGCAATCAGGCAGGAGACAGAAATAAAGGGTATTCAATTAGGAAAAGAGGAAGTCAAATTGTCCCTGTTTGCAGATGACATGATTGTATATCTAGAAAACCCATTGTCTTTTTTTTTTTCTTTGAGACGGAGTCTCACTCTGTCGCCCAGCCTGGAGTGAAGTGGCGCGATCTAGGCTCACTGCAAGATCTGTCTCCCGGGTTCATGCCATTCTCCTGCCTCAGCCTCCTGAGTAGCTGGGACTACAGGCGCCCGCAACCACGCCCAGCTAATTTTTTGTATTTTTAGTAGAGACGGGGTTTCACCGTGTTAGCCAGGATGGTCTCAATCTCCTGACTTCATGATCCGCCCGCCTTGGCCTCCAAAGTGCTGGGATTACAGGCGTGAGCCACCGCGCCCGGCCTGGAAACCATCATTCCAAGCAAACTATCACAAAGATAGAAAACCAAACACCGCATGTTCTCACTCATAGGTGGGAGCTGAAGAATGAGAACACATGGACACAGGGCAGGGAACATCACACACCGAGGCCTGTCGAGAGGTGGGAGGCTGGTGGAGGGATAGCATTAGGAGAAATACCTAATGTAAATGATGAGTTGATGGGTGTAGCAAACCAACATGGCACATGTATACCTATGTAACAAACCTGCACGTTGTGCACATGTGCCCCTAGAACTTAAAGTATACAAAAGAAAAAAAGAAGCAACTTATTACTAGATAAATGGGCCAAGGACACAGAGAGGTCAGTGCCTTAATAGGAAACACAAACATCAAATGAGAAAATGAAAAACAAATACAATCTCACTGATTAAGTAAAGATACTTTGTGTATATGAATTGATCAAAGATACAATAAAAATGAATATCCTGTACTAGCAAGAGTGAATTGAAATTGGCATCCTTGGACCCTGCTATAGTTGTATAAATTACTACATGCTATTTTATGCATTCATTCAGAGTGCTTACTGAGTACCTAATATGCGGCAGATGCAGGGCTAGGAGTTAGGGATGCAAGAGTGAACAGAATAGACATTGTCCTGTGCTTGCCGAGCATTCACTGAATTGAAAGAAGCAGGTGAATAAAAATAATTACATTTCAGCGCAGTGAGTGCCATCCTAAGAGAAGTGTGGGGCCTAAAGAGGCACAAACAGGTGCACACGACTCAGACTGTCCTAGAGAGGTGAGGCATAAATTGGTTCTATAGGATGAGAAGCAATTAGCAACGTGAAAACGGTGTGTGGAAGGGTGAAGTTGGGAGGAGGCTCTCTTTGTGTCCCGGGATCTGCTGTGTGACCACACACACAAGCATACGGGGCTATATAATGAGTTTCTCAAAATAAATAGAGTAAAAAGGAGAAGGGAAATAAACAAATTTCAGAATTGGCTAGAGGCTAGGAAAAAAAAACATGCTGGCTGAAGATACAGTCAATTTCCTCAAGGATGTGACAAAGAAGAGGGCTCATATGAATCACATGAAAGGCTAACAGATTTAGAAGAAGCCATGCTGAAGGATAGCCTTCTTTTGAACAGACACCTTTGTTTTTTTATTGCTGCTGTTGTTGTCTGCTTTCTGATGAGGGGTCTAAAACATCCCTCCTTATCTCTTTATTTGCCCAATTATTCTTGGGTTCAGCTACTCAGGGTTTGGAGCCCTTAACTATATTACATATTTTCCCATATCTAAACGGTTTCATGTCTCTTCTATTAGCCCACCAACTTTATACTAAAAAATCTTTAAGATTCCTGTTTGCTGTATAAATTAGTTTGTTTATGTATTTATTCAATAGAGATTTCTTGAACTTCAACTATATGGCTGACTTGTGCTAGGAACTGGTACAATTTGGTGAATTAAACAAGATGGCTCTTGGCCTCAAGTAGTTTGTTTATAAACTTTTTTTTTTTTTTTTTTGAGATGGAGTCTGGCTCTGTTGCCCAGGCTGGAGTGCAGTGGCGCCATCTTGGCTCACTGCAAGCTCCACCTCCTGGGTTCATGCCATTCTCCTGCCTCAGCCTCCCCAGTAGCTGGGACTACAGGTGCCTGCCACCACGCCCGGCTAATTTTTTGTATTTTTAGTAGAGACAAGGTTTTGCCGTGTCAGCCAGGATGGTCTCAATCTCCTGACCTTGTGATCCACCCGCCTCGGCCTCCCAAAGTGCTGGGATTAAAGGAGTGAGCCACCACACCTGGCTTATTGATAAATTTTGCATTGATAGAGCACAACAAAGAGGTACAAATGAAACTTCAAATACAAATTATATGATTGGATAAGATATATGAAAAAAATGGGCCAGGCAGAGTGGCTCACATCTATAATACCAACACTTTGGGAGGCCAATATGTAAGAATTGCTTGAGGCCAGGAGTTCAAGCCCAACCTGGGCAACATAGCAAGACCCCATCTCTACAAAAAAAGTTTAATTTAAATAAATGACGTGGTTAAATTGATAGAGAATGGTTGAGAAGACAAACTAAGGCAGGAAGCCCAAGAAATAATTTTCTGAAAAGGTGAAATTTAAGCTGATAATTAATTGAAGGATAACAAGAGAGTTAGCAAAGATCAAAGGGAAGATCAAGATAAATCCAGGCATGTATGTATGTATATATAAATTACGCATGTATACATATATGTGTGTAATATATATACATATATATGCACATCATCCCATCTGGGCCTTCATATATATGTATATGTGTATAATATATACATATATATGCGCATAGATGTGTATAATATATACATATATATGCGCATAGATGTGTATAATATATACATATATATGCGCATAGATGTGTATAATATATACATATATGTGCGCATAGATGTGTATAATATATACATATATGTGCGCATAGATGTGTATAATATATACATATATGTGCGCATAGATGTGTATAATATATACATATATGTGCGCATAGATGTGTATAATATATACATATATGTGCGCATAGATGTGTATAATATATACATATATGTGCGCATAGATGTGTATAATATATACATATATGTGCGCATAGATGTGTATAGTATATACATATATGTGCGCATAGATGTGTATAGTATATACATATATGTGCACATATATATGCACATATATGTGTATAATAAGTACACATATATATGCACATATGTGTGTATAATATATACATATATATGCACATATGTGTGCATATATATACATATGTGCACATATGTGTGTAATATATACATATATGCACATATATGTGTGTAATATATACATATATGCACATATGTGTATTTTATATGCACGTATGTGTATTATATATACATATATGCACATATGTGTGTATAATATATACATATATGCACATATGTGTGTATAATATATACATATATGCACATATGTGTGTATAATATATACACATATATGCACATATGTGTGTATAATATATACATATATATGCACATATGTGTGTATAATATATATACATATATATGCACATATATGTGTATAATATATATACATATATATGAAGGGCCAGAGTGAATCACCTAGATTTTTCTGGTGGCCTTTACCATGAGAAATAGCATTATAAATGGGCTGAGCAGCATGTGACACCCAGTTGTCTTTTCTTGTCTGTCTCCACAGTTGAGGCTGCACAAGTTAAATATTTAACTTCTTGGTTTTTCAGCTGTGTTCCAGTCAAGAGATGTACAGAGAGGTTTATCTGTGCTTTTCCTTCCTACATCCTTTTTCTCTTTCAGGGAATGTATAAGGAAAGTCAGGAGCTATTGTTGCTCGTATGATGGCAGTATAAAAACAGCTAAAGAAATCATAGAGAGGTTGAGCCTGACATCTACAAACTGCTGGACAAATACCAATAGCCACCTACTTGTATCTATAGTTTTTGGCATGTAGAATAAAATCTCATTCTTTAAGCTATTGTCTTGTGGGTTTTTTGCTTGCTTTGTGCAGCTCAAAGCATCCCTAACTGGTAAAGTCTCCAAAAAATTCTTTTCTCGTCTCCCATTCTGTGTCTGGTACTCACATGAGGGTATTACTGACCATAGGTGGACCCCGATTAGGTTATGACAAGCAGAGTAATTCTATCTCCTTGCTGCAGTTCTTAGATCAGATATGAGAACTTAATCAGTTCTGGGCAATCAGGTCATGTAGATTAGAACTTCCATTCATTTCATGGCAATGTTCATGAGAATAGAATTAGGGCTTCTGGCTCTGAAGTTTGTACCACTTTGGCATTTAGAGTTATCTCAGAAAAATGTATAATTTTTTTAAAAATTCAGCTTGTTATTTATAAGCCAGTTTTGTTATTTGCTCAAGAAATCATACTAATAATGGTGGTGCTTTCTGGGGTTGCGAAGGGGAAAGAAAGGCTCAGAACCAGGAGAGAGAGGAAGGTATCAGGGCAGCCCTGTAGGCAATGGTAAGCAGGCAGATTGTATTTAAAGAGTAAATGGAAACCACTAACGACTTGCAGACTCATCTAATTGACATTAGGCTTTTAAAATATTGCCCTCCTTAGTATACTCAGAATGAATTGAGAAGGGAAAGCATCAAAGTTGAGAGTCTGCTAAGAGATGAAGATGATGTAGACATGATGAAGGAGGGTATATTTGTGGCTCAATTGAGGAATGGAGGATGGATAGGTAAGGGACATGGAAGATTAGATCTGGATTCTCAGGTTTCAGGCTTGAGCACTCGGTGAATAGTGTGATTTTTTTTTTTTTTTTGAGACAGAGTCTCGGTCTGTTGTCCAGGCTGGAGTGTAGTGGCACAATCATAGCTCATTGCAGCCTTGACCTCCTAGGCTCAAGTGATCATCCCATCTCAGCCTCCCAAGTAGTTGAGACTATAGAAGCACACCATCACACCTGGCTAATTTTTGTATTTTTTGTAAAGGCGGAGTCTCACCATGTTGCCCAGGCTGGTCTCGAACTCCTGGGCTCAAGCGATCCTCAGCCTCCCAAAGTGCTGGGATTATAGATGGTGAGCCACCGCACCTGGCCATAAGTGTGATTTGATGAAATGGAGAAGGGAGGTGAAAAACAGGTTTTGGATGAAAACAGTAAAGAGTTCATACAAACACTCAGTGACATGTCCTAAAAGAAATATGAGGTTCACAATTATTAAAGATGCCTAGCTCAAGATAGAGAATCATAGCCCTGCACTGGAGCAACCCATTTATCCAGAGTGAAAGCACAGAGTAACTAGAAGCGGATATTCTGGGAAACTAAGACATTACCACGTGTAGTATTGAAGGAAAAGCTGCTACGGAGACTAAAAACAGTACCTGGTTAAGAGATAGAAAGTAAGCCAGGAGAGTGATAGAGATGAGAATCAAAATAGCAGCATTTCAAGCCAAAGGAAGTGGCCAATAGTGTCAAACACTGTTGAGTTATTAGAAGTATTTGAGGGGTTTATTTGCATTTAGTAGGATCTTTGCTGATAAGAGAAGGGAATAAAGGAGATTAAGTTCAAAGGCATGACGCGTGTTCACCCTTCACTCAGGTGAGAGATAATGGTAACTTTAACTAGGGAATGAATAATGAAGATGGAGATTAATTGAAAAATTGAGAAATAATTGGGGGTTACATTGCCAAAAATGGATGATTGATGAAATGCTAGAAATAAAAACAGGGAGGAATCAGGTTTATGGCCAGGTTTCTGACATGCACAATTTTGTGTGTCGTATCAGTTACTGAGTTTGTGAGAAAAGAGAAAGCAGATTTACGTGGGAGGAGGATGAGTTCAGTTTTATATATTTTGAGTTTAACGTAAATGCCAGGCATCTAAACAGAGATGTCCATTTGATTAGGGATAAATGCATAAGAAAAGATGCAGATTAAAATGTCATGAACCTATGGATGGGAAGGGATGGATTTGCAAAGGTATTCTCTGCTTCACCTGAGCAGTTTAGGCAGGACAGACACTCTTCTGCTTAATCTCAGACACTTACACCAGCTATCCACACTTGATCTTAGCCAAAAGGCCGAGAAGCAATACACCAGCTATCCTCAGGTACTTACATTACTTTTTGTTCCTAAAGGCATATGAGTTTGGGAATCTCGGAGAGTGAGAGGGAAGAGGTGCAGGATGGAGCATTGAGGAGAACAAATATTACATGGAAAAGCAGAAAGATAACTCTCAAATAATATCAAGAAACAGTGGGAAGAGATTAGGAATAAGTGAGATTTAGAGAATGTAGTTTTAGAAATGCCAAAGGAGGGATTGGTCAGTTGTTAAATTTAGTTGAGGCATGAAGCAATAAAATAACTAAGAAGTGTTTACTGAAATTACTCATAAAGAGATTATTTTCATTTTATGAAGAACAATTTCAATGGGATAGTTGTCAACAGAAACCAAACTTCAGCGAATTAAGTATGGAGCAGGATGTGAATATAAATGATGTATATATTCAATGGTTGATGGAGAGATACCAGTATTGAAGACATGGCGAGATCTATATTATAAAATGGAGTTACTATACAGGATTGGGAATGCATCGTCCATAGGAATGAGACAGAAGTATGAAATGACTGATTGATGTATACCTGTTGTATCTGTGGCAGAAAGTTGATGGTGCTTCTATTTTCCCAGAGGAGTGTCAGGGAAAGTCAAAATTTAAGACAGAGAAGGAAAGTGATGAGAGAGAAAGACAGTCCCAGATGTGTCCCATAGAATGGAGAAGGCAGGGGATCTTCCCAGGAGAATCTCTCATGGGAGACTCCAGCAGATATTAGAAAATTTAATTTACCGATATGTACAAGGTACCACCACTGCATTTCTTATTTGTTCCACAAATGCAAGACTGTCTCAGTATATTCATCATATCTGTAATCTTAAGAAAAACCACATGATCATGTCAATGCATGCAGGAAAGGCATCTGACAAAATTCAACTCCCATTCATAACAAAAGCTCTCAGCAATCTAGGCACAGAAAAGAGCATTACCAACCTGGTAAAGCACATTATAAAAGAAACAACAACTACTACTATAGTTAACATTGCTTAGTGTGTTTAATGACCAAAAACTGGATGCTTCCCTCTAAGATTGGAGGGAAGGGTAGAGTATGCTGTCCACTCTTATCACTCCTTTTCCACTTGGTGATGAAAGTCCTAGCCAGTTCAATAAGACAGGAAAAGGAAGTAAAATGCTTACAGGCTGAAAATGAAGAAATAAAGCTACTTCTATTTGCAGATGGCATAATTGTCTATGTAGAGAATCTCAAATAATGTCCAAAAAACCATACCTGAATTAAGAAGAGACTTTAGCAATGTCACAAGATACGGGGTCAACACACAAAACCAATTACATTTCTATATACCAGCAATAACTCTTGGAAACAGAAATTTAAACATTTAAAACTCAGTACCATTTATAATAACTCAAAAATACTTATGAATACATACATCAAAACATATAGGATCTCTATTTTGAAAAGCTTATAAAGCACTGATTAGAAAATCAAAAAATACCTAAATAAATGGAGAGAAATATCATGTTCATAGATCAGAAGACTCAACATGGTAAACAGATCAAACAGACATGTAGGATTCATGCAATTTTTATCAAAATCCCAGCAGTTTATCTGGAATTGTCTTGATTTTGGCACCAGAAGTCCCACTTTCTAGGAATCCCCTCTGTGGGATGTGAAAAACCCCAAATTTTTGGCCATGAGTAAAGAAGATTGGAGAAAAAACTAGAAAACCCATATGGCATCACCCAAACAAGGGCTGTATGCATTTTACTGCCAAATGGAGACAGCACATATTATCTGTTTCTTGTAATTGCTGTCACTGTTTTTTTCCTGACCACTAATGCGTATAACCACGATTTGCAGTTCACAGTGATCAGTGAATTACTGTGAGCTGCAAATCGTGAATCATTCTAACTCTTGTGACTTAAATATGTAAATGAAGCATGTTGTAATCATGAGTGTTTGTCTGTATTTGACTTTAGCTGTGGATTAACTGTTCTACTTTGAATCAATTTTGTGCTAGTTCAGTTTTTAACTTTACAAACCTTGAGACCATATTTTCTAATAATTCAGATAGTAAAAACACAAACAATTACAATACCAATGCAGCAAGGCCCAGAAGGCTAAATGATTGTGTTATTTTAATGGTACATGAAGGACACAGACAACTGTATTACAAAGGTAAGTAAACAAAACAGAGCATATTGCACAATAGGCAGAAAAATAATGTGGGGCTGGGTATGGTAGAGGAGGTTACATGATCTGTGTGACTTTGCTAGGGCTGCCGTAACAAAGTACCATAGATTGGGTGGCTTAAGCAACAAAAATCTATCTCCTCACAGTTATGGAGGTTGGAAGTCCCAGATCAAGGTGTCAGTGGGTTGGTTCCTTCTGGGGGCAGTGAGAACATGATCTGTTCCTGGTCTCTTTGCTTGGCTTGTAGATGGTGCAGATGACTGTCTTCTTTTTGTGTCTTTTCATTATCATCCCTCTGTGTGAAGACTAAATTTTACCATTTAAGGATGATATAAGCACGTAATTCTAAAAGGAACAAAAGTTTCTTTTCTCTTTTTCTTTTCTTTTCTTTTATTTCTGTTATTTTTTGGATTTTTGGTCTCCTAAACAAACACTGATGTTCAGTTGAAAATGGCAGCCACTGAATTACCTTTGGTATACCAAACAAACCAGCACACATCATTATATCATTTTATTGATTTCTATTTGAAAATGAGTAAAGTTACATTACCTTTAAAATTATTCGAACATTCAGTGACATATCCTACAAGAGATATGAGGTTCACAGTTAATAAAGATGCCTAGCTCAAGACAGAGAATCATAGCCCTGCACTGGAGCAACCCATTTATCCAGAAAGTGCAGAGTAACTAGAAGTGGATATTCTGGAAAACTAAAACATTGTATTAGTTTTGGTATACAATACAAACCAGCACACATCATTATATCATTTTATTGATTTATGTTAACCTACAAGTTGCATTGAAAATGTCTTTCAACAAACAAAATGGGAAATTTTGATAATAGATACATTGGTTCTTTACAGTGTAGAGCTGACTCTGACAAGTCTTACTGTCAATCATGCTGCCTACAATACAGCAAGTGATGCGTCAAATAATGATAACCAAAAAAAAAATGCACTCCACATTTTAGACATGTTTATTTGAAAAATGGAGCTTTAAATTATCTTTTGGTTTCTATGAAACTTTTCATTAAACCACAGAAAACATGAAACAAAAGATTATTAACATCTTTTCCAAATCTGAACTAGAATTTGCTCATCTATATGCATATCTGGCAGACAGCACAAATGTAAATTTGCCAGACTCCATTCAGTCTATGAACTTCTTATCAAAGAAAAGATATTACCTACTAAATGCCTCACACACATTTAATATAGAACTGCTAAAAAGGGGCCTGGTGTGCTTACTTGTGATTTTAAGGCTTTCATAATTAAAATTTTTCACCACTTTTCAGTTTTCTTAAAACATACAGAAACAAGAATCATAACTTCGGCTTTATGGAAATGGAAGGAGATAGCATCCTTACACCTATGCCCACAAGACAGCTTGCATTGCGGCCAGCCGTAGAAAAGATACCAAAATGTTAGCCTGCCATAAAATCATGTTTTCAGAGTATGAAAGAAGAAGAATGTTCTCTAATCTGAAAGCAAATTAAGGATGAGAATAAAGAGAAGGGGAGAAAAATGCAACAGAAGTGAATATGCTTTTTTCCCAAAACTGTTGGTGATCTTTGAAGAGGTCATATGGAGCCTAGAAAATGATAAGCTGGCTGCATTTGAGTTACGTGATGTTGTGTTCTGGTTGCAACAAAAACTAATACAGCAAAAACAGGATGAACAAAAACCCTCATGTTTTAGGGAAATGATACTATTTCAGAACACGAGAAAAGGTCATCAGAAAAGATCAGCTAAGTTAAATAGAACTTTCTCTGAGATGGAGTCTGGCTCTGTCACCCAGGCTGGAGTGCAGTGGTGCGATCTCAGCTCACTGCAACCTCTGCCTCCCGGGTTCAAGCCATCCTCCTGCCTCAGCCTCCTGAGTAGCTAGGACTGCAGGCGTGCACCATCATGCCTGGCTAATTTTTGTATTTTTAGTAGAGATGGGGTTTCACCATGTGGGTCAGGCTGGTCTTGAACACCTGACCTCAAGCAATCTGCCTACGTCAGCCTCCCAAAGTGCTAGGATTACAGGCGTGAACCACCACACCAGGCCTGTTTTAAACAGAATTTTCTCAATTTCTTTTTAGAAATTGTAAATTATTTAGAATACAAATTTGATTTCACAACTTCAAATTACCTCTGTGCTTTGAAGCCATTTTCATGACAAAGAGGGTTAACTTATGATAGCATCCAATACACTTATGAATGTTCATAAATCATGGACTTTTTTACATGTCAGCAGCCTATATGATGGATCTCTAGATGCAAATGATCTCATTAACAAACAGATAGTCTACGAAAATAACCCTTTAAATACAAAGTGAGTGGTGTTTTTTTGAAAGCTGGACATGAATTTGGTCAAATTCAAAACTCTGCTGCTGCTGGTAAGTAAAATCCTAAATATCTTATGTCCAAACACTCTTTTTGTAAACATATTTAGCTATGTTTTTACATCAGACTTACCACTGGAATCAATGTAATGTGGACTTGATGAGAACAGAGCAGCAAGTCAAAGTGAATTATATGTTTGACTGTACTCAATTTTATCACCACATAAAATAAAAGAAAGATATCATGAAGGCTGTAGGCAGTATAGAGAAATATTACTAAAAAGGAAACAGAAGAAGAAAAAATATATATATCCCACTGTATCACTGGACAGAAATAAAAATGTCATTCTTACTTTTAAATTGAATATTAGAATATCCTATAGTCATTTTTAATTTACATTCTCCTCCTAAAAGTCATATGATTACATATTTTAAGAATAACTGAATATAGCCTACAATATATAAGTATGCAATTGGGAATTAAAATAAATTGCTGTAACAAGAAATATAAAACATTGTTATATTTTTCATATATATTACTTGTTTATTAATCCTATCATTAATTACTACTAATTAGCACTGTTAATTAGTCTTTGTTTTGTGTAAAAAATGTCAGGAGGCTGAGGCAAGAGGATCACTGGAGGCCAGGGGTTCAAGCCCAGCCTAGGCAACATAGTGAGACCCCATCTCTACAAAAAATTTTAAAATTAACTAAGTGTGGTGGCACATCTTTGTAGTCCCAGCTACTCCAGAGGCTGAGGTGGGCAGATCATGTGAGCCTGGGAGGTTGAGGATGCAGTGACCCATGATCGAGCTGCTGTACTCCAGCCTGGTGACAGAGTGAGAACCTGTCTCTAAAATAAATAAATAAATAAATAAATAAATGCAGTTCGTGTAACATAAAAATAAGTGATATAGAATAATAGATATTTTCAAAGAAACCTCTATTTTATATGTTATATTAAAGTAATAATGTGTATAATTATTATATGTTACATTATTATGATTTATTCTGTCTGGGTTAACTCTAAAAAGTTGGCCACCTTAGATATAGACAAGCTGATTCTAAAATTAATATTGAAAAGCAAAGGAACTAGAACAGCTAAAGAAAAAATAACTTGTAAAAAGTGAATTAAGTTAAAAAAGTGTGCTCTACCAATTTTAAGGCTTAAGGCACAATTCAGCAATCAAGACAGTGGTATTTAGCAGAGGGATAGACACATAGATCACTGGAGCAGAATAGATAACTCAGAATTAGAACCACACAAGTACAGCCAACTGATTTTTGACAAAGGTGCAAAAGTAATTCAATGGAAGGATAGCCTTTTCAACAAATGATGTTGGAGCAATTAGACATCAGCATGCACCAACAAACCCCCAAACCTTCAACATAAACCCCACACTTCATACAAAAATAAATTCAAAATGGATTACAGCTCTAAATGGAAAATGTGAATCTATAAAACTTTTAAAAGAAAACACAGGGGGGAAATTGTCATAAAATGGTGTTAGATGCAGAGATCTTAGGACACCAAAAGCATAATCCACCAAAGAAAGAACGGATCAATTTGACCTCAACAAGATTAAAAGCTATTATTCTCTCAAAGACACTGGGGTTTTTTTTGTTGTTGTTTTTTTTTTGGTTTGTTTCTTTTTCTTTTTGAGACGGCGTCTCGCTCTGTTGCCCAGGCTGGAGTGCTGTGGCACAATCTCGGCTCACTGCAAGCTCCGCCTCCCAGGTTCACACCATTCTCCTGCCTCAGCCTCCCAAGTAGCTGGGACTACAGGCGCCCGCCACCACGCCCCTCTAATTTTTTGCATCTTTAGTAGAGACGGGTTTTCACCGTGTTAGCCAGGATAGTCTCCATCTCCTGACCTCGTGATCTGCCCGCCTCAGCCTCCCAAAGTGCTGGGATTACAGGCATGAGCCACCACGCCCTGCCGAAGTCACTGTTAAGAGAATAAAAAGACACAGACTTGGGGAATGTATTTGCAAACCACAAGTCCACAGAAGGATTTATATCCAGAATATATAAACAACTCTCTAAACTCAACATTAAGAAAACAAACAATCCTATTAGAAAATAGTCAAAGATTGAACCAGTAGATGGAAGGCAAACACATAAACAACAAAAAAAAGATGGTCAACACCATTAGCCATTAGGAAAATGCAAACTAATGTCACAATAATGTATCACTATACACAGAAATGTAAAATATAATAAAATATGCTGTAAATTATGACAAAAGAAAATATACTGTCGGCTGGGCACGGTGGCTCACCCCTGTAATCCCAGGACTTTGGGAGGCCGAGGCGGGCGGATCGCGAGGTCAGGAGATTGAGATCATCCTGGCTAACACGGTGAAACCCCGTCTCTACTAAAAATACAAAAATTTAGCTGGGCGTGGTGGCGGGCGCCTGTAGTCCCAGCTACTCGGGAGGCTGAGGCAGGAGAATGGCGTGAACCCGGGAGGCGGAGCTTGCAGTGAGCCGAGATGGTGCCACTGCACTCCAGCCTGGGTGACAGAAGCGAGACTCCGTCTCAAAAAAAAAAAAAAATGAATAAATAAAAATAAAAAAGAAAGGAAATATACTGTCCATATCCAAGAGAGGATATGAAGTAAGTGGAACTCTCACATAGTGCCAGGGGAATGTACAAGCATACATACACCATTCTGCAAAATGGTTTAGCAGTTTCTTACAAAGTTATCACATCCTTAAGCGTAACCCAATTATTCTATTCTTGGTTATTTACTGTACAGAAATAAAGGCATATGTTCATACCAAAACTACGTTGCAATGACCTACAATTAGAAACAAGCCATATATTTTCCAACATGCAAATGGATAAACTGTGGTACATATATTCAATACAATATTACTCAGCAACAGAAAGGAACTAAATATTGTTACACATAGCAACTTGAATAAATCTGAAAGACCTTATATGTATTCAGAGCAAAAGAAATATCAAAGGGTTGCATACTCTACAATACCAATTTAATAACATTCTAGAAAAGACAAAATTATAGCATTGAATGTAACAGATAAGTGGTTTCCAAGATTAGTGGGCAGCTGTGACTGAAAAGGGGTAACAGAGAATTTCTTTGTGAGGATGGAACAGCTCTGTATCCTATGTTGATGGTTACACAAATCTATCCATGTAATATTTCATAGAACTATAAGCTCCCTCAGAAATGAGTGCATTTCAAAACTGGCAAAATCGGAACAAGGTCAGTAGTTTACTTAGTAGTATTATACCAATGTTAATTTCATAGTTTTGATTATTTTTACTATGCTTATGTAAGTTAGCATCACTGGAAGAAGCTAGACAAAACGGACATAGGAACTCTCCATACTATTTTTTCAACTTCCATGTAAGTCTAAAATTATTGCAAAATGAAAATTTAAAATAAACGAGTGCTAATAGTAGTGCCAGAGATAGAACTATATATTTTTTTTTCTTTTTTTTTTTTTTTGAGACGGAGTCTCGCTCTGTCGCCCAGGCTGGAGTAAAGTGGCGCGATCTCAGCTCACTACAAGCTCCACCTCCCAGGTTCACGCCATTCTCCTGCCTCAGCCTACTGATTAGCTGGGACTACAGGAGCCCGCCACCACGCCCGGCTAATTTTTGCATTTTTAGTGGAGACGGGGTTTCACCGTGTTAGCCAGGATGGTCTGCATCTCCTGACCTCGTGATCCGCCCGCCTCAGCCTCCCAAAGTGCTGGGATTACAGGTGTGAGCCACCACGCCCGGCTGAGATGGAGTCTTGCTCTGTCACCCAGGCTGGAGTGCAGTGGCGCGATCCCAGCTCACTGCAACCTCCGCCTCCCGGGTTCAAGGGATTCTCCTGCTTCAGCCTCCCGAGTAGCTGGGACTACAGGCGCACGCCACCATGTCCAGTTTATTTTTGTATTTTTAGTAGAGAGGGGGTTTCACCATGTTAGCCAGCATGGTCACAACCTCCTGACCTGATTCGCCCGCCTCGGCCTCCCAAAGTGCTGGGATTACAGGCATGAGCCATCGTGCCCGGCCAGAACTACATTTTTTAAATAATTATTTTTAAGGGAAAAGTATGGCATTCATCCTCTTGAATACATGATGTGCCAGATAATGTGAGAAAACTAAAATCCAACATTTTACAATAAGCAGATTATAAATGCTATGTCATAAAAAGAGAAAGGATGCACTTTTATAAGTCTGTAAAATCATAACTGTCTTCATGATATGATAGCATAGTAATTATCATATGAACCACAATGGCTCATGCTTACAAAACACTTAATATGTGATCCTTTCAACAAGCAAGAGTACGTGTTATTATTACCAGCATTTTATAGAGGAGGAAACTGAAAAACATAGATGTTAACTCATATTCTCTTGATCACTAGCTTGTTAATGACCTCACTGGGATTTTTCATCCAAGGTGGTCTGGCCCTAGAAACTGTACAGAATTTAGAAAATTATGTAAAATAAAATTCTGAAAGGTGTAAAGAGAACCCACTTGCAGGAGGAGAAAATAGCCACTCTCAGCATGTTGGTGTGTTTTCTTTTTGTGTGTGTGCTTTCATGCATTTATTGATTAATAAATAAAATAGTGACTGAAAATGTATGTGTGCCAATATTTGTTCTAGAAACATGCGCTACAGCACTGAATGAAGGATTCGAAGTCCCTGCCAGCATGGACCATAGAGTCTAGTGGGAGAAGATAGGTAATGCAAATTTTAAAAGTACAAGAAAACTTCAAGCCACAAGTCTTAGAGTAGAATAAGGGACTAACATTAACAGGGTTGTCAGGGAAGGCCTCTCTGAGGAGATGACCCTTGGGCAGAGCCCTGAAAGACACGAGGGAGTGAGCCACACGAATTTCTTCGTGAAGGAGTAAAGCATTTGGAACAGAGGACATTGCCTCTGCAATTGTCCAGGTGCTGGGACTGGATCCAAGGTCTGCAAGGAGACCCATGTGGATGGAATTGGGTGAGGGAGATGGAATGTAGCAGAGAGCTGCCCAGGGTCACGTCCTTCTCCCCAGCCGATATGGCTCATTCAGAAACTCTCTTTACACACCCATCAGCTTCCATTCCATGTTTATTTTATTACTTGTTTGTTTACTGAGGAATTCAATATTCCCTTATCCAGGCAGAACCGAATGTGCAGGTGATACTGCTCTGTCCACTCCCCTTCACCTTTCACCAGGCAAATTTCCTTGGGTGTACTTGGAAGATGCATTCTCATGGGCACCCCCGCTGGAACCTCATCCCAGCCCAGCCTTGAGGGAGCTCAGTAGAGCTGTTGTCAATGCTCATTCTCCATTCTTAGTAGACCCAGCAGAACAAGAGGAACCTCAACCCCAAAACCCTCCACATTGGTTCAAGAAGAAATTGAGGTCTCTCCAGGCTGTTAGTGAAGGGTGTGGCTGAACTCTGCCACCTTGTGACTGATTCCATTTCTCCCTTCCCATCAGATGCGTGGTTCTCCAGAAACTCTTGGGATGGGAATTTAGTTTTCAGGAGATGCTCATGACAGAACCAAAGAATGTGGGGATGAGAAGCCACAAAGAACTTTTCAACATATAGCTAAGCCCAAGGATGTCCTTAACAATGCAATGGAGGGCAGATAGTGAGAAGCAGGCCTGAGAATACTGTATATTTCAAGACTGTCTGAGAAGTAGGGTGGCAAAAAATAAATAAATAAATAAACAAGATTGGGTGTGGAAAGGAAGAGCTAAGGGGTTAAATCACACTTAAGAACTAAGGGGTTAAGTGGTATGCTCTATGCACCCTTCCTCCATGTAGCTCCTCTCAATTGCCTGTGACTTGCATATAACAAATCCCAAGCTCCAATGAGTCCAATATCTCCTTCCTTCATCTGTCCACTGGGGATCAAAACTTCTGCACATTTGTGTACTCCTAACTCATTGGGAAATGCATCTGCCAGACCCTAGTCAAATCTGCATCCTCTTCCCAACAGCACACTACAATCTACCCTCACTGTCCTCAAGCTCACCCTGTCCTATTTCATGAGGAAATCTAGACAACGTGAGAAGTCGCTTCAATGTTTTGTCCTTTTACTGTTCATAGGTGGTTCCTAGACGCAGTCTCTCTGCATTTGTGCATTTTATTAAGTAAAAATACAACTCTTCCACCACCACATCACATCTCCTTGTAGACAGCAACTTTCTCTCAGCTCATCCAAATATCCTTCCAATTGCTCCCTCTCTCCTTTGTAGACTCATGCCCTGAATATACTTAGTGATTTTCTGTACTGGCAGTAACAACAGTGCTCTTTGTCACACATTTCCTATTCTGTGCTGCCCTAAGCGTTTCACAACTTGGGGCACAGATATGTAGTTCCCAGACTGATAGTAGAGTGTAGCAGAGTTAATCAAAGTGTTTTTTACACTGAAATGAAGTGTAAATGAAGTTTTTTACACTGAAATGAAGTTTTTTACACTGGCACCTTTATTCTTTGACCCTGTCATATTTTGAAGTAGAATGTCCACTTTGGGTAAACTTTTAATATAAATCATCAGATGTCAAGGAAATTTCAGGGGTAAGCAGGGTCATTACAGTGGTATCTCCAGTTCTATTTCACAGTGATGAATCCTCTATGCCTTTTGGGGATTCTTTGGATAAAAGGTTTGGAAAGGACTTCTGGGTTGGAAGCTAAAAGTTCCACACTAATCATAAGATAAATATGGATAAAGCATAAAATTATCAGACAGCAAAGAGCCTTGTTGCTACTTTAATCCCTTCTGGATGTGATGCAGAAATAGGAATCTACTCACCATGGATGGCTCCATTGAGGAAATGGCCGAACTATTAACTAATTTATATTGACTGCGTGTTATTTAGCATGACAGATTAGAATTACAAGGAGTCTGAAGGAAGTTGAAATCCACCTGCCAAATCACTCCTTCAGGGCTTTCACTAACTGCATAAGAGGAGCACACCAATGGCTGAAAGCAGGGCTGGGGAGGTGAAGAGTCATGGACTCTTTACTCAACGCAAGGTAGTGGCTAGGGGAAGGCTGCCATGATACAGGACGCTGAGAAAGACCTTGTAGGGTGCACAGATGCTACCTAAGTGCAAGGTGGCAGCCCGTAGGGATTTTGTGCAGAAAAAGAGAACTGAAGCAATCCTCCCAGGGTGCACAAAAGCTTCCTTGAGTGCACATCAATGGGCCGACAAAGACTAGAGGCAGAGAATTAGGAAGAAGAATAATCTCCTAAGGCTACAGGACAAGCCAGGAAAAGAGCTGGAGAGTAAAGAAAACTCTCCATTGAACAATAACAACAACAACAACAAAACTAGCAAGTGGGTTTAAAGAAAAAAAATACAAGCAGGAGAAAGGAGAGGACAGCAAAACACAGAGACAGAGAGATTCCCTATATTCATAAAACATAAAACAAGCCGCTGGGGCTAATGCATACAGAGATATCTGAAGTCTCTCTGGTCTTAAATTTGAAGCTCCGCTTAAAGGAATGTCTTCCTCTCACCCTCAAACTATGTGAAATTCTCAGTGTGGAGCTGAATCTAAGTATACTTGCAAAAAAATATCTTATCTAACTCAACCGCGTATTAGATTGTTTCAGTCCCACGTATTATTGGTCTGATAGAAGAAAGCTTGCACTTTTTCTGGGAGTAAATATCACTTTCTTCAGTCTCTATTTGTTCATACACATTATCTCCTGATAAAAAATATTAAGAAATATAGGAAGAGGCAGAAAAATGTGAAGCATGAACAAGCAAGAAAACAACCAGTAGAAGAAGTCTTAGAGGTAATCTCAATGTGTGAATTGGCAAGGAAAAACTTTAAAAGAACTATGATAAATATGTTTAAGTATCTGGTGCAAAAGGTAGACAAGATACATGAGCAAATGAGGATTACGGCAAAAAGATAACTACAAAAAGGACAAACAGAAATGTTATTAAAGAAAAATACAACATCAAAATGACTAATTCATTCAATAGGCTTCATAGCAGACTGGATACAGCAGCAAGAGAGACAATCAGGGAACATGAAGGCAGAATGAAAAGCATCCAAATTGAAACACAAAGGAAGAGAGAGAGAAAGAGTGAAAGCACTGAAGAGCCATGAGGCAATTTAAAAATATAGTCATAACACATTTGTAATCGGAGGTACAGGACAATAGGAGAGAAAATAAGCGAGAAGAATTCTTTGCAGTGATAATGGCCATGGATTTTGTAAAAATGGTGAAATGTATTATCCTACCTACCCAATACGCTCAGTGAATCCCAGTCAGGATAAATACATAGAAACTCGCGCTTTTGCTTATTTTTGTCCAACTGCTGAAAATCAAAGATAAAATCTTAAAAGTAGCTGAATGGGAGAGAACATTACAATACAGTGAAACAAAGAATAATGATGTCTTATTGCAAGGAGACAATGACAAAACATCTTTGTTCATTTTCAAATTTATTTTACTTTTGAAATTGACAGATAAAATTGTATATGTTTATCCTACACAGCATACTGTTTTGTTTTGCAGTATATGTCTACATACGTAGATAACACTGTGGAATAGTTAAATCTAGCTAATAAAGAAATGCATTATCTCACATAGTTATCATTTTTGTGATGAGAACAGTTAATATCCACTCCGTTAACCATTTTTCAAGAAAACAATATATCACCATTAACTGTAGTCACCATTTTGTACAATAGATCTCTTGAACTTATTCCTCATATCTAACTGTAAATATGTATCCTTTGACCAACATATCCCTAACCCTCCCTTTCTTCTAGCCACTCTAGCCTCTGATAATCACCATTCTACTCTCTACTTCTATGTGATCTTTTTAAAATTCCACATGAGTGAAATCATACAGTATTTGTCTTTCTGTGTCTGCCTAATCCCATTTAACGCAATCTCCTCCAGATTCATCCATGTTGCTGCAAATCACAGGACTTCCTTCCTTTTATGGCTGAATAGTATTCAGCTGTGTATATAAACACATTTTATTTATCCATTTATCCATTGATGGACACTTAGGTTGATTCCATATCTTGGCTATTGTGAATAACACTGCAGTAAACATGGGAGTGCAGCTGTCTCCTTGACATCTTGATTATATTTTTAAACATACGCTTAGTAGTGGATTTACTAGATGATATGACAGTTCAATTTTTTAATTTTTGGAGAAACCTTCATACTATTTTCATTATGGCTATAATAATTTACATTCTCACCAAAAAAATGTAATGGTTTTCTTTTCTACACATCCCTGCCAACATTTGTTGGTTTTTTGTTTGTTTGTTTCTGCCGGGGTGCATAGTCTTTTTGATAATAGCCATTCTAACTGGAGTGAGATATTATTTCATTGTAATTTTGATTTGCATTTCCCTGATGGTTAATGATGTCAAGCACTTTTTCATATGCTTGTTGACCATTTGTATATCTTCTTTTGAGAAATATCTATGTATGTATGTTGCCCGTTTTTAAACCTGATTATTGGGATTTTTGCTATTCAATTGTTTGAGGTTTTTTTTTTTTTTTTTTTTTTTTTTTTTAGATGGAGTCTTGCTCTGTCACCCAGGCTGGAGTGCAGTGGTGCAATCTCAACTTACTGCAACCTCCGCCTCCCGGGTTCAAGCAATTCTGCTGCCTCAGCCTCACAAGTAGCTGGGATTATAGGTGTGTGCCACCATACCCGGATGATTTTTGTATTTTTTAGTAGAGATGGGGTTTCACCATGTTGGCCAGGCTGTTCTCGAACTCCTGGCCTCAAGTGATCTGCCCACCTTGGCCTCCCAAAGTGCTGGGATTACAAGCATGAGCCACCACACCAGCCTCTTTGAGGTTCTTATAAGTTCTGGATATTAACCTCTTGTCAGATATATAATTTGCAGATATTTTCTCCTGTTCTGTAGGTTGTCTCTTCAGTTTGTGGATTCTTTCCTTTGCTGTGCAGAAGCTTGTTAGTTTGATATAATCCCATTTATCTATTTTTGCTTTTGTTGCTTGTGCTTTTGAGGCTTATCCAAAAAATCAGTGCCCAAACCAATGTCATAGAGCTTTTCCCCTATGATTTCTTCTAGTAGTTTTATATTTCCAGGTCTTACGTTTAAGTATTTCATCCATATTAAGTCAATTTTTGTATTTGGTGAATGATAAGGGTCTAATTTCATTTATTTGCACAAGGATATCCAGTTCTTCCGACAACCTTTATTGAAGAGACTGCCCATTCCTCATTGTATATTTTGGTACCTTTGTTGAATATCAGTTGGCTCTAAATGAGTGGGTTAATTTGTGTGTTATTCATTCTGTTCCATTGGTCTATGTGTCTGGTTTAAGGAAAAATAGGATTGTCTGTTTATAATTCTATATCCAACAAAATTTCTTTACAAAATGAAAGTGAAATAAAGTCATCATCAGACAAAGACTGAGGGGATTTGTTTCATGCAGATCTACACTATGAGAAATGCTAAGGAAAGTTTTTCAGGCTGAAAGAAACTGAGAGGTGATGGAAACCTGGATATGCAGAAGGTATGAAGGGAGCCAGAAAGTACATGATGTGTGCATGTGTGTGTGTGTGTGTTTCTGTGTGTGTAATAAAACGTGCCACTAGTAGGCATTTACAATTATTTAATATGCATTATACGAGTATGAAGACATGTTATGTGCTTAGTCTAATTATCTTCTTAAAAGCACAGTATGAAAAACAGCTGAATCTTCCCTTCATTACACCCAACTGAATTTAAAGAATGAACAAGAAACTGCCAGAAAGAACACTGAGTACCCAGATATGAGTACAGAAACCCCACATGCCTTTCTTTCTGATTGTCTATTATACAAAGCCTCCATAGGATTACTGGGACACTTCCTCCAGACTAGTGAGTAGGATCTAGAGATAATCCACCACTGCCCTGCATCCACTGTACAAGATCATCCAGGTGAATAGAGTGCTGGGACCCAGTTTATCATTTCTTAATCCATTACCTCAATGAACATGGCCACTTTGCTTACTTCACTTCTGCTTTGGATGTTGCCACTTGAGTTTCCTTTTCATCAAGTAGCCAGGTGCTAGTCATTGCCCAGTGAATCTCCAGGTCTCTAGGCTTCTCCTAGAGATAGCTGAAATGGGTTCCTAGTCACTAATGCCTTTAATCAGATTTTCTCATATGGCAACCCACTTTTTGCCATATGCTAAAATATATCCCTCCATGAATCTTAATGTTGCATCTAGCCTGCCTCTCCTTCAAGACTTTGCAAAATGTCATATTCTCTGCAATGACTTCCTGTTTCTTTATCTCCATAGCTTTCATTACCTTATAGCATGTACTACAATGTGCTTGTTATACTTATTGTCTCTCTCCCTATACTAGAATATGAGCTCTCGAAGGGCTGAGATTTTTGCCTGTATGCTTCAATGATGTATTTCCAGAACCTACAGGACTGCTTGTTATATAGTAAGTGCTCAGTAAATTTTGCTTAATGAGAAGGTATATACAATGTACACACAATTATGTTTATATTAGTTTAATATATTTGATATAATATGCTTTACATATATTACATGCAAATATTTATATAATTAAAATTAAACACACACATATATATAATGCAGGTAGTCCTCATTTTTTTTTTTTTTTTTTTTTTTTTTTTTTTTTTTTTTTTTTTTTTGAGACGGAGTCTCGCTCTGTCGCCCAGGCCGGACTGCGGACTGCAGTGGCGCAATCTCGGCTCACTGCAAGCTCCGCTTCCCGGGTTCACGCCATTCTCCTTCCTCAGCCTCCCGAGTAGCTGGGACTACAGGCGCCCGCCACCGCGCCCGGCTAATTTTTTGTATTTTTAGTAGAGACGGGGTTTCACCTTGTTAGCCAGGATGGTCTCGATCTCCTGACCTCATGATCCACCCGCCTCGGCCTCCCAAAGTGCTGGGACTACAGGCGTGAGCCACCGCGCCCGGCCAGGTAGTCCTCATTTTGCGCAATAGTGTGTTGACTGCAACTCATGCGTGTTTTGCTTTGCAGAAGATCTCAGCTACCACAGAATTGTGCAAAGTAAGTTACACTTTTCCTGTGTGTGTAAATGTCAGTTAAATATTGTTTTGTTTAAAGCAAGGACTTCATAGACATAGATAGATAGATGATAGATAGATACATAGATGGATACACAGATAGATACATAGATATCTTCATATGTATATATACATATAATTTTTTAAAAGCTCACTGGCTATTTAAAGTAAAAGGAATAGCTACCTATTGTGGGGTTTTAAAGCAAATATAGATGTAAAATAAATGACAATGAGAACACAACAGTTGTAAGAAGTTTAACTGGAATTATACATTGTAAAGCTCTTATTAATGAAGTAGATAGTATTTTTGAGGTAGACAGCACTAAATTAAATATGTATATTATATAATGTGTAACCATTGAAAAAACAAATAAGATATAAACCAAAAGCCAATGCAGAAGATAAAATGGAATACTAAAATACTTAATTAGCCATAAATGTGAAACAAATGATAACACACAGATAAAAGAAGTACCAATACAGTCAACTTATACTCTACCCTATCAGTAATTACGTTAAATGTTCCATGAAAAATGGAAGACATTTCTAAAATAGATTTAAAAATTATAACCTCAGTGCGATGATTAAATTTATGTGTGAATTTGGCCCATGCAGTGCCCAGATATTTGGTTAAACATTATTTTGTGTGTTTCTGAAAGGATATTTCAGATGCCTAATGTCCTTTTAACTGAGACATCAGGTGTTTTCCTGTCTTTGGATTGGAACTGACATATTGACTTTTTTATGGTTATGAGCCTGCCAGCCTTTGGACTTAAACTACACCCTCAGCCTTCCAAGTTCTTAGCTCTTGGGCACATACTGGAACTAAACCAGTGGCTGTCCTAAGATTCCAGCTTGCTGAGTCTCACGGTGTAGATTTTGGGACTTGCCAGCCTCCATAATCACATGAGCCAATTCCTTATAATGTCTTTCTCTCCCTTTCTTTCATATATATATATATAGAGAGAGAGAGAGAGTTTGGCAGGTTGATAGTTAAAAGGATGCAAATAAACAGAGGACATAATTACAAAGCTTAAGAAAGCTGGGGTGGCTCTGCTAGTATTAGACAAAGTAGACTTCAAAAGAAGGAGTATGAGCAGAACTAAGGGAGATATTTTGTGAGAATGAAGAACCAATTCACTAAAAAGACATAGTCACACATGTAATGTGTATGACCTAATAAAAGAGATAACACTAAGTTAAATTGCCAAACTAAGGAGGGAAAATAGATAAGTCTACAACTGTGTTTGGAAATGTTAACATACTTCTTTGAGTGATTGATAGAAGGACCAGATTTTAAAAATCAGTAAACATACTGAAGATGTGAACAGTATGTTCAACCAACTAGACCTAGGCGACATTTATAGATATATCTCACTACAGCAGAATGCATTTTCTTTTCAAGTGCTCACAGAATATTTTAAACAGACTCAATGCTGGGCATTAAACCAGGTTCTAATATAAAAATTATTCAAGCCGAATCGGGCATACTCTTATCATAATGGTATTATATTCATAATTAATATTATTAAAATTTGTATAAAATATCCTAATGTTTGGAAATTAAACCAAAAAATAAAAACAGCCCATGAGTCAAAGAAGAAATCACAGTAAAAATTATATTTTGAAATAACTGGCCGGGCGCGGTGGCTCACATCTGTAATCCAGCACTTTGGGAGGCCGACGCAGATGGATCACGAGGTCAAGAGATCGAGACCATCCTGGCCAACATGGTGAAACCCTGTCTCTACTAAAAATACAAAAATTAGCTGGGCATGGTGGCGGGTGCCTGTAGTCCCAGCTACTCAGGAGGCTGAGGCAAGAGAATCACTTGAACCCTGGAGGTGGAGGTTACAGTGAGCCAAGATTGCGCCACTGCACTCCAGCCTGGCAACAGAGTGAGACTCTGTCTCAAAAATAAATAAATAAATAAATAAATAAATTATTAAAAAATAACAAACCATAATGTGTAAGATGCTGCTATAATAGGGCTAAGAGATAACTTTATAGCTTTAAATATCTGTACTACAAAAGAGAATATATTTAAAATCAATGACATAAGCTTATACATTAAGAATGCAAAAAACAGGAATAAAATAAAAAGAAACTAGAAAAATGTACAGAATAGGCCAGGCGCAAGGTAGCTCATGCCTGTAATCCAGCACTTTGGGAGGCTGAGGCAGGCGGATCACGAGGTCAGGAGATCGAGACCATCCTGGCTAACACGGTGAAACCCCATCTCTAATATAAATACAAAAAAATTAGCCGGGTATGGTGGTGGTTGTCTGTAGTCCTAGCTACTCTGGAGGCCGAGGGAAGAGAATGGTGTGAACCCGGGAGGCAGAGCTTGCAGTGAGCCAAGATCGTGCCACTGCACTCCGGCCTGGGTGACAGAGCGAGACCCCATCTCAAAAAAAAAAAAAAAAGTAACCTGCACATGGATGTTTATAACAGGTTTGTTCGTAATGGACAAATCTTGGCAGCAACCAGGGTGTCCTTCATCAGGTGAATGGGTAAATAAACTTCGGTACATCCAGACAATGGAATATTATTGAGCATTGAAAAGAAATGAGCTATTAAGCTATAAAAATATATGGAAGTTAACTAAAATGCATGTTATTAAGTGAAAGAAGCCAGTCTGAAAAGGATACATACTATATGTGTCCAACTAGTTTACATTCCAGAAAAGATAAAACTATGGAGACAGCACAAAGATCAGTGGTTGCCAGGTATCTGCAGGGGAGGGGAGGGGATGAATAGGTAGAACATGGAGGATTTGGGAGCTAGGAAACTATCCCGTGTTATACTATAATGGTGGATGTATTACATTAGACATTTGTCAAAACACAGAATGTACAATACCAAGAGGAAACTTAATGTGAACTCCAGACTTTGGGTGATAATGACATGTCAATTGATGTTCATCAGCTGTGAGAAGCATACAATTTTGCTGGAGGACGTTGACATTGGGGCAGATCGTGTGTGTGCTGGGGGAACCAAGGGGTGTATGGAAACTTGCTGTAGTTTTGGCTTAATTCTGCTGTGAACCAAAAACTGCTCTACAAAATAAGGTCTATTTGATAAGAAGAAAAACATGAGTTACCAGGCCACAAAATTAGGAATATTAAATGTGTATTGCTAAGTGAAAGAAGCCAATCTGGAAGGCTACACATTTTATGATTCCCACTACATATGATATTCTGGAAAAGGCACAACTATGGAGAAGGTAAAAAAAATCAAAATTTGCCAGGGGTTTGGTAGGAGAAAGCACAGGTTTTTTAGGGCAGTAAAATTCTTCTATATAATAATGCAATGGTGGACACAGAAATCTGTTATCACACAATTGTGATAACCCATTTATCACACAATTGTGTGAAAACCCATAAAATGTATACATAAAGAGTGAATACTAATGTAAACTAGGGAGTTCAATTAATGATATTGGCTCGTTGACTGTAACAAATATACCGCTCTAACGCAAGACATTAAAAATAAGGGGCATTGCCAGGGGTAGGGGGACAGGGATGGTGGGAGAGGAGAGGGGATACATGAGAAGTCTCTGTACTTGCCTCTCATTTTTTCTGCAAACCTACAACTGCTTTAAAAAATAATCCATTAATTAAAAAGAAAAGACACAAACAAAACTCACAATAAATGACATACCATTTCTCATTTACTGAACTGCCTAAAATACTGAAATGCCTAAAATAAAAATGGCTGACTGACTGTATCAATTTTGCAATGATGTGGATCCATTGGAACCCTCATATTTGCTAATTGCAGTGTAAAACTGCAATCACCATTTCACATCCAGTTGAATAACAAAAATCAAAAAAGACTGACACTACAAAATTTTGCAAGGTTGTCAAGTACCTGGAATTCGTATGCATTCTTAATTCTTAACATTATTCTTATGTTAGAGTGTAAAATGGTCTAACCCAACTATGGAGAACTCTTACAGTTTCTTATAAACAGCCGTCTATCCTATGACCCAGACATTCAACTCCCAGGCATTTACCCAAGATAAATGGAAGCATATATTTACAAAAGGCTTGTAAAATAATTTGTAATGCAGCCTTTTTCTCATAATAGCATCAGATTTTAAATGTCTCACATGCCAACAGGTAACAGATAAATTATGGAGTTATAAATACAATGGAATACTTTTCAGCATAAAAAATAGCAAACTTCCAATACTTGCAACATATTTACATTAAAAAATGTTGAACAAAGGAATATTGACCTCTATCTGTGTGTCTTTCTCTCTCCCTCCCTCCCTCCCTCCTACGCTGATTCCATTTTATGAATTTTTAGAACAGGCAAAATAATCTAGGGTGAGAGAAATAAGGAAGTGTATGTTTTTGGAGATAGAATAATTGACTGGAAAAGGGTGCACGGTAATTTTGTTTGATAATAAAACTATTATTTATATTGTTTTGAGTGTTAATTACTCAGTGGCAAAGCTCATTAAATTGAATACTTTAGATCTGTGCATGTTGTTGCATGTTAATTATATCTAACATATTTTAAAAGGTTTTGGCAGCCCTGGTGTAATGGTAAGAGTGATGGGCTGGGCACAGTGGCTGATGCCTACGGTCCCAGCACTTTGGGAGGCCAAGGTTGGGGGCTCACTTAACCCCAGGAGTTTGAGGCCAGCCTGAGCAAAATAGTGAGACCCCATCGCTACGAAAAACAAACGAACAAAAATCACCTGCGTGTGGTATGGCCTGTCTGCAGTCTCGGCTACTCAGGAGGCTGATGCAGGAGAATGGCTTGAGCCCAGGAGTTTCAGACTGCCGTGAGCTATGATCATACCACTGCACTCCAGTCTGGGTGAGAGAGCAAGACCCTGCCTGGTGGTCAGCGGCAAAAAGAAAAAAAAAGAATGCAAGCTCTCACAACGAATAGATTGGGATTTAAATCTGAATTCTGATATGTATTGCTAGATCTTCTGAGCCTCAAATTCTTGCCATGTAAAATCAAGCCAAATACTTATGGATTTTGTGAGAAATCAATGAATAGAGTCTATTATACTCTGAGGATGGTATTTTATCAAATAATAAATTGTTGATAACTAGTAGTTACACTATTTTAATCCTTCCAATTCTTTTTTTTTCAAACCTCATACTTATGATATCTCCTATGCTTTTTAAATAATTTTTCTACTTAGACTGTCTATCTGGATCACATGAATCTTTCACAGCCTCAGGTTTGTTTTCTTTCTTTTCACTGCTACAATCAGCATCACAGCTCCCCTCACCCCATGTTCCAAGCAGAAGTGAGTATTTGATTATTTTCATCCTCTATGACCAATATGAGGTTTAAACAATGCGACAACACCTTATTGTACTAAAAAACCATATGAATATCCCTATATGACTAACAATAGATTCGTGAAATGTCCCTATGTGACTAACGATAGATTAGATTAATGTCCCTATGTGACTAACAATAGATGTAAATAGGACTTGCATCAGATTTTTCTCTGTAGTCTTATCTATAGCACAGTGCTGGGCATATAGTGAATGCTTAATAAAAGGTATTTCATAAATAAGTAATTTTAGAGTTTATGAAAATCATAACTGATTTTGTTACTCACTTATGAATATTTACACAAAGTCTAACAGCTACAGAAGATTGGAAGACAGGCAGTTCTGGTGCTAATCTTACCATTTCATTTTGTAGCTCCTTAGTGACCACTCAATGCGAGCTGGGGATACCAAGGTGAGCAAAACAGGCTCCCGTCTGCTCCTAGTTCCGCAATTTTCCTACTCCCATCACAATACTTCAGTTCTCCCTTCCCTGTTTTTAAAAATCATTTTGTATACTGCTGTTATATACTGACGTAAGCCATTAAAAGTCCTTTCTAATTAGGGAACAGAGGCCAACATTTCATGGATGTTTTGTATGTTTTTCCCTTTTGTTTTCTACTCACCTTGAATTTTCAAGCTGTTTCATATAAAAGTGAGGAAAGGGAATTTTGACAACACTTGGTTCAAAGGTGTTGAGGAGGAAGAACATATGCACAGAAAGGGAAAGAGGGCTTCAGGAAGCAGGAAGGTTTCACAGGAGTGATTTGGGAAGACCCAACACTTGTGGTCTAATGCCTCACTAGACTCAGGGCAATATTATGTTTTGCTGTGATTAAGGCAGTCAGTTTTCAAAAACGACCCGTATGTCCCTGTTTCCTCAGGTGAATTTTGCTCACAAGTAATTTGTAAATAGCTAGGGAGAGCCCCAGGAACAGCCTGGGTCTGAGAGCACTGACTATCTGAAATAAGCAGATGTTTCTTCCAGGGAGAATAAACTGGGTTTACCCTCTTTACTTGTTCCTATAGAATCAATGGATACATAATCTCTGATTTTTCCCTGCCGGTTAAAGAATGTTTCCAAGCAGTGGCAATAGTGCTGGTGTAGAAGTTATTCATCTTCCATTTCTAACTACTCCTACGCACCTGTTTTTTCCTTTGTATAATGCCTAATCTTTTCTTTCTGGCTTTGGTGTTGCCTCTTAACATAAACCGGACCTCTTTTCATAGAACAGATTCGGTGGGAGTTGACACTGTATGTCAGTGCTATTCACTGACCTCCAACATCAGTGAGAATAGCCAGACCCTAGTGGGAGCCATTCATTGTGTGGGATGACCAACAGCATGGTGGACGGCAGGACAAACCTGTCATAATTCCCGAAAATAAACGGTTAGTGGGAGAACTTAATCTCTGTGTAGTTTATACATTTGCATTAGAGTGGAAAAAAAGTATGCTTTAGAAATGCCCTAGGCTAAAAAATAAACTGATTTTTCCAAAGCCATCCATAGCCAGTAACAGCCATGTAGCAGAGTTGATAATAGCAGGTCCTGAGGGTTAGGCATTTAGAGTTTGTCCTTCTACAGTGTTTCCAAACCCCCATGAAACTGAGAAATCCTGTGTGGATCTGGGCCATTAACCCAAGGGAGAAACGAAAACCATGAAACACGGTAGTATCCATTCTGCAGAAGCTTTTTGTGTGCTGTGGTAGATGGCCTTCTCTGGGGATACACAGGAGTGATGTCCAGTAGTCCACCCTTATCCTTGGGGGATATATTCTGAGACCCCCCTGTGGAGGCCTGAAACTGGAAATAGTACTGAATCCTATATGTACTACGATGTTTTCAACTGATAGCCGAGACAGCTACTAAGTGAATAACAGGCGGGTAGCATATACAGCATGGATACACTAGACAAAGGGATAATTCATGCCCCAGGCAGGACGAAACAGAACAATTTCATAATACTACTCAGAATGGCATGCAATCTAAAGCTTATAAATTATTTCTGGAAATTTCCATTTAATTTTTTGGACTGCATTTGATTGCAGGTAACTGAAACCACACAATGTGAAACTGCAGGCACAGGAGTGCTACTGTATTCGCTACCTGCTCATTAACCACTTAGTAGCTGCTTCAGATATCAGATCTACCATCGGTTTCCCAGTGTTTGTGTTCAAGGAACCCTTGTTTTACTTAGTAATAGCCCCAAAATGTAAGAATAGTGATCCTGGCAATTTAGGTATGCCAAACGGAAGCTATGAAGTGCTTCCTTGAAGGAAAAAGGTGAAAGTTCTTGACTTAATAAGGAAAGAAAAAATCGCATGCTGAGATTGCTAAGATATATGGCAAAAACAAAACTATCTGTGAAATTGTGAAGAAGGAGAATGAAAGGGATACATGGTATATATAAGGTTTGGTGCTGTCTCCAGGTTCGGGCATCGAGAGTTTTGGAATGTATCCCCTGCAGGTAAGGTGGGGGGGGCTACTGTATCATCAAGCACCCTTAAAAATCTGACTGTTTTGAAAAGAGTTTCCTGGGAATAACAACATCCCTTAAGTGTCCAGAAAATCACTGAAACTTTACCCCCAAATTCTTCTATTATTGTTTAAGGCAATAATAACATTGGGAGTGTGTACATACCTTCTCTTGGGTCCATAAATTACCAAATTTGAGGACCCCTGGCTAAGGGTACCTGGGAAGGAGTGGGGTGTACCCTTCATCGTCCTCATCTGCCCCCTGGTGGCACGTTTTGTCACTCTGGACTCCTGCCGTAGGCTGCCAACAGCCTATTTAAACGAAACATCCTTGATATTTAGTGCTTTGTATATTTCCAGAAAGCTTTTCAATTACTGAGATTATCACTTCCTCTCACCATAAAGTTGTATAGCATTGCCCAATAATACTATTGTCATCTGCTTTATCTGTTAATACTTGATTTGTCTCATATTTAAACTGATTTTTGTCACGAGAAGTTTCCCCAGAAATTTTTTTATTCTTTGCCTGTTTTTCCTATATATCCAAATATATCAATTTTTGATCTATTTATATACCCATTTTGTTATCTTCAGGTGCGTTATTTGGTTTTCATTTTTTAAATTTCTTTCCCATTCTGCAGATGAAAAATACTGAGAAACCTACTCTGTTCCTGCATCCGAGCCATTCCACAGGCAGTTTTCCCATACTAAAAATGCTGTCTTCCACTGATGTGTGGCATGTCTCAGTTCCGTGACTTCTTTTCCTCTCTCTCTACTCGCTGCTGTCCCTTTTCTCCATGTGTCTCTAACATGCCTGTGTTCTTCAAGACCCAGTGCAACCACATTCCCTCCCACAACTCTATTTTCATGAGGAATAGCCAAGCAGGACTCCCAAGACATCATACAGGAGTGCCTACAGGGTATCTCTCCTTGGCAGTCCCACAGCACCGCAAATGCCCTGTGTCTGCCAATACTCATCAGCCTCTCTTCCCGTGTGCCTCTCCTGGGACCCTAAGAGAGTAACAGTCCCTGCAACTTCCCACTTTCTCCAGGCAGGGACTTGTGTGCCTTTTCCATGTCTTTGACTCCTTTATTCAATTATAATACAGGTATCTGTCTGCTATAACTCCTGGAACTCTCTTATGTAAATGCGCTTTTTTCATTCTCCGCCTCACATCTTAGCCCAGACCACACCATCTCCCCCCGCCGTCTTGGATACCTTCCATGTTTCCAGTGGTCTGCTCCCACTCCACACTGCAGTACAGTGATTTTTCTAAAACATGGATGGGTTCCTGTCACTCCCCTGTGAAAAGTCATCCATGTGGAGTCTGACTGGTCTGCATTTGGGGACTGGACAGAGTGAGAAGGGATCCTGTGTCAGCCAGGACTCCGGTAGACGCCCCTATGCAATATCCACTTGTGGTGGTCGGGGGCGGGGAAGGGGCGGGATTGAGCCCCCTTCCCCCCTCCTCCTTACTGCGGAAAGCTGCGGAGCGAGCAGCACTCACTTCCTATTCAGCATTCAGCAGGGAGGGAGCCTCTGAACAGCCACGTAGGCATTCTCTTCTCTCTGGAGGAAAAGGCCCAGCAGCTGTCCGAGGAAAAGACCCACCAGCTGTCAGCAAAGGGACATGTCGCAGCTAAGTAAGAATCTGGGTGACTCGAGTCCTCCGGCGGAGGCCCCGAAGCCGCCTGTCTATAGCCGCCCTACGGTTCTGATGCGGGCCCCGCCCGCTTCCTCCCGGGCTCCGCCAGTCCCTTGGGATCCACCTCCAATTGACTTGCAGGCTTCATTGGCCGCTTGGCAGGCACCTCAGCCTGCCTGGGAGGCCCCACAGGGCCAGCTGCCCGCCCCGGTGGTTCCGATGACCCAGCCTCCTGCCCTAGGGGGCCCGATAGTCCCGGCTCCCCCGCTGGGGGGCCCGATGGGTAAGCCTCCGACTCCCGGGGTCCTGATGGTGCATCCTCCACCTCCGGGAGCCCCGATGGCCCAGCCTCCGACCCCGGGAGTCCTGATGGTGCATCCTTCAGCTCCCGGAGCTCCCATGGCCCATCCTCCTCCTCCGGGGACCCCAATGTCCCACCCTCCCCCTCCGGGGACCCCAATGGCCCATCCTCCTCCTCCGGGGACCCCGATGGCCCATCCTCCTCCTCCGGGGACCCCGATGGTGCATCCTCCTCCTCCGGGGACCCCGATGGCTCATCCTCCCCCTCCGGGGACACCGATGGCTCATCCTCCCCCTCCGGGGACACCGATGGCTCATCCTCCACCTCCGGGGACACCGATGGCTCATCCTCCCCCTCCGGGTACACCGATGGCCCAGCCTCCAGCTCCGGGAGTCCTGATGGCCCAGCCTCTGACTCCGGGAGTCCTGATGGTCCAGCCTGCTGCTCCGGGAGCACCGATGGTCCAGCCGCCTCCAGCAGCCATGATGACCCAGCCTCAGCCTTCAGGAGCACCGATGGCCAAGCCTCCAGGTCCAGGAGTCCTGATGATTCATCCTCCAGGTGCGAGAGCTCCGATGACCCAGCCTCCAGCTTCAGGAGCACCGATGGCACAGCCGGCGGCCCCACCTGCACAGCCGATGGCCCCACCTGCACAGCCGATGGCTTCTTGGGCCCCGCAGGCTCAGCCTCTGATCCTGCAAATCCAGTCTCAAGTTATAAGGGCTCCTCCGCAGGTTCCCCAGGGCCCGCAGGCACCCCCAGCGCAGCTAGCCACACCCCCGGGCTGGCAGGCGACCTCGCCAGGATGGCAGGCCACGCAGCAAGGCTGGCAGGCCACTCCCCTGACTTGGCAGACCACGCAGGTCACCTGGCAGGCACCAGCCGTTACCTGGCAGGTGCCGCCGCCCATGCGCCAGGGGCCCCCGCCCATCCGCCCTGGCCCACCACCCATCCGCCCTGGCCCACCACCGGTGCGACAGGCCCCACCGCTGATCCGCCAGGCCCCACCGGTGATCCGCCAGGCCCCACCCGTGATCCGCCAGGCCCCACCCGTGATCCGCCAGGCCCCCGCTGTGATCCGCCAGGCCCCACCTGTGATCCGCCAGGCCCCACCTGTGATCCGCCAGGCTCCACCTGTGATCCGCCAGGCCCCGCCGCTGATCCGCCAGGCGCCGCCGCCCATCCGACCTGCCCCACAGGTCCTGGCCACCCAGCCACCGCTCTGGCAGGCCCTGCCACCCCCACCTCCACTGCGGCAGGCCCCGCAGGCTAGGCTGCCGGCCCCGCAGGTGCAGGCGGCGCCGCAGGTGCCTACGGCCCCACCTGCTACGCAGGTACCCGCGGCGCCGCCCGCTGGCCCGCAGGTGCCCCAGCCTGTGCTGCCGGCCCCGCTGTCTGCCCCACTGTCTGCCCCGCAGGCTGTGCACTGCCCTTCCATCATCTGGCAGGCCCCCAAAGGTCAGCCCCCGGTGCCACACGAGATTCCAACGTCAATGGAATTCCAGGAGGTGCAGCAGACACAGGCGCTGGCCTGGCAGGCCCAGAAGGCCCCCACTCACATCTGGCAGCCCCTGCCTGCCCAGGAGGCCCAGAGGCAGGCTCCCCCCTTGGTCCAGCTGGAGCAGCCCTTTCAGGGAGCCCCGCCCTCCCAAAAAGCCGTGCAAATCCAGCTACCCCCCCAGCAGGCCCAGGCATCGGGTCCGCAAGCGGAGGTGCCCACACTGCCGCTCCAGCCTTCCTGGCAGGCACCGCCTGCAGTCTTGCAGGCCCAGCCCGGACCCCCGGTAGCAGCGGCAAATTTTCCCCTGGGCTCCGCTAAATCATTGATGACTCCATCAGGAGAATGCAGGGCCTCTTCTATAGACCGCAGGGGCTCCTCTAAAGAGCGCAGGACCTCCTCGAAGGAGCGCAGGGCCCCTTCAAAAGACCGCATGATCTTTGCTGCCACCTTCTGTGCTCCCAAGGCAGTGTCAGCTGCGCGAGCACACCTGCCAGCTGCCTGGAAAAACCTGCCTGCCACACCGGAGACCTTTGCTCCCTCCTCAAGTGTCTTCCCAGCTACCTCCCAGTTTCAGCCTGCCTCTCTGAATGCCTTTAAAGGCCCCTCTGCTGCCTCAGAGACCCCAAAGTCACTGCCATATGCTCTGCAGGATCCCTTTGCCTGTGTAGAGGCCCTGCCTGCAGTTCCATGGGTCCCACAGCCCAATATGAATGCCTCAAAGGCATCGCAGGCAGTGCCCACCTTCCTGATGGCTACAGCAGCTGCCCCCCAGGCAACTGCCACCACTCAAGAGGCCTCCAAGACCTCCGTCGAGCCGCCACGCCGCTCCGGCAAGGCCACCCGGAAGAAGAAGCATCTGGAAGCCCAAGAGGACAGCCGTGGCCACACGCTAGCCTTTCATGACTGGCAGGGCCCAAGGCCCTGGGAGAATCTAAATCTGAGTGACTGGGAGGTCCAAAGCCCTATCCAGGTCTCGGGTGACTGGGAGCACCCAAACACCCCCCGTGGCCTGAGTGGTTGGGAGGGCCCTAGCACCTCCAGGATCCTGAGTGGCTGGGAAGGGCCCAGCGCATCCTGGGCCCTGAGTGCCTGGGAGGGCCCGAGCACCTCCAGGGCCCTGGGTCTCTCTGAAAGCCCAGGGAGCTCTCTGCCCGTAGTTGTGTCTGAGGTCGCAAGTGTCTCTCCGGGATCCAGTGCCACCCAGGATAATTCCAAGGTGGAGGCACAGCCCTTGTCTCCCTTGGATGAGAGGGCAAATGCGTTGGTGCAGTTCCTCTTAGTCAAGGACCAAGCCAAGGTGCCTGTCCAGCGCTCGGAGATGGTGAAAGTCATCCTCCGAGAGTATAAAGATGAGTGCTTAGATATCATCAACCGTGCCAACAATAAGCTGGAGTGTGCCTTTGGTTATCAATTGAAAGAAATTGATACCAAAAACCACGCCTATATTATCATCAACAAGCTGGGCTACCATACAGGGAATTTGGTGGCATCCTATTTAGACAGGCCCAAGTTTGGCCTTCTGATGGTGGTCTTGAGCCTCATCTTTATGAAAGGCAACTGTGTCAGGGAGGATCTGATCTTTAATTTTCTGTTCAAGTTAGGGTTGGATGTCCGGGAGACAAACGGTCTCTTTGGAAATACTAAGAAGCTCATCACCGAAGTGTTTGTCAGGCAGAAGTACCTAGAGTACAGGCGAATCCCTTACACTGAGCCCGCAGAGTATGAGTTCCTCTGGGGCCCTCGAGCATTCCTGGAAACCAGCAAGATGCTTGTCCTGAGGTTTTTGGCCAAGCTCCATAAGAAAGATCCACAGAGCTGGCCATTCCATTACCTTGAAGCGCTCGCAGAGTGTGAGTGGGAAGACACAGATGAGGATGAACCTGACACCGGTGACAGTGCCCACGGCCCCACCAGCAGGCCCCCTCCCCGCTAATAGGTGTAGCAGAGATCTCGCTCCTGTGTTTCCCTGGCCAGAGGCCACTGACAGGGTGGGGGGACATTTTTGTTCCTGGTGTTTGTGTTCCAGTTCCACGAGTGTACGTTTGGATTTTCAACTTGGTTTCGTATCTGCCAAAGCTTTGTACATTTTTTATGTGGTGTTGATTTCAATCGGCTACTGTTCTGTTCTGTATTTTGGCATCTGTGTTTTTAAGTGAGATCTGTGGTTCTCTGTTTTGTGTTTTAATTGTTATGTTTTGGTATCAGCTTTGTGCTGGCTTTGTGAAATGAATTGAGAAGCTATCCATCTCATTTCTGGTATAGTTCATGTAGCATTGTAATCGGTTGTTCTTTGAACGTTCAAATGACTCATCAGTAAAAACTGTCTACAGAGAAGTAAATATCTATATCTATATATATAAATATACTTTCAGCATAACAGAAGTGTTTGTCTTTATTCTAATTTTTACACTAGATGGTGGAAGCCAAGTTTTGCCGTATTCTCTGAATAGACATGAATAGCAAGACTACTCTCAGTTATAGTAAAAACCACGGTGATGGAATTGTTTTCCAAGGAGAGTACTCCATTCATCTTTATAAGGATGCAGTGATTTCAGTGGGTGGTTATACATAAGATTTCTCCAGGAGATTAATTAAAGCACACACGTTAGTGCCCAGCTGGTAACGTTGTTATTAGAAGCAGAAATGTCCTTAAGGGTATGTGGAGAAGAAGGGCCATCTGCCTGCAGGACTACAAATAACCAGGTGGTCCCGCTTCATGGAGAATTTGGCCAAAAGGGTATTTGTCAATCATGTGGCCCGTGGCGGGGTGTCCAGCAGTTCAAATTTGGGTTTCATCAACACACTGCTACCGGGATGGAAACGTGCTCCCTGCAGGATATCCAGGCTTATAACAGGGAAAAGGAAAAAACAGTCTTCATTTAATTAGAAACCCTGCAGATTGCCAGCAGTAGTGGCTGGGTTAGGGGAGGGCGTGGCAGGGTGCATTCCTATCAACATAGAGTTCTAGGGGAAGGTCCTGGGGGGAAGGGTCATTCTAACTTGTAGGGGAAGGCAGCCGGCAACGCCTGAAGTTGCTGAACAACCGCGGTCAGCCCTTGGCTATGAACCTGGTCTAGGCAGGAAAGGGACAAGGGAATGAACTGGCCTGAGTGTTTTGAGGAAGGATATTCAAGCACACACCAGGCTGGTGTACACAAAAGGACGTTCTTGTGGTCATACTCTCTTCCTGTGGACAGGGGACCATCAGCCCTACTTGCCACCGCATACTGTCTTATCAGAAGGAAGAAATCCAATCCCATATCCCGCTTCTAGGGTGAAGCCAAAGTCCCAGATGCGGTTAGTGGCGATGGTGGAATTCTCCTGCCACCTAGCGGCAGATTAGAGGTGCCACCGCAGCTGCCGCAGCAACAGCCCCTCCCACAGTGCTTAACTTCACAACCATGTATATACTTGGATTGCAGCTACTCCTTGCTTCACCACTTTTGCTCATAATTTTATCTATATCTGTGCCCAGAGATTCCTTCTTTTCTCTTATAGGCCAAGGTAGCATCTGTTTTCAAGTCCAATCCGCTCTTCACTCAACAATTTCTATCCTTGGTCCTGCAGCGCTGCCACTTAGGAAGCTGACTAGGAGAGGAGCCCACAAGATGCAGACTCTACTCCTAGCACCCGCAGAACTGAGCTTTCCAGGACGATGATCCCCGCCCCAGGACCTGCCAGGCCGCAGGAGCTCTTTCTCAAGTTGTCTAAGTGGTCAGGTAGTCCAAAAACTGGGAGGCAGTTTCCTATAAACTCCTTGGGTCAGAGAGTCCTGCGCATTTGTCCGCAAGCAATGTTTACTTATTTTTACAACAACAGCAAATGTCCATTGAAGGAGACAGCAATGCCCCAGCTGAGAACTGTCCCCAAAGGAGGTTTTGCTGGGCCAGTAAAGTGGCATATTGGTCTAGTATTTCTTGTTTGTGTTTAGTTTATTTATGATTGCTTATAAAGTTTTCTCCAGACCATTAACTCATGGCGTGCCTGAGCAAGATGCTCTTTGTGGAACAAAATTTGGGACTTTGTTCCAAATTTGGGACTTTGTCCCATCATGGGACTTTGGTGCCATACTTAAGGTGGGGGCTGGCTCTGCTCCATGGTAGAGAGGCTTACTTCCCAGCTGCAAACCTCACTCTCACACGTGACATATATCTAATGGCCTTCTTTAAGTAATGCCAAGGACTTAAAGCCTAAATTTGTTTATATTGTAATGAGATATAAATTGCAACAATGAAAAATGTGTTCATTACCAATGAGTAAACTAGTTAGATATTCAACTGAAAAGTTTAAGAAAGTGCAGCTAACATGACAGTGAAAAGCAGAAAACAAAGACCAGGAATATAGAAAAATACAGGTTAAAAAACAGCGGGAACTGGCCGGGGGTGCGGTGGCTCACGCCTGTAATCCCAGCACTTTGGGAGGCCGAAGAGGGTGGATCACAAGGTCAAGAGATCAAGACAACCCTGGCTGACAAGGTGAAACCCCATCTCTACTAAAAATACAAAAATTAGCCGGGTGTGGTGGCGGGCGGGCACCTGTAGTCCCAGCTACTCGGGAGGCTGAAGCAGGAGAATGGCATGAATCATGGAGGTGGAGCTTGCAGTGAGCCGAGATCGCACCACTGCACTCTAGCCTGGGCAATAGAGTGAGACTCTGTCTCAAAAAAAACAAAAACAAAAACAAAAACAAACAAACAAACAAAACAGTGGGAACGAATTCAAATCCCACTTATTTGAAAGTGCTAAAATGTAGAAAATGTAGAAAATGTAACACAAATCTCTTTTACTATAAAATTGAGCAAAAAGCCCAAACCTAGTAATAGGCAAAATGTATCACAGGAAAAAAATGGCAAATAACTGTTGAAACTGTTACACCTCACTAATAAAGATAGAAATATTAAATCTGTATTCCAGTTTTCATTTATTAAATTGTCATAGAATAAACTAAAACCCCATGTAATGTCCAATGTCAATGATATTGTTATGAAACTGGAACCATTATACACAACCAGTGAAAGTATAAGTTATTACAATTTGCCTGGAAATCAATGCAGCCAACTCTGTCTTCAAAAGGCTTTAACATGGTAATACTATTTTACCTAGAAATTCTTCATTTGGGAATATGTTGAATGAGAACAATCCACAGAGAAGGCAAAGACTTCTTCATAGAGAAAGCTGTTCATGAACATATGGGAAATTTATCAGGGTGTGAGCAGGCCCCCCTCCCCAATATAAACCTACAGTGTCAAGGGAGTACAGTGAGTTTCTGCTGAAAAAACCACAGGCTTCCTCAGAAAACAACTTGTAGTTTGTTTCAACACACAGAAAATGAAAGACTCAGCATCCACCATTATGGGCTGTAGAGAAGTCATTGCACTCTGTGCCTGAAAATTTTAAAACTAGGTGCTAGCACACTCTCCAAAGCCATAAATGACCTCAGTAAAATATATGATTTCTAGTGAAGAAAAACTATAGTTCTCAAAGTGATGAAATTCAATGTGCTCCTATGTCGAGTGTTCAACTATAAGCAAGTTAATATTTTAGGATATTTGTCTTAAGAAGATGATCTGAATTTTGGAATAATTTTACTCAAAGACATTACTCCTGAGAGCAACAGAGAAAAGGACCGGTTGTTTCTCAAAGCCACCAGTGAATCAACCTTGTCAGCAAACGAGAGTTAAGGATTGTGGCTGCAATTGACAGAGGACTTTCAAGATTAAGGGGCCGGGGCCCTGTGGCCGCAGTAATATCCATTTTACTGGGCATGTAGCCTATATTATTGATTTGCCCTCAGAGTTATAGGCACCCCCAGAACTCAGCAATTCACCCCGATGGTCATGATACTTGAAAGGATACATCATTCTTGCACTCCTGCCCCTAGCTGCCGGGGCTGGAAGCCTGGGTCCCTTTTTCTCTCTGATTTGATCGGTTGTCAGGTCTTGCCCGTTTTGCCAATTTGTATGTCAGTGTTTTTTCTCCTCTCCATCCCTGTGGACACGGCACCCTGCCAGAACTTGGCAGTTTCCTTTTTCATGGTCTCTGCCTTCAGTACTGCCCCTTAATCAAACCTCCACATTGGCTGCACAGGGGCCTCTGTGCCGCCGCCACACAGCTGTGCACACCTCATAATGCCTCTCCCTGCCTAAAGCATTTCAAGGCCTTCAGTGTTCCTTAGAGTAAGGTGCAGCAACCCTCAGCTCACCTTCCACACGTGAGGGTCCAGGAGCGGCTGGTTAGAGTAGGTTTACCTACAGAGAAATCTACAGACCATGCCAGGGGTCCCTCTGTGGGACAGCTCAAAGAATTCCTCGGATTCTGAATTGAAAGCCTAAGCAGACCACCAGGAGGGTCCTAAAGGGAAAAAGGCCTTGATATACAGGGCCCAAGCTACATTTTCCTGTGTGCAAGCAAATTTGTTCTTTCGGATCTCCCAGAGGGTTCCATTGTGAATTCCACCAAGGGATATATACAACACTACTAGCACAGTAAGTAGTACAATCCTCTAATCTGTCGAGATTCTGAAAGTTGTACCTGCCTCTTTTTAAGAGATGACACTTACGAGGAGCCTTCTTCATTATCAGCTTCCTCCTACTCTTATTAGTGACGCTAAATAGATCATCCTGGCTGTGTCAGCGGCATGCGCTTCTCTGTGCAAATGGTCTGGTTCTGCAAGCTGCCCATTCACCTCCCAATGAGACTTGCTTTCTGTGCTATCCCTTGTTCTGAGTGAATTCAGCTTGTGAGCTGCTGTTAACAGAAGCAATCACCACAGAACATTTTCTAGACCCAGGAGACTTCCTGGAGCTTCTCTCCAATGGCTCAGAATCTTCCCCTGAAACAGCCAGCTGGATGGGGCCACAAAGCTGTGGAATCAAAATATTGGCCTTGTAACAAGCTTCTGCGAGAAAGCCTCAAAAACATTCTGTTTTGAAATAATCATAGATTCACAGGAAATAGCAAAAACTGTGCAGGGTAGTCTCATATACCCTTAACCTAGTTTCCCCCAGTGTTTATATCCTGTATAGCTGTAGTACAACATCAAGGACGTGGACACTGTACCATCTGCACGTTCAGCTCAACTCAATGCCATCTTATCACGTGTGTAGATAGTGTAACTAGCACTGCAATCAAGATGCAGCACTCTTCCACCACCACCAAGATTTCTCCCACGCTACTCCTTTACAGCTGTGTCCATCTCTTTCCCCCACATCCTTAACCTCTGGCAATCACTACTCTGATCTTCATCTCCATAACTTTGTAATTTCAAGAATGTGCTCTAAAAGCATTAATACCTTTGAGACTGGCGTCTTTCACTGAGTATCATGCCCTCGACATCCATCCACACTTTTGTATCAGTCATTCATTTTTTGATGCTAATAAAATATTTACTGTTTTGTGGGATTGGCTATTTCCATTTTTTAGCTACTGCAAAGTTGCTAGGAACATTTAAGCGCAGGTTTTTCTAAGGACACACATTTTCATTTGTCTGTGGCAAATGCCCATGGCCATAATTGCTGTATCATTTGATAGGTCTATGGTTACTTATTCAAAGAGCCTTTCAAACTATTTTCCAGAGGGACTGTAACATTTTACATTTCCACCAGCAATGTATGAGAACAAATTTCTTTCTTTTTTTTTCTTTTCTTTTTTTTTTTTTTTTTCTTTTTTTGAGATGGAGTCTCACTCTGTCGCCCAGGCTGGAGTGCAGTGGCGCCATCTCAGCTCACTGCAAGCTCCACCTCCCGGGCTCACGCCATTCTCCTGCCTCAGCCTCCCGAGTAGCTGGGACCACAGGCTCCCGCCACCTCGCCCAGCTAATTTTTTGTATTTTTAGTAGAGACGGGGTTTCACCGTGTTAGCCAGGATGGTCTCGATTTCCTGACCTCGTGATCCGCCCGCCTCGGCCTCCCAAAGTGCTGGGATTACAGGCGTGAGCCACCGCGTCTGGCCCCAGAAATCCAATTTCTCTGCAACCTCACCAGCAATTGATATAATCTTTTTGTTGTTGTTGTTAATTCGGCTGTCCTAATAGGTGTGTGGTGATATGGCATTGTGGTCTTAATTTACATTCCTCTTATGGCTGGAGTTGTCGAACATCTTTCTGTCGGCTTCTCATTTCTATATCCTCATTGATAAAATGGCTTAGTTTTTCTAAGTGACTTTTTTTTTTTTTTTTTTTTTGATGGAGTCTTGCTCTGTCGCCCAGGATGGAGTGCGGTGGTGCCATCTTGGTTCACTGCAAGCTCCACCTCGTGGGTTCAAGCGATTCTCATGCCTCAGCCACCAGAGTAGCTGGGACCACGGGCGCACACCACTATGCCTGGCTAATTTTTTGTGTTTTTAGTAGAGATGGGGTTTCACCATGTTGGCCAGACTGGTCTCGAATTCCTGGCCTCAAGTGATCTGCCCGCCTCAGCCTCCCAAAGTGCTGAGATTACAGGCATGAGCCACGGTGCCCAGGCTCTAAGTGAGTTTTTTTAAAAATGTATTGGGCTTTGAGAATGATTTCTATATTCCGGATATGAGTCCTTTATTATATATGCATTTTGCAAGTCTTTTCCCCAGTGTTGAGTGTGGCTTTCGTTATCATAACCGGGCCTTTCACACAGCAAAAGTTTTAAATTTCGATGAAGTCTGATTGATTTTGTTTTTCTTTTATGGGTCATGATCATGGTGTCATATATATGTAAGTACTCTTCATCAGACCCCAGGTGCCGAAGATTTTCTGTTATGTTTTCTTCTAAAAATGTAATCGTTTTATGTTCTGTATTTAAATCTATGATCGATTTTGAGCTAATTTTGAATAAGGCGTAAAGTTTAGGCTGAGATTCTTTCTTTGCTGTGTGTGTGTGTTTGTGTTTGTGTTTTGTTTTGTTTTGTTTTTGCCTTTGGATGTCCAGTGGTTTCATTAACATTTTAACATTTGTTAAAAATACTATATACTATCCTTTCAACATTGAATATTTTCTTTTGCACATTTGTAAAAATTCAGTTAGCCCTATTTACGTGTGCTATTTCTGAGTTCTGAATTCTATATTCTGTCCCATTTGCTTGATAAGATAGGTATTTAAAAGATAGATATAGATATGTGTATTATACAGAGATATATCCCTCCACCAATGCCATACTGTCGTGATTATTGCAGTCATATAATAAGTCTTAAAATTGAGTATAGGGATTCTTCCCATATTCTTTTTTCAAAATTATGTTTAGCTATTCTAGATCTTTTGATTTTTCACATAAATTTTAAAATAAGCTTGCATATATTTACAAAATGTCTTGGTGGAATTTTGATAGGAATTGAGTTAAACTTGTATATTAAGTGGGGGAGAACTGACATTTACTGCATTGAATCTTCCAATCCATAACCACAGTATATCGCTCCATTTATTTGGATCTTTTTTGGTTTCTTTCATCAGCACTTGTATTTTTCAGCATACATGTCCTATACATGCTTATTAAGTTTATAAGTATTTAAAAATAAATAAGGTTTATTTTTGAGTGATTGTATATTATATTATATTATATTATATTATATTATATTATATTATATTATGTTTTTTGAAATGGAGTTCCAGTTTTGTCACCCAGGCTGGAGTGCAGTGGCACGATCTCTGCTCACTGCAACCTCTGCCTCCCAGGTTCAAGCAATTCTTCTACCTCAGCCTCCTGAGTAGCTGGGATTACAGACGCCTGCCACCACGCCCGGCTAATTTTTTTGTATTTTTAGTAGAGATGGGGTTTCACCACATTGGGCAGGCTGGTTTCGAACTCCTGACTTCAGGTGATCCGCCTGCCTGGGCCTCCCAAAGTGCTGGGATTACAGGTGTGAGCCACCATGCCTGGCCCTATATTATATTATAAGTTTTAGTTTCCACCTGTTCAACTCAAAACTCAAAATGGTTGAGTTTTGTATGTTGATCTTGTAGCTTGCACCTTGCTGAACTCACATATTAGTTCTAGGAGTTTTCATATATCCTTTGGGATTTTCTTTGCAGACCATTGTGTCATCTGCAAATAGAGACAGTTTTATTTCTTCCTTTCATATTTGTATCCTTCTTTTTTTTTTGAGACGAAGTCTTGGTCTGTCACCCAGGCTGGAGTGCAGTGATGCGATCTTGGCTCACTGCAAGCTCCGCCTCCCAGGTTCACCCCATTCTCCTGCCTCAGCCTCCCGAGTAGCTGGGACTACGGGCACCTGCCACCACGCCCGGTTCATTTTTTTTTGTATTTTTAGTGGAGATGGGGTTTCACCATGTTAGTCGGGATGATCTCGATCTCCTGACCTCGTGATCCACCTGCCTCGGCCTCCCAAAGCGCTGGGATTACAGGCGTGAGCCACCGCGCCCGGCCTCCCTTGGGATTTTCTTTGCAGACCATTGTGTCGTCTACAAATAGAGACAGTTTTATTTCTTCCTTTCCTATTTGTATAATTTTAAAGTAAAAAGTCCCTTATTATGCTGGATTTCCAGTGATATGTTGAATAGGAGTGGTGAGAGCAGATATGAATTCCTTGCTCCTGACGTTAGGAAGAAAACATTCAGTTTTTTGCTATGAAGTATAATGTTAGCTGTAGGTTTTGTGTAGGTACCCTATATCAAGTTGAGGAAGTTCCCTTCTATTTCTATTTTTCTTAGAGTTTTTTTTCTTTTTGTCATGAATGGGTATGAAGTTTTGTCAAATGTATTTTCTGCATTGATTGCTATGATGATGTGATATTTTTCTTTTTAGCTAGTCAATATGGTGGATTATTTTCATTTATCTTTTAGCATTGAATCAGCCTTCTATTTCTAGAATAAACACAATTTGATCATTTTATATGTATGTAATTGCTGAATTCTCTTTACTAATATTTTGTTAGGATTTTTACATCCATATTCATGAAGAATGTTTGTTCATAGTTTGGCTTTTTTGGATTGTTTTTGTCTGATTTTGGTATCTGGGCACTATTTATTTTATAAAATAAATTGTTCCCTTCTTTTCTGTTTTCTGAAAGAGATTGTGTAAAGTTGGTGCTAATTCCTTTTTAAACATTTGGTAGAATTCGCCAGTGAAACCATCTGGGCATGGAGATTTCTGTTCTTCGGAAAGCATGTGTATAATTTCTCAATGAAGCACATTTGCATCATTTCAGCATTTGTTTCTGATGACTTTCGTTTCTCATTCCAGTTGAGATTTTTGTGGTTCTTGGTGTGAAGAGTGACTTTTTATTGTATCCTAAATATTTTGGGTGTTGTGTTATGAGACTTTGGATCTAATTAAATTCTTCTCTTTCAATAGACTTTCCTTTTTAAGAGACTGTATGAGTGGGAAATAAGGACCCCACCTCAGTACCGCCTGGTAGGAACATAAGTCCGGGACCCCCAGGTGGTCTCCATGGACACCCAGTGAGCGGGAGGCCGTGCTCTCCAGCACAGAGCTGGGGTAAAAGTTCAGCTTCTGCACTCTGCCTTTGCTGACACCACCCTGTTCAGAGGGGAAGAGGCCCCTTTTCATTGCTCGCCTGTGAACTCCAAGGACAGAAAATGGGGAGGGAGGCCTCATTAGCATGGGAAGGCTTCTCACTTGCCACCCCTTAACAGCACCCCAGCAGGGAAGGTGCAGGAAGGTAAAAGTTCAAGCTCCCCAGGTTGTCTCCGTCGGCACCACACTGTGGCAGCTTGTTACTGCCTGGTGAACGTCGAAGTCCCAGATTCTCACCCTGACACCACACCAGCAGGGGAGGGCTACCTCAGTATCACCAGGCCAGGCTGGAAGTCTAGGCTCTCCCCTCTGTCCTGCTGAGTGGGTCGAGGGTGGGGCCACAAGTTTTCCTACGGGCGTTTGTCTCCAGTAGGGAAACTAGCCTCCGAAAGTTTTCTGTCTTGCTAGCTTTCTCCTTTCATGGTCTTTTGGCTAGTGATTGCAGGTTATTCAGGGGCCTTTTGTGTGTGGTCTCATAGGAGGGGATATTCATGGATTGGGAAGAAGACAATTTTAAGTGTGCCCGGAACAGAGTGAGTATCAGAGTTGAATAGGCTAGGATAAGGCAGCAGGTGTAAAAATCCAGAAAGCCGGCTGGGTGCGGTGGCTCACGCCTGTAATCCCAGCACTTTGGGAGGCCGAGGCGCGTGGATCACAAAGTCAGGAGATCAGACCATCCTGGCCAACACAGTGAAACCCCGTCTCTACTAAAAATGCAAAAAAAGTAGCCGGGCGTGGTGGCAGGCGCCTGTAGTCCCAGCTACCCGGGAGGCTGAGGCAGGAGAATGGCGTGAACCCGGGAGGCGGAGCTTGCAGTGAGCCGAGATCACGCCACTGCACTCCAGCCTGGGCAACAGAGCGAGACTCCGTCTCAAAAAAAAAAAAAAAAAATCCAGAAAGCCAAAATCTGCCTACAAAATGCCCATTATCAGTCCAATCTACCTGACGCCTTTTCTACTGAGCTTAATCTGCCTCCCCATGCATTTCCGTAAAGTAGGCAATGACAGCTATTATCATGACTTAGGCTTTTCTCTTTTGGATAGCTGCTTTATCCAACCTCCTATTCTCCAATTCACAATTGAATTGGAAACAGCGTGATCATCGGTAGAGAGTGTATTGGGGAAAAATATTCCATGCAGATATTGGATAAACAATTTTTAAATTTATTTTGCTGGTACTCAGACACCCATGCTTGTCAATTTTATGTTAGGAGACCAAACTTTTTTATCATTTAGGCAGAATCCAACTCCATCCTTCCCCATACCCCATTAATGAGTAATGCATTGGCCAGGCTTGGTGGCTCACGCCTGTAATCCCAGCACTTTGGGAGGCCGAGGCAGGTGGACCACTTGAGGTCAGGAGTTCGAGACCAGCCTGGTCAACATGGCGAAACCTTGTCTCTACTAAAAGTACAAAAATTAGCCCAGTGTGGTGACAAGCGCCTGTACACCCAGCTACTTGAGAGGCTGAGGCAGGAGAATCACTGGAACCCAGTAAACGGAGGTTGCAGTGAGCTGAGATGGCGCCACACGCCGCTGTACTCCCGTCTGGGCAATAGAGCAAGACTCTGTCTCAAAAAAAAAAAAAAAAAAAGCATTAAGTGTGTGTAGCATTCTCTATTGCTTCCCATTTCCACTCTTTCCACTTGATCCAGTCTCCTTCTTTGCTGATAGAGACTTGATTTGTAAGGATGTTTACTCTCCAATTTATTCATTAATCATAAATCCCTTCCTTCATCCAGGGTCAGCTTAATCATAATAAATTCAAGTATCACCCTCCATTCATGCACATGTGGCAAAATCTAGTCGGAAGGGTTTGTGGATATTTTCCTCCATAATAAAAGCATTGTTTTAAAAAGAGACGGCCAGGCATGGTGGCTCACGCCTGTAATCCCAGCACTTTGGGAGGCCGAGATGGGCAGATCACCTGAAGTCAAGTCAGGAGTTCGAGACCAGTCTGGCCAACATGGTGAAATCTCGTCTCTACTAAAAATACAAAAAATTTGCCAAGCGTGGTAGCAGATGCCTATAACCTCAGCTACTGGGGAGGCTGAGGCAGGAAAATCGCTTGAACCTGAAAGGCAGAGGTTGCAGCGAGCCGAGATTGTGCCAGCCACTACACTCCAGCCTGGGTGACAGAGCGAGACTCCACTAAAAAAAAAAAGAGAGAGAGATTTGAAAATAGTTTGTCTTCAGCACTGATGCTCTAATATCTGCATGGGATTCCGGGAACTGCCCTAGTAAGCACACAGTCGTGAAAGAAACATCACCAAAAATCTCAGGAACAAAGGCAGAAACCACCCATGGCTTCAGTGATCCGGTTGAGCCACTGTATCAAGAAATCCTGGAATGGCCTACCTGTAGGGCATTTAAAAAGTAATTTTAGTTGGGTTGTATTTTACTTATAGCTACAAGCATCTGAATTGATCCCAAGCATTCCGCAGTCTGATTTGGGCAACAAGTTACGTGTTTCTCCTCCAAGTAGCCATAGATTCCTGGTTTCATGCACCAGCACCGCTTCTTTGACTTTTGGTAGAGTCCCCAGGTCAGGTGGGTGCTGGGGAGGCTCCAAGTAACCTCAAGACAAACATGAGATGGAATACCTCATCTCCCTAGTCAATTTTACTCAAATAGAAATTTTTTGAATGCAAAATACCGTGCAGAAACATATTACAATAACCAACGACCATAAATTACAATGAAACTTGATTCACTTCTGAATCACTATTTACTTTCAGCCCTTGTTTTCTTACATGGTATTTGGGACTCAGAGGCTTCATGGTTGCAGCAGGTGTAAGCATGCACACAGGATTTTTTTTAAACCCATCAGGGAACTAAGGTTACAGGGCAACCTGCCACCCTGAAATCCAGAGAGAAGGTTACTCCAGGGAGATACAGCATGTAAGACACAGAGAAAAAGCCACTGGGCACCCTAGGCTGGAGGAAGCCCTAAGAGCTCGCTTTAGACAGGAATACCGAAATCTCATCCCATCTTGGGGGAGGGAAGTGCACCCAGTCCAGCGTCACTCCAGCCTTCTTGTGTCATAAACTTGATGACCTAGATGAAATGAGGCAATTCTTTGAAAGACACCAACTGCCAAAACTCACTCAAGGAGAAATAGCTACCTAAAACACCAGCCCCCGATGCTTTCACTGGTGAATTCTACCAAATATATATATATATTTTTTTGAGATGGAGTCTCTCTGTGTCGCCCAGGCTGGAGTGCAGTGGCGCGATCTCGGCTCACTGCAAGCTCCGCCTCCCGGGTTCATGCCATTCTTCTGCCTCAGCCTCCCGAGTAGCTGGGATTACAGGCGCCTGCCACCACGCCCGGCTAATTTTTTGTATTTATTTTTATTAGAGACGGGGTTTCACCGTGTTAGCCAGGATGGTCTCGATCTCCTGACCTCGTGATCCACCCACCTCGGCCTCCCAAAGTGCTGGGATTACAGGCGTGAGCCACCACAACCCAGCCTCTACCAAATTTTTAAAAAGAAATAGTACAAATTAACACTTTTTTTTCTGGAAAGTTTGAGGTTGGAATACTGCTTAACTCATTTTATGAAGCTAGCATATTCATATGAACACTACCTGATTCATTTATGAAGCTAGCATTAACCAAAACCAGATAAAGACATTACCAAAAAAGGAGACTATGGAGAAATACCTCTGATTAATTGAGACACAAATCTCCCTAACATATTTTAACAAATCATATCCAGCAATATATAAGAGGAACAATATAATGTGACCAAATGGGGTTCATTCCAGGAAGGCAAGGCTGATTCAACATTTATAAATACTGATGTATATAATTTATCCTATTAACAGTATAAATAAGAAAAAATATGATCATGTCAATAGATGTAGAAGATATATTCAACAAAATTCAACACCCATTCATGATATACAGTCTTGAAAACTAGAAATAGCAGGGATCTTCCTTAACCTAATAAAGGGTTTATATGAAAAGTTTGCAGCTAATTTTATTCTAAATGACTAGAGAAAGAATGCTTTCCCTCTAAAATCAAGACCGCATGACATTGGTGAAAGAGTAGCCACATAGATCAATGGAGTAGAATAGAAAACTCATTAATGAATGAACACAAATATTGTCAATGGATTTGTGGCAAAGGTGCAAAGGCAATTCAGTGGTGAAAGAATACTTTTTTAACAAATGATGGTGGAAAAATTGGATGTCCGTATTCAAAAAGTGAACTTTGACACAGATCTCACATCTTACACAAAAAGTGACTCAAAGTGGATTATAGAACTAAATATAAAATGCAAAAGTACAAAACTCTTAGAGGAAAATATGGGATAAATTTTCATGGCTTTGAGTTTGTTGACAAATTTTTAGATATGATAAAAAATACAACCCACAAAAAAATTGATAAATTGGACTTTATTAAAATTATGTTTCCCTCTGTGAAATTAACTCTTGAGGGAATGAAGAAACAAGCTTCAACCTTGGAGGATATATTTGCACGTCACATATCTGATAAAGGACCTGTATCCAAAATACACAAAGAACTCTTACAATTCAGCAAATAAAAACAAATAACCAAACTCATAAATAAGCAAAAGAATACCTTATATAACATGTTCAAGACACCTGTAGATAGTGTACAGCAAGTCCTTGTTTTAGACTTTTTTCTTCATTATATTATTCACTATTTATACAATTCCCAAATAGGAGTGTCTAGGAGCTTTTCTCATGAAAAAGAGGGAAGTGATCTAAAATTACGAAACTGAAGCCTGAGACTAAGATTACACATTTTACACACATGCATATCACTATTTTTCATTCTAAAATGAGTGTTTTTCTATATCAGAGAAATTATATTCAATTCCATTTTGTAGGACTCTATAGCAGAGCCTCTCCGATATGAACCTGTTTAATTTGTATAATGTTGATAATTATTTTCCATTCACAATAACAACAACAAAGGCTTTTTACACTATATAGTTTTCAGCAACAAACTGCAGTCACTTCAGTGTCTAGCTCCGAGGTCTATGAAGTAGAGTTTATCGGGCCATCTAGTGGCCACTAGATCAACCAACAGTTTTTTGTATTTTCTGTTACTGTGAACAACTACAGGCTTCACTAAATTTACACTAAGTCTAAAAAAGCTAAAACTAGACCTCCCTGCAGACTGTCTACAACTGTCCTGAACATAACATAATTCATGACCCATATGTTTTGCTAATGTAACAATTGTATTGTATCTTTGTGGTATTGCACCTTACACGGGGCACCAGTTGAGGTATGGCGTCTTACCAGAGGGCATTAGCTGCGGGGGTTTGCCCGCAGACCCTGACCCAAAAGACGGATGAATAAAACGTACATTGACATACAGATACTTTGTTTCGCCAGTCCAGCTGAGCGTCCGACTGCCTGCACACCAGGAGAGGTTTGTCACTGCGGCTGGTCCTGAGCAGCTTGCACTTCAGGCATTTATTTAGTATACAATGAACAACAGAAGCTTTGAGTAAACACACTTGAGGATAATTAACATGGTTAAGAAAGTAGTTTTACAAATGATTAAAACTTAGGTACTACGGTTTAAAGTAAATACCATTAGGGGGCAATTTCCCTAGTTGACCTCCCCGCCCCTACCCCCACCCACAACCACCCAGAGGGCCATTTGGCTTAAAGATTAGTTAATGGAGGTAGGGTAAACAGAAGTAACTGGGGAATCCTCTATTGTTCCTAGTATTTACCCTATGACCTAGTGCTCTAAGGTAAGAACCGGCTGCCTTTAGCCTGTTCAATTATTACAAGCTATTTAAGCTTTTGGCCTTTCAAAAGATTTGTGATTATTTCCTATAACTTTCCCTAATATTCCCTTTAATATTTTTGCCATTATCCTAAGTGACTCACAACAGATCTTAATATAATTATTACATAAATGTATAATCCATATTTTTTAGACCTGATTAATTGAATGATTCAGTGGGATATATCAATTTTTCCTCTTTCCATTGTAATAAATCTTGTTTAAGTCACTAACATGTCTTGCCTGGAAGATTATTATCTCCTAACTGGTCCCTTGTCATCCTCTCTGGATTCTTAAAATTCATTCAACAAAGAGTAACTCAATCTTTTAAAGACCTGTGTATCATAGTAAGATCATGGATTTTCTCTGCTTAAAATTTTCCAATGAGGTTTCATCACAATTATAATGAAATGTGAACTCCTTTTCACTGTTTACACAGTCCTGTGGGATCTGGTCTCCACACTCCTCTTAAACTTCATTTCCTACCACTCTCCTCTCCATTCACTAGAAACCAGCTATATTATTTTTTGTCGTCGTTGTGTGTTGTTTCTTAAACACATTCTCCCAGACTTTGGGCTTTGGGTGTGTTGTTTGTCTAACTGGAATAATTGGTGCCCACATACCTACATGGGTTGCTTCTTCTCTAAAACCATGGGTGGTTGCAGACCAAATACCATGTCCTCAAAAATGTATTCCTTCTTAGTTACTCAGAAATTAAACACCAGCTGCAATCAAAGAAACTCGCAAATCTCAGTGGCTTAGTTATATATTACATTATATTAATCATGTAAACTTCAGTATGGGTAAAGGGGAGTGAAGACTGAGAAGTTCTGTTCCATGAACCATTCAAGGACTCACTCGGGCACCGATCCTTTTATGACTTGGCTCTCTTCCTGGTTCTCAGAATCCATGCCGTTCACCTGTCAGAGAAAGTAAAAGAGTGTGGAGGATTATGTCAGAGATTTTTATAAACTGTATTTGGGAGTGGAGTACTTTATTTCTACCTATATTAGTTGGAATTCAGTCACATGACCTCAACTAACTGCAGCTAGGGATGGTATATGTGGGGCAGCTGTGTGCCCAAGAGAAAACAGGATTTGATGCGATCACAGCGTTCTCCTCTGCCATGGTAGCCCTTGTGTTTATCAAATATCCACTTTACACTTCCTTTTAAATGTTGAACACACTCTCCCTAGAGGAGACAATCCAAAATTCACCTACGTATTGAATCCAGCTCAAAGTTCAGGATTTCAGAATTATACTCAGCCTTCTCCACCAAGTTCTGCCGTGGTTTGTCAAGGTCAGGGACCCAGGAACTAAAAAGATAAGTTATGTTTCAAACAGCCAATAGGGGGAAGCAAAAAATAACCATAATGAGAATTCTCGTTTGGAAACGAAAAGGAGGCACATTACCGTTATGGACTCACAGGAATTACGGAATCTTGCTGGTACTTGATGATGTGTCTGTGAAGCAAGTGGGAATTAGTATTCCAGAAGAGCAAATACATGGGATAGAATTTTAGTTGCCACCTTTTCAGGTAAGATGGGATAGAAATGGAGTCCCTGAAATAAGAAGTATGTTTCTGTACATTTCAATACTGAACCAAGAAAGGACATGTGGCTTGATGATACGTTGAAATATTTATCTGGGTGTTTCACATTTTTCCTCTCCCTCTTCCCATGTGTACTCTGAGGGTCAGACCACTTGCAGACATGAGTCACCTACTTTGAAGGAGCAACCAGAACTCTGACTCCAAAGAGTAAAACTTGATAACGGAAAAGACAGTGAAAAGAAATATTCTGTTTCACACTTACAGAGTTAGTTTTAAAATGGTCCTAAGAGGTGAAGAGAACATGCTGATGGAAGAAAGAACGGAATGGATAAAATTTGATCTCGAGAGGTGAGGTTAAAGCTGAGGTTGATGGTAGGATACAAATGGATGTTCTTTTACAGCACAAATCATTTTTATAGCAGGATCCTGACTCAGTGCTCAGGTCTGTTTCTCCTGGAACTTTCTCTTGGGAGAAGTCAACCCATCAGCCATTGAGCATCTTATGCTTATCTGTCCTTCCTTGTTTGTATCCAATGATTCTGGACACTTGTAGATAATTCTAGGACCAAGGGTGAGTTATTTGAATACAGTGGGAGATGATAGCAGAATAAGCACCTAGTCACAGTCAGTTTAGAATGACTCTTATAGAAAGTAGACTCTGATTCAGCATGAAGAAAAATCTATAAAGCAAATGGAAAACAAAAAAGGGGCAGGGTTGCTATTCTTCTTTCAGATAAAACAGTCTTTAAAACAGCAATGATCATGAAACACAAAGAAGGGCATTACATAATAATAAAGAGTTCAATTCAATGAGAAGATTTAATTGTCCTAAATATATATGCAACCAACACTGGAACATCCAGATTAAAAAAACATTTTGTTAGAGACCTGAGAAGACAATTAGATATCCATACAATAATAATGGGAGATGTCAACGCCCCACTGACAGTATTAGATAGATTATAGAAGCAGAAAACTCACAAAGTTATTCAGGACCTAAAACTCGACACTTGGCCAAATAGACCTAACATAACAACAACAGAATATACATTTTTCTCAGCTGCCCATGGCATATACACTCTATAATCACTCACACACTCAGCCACAAAGCAATTCGCAACAAATTCAAAATAAATGAAATCATCCCAACCACATGGTCAGACACAGTACGGTAAAAATAGAAATCAATACCAAGAAGATCTCTCAAAATCACACGATTACATGGAAATTAAAAAATCTACTACTGAATTTGGGTAAACAATAAAATTATGGCAAAAATCAAGACATTTTTTGAAACTAATGAAAACACAGATACAACATACCAGAATATCTGGGACACAGCTAAACAGTGTGAAGAGGAAAGTTTACAGCATTAAATGACTACATGTAAAAGTTAGAAATACCTCAAATTAACAAACTAAAATCACACCTAAAGGAACTAGAAAAGCAAGAGCGAACTGATGACAAGGGTAACAGAAGAAAATAAATAACCCAAATCAGAGCTGACCTGAATGAAATGTAGATGAGAAAAACCATGTAAAACATATCAAAGAAACCAAAAGCATGTTCGTTAAAATAATAAATAAGATTGGTAGACTGCTAGCTAGACAAAGAAAGTAAAAAGATCCGAATAAACACAATAAGAAATGACAAAGAGGACATTACTACTAATCCCAAAGAAATACAAAAAGTCCTCAGAGGCTATTATGAACACCTTTATGTACACAAACTAGAAAACCTAGAGGAAATGGTTAAATTCCTGGAATTGAATCTGGAAGAAATTGAAAACCTGAACATACCAATAATAAGTTTCAAAATTGAATCAGTAATTTAAAAAATACCAACCCCAAAAAGTCCTGGACCAGAGAGATTCACAGCTGAATTGTATCAGACATATAAAGAGATTCAGTAGTATCAATACTACTGAAACTATTCCAAAAAATAGAGGAGGAGGGACTCCTCCCTAACTCATTCTGTGATGCCAGCATTATTCTGATATCAAAACCTGGTAGAGACACAATGAAAAAAGAAAACTTCAGGCCAATATCCCTGATAAACATAGATGTAAAAATCCTCAACAAAATATAAGCAAAATGAATCCAGCAGCACATCAAAAGGATAATCCACCACAATCAAGTAGGCTTTATTCTTGGGGTGCCAAGTTGGTTCAACAGATGCAAATTTTAAAAAATGTGATTAATCACATAACCAACTAGAAACAAAAAACACATGATTATTTCAACAGATGTAGAAAAGACTCTCACTAAAATTCAACATCCCTTTATGTTAAAAGCCCTCAATCAACTAAGCATCGAAGGAACATACCTCAAAATAATAAGAACCATCTGTGACAAACCCACAGCCAACATCATACTGAATGGGCAAAAGCTGGAAGCATTCCCCTTGAGAACTGGAACAAAACAAGGATGCCCACTCTCACCATTTCTATTCAACATAGTACTGGAAGTCCCAGCTAGAGCAATGAGGAAAGAGAAAGCAATAAAAGGCTCCAAATAAGAAGAAAAGAAGTCAAACTATCTCTCTTCACAGATTGTATGATTCTATACCTAAGGAAACGCCATGTTATCTGTCCAAAGCTTCCTAGGTCTCATAAACAACTTAAACAAAGTTTTAGGATACAAAATCAATGTACAAAAATCAGTAGTATTTTTATATACCAATAACATCCAATCTGAGAGCCAAATCAACAACACAATCCCCTTCACATTAGACATACAAAAAATATAATATATATAGAAATCCAGCTAACCAGGGAGGTGAAAGACCTTTACAACACGAATTAAAAAACACTGCTGAAAGAAATCAGAGACAACACAAATGGAAAAACATTTCATGCTCATGGATAGGAAGAATCAATATTGTTAAAATGGCCATACTACCCAAAACAATTTATAGATTCAATGCTTTTCCTATCCAACTACCGAGGACATTTTTCACAGAATTAGAAAAAAACTATTCCAAAATTCATATGGAACAGAAAAGAGCCCAAATAGCCAAGGCAATCCCAAGCAAAAAGTACAAAGCTAGAGGCATCACTCTACCCAACTTCAAACTATACTGCAAGGCTACAGTAACCAAAACATCATGGTACTGACACAAAAACAGATACAAAGATCAACAGAACAGGTTAGGGAATCCAGAAATAAAGCCATATACTTATTTTTACAAATGTGAGAAAATATTTACAAAATATGCATCCAACAAAGGCCCAATATCCAGAGTCTATAAGGAACTTAAGCAAATCAACATGTTAAAAACAATCTCATTTAAAAATGCTGAAAGAACATGAACAGACATTTCTCAAAATAAGACATACACGTGGCCAGCAAGGATATGAAAAACTGCTCAACATCACTAATCATCAAAGAAATACAAATTAAAACATCAATGACATACTATCTCATACCAGTCAGAATGGCTATTATTAAAAAGTAAAAAAAACAAACAAACAAAAAAAAGCACATGTTGATGATGTTGCAGAGAAAAAGGATGGCTATTGAGGATATAAATTAGTTCAGCCATTGTGGAAAGCAGTTTGAAGATTTCTCAAAAAGCTTAAAACAGAACTACCATTGGATCCAGCAATCCCATTACTGAGTATATACCCAAAAGAATATAAATTTTTTTACCATAAAGGCATATGCATGTGTATGTTCATCATAACACTATTCACAATACAAAGACATGGAATCAACCTAGATGTCCATCAACTGTGGACTGGATAAAGAAAATGTGGTACATATACACCATGGAATACTATGCAGCCATAAAAAAGAACAAGATAATGCCCTTTGCAGCAACATGGATGGAGCTGGAAGTCATTATCCTAAGCAAACTAACACAGCAGCAGAAAACCTCATGTTCTCAATTATAAGTGGTAGCTAAACATTTAGTACATATGGACACAAAAAAAGGAACAATAGACATCAGGACCCACTTAAAAGTGGAGGGTGAGAGGAGGGTGAGAATTGAAAAACTACCTATCAGTTACTATGCTCATTAATTGGATGTCAAAGTAATCTGTACACCAAACCCCTGTTACACATAATTTACCCATTCAACAAACCTGCACATGTACCCCTTGAACCTAAAATAAAAGTTGGAAAGAAAAAAAAAAGGACCCTCTGATTCAGGAAAGGGGTGCATACATGGTCCATGCTATATAGGACATGCCATAACTGTTGGAGTTCTCTGATATGTAGTTGTCTTTCCTACTAGGCTATAAGCTCTATGATGGCAAAAGTAGTGTCTCCTTTCCTCATTATTTATTCCTCAGCTCTTAGTGCAGTGCCTGACTTATAGTAAGTTCTCAATAAAATGTGTTGAATAAATGAATAACTTTCCAGTAGCCATTTATTGCTCAACTCAATGAGAGTCAGGCATCAAAGCCTGTACATTTTCTGTGTTTGTACCAGGTCGGAGACAAATGTTTATGAAACATAGATGAAGTCCCTAGAACCTTCTTCAGAAATAATGAATTGTGTTAAGGTTTTTGTGCCCCAGATCTTCAAGTTGACCATAAAGATTCCACCGTGTCTAACAATTAACCCAACTTCACCATCTAGGATAGACCATTTGGTGGTTAGAGGGTGGTGGGTATCGATTCTTGGCAACCAAAGCCTAAAGTTTATGCCTCAACTGAGCTTTGAGGGAGCAAATTACATGATATAGACTTATGTACTATGCCTTCATCCTTTGTATTGGCAGCAATCCTTAGATAAGCGAGATGGCTTTTAAGTGAAAAGTCACCTAAGGACATGAATAGCATAAGGTACATGGTGAGCAAAACGACTTGATCTACGTATTTTGGAGTTCCCGGACTAGTAGGGGTGGGAAGGAAGACAGAGTAATAGGTAGGTAGACAATATAATGCAATCATAATATGATATAAGTTTAATGATACTGAAAGTACAATGGATTATAGAATCACAAATCAGCAATAGTTAATCAGTTTAAGAAGGTTAGGAAATGCTATCCAGCAGAAATGTCACTAAAATTGAAACTTGGCCAAATGAGTGTTAAAATACTGGGGATCAGATGTTCCAAACAGGAGAGCATGGATGAAGGCCCAGAGAAGAGAGAGATCATAGGGCATGGGTGGGAAGAAATGGGGGCGAGGAGAAGGCAGGGAAAGATCAAGAATGATAGGAATGATGTACTTCGGTGAAAGTATGGTGCATTTAAAGAACTGCGATAAGATCATTGTTGCTAAAGCTTCATGTGTGCTTGCATTCGTGTGTGTGCATACACGTGCGTATTCATGAGAAGGGGTTGGATATAGACAACAGTACATCTGGAAACACGAAGAAATAATACAATGAAAGAGAACATGCATTATAGTAATAGGTTTGGCCTTTGTTCATTCTAATAGCAACAGGAAGCCTCTGAAGGTTTTAATCAAATTTGCTTTTTGGGAGAGATAAAATAACAACCTTCTCTTCATTCTCCTTAAGTCGTTCCATCTTTTAGTGCTCCTTTTGTCTGGTTAAAAACTCTAGGGCTTAAGTGTAATTGATTTGGAAAAATCACCAATGAGTGTCAGTGTCATTTGGGGGCTTTGAAAGTAACCAAGAGCTTGCATGCATAGCTTCGTTAAGACCATTCGCACTAGGCTGGGTTGCCTTTGATGCCTTTGTATGGGTTCAGATTCTTAGAAAGAGAACTATCTATGGTTCATAAAGGAGACCCTTTCCTTCACTATGCTTAGGGTGAAAGTGCATCCCTCCCCTTCCCTTCCAGAGTCAGCAGACAATTAGGAAAACAAATTAACCATTCTCTCCACCAACCGCTAAATCAGCTTAAACTGAGCTGAAGCAAAAGTGACTAAGAAGCAGTGGTCATAAGAGGTGGTATAAAAGCCACTTGGTGACCAGAATCCCATTATGCAACAAGGCGAAGTGGGGGCAGACAAGGAGAGGGCAGGCACCCTGGATATAGCATTTTGAGGGAGGTGACTGTGGCAAGGGACAGAGAAAATGCGAGTTACAAGATGATGAAACCATCCCATGAGACTGCCTCTCAGATATGGGACGTGGGAGTGTGCTAATGAGACTGAAACGCACAACCCATAGTTTCTGTCCCAGATTCCAAATTTTACATCTCTTTGTGGTAACTGGCAGAACTCTACAGAAAATCGAAGTAGAAATATTCTTTGTGGTTTATTAGCTATTTGGTTTGTAGAGGGAAGGTGAGACATTATCAGTACCTGTAATGGGAATGGTGAGCTCCACTCCATGGCTGTTGCATGGCAGGAGGCTACATCCAAAACATGTCCTTCTGGGCAGAGAGAAGGCAGGCACCCTGGATACAGCATTTCAAGGGAGATGACTGTGGCAAGGGACACTGGTTACTTTTCCACCTGGATAACTGTAAGCCTACTCCAAAACATTCTATTCCTACATTCCCAGGACAGAGGGTCCTTCTCCTTAGGTTACAAAGATCATCCTGACTTGGGTAAAGTGAATGAATTGTGGTGGGGATAATTAAGACGGCAGGGGAGCCAGACGCAAGCTGTTGCAACAATCCAGTAGTGAGCAGAAGCCGGCTAAACGAAGACAGTGGCAGTGGGGTGGAGAAAAAAGGCAGAATTGGAGAATTCAAGAAGTCAGAACTTGCTAATTACCTTGCACTCCAGGTCAAGGCTGACATAGGGAAATGATGATAGAGCCAAGGTTTCTGGCTTGAGGAACTGGATGAGGAATGGATGTTTTTAAGTGGAAAAGTGAAGAAAGACAGGGAGATCTTGAGATGGCAGAGAAGGGATAAATTCCATTTGTGATATTGACATTTGCATTGCATATCCAGGAAATAATGTCACACAGGTAGATGTGGTTGTCTTTTGTTGTTGTTATTTGTTTGTTTATTGCTTCATTCCGGACAGTATTTTAGGTGTTCCAGAAAGCATTCATACATATGGTTGTGGATTTAGCTCCAAATGTGAGTGGATAGAAAAATATGGGAGTCAGCACAGACAGTGGATGAAACCCTGCATGGGACTGAGACGCTGAAGGCTGAGTAGATGGACAAGAAACAAGCCAAGGATGAGGACTCTAGAAAGCATCCCAGTCCAGGCAGGCAGTGGAAGAAAGACCTACAACAGAGAAAATTCGAAAACAAGATTCAAAAGAACCACAGAGGCACTGGGAAAACGTGATGGTAAGGAATCCAGGCAGAGAGACAATCAAGCACTGCACACAGATTTAGATGGTGATAGAAAGTCATGAATCGGGTTTAGCAGAAATAAGGTACTAGAAGGGGAATTTGATAAGAGTGATATAAGAAAAAGAAAACATGAAGAAATGGAAGCGAGGGTCTAGAAATTAATTCTAAATAGGGGACTGGTAGAGGGTAATCGAGGGAAATAGATGGAAGACAAGCAGAAGTGAGTGCGTGTGTGTGAAAAAGAATGTGTGTGTTTGTATGTGTTTGTGTTTGTGTGTGTAAAATTGTGTTCGCTTGTGTGCAAGTGTGTTCACACATGTTTGTGTGTATAGGTTTAAATTTGTGCGTTTGTGTGTATGCATGTGTCAATATGTGTGTTTGTGTTTGTTGGTGTGTATTTAAGTGTGTGTGACTTGTGACTGTGTATCTGTGTACACGTGTGAGTGTGTATAACTGTGTATGTACACATGTTAATGTGTTTGTATGTGAAACTGTGTGCACTTGTATGTGTTCTTGTGTGTTTCAGTGTTTTGTGTTTGTGAGTTGTGGCTTATGTGTTTGTGTGACTGTGTGACTTCTGGTGTGTCTCTGAAAGGGTGTTTTTCATATGTACAGTGAATGTGTATTTTGTGTGTGTTTGTGTGTACATGAGTATGTATATGTGTGTGAGTGTGTGAAAGTATGTAACTATGTGTGTGATTATGCTTTTGTGTGTGTATGTATTCATGTTAATATGTGTTGTGTGTGAAAGTGTGAGCACTTTGTGGTCCTGTGTGTGTCTATGTTTCTGTGTGTGTGTTCGTGTTTTGTATGAATGTGTGTGGCTGTGAATTTTTGTCTGTGTGTGAAATAGTGTTTTGTGTGAGTGTACACGTGTGCCAAAGTGTATTTATGTTTATGTGATTGTGTGTAACTGTGTGTGACTATGTGTGTGTAAGTGCACATGTACTAATGTGTGTGTTTCTGGGTAAAAGTGTGCACTTGTTTGTGTGTTAGTTTGTGTTTGTGTGTGAATGTGTGTTAGTGTGTTGGTGTATGTGACTGGGTGACGGTGTGAAAGGGTGTTATCTGCATGTACACTGCATGGATTGGTGTGTTTGCGTGTGAATGTTTTTGTGTGTGGTGTGCTTTTGTGTTTGTGTGTATGTATGTGAGTGTATGTTTGAGTGTTCGTGTGTCTGTGTGTCTGTGTGAAAGGGTATCTGTGTGTTTGTATGTGAATGTGTTTCTATGTGGTGTGTTTTTGTATTTGTGTTTGTGTATGCAAGTGTTTCTGTGTCAGTGTGTACACGTAAGTGAGTGTGTGTTTCTGTGTACATGTGTTTTTGTGTGAGGGTGTGTCTCTGTTCACATAGGCACTTGGAGTAAATATAGAGGTCACCTGCTTGAATCTTGCTCTACCACTCATCAGTGACATTGTAGCATTGGAGACTTTTTTTTCACTTAATTTTTTGTTTTAATTTTAGGTCCAGGGTTATTAATATATGTGCAGGTTTGTTATATAGATAAGCTCATGTCACAAGCGTTTGTTGTACAGATTATTTCATAGTCCAGGTACTAAGCCTAGTGTCCAAAAGTTATTTATTTATTTATTTATTTTTGTTTATTTATTTTTTGAGATGGAGTCTCCCTCTGTCACCCAGGCTGGAGTGCAGCGGCGCGATCTCACCTCACTGCAAACTCTGCCTCCCGGGTTCAGGCCATTCTCCTGCCTCAGCCTCCCGAGTAGCTGGGACTACAGGCGTCTACCACCACACCTGGTTAATTTTTTGTATTTTTAGTAGAGACGGGGTTTCACCATGTTAGCCAGGATGGTCTCGATTTCCTGACCTCGTGATCCGCCCACCTAGGCCTCCCAAAGTGCTGGGATTACAAGCGTGAGCCACCGTGCCCTGCCCAAAAGTTATTTTTTCTGATCCCCTCCCTCCTGTCACCTTCCCCCCTCAAGTAGGCCCCAGTCTCTGCTGTTCCCCTCTTTCTGTCCATGTGTCCTCATAATTTAGCTCTTACTTATAAGTGAGAACATGTGGTACTTGGCTTTCTGTTTCTGCATTAGTTCGCAAAGGATGGTGGCCTCCAACTCCATCCATATTCCTGCAATAGTCATGATCTTGTTCTTTTTTATAGCTGTGTAGTATTCCATGGTGTATATGTACCACATTTTCTTTATTGGAGACTTAAACTTATTCACAATTATGTCATAAATAAAATTAATCTGACAATAGCTACCTCACTATGATGATTTTAAAAGTTATAGCCAGCCGGGCGCAGTGGTTCACACCCGTAATCCCAGCACTTTGGGAGGTGATGCGGAGGGATCACGAGGTCAGGAGATTGAGACCATCCTGGTTAACATGGTGAAACCCCGTCTCCACTAAAAATACAAAAATTTAACCAGGTGTGGTGGCGGGCGCCTGTAGTCCCAGCTACTCGGGAGGTGGATGCAGGAGAGGGGCGTGAACCCGGGAGGCGGAGGTTGCAGTGAGCGGAGATCGCGCCTCTGCACTCCAGCCTGAGCAACAGAGAGAGACTCCATCTTAAAAAACAAACAAACAAAAAAAACAGTTATTGCCTAGAGTTTCTAAAATTCTACTGCATTTTTGTGTTCTTTCAAGTCTGCTAAAATTAAGAACTTCCTACAATTTCCAGGCAAGATCTTTGTTAAGATTCTTTGAAATAACTGAGAACTATTTCAGGAAAGCAAGGGTTAGGGGCCATAGAAGAGGGCTTTATTCTCCTTGATTCTCTTCAAAATGCAGTGCCACACAACTCATTCATTCAAGTACTCATTTATTAAGTAAATATTTATATATTTTATGCTGTGTTCTGGGAACGACTCCGGGAGATTTGATATATAAAATGATCAAAACATAAAAAGTAGTACCTGCATGGAGCTTACATTCTATTAGAAAAGCCAAAAAATTAGCAATATAGATAAACCTATAAATTATATAATACTTTAGAAAGTAATAATGCACTATAGAAAAAGAAAAAGCTAGATCAAGGCAAAGTAGATCAAAGTTTCCAGGAAGAGCTGCAATTTTATGTGGAACGGCCAGGGAAGGCTTGAATGAGATCAAATCATTTCAACAACGACCCCAGGATGGTGAGGTCATTAACAATATGCACCGTGCAGAGGGAAAGCCAGTGTACACGCCCGAAGGCTGAAGAATGTCCGGTGTTCAAAGAACAACAGAAGGCCATCGTGACTGAAGTGCTTTTAAAGAGGAAGAGGTGGTAGGAGATGAGGTCAGTATGTGGTAATAAAGCATTGCAAGGATTTTAGCTTTGAGATTGAGAGCTGTTGGAAGGTTTGACCAGAGGAGTCGTAAGACTTGGGTTTTGAAATAATCGCTATGCTTGCCCCACTGATGATAGACTGTAACAGCACGATAGTGGAAGCAGGGAAATTTCTTTCTTTCTTTCTTTCTTTTTTTTTTTTTTTTTTTGAGACAGAGTCTGGCTCTGTCGCCCAGGCTGGAGTAAAGTGGCGCGATTTTGGTTCACTGCAAGCTCCGCCTCCCGGGTTCACGCCATTCTCCTGCTTCAGCCTCCGGAGTAGCTGGGACTACAGGATCCCGCCACCAAGCCCGGCTAATTTTTTTTGTATTTTTAGTAGAGACGGGGTTTCACCGTGTTAGCCAGGATGGTCTCGATCTCATGACCTCGTGATCCGCCCGTCTCAGCCTTCCAAAGTGCTGGGATTACAGGTGTAAGCCACCGCGCCCAGCCGGGAAATTTCTTTAAAACTACTGCAATGATGTAGGCTAGAAATGATGGTGGCTTTTTACCAGAGTGACAGGAATGAAGGTTTTGAGAAAGTGGCTATATATATATTATATATGTGTGTTTAGATATATATGTATATGTATATATAATGTAGAGCCTGCAAAATTTCCTACCAGCCTCCATAGATTATGCACACAAAAATAAATCACCTTATGACAAATGCAAGGGTCTGAGCAATTGGAAAGATGGAGTTGCCACCAATTGAGATGCGGAAAGTTATTGCTGATGGAACAGTTTTTGAGGGACTCATGGGGCACAAAGTGTTCTTCTTCGGACTTTTAAAGGTATCAGACATCCATTAGACATGTTAATAGAGATGCTGAATGGACAGTTGGGCATATAAGTGAAACTTAGGAACTTAGGAGGAAGGTTTGTACTAGAGATATAAATGTTGGTATCATCAACATATAGATGTTATTTAAAGCCATATAACTTGATGAGGTCATCGAGGGAGTGACTGTCGGTAGAGCAGAGCAACAGGGATGAAACCCTGGATGCACTTTTCATTAGGAAGTTAACTTACAGAGGAGATATCTACAAAAAAGGAGGAAGGAGGAACCAGAGGTAAGAGAAGCACCGAGGGGATGAGGGGTTTCTAGAAGCCAAAGGAAGAGGTATGTCATTGAAGAAGACACCATCAGATGTGTCACATACTGTGGGTAGCAAAGCAAGATGAAGACTGAGAATGGACCATTGGATTCAGCAACATGGAGATCATCCATGAACTTAGTAAGGGAAGCTCCAATAGAGGTGAGTGGTGAAAGCCAGAGTGGAGTGGCTTTAAGAGAGGACAGAGTCTGGGTGCGGTGGCTCACGCCTGTAATCCCAGCACTTTGGGAAGCTGAGGTGGGTGGATCAAGTGGTCAGGAGATCGAGACCATCCTGGCTAACACAGTGAAACCCCGTCTCTACTAAAAATAAAAAAAAAAAAAAATTAGCTGGACGTGTTGGTGGGCGCTTGTAGTCCCAGCTACTCGGGAGGCTGAGGCAGGAGAATGGCATGAACCCCGGAGGCGGAGCTTGCAGTGAGCTGAGATGGTGCCACTGCACTCCAGCCTGAGTGACAGAGTGAGACTCCATCTCAAAAAAAAAAAAAAAAAGAGAGAGAGAACAGAAAGCTGAATTGGAGATAGTGAGTATACACAATGTTTTGGAGAGTTTCACTTTAAAGAGAATCAAAGATATGGGGCAATGGCTGATAATAGAACTATGGTTAAAAGGTTTTTACTGTTGAGATAAGAAATACCAGCACAAGCACTATTTACAATAGCAAAGAATTGGAACCAACCTAAATGCCCATGAATGATAGACTGGATAAAGAAAATGTGGCACATATACCACATATACACTATGGAATACTATGCAGCCATAAAAAAGAATTTCACCGAGCACAGTGGCTCACGCCTGTAATCCCAGCACTTTGGGAGGCTGAGGTGGGTGGATCACGAGGTCAGGAGTTCCAGACCAGCCTGGTCAATATGGTGAAACCCCGTCTTTACTAAAAATACAAAAATTAGCTGGGTGTGGTGGTCTGTGCCTGTAGTCCCAGCTACTCAGTAGGCTGAGGCAAAAGAATCGCCTGAACCCAGGAGGCGGACGTCGCAGTGAGCCGAGATCATGCCACTATACTCCAGCCTGGGCAACAGAGCAAGACTCTGTCTCAAAAAAAAAAAAAAAAAAAAGAATAAGTTTATATCCTTTGCAGGGACGCGGAAACCATCATTCTCAGCAAACTAACACAGGAACAGAAAACCAAACACCGCATGTTCTCACTCATAAGTGGGAGTTGAACAGTAAGAACACATGGACACAGGGAAGGGAACATCACACACCAGGGCCTGTCGGGGGGTGGGGGACAAGGGGAGGGAGAGCATTAGGACAAATACCTAATGCATGCAGGGCTTAAAACCTAGATAACGGGTTGATAGGTGCAACAAACCACCATGGCACAGGTATACCTAGGTAACAAACCTGCACGCTATGTACATGTACCCCAGAACTTAAAGTAAAAATTAAAAAAAGAAATTCCAGCACAGTTTTATGTTCATGAGAATATTTTAATTAAGTGTGATACATTAATAATATATAGAGAGAGGGGAGAATTACTGAAGGCTACCACTGGATATGCAAGAAGGGTTGGGAACTAATAGACCAGTGCAAGGAATGGCATTAAATACAAATTTTTACAGTGTGTCTGTGTCCTCAACCTGTGGTGTGGGTATCACTGAAGTCTGTGAACCCTTCCCTCTAATCAATCTGCTGATATTTAGGTATAAGTAATGCTTTATAAAGTTCCTGAAAGTTATTTATTTTGCTCTATGGGATCTCCTTTAGCTCTTGTCTTAATCCATTCAGGCTGCTATAACAGAATACCATAGACTGGGTGGCTTATAAGCAACAGACATTTAGTTCTCATAGATTTGTAGGCTGGGAAATCCAGGGTCAAGGTGCTGGCAGATTTGGTGTCTGCTGAGGGCCTGCTTCCTGGTTCACCAATGGCTGTTTTTACGCTGTGTCCTCACATGGAGGAAAGGGTGAAAGAGCTCTCCAAGGTTCCTTTTATAAGGGCACTAATCCCATTAATGAGGCTCCACCCTCATGATCTAATCACCAGCAAAAAGCCCCTCACCTTCTAGTACCATCACCTTGGGGTTAGGTTTCAACAAATCAATTTTGGGAAAACACAAAGATTCTGACCATAGCAGTTCTCGTTTGGCCTATTTGTGTGTATGTACATATATTTACTTCCAGCCTCCATCTGTTTCCTGTAAAGTTTCCATTCCATTATGAGATGTCAGTTATAAGAATCATCCTCGCTCATCATCGTGGTGGCATCATTTCCACCATGATCACCTTTCACCCTCTCTCTGTGCACCAGCTGTCTCACCTTACGGTGGTTCCCCAAAAACACCATGCGTCCTTCAGTCACAGACACTTTTCACATGCTGCTGTTATCCTGGCTAATGCCTTCATAGCCTTGAGATCTGAAGTGATCTGCTCAGGGAAGCTTTCCTCATCTGTCTGGTGAAAATAAGTCACCCTGTGTTCACTTTTTATTGTTCTTGTTGTTGTAAAGATTTATTTTTATTGTTCAACAGTAAATTGACAAATTATATATATTTATGGAATACAAAGGAATGTTATGATGCTTAAATACAATGTGAAATAATTAAATGAAACTTAATAACGTGTGTATCAGCCCACATACCCGTTTTTTGTGGTGAGAACATTTGAAATTGACTCTCAACGGTTTTGAAGTGTACTCTACATTTTCATTGGCTGTATTCACCATGCTGTGCAATACATTCCAAAGAAAATAAAACTTACTTGTCCAATCTAAATGAGGCTTGATACCCTTTGACCGTTATCTCCCTACTAACTCTATCCCTTCATCCTCTGGTAACCACCATTCTTCTCTCTACTTCTTTGATTGTTTTATATTCCATATATGAGTGAGGTAACACAGTATTTGTCTTTCTTCTTGGCTTATTTCATTTAGTATAATGTTCTCCAATTCCGTCTATGTTGTCACAAATGACAGAATTTCTTTCTTAAGGTTTAATAATGTTCTATTGGGTATATATACCACGTTTTCTTTTTTCCCCACATTTTCTTTATTCATTCATCTGATGATGGACCCTTAGGTTGATTTCATAACTTGGCTTTGGGAAATAGTGCTGCAACAAACATGGAAGTGCACATACCTCTTTAACACACTGATTTTAAATTGTGGGGGTATATATCCAGAAGTGAGATTGCCGGATCATATGATAATTCTATTTTTAGTTTATTTTTCCATAATGGCTGTTCTAACTTTCATTCCCACCAGCAGTGCATACAGGTTCCCTTTCCTCGACACCCTCCCCAACACGAATTGTTCATTGTTTTGACAATAACCATTTTAACACGTGTGAGGTGATATTTCATTGCAGATTTTATTTGCATTTCTGATGATTAGTGGTGTCAAACACTTCTTCATATATCTGTTGATCATTTTTATGTCTTCTCTTGAGAAATGTCTATTTAAGTAATTTCTCTATTTTTAATAGGGTTATTTGTTTGTTTTTCTGTAGAGCTGAGTTCCTTATATATTTTGGATATTAACCCCTTATCAGATGTATGGCTTTCAAGTATTTTCTCCCAAACAATAGGTAGTTTTTTTACTCTATTAATTGTTTCCTTTGTTTTGCAAAATCTTTTTATTTTGATGTAATGACATTTGTCTATTTTTGCTTTTGTTGCCTGTGATTTTGGGGTCAAATCCAAAAACTCATTGCCCAGACCAATGTTGTGTAGCTTTTCCCTTATGTTTTCTCTTAGTAGTTTTAGAATTTCAGGTCTTATGCTTAAGTATTTAATCCAATTTGAGTTTATTTTTGTACAGGGTGTGAGATAAGGATCCAACATTCTTATGAATGTGAATATGCACTTTTCCCAACACCACTTATTGAAGAGACTGTCCCTTTTCCAATATGTATACTTGGCACCTTTGTTAAAAATTTATTGACTACATATGCATGTATTCTTTTCTGGGTTTTATCTTCTATTCTATTGGTTGATGAGTCTATTTTCTTTTTCTTTTCTTTCTTTCTTTTTTTGAGATAGAGTCTTGCTCTGTCACCCAGGCGGGAGTGCAGTGGTGTAATCTAGGCTCACTGCAGCCTCTGCCTCCCGGGTTCAAGCAATTCTCCTGCCTCAGTTGCCTGAGTAGCTGGGATTACCGGCATGTGCCACCATGCCTGGCTAATTTTTGTATTTTTTGTAGAGACGGGCTTTCACCATGTTGGTCAGGCTGGTCTCAAACTCCTAACCTCATGATCTTCCTGCCTCAGACTCCCAACGTGCTGGGATTACAGGCGTGAGCCACTGCACCCAGCCAACGAGTCTATTTTCATGCCAGTATCACACTGTTTTAATTACTATTGCTTTGTAGTGTAGTTTTAAATCATGCATGTGGTTGGTGCCTCCAGCTTTCATCTTCTTACTCATGATTCCTTTGGCTATTCAGAGTTTGTTGTGGTTCCACATTAATTTTATATTTTTTTCTGTTACTATGAATAATTACATTACAATTTTGTTAGAAATTGCTTTGAGTCTATAAGTCATTTGGGGTAGTATGGACATTTTAGCAACATTATTCTTCCAATCTATGAACACAGAATATCTTCCAATTTATTTGTGTCTTCTATAATTTTTGTTATTAACATTTTTCAGTGTACAGGTCTTTCACCTTCTTGGTTAAACTTATTTCTAAATATTTTATTTTTTGAAGCTGTTGTAAGTAAGATTGTTCTCTTGTTTCTTTTTAGAATGTTTGTTGTTACTATGTGGAAATACTGAGCTCCTTAGTCTCCTCTGCCACCAGATCTAGCTTCAGAATGTAGACAATGTCTTGAGGGAGAAATTAGCTGCAACAATTCATTTCCAACTTTGTCTTTCTAAATCCATGCATGTGACTGCCAAATTCTGTGGGGAATTCTCTGATCCCTGTCAGTGGCTCACCGCTTCCAGCCTGAAACATCACTCAACAAATATCTCTGAAAAAAGAGCAACAGTATATCATTAATACATCTTCGCAAGTTGTTTTTGTCTTCAGAATTTTAACTCTTACAGTTTTTGTTGCTTCCAAAACTCTCTGATGCCACCAAAAATACTTTTATAATTTATCCCACTTTTCTGGTATGATTTACACATACATACATACATACTATATAAATAACGTATTAGTATTTATATAGAAAACTTTGATTTATTTAGAATATGTAATATTAAATATATTGGAATAATATAAAATATAATTATACCATGTACCTAGACTAATGTATGTATGTATGCATGTAAATATAGTACATGTATATATGTGCGTGTAAATGGTACTGTTATATTTTATATTATACATATTTTATGTACCATTTACACACACACATATAAACATACACATATTTGTAAAAGAAATTATGACACTTCCAGTGATGAGGACTGTAGCTGGGGAGAACCTGAAAACTGTCCAGGCTCAGCCTATACGCCCCTTCTTTAAGAGATTTTCCCCAACTTCCCAAGCCTGCTATGTTGCCCTGATTTTTCTGAAGCATTTTTATTCTGCTTTTTTATTATTACAGAGTCTCAGAGAACATAACACCTGGCCTATTCTCTAGTTGTTTAACAAATTCAGTCCCTAAGATGGAGTTTGAGCATCTCAAAGGCCAAAGGCAGGGTCATGGTTGAGATCTCACTATACGTCCATCACTGTGATAGCTAAGTTAGTGTGTCAACTTGACTTAGCCAGAGTGCCCAGTTTTGATGGTGTCTCTGATTGGGGCACTGTCATCTCAGCCAGTGTCATCTTTGTAGATGCATGTCACCCTGGAGAAGACAATCCCTCCCAAGTGGAAATCCATGAAGGATAAGTGTCTATCTGATATGGTGGTCCAGAGGTCTTATATAATTTGGAGGCTCGGGTAAGAATAGCTGTGTGGGCGTCATGGTGGCTGCTAGGACTACAGATCTCTGTCACCTCCAGAAGCTTATTATCAGAGCACAAAGTTCTTTACTGCCTTCAGCCTAGATGAGCCTGTAGCATCCATCTACAGTAGATAAACACTTTGGCCACAATTTGATGCCAATTGAAGGGCAATCTTCTGGAGTCCCTCTCAGCAGTCAAAGATTTTGTCCGATGGCTGCTGTTTGAATGAGCTGGGATGTTCGTTCCAGGCTGGGATGTTTGAACAGTGTTTAGCTAAGAAAGTTTAATTTGATTATATTCGGAAGGCCATTCTCATTTTTAGAAGAATGGCTTGTAGGTTATGTGATGGAATGGAATCATGCATGATTGAACATCTGTTCCATGTGCTATAGAAGGCAGATACCTTAGCCAGGTGTGGTGGCAAGCTGGCTGGAAAAAAATGAGGAGGGGTCTCCAACATTCTGTTTTGTCACCCAGTGGTTCAGCTGTTTGCAAAAAGTATGTTGCTGGCATGTCCCATGGTACTCAGGAGCAAGCCCTGAGGGTAGGTGAGTAACCCCAGCACCCATGCAGCAAACAAGACTAAGACACAAAACCAAGCTGAACACAGGCAATGGAGAAGTCTCCCTGGCTTTTGTTTGGGAGGAGAAACTTGAATTATGACTGCAAGCATCTGTACATCCTCCCAGTGGATTGCTTTAGACATATGTCCAGGGCCTGTTTGATCATAGGTGCTTCCCATATGGAGTGTTGGGCCTTGTACTGATCACAGGCCAACACGATAGGTCAAATGGTAGTCATTTTCTAAAATGACTGGCATTCACTAGATGTAATTTTTTTGCCTCCAAAGTTGTGACCAGACCATGCTGCTGCTGGGACCAGGAACGGTGATCTCTTTCTGTGAGGCATAGAAGGAACTTAGATTTATTAACTAGATTTCAGATCCTTAAAACTTGAGTAAAGCCTCAGGCTTAGATCTAGCTGGTTCTGGGTATGAATGGTCAAGCAGCAAGCATGAGGGACATACAGTTTTTCTTTCAACTGTTGGGAGTCAGACTTTGTTATCAACCCACAATTAGTCCATCAATGTAGGAAATTTGGCAGATGATTGAAAAATTAAAAGTGTGTGATGAGTTTTATTGAGGAATGAATGTGGATGCAGTCCTCTACCACAATGAAGTGAGCGAGGGGAGTCTCCTGATAATATCAGAGCCATGGGAAAGAGTTTGAAGTACTTGGTGCATGACGTGGAAACCTGTAGTCCAAGAGTTAAGGAGAATGAGAGCTTGTATAAATGTGGCCACCCATTGAGAGTTCAAAAACTCACTGTAATTTGAGTAATAGGTCTTTGAAAAGGCCATTATGTCTTTCAGTTAGGACTAGTGCATGAGGTCTGTAGGCTAAGTGAAAGTTCTACTGTATGCCTTGGTTTTTGGCCCATTGTTGAACAGCAAGTGCTGAAAGATGAATGCCCTGGTTTGAGTCAAGGACCTGTAGGCACCCAAATGCAATAAGATGGAATTGGTGAGTCTGGCCATGGTTGTGGAAGCAGCAGTATGTCTGCTGGGATGGGCTAAGAGTAATCTGTGAACTCGTCAATCACAGTGAGAGCATTCTTTGTGGCTACGTTGCTGGGAGGAAGTGGACCAATGTGGTGAATGTGCCAGTGTGAATAAGGTCAATCCACTCCAGGAATGCAGTCCCAGCTGGAAAATGCCCAAAGCTTAGTGTTGGCATACATGGTGCAGTTGTAAGTGACCATTTTAGCTAAATAAGGAGTTAATGGAATGCCCCAGTGATAGGTCCAGTCCAGTGTAGAGATACCTTGGTGTCCCAACTTAGCACGTGCCCATTCTGCTGGAAGATAAAGAATGTCTGGAAAGATGCTACAGACTTGCTGCTTTGTAAGCATGTCTGCAATATTTTTGAAATGAGCTATGGGTTAGTGGCATTGGTTTGGGCCCACACATGTGAGATGAAATGGAGATATGTGATGGTGGCCATTTCCTTCCAGATGGCAGGTGCTCCAGTGAGGTTTATTTTGTATAATAAGGTTATTTAATGTTCACTGTCCCATCTAGATAACCAAGTAGTTGGCCACAGTTTGTGAGTCAGTAAAGATGTAAAACTCTGCTAGTCCCCACTTTTGGGCATGTCTTGTAGCCAAGGGAACTGCAACAAGTTCTTTTGATTGGGTGGATCCAAGGATGCTGATGCCATCCTCTAGTAGTGGGTGTTTACAGCTGGGTGGTTTGCTGCTGCCCATTAACAGTCTGTGTTGTGTACAATGGTGGCAGTGCCGTTGACATGTAGGCATGTATAACTTAACCACGGGGATATGTTCTGAGAAATGGGTTGTTAGGTGATTTCATCATTATTTGAAAATCTTAGAGTGTACTTACAGGAACCTAGATGGCTTTCTATGTATGCTCCATTAGTCTTATGGGACCCCCGTTGTATATACAGTCTGTTGTTGGCCTAAATGTCATGCAGTGCATGATTGTACACAGACTCTCTTTCCATGTCAGACCACTGGTCCCAAGGGACACCCCACTTGGCAAAAGGAGGAAGCAATGGAGTTGTCATCCCCCATTCCCCAACTGTAGTAGGCATAGGGCTGAGTGTGGGGGAAGCTACATTCTCCTGTAATTTGGAAATTCCTTTAATGTCAGGTTTTGTCCTTTCTTGCAGGTACCATTTTTATTTTAACAAGGAGGAGTCAATGGTTGTGCCAAGCCACTGTTGGAAAACATCTGCACCAAAGGCAGAAAGGGAATTTGTTTTTGCAGCCTCACAGGCTGTGCGAGCACCTCAGTCTCCACAGAGTCTGGTGTTCTAAAGCTGCACAGTGGTTAGTGACTGATTTTAGCTTCTTGGTTCAAAAGTTCCTGAGCAGCCAGTTATAATCATGTTTAGTGTAGAGACTCTATGATAGATACTCTAAGGTGGTCAAGGACTGGATCCAGAAGGCTGATCCTGGAGAACAGATGGTAAAGCCTGTTGTGTTCATTGTAAATCTGCCTGTTGGGGTCCCTCCCAGTGGAAGGAAGTGGGCTTTCGTGTAATGGCATAGATAGGCTTAAGTAGAAGAGACTTAAATAGAAGATGTAGGCTTAAGTATAAGTGACAGGTGAGGGCATGTCCTTTAGGACAGGAAAAGCCCCAGGAGATGTTGAGTGTGTTTGAGTCCCCTGGGGATGTATCCTGTGAGAATGTGGTGCTTCACTGTCATGGGAATGCCTTGACCATTGGAGACCACATGATCCACAAGAATGTAACAGTGGTCAAAAACCCTTGTCTTTTATGGGTAGCTATGACCCATCCCCCTACCTTCTGAGAGTAGTAAGGTCTGTTCATACTGTCTCCTGGGAGACTCCCATTAGTAATATAACATCAATGCCATTTCAGCAATGGAGATGAAAAAAAGTGTCTCTGTAAATCCTGTTCGCACAGATTACGAGCAAAGGCAGGACAATTTAAATATCCCAGAGGTAACCATGTGAACTTACATATATTGGGCATCTTTGAAAGTGAAAGCAGACAGGCACGGTGGCTCACGCCTGTAATTCCAGCACTTTGGGAGGTCGAGGTGGGCAGATCATGAGGTCAGGAGATCGAGACCCATCCTGGCTAACACGGTGAAACCCGTCTCTACTAAAAATACAAAAAATTAGCCGGGCGCGGTGGTGGGCGCCTGTCGTCCCAGCTACTCAGGAGGCTGAGGCAGGAGAATGGCGTGAACCCGGAAGGCGGAGTTTGCAGCGAGCCGAGATCGCGCCACTGCACTCCAGCCTGGGCGATAGAGCGAGACCCCGTCTCAAAAAAAAAAAAAAAAAAAAAAAAATGCAACCTGGCTCTGAGGATTCTTTACTATAGGACTGAGTAAAACATGTTGGCCAAGTCATTGGCTGTGAAAAAGGGCACCGGTATTATCAGTTGCAATGTTTACAGTTAAAACCTTTATTGGATGGACCTGACTGCTTAAATTGTGGCAGCCTATGGCTAATCTCTATTTGCTTATAGAGGCCTCGAGTACAGGCCAGAGGGGGCCACTAAATGGTGAAATTTGCAGGAACAATGACACCCCCCTTGAGGAGGTCGGTAATGACAGTAATCACGTAGCCCTCAGTACCCTGTTTTATTTGATATTGGGATTATGTGCCATCTCTATTGGGATGGGGCAGTGCACTGGTTCCCATTTCTCCCACCAGTAGCACTAAGGATTTAACTTGACTCTAACATGTATCCATTCCCACGGTGGAGAAAGTGACAGCCAGTGGGGCCGCGGCCACTGGGAATTGTTTAATAAAAATAGAGCCAATGCTTACATCAAAGGTCACCTGTTACCAGAGATTGTTTTGCTGGCAATCCCCTATAAGTCACAGGGTGTTCCTTCATTATAATTATTAGGATTTTTCAGAAGTACTGTGAATTGGGCACCTGTATCTAATAACGTCAGAAAGGTCTGTGAGTTTTTCCCATTCCAGTGAACCCCCAGAGGGCAATTGTCTGTGGGTGGTGGGCCAAGACCTGCAGAGGCAACAGACCCCTATGATAGAGGTCGAGAGGGCTCTCCTTGTGCAAGTCAGGAATGGCACAGCCTGAGTAAGGCTATTGTCTTGAACAGCAGAGGGCTTTTGTGCAGATTTTTTCAAACTGACTAGGTTGAAATTGTGCCTGTAATTGTATTAGAGCATTGTTTTTTTTTTTTTTTTTTGAGACGGAGTCTCGCTCTGTCGCCCAGGCTGGAGTGCAGTGGTGCAATCTCCGCTCACTGCAAGCTCCACCTCCCGGGTTCACGCCATTCTCCTGCCTCAGCCTCCCTAGAAGCTGGGACCACAGGCGCCTGCCACCGCGCCTGGATAATTTTTTGTATTTTTAGTAGAGACGGGGTTTCACCGTGTTAGCCAGAATGGTCTCAATCTCCTGACCTTGTGATCCACCCACCTCGGCCTCCCAAAGTGCTGGGATTACAGAAGTAAGCCACCGTGCCCGGCTTATTAGAGCATCTTTAGTTGAAGTCTGGATGCTAGTTGTCCTGAAATTACATAGCTTGGCACTCTGTCTCCCTTAATTGCCAATGTAAGGGGTGATTAGGAGCTCGGGGGGTGCTCATGGGCTGTGCCGTGGTTGAGGTGATTGTGGCGGTGGCACTGGTGTGGTTTGTCCAGGCCTCCTATAAAAAGGCAAGTCTCCCTTATTATCATACTATTATTTGAGAATATACTAGTATTTTATTATTATTAATTAATTAATTTATTTATTTATTTTTAGACAGAGTCCCCAGTCTGTTGCCCAGGCTGGAGTACAGTGGTGCGATTTCAGCTCACTGCAACTTCCGCCTCCCAGGTTCAAACAATTCTCCTGCCTCAGTCTCCAGAGTAGCTGGGATTACAGGCACATGCCACCACACCTGGCTATTTTTTTTTTTTTTTTTTTTTTTTTTTTTTTAGTAGAGACGGGGCTTTGCCATGTTGGCCAGGTTGGCCTTGAACTCCTGACCTCAGGTGATCCACCTGCCTCGGCCTCCCAAAGTGCTGGGATTACACCGCACCCAGCTGAGAGTACACTAATATTTGAGAATTGGGACTTATGCTTTCCTCATGGCCAGCCAGCAAATCAATTCCATCCATGCCTCATAGATAGTGTAAGCTGCCCTCACCAAACTGAGGACTGTTTATGGTAGCTGGACAATACCTCTTGGGAAAAAAAGTATTTTCTTGACTTGGGGTCAAAAGGGGCCTCCTCCGAGTTAGAAATATATTCATTATCATTTTTATTTGGGGTGTTCAGAGAAATGACATACACACTAAACCATATGCCAGTTTTACCTCAAAGGGACCAAGTGTCCTTGGTGGTTTCCCACTGTCCCTGTGCTTCAGCAGCAATGTCTGCTATTAGGGGATGAGCCTCTTCCAGGCTTAAAAGCCCAAGTAAGCAAGGGCCGTGCTCATTCCTCCTCTTCTCTTTGGGTTGAAGGTCAGTACTCATCATATGAGTATTCTATAACCCTCCCTTCTATTTTGGGAGTTCAGCTTCTCTAGATTTAGTTTGACCCCTTGGAGGGCCATGATAATCATGTCAGAATTTGGTTCATAATATATGGGACCCTTTAATAAGTTACAGGTTTGGAAGTCTTTGGTTATGCCTAATTTTGAGGATATGCCTCACCGCAGTATCCCTTAGTAGTAACTTGACCCTATATTAAACGTATGTAACAATAAACCTGCTCCCTCTTGTATTGTGATTTTTCTCTAATTTCATCTTGAGGTCTCTCTCTCTGTCTGGAGAGTGGCTATAAACTTTAGCCATATCCTGCTGGGGTTCCAGGGGAGGTGGTCGTGGATGTTGACGATATTCCTTTATGGAATACCTCTTTATGTTGGTGGACAGCCGAATCCCTAAAAATCTGACAAGTGACCAGCTGTCCCTCTCACCTGAACCTTGTTTGTCCTGGCAAATGCTGTGGAGGCTCCTGACTGTGTCCACTCTATTCCTACCAAGATAGCCGCTCTCTGGGAGATCCCTGACCAGAAGGAGAGTCAGGTTTGGGTGTGTGAGTCAGGTAAGACACAGAGGAGGCAGCACAGCAAAACACATGAAATACCAGAAGCAGCAAATTCCTTACAGGTCCCATTGAGAAGAGGGCAGCTCGTGTCTGAGTGCCGATGGGAAGGGTGGGGGCATCTGGGACATGCACGCTTGTGCGAGAAGCAAGAGGGAATGAGCAAAGGGCCTGAAAACCAAAATGCTTATTGAGATCCAAGGCATTACCCAGGCAGGCTTCCTGTGGGAAGTTTTAACTGGTAGATGTAGAGCAAGTAGGCTCGAGTTCCAGGAAGTCACGCCATGACTGAGAGGTAGTCGCTGTGGCATATCTAAGCATTCCACATGGGGTGTGGAGGTCAGTGGGACCAATCAAGTAGGTTGTATGTAGCTATCCCATAGGGAGGCTGTACAATGCCGATATCTGGACTAACTGAACTGAGGAATGGGGAAGACGCAGGGAACTGGAAACTGTGTTAAGGTTGACTGAGCTCCATTTGCGGTATGAGAAAGTTGAACACATTCAGAATGGATGCTGAGGCAGTCAATATAAAGTTATACGAATAGCACTACGTTCTTGTTACAGTAGGCAGACGGGCATGAGTGGGGCAGGATAGGGCTCTCCCCCATCCACTAGGAATGTCAGGTGATGGTAAGGCAATTATCACATTGCCTCTCTAAAAGTGATAATCTGGCAGCAGGCACCAGGGCAAGGTCATATCCTGATGGTCCACACCTGTTGCATTAAAGTGTTAATTGAATGCAGGTGCCAGGGAGAGGCAAAAGAGGCTTCCAATAAAATCTCAGGTATTGGGCGAGTGAGCCTGGGCATGCGCACTAAGAGATAAAATGGCAGGAGTATGACCTTCTGGGGGCACTTCACCAGAAAAGGGAAGAAATCTCAGATGGGCATTCATACAACTTCCTAAACACACTATGCGTGCTCATCTCCCAAGCGTAAGGAGGGCACTGCGCATGCGGGCAGCCCACCCTAAGGGAAGAATCATGGGAAAGGGGCCAGCCTAAAAAGTCCTAGGATCAAGGTTAAACACGGCACTTGACTTTCACATGCCTGCCTGGGTTTCTTCCAAGGATACTTTCCTTTCTTTCCTGTTCTAAAGCCTTTTTAAATAAACTTCCACTCCTGCTCTAAAACTTGCCTCGGTCTCTTTTTCTGCCTTATGCCCCTCAGTCGAATTCTTTCTTCTGAGGAGGCAAGAATTGAGGTTGCTGCAGACCTATAGGGATTCCCCACTGGTGACTTGGTTATCTTCTGCCAGTAACATATTTGGTGCTGTGAGAGTTTGATACTTGCCACTTATAACATTCTCATCATCTTAAAACCTTTAAGAATAATTTGAACGTCTAATTAGATAAAATTTCTGGTCTTGTCTTCTAGGTTCTATTGTTCACCCTCAAGTTTGACCTTGCCAGTGACCTCTGGGAAGGTTTTTGGTTTTTATTGGTTCTATTTGTAGGTAGCTACCTGCCTCTCTCAGATATTCTAATTGACCTCATTTGGGTTTGGATTTGTTCCCACTAGTGCAACAGTGGCAGGATCATCTGGCAAGGCCCCAAGCTCTTGTGAGCCTGAGACCAAGGCTTTAGCATGTTGATTGGCTGCAGACCCCAGCAGAGCCCAGGTGCATTGGATGGGCATTTTTAAATTTCTTTTTTCATTCATTTATTTATTTATTTTTTGAGATGGAGTCTCACTCTGTCACCCTGGCTGGAGTGCAGGGGCACGATCTCAGCTCACTGCAAGCTCCGCTTCCCGGGTTCACACCATTCTCCTGCTTCAGCCTCCCAAGTAGCTGGGACTACAGGCGCCCGCCACGATGCCTGGCTATTTTTTTGTATTTTTGGTAGAGACGGAGTTTCACCATGTTAGCCAGGATGGTCTCGATCTCCTGACCTCGTGATCCGCCCGCCTCGGCCTCCCAAAGTGCTGGGATTACAGGCATGAGCCACCACGCCCAGCCTTAAATTTCTTTAATAGTTTGCTGATCTCCTCAGGGATCTTGCAAGGGATAGGAATGAGATATTCCAGCCCTTTAATCTGAGTCGTTAAGTCATTGGTCACTGAGCATCAGGAGTTAGACCCTCAGTAACCCATAGAGTTAGGGAGCAAAGAACAATAGCAACAGAAAAGGCAGCAGCAATGGGATGGCAGATCCCGACAGCATACCCTTTATGAGGTATCACGACTCCCTAGTTAGTGGGGACACCCCTCTTTCTAAGTAGGGCCTTTGTAAATCGTTCCCAATACCATCCACAGATACAGCAGAATGGGGGGTAAAGGAGTTGTCCTCTCCATATATATATATATGTATTTTTTTTTTGAAATGAAGTCTCACTCTGTCGTCCAGGCTGGAGTCCAGTGGTGCGATCTCAGCTCACTGCACCCTTCGCCTCCCAGGTTCACGCAATTGTCCTGCCTCAGCTTCCTAAGCAGCTGGGACTACAAGCACCCACCACCACACCTGGCTAACTTTTGTATTTTTAGTAGAGACAGGCTTTCGCCATGTTGTCCAGGCTGGTCTCGAACTCCTGGCCTCAGGTAATCCACCTGTCCCGGCCTCCCAATGTGCTGAGATTACAGACCTGAGCCACTGTGCCCGGCCCATCTCCATATATTTCCAAACACTAACTCAATATCTTGCCTAACAGCTTCAAGCCAGTGGGAGCTGTACACCACCTGTCCCCTAAAATATCTTGCTAGCTTGCAAGGACCTTTCATTACTCTGCAACCAATGTGACTCAGAACCATTTACTCCCAGGAGTGATGGAGGAGGTCCTCCCATTTTTCTGGGTCATAGCTGGCCAAATATACTCTGATTTTCAAATCCACAATTTAAGATAGGAGTCTTGCTAGCACTCTACGTAAGCAGCACCCAGCAGCACACAGCAGTGTGGTCCTAGGCCAGCAAGTGATTGAGCCTTCCTAGATGGTCATAGCCACTCTGGTCAGCCAGTTTGTCAGCCAAGAGCAGTCAAAAGGACTTCGAGGGTGTCCCTCACCAACAGTGAGGCCAGTTGTTACAAATTTTAAAATAATTTAAGTTAGATTTGGTACAGTCACGTGTGGCACAGTGAGGAATACTCAGACTGAAATGGCCAAAAGATAAGTTTATTACTCAGTTCAGCAAAGAGGGCAGCATGCCTCACAGGGCCAGTGGGAAAAGCGGGGCTGTCTTGGACCCACATGCTCAACTAGCGGGTGGGAAGCAAGAGAGATAAAGAGGAATCTGTAAGCTGAAGACTTTATTGGGGTCCAGGGTATTACCTAGGTGGGTTTCCTGCAACAAGGGTTGATTGATTAATTTGAAGGGAATGGAAAAGCTCAGTGCAGAAACAGGGGGATATATTATCAGGGTCACCAGGCTTAAAGCAGAAGTAAGGTGTTCAAACAGTTTATGTTATGGAGCCTTATGTATCTAGAACACAAAAATGGGAAAAATGTGGAGACTGCCTCAAAAAATGTAGCTCAAGGGCGACAAGTCAGAGACAGGACAAGCTGAATACTGAGGCAGTATTGACATGAACAAGCTATGACACTCAATTTCTTAACCCCTTATCATGCAGCATAAGATGTATTGACCGATTATCATAGTATTTAAGTATTGTTCACTTTACATCCAGCATTTAAGTTACAGAATGTCATGGAGAAGAATAAACATCACTCAAGGATTATATCTCAACTTCTGAGGAAGGGATTAATGCATTTTCAGGGTATTCAGTGTAGTTGCATCATATTTGCTGGAGGTATGACCTGTTATTGCCTTCATTTGGAGATTAAATATGATTTAAGGAGATGTGTATGAGTGGCAAGTTGGCAAGAGGTGGATGGTTAAATTTTATGTGTCAACTTGACTCAGCCATGGAGTGCCCAGCTATTTGGTTAAATATTTTACGGGATGTTTCTGGATGAAATTAACATTTTGTCTGTTGACAAGATAAAGCAGAGAACACTCTCCAGTGTGGCTGGGTCTTATCCAGACTGCTGGAGTTCTGAATAGAACAAAAGGCAGGGTAAGGGAGACTTTGCCCTGTTCATTTTTGAGCCTGGACTTCCATCTTCTCCTGTACTCAGATTGGGATTTACACCACTGGCTCTCCCAGCTTCAGGACTTCACACTTGGATGGAACTACACCACCAGCTTTCCTGGATTTCCAGCTTGCAGAAGGAAAATCATGAGACTTCTCAGCTTTTATAATTGTGTGAGCCAATTTATTGTAAGAAATCATTTATTATAGGTTCTGGTTCTGTAATCAGCCCAATTGTCCCATAGAACTGATATTTACAGGATTTTTGAATAAATATTGAAACTGTCCCTCCCTCGTCTTCAAACTTGAAACTTACCTTTGTCTCATCTGAGTTTCTTCCTCAGGAAACCAACCCACAGGCAAAGAATTGACAGATCACTGCATCCAGACAATGAGAGGCCAGACCCCTCATCCATTATGATTGCTTCCTTACTCCTCTCTAATTCCTGTTTTTCCACCTTCCTCACTACATAAACTCAATTTTAGTCGGTCAAGGAGATGGATTTGAGATTTCATCTCTAGCTCTCCTTGGCTGTACCATCTGATTAAAGCCTCCTTCCCTGGCGATATTGTCTCAGTGATTGGCTTTCTGGGTGGTGAGCAGCAGAACCTAGACCAAACCCCTAGCATTTTGGTAACAGATTTTGGTTCCCTGATCTGGAATGCATTGCTGTTGCTCATGGCTCAGCTGCTGCCAAGGGCTGGGAGTCTCAGAAGCCCTCCTAAGAAGCTGCCTGCCATTTTATGGCTGGAGGTGAGTTTTAGTCTCTCTCTCTGGCATCGCCAGTGCCGGCCTCAACCACATTCCTGATTGCCTAGGAAGAACAGCCTTTGAAATTTGACATCTGCATCTGGACAGGTGAGTGTCTTTTGTGGGCCCAGACGGTGGGGTCTGCTCCGCTCAAGTTGGGAAATTCCAAAGGCATTTTGCAGGTTTAAAAAGCCCAACTGACGGAGAGAGAAAACACCCGATTGTTTCAGTTTGGACACTCTTGGGGGCTTGTTAGTAACTGTTTGTGTGTCAGGGCAAGTATCTTTTGTGGGTACCAGAGAGCAGGTTGGGCTTCTCTCAATTTGGAAAATTGCAAAATAATTTCTGTTTGCAGGTTGAACAAGTCCATCTGATCGAGAGAGGAAATACTGTTTCAGTTTGGACACTTTGGAGGCTTGTTCATTGCTGCAGCAGTTGGATTGTATTTTCTTTGTTGTTGTTGTTTGTTTTTCTTTTCTTTTCTTTCTTTCTGTTTTTTTTTTTTTTTTTTTTTTTTTTGAGACGGAGTCTTGCGCTGTTGCCCAGGCTGGAGTGCAGTGATCTCGACTCACTGCAAGCTCCACCTCCGGGGCTCACGCCATTCTCCTGCCTCAGCCTCTCGAGTATCTTGGACTACAGGCGCCCGCCACCCGGCCCAGCTAATTTTTTTTTTTTTTTTTTTAGAGATGGGGTTTGACTGTGTTGGCCAGGATGGTCTCGATCTCTTGACCTCGTGATCCGCCTGTCTCAGCCTCCCAAAGTGCTGGGGTTACAGGCGTAAGCCACCGCGCCCGGCCGTTTGTTTTTTTGAGACAGAGTCTCGCTCTGTCACCCAGGCTGGGGTGCAGTGGTGTGATATCGGCTCACTGCAATCTCTGCCTCCCAGGTTCAAGCGAATGGTATTTTCTTGATTGTGTGGTTGTTGATGTAGTTGTGGGAGGTTGAGGTTCAATCCCAGGATGCAGCCCCCTCTAGTTGCACTCACTGGGGTTGATGTGAATGTAGATGTGGGCTGATGGCTAAGGCCATACGGGAACTCTGAACATGCGCTATCTTGTCTGATCTCAGAAAGTCTTTGAATTGTAGTGCTGTCTTCGTTTTGCTGTTGAATAGGAAAGTAGGATAGAGTCTCATGTATCCTGGATTTTATACTGCTGTTGTAAGCAGAGTTAGACCTGCTTAGTATGTGATGCTCTTCTGTGGTATGTTTGTCTCCAGTGTTCTCTGGGGTCTAGGAAGGTTTGGCCTTTAAAATTAAGCTACCACTGCTTTACCCAAAATGTTGTTTCACAGCTTTCATCAAATTACCTATCAGGGCAAAGTTTATCCATGTGAATAATAGAGACAGGAGGTGGCCAGGGGTCCCTGGTGAAACCCTGCCTTCAAGCCTAAAACCCTGAAGGCTGAAAAACCGGACCGCTGGTCCCAGATGAAGCCCACCATTTCCCCACTGATTCTCTCTGAGTAATGCCCACCTGAGCACTGGGAGGGCGGGGTGGAGCCTCGGGACTTTCCTGCTGTTTGCAGCGGGGAGAAGCCTGGCCTCTTCACTTCCCCTGTGGGGACCTGGGATTCAATCTATGAGGTGGAGGGCCAGTTAGCAGGACTCCATGTCCCTATGCTGAGTTCTTTTTCTTTTTCCTTTTCACCCAGTAAATTCTGCTCCTAACCCTTCTATGTATCCGTGAGCCTAATCTTTCCTGGTTATGTGACAAGAACCTGGTTTTAGCTGAACTAAGGAGAACGTTCTGCAAAATGAATATGTATGTAAACTGGTGAGTTTGTATTCTTATCTAATGGTTAGAGTTCTGAGGTAAAAGCTATTGGATCTTTGTTTATGGGTGTGTGTATGTCTAGATGAGTTTATGTGTATGAACATTTATTTTGTTTTGTGTTGTTTTAACTGGGTACCAAATTGGCTTATAAGTAAAAGAGTGCTCATAAATTCAGTCAGTCCAAGTATTTTTCAAATTGATGTGACTTAAGTAAATATTGAATCAATAAGCTGGCTTTAAGATTATTGATAAAATAAAAATTCAAATGTCTTTGAAATTGTCAGCACACATTTTTGTCCAGATTTTATATTTGTCTGTGCTAGCTATTTTAATGGGTCAGGGTATGGCACAAAAAGGTGTAAGACTGTAAACCCAGGCAAGAACAAAATAATTTTTGTGTGATTTTTAAGTAAGACTAATTTAATGTTGTTGGTTTAATGAAAACAGCTGAATCTTCTGAGTTATTGGTGAAAAGATCCATGTATTTCACTTTAAGTTTCTTTCTTAGGTGAACACCTGATATTCACACATTATAAAAATGGTTAACAAGGAAATAATGGCTAGCTCTAATATCTATATTCTTGTAAGTAATCTGAATAAATTGCTAAAAATGAATGAAATATAAATAGGGTAAATGCTGTAGGTGATCTCCTTGTGTAAGTTTAAATATTGCACATGTACCCTAAAACTTAAAGTATAATAAAAAAAAAAGAAATTATCTTGGATGCTTGTTGAATGTCTGTGTTATTTTCCATTCAAAAGGATTATGGACTAGGAATGGTAGCTCACACCTGTGATCCCAGCAATTTGGGAGATCAAGGCAGAAGGATTGCTTGACCCTAGGAGTTTGAGACCAGCCTGCAACACAGAGGGAACTTGTGTCTACAAAAAATAAAAATAAAAATTAGCTGGGTGTGGCAGCACACACCTGCAGTCCCAGCTACTCGGGAGACTGAGACGGGAGGATCACTTGAGCCCAGGAATTCAAGGCTGCAGTGAGTCATGACACTGTTACTGCACCCAGCCTGAGCAACAGAGTGAATCTGAGAGACAGTCCAAGATCTCTTGCTTCCTAGGTTTTCACTAAAATTTAAGGTTACTAAGAATACAAATTCTAGTTATTATATAATTTTGCATATAAAATGTGCTGAAGAAGATGTGTTCTTATTGAGAAAGATAATTTTGTATAATTCAGAAGTTATCTAAAGGTTGATTCAAGTTATGTACTTGGAAAAGTTATTTATGAAACAAGGAAGAAAGGAACCAGTAAGTATAGGAGAGAGATGTGAAAACAGAAATTGTGGATATTAATATGTATTAGCTGGTGTGGTGACACACACCTGTAGTCCCAGCTACTCAACAGGCTGAGATGGGAGGATCACTTGAGCCCAGGTGATCCAGGTAGGAAAGGTTATAAGGAAAAGAGAATAATTTTGTATGGGAAGCAGTTTTGTGCAAGAGGTTTTGATTTTGATTCTATAATCTACTTCTTTTTAAAACTTCTCAGATTCATAGCTCAGAAGTGCAACTGTGTTGTGTCTTGCTGCTTTCAGCTTTTATGCTCTACTTGAAAAAGACTGAGATGATCATTCTCTCCAACTTTTTCATCAACTCCTGTAATTATTTTTTTCTGTCAAGTTCTAAGTGCTGTTGTGACCCGATGCTGAAATGTTTATCTTGAGGGTCTAGAAAAGCAAGCCTTTCCTCCAGTATAACTTGATTCTGTACTCAGGAGAATTAAAAAAGCCTTTTTCTTTATGTTTACATTGTTCATCAGGTTTGACTTTCAGGTTGTCTAAGTGGGCTTCTCATAAGGAGAAGCAATCACACTGCAGAAGGTCTTTCTTTGCCTTCTGGTAACTCGTTGGGCAGCAGATGTAGGGTCTAGTCCTATGGGGCTTAGTGAGTGTTTTTTTGTGTGTGTGGAGATGAGAGATTGTAATAAATAAAGATATAAGACAAAGAGATAAAGAGAAAACAGTTGGGCCCGGGGGACAACTACTATTAAGATGTGGAGACCAGTAGTGGCCCCGAACGGCTGGGCTCGCTGATATTTATTGTATATAAGACAAGTGGTAGGGTAAGAAGGGTGAATCTTTTAAGTGATTGACAAGGTGAAGTAAGTCACGTGATTATAGGATTAGGGGCCCTTTTCTTTTAGGTAGCCGAAGCAGAGAGAGAAGGCAGTATATGTCAGATGGTTTCTATTGTTTTTTTTTTTTTTTTGCACTTATAAGAAAGATTAAAGATTTTAAGACTTTTATTTTGTCACTATTTATTATGAACTTTGAGGAGGAACTAGGAGTATGGGAGGAACATGAAAGTGGACAAGGAGCGTGACTATTGAAGCACAGTACTATAGGGAGGGGTTTAGGCCTCTGGATGACTGTGGGCAGGCCTGGATAATATTTAGCCTTTTATAAGAAGTTGGTGGAGTAGAGTTTTTTGAGTTTTTTAAGGAAAGAAGACTCTCTTTTGTGGTTTGTTAAGTAATGGGTGCCTTTTTAGACACTGGCGTTATCGCTTGACTAAGGAGCTCACAAGCGGACCTTATGTGGGTGTGACAGAAGGCTCACCTCTTGTTTTTTAGGTCACGTTTTATAATGTCTCTTTAGTACTTGACCTTATATTTGCCGGTTATTTTTACGTTATATTAGTAATGTAACAAAGAGTAATATTAAAAACTAATGATTAATAATGTTTATAATAATGATTGGTAATTGTTTATGATCATCTTTATATTTAATTTGTATTATGACTATTTTTATTTTAACTATTTTTTTATTATATTGAAACAGTTTGTGCTTTTAGTCTCTTGCCTCAGCACCTAGGTAATCCTCCGCCCACAGTAACTGGCCTAAGAAACAGGTTTTACATTTTATCAAGATAATTACTATGTCATTGTTATTAGTTGTTTTTAATCATTTACGAAAACTGAGATTAAAAGAAGGTTTTTACATCCATATAACTTTCTTTACTGTTTTATAATCTTTGTGCTATTAAATTACTGGGCTTTGATTCCTGGGTCTGAAAAAGGCACCAACTTCTTCTCAATCTTGAACATTGACACAACTCAAAACTTTGCCTTCAGACCAGGGAGAAAGCAACAAACAAAATGAGCTGCTTTTGTGAGACACAGGTTCAGAAATTAATATTATTCCGTCTCTCTAGGCCCAGAGACTGTCATGGAAGATGTGGGTGCATGAGATGTTGAAAGCCAATTTTGAGAGATAATTCAGAGTTTTTCTGTGAATTAAACATTAATGTCGAAAGCACAATAATGCAAAGCCAGCATCTGGGCCCCTGTATTGGAATAGCAGGGTTTTCTTGGAGCACTGATCTGCGCTATTTATTTATTTATTTATTTATTTTGAGATAAGGTCTCACTCTGTCTGCCCAGGCTGGAGTGCAGTGACACAATCCTGGCTCACTGCAGCCTTGACATCGCAGGCTCAAGTGATCATCCCACCTTAGCCTCTTGAGTGGCTGGGATTACAGGCATATACCACCAGGCCCAGCTAATTTTGTCCAAGCTGGTCTCAAACTCCTGGGCTCAAGTAATCCTCCTGCCTTGGCTTCCCAGAATGTCAGTATGAAAGGCATGAGCCACCAGAGCAGACCTGATCTATTTAATATAAAATTGTAAAATGTTATAAAAGGTTTATGGCAAATTTATCTTATGGTCAAACTGATTAAAATTAGATAGATATATTTATAAATTTGTATTAAAATTAGCTTTAACACTAATAATATACAAAGAATGTATAGAAAACAAAACAACAAAATTGTTTTTTTCTTTTGAACAAAGTTTTCATGTAATATTAGTAAGAAATAATGAAAGATTTTTGTTTAACTTTTGAGTAAACATCAGGAAAAAAAGGAGAGAGAGAGAGACTGAGTTGGTTTCATGCTGTCTTTATTAGGGCTTACTGTTTGGGAAACTATCAAAGAGTAAAAGTGTGTTTTTAAATATTTTGTCATTTTGGCTAAATGAATGACATTTGGTAGTGACCTATGATCCTATTTTGTGATATCAAGTGTTTTATACATTTGATATTTGACAAACTTTTCAAAAGCAAAATGTCAAGTTCTAACTTCAGTCTTTCTGACCTCAAACTAACTTTTTAGATATTATGGCCTCCTGAAGTCCAAGAGGCTTACACAGTATGTTAAAATTATATAGGAAGCATTGTCATGTAGGAAATGGTGTTTAACTTTCCTTCAGTTATATTTATATAAATGTGTTAGAAATGTGTTCCAAAATTGCATGAGATTCCTAAAATTCTGATATGTCTTAGTTTATGTTATCATTAATAATTATGATTATTATGATAAATTGTTGTATGCTGCAGAAATAACCACATTTCCTTGTCAATTTGTTACCAGTGCAACTCTGATGAAGTAGCTGGGAAAGTTCTTTTTCTTACTATTTTTCTTTAGTGCCTTATATATAGGCACAGCTATTTCAAGAAATCAGATGGTGCCAGAGCTTCATAACCATTAACCAGATACCAGAGGGAGATAAGACCCCAAACCTGTCCAAGCTGGAGCAGAAGACCCCCTAGTTACCTTTAAAGCATTAACATATTATTATAATGCTAAAGTTCCCTCTCCTGCAAAAAAAACCCTCCATTGTATATTTAAGTTGTATGGGCCGGGCACAGTGGCTCACGCCTGTAATCCCAGCACTTTGGGAGGGCAAGGCAGGTGGATCACCTAATGTCAGGAGTTCAAGATCACCCTGGCCAACATAGTGAAACACCGTCTTTACTAAAAGTACAAAAATTAGTCGGGGTGTGGTAGCAGGTGCCTGTAATCCCAGCTACTCGGGAGGCTGAGGCAGGAGAATCACTTGAACCCGGGAGGCGGAAGTTGCAGTGAGCCAAGATTGCGCCACTGCACTCCAGCCTGAGTGACAGAGCAAGACTGCGTCTTAAAAAAACAAAAAAAAAGATGTATGCTTATGAATGGAGCCTGTGGGTCTGGACTCCAACCCCAAATGTGCTTACATTCCTCTCCTTCTCTGTACCCAGTCCTTAAAAAACCCTTGTCTTCTATTGTTCTGGAGAAGGGGCATATTGAGTGAGAGCTTGTCTCCTCTCTTCCTGGCCAGAAATAAAAACCGCTTGCCTTTGTTTCTAATTGGGTGTTCTTTCTTTGTGGTACAAAGTAGGGAAAGAACTCACTCAACAGTGACAATTTCTGGATGCTTGTCCAGGATGGCCATGGCCTCCCTCAGCTGGGGACTGAGTGGCACCTCCTAACCAGTGACTCCCAGCAGCTGGAGCAGTGGGAAGTAGCAGCTTATCTTGGGCCAACACCCAAGTCAAATTGTCATGGCTTGGAGTGTCTGCTGGGAGTGTCTGCAGGTGGGGCTTGAGCCCATGACCATGCTACTCTGTATCGAAGCCCATCACCCTGTCAGTCCTCTCCTCATCAGGCCAGTGGCCACAACCCTGAGAGGACTGCGATAGCTGGTAACATGGGCATTTATCAAATTGGGAAAAGGCATCAGGAAAGGGCAAATCTCACTTTTGGGGCATTGGAAGATATCTCCATTGTGAGGTTTATGGATCACATTCTGGGAATTGAAAGAAATACCCATGGTTTAATTGAGGCATCTAGGGAAGACCATCTGAAACAGATGGACCAGACTGGGAGACTGGGGATGCCTGATTGGACCTCAGGAAAGTGCCAGGCATGCCTGAGCTCAATGGTGTTAGTCCTGTGCATGGTTTAAATCATCTTTCTTCTCTTTTTCTGTCTCTGCTGCTGCAGCCTCTGCCTCCCTCCTGGTGCCTGTGTCCCACTGCTTCAACCACTGCCATGTCTGCCTTCCTGCCGCTGCCCATGGCTGTGCTCTCTACCCTGCCTACTCACCTCTCTTCCCTTGCTTTGGCCTATCATCACCCTGTCTGTAAAGCAATACATTTTTTCTTCCTTCCCATTTTTTCCTTCCTTCCCTCAACACCCTTAAGGACGACTTATCCCCTCCACATTGCAGCTTCTCTCACTGAGGCAGGGATACTCCAAATTCCCATCTGCACTGGCAAACATGCCCTGGGCCCCATTAGTTAGGCTCGCCTTATTTGGAGAAGATCTGCAGTGGTATCTGCGGCCCAAGGTAGCCCAAGGCCTAGGAATCATCTGGAAACTTCATATAGCATGGAGACCCCAATCCTCAGGAGAAGTGGAAAGAGCCAACGAAAGCTTAAAGAGAACCCTGGCTAAACTGTACCAAGAAACAGGAAAACTCACTCTCTTACTCATGGCTCTTCGTAGAATGAGGACTGCCCCAAAAGGCGAACTTAGAAACTGAGTACATTTGAACTGATGTGTGGGCGACCAATCCCAGAGGCAGCCACAGGGAAGGGGCTGAGTCCACAGGAACAGGAACAACTAAAATATGCATTACATATCAGGGAGGTGGCCTATGTTTTTGAAGCTTACAGAAACTAGGCTTCTCTGTCATTGACAGATCTGGTTCTGCATCCTTATGTCCATGGAGATTGGGCGTATCTGAAAACCTGGAAGGTCCAAAGCCCAGAGAGGCAATTAGGTCCAAAACGGATGCGACCATACTTAGTGACTGTGACCACACATTCTGCCTTAAAACTTAAGGGCGTCACCCCACAGATTCACCACACATGAGTGAAACAGGTGGATGCACCAGTGCAGGAAACTCCCTCATACTGGGCTGTACTGGGCTGAACCCATCTCGGATTTAAAATGGCTGTTCTGAAAACCCGACCTGGACTCCCAAAAGATAAGAATACTTAGACCCATCTAAAGAGGTCACTGCTATAAAACTTACACGTCTCTACCTTCCAGGAGAGTTCTTGGTGTCACTTTAGTGCTGTCTGCTTCTGATTGCATTAGGACTTGTTCTGTAGTCCACACAGGTGGTCCCTGGCTTAGGGCGCTGTTTCCTTTTGTATTGGAACATATTGACCATGCTAGTCCTGATTGATATCCCTCTGGCATCTTGATAAAACACTGCATATAGCTCAACCACAATCCCTCAAGCACTCCCTGAAAGCCCCATGGTGTTTCCTTAAACTAGTGACCCTTCGCCTAATACCATCCTCATCTCTGAGCCACCTCTGAGTGCTTAGTCTAGATAAATACAAATGTATTCTTTCTTTTTTTCTTATGCTGTTTGGTGATTTTGATCTCAGCAGCCAAAGAACTCTGGGGCACAAAGGCAATAGTCAACTTCTACCACATTATAGCCAGCCAGAACAATCTGTCTTAATGCCGGACATATCACAGGCACCTCCAGACTTGAGGAACATTGCACACTGTGTGTCCTTGGGGAGGTGATTTCAACCTTACACAGGTGCCATGAAAATCTAAAGTCCAACCCACACCTGTTCTGTGCGATTCCCTGTCTATGGGTTGCATGGATCTTACTCCAAGAGTCAAAGACTCATATGGTCCAGCACCTACCTCAGCCAACAAGGGATACTGGGGACTCCACTACCCACCTCCAGCAATAGCTTCAGTAATAAAAATAAATTTCACCTGGACTCAAAAAGGCCCCCTGTGCCCTCATTGTCAGAAGATTCACCCTCCCCTTCAGGGCTCTTAATTACTTCATTGGCTAAACTTCCCCATTCCCACAAGGGTGTGTGCATCCGCAGGGTGTGTGTTCATTTGTGGCTCTCCCCACCACCACCTCCCTAATAGCTCCTCTGCTGCTACCTTTTCTTTTCCATCGCTAGTGGTAGTTCACCCTTGTGTAGATAATGTAATACACACAGGACAATATATAATAGGTGTTTTGGGACCCAATGGAATAACCATTCATACCAAAACCTGCCATTGCAATTAAGTCTAAGAGGGCTCTTGGGCTGATCCTGGTAGGTATAGTACTTGCTGTACGGTTGGCTGCCCCTTGAGGGGCTTCGCCTATCATGAGGCTACCCTAAGAAATATAACCCAGTCAAAAAATCTCACAGGTAATACCAGGAAGTCTCTTCAAAATATACAGCCTTCTTTCAATTCACTGGCCAGTGTAGTACTGGACAATCAGTTGGCCTTAGACTATCTACTAGCAAAACAATAAGAAGTATGTGTGATCACCAATACCTCCTGTTGCACCTGAGTAAACACCTCTGGGGAGATAGAAGTTAATATAATGGAAATGTTTAAACAAGCAGAATGGCTCTAACTCCTTTGGGGTAACCAAGATTAGCTCTAACGACACCTGGAATGCAGTAAAAGGTGTCCTTTGCCTACTGGTGATGATCATACTTTTACTGGTTTTTGGCCCTGTATTCTTAACCTTTCAGTAATCTTTATCAGCAAGGAAGTGGAAGCAATCAAGCTACAAAGGGTAATCAAGAAGGGATCTTGGCAATTAGGGTTGCAGCCTGGTGACAGTCAGACCTACCTTAGAATAGCAAAGGAAGAGTTTTTCTCCTCTAACTTATGAAATGACAATGCCTATACACAGCAGAAAGCAGTTCTAGAAGATGGACCCCACCCCTCAGCAGCCATCAAGAATGAGGAGCAAACAGAGGAGGGATTTTGTATCTAGGGCAACCCTGATGAAATAACTTGGGAAGACTCTTTTTCTTACTGATTTTCTTTAGTCCCTTACTTATAGGCATAGCAGCTTAAGAACCCAGTGGGCCTGGGATGGTGCCAGAACGTCATGACCACTGACCAGCTACCAGAGGGAGGTAAGACCCCCAAAGCACCCAAGCTGGAACAGATGATCCTAGTTGCCTTCAGATCATTAAAATATTATAATGCCAAAATTCTGCACCACCACCACCCCCGCCGCCCGCAACACACACACACAAAAGAAAATCTCCACTATTTTATGTACATGGATTGTATGAAGATGTATGTTTATGAACTGAGCCTGTGGGTCTGGAGTCCCACCCTGCACATGCTAACATTCCTCTCCCTCCCTGTATGCAGTCCTTTAAAACCCCATGCCTTCTGTTGTTCAGGGAGAAGGTGCATTCGGAGCAAGAGTTTGCCTTCTCCCTTCCTGGCCAGGAATAAAACATGCTTCACTTTGTTTCCAGCTGGGTGTTCATTCTTTGCAACTGGTACAAAGTAAGGAAAGATCCCAAGTTACCAGTGACAAGTTGTCTTTATGACTGTCTTAAGACATCTGTCATCCACAATTATTGTTTTACTTTGATTCTTCTCAAAAAGCAGCTTACAATCAGCTACAGTCCAAAACTTACTGCTGTAGGGGGGTTCATGGAAAGGACTTTTGAATACAGGTTTCTGATTACTTTGGAGATTGTGCCATTGGACTAGAGAGAAAGCATGCAGGACTCTAATTAAAAGGCTGATGTGTACATAAAGACTGCTAACCCAGTATGAAGCAGAACAAGAGTTAATTGCATGGACTGAACTAATAGAGGACTGAAATAATTTTTATGGCTTTTTTTGTTTGAAAGATTGCCAGTTCTTTTTGTTCTGTTTTTTAGAGTAAAGAAAACTTTTTCTTTTGAGCTATTTATAGTGTTTAACAACTAATAGAGTATACTCTTGTAAACAAAATTTGAAGTATTTTTTTTCTCTCCAGCTGATTTCTCCAGATTTTGGAAATTATTTACAAGTATTCTCAATTTATGGCAATATGGTTATTTGTATAAGTTAAATAAGAATCTGTTTTATTTTATAACAGGTCACAACTGGAGACACTGATTGTTTTACCAAGGCTCGGACTGGAATAACATATTTTCAGATATGAGCAGAATGCTTTGAGAAACTGAAGTTGACTTATGGAGCCGATAAAAGCTTCTTGAAAAGCCTGGCCTTATACCTTGTCTATACAGTTCCTTCGCAGGCTTTCTGACCTGTGGAAAACAAAGAATGCCACTTTCTGACAGTATCAGGAACCTCCTGTTATTTTGAGACCTCAAGAAGACAGGAATTCACCCAATTTATATAGGTATCTGCAGGCACAGATAAATCTGTTAGAAATGCTTGTTCCCTGGTGTCATTAAGAAATAGCACTTGAACATAAATTTAATTTCCTCAGCAAGGCCATTTTTACTTTCTGCAGAAAGGGTACACTCGCCAGCAGTTTTGCCACGAGAGTACACAGAGCAAAGGAGACAGGGTCATTTATACCCTGATGCGTCCACCCCACTGCTGTGTCCGGTTTCCATTGGCTGGAACAGGACCTCACATTCCATGTTTGTCCTGATTGGCTGGCAACTTAGAACTTTTTAAAAGAGGCAAAGGCAGAGGAGAACAAAGGAAGGAGGAAGTAACTTTTGGAATCTGGAGAAAGGTAAAAACACCTTCAAATAAGGAAGAGGAACACGCTATGACCTAATGCTTGCTTGGACCAGTATAAGCATGCCAGGGCAAATATTTAGGCTAAATTGTGGGTGCTAAGAACATGAAGTACATTCATTTCTTTATTACGGCTAGCAGATATTTAAGAATATTAGCACAGTCGTGAATACATTTTGCTTCTAAGAGAAGTTACCATTTATTCCTAATTAGACGGGGAGGAAAGTCTTTGAAGAGGAGCCTCTACTTTACTTTTTATAAATCCTTGGCTGTGCTTGAAAGGCCTTTAAAATCCAAATCAGAGCTACCTTAGGAAAATTTCCAGCAAAGCCAATTTGTAAGAGCCTACAATAATTCTTGCTGCACGTTGTACAAATAATCAGGTCAAATATAAGACTAAAACTTATTTTGTAAATAAATTGGTCCCACTATGATTTGTCATTGTTAAAAATGGAGGACTAAGGAAAGAAAAATTATGTTTCAGAACAAAGCTGTAGTACACCTGTTATTGGATTAACCTTTGACTCCTGAGTGGCAATGTGGTCACCCATGGTGTGGAGCTGCAGCTGTGCTGCATTCAGTTACTAAAGGTAAAAGTTACCAATGGAATTCTGAGATGGATTCAAGTCCTGGGGAGTTGATTCAGTGGATGCATAATGAAATGCAAACTTCATAGGGAAAAGTGAAATATTCAATCCCTTTGTTATTATTATCTATAATAGCTAGAATAAAGGTAAGAGAGTGCTGAGTTGGATCTAAAAGCTAGGCCAAACTCAGACCTGGGTCTGTCTGAGCTCAGATCACCAGCTTTAAGGCTACCCACAAAAAGGGAAAATTATGCCAGGCAACCAAAAAGTATCTCTAAGACCTGTGGTTTCCAAGAAGTATCTCTGAGACCTATGGTTTCCAATGTGAGGAAAGGGCAGAACCAATTAACTACTGAAACCAGAGGGTATAATGTGAAGGAATTGTTCCATTTTACAGATTGGTATCGACAGCTTCCTGAAGACCCTTTACTACAGAGGATTGTGAAAGTAACTAATTTAGGAGCAATGTCTTTGGTTTTAAATGCTGCAGAATTGCAAAGCGTTTTTTTGGTTCATCTAGGACCCACGGCTCACTACTGAACAATTGCAGATGGGTATATGTAATCCAGACACACAGAGGGTTATTCCTGAGAGAACAGCCAGGCTGGTGGACTGGATAAAAGCCACTGCAAGATCTGTTTACTCTGAGAGGAGGGAACCTATCAAAGCCAAGTGGAGCAGCCCGGATGAAGCAGCTGATATGCTTCATATGCAAATCCTTGGGACTGGCTTTATAATGACAGGGATATTAACCTTATGTTTTGGAAATAAATTAACTAGTCTGAGTTTGCTTCCAACAGGTTCTAGTTCAAGTTAGCTGGTGTTAAGCCATAAATTCACCATACTCAGGTAAAACCAGTCCCTCTGGGGTCCCTCCAAGGGAAACAGTCATGGTCTTTTGAACCCTTAAAGACAGCCTTAAGTTAGCATTCAAAGCCCAAAGACCCAAAATAAGAAATCATTAAGGGACCACACACTTTCAGTTCGTTATTGTTCTCCCCTAAAGGATAAACCACAGCTTTCTGAAAGTGGATGTGATGAATCAGGAATTCTTTTTGGGAGGCTTAGGTTTGTTCTCTTGGGTTCCACAAGTGTGTGTGTATGTGTGTTTAATTATGGTTCTTCAGCAAGCTGGATGCTAACCAGGTACTACATTTTCATTCCTCGTCACTATCCCATGATGCCCCTCCTCAGCATGAGGCAGAGAGAAGGATCGACAACAGGGTTCCCGACATTGAGGGACGGATAAAGGTGGGGGACTATAACCAGCCCTATTATCCCATATAACTGATATTTATGGGTTTTTTGGAATAAACAGAAATTGACCCTCTCTAGTCTTAAAATTTGAAACTTACATTTGTCTTACTGACTTCCTTCCTTAGGAAACAAACCCTCTGGCAAGGAACTGAAACTCATCAGACCACTACATCCAATGAGACACCAGACCCCTCATCCATCATGATTGTTTCCTTACCCCTCTCTAATTCCTGTTTTTCCACGTTTCCCACTCCATAACCTCCTCAGTTTTACTTGGTTGGGGAGACGGATTTGACTTCATCTCCCATTTTCCCCAGGTTCAGCACTTGATTAAAGCCTTCTTCCTGGCAATAGTTGTTGCCCCAGCAATTGGCATTCTGTATGGCGAGCAGCAGGACCTAGACTGAACTGTGGTATTTTGATAAAAGTTCTGTTTCTCTGAAGAATCCTGAGAATGTAGGTTCTGATTCTGGTTCTCTGGAGAATCCTAATACAATCACCATGCCTAGCAGCATAGCTGGAACATTCAATACCTTCTGGATCATTCAACTACAGGGAGTTTTAATTAACCCAGGAGGCCCAGTTAGTATTCTCTGAAATCCATTACCACATTTTTGTCAAAGCCATACTTCCATGGGCTGCTCCCAGCTAATAACTAAATGTGACCAGGCCTATTTCTGAGAGATATAAAACTCCAGTAATGGCAGACTATGGCTCAGGGATGGCCTTGCTGAGCCTCTACTAGATTACATAGCAGTGCTTCTATCCTGCCTGCCTTCTGTCTCTCCTTCACGCAGAAACAGACATGCAGTGTGGTCCAAAGTATATCAAAGCCTTTCTGGCGTGCTCCCCATTTTCTCTCATGGGAATGCCCTCAAGTAAAATCCTTGCTCATTTAATCCTGTCTTGGTGTCTGCTTCTCAGAATACCCAAATTATTACCCCTAGTTAAGAATTTGGGCAATATGTTGAAAGAGACAATATTCAAAGAAATAAGCAAAGCCACAGTTAAAGAGACTAAACCACTGGACCAGGAAACAAGGAAGCAGAGCAAGGAGAGTGCTGTTGTATGAATTTGAGGAACTAGGCATAGTGCAGGCAGTAGAACAAGTAACCTTGTTTAGAGGAAGATGAGATGAATAGATAAGACCAGGTGGATCTGGCAGTCTTCTATTCCCAGCAACTCGGCGCTTCTCTTGTGTCTGGCCCATCTACAATGAAGAAAATGTGCTTTTCTCCAAGCAGCTTTTTGTAGGCAGATTCTTCCCCACAACACCCTCCAGATCAAAAGGGTAGCAGGAAAGAAGGAGGAAGTCAACTTAGGTGTTCTGAATATAGATAACCCAAGTTCAAATCCTGGCTCCACAACTTTCTCAGTGTGGGATTGACATTGAGCATTGAGAAGTTAAGAGTTTCTTGGCCGGGCGCAGTGGCTCATGCCTGTAATCCCAGCAGGTGAGGCCGAGGTGGGCGGATCACCTGAAGTCAGGAGATTGAGACCAGCCTGGCCAATGTGGCAAAACCCCGTCTCTACTAAAAATACAAAAAATTAGCCAGGCATGGTGGTGCATGCCTGTAATCCCAGCTACTCGGGAGACTGTGCCAGGAGAATTGCTTGAACCCGGGAGGTAGAGGTTGCAGTGAGCCGAGATCACGCCACTGCACTCCAGCCTGAGCAACAGAGCAAGACTCAGTCTCAAAACAAAACAAACAAAAAAAGTTTCTTAACTAGCATATTGTTCTGAGTGATGTTATAAGAATTAGATTATCCTTATCAACTCATCTGCACATTGCCTACTACACAGTAAACTTATGTGATCTATTTTTATCAGAGAGGTCATCTGGAATTCAGAGCTTTTGGCTAGGTCATCTTCCCTTTTTTGTCTACTGTCATACCATGAGAAGTGACTTTTCTCCAATGATGAGTGTAGGCGTCTAAACATGACAATTAGGTCCACTGTATTCATCGTGTCATCCAAATATAACAGTATTTTAAAATAAGTGACTACTGCATATGTTAAAAATATCTGCTAAGTTTGTAGGCTCATGGATTTCCCGTAATTGTTTTGACATTTTTTTCTTTTTCTTTTTTTTTTTGGTGGGGGTGTTGTTTTTTGAGAAGTTTTGTCCTTGTTGCCCAGGCTGGAGTGCAATGGGACAATTTTGGCTCACTGCAATCTCTGCCTCCAGCGTTCAAGTGATTCTCCTGCCTCAGCCTCCCAAGTAGCTGGAATTACAGGCATGTGCCACCATGCACAGCTAATTTTTTTGTATTTCGTGAGACAGGGTTTCACCATGTTGGTCAGACTGGTCTCCTGGTCTCGAACTCCTGACCTCAGGTGATCCACTCACCTCGGCTTCCCAAAGTGCTGGGATTACAGGTGTGAGCTACCATGCCCGGCCGTTTTGTCATTTTTTCTTTGTATATTCTGAGGCTATGTAATTATGTGGATAAAAATTTAAAATTCTCTTAAATTTCCGAGTCATTGATTGTTTTTTCATTTTCTCTACTAATACCTGTGCCTTAAAATTCACTTTGTCGGTGACAGCGCAAGACTCTGTCTCAAAAAAAAAAAAAAAAATCACTTTGTCAAATATAAGTAAATTTAGAAAATCTTTCTTTTGGATTACTTGTGTTTAATTTCCAATATCACTTTTTTATTTCTATTTATCTTGCTTGTTCTAGGTCAATTTTCACTTCTTTACCTTCTTCCAAATTTGTTTTTATTCTTTTTCACAGATTTTTAGTCACTATTTCAATAATTTTTCAGAAAAACATCTTGTTTAGAGAGGCTCAGGAGAATATAGAATATTGAGTAGAAAGACCTGCATATCTGATTCACGGATTTTCTCACATGGCAATATCAGACAGTCCCAAGCCTGATCAGTAAACCTATGTCTATATCTGTAGGAGCACTGAGAGCCAGCTGTGGCATCATAGTGATTTAGCAGCAAAAAATCATTGCTGTGTCCTCACGATATTTACCTTAAACCACTTAAATTTTTCTCACTGCAGTCTAATCAAACACATTTTTCCCTCTTCACAAAAACTCACACTCACAAAGGAACGAAATGTTTTAACAATTGACATTCAATTTTAAGCTCTGCTTTATTTTACATGCATATATATATATATATACACACACACACACATATTCTCCTGTATTTATATATAGATATGTACACACACTTACATATTAAAGTATGTTTATACACATTGGGTTGGGTGTGTACATATTTAGATATAGATAGATAGATAGATAGATAGATAAATTTCACCTATGTATGATTTTTCAGGAGACTTATGCACACACAAGCATAGACACCATATCTGATTATCACTGCTGTTTTTTTTTTTTCCTCGAGACAGGGTCTTGCTCTGTCACCCAGGCTGGAGTGCAGTGGCGCAATCTTGGCTCACTGCAACCTCTGCCTCCTAGATTCAGGCAATTCTCCCGCCTCAGCCTCCCGAGTAGCTGGGATTGCACACGCCCACCAACACACCCAGCTAATATTTGTATTTTTAGTAGAGATGGGGTTTCACCATGTCAGCCAGGCTGGTCTCAAACTCCTGACCTCAAGTGATCTGCACGTCTCGGCCTCCCAAAGTGCTGGGATTACAGGTGTGAGCCACCGTGCCAGGCCTATCACTGGTTTTATATACAAATGATTTATAAACTTTAGCACATGTATATTTCCTACTTGCCACAATATTTCCAGGTCAGCCCAAGCAAATTTCCTGTTTTTATGTTTGTTTACTTTTAAAATCTTGTTTTATAATATTCCATTGTATGTCAATGCTATTTTTTAACCAGTTAACTATTGTTGGATTTGTCTTTTCTAATTTTTTCTTTTTTTTTTTTTGACACAGTCTGGCTCTGTCACGCTGGCTAGAGTGCAGTGGCACCATCTTCACTCATATTTTTATATGTATTAAAAATATAAATGCAGATCCAAGATAAACCTAAAATAACATATATCAAAAAGATTAAAAACAAAATTATGAGTATAAAATATATATATGTGTCTCTGTCTCCAGTTTTGTTTTGTTTTTTTTTGAGACAAAGTCTGGCCCTGTCATACGGGCTGGAAAACAGTGGCACGATCTTGGCTCACTGCAACCTAAGCCTTCCAGGTTCAGGCCGTTTTTGTGCCTCAGCCTCCCAAGTAGTTGGGACCACAGGTGTGCACCACCACCCCTGGCTAATTTTTGTATTGTATTTTTAGTAGAGACGGGGTTTCGGCCATGTTAGCCAGGCTAGTCTGGAACTCCTGACCTCAAGTAAGCCCCTTGCCTCAGCCTCCCAAAGTGTTGCAATTATAGATGTGAGCCACTGCACCTGTTATAATGCAGGCTGAGATTAACAAACTTGTACCTGAAAGATTTTGTATGTATAGAATAAACCTGCAAGTCACATTTTTAAAAAATAGAATGGCTTGGTCAATGTGTATGCATATGTGAATTCATGATTTGATTCTCATCGAATGTTCCTCCATGGAAATTGTACCAATTATACTCCTGCAAGCAAAGTATGCCTATTCTCCCAACAGAGTGTGTTTTTAAACATCTGGGTTTTTGACAAATTGAGAGGAAACTGAAACTTCATCAATTTTAATAAGTATTATTAGTGATGCTTGACAACTTTTCCCCTCCTTCAAACTATATGCATTTTGTTTATGTGCAAGAGGTATACTTTTTGTTAAGGTTTTTGTTGATTAAGAAGCCTTTATGTATTATAGAAATAAATTCTCAACCCATTTTATGACTTTTTTTATAGTTTGATACTTTTTTAGGGGTGGGGAAGTTGCTCATGTCAAATTCATTAGCTCATTTTAAACTGGTTCCATTTGTAAGGCAGAGCAATTGGTGTGAGTCCCGCCCTGCAGTCAGATGGGCGAGTCTATTAACTGTGTGCCATGGACATGTCTACGAGCCTCCCTCAGCTTCAGTGCTCTCAGCTGCTACAAGGGGTTAATAGTGACTACCTCTTGGGATGGTTGGAAGGATTAAATGGGATAAACCATCTCAGAACAGCGCCTGGCACACAGTAGACCCTATGCAGTTATTGCTACAATTATGGTCAAACTTTTAAGAGTTTTATAGAATATGTCATTGTAAGACATTCTTGACTCCAAGACTTTAAAATAAAAAGAAAATCCTTTCCTGGTTTTGTATTTGTCTGAAATTTTGATGTAAGTGGAATTTATACTGCTGTTAAAATATGGTATTTGGAGCCCATGACTCCTGAATTCACCCGACAACCTTTATTAAATAATCCTGTTATTTTTATCTTTATCATCAACTCAATACATATGTCCATTTATGAACCTTTTTAGCATATATTTTTTATCAATTCAAGTCCCACTATCTGCTTTTCATATTGCTGGCAATATGACACTGTTTGAAGACCTGGTAAAGTTCATTGAATGGATGCTTTTCAATTCTAAAATATTCTGGTCCTGTTGGCTTCCTGCCCCCCCCCCAACAGATCAACTTTCACAATAGTTTTTTGTTTAGTTATAAAGAACTAGTTTGTACTTGTGTTGTTATGAGATACACACACACAAACACAAACACACACACACGTTTTCATTTACGGTTCTTGGCTCATAACTCCCATAGCCCTTGTTACAGTCTTTTTAAAAAAATACTGCGTGTGTTAGGCTTCAGGAGCAGGCCTTAGGAAAGAGAATCTCTCTGACCTTCTCCTGACCTCTTTTCACCCACCTCAAGGCAGGAGGATTCCAATCTCCCCCAACCTTTCTGATGTGGATCATAAGATCCTCATCTGATAAAGGGTCATACCCCCCATACCTTGGGGGAAGGAATGCTGATGTCATGAAGCTTCCATAAAAACCCCAGAGCACTGGGCTCAAAGGCTTCTGGATAGCTGAACACCGGGAGGTTCCTGGAGGGTGGCACTCCAGGAGGGCATGGGAGCTCCACCCCATTCCCCCATAGCTTCCTCAAATGCATCTCTTCATCTGCATCCTTTGTAATATCCTTTATAATAAATCAGTAAACATAAGTGTTTCACTGAGTTCTGTGAGCTGCTCCAGCAAATTAATCAAATCCAAAGAGTGGGTCGTGGGAATGCCAACTTGAAGCCCACTGGTCAGAACTTCAGAGGCCTGGACTTTGTGACTGGTGTCTAGGGAGTGGGGGGAGTCTTGAGGCCGGCCCCTCACCTGCAGGATCTGACACTATCTCCAGGTAGATAGCCTTGGAATTAAATTGGAGGATGCCCAGCTGGTGTCTGCTGCTTGGTGTGTGTGAAATGCCCCCACATTTAGCCACTGACATTTTCTGCATTGATGATTGTTGTGATTGAGAGCACAGGAAGGACACAGTTTAAGACTTTTCCCTAAGCAGTACTTTATTAGAAATTTTGTAAATTCATTAAAAAATTGACACATTGGTGATGTTAAAGTTCCCTATCAAATTATATAGTATATATTATCATTTGTTTAAGTATTTATGGTTTCCTGAAGGCACTTAACACATTTTTAAATTTATTCCCAGTTTTTATTTATTCCTAAATTTAAAGTACATGGTTCTTGTGTACTTTAAATTATTGTTGTGATAACAAAAATAGGCATTTCATTACATTTTCTATATTATACGAAACTTATCCACATTTATTATTTTTCTCCTAGAATTTTACTGATTTTTATTTTTTAAGGTTTTACAGAAATTTTCAGATTTTCAACATACAACATCTCAGAGAGAGGAATTTAAATCCTTCTTTGAAGGATGTATCATTTATATGTCTCATTTTTTGGCCTTGTATACAATTGCATTGATTGATACATCAAAATAATAACTAACAGTGAAGAAAGGAGAGAAAAATCTAATTGTTTTTGCCTGATCAAAAGAGATGATTATATGATTACCTTTTTTGGCTAATTAAATAAATACAATGCTGAAATATTTTTATTCTAATATTTTCTTAAAATTTTGCATCATTATTCATAAACTTGATCATTAGTTTGCATGTATTTGTGAATGTGTTTGTGTGTGTTCACTACCTTAGTTACACTCTGATATAAAATTACGTGTCATTCATAATTAAACAAGTCAGTGACCCTTCCTTCCATTTTAAACTTCTGGATTGTGTTACATAGCACTTTAATGATTTGTTCTTTAAAGGTTTTATGACAATCCCTATTAAAATTGTGATAACCATTTTATTAATTTTATGTTAACTAGTAGGTTACATTGTCATGTTTTGTAGCCAATGTTTGATAAATTATAAATGCCTGGAAAATCATCAATTTCAGTTTTGCAATTAATCTTCATCTAGTTGAGTGATGATTTCTTATGTTTGTTTAATAGAATATCTGTTGTGAATTCCTCCTATTGAATGTGTGTATGTGATTTTGTTTTTATTTTTTCTCATTTTCCTCATTAATTTAGTTAGTGGTTTATCTATTTTATTAATTGTTTTCAAAGTCTCAGCCTTTATATTTAATATTTTAATCTTCCTATATTTTTTATTTCTTTTCATTAGTTATGTGTTTTTGTGTGTTCATTTCTCAAAAATTTAGATTTGGGTAATATACACATATAAATATATTTATGCTCTAAATAGCTGTATTATATACACTAAAGCAAATTGATCACAAATTTGGGAGATATATGAAGTTGCTTATATGATTATTTCCTTTGATATATTAAGAAAAAATATTTTTTCATATTGTACCATCTTTGTTTTCCTGGAATATAATCCACTACTTCCTGAAGTCTTATTTTTTAACAGTGCTATTCTTTCACTTTCTAATATTTCATTTCATATTTTTTGCATCAATATTTATAAATGAGATAGATCTCTAGTTATTTTTGTATTATACTATGTTGGTACTATGGTTTGAATGTGTCCCCGCAAGAGGATGTGTTGGAAACTTAATCCCCAATATAACAGTGTTGGAAGGTAAGGCCTAATGGGAAATGTTGAGGTAATGAGAGCTCTACCCTCATGAATGGATTAATACCAATTATAAAAGGGCTTGAAGTTTTGAGTTCAGGCTATTGCTCTCTTCACTCTCATTGCCCTTTTGCCACAGGATGGTGCAACAAGAAGGCCTTCACCAGATATTGGCCCCTCAATCTTAGATTTCCCAGCCTCCATAACAATAAGCCAATAAACTTCTGTTCACTGTAAACTACCCAGTCTCAGGCACAGAGGGGCCCCAGTTTATGATGGTTCAACTTATGATTACTCAACTTTACGATGGGTGTATCAGGACATAACCCCAATGTAAATCAATGAGCATCTGGACTTAACAATGGTTTGACTTATGATTTTTTTGTCTTTATAATGGGTTTATAGGGACATTAAATGCATTTTCAACTATGATATTTTCTACTTATGATGAGTTTATTGGGACACAGCCCCATCATAAGTCAAGGAGCATGTGTATTCTGTTACAGCAGCACAAAATGAACTAGAACTGGCAATATTTTGATACCATGTTATATACCATTCATAAGTTATATAGGTGCACCTTTATTTTATAAAATAGTGCTTCTCAGTCTGTTTGTGTTGCTATAAAGAAATGCCTGAGGATGGGTAATTTATTTAAAATACAGGTTTCTTTGGCTTATGGTTCTGGAGACTGTACAAGAAGCATGGCACCAACACCTGCTTCTGGTGAGAACTTCAGGCAACTTCCACCCATGCCAGAAAGGGAAGGGGAGTAGGCATCACATGGCAAGAGAGAAACCCAGAGAGAAGAGGAGGAAATGCCAAGGTCTTTTAACAACCAGTTCTCTAGAGAACTCAAGAGTAAGAACTCACTCATCTCTGCAAGAATGGCACCAAGCCATTCATGAGGGATGCACCCCAATATTCCCAACACCTCCCACCAAGCCCCACCTCCAACACTGGTTATCAAATTACAATATGAGACTCGGTGGGGCCAAAGATACCATATCCAAACCATGGCATTCTGCCCCGACCCCCTAAAACTCAGGTTCTTCTCACATTGCCAGATAAAATCATCCTATCAACAAAGTCTTAACTTGGTCCAGCATCAACTCAAAAGTCCAAAGTCCAAAGTCTCATCTGAGACTCCAGGCAAGTTCTTTACAGCTGTGAACCTGTAAAATAAAAAACAAGATATTTACTTCCAAGATACAAACGTGATACAGGCATTGGTTAGACATTCCCATTCCAAAAGGGAGAAATCAGCCTAAAGAAAGAGGTAATACTCCCCACATTAAGTCTAGAACTCAGAAGGGCAGATATAAAAACTTAAAGCCCCAAAATGTTCTCCTTTGACTCCATGTCCCACATCCTGGGCACAACAGTATGAAGTGTGGGCTCCCAAGGCCTTGGGCAGCCCTGTCCCAGTAGCTTTGATGTGTGAAGCCCATGTGGCTCTTATCATGTACTGGAATCCAATGCTTGCAGCTTTTCCATGCTGAGAGTGCATGCTGCTAGTGACTCTAGAATTCTGGGGTCTGGAGGATGGCAACCTTACTCCCTCAGCTCCACTAGGTGGTGCCTGGTGGAGACACTACGTGGGGGCTCCAACCCACAAAGAGCTCAGCCAATCTCACACTGTGTGCCTGCAGTCTTAGCACCACATGGAAGCCCCAAACATTACACTTTGCACCCTCTGAAGCAGTGGTCTAAACAGTAGCTTGAGCCCTTTGAGCTTTAGCTGTGGTCCGAGCAGCCAGGATGTGGGAAGCAGCTTCCCAAGATTGCACAGGGCAGCAGCACCCTGGGCCTGGCCCAGAAGTCATCTGTCCTCCTAGGCCTGTGGACCTGTAATGGGAGGAGTAAACTCAGATTCTGAAATGCCTTTGGACTTTTTTCACTGTTCTATTACCAACTGGCTCTCTTTTTACCTGTGCTAATCTTTCTAGCAAGCAGTTGTTCAGCTGCGCCCCCCCTCAGATTTCCTCTCCTGAAAAATGCTCTTTCCTTCTCTTTTGCATGGACAGGCTTGAGTTTTCCAAATTTTTATGCTCTGTATCCCTTTTAACCAAAAGTTCCAACTTTAAGTCCTTCCTTTGCTCCCAATCTGTTGATTGTTGGATGCAGCCACACCACTTCTTGAATGCTTTGCTGCTTAGAAATTTCTTCTGCCAGATACTTTAGGCCGTCACTCTTAAGTTCAGCTTTCCACAAAGTGCTAGTGTATACACAATGCAGCCAAATTATTTGCTAGGGTATAACTTTGCTTCAGTTCCCAGTAAGTTCCTCATTTCCATCTGAGACCTCCTCAGCATGTCCTTTATTATCTGTATTTCTATCAGCATTTTGGTCACAACCAGTCTCTAGGAAGTTACAAGCTTTCCCTTCCTATCTTCTTCTGAGCCCTCTAGACTCTTCCAGCCTCTGCTCATTACCCAGTTCCAAAGCTGCTTCCAAATGTTTAGGTATTTTTATAGCAACGTTCCACTCCTCAGTACCAATTTTCTGTCTTAGTCCATTTTTGTTTCTATAAAGGAATATATGAAACTGAATATAATTTTTAAAAGAAGCTTATTTGGCTTATGGTTCCGGAGTCTGTAAAAAAATCATGGCACCAGCTGGGTGTGGTGGCTCATGCCTGTAATCTCAGCGCTTTTGGAGGCCCAGTCGGGTGGATCACCTGAGGTCAGGAATTCGAGACCAGCCTGACCAACATGGTGAAACCCCGTCTCTACTAAAAATACAAAAATTAGCTGGGCGTGGTGGCGGGCACCTGTAATCCCAGCTACTCGGGAGGCTAAGGCAGGAGAATTGCATGAACCCCTGAGGCAGAGGTTGCAGTGAGCCAAGAGTGTACCATTGCCCTCCAGCCTGGACAACAAGAGCAAAAATCCATCTCAAAAAACAAACAAAAAAAAAAGCGTGGCACCAATATCTGCTTCTGGTGAGGGCCTCAGCAAGTTTTCACTCATGATGAAAGAGGAAGAGGAGAAGACATCACATCATGAAAGAGAAGGCAAAGGAGTTGCCAGGTTCTTTTCCTATTTTTTTAGAGACAGGGTCTCACTCTGCAGCCCAGACCGGAGTGCAGTGGTACAATCATAGCTCGCTGCAGCCACGACCTCCTGGGCTCAATCAGTCCTCCCTCCTCAACATCCTGATTAGCTGGGACTACAGGCATGTACCACCATGTCTGGTTAATTGTTTCTATTTTTTTTATAGAGATGGGGTCTCACTATGTTGTCTAGGCTGGTCCAAACTCCTGGCCTCAAGCATTCCTTATGCCTCTGTCTCCCAAAGTGTTAGGATTACAGGCATGAGCCACTGTGCCCAGCCTAGGCTCTTTTCAACAACCAGTTCTAATGGGAATTCAGAGTGAAAATTCACTCACTTTCGTGAGGAGAGCAGCAAGCCATTCATGAAGGATCTGCTCCCATTACTCAAACACCTCCTACTCGGCCCCACCTCCAACACTGTGGATCAAATTTCAACAGGAGACTTGGCGGGCTAAATAAACCATATCCATACCATAGCAGTTCTGTATACTGAATGTCTGTGTATCTCCAAAATTTCTACGGTGAAATCTAATCTCTAAGGTAATGGTATTAGGAGATGGGACCTTTGGAAGGTGTTGGAGTCATGACGGTGGAGGCCTCATATGTGGAATTAGTGCCCTTAATAAAAGAGGTTCCAATTTGCCAGCTCAAATGGTATATACAGCTTTGTGTCTAAGCCCCCACAACTGTGATTCCCTCATCGTTTGTATTGTATTCTTGATGAACTTGCATAAAACTTTCACTATAACGTTATCATATGACATTGCTTCAAGCACTTCTCCACTGAAAAACAAACTACCCATAAAAAAGAAAACAAATATATTTATGTAATTATTTAGTTTTTAATACATTTTATTGTACATTAAAACAGCACAATTAAAGGGGTCCCAACGAGGTTGGTAGTGCCTTCCACTATGTGAGGACACTAAGAAGATGGTCATCTATGAACCAAGCTGCCGGTGCCATGCTCTTAAACCTCTCAGCCTCCAGAACTGTGAGAAATAAATTTATGTTGCTTATAAGCCACCTAGTTTATGATATTTTTTAACAGTAGCTCAAATGGACTAAGAAATGGTTTATACAGCATTGCAATATATTTAATTAAATGTTTAAGTAAATTTCAGGGGATAATGTCTTCTGTTTCTTTCTGTGTGGAGTAGGGAGTAAGTGAATTTTAGACAACTTCTTTTTTTGTTGTTGTTAGTAATAGGTTCGTTTAGATTTGTCTTCTGGATTGATGTTTGGAAATTTATATTTATGTTGAAACTGTTAAATTTTGTTTCATATTTTCAAGTACATTTCCCTCAGGTATAACAAGGATTTATTTCCCATTTCTTTAGTGTCTTTTTAGCTCTAATTACCTCTGATTAACATGTCCTATTTTAATTGCACTTTATCCTTTATTTTTTAAGTTAGTGGTTTATCTGTTTACTAATTATTTTTACAAAAAAAAAATCAGCCTTTACATTTTCATTCTCTGTTCAACAAATTTTTAGTTTAATATTTCCTAATTCCTCCTGCTTACTTTAGTTGTGTTTGTATGTGTTTGTGTATATGTGTGCATGTGTTCATGTTGTGGTCTTTTTAAAATTTAGGTTTGAATACCTAGTTAATTAGGCTCTTTGTTTTTAAGACAATATACATTAGTATTTAAAATTAGGAGTTATACTCTGAGTACAGATCCAAAAGTATCCTGTATATTACGGTGTGTATAATTTGTCATTGTCATATTATATTCTTCTAAATGATTTTGAATTCACTCCTACATCAAATTATTTATGAGAGACAATTAAAAGTGGTAGTAGCTTATTTTCTTTTCTTTGTTTTTTGTTTGAGACTGAGTCTTGCTCTGTTGCCCAGGCTGGAGTGCAGTGGCGCGATCTCGGCTCACTGCAAGCTCTACCTCCCGGGTTCACGCCATTCTCCTGCTTCAGCCTCCTGAATAGCTGGGACTACAGGCACCTGCCACCAACTCTGGCTAATTTTTTTTTTTTTTTTTTTTTTTTTTATTTTTAGTAGAGACAGGGTTTCACTGTGTTAGCCAGGACGGTCTCGATCTCCTGACCTCGTGATCCGCCCGCCTCGGCCTCCCAAAGTGCTGGGATTACAAGTGTGAGCCACTGTGCCCAGCCGGTAGTAGCTTATTTTCTTATATTGACCTCAGAAAATGTTGCCTGTACTACTTTTATATCTAGATCTAATTGACAGTTTCACTGTACTCTATTTCACAATTATTTTTGTTATTGTTCCATTAATATTGGAAAATGTGATATATATTTTCAAGGCAAAAATTGACATGAATTAGTTTACTTCTTTGCACTAGTACTGGCTTATTTCCCACACATCCCTGTTCCCAGCCCTACCCTAACTCTATCCCGCACTGAAGTTGTAGTTTAGTATTAGTTGTGGCAACAGAAACCATGCCTCTATGACATTTGGAAAACTGTAAAATGGAAGAGCATATGGACATAGACCACAGACTGAAAATGTTTCCCTGTCAGTGAAATTCAGTGAATTGATTTAGTGACATGTGAGCCATGAGACAAAGTGATTTCCATATCTTCAAAGGGGAGGAATTACTAGGTAAATTTCTCTTAGTATATTTGCATGTGTGGATATCCATCAAATCGAGACACATGAAACCTAAGCAAAGCAAACCTGACTTGTTTTAGGCTTTTTAAGTTGTAGCTGAAATGATACCATTTTTGTGGACCCCAGGGCTGAGTCCTTGAGTCCTCATAGGGGCGAGGGCCAGCACACACTCTGAATCACTCACAGAGCAGACCTTTGTGTGGCAAAGGCTTCTTTGTTCCTGACTGCAGCAGGGGAGTGGTCAGATCGTGGGAAAGCCCTTGGTAACATTTCACCCAGACCTGGTGGCAGTAATACTTCTGTTATTTGACATTTTTCTGAATGAACTGATGAGGGAACAAGGAATCCCATATATTCTAAAAATGTCCCTTTGTTATTTTCCTCACCTAGAACTCTGCCAAAAATATGTATTTCTTTTGTTATATTTTAAGTAACTGAATAGCACATATTTAGTTTCAAATGAATAATTTTTGCTGAAAAAATACTTCATCTTTTTGAAATTATGAATGTGAGGGTAATATACCCCTTGCTTACCAAAATAATCATTAAATGATAACATTACATTAATACAAGTTCCAGAGATTCTCAAAAAGAAAATCTTGGTGATTAATTTCTGTGCAATCACCTTTTCATGTCCAAAAATATGCACAAATCTCACATCTATATATAATCACTAAAAAAAAAAAAAAACCTATGTTTCAAGCTTTTTGTCCAGACTACATTTGATCCTCACAACAATCCTGCAAAAGTAGGTGGAACTGTACCCATTTCTCATATGAAGAAACTGAAGTACAGAAAATTTAAGTAACTTGCTTAGACTGTGAAACTGAATGGCTGGTAAGAAGCAGAGTCAGGATTCTAACTATCCTTGGTCTCTCAAGCCACTTTATTTTCTACTGACGATTGTCCTACTATAAATACTGAACTTTATGATTATCTGGTTCAAGATACTATTTGAATAAAAACACAATATTTCACAATGCAGGGAAGTGTACATTTGGAGAAACTTTCCACAGCTTTCTGGGCTCAGCTTAAAAACCCCTCTCTGAAAGCTTTGCCACTATTTTCTGAGACTTTGGTGTTGGCACAGTCTTTGAGAGTGCACCATCTGGTCTCATTCTTTGGTTGTTTAGTTCATCTAATCTCTCTTTCTCCTGCACGACTGCAGGGCAGGGACCTCAGATGTTTGGAATTTATTTGGAATCTGTCACTCACCTTGCATGCCAGTGATAGTCAGGCATCAAGGGTGTCCTGATTGGTGAATTCTTTGGCTAAGAGGAATCAAGAGGAAAGGAATATGGCAAAAGGTCCAGGCAAATAGGCTGAGGTACTTAATAGGAGAACCAGGAGTCATGTAAGAAGGAAGAGGCAATGTAAAAGTATAGGAGGCTGAGGCACACTCTGAAGCAGTGGACTAAAATCACTGAGCTGGCAGCCTATAGATAAAAGCCCCATGGCTCCTACATTCTGTGGGAGCTTATTCAAGTCCATCTTTGCTCCACTTGGCTGAATCATCCATATTTAAAGGCTGTACTTGCATCTCCAGCAGCTACATTCAGCTGGTCGACCTGCTCCTAGTGAACATGGTAAGTGCGAGTGCTCTGGACAAATACTGCTTGAGTTCCAGTCTTTGTTCCACTAATTCACAGCTATGGGTTGTAAACTCTACGGGCAAAACCTTTAAATTCTCTATTATTTACCTCATCATGATAATGAGAAAAACTATAGCAAGTACCACATTAGGTAGTTCTGACAAATTCATCCTTTTGCATGCAAAGTACATGGTATAAACTCTGTAAATGTGCCATCTTTGTTGGACAGTCAGGACAGTGTGAATAACCTGGGACTCAAGATTCAGACTCCCAGCATATTTTTCAGCTACTTCAGCCAAGATAAGTGCATTTGCAGTTGATGCAGATCATACGTTGTACAGGTAAATCATTAAAATGGCATCATTCTCTTTCACATTCATTTTTTCTTTGCTTGTTTGGTTACTAAAAAGATGTATTAAAATTGTCCACTAAGAGTCTGGATTTAGGATTTTCATCAGTTGTGTATCTGATACAATGTTATTAAATGTATACAAAATTTGAAGTTATATATTCCTGTGAATTACAATTTAATGTTTATGTACCATTCCTTTTTATCTCCAGCAAAGTGTTTATCCTTACTATAAACTTTGTCTACAATCAAGAGAGTCACAGCACCTGTTCGGCTTTTTCCCATCCTACTACTTTGAGTGTTTCTGTATTTTCATGTTGTGTGTATTTTAAACAGGATGTTTCATTCTGATTGTAATGAAGTCTTATAGCCTTTGACTTTCAGTCTTTAAACTGCTTTCATTTAATCTAATTAAGTTGTATGTAAATTTTCTATATTACTCTTACACTTAGTTTTTAGTGCTTTCTATATTTTATTATTTTATCTTTCCATTCTTTTATTCTCATTGGTTTTAATATTTTTGTTCTATTTTCCCTTTTATAATCTTGTTACTTTTATGTTGAACTCTTTTGTCAAAAGCCCCTTGTTGGAAAAGTCTAGAGACTTTGTATATCAAATACAAAGCACTGTGCCTCTGAGCCTAGGATTTGCTGTTACAAAGAATTAATGAGAAGGTGGCTAAACTGCATAGGAAAACCATTTCTGTATTTATAGAGTAAGCTATTAATGCCATTGTAAGAATTACCAATATAGTGCTTTGTAAGTCCTCTAAGATCTGCATCTGTCACATTTGGCCAGACCCACTTGAACAGTCCTTTTCATTAGATGCTAATTACTGGCTTCTGTGCGAGGGACAGAAAGATTATTCACACAACTCACATCCACACAACAGCCAATCCTGTTAGGCTTTGACCTTCAGCTTTCAGCTCTGTATTTACTTTATTACATAAACATAAATATTATATTGTGATGTATATTCTTTTATATATTTTTTTCAAATACATAACTCTTATACATATATATTTTTATATATATAATTCTTAAATATATATTTCCAAATATAAATTATTTCATGTCAAGCTAAACAGGATAAAAACATGTAAACATATACACTTGGTTTTGGTCAAGTAAAACACAAAATCACAAGTTCATCACAGTTTAACAAGTGCACTTGAAGGGGAAGGAGGGAAAGAACAAACTGTAAACAAACAGATGAGCAGCTGCAAAGCCCTGCAAGGGTCCATTTGTTAAGGCTATTATAGCACAAAGCTACTAGTTCAATTAAAACTTCTCCTTTCACTCTGCCACATTTACTCTTGAGGGTCTTCAAAATAAGTGTGGAAATTCAGTAAACACTACACTAGAACTGAGTTAATCCTGTTGACAACAGAGATGACAAAAAAAAGCCATAAGCTGACATTAATATTAATTTCACCAAAACAGTAACTTTAAGGACTTATTTTTTAACACAGATAATCACCATAATCCTAGGGGGAAAGATATGCAGAATAGACAAGAAAACAGAAGCACTGCCTCAACAGCCCCTGAAAGCAGTAAGAGTGTCAACACAGGGAAAACAGGCAATAGCAGACGACAGAACCTCAGCAGACTAGACCACATGCCACAGCACGATGCTACAGAATCAAATTGAAATATTCTTCCAGCTCATAATGAAGCAAGTCCCACTGGTCCTCAGAGAAGGGTAACTCATCTCTCAGTGAAAGAAACCGCTTAAACAACAGACTGGCCAGCCGAAGCACGACAAGCTCCTTCTTAATGCTTTTATAGAGCATGTTGCCCTCTCCCATTCGCACAGGCTCCACAAGTTGATGCCAGTATGCGCTGAATGACCCACCACCTGGCCCAGGAGGCTCATCTCCCCAGCCCTCAGGGTATTCATGCTTGTAAAAGCATGTGTCTCCAAATGGGCAGTTACCCCTGCCTTCCGCAAAATACCTGCAGGCCTTGTTGCTCATTGCCTCCTTGTATTGCTGAATAAGTTTCTGCTTCTCTTCCTCCTCCTCCACCCAGAACTCACTGGGAATGACCAATTCAGAGGTGACCCTGCACTGTGGGCAAGACTTGACGATCCTGTTCTCAAACTGTCTGGCACTTCTCCACCTGCGGATACACCTAATACAGAAGGAATGGTTGCAATTGGAAAGAATGCCAAAGCGGCGGTCATTGGGGTTGGCCTTCTCATAGACAACCTCCATGCAGATGCCACACACCTTGTCCATACCACGCTGCACAGCAAACGAGAGTTCCATATCTTTCTCGTGTGCTTCAATGCAGGCCCTCATATGTTCTTCCCTCTGGGCAGCATCCATGGGGTGCAAGGTCTGCAGCCCACACATGTCGCATATGTCTCCATGGAGGTACATACAGCTCTCCCCACGAAAGCAAACTCCCCTGGAAGCATAATAGCAAAACCGCAACCCACTGCCCACAGCCATCTGCTTCCTCTCAGTCTCTGAGCTCTGTAGAGGAGCCTCAGGGGCAGATGCAACCCAGCGGCCCCGGTAGGGCTGCCCTGGAACAAACTCAATGGCATCCGCCCAGCTTTCTACACCTGCTCCTCCAGCAGCTCCACGGTCTGCATTGTCTCTCTCGGCTTCAAAGAAACCCCTTTCAGCAGCCGAGCCAATCACAGGCAAGGAAAGGGAGGATGCAGCCGGGGGGGCTTCCGCCACTTCCTGAGTCGGGGGCTCGATGTGCGCAGCCGTGCTAGGGCCTCCACCTGCAGAGGCCCCAGGCGGCGAAACGCCACCCTCAGTGGCCATCTTCCGACCAGAAAGGTCGTGCGAATAGCGACAGTTCTCCCCCTCCTTGCACTGCCCATGTATATAATACCTGCAGATGATCTGCTTTGTCCAAATGCCGCTGCTTCGGCTTGGCAACGGACTGGGCCAGGCTCCTCCTCCTGAGGCTGGGGCAGGCCTCAGGCCTCCTCTGCGGAGGTGGGCAGGGACTGGAGCTACAGGGAAGGGGGCCCAGCCCCTTGCCGCATGTGGCAGGGCTGAATCTGGAGCAGCAGATTCCCCGGAGGGCTCACAGACGGGAAGGTCCGGCCCAGACACACCCTCCCTTGCTGCCTCAGCACCTGCCTGGGCCCCGGCTGCCTCGTGGGCTTCTGAGGGAGCTGCAGGCTCTTCCATGGCTGCTTTGGCACCCCGAAATGGTGCCAGAACCTCTCCGGTATTTTTTCTTTATGGGCTTGAGGCCCGGAATGGCGGCCGCGCTCGGAGGCTTCTCTGGGGGAAGTGTGCATCTCTTTTTCCTTCCCCCCTGCTTTTGGGTCCCTCTGACTGTGTGTTCCTACCTACTTCCGGGCACAGGCAGCATGGCGGACACTTCCTGTGGGGGCAACGTACGTGCTCTGCCTGGTTTTTACCGCAATTTTCCAATCTGACATATTTTTTCGTTCACACAGGCGGGGACCAACCCAGCCCCTTTTGTCTGCCTTCTGCCTCTGCTTCGCTGTGTTCCGGCAGTCCCTAAGTCCCTTCTCACACGATTTCCTCAGGAGAATGAGGTTTTACTTTAATCTCTTCTGGTTTCGGTCATGCACGCTTCGTTGTATTTTCGTATCTGTCTGCCTTAAAAAAAATATAATCCTATAGATTCTGAAACATTTCATCCATGAATTATATAAATTCTTTTTTTATTCACTCCATCTTATGTCTGTGGTTTTTTTCTTTTAATGCCCGATCGCGGCAGGAAGCTTTTTTCAATTCGTTCGGTTGACAAGGCGCCGTTTCTTTTGGTCTTTGTTTTCTGGGATTTCTGAGGGCTTACACTGGATACGCTTTTCACCAGCAAGGCATTAGCAGAGAGCACTTCTGATCCGAGGCTAAGTTAGCACCTTTCAGATGTCTTTCTTTATTGTGATTACTATGCTCATTTTCCCACTGTGTTAGAAGCGCCAGACTTCAACCAGTCCTGATGCTGGCCTAATAAGACACTGTCCCCTGCATGACCCAGGCTTTTATTTTCTCTACTGGTTTAATTCATGGCAGCCCTTTGTTTCCCTTCCTTTCTTTCAACCCCATCTGTGCTGTGTTGTGGCAGGACAGCCTTTCATAACATATCCTGTGCCATATTATCCACAAAGGAATGGTCTTTAATTTCCATGTATGAGCGTTTTGTCATTTTTGCAGATAAATGTAGTAGATTAATCATTTTTTTGTATTCCTACTTTGCTGAGAGTATGTATCATGACTGCATACTGAATTCTGTTATGTAGTTTTATACATTTTTTGAGACAATTTTGTTTTTCCCTTTATTCTCTTAATGTGATTATTTGCAGCTATGAGTTTCAAATATTTAACTAACCAATTTGTTTCTAATAAGAAGCCCTTCTGTCATGATATATCATTTTATATATTATTGGATTTTTTTTCTATAAGTTTCTTTGAGGAAATTTTGTTGCCTAAATCTGTAAAGTGGAAACATATCTGAATATTTATAATCACCCAAGTCAACAAATTAAATTATAATTAAGTAGGTAAAAGCAATGAAAGCAGAATGAAGCAAATAATAAGGGCAAGAAAAGCAATGAAGAAAAACAAATATTAAATAAGGGAAATAAATTAAGTAAAATCCCTTAAACTGCTTATTGAAGCCAGATAATTTCTGGTGAAATTTATCAAGGAAAAATGAAGAAGGCTCTAATACCCAAGATCAGTAATTTCAAATATGTTATCACTACATTAATAACAGACATTAAAAATCATTAGAGAATATCAGGAACAAAGTTAGGAGATAAAACTTGAAAAGTTACATGAAATAGTCATATTGGTGGAAACATCTATTAGTAAAAATGACAGGAGCAGAAATACATGTGAATATGGATCTGTTAAATTACATCTGTAATTTAGATAATTATCTAAATAAAGGTCTCTAAAACTTTCTCTCTGAAATAAATCTAAAGGCAAAAAAAATCTGTATTTATTATTGCAAGTCCTAGCTAGTGTAATAGCAAAGAAATAAAAGATGTTATAACTGGAAAGAAATTATTGATGGAATGCAACAGAAAATTGAGAATAATTTACAGATAAGCTATTAGATTTAATAGGTACATTTAGCAAGGACACTGGACAGGAGTCCAATATATGAAAATCATTTTTATTTCTCTATCATCAATAACATTTGAAGTAAACATTTAAAATTAATAACATTCATAACAACATTAAAAGTTAGCTAACCTAGGAATTAAACTAATTAAGGTTATACAATAAAATTAAAAACATTTTAGCTTCAGAAGACCTAAATAAATTGTGGGATACTTTATATATAGTCTTTATAGTCGGTCAGTAGAAGGCTCAATGTTTTTAAAAGGTAGTCTTTTCCTAATTTGATAATTATTTGAAAATGGTGCTGATTATTCATCGTGAATGTAGGAAATGTTGGATTTATCTTTCTCCTTTTCATAGTTACCAAGTTTTATATTTTGCATGCAAGCTGTCCCAAAGTCTGCCTCACTTGAACTTTCTGAAACAAACTTTCTCTTTATCAGGATTTGTTTGTCAGCCCCAGTGATTTTTACAAGAAAAAGACTTGCAGCACAGCTCTCAGGCTTCTACGCCAAGCTCTCTACAAATTCACAAACATAAGAATCCTGAATATAAAATTATTACTGGCTTAATTGTGATATTTTCCTAGCACTGCATCTATTATTTGCTTAATTGTGATATTTTCCCAGCACTGTATCTAAATCATATTTGACCCTCTCTTGATGCACCAGCACTGTCCAGAGGAACTTTCTGTGAAGAATTTATATATATGCATGCTGTACAGTATGAAAGCTAGCCCCATGGGGTTCTTGGGCACTTGAAATGAGGCTAGAGTGACGGAGGAAATGAATGTCCATTTTTTAAATTATAAATTTAAATAGCCACATGAGGCTAGTAGTTACTGCATTGGAGTGAAGTTCTATACAATATTTGACCATCTCATCTCCTAACACAAGGGAACTGAGAAGCATATGTTTCCTCACCTGCCCAAGGCTATGCAGCTGGTGCCAGGCAGTGTTTGCTTCCAAATGCCCACCTGTGTGGCTGCCACTGGTGTTCATGTCTTATAGTCTGATAGTGACTTTATCTTTTAGTTTTGTCGTGACAATATTTCATATAAACTGTTATAAGCCAATATTGTATCCCATGATTTTAAATACCATAAAAAATTGAATAACTGGAAATAACTGGGCAGTGCATCTTGAGAAAAATAAACTAGTTCCCATCCTATCCAAATGTCTTCAGAGATCATTTCCTCTGACTGCCATTGTCTATATTCCTGCCATGATATATACATATGTATATTTTTTGAGCATCAATATTGTTTTTACAGTTCTCAGAAAGTAGACATTTAGTCATTTGTCTAGTTATTTGGCTCAGCTGTGCCTTCTTTTCTAACAAAACACTGACAGCCTCAGAGGCTGGGACCTGGTTTCCTTGTGCACACACCAGTCTGCAGGGTAGCATGGGATCCCCTGGCCGGTCAGCATTTGGGGGTCCGAATGGAATGAGTGCAAGGCTGGGCGATGGCAGAGCTGAGGTGAAGTCCGGGCAGTCTAAGAATATCCTAAGAGGAGGGAGCAAGTTCAGAAGTGAACTGCAGGATGGAGAGAAGCTGCAAAGTCCTGCAGTTTTTTACTCCAAACAGCTCAGGCATGCGCTGCCTAGCCCCGTGTGGTTAACATGTCCGTATTTAAAGAACACACAATTAATTGCCTAAAAGCATTATCCTTCTCAGCACTCTCCTATCCTTCAGATCTAACCTTTAGGCACTGCCGGCTGCCGGCGGGGTCCAGGACCCAGCGGGGCTGGGCGCGCGGAGCAGCGCTGGGTGCAGCGCCTGCGCCGGCAGCTGCAAGGGCCGCAGAAATTAAACGCGAGTGTCCAGAATCGGGCATTGTGGGTTTAAATCCTGAATCCACTGGTCACTATCTGAGACTTTCCCCTGTCACAAATTAGTTACCTTCTTTTATCCCATCTGACAACGGGAATAATAACAGCAAGAATTACACCGACTAGTTCACAGGTTTGCTGTATTAATTAATTTATAATAATTCATTAATTCTTATAAAGTGATTGGAACGATGCCTGATCTTTAAGATACCTGTAAGTGTCTCTTCTATTTTAGAACCACCCAAAGAATCCTGTGACTGAAGTCTTTGTGTCAGTCCCTCTATGTGCACAGCAGTCAGATTTCTATAGGGGCCCTAGAAATTACTGGCACATGAGAGGTGGTGAATGAGTATTTATTGCCTTATATTGATAGACAAACTGATTTTTATTTTGAAATTTAAAGAGCCAGTTTTCTCCAACCCTTAGTTCAGAAGTTTAGTTGTAGAATACCTTTGTGGAGGATTTCTTGTGCTTTCATCACTTGTGGTAGCAGTAGGATTCTGGCTGGAACAGCACTCCTTTAGCTCATTGTTGGCTGTTTTGAATAGACATCTGATCACCCTGAGTGAATAACTGGATAACAAAAAGTTACTTTAAAATGGCTTTAAATTTCAATATGAATATGAAAAAGAGGTGTAAGTACTCCTACAACCACTTAAAGATCATAAAAGATACTGCTTATACTGATTTTTCTATATTGTAATCAAACACTGAAATTTTCAAGAAATCTTCTGTCTACAGATGTCAAAAATTCAACTACATTTCAACTTTAAGGTGGTTAACAGAATTTTGTCATACTGCTGTATTTTATACATACAAAACATGCTTAATGTCCAATTTGTAGTCAGATGAAATAACTTATCTCAAGCTAGTATTTTTATCCGGAACAAGGATAGAAACTGGTTACTATACATGAAGTAAATGCTTAAAAGACAGGAAATAGTTAATGTGGTGAGTGCTCAGGGGAAAAAAAAAGATGGCCTTAAGTAACCTAAATAACCTGTGGGTGGTAGAAGCAATCACAAAGAAAACTGGAAAATATTTTCAACTGAACAGTAATGAGTGTATAACATGTTAAAAGACTTAGGTTGCACTTAAAGTCATGCTTAGAGGCAAAATTTAATGCATTCTTAAATTCTTAAATGCATTCGCAAGAAAGGAAAAAGGCCCATTTCCAAAAAGGGGAAAAATGTCAAAATGAAGACAGGGCATGGGAAGAATGTCAAATGAAAATGATGGAGTCCTATTTTCTCCTTCCTCTTCAGGAAAAGGTCCAGTGAGGTGCATCCTCATAAACCATGTGCCATTCGTACACTTAGATCTGCATGCTGAGGCCACTGGGAAAAAGGACAGAATTAACTGGAATTTGGTGCTTGGAGAATGAGCAATTTTCATTAAAAAAAATACTCATAATTTTACATGTTCCTTTCCTCCTCCAAAATGTTCAGGCAGTCAGTAAAGAAAATTGTACAGTCGTACAGTCGTACAATCATACCTGCATGACCAGACAATGAAGTTCATGTCCTACATAAAAGATTAGAAAGTCCATTAATATATATGACCACGAGAGGGTGGATAGGTAATTGATTGAATAACAAAGGGAAAAGACCACAGTAATGTAAAGATATTTATTCACTTATTAATACTACTGACATAATTGATGTATGTAAAAACACTCTACTTTGTCATAGCAATATGACAAAATTCTGTTAACCACATTAACGTATAAATGTAGTTTAATTCTTGACATCTGTAGAAAAGTATCCAGAAGATTAGTTGAAAATTTGAGTACAATATAGATAAATCAGTAAAATGTTTACAAGCAATATCTTTTACGATCTTAAAACTAAGTGGTTGTAGGAGTATTTACACCTCTTTTTAGAGTGTGCAATATATAAAAAGTTATGACATATTGAACTTAAAGCATGTCCCCACATATTCCAAAGATCGAAATAATTCAGAGTATATTCTGACTCTAGATTGAAATGGAACCAGAAATCACAAAATATAAATAGAAAATAGATTCTTTATTTGGATATTAATAACTATATTTCTAAATGACCCACATGTCTAAGAACAAATACAAAATAATTCAGAAAATATTCTAATTTGACTAATAATGAAGGTGCTATATATAAAATTTTGTGTGCTAGTTGAAAAGCAATGCTTTTTAGGGCAAATTTTATAACAGGATATATAATACATGTTTCTAATATGTAATACATTACAAAATGATAAATTCTGATTTCCTCTGACATAATTATTCAATTCAGAAATTTACAAAAAAGATAAGACATTTAAACAAAATAAAATATATGAAGGAAATAAGAAAAATAACAGAAATTAATTTTTAAAGTCCAAACATATAACAAGAAGAATAGTGAGAGTTTGGTTCTTTAAAAGGATTCGTATACAGGTATTAAAATACCACATGTACTCCCAAAATATTTACAACTATTATATATCAATTTTTGAAAACAGTTAGTAAAACTGATAAACCTCTGGTGAGGTTCACTGAAGAAAAATGATGATTACTCAACTAACCAATATGAAGAATAAAAAGTGATGACATCCTTAATATGCATACAGACTTTAATGAGATCGTAGAAAGATATATACAACTTAGGTCATTAATATGGAAATGTACTTGAAATGGTTAACTTTCTAGAAAACCCACAAATTATCAAAAGTAAAACAAAAGTAAATGGTAAAAATGAATAGCCCTCTAGCTATTAAAGGAAATTAATTACAATTAACAATTTTCTTAAAACAAAAACTCTAGGACCAGAGAGTTTCACAATAAATTCTATTACCTTTTTAAGAAAGAACATTACAGATCCATGTTGCTCATAATCTTTGATGCAAATCTACAAAAGATTAAAAAATGCAAAGAAGGATTCATTCTAGTTATTAAAGGTAATTTAAATATTTGAAAATCAATAGTGTCAATAATCACATTAAGATATTATGTCAGGCAAGGTGGCTCAAGCTTGTAATCCCAGCAGTTTGGGAGACAAAGACGGGTGGATCACTTGAGGTCAGGAGTTGAAGACAAGCCTGGCCAACATGGCGAAACCCTATCTCTACTAAAAATACAAAAATCAGCTGCCAAGTGCCTGTAATTCCAGCTACTTGGGAGGCTGAGGCAGGAGAATTGCTTGAGCCCAGGAGGTGGAGGTTGCAGTGAGCCAAAACTGTGCCACAGCACTCCAGTCTTGGTGACAGAGCAAGACTGTCTCAAAAAAAAAAAAAAAAAAAGATATTAAATGAGAAAAGTCAAGTAATAAGGTCTCAAAATTCCATATTTTTCTGTTAAAATAATAGCTATTTATGAGAAAACTCTTAGGACAATAAGAATAGAATTTCCTTGTTCTTAAAAAAGGAATATTTTTCTCTAATAATCAGTGAAGTTTTGGGAACTTCAAGATTATTTTCAACTAAACGAAATAAAATATCAAGAATAATTTTGAAAAAAATAGGAGCTCTATGATTCCTTTTATCAACAAGTCCTTTTTGATATCAGTAAAATGAAACTGTGGTTTTTCAGTCTTTTTCTTAATGTCCTCATATGACACAGGGATAGGACACAACAGACCTTAAGATATGAATCAATACTATTAAGAAAAAATTGTCCTTAGCATTAGAAATTAAAATAATTATAATGAATTTAACCTTAGACATCATTGGTATACAAGATACGATTTTTTAAATCCATTAAATATTTTTTTTAAAAATTTCTTCATATATAATTGGCATACCATCATAAAATGTTTTAGATGCATAATTCAATGACTTTAATAGATTTATAGATTTTTGCAACCCTATTCACAATATAATTTTGGAATATTCTCACCCTCAGCCTTAGCTAAACTTTAATCTTTTTCCATCTCCATGAATCTGCCAATTATGGATATTTCTTATAAAGAGAATCATGTGATGTGTGGTCTCTTGTGTCCGAATTCTTTCACTTTACATTTCGAGGTTCATTCTGTACATATCATTTCATTTACTTTGATTTTAGAACATTTCATTGTATGAATATACTACATATTGTTTCTCCTTTCAGGAGTTGATAGATATTTGTTTTTTGTTTTTTTCGCATTTTGGCTATTATGAATAGCACTGCTGTGGACATTCACACAAGCTTTTATGTGGCCATGTGTTTTCCTTTTTGTGGGTACATACCCAGGAGTGGAATTGCAAGGAATTATATGTATAACATTCTGAGAAACTACTAGTTTCTTAATGTGGTTGCTGTATTCCATAGTTAAATTAGCAATACATAAGGGCTCCATATCATCCACAGTCTTGCTATTACTTGTCATCTTTAAAAAAATAATTTCCGGCCGGGCACGGTGGCTCACGCCGGTAATCCCAGCACTTTGGGAGGTCGAGGCAGGCAGATCCCGAGGTCAGGAGATCAAGACCATCTTGGCTAACATGGTAAAACCCCATCTCTACTAAAAATACAAAAAATTAGCCGAGCATGGTGGCGGGTGCCTATAGTCCCAGCTACTCCAGAGGCTGAGGCAGGAGAATGGTATGAACCTGGGAGGCAGAGCTTGCAGTGAGCTGAGATCACGCCACTGCACTCCAGCCTGGGTGACAGAGCAAGATTCCATCTCAGAAAATAATAACAATAATAATAATAATAATAATAATTTCGGCCAGGCATGGTGGCTCACACCTGTAATCCCAGCGCTTTGGGAGGCTGAGGCAGGCGGATCACCTGAGGTCTAGAGTTCGAGACCAGCCTGACCAACACGGAGAAACCCCGTCTCCACTAAAAATACAAAATTAGCTGGGCATGGTGGTGGGCGCCTGTAATCTCAGCTACTTGGGAGGCTGAGGCAGGAGAATCGCTTGAACCTGGGAGGTGGAGGTTGCAGTGGGCCGAGATCGTACCCTTGCACTCCGGCCTGGGCAACAAGTGTGAAACTCTGTCTCAAATAATAATAATAATAATAGTAATAATTTCAACTTTTATTTTAGATTCAGGGGATACCTGTGCCAGTTTGTTACATGGGTATATTGTGCGTTGCTGAGGTTTGGGATATGATTGATCATGTCACCCAGCTAGTAAGCATAGAACCCAGTAGTTTTTCAATCCTTTCCCCGTTCCTCCCTCCCCACTCTAGTAGTACCCAGTGTCTGTTGTTCCCATCTTTATGTCCATGAATAACCAATATTTAATTCCCAGTTGTAAGTGAGAATATATAGTATTCGGTTTTCTGTTCCTGCATTAATTCGTTTAAAATAATGGCCTCTAGCTACATCCATGTTGCTGCAAAGGACATAATTTTGTTCTTTATCATGGCTGTATAATATCCCATGGTATGTATGTACCACATTTTATTTATCCAGACCACCATTGTAAGGCATCTGGGATTATTCTCTATCTTTGCTATTGTGAATAGTGCTGTGATGAACATACATGTGTCCTTTTGATAGAATGATTTATTTTCTTTTGGATATAAAACCAGGAATGGGATTGCTGGGTCAAATGGTGGTTCTAAGTTCCTGGAGAAATCTCCAAACTGCTTTCCACAATGGCTGAAGTAATTTATATTCCCACTAAGAGTGTATAATTCTCTTTGCTCTGTAGCCTCACCAATATCTGGTGTTTTGTTTGTTTGTTTTTCAGTTTTTAATAATTGCCATTCTGATCGATATGAGGTGGTATCTCATGGTATTGACTTGTATTTCTCTGAAGATTAGTGTATTAGTCCATTTTCACACTGCTGATAAAGATATACCCAAGACTGGGCAATTTACAAAAGAAAGAGGTTTATTGGACTTACAGTTCCACATGGCTGGGGAGACCTCACAATCATGGTGGGAGGTGAAAGGCGTGTCTCATATGGCGGCGGTGTGGTGTGGTGCTGCATGCCTGTAACTCCAGCTACCTGGGAGGCTGAGGTAGGAGAATCACTTGAACCAGGAAGCAGAGGTTGCAGTGAGCTGAGATCACAACACTGCACTCCTGCCTGGGAGACAGAGTGAGGGGAAAAAAAGTGTCTGTTCCTGTCTTTTGCCCATCTAACATATTAATTTTTTAGTTGGGTTGTTTATTTCTTACTAAGTTCCTTATAGATTCTGGATATTAGACCTTTGCTGTATGCATAGTTTGCAAATTTTTTTTCCCATTCTGTAGGTTGTCTATTTACTCTGTCAATAGTTATTTTGCTGTGCAGAAGCTCTTTAGTTTAACTAGTTCCCACTTGGCAATTTTTGTTTTTGTTACAGTTGATTTTGAGGACTTAGTCATACATTCTTTTCCAAGGCTAATGGCCAGAAATGGTATGGCTTAGGTTTTCTTCTAGGATTTGTATAGTTTGGGGTTTTACATTTAAATCTGTAATCTATCTTGAGTTAATTTTCGTATATGGTGAGAGGTAGGAGTCCAGTTTCATTCTTCTGCATGTGGCTACCAAGTTATCCCAACACCATTTACTGAATAAGGAGTCCTTTCTCCATTGCTTATTTTATTTATTTATTTATTTATTTATTATTTTTTGAGATGGAGTTTCACTCTTCTTGCCCAGGTTGGAGTGCAATGGCACAATCTCGGCTCACCACAACCTCCGCCTCCTGGGTTCAAATGATTCTCCTGCCTCAGCCTCCCGAGTAGCTGGAATTACAGGCATGCACCATCACACCCAGCTAATTTTATATTTTTAGTAGAGACAGGGTTTCTCCATGTTGGTCAGGCTAGTCTGAAACTCCTGACCTCAGGTGATCCATCTGCCTTGGTCTCCCAAAGTGCTGGGATTACAGGCGTGAGCCACCATGCCCAGCCTCCATTGCTTATTTTTGTCAATTCTGTTCAAAGATCAAGTGAGTATAGATGTGCAGCTTTCTTTCTGGGTTCTCTGCTCTGTTCCATTGCTCTATGCATCTGTTTTTGTACCAGTACCGTGCTGTTTTGGTAACCGTAGTCTTAAAATATAGTTTGAAGTCAGGTAATGTGATACCTCTGGCTTTGTTCTTTTTGCTTAGGATAGCTTTGGCTATTTAGGCTCTAAAATAACTAAGCATGTTTACATATTGTCCTTTGAAACTGCTTTATATTATTCAGGAAGCACATTCATATTGCTGGGTGGAATTAAGAAAAAGATTTATCATTTTGACACCAGGTAAAATATGAAAAGTAGAAATAACAAATCCTTATAAACAGTACTGGTATCCATGAACCAAAGCATCCCCTTTATACATACATGATATGGTTTGGCTGTGTCTCCACCCAAATCTCATCTTAAATTCCCACATGTTGTAGCAGACACCTGGTGGGAGGTAACTGAATCATGGGGGCAGGTCTTTCCCATGCTGTTCTTGTGACAGTGAATAAGTCTTATGAGACCTGATGGCTTTATAAGGCAGAGTTTCCCTGCACAAGCTCTCTCTCTCTTTGCCTGCTGCCATCCATGTAAGACATGACTTGCTCCTCCTTGCCTACTGCCATGATTATGAGGCTTCCCCAGCCACATGGAACTGTAAGTCTATTAAACCTCTTTCTTTTGCAAATTGCCCAGTCTTGGGTATGTCTTTATCAGCAGCATGAAAATGGACTAATATGCTGCACATTTTATTTGGCACAAATAATGTTTTCAGTATTTCTGTATATTCAAAGCAACACTGACAGCGGAGTATAATTTTCAAAGTGAAAATTTATACAATATCTATCACACACAGAGAGACAGAGAGAGAGAGAGAGAGAGACAGAGAGAGAAAATAGGTAAATATGTCTGTAGATAACTTAACCTAGTTGTAAAACTGCAGGCCAACCCTATCCAAAAGGCAATAATTACCTAACTCATGTGTCTGCTATAACAGAATTCCATAGACTGGTGGCTTAAACAAATAAACAACAAATAAACAAAAGCCATTTGTTTCTCCCAGTTCTTCACAGTTCTGAACCTGGGAAGTCCATGATCAAGGAAGTGGCAAATCTAGTCTGTGGTGAGGGCTTGATTCCTGGTTTGCAAATGGCCATCTTCTCTCTGTATCCTCACATGGCAGAGAGAGAAATCACCTCTCTCATTTTTTCTTGTAAGGGCACTAATACAATTTATGAGCACTCTACCTGCCTGACCTAATTACCCCACAAAGGTGCCACCTCTAAATACCATCACATTGGGCCACTATACTACACATATGGATTTGGGGTGGGGGACACAAACATTCAGTCACTAGCATGGGGCGATTCAAGGGCCTTTCAGGGGAAAAGGAGGGGGGTGGACCAGCATCCAGCATGCAGACCTCTCAGTGCATTGCTAGGAAAAAGAATGGTAGCTCTGAAAGACTGGGTGAAAGGCATAACCCTGAGATTCCCCTCCCGACAAGAAGCACCAAGAATACTAGTCCCAGAAAAAAATGTCCTTATAAACCAAAAGAGAGATGAAGACTTTCCCAGACAAAGGCTGAGGGAGTTCATCACCACTAGACCTACCTAACAGGAAATGCTAAAGGGAGTACTTTGAGTTGAAACAAAAGGATGCTAAACAGCAACACAAAAGTATAAAACACACTGGTTAAGGTAAATATACATATACATACAAATGCACAGATACATATACTCTATTGATGGTGTATAAATCACTTAATTTTAGTATAAAAGTTAAAAGATAAAAGCATAAAGAATAACTATAACTACAAAAATATGTTAATGGATATATGATATAAAACATGTAGATTGTGACATCAATAACAAAATGTGTGGGGGAAGAAGTAAGGTTATAGAGGGTTTTTTTTGTTTTGTTTTTTGAGACAGAGTCTCGCTTTTTCACCAGGCTTGGAGTGCAGTGGCACGATCTTGGTTCACTGTAACCTCCACCTCCCAGGTTCAGGCAATTCTCCTACCTCAGCCTCACAAGTAGCTGGGATTACAGGCACCTGCCACCACGCCCGGCTAATTTTTTGTATTTTTAGTAGAGACAGGGTTGACCAGGATGTTGACCAGGATGGTCTCGATCTCTTAACCTCATGATCTGCCCACCTTGGCCTCCGAAAGTGCTGGGATTACAGGCATGAGCCACTGCGCCCAGCCAAGTTATAGAGTTTTTGTTTGTGATCAAAGTTAAATGTTGTCAGCTCAAAACTGCTGATTAAAAGATGTTTTATGTAGGCCTCATGGTAACCATAAAGATACTTACAGAAGATATGCAAAAGAGAAAGAAAAAGGAATCACAACATATCATTGCAAAAAATTCCATAAAACACATAGAAAGACAGCAAGAGAGGAAAACAGGAACAAAATAACTACAAGACTGACAGAAAATAATTAAAAATATGACAATAGTAAATCTTTCAACATCAATTATTAAGTAAAAACAAAATAAACTCACTAATCACATAGTTGAATGGATTATAAAAACACAAGACTCATCTACATGCTGTCTACGAGAGAGACTTACTTCAGATGTAAGGAGACACATAGGCTGGAAGTAAAAGGATAGACTAAGATATCCCATACAACTGATAAAAGTAAGCAGGAGTGGCTATATTTATAACAGGCCAAATAGACCTTAAATACAAAACTATCACAAGAGAAAGAAACATATTATATAATGATTAAATGCTCAATTCATTAGGAAATATAAAATTATAATTATATGTGGACCCCAATCAAAATACCTACATATATAAAGCAAACATGACAGAATTGGAGGCAGAAGTACACAGCGATACAATAGTAGAAGGAGACTTTAATGTCACATATTCAGTTATGGATAGAACATCCAGACAGAAAATCAATAAGGAAATAGCAGGCTTTAATGATGTTATAGACCAAATGGACCTATAACATATATACAGAACATCCCACTCAGCATCAGTTGAAGTAATATCACAAACAACCTAACTTTATAACACAATGACCTAGAAAAAGAAGTTAAGGCCAAAGTTAGTTGAAGGAAGGAAATAAATATTAGAGCAGGAGTAAATAAAATAGAGAATAAAAACAACAGAAAAATCAATAAAATTTAGTTTTTTTTTGAAACATAAGCAGAATTTATAAAGCTTTAGATACACAAATAAAAAAAGGAGGACTCAAAATCAGATATGAAAGAGGAGATATTACAGCTGATGTTACTGAGAAAAGGAATCATAGTGATTACTGTCATTATATGACAACAAATTGGATAACATAGTAATGAATACATTTCTAAAACCGTAAAACCTTAAAACTAAAACAGGAAAAAAAAATCAAAACCGTAACAAATCAGTAATGAGTAAAGAGATTGAATTAGTAATCAAAAACTTCCCAAGAACAACAACAACAAAATGCCAAAGACCAGATGATTCACTGGTATGTTCTACTAAACATCTAAGAAGGAACCAATGTCAGTCCTTCTCAAACTCTTCCAAAAAACTGAAGATGAAGGAATACTTCCAAACTCATTTTATGAGGCCAGCATTGCTTGATGCCAAAGCCATATAAAGACACTACAAGAAAATAAAACTATGGGCCAATATCCTTGATGAATATAGACACAAAAATCCTCAATAATATACTATCAAACCAATTCCAGAACCACATGAAAATTATATGCTATGACCAGGTAGGATTAATTACTGGGATGCAAGAAGGATTCAACACATAGAAATCAGTAAATGTGAGATACCACATTAACTGAATGAATAAAAGTCACTTGACCATCTCAATAGCTGCAGAAAAAGGATTTGACAATATTGACTACTCTGTGATAAACTCTTAGCAAACTGGTTATGGAATAAATATAACTCAACATATTTAGGCTTTATATAAAAATCCCAGAGCTAACGTCACACTCAATGATGAAAAACTGAAAGCTTTAAGATCAGGAACAAGGCAAGGATGCCTACTCTTGTCACTTCTATTCAACATAGTGTTAGAAGTCTTAGAGAAATTAGAAAAGGAAATGCAAAGCATCCAAATCAGAAAGAAGACAATTATCTGTTTATAAATATGATATTTTATGTAGAAAATCTTAAAATCTTCACAAAAACACTGTTAGTTAATAAAATAAGTTGCAGCATACAAAATCAATAAACAAAAATTAGTGATGTTTCTATACACTAATAATAAATTATCAAAAAACTATAAAACAAAACTTATAAATTAAGTTGCAGCATACAAAACATACAAAAATCAGTGACATTTCTATATACTAAAAATAAACTATACAAAAAGGACATAAGAATCCCATTTACAATAGGATTAAAAATAATAAAATAGGAATAAACTTAAGAAAGTGTAAGACTTGTACACTGGAAACTAAAAAACCTTGATGAAGGAAATTAAAGCAGATACAAATAAAAGGAAAGACATCCCATGTTCACAGGTTGAAAGACTTAATATTGTTAAAATGTCCATAATACCCAAATGATCTACAGATTTAATACTATCCTCATCAAAATTCCAATGACATTATTTTACAGAAATAAAAAAGCAATCCCAAAATTAATATAGAACCACTAAGACCCTGAATAGCCAAAGCAATCTTGCAAAATAATAACAAAGCTAGAGGCATCACACTTCCTGATTTCAAAACATAGTACAAAGCTAAGTAATTAAAACAGTAAAATACTGGCATAAAAACAGACATACAGACCAATGAAACAGAATGGAAATCTTAAATCAACTCCTCCATATATAGGCAACTGTCCTTCTACAAGGGTGCTGAGAATACAAAATGGGGAAATGATAGTCTCTTTAAAGAAACGAGCTGGAAATGCTAGATACCTATACTAAAAAAGAATAAAACTGAACCCTTAGATTACACCATGCACAAAAATTAACTCAAAATGGACTAACAACTTAAATTTATGATGTGAAACTGAAAATCCTAGAAGAGGGGTAAAAAGCTTCTTTCAGATTTCCAATTGGATTAAATTATGAATCTTTGTTTTAATTTAGTTTTTATATGTATGAAATTTATTTACTCTATTTTATAAAAACATTAAAATAGGCCAGGCACAATGGCTTACTCCTATAATCCTAGCAGGTGTGAGTCACACCTGGAGGGAAGTCACACCTGGTTCCCTCTGGTGGTGCCATTCAATAACTTATCTAGTCAGTAAAAACTGGGAGGGGGGATGTGGTGAATCACACCTGTAATCTCTATAATTTGGAAGGCCAAGGTGGAAAGTTCCTTGAGGCCAGGAGTTTTGAGACCAGCCTAGGCAACATAGCAAAACCTTGTCTCTATGATGTACACCTGTGTTCCCAGCTATTAAAGAGACTGAGGTGGGAGGATCACTTGAGTCCAGCAGTTTGAGGCTGCAGTGAGCTAAGATCTCATCACTGCACTCCAGCCTGGGCAACAGAGTGAGAACCTGAGTCAGTCAGCCAGCCTGTCAGTCAGTAAATCAACCAGTCAATCAATAAAATGTAATATACTTATTTACTTTTTATTTTTCCTCTTGTTTTTAGAGATTTCTCTTTTTTTCTGTTTTAGTTTTTAGCAACCTGAAGCCACAGTTTTTAGTTTTTGTCTCTGGCTAATAAGAGGAAAAAGAAAGGAGTGGAAGGATCTTGGTGTCCTCCTTTAGACAGAAGCCTCCTCTTGGGTCCAAACCTTTACACAGTTGAATCAGTCCCCTTCCTCATCTATTTTTTTCTTTTCTTCTTTCTTTTTTGTCAACTTGTTAGAATGGCTTGTATTTCTAGGTAGATAATATTTCATCCTTTTTTATCTTCTGTCTGTTCCTGATCCCCACCTCCCCCTTTTTTATCCTTTTGGTGTTTACCTGATAAACTTGTGGCAGTCTGAATAATGTCTGCTATGAGTAGCATCTTCCCTTTATTGGGTGTCCCACTAAACCTCAGAGGCATGGCTGGTCTCAATATCCAGGACAGCAAGTGTGGCCTTGGTTTTCTTTCAATCTCTTTGAGTATGAGACCCTTTGTATGATGGTAAGCAGCAGCACTTAAGAGAGCCTGTGAGCATTGATTGAGTGTTTTGCAATCTTTCGTTCATGAGTCACCTCTTCAGAAGGCTTGAGAGAAACTAGAACCAAATGTTGCTTTCCTTTCCCCCTTTCCGTTAAATATTGAGCCACTAGTCTCCAGGGATGGGATCCGCCATATCCCACTGCATTTAGAGACGAAATACAATAGCAAGAAGGCAAATAACAACACAACAGGTTACATCCAGAACAACATCTTTTGTGGGGTGGCACGGTCCTGGAGGTAAAGGCAAACACTGATCCCATGTGTGGCTCGCAACTTATTAGTGCTGCAAAGATCACACTCCTTCTACTAAGCAGAGCAGGCTGAAATGTACAGGAAAATAGCAACTTTCCTTGTCTCAATATTAATCTGTGCTGCCTGTTTGACTGATCAGGTCCATTTCATGGTCCTTGGAGGAAAGTCACACCTGGTCCCCTCTGGTGGTGCCATTCAAGAACTTACCTAGTCAATAAAAACTAGGAGGCAGGACATGGTGGCTCCCACCTATAATCCTAGCTCTTTGGGAGGCTGAGGCTGGAGGAAATGCTTGAGGCCAGGAATTTGAGAACAAGGTGGCCAACATATCGAGACCCCCGTCTCTTTAAAAACAAAAACAAAAACAACAACAAAAACATAACAAAAAAAAAAAACAAAAACAAAAGAGTGTTCCTTATCCCAGAATCTAGGCAAGTAGCACACTCAGACCAGAACTCAGGAGCACTCAGCTTTCTAGTTTCGAATTTAGGATTTGAATCCACAGCCACCTGACCAATGCCCAAATAGCAGCTGTGCCAGGGACAAGCAGGAGGCAGAGGGAGTGGGAGGAAAACGTGGACAATAGACTTCATTGTGGCTTCTGTAGGAAGGATATCAAAAGGCAAGAGAAGCAGGCTTTGGATTGGTTAGTTTACGTAGGAAAATCACACTCATCTTTTACTATATTTAGAAATTTGTTAGCCCTGGTTGGGGTATCTCTTCAGGTTCAGTAAGGCCCCAGATGTCAAAGCATCAGAATTAAGAAGATGTTCTTAATATGTTTGATTACCCTGTGTAAACTTCAAAGTGCTAGTAGGGTAGAAAAAATTAATGCAAACAAGATCCAGGGAAGTAAATGAGTGAAATGGCTGGTGAGAATGAGGAAGGATCTGTCCAAGTCTGAAAAGGGCAGATACTACTGAGCCATTGCCAGTTGTTGCTATATGAGAATTTGGGCTCAGGAGTGCCAGTTCTAAATTTTCACAGGAAGCTAAAAGTTACATTTTTATGTAATACTTCACAATTTTAAAGATTGGGAGCTGATTTAATTTGTCTTTGCAAAAACCACCAGAAGTAGTTGTTTTCAGCTGTCAAGGTTAGTGATACACTCTTACCGTCCCACCTCAGCATTATATTGATATTCCATTCCTATGCCATAATTTAGTTTTCAGGGATCTTGATAATCATTCCCTTCCATAAGACATCATACTGGTCTATTACACTGATGATATGATGCTGATTTGACCTAGTGAGCAAAACAAAGCAACTACTCTAGACTTATTGATAAGACATTTGCAGTCAGAGAGGAGTGAATAAATATGATGCATATTAGGGGCCTTCTACTTCAGTGAAATTGCTGGTAGTCAGTGTTGTGGGTCATGTTGAGATGTCCCTTCTAAGGTGAAAGATAAGTTTTTACATCTAACCCTTCCTATACTTCCCCCACCCAAAAAAAAGAGGCACAACATTGACTGGGCTCCTTGAATTTTAGACGGAACGTATTTCTCATTTTAATGTGTTTGTACAGCCCATTTACAGAGTGACACCAAAAGGCTTCTGGATTTGAGTAAAGCTCATAGTAAGAGAAGGCTCTGCAACAGATGCAGGTTGCTGTGCAAGCTGCTTGGCTGCTCAGACCATATGATCCAGCAGATCCACTGGTAATTGAAGTATCCGTGACAGATAAGGATGCTGTTTGGTGTCTGCAGCAGGCCTCTACACGCGAATGTCAGCACATATCCATAGGATTTTGAAGCAAAGCCCTGCCTTCCTCCACAGGTTACTGCTCTCTTTTGAGAAATGGCTGTTGGCCTACCATGGGGTCTTAGCTGAGACTGAATGCTTAACTCTGGCCCACCAGTAACCTTGCAACATTTGCTGCCCATGTGTAATCTGACCAACAAGTAATAAAGTTGGATGTGCTCAGCAACACTTCATCAATTGGAAGTAGCACATATCTGATCGGGTCTTAGCAGGTACTAAAGGCACAAGTAAGCTACACAAAGAAGTGGCCTAAATGCCCATGGACCACACTTTTGCTACACTGCCTCTTGTCTCCCAGCCTGCACCTATGGCCTCCTCACTGGGGAGTTTCTTATAATCAGTAGACAGAGGTTGATAAGTCTCAGTCATGGTTTACAGACGGTTGTATATGATATGCAACTACCCCCAAAAATAGACATCTGCAGCACTATAACTTCTTTTCTGGGACATCCGTAAAGGAACTCGATGAAGGGAAATCCTCTCTGTGGGCAGAATTTTGGCCAGTTCACCCAGCTATTTGTCTAAAAGGAGAAAAACCAACACTTAGTCCCTGATATGGCACCACTTTCTGGAGGGATCAGCCAGCTACCCAGTGGCAGGTTGATTATATTAAAGTGCTTCCCTCATGGAAGGGCTAGTGTTTTGTTCTTATTGGACTAGACACTTACTTTAGATACATATTTGCCTTTCCTGCACACAGTGCTTCTGCCAAAACTAATATCCATGGATTTACTGGATGACTATTAACTGCCACAGTATTTTCCAGAGCATTTCTTCTGGTCAAGGAAGTCACTTTACAGAAAATGAAATGGGACTATGGGTCTATGTGCATGGAGTTTATTGGTCTTACTATGTTCCCTTTATCCTTAAGCAGCAGCCTTGATAGAAAACTGGAATGGCCTTTTCAATTCTAAGTTACAGGACCAGCTAATTAGTAGTACCTTGAGGTGCTGGAGCAAGGTTCTCCAGGGAGCTGTATATGCTCTGAATCAGCATTCGATATACAGTGCTATTTCTCTGATAGCCGGGGTACATGAGTCCAGCAATCAAATGTAAAAATGCAAGTGGCACCACTTACTATCACCCTTAGTAATTCACTAACAGGCTTTTTTTCTTTCTGTTCTCATGACCTTATGCTTTGCTGACCTGAAGGTCTTAATTCCAAAGGGAGGAATTCTTCTACCAATGGATATCATGATTCCATTGAATTGAAAATTATGATTGACACTTGGCTACTTTAGACTACCTATGCCCAGGATCAATAGGCAAAGAAAGGAGACCTGCACTCTGAGGTTACTGATCTTGATTGCCAAGGGGAAATTAGACTGACACTCCATAGTGGAGGTTTTGGAAGAGTATGTCTTGAATATAAACTAACATGACACTGCTAGGGTATCTCTTAATGCTACCATGCCCTTTGATTAAAGTCAATATAAAACCATAACAACCCAATCCAGGCAGGACTACTAATGGCTGAGACCCTACAGGAGTGAAGCTTTGAGTTATTCTTCCAGATAAAAACCATAACAAGCTAAAGTGCACAGGACTAGTTACTCTACCAGATAAAAAACATAAACTTCAGCTGGTTATTCTACAGATAAAAAGCATAACCTGCTGAGAGCACAGGACTAAGGAATGGGAAGTGGAAGGTGGTTATAAATCCCAACTATGAACACATGACCATTTACAGAAACACAGGATTTAATTAGGATTTTTCTTATTTTGTTATAAATTCATTTGTTTGAGTGGCATATATATATATATATACACACACACATATATACACATATATATACACACATATATATAACTCATGCAAATATCTTTGTTTTCTCACTCTCATATCCCCTTATCATATACAATGTGATATATTTAACTTACATAATTTTTTTTTTTTTTTTTTGAGACAGAGTATCACTCTGTTGCCCAGGCTGGAGTGCAGTGGCATGATCTTGGCTCACTGCAAGCTCCGCCTCATGGGTTCACACCATTCTCCTGCCTCAGCCTCCCGAGTAGCTGGGACTACAGGCGCTTGCCACCACGCCTGGCTAATTTTTTTGTATTTTTAGTAGAGACGGGGTTTCACCGTGTTAGGCAAGATGGTCTCGATCTCCTGACCTTGTGATCCACCTGCCTCGGCCTCCCAAAGTGCTGGGATTACAGGCGTGAGCCACCTCGCCCGGCCTGAAGGCATTGTTAACATGTGATTAACACTGAAAAGAGTAGGCTTTGAATAAAGCATATTACTCCCCATAAATTGGGTAGGCCTCATCCTCATCCAATTATTTAAAGATCTTTAGAGAAAAGACTGAGGCACTCTGGGGAAGCAGGAATCCTGCTTTCTGACTGTCCTCAGGCTCCATCTGCAACATAGAGTCTTATCTGGGTCTGCAGCCTGCTGGCCTGCCCTGTACCACCATCTCAATAGATGCAGGAAAAAACATTTGACAAAATTCAACATCCTTTCATGTTAAAGGAACTTAACCTACTAGGAATAGAAGGTAACATCCTCAACCTGATAAAAACAATCTGTGAAAAGTACACAGTAAGAAATCATATTTAATGATGAAAATGTGGATGCTTTCCCCATAATATCAGGAATAAGAGGAGGATGTTTGCTCTTGCTACTTCTATTCAACATTGTACTGTATGTTTTAGTCAGGACAATTAAGCAATAAAAAGAAAAAAAAAGGCTTCCAGTTTGAAAAGGAAAAAGTAAAATTAACCCATTTCACAGATGACTTGGTCTTGTATATAGAAATTCCTAAGGCATCCACCAAAAAAACTAGTAGAACTAATAAACTAACTCAGCAAGTTTGCAGGATACAAGATACATGTGCAAAATCAATTGAACTTCTATACACTTGCAATGAACGAGCCAAAAATAAAATTAAGAAAACAATTCAGCTGGGCACAGTGGCTCACGCCTGTAATGCCAGCACTTTGAGAAGCTGAGGCAGGCAGATCACTTGAGGTCAGGAGTTCGAGACCAGCCTGGCCGACATGGCGAAAACCCATCTCTCCTAAAAATACAAAAAGTAGCCAGGCATGTTGGTGTGTGCCTGTAATTCCAGCTACTCAGGAGGCTGAGGCAGCATAAATCACTTGAACCCAAGAGGTGGAGGCTGCAGTGAGCAGAGATTGCACCACTGCACTCAGTCTGGGTGACAGAACGAGACCAAAATTATATTAAATACTTAGGAATAAATTTAACAAAAGTGTTCAAAACGTTTGCTTTGAAAATTATAAAACACTGTGGAAATAAATTAAATAGTATATTAATAAAAAAGAAATACATTCCATAATTGATCAGAAGACTTAACATTAAGATGGCAACACTTCCCGAATAGATGTGCTAATTCCACACAATCCCTATCAGAATCCCAGACAACTTCTTTGTAGAAATGTACAAGTTGATTCTAAAATTCATATGAAACTGCGAAGGACCCCAAAATAGCCAAAACAATCTTGAAAATAAGCAGACTCCAAGGTCTTGCACTTTCTGATTTCAAAACTTAGTACTAAGTAATGGTACATCAAGACACTATATTACAGGCAACAAATAGACATATAGAGCAATGTAATAGAATTGAGAGTCCAGAAAAACCCCCATAACATCTATGATCAATTGGTGTTTGACAAGAGCCAAAACCACTCAAGGGGGAAATAGTCTTTCAATAAATGGTGCTAGGGCAAGTAAAGCTGCACCATTATCTTACGCCATATACAAAAATTAAAATGGATCAGAAATCTACCTACCTGAAAGAACTAAATCTCCTAGAAGAAAACACAGGGTATATCTTATAACCTCAAATTTGGCAAAGGATTTTTAGACTCTGACAACAAAGGCAGGAGAAACAAAATAAAAGGTAGGTAAGTGAGGCATCATCAAAATTAAAAATACTTGTTCTTCAAATGACACCATATAGGAGTGAAAAAGCAAGACATAGATCATCAGAAACATTTGCAAATCGTACAATTGATAACACATTGTACTGAGAGTATATAAGTAATCTTTACAATGCAATAAAAGAAGGAAGAACCCAATAAAAAATGGACAAAGGATTTGAATAGGCATCTGTCTAAGTAAAATGCACAAATGGCCAATAAGCACTGGAAAAGATGTTTGAAATCATTAATCATCAAGAAAATGCAAATGGAAACCTCAGTGAGCTATCACTTCGTACTCAGTTGAATGACTAGAATAAAAAAGCCAGATAACAAGTGTGAGAAGAATGTGGGGAAATCAGAATCCTCATATACTGCTGGAAGAAATGTAAAATACTACTGCCACCTTGGAAAAAAGTCTGGCAGTTCCTCAAATAATGGCAAAGTTACTTCACAACTCAGCAATTCTACTCCTAGGAGTAGAGAAACAAAACAAGAATATGTATAGCAGCATTATTCATAACAGGCAAAGGGTGGAAACAACCCAAATGCCTCAACTGATGAATGGATAAAAATAATTTGGTATATTTACACAGCAGAATATTACTCAGCCATAAAAAAGGATAGAAGTATGGATATAGGATGAATTATGAACCTTGAAAACATTATGCAAAACAAAATAAGCCAATTGCAAACAGCTACATATTATATGATTGTGTTCATAAGAAGTGCCCAGAGTAGGGAAATCTATAAAGACAAAAAGTAGATTAGTGATTGGTTAGGGCTGGGAAGGGTGTGGGGAACAAGAGGATGATAGGTAAAGAATACAGAGTTTCTTTTAGAGTTGAAAAAATATACATAAAACTGACCATGGTAATGGTAACACATACATGCTAAAAAAACATCGAATTGTACACTTTAAATGGGTGAATTGTATGTCATGTGAATTATATCTCAACATGACTACTTAGTCATTATACTATTTAAATTATTATTTATAATTCTAAATCAAAGTATTTCCTTCTAATATAAATTCTTTACAGGACCACTGCAGTTACAGCTTTAACTTACATTCTGTAAATCACATATCACATTTCTTAGTAATTTTGTACCAGCTGATGTTTCATATCTATAATGTATGTACTGTGAAATAAGAAATTATATATATTATATATATATATATAAAATGTGTATTTGTGTGTGTATGTGTGTGTGTGTTTTCAGTTCCTGACACAGAGCTCCTAGAATCTCGTAATTTTATGAGTGATAAGGGTGCTACGAAAAGCTTCTGTTTAATATTTGGTCTTTGACCCCAGTTTCTAACACAGGTTTCCTAAAACCTCTGTAATTTCCTGAGTGGTAAAAGTATCTGGCACAGAGCTCCTAAATCCCTTGGAATTTTCTGGGTTATAGGAGCATCTTTTGTTTTAATAAGGTGACCGTTGGTGGGATCCTAGATGGGGCTGGTCACCAGAAAGACCAAGTCACCGTTTGAAGCTTTGAAGCTTAGAACTTTCAGTTCCACCTACCCCCGGCCCCACGCTCCACTCCATTCTCCAGGGAGGCAAGAGGGGCTAGAAAGGGAGTTCATAATCCATTGTGCCTATATGATAAACCTACATTTAAAAAATTCCAAAAGTACAAATGTTATGATTTTTATTGTTACTGTTTCTTTTTATTTATTGATTGATTGATTGAGATGGAGTCTCGCTCTGTTACTCAGGCTGGAGGGCAGTGGCGCCATCTTGGGTCATTGCAAGCTCCGCCTCCCGGGTACAAGCGATTCTCCTGCCTCAGCCTCCCAAGTAGCTGGGATTACAGGCTCTGGCCACCATGCCCGGATAATTTATGGTTTCTTTCTAATTTGAGGTCTCTCTCCTGAAGTGGCTGTAAGTCAAGATAGCCACTCTCTCCAGGGAGCTCTAACCAGGGGAACATTAGGCTTCGATGTGTTGGTCAGCTGAAGTATAATGAAACAGGAGAAATGTGTTACTCACAGTTCCAGAGAGGTCGGGAGTGCTTCTGGGGGCGCTGATAGGATGTCCAGGAGTGGCAGATAGCTCTCCTAGTGTGTGGAGAGTTGGGGGAGAGGAGGAGGGCCTGTGGGGCCAGGCCTAAGCTCCGTGGGCGTTATCCCTTAGGCTTTCCTGCTGGAGTTGCGGACTGGGGAGTTTAAAGTAAACATGTGTGAAGAGGGGACTTATTTACATGACTCCGGTGTGGGCCATTAGGTTTGCTCATGGTCAGCAGCTTTGGGGTTCCTTGGGCTGGGTCAGTGGCGTGAGGAACAAGTGGGTTAAGCAGCCGCAGAAGGAGGACGAGATTTTAACTCCGCCAAAGGTGACAGAGTAGCCCTGGGTGTCAAACAACTTCTGTCAGGCCTGAAAAGGGAAGTCAAATTAAATAATATTCAGCACTGATATTAAACAAATGTATGAAAATCCCTCCTTTAGTCCCTGGAATCACCTTCTGAATGTAAGACAGTTACAGTTTGAGTGGTGGAGATACAAACTATAAGGGGAACAGTATCATTTAACAAACAATTTATGCATTTTAGTAGGGAAGTTATGTTGTTTTGTGTTATGTTGAACTGATAAAGTATATGTAAAGATTAGTAGCATTACATGAAACCAAGGGGCAGAGCTGTTTGGAAATGCAAATTGAGAGATTTGTTTGGATATGCAAATTGAGAGATTGTGGCAGAAAGCTGGAGGGTGTAGTAGGAAACCCATCATGGAGTGGATGGTCCTCTCTCCCAGGAGATTGCCTTAAATGAGGCAGGTGCCACCCAGGGGGAAGAAATAATCTCATTGATTTTAGTAACAGATTCTCCTTTAGGTATGGGAATGTATGGGTGGACATGTGAGCAGACAGCAAGGAGTATACTGGGATCATTGGCTAAGCAGAGAGTGAGTCCAGGAAGAAAAGCAAAAATAAATCCTGTGTCCATTCATGCCTTAGGAGAGGCAGCCCATAGGTGTTGGTGGGGCAGAGTTTTTAGTGTCAGGTGAAATTATTTCCATGCAGAGGGCGAAGTCATCTGCAATGACAGGGTCTTTGGTTGGAGCAATATTGTCTGAGGTTGATGTCGTCATCAGGGGTGGGATTTTGGGCCAGGGTGATGTCATCTGGGATGTGGGACTAGGGTATCCTTTTAAAGTGTGTACCCACTCTTACGTTAGTTTACAATCTTACTTGGTTCACAGTCGGGTCACCAGATTGCAAACCAATGAAAGTGCTCAAATTGGTAGTAATAACACCAGGAGTTAATAGAATGGTGTATAGTTGCACCCAACAGGGCTTTTGTTTCTGGTGGAAGTTTAGGTTCAAATGGATCCCATATCAGATGAGCAGCTGCCTAGTTGTGAGTCTATGGTTAATCATTCCTAGGAGAGAATGTGCCCTTGATCTCACCTCCAATCCTTGTGGGACAGGGACAAGATCAAAAATGTATAATGATAGGTTAAGGTCAGAGAGTTAAGATAGAGAAGTTTAGAGGTTTATTTGTTGTACTGGAATTTGAAAAGAAGTTGTTTGAGGAGACTATTCTGTCTCTCAGTTAAAGCAGTTACTGGTTCCTATCAGGGACATGGAAGGTCTATTGAGTGCCTTCCTCAAGAGCCCAGCATGGTGTGTTCTAAGAAGTGCTATGTGTGTCTTGGTTAGTACCAACAAAGCCTGTAACTCTGAAGGGAAAAAGGGATGTCCTGGCAAAGTTTTGTATTGTGGCCTTGTTATAGGTGGAGATGTGATTTTTATTTATATTTTGGGTGTCCATCAGGCAAAAGATTACTAAAGTGTTTTTGTGTTTTGTTTTGTTTTGTTTTTTTTACCTTGGAGAGAACAATTTTTAAGTAATGGCCTAATAGTTTATGATAAACATGAGGATGGGGTCATCACTTCGTCAGGGCATCCAGTGCTAAGATGACTGCCTGAACTTGGTCCAAGTCTGTTGGTTTTTGTCCCATCATTTATCAGAGACATCCTGGCTAAGGGATGGGAAGCAGCAGCTCTCCCCTTAGCCTCACCACATAGAATGTTCATCAGTGCTATCTGCCTAGTGTACAAACTTCCATTGCTATTCACTCAGTGAATCCCAAGGGGCTTCCCAGATGGTAAAGAGGTGTGGGGAAAGGATAGCCATATCTAATACCCTGGCATCTGACAAGGGATAGAGGACAGGGAAGAGTCTCCGTCCACAGGTGCATATATCAGAGGGCCCAGGTTTCGCTCCACCCTCTCTTTAGGAGGCCTCTGTAGCCATGCTGAGCTTGTCAGGGCTGTTTCCGTGAACCAAAGGATAATGGGCAGCTGGATGTGGAAGGTCACAGGCTCAGGATCTGTTCTGTGAAAGCCTCTATTTCCAGCCAGTCATTTGTTGTTTTAATGGTGTATAGCACGAGGCTGAGAGAGGCAATTTCTTCCATTAGAAGCCTGGGGCAATTAATGACCATTATAAGTGGTTCAGAGACTCCAGGAGGCCTGGGAAGAGGTTGTCAAAGCCTTTGCCATAAAAGGGTTTTTTTTCTTTTTTTGAAAGCACTAACAGGAGTGTCTATTGATTTTTAATTTATGCCACAGTATTAAGTCCATTAATTTTTTTATCAGTTGGTGCATTTTAGCAGTTGTTAAAGGTGAGTTAGAATCTATGTCATAGAGGCACAAAAGCCTATCAGTGTCCCATTTTATCTTTTTGTTATGTGAATTACTTATATAAAATCCTGTTTCCAGTTGGATAAAATTATAAAAATTTCTTTAAATTTATATTTTATATATACAAGTTATTAATTTATTATATATTTATATTAAAATATATGTATACACAATTTATGCATTGATCTTTTACTTTCCCCTCTGTGTCTAGGGATATGATCTAGGGCTATTATTATATTTGCCTTACTGGTATTTGTTCCGTACTTAAAGTTCATCTTCTTATTTTTTTTTTTCTGACTTGTAATCGCATAAAGTGGCAATCTTTTTTTGTTTGTTTGTCTTGTTTTCTGTTTTAGGTTTTTAGCCACTTGAAACCATGATTCCTAGTTCTGTCTCTGGCTGATAAAAGAGGGAAGAGAAAATGACCCAGTGTCTCTTAGCAACATTCTTTCCCCAGCTATCAGCCCCTTTTCTTCTTTTTTCCCCCAATTTTTAAATAAAACCTTATAAGGGCTTATATCTTTAAGTGGCTATTTTTTTTCCTTTCTCTTTGAATGTTTATCTGACAAGCTTCTGGTGGGTCCCAGGTGGTCCCTGTTGTGATCAGTGGTCTCCATTTGTGGTTTCCGTCAGCCCCATTTGTAGGCAGCCACCTCCCTCTCTAGGGTGTCTGCATTGCATTGAATAGGCTGCAAGGAGCTACAGAAGCAAGGAAAAACAGTGACATAAGGCTCGCAGAGCCTAGCAGCACCACTGCCTGTGGAAGTTCATGGATTCCTGTGGAGGGGGCCCCACTTATTGGATGGTGCGAATACACCATCCACCAACACTGGGCTCTAATACATGGGAGTCTCCCAGGTTCTGTGTCTAGGTTTTGCCAAGCACCTGGTGTCTGTGCCCAATAGCCTCAGCACCAAGGTAGGGGTTGCCAATTTCTTCTCCCAGAACTTTATGACACAAATTGGGACCTTTGAATAGTTTAGCTACCTTGATTCTGACCAGTAGTTCCCATTTAGGGGAATGACAGCAACTATGGTTGCCCCTCTTGCAGTGCTAAGGCTGGCAATTTGTAGATCTTGGAGAGGACTCAGTTTTTTAAAAGCCACAGTTTATAGTCGGAAGTCTTGGTCACACTGGACAGATGCAACAAGGGGTGGTGCACAGAAGCACAGACGCAAGTCAGCAAGCAGCAGAACCATCTGGATGGTGTTACACAGGCAGGAGAGCCAGCTGGGAAGTGATGTGCAACTTACCAGCATTCTGTTTCCTTTCTTGTGGTCCTGACCACGTACCCTGTCCACTGCACCCATTTTTATGATCTTTATTGTTATGGTTTCTTTCCAACTTGACCTTGAAGTTTCTTTGTTGACAGTGGTAATAAGCCAAGATGGTTACCTCTAGGGAAGTCCTGACAAGGGGCAGAGGTGGAGTTCAGTTTGGGTGTGTGGGTCAGGTGAGACATAATGAGGAAGGGAAACCAAAAGCCATGAAATGCAGCAATTTGTTACTTACAAATCCCAGAGAGGTTAGGGCTGTCCACAGGGGCTGCAGGGAACTCAACCAGTGTGAGGAGAGCAAGAGACAGAAAGAGCAAATGACCTGTGAGCCAAAGCCTTTCCTGGGATCCATGGCATCGCTAGGCAGGTTTCCTGTGGGGAGTCCCAACTGGTGGGTTTAGAGCAGGAAGTCACACTGTGACTGACAGGGGATTACTGTGGCCTATCTGTGCAGTCCATATGGCGTGGACTCTCTCTTAATGTCCACTCAGAAATGATTTTGGAAGTATCTACCACTGACACTTACGCAGACTGGAGCTTATGTCAAAAGCCTGTGATCTCTTCCTGCAAGGACTGAGGGGATTTGGGGCCAGGAAATTTCCAGATGCTGCTACCTGGCACACACTATTTGAAAGATAATTGCTAGCTTGCTATTGGGCATCAGTTGAGACTGCCTCAATGACTGAAGGACACAAAATAATCATGAAACCTGAGAAATCCATATTTTGGGTGATATCAGAGAAACACTCTAGTAAGGAAGGCAGTGTCCAGAAGACTTCCATGATAAAAAGGAAATGGCTCAAACAGAAGCATACTACTGGAGAATGAAAGGAGAAAACCATCATATTCCCGAGCAGATGGCACCTTTTCCCCCAGGACCAACTTTGGAACCCTCAGAGGAGCTGCTGGATCAACAGAACCTGAAGAACAGCTTTTGATTGACTAACAAGCTGTTGCTTGGTTTAAAAATGGCGGTTACATGATGAACACACAACATCCTGTTCGGAAAGTTGCAGCCTAAAGACCAGCGGGTGGAAAGGCTCTGATTGAAGATGAGAATAAATCAGCTCAATAGGCTGAATTGCATGCTTTTTTCCTAGCAGTGATGGAAGACATTAACAATGGCACAGGCTCCAATGTTTGGGTTTTTACAGACTCGTGGGCAGAGCCCAAATCCTGATCATATGGTCAGGTAGCTGGGTGATGGAGAACTGGACCATTAAAGGGATGCCTGCATGGGCCATAGCCCTATGAAAGTCTTTCTGTGAATTTAAGGGGGCATTACAGTAAGACTTGTTAATGCCCATCAAGAGAACTCCTTTCCAGGTTTGCCGAGTGATTGGAACCACCAAGTGGACCCTTTGACGTGCTCCCCTGAGATCCACGGAATGAGTGAACATGGGGGTGGGGATGCTGCAGCAATGCAGGGATGGCTGAATCCAGACATGTTACTCTTATACAAGCTGAGGCACAAAATGACAGCAAGAACTATTCTGTGTGCCAGCAAGAGAAACAGAGACCAAAGATGGCTATGGGGAAGGTCACCCAGGGAGAAGCACATAGCTGGCAAGTTGATTACATTGGACCAATGCCAATAGTTCTGGGGGCTGTAAATTTGTCCTGACAGGAATAGATTTTTACCCTGCTGTGTTCTGCATACCTGGTTGTAGACGCAAATGCTCAAAATACTATTAAAGAATCAGAACAGCAGCTACTGTACCAATTTGGGACCTCAAGTTACATTTTGTCAAATCAAACCGATAGCATGCAACAAGGGGCAAAGATGTCACATCAAATGAACACATCATGTTGCATATCATCCTAGGAGTAATGGTTTAATAGAAAATTGGAACAGGCAGTCAAAATAGTTGCTGTTTAAAACAGGGGGAGATAAAAGCATATGGAGCTGGTTGACCGGGCATGGTGGCTCACCCCGTAATCCCAGCACTGTGGGAGGCCGAGGCTGGTGGATCACGAGGTCAGGAGATTGAGACCATCGTGGCTAACACGGTGAAACCCTGTCTCCACTAAAAATACAAAAACAAAAAATTAGCCAGGTGTGGTGGCTGGCGCCTGTAGTCCCAGCTACTTGGGAGGCTGAGATGGGAGAACGGCGTGAACCTGGGAGATGGAGCTTGCAGTGAGCCAAGATTGGGCCACTGCATTCCAGCCTGAGCGACAGAGCAAGACTCTGTCTCAAAAGAAAGAAAAAAAAAAGCATAGGGAGCTGGCTGACCTGCTTCACAAGTGTGTGCTCACACTCAACATGAGGGGGCCCAAGGGAGGGTGTCCACTGGCTAGAAAGGCTAAACCATTAATAAGGGGTCCACCCTCATAACTCAAACAGCTACCACTAGGCCCACCTCCAACATTGGAGGTCCCATTTTACATGAGATTTGGAAAGGACACACATCCAAATTTTATCATTCCACCCCGGCCCTCCAAATCTCATGTGTTCCTCACATTGCAAAATACAATTTTGCCTTGCCAGTACTCAAAGTCTTAATTCCTCTCAGCATCACCTCAAAAGTCCAAAATCTCATCGGAGACTCAAGGTAGATTCCTTCCACCTATGAGCCTGTAAGATCAAAAACAAGTTATTTACTTCGAAGATATGATGGTGGTACAGGCATTAGGTAGATATCCCCATTCCAAAGAGGATAAATCAGACAAAAGTGCCAAAAATGCTTTTGTTTTTGGGAAAACTCCCTTTTGACTCCTGACATGATATTGAAATGGCTACGTTGTCTAGGGGTATGTACTGAAACAGCTACATTGTCTGGGGTATATACCCTGGGGTTTGTTGTCTTGCCCTGAGAAAGAATTCAAGACAGAGACACATGTGAGTGGGTTAAGGAGTGGAAAGTTTAATAGAAGAAAGGAGAGAGGAGAGCAGCTCTGAGAGACAGAGAGAGAGAGAGAGAGAGAGACATCCAAAAAGCAGGGAGGGGACAGGCCACAACAAATTTTATAGGCACCCTAATCTTACTATGCAAATGGACTTTCCAGTTGATGGGTGCCATCTTGTTTTCTTCTTACTGTAAACTTGGCTGACAAAGAGAAAGGAAGATGGAGCTGCCATCTTGAACATGATTGGCACAACTGCTGGTATCTATGTCTGCCGCTCGATTTTACAGGCTGATCCTCATTAGAAAGGAAAATAACTTGGAGCTGGTTTTCATTAAAAAGAAAAGCCTTACCAAGGACTCCTATACCTTTACTATCTGCCTAAGTAATTTATTCTTAACTCCTATAAATGTCTGCTGCCTTCAACACTTTGCTGGTACAAAGAAAGTGACCTCCAAAAAAATGGGCAAACTTTGGAATGGATTAAGTTGGTCAGAATGCCCCCGACCACTCTCTGCCTCTTTTGAGGTGTTGTTGGGGACCTGCTGTACTTAAGACTTGGCTGCTGGTGACACCATTTGAGCATTTGTATTTGTCTGCCTGTGCAGTACCATAGGAGCTTTGCTCAGCTTGGACTCAGCTGTCTATGGAGACATTTGGACCTAGGGAGCAGGATTTAGGACCTCACCCAACCCCTTGACTGCGGACTCATTTGGAAGCATGCTATTTGTTTGCATGTGTTGATAGATTACTTTGTGTGTGTGCCTTGATTCCTCCTGTACTCTCCACCTCCAGTTTCACCCTCCTGATCATCTGGGAGAGCTGCCCACCTGGGGTACTGAGACTTCCTGATGGAAGATAAATGAGAATGGTGGGGCAGTCACCCCACACTTTCTAGGGGCTGGAAGGCTCCAGAATTTCCTGTTGGTTGCTTGAGTATTTTTGTTCCCCTCTTTTCTTTCTCACACTCTACTTGTAGAAGTTGGTTCTTATGCAGAGGTCGGCCAGGCTACAGCTTTCTCTGTTTTCTTTTCTGCATGCTTTAAATCTGCTGTTACTTTTCTGCTGGTGCAATGATAAAACCACTGTTTGGATCCAACTTTTTTTTTTTTTTTTTTTTTTTTGGAAACTGGTGAGTTTGTATTGATATCTTATGGCTAGAGTTCTGAAATAGAAGCTATAGGAAAGTTAAGGAGTATTCATAAATTAAGTGAATAAGCCCCAGTGCTTTACAAGTTCACGTGACTTAAGTAAAATCTTTAATAAATAAGCTGACTTTAAAATTATTGGTAAAATAATATGAGAAATGTCTTGAGAATTGCCAACATACAAAATACAGACCCAGCCCCAAACAGAAAGATCTTTCTATAATTTTTATAAGACGTTTGATATTATTTAATGAAAACAGCCAAATCTTCTGAGTTATCAACAAAATGCCCACGTATTTAACTTTACAATTCTTACTTAGATAAACACCTGATGTTCACAAGCTTTAAAAATGGTTAACATGGAAGTAACTTTAAATAATGACTGACCTTGTGTAAAATATCAGTTTTCAGAAGTAATATAATAAATGGTTAAAAATGGGAAAATTAGGTTTATATAAATGATATAAATGCTTGTCAGTAAACTTTTTGTATAATTGAAAATCTTAAAATCATTTTGAATGGTTATTGGATGTCTGGGTTATTTCCAGCTAAGAAAGAGTTATTATACGGGAAACATGTTCCAAAATTGTGGAATGGTTTTCATCTGTAAAATGCTAATATCTGATAAGCAGTTTAGGATTTCTTGCTTCCTAGGTTTGTATCAAATGTGCCGAAGAAGACATCTTCTTATTGAGAAAAAGAACATTGTCTAATTTGAAAGTTATCTAAAAGTTCATTCAAATTATGGACTTGAAAACATTATTGCCTCCATGTAACTGTCTGTTGCTTTAAAAGTTCTCATGCTGTTAAATTATAAGGCTTTGACTCTTGAGTCTGAAAAGAGGACATGATAATATTATGGCTAGCCTTAATTCTCTTGAGTAGTTAAAATCCTTTGCAAGCTCAAAAATGACTGCTTTAGACACCATCTGGGAAAAGCACCAGCTGTTGCCTTGTGCTACAGCTCAGTAGCTTAGGCTTTGCTCTTTCACATGGGAATGGTAGGTTCAATTCCTAGATTCGAGAATGAGTCATTTCTGTTTTCATAGTTGTGAAACTTTTGCCTCTTGTTGATTGTTTTTCCCTCCGGGGACAGCTTCTGATTTTCTGTCTTGAATTTTCTTTTATCTGAGCTACCCTGGGGCAATTCTGGACCTTGTGAAAATTGTTTGCCATCTCTTTGGAGACACCTCACGCATCCGTGGTTAAGTCATAACTTTAGTGAAGGCTTATTGGGCTCACTTGGGAGCACAACTTTTGGGGAAAAAAAAGAGCTTAAAAGTCAGAAGTATCAGCTATTTGTCCCAGTTAGAGTCTCGTAATAAGAGATTTTAAAAGATTTTCTTTAAAAAGCTCTATGGTTAAAAGTCAGCTTAACTAGGATAGGCAGCGTGGCTCACGCCTGTAATCCCAGCACTATGGGAGACCAAGGCGGGCGGATCACGAGGTCAAGAGATCAAGACCATCCTGGCCAACATGATGAAACCCCGTCTCCACTAAAAACACAAAAATTAGCTGGGCGTGGTGGTGCGCGCCTGTAGTCCCAGCTACTCAGGAGGCTGAGGCAGGAGAATTGCTTGAACCTGGGAGGTGGAGGTTGCAGTGAGTCGAGATTGCGCCACTGCACTCCAGCCTGGCGACAGAGTGGGACTCCGTCTCAAAAAAAAAAGAAAAAAAAGTCAGCTTAACTGAAAATTGATAGCCAGCTCTCTCTCTGTATATATAAATTTAAAACGCCTTTATGTTTTTCCTCTTCTTGGATCTCTTTTTTTTTTTTTTAGTGTTTTTTTTTTTCTTTTCTTCTTTTCAGTCAATCGAATTCCGTTTGCTTTCTTGCCACCTTTGATGCCCACATTAGAGGACCTAAGGTAATTTCTGACAGTCTGGGACTCCTTGAGATAAACAGAGTAGGTGCCACACACTCTATTTTGGGAGAAACCTTTGTTTTCCTCATGGAACCCCAGAAATTATAAATGGACAGATCCCTCTCAAAATCTAAGGCTCTGTTCTATTTTGCATCGTGTTACCTGCGTTTTTTGACTCTGGGGGGGACAACAGAAATTACTTTGCATTATGAGAGGACTTTTAGCCTTGGTGTGTAATAGTGAGGTAGGAGATGTGTTTTTAGGGAAGACCAATGGCAGTTGCTTACAGTGAATGGTCATTACTGTAGGCTGATATTCCTTTCTTCTCATGCTTAAATGAAAAAATAATGCTCTAGGGCAACTGAAAGGTATGGAATGGGGGATGAGCTGATTACAGAATGGGCTGATTGGCTTGGCTTTGCCCACCAGCCATGGGGGAATGTTCTTGACGTGAGATGCATGGTAAAAGCACTGCACTTTGTTCTGTAGCATTTCGCTCTTTTTTGAGACTCAGGATTCAGTATAAAAATGGGGTCTTTAATTTTTTTTTTTAAATCTGTTCTGCTTTCTAGCAGTGCCTCCTTCTCAGGTATGTAAATGTTACGTCCTTAAAACTGCATGCCGGGCCGGGCATGGTGGCTCACGCCTGTAATCCCAGCACTTTGGGAGGCCGAGGCAGGCAGATCACAAGGTCAGGAGATCGAGACCACCCTGGCTAACATGGTGAAACCCCGTCTCTACTAAAAATAAAAAAAAATTAGCTGGGCGTGGTGGCGGGCGCCCGTAGTCCCAGCTACTCGAGAGGCTGAGGCGGGAGAATAGCGTGAACCCGGGAGGCGGAGCTTGCAGTGAGCCGAGATAGCGCCACTGCACTCCAGCCTGGGCAACAGAGCGAGACTCCCATCTCAAAAAAATAAACAAACAAACAAAAAAAAACTGCATGCCTTCTCAGTTCGTCAAAGGGCTCCACCATGAAGCCAGCAATCCAATTAAGAAACTTAAAAACCAGCAAATGAAAAATCGTGCAACTAGTGATTTTCTTCTGCCTGTCTGTGTATTTATATATTTGTGTTGTGTATGTGAACTTGTATATATAAGAGCTCTAATTATTTGGCTTAAAGAAAAATAAGTGCTTAAATGAAACATACCGGTCAGAAAAAATAGAAACTTGAATGACTTTAGGTCACATGACCCTAATAACCTTTGAAAAATAAAGACAGTTCAAAAGGTTATTGGTAAATAAAATAAACAATTCTTCGACATTTAGATGTTTGGTTTAAATTAGGCAGGTCAGGTACTGTTTGCTAGATGCTTTGAGGTCATGAACTGCTTTTATGAGTTTTAATAATTATTTGACTTGTCTATTTTATAGCCATTAGATTCTAGGTAAGACCTGGTGACATGTGGAGTCAGCCAGGTCCCTTGGGTAGGCTGGAAAGTGTCATTGCCTGTGGCTTGGTCCTTGTCCTGGGCTCTGCAATCTGATACATGGTTAAAATTGCTACTTACCAGATTTTTCACTAGAACTAAAAGTTGCTAAGAGTTAACATTTTAATATGTACTTAATATGTACTTGAGACTACTGAATAAATAGTTTTGCATGCAAGGTGTATAGGGAAAGTAGAATGTGTTTTTGGTAAAAGATTTTAAGAAGGCATGGAAATATGATTTTGTTAAAGGGGATATAATTTTGTCTGTTTCAGAGGTTTTTAAAGATGTCCTAACCTAAAATAGTAACAGGACTAAACCGAAGGTTTAAACAAGTTGTAAACAATTTGTTAAATTTTGATCTTGTAAAGGGAGTTCTGTAGATAAGAGGAAGTTGGCTATGATTTGAAGGGGATTAATTCATTCTTCTGGAAATTAAACATTAGAACAAAAGCACACTGATGCAGGGCCAGAATCTAGGTCCATGTGTCTGAATAGCATGGTTTTTTTTTTTAGAGAGTTGACCTGATGCTTAACAAAAAATTTTTAAGGGTTATATAAGGCTTATTGAAATCTTACATTATGGTTAAAGTAATTAAGATTGAATAGATTTGTTTATAAGGTTTTATTAAGAATCAGGTTTAATTAATGGAACACTGTTGCAAAGGTAAAATTTGGCTTCCTCTTTTGAGCAGGATTTTCATCTAATAGTAAAGGATAATGAAAGAGTTTTGTTCGCCTTTTGAATAAATGACAGAAGAAAAAAAGGGAAGGGAAAAAAAGACAGATTCAGTTGGCCTCACAGAGTTTGTATTGGGTTTTGTTTGGAAAGGTGATTCTGCCCTCTATCAATGGCTAAATATTTTCCCTCTAATTTATAATGACCTGGGTTTCTAATTTATAATATCAAGTGTTTAAACCTTTGATATTTGAAAAACTTTCCAAAGTTAAATTCTAAATTAAGCCTTTTTTGATCTGGTTAATCCTATTAGATACTAGGTTTTCTCAAGCCCAAAAGAGACATATGGGACTTATTTGGTATATTAAAATCACAAAGTAAACATTGTCAAATATAAAATAGTATTTAACTTTCTTTAGGATATATTCATGTAAGTGTGTTATTAGTATGTGTTCCAAAATTGTATAAGATTCATATAATTCTGTTATGTCTCAGTATATGTTATCAGTAATAATTATGATAGCTCTATTAAATTATGTGTGCCACAGAGATGACCAGATTTTAACTGTGACTGCTCTGAGATTTTTATCATCCATAACAGTTATTTTACTTTGATTCTTTTCAAAGGCAGCTTTATAATACAGATATAGGACTCTGACAGGCACTCTTGAATGCAAATTTCTCATAACTTTGGAAATTGTGACATTAAAATAGAAGAAATAAACTTCCAAGACTCCCATAGAGAGCCAATGTGTTCAGGAATATCACACAGAACAGGAGTTAATTACATAGACTGAACTAATAGAAGAGCGAAATAATCTTTTGTGACTTTTTGTTTAAAACATTTAGTGATTCTTTTTGTTTAAAACATTTAGTGATTCTTTTTGTTTTGCTTTTCAGTGTCTAAAAATCTTTCTCTTAAGCTATTTGCAGCTTTTAACAATTGGGTAAAATACACTTCCGTTAAGCAAAACTTGAGGGACATTTCTTTCTCTCTACCCTGATTTCCCCAGAATGTAAGAACTACTTGTAAGCATATTTAATTTATGGCAGTCTAGTTATTTGCCTAATCCAATAAGAATCTGTTTTCTTTTGTAACAGGACACAATTGGAGAAACTGGTTATTTACCAAGGCTTTGACTGGAATGGCATACTTTCAGATACAAACAGACTCTTTTAAAGAATCAAAGTTGACTTATAAAGCCAATAAAAGCTTCTTGGGAAATTTGGCCCCATACTTTGTCTAGGCAGTCCCTGCACAGGGTTTCTGGCCTATGGTAAGTAAAGAATGTCACTTTCTGACAGAGCAAGGAGTCCCAAATTATCTTGGGACCACAAGCAGAGGAATTCACTCAATTCATACAAATATTTGCAGGCACAGATAAAGCCATGGCTGGGCTCAAAATGCTTTTAAAGTCTAATTTGAGATTCCTTATGGAATAAAGTTTCAGCAAAGCCAAATTTAAAAAGAACGTATGTGGCCAATAATCATTCTTGCTGCACTATTTGCAAATACTCAGGTCAAGCGTAATAAGACTAAAACTTATTTTGCAAATCAATTGTTCCTATTATGATTTGTCTTTAGTAAAAACTGGGACTGAACAGAGAATAATATGTTTCGGTTAAAAACTATAGTACACTTGGTAGACTCCAGTCTTGACCACTGTTTTTTTATTATTCTATGCAATTCGGCCTGAATCCTGAATTCTTTCTGGGATATAAGTCTCAAATTAACACTTTTAAATTTTTCTTCCATTTTTCAGATTTTGACTAAATGAAATGACTATTACATTATTCCTTGTAATACAGGCAAGAAAAAATTGTCAGACTGCCACCACCTTCCCTCTCTATAACTGAAGATGCTTTGAGTCTGACATATGGATAAATTGTGCCTAACATTACACTTTGTTTTTCTTCTGTTTCCATAGAAAGGTCTCTTATTAAAAATCTGTTTGCCTTCATTATATACAGAGGCCTCACCCATCTGCAATGTCACTTCCTAGATGGGATGCAACTACAAAACTAATCTACTCTCAAGAACTAGACAGGATTATGACTGCCTTCATGAGTATTCACAGTTCTTCCTGTAACCTGTTGAATATACACTTAGCCAATCTTTCATCACAACCAGTTACTATTAGAAATGGGGAGCATGCCTTATAATTAAGACTAACTTCTGTGTATACATCCCAGGCAATTTGGAAAATGTCTCAGATAGCCCTGCAAGATATGCACCAATAAAACAAAGCTATGCCTTATCCCACATTGTCACTTGACCAATGGTTAGTGTCCTGGTTCAGGTCAGGACCATCCTGGTGGAAAAAGCTGCTTGTAACATTGGCCCTGGTTGCAGTAGACATTTCCCTCTGTTGTGAAGTTTTCTGCTGTTGCACCCTCTGTAATAAGAATACACAACAGGCTTTCCCAGAGACCTTGCACCATAATGGTCCAAAAGTATCCTCTGTAAGTCCAGGTATTGTGAATATTTCCAACTCCAAAGAGATCAGTTTCATCCTGACACCCAATGAGTATACCCTCTTTCAGCAGGAAGTAGCCAGAATAAATATGACACAAAAATCCCACAGAAAAAAAAAATGGAACTTGGCAGTAGGAAATTGTAACCAAGTGCCCCCATTTTTCAAAGAGAGAGTTTAATTATCTTTCTCTCTTCTTTTCTCTTTCCTCATTTTCCCCAATTTCTATTTAGCCCTTTAGGATTACAAATATAGCATTTTACCTGCCCTTCACCAGACACTCCCTACAGAGCAAGTTCATCTAACTACATGCTTAGGAGATCCCAAAAGGAATTCTAACCCACCAGCAGGTTGCCTCGAGAGATAACAGTCAATTTACAACCCAAAGTATGCCTGCCCGTGAAGATGCCAGCAGTCACCAGCTTGACCACGCTGTAGATAAAACACTAAGCTAACATGCAGACCCCTCACCTGCTTGCTTTCCCACCACCCACATGCTGTTCATGTTAGGTACCCTTTCAATGTGCTCACATTCTTCTCCAAAAGTGAAGTGATACCCTAAAAGCAGGAAGCTGGAAATTTTTCCCCTAAGCTAGCTTTGGAATACAAAGTCACTTTCTTTATACCAAACTTCACTCTTATCAGTTGGGCTCTGCAAGTGGTGAGTGACTGAACCAGCTTTTTGATTACACTGTAAAGAAATACCTGAGGCTGAGTAATTTACAAAGAAAATGAGGTTTATTTTGTCTCGCAGTTCTGCAGGCTGTACAGGAAACATGGTGCTGGCATCTGCTTCAGGTGAGGGTCTTAGGAAGCTTACAATCATGACAGAAGGTGAGGGAGAGCCAGCACGTCACACAGTGAGAGAGGCAGCAAGAGAGAGAAGAGGAACTCCCAGACTCTTGTAAACAACCAGATCTTGTGTGAAGTAACTGAGAAGGAACTCACTCATCATCAAGAGTATGATGCTAAGCCATTCATAAGGGATCCAATCCCATGACCCAAATGCCCCCCACTAGGCCCACCTCTAACATTGGTGGTCACATTTCAGCATGATATTTGGAGGGAACACAAATCCAAACCATACCAAGAGGTTGGGGAAGGATTCTAATACAACTACACAATTCTTCCCCATATCTCCTCAGTTGTCTTTTTTCCTACCTGATGCAGTGATTCCAAGACCAGGGGTGCAACTGCAGGTACTGGAAGCAGGCTGATTCCTAAGCAAGAAACTATACCTATACCTTTAAACTTTAGGCCAGAATTTCCAAAAGCCTGAAGGATGGACTGGCACAGTTGGGGTTGACAGTGAATGCTACCATGTTTCCTAGTGGTTAGAATAGCTCGTATTTTTATCTCTATGTAACCTCAGCCTGTATCAGTGGGACTGAGCTGAGAGCAAGGCACTTGGTAGAATAGTATTGCTAGCAGTACTGTAGACCAAGACAGTGGTTGAGCACATTATCCCTCTAAAAGGTGGAGAGTTTGAGTAAAAATAAATGTCAAATGGAGAGAAGGAGAAATAATAGCTGAGGGTAAAAGACTAAATAAGTGGATTATGCAATGAGAGAAGCCTAATGTTGTATTAATACCTCAAGAGAGGCTCAGAGCAAGAGAATGATATTATCTCCTAGCACAATTATACCAGATGCCCAGAAGGGTGAAGCAATGTGTTTTCCAAGACCACCCCTGCTTTTGAAACCTGACAAAGTTGAATGGCAGCCTGCAAACCTGAGTGGCATCCCTCTAGGAAACATTCTGGTCACACTGTGTGATGAAATGGACTGACTGTTAATGACTAATTGGGCTTGAAATTGAGTTAATAATTGATCATCCCTATGTGATGATGCATCCAGCAAAAAAAAAAAAAAATAGAAAAATCCCTAACGTATGGGGCTTGGGGAGCTTCCGGGCTAATGAATAGAAACATTTCCACGTGTCAGGAGAGTGGCACACCCCAATTCCATGAGGCCAGAAGCTCCTGCATTTGGGACCTTTCTAGACCTCACCCTATGTATCTCTTTATGTGGCTATTCATCTGTATCTTTTGAAATGCCCTTTGTAATAAGTTAGCAATAATAAGTAAACTGTTTTCCTAGCTTTTGTGAGTTTGCTAGAGAATTTCGTGGTGTATGGGGAAAGATCCCCACATATCTGATATCAGAAGTTATCTGTGTTGAGGATATAGTAGTAGAAAACAGTTTTGTTTTGTTTTGTTTTGTTTTTGGAGATGGAGTCTTGCTCTGTCGCCCAGGCTGGAGTGCAGTGGTGCGATCTTGGCTCACTGCAAGCTCCACCTCCCGGTTTCACTCCATTCTCCTGCTTCAGCCTCCCAAGTACCTGGTACTACAGGCACCCGCCACAACGCCCGGCTAATTTTTTGTATTTTTAGTAGAGATGGGGTTTCACCGTGTTAGCCAGGGTGGTCTCGATCCCCTGACCTCATGATCCACCCGCCTCGGCCTCCCAAAGGGCTGGGATTACAGTGATGAGCCACCGTGCCCAGGCAGAACACAATTTTTTAAAAAAAGATTGTACAATCCAAATGGAACAAACTTGCTTCTTATGCATTTCCTGTCAATAATGTCAAAATTGATAACTCTTTTTGTAAAAATCTATGAAACTTATTAGAAAGGATAAAGAATAAAAACTACAGTAACCACAGATATAAAAATGTAAATTGTAATATTCATTCATGAAAATGCAATATTCATTCATATTCAACATGAAATTTGCCTAAGTACACTAATAAATGCAATTTCAAACCTAAAGCTAAAATGCAACTTTAACACCTAAAAGCTTATATTCCAAAAGGCCTTGCTTGCTATCTTGCAGTCCCTATGTAGCCTCTCAATCTCTCAATTACTTTTTTGCAACGAATGAAAAATTGGTAGAAGTCTATGGTCTCTAGAAGCTATAGTTGATGCGGGGCTGAAATGCCTTAAGGAGATACTTTGTTTAATCTTGGACAATAAAGGCAGGTGTTTATCTTGCATCATAGTTCAGCCATATTCTGTAGTTCAAGCTATGTGTCTAAAAGGCATCATTCATTTTTGATATTTGACTTCTGACAGCTTTCAAGTTCCATAGCTCACGCTTCCATTTCTACCTCACATATAGACAATATGATAAGAAAATGTGGGTACTCCATCCTTTGGTGCAGGAGCAGGAAATTAAAACCATGCAATGGAATGCTCATCCCAGCCACACTCCTAACTACCTTCAAAACCACAAGTCCATTTTCTTTTTTCATTCTCTTAAGCCATTTTTGGACCTGCTTTGGAGCTGCCTTGCTTTCCCCGGAAATCTTCATTATGTGAGCAGTAAACATATTTATACCCTCTTGAGTTGTGTGTGAGTCTTATCAATTCGGATATCTAAACCCAGTTTTGGGTGAGAGGTTCATCCTGTGTCATCGAGTTAGCTAGGACAGAATATCTATGTTATATAGTGGGGTTTTCATTTGTTTGATTGTTTTTAATCTTCACTCAATTTTGAGGTTCTTGCTAGAGGCTGGTCAGTTCCTCTTCTTAAACAGCTCAGTAAGTCCGTACCCCAACCACTTTCCTTATTAGAATCTCACCCTCTGGGCCATCATGCATCAGCCTTAAGTGCACCGGATTCAGGTACCAGACATCTAGGGACAGCTCCTATACCCTGGGGCCTAAAAGAGTATTCAAATTAGACAATCCATGAGGAGTTCACAAAACCTAGCTAACCCCACCCTATTTGCCATATGTAAGTTTCCCCCTACAGTTCCATGTTGCTATTACCTTACCCTGTCTTCTGATGCAATCCCCTGTTTCACCCTACCTGGCAATCTCCTCTCCTTTGGAGCTGTATATAACAAAAACTTCTACTTCTCTTCTATTTGAGTGTTATTGTGTTGTGTCCTGCCATCAAAATAATTGTTTAATCTTAAAAAGCAGTTGGCATCTCAAACAGGATGGCCATGACCACGGAATCTTGCATGGCTGCAGGGAGGGACTTCACTTGGCTTGTGAATCAATTCCAGTCCACCATAAAAGAGGCTTGGTACAGAACTTCCACCTATGGCAAGCTTGTGCTTTAGCCTTGTTGCTTGTTTCTGTGCTTTCTGGTGTTTGCCACATTGTTCTTTGCCCAAGTTTTCTAGTTGTTACAATATTAATAATGAACTTTACTAATTGGTTAAACTTTGGGGGCTAGATACCGGCTCAGTTGGTGACGCACCCTAGGGCAATCAGAATGACAGGCTGGGTGTGGTGGCTTACGCCTGTAATCCCAGAACTTTGGGAGGCTGAGCTGGGCAGATCACGAGGTCAGGAGATCGAGACCATCCTGGATAACACGGTGAAACCCCACCTCTACAAAAAATACAAAAAATTAGCCGGGCATGGTGGCGGGTGACTGTAGTCCCAGCTACTCGGGAGGCTGAGGCAGGAGAATGGCGTGAACCCAGGAGGCGGAGCTTGCAGTGAGCCCAGATCGCACCTCTCTGCACTCCAGCCTGGGCAACAGAGCAAGACTCTGTCTAAAAAAAAAAATGACAGGCCACTGAAGCCACAGTTTCCAGGGCTGGGCATTCTGGTATGTTTCTGGTCACAGCCTGTGTTTGGCAAAGACCTATTTCAGGGGTCAGTATTTCTTAGTTATTTATATGGATTAAATGTGTCCTCTAAAAAACAATGTGAAGGAAGCTTAATTCTAAATGCAAAAGTTTTGGGAAGTGGGGCTTAATGGGAAGTGTTTAGGTCATAAGGGTTCCACCCTTATGAATGGGTTAATGTGGATTATAAAAGAGCTTGAGGCTATGAGTTTGATCTCTCTCACCATGTGATACCTTTCTTTATGTTATGATTCAGCCAGAAGGCCCTTACCAGATGCCAGCCCCCTGAACTTTCTGGCCTCCAGAACTATGAATCAAACAAATTTCAATTGTTTATAAATCACTCAGTTTGTAGTATTCTGACATAGCAGCACAAAATGGAATAAGACAAAAATTTCATACCAATAAATGGGAGTGTTGATATAACAAACACCTGAAAATGTGGAAGTGGCTTTGGAACTGCATAATGGGCAGAGGCTGAAAGAATTTGGAGAAATAGGCTAGAAAAAGACTGTATCACTGTGAACAGAGCATTAGGGACCCATTCTGTTGAGGGCTCAGAAAAAGAGAACTGCAGGGAAAATCTGGAATTTTTTGTTTTGTTTTTTTTTTTTTTTTGAGACAGAGTCTCACTCTGTCACCCAGGCTGGAGTGCAGTGGTACGATCTGGGCTCACTGCAACCGCTGCCTCCCAGGTTCCAGGGATTCTCCTGCCTCAGCATCCCAAGTAGCTGGATCACAGGCACATGCCACCACAACTGGCGACTTTTTTATTATTAGTGGAGATGGGGTTTCACCACATTGGCCAGGCTGGTCTCAAACTCCTGACCTCAGGTGATCTGCCCACCTTGGCCTCACAAAGTGCTGGGATTACAGGCATGGGCCACTGCGCCCAGCCAAAATCTAGAATTTCTTAGGTATCACTTAAGTGGTAATAATTAGAATGCTGGTCAAAATATAAACAGTAAAAGTTATTCTGACAAAATACTAGATGGAACTGAGGAACAAGGCATTGGAAGCTGGAGTTAAAGGCCATTCTTGTTAAATGGTTGCAAAGAACTTGTCATAATTTTGTTCATGTCCTAGGACTTTCTGGAAGGCAGAACTTTAGAGCAATAGGATTTCTGGCAAGGTAGGACCTTGAGGGCTACATTTTCAAAAAGAGGCATATACAAGATCTCAGAACTGGCTACCCCGGGCTACCTCAAGACTCTGTTCCCCACATTCTGGGGCAGCACTCTTTGGTCACCCCAGCCTTGGCTCAAGTGGGCTCAAGTGCTGCTTAACTTACTGCTTCCGAAAGTAGAAGCAGTAAACTCTGCAGCGTGCACATGGTGCTAATTCTAGAGGTGTGCAGCGTGCACATGGTGCTAATTCTAGAGGTGTGCAGCGTGCACATGGTGCTAATTCTAGAGGTGTGCAGCGTGCACATGGTGCTAATTCTAGAGGTGTGCAGCGTGCACATGGTGCTAATTCTAGAGGTGTGCAGCGTGCACATGGTGCTAATTCTAGAGGTGTGCAGCGTGCACATGGTGCTAATTCTAGAGGTGTGCAGCGTGCACATGGTGCTAATTCTAGAGGTGTGCAGCGTGCAAGAGCTGTGGCTCCCTGGTAGCCTCCAGGTCCTACCTTGCCTCTAAGATTCTTCTGAACTACCTTCAAGTTCATTTTCCAATTGCTTGATGACTAGAACCTGGCTTTCTTTTATCCATATTAATCTCTTTAGAAAATGGTCACTTTGCCACACCATTAGCATTCTCTCCTGAACGTATTTCTTTATTCTTTACATGGCCAAGCTTAGGGTTTTCTACATCTTTCCGTTCTGATTCCATTTGAATTATAAATTCTGTCTTTAAATAATTTCTCCCTTCTCTCATTTTACTCTAAGAGGAAAAAAAAAAAAAACCATGCCACACTTTGCTTGACCAGTAGATTTCAAAGGATGCTATGGAAAATCTAGGGGCAGAAACATGGGGCAAAGCCACCACAGAAAGTCTCCATTAGGGCAATGCCTAGGGTAGCCACAGGGGTTGGGGTGCCACTGAGACCCCAGAACTGTTGAACTACCAGTGTGCCATGCCAACCTGGAAGAGACACAGGAATTGAGACAGAGCAGGGATGGGGTTTGGCTTCAGCTCATCCCCGCTAGAGCATTGTTTCATGCATTCTCACTGATCACAAAACCCATACCACTACCTCATTGATTCCATATCTGCGAATAGTCCTTTTACTTCATTCCAGGAACTGGCCTTAGGAGATCAGAAATACTGAACCAAGGTTGCTGAGTGTCCCACCTTGGGAAGGAATGTTGAACAACTGATTTACAGCCTTGCTGCTGTTGACTAGACCACCTGGTGGCCCATTACTCAAGACAACCATCGCAACCAGATATGCTGACCTGTGTACCCTACTCCTCACGTGCTGTGCCCAACCCAGCCTCCATACCCTACCCCTGATGTCAATTCCCATGCTTTGCCTACTAAAAATTCTATACTGGCTCTTTTTGGAGGGCCAGCTAAAGAATCCTTGCACCTCCACTGTCTCCCTTGCACTGGAATACAAGCCCAGAAATAAAAACCTTGTCTGGGAAATCTGCTTGGCCCCATGTTAATTTCCATTATATGGGTCTGTAACAGATTCTCTGGTGACTGCAGTAGGCCATGGGATGTGGGGAGAATTTTCCTCCCTGGAGAGGGAGGTTCATGAGCCAGTGGGATGCCCAGACATGACCCCTTCACAGCTGAAGAGCGGCTGCCTGGATCTTTGATTCAACGTTGAGGCAACTGGTGAGTTTTTCTCCAGCTTCCTGAAGTCTCCTTTCCAACCTTGCAGACAACACTTTCCCTCCCCTCCTGTCCCCGATTTGTTGTGTCTTTTTCCTTCTTCTTCCAGCTTTCCTTTCTTCTTTGCTTTTCGTTAACTTCATCGGCTTCACCTGAAAAGGTACCTGTGAGGGACGGGCTGAAACAGTCGGTTGGCTCAGTCTTAATAGGCATCGTGCAGGATGGATTGAAACAGCCAATTGGTTCAGTTGATAGGAAACTCTGTCTGGCACCCTGGCTTGAACTTTGTAATCTTCTTAAGTCTTCTAAGTACTTTTCCTCCCTTTGCCACACTTTGTGGAGAAGGGAAGTCTATGGGTTGTTCTGTCATCTGTCTGTTCCAGCCTGTGAGCCTATTGACTCTGTGCTGTCTTTGTGAGGAGAGAACGTGACAGCATGTGGGTTTGAAGTCTGCATCACTGACATCCTGATCTGCTTTTCCTTTTGTGTGTTTAATTTGACACCTTTTTTTCTCCATGCAACCCATTGGACAGCATCTTGCAAAAATGAGAGACTTTGTAACACAGCTTGGCCCCCACAGCTATGGTGCAGTGAGCAGGATCATCAAAAGCCACTCTACTTTTCTGGAAGTTACAGAGAAAGGGAATCTGGAATCCTGGAATGCTGGCAAAACAATAAGAGTTTATTACCAGCCAGGCTTCTGGCCTTTCTCTGTGCAAACCAGTTAGGTGAATGGTAAAAACCATTGTTTGTCTCCTCTGCATGATTTTAATTAATGGTTAAAAAAAAAAAACAAAAAAACGGGGAGGCTATAGCAAATCTGGTGTACTTTGTGCTGTGCAATTGTGTTTCTGTGTTGTTCTGTCTTGGAAAGGGGTACCACAGGATAGAACGTGGGCCTAGGACCTTGTAAGCCTGCTGTTCAAGTTGGCCCAGCCGACTGGTTAGTTACAAACTTTGCTTCAGGTCCCAGAAGCAAAACTGGTAAGGTTTCCCTTCTGTCTTGTTTTATGTCCTTGAGAAATTGACTTTGCAACCATATTGAGGTACTCTTTCTTGGTCTCGGCCATCTGGAGGGTGGGAATTTTCAGGTTTACGTCGGACATCCTGTCTCAAAGAACACATGATAATGTCATGGCTAGCCTTAAGAATTCTCTTGAGCAGTTAACATCTTTTGCAGGCTCAGAAATGACTGCTATAACTCTTTCTGGGAAAGACATTGGCAACCGCTTCCTGCTGTAGCTCAGTAGCTAAGATTCTTATCTTTTCATGATGGCACCCCGGGTTCAATTCCTGGCTTAGGGAGTGAATTCTTTCTGCTTTGATGCATGTAGGACTTTTGCCATTTATTGATTCATCTTCCCTCCATGGACAGCTTCTAATTTACAGTGTTAATATTTTTTTTCTGAGCTACATTAACAGTGATTATAAATCTTGCAAGAACCACTGCCATTTCTTTGGAAAAACCTCATGTATCTATGGTTATGTCCTAATCATAGTTAAGGCTTATTGGTTTCATTTGGGAGAATACCTGGGCGGGAAGCAGCTTAAAAGCCAGAGGTGTCAGCTATTTGTCTTAGCTATAGTTTGGTAATGGGCGATTTAAAAGGTTTTTGTTTGTTTGTTTGTTTGTTTGTTTGTTTGTTTGTTTTAAAGAGCTCTATAGTTAAAAGTCAGCTTAATTTAAGAAAGATATCCAAGTTATACATATATTTAAAAGAACTTTATGCTTTTTTCTCTTATTGAATCTTGTTTTTTGAGAAAAAAAGTTTTTCTTCTTCTCAGTCAGCTGAACAATTTCTCCATTGATTTCTGTCTGTTTTCTTGCCATCCTAAATGCCCACACAAAGGGACCTAAGGTATTTTCTGACAGCCTGGCGGACCTTGGGAAGAAGAGTGGTGGTGCCATAGGCCCTGTTTTTGGAGAAACCTGTTTTTCTCATGGAACCCTAAGAATTTTAAGTGGACAGATCCCTTTCAAAATCTGAGCCTCTGCTCTGCTTTTCATCGATACTTAACTTTTTTGAGTTTGGGGAGCATCAGAAATTACTTTTCATTATGAAAGAAATTTTAGTCTTGATATACAGGTAGAAGATATACTTCTAGGAATGGCTAATGGCGGTTGCTTACAGTGAGTGGTTATTACAGGCTAATACTTCTTTCTACACACATTTAAGTGAGAAAAGCATGCACTTGGGCACCCTTTAAGGCATGAAATGGGGGAATGGACTGATTACAGAATGGGTTGATTGGCTTTGGGTTGCCCACAGCCTTGGAGAAATGTCTTTGAAATGATATACATTGTGCAAGCATTGCACTGTCTTGTCCCGTAGCATTTCCCTCTTTTGGGGGACCCAGGATTTGGTGTAAAAATCACGTCCTTAATTCCTGGGGAACTGTTTCGCCTTTCAGCTGTGCTGGCTTATTAGGCCCTACAAACCACGTGCTTTCTTGGCCCTGTTCCTTGAAAAGCTCTGCCCTAAAGCCAATAATACAATGAAAACATTGACATGTTTAAGGGAATCTTCATGTATTAGAATGTCTGCTTTCCTGGACATCTTAGCTGAACTTTCACTCACACCATTTTTTTCTTAGAGTAAAATATAAATCCTCTATCCTGTTTTACCTAAAAGTTTTCCTTTAGTAATGCAAATTTAAAGTTTTCTAGCTGACAATTGTTCACAGCAAGGAACAGGTAATCAAGAGACTGATGGTCTAAAATGGAAAATAGAAACTTAAACACTGGAAAGTAAGAAATATTATAATTCTACTAGTTCTGCTTCTGTCTATTTATACATGTTGTATGTGGAATATTTATATAAAATTAATGACTTAAAGAAAAATAAGCACTTAAAATATTTTGTCAGAAAAATGGAAACGGAAACTTTAATACCTTTAGTTCACATGACTTCAGTAATCTTTGGTAATTAAAGACAGTTTTAAAGATTATTGGTAAAATAAATAAAAAGTCTTCAAAATTTAGACATTTGGTTTAAATCAAGCAGGTCAGATATTGTCTTTGCTAGATGCTTTATGGTTATAAGCTGCTTTTATGGCTTTTGATAATTGTTCAACTTGGCTGCATTAGGGTGACTAGATTCCAGGTAAGGCCTGGGTACATGTGGAGTTAGCCATGCCCACTAGCTGTGCTGAAAAGGGTCAGACATTATCTGAAGTTCTTTCCTGTGTTCTAGGCTGTGCACCCGATGTATAATTAAAATGATTTCCCTCCTATGTTTCTCACTAAAAATAAGAGTTATGTGCCTTTGGTAAAATATTATAAAGAGGCATAGGAGTGTGACTTTTTAAAGAGAATGAATATTGTCTAGTTTGGAGATTTTAAATTCTCATTTAAAGTGTAAGCTAAGCATTGAGTACATATGGACACAAAGAAGGGAACAACAGACACGAGGATCTACTTGAGGGTGGAGGGTGGGAGGAGGGTGAGGATTGAAAAACTACCTAGTATCGTGTTTATTATCTCGGTGACAAAATAATCTGTACACCAAACCCCACAACATGCAATTTTTCTTCATCACAAACCTGCATATGTGCCCCAGACCTAAAATAACATTTGAAAATAGAGATAAGATTAAATTTAAGATTTAAGACTGGGCATGGTGGCTTATGCTATAAACCCAGCACTTTGGAAGGCCAAGGTGGGAAGATCACCTGAGGTCAGGAGTTCGAGACCAGCCTGGCCACCATGGTGAAACCCCGTCTCTACTAAAAATATAAAAAGTATCCAGGCATGGTGGTGGGCACCTGTAATCCCAGGAGGCTGGGGCAGGAGAATCACTTGAACCTGGGAGACAGAGGTTGCAGTGAGCTGAGATCATGCCACTGCACTCCATCCTGGGGGACAGAGTGAGACTCTGTCTCAAAAAAAAAAAAAGATTTTAGTAAGTTATAAAAAAATCTATAAAATATTGATCTTAGAAGCGAAGTCCTGTGTATGAGCAAGTTGGCCAAAATATAAAGGGGATAATTTAGTTTTTCTATGGACAGCACATTAATGTAAAAAGTACACTGATGCAGGCCCAGAATCTGGGCCTCTCTGCCTAAATAACAGGATTTTTGTAGAGCATTAATTGGCTTTTTAATTAAAAAATTATAAAGGGTTTACAAAAATCTTACCTTGTGATCAAACTAATTAAAATTGAATAGATTTATTTCTTTTTTATTTTTATATAATGCTAAAAATAGTGAAATATTTTTGTTTGCCTTTAGAGTAAACTGCAGAAGAAAAGGGGAAAAGAGGGGAGAAAGAAGAGACAGACTCAGTTGGCCTCATGCTGTCTTTATTGGATCTTGTTATTTTTAAAGGTTTCAGCCTTTTTGAAATTTTTTGAGTAATAATTTAGGCTAAATGAATGATCTGTGATCTTATTTATTGATATCAAGTGTTTTTTTATTTTTTAAAGTGAAATCAAGTTTATTAAGAAAGTAAAGGAATAAGAATGGGTATTCCATAGGTAAAGCAGCAGCCTGAGCTGCTAGTTGCCATTTTTATGGTTATTTCTTTTTTCAAGATGGAGTTTCGCTCTTGTTACCCATGCTGGAGTGCAGTGGTGTGATTTTGGCTCACTGCAACCCCCACCGCCCAGGTTCAAGTGATTCTCCTGCCTCAGCCTCCGAAGTAGCTGGGTTTACAGGTGCCAGCCACCACAACTGCCTAGTTTTTGTATTTTTTAGTAGAGATGGTGTTTCATCATGTTTTCCAGGCTGGTCTTAGTTATTTCTTGATTACATGCTAAAGAAAGAGTAGACTATTCATGAGTTTTCTGGGAAATGGGTGAGTGATTCCTGGAACTGAGGGTTCCTCCCCTTTTAGACCATATAGGGCAACTTCCTGACATTTCCATGGCATCTGTAAACTGGAGTAGCCTGCTTTCAAACTACTTTTTAAAACATGTGATTGATTCACAAAGCCAATAAAAGTCCCTTTGCACAAATGGCCTCATGCCTTGCCTATGTAGTCCTGTAGAGGGTTTCTGACTTTCGGTAAGTAAAGAATGTCACTTTCTAACAAGTCCAAGAGCCTGAAGTTATCTTGAGGCGTTGAGAGCAGAAGAATTTACCCAATTCATACAAGTATTTGCAGGCATGGATAAATATGTGGCTGACCTCATGACCTTAAAAAGTCTTATCTGAGATTCCTTATGGAACAAAGTTCTAGAAAAGCCAAGTAAGAAGAGAACCCATAAGGAAAATAATTATTATTGCCATTCTTTATGCAAATAAGGTCATGCATAATAACACTGAAACTTATTGTGCAAACAGATCAGTCCTATCATGGTTTGTCTTTGATAAAAATGAGAGACTGGAGAGAGAAAATTATGCTACAACAACAATTTATAAGACAACTGTTATTAGAGTCCAGCCTTGTCCATTTTTTATTGGTTTTTATTATTTTCTGCAATTTGGACTGAATCTTAAATCCTTTCTGGGCTACAGGTCTCCACACTAACATTTAAAAAATTACCTTCCAATTTTCTGACTTAAACTTAATAGAATTGCTATTACCTTTTTTCTAAGACCCTACAACCTGAAGCTTATTCCTTGTAACATAGATGAGAATAATGTGCCAGAATGCCACTGATTTCCTCCTCTGTAACTGAAAATGCATTGAGTCTAACATCTGGATACATTATGCCCATGATTAACATTTGTTTTTCTTCTGTTTCTATAGAAATACCTCTACTAAAAATCTGTTTGCCTTATATTTCAGACAACAAGAGATTGGTTTTCCAGTCTATTCACTTAGATTCTAAATGACATCTGATCTATTCTTACAAGCATTGTTAAACTAGGCTTAAGCATTTTATTAATGATCATTGGGTGCTATTTGATTTTTAAAATAATTATTTGTTATATTCAACAGAGGTGCAGACTGTTAAAGTTTATCTCTTCTAGGTCTCAGCAGTCCACGTCAAGCTGATGGTGGTGCAAGGATTTCAAACCCTAATATCCTACGGGGAGGAGCTAAGCCCCTATAACACATTCAATTAGTCAGTAAGGGATTTTTTGTGACCTCAAAAATTAGGCAGGGATGATGTCCCTGGCTAGTGGGAAGCAGATTCAGAAGAGGAGACCTTCAGACCTTTGTCTCTAAAAATAAGGAGGATAAAATTTTTCAGGGAGGATTGAAACAGAGTAGGGAAAGGACTTGGCTTCAACTCACTCCCACTAGGGCATTCTTTCATGCATTCCCACTGATCACAAAACCCACACCACTACCTCACTGATACCATACCCACTAATAGTCCTTTGACTCAAAGAATTCCAGGAACATGCCTTAGGAAATAGCCAAGATTGTGGAGTGTCCTACCTCAGGAAAGAATGCTGAACAATTGATTTATAGCCTTGTTGCCACCATCCAGACCACCAAGTGGACCATTACTTAAGATACATCACAACCAGATATGCTGACCTACATACCCCACCCCTCACATGTTTTGTTCAACCTTGTATACAAGGGGAAGAAATACCCACCGCAAACCCACTCCTGATTTCAATGCCTACGCTTTGATTAAAAAATTTCTACCGGCTTTTTTAAAGGGGCCATCCAGAAGGTCCTTGTGCCTCTGCTGTCTCTCTTGCACTTGAGCTCAAGCCCCACAATTAAAGCCTTATCTGGGAAATCTGCTTGGCCCCGTGTTAACTTCCATTACATGGGGAGCCTAACAGTTTGTAGTTTGTAACAGAATGAGACTTCAACCTTAGATAGCTGAAGCATTGGTTGAGCCCAGTAAAGCCGTGGGGCTGAGGTTGCTGAAAACATTGCAGGCCCAACCTACCCCAGAGTGTGCAGAAGGTAGCCCATGGAGTAAAAAGTTATTTTGAAGTTTTCACATTTAATGTTATCTTTCTCGTTGGGTTTTGGACTTGCTTAGGGTCTGTTATTTTCTTTTTCCCCATTTCTCTCTTTTGGAATGGACATGTATGCCCCATGCCTGTCCCATAACTGTATTTTGGAAGCACTTAACTTGTTTTGATTTCACAAGCCAATAGCTAGAGGGGAATTTGCTTCAAGGTGTGTTGTGTCTTAAGTCTCACCCATATCTTATTTAGATGAGACTTTGGACTTCAGACTTCTGAGTTAATGCTGGAATAAATTAAGATTTGGGGGTTATTGGGTGGAATGAATATATTATATATGTGAAAAGGACATGGATTTGGGAGGCCAGGGACAAAATGTTATGGTTTGAATGTGTTCCCCAAAAGCATGTGTTGGAAACTTAATCCCCATTGCAAGTGTTGGGAGGTTTTTATGTCATGAGCTATCCACCACCATGAATATATTAATGCAAATTATAAAAGGGCTTGAGGCTGTGAGTTTGATCTCTTGCTCATTCTTTTGTCCATGTGATCCTTTCTGTCATGTTATGTAGCAAGAAGGTCACCAAATGCTGGCCCCTCAATATTGGACTTACCAGCCTCCAGAACTATAAGAAATAAATTTATTTTCATTATAAATTACCCATCTCTGGTATTCTGTTATAACAGTGAGGGAGAACAAAAGGAAAAAATCAGGTAAACAGCTAAGGGTGGTCCTTGGAGAAGCAGCCTGCCTGAAAAAGTACAGCTACAGGCAAAAATACAGCAGCCTAGGGAAAATTCAGGCTGTACCTGCACAATAAGCAGGCAGGGTCCTGCACAGGGGAGTTGTGCAGACAGCTTTTCAGATAAGAGAAGATACTCAAATAGCTACAGAGATGAGAGGAATTTCTTATAAAAACTTTGAATTCCACTGTAAAAATGGCAACTCACTCTGGCTCCCCCTCTCTGCTTGGAAGAGCTTTCCTCTTTCATTCCAACCTCATGTTTTGCAATCACACTTCTTAATTTTCTTGGATATGAGACAATGAGCTCAGACAACACTTTAGACAACAAGATCAGTGACCCTGGTCTGTTTCATTAGTGGGGGCTCATCTCGGATCTATCGAAAGGGTGAGCAGGAGCAGAACCATAACTCTAGTTTTATTTCCAGGGTTTCTCGCCCTCTGTTTTTTTTTTTTTTTTCCCTCTCAAGAGTGAAAAAAAACACTGGGCCCCTGTTAGCCATTTAGATATATTTAGTGTGGCTGCCAGCCTTAAAATTCAGGCAACAGGCTGAATTGCCCTTGAGTGTTGGGAATGTTGGCTCTGTTCCAATACAGTTTCTTCTCACTGAGGGCCTGGTTATCGTGTGGGGCTGCAAGGAGGTCCTGGGGCAACTGAAATTTTCTGGCTGAAGCTACACCTTGGTGTTACCTGAAGACCCCTGAACTAACTCCAGTTCCTGACTGCCCATTGAGTGTTGACAACAGGACCTCCAGACTGTTATATCACATTTTCTTCCTTTCTTTTCATTGCTATTATATCTCCTATCCCTTCTTTGTATGCAATGTTGTGGGTGTTTCTACAACCTGGGGATATAATCTTATTGGGTAAAGTCAGCCAGTGCCTGAGTAATCAAGAATGTAATTAAAAAACTTGCTGTCTCTGTGATTCTCTTGAAATTGGGGGATTCTGAGACCTATTTATTTCCCAATAATAGCACTCACTGGGGTTGGATGGGCGGTTATTTCTCCCTGAGTGACTATCCCCCCAACCCCGATCCATTTAAGCTGTTTCTTTTTCCATGTGAGAAGCCAGCACTGTCCAGAAGAACTAGACAACCTCTCTATGAGACGGACTATTGTTTATCTTGCTGGGAGCATGTTGAAAAGATGGCCTATCACTCCTCAAACTTCCCTCTCTAAGCTTTGTCTGGAGAGCATTTGGAGACTACTATTTGGTGTTCCAATCTCTGACATGCCACCTAGTGGAATGGGATTTTTTTCTCCATGGGGGCCCTATTGGCCCGTTGGCCAAAACCTCTCATTTCCCAATTCATTTCCCTCCTATTCCCTCTACTGGGTACCAGGCTCCATGCCCCATTTGTAGACAGAAAAACTCCTCCTTCAATATCTGGAGGAAGCTACCCTTGAGAGACAAATTCTAGCCTCAGTACTGTCCCCATCAAAGGGACGACAGCCATTTCATCCTTATGTTCTTTTGAGACACCTGTTCTGCATCCAACTACATTGGCATTTAAACAAAGAGGGGTTTTATGTTTGGAAGTCAGTTGGACCTATTCTCTATGAATGAATACTTTAGTCTGGGCCATAATAGTGGAATATAGAGGTAGAGCCAGAACCCTCCCTTCATTAAGGGGACTTGCCCAGCAACAACTATTACGCAGTTTTTCCCAGGACCCATCCAATTTGTCTCCCCCTACCTGGGGGACCTAGTGGCCATACTGGTCATGCAAGATTAGGAAGTTAAAGGGGAAGCACCCACGGAAGACTAGGGCTATGAACAGTTAAGTGTGATTATTCCTGCCAAATAGCTTCTCTGGATGCATGGGTGAAAGCCATGCTTGCATCCATGGGCAGCACCTGTGACGGTCACTGGGACCCAGAAGATGGGAGGAAAGTAGTGAAGGGGGATTCCCTTTCATCTTTCTCTCTACCCTGGGTCACTCCAAAAAAAGAAGGAAGCTTAGGGATGCCTTGTCTCCTACTCTTTTTTTTAGATGGGTAACAACCTATCTTCAATCCTGCACTTCCCTCAAGTGCAGCTTGAATCTTCTTTAACTCTCAGACCCTGAAGTTCACTCTGAGCAACCCCCAATTCTGCTGTTGCCCCTGCAGGAAATGTCCAATGGACATGGTGCTACTAGAGTTCAAGTTCCCTTCTCATTGTAGGAACTTAGACAAAAAAAGGGGGGTCCTAGGCAAGTTCTCTGATGACCGCAATAGATATATAGAGAGGCTTTCCAAAATCTAATTCAAGTGTTTGATCTTACATGAAGAGATGTTGTGTTACTCCTACACCAAACCCTAACTGCTGCTGAGAAACAGGCAGCCCTACCAGCAGCAGAAAAATTCAGAGACAAATAGCATGTCCCCTATAGCCAGTCAAAAAAAGAAACCCAGTCAAAAGGGGAAAGAGGGTGAAAAAGAGACAGCATCTCCATTCCCAACAGGAAGAGAGATAGTGTCCCCTTGAAAACCCTAATTGGAGCCTAGCAATCCCATAGTTGCATGGAAAAGAAAACACTTTCTGATGTGCATATTAAAAGGCTTGCAAAGAACCAGTGCCAAACCTCTTAATTACCCTAAGTTATCCATGATAGATAAAAAACCAGATGAAAATTTCATGGCCTTTATGGAAAGACTGAGAGAGAACTTAGTGAAACACACCTCCCTGTCTCCCAATTCAATAAGGAACAGATTTATTAGGCAGCTCCTGATATCAGAAGGAAGTTGCTGAAGCAGAACTTTGTCCAAAAATCTATTTAATTTTTCTCACTCCCACGTTGAAACTCTGTGGTATGTAAATAACACTCTCCTCTGTGCCCCAACCAAGGAAGTCAGGGAGGCACTGAGGCTGTCCTCAGTTTCTTAGCTGAAAGGGGATATAGCATCTCAAAATCTAAAGCTCAGCTCTGTCAGACTTCAGTAAAGTATGTAGGTCTAGTCTTATCAAAAGGGACCACAGCACCTGGTGAGGAAAAGATTAAGCCCATTTCCTCCTTTCCCTTTTCCAAAACTCATAAACAGCTAAGAGGATTTTGGGGCATTACAGGCTTTTGCAGACTGTGGGTACCTGGTTATGGTAAAATAGCTTGCCCTTTATATCACCTCATAAAAGAAATTCAAGCAGTTAAAACTCACCCTCTGACCTGGGAAATTGAGGCTCAGCCTTTAACCAGCTAAAGTAAGCCTTACTTAAAACATCAGCCCTCAGTCTTCACATAGGGAAGGGATTCAGTCTCTATCTACCAGAAAGGAAGGGAATAGCCCTGGGAGTTTTGACTCAGGCTCGAGGTCCAGCTCAACAGCCATCATTTACCTAAGTCAGTTGGTACCTAAAGGATGGCCAGCCTGCCTCTGAGCAGTGGCAGCAGTGGCTTTGCTGGTGCCAGAGGCCACTAAGTTAACCATGGGAAAATAACTTGTTTACACCCCATACAGCAGGACTGCTGTCCTCTAAGGAAAGTCTCTGGTTAACAATCACCTCCTCAAATATCAAGCTGTGCTTCCAGAGGGATCTACAGTCTATTTAAAATCTGTCCTTGCTTGAACCCAACCACTTTCCTCCCAGAGGAAACTGGAGAACCTGAACATGATTGTGAACAGGTAGTGGTGCTAACTGGTAAAAGTAATGATAAGGATCACTTTATATTCTCTATAAAGTTCTGATCAATGGAAAAGGATTTTCTTAAAGACTGTTCAGTGTAATTGAAAGTGGAATCCAAGCTACAGGTATATTTGTTTATTTTTTTAAAAATTTTATTTATTTATTTATTTATTTTTTTGAGACAGAGTCTCACACTGTCACCAGGCTGGAGTGCAGTGGCATGATCTCAGCTCAATGCAACCTCCACCTCCTGGGTTCAAACGATTCTCCTGCCTCAGCCTCCTGAGTAGCTGGGACTGCAGGTGTGCACCACCATGCCCACCTAATTTTTTTTTTTTGTATTTTTAGTAGAGACAGGGTTTCACCATATTGCCCAGAATGGTCTCAATCTCCTGACCTTGTGATCTGCCCGCCTTGGCCTCCCAAAGTGCTGGGATTACAGGCATGAGCCACCACACCTGGCTGCTATACGTATATTTAAAAGGTCTTTATGTTTGTCTCTTCGTAGATCTTGTTATTCTGGAAAAGGTTTTTCTCAGTTGACTGAATTACTTTTCTCCACTCTGTCTTGCCACTCTTGGTGCATGTATCAAAGGCCCTAGGATGACTTCTGGTGACCTGGGGCTCTTTGGGAAAACACAAAGGGGACTACAGATCCCACTTTGAGAAAAATCTCTATTTTCTTCATGGAACCCTGGGAATTAGAGGTTGATAAATTCCTCTTGAAATCTGTTTTTGTCTTTCAGTCATGCCTGTTTGTTAAGCCCCAGAAGCTACATGTTTTCCTAGCCCTGTACTTTCAAGGCTCCACTCTGAGTTGCTGGATCTTCTTCTGTCTGTTTTTGCAGTCATATATGTGATATGTGTGTGATGTCTATAAAAAAAGAGCTCTAATTCATTGGCCTGTAAGTGCTTAGATCAGATATTTTTTAAAGGAAAATGAAGAGCTGTAATGCCTCTTGGTTCGAGTGACTTTGATCTTTAAAGATAAAAACTGTCTTAGGGATTATTGGTAAAATAAAAATGTATTCAGGATGTAAATAGATGGTCTACATTATTCAGGTCATATACTAGGTTTGTTAAATGTTTTAAGGTTGTAAACTTCTCCTTTGGCCTTGAAGCACTGTTCAACTTGCCTGCTTCACAATTGGTAAGGCCTGGAAACATATGGAATTAACCATGCCCCTAACTATGCTGGAAGGAGTCAGACTTTATTTGCACCTAGTACATAAATAAAACAACTTACCAGGTTTACATTAAAGTTAAAAATTGTTAAGAGTTACCATTATGACATGTAATTGAGACTATTGACAATAGATTTCCATGTAAGCTGTGTACAAACAGTAAGGTGTGTTTTTAGTAAAAGATTATAAGAAGACATGGAAATGTACATTTTGCCTGGGGATAAAGGATTGTCTTAAATGAGTTAAAGTAAAGCTGAAGGTTTAAGACAAAGGTCTACCTTATCTTAAATGAGATAAAATAAAGCTGAAGGTTTAAGCAAAATGTACATTTTGCCTAGGGATAAAGGATTGTCTTAAATGAGATGCAGTAAAGCTGAAGGTTTAAGTAAATTGGGGAAAAATTGTAACAATTAACCTTGCAAAGAAAACTGTATGAGCATATTGACTAAATTCAAAAGGGGTATTTTTTTTTGTAAATTGAGCACTGAAATAAAAGCACAACAAGGTTATCTTAAGACACTAATCTGCTCTTTAGCAAAACTTGTAAAGTGTTATAAAAGGTTTGTGAAAATCTCACCTCATTGTCAAACTTGTTAAGATTGGATAGAATTGTCTAGAAGGTTTCACTAAAAATTGGGGTTAACACTAATAGTAGGCTAATGCAATGGTGAAATTTGGCCTTCTGTCTCTTGAACAGGATTTTCATGTAATAGTAAAGGCTAATAAAAGGTTTTTGCCTTTTCAAATTTTTGAGTCATCATTTTGGCAAAATAAATGACTTATGATAATCTAAAATTGTATTTCATAATATCAAGTGTTTTAAACCTCTAATATATTCAACAAGCTTCCCCAAATCAAACTTCAAAGTTGTCTTTCCTGACCCCTAGCTTTTGAGTGCTACAGAGAGCCCCTGGAGCACCCAGAAGAGAGGTAAACAGGATTATTTGACATGTTTGGATATGTGGGATTTCCAAAATGATATTTAATCATCCTCAGGTTATATTTTAGGGCAAAATATTAACATATGTTCCGGCCGGGTGCAGTGGCTCATGCCTGTAATCCCAACACTTTGGAAGACTGAGGTGGGTGGATCACTAGGTCAGGAGTTTGAGACCAGCCTGGCCAAGACGGTAAAACCCTGTCTCTACTAAAAATACAAAAATTAGCTGGGCACGGTGGCAGGCACCTGTATTCCCAGCTACTTGGGAGGCTGAGGCAGGAGAGTCACTTGAACCCAGGAGATGGAGATCGCAGTGAGCCAAGATTGTGCCACTGCACTCTAGCCTGGGCAACAGAGCAAGACTTTGTCTCAAATAAAAACAAAAAAGAAAAATATATGTTCCAAAACCATATGCAATATCTAAGGTTATAATGTCTGAACATATGCTATCAATTATAATTAAGATTATTATGTTAAGCTATTGTAAACCACAGAAATAACCAAATTTCTTTGTCAAACATGTTTCTGACAGTAACCACCCTGGACATTTTGTTGTTTACAGACAATTGTTGTCTTGTTTTAATCCCCTTTAAAGGATGGTTTATAATCAGCTGTAGGACTTTAACAGGTAGTCTCAAATGCAGGTTTGTGATAACAGAAAAATGCACCAGATTCATGAAAAGCTGAGATGTTATGGAGTATCAGGCAGGACAAGAGTTAACTGAATGGATTGAACTAGTAGAAAATTGAACTAATCTTTTTGACTTTTGATTGGAACATTGCTGATCCTTATTTTGTTTTTCAGAGTTGAGGGGACTTTCTTTTGAGCTAGCTACAGCTTTTAACAACTAAGTAAGGTATACTCCTGTGAACAAAATTTGAAACATGCTTGTTTCTCTCTGCCTGGTTCCTCTAGAATTCGGAAACTGGTTATGAGTATTCTTGACTTATAACAATATAGTTGTTTACATCAGTCCAATAAGAATTCATTTTCTTTCGCTACAAGACACAATTGGAAAAACTGGTTGTTTTACCAAGGCTTTAAGGAGACTCTTCAAGGAGTCAAGCTCCATTTGCAGAGCCAATAAAAAAAAGCCCCTTGAGAAAACTGACCTCATACCTTGTCTCTACAGTCCCCGTACCTGGTTCCTAACCTGCAGTGAGTAAAGAACGTCACTTTCTGACAGGCCCAGGAAACACATGCTCTTGGGACCTCAAAAAAAAGAGGAGTTTACCCAACTCACAGGTATTTGAGGACACAAACCCATGGCTCGGTGCAGCTTCAGAAAATCCTATCTGAGATTCCTTGTAGAACAGAGTTCCATTAAAGCCGATCTAAAAGGGTGTATGTAAAAAGAATTATTCTTGCTGCAATTTATGCAAATAATCAGGCCCAATATAAGACTAAAGTCCCTTTTGCAAACAGCTCAGTCCTATTTTGATTTGTTTTTAAAAAAATGAGTAATGGAGAGAGAGAAATTATGTTTCAAAACTTATCATACATTTGTCATTAACATCTAGTCTCATTGGCTGTTTTTATGTTTTTGCCTGCACTTTAAACTAACCCCGTGTATTCCTGTGAACCAACCAGCAATCTCTGGTTGCAGCTCTGAGGAGACAGAAAGGAATGGGCAATGTAAAAATCTGGAACGATGTTCTAGTTCTGGGCAATTATCCTACAAATACTGCGAGGTAATAAGCGTAAATAGAGTGGCCATAACCTAGAGGTTTCTTTGTTTGGAAGGATAAGACAAAGGAAGCTAACCAAAGCCAAGCCCCATTCACCCAACTCTTAACAAGCATAACTATAGCAACAAGTTATCAGGGTATTTCAGCAACCTCAAGATTTTTAAGCTGTCCTTACCCTCCTTTTCTCATTTTAATACATGTCTTCTAATAACCTAAATTGTTTCTTTTCACCGAGAGGCTATCAAGCTCCAAACGACAATGCAAATGAAACCACACATAAACATGCCTTTCTTCTGAGGGCCCTTATACCAGCCCCAGGAGGAATCCTACCTGCTGTTCTCCACACAATGCCCCTCTCCGGTAGGAAGTAGCCAGAAAGATCAACAACCAATCTTCCTAACAGCAGTTAGGGTCTCCACCCCTGAAGGGGCATGGAATGAGGGAGAAGAAAGGAAAAATCAATTAAGCAAACAGTTAAGGCTGGTCCTCAGAGAAACAGTCTGCCTGAAAAATTACAGCTACAGGCAAACATACAGCAGCCTGAAAACTCAGGCTGCACCTGCACAGATGAGCAGGTGGGTCCAGCATCAAAGCCTTTTGTTCTTTGTGTAATTGGCAGGCCCGTAGGAAAAAGCTTCCTCCCCTTTTCCGATATGTACATGGTGGGCTCCATGGGAACTTACACAGGGAGGAGTGGGGCTTACCTCAAACAAACCCACAGTTACACAAACAAGAATACGGTGCTTTGTGCTTGCCTAGAGACATACCCACAACTACATAGATGAGGGGGAGTTGTGCAGAGAGATTTTCAGATAAGAGAAGTTACTCAAATGGCTACAGAGATGAGAGGAGTTTCTTATAAAACGTTTTGAATTCAACTGTAAAAACAGCAACCCACTAGGGCTCCCACTCTCTGCTGCAGAGAGCTTTCTTCTTTTGCTCATTAAACTTTCACTCCAACCTCACCTTCTGTGTTGATGCTCATTAATTTTCCCAGTCATGAGATAATGAGCTCAGATAACACCTTAGACAATGAGACCAATAACCCTGGCCCTGTTTCAGCAGCACAAAACAGACTAAGACGATTATTATCTGAGTGAAGAACTCTAGTTTTCCCCTGTGTTTCAGTTGATCCCTGTGGAAGAAGGTATTGATTGTACTAACCCAACATACAGAAATGACACCTTGATTTCATCAATATTGCTCAGATAGAGGTAGTGGCCTACCTATCTTTGTTGCTGCTGTGTACTTCACTGTTATCAGCAGCAATCTTCAAGCTCCCCAGACGCTGAGGACTATCATTGGTCACACCCTTGGAGACCAACGACCCAGGGTTTAACCCAAAGGGGCAAGGAAAAATATCTAATGTCTCAACCCCCTACCAGAACACCTGATAAAGTTACACCATTGCTTAAATATTGCAAGACCTCTAACCATTTGTTTGGGTTTTAGTAAATGCATCTGCATGTTAACCTAACAGACTGATACCTTGGACAGAGAAGCTAACTTGTGCTGCCCCAGTGAGAGACCACTATAAATCTCAAGGTACAAACTCCAATCTCTGTGAAGTGAACTAGGAAGCCTTGGAACAAGAGATAGATACCCATAAGGTGGTCCACTGGGGCTCTTCCACTCCCCTTTTCTGTAACCACCTAGAAGTTCAGTACTATGAGTTATCAGACACAAATAGAAACAAAACCATGTCTTTAGGTGGCTAGAAACCCATAACAAAAAAGAAAGAGAGAAAGAAAGAAAGAAAAAGTATTTATATAAGGGGAAGAAATACTACTGATACTCCTAAGATAATGCATTGATGATGATGCTGATGATGAAACAAAGTTTTGTAATTTAACCCAATTGGAAATCCAAAATGTACTAAAATAATTTATATAACAGAGATAAAAGTGCACTGATTGGCTTTCATACCTCTACAACATAATTCCTGAATTAAATTTAGTATTGGCTTAAATATAGCAGTTGACAAAACTTCATGACTTTAATACTGGAGCTCAAATTAGAGTTACACCTGGGGATCCCACTAGATTTAAACAAGATGCCCTAATCATTTTATGAGAGTAGCTAAATATAAAATAGAGAAAAATAAGTATGTTTCACGTTATATCTTTTCCTAAATTTCCCAATCAGAATACCCATTGTTCTAAATTATGTTCCAACACAATGAATAACAAATTAAACTTAAAGCAATTATTTGGCATTTACAAATTGGATTGATAAAACAGGACCCCATGTGCCCCAGGTTAAAATAGTTTATAAAGATAAATATAACTAAAAACAGACTTTTCAAGGATTAAAATCTCTTATATAAAAGAAAATTAGTAAAGGAATGATCATTCCCATTGCTTCTCCATTTTAACAGCCCAATTTTGCCAATTCTTAAACCTGGGAAGAATGAAGATTGCCTCATAGTAGACTGCTACAGCTAAAATGCTATGGTCCCATTTGTTAAGGCTCCCATATTCAATACCCAAAATTATTTTGTTATGAGAATAAAACAGGAATATTTAGAAGAATGCCCCCACAACCTGGGAAGGAGCTAAGTGACAAAATAATAAGTTGGACAAGTCCAGCTTGATGAGTACATGAGGCTTTTAGGACTTACATACAGGACATTCCTGGGCAGCAACAGGAAAACTCCAGAGACCTTCCCTACCAGACATTTCTAAGCTGCTTTTAAGCTAATTTTTGGCTCATTGCCTACTGCATGCAATGGATTATTTTTTCTTGGTAGGTTACCTGTGCACTCCAGGATGTTTGGGTTCCCAGAAACACCTGTTCCTCAGCTGGAAACCATTGCCTTGGCTCACCACTTGGCCTTCAAGGGCCAAGCAGAAGACCTACACCCTTAAGTAACCTGGTGGGGGGGGCCCATCACCCTATGTATTTACATTTCTGATTCTATTCAGTTGGCAACCAATAAATATTTTCCTATTATGGAAGTGGCTAATATGTATTGTTCAGTATCTATTTCAAAAACTTCTCAGCCTCAGTTTGGCTTCACCCCCAAAGGGATACTATAGGCCCTTCTGGACTACTGTGTGGTACCTCAAAACCTTCCTCATCACACACAATCTTTGCAGGAAAGATCTTAACTAAATCCAGCTTTCTCCGGAAACAGGTATCTTAGTCCATTCAGGCTGCCATAACAAAATAGTAAAGACTGAGTACTTTATAAAGAATAGATATTTACTTCTCACAGTTCCAGTGGCTGGAGAGTCCAAGATTTAGGTGCTGGTATATTTGATATCTGGTGAGGGCCCATTGATGCATACAAGGTGCCTTTCTGTTGTGTCCTTATATGATAGAAGGGTGAGCTAGCTCTCTGGAGTCTGTTTATTAGGGCATTAATACTATTCATGAGAGTTCTGCCTAATCACCTCCCAGAGACTCTACCTCCTAATACTACAACATTGGGAATTAGTATTTCAACATATGAATTTTGGAGGAGGGGCCCCATGGCTTTGCTAGGTATAACCCTAGTGGCGACTCTCTGTGTTGGCCACAACCTTACGGTAGCTCGCTGCTTGAGTCTTGAGCCTGAGGGTCTCCCTGGCTTCATTCTTCAAAATCTATGTGGGAGTAGACACACCCCCATGGTTTATGCATTTTGTGCTTCTTTGGAGATGGCACCACATGTACCCTGCCAAGGTTTATCATCTATGCTGTGTGGAGGGGAGACCACCATGGCCTATGCTGCACCTGGGCCCACTGGAGCCACAGCCGGTGTGGCCCAGGACAACTGTGCTCAAATTCAGGGAGCAGAGCTTTGAAATCATTCTTCCCTCCAGGTCCTTACATAAGCCTGTAATGAGAGAGACAGATTCCATAATCTCCAAAATTCCTTCCTGGTTATTCTGTCATTGTTTTGAGAAACAGCCCTTGTCTTGTGTTAGATTCCCAATCCATAGCAGTCTCCTTATCAGATGGTCACTTGACCATGCCCTTGTTCTCTCCCTAAAAGGAGGATGACTCCTTCTCCTTCTCCTTCTCCTTCTTCTTCTAGACAGGGTCTTTCTCTGTTGCCCAGGCTAGGGTACAATGGTGCAATCATAGCTCACTGCAGTCTGGAACCCCTGGGCTCAACTATTCCTCCTGCCTTAGGCTCCCAAATATCTGGGACTACAGGTGTGTGCTGCCATGCCTGACTAAATTTTTTAATTATTTTAAAATTTTTTGTAGAGAGAGAGTCTTGCTCTGTTGACCAGGCTGATCTTGAACTCCTGGCCTCAAATGATCCTCTCACTTTGGCCTCCAAAAGTGCTGAAATTATAGATGTGAGCCACCACACCTGGCCAGCTTTCTTATTTTTTTCCAATGTGGATAGGCTGAGAATCAAAAATTTTAAGATCTGCTTCCCTTTTGATTAACAATAACATTTTGGGCTATTTCTCTCTTCTTGAATTTTACTATAAGCCTTCAAGAAAAGCCAAGCTCCACCTTCAACACTTGGCTTAGAAATTTCCTGAGTAAAATATCCATTCATTTTCTCAAAAGTTCTACCTTCCATCAAACACTAGAATATGAACACAGTTCATCCAATTTTTTTGTCACTTTATAATGAGAATTGTCTTTCCCCCAATTTCCAATTACATGTTTCTCATTTCTGTCTGAAACCTCCTCAAAATGGCTTTTATCACCCATATTTCTATGAACATTGGGTTTATGGCCATCTTGGCATTCTCAAAGAAGATTTACCCTTTCTCTGCAGCTCTCCTCCTCTCCTTCTGAGCCCTCACTGGAATTAATCATTTAAGGCCACTCGTGGAAACATAGGTGCTTGCTAGCATGCACCTCAAAACTATTCCAGCTCGTAGTCATTACCCAGTTTCAAAGCTGCTACCACATTTCCATTATTTATTACAGCAACACCCTAACTTCTTGGAACCAATATTCTGTCTTAGTCTTTGGGGGATTTTCTAACAAAATACAATAGCCTGAATAGTTTATGAACAAAAGAAATGTATTTTTCACCTTCTGAAGGCTGGGAAGTCCAAAATCAAGGTGCCAGCAAGTTTGTGTCCAGTGAGGGTTAATTTTCCCATCCATGGGTGGTACTATATTATTGAGTCCTCATATGGCAGAAGGGTCAGGCTTGCTCTCTGGGGACTCTTTTATAAGCACATTAATTCCATTTGTGATGGCTCTGCTGTCATCATCTATTAAAGATTCCGCCTCCCAATACCATCCCATTTGGGGTTAGGATTTCAACACACGAATTTTGGAAGGACACAAACACTTAGTCTGTAGCTCCAAGGTACACATTTTACTCTCAGATACAATGGTGGGCTCTTAGAAACAACATTCAATGAAATTATATTTTCCCATTAGGCCCCAGGAAGCTGGATTAATTGAGAAGTCTTGTGGGCTCTTCAATGACTCCTACTTAAGTTAAAAAATAATAAATGAATTCCTAAATGGCCTCTATCTTGCCCCAGACCTTAATCTCTCTTAAGTTAAAGATGCAGAACTGACTTATAGCAACTTTAAAAAATCTTCCCATCACAATTGTCTATATTTAAAGGGAGATTCAAACGGATCCCAGATTGAGGATACCACTTTCTTAGGTACTTTTGCTAATCAGATTGTTTCACAAGTCAGGCACCTGTTCATCTGACATGGAACTCACTTGAACCTAAACTTACTCCCCAAAATCTTCCTCAATATTCATTTTATAAGGGATGGAAAATTTATCTGAGCTCGTCCTCTGATTACACTCAGAAATTAAAATTACTGCCCAAAAGCCAGTCCCAAAAATGGTAGAATGAAAGATAGAAAACTCCACTTAGTAACTTAAACTGACATTCAGATAGTAAAAGAATAAACACTATATTCCAAAATTATTGTAGGAAAACAGCCTGTTGCATGGCAAGAGTAATGCCATCTTGAAGCAAAACTGCCATAAGGACTGATGTTTCACTACAGCATACCAAGGCATTCCAGCAGCAAGGTCAAGAAACAATGCCTGCAGCATAGCTAACCCCTCATAAAGAAACAATGCCTGCAGCATAGCTAATTCCTCATATAGAAACAATGCCTGCAGCATAGCTAACCCCTAAAAAAGAAACAATGCCTACAGCATAGCTAATTCCTCATAAAGAAACAATGCCTTATTGTTCAATTCCCACCTATGTGTGAGAATATGTGGTATTTGGTTTTTTGTCCTTGCGATAGTTTGCTGAGAATGATGGTTTCCAGCTTCATCCATGTCCCTACAAAGGACGTGAGCTCATCATTTTTTATGGCTGCATAGTATTCCATGGTGTATATGTGCCACATTTTCTTAACCCAGTCTATCATTGTTGGACATTTGGGTTGGTTCCAAGTCTTTGCTATTCTGAATACCAACATGGCACATGTATACATATGTAACAAACCTGCACGTTGTGCACATGTACCCTAAAACTTAAAGTATAATAAAAAAAATGCCTGCAGCATAGCTAATTCCTCATATAGAAACAATGCATGCAGTATAGCTAGCCCCTCATAAAGAAACAATGCCTGCAGCATAGCTAACCCCTCATATAGAAACAATGCCTGCAGCATAGCTAACCCCTCATAAAGGAACAATGCCTGCAGCATAGCTAATTCCTCATATAGAAACAATGCCTGCAGCATAGCTAACCCCTCATATAGAAACAATGCCTGCAGCATAGCTAATCCCTCATAAAGAAACAATGCCTGCAGCATAGCTTATTCCTCATATAGAAACAATGCCTGCAACATAGATAACTCCTCGTATAGAAACAATGCCTGCAGCATAGCTAACCCCTCATAAAGAAACAATGCCTGCAGCATAGCTTATTCCTCATATAGAAACAATGCCTGCAACATAGATAACTCCTCATATAGAAACAATGCCTGCAGCATAGCTAATTCCTCATAAAGAAACAATGCCTGCAGCATAGCTAACTCCTTATATAGAAACAATGCCTGCAGCATAGCTAATTCCTCATATAGAAACAATGCCTGCAGCATAGCTAATTCCTTATATAGGAAGAATGCCTGCAGCATAGCTAACTCCTCATATAGAAACAATGCCTGCATTATAGCTAATTCCTCATATAGAAACAATGCCTGCAGCATAGCTAATTCCTCATAAAGAAACAATGCCTGCAGCATAGCTAATTCCTCATATAGAAACAATGCCTGCAGCATAGCTAATTTTTCATAAAGAAACAATGCCTGCAGCGTAGCTAACTCCTCATAAAGAAACAATGCCTGCAGCATAGCTAACTCCTCATACAGAAACAATGCCTGCAGCATAACTAATCCCTCATGAAGAAACAATGCCAGCAGCATAGCTAACCCTTCATAAAGATGCTTATCTAACCTCCCCAGTAATCACCAGTTTCTCTAAAGGGTCTCAGACATAACCAGTTGCATATGTTTTACCCAAAGAAGGCTTGCTATATAAAGAATACTTTCTAGAGGGCGAGTGTGAAGATTCGCCCTCTCGTGGCCACCTGAAACATAGCTTCTGTTCATATTAAATGTTTCTTTCTAAGAAACTGGATTTGTCAACCTCTTTCTTTGGCCTCAGCTCCCTCAGCCTCTGAGGGTAGGTTTGCATATTCCTGCCCTGGTAATTATATATGCTAGAAAAATAATCATCATTAGATAACAAAAGTGTCAAGTGTTGCTGCACACTATTTTGTTGACAATTGGTTTTATTACTATTGATTTGGGTGCTTTCACTGGTTTGCAATCTGGTACTCCAAACCCTCCAAGTAAGTCATTGTTTCAAACAGACATAGCAAATGCTGTGGTCCACAAGCCATCAAGTATTGCTAATACAGCCCCAAACCTCATCCACTTGCCTATCACCAACAAACCAGCAACTGGGGAAAAGGATTCATACTAAGTGACTAAATTGGAGGACCTGCCTACAATCTAATGATGGATATCCAACCTCAGCCTCAAGATTTTAATTGGCAAAAAAACCTGCCACCTTATTAACAACATACACTCAAATCAAGCTGTGTGATTTAAAACCTATTTGTAGTAAAATGTTTCTTATCACCCATCTGAGAAAAACCTTGGACTATTGGGAGATTCAGATTTAGACGCTACTAATTATAGTGTTAATTGTGCCAATCAAGTTCCAGCACTTTGGTACAGTTACAGCAGCATGTTAGACGCAGACATTACCTTAGCTAGCCGTGCACCCACAAAGCCCCTTGACCTTAAGAATATTTGCAAGTCAAATTCCCAGGCACAACATTGCCTTCAAATTCCACAAGTGGCTCAGCCTTGTTATAATACAATAGAGGAACAAAAACATGATTCACATCAACCCTAGTGGTTATCCAACTTGGGAAGGATACCCCAGTCTCACATCCCAGATGACAGTGGTCTGCCTAGTCCAGGAATTCACTGCTGGAGATGACTTAGCTTCAGAGAACATTGCCCCAAACCAATACTTCACCATTGGAGATGACTTCACTTCCTGCACTGGAGATTACTTTTCCTTGGACACTTAGCTTCCCCAACAATGCCCATGGGCTCCCCTCCTAAGGCACTAACAAATATGCAATGGGATATTTATTGTTTCTTCCTTTGATATTAGGAATTCTAACATGTTTTCTGAGCTCACTTTTTGCTAGACAATGATCCTGGTATATAAGATGGAGCTTGGACTCCTCTTAGGGGCCTGTGGGTTGCCTCAAGCATGAAAATAAAGGAAAATCTTCAGTTCTTTCATGGTAGCCCTGAGACGTATATAAGCGACTTGATAAGCAATAAGGTAATTATAGCTTAAAACAATATCCAAAGAAGTTGGAATCCCCTATGGAAACTAAGGTAACATCTTAACATTTGTTATTGTTTTTCAGAAACCCAAATTTCCACCAAATTGCTCCACTGGCATATAGACCTCAATCAAGGGAGAATTGAGGACTAAACTGTGACTGCCATTCTTTTTTCTAAATTTCTTCCTGAGAGGCCTGAAGGAAGTCATACCCAGGAGTTAGAGCTAACCTTCTGTTCTGCTGACTCCAAGTTTTTAAACAAAGTATCTCTTTCTTAACCAATTGCAAATCAGAACATCTTTGAATCTACCTACGACCTGTAAGCCCCCACTTCAAGATATCTCACCCTTTTAGGCCAAACCAATGTGTAACATCCATATGTTGATTTATGATTTTCACCTTTTACTTCTGCTTTCCTGAAATTTACCCCTACCTTTAAAATCCTTCACTTGCGAGCAATTAGAGAGTTCAGAACTTAAGCAAGACCTGCCTGAGTCTTCTTGCTTGGTTCCTTGTAAATAAACATCCTCCTCTTTTCCTGCTGCAAACCTCAGTGTGGACATTTAGCCTTACTGTCGTGGGCAGTGGATCTCAGTTTGGTTTGGTAATAACCGTGACTGCAAAGGAACAACAGTCCCGAGCGGGCATCTCACTTGTGGCACAGGGGCTGCTGGCTGCAGCCATGCTCAAACCCTGTCCAGAAGCTGCCTGAATGATTGTATTCAGGGATGGATTCTTGCATCTGGCAACTGACCACCATTATGAAAGAAAGGCCTATGGTGCTTTCTTTCTATTTTATTTTATTTTTTTTTGAGACAGAGTCTTGCTCTGTCACCCAGGCTGGAGTGCAGTGGCGTGATCTTGGCTCACTGCAAGCTCTGCCTCCTGGGTCCACGTCATTCTCCTGCCTCAGCCTCCCGAATAGCTGGGACTACAGGCACCCGCCACCAAGCCTGGCTAATTTTTTTTTTTATTATTTTTAGTATAGACGGGGTTTCACCGTGTTAGCCAGGATGGTCTTGATCTCCTGACCTCGTGATCTGCCTGCCTTGGCCTCCCAAATTGCTGGGATTACAGGCATGAGCCACCGTGCCTGGCCTTCAATTTTTAATTTTAACTTTTGTGGGTACATAGTAGGTGTGTATATTTATGAAGTACATGACATGTTTTGATACAGGCATGCAATATGTATTAACCACATCATGTAAAATGGGGTGTCCTTCCCCTCAAGTGTTTATTCTTTGTGTTACTAACAATCCAATTATGCTTTTAGTTATTTTAAAATGTACAATTAAATTATTATTGACTATAGTCACCCTGTTGTGCTATCAAATACTAGGTCTTATTCTTTTTATTTTTTGTACCCATTAACCGTCCCCACCTCCCTCCCACCCTACCCCCACTTCCCTTCCCAGCCTCTGGTAACCATCTTTCTACTCTCTATCTCCATGAATTCAATTGTTTTGATTTTTAGATCCCACAAATGAGTGAGAACATGCAAATTTTTGTCTTTCTGTGCCTGCCTTATTTCACTTAATATGATGACCTGCGGTTCCATCCATGTTGTTGCAAATGACAGGATCTAGTTCTTTTTTATGGCTGAATAGTATTCCATTGTATATACGTACCTTATTTTCTTCATCCATTCATTCATCTGTTGACAGACTAGGTTGCTTCCAAACTTTGGCTATTGTGAACAGTGCTGCAACAAACATGGGAGTACAGATACCTCTTGGATATATGGATTTCCATGCTTTTGGGTATATTCCCAACAGTGGGATTGCTGGATCTCATGGTAGCTTTATTTACAGTTTTTTGAGGAACCTCCAAACTGTTCTCCATAGTGGTTGTACTAATTTACATTCCCACCAACAGTGTTTGAAGCTTCCCTTTTCTCCACATATTCGCCAGCATCTGTTGGTGCTTTACTTTTTGCAGTGTCAGAAATGAGGCACTGTTTTTGGTAAGTGGAGTTTGTGAACAACGGCCCCAAGCAATTTTTCCTTTAGATGCTGGGTTCTGCTTCAGCAGGACATCTGCTGTCGCCCAGATGTGCTTTGGAAAGGCACAAGGCTCTGCTGAATGAGAGCATATTTAGTGGGGAATACTCTACAGAGAACTGGAGGGATCAAGACCTTGAGGAATTGCATTTTTATTTTGATTTGCTTTCTTGAAATTCTGTCCAAAGCCCAGCTGAGTCCTTAAGGGTTTGTCACCTAAGGCTTTGTCATCTAAAAAAGAAAGCATGAGCTCTATTCCTCCTTGTAGTCCATTAGGGTGCATTAATACAATGCTGCAGCCAGGGATCAGTGTGCCATAAATGAGACGCCCACTCAGGACTTTTGTATCTTGCAGTCACCAACTGTTATCAAACCAAACTGAGGTCCACTTGCCCCGGGTATTATGTCCAAACATCAACACCAAGGTTTTCATTAGGAGAAAAGAAGATATTTATTTGTAGGGTGCGAGACATTTTAGCTTTGGACCCATAAAAAGGAATAAGATTTTTTTATTGCGGCACTATTTGGCCACAATATTATTTAGACTCCAGAGGAAAACCTGAAAAAGGGATCCTTTAGATTCCTAAATTTAAAAAGATTTTAGAGATCTCTTAAACAATTGATGGGAAAATCAAATTTTAAAAAGGACACATAATAGTGTGATGGTTAGCCTTAGGAATTCTCTTGACTAAATCAAAGAGCAAAAATCTGACCTAAAACAAAGTTAAAATTATTTGCAAGCCTAGAACTGCCCACTTCAAATCATCTCTGTGAACAATAGTGAAGACAGTCCCATCCTATAATCCACCAGCTAAATAAAGTTCTGCCCTTTCACCGTGACAGCCTGAGTTTGATTCCCAGCCAAGGAACAAGTCCTTTTGGTTTGCTATTTGTGAGATTTTTGCCATTTGTTGATGCATTTTTCTTTCATGGACAGCTTTTGATTTCCATCTGTGGGGGTATATGAGGCTTTTGAGCCTTGTGTGCAGATAGTCAACTAAGAACCTGAGACTCTAGAGAATTTGGGAAATAAGAATGTGGATTATACTCCATTTGTAGCTAGCAAAGTTTTCATTTCTTTGAACTGTCAAAAGACAGGGTGGGTTTGGATCTTGTGAATACTGCTTTCCGCCTCTCTGGAGACACCTCATACGTCCTTGGTTAAATCATAATCTTGGTGAAGCTTAACTTAAACGGTACCTTTAAGAAATAAAAAGGATATGGCCGGGTGCGGTGGCTCACGCCTGTAATCCCAGCACTTTGGGAGGCAGAGGCGGGCGGATCACGAGGTCAGGAGATCCAGACCATCCTGGCTAACACGGTGAAACCCCGTCTCTACTAAAAATAAAAAAATAAAAAATAAAAAAAAAATTAGCCAGGCGTGGTGGCGGGCGCCTGTAATCCCAGGTACTGGGGAGGCTGAGGCAGGAGAATGGCGTGAACTCGGGAGGCGGAGCTTGCAGTGAGCTGAGTTTGCTCCACTGCGCTCCAGCCTGGGCGACAGCAAGACTCCCTCTCAAATAAATAAATAAATAAATAAATAAGATAAAAATAAAAAGGATACAAAGTCTTACATATCAGCTGTTTGTCCTGTTAAAATTCTCTAATAAGAAGTTTGAAAGGATTTTTAAAGAGCTGGATAGTCAAAAGTCAACTTAATTGAAACTGCTATTTAGGTTATATGTACGTTGTGTGTGTGTGCGCATACACGTGTGCACATGTGTTATGCATAAGAGTCTTTAAGTCCTCTGTTCTGTCTTTGTAAGAATTTCTCCATTGGCTAAATTTCTCTCTCCTTGCACCCATGGCAGTCACATATGTGCTCCCTCTGCCTGTTTCTCCTTTTCCTTCTGTCAGCCCCTGTTGCATCTTGCCACCATCGGTGCCACATGAGGGGACAAGAAAATTTTTTTTCTAACAGACTGAAATTCCTTAAGGAAAACAGAAAAAGATGTGGTGGATTCCTCTTTTGGGGAGGAACTTCTGTTTTTCCTCAGGGAATCTCAAGAGGACAGAGTCCTCCCAGATCTAAAATTACTCCACTTTTTCTCTTCGGCTTTTGCAGTACCAGAAATCACTCCGTATTAAGAGAAAACTTGCCTTATAAAATCTTATGGTAAGTTCCTGTGATTTTGTGTTGCTTTGGTGTCCATTTTCAGTCTTTCTTTAACAAAGCCTACACTCTTTTTTTTTTCTTCTTTTTTTGAGATGGAGGCTTGCTCTGTCGCCCAGACTGGAGTGCAGTGGCGTGATCTTGGCTCACTGCAACATCCACCTCCCAGGTTCAAGCGATTCTCCTGCCTCAGCCTTCCGAGTAGCTGGGACTACAGGCACATGCAACCATGCCTAGCTAATTTCTGTATTTTTAGTAGAGACAGGGTTTCATCATGTTGGCCAGGCTGGTCTCGAACTCCTGACCTCAGGTGATCTGGCTGCCTCGGCCTTAAACTCTTTCTTAAAGGAGAATAAATTGTCTCTCTCTCTCTGTTTTGAGATATGCATTGCCAGTTTGTTTCCTCTGGGATCTGGTGAGGGCTTGAGCCATGTGGAACAGGTGGATTTTTACTTGTTCCATTTATAGAGATGGAACTGGAATCCAGCTGCCATTTTTGGACTGGTGAGCTTTGCCAGTCTAATAGCTAGAGTTTTAAAATCAAGAGTCTAGGGGCTTTGTTTATGTCTGTTTTGATCTTTATGTATGCAGGTGTGTATGTCTTTGCATGTTGTCTACAATAGCAAATTGGCTTATAAATAAAAGAGTATTCATAAATTAAATACATAAATTTAAATGCTTTTCAGGTTAATGTGATTTTAATAATGATATTCAGTAAATAAAGATAGTTTCAAAATTGTTCTTAAAATAAAAGCATCTTCAGAATTGAATTTGGACATTTTTGCCTAGATGTATTGGTCAGATACTATCTCTGTTAGATGTTTTAAGATCATAGAATGGTTGCTTCTGTAGTGCTTTTGATACTTGCTTAAATTTTCTATAAACTTACGCCTTTAGATTTGAGCCTTTAGGCCATGATAAGACCTATCCCCAAGTCTGGTGCTTTGTCCTGGGCTACTGACACATAATTAAAACTGCTTGCTTCCTGGGCTTGTCACTGAACATAAGGGTTACTAAGAGTTTACATTGTAAGTAATTTATGTAATTAAGACTACTAGACATAAGAAAAGCAATTTTACATCCAAAGGCTCTAAAGAAAACAGAATGCACTTTTAATTTAAAAAAGATTGTAAGAAGGCAAGAGAATGTGGTTTTTGTTAAAGGAAAATTAAAATGTAAGAGAGGTTGAGGGAGAGAGAGTAGTTTTTCATTTACATGAGAGAGAATTCTGTGTGGTCGTAATAATAAGGGGGAAAATAAAGTAAACCTTTGTCCTAGGATAAAATGGTAAGACATGATACACATAACTGAAGGTTTAAGCAAGTTGTAGAAAGTTTGTGAAAGAGTGATCTTGTGAAAATAATTTTGTGTATGATCATGTGGGCTGAAATTAAAAAGAGGTCATTTAGTTTTTCTAAAAACTAAACCTAAATATGAAAAGCAGACCGATGCACGGCCAGAGCCTGGACCACTGTGTCCGAGTAACAGGGTTTTCTTGGAGCATGGATCTGCTCATTAATAAAAAATATAAGAGTTTAGGCCGGGCGCGGTGGCTCACGCCTGTAATCCCAGCACTTTGGGAGGCTGAGGCGGGCGGATCACGAGGTCAGGAGATGGAGACCATCCTGGCTAACACGGTGAAACCCCGTCTCTACTAAAAATACAAAAAATTAGCTGGACGTGGTGGCGGGCGCCTGCAGTCCCAGGTACTCGGGAGGCTGAGGCAGGAGAATGGCGTGAACCCGGGAGGCGGAGCTTGCAGTGAGCCGAGATCGCGCCACTGCGCTCCAGCCTGGGCGACAGAGCGAGACTCCGCCTCAAAAAAAAAAAAAAAAAAAAAAAAAAAGTATAAGACTTTATAAAAGGTTTATGAAAACCTTTTCTTGTGTGATCACAATTGACTGATATTGGATGGACTTGTTTATAAGGTTTTATTAAAATTAGCTTTAGCTTCAATAAAACACTAATGCAAAGGCAGAATTTGATTTTCTCATTTTAACAAGATTAGGCTGTTGGTTTTCTCAAAGGTGAAAACTGCTGGAGTCTTCCATGGAAAAGCCCACGGAAGCCTCTTAAAGTGCTTACTGCAGGGTCCTCAATGGTGAGAGATGAAGCCTTTGCTGTGGCTGTTGAGGTCCTCAGTGGTAAAGACTGCTGCGGTCCTCTGTAGAGCAGGCTGGGGGCCATGGTGGCTTCACCGTGTGGCTGATGCTGATAGCCTCACTTTTCTCTTTGTCCCTAGCCATCTGCAGACATCTTGGCTATGGCTGTCTTCCCCAGCAATCTTGGCAGGGGAAGCCCTTCAAGTGGTACCCCCAAAAGCTGGGAAGCTGGTCACTCACCCTGCTCTCCTTCTCTGCTGTGAGGGGAACTCATGGGCCAAGGAAATTGCTCTCAGTGCTGAGCTATGCAGGCCGGGGCATCGGCTGATGCAGGCAAAATGAAACTCCACTTCCAACATTTTTCTGTGCAGTTTTCTCAATTTTTTTTCTCCACTGTGTTGGTAAAGCTTTTTAACTGGACTCTTGAGCTCTCCCAGAGCAATGTTGCTCGTGGTTAGCTAATCGTTGTTTGTCTATTTTGTGGGGAGTAAAGGCTGTGTCTCCTACTCTGCCATCTTGCTAATGTCACTCCCTTGTTGCATGCACTTAAAAGAAACAAATGTATTGATGTATGATTTGTATACCACCAAATCCACACAGTTCAAATGTACATTACTATGGATTTTAGTAAATTCGTACAGTTTTTCAACCATTACCATAAATCAGTTCTAGAACATTTGCATCACCCCAAAACATTTCTCCGTGGCTGTTTATGGTCAATCCCCACTCTCATACTCAGACTCGGGAATGTATAGGTTTTTATTCTACAGATTTGCCCTTCTAAAATTTAATGTAAATTGAATCTTACAATGAGATGTCTGTCTGTTTTTTTTTTCAGTTAGCACAATTTTTTTACATCTAAGTAGTATATTATATTGTATAAACATGCTGCAAAGTTTATTAATCAGTGGAAAAACCTTTGAATTGTGTCTGGCTACTATGAACAATGCTTATGAACACTCATGCTTGAGTCTTTCTGAGGACACATATATTCACTTTTCTTGATATGAAATTGCTGGGTTGTATAACAAGCATGTGCTTAACTTTCTGAGAAACTTCCAAATTACTTTCCATAGCAGGGGTACCATTTTACATCCTTACCAGTAATGTATAAAGATTTCAGTTTTACACAGCCACACCAAGGCAGTACTGACAGTGCTTTGGACTATATTTACTCTAGAGTGTGTGTACACTGATTTACAGTGTAAATCAGCCAATAATGATTGGCAACTTTTTCTGTGCTAATAATCAATATATTTGTTATTTTTGATGACATATATTTAGTTTGTCCATTTTTTTCAAAACTTTTTGTTTTTAAAGAGACAGGGTTTCGTTCTGTCACTGAGACTGGAGCGCAGTAGCACCCTCATAGCTCACTGCAGCCTCAAACTCCTGCGCTCAAGCGATCCTCCCATCTCAACCTCCCGGTGGCTAGGATTATAACTGCCAGCCAATTTCTTACTTTGCTATAATATATTGTGTACTTTATAAATTCTGGATACAATTACTTTGACAGATATATTATTTACAAGTATTTTCTCACATTCCGTGCATGTTTTTTTTTATTTTTAATGGTTTGTTGAAGAATAAAATGCTACATTTTGATGCTCAATTCTCTCTCTCTGTTTTTAATTTTAAGGATTGTAAATCATAACTAAGAGGTTTTTGCCTAATCCAAGTCACAAAGATTTTCTACTAAGTTTTTATTTAGAAGTTTTATAATTTTAGGTCTTATATTGAAGTTAATGATCCATGCTTTTCCTAACACTCAATTCTATTGCATTCACTATATGTCTATCTTTATGCCGGGACCACTTCGTCTAGATTGCTATTGCTTTGTAGTAAGTTTTGAAATCAGGTAGTAGAATTATTTTTAAAATAGTTTTAGCTATTCTAGGTTCTTTAAATTTCCATATAAACTGTAAAATTAGATCATCAGTTTCTAGACAAAAACTACTTAAATTTTGATAGTGATTGCATTACCTCTATAGATCAACTGGGGAATTGCCATTTTAATAATATCGAGTCATGCAATTCACATTCATGCATTTATCTCCGTTTATTTAGATCTTTAATTTTGCTGTGCAAGTTTCGTTGCTTTCAACACACAAGTCCCACACTTCTTTTTTTTTGAAAAATGTCCTCTTAAGTATTTGATTTTTACTTTATTATGAAAAAAAATGTTTTTTAATTTCAAATTATTTTTATTTTTACATATTTAGAGAGTACAAGTGCAAATTTCTTACATGCATATATTGAGTAGTGGTGAAGTCTGGGCTTTTAGTGCATCCATTACGTGAATAGTGAACATCATACCCAATAGGTTATTTTTCAGCCCTCACCCCTCTTCCATGCTTCCGCCTTTTGTAGTCTCCCATGTCTATTATTTCACTCTGTATGTCCATGTGTACTCAATGTTTAGTTCCAGCTAATAAGTGAAAACACGCAGTATTGGGCTTTCTGCTTCTAAGTCATTTCACTTAGGATCATGGCCTCCCATTCCATTCATGTTGCTGCAAATGAATGATTTTATTTTGTATGGCTGAATATTATTCCATGCTCTGTGTGTGTGTGTTTGTATTTTATATATATATATATATATATATATATATATATATATATATATCTCCAACCCTTCATTGATGAACACTTAGGTTGGTTCCATGACTTTGCTATTGTGAATAGTGCTGTGATAAACATACAAATGCAGGTATCTTTTTGATACAATGATATCTTTCCCTTTGGGTAGATACCCAGTAGTGGGATTGTTGGATTAAATGGCAGTCTTGTTTTTGGTTCTTTAAGATGTCTCTATACTGTTATGAAGGTTGCATTCATTTACATTTCCATCAGCAGTGGATAAGCATTCTCTTTTCTCTGCATCCTCACAATCTGTTGGGTTTTTTTTATGCTTTAATAATAGCCATTCTGACTGGTGTAAGATGGTGTCCCATTGTGGTTTTAATTTGCATTTCCATTATGATTAATGATGTTGAATATTTTTTCATTTTTTTGGCTACATGTATATTGACATGTGCATTACAGCTATATATATTTTAATCCTGCCTCCCCCCAAATAAACCATTGATAAGAACAAACTTTTGGTTTCACTGATTTTTTTTTTGATATTTTTAACTGTTTTTCTGTTTTCTATTTTGACGATTTCTGTTCTGATATTTATTTTTTCCTTTATTTTACTTACTTCAAGTTAATTTTCTACTCATTCTGGGGCTTCACAATGTGGCATCTTATATTATTGATTTTTAGATGTTTTACTTGTTCTCATATAAGCATTTAAAGCTACAAATTTCCCTCTGAGAACTACTTAGGTGTGTCTCATACAGTTTGTAATATTTTGTTTTTATCTTTATTACAGTGAAAATATTTTCTAATTTACTTGCAATTTTTGATTAATTAAAATCTATGTAATTAAATTATTAAATGATTTCCAAAATAAATTTAGTTATTTTTAATATAATTATGTTGTGATCAGAGAACATACTTTGTACAATTGCTCCTTTCAAATATGGTGAGACTTGTTTTATGACCTAGGATATGATTTATCCAGAGAATGTGTCATGTTATCTTAGGAAGAATGGGTATTTCGGCTGTTTGGGGATGTTGTATGCTACAAATGTCAAATTGAGTTGGGTTATTGTGTTGTTCACATATTCTATATCCTTACTAATTTTATTTCTATTCTTCAATCAACTCCTAGAGGATATATATTAAAATATCTAACTGTGATTGTTAAACTCTTTATTGCTTCTTTCAATTCTGTCAGTTGTGCTTCATGTATTTTGGGACTCTCTTGTTCAAGCATGTATGATGTTGTCATTGTTATATCTATGTGTGACCATTTATCATTAAGAAATATCTGATGAGTTCATGTCCTTTGTAGGGACATGGATGAAGCTGGAAGCCATCATTCTCAGCAAACTATCGCAAGGACAAAAAACCAAACACCGCATGTTCTCACTCATAAGTGGGAATTGAACAATGAGAACACATGGACACAGGAAGGGAAACATCACACACCGGGGACTGTCGTGGGGTTGGGGGAGGGGGGAGGGATAGCATTAGGAGATATACCTAATGTAAATGACGAGTTAATGGGTGCAGCACACCAGCATGGCACATGTATACATATGTAACTAACCTGCACATTGTGCACATATACCCTAAAACTTAAAGTATAATAAAAAATAAATAAAAAATTTAAAAAAACAGGTGAAATTAAAAAGAAATGTCTTTGTCTGTAGTAGTATTTACTGTCTTAAACTGTATTTTGTCTGATATTCATATAGGTGCTTCACCTCTCCCATCATTACTGTTTGCATGGTCCACATTCTCTATCGTTTTACTTTCTATCTATTTGCGACATTTAATCTGAAGGATGTCTTGTGCAGACAGCATATTCTTCAGCTTTGCTTTTTAAAAAATCTAGTCTGAACATTTATGATTTTTGATATAATACAATTATTGATATTGGATTTATATCTACCATATTGCTGCTTTCTGTAATTTTCATGTATTTTTGTTCTTTTCTCCCTTTTACTAACAGATATTTGTAGCGTATTATTTTAGTTCAATTGTTGATTTCTAATTCTATTTTTCAACATATTTTCCTAGAATTTGTTCTCGGAATATACCTACATCTATACTTATCCCAAACTTCTTTAGGTTTATAATGATATCTGCCTGATGAAACACAGCAACTTTGCCACAATGTCACTCCATTTTCTCTCTTCTTTGTGCAGTTATTGTAATACACATTACAGCAATATATGTTTTAACTTCTCTCTCCACAGAAAACATTGAGGAGTATCTTCATGACATTGGGATTTGTCAAACATTTATTTAAAAGTAGCAAAAACATTATCAAGATAAAATATTGCTAAATTAGATTTTATTAAAATTAATAACTACTCTTCATCAAAAGAAAGTAAAAAATCAAGACACATTGTGACACAGAATAATTATAATACATATATCCACAAATGTGCATAATATTTGTAAAATTCCTAAAATCAATAAGAAAAATGTAGACTTTCCAGTAGACACATCACAAAAGTACATATTGAAATGTCAATAAACATATGAAAATGCACTCAATGTCAGTAATGATCAGGTTAATGCAAAATTATTCCAGCATGGGACCAAATATTCAATAAAATAGTTTAAATCCATGTGAGAATTAATTTCATGTGTCAGCTAGACTGAATCATGAGTTGTGATTTTTGGTTAAACATTATTCTGGGTGCGTCTGTGAGCATGTTTGTGGATGAGCTAAACATTTGAATTGGTGACTAAGAAGATTGTGCTTTCCAGTGTGGGTGGGCCTGATACAATCCAAGAAGTCCTGAACAGAAACAAGAAGATGATCAAGAGCAAATTCACTCTCTCCCAGCAGGTCTTTAAGCTGGGACATGGGTCTTGTTCTGCCTTCAGACGCAGGTTGGAATTTATACCATCAGGTCTCCCAGTACACAGGACTGCAATCTTGTATATCTATCTATCTGTCTAATCTATCTATCTATCTATCTATCTATCTATCTATCTATCTATCTATCCATACATCCAATCTATCTCCTATTGGCTCTGTTTCTGTGGAGAACACTGATTTTTGTAACAAGAGTGGTTCTGGAGGAACAGAATTTTAAGAATGAGTTTTCTAAATTGATTTTGGGGTTTCTGGAATTGACCCTCTAATCTGATTAAAGACACCAATCACTCTATTTATAGTAGTAAAGAAAACACAGATAGTCTATGGCATGATCTGGCAATAGAGATATACAAATATCTTCATTGGATACTACTAATCAAACACTTAGAAGAAGCAAGAAGCTGTATCAATGCGCATATAATTCTGAACACTTTTGGAGAAACAACAAATATGCAGCAATGTGCCACATAATGAGGTTTTGATCAACAGCAGACCACATATATAAGAGTAGCCCCATAAGATTACAATGGAGCTAAAAAACTTCTGTTGCCTAGTGATACACTGTCATAAGGTCATAGTGCAATGCATTCCTTTTTCTATATTTAGACATTTTTAGATACACAAATACTTAACATTGTGTTACAATTGCCTACAGTATTCAATATAGTAACATGCTTTGCAGGTTGTAGCCTAGGGGCAATAAGCTATACTATGCAGCCTAGGTTTGTAGTAGGCTATGCCATCTAGGTTTGTGTGAGTACACTCTATGATGTCACACAAGAACAAAATCACCTAAGAACACATTTGAAAGAATGTATCTCCATTGTTAAGTGACACATGATTAATGAGGTTGGCTGGTTGTTTCTAAAGTTACCGGACAAAGTGCTGAAAGAGTGACATCAGGGATTAGAATTCCTAGCTCAAGTGCAGCGTAAACAACTAGAAAAATTTATCTGTGCTCTTAAAAAGACTCTCATCTGCAGTAGCTACAGGGCTGAACTTGCTAAAAATCACATACACAAATCCTGTGACTGTTTGCCTTACAGAAAGCCAATCACTGAGGTTTATAAGACTGTGATTGTTTTTCCTGTAGGGATCCCAGAGGGACAGGTTTTAACCAAGTGTGATGAATCCATGGTTTAATGCTGGCTAACTTGACAGATGAGGGGGTGATCAGCAGCATCTCAAAAGGACTGGGCCATTGTGGCTGCAGCTGGCCTTCACCCAGGTGGGATTTTCAGGTCTTCAGCAGGACTTGGTTCCTGGTGTTAAAGAGTGAAGAGGCACATCTTTAGGAAACTGGAGCCTTTCAGAAGCAAATTCAGGAAGACTAGTCAGTATATTTTTAACTGTTTTATATATGATAAAAATCCACAAGTCTCGGGGAGTTCAGAGAAGTAGTCTCTCATAAAATGTTTTGAAGGGGAAGAGGCAACTCACTTTAGGGGGGCTATTGTATCTTCAGCAAAGCAAGAGAAAAGACGTATTCCTAGGTAAGGTTGTGTCTTGACAACTGTGGTCCCTTTGGCACAAGTAGGTCCATTCAGTCAGTGGGGCACTTAGAACTTTATTTTAGTCTGACCCCTCATGGTCAAGACATGCAAGAGAGAGCATCATGGCAAAGCTTTTATTTTGTACCATATTATTGCCAAGTTGCTGTGGCTATTGGCCTGAGTCCAACTTGTCTCTCAATGAGACTACCTATGGCCAAGAGACTTAGAGTGAAAAGACTTATATCCAAGTAAACATGTTAGGCCAGACAGGAATGAAGGTGGGTAGGCACCCATTAATTCTTAAAACCCTTTTAAACAACTTAATAGCCGAAACCCAAAAGTCAAAAAGTAAGGTTAATATTCCTGTCATCAGGCTAATCCCCCATGGCTTGCATAGGAAGTCTATCAGCTGCGTCGTCTGGGTGCTCCACTTGGCATTGACAGGTGGAGTTGTGCAATTCCTCTTCTCAGGATCAACAGATCTTACAGTGACTTTCATCTAGTCCACCAGGCTGGCTTTCTCTCAGAAATAACCTCCTGTGTGTCTGGAATGAATATATATATGAATGTATATATACACACATCTCCATCTGCAACATATATATACACATTATATATATATACACACACACATATATAGACACATGCACACACACACACGCATACATATACATATATCTCCATCTGCAACAATTCAGTAGTCAGGTGCGGGTCATGCATCAACCAAAACATGCTCTTCCATTCTGCAATGTTTAAAACCAAAGACATTGCTCCAATATTACAATCAATTTTAGTAAAGTTTCCTCAGGAAGCTGATGATACCAATGTATAAAATGGAACATTTTTTAAAAAACATTATACCCTCCAGTTTCAGTAGTTACTTGTTTTTGCCCTTCCCTGACATTGACTACCTTGTTAGAAACCACAGGTCTCAGAGGTACATTCTGGTTTCCTGGCATGATTTCCCCCTTTTGTGGGTAGCCTTGAAACTAGTGATCTCAGTTCAGACAGACCCATGTCTGAATTTGGTCTGGCTTCAGGGTCCAACTCAGCACTCTTACTTTAGCTCTTACGGATAACAATAACCAAGAGACTGAATATTTCACTTTTTCCTTATTTGTTTACATTTTTATGCATCCAGTGAACCAACTCCCTAGGAGTTGAATTTATTTCTAAATTGTGTTGGTAACTTTTATTGTTAATAATTGCATGCAGCACAGCTGCAACTCTACATCATGGGTGACTAGGTTGCCAATCAGGAATCAAAGATTAATCTAGGCGGGGCACGGTGGCTCACGCCTGTAATCCCAGCACTTTGGGAGGCCAAGGCAGGCAGATCACCAGGTCAGGAGATCGAGACCATCCTGGCTAACATGGTGAAACCCCGTCTCTACTAAAAATACAAAAAATTAGCCAGGCGTGGTGGTGGGCACCTGTAGTCCCAGCTACTCAGGAGGCTGAGGCAGGAGAATGGCGTGAACCCAGGAGGCGGAGATTGCAGTGAGCTGAGATCGTACCATTGCACTGCAGCCTGGGCGACAGAGTGAGACTCCATCTCAAAAAAAAAAAAAAAAGAAAAGAAAAGAAAACCATTTCAACAAAGTACCAGGCCAATCTTTCCACGCAGATTTATCAGGTCTATAAAGTCAATTTCCACTTCTCAAATTGATCTTCTCTTACCAAAATATATGTCATTTCAGTCAAAGCCTTGGTAGAATAACCAATGTCTTCAATTGCGTCCTGTTATAAAAGAAAACAGATTTTAATTAATTTATAAAATAACTATATTTCCATGAATTAAAAATATTCACAAATGGTTTTCAAAATCTGGAGAAATCAGGTAGAGAGAAAGATGCTTCAAATTTTATTTACAAGAGTATATTCTACTAAATTGTTACAGGTAATACGTAGTTAAAAAAAAGCACTTTTAACTCTTAAAACAAAAAGAATCAGCAAATTTTAAAAAATCCATAAAATTATTTTCATCCTGTATTAGTTTAGAGCATGCAATTAACTTGGGTTTTTGTCAGACTGGATTAGCTCCTTTTGAACCTATCCGCCTTTTAATTAGAGTCCTGGAAGTTTTCTTTTTTCTACTCCAAAGTCTTCAAAGTAATCAGAAACCTGCATTCAAGAGTCTTTTTCAGCCGGGCGCGGTGGCTCAAGCCTGTAATCCCAGCACTTTGGGAGGCTGAGGCGGGCAGATCACAAGGTCAGGAGTTTGAGACCAGCCTGGCCAATATGGTGAAAGCCCGTCTCTACTAAAAATACACAAAAATTACCCTGGCGTGGTGGCACATGGCTGTAATCCCAGCTACTCGGGAGGCTGAGACAGAAGAATTGCTTGAACCTGAGAGACGGAGGTTGCAGTGAGCTGAGATCACGCCACTGCACTCCAGCCTGGGTGACAGAGCAAGACTCTATCTCAAAAAAAAAAAAAAGAATCTTTTTCATAAACTTCCCTAAAACAGTTAGTTTTGGACTGTAGCTGACTGTGAACTTCTTCTCAGATCAGAGCAGAACTAAATGAAATTGAAATAACAACAACAAACATATACAAAAGATAAATCCAAATAACCTCAATAAGAAACAAAACGGGAGACATTACAAGTGACACCACTGAAATACAAATGATCATTCAAGGCTACTATGAACACCTTTATGCACATAAACTATAAAACCTAGAAGAGATGGATAAATTCCTGGAAAAATACAACCACAACCCTCCTAGCTTAAATCAGGAAGAATTAGATACCCTGAACAGACCAATAACAAGCAGTGAGATTGAAATGGCAATTTAAAAATTACCAACAAAAAATTGTCCAGGACCAAGCAGATTCACAGCAGGATTCCACCAGACATTCAAAGAATAATTGGTATCAATCCTTTTGACACTATTCCACAAGACAGAGAAAAAGGGAACCCTCCCTAATTCATTCTATGAAGCCAGCATCACCCTAATACCAAAACCAGGAGAGGATATAACCAAAAAAGAAAACTACAAACCACACCCAGAAAACTGGTAGCTATAGTTATGCTTGCTAGGATTGGGATGCATGGTGCTTGCCTTTGGTTAGCTCCCTTGGTCTTACTTTCCCAAAAAAGAAACCTCTGGGTGATGGGCACCCTATTTATTCCCAGGATTTGCAGGATAATTGCTCAGAACTCTATTATTGATCCAGATTTTTACATTACCCATCTCTCTTGTTCTTTCTGAGCTGCAGCTGGAGATTTCTGGTTGGTTAACAGGAACAAGTAGAGTTAGTCTAAAACGTAGGCAAAACTTAATAACAACTAAAGATTTTAGAATTTAATGACAAATGTATAAGTTTTGAATCATAATTTCTCTCTCCAGTCCTCATTTTTGTTAAAAAACAAATGATCACAGGACTGAGTGGTTTGCAAAATAGACTTTGGTCTTATACTTGGCCTGATTATTTGCATAAAGTGCAACAAGAATAACTATTTCTACATAGGCCTTTTAGATCGTCTTTGAAGGAACTCTGTTGCACAAGGAGTCTCAGATAAAAGGTCTTTTAAAGCCAAGCCCAGCCATGGGTTTGTATCCTCAAATACCTGTTAGTTGGGTGATCCTCTCCTCTTAGGGTCCCAAGATAAACTTGGTGCTCCTGGACCTGTTAGAAAGTGACATTCTTTACTGACCACAGGTCAGGAACCCTGTACAGGGACTGTGTAGGCAAGGGTATCAGGCCAGTGTCCCCAAGAGGTTTCATTGGCTCTGCAAGTTGAGATTGACTCCTTAAAGGGAAGCATACCTTTCCAGTCAAAGCTTCGGCAAAATAACCAGTTTCTCCAATTGTGTCATGTTGCAAAAGAAAAATGGATTCTTATTGCACTGAGGCAAACAACTATATTGCCATAAGTTAAGAATACTCCCAGATAGTTTCCAATCTCTGGAGGAACCAGCCAGAGAGAAACAAACATGCTCCAAATTTTGTTCAGAGGAGTCTACTTTACACAATTATTAAAAGCCACAAATAGTTCAAAATAAGTTTCCTTGACCATTAAAAACAATCCTTTAACCCTAGGCAAAAATTTACATTTTCATGCCTTTTTATAACCTTTTACTAAAAACACATTTTACTGTTCTCACACACCTCACATGTAAATCTATTTCCAGTAGTTTCAATTATATGTTATAATGGTAACTCCTAGCAGTTTTAACTTAAACGTAAAACCTGGTAAGTTGTTTTAATTTTGTGCTTGGTGCAGCCAAGGTTTTACTCCTTCCAGCATAATTGAAAGTGCGGTTAGTTCTATATGTCCCCAGGACTTACCAGTTGTACAGCAGGGAAGTCAAATAGTTCTCAAAACCCAAAAAGCAGTTTATAACCTTAAAACACTTAGCAAACCTTGCATCTGACCTGCATAATTTAGTCCACCTATTTATATTTTAAAGACACCTGCATTTTACCAATAATCTTTAAGGCTCTTTTTATCACTCAAAGATTAAAGTCACATGGAAAGCTACCATAGCTTTTATCTTCCCTTTAAAAAAAAAATTTGACCCAGTGCTTGTCTTCCTTTTGGCCAAATTAATTAGCGATTTTTTATAGACATTACATACAACACACATATACAATTACACAGACAGGCAGGAGAAAACCCAGTCCCCACAAGATCCTTTCACACAACCAAAACTTTACAGAGAAAATAAACAGGGATCCTTATCATTCTTACCCTAGTAAAATGTCTTCCAAAAGAGAGAGAGAGAGAAAAAAAAAAGAAACGCCTTTAAAAGTTAACTGCTGACAGGGTGGAGAAGAAAAAAGTATTCCCGGCCGGGCGCGGTGGCTCACGCCTGTAATCCCAGCACTTTGGGAGGTGGAGGCGGGCAGATCACGAGGTCAGGAGAACGAGACCATCCTTGCTAATATGGTGAAACCCCATCTCTACTAAAAATACAAAAACATTAGCCAGGTGTGGTGGCAGGCACCTGTAGTCCCAGCTACTCCAGAGGCTGAGGCAGGAGAATGGCGTGAACCCGGGAGGCGGAGCTTGCAGTGAGCCCAGATGGCACCACTGCACTCCAGCCTGGGCAACAGAGCAAGACTCCGTCTCAAAAATATATATAAATAAATAAAAATAAAAATAAAAAAGAAAGAAAAAAGGATTCCTGGGGGAAGAACCTCTTATTCTCATGTAACTGGTTCCTCCATCAGGGAGAAAAGCTTAATTGCTGTGAAAAAGAGCTGGCCTCCCTGGCCAGGGTATGTGGCAGGGAACGCCAGCCAGCCTCGTGGGGCGCCTTGGGGCCCAGACAGCCACTGTGGCTGATTCCCGCCTTGCAGGTCCATGTTTGGACACCATGCAGACATGTGGCAGATAAGGCCATGCACCCCAGCTGATAGGAAAGCGGGAGCATAGAGCTGCCCCGCCTATCTCACCAGCACACCTGTGGATGTTGGGGTGGATGTGAACCCCTTCCAGTATTGTAAAAGAAAAAAGAGGTGCCATTACTAAAAAAGAGAAGAGGAATGCCACAGGACCAAAAGGCTCGGAAGCAATAGTGAGAAGTTTTGAATACCCACTTCCCTCACCCCTTCTCAAGCCCCATGTTCTGGGCAACAAAGCTGTTGCAGGACTTTTTCTTTTGTTCAGCTAAGAGCCGGGTTTTGGTCACACAGCCATGAGAGATTAGGCTTGCAGACACTTTGAAGGGTGAGAAAAAAATGGAATTTATTGGGAAAAAAGCGGAAACAGGGACCCTCCACAAAGCCAGAGTCCTGCTAGTTTGCTTCCTGCCTTGCAGATGAATCTCAGGTTCCACCCAGAGGCGGAGGGGCCAGGCTCCCCCCACTGTGAAGGGCACAAACTTCTGTGGCTCCACCCCAGTGTGGAGTCCTCCCAGTGCGCAGTCCACCCAGTGCACCACCTGGCTGGAATTTCTCCGGGGACCCCTTTACACTTGGCTGTCTCAAAACCTGATAAAAAACTTAGACATATCAAGAAAAGCCAAGAGTACAGAATCAAGTTATCCTAGAGGAAAACATTGCTTTTCTAGATAAACATTCGAGGTAAACATTTCAGCATCAGGCCACAACAGCAGCTAGAACCAAAGGAAAAACATTACAGAAGCCTATGAAACCTTTGTAAGAGAGAATTATTGGCCGGGCCCAGTGGCTCACGCCAGTGATCCCAACACTTTGGGAGGCCGAGGCGGGTGGATCACGAGGTCAGGAGATTGAGACCATCCTGGCTAACACGGAGAAACCCCATCTCTACTAAAAATACAAAAAATTAGCCAGGCGTGGTGGCGGGCGCCTGTAGTCCCAGCTACTCAGGAGGCTGAGGCAGGAGAATGGCGTGAACCCGGGAGGTGGAGCTTGCAGTGAGCCGAGATCGCACCACTGCAGTCCAGCCTGGGTGACGGAGCGAGACTCCGTCTCAAAAAAACAAAGAGAATTATTATTATCTGAGGCCTCTTTAAGTGGAGAATAAAAGCTGAAAGCAGCAAGACACAGCAAAGTTGCACTTCTGATATAGGAATTTGAGAAGTTTTCAAAAAGTAGCAAGAGTATAGAATCAAAATAAAAACTTCCTGTAATTTTATCAAGAACAAATCAATATTTTAAGGAAGACTTGCTCTAGCAAAAAGGGCCGATGTTAATCTTTTTACATCTCTCTCCCCTATTTACAGCTTCCATTTTACCTTGGTTCATAAATAATCCTCTCAAGTCTATAGTTTGAATAACTTTTGAATTAGACAAAATTATTTTTTTCAATACAAACATATCTTTTTAGCATATTTTATATACAGGATTGTATAATAACTAGAATTCTTATTCTTAGTAACCTTAAATTTTACTGCAATATTTAGGAAGCAAAAAATCCTGAACTGTCTATCAGATATTAGCATTTTGCAGGTTAGACGATTTAACAATTTTTTTTTAAAAAATGTTTCCCCATATCATAATTTTCTTAATTTGAAATGACCCAGATATGTTTGGATTTGCATCCAAAACAATTTCAATACTTTAAATTACACAAAAAGGTCACCTACAGTAATTATCTCATCTATATTTTATTTATTTTTAGCAGTTTATCTAGATTATTTATGAGAACTGAGATATCAGAAAAATGTAGTTATTTTCTTCTTCACCATCCTTATGACCTGCACATATTAAATCTTTACCTAAGTAAGAGGCTTAAAATTAACTAATGGACATCATTGCTAATAACTCAGAAGATTCAGTGGCTTTTATTAAACCAGCCTCATTAAATTAGACTTATTTCTCAAAAAAATCTCGCAAACACAGATCATTTTCCTCTTGGCTGGGTTTACAATCTTATAAACTTTTGTGCCAAACCCTGACACCTTAAAATACCTAGCAGAGACAAATATAAAATCCAGGCAAAAATGTATGCCAACAATTTCAAAAGCATTTTTATTTTACCAAGAATCTTAAAGCCATCTTGTTTAGTAAAGATTTACCGATGTCAAATGAACTTTTTAAATGCTTGGACTTATTTACTTAACTTATGAGTGATCTTTTACTTATAAGTCAATTGGGTACCTTATAAAAACAACACATAATATCCAGAAACATATACAGACATACAAAGATTCAATACCTTTGACCTCAGAATTCTAGCTGTAAGGTAGCATTACAAACTCACCAGTTTATGAATATGTTCACATAACTAAACTCTCCCCAGTAGGCAATCTTGTGAAGGCTGGGAAACAAAATTTTGGGTAAAGCAGTTTCCATGGTAGTTTGATTTTTTAAGGCCAAACCTCCTCAGACTCCAAACAACACTGGGTCAAACACACCAAAGAAGGACATCACATAATCACCAGGCCTGACCCTGTTGAGAACAACAGCATCAAAGCCTGCATATGCAGAGCTCCATCTCACTTTCCTGTTCAGCAGCAAAATGAACCCAACTGTAATACAGCACGATGTTTCAAAGACCCATGGAGAGTCCAAAACTTTCCAGACTGCAAAGAACACTGCAGCCAAACAGCATTACAAAAGAATATCACTTTCCTTTGTTCCATTGGCTCCTAATTATATTCAGACTACTTTTGAAGAGTGCACCCAAGCAGGCTGCATTCTGGGATTGAATTCTGATTTCCCATGACTATATTCTCACACACACACACAGAACACACACACACACAAACACACACACACACACGCATGCATGCAAACAACCATCAAAATAGAGTATCTAACTGCAGTAGGGACTAACAGTCTCCAAGAATGTGGTTTTCTAATTTATGCAAGCAGAAATCCGGCAAGTGTGTAGGGGAATAGATATTAAGGGTGTGGTCCAATGAGGCAAGAAATAAAAAGTTGAATCTGTATTAATTTTTTAATACAGGCTCATTAAGCAGAAATTCTGCACTTAACATTGCAGCTCAGGGAATTAAAAAGAGCTCTAACTGGTGGGTTGGTTGGCTAAAACATGGATCAAAGATGGACCTCTGTGAGCAAGCTGGAAATGCTGGATCCCCCTTGGTTTAACACAGAGATTGGAATGTTAGAATAAATTGGTCCTATAAGACCTACTCATCCACAGGGGGAGGGTCCAAAAACCATACCTATCACCAATCATGTGAGACATAAATTTGTGAGAGGAGCCCAGCATCCTTCAAAAGCTCTGTGATCAGTCCTCTGTAAGCCAGACCTTACAGTGGAAACTACAGCCACTAAATCATGAAAACTAATACAATGAGAATATTAGGTCCAAGGATACTAGAGGCCAACTGGCAGGAATCAATCACAAACCATAAGGTAAGCATGGTTACTGTGAAGGACAGCAGATTCAAAGCAGCAGTTATAAAAGTCTGACTCATGCATACCTATGGCATTGGCTAGTTGATCATAGTGTTCTTAGAGATGAGATAGATAGAAAGTCTATTAAATTCTTATTTGATATATATAAGCAGAAAAAATTATAGGTTAAGTGAACAAAAGTCTAATTTTAATAATAAAAACAGTAATGGCATCTCCGTCAATTCCAAGATTTGAGTCATGTTACAGACCCAGAACCCCTTGAATTAAAGAGCGCTATTTCCCCTTGAGGATGATATACTACCAACAATTTATACTGTTCATATTTATCCCAGCCTTCCTCAAAGAAAGCCGTAGCTTTTTACTAAGATTATTGTGCATTAGGAAAGTAAAATAATTAGACCTTTTTGGTGACTACTTGACACTATCTCCTAACTGACACTAATTCAGGAGACTCAAACCATCACTGTATACAGTTTCATATACTCTAGAGTAAGGATGTATATATGAAAGTCAGGTGATCAATGGAGTTTTAGCTCAGGTCTGTCTCATAGTAGGTCTCTGAACCAGTCCTGCGTGTTTTCTTTGTTTAATTTTAGAATGCATGATGGAAACAGACATACTGAGCAGTTGGCATAATCCCCACATTGGTTTCCTAATGTGTAGAGAGATGGTCATTATTATGATAAGAAAGGCAAGTAGGCAAGTAGAAGCCTCTAGAACCGGTGCTATGTATGAAAATAGTAAACCAAAAGCAACTGCACATTTCTGTAATGATTGCAGAAATTATTTTCACCATCAGGGACTTGAAGCATGCACAGGTGGTGATTCTCACCATATCCCTATTTAGTTCTCTCATTTGGCCTGTGCTGAGGACACATGGATCTCGGAATGTGGCCACAGATTATTGAAAGCTTAACCAGGTGTTGACTCCAGATGCAGCTGCTGTACCAGATGTAATTCCATTGACTGAGCAAATTATTACATGACCTGGTGAGTTGTGAGTTGTATGCAGCTATTAATCTAGCAAATGCCTTTTTCTCCTTCCCTGTCATTCAGATTCACTAGAAGTTTGCTTTCAGCTGGGCAAGGCAAGGAATACATCTTCACTGCCCCACTTCAGGGATACAGTAAGTCTTCACTTAATGCCATTGATAGTTTATTGGAAAGTGAAACTTTAAGCAAAACGATGTATAACAAAACCATTTTTTCTCATCAATGTTGTAACAAAAGCCGTTGAACAAAACAATGTTATTTGGGGACCTGCTGTGTGTTGTTTTGCTTAAAGTCACATTTTTCCAAGAACTTATCAGAATGACTTTAAGTGATAATTTACTGAAAATAAACTCTCCGGCTCTATGTCAAAATGTACTTCACAAGAATCTTGACAGTCTTTCCTTTCCATATGATATCACACAGGCCTATCACATTGACGATATTAGGCTGACTGGACCTAGTGAGCAAGAAGTAGTAAATACTCTAGACTTATTGGCAAAATATTTTCTTGTCAGAGGATGGGAAATAAATGCACCTAAAATTCAGGGATCTTCTACCTAAGTGAGATTACCAGGGCACCAGTGGTGTGGAGCATGATCATTTATCTTTCTAAGATGAATTAATAAGTTGTTACATCTGGCCTTTCCTACGACAAACAAAAAAAAAGAAAAAGAGGCACAATGTCTAGAGGGACTGTTTGGATAATGAGGCAACACATACATCAATTGCGTATGCCACCCAACCCCATTAACCGAGTGACTCATAAAGCTATGAGTTTTGAGTGGGCTCCAGAACAAAAGAAGGTTCTGTAACTGGTCCAGGCTGCTGTACAAGCTTCTCTGACAACTGGGCCACATGATTCAGCAGATTCACTGGTGTCTGAAGTGCCAGTGCAGATAGAAATGTTGTTGGGTGTCTTTGGCTGGTCTCCTTAGGTGAATCACAGCACAGGCTCTTAGGATTTTGGTGCAAAGTTCTATCATTCTCCTCAGATAACTGTTCTTTTTTTGAGAAACAGTTATTGGTCTGCAGTTGGGTGTTAGCAGAACACTTACCATGCAACCTCAGCTACCCATGGTGAACTATGTGTCATCTGACCCACCTGGCCAGAAATTTCAGGTAGACAGCAGCAACATTATGAAATGCAAGGGGTTTATATATGATTGAGCCAGAACAGGCCCCAAGGCACAAATAAGTTAAATGAAAAAGTGGTCAAAATGCCATGGTCTCCACTCCTACTAAACGGCCTTCTCTTTCCCCACTGAATGCATGGTCTTAAGGGAACTTCCTATGACCAGTCAACAGAGAAATTAAAAGCTAGGATCTGTCTACAGATGGTTTTGCATACTATGCAGGCACTACACAATGGTGGGCATTTGCAACACTACAGCCTCTGTTTGGGACATCTCTGGAGGACAATGGTGAAGAGAAATCTGCCTAGTCAGCAGACCTTTAGACAGTGCACCTAGTTGTGCACTTTCTTGGAAGGAAAAATGGCCAGACATGCAATTATATACTGATTCATGGGCTGCTGCCAATGGTTTGGCAGGATATTCAGGGACTTGGAAGGAAAATTGTTGAAAAATTGGTGACAAAGATGTTTGAGAAAGAGGTCTGATAATATACTTCTCTGAGTGAGCAAAAACCACGAAGATATTTATTGCCCATGTGAATACTCACTAAACGGTGACCTTAAGAGGAGACGATTTTAATAATCAAATGGATAGAAGATTCGTTCTTTGGATATTAGTCAGCCTATTTCCCAGTAACATGTCATCATCCATTGGGTTCATGAACAAAGTGTTTATGGTGACAGGGAAGGGGGTTAAGTATAGGCTTAGCAACATGGACTTCCAGTCACCAAGACTGACGTGACTATGGCCACTGCGGAGAGCCCAATCTACCAGCAGCACTGTACCCCCATTATGGCACCATTTCCCAGGTAATCAGCTGGCTACCTTGTGACATATTAAAGAAACTGGACCACTTCCATCAAGGAAGAGCCAGTGTTTATTTTCTTATTGGAATAAACACTCTGGAAATAAAATTGCATTTCCTTCATGTACTGCTTCTGCCAAAACTATCACTTGTGGACTTACAGAATGTCTTATCCACAATCATGGTAATTCTACACAGCATTGTTAATCATGGAACTCACTTCACCAAAAAGACGTGTGGTAATGGGCCCATACTCATGGAATTCAGTGGTTTTACCATGTTCCCCACCACCTTGAAGCAACTGGCTTCATGGAACAGTGAAATGGCCTTTACAAAAGTTGACTGAGTCACAACAGTAGCTAACAGGCAATACTTTGTAGGGCTGGGGCAAGGTTCTCCAACAGACTGTATATATTTTAAATTAGGGTCTAATATATGGTACAGTTTCTCTGATATCTAGGATCCATGGATCCATGAATTAAGGGGTGGAAATGGGAAAAGCACTGATAGGGACAGGAGGCAAGGAAATTCTGGGCAGAAGAGGGTGGGTCCCCAGCGAGGGCCTGACCCTCAAGCTGAAAGCCCTGATACCATGGTCCAAAGTGAGAATTTATATCCCTGTGTTCCCACTAGAATGTTGCCTTTTCCAAAACCACCCATGGCCCACACTGCTCCCCATTCTGTGCCTATAAAAAACACAAAACTCAGCCAGAGAGGGCAGTGAACAGCAGGAGACTATGGTTGACCATTGGAGAGAAGCGGCTTGACTTCAGAGGGACGGTTGATGGTGTAGCTTCGGATAGGAGTCTGGCCGGGGATGGCTGGACTTCAGGGTATGATTACCTTCCCACTCCCTCCCCCTTTCAGCTCCCCTTCCCACTCAAAGCCACTTTCATTGACAATAAAATCCCCTACATTTACCATCTTCAATTCGTTTGTGGAACTTCATTCCTCCTGGACTCCAGACAAGAACTTGGGTGCCGTGAGTGCAGGTGCAAAAGACTGTCACACTAACCCTCCGCTGAGCTGTTAACACTTAAGCCGTCTGCAGATGGCTGAGCGAAAAGAGCACCATAACACTTCTTCTGGGGCTTCAGGGGTCGTGGGCACACCCCCTAGATGCTGCTGCAGGGCCTGTATGGAGTTTGCTCCTGCCTGCACCCAAAAGTGCTTGCCCTGGCTCCTGTACCCACTCACATGTGTGCTCCCTCCCATGAGGGGTGGAATGGGAATGCAGCAGGGAAATATCCTGCTTCAGCACAACATACTATTATTCCTAGCGACCCACTAATTTTTTTCTTACTGTTCTTATGACGTTTTGCTTGTGTGGCCTAGAGTTTTTATTTCCAAAGGAATGCTTCCACCAGAAGACACAACCATAATTCAATCAGACTAGAATTTGAGATTGCCACTCCATCACTTCGGACTTCTCATGTCTGAATCAACAGGCAAAGAAGAGAGTTATGGTGCCACCTGGAGTGACTGATAGATTTCCAATGGGAAATTGACCTGCTCCTCCACAATGGAAGTATGGAAGAATATATTTGGAATATAGGGGATTTGTTAGACATTTCTTAGTAACGTGATATCCTTCAATTAAAGTGATTAGAAAACTACAGCGTCCTAGCCTAGGCAGGACTACTGATTGTCAAGATCCTTTAGGAATGAAATGTTGGGTAACCTATGAAGTAAACAACCACAACCAGCTGAGGTGCTTGCTGAAGGCAAGGGGAGTACAGAATAGGCAGCAGAAGAAAATAGTTACAAATACCAACAACATCCTTGCCACAATTTATAGAAAGAAGAATTTTTTGTAATGATCATGAGCATCTCCTTATTTTGTTAAAATGTGCTTTTGGGTATGTAACAAATATATTTTTTTTCTCTTATTTTCTTATCTATCAAATGTGTATTAGCTTTATATCATAGTATTTTAATGTCATAATATTTAAGTTATGGGATATCAAGGGGAGAAGGAGTACTCAAAGACTTTAATCTTTCTTCTGAAAAGGGTATTAATTAGTGCATTTTTGGTTGTATGCATGATCGTTGTATCATGTTAGGTCAAATTATGACTTTGTTATTATCTTCATTTGGAAATTAAGTATGGTTTAATGACATGCATATGAGTAAACAATTGACAAGCAGTAGCTTTGTGATGGTTAATTTTATGTGTCAACTTGACTGGGACACAGAATGCCCAGACATTTAGTTCGGCATTATTCTATGTGTGTGTGAGGTGTTTCTGGATGATAATAACACTGGAATCGGTGGACTGAGTAAAGAAGATTGCCCTCCCCAGTGTAGGTGGACCTTAGCTAATCCACTGAAGGCATGAATTGAACAAAAGGCTGAGAAGAGAGAATTTTCTCTCTCCCTGACTGTCTCCAAGCTGGGACATCAGTCTTCTGCCTTCAGACTCAGACTGGAACTTACACCATCAGCTCTCCTGGCTTTCCTGCCTGCAGACTCAGACTCATGCTGCACTACTGACTCTCTAGGCTCCTAGTTTTTTGGACTGCAGATTTTGAGACTTCTCTGCTTCCACCATCGTGAAAGCTAATTTTCTATTATATATATCTATAAATACATAGATATATATATTTCATTATTAGTTGTGTTTCTCTGGAGGATTCTATCCATATAATGAGAAAGCCAAAACTATTAATTGTTGGAGGGGATATGGTGTAACCAACATAATTGTACATTTCCGGTATAATTACTTTGGAAAAATGTTTGTTTTAATACAGAATTTTTTTTTTTTTTTTTTTTGAGAAGGAGTCTGCTCTGTTACTCAGGCTGGAGTGCAGTGGCGCAATCTCGGCTCACTGCAAGCTCCGCCTCCTGGGTTCACGCCATTCTCCTGCCTCAGCCTCCCGAGTAGCTGGGACTACAGGTGCCCGCTACCACGCCCGGCTAATTTTTTTTTTTTTTTTGTATTTTTAGTAGAGACGGGGTTTCACGGTGTTAGCCAGGATGGTCTCGATCTCCTGACCTCGTGATCTGCCCGCCTCGGCCTCCCAAAGTGCTGGGATTACAGGTGTGAGCCACTGTACCCAGCCTCAGAATTTTTTAAACTTATGACACAGCACTTCCTCTAGGCATGTAATCAAAATAATGGAATGATTCTGCTAGACACCACCTCCACCATGTACTAGGATATTCATAAAGCACTATTTTAATGGTCCCAAACTGGAGAAAAACTAAATGTTCATCAACATTTAGTAGAATGTTTAGAATTTTTTATGTATACATAAATGTCAAGCATACAACAATGAGAATGAATAAACTACATCTCCATGAAAAAACATAACTGTGTATCTCACAGATTTAAGGATAAGTAAAAGAAGCTGGATACAGAAACAAACCCACATAATTTATGACTGCATAGTTATACAGTTAAAAATAGTCAGCGGGGCACGGTGGCTCAGGCCTGTAATCCCAGCACTCTGGGGGCGCCGAGGCGGGTGGATCACGAAGTCAGGAGATCGAGACTATCCTGGCCAACATGGTGAAACTCTGTCTCTACTAAAATACAAAAAATTAGCTGGGCGTGGTGGCACGTGCCTGCAGTCCCAGCTACTCGGGAGGCTGAGGCAGGGGAATCGCTTGAACCCTGGAAGAGGAAATTGCAGTGAGCTGAGATCTCGCCACTGCACTCCAGCCTGGCAACACAGTAAGACTCCATCTCAAAAAAAAAAAAAGTCCAGATCAATCTATACTGTTAGAAACCAACATAAAAATAGGTAACAATTTTAGTGATTGGAAGGGGACTTCTTTGGGCTGTTAATTATGATAATTATGTTAATTATAATTCATTAAATGATATGATTGCATTTGTGTATTCAATTTGTGAGTATTTATAAAGCTGTGTACTTATTATTTGAGAATAAATGTTTGTATATATGTTACACTTCAACAGAAAATGTGTATTAAACATTTGTGAGGGGAATAATGGGTAACTGGGTGATGTGTTTCTGCAATAAAAAAAAGTAGGTGAAATTATTCTTTTTTTTATACAAAATTGCTTTCTACTTTCTTAAGGAAACCATATAGACTAAACACAATGTTTGAACTTAATATATGTATGGCAAACTAGAGACAGACAGTTACCGAGAGAGAGAAAGACAGGGATAAAGAACACACACGCACACACACATTTGAGCCATGATACCTCCTTCAGATGCCGAGTAAGAAAGATATTGGTAGATAGAAGCTGGAAATTGTGTTGCATGGAAGCATGCACTGGAAAGGCCACAGAGTAAGAATCAACAGAATTAATCCATATTGTGCCTCCTGGGAGATTTTTGTTAAAATAAGAGGTTAAAATACTTGTAAAATATGTCCTAGTGCATTTTCTGTCCCCTTTCCTCATCAAAATATTTGTGGCTATTATTTTTCAAAAGGGAGAAAAATCATTCACCAATAACCAAACTAATTGATCTTCATTGAATATCCAGTGTGTAATAACTTGGGTTAACTTAGTAGTATTTTGAACCACTAGGTGTCCCTGTAAGCAAATGATTGAATAATTTCTAAAACTCAGCAAGCCTTGGAAAGTTTGACCAACATCATCAGTGAACTTGAGCTAACTGATGTATGTAAAACACCAGGCCGACCTATTCCTGTCTGATTAATAAATTGGCCTGAGCGCGGTGGCTCACGCCTGCGATCCCAGCACCCCGGGAGGCCGAAGAGAGCGGATAACCTGAGGTCAGGATATTGAGACCAGCCTTACCAACATGGAGAAAACCCATCTCCAACAACAAAAACAACAAAAATATATATATATAATGAGCCTAGCATGGTGGTTCAGGCCTGCAATCCCAGCCACCCAAACCCGGGAGGCGGAGGCTGCGGGGAACAGAGACCGCGCCACTGCATTCCAGCCTGGGCAACAAGAGCAAAACTCCCTCTCAAAAAAAAAAAAAAAAAAAAGGGACCGGGTTACACCATGTTGCCCAGGCCCGTCTGGAAGTCCTAGGCTCAAGCCATCTGCCGCGCTTGGCCGTCACAAGTCCTGTGATTAACAGCGTGAACCACCACGCCAGGCCGATCACGCCTGTAATCCCAGCACTTTGAGAGGCCGAGGCAGGGAATAGCCTGAGGTCGGGAATTTGAGACCAACCAGCCTGACCAACATGGGGAAACCCCGTCTGTACCAAAATAAATAAATAAATAAATAAATAAATAACAAAATGAGCCCTGCATGGTGGCTCAGGCCTGCAATCCCAGGCACTCGGGAGGCTGAGGCAGGAGAACCAGCCAAACCCAGAGGCAGAGGCCGCGGGGAGCCGAGACCTCGCCACTGCCCTCCAGCAGGGCAACAAGAGTGAAACTCCACCTCAAAAAAAAAAAAAAAGTGACTGGTTTTCACCATGTTGCCCAAGCCGGTCTGGAACTCCTAGGCTTAAGTGATAATCCGCGCTCGGCTGTCCAAAGTCCTGGGATCACAAGCGTGAGCCACCACGCCAGGCCGATCTATTCCTTTCTGATTAGTAAACTGGGCAGGGCAGGTGATCTATCCTGGAGAATGTTCTCTGTGAGCTTAATATTGTGTATGCTGTTGCTATTGGATGGAATGTTCTGTATATGTGTGTTAGGTCCATTTGATCTAATGCGTCGTTCAAGTCTCATGTTTTCTTATTAATTTTCTGCCTGAATAATCAGTCCATTGTTGAAAGTGATATATTCAAGTCCCTTACTATGATTGTATGGTAATCTCTCTCTCTCTCAAGAGCATTTCATATTTGTTTTATATTTTAAGTGCTCCAACGTTGAGCATATGTGTAATTGCTATTGTTATATCCTCTTCATAAATTGACCCTTTATCATCATATCATGTTCTTATGTGTCTCCTATTTCAGTTTTTGAGCTTTTCTCTTTGTTTTCATTTGCATGGAATATCTTTTTCCATCCCTTCATTTTCAGTTTGTGTGTGTCCTAAAATACAAGATGAGCCTCTTACGGGCAGCGAATAGTTGGGGCTTGTTTCTTTATCCTTTCAGTTACTCTCTTTTTTGTAGGATTTAATGCATTTATATTCAAGGTAATTATTGATAGGCAAGGGCTTACTACTACCATTTTGTTAATTGTTTTCTGGTTGTTTTGTAGATACTTTGTTTCTTTCTGCCTCTTATGCTGTCTTCCATTATATGTTGGCCAACATGGAATAACAGAAATTTCAAAGAGCAATAGAGTTCCAAGTCAATAAGTTAGACATGATTTAGTGATAGAATCTGTCTGTCAAAACCACAGTAAGCCTTGGACCAAAGAGATTAGTGAGAAAGCCCTTCTCAGTAAGAATTTAAATCTAAATCTAATAAGAAGCAAAATGTAGAAACAGATGTCTAAAAAAATAAAGCTACTATAATTAAAATTGTTTGACATGGGAACATAATCAACAAATAGAAAATTACTACCTAGTAGCATACAGAAGTAAAATCAGATATGTAAATATAGTGGTATTTCAATTTAGTTAGGAAAGTATATGCTACTACCCAGCATATACAAAAACATATTCCAAATGGATAAGAGGTCCAAGCATTACATAAGACAATTAGAAAAATAATGTTTATATTCTTTGAGTAAAGCCTCTGAAAATAAATCAAGTAATGCAGCATTTGCAAAGATAAAATAAGAGTAATTATAAAGTCTAATGATAAAATATAAACTTGGAAGAAGCATTTGAAGAGTATAAACAGACCAAATGGTTATTTGTCTACTAAATTAGGAAGTCCTATATATAAATATGAATATAACAACCAAATAGACAAATGTAAACTTAATAAAGATCTGCAATTAATAGAAACATAAAAGGTATATAAATACACTATATTTATATAAAATATAATTATAAAAGGTTATAAAAGGTAATTAAATACACTAAAAAAGTTTGAAAACATGAATCATAAAATTGTCAACTTTGAAAGATTAGTTCCATCCATTGTTGACAATGACATAAGAAAAAGTATTCACATACATTTTATTCTGGACCAAAAGTTAACCTGGTACTGTTTAGACATAAAGCAAAGTTCACATATTTGTATCACAGCCCCAAATCTATGAGGTAAGTATAAGAGAAAAAATTCTTACAGAATTGTGTAGCTTCATTTCAAAAAAAATGGCTACATAAATTCTAGCAGAAAAAGATAAATGAGCAAAGTTGTTTATGAGAGTGTACAATAGCAAAAAAAAAAAGGTATTACCTAACCATCATATAGAGCTGGTTGAATAATTTATAATAAACATCTCCATGAGGAAATTCAATGTTACTACTTTACTAAATAAAGATGTTTATGTACTATAGAAGTGAACTAACAGTATGTATTTTCAAATGTGATTTAAAAACTGTATATTATCCTATTTTATTATATATTGGTCTATCTATATCATTTTTCCATGAGTATAAAAAAATAGAAAAAGGTACATACCAAATTGAAGGGCTGGAATGGAAAGAACATTTTTACTTTATATATTTCAAAATGAAAATAGTAATATTTAGAGAATTTTTAATTTCCTTTTTATCTTTTTTTTGAAATTTCAAAAACTTGAGTGTAATCAAGTAACTGAAATACGGTGAGATATATACAACATTAGAAGAGTATACGTGATAGCACATAAACAGTAATAATTATTTGGGAGATTTTAAAAGTTTTGAAAATAAGGTGCCTTATCCATTGTTTTGAAGGGTAAAAATATAACTTTCCAAGTGATTATAGTTTCTGAAAGCATATGAGACACAAAAAATTATAAGCACAAAGATGTAAAACATTTAAGGAACCACAAGTTCTTTGGAACTCTTGGACTAAAAACACAGCTGTGAGATAAATCTCAAAAGAATGTTAAGAAACAAGTCATGAAAAGCCTTTCATATCCTGCTAAAAAAATTTTATTCTATACTAGGGGTTGGGAATTTTCTTCTTACAGGGTCAGATAGTAAATATTTTAATTTAGCCTCTGTCAGAACTACTCAACTCTGTGTTGTAGTCAAAGCAGTGTGACAGTGTGTAAATGGACAAGTACGGGTGTATTCCAATAAAACTTTATTTACAGAAAAGAGTACTCCAGTTCACAGAATGCAGTTTGCCATATATCTAGGGCCATGTGGAATCCATAAAATATGTTGTTAGAGATATGACCTAATTTTAAAAAGCATGAAATTACCTAAGAAGAATGTGGGGAAAAGGAGGTCTCAGGATCAAGTCCCAGGTTTTACCAAGATTTGGAAATTGTATGATGAGAAGTAACCAAGGATTCTCAGAAAGATCAGCCCATGAAACACAGTGAAAAACACAGAGTGTGGATGGATGGCAGAAGCCAAGAAAAGCAAAACAAAGATCAGAATGTTCAGTATTGTAGAGTGCTGCTGAGTCAAATAAGATGCAGGAGGACATTTTCTCATGGATGTACAGGATGGAAATTGTTGTGAGGAAACTCTGAAGGGGTCATGATTGAGAATAGGTTAAAGAGAAACTGGAAGATAAGAAAGAGGATATCATTTAGCAAAATCTTAAAAACAAGCCTTGCTATGAAGACTAGGGAGGTAAAACAATAGCCAGGATGTATGGAGGAAACATTGTATTAAAAAAGAATGTATGTTTGGTTAGTTGCCTTTAAGCTAGGCGGTATTTTAGTCAATGTTTACATGCATGCCTATTAGAACAAACTGGGAGAAAGAAATGAATTGTGCAGAAGAAAGGAAGCAAAATTACATGACATTAAGCAATAAGAGACTCAATTTTAGGAAAGAAAAAATAGCTCCAGTATTTGTAGAAATAAAGTTTTGGTGGGAGGACACAAAGAGCAAAATTTATACTTCAAAAACTGTACTTCTGTTTTTGCAGTGCTTCATGTCTTTTTTTATTTAACAAAACAATAAAATTGCGTTTTTCTTTCTATGTTTAAAAATAGATGTCTGGTCGCTGATGATTTCAATTGCACTATCATTAGTAAGAATGAAATAATTTGTGCCTTCATTTCTTAAAACTAAAGTGGGCTGGGTGCAGTGGCTCACGCCTGTAATCCCAGCACTTTGGGAGGCCGAGTCGGGCGGATCACGAGGTCAGGAGATGGAGACCATCCTGGCTAACCTGGTGAAACCCCATCTCTACTAACAAACAAACAAACAAAAATTAGCCAGGTGTGGTGGTGGGCGCCTGTAGTCCCAGCTACTCGGGAGGCTGAGGCAAGAGAATGGTGTGAACCCAGGAGGCGGAGCTTGCAGTGAGCCGAGATTGTGCCACTGCACTCCAGCCTGGGCGACAGTGCGAGACTCTATCTTAAAAAAAAAAAAAAGAAAACAAGTGACATTTAATTTATTAAAATCCTGGGAAAACACTGACAATGTTATTTCAGCTAAAGATATTTGAAACTTAAGATGCTAAATTAGTGTCATTAAAAGTTAATTTAGGGCCAGGCATGGTGGCTCATGCCTGTAATCCCAGCTCTTTGGGAGGCCGAGGTGGGTGGATCACTGGGTCAGGAGTTCAAGACCAGCCTGGCCAAGATGGTGAAACCCTGTCTCTACTAAAAATACAAAAAAAAAATCAGCCGGGCGTGGTGGTGGGCGCCTGTAATCCCAGCTACTCGGGAGGCTGAGGCAGAGAATTGCTTAAACCTGGGAGGCGGAGGATGCGGTGAGCCGAGATTGCACCACTGCACTCCAGTCTGGGCGACAGAGCGAGACTCCATCTCAAAATAAATGAAATAAAATAAAATAAAATAGCAAAACAGCTCCAAATAGTGTAAATATGCAAAAGGTTAGGCTCTCATTTTTTTCTTACACTTAGTGTGGGTATATTCACAGCACTTGAAGAATCTATTTTGCTTTGTTTGATTAGAAGGAAAAAAAATCACATTTCAATAACTCAAGATTAAAAACTATGACCAAATATTACTTAGCATATTTTCTACTTCAAATAGTTATTTGATGTCCGGGTGCGGTGGCTCACGCCTGTAATCCCAGCACTTTGGGAGGCCGAGGCGGGTGGATCATGAGGTCAAGAGATCGAGACCATCCTGGCTAACATGGTGAAACCCCGTCTCTACTAAAAAAATACAAAAAATTAGCCAGGCGTGGTGGCGGGCGCCTGTAGTCCCAGCTACTTGGGAGGCTGAGGCGGGAGAATGGCGTGAACCTGGGAGGCGGAGCTTGCAGTGAGCTGAGATCGCACCACTGCACTCCAGCCTGGGCAACAGAGTGAGACTCCGTCTCAAAAAAAAAGAAAAAAAAAGAAAACTTGATTCCATATTTTCAAAACCATGAAGGAAAAGGAAACACATGGGAATGTGTTTTTTTTTTAATAGAAGAAAACAATATAAATCAATTCACCTCAGGAAATATTGACTAAAATATTGCTTTTAGTTGGTACAGATTCATATTGAACTAGGTAAATGTCTTAATAAATATTACATCTCTTCCTTGTCAATGGAAAACCAATAGGTTCATGTTAGATACATGTTACATTTTGGAAGTGCAGTGTGAAACAATAGCTTAAAATTATGAATAAAAAAGAAAAGAGTACAAAAATGCTGTAAAGTAAATGACAGAACTCATTTCCTCCATAGTTGCAGAAAGAACCAAATATTGCTGACTCTGGATGACCTCTGACAATATTCTGGGTTTGAAAATATTTCAAAACACAAATTCCTTTGAGGAATTTGGCTATATAATTTAACCTATTTGATTCTCATTTTGTTGTTGTTGTTATATGAAAGTACATCTATCCTAGAGCAATCTTATAAATATTTGAGATCATAGAGAACATTGTATGTACAATAAGTTCTAGAGTCCCATATTCATGGACATTCAACATTCACTAAAGAACACCACCGTCTTAGAGTGTCTTCCACGTGTCAATAATTATAGTACAAAAAGTTATATATTTATATCTCTACCTATATTAAAAATTGACAAGTCCTACAAATAAAGCCTTTACAGGAATATATGAAGAATTATAGGTATGGAAACGGAAATATTTTAGCAAAAGTAAAATATAGTTTAGTAACATCAATGTTGTTGGACCCAGTTTAGAGAATCATTAATTTAGAATATAAAGCCCTAATTATTTTCATTCTAAATTATTTTGAAGTGACCCAATAAAGGTAAGCAAAGAAATTTATTTAGAGTCATTCTCTTCCTTCTAAACACTTTGTACGCATTTTTTAATGTTAGCAAGTCTGAAAATCCTTGGAATAGGACTGGAGACAACATAAAGAGATAAAAAATAGATAAGGAAAATAATGACAAAACTGAAAGAAATGAAATCTTGTGAGTGTTCCAAATACTTGGAAGCCAAGAGTCCCAGCTGTGTTACTGAAAAAATTTATCTCTATGCTAATATTCAGAAATCTACTAACAGATCTAATGAAGAAATCCAGACTAGCAGTGATCGCATAAAGGAAACATCTGCCTGAGCAACTTTTATTCCTTAATATAAAGGCTAGATATCCTAAGTTCACATATTCTTATTAAACTTTCAAGTTTATATTTTTAAGTACTAAAACATATATGCCATTAAAATGATACTCTTTTATTTTTCAAGTCTGTGTGTCTAGATACATTAATTTGGAAGAGACAAAGTTATCCCCATCTAGAACCTGAAGGAATCTATATTTTTAGCTTAGATGTTCTTCCATGCAAATTTACTGACTCAAAGATGTCTTCTGAATTAAGAAGAATCACGTTGTTGTTTTATGTTAAGACAGAAAGCATGTTTAGCTCTTTCATGCCCCATTCTAATTAAGTATAGAATTTTACGTGGTCTGCCTTCGGAGTTGTTTCACTGATATGTTCTTTTCCTTAGTAAGTGCCCTGGTATATAATAATACAGTCATCCCTCACATCCCTGGGAGGTTGATTGCAAGACTCCCAAGAATATCAAAATCCATGGATGCTCAAGTCTTTTATATAAAACAGTGTAGTATTTGCATACAGCTTATGCATCTCCTCCTGTATACTTTAAATCATCTGTAAATTATTTATAATAGCTAATGTTATATAAAAAGTGGTTATACTGTATTTTGATTTGTAATTTTACTGTTGTACTATTATTATTTTTTATTTTTATTTTTGTCTGATTTCCCCATGCTGTTCTCATGATACTGAGTGAGTTCTCACAGAGCTCATGGTTTTATAAGGGACTTTTTTCCCTTCTTCACTCTGAACTTCTCTCTCCTGCCACCATATGAAGAAGGATGTGTTTGCCTCCCCTTCTGCCATGATTGTAAGTTTCCAGAGGCCTCTCCAGCCATGTGGAACTGTGAGTCAATTAAACCTCTTTCTTTACAAATTACCCAGTCTTGGATATGTCCTTATAGCAGCATGAGAATGGGCTAATACACATGGTTTTTTATTCATGGTTCTGAATCCACAACAACCTATGCCTCATGACTTCTACAGCACGCATGAAGACATTAGCTTTGCAATGTCATGGCTGCATCCATCCAGAATGGTATCTTAGCTCTGATGCATTTGATCTCCACTACACACAGGTGACTACTCTTTCCTTATCTGTGTGACTAACTGCTAATTTATTTTCATTCTGTCTCTCTAGTGGGTCTCATATCTATTTTTTTATCTCCTGTTATTTCTACCTGCACACCATTTAAAAAAGTCCCAGACAGATCTCTCACCAGCCATTTCTAGTGCTCCTCACTCATGCCAGTTTATAAGATCTCATATTTGTGTGAGGTCCAAACCCTTCAGAGACTTCTCATCACCCATTAATATCTTTCCCAGTCCACAGTTGTCCAGTCTGGTTAAAACCCTCAATATTATCTATGCTAATTCCTGCATTTCAGTCCACACAAATAACTATAAGACATTTGTACCTGATTTTTCCTATTACCTTACTCATATTTTATCCTTTATGGAGAAATTCTCACTTTTTCAGAATCTGACAAAATACTCCCCATCTTCACAGGCCCAATTAAAATATCACAATAGGTTCCTTGGATGGAAATAAATCACTTTGCACTCTAAACTTCCATAGCATTCCACTTTCTGTCATTCTCCTTGTCACACTGCACTTCTACTTTGATTGTCTATGTCTGTATGTTTATACCCATTCTACGTGTTAGACCCTTAAGCTAAAGGAATGTGTCTTATGCATTGTTGAATCACTCAGGTAGCACTAACTCTTTATGGACTGAAAGAACGAGGCTCAGAGAAAATGACATTTGTAATTGTTTTTAGGAGTGTTAACTCAGCAACCTATAAACAGCAATGTTCCTTTACAACATTTTGATTGCTGTTTTTAACTGTGCATTACCAAACCCTGCTTTCCTTTTTTAAAAATATCTGAGGTAGATTATGTAACTTTCTGGTAATTTTCAGCAGTTAAAATATAATCCCAAGTAACTGTTTTAATAGAATTATAATTTTTATCTAAGAAATGGTAAAAGTATAAGCCTAGATATGTAACTACAAGTCTAGAGATGTATTTTTACTCTATTACATTCTTACTCCAAGAATGAAGTCATCATTTTGCAGTTTCAACTAAGGTAGTTTTAAGTGAAAAAGCACAAAAAATAAAAAAGTAGTTTTTTTCTAGTTTCATATTAATGCTGCAAAATCCGTCTTCAACACAGTAGCTACATAATAAATTTCATTGCAATCGAGCTTCTTTCTCATATGTGTTTGCATTTATTACTTTCAGTTAATAAATGAGTTATCTATAGTTTACCTAAACATCAGTTAACCAAAGATATCCATTGTTTATCCAAACATCAATCTCTTTGCTTTACAAATAAAAACTAACATAATCTTCAAAAGCGTAAGTCAGTTTTATTCTCTTAAAAAAGTACATGGTTGTTTCGAGGGGAGGAAATAATTTTTAAAACGATGTCTATAACATTTCACATTTAACATCATTTTAACAATTCTAATTCTAGAATTATTGTGTCTAATTCTAACACTGTGTCTAGCTTTACTTGGGTAAACAGAAATGTAGTAGGGAAGAGACAGCATGTTTAGCTTGCAATATCTAAGTAATTACTCATGTGGATATCTGGGAAGATAGCTCTCCATAGACCCGCTGTCACTGACATGTAATGCTTCTCCTGACGTCTTCGGTAAAATCCAACAGATTGCAAAGAACCTGGAATGCCTTGAAGAAATAGAGCTTTTTCGATGATGCCAGATTCAATAGACCTCTAATCCTTAGTAAAACAGTACAAAACAGTAGAATAACTTGATGTTTTCTAATATCAACTGAGGTTTTATTTGGGAGATTAACCAGAGGTTTGCACAAAAATGAAAGTGAAGACCATTACTCTTTAAAGAAACTAAGACTCTAGGTTTGGATCTCATTTGTGGAGCCCCACATTCCAAGTCATCTAATGTTCCTGTCTAGTTAGCTTGTAAAAGTCTACAAGGGAGGAAAACCCTTTTTTTCCTTAGTATAAGTATATTATATGTTGATAGAAAGTTAAATGACAGTTTAATAAATGTACATCTAAATGAAATTTTAAGAAAAAGTACATGCCTTGCTGTCACAGAGGCCAGTCATGTGTCATTAATGCTTTCTCAGTTTTGAGTGCTACCTCAATTCAATGTTGCTTAATGTTTCAAGTTACTCAAGCTCTATCCTTTCTCAGATAGTTTATCTCTTCAGATGAGACATAACATTAAAGAATCTAACCACACTTAAAAGATTATTTTACCTTTTGACTGCATAAACTCCATTTGAGATAATTACATTAGTGTTTGATATTCTCTCTGCTTCTAACTACATTTATCCTTGCTCTGTGTTATTGGATAACACTGTGCTATAGATGGGAACCAGCTTCCTCTGCATCACACGTGATTTAAAAATGAGACAGAATAAATATACCCATCTGGGGCTATTAGGAATGGTCACTTAAAAGGGTATGGGTAAACACATTTTCCTATGTTCTTTTACCAGAACTTCCTAAAAATCTGGCTTTATTCTTCCCATCCCACCAACACAGTTTAAAAGGAAACAGACGTTGTCATTCAGGTTCTTGTATGTGCTAGACACTGTGCTATGACATTACACACATTACTTCTTTCTAATTCCTTCAAAAAAAGCTGATTTTATAACTGAGGCTCAAAGAAGTTAGCTCTTTCCTATGAACATGCAGGGAGGAAGTCGGTGGGGTGGGATTCTAAAGACCACTCTTTTCCATACCTCAGGCTGCAGCCCAAGGATAATCCAAAGATACTGAGAGTGAAGACAGCTCCCACAAACCCCAGCATCTTCTCAGATATACGCAGTGGTGTGCTGGTGAATAGGCCCAGAGAAGCTTTCATTTGTAGCATTTAGAGATTTACATAGGAGCTACCTTCCACTGGTACTTTTTCCCACTGCAAAACTCAGCCTAACACATTAACGGTGCCATCTCCAATAATTTCATGAACTCTAACAGTTGTGTTTTAAACACCCACTCTTTGATATACCACATCCTATACGTCCAGCCTGTTGACTGCAGTATTCTCAATTCATCAATCATCAATCCCACCCTTAACTGCTTCCCCAGCTTCACTTCCCTATATATCAAGGTTTTCTGGGGCTTTATATGGGATTGCAATTTAATTGATACTTTGTGGCAGCTGTATTTAAGCATATAATGCGGTGAAGAGCAAGGAAAATTAGGGACCAGGGACTATGTAGAATCCTAAACCCAGGTTTTAAACTTTGAAGGCATTCCTGTATTATCTGGATTTAAATTATTTTAACTTGAATTTCTGATCCAATGCCCATTTTTTCGAACAGATTTCTTTCATTTTCTTACATGCTGTAAAAACATCCTTTTTTTCTTCAATGAAAATGACCTGCCATATGCCATATGCCATTAAGCTTCTCAGGCTTTATTTTTATTAGTTCACATTACATCCTCACTTAGCGGGATCTGGAAAAGCCTGAAAATCTAATTACATCAGTTAGCCAAAACTAGTTTTTAAATGCATCATTTTGATAGATTTTACATATTCCAGCTATAGTTATTTTTTATAAACAGGGAGAAATTATGGTTTTCATGTATCAAAAGTAATAATTTTAAAGCAGAGAAAACCACAACAGTGGGGGTCAAGCCAGCTATTCCTCATGAGCCTCTCCATAGGATGGCCTGCAACTTTGAGGACTTACTCTTTGCCAGAGTGTTTTTAAACCCACAGCTTCACCATAGACATAAAGAAAGGTAAGGCCTACATGAACTCTGCTCAGCTCAAACACATGGTGAAAAGAGCACTGAATGCTTGAGGACCTTTTTTGCTTGTTTGTTTTTTTGAGACGGAGTCCCGCTCTGTCCCCCAGGCTGGAGTTCAGTGGCGCGATCTCGGCTCACTGCAGGCTCCGCCTCCCGGGTTCACCCCATTCTCCTGCCTCAGCCTCCAGAGTAGCTAGGACTACAGGCGCCTGCCACCACAACCGGCTAATTTTTTGTATTTTTAGTAGAGACGGGGTTTCACCGTGTTAGCCAGGATGGTCTCGATCTCCTGACCTCGTGATCCGCCCGCCTCGGCCTCCCAATGTGCTGGGTTTAGAGATGTGAGCCACCGCACCCAGCCGAATGCTTGAGGACCTTTATGCACCACATTCAGTGACAGCTGTCAGCTGTGAGCGTAATTGTTAAGTTTTCATTATAGGGTTTCATTCAAAGCAATCTTTATTTATTTGAAGGCTAATATTAAAATGGGCATGTGGCAGTTGCACATATTATGAGCAAAACTCTGCCTAAAACCATACCTATGAACCTAAACACTCAGGCATACACATGAAAAGCCATACATGGCCGGGCGAGGTGGCTCAAGCCTGTAATCCCAGCACTTTGGGAGGCGGAGGCAGGTGGATCACGAGGTCAGGAGATGGAGACCATCCTGGATAACACGGTGAAACCCCGTCTCTACTAAAAATACAAAAAATTAGCCAGGCGTGGTGTCAGGCGCCTGAAGTCCCAGCTACTTGGGAGGCTAAGGCAGGAGAATGGCGTGAACCAGGCAGGCGGAGCTTGCAGTGAGCGGAGATCACGCCACTGCACTCCAGCCTGGGCGACAGAGCGACACTCTGTGTCAAAAAAAAAAAAAAAAAAAAAAGCCATACACATCGGTTGCATGCACACACACACAGAAGCTTTAAATTGCTTGTATCCGTCTCTTAATTTTTTTTGGTGGAGCATATATCAGTGAATTGCTATAAAGTAAGTGTTTATGGAGCTATATCATGATTCATAGTCTGATTACTGCTTGTGAGACAAACAAAAATAGAATGTATCCATGAAAATGAACGCAGAAGTATTTATTATCCATTGATCTTTGTTACTGTACATTTATAACTGAGTTATATTGATCACTTGTTTAAAGTACGCAATTATATAAAATATAATTTTATTAACGAAATTATATTTATCATGTATGACAGCTACCAGGAGAGTCATTGTATTGGAAACTAAGAGAAGTAAATGGATAACACTTACACTGTGCAAAGTTTCCACTACACGTCATTAATTTCTGTAGTTCCTAGATAATCTTTTCAGGTAGAATAAAATGTCCACAAAACAAAAGTAATTAAACAACCAACATAGATTCCTGAATTGCCTGCTCTGCTACGCACTCTCTACTCACCCTCATGTCTACATTCTGCCACTAACTCAAATATCCTAAACTATTGCACATGCCATCAACCCCCGCACCCCGCCGCTAAAATGTTTCAATCAGACTCACGCAGGCACCATCTGACCATTCCCTCAATGCTAATCCATAAGAAAAGAAAAGTGACAGTAGGAAAACATCAGGATAAACACACATAAAGAAATTCTTAGCCAGTTCTGACCTCTGCTTATATGGACCAAGCAGAGTATTACATAAGAGGAGCCACACAGGCCGAGCGCGGTGGCTCACGCCTGTAATCCGAGCACTTTGGGAGGCCAAGGCGGCTGGATCATGAGGTCAGGAGATGGAGACCATCCTGGCTAACACAGTGAAACCCCATCTCTACTAAAAATGCAAAAAAAAATTAGCCGGGAGTGGTGGCAGGCACCTGTAGTCCCAGCTACTTGAGAGGCTGAGGCAGGAGAATGGAGTGAACCCGGGAGGCGGAGCTTGCAGCGAGCCAAGTTCGCGCCACTGCACTCCAGCCTGGGCGACAGAGCGAGACTTCGTCTCAAAAAAAAAAAAAAAAAAAAAAAAAAAAGAGGAGCCACACAGAAGAAATTTAAGGGACACTCTTTGTAGTTGGAGAGATACTGATCACAGGTGTCACTCTGTTACACTCCTTTATATTGGCCTCTGTAGCATCTGTTCAAAGAAAGTATCATGTTTACCAAAATTTAGCCATCTCATGAAACTTAAAAACTTTAGGAATTCTGCCATAGAACTCCAATGACTAGGAGGCTGTATCAGGAAGCCTTCTATTGTTTGCAGTGGCAAAACTATAGTCAACAATAATTTATTGTACATTTAAAAATAACTAAAAGAGTATAATTAGATTCTTTGTAATACAAAAAAGGACAAATGCTTGAGGTGATGCTTACCCTGTTTACCCTGATGTGATTATTACACATCATATGCCTGTATCAAAATATCTCATGTACCCCATAAATATGTGCACTTACTATATACTCACAAAAATTAAAAAATTAAAATTACTTTTAAAACTTGAAAAACCAATAATAAAATATTTGCAGCAATAAAATAATTCCTATCTCTACTCCACACATAATGAATAAACATTGCTACCTGGGAGATCACTTAAGGAAATTTACTTTTACTAAATGTCAATGGCATTATTGATTAAGCTTGTCAATAAACACAAGTGAAAATGATTAATAAAAAAAACACACAAATGAGCAAACAAAACCACCAACAGCAACAGGGAAACAAGACTTTTCCTGACCGAATCCCTATCTTCTCACCCTGTTCTCAGCAGCTGCCTTATGCCTTTTGCAGGTTAGAATCTTAGAATTGAGAAATAATAATTGTTTAATTTTAATAAGTTTCTACTAAATCCTTTACATACGTTTTCTCCTTTTATCCTACTACAACCCAATGTAAGAGTAGCATTATCACCATTTTACAGATGAGAAAACTGAGATGCTGGAGGCTAAATAACTTGCTGAAGGTTTTACTGCTAAAATGTAGTAAGACTAAGATTAGAAGGCAGTCCATCTGGTCCCAGAACCGTAAGTTTTAACTCCTGTGGCTAGGTTCTTACTATTAGCCGCAGATTTATTTCACATCTGAACTTTCACATATTATATGTGGGCAAATTGCCAGGAACCTAAGCTTGATTTGTTGGTACAACATCTTCTATTCCAAAATGCCCGTAGCCAGCCCTCCTGAATCCCTCGGCCTATGGGGCTAAAAAGCTGGTTTTTTTCTATGGCCATTCAACTATTTTACATTTTGTCAACTTGTCAAGGTATCATACGCTATTCGTCCATAGATCTCCTTAATGTCCATATCACACCCTGTGGACTTGCAGAGGTTGCACATTGAAATATGACTTACCCTGGTAATCCACATCTTAATTTCTTAATAATACCCATCTCAGCCGGGCGCGGTGGCTCACGCCTGTAATCCCAGGACTTTGGGAGGCCGAGACGGGCGGATCACGAGGTCAGGAGATCAAGACCATCCTGGCTAACGCGGTGAAACCCCGTCTCTACTAAAAATACAAAAAATTAGCCAGGCGTGGTGGCGGGCGCCTGTAGTCCCAGCTACTCGGGAGGCTGAGGCAGGAGAATGGCGTGAACCTGGGAGGTGGAGCTTGCAGTGAGCTGAGATTGCGCCACTGCACTCCAGCCTGGGTGACAGAGCGAGACTCCATCTCAAAAAATAAAATAAAATAAAATAAATTAAAAAATACCCATCTCAAATAATACCTTCTTCATGGAGTTCTCATAAGGCACAAATACAATTTCAGATAGATGTCACTTATATACATACAAATATACATGCAAGTGTTTTGCAAGCTGAAAGGTATTTAACAGTATTCATAACTCTGGAAAGAGTCATCTTTATTTGCTTTTCTTCAGAATTATTAGATTTTAGGACAAAGACAGATTACAGCACAGATGACTAAAATAACCTAGATGATATATTCTAATTGTTTAGTTTTACACCATGTCCTGCCCAAGTCTATGAACGCTGCTGGTCTTTAATAATCCCACACAGGGCAACCATTGTCCTTGTGGGAGAAGCATGACATAGCATGGCAAAAAATTGGAAGAGAAATATTTCTACCACATAAGAATACCTGAGTATGGATTTTATCACAGACATTTGGGGATTTTTGTCTACAGAGTTCATAAAAAGATTCAAGTTAGTGTACTGTATCTCTTATAATTAAGATTAACTAATTTAAAAATTAGTGTTGAAAATTACCATTAAAAAGTTGAAAACATTACACTGTCTAATCGTGATAAACTCTAACAGAAGATTTGATGTATTTAAAAGAAAAGCATGCTTTCATAGCCAGTGACCGGATTTCAAAACTGAACCCTGTACTGTCTGAGGTTTCCCCAGACTTTATATTTTAGTAGATTGCTTTCACATATGAAGGCCTGACCCCCGCAACCTCAGCCTAAGTATTAGTTGTTTTTCAGAAAATAGTAGGAAACGAGGATAAATTTTTCCACATCTTTCCAGGTCTTCTGTGTGGCAATAACATCTACTGACAGGATAGTTTGTAAAGATAGGGGTGTGGCTTATTGGTAAATGACAGAGAGCTCTACCTTTACAATCAAGTTCCAAGCAAGGAGCAGACAAGGACAAACAGCTAAGATTCTCCTTCCTTCCACCAGATATTTTGACAATTTCTCTCTGACATAAGTAGACATATTATCATAATGAATAAATTCAATGAATATATCCTCATTATTATTTATTCACTGAATATATCCTTGTTATTATAGAAATAAAGAACAAGATATTTCAGACCTCTCTAATCAACACAGCAATGGAGATAAAGATCAAATACAAAGATATCTAGCTTAAAATGAAGGATGCCTTTCTAATTTGACTTTCCTAATTTGCTGCATTGGAATAGGTAGAGTGATGTGCAGTACAAAATGTTCAACTCAAAAAGAAAAGAAATTATTTCTAATTCTTGTCTCTTACACTCATCTTAATATCTCAGAATCAATGAGATGATCATGGGTGATACAATGATTTTTTTAAATGATGAGTTACTATATTTTTACAGTAAATAGGATCTACTTTTCACCTCTTTTTTTTTTTTTTTTTTTTTTTTTTTTTTTTTGAGACGGAGTTTCGCTCTGTCGCCCAGGCTGGAGTGCAGTGGCGCGATCTCGACTCACTGCAAGCTCCGCCTCCCGGGTTCACGCCATTCTCCTGCCTCAGCCTCCTACTTTTCACCTCTTTATACTAAATAAGAAAATTAATAGGCCAGGCGCGGTGGCTCACGCCTGTAATCCCAGCACTTTGGGAGGCCAAAGCGGGCGGATCACGAGGTCAGGAGATCGAGACCATCCTGGCTAACACGGTGAAACCCCGTCTCTACTAAAAATACAAAAAATTAGCCCGGTGTGGTGGCGAGCGCCTGTAGTCCCAGCTACTTGGGAGGCTGAGGCAGGAGAATGGCATGAACCCGGGAGGTGGAGCTTGCAGTGAGCCGAGATCACACCACCGCACTCCAGCCTGGGTGACAGCACGAGACTCCGTCTCAAAAAAAAGAAAAGACCGGGAGGCGGAGCTTGCAGTGAGCCGAGATCCCGCCACTGCACTCCAGCCTGGGCGACAGAGCGAGACTCCGTCTCAAAAAAAAAAAAAAAAAGAAAAGAGAGAAGTATTCGACAAATCAGTTTTGACATACGGGTTTCCTCATGTTGACTTCTGAAATATTGCTTGGTGAATATCACCAACCAATATTCCCTAGCTCCTTTGTGCACCTCAAATGACTAAGAACGGAGAGAGTACTAGAAGTAGCATCTATTTCTTTTGCAGAGATTAGAAACAAGACGCTTCTTGCTCTACTTCTTCAAAGGGTTCCGAACCGGTGATTAAGAACAACTTTACATATTTTGGAGTTGAGAGAAAGTTATGAGTCCTTTTTCAGCCTGAGACTTACTGTTATGAAGGAATGCGTACCCAGTCAGCCTTCCAAGGATACTGCTAGCAGCTGCATCAAAATATTCGTAGGGACATTGTTTTATAGACAAGAAGTCCCTTGAACCTGATGATCAAGAGAAATAAATTGATCAGGCCCTTGCAGGAGCAATTTATCACCCTGGAATACCTTTGACAGTTGCTGAAAATGCATGCTGGCAGGAAGTTTTTTAATTACCAAAACCATCAGATCATTTGCTTGGTTCTTTCAGAGTCAGTGAAATATACGAGTGAGTAATGGAGTCTGTTCAAGGAAAAATTAGCTAAGCATTGAATCTGCCACTGTCCCTGTTGCAGATGGAAGGCCAGATGTGCAGGGACAGTCACGAGTCATCAGGCTCATATATATAGAATATAGAAGCACACACATGTATGTATGTTACATATATATGTATACATGATAGTTAAAATAAGAAAGGAAAGATTTTGTAGTTTATAAGAGAACCTCATATTTACAGCAGGTTGAATTTCTGGAAAAGGCATTTTAATTAAATGGAAGTGGTTTTCTTAAGTTTAATTGGGTTTTCCTTTGGAAGTAGCATTATAATAGAGTTATATGCTTAACTAGGGGAGAGATATTCGAGTCTTTATAAAATTGGTTATAGGTCAGACACAGTGGCTCACGCCTGTAATCCCAGCACTTTGGGAGGCCGAGGCAGGTGGATCACGAGGTCAGGAGATCGAGACCATCCTGTCTAACATGGTGAAACCCCGTCTCTACTAAAAACTATAATAAATTAGCCAGGCGTGGTGGCGGGCGCCTGTAGTCCCAGCTACTCGGGAGGCTGAGGCAGGAGAATGGCGTGAACCTGGAAGGTGGAGCTTGCAGTGAGCCCAGATCGCGCCACTGCACTCCAGCCTGGGCAACAGAGCAAGACTTCTTCACAAAAAAGAAAAAAAAAAAAACCTAACAAGACATCACCAGGAAAAAAACTGAGACTCCACTTCCTCTTGTGAACGTTAAGTATAAAATTACCAAATGAACTATGAGCAAGCCCATCTCAACCACATATAAAATGGTATTAATCATATATCACAACAAAGTTGATTTAATTCCAGAAATGCAAGGTTAGACATTCAAAAGCCAATCACTAAGTTACCTTATCAACATAAAAAGATAAGAAAAAAATGCTCAATCAAGAAAGAAGAAAGCAATTGATAAAATTCAGTACCTATTCATAAATCCTAAAACCTATCTAACAGAGAGGAAGCAACATGCCCAGTTAAACACTCCCATAGCTGAGAATAATGACACAACTTATTTGCAGCCAAAAGATGAAAACTGCAGGCCAGATGCAGTGGCTCATACCTCTAATCCCAGCACTTTGGGAGGCAGAGGCAGGCAGATCACGAGGTCTGGAGTTCGAGAACATCCTGGCCAACATGGTGAAACCCTGTCTCTACTAAAAGTACAATAAATGAGCCAGGCGTGGTGGCACATGCCTGTAGTCCCAGCTACTCGGGAGGCTGAGGCAGGAGAATTGCTTGAACCGTGGAGGAGGAGGTTGTTACAGTGAGCCGAGATCGTGCCACTGCACTCCAGCCTGGCAACAGAGCAAGACTGCGTTTCAAAAAAACAAAACAAAACAAAAAAACAGATGAAAATTGAATATCAGTATAATCTTAAAACTTTTGAGAAATCTATGTTTTTCAGCTAAAAAGAGACAGACTCAGCCTTTTGACCTTTCCTCTTTCCCTCCCTGGAAGGCAATCCAAGGCCTGGAAAAACAACAGCCACATTGTAACCACAAAAATAAAAACATGGCTAAGGAAGTATCAGGAAACGGAAAAGAACCCTGGACTGCCTTCCTCTGCACGTTTTAAGTGACAAAAATGAAATCTATATTTCTTTTTTTTTTTTTTGAGACAGAGTCTCGCTCTGCCACCCAGGCTGGAGTGCAGTGGCATGATCTCGGCTCACTGCAACCTCTGCCTCCTGGGTTCAAGCGATTCTTCTGCCTCAGCCTCCAGAGTAGCTGGGACTACAGATGCACGCCACCATGCCCAGCTAATTTTTGTATTTTTAGTAGAGATGGGGTTTCACCATATTGGCCAGGCTGGTCTTGAACTCCTGGCCTCGTGATCCGTCCGCCTCGGCCTCCCAAAGTGCTGGGATTATAGGCATGAGCCACCGCGCCCGGCCATGAAATCTATATTTCTTTAAGTCACTGAATCAGATTTATTTTTTCTGTGACTACATGTAGCCCTAAATGATGCATTAAATACTAAAATAAATACTAAAATACATACTAAAATTTTGGTCTTGAACTCCTGACCTCAGGTGATCCACCCGCCTCAGCCTCCCAAAATGCTGGGATTACAGGCATGAGCCACTGCACCCAGCTCAAAAGCTTTGTGTTTTTAAAGATATCAGACATGTTTCTTGTTTTTTTTTTCAAAAAAACTTAACAATAATGTAGGAGAATAAGAGAAACTTTTTCCAAAAAAGAGAAATCACTGTGATTATCTTACTGGAATGTTGGATAATATAGTCTGCTTTATTAATCATCAAGCATGCTGTAAATTTTCCATTTTAATAGGATTTGTATCTCAATTAAGGTGATAAAGGTTTAAAGTTTTTAAAGTGAAAGCCAGCCCCGCCCCTCTCCTGGAGTGGGCGGGGACAGCAGTTGCATGGGCGGCTTTCCTTGTGACATCACAGGTCCTTCATGACACGTGGCTGCCTGGCCCCGCCTCCTTTCCCTTTCATCTTTCTCACTGACCAATGGGCTTGAAGCATTAAGGCCACGCCCCTATTCTGCATTCTAGTGCAGCCCTGGTTACACCTCCTCTGGCTCAGTCACATAGCTGCGTGGTACGTGACTGGAGGTGTATCCTTGTCCTCGTCTGAATCACGCTGATGTGGCCCCAACCCCACCTCCCTCCCCACCCCATGATGTCAGAAAAAACCAGACAGAACAAATTGGCTGAGGCCAAGAAAAAGGTAAAACTCACTGGGTTGCGGCACCCCAACCCCAACCCAGCCCCAGGCCCCCTCCCATGGCAGAACATCTGCCAGAGTCCATGCCATTCCAGAGGCACACTGGGCTGGGTCCCCCCCAGTGCCGCTGGGCTCCCCCAATCAAAATCTTCTCAGCCAGCCCCACCCCCTCAGCAGTCCTGCCCCGGCCCTTGCCAGTGACCCCAGGGTGACTGAGCCGGTGAACCCTGGGGCTCTCCACTCCGTACTCCGCCCTCACCTCCTATTACCCCAAAACTGACCTCCCTGGGCCCTTTGGGATTGTGTCTCCAAGGACCTGTGTGTCCCAGCACCTGCCCTCACCAGTCGCCCCAGGGTGACTTTGGGCAGGTGACTCCTGGGGCTCCCCGCTCCATACTTGGCCCTCACCTCCCGTCGCCCCAAGCCCTACCTCCCTGGGCTCTTTGGGCTCACGTCTCCAAGGACCTGGGTCCCAACCCTGCGAACCCCTCCCCAACCTCAAAGAGGCAACTTGGGCATAGCACTGATGTGTCCCTGGCCCTCCACCACCCCACAGAGGAGTGAAATGTAGTGGTGTCACAGTCCCTCTAGGAACTGTCATTACTGCTGCAAGACTGGCCTTTGATCTTAGGACCCGTCCCCTAAGTGTTCTCACCCTGTTTCTGCTTCCTCTGGTTGCATCACAGATTTCCAGCTGGAAGGGGAGTAGGGACCATGTGACCTAGCAGCGAGAAGTTTCAGGCTGCCTTACTCCCTTAACACAGACATTGACAGTTTGAAAAGCCTACACCTCCCCCTGTGAACTCAAAATGTTGACATTGTCTCTTGGTGGAAATGGGAGAACGGGTTTGGTTTGGTTTTCTCCCAGGCTTCTACTCTCCAGAGAGACTAACAGTTTTCTCTAAGTTCTCCACCTCATATTTGAATTCTCCATGGTTCTGGGACCAGATTGCCCATCAGTCAGTGATCTCTGAAGTGAGATTTGCTCATCTTCTGTGGAATAGATCTTGGGAAACTGAACTTGACAACTTGAATCTTCCTCATCGCATCTCAACCTGGGGTACTTTGAGTGCCACAGGATACATATGGGGCATCTTTCTGAAGCATCAGTTTCCCTTGATTCTCTTGAGAGAGACAAAACATTAATGTTCTTACGGATGACAGTCACACGGATTTCTAAAAGTATACCAGACTTCTCACTGAAATGAATCTTGGGTTGTCCTCTTTCTGTTAAATTCCCAGATTTAACAGAAAAGCTGCCTTCTGCCCTGAGGATACATTGATGTAAAAGTCTGAGAGGTAGTGGTGCACTTCTTCACACTAACAGATGTGTGAGGATGTACGACTCTAAACGAAACAGTGTACACTTTCCTGTCTACTTTTTACTTTTCTACCTCTGCCTCTGGTTTTGGCCCCTGGCAGCTGCGATTTGTGGCAAAACCCCAGAGCTCAGAATCAGAAGACTGAGTTTAAGTTCCATTATTGCCTTTTTTTTAGCCATGGTATCAATCCCTCTCAGTCACTAAGTGATTGCGACAACACCTCGTACAGTCGTTGGTGGCATTAAATCAGATCGTCTATGAGAGTATTTTGTATAAACTGTAAAGTGACTGTAGGAGCTTGTAGTTCTCATGAGTATCACTGCTCCTCTTTTCCACAGTTTACAGACTATCGTCAGTGGAACATTGCTGGTGTTGGTACCGGAGCAACTGACACCAAAAAGAAGAAAATAAATCATGGCACTAACCCTGAGACAACCACTTCGGGGGGCTGCCACTCGCCTGAGGATGTGAGTCTTGGCTGGCCGGTCTCCTGAGGACAAGGGGCACAGCACAAGGGGAGGTCGAGGGTAACTGTTAAGATTGTGGAAGGAAGAACTGCCGGGTACTGGTTAAGAATTCTGGGTTTGAGTCCTACCTCTCCAACTACTAGGGACACGGTTTAGGGAAAATTGCTCGAGTTCTTTGGGCCTCTCTTTTCACACCTGTAAAATGGGGATGGTAATGTTTTACTTACATGTGTGAAGCTTAAATCAGATTTGTTGTTGTTGTTTTTGTGTTAATCCCTAGTCCCGGGCCTGCTGTAAGCTCCCCTCCTCTTTGGGCTTCCGTTTCCTGAGGAGGTAGAGTTAGAGTATCAGAGGTTCTGTTTGCTCTGAGAGTCTGAGATTTAAAGATTCACTAGAATGGAAACCTTGGGGCCAAGGGCTCCTGTCTGCCTTTTCCGTCCTATATCCCAGCAGTGAAGAACCGTCCCCGGCCCCTATGTGCTTGCTCAATGCTTGTTGAATGAATGCACCTTTCTAAATCACAAGCTAGCAGAAGGGTGGGCTTTTCTCACACTCCATCTCTGAAGGTTTATGTTACTGTCTTTTTGAGATAATCTAGTTTCAGACTTTCAGTTCCGTGGCTGAGGGCAAAAACCAACAAAGACCCAAATCTCTTCTTTGGGAGTTGAGAGTTTACCACTTCATGTTCCCATTGGGTCTGAGAACGTTGCCCTTTAAAATCCATTCCTGACCCCTGCGTACCGCTTCCTGGCCTGGGGAATAGAGTCCAGGGGGCCACCCTCAGTCACCTTCCTTTGACTCTCCCCACAGACACAACAGAACCGAGCGCAGCTGAAAGAAGTAACGTGATTTGTTTGCTCACGACATGACTGCTGGGTTTGGAGGGCACTCAGATGTAGAGGCCCGTCTCATCTCGCCTACTCCCAGCTTGGGGAAGAAGGCTCACCCCCAAGATTCCACCCCATCCCCACAGGGTCCCTGATAACCTGGTCCCATGGGTGCGCCTGTCCTGGGGCATTGGTGCCATTCTGGGGGCATGTCTCTTGCTGTGGATCTCTGCCTCCCCCTAGTAAGAGCTCTGTCTTCCTCTTTCTATAGGAAAAGAAGGCAAGCCACCAACATCAGGAAGCCCTAAGGCGGGAGATAGAGGTGAGTGGAGGGTGTGAAGTTCCCTCCTGTCCTCTGGAGAAGGTTTTTTTGCTTCTCTTTCAGCACTTGCTTGTCTTTTCTCCCAAAGGCCCAGGATCATACAATACGAATTCTCACGTGTCAGAAAACTGAACTGGAGACAGCGCTCTATTACAGCCAGGATGCTGCCAGGAAATTTGAAGATGGGAACCTGGGCACCCCATCATCCTTCAACCTGGCACTTTCACAGGCCTTTAGGGGGAGTCCTTTGGGCTGTGTCTCAACCTCTCTCATTCCAGGAGAGTCCAAGGATCTCGCCGGCCGCTTGCATCATTCCTGGCACTTTGCAGGAGAGTTACAGCGGGCTCTCTCTGCTGTGTCCACACGGCACAAGAAGGCAGACAGGGTAAGTCCAATCACCTCCCCAGTCTCCTGGGATCCCAGCTTCGCAGATGGAGGAATGAGCCTAAAGGTCCCTCCTGCAGGATGCAGTGTCCTGCCCAGAAGATAGTATGGGTCATTTCTTGCTGCTTTTGTGTGTGGTTATTAGAGGCAGGTTGGGGCTGAGTCAGCTGCTGTGGGTGAGTTGGGGGGCACTGTGGGGAGCGAGCACTGGACACAGAGCTCCAAGGCCAAGAGCCTGCCCTGCCCATACTTGGCTGTGGCCTTGACCAAGTCCTAGGCAGGGGTTAAGGTATTTGTACCATGAAGGTACAGAAGAGTATCTTTAGTATGTTACCATTTGTGTAGAGAGAGGGAACACACATAAGTGTGCGTGTGCGTGTGTGTGTGTGTGTGTGTGTACGTATTATGGTAACATACATAAAAACATATTTGTAAGGATTCATAAAAAACTCAGGAGACAGGAACAGTGTGTGTGGGGTAGATATTTCCCTTCTCTACCTTCTGAGTTTTGGACTATGCCAATGTATCATTCTTTCAAAAAGTCAACAAAGGATTAATTTCCTCCTTCTTATCTGTGCCCCTACCCCCAGGGAAAGAATGGGCTTAGAGAATCAGATACACCTGGGTGTTGAAATCCCAGCTCTGTCAAAGTGATCTTAGGCAACCATTTAACTTTTAATACCCCATGTTTTGCATCTATACAATAGAGGTAATAATGGTAACCGTCTCCTATGGAGGTTGTGAGGATTAAATGGGATTGTTAACATAGTGCCTGGTGAAGCACTCAAGAAAGGTTCCAACAGTGGTAGTAATAACAGTAATAACAATAACAATATTATCTGATCGCTCTGGGCCCCTGTTAGCCAGCTATCAATTCAACCTCTTTCCCTGTCCCTTCTACCCTTACTGAGTTCTTTGAAAAACAAGTGAGAGCCAGGTGTGGTAGCGCACGCCTGTAATCCCAGCTACTTAGGAGGCTGAGGCAGAATTGCTTGAACCCGGGAGGCGGAGGTTGTCATGGGGCGAGATTGCGCCATTGCACTCCAGCCTGGGCAACAAGAGCAAAACTCCATCTCTAAAAGAAGAAAAGGAGAAAAAAAAAAGAAAAACAAATGAGACCATGGGCTTGGAATTGCCTTGAGAACATGTCGGGTGTGATGGAGAGTGAGGGAGTGTTACTGTGGAGTATCAGTGTAGCTGTTGTTCCTGGTCGGCCAGCTGCTCTTCTGCCTGCTCTGTCCTGACTTAACCTTTCTCTATTTGCAGTACATCGAGGAGTTAACAAAGGAGAGGGACGCCCTGAGTCTGGAACTGTACAGGAACACGTAGGATGGGGGAAGGTGGGATGGGAGGTCTGGGGGCCCTTAGCGTGGGTGGTGTGCTGGGAGGTGGGGGGTACAGGTGAGCATGGTAGGGGGTCATACAGGTTTACATGTGTGCACAGGGAAGCTCTAGTGCCGGCTGTGCCACTGACTCATGGGTTAGCCTCAGGCAACTCATGTCTTCTCTCTGGCCTGCCACCTGGGACTTTTAATTCCTGGGGTCCCTTCCAGTGCCACGGTTCTGTGCTTGTGGGGCGAGAGTAGAGGGTTGATCACCAAAGCAGTCCTTTCTGTTCTTCGTTCATTCCTTTCTCTACTGCCTCGGGCCATAGCATAACCAATGAGGAGCTGAAGAAGAAAAATGCCGAACTACAAGAAAAACTTCCACTTGCAGAATCTGAAAAGTCTGAGATCCAGCTCAACGTGAAGGAGCTAAAAAGGAAACTGGAGAGGGCCAAGTTCCTGCTGCCACAGGTGAGCGGCTGCAGCCCCAGGGGTTGTGGGAGACCCATCCAGCTGGGACCATGGTCTAGGGATCATGCAAGGTATGGGGAGGGTCCAGCCAAGAGCTGGAAAATTTGGGTCCTTGTTCTGGTCCCACCATAGAATCCTCTAGAGTGTGCTAAAAATCTACAAATTTGGGGCCCTGCCTGGGAAATCAGAACCTCAGTGTTAGGGCTTAAAATTTTTTTTTAAAGAATCATAGATGAAAACTGTTATTTTATAGATTACATTTATATAGCTAGTTCATAAGTCTATTTCCTTTTGAGGTTCAAACCAACACTTTGCAGGAGGAGATGTGGAGGCAGGAGGAGGAGCTACGGGAGCAGGAAAAGAAGATACGGAAGCAGGAGGAGAAGATGTGGAGACAGGAGGAGAGACTGCGGGAGCAGGAGGGGAAGATGCGGGAGCAGGAGGAGAAGATGTGGAGACAGGAGAAGAGGCTGCGAGAGCAGGAGAAGGAGCTGCGGGAGCAGGAGAAGGAGCTGCGGGAGCAGAAGGAGCTGCGGGAGCAGGAGGAGCAGATGCAGGAGCAGGAGGAGAAGATGTGGGAGCAGGAGGAGAAGATGCGGGAGCAGGAAGAGAAGATGTGGAGACAGGAGGAGAGGCTGTGGGAGCAGGAGAAGCAGATGCGGGAGCAGGAGCAGAAGATGCGGGACCAAGAGGAGAGGATGTGGGAGCAGGACGAGAGGCTACGGGAGAAGGAGGAGAGGATGCGGGAGCAGGAGAAGATGTGGGAGCAGGTGGAGAAGATGCGGGAGGAGAAGAAGATGCAGGAGCAGGAGAAGAAGACGCGGGACCAGGAGGAGAAGATGCAAGAGGAGGAGAGGATACGGGAGCGGGAGAAGAAGATGCGGGAAGAGGAGGAGACGATGCGGGAGCAGGAGGAGAAGATGCAGAAGCAGGAGGAGAATATGTGGGAGCAGGAAGAGAAGGAGTGGCAGCAGCAGAGGCTGCCGGAACAGAAGGAGAAGCTGTGGGAACAGGAGAAGATGCAGGAGCAGGAGGAGAAGATATGGGAGCAGGAGGAGAAGATACGGGACCAGGAGGAGATGTGGGGGCAGGAGAAGAAGATGTGGCGGCAGGAGAAGATGCGGGAGCAGGAAGATGTGGAGACAGGAGGAGAGGCTGCAGGAGCAGGAGAAGCAGATGTGGGAGCAGGAGGAGAAGATGCGGGATCAGGAGCAGAAGATGTGGGACCAGGAGGAGAGGATGTGGGAGCAGGACGAGAGGCTGCGGGAGAAGGAGGAGAGAATGCGGGAGCAGAAGAAGATGTGGCAGCAGGTGGAGAAGATGCGGGAGGAGAAGAAGACGCAGGAGCAGGAGAAGAAGACATGGGACCAGGAGGAGAAGATGCGAGAGGAGGAGAGGATGCGGGAGCGGGAGAAGAAGATGCGGGAGGAGGAGGAGATGATGCGGGAGCAGGAGGAGAAGATGCAGGAGCAGGAAGAGAAGATGCAGGAGCAGGAGGAGAAGATGTGGGAGCAGGAAGAGAAGATGCAGGAGCAGGAGGAGAAGATGTGGGAGCAGGAGGAGAAGATGTGGGAGCAGGAAGAGAAGATGTGGGAGCAGCAGAGGCTGCCGGAACAGAAGGAGAAGCTGTGGGAACACGAGAAGATGCAAGAGCAGGAGAAGATGCAGGAGCAGGAGGAGAAGATATGGGAGCAGGAGAAGATGCGGGACCAGGAGGAGAAGATGTGGGGCCAGGAGGAGAAGATGTGGGGGCAGGAGGAGAAGATGTGGGGGCAGGAGGAGAAGATGCGGGAGCAGGAAGATGTGGAGACAGGAGGAGAGGCTGCAGGAGCAGGAGAAGCAGATGTGGGAGCAGGAGGAGAAGATGCGGAAGCAGGAGGAGAAGATGCGGGATCAGGAGCAGAAGATGTGGGACCAGAAGGAGAGGATGTGGGAGCAGGACGAGAGGCTGCGGGAGAAGGAGGAGAGAATGCGGGAGCAGAAGATGTGGCAGCAGGTGGAGAAGATGCGGGAGGAGAAGAAGACGCAGGAGCAGGAGAAGAAGACATGGGACCAGGAGAAGATGCGAGAGGAGGAGAGCATGCGGGAGCGGGAGAAGAAGATGCGGGAGGAGGAGGAGATGATGCGGGAGCAGGAGGAGAAGATGCAGGAGCAGGAAGAAAAGATGCAGGAGCAGGAGGAGGAGATGTGGGAGCAGGAGGAGAAGATGTGGGAGCAGGAAGAGAAGATGTGGGAGCAGCAGAGGCTACCGGAACAGAAGGAGAAGCTGTGGGAACACGAGAAGATGCAGGAGCAGGAGAAGATATGGGAGCAGGAGGAGAAGATGCGGGACCAGGAGGAGAAGATGCGGGGCCAGGAGGAGAAGATGCGGGGGCAGGAGGAGAAGATGCGGGGGCAGGAGGAGAAGATGTGGGGGCAGGAGGAGAAGATGTGGGGGCAGGAGGAGAAGATGTGGGGCCAGGAGGAGAAGATGTGGGGGCAGGAGGAGAAGATGTGGGGCCAGGAGGAGAAGATGCGGGGGGCAGGAGGAGAAGATGCGGGGGCAGGAGGAGAAGATGCGGGGCCAGGAGGAGAAGATGCGGGGGCAGGAGGAGAAGATGCGGGGGGCAGGAGGAGAAGATGCGGGGGGCAGGAGGAGAAGATGCGGGGGACAGGAGGAGAAGATGCGGGGGCCAGGAGGAGAAGATGCGGGAGCAGGAGGAGAAGATGCGGGAGCAGGAGGAGAAGATGCAGGGCCAGGAGGAGAAGATGCGGGAGCAGGAGGAGAAGATGCGGGGCCAGGAGGAGAAGATGCGGGAGCAGGAGGAGAAGATGCGGGGCCAGGAGGAGAAGATGTGGGGCCAGGAGGAGAAGATGTGGGGGCAGGAGGAGAAGATGTGGGGGCAGGAGGAGATGATGCGAGAGAAGGAGGAGAGGATACGAGATCAGAAAGAGAAGATGCAGGAGAGGCTGCCAGAGCACGAGGAGCGGTGCTCAGAGCCCTGCCTCCCTCCCTCCAAAGTTCTTTGTAATATGAGCCACACTGGCAGTGTGGAGCCTGCAGGAGGAGAGGCTGGGGAGGGTTCTCCGCAGGACAACCCCACTGCACAGGAGATCATGCAGCTGTTTTGTGGGATGAAGAACGCCCAGCAGTGCCCAGGATTAGGCAGTACCTCCTGCATCCCATTCTTCTACCGAGGAGACAAGAGAAAGATGAAGATCATCAATATCTAAAAGTTGGCACTGTCAACAAGGCCTACAGAAGCATAAGCCGCCATGTCACTGTGTGAATATAGTCTGAGCACAAACTTGAAAAAAAAAAAAAAAAAGAAAAGAAAATTTACTTTAAATTGTGGTAAAATACTAGCCAGGCCTTGTGGCCGAAACCTACAACCACAGCACTTTGGGAGACCTAGAGGGGGTGGATCACCTGAGGTCAGGAGTTCAAGACCAGCCTGGCCAACATGATGAAACCCCGTCTCTACTAAAAATACAAGTTAGCCGGGCGTGGTTGTGCACGCCTGTAATCACAGCTACTCAGGAGGCTGCAGTGAGCCAAGATCACACCACCGCATTCCAGCCTGGATGAGAGCGAGATTCCATCTCAAAAAAAAAAAAAAAAAAAGTTTCTACCTGAGGACTCTGATATCTATGTATGTTTCTATTGTTTTTCTTCTTGGTCTTTCTCATTTAGTCTTGTTTTGTTTTATGGCATTCCTAGTAAACTTTTATGTGCCTCCAGAGAGTATTGACTTTGACTTTATGGCACACAATTGGAGTAAGAGCAGATTGCCTTCATCTAGTTTGGGACTAAGCTAGTTCAAAGCAGGTTTTAGTTTGTGACGGCTGGTCTATTTTTTATTCATTTGGACTCCTAGGGGTGGCCCTTCCAGAGTTGCCACCAAGGTCCCATCTCCTTCCTGGGACCCAAATTCTCATTCAGCCCTGTGAGAGTGCCAAACATTCAGCTAGGCTTTCCAGCCTGTTAACTACCACTTCATAATACTCAGTTTCTTAGCCTCTTAGCCCTCTACTGTTGACCAATCACCAAATGTGGGAAAGCACTACAGACTGTCAGGATCACCTCCCAGGCCTGGTCACTCAAGTTCTGGCTGAAGTCTCCCATTACCTTCAAACAATTGCTTTTGATGGGGGGGCACATTTTTGTCCAGTTTCTCTAACTGTTCTTGTGGGGAAGCTAATCTATAACAAGCTACTCTGCCTTTAGTGAAAGTTGAAAACTTTTTTTTTTTTTTTTTTTTTTTTTTTTGAGACGGAGTCTCGCTCTGTTGCCCAGGCTCTAGTGCAGTGGTGCTAGATCCCTCCCACAGCCCTTCTTTGGAGTATCTATTTGGACTGACTGCTCATTTCATAGAGAGGGGTGTGTCTCACCGCAGCCCATCTGGCATGTCTAAGGCAGCTGTGGGGTCAGAATCTGCGGCTCCCAGCCCTCAGCCCTGCAATAGTAGGAGAGGCTGGGCCCCACATCTCTGAAGTCCCACCGGGCTGGTGCAAGCGGGCTTCTAAGTCCAGGGTTGCTCTGCAGGCTGTGGGGCTCATGCGCCAGCTCTGAGCCCACCTGATGTGCTCAGGTTGCTCATCTTTGGGCCCGTCTTGCATCTCAGGCATTCAGCTGACCCTGAGGGCCTCTCCCTCATCTTGACCACCAGCTACGGGCTCTGATTTAGAGGTTCCCAGAACCTTAGACCATTTGACCCAACCCCCCATTTCTCACCTGAGGAAACTGAGACCAAAGAGGGGAAGTAACTTTCTCAAGGACCCCCAGCAAGTCGGAGGCAGAACCGGGTCTAGGAGCCTCTTCCCAACAGAAGTCCTCCCTGTCCCCTGAGCCTTCTTTAGTGCCTCATTGACTTCCCTGTAAGGAGACTGCCCTGCCAGGTGGGAAATGATGCTGTCCAGGGTGCTGTCCAGCCAAGATTGTGCCACTGCACTCCAGCCTGGGCAACAGAACAAGACTCTATCTCAAAAAATAAAAATATTTTTAATAGTGTATCATACTTCTCTCAACAGACTGAAAATATTACCATTTCAACATGAAATCAATATAAGAAAAATTGTTGAGATATTTTATATAGGTTATTTTATAATAAGGCCTCAAAAACCATCAGGGTAGCTTACATATGTAGTACATTGCAATTTGGACAGTGAAATTTGCATTGAAAATATCTGATCTGCACTTAGACTCATAAAAGATACCGTTGACGAAGTAGACTCACATGGCCAAGTGATTCTAAACATACTTAAATGCTACCTAATAATGGAATCAAGTTTTTAAATCTGCATTTTAATAAAAATTAAACATAAAATATTCAGTGTCTCAGCTATGATAGACACACTTCAAGTGCTGATCAGCAAACGGTGTGAGTGCCAGGCAGACGGGCCAGTGCAGGCTACACAGCTGCAGCTCAAACAGCACAGCTGCAGGTGAAACAGGCCAGTCTCTCTGCGCACGGGAACAGTCTGGGCAAGCATGAGACGGGGAAAACGGGCACTGTCCTCGTGAGAACAAAGGACCCACAACAGGAACCCTAGACTCACCTTCTGCCAAAGACACCAACAGCCCACGACGCAGCCTCCTCACAAAAGGGAGAGGCATTCAAGAACTTAGAAAATCACCTCTTCCTGGAAAATGCTCACTTTAAAACTTTGCATGTAACTTTAAATTTTAATTACAAAGTTGTTAACATCCATTTTCTCATGTATTCTTAATTAACTCTGTGAAAGTAAACACAGCTTTTATTCTTACTCCTATAGTTACTGTGTTGGAAGTCCACCTATATGAACAAACTGTTGCAACTGAAATTTTCTGAGAACAAATCCCAAGCTCTTTCCATTAACACAAACTATATTGTTTAGTTCTCTAATTTCCACTGGTTAAAGATCAGAATGTGTGAAATATGCATTATCAGACTAGAAAAACAAAACAAACATCGGAAAAATGTTTTTCAAAATAGCATTTACTAAAATCTATGATAGAAACTAGCTCTAAAACTTCCTGTTTCAAAATGTCACTGTGCGTCCACTAAGTTCGTTTTTCTGGCTGTGGACAGCAGGCCCACCCCACGCCACGGACCCACCCCACGCCACAGGCCCACCCCACGCCGCAGGCCCAACCCCACGCCGCAGATGCACCGTGGCCCCATGAAGAGGCCAGCTGAGAGCTGCAGCCACTGCCCAGGGCTCCCTGCTCTGTGCTCGGCTGCCTGATCAAACCTGCCAGGGCTCTGCTTTCTCTATGTGTAGAAACAAAAACCAGGAGCACGATTTGACAAAAAGCAGATTTTTATTAAACAGAGGTATAAATGTGTTTCATTTTCTAATAAATCTCTTTCACAAATCACTTTGTTTTTTCACTCTTCTTGAATGATCATTTTTAGACAACACTGTCTGACCGTTTTGGCTTCTGCCAAGGTTAGCGTCTGTTCACAGGCTGAGTCTCACTTCTTCCCACCTCCTCCTAGTCGGGCCTTCCAAAACAATGCTCACCATTCTTTCACATTGACTTTAGTTTTGAAAAGAAAAGTTATCTTACAAAGTAGTATGTATAACTCTGTAATATATAAAGTGAGGCAATGATAGAACCAGTTTTAAAAATAACCTTCCATGATGATTTTCATTTACATCCACCTGCTTATTAGCAAGAATCTTTTTACAGGTTTACTGCACGCCCCAATTTCTCTTCTGTGAAAAACTTTTGAACATCATCACGCTCTCCAACTTCTCCTCTCACCTATATCGAAAAGGGTCTGCTCTTTACCCTAAAATCTATACTAGGTAATTTTCAGAATATTCCTTCAATCATCAAACAAATTTTTGAGATCCTTGCGCTAGATTTCACTATCTTAATATGAAAACCAATAATCACCTATTAAAATACAATACAGGCCAGGCACAGTGGCTAACACCTGTAATCCCAACATTTTGAGAGGCCAAGGCAGGTGGGTCACCTGACGTCAGGAATTTGAGACCAGCCTGACCAATATGGTAAAACCCCATCTCTACTAAAAATACAAAAATCAGTCAGGTGTGGTTGCAGACGCCTGTAGTCCCAGCTACTCAGGAGGCTGAGGCAGGAAAATAGCTTGAAGCCAGGAGGCAGAGGTTGCAGTCAGCCAAGATCGTGACACTGCACTCCAGCCTGGACAACAGAGCGAGACTCCGTCTCAAAAAAAAAAAAACAAAAAACATTAGTAAGTAAATAAATAGGCCAGGCGTGGTGGCCAGTGCCTGTAATCCCAACATTTTGGGAGGCCAAGGTGGGTGGATCACCTGAGGTCGGGAGTTCAAGACCAGCCTGACCAACAAGAAGAAACCCCATCTCTGCTAAAACTACAAAATTAGTGGGGCGTGGTGGCGCATGCCTGTAATCCCAGCTGCTCGAGAGGCTGAGGCAGGAGAATTACTTGAACCAGGGAGGCGGAGGTTGTGGTGAGTCAAGATTGCGCCACTGCACTCCGGCCTGGGCAACAAGAGTGAAACTCTGTCTCAAAAAAAACAAAAAAAAGTAAATAAATAAAACACAATACAATACAGCTAATATGATTTACCTAAGAAGCTGTTGTATGAGCTGAACCAGAGGCAAACACTGTTTGCCAGAAGACTCACAGATCCCCGTATTAATAAGGTCTTTATCCAATGGAGTCCTCCTTCTATGAAATGTTGAGGCATTTGCTTCCTGTTCATCAATTTCTTTTTCCTTCTGTCCTTCTTTTTTGGCTTCAATATCCTGTAATTCATAAACAGAAATTGTTTACAAGTGATCTCATTACCAGGTGTGAAGACACATAGGCTGGCTGAGCCCTGACCCCAGTGCCAAGCTATCCCAGCCTCTGTGGCTGCCGCACACACCTACCCACAGGCCCCCACCTGCCTTGTTGGAAACCCTAACTCAGTTGTGCAGTTTCAAACAGTGTCTTCTGTTTACAGATCCAAGGTCCAGGCTGCCTCTGCTGATGCTCTCCAGCCTCCTTCTGTGAAGTCCCTAAAATCCTTAACCCTGCTACTGGCTCTCACAAAACCCAATGTGATCTGCCCCACACACGCAGCATCCAGCTGCTTTGTAAGGACAAGAAGGAGCTAGAATTCTCACACACACTGGTTCAAATGTAAATGGCAAAGCCACTTTGGGAAACTATGAACACACACTTACCCCAGGACCTAACAAATTCCACTCCAAGTGTTTACCCAAAGGGAGAACGTATGTTCACTAAAGTACTTGTTCACAGCACAATCGTGGCAGCTCTACACGGCCAAAAACCAGAAAGCCTGGGCGCAGTGGCTCACACTTGTAATCCCAAAACTTTGGGAGGCCAAGGTGGGGGGATCACTTGAGCCCAGGAGTTCAAGACCAGCCTGTGCAACATAGTAACACCTTGTCTCTACAAAAAAATAAAAAAACTAGCTGGGCATGGTGACATGCCTGTGGTCCCTGCAACATAGGAGGCTGAGGTGGGAAGATCATTTGAGCCTAGGAGGACAAGGCTGCAGTGAGCCAACATCAGGTCACTGCATCCAGCCCGGGTGACACAGCAAGACCCTGTCTCAGAAAAAAAAAAAAAAAAAAAAGAAAACAAAAACCAAAAACAATTACATGTCCTTCAATAGGAGAATGAACTAACAAACAGTACTACACCTATAAAATGGAAAACTTCCCAATAATAAAAACGAAGTCGCAATGCACACAACAGTGAGCGAATCTGAAAATCATTCTCCAAGGCAAAGCAGGAAAGAGTGCATACTATACAGTTATATTGCTGTGACACTCAGAGCAGGAAAAATGAATCTAATCTCAGGGCAGGGGAGTATCCTGGCTGCAAGTGCCAAGGAGCACAGGGATCTTTCCGGGTGACGGGAATGGTCTACATGAGGAACAGGTTACCTGTTAACTTCACTGAAACAGACAACATGCAGTATTTTATCACAAATCATCTCAATAATTTTTAAAATTAGCACATAAAAGAATTTTAATTTAAAAAAATACTTGGATATAAGTTTAGTGTTTTACTGTTTTCAGTTATTCTTCACATGTGTGAGTGTGGTATTTCCGATCTCAGCCCACCACCAGGTCACGTGTGCCTCCAAGGCCATACCTGGATCTCTGCAGTAATGGCTGCGTGTAAGGCTGACTCCAACCCTCCATCAGCCATCAAGCTGCCCACCAGAAGATCAATCACCAATCGATGACCTGGACTTATGCTCACTTCATTGCCTGAAACTGAAATAGAAAGTGTGTGCCAATTTGAGTGAAACGCCATCCCCTCCCAGCACCCTGACCCATGCCCTCTCCTGTTCCTTCCCCAAGCCCACCTCCGCAGGACAGGAGAGCAGAGTGCCCGGGCCTGCTTCTCAGCGGTGGGCAACAGCATGGACCAGCCGCTCTGCAGCATGGCCTGGGAGGCCGACTGCACGGTGCTCAGCACGTCTGCGCTGCTTGCCAGGGTCACCACCTTCTGCTTCAGGCTGTTCAGGAAGACGCTGCCCAGACCTAAACCAAGGAATTCCAGGTCAACCTGGTGACTAATGGCAGCATGCAACTGAAAGGAGAAAAACAATTTTCACTTAGAACCCCTAAAAATGAGTGAATTTCAAAGTCTTATTAAACACTGAATAAAAGTCAATTTGAAGTATTATCTAAATAGACAAAATAACTTCTCAGTTTACGTATTTTTAAAAACTGGACTAAAAAAACTCTTACCCACAATAGTTGAAGTATTTTCTAGAGGAATTTTTTTTAACCCCACTATGAACACATATATGGAAAAGCTCAAGATGAGCAGAAGAGCTAAACAACTAGCAACAGCAACCTCCACCCCGCCCCAACAATCTGCACCAAACACAGAAATAATGGCTACAATGTAACCACAAAAGCTGCCACAGGCGGTGGCTCATGCCTGTCATCCCAGCACTTTGGGAGGCCGACGTGGAAAGCTCACTTGAGATCAGGAGTTCAAGATCAGCCTGGCCAACATGATGAAACCCCATCTCTATAAAAAAATCAGCCGGGTGTGATGGTACACACCTGTAGTCCCAGCTACTTGGGAGGCTGAGGCAGGAGAATCACTTGAACCTGGCAGGCCAAGACTGTACCACTGCATTCCAGCCTGGGTGACAAAGTGACACCCTGTCTAAAAAAAAAAAAGAGCTGCTAAAAATTAGACTGCGGAGCTGAGAGTACACAGGGAAACTCCTCAAGTGCAAAACCAAAATTCACGTGGGCACACACAGCAGGAGTCAAGAGGTTCCGGGCTCTGAAAGCAGAGCCAAGCCGCCAGGCTTCAGCACAACCTCCCACACGGGAATGCACACAAGGACCCACTGAACTCGAGCTTCCTGCAGAAGGCTGGGAGCCACTCAGGATCACCTGCCTGCCAGCCAACCGCAGCCAGGGGGCAACACACTGCCCGTCCCAGGCTTTGGGTAGCAAGAGGCCCCATGAGAAATCAGAGACCCGGCCTTGCCCTGTGAGTAGAAGTGAAATCAAAAGCACACCGCTCATCTAGGTATAGATATCACAGGTCAGGAAATGACCACCGAAACTCACCTGGAGTCTGTGAAACCTACAGAACCCTCAGGACCCCGGAGAGGCAAATGCAAAACCATACGCTGGGACACCTCGACAGCCTAAGACATACACAAGGCCACGCCCCACAGCACTGACCAGAACAGACACATCACCGCAAACCAGGAGGGGCAGCAAACACCTGGGGCGCAACCACGCAAACGCCAGGATGCCACAGGTATGGTGATAAATGAGTGCTACAGAGGACTAGAGGAGAAGCATGCTCCAGACCTCTGCTCAGTTCATTACTGCAACTAAACACTACACTCAGTTCTGTACATTCTAGAAGCAGGGCAAAAAGGGGAGGGGCTGGAAGAGGGACATGACGGGTTGTTACAAGAAACCACTGTAATAAAAGGGAAAAATTACTATGTCGAGAAAACCGTGGTTCTTGTCATTAAGTTAGAGGGTTTTATTAGAAAGACAAAAGATGATGATCAAACACTTCAGCTTTAGTTTTGCTAGGGAGGAAGGCTTTTGTAGCTTTTATTTTGACCCTAACCACAGCCTTCATGGTGAGGAAAGGAAGGTATTGCTTTGGGAGCCGAGCTTACTGAGTAGATCAAGCTTGTTCAACCCACGGCCCGAGGGCAGCATGTGGCCCAGGGCAGCTTTGAATGTGGCCCAAAGTAAAATTTCTTAAAACATCATGAGATATTTTTGGGATTCTTTTTTTAAGCTCATCAGCTATCATAAGTGTATTTTATGTGTAGCCCAAGACAATTCTTCTTCCAGTGTGGCCCAGGGAAACCAAAAGACTGGACCCTCCTGGAGCAGGGTTTTCACAGGACAGAGGAGAGACAGGCCAGCACTGGTCTCTCAGCTGAGCGCTGTCTCTCTCCATCACCTGTGATCTCACCCAGTCATTTCTCCACACGCAACAACAGTAAAACAGTAAGAATACCAACAAACTAATGATTATAGCAAAAATAACACAATCCATATACACTCTTCCTGCATGCCGAGGCTGACTTCCAGGACAAACATAAAATAAACAGATCAAGTTTTTTAAGCCTTGCGTCCATTATTAGTGCATTACAATCTTACTTTAAAATACTTCCCCCAACAGGCTAAAACCTATGTCCTTCAAAATACATAAACCTTCTTACAAATCGCTAAGACACTTATAAAAGGAGCAAGAGGAAGGGAAATCACGAATACCTGAAGTCGGGGAAGATTCAGCGTTGCCACGGCCACGCACTCTTTCTCCTGGGGCGGGGGCCAGTCCGCGGAGCCATCCATCCCCTCACTCACCTGCCGAAGCAGGAGATCCAGCTGCTCAAAAGTCACTGAGCAAATATCCACCCCAAAAGGGACATGGAGGCCAATGGACCACTCAGAACACGATGACCAAGCAATGCTCTAAGAGGAAACGCAACAATCGGAAATGAATCTCCAAATGCAGCTCTTGGTCTGTCGCACAGGAGTCACCAGCTTGTGTGATGGAGCTGCCTTATATTATTACCTATCATCCCTCTAACTGCCCAGTGGAAAAGCATTCATGGGTGTCTAGCTCACACACTATCAGCTTCCAATTCTCCCACCCATTTCACTAGCCCCATCTCACTTGGCCATACCTAAAAGAGTAAAAACATTTTAAAAAATCTTTTCACTCTCAAAATGATTAATGCACATTAATGGATGGCAGGGAGGCTCTCCATCCACTTGAAGTGGTATAATAGCAACTCTAACTAGACAATGAATTGTTAGACACATATAACACACACAATATCTTTCATAGTGAGAGAACAAGTAATCGGCAAAAATCTAGGAGAACTGTAGAACACCTTCAATAAACTGGATCTAATTTATGGAACACTTCACCCAACAACAGCAAAATACATATACTTTTTTTTTTTTGAGACAGAGTCTCGCTCTGTCGCCCAGGCTAGAGTGCAGTGGCACGATCTCAGCCCACTGCAAGCTCTGCCTCCTGGGTTCACGCCATTCTCCTACCTCAGCCTCCTGAGTAGCTGGGACTACAGGTGCTCACCACCACGCCTGGCTAATTATTATTATTTTTTTAATTTTTATTTTTAGTAGAGATGGGGTTTCACCATGTCAGCCAGGATGGTCTTGATCTCCTGACCTCGTGATCCACCTGCCTTGGCCTCCCAAAGTGCTGGGATTACAGGCGTGAGCCACCGTGCCTTGCCTATTTTTCTTTTTGACAGAGTCTCACTCTGTCGCCAGGCTGGAATGCAGCAGCACAATCTCGGCTCACTGCAACCTCCGCCTCCCGGGTTCAAGCGATTATCATGCCTCTGCTTCCCAAGTAGCTGGGATTACAGGCATGCGCCACCACTCCCAGCTAATTTTTGTATTTTTAGTAGAGATGAGGTTTCACTGTGTTGGCCAGGCTGGTCTCAAACTCCTGAGCTCAAGCCATCTGCCCACCTCAGCCTCCCAAAATACTAGGATTACAGGCATGAGCCACCGCACCCAGCCAACATGTTCGATGTTAATGAATCACTTATATATTAAATAAAGTGTCTACAGAGAAACACATAAAACCAGGTTAGGTATTGATTGGTTGATGAAAATGTGACCAGAGGCTTGTAAGAACTTAACCTGTATTTCTCCCTAGAAGCAATGGCTCCAGATCTGCTAATTCAGTGTTTGCAGGGAGTTTACCACTAATAAGCATCCACTATGTGTAATGCATGTCATCTACCATTCCCATTACTCAGGTGAGAAACAGGCTTGGAAGACTTCCATGACTTTCCAAGGTCACAAGGCTAGCTGTCCTCTGATACAGGACTTGAGCCCGAATCTGAGAATGATAGTTCCACAGCTCCTGCCCCAGAGTCCAGGCATCCGGAAGCACTGGTGGTGGGGTTGCTGCTTAACAGCTCTGCCGGGCTGCCTGCCCCACTCTCCAAACACCCACGCGGCTGTAAGGAGCCTCGTCCGTCCCCTGACCTGGCCACTGAACAGGTGCAGGCAGAAGGCAGGGACATGGGTAGAGGGGCAGGCAGGCATGAGATAAGACCACCTTATCCAAGACCATCTGCTAGAGATACAGGGGCAGAAAAGAGCCCAGCAGGTTTCCGGCCACCCTGTTGCTGATTACAGAGGGTGACCCATCGTCAAGGGAGGCACAGAGAGGCTGGGTCTGAACCCTACCCTGCACCTGCAAGCTGTGACCTCAAGCAAGTCCCTGGATGCCCCAGTCTCTGTTAACTTATCTGTGAGACTGGTGCTAACTCCAACTCTTTTTTTTTTTTTTGAGATGGAGTCTCACTCTGTCGCCCAGGGTGGAGTGCAGTGGCGCAATCTTGGCTCACTGCAACCTCTGCCTCCGGGATTCAAGTGATTCTCCTGCCTCAGCCTCCCGAGTAGCTGGGATTACAGGTGCCCACCACCATGCCCAGCTAATTTTTGTATTTTTAGTAGTGACAGGGTTTCACCATGTTGGCCAGGATGGTCTTGATCTCTTGACCTCGTGATCCACCCGCCTTGGCCTCCCAAAGTGCTGGGATTACAGGCGTGAGCCACCGCGCCCAGCCTAACTCCACCTCTTAGAAGAGCTGAGAGGCACACCTAAGACAGTTCATCTTGAATTTTGGTGGTTGAGCAGGCACAGGGATTTACCTGAGCCCATGAGCAACCTCTGTGAGAGACGTGAGCCTCATCGCCCCCGTCCATTTCACAGATCAGGAAGCTGGGGCTCAGCACTGGTGCCCACAATGAGCCAGGCCCTCACCACTGCCCTGCACCTTCCTCCTGGACTGTCATGTGAGCACAGGGTGGGGGTGAGACAGTGCAGTACCCAGACCCCTGGAGGACAAGGAGGAAGACCAGAGGGGGCCCTGGTCTCTGTCACAACCCCCCTCTATTGCCAGTTTCTCACTAAAGTGAAGATACACAGGACTAGGCACAGCCTTGGGTCTGTTCATTCTGCAGATTCTACAAACATTCATCCATCACCCGCTATGGACCAAGCACTAGGTTGAACCAAGTGACACACGGATGCTGGTGCCCAAAAGGTCACAGTACAACATGACTCAGAAAGAGCCACATGTGGGGGCTTGTGAGGCCTAATGCGAACACATCTTCAAGGAACACAGAGCACTGTCGCCGTTTCACCTGCAGAACCAGCACATTGCCTTGGAGGCCACAGTCCGAAGGGCCATCAGGGGTCCCAAAGTCACACAGTAGAGGGCAAATGAGGGGAACCCGGGTGTGGAGGAAGGCATCTTCTAGAAGAGGGGTCAGCAAATTATAGCCCACAGGCCAAATCTAGCTGCTCTTCGATTTTTTTTTTTTTTTTTTTGAGACAGTCTTCCTCTGTCACCCAGGCTGGAATGCAGTGGCGCAATCTCCACTCACTGCAAGCTCCGCCTCCTGGGTTCACGCCATTCTTCTGCCTCAGCCTCCCAAGTAGCTGGGACTACAGGCACCCACCACCATGCCTGGCTAATTTTTTGTATTTTTAGTAGAGATGGGGTTTCACTGTGTTAGCCAGGATGGTCTTGATTTCCTGATCTCGTGATCCACCCACCTCGGCCTCCCAAAGTGCTGGGATTACAGGCGTGAGCCACCGCGGCTGGCCTGATTTTGTAAATAAAGTTTTATTGGCACACAGCCATACCCCCTCATTTACGTATTGCATATGGCTGCCTTCCAGCTACAACTGCAGCCTTAAGAGTTGTCATGGCCCACGAGGCTTAAAATATTTACTATGTGGCCCTTTATGGAGAAAGTGTGCCCACACCTGTTCTGGAAGGTCAGTTGCATGAGGTTAGAACTTCATCAGTTTCATGGTCTGCCATCTCCCGAGCACCCGTCACAGTGCCCAGTCCAGAGCAGATGCTTATAAAGTGATGGGAGGCTGCTTGTGTCACATTCTAATTCTGTGACCATGAGCTAGTTAAGTACTTATTGGAAAATGCATCTTCCAATCAAGTAGGAAGGCGTCCAGCCCCACCTCCAGCCCTTGACAACACAATGGAGAATAAGGAGGTGCAGCCCTGGACCCCCTTCTGGTCTCCTGGCCCGCGGGTAGCTCATCTCCTACCCTGCCCTTGGTGTCCTGGGGCTGCCCTGCAAGCCTAGCCAGGCCTGTGAATCATCAGGACTGACTCACTGTCTAAAAATACATATTGTCTCATGTTGGCGGGTGCTGCTTTGATCACTGTTTGCACTCAATCTAGTCTTTTTCTGCTTGACTTTGAGGTCTTCGTGGGCAAGGTCTGAGTTTTCGCCACTCTGAGTCCCCAGGGCCAGGTTCCTGCTGCAGCCTGGAGCCAGAAAGGAATCTGGGAGGAAGAGGTTGTGTGTTGGGGCCAGCAGACTAGGGGACAGATTCTGCCCTGCCACTCATTTGCTGTGCAACCCTCAGCAAAGCACCCAACCTCTCTGAGCCCTAGCTTCCCCATCTGTGAAGTGGGGATCACAAGGCCCATCCTGCAAGGTGGTTTCCAGGGTGAAAGTAGAAAAGGAGGCCTGTTCCTACAGCCTGTGTGTCTTGGGAGGCACTGCTCGTCATCTGTGATCCTTTTCTACCTGATTACAGGAAACGGGAGTGATCCGCTCACTGACCCCTGGCTGGGCTTTTCTCTGCCAGTGAAATCATCTGAAATTGTCCAAGGAAATCAGGAACCTGAGCCGAAGCCAAGTCACCGAGCTTGGTGCCAAGCACTGGGGGAACTCCGGTTACAGAAAAAAGTGGAATCCACAGGCCCCAGGCTGAACATGGAACTAATTTGGGAGGCAATGAGAAGGAGCAGAACATAAGGTGGAGCCTGGGAGGCAGGTCTGCCCCGAGCCAGGATGCCGTCCAGGTGGGGTATCTGGGGCTCCTTGAAATTTTCGAGGTCCTGCTTCTGAAGTGGGGAGAGCCAGGACATGATGGGGACCCACTTTGGGATCTCTGAGTCTGGCTGTGCAGAGACTCAGGGCATGGGCCTGGGGTCGGAGCAACTGCAATCACATCCTGACTTGCCCCCTCGATGCTGTGTGACCCGGGGCCTGTCACTTCACTTCTCTGAGCCTCAGCTGCCGCATCTGTGAATGTACGATCTAGGGATCCCTTGCTCAGAGGGCTGCTTCAAAGAAGGCTCAGTACCATGCCAGGCACGTAAGCCACTCTCAGGAAATCAGACATGTCGAGACATGACATGGAGGGTGGGGGGCAGCATTGGAGGAGCAAAGACCAGTAACATCTCCCTCATTCATCTGTTCGTTCAGCAGATACTTACAGAACATGCAACCTACGACAGACTGGGGAACACAGGAGGGAACAAGACAGACCTAGCCCCACCCAAAAGGAAACAAATAGTGTGTATCTAATTGTAATCATCCTATGAAGGATAAGAACAGGGTGCTTGGATAAAAAAATAACTGGGGTGGGCCAGGCGTGGTGGCTCATGCCTGTAATCCCAGCACTTTGGGAGGCCGAGGTGGGCGGATCACCTGAGGTCAGGAGTTTGAGACCAGCCTGGCCAACATGGCAAAACCCCATCTCTACTAAAAGATACAAAAATTAGCCAGGCATGGTGGTGGGCACCTGTAGTCTCAGCTACCGGGGAGGCCAAGGTGGGAGGATCGCTTGAACCCGGGAGGTGGAGGTTGCAGTGAGCTGAGACCGTGCCACTGCACTCCAGCCTGGGCGACAGAGTGAGACTCTGTCTCAAAAAAAAAAAAAAAAAAAAAAAAAAAAGAAAGAAAGAAAAGAAAAAGTAAAAGTAAAGAGACAATGCACCCAAAATTTTGACGGATGGATGTGCGATCACTCAAATTTAGTAAAATGTTAGTGAGTTGATGTTGCTGTTTCAAAATTTTCATAATAAAATGTTGGGGGAAAGTAACAAAACCAAGAAAAAAAAGAGGTAGATACAAATTCTTTAACGGCTCTCCTTTCCTACAGAACAGTGTCCAGGTGCTTAGCTGGGCAGCCACCCCACAAATCCTTGCCTCACGCCCCAAACTCACTCTAAGTGTGTAGCCCTGGGCACACCCTCAAACCTCTCTGAGGCTGCAGTCCTGGTTTCGTAGGAAGTGAGAGGCCCTCCTCCGGGAGAGGCGAGGCTGAGATGCACACAGCTGTTTTCAGAGCAGCAAGGCCACTTCAGCAACACCCAGAACTTAGGGAGGACCTGGTCAACCAGTCTTACTGGGGCCTGGGAGACTCCCCACTGACACAAACTCCCTTCCTGTTTGCACTGGGGACGTTCAGTCCCTTGGATGATCCATTCACTGGTCCAATAGATATTTTCTGTGTGCCAGGCCCTGCACGGGGCACTGCAGTGTGAAGTCTGTCAGGTTCTTCCCTTTAAAGAACACCCCCAAGACACAGACAGATCCAATCCAGTGAGACACACACTCCGAGGGAGCCGATTCCAGCACCACAGCACAAATCCTGCAAATTCCAGCCTGGATAGACGCCAAGCCGCACGGCCAGGCCTCAGACTGACTCCCGCCTCAGTCTGGAACCTCAGCACAGGAAGGACCCTCGTGTTGGGATGTCCAGGCCCCGCCCCAGCCCTATGGCCCCTGCCCCTCCTCAATGAACTAACTTGAGCTCCCCGCCCTCTGGGGACAGAAGCCCCCCAGTGAGTCTGCTGCAGTCACAACAAAAGGTAATGGGGGCCAGGCGCAGTGGTTCACGCCTGTAATCCCAGCACGTAGAGGTTGAGGTGGGCATATCACTTGAGGTCAGGAGTTTGAGACCAGCCTAGCCAACATGGTGAAACCCCATCTCTACTAAAAGTACAAAAATTAGCCGGCAGTGGTGGCATGCACCTGTAATCCCAGCTACTCAGAGGCAGGAGAATCACCTGGACCCGGGAGGCGGAGGTTGCAGTGAACCGAGATCACACCACTGCACTCCAGCCTGGGTGAGAGAGGGAGACTCCGTCTCTAAAAAAAGCAATGGGGTTGTGGTGTCCACTTGGGAAGAGCTGGGGAGGCAAAGGGAATAGGAATGATCTACTCCCCTGCCAGCCAGGCTGAGGCTGTGATCCAGCACAGAGGACCGGAGTCAGGACAGCTTAGAGGGGCCCACCCAGTTTAGAGATCACGTTCTCCAATTCGGCCAGAATTATACCTACGTCCTCCTCAAGCGAGGCATGGGCCCAGAAATTATGCTTAGGGTCTCCTTCCAGCTTCACGACAGCCTCAGGAGGTAGATGCTGTCATGACCCCCACTTTGTAGGCGGGGAAACTAAAGTTCAGAGAAGTCTCATAACTTGCCCCAGGTCACACAGAGCCAGCCATGGCCACTGCCTCTACTTAAACAAGAGCAACAACAATCATGACAGCTGGAGTCACTTTACATGCATTATCTCATTTGACCAGAAGTAGGAAAACTTCTTGTCTCCATTTTACAGAGCAGAAAACTCAAGTTCAGAGAGACTCAATAACTTGCCTGAAACAACTGAATGGGAAGATGGCAGAGCCAGCCTACGACAAACAGGATAACAATAAGAATGGCAGCTATATTCATTCTGTATTGCTGCTCCAACAAGCTTCCACAAACTTAGTGACTTAAAATAAGATACATTTATTCTCTTACCGTTCTGGAGGTCCGACGTCTAAAATCAAGGTGTCAGCAGAGCTTGTTTCCTCCAGGGCGTTCTGAGGGAGAATCTGAGTCCTTGTCTTTTCCCGATTCTACAGGCCTGCCGCAGAGCAGGTGCCTCCACCTTCAAAGCATGCATTCCACCCTCTGCTTCCAGCCTCACATCTCACATTTCTTCTTGCCCTGCCCACCATCTCTTATAGGGACCATTGTGGCCAGGTGTGGTGACTCATGCCTGTAATCCCAGCACTTTGAGAGGCCAAGGCCACCTGAGGTCAGGAGTTCGAGACCAGCCTGGGCAACATGGGGAAACCCCCATCTCCACTAAAAATACAAAAAGTAGCTGGGCATGGTGGTGCACACCTGTAATTCCAGCTACTCAGGAGGCTGAGGCAGGAGAATCGCTTGAACCCAGAAGGCAGAGGTTGCAGTGAGCCGAGATCGAGCCTGCACTCCAGTCTGGGCAACAGAGTGAGACGCTATCTCAAAAAAAAAAAAAAAGACCCTTGTGATTGCATCATTGGGCCCCTCGGGGATAATCCAGGTGAATTCCTTCGTCTCAGGAGACTTAATTTGATCACACCTGCAAAGCCCCTTTTACAATGTAAATTACCACTTTCACAGGTTCTGGGGATTAGGATGTGGACCTCTTTGGGGGACCATGAGTCCATCCACCGCATTAGCTAACATTCATGGAGCTCTTGCTAAGTGTCAGGCCCTGTGCTGAGCATTCTGCATCATTTTCGACCTGCACATCTCACACTTTTTAAAATGTTTTATTTACATAAATTTATGGGGTACAAATACAATTTCATTACATGCATAGATTGTGTAATAGTCAGGTCAGGGCTTTTAGGATCTCCATCATCCCGATAACATACATTGTACCCATTCAGTGATTTCTTTTAGTTGTTGTTGCTTGCTGCTGTGTTTTTTTGAGACAGAGTCTCGCTCTGTCACCAGGCTGGAGTGCAGGCTCAATCTCGGCTGACTGCAACCTCCACCTCCCGGGTTCAAGCTATTCTCCTGCCTCAGCCTCCTGCGTAGTTGGGATTACAGGTGCCCGCCACCACGCCCGGCTAATTTTTGTACTTTTAGTAGAGACGGGGTTTTGCCATGTTGGCCAGGCTGGTCTCGAACTCCTGACCTCAGGTGATCCACCTGCCTCAGCCTCCCGAAGTGCTGGGATTACAGGCGTGGGCCACCGTGCCCAGCCTATTTTTGTTTTTTTAAACAGGTTCTCATTTTGTCACCTAGGATGAAGTACAGTGGTGCAATCATGGCTCACTGCAGTCTCTATCTCCCAGGCTCAAACGATCCTCCCATCTCAGCTTCCTGAGTAGCAGGGACTACAGGTGCGTGCCACCATGCCCAGCTAATATTTTGCATTTTTTGTAGAGATGGGGTCTTGCCATGTTGCCCAGGCTGGTCTTGAACTCCTGGGCTCAAGTGATCCTCCTGCTTTGGCCTCCCAAAGTGCTAAGATTACAGGTGTGAGCCACCTCACCTGGCAGCCATTAAACTATTTCTCATGGTTCACAGTGGTGGATGAACTGCCAGAATTTACATTCACTCTCCTGAATCTCCATTGTTTATTATTCCACTCTCTGTGGAGCCATGTGTATGCATTTTTTAGCACCCACTTGGGAGTGAGAACATGCAATATTTGTCTTTCTGTATCTGGCTTATTTCACTTAAGATAATGACCTCCAGTTCCATGCATGTTGCTACAAAAACATCTCACACTTTAATGTACACACAGATCACCTGGGGGTCTTGCTAAAATACAGATTCTGGTTCAGTAGGTCTGGATTTCTAACAAATGTCCAGGTGATACTGAGCTATTGGTCCAGAGACCACTCTTTTTTATTTTATTTTAATTTTATTATTTTTGAGACAGAGTTTCACTCTTGTTGCCCAGGCTGGAGTGCAGTGGCGCGATCTCGGCTTACTGCAACCTCCACCTCCCGGGTTCAAGCGATTCTCCTGCCTCAGCCTCCCAAGTAGCTGGGATTACAGGTGCCCACAACCATGACAGCTAATTTTTGTATTTTTAGTAGAGACAGGGTTTCCCCATGTTGGCCAGGGCGGTCTTGAACTCCTGACGTCAGGTGATCCACCCCCCTTGGCCTCCCAAAGTGCTGGGATTACAGGCGTGAGCCACCGCGCCCAACCCCCAATTGTTTTTTCATAAAATAAAAATCAAAATGCAAAAATCATTGTTAGTTTAACGTCCATGCAAAAATAGACGGTCAACCAGATCTGGCCTGTGAGCCACAGGATGCAGACCCTTGTTCTACAATGCCAGTTCCAGGAGGGCATGTCTGCCTGTCTGTCTGATTATGTTTCCTGAAGTATCACTTGCGTCTAAAACAGTGCCTGGCATCTAGTAGCTGCTCAAAAAATATTTGCTGAATGAAAGCGCAATTCCTCTTGTTTAATTCTTACAACTGCTTTACCAAGGGGTTACATAGATGAATATTGTGTTACAGAGGAAGAAATGATGAGAGTAATGTCTCTGCATTTATCGACGGGAAAACAGGCACAGAGATGGCATGTTGCAGCCTGTGCAGCTGGTCTCCTAGAGGAAGCAAAAGCACTGTGATCCTCCTCAGCAGTTCGAGAACCTCCTCCCCAACAGATCCCCCGGTCCCCAGGCGGCTCGAGGCTCCCCGACCCTGAAGCTGGAGACCCCACACCCAGGCAGTCCGAGGCCCCGCCCCTGAAGCATGAGGCCCCGCCCCCAGCCGGCCCGAGGCCCCGTCCCCAGACAGCTTGAGGCCCCGCCCCCAAACAACCTGAGGCCCCACCCCCAGGCGGCTGGGGCCCCGCCCCTGCAGCCCGAGGCCCCGTCCCCAGTGGGCTCGAGTCCTCGCTGGACCAAGCGCCACAGAACTGGGTGCGTCCCCACCACAGCAGGTCCGGGACCCCTCACGCCAGCCACATCTCGGGCCAGGCCTCGCGGAGCTCTCACTGGCAATCAAAAGCAGCAATACATTCTCTCCTATGTTTGTTGGAAGCAGCAAACAGCCCGGCCCAGCCAGCTTGGGCAACCAGGCCTCACTCCACAGGGCGGGGCGCAGGTCAGGGGACACTGGCAAGGATGTTTCCAAAGCCCGGCAGGTCAGGGCCTGGCACGCAGATCCCCTTCAGGGGCCAGTCTGGTAACATAGACATGTGAAACGGGTGGAGTTGAAACCACAGGCGCCAAATGGCCGCTACTGCCACAGGCAGTGACACCTGTCCAGTTTCGGGGCTTTTTAAAGCCCTCTGTGGCGGAGACAACGCATCAGAGAGACCCACGTGGCTGAAAGCTTGTTGGTTTCACAGAGGGCGCCTCCCACTTCATGGCCTTTGCTCATGCCGTCCCTTCGGCCTGGGATGTTCTTCTTGCAAAACCATTCTTAGTTCCTAATCCCTGCAAAAACACTCGGCCAACGAGATCTGGGCCGTGAGCTGCATGTGCAGACCCCTGTCAGCCCCATTAGCTAACTCTTTCTCTGACTTCAAGCCTCAGAGAATTCTTCCCCAACACAGGCACCCTGCACCTCCCTTGTCACAGGGCAATTTCACATTTGTTTGCTTACTTGATCAGTGTCTGTCTACCCTTGTATTCCTTTCCCAGGGCTACAGTAACAAATTATCATAAAGCTTAAAACCACAGAATGTATTGTCTCACAGTTGTGGGGAACAGAAGTCCAAAACCAAGGTGCTGGCAGGGTTGGCTCCTTCTGGAGGTTCGCAGGGAGAATCGGATCCATGCCCGTCTCCTGGTTGATGGTGGCTCCTTGGCTGGTGGCAGCATCACTGCAATCTCTGCCTTTCTCATCACACAGCGCTCTCCCTGTATGCATCCGTGTGCCAGGGTCCCTCTTCGTATAAGAACCCCAGTCGTACCACATATGGGGCCGATCCTAAAACAGTATGACTTCATCTTATCTTGACAACATCTGCAAAGACTCCATTTCCAAATAAGGTCATATTTGCAGGTTCCAGGTGGATGTGAATTTTGGGAGGACACTGTGTAACCCAGGAGAGCCCCTGTGTGTGGGGGGTCCGCTTACACTGTGCCTGGAAGGTAGGCTGAAACCCTTCACTCACTTGCCACCAGTCCCCTGGCCTGATCTCTGCTGGGGTGAGAGGGTGACTGTGAACAAGACGGGGAGGAGAAATGGTCCAGGAGTGCACTGACCAGGGCAGGAGCTGGTGGTGAGGGCACAGTGGGTACTTGATGTCTCAGTCTGTGTGGCTTCCTTTCCTCCTCTGCTTGATGGCAGGGCCCGGAGTTTCTTCTGAAGCTTTGCTCCTCCCCACCTCCTGGTTCACGGGGTTTGGGTAGAGATGATGCCATTCCTAGGTCTGGAGATGGCCGTGTGTCCCAGGCCTGGCCAATCAAACAATGCTTCTACCTCACACAGTGACCAGTTCAGGACTGGACAGATGACCCAGTCATTGCCAACGGAGTCTCGTTCTGTTGCCCAGGCAGGAGTGCAGTGGTTTGATCTCGGCTCACTGCAACTTCTGCCTGCCAGGTTCAAGTGATTCTTCTGCCTCAGCCTTGCAAGTAGCTGGGATTACAGGCATGTGCCACCACGCCCAGCTAATTTTCATGGTTTTTTGTTTTTTTTTTTTTAAGTAGAGACAGGGTTTCACTGTGTTGGCCAGGCTGGTCTCGAACTCCTGACCTCAAGTGATCCACCCACCTCAGCCACCCAAACTGCTAGGATTACAAGTGTGAGCCACCAAGGCCAGCCTCAACTTGGGCTTCTGATGGAACTTATCCTTAAGTAGCTGAGCCCTTGGCTATATGCCTCTTGTCCTGCGCAGCCACCTTGCCACTATGAGGAGGGAACCAATGCTCGAATGTAACCCCTGCAGAGAAAACTGAAACCAACAGCCAGGAGAGGGACTCCCGATGCCACATGTGGGTGCCTTGATCCAGCCGTTCCTGAAGCCACACCTATGCTTACACTTTTTGGTTACATGGCCCAGTGAGTACCCTTTTTGCTTAAGCCAGTTTGAGTTGGTTTTCCATCGGAGATAACAGAGTGAAGTGATATGTAATGTGAAAGCCACATTGGATCCCAGGACTGTTACGGAAACTGAGGTTTGGTGTGGCTGGGCCACTTTCATTGAGGTCACAGCTCTGACTTGGCAGCAGGCACTGAACTACACAAAGCAGGGTTCCTGTTTAATAGGCGATAAGGAACAATTACAGTGTCAAGAGGTGAGGCCAATTTGAGCATTTCAGTCCCCAAGCATACCCAGGAGGGCTAGACTCAAGAAGAGAAACTTCGGCGTGGCTCTAGATGCCGGAGAGAAGGGTTTGGGGTGAGGTGGGGAGATGGAAGTGGATGTGCTGATTTGGGTACCGTCCCCAAGCCTGAGAAGGAGCCTGGGGCTTGGCAGAGTCCCAAGAAAAGACAGGGGGTGTGAGGGCCCTTGGTACTAAGAACAGAGCCAGGCAAGGTGGCTCATGCCTGTAATCCCAGCACTTTGGGAGGCTGAGGCAGAAGAATCGCTTGAGGCCAGGAGTTTGAGACCAGCCTGGGCAACATAGCAAGACCCTGTCTTTACAGAAAATTAAAAATTTAAAAATTTAAAAATTAGCCAGGTGTGATGGTGCACGCTTGTAGTCCCAGCTACTCAGGAGGCTGAGGTGGGAGGATTGCTTGTGCCCACGAGTTTGAGGTTGCAGTGAGCTATGAGATTGAACCACTGCACTCTGGCCTGAGCAACACAGCCAGACTCTGTCTCTATAAAAAAAAAAAATGCTAAGAATAAGGCTCTTTCTGGCTGCTAGGAAGGGCCCCGGTCCCTAAGCTTGGCTCATGAGCAATGGAGCTGCCACCTTTGAGGGCTCCTGGAGCTTGGAGTCAGGGCACAGAGTAGGCCCAGTGTGAATTTGAGCCTGGAGGGCCTTTCCACACATACCTGACCCAATATGCTCCTGAGACCTTCTCCCAGCTCTGGGGAGCGACGGCAGGGAGCCCTGGTATTAAATAATTGTGGCTAGGTCCAAGCATGGTGGCTCATGCCTGTAATCCTAGCACTTTGGGAGGCTGAGGCAGGTGGATCGCTTGAGGCCAGGAGTTCAAGACCAGCCTGGACAACGTGATGAAACTCCATCTCTACTAAAAATACAAAAATTAGGTGTGGTGGTGCACAGCTGTAATCCCAGCTACTCAGGAGGCTGAGACAGGAGAATTGCTTGAACCCAGGAGGCAGAGGTTGCAGTGAGCCGAGATCACGCCACTGCACTCCAGCCTGGACGCCAGAACAAGACTCCGTCTCAAAAATAAACAAATAAGTAAATAAAATAAATGATTGTGGTTCACAACACATTCCATTTAATTTAGAAAAAAATAATGTATTATGGCTTTAAAAAAAAAAACAGAGTCTTGTTCTGTTGCTCAGGCTGGAGTGCAGTAGTGTAATCATAGCTCACCACAGCCTTGAACTTCTAGGCTCAATCAATCTTCCTGCCTCAGCCTCCCAAGTAGCTGGAACTATATGTGCACACCAACACACCCGGCCATTTTTTTTTTTTGGTAGAGATGGGGTCTTGCTGTGTTGCCCAGGCTGGTCAGGGGCTCCTCAAGCAACCCTCCTGCCTTGGCCTTCCAAAATACTGGTATTATAGGCATGAGCCACTGCGCCTGGCTAGATTGTAATGTTTTCACAACCCATGTTTGTGGAGTGAAACTTATGTGTGTGATTAATGCTCAGGGATTCCACCAGGAAGGCTGGGGGCCACTCCCCTGACAGCCTCTGGAAACCCCACCCCTAGACTGTCCTCAGCTACTCAACTGCATCTCTTAACCCCTGCAAAGCACTTAGAGCAATGCCTTGTGTGTAGCAAGGTGGCATAAGAGCCTGCTCTTACTATTGCCGTTTTCATTCCATCTAGCACTTTACAAGCTTCAGGCAAGAAGTCCTAGATTCATGAAACACCAGCATGTCCTCCTGGGAAGAAAAGGCTCTTGGAGAGCCGAGCTTATGACAGAAAAGAGACATCAACAAATTCTTCTCCTAATATTGCTTGCTTGATTGATTGATTGAGACAGGGTCTCACTCTGTTGCCCAGGCTGGAGTGCAGTGGTAAGATCACAGCTCCCTATAGCCTCAACTTTTCAGGCTCAAGCAGTCCTCCTGCTTCAGCCTCCTGAGTAGCTGGAACCACAGACACCTACCACAATGCCTGGCTAATTTTAAAATGTCTTGTAGAGATGAGGTCTCGACATATTGCCCAGGCTGGTCTCAAACTCCTGAGTTCAAGCAGTCTGCCCATCTTAGCCTTCCAAAGCGCTGGCACTACAGGTGTGAGCCACGGCACCTGGCCTCCTCCTAATGTTTAAAGAGAAAAATATAAAGATGCATCGGTGAGTCCCAGGACGCTTCCCATCACTAACCTCTCTCTCCTTGGGCCACTGACTTGCTGTCCAAACAGTGCACCACGGTCATGATTCATGTGCTTTAGCCATATCCAATGGCTACCCAGCTCCTCCTGCAGTCTCGAAGCTGAGGCCTTCCCTTAGGAAGGGAAGGGACCCCTCTTTAGGGGTCCAGATTTTCCCTCCAGCTTCATAGCAAATCCCATTACCCACCCACAAATGAGAGCAAGCCCACCCTCCCCTCCCACCTGGATTCCCCCATCCAGCGTGAGACACCTGTCCACCCAAGTCCCTGCTAGCTTCCGGTTGACATTGACTCTCCCATTCAGAAAGCGCAAGAGAAGAGGATATTGATGTCTCCCTGCAAACACATGATCGCCGTGGAGATGGAGATGGGCATGCCTGGAGAGCAATGGGGCTGGAGACCCGGCTGAGGGAGGGGAAGCCATCCCGAAATGAATCCTGGAGTGGGTTGGGACCCTGTGTGGATACACTGCGACTGATTGCTTGTGCGCATGCAGCTTCAGCTCCAGGGTTACAAGGCCACCAGATGAGGTCTGGAAAGGTGAGTGCTGGGTCGTTGCCATGGGTCACAATACCCAAATAGTAATGTTTCCTGTGGTGGACACTACCTGAAAGGACCCTGATGTTAGTAAACAGGCAACTCACTATATCTTCTGAGCATATCAAATTCCTAATAGAGAATATAATGGCAGAGTACCATGTTAAGAAAAGCAATCACAGTCCAGGTGCGGTGGCTCACACCTGTAATCCCCACCCTTTGGGAGGCCGAGATGGGAGAAGCGCTTGAGGCCAGAAGTTTGAGACCAGCCTGGGCAACATAGCAAGACCCCCATCTCTACAAAAATTTAAAAATTAGCTAGGTGTGATGGTGTGCACCTGTGTTCCCAGCTACTTGGGAGGCTGAGGCAGGAGGATAGCTTGAGTCCAGAAGGTTGAAGCTGCAGTAAGCCATGATCGCGCCATGGCACTCTATCCTGGGTGACAGAGCAGGACACAATCTCAAAAAAAAAAAGAAAAAGAAAAACATCTAAGTACCAGTTCCGTAACTCTATTGCTAAGCTCAATGGTTATTAAATGCTTATCACAAAGATGCAAGCTGGACACATATCCAGCTCCTGGCTGCTTCAAAAATACTCCTGTTTTTTTTTTTTTTTTTTTTTTTTTTTTTTTTTTTTTTTGAGACGGAGTCATGCTCTGTCGCCCAGACTGGAGTGCAGTGGCACGATCTCGGCTCACCGCAACCTCTGCCTCCTGGGTTCAAGCAATTCTCCTGCCTCAACCTCCCGAATAGCTGGGATTACAGGTGTGCGCCACCACACCTGGCTAATTTTTTTTTGTTTGTAATTTTAATAGAGACAGGGTTTTGCCACATTGGCCAGGCTGGTCTCAAACTCCTGACCTCAAATGATCCACCTGCCTTGGCCTCCCAAAGTGCTGGGATTACAGGTGTTAGCCACTGTGCCTGGTCCTGCTCTTTATCAGAATAAAAAGATTCATGGCCTCCTTCACACTCTTCCACATCCAAAGCACCCCCCACACACTCACAGATGAACTCACATACACACGCACACACACGGTGTTGTCTACTCAGTGTGTTCTCCCAAAAAGAGAGGTGTTCAAACTCCGTGTGCCTCATTTTGCTGTGACAACTTTCTTTTACTTTTTATTTTTTTATTTGGATGCAGGGTCTCATTCTGTGGTCCAGGCTGGAATTCAGTGGAGTGATCTCAGATCACTGCAACCTCGAACCCCTGGGCTCAACTAATCTTCCCACCTGGGCCTCCCAAGTAGCTGGAACTACAGGCACATGCCCACGTGCCTGGCTAATTTTTAAAATTTTTAGTAGAGATGAGGTCTTGCCATGTTGTCCAGGCTGGTCTCAAACTCCTAGGCTCAAACGATCACCCCACCTCAGCCTCCCAAAGTGCTGGGATTACAGGCATGAGCGACCATGCCCGCCCTGTAGTGACAATTTTCTAAACTCAATGCTCAGTCCTCCACAGCCCTCCAGTTCTTGCTGAACTTTTTTTTTTAGATAGAGACAGGATCTCCCTATGTTGCCCAGGTTGGAGTACAGTGGCCATTCACAAGCACAATCACCATGCTCTACAGCCTCGAACTACTGGCCTCAAGTGATCCTCCTGCCTCAGCCTCCCGAGCAACTGGGATTACAGGTGTGCGCCACCATGCCTGGCTACACTGGACTTTTTAAGTTAGGTACTCACAGGGACATTAGTAATGAATCAACTTCACAAAGCTTCCTCATGGGTAGAGTTCCTCTGCATTTTACAGTTAGGACCCAGGTCAACTTCTGCAACTTCATGCTAAAAATTTATCAATGTCAATTTTTTAAATGTGCAAAAATATGTTAACAGCATTAATCAAGAAGATAGGACAGTACCTACGCATCCCTTTTCCCCATATGCACTGATTTTAATGAAATTGCTGCTGTTTATGAAATACACATGACTGGTAAATATTTTTTTTTTTTGAGACAGCGTCTTGCTCTGTTGCCCAGGCTGGAGTGCAGTGGCACCATCTCAGTTTACTGTAACCTCCATCTCCCGGGTTCAAGTCATCCTCCCCTCTCAGCCTCCTGAGTAGCTGAGATTACAGGCATGCAGCACCACACCCGGCTAATGTTTGGTAGAGACGGGGTTTCTCCACGTTGGCCAGGCTGGTCTCGAACTTCTGACCTCAGGTGATCCACCCGCCTTGGCCTCCCAAAGTGCTGGGATTACAGGTGTGAGCCACTGTACCCGGCCACTGGTAAAGATTTTAAATATTGCAGTTGAGCCTTCTGTGAATGTTTTTGTTTTGTTTTGTTTTCTTTTTCTTTTCTTTTTTCTTTTTTTTTTTTTTTGAGACAGAGTCTCTCTCTGTTGCCCAGGCTGAAGTGCAATGGCATGATCTCAGCTCACTGCAACCTCCGCCTCCCAGGTTCAAGTGATTCTCATGCCTCAGCTTCCTGAGTAGCTGGGATTACAGGTGCCTGCCACCATGCCCGGCTAATTTTTGTAGTTTTAGTAGAGATGGGGGTTTCACCATGCTGGCCAGGCTGGTCTCGAACTCCCAACCTCAGGCAATCCACCCACCTTGGCCTCTCAAAGTGTTGGGATGACAGAAGTGAGCCACTGTGCCCAGCCGCCTTCTGTGAATATTTTATTAAGTTCCCATATAGCCCAGTTCACTAGCGGAAATAAGCAGCAGGGAGACTGGCACATTATATCTCCCATTATTAGATTAATACTTTAAAAAAATCTTAGGACTTTCATTAATTTTTTTTTCTGCCCAAAACATTCATTTTCACTGAAAGGCTTTGGTCTCAATCTATTCTGAAAAACTGGGGTTTCTTTGTATGTGAACTGATTCAGGAGTTCGCATTCTTCCAGGGTGACATAAATCCTGCACCCTTGGGGAAGGGCAATAATATAGATTGCATTCTTGCCTTCGGTAGGTGGACACATTATCCTGGGACCCCAGGGAGCACTTTCTAGACTTTTCTCCCAGTTATATCCACGAGGGACAGGCTTGTGACTGCAAGGACTTCAGCTCCCTGCCAAGCCAAAGACACAAGAGCAGGGGCCCCCTAAAGCCTAAAGGGAAACCAGAAGGTTTCCCTTTATGACGCTCATTCACTCAAAAAGCACCGCATGTCCCATAAACCTGACCTCAACTCCTCTCAGGGAGAAAAAACTGGGTTGAACTAGTGCACATTTATTTTTTTCTATAGGAAACTTTATGGCATTTTTTTTTTTTTTTTTTGAGACGGGGTCTCACTCTGCAGTCCAGGCTGGAGTGCAGTGGCCCAATCTCAGCTCACTGCAGCCTCTGCCTCCCAGGTTCAAGCCATTCTCCCACCTCAGCTGGGAGTAGCTGGGATTACAGGTGTGTGCCACCATGCCCGGCTAATTTTTTTGTATTTTCAGTAGACAGGGTTTCGCCATGTTGGCCAGGCTGGTCTTGAACTCCTAACCTCAAGCGATCCACCCGCCTCAGCCTCCCAAAGTGCTTGTATAGGAAACTTTGTAAAATGCTGCATACACCAGCCTCTGCCTGAGCATTAGCAGTTTGGAGAGAGGGAGGAACACAGAGCTACGTTATCTCTCCAGAGGGGCCAAGTCCCACCCCTGCTTGTTGCTTTGTGACTTTGTGCAAGTGTCTGGGTTCACAATGGTGAGTGGGGGAACTGAATTAGAAGGGCTCTAGCCCTTTTCCCTCTGAAATCTTACCATTCTGTGAACCCTCCTGCTGGGCTTGGGGATCTTTATTTTTGAAGAAATAGTGATTGTAACACCCGGTGCGGTGGCTCACGCCTGTAATCCCAGCACTTTGGGAGGCTGAGGTGGGCGGATCACGTGAGGTCAGGAGTTCAAGATCAGCCTGGCCAACATGGTGAAACCCCGTCTCTCCTACAAACACGAAAATTAGCCAGGCATGGTGGCAGGCACCTGTAACCCCAGCTACTCGGGAGGCTGAGGCAGAAGAATCACTTGAACCCGGTTGTAGTGAGCCGAGATCGTGCCACTGCATTCTTGCCTGGGCAACAGAGCAAGACTCCGTCTCAAAAGAAAAAAAAAAGAAAAAGAAAAAAAGAAGAAAAAGAAGTAGTAATTGTACTAATTGGCTGGAGGGCATGGGGAATCTGAACTGTCAAAGGGGAGAAGTCAGGAAAATTGAATGTTAGACACAGCCCACCTTGTCTCCTAGAGGAGCTTGGCGAAAAGCTTGGGAAGCAGACACTAGATAGTGGCCCTTCACTAAAAACCACATCTCCGGCCAGGAGTGGTGGCTCACACCTGTAATCCCAGCACTTTGGGAGGCCGAGGCAGGCAAATCACCTGGGGTTGGGAGTTCGAGACCAGCCTGACCAACATGGGGAAACCCCGTCTCTACTAAAAATACAATAATAATAATAATAATAAAATAATAATTAAAAAACCATGTCTCGTTAGTCACTTCCTGGGTGCTGGCAAACTGGATATGGGTACATTACAGATTTACCTCATTCCATCCTCACAACGGCCCTTTGGAGTAGGTATGAGTGGTGTTATTGGCCGGGTGCAGGTCTGTCCTGCCCGCGTGCAGTAAATCAGTCACTGTGACTATGACATGGGTTTTGCAAAAGAGAAAGGATTTATTTGCAAGGCCACCAAACAAGGTGGTAGAACAGCTCTCACATCCTGCTTCCTGAAGATAAGGCTTAGGGATATTTATGCGTTAGGGAAACACGGTGGTGTAAGGCATGGGGAAAGGTGATTGGCAGTAGGGAAAAATTAATTGATAGGTTTGTTCTGCACAAGCGTAGTAGTCAGGGTTTGTGGCATTTCACAGGACATGTGTACAGAAAGTGGTGGCATTAGCATGATCTGAGGGTGGGATCTTTGGCCCTCTGACATCAAAAGTCCACTTCTTGGGCATTTGGGCAGGCCCATTGAAGAATTGGTGGTCCCAACCTGATTGAACTGGATGGGAGCTGGCCTAAGTTCCTGAAAAACAACGGAAGCAAACATTACCATAGTGACCTGTGAATGTGATCTCTAAAGAAGCTAGTGAAGGGTACATTTCAGCATTTAACGCCACGGTATTCAGCTACCACAGCCTTCAGCTATGACTGTCTTCAGCTTCATAGGAAAAGAAGAAAAAGGACAGGCATGGTGGCTCATGCCTGTAATCCCAGTTTTTTGGGAGGCCAAGGTGGGAGGATCGCTTAAGCCCAGTTTAAGACCAGCCTGGGTAACATAGTGAGACCTTGTCTCTATTATAATAAAAAAAATTGACACAGCAGGCAAGGAAGGAAGGAGGAAGGGAAGGGAGGGAGGGAAGGGGGAAGGAAGGAAGGAAGGAAAGAAGGAAGGAGAAGGAAGGGAGGAAGGAAGGAGAAAGAGAGAAAGCAAGAGAAAGAAGATAAAGAAAAAAGGAGAAAAAAGAAAAATTAATAAAACAAGCAAGTGACCAAAGCAAGCGGGGCAGCCAGACCTGATCAAATTAACCCCTCAGTTTTGGTGACAGTGACTATTCATTGCTTCCCTGTCTCCAGCCTTCCCTTCCTTCTTAGTAACAGAATCCTAGAAATGTGTCTAGCTGGAAAACTATTGTATTAGTTAGCTATTGCTGTGTAACAAATAAGCACAACACTTAGCTCCTGAAATCAAAACAAAAAAGTTTGGCATCTCATGTTTTCAGTGAGTCCTCTGGCTCAGGTCTCTTGTGAGATCGCACTGAGATTTCTGCAAGGGCTGCCATCATCTGAAGGTTAATCTGGGGAAGGATCTTCTTCCCAAGCTCACTCATGATAAGACTGTTGCACTAAGGGCCTCAGGTCCTTGCTAGCTGTTGACCAGAGGCATCAGTTTCTCTTTTTTTTTCTTTTTTTTTTTTTTTGAGACAGATTCCTTCTCTGTCACACCACGACACTGGCTAATTTTTGTATTTTTAGTAGAGACGGGGTTTCATCATGTTGGCCAGGCTGGTCTCAAACTCCTAACCTCAAGTGATCCACCCACCTCAGCCTCCCAAAGTGCTGGGATTACAGGCGTGAGTCACTTTGCCTGGCAGAGGCATCAGTTTCTTGCCATGTGGGCCTTTCCAGGGAGCACCTCACTACCTGGTGGCTGGTTTTCCTCAGAGCAAGACAGGATGCCCAAGACAGAACTGTCATCTCTTTGAAACCTAATCTCAGAAGGAACATCCCATCACTTTTACCACAGATGTTGATATGGTTTGGCTGTGTCCCCACCCAAATCTCAACTTGAATGATATCTCTCAGAATTCCCCCATGTTGTGGGAGGGACCTGGGGGGAGGTAACTGAATCATGGGGGCCGGTCTTTCCCGTGTTATTCTTGTGATAGTGAATAAGTCTCATGAGATCTGATGGGTTTATCAGGGGTTTCCGCTTTTGCTTCTTCCTCATTTTTCTCTTGGGGCCACCATGAAAGAAGCGCCTTTTGCCTCCTGCCGTGATTCTGAGGCCTCTCCAGCCATATGGAACTGTAAGTCCAATAAAATCCCTTTTTATTCCCAGTCTCGGGTATGTCTTTATCAGCCGCATGAAAATAGACTAATGCAGATGTTATTGCAGCTAGACATGGTTATGTGACTAAATTCTATTCTTCTAGCCATAGTCTATTGGTTAGAAGAAAGTTACTGGGTCCAGCCACACTCAAAGCAAGTGGGAATACAAATACAAATACAAATTTCCCCTCTTCCTCACAAGGGGGAAAATGCTGGAATAAAGGGATTAATGGGGACTTTTGGGGAGTGGAGAAGGGGCTTTTTTTTCCCTTGAGACAGAATCTCACTCTGTCACCCAGGCTAGCATGCAGTGGCGTGATCATAGCTTACTGTAGCCTTGAACTCCTGGACTCAAGTGATCCTCCCACCTCAGCCTCCCAAGTATCTGGGACTACAGGTATGCACCACCATGCTCAGCTAATTTTGAAATTTTTTGTAGTGACAGGGTCTCACTATGTTGCCCAGGCTTGTCTGGAACTCCTAGGCTCAAGTAATCCTCCTGCCTTGGCCTCCCAAAGTGTGAGCCACTGCACCCAGTGATATTGGAGGCATTTTTGAGGCTACCTACCGCAGCTACCTTTCCCAGATGTTCTTGCAGATAGGCATGGCCAAATTTTTTTTTTATTATTATTTTTTTAGAGACGGGGTCTCACTCTGTCACCGAGGCTGGAGTGTAGTGGTGCAATCACAGCTCACTGCAGCCTCAACCTTCTGGGCTCAAGTGTTCCTTCCACCACAGCCTCCCAAGTAGCTGGAATTACAGGCCTGTGCCACCACGCCCGGATAATTTTTATTTTTTTGTAGATAGTATGCCACTATGTTACCCAGGCTGGTCTTGAACTTGTGGCCTCAAGTGATCTGCCCACCCCATTTCAGCTACTGTATTCAGACCTCTGTTACTCTCAGTTGAACCTAATTGTAAATATTGCAGTATTACTGTCCCCCCTCCATTGTACAGAAGAAAGTCGAAGTTCCAGCCAGGCGCGGTGGCTTGTGCCTGTAATCCTAGCACTTTGAGAGGCTGAGGCGGGTGGATCATTTGAGATCAGGAGTTCGAGACCAGCCTGACCAACATGGCAAAACCCTGTTTCTACTAAAAATACAAAAATTAGCTGGGCATGGTGGTACACGCCTGTAGTCCCAGCTACTCTAGAGGCTGAGGCACGAGAATCGCTTGAATCCAGGAGGCAGAGGTTGCAATGAGCTGAGATTGCACCATTGCACTCCAGACTGGGTGACAGAGCAAGACTCCATCTCAAAAAAAAAAAAAAAAAAAAGGAAAAGAAAGAAAAGAAAACCGAGGTTCCTAGGTACATAGGACTTACCCAAGGTCAGAAGCAAGTAAGTGGTTGAGGCTGAGCTTGACTTCCAATTTGTTTCACTACAAACCACGTCTTTCCTGCAATGCTTCTATTTTTTTTTCTTTTTTGAGACGGCCTCTTCCAATGCTTCTAGAGAGAGATCTATGGGGGTGGTGGTGTCAACCAGAGCTCCTGCCTTATCTTTTAGACAATTTTCACTATGTGAAGTCAAACGGGAGACAGGAGTGCTATGTGACAGCAGCCTGGCAAAGCAGTCCCTTTGCTAAGGCAGGGAGGTTTTATGACTGGTTTTATTTATCAGGCTGCCTGCCTGTCCTGTGGGGACACTCAGCAAGGGAACATTGTGGACTGGGAAACTGTTGGTTTGGGAAATGTTCCCAATTTCAGCATAAGTGATAGGGAAGGCTGGACTGAAAGGGCAAAAAGTCGGAATAACAGCGTGTCTGGGAAGGATCTGGGCTGTGTCGGAAGCGGGTCAGTGCTGTTGTAGACTGAAGACTTGGCAGGGCAAGGCCAGTAGCAATGCCCTTCTAGAGGAGGGACAGGGAGATTGAAAAGCCCCAACTCATGAGGCCATCTCCTTCTGGAGAAGATCTTAATCAGATCCCCACGGGAGGATGATGGAAGTTTCTTGTTGAGATGGGTCATCCCCTAACCACGGAACTCCAGTTCAGTCCCTGGCACCTAACAGACAAGCTCACCTTCCATTGGGGGTGAAGCGATGCTTGTCACCTCAACTTCTCTGAAGCTTTTTTCCTGTTTAAAAACTTGCTTCTTTCATTCATTCACCCTAACCTACAGCAGTCCCTTGAGACAGGAAAATTAACCTAGTTAATGCACTCACCTGGATGAAAGAAGAATATCAGCTCATCAATTTGCTGTAAGTTAATGAACGCCTCTCAAAGATCCAAAAAGGCTTTTGCAGATTAAGCTGGATGTTTCTGTTTCACTCTTTGCACTGGTCTGTGATGACTATGCACCAGCAGCCTCTTTTTTCACAGACTGCAGGGTCTTTTCTGCAGCCAAATATTCCTTGTAATCATTTGGGCTTTTATGGTGGCAGGTGTCAGAAATGTAACTCAAACTAGGGTAAGCAAAAGTGGGAGAAGATGTATGGATTTATGGAACAGGAAGGGATGGGGTAGATCTAGTATTGGGCACATATGGAGCCTTCCACAGCTGCTGTCCATATGCTCCCTCAAACTGGGTTGTCCTCCTTCCCTCCTCCTGCAAATGGGTTCCCAGTGTGGACTGGAAGATGGCGGCCAACAAGCCCAAATCCTGTTCTTCCAGCATAGTGGCTACAACAGGCAAGAGGATCTTCCCCGTGATTGAGCCATCTGGGTCACGTGCTCATCCCAGGGCAAGGGAGCTCTCTGATCAGCTGGCCTGGGTCCTGTGCCCACCTCCTACAGACGGGAGGGCGGGGTGCTGTGAATGGCAGGCTTCACCAGAATTCATTATTAGAGAAGATCAGCTCAAAGAAATGGGGTGCTTCCAGAAAACAGCAGCTCATTTCTACTTCAGTCCAACATTGCACAGAGGTGGATGAAGGTTTCTCTGTGCATGTTTGCAAAACCAAGTCCCCAGCAGTTGTAGAAGGATTTCCCAATGCAGAGCCACTCCTGAATCTGGTGTGGGAATCCTTCCCATCCTTCTTGCCCATCCTGTCTTCTGTCTTCCTGGCCCTCTCCCCTCACTTTCCTATCTGCTTTTCTTTTTTCCTTTCTTTTTTCTTTTCTTTTCCTTTCCTTTTCTTTTCATCTTTCTTTCCTTCCTTCCTTTTGTCATTCTTTCTTCCTTTTCTTCCTTCCTTCTTTCCTTTCTCCTTCCTTCCTTCCTTCTCTGTTTCTCTTTCTTTCCTTTCTTTCTTCGTTCTCTCTTTCTTCTTTCTTCCTTTTTTTTTTGTTTTGAGTCAGGATCTTGCTTTGTCACCCAGGCTGGAGCGCAGTGACACAATCATAGCTAGCTGCAGCCTCAACCTCCTGGGCTCAAGCAATTCTCCCTCCTCACCCTCCTGAGTGGCTGGGACCATAGGCACACATCACCCAGCTAATTCCTATTGGCTTTTCTGGGGATGAGGATCTTAACCGCTAGCTAATAAAGTTCCTGGGACAGACCCTGCTATTCTCCCTCCAGAACATACCCAGGGATGAGCTTTCTCTGTCGCAGGAGTTGCCTCTCTGGTCCTTGCCTCAGCCCTCTGACAGCTCCCCTCGCTGCACTCTGAAGACAGAAGAGCTGCTAGTAAGCTGGGCTGCCAATTCCAGACAACATTTGACCTTTCAACCTGAGCAGGCTGAGTGGCGGCTGAGTGCAGAGCCACAGCTGGATGTTGACAGTTCTTGGCCACCAAGAGGGAAAGACAGAGAAACGCAGACCCATCTTCTGCGGGCGGAAGGGGCTGTCGGATCTGGTCAGTTTGATACCTCCCAGTGCAGGCTGGGGAGACACTGGATGGGTAAGCACTTTATGATTTTGTTTCCAAACTGCTTGGGCCATAAAATAAAGCTCCTGCTTGTCAAGGAGTTCTAGCTTCACATCCATGACCCTGCACATCGTGTCTGTTCACAGCAACCTCAGCGTGGCCAGGAGTCTGGGACAGGAAAATGTGCTGGGGTTACCTGATGACCATCCAGAGGCCTCCAGGCATGGCTCCACCATGACGGTAGGAAGTTGATCAATATCTTCATCAATATCTGTGGCTGGGTATTCCTGCTCTCTCCCTGCTGTGGAGGCCAGGGTGCTGCTCCTAAGACAGTAGAAGTTTGTGCCTTAGAAGAGGGGTGCCCAAGTCCAGGGCTGTGGACCAGTAAGCATTCCATGGCCTGTTGGGAACCGGCCCCACAGCAGGAGGTGAGCGGCAGGTGAGTGAGCATTACTACCTGAGCCCCGCCTCCTGTCAGATCAGTGTGGCATTACATTCCCATAGGAGCACAAACCCTATTGTGGACTGCAGGTGCGACGGATGTAGGTTGGGCACCTCTTATGAGAATCTAACACCTGATGATCTGAGGTGGAACAGTTTCATCCTGAAACCATCCCCTCCCACACCCACCCCCACCATCCCATCCATGGAAAATTGTCTTCTACAAAACTGGTCCTTGGTGCCAAAAAGATGTGGACCGCTGGCTTAGAGAGAAGCCAAATGAGCCCTCCTAACATACAGAGGCCATTGTATTGTGTTCCAGAATTAGGATGGCCTCAGGAGTCCATCTTGTCCCATTTCTTTCTACCTTCATCCTTCCTTCCCTCCCTTCTTTCCTTCCTTACTTCCAAGCCAAGGTCTCGCTATGTTGCCCAGGCTGGTCTCCAACTCCTGCCCTCAAGCAATCCTCCCTCCTCACTCAGCCTCCCAAGTAGCTGGTACTACAGGCACATGCCACTGTGCTTGGCTTTTTTTTTTTTTTTTTTTTTGAGACGGAGTCTCACTCTGTCACCCAGGCTGGAGTGCAATGGCATGATCTTGGCTTACTGAACCTCCTGGGTTCAAGTGATTTTCCTGCCTCAGCCTACTGAGTAGCTGGGGTTACAGGTGCCTGCCACCACACCTGGCTAATTTTTGTATTTTTAGTAGAGACGGGGTTTCACCGTGTTGGTCAGGCTGGTCTCAAATTCCTGACCTCGTAATCCACACGCCTCGGCTTCCCAAAGTGTCGGGATTACAGGTGTGAGCCACCGTGCCCAGCCATGCTTGGCTAATTTTTAAATTTTTAGTAGAGATGGGGGTCTTGCTATGTCACTCAGGCTGGTCTCAAACTCCTGGGCTCAAGCAATCTTTCCGTCTTGGCTTCCCAAAGTGCTGGGATTATAGGCGTGAGCCACTGCACCTGGCTTCATTGTCTTCTTTCATGGTGGTGTCCCAAACCCCTGTTATGCTGTCAGCCTGGTATTCTAAAGATGGGTCCCCAGACCCCCTTGGCCACCTTTCTTAGGGGTCCTGTCTGTGATGACCATCACAGTCAAGGCCATCATTTTCTGTCTAGCCACCCTCCCTTCTGCTGCACATGGTACCCTATTTTCTTAGTCATCTCACTCATTTGGGGCCAAAGGACCTAGTGATGGGGAGTGGGTCCTCAATGCCGTGTGTCACCTCCTGGGTCTGTTTGTGTCCAGGTGCTTATTTGAAACCTTCCTTTGCCCTGTGTTTCCACTGGCCCATTTTTGAGTTAAGTCATGGATACATTCATAAGTTCTGGTTTTTTGTTTTCTTAAGAGATGGGGTTCTCACTCTGTCACTCAGGCTGGAGTACACTGGCACAATCATAGCTCACTGCAGCCTCGACCTCCCAGGCTCAAGCAATCCTCCTGCCTCAGCCTCCCAAGTAGCTGAGACTACAGGCATGTGCCACCACACCCAGATAATTTTTGTATTTTTTTGATACAGACAGGTTCTCGCCATGTTGTCCAGGCTGCTCCCAAACTCCTGGCCTCAAGTGATCCTCCTGCCTCAGCCTCCCAAAGTGTTGGGACTACAGGTGTGAGCCACTCCACCTGGCCAAGAGTTTCTTTTTTAAAAAATGTTTACCTTTTTTTCTCCCTGTTTTTGGTTCTGGAGTCCAGGGGCAAGCAGAAGAGAGGGGGCAGATCCTTCTAAGTCCCAGTGCAAGCTCTCTTCCCCATGGAGGGGAATTGCTCCCAGAATTGAGCTGCTTCTCAGCACATTGGTCTATTTTTGCAGGAGAGCTGGGGGCCCCGTGCCAAGGTTTCTTACCACAAATAGAACTTCTGGAAGGGCCCACTGATTTCCTCTGGGCGTTCAGACACCTCTTCGCATTTCCTTTGGCTTTCCTGCCGTATCCCCAAAAGGAAATATTTAGAGGCTCTTCTGTTGTATTGCCATTGCAGGTACTTTCTGAGGCTCTCCAGAGGGACTCCTCCTGGGTGGGCAGTAAGCCGAGCCTCATTCCTCAGCTCTGGCCCCTGGCACGGCTCTCTGACATGCCCAGGAAGCTGAGCCGGAGGCCCCTGGGGTAGCCAGAAGGCCCATCTGAATTCCACATGGTGGGCTCATTCCCCTGAAACAGTAAAACAGACAAACCACCAGTGCCCACTGTCAGCATCCCTGTCCCTCAGACTCCCTGGGCTTTCAAGTGCCTCTGGATCCCACCTGTCATTCGGGACAGGATTTGGGAGTTGGGTGTGTGTCACCCTAAGAGCCATGGGCACAGTGATACACAACCAAGACCCCTACAATGGGATGTCTACAAGTCTCAGTGCTCACGGCACAATTCCTAAGAGTCAAATTACAACAGGTTGGGGAAAAAAGACAAGACCACCTCACCAGCTTGATGGGGACTGTCAACCAGGCAAGAGCCACATGTGCCCAAGACTGGCTTTGATGTGTCAGGGTCTAAGTTTAGAAGGGGCAGGGGAAAGCCATGCCTCACAGCACTCAATACAGAGCTTCAGAAGATTCCAGAACACCACCACACCCAATCATTTGCAGGGCTCCCACCTTATATAAGTGTCTCAACTCTCTTTCTCTCTCTCAGCTTGTGTGGCCGTTAAAGCTCCGTCTCTGGCAGATGGACTGGGTTTGAGTTTCAGTTCTGCCACTTAATAGCTGTGGGACATTGGGTTGTTTCTAAACTTCTCTGAGGGCTGGGTGTGGCGGCTCACGCCTGTAATCCCAGCACTTTTGGAGGCTGAGGTGGGCAGATCACAAGGTCAGGAGTTTGAGACCAGCCTGGCTAACATTGTGAAACCCTGTCTCTACTAAAAATACAAAATTTAGCCAGGGGTGGTGGTGGGCACCTGTAATCCCAGCTACTTGGGAGGCTGAAGCAGCAGAATTGTTTGAACCCAGGAGGCAGAGATGGCAGTGAGCCAAGATCGCACCACTGCACTCCAGCCTGGGCAACAGAGCAAGACTCCGTCTTGGAAAAAAAATTAAAAAAAATAAACTGCTCTAAGCCTTCATATCCCCTCCCGAGGGAACAACAGGGATATTAATAATAACGTGCCTAGGCCATCATAGGCCTCGGTATGAAGAACAACGGTTTGTGAGGGCTAGGCTCCTTAGCATGAGGGACAGAGGGACATTTTCCATGTGGTCAAATCATCCAAACTAAAGACACTATTGAGTTAAGAGGCGCCAACTCATCATGTGAACGAGAGATGGAAGTGACGTTTCCCTTGGACTTGCTCCCAGCTGGCACACATTTGGTTATAAATAAGTGTGGTACATTTCCTCTTTCAGTTGACCTAGCTTTCTGCAGACCAGCAGCTCCCAAACTTGCACAGGCACTAGAATCACCTGGAGGGCTTGTTTGCAGACAGCCGGGCCCTGGCCCTGGAGTTCCTGACTCAGTAGGACTGAAGTGGGGCTCAAGAATGCGCATTTCTAGCAAGGTCTCAGGTGAGGCTGATGCTGCTCCACTGGGGCCACATGCTGAGAACAAGGAGTTTCAAAGCCCAGCCAGCAGGTTCCATGTCTGTTTCTTCCTGGAGGTGAAACCCCTTGTCGCTGTGGGCCCCCATATCCCCCTTGTAATTGAAATGTTTAAGGCCGGGCGCGGTGACTCACACCTGTCATCCCAGGTGTACCATAAACCCACCTATCTACCCACTACCTAGATTTGGTAATTATTATTTTCTGTATTTGTTTCATCTCACTCTGTGAGGTTAAAGATAAGTTAGACATTAGACATGTCACTCCTAAGCACAATTAACACATTTCAGTATCATCTAATAGCCTGTCCACATTCTAATATTCTCAGTTGTCCCAATATATAAAAACATATTTCACCATGCACAGTGGCTCACACCTGTAATCTCAACACTTTGGGAGGCCAAGGTGGGAGGATCACTCAGGGCCAGGAGTTTAAGACCAGCCTGGGCAATATGGCGTGACCCTGTCTCTATGAAAATTTTAAAAATTAGGCTGGGTGCGGTGGCTCATACCTGTAATCCCAGCACTTTGGGAGGCCGAGGCGGGTGGATCACAAGGTCAGGAGTTCAAGACTAGCCTGGCCAAGATGGTGAAACCCCGTCTCTACTAAAAATAACAAAAAATTAGCAGGCGGGGTGGTGGGCACCTGTAATCCTAGCCACTCGGGAGGCTCAGGCAGGAGAATGGCTTGAATCTGGGAGGCGGAACTTGCAATGAGCCAAGATCGTGCCACTGCACTCCAGCCTGGGGGACAGAGGGAGACTCTGTCTCAAAAAAAACAAAAATAAAAAATAAAAATAAAAATAAAAAATAAAAAATTAGCTGGGCGTGGTGGCATGCACCTGTGGTCCCAGATATTTGGGAGGTTGAGAAGGGAGGATTGCTGGAGCCTGGGAGTTCGAGGCTGCAGTGAGCTATGATTGTGCCACTGCACTGCAGCCTGGGTAACAGAGCGAGATCTCATCTCTTAAAAAAAAAAAAAAAAAAAAAAAAAAAAAAAAAAAAAGGCCGGGCACAGTGGCTCACGCCTGTAATCCCAGTACTTCAGGAGGCTGAGGTGGGTGGATCACCTGAGGTCACAAGTTTGAGATTAGCCTGGCCAACATCCTGTCTCTACTAAAGATACAAAAATTAACTGGGTGTGGTGGCATGCAACTGTAATCCCAGCTACTAGGGAGGCTGAGGCAGGAGAATCGCTTGAGCCTGGGAGGCGGAGGTTGCAGTGAGCCAAGATTACGCCATTGCACTCCAGCCTGGGTGACAAGAGCGAGAATCCATCTCAAAAAAAAAAAAAGAAAAAAGAAATGATTGGCTGGTTTGGGAGGTGGGTGTTTTAAATGCTGCACTGCAGGATCTGTAGTCCTCTGGCTGATGAGTAAATTGGAAAACAGTTTGGCCACATGTATCAAGAGCCTTTGAAATGTTTCTGCTTCCTGGTGCTGTAATCCCCCTTCCTGGAAGCTATCTCTTAAGAATAATCTAAGAGATGGACAAAGTGTGATGTCTGCCTGTGGCATGCAGAAAGGGGAAGTTGCAGGTATGTGTATAACTCTATTTCTAGAGCTACAGACAGAGAGAGTGGGAAGAGGGGGGATTCTGGCCCCATCCAGGTGCACTGACTCCAGAAGGATCCATGCTCTACATAGATGAGCCAGGTTTATGAAGGGATCCCAGCCACCCTCAGTTGCTGGGCACCTCCACCTCCTTCTATCTTTATCTCCCTACCCTGTGATGTCCTTCATCTGGATGACGGTATCAAATCGTGGTTAGGCACATGGGCGTTGCAGTCAGACATCCTGGGGCTTGAATTCCAGCTCTGCCACTGACCCTGACCTCCAGTGCAGGTTACTGAACCCGCCTGAGCCTCCGTTTACCTTCAAATGGGGATAATCATGCCTAAACGTCAAGAGTACAAAACGCTTCCCATAGAGTGAGCTCCAATACACAGTTCCCTACTGCTATCAGAAAAAAACATACAGTGGCGTAGAGAAGAAAACTCACTTTCAGAAAGCAAGGATGACACACCAGAGGGCAAGTCTGTTTTAAAATGGAAAGTTCTTGAGAGCAGGGGGTGTGTGTTTTCCAGGAGGAGGCTGTGGGTGCTTCCCAGTGTCAGTAAACAATGGCAGGAATCTGGGAAAATGCCTCGGTGAGCACTTACTACCCGTGGGTGCTTTCCGTTCTCCCCCTGGTTTAGTCCCGTCTAGTCCCACAGCTGAGGAAACCGAGGCTGGGAGCCGGGACAGCATCCTCGGGCTCACACAGCTGGTGAGCAGCACAGCAAGCTCCGAGCTCAGATCTGAGCAATCACCCAGCCCAGATGCTGATTAGTGTGGCCCCGCTGCCTCTAATGCGTGGTTTCCTCAACACTGTTACTGATGAAAACTCTTTCAGGGTGCCACTAGCCAAAGTAGGAATGAGCAAATGGAAAAGGGAGACAATGAGGGCTCTGAGGCTCTGCGAGGTGGGTGCTCCCATCACACCACCCAATCAGGATGCGAAGCACTTGCTGATTCACACACACGCAGACAGTGGGGAATTCTGAAGCCTTGTAAAAACAGCAGAAACACCCAACAGACCCTCCATTTTTTCCTAGTTAGCCCCAGCCTCCAAAACTAGGGCAAAAGCCTAAGCTTTGCTGAGTCACAATCGTTTATCAAGGTAATTTGTAGGCACAGCACTCGAGATGCTATGCAATTTTTACCCCATTCAACAAATGCAGGACAACCTGCCGGGGAAGATTAGTCCTTCCTAAGTAACAAGAAGGACTCTAAATTCTCAGATTTTGGGTTATTAGGAATAAGAAGAGGCTGCGCAAACTAGACCGCAGCGCGCAGAGAGGAGATGTGTAAGGAGACTTAAGTTTCCTCCCTACCGACAGCCGCAACTAGGGAACCACATTCAATCTAACTGGGTGTTTTTTGGCATTCTGGCTGTTGCCTGCCCACCAAGGCCTGCCAGGAACCAAGAATCCACCGCCCAGGCTTAGACACCTGCAAGGGCACTTGGGTGGAAGAATCCTGTCCCCCCACCCTTCCTCCTGCAGGAAGAGGACGGCAGCAAAAGGCGGGTAACTGGTTCTCTGGTTGTTATTGGAAATATGGGAAGACGTGTCCACGGAAAAGTTGCACGGGCCTGGCACAGGTGCCTAAGGCTTCGCTTTGCTCAAGTCCACGCTTGCACACACAGGCAAGGCTCCCTGGCTTCAAGTTTCTGATTTAGCATTTTCCTATGTTTTCAAGCTTAAAAAATATCACCGTGAGGGTTCACTCTTTCCTTATGAAACATACTTAAGTTCCCCACCTCACCCCCTAAAACAGAAAAAAAAAGGTGCTTCTTTGTTGTCCTTTTTTGACAAGAATCATCTGTCTAAACCTTTATTTTTGGAAAACTTTTTTTTTTCTTTTTTTTTTTGGTCACCCAGGCTGGAATGCAGTGGTGCGATCTTGGCTCACTGCAACCTCCGCCTCCTGGGTTCAAGTGATTCTCCTGCCTCAGCCTCCCAAGTAGCTGGGATTACAGGCATGCGCCACCACGCCTGGCTAATTTTTGTGTTTTTAGTACAGACGGGGATTTGCTATGTTGGCCAGGATGGTCTCGAACTCCTGACCTTAAGAGATCTGCCCGCCTCGGCCTCCCAAAGTGCTGAGATTACAGACATGAGCCAGTCTAAAAGATTTCCATTTAAAAAGACCCTCAACTTGAACGTGTAGCGTTTTCACCAGGCCCAGTCAGCATCAAGCTTTCTCAAGTTCAAGTTCACAGCACGACTAGAAAAAGCAGGCAGCTGAAGACAAACAGAACTGCTGTTTGCAGGGATCAGGCAACTTGGAGGAGAGGATGGCTCACAACCAGGGGAAACATGAACTGGCCTTCAGGTGTCCTATTTCCCCTCCTCAGCAAAAATCAGATGCATTGATTTACTCCATGAATCATTTTGGGGAAAAAGATTTCAGCTGAACTCATGAGATTTTTAAAAAAGTAGCGAAAAAGATTGAACTATTTTTAATACTCACTGGTTTCCCAGGTCTGGAGAGGGTGGCTTGGCCTCGCCTCAGCAGTAACCAAGTGTCATAGCATTTTCTTTTCAACGTCAAGAGGAGTGTTGCAAAATAGTCCAAGTGGGAACACACAGGAACTGTGAGACTCTCTTGGTGCTGCTGTTCAGTAATAATGATGCACGCTTTAAAAACACACACACTCGGCCAGGCGTGGTGGCTCACGCCTGTAATCCCAGCACTTTGGGAGGCCAAGGCTGGTGGATCATGAGGTCAGGAGTTCGAGACCAGCCTGGCCAATATGGTGAAACCCTGTCTCTACTGAAAATACAAAAATTAGCCGGGCGTGGTGGCGCATGCCTGTAATCCCAGCTACTCAGGAGTCTAAGGCAGGCATCACTTGAACCTGGGAGGTGGAGGTTGCAGTGAGCTGAGATTGTGCCACTGCACTCCAGCCTGGGTGACAGAGCGAGACTCCATCTCAAAAACAAACAAACAAACAAACAAAAAACAACAAAACAAAACCACACACACACACTCAGGGGCTGGGCGCGGTGGCTCACGCCTGTAATCCGAGCACTTTGGGAGGCCAAGGTGGGTGGATCACTTGAGGTCAGGAGTTCGAGACCAGCCTGGCCAACACAGCAAAACCCCGTCTTTACTAAAAAGTACAAAAATTAGCTGGGCATGGTGGCGGACACCTGTAATCCCAGCTCCTTGGGAGGTTGAGGCAGGAGAATTGCTTGAACTCGGGAAGTGGAGGTTGCAGTGAGCTGAGATCATGCCACTGCACTCCAGCCTAGGGAACAGAGCGAGACTGCATCTCAAAAAACAAAACAAAACAAAACAAAACAAAAATTAGCTGGGTGTAGTGGCATGTGACTATAACTCCAGCTACTTGGGAGGATGAAGTGGGAGGATCACTTGAGCCCGGAGGCAGAGGCTGCAGTGAGCTGAGATTGTGCCACTACACTCCAGCCTGGGTGAACCACGGATGTAATGTTTCCACACATATAATGTATAATGATTACATAAGGGTAATTAGCATATCCATCACCTCATTACGTTATATATGTAATTACAATATGACTCTGTCTCAAAATAAATAAATAAATAAAAAACTCACATTCACGAATGTAAACTAGTATAGCCGCTATGGAGAACAGCATGGAGGCTCCTCAAAACACTACAAATAGCACATCATATGATCCAGGCCAGGCGTGGTGGCTCACGCCTATAATCCCGCACTTCTGGAGGGAGGCTGAGGCGGGCAGATCACTTGAGCCCAGGAGTTCGAGACCAGCCTGAGCAACATGGTGAAACCCCACCTCTACAACAACAAAACACAAGAAACTAGCCAGGTGTGGTGGCATATGCCTGTGGTCCCAGCTACTCTGGAAGCTGAGGTTGGAAGGTTGCTTTAGCCTTGGAGGTCAAGGCTGCAGTGAACTTAGATCACGCCACTGCACTCCAGCCTGGGCAACAAAGCGAGACCCTGTCTCAAAAAACAAACAAACAAAAAATTACTATTACTATTGGCTAAGGGCAGTGGGTCACTCCTGCAATCCCAGCATTTTGGGAGGCTGAGGTGGGAGGATCACTTGAGCCCAGGAGATCGAGACCAGCCTGGCCAACATGGCAAAACCCCGTCTCTACTAAAAATTCAAAAAACTAGCTGGGCATGGTCATGCATGCCCGTAATCCCAGCTATTCAGGAGGCTGAGGCAGGAGAATTGCTTGAACCCGGGAGCTAGAGGTTGCAGTGAGCTAAGATTGGGGCGCTGCACGCCAGCCTGGGTGACAGAGCGAAACTCTGTCCAAAAAAAAAAAAAAAAAAAAAAAAGAAACATTACTATGTACTCCATGAGCATGTACAATTATTATTTGTCAATGAAAATAAATAAAATGAAACACACACACCCCCTCAAGATCCATGCTTATAATTAAGTAAACAGAATTTTGACCAAAGCAGCACAACAATTAAACAAAAAGGTCTTCTCCACAGATGGTTCTGGAATAACTAGACAACCATATGGAATGAGGGAATCTCAAATCTAGTGTCGTACCATCCATAAAAAGTTAATTCAAGATAGATCATAGATTTAAACATAAATGCTAAAACTAGAAAGCTCGAAGGAAACATGGATGAATATAACTTGGGGGTTTCTTAGGCAGGACATAGAAAAAGTCTATAAAACAGACTTCATCCTAATTAAAAACTTCTGCCCAGTAAAAGATACTGTTAAGAAAATAAGCAAGCCAGCTGGGCACAGTGGCTCCAGCCTGTAATCCCAGCACTTTGAGAGGCCGAGGTGGGTGGATCACGAGGTCAGGAGATCGAGACCATCCTGGCTAACACAGTGAAACCCTGTCTCCACTAAAGATACAAAAAATTAGCCAGGCGTTATGGCAGACGCCTGTAGTCCCAGCTACTCATGAGACTGAGGCAGAAGAATGGCGTGAACCCAGGAGGGAGAGCTTGCAGTGAGCCGAGATCGCGTCACTGCACTCCACCTTGGGGTGACAGTGTAAGACTCCGTCTCAAAAAAAAAAAAAAAGAAAATAAGCAAGCCATACATTGGGACTAAATATTTGCAAAACAACTATCTGACAAAGGACTGATGTCCAAAATATGTAATCAACTTACTGCTACAACTTTTTTTTTGGTTTGATTTTGAGAGAGTCTTGCTCTGGCTGGAGTGCAGTGGCGTGATCTCAGCTCACTGCAACCTCCGCCTCCCAGGTTCAAGTGATTTTCCTGCCTCAGCCTCCCAAGTAGCTGGGATTACAGGCTCAGGTGCCTGCCACCATGCCCAGCTAATTTTTGTATTTTTAGTAGAAACGGGGTTTCATCGTGTTGCCCAGGCTAGTCTCGAACTCCTGACCTCAAGTGATCCTCCCACCTCAGCCTCCCAAAGTGCTGGGATTACAGGCGTGACCTACCATGCCTGGCCAACTTCTACAACTTAATGAAGCGACCAACAATCTGATGAAATATGGGCAAGATAATTGAACAGCTAACTCACAAAGGAAGATATACCTGTGGCCAGTAAGTACATCATTAGGAGTCATCAGATAAATGACAACGAAAACTGCAAAGAGATATACTATACGCCCATCAAAATGGCTCAATTAAAGTCTGACACCACCAAATGTTGCTAAGGAAGGGAGATAATAGAACTCTCATACATTGTTGGTGACAGTATAAATTACATGATCACTTTGGAAAAAGATCTGGCAGTTTCTAAATAGACCACCTATCCCATGACCCAACAGTTCCACTCCTTGGCATTTACTCCCCCAAATTGAAGATTTTGTTCTCAAAGACTTGTACAAGACTGTTCACAGCAGCTTTATTCATAATGGCCCCAAACTGGAAATAGCCTAGGTGTTCATCAGTTGAATAAATAAGCAGCAGTAGAGCCATACTCAGAAATAGAGAGGAAGGAAGTACTGATACCTACAAAACATTGATGAATCTCAAAAACGTTATGTAGGCTGGGCACTGTGGCTCACGCCTGTCATCCCAGCACTTTGGGAGGCTGATGTGGGAGGACTGCTCAAGGCCAGGAGTTCGAGGCTGCAGTGAGCTATGATCATGCCACTGCACTCCAGCCTGGGCAACAGAGTGAGACTGTCTGTAAACAAAAAAAAAAAAAAAAGAAAGAAAGAAAGAAAGAAAAGATAAATTGAGGAATGGAAGGATATGTAATAAAGCAAATACAGTCACATGTCACTTAATGATGGGGATACTTTCTGAGAAATGTGTCATTAGGTGATTTAAAAAAATTTAATATTCCCAAACGTGGATAGAAGGATTTTTATTTTATTATTTTTAGAGAGAGGATCTCACTCTGTCCCCAGGCTGGAGTGCAGTGGTGTGATCATAGCTCACTGCAGACTTGAACTCAGTCCTCCTGCATTGGCCTCCCAAAACACTGGGATCACAGGTGTAAGCCACCATGCCCAGCCTGCAATGTTACCATTGTATGAACATCATAGTGTCCTTACCCAAACCTAGATAGTATAGCCTATTGCTCCTGGGCTACAAACCTTTACAACATGTTACTGTATGGAATACTGTAGGCAACTGTAACCCAATGGTATTTGTGTATCTAAACATAGAAAAACTATAATAAAAATACAGTATAAAAAATAAAAATGATACATTTGTGTAGAGCACTTACCGTGAATGGAGCTTGCAGGGCTGGAAGGCGTTCTGGTGAGTGATAGAGAGTGAATGTGAAGGCCTGGGACTCACGGTTACCCTGAATTTTAAAAAAATTTTCCTTTCAAGAAGAAAATGACCTTAGCTTACTGTAACTTCTTTACTTAATAAACTTCTAAATTTTTTTCAACTATTTGACCCCTTTGTAAAAACACTTAGCTTAAAACACAGATACACTGGAGCTGATAGGAATTTCCCAGCTCTAAGATCATCTAGTGGGACCTCCATTGTTGACGGCAAGGCATGACTGTATAACAAAATGGTAATGATGACCTAGGTGGTGTATGCTTGAAAATCTTCATAATAAAATCTCAAGGGGAAAACTGGAGAAATACACAGTTATGAAAATGGACAGAGCCACAGCGCTTGGTCTCCAGCCCAGCTCCAAAATCAAAGGACTACAGAACTATCTGCAGGGAAACACGGAAGTTCCCACTCTGACGCCTGCCTCCAGATCTGGCTACCATATTCAAGAAGCCCCCAGACCATAGCCTTGTTGTCATAATATGCCCCTGGGCCTCGGTATCAAAAGGCCAGAAGTACCATCCTAGGATTTTATGCCCAAAAGATATGTCAAGAAAGCCCGGTGTGTGTGTGTGGAGGAGGAAGTGGGTTAGCCCAGCTCACCTGTTTTGTTTTTGACAGGGTCTTGCTCTGACACCCAGGCTGGAAGCACAGTGGTGCAATCACAGTTCACTGCAGCTTCAACCTCCTAGGCTCAAGCAATCCTCCTGCTTCAGCCTCCTGAGTAGCTGGGACAACAGACGAACACCACCACACCCGGCCAATTTTTAAATTTTCTGTAGAGACAGGGTTTTGTCATGTTGCCCAGGCTGGTCTTGAACTCCTGGCTCAAGGGATCCACCTGCCTCCACCTCCCAAAGTGGCAGGATTGCAGGCATGAGCCACAGCTCACTTGTTTTAAGTCATTTGATGCAGCAGAGAAAATAAAGTTCTGGGCATGTATGAAAGCTCCTCTGGGTGTTTCATTCTAAGCCACATTCCAGTGACTATGTCTGCTCCCACTGATAGAAGCAAATGCAGTAAGGGTTTCAGATCAAAACCATGACTTTTAAATATAACTACAATTTACTATGTACTTGCGCGTCCTGGGCATTGTATGTAATTTCATTTAATCCTCACAACTACCCTGTGAAGTTGTTTATTTTCCTTTTATTTTTGAGACAGATTCTTGCTCTGTTGCCCAGGCTGGAGTGCAGCAGCACAATCTCAGCTCACTGCAACCTCCACCTCCCAGGTTCAAGCGATTCTCCTGTGGTCCTGAGTAGCTGGGACCACAGGCATGCACCACCATGCCCGGCTAATTTTTGTATTTTTTGTAGAGATGGGACCTCCCTATGTTGCCCAGGCTGGTCTCGAACTCCTGGGTTCATGTGATCCTCCTGTCTTGGCCTCCCGATGTGTTGGGATTATAGACCTGAGACACTGTGCTGGGCCCCCTCTTTTTCTTTCAAAAAGAAGGGTCAGACTCTCCTCATTTCTCCCTGTGAGTGCTGCTGACTCGGCAGTCTGGCAGCCCTCTCTACACACTCCTGCATACACCCTCCTTTACTGTCTGTCTCCATCCCACCTTCACACTTTCCACTGAGCCGTGGGTGCTGACTACAGGAGGGGTGGGCAGTCCTTCCAGCCAAGCCTGGGTTTCTAACTTTGTGGCTACAAAACTCCAGAAGTTAACATGCTTAAAAAAAGAGAAGTTGTTTTTTTTTTAAACATGCTTAAAGAGAAGTTAACATGCTTAACAAAAAAAAAAAAGAAATTTTTTTTCTTTCTTTTTCTTTTTCTTTTTTTTTTAAAGAGACAGGGTCTCACTGTGTTGTCCATGCTGGTCTTGAACTTCTGGGCTCAAGTGATCCTCCCATCTCAGCTTACAGGTGTGACAGAGGCTCTTGATTGGGGAAATTGTCTTACAAATCGGAATCTGCATAACGTCCTGGGATTCCAGCGTGAGTGCTAAGGGTCCTCATTCCTCCCACCCTCCTACAAGGCCACTTAACACCAGGGCTCAGCTCTGCACTGAGGAGCTGACCCATCGTGGCAGGTACAGCAGTTAGGGGTAAAAAGAAAAAGAAAAAAATCCATGAACATCAGCCTTAGTGGCTTAGCAGATTTTTTAAGAGTGTGAAATTTATCTGTGTATTACTAGAGAGTGAAAACATCATTCACTTATTTAAAAAAAGAGAGGAGAAAACCAGAGTCCTATGAAAATGTCTTTAATTTTCATCTTTTGGAAATACATTTTTCATTTTTATTTCCACCATACAAAAATGTGAAATATCTAACAATGATCTATCTGAAGCGGGTGGAGTGAAGCGGCGCCATGAGTGTTTGTCGTTGCTGTGATCTGTTTCAACAGAGAATGGGCTGGGACATGTAGATTTGCACGATTTCACACACACACACACACACACACAAACACACATACACACACACGCTGCCGTACCCCGAGACCGCCATCCAAACAGACTCTGGAAAGTGAACACAGCGCCACGCATAAGAACAGAAGTTAACCTTTTTACTCGTACATCCCCCATCAGAAACTCACGTCTTAGGAGAAAGGAACTCTACATAAATATGCCCAAAGGCCAGGGCATACGGCAAGCCCCCTCATGGGTGGGCGTGAGTGGACACCTTCCTGATGGAAGGACAAGCGTAAGAGCGTCATGTTTTCAGGCAGCTATGGTGGGAAGCAGGGAGGCACAACTGATTTCTCTCCACTGGGAGACTAACCGAGGGCTGCAACCGCCTCAAAATCTCAGCGCGAGAAGATGCACAGGCAGGAGAGTACACCCCCAATTCATGATCACGGCAGCCGGAACGTCAGCTCTTTTTGCAGATTTCACAGCCGACACTCCCCATCAGGCAGGTTCTTAAGCACAGTGGGTCATGACAGGAAAGGCCTCACACGAGCAACATGGAATTCACTGGTTAAGCACGTACACATTCATGACAGCCTACAACCCTGATGAGTGTCAACATCAACAGGCAGTTAGATTAAAAAGGGAAAAAAACACAGCCACAAAAATAAAACCTGTCTTTTCTTCCCCCCAGGAGACAACTTGGTTTCCAACCCCTCCCATACCACATTTGATTAAGTTAAATACAGTATGGCTTCCAAATGTGCCACCCGGCTCTTGCTCACAGAGACAGCACCAGCGGTTTGCTGCCCTCAGGTCTTGGTTACCATGTGTCGGGAACTTCAAAGAGCGTGGCAGGACTGTTCGTCCAGATGCTTCCTGGTGGGAAAGAATGAAACAATATGAACAGCAGGACGGCACCTTGAGGAGAGCATGACATGACCAGCAGAGAGACAGAGGGCCTGTGATGGCTGCAGACGGGGCCAGCGTCTGGCTAAACAGCTGTACTGGAAACAGTCCACAGACAGGTCTTGTCTAGGGAGGGCAGTGCCCAGCATGGGAAGGTGAAACCACAGAAACATCACGGGGGGGCGGAGGAAGCACCTCCCTGCCTCCAGCATCTATTTATTTCACAGGAGTTAAACTGTAGCCATGCACGGTATTCCTCACTGAGCACCATGCTGGATTCTTTGCTGGCAATACAGTGGGCATTTAACTCATATAATCTTCATTAAAAGCCCACCGAGGTGGTAACACTACCCCATTTTACAGATGCAAGAACAGATTGCGAGAAGTGGGGTAATATGACCAGATGCACAGAGCTAGCAAGTGGCTGAGATGGGGTTTGAATCCTCCCACAGCACCAAGATCCCTGCCAAAGTCCCCGGAAACTGAGTTTCTCTGTGCTGTGCTGTGGCTCTGCCCAGGTGAGAAATCTCAGGTGGGCAGCTGTAGGGCAGAGGGAAGCCAACCAGTGGGGGTTCCAATATCTCAACAGGGGCAAAAGAAGGTTGCAGCTTTTTCCAGCTTTGGCGAAGCTGGCTGGGTTCCTCTTCTTGGATTGAAAAGATCTCTTCAGTGACAAAGTTTCACCCCAGTGTCAGAAGCCCTTCATTTTTATTCATTCCACTTTCTACAATAGAAGCAGCCGCGGCCAGCAACTGAGCCGGGACTGGACTTCAATGAATGTGAGGGAAGTCAGGAAAGAGCATGTTCATAATGGAAAGTGTGGCCCGACCAGGCATCAGCTGCACAAGTGGTGCCATGCATTAAGTCATAAAGTAGGGCTGGCGGGGAAGACTGGCAGTCTCTCTTCTAGCTGCTAACACCAAGATTTTAGAAAGGGAGAGTAGTCTTTGATGATACCTCCAATGGCAAATAACTTTTAAATATGGAGGGGGTGCAGTGTCTTACAAACTAGGGAATCAGAGTGGTTATCATCAGTAACAGGGATGCCTAAAGATAACGAGGTCTAAACACAAGAAAAAAACATGAAGAGAATTTCAGCTAACATGAGAATTTCCACTTCTGATCATTTACTGTGATAAGATCCAAGGAGTTAGGATGAGGAGACCGGGAAAGGGTAACCGGAATCTTTCTGCCCTGGGTCTCATCGCTCTGAACAGACACGTTCTGGGACTCCCAGTAAAGATGGTGAGACCACTCCGGAGTAGTGAAGATGGGCAGGAGATGATCCACTGAAAAGGACTCAAGGGGTCCAGTGAAGTACTGCAAGAGGCCTGTGATAACCTGCAGCTAGCCTGGCCTTCCCAGTCACACACTGATACAATAAACACCTAACTGGATGAAAAGAAACATCCATTAAGGCCACTTTTATAATTCACATATGAAAGAAATATTGCAGTAGCCAATTAGCCATTCTAAAGGTAAAAGCTACAATGCCAAATGTGGGAAACTAAAGTAAATTAAATCCAGCTCAGAAGAAAAAGGAAGATAAATTGCTAAAAGCAACTGCACTGCAATACTTGTCATCTGCACCTGCCAATCTGCACCTGCCATTAGTTGGGGTGTGTGTGTGAGTGCACAGTGAGCCATCAGACACACAGGAAGTGGTTCCATGAAGAGCTAACAGGAAATAATGGCATAAGCAAAAAGTTCTGGAGTAAGGCAAGTCAAGTTGAACCATTTTACTAGCTGGATGACCTTGAACAGATCTCACTGCTTCATCTAAGATGGACCTAGTACTATTTTATGCTATATAGGACTTCTGTGACACAGCAAAGTTGCTGGGTAAGTTTTTAATGAATGCTAGGTCTCTTCCCCTTATCAATAAGCTGACCCAACATGGAACATGGCTGTTCCCCAGGAAGCCAACAGTCTATAATCAAAAAGATGCTAGTTTTCACTGTCTACCTGTGCAGCTGCTGAGCGAGAATGATGTGTACAGAGGGGCCAGAATCGTAGAAGCCATCTACAGGAGACCCAGACCAGAGGGGAAATGAAGGCCACTAACAGTGTTCTTTCCAGCATCTTCCAGAAAAGGAGAGCTGTAGATCAACAAAGGGCCAGTCTCAAAACGGGCGGATAAGAAGGTATGGTTTTTAAAAAGCAGCAGCTACGGTCAGCTTTCCACATAACTCATTTTCACAGCCCTGTTTTACTGGAGTGTAAGGAATCATTTAGGAACAACTTTTCTTTTTAAACAGACACTTGGCTGTGTGTGGTGGCTCATGCCTGTAATCCAGTACTTTAGGAGGCTGATAAGGGAAGGCTTGAGCCCAGGAGTTTGAGACCAGCCTGGGCAACACAGGGAGACCCTGCCTCTACAAAAAATTTAAAAATTTGTCAGGTGTGGTGGCACACACCTGTGGTCCCAGCTACCTAGGAGGCTGAGGCGGGAGGATCACTTGAGCCCAGGATATCAAGGCTGCAGTGAGCTGTGATAGTGCTACTGCATTCCAGCCTGGGTGGGTGACAGAGTGAAACTGTCTCAAAAAAAAAAAAAAAAAAAAAAAAAAAAAGAGGGAGGGAGGGAAGGAAGGAGGGAGGGAAGGAAAGAAGAGAGGGAGGGAGGGAGGGAGATACTTAAGAACATCTGCCGCTTGCTACAGTGGACCTTAATCCATAGCTTGCATTATATACAAAGATTAACTTGAACTGTACATTTTAATTGTAAAACCTAAAACTGTAAAACTTCTGGAAGAAAACATAGAAGAAAATATTTGCAACTTAGAGTTACGCAAAGATTTTTTAGATATGACACCAAAGGTAAAATCCAAGGGGAAAAATCTGATAAACTGGACTTCATCAAAATTTAAAACTTCCACTCTTCAAAAGACACTGTTAAAATAATGAAAAGAGGCTGGCTGCAGTGGCTCACGCCTGTAATCCCAGCACTTTGGGAGGCTGAGGCCAGTGGATCACGAGGTCAGGTGTTCGAGACCAGCCTGGCCAACATGGTGAAACCCCATCTCTACTAAAAAAGTACAAAAATAAGCTGGGCATGGTGGCAGGCGCCTGTAATCCCAGCTACTCAGGAGGCTGAGGCAGGAGAATCGCTTGAACCCGGGAGGCGGAGGTTGCAGTGAGCCGAGATCGTGCCACTACACTCCAGCCTGGGCGACAGAGCAAGACTCTGTCTCAAAAACAACAACAACAACAACAAACCACCACCACCACCAACAACAAAATGAAAAGAAAAACCAATCTAGAAGAATATATTTGTAAAATGCTTAAAAGGACTTGTATCCAGAATCTATAAAGAACTCTCAAAATGCAGTCAGAAAATAAACAACCCTGGACAAAAGGGAAAAAATGAAAAGATATTTCGCCAAATAAGAAATCCGGATGGCAAAAAATCACAGGAAAAGATGCTTATTAGTCATTAGGGAAATAAAAACCAAAGCCACAATGAGATACCACTACATACCCATTAGAACTGCTGAACAAACAAGCAAAAGGGGTGTGTATCAATATCAAGTATTGGTGAAGGTGCAGAGTGAGCTGAAGCCTTGTATACTGCTGGGGGGAATCCAAAATGGTGATGCCACTTTGGAAAAGAGTGTATCAATTTCTTATGAAGTTAAATATACAGTTACCATATAACCCAGCAATCCCACTCCTGGATATTTACCCAAAGAAAATGAAAACTTAATTCATACAAAAACCTGTAAACAAATATTTATAGCAGCTTGATTCTTGATTGCCAAAAACTGGCAACAACCTAAATGTCCTTCCCCTGGGTGATGGATAAATAGTGATACCTGCATACAGTGGAATACCACTTAGCAGTAAAACGGAGTGAACTGAGGATACACGCACCACCACAAATCGCAAATGCATCATGCTAAATGAAAGAAGTTAAATGGAAGGCTCAAAAGGCTAACTATCACATGATTCCAGGTATATGACATTCTGGAAAAGACAAAATCGCAGGGACAGAAAGAAGACCAATGGCTGCTGGGATCTGTGTGGGGGTTGGGGGAAGGATCAACTCCAAAGGGGCATGAGGGAAATTTCTGGAGTGATGGAGTTCTATATCTTGATCATAGTGGTGGTTATATGACTGTACACAGATGTCAAAACTTACCAAATTGCATACCTGAAAGTGATGACCTTCATTGGGTACAATTATATCTTATTGAAGCTGACCTGGCAAAAGATATTAAAAACAATGTTTTAAAAGAAAACCAACAAAATTTTAATATGAAATACTATGCTTATGGTTAAGATTATTTGGCCAAGAGTTTCTAAAAGGGGAAAAGGCAGGATACAAGCTGCATACAGGGTATGAGGTTGGCCGCAGAGCAAGAATGCTTGTTACCACAGCATCGAGTGGGGGGCTGGGGGCTTAATTGTCTTCTACTTTTCTGCATTTTCCAAATTCTCATGCTGAATATGTTATTTTTATTAACCGAAACAACAAAAAATTAAAAGATGGGGAACACAAAAGGTGAATATTTCTACTTTTCTCCCCTTTACCTAACTGGAGTTTAAATGGAGAAACTTCAAGGGGTAAGGCATTGCTTTTTCCAGGTGAATCCCAAATGGAATCTAAGAAGCTGCACAGGACACTGGAAGCTTCCCATTGTATCCTTTTCCACAGAGTGGACATCTGTACACAGGAAGGTCCCTTGGGAAGCTGCACACAAGTTTCTAACTACGAAACGCTCAAGGGGGTATGCCCTGGGGCCAGTTTCCCACACTAAGAAGGTGAGCCCCCTCCCTGCAAGGCTGATGACATCCTGGAGTTGCCAGGAGGAACAGGCAGGGCACAAATGCGCACTGAGTGCTCTGCCTCTGCCTCACTGCACAGCAGCCCACACCTCCTTCGCCACGTTCACTGCAAACCACACTTGAACCTAGTAATTAAAAGGCTCCTTGGGAGGTCGCTGGGCTGCCTCAGCCTGGTCTCTCAGGTGACCGACAGCAGCAGCTGTAGATCTTGTTTCTGACTTTAAGGAGACCAGTAACAGCATGAGGAGACTGCTGCTCTAAGTAGGTTCTAAATTTTTATACTGTAACCCTCAGGGTTTCAGCTTGAAAAGTTCAGCAGGTTAGTCAAGACTCCAGTAAAACTCCAGGTTCTTTGGCAAACACTTAAAAGGCCTAACGTGTTGTTTTAAATGTTAGGGGAAAAAAGACTTTGAACAATGTCTCTATTTACAGGACAAAAAATAACCAGGAATAGTCAATGTATCTCCTTTGGGCATGCCTCTGTAAACACCGTGTAACCAAGGTGCTGACCTGCTGCTAGGGACCAGCCAGCAGTATTTTCAGAATGGTCAGCCCGGGCAGCATCATACCATCCATGCAGCCCTGAGATTCTCCAGAGAAGTGACGGGGTGGGCAGCATTTCTCCAGGCCCCAGGAACACATCAACAAGAACAAGTATGTGACAGAAATCCTTCAATTAAACATGACCTGGGAAAACAGCCACACTTCCTAAACACATTTTATTCCAGCATTAATGGCATGCAGAATAGTTTTCCTTTGCGTACCAACCGAGTATGTACCTAGAACTGCTCAGATGGAAAGTGGCTGGCACTACCAATCAACACAGTCATATCAACAGAAAAGGAGGGGACTTACGCTGTACATTCACCTCCTGAAAATAGGATCGAAACAACCACACTTAAGAGAAAAATATTTGCTGAGTACATAGTGTATACATAAACTAGAAGCCCTGAAGGAGAGTGGTTACTTGGCTTTCCCTCCCTCCCTCCCTCCTCTCTCTTTCTTTGTTTATTTCTTGAGACGGAGTCTTGGAGTCTTGCTCTGTCACCCAGGCTGGAGTGCAGTGGCGCCATCTGGGCTTACTGCAACCCCAGCCTCCCGGGCTCAAGCGAGTCTCCTGCCTCAGCCTCCCAAGTAGCTGGGAGCACCACCATTCCCAGCTAATTTTTGTATTTTTAGTAGAGACAGGGTTTCGCCATGTTGGCCAGGCTGGTCTCGAACTCCTGACCCAAGGTGGTGGAATAACAGGCGTGAGCCACCATGCCCAGCCCGCTTGGATTTCTATCGAATGACTTTATCACATGAAAGTCTAGATTGGTAATTGTTTCTGATCTAGAACAGCTGCAAGAAACACTCACCTGTGTAATGAATCCTTCATTTCCTCTAAAGTCTGGATGAGTTTCCCATCCTCCCACATGTCAGTTAGATACTTTTAAGTCTGCAACTCTAAGCCTCAGTTTCCTCTGTACAACTGGGAAAGAGTATCTGCATCTTACTGCATGTTTAAAAGGTCTAGACAAGACAATAAAGGATGTTCCTAGCACGCTGTCTAATAGTATAAACCCAATAAATAGTCCTTTCTTCCACTATTTATGTCACTTTTTGTTATCTGGGATTGGGTCTAGTACTTAATTCTTAGTGTATCTTCGATATCAAAATGTATACTATGAGTTCACATGCTTGGGTCAAGAAAAAAATTAAAAGAAAAAGAACAGATACAAAGAGATCACATTTTTATTTTTTCAGACGGAGTTTCGCTCTTGTAACCCAGGCTGTAGTGCAATGGCATGATCTCAGCTTACTGCAACCTCCGCCTCCCTGGTTCAAGTGATTCTCCTGCCTCAGCCTCCCGAGTAGCTGGGATTACAGGTGTGCACCACCATGCCAGGCTAATTTTTGCATTTTTAGTAGAGACGGGGTTTTGCCATGTTGGCCAGGCTGGTCTTGGACTCTTGACCTCAGGTAATCTGCCCGCCTCGCCCTCCAGAAGTGCTGGGATTATAGGCGTGAGCCACTGTAGCCGGCGAGATTAAATTTTTAAAAATTTGTTTTGTGTGGTATTTGCTGAGCACCAGTTGTTCTGGGATTGCTACAACACAGGATATTCCAGCATCCTAATTTTTGCTACTTCCTCCTTGGAGAACAGAAAATACCCACAGGTAGTGCCCTGTCTTTTATATCTTTCATGCCCTCACTGCCAATGCTGGGCCCCCAAGCCCCCGAGGATCTGTTGAGTACCGGCTGAGGTGCTTTTCTGAGTACCGGAGCTCAGACCCCATGCCTCAGCACCGTTTTGGGTTGGACAGACTTTGTCGCGCCGTACCTAGCGCTCTAACACAGTTCCCGCCACCACCCGAACCAGACCCTCGCGGCTCCTGGCACACTCTAAATACTTCTGAGAGTTTAATGCAGACCCTCAACAGGGCTTGAACTTTGTACTCTCACTCATTATGGGACCTTATTAAAGTAAACGAGCAAGCCAAATTGGCTGATTCCACAGGTTCTGCACCTGATACCCTGACTTACATCCTGCTGATACTAATAGGATTAAACACTGAAAACAAACCAGGTGGAAAGGATCCATTAAGTTTCCACCTGGCACCGTCAGGGGTCTTGCTCGATGAATGGTGCTTCAGAAGAAAGCTCGATTCACTCAAGTTCTCTGATTGAATTAAAAGTTGTCAAGATGTCTCTTTCTCTCTCTCTCTCTTTTTTTTTTTTTGGCAGCGCTGACAAAGAAGTACAAAATCTACGATTTTCTTTTAGCTCAAATCTTGTGGCAGTGACAGCTTTACTGTCAGTGGGAGGAAAAAACCCTTATTTTAATTACAGTATTATAAATTCAAAACCCTAAATAACTTATAGAAAGTTTTCACTTAAAACGATGAAAGCTGTACAAGGAACTAATCTATTAATGCAGTCTATTATTAGTTATTTTAATTTTAATATTTTTCAGATTATGCTGATCTAGAGGAGAAAAACGAAAAGCTTGTCCCTGAAAAGTAATAAACTAAAAAATCCAGAAGAGACAGATATGAAGGACAGGAATACAAGTGGGGAAACCCCCCTGCCCCTCTAAATCCTGCTCAGTACGATCTCTAGAAATCATGCTGAGATTCATTATTTTAACATTTGTTGAGCACATGAAACATGACAGTGGTAATAAAGGTATGAAATTTGAAGACTAAGGATGCTACAGATTAAAAACTTCTCCAATACTTTTTCTTTCTTTTTTTTCTTAAGACAAGGTCTTGCTGTGTCCCCCACGTTGGAGTGCAGTGATGGGATCATAGCTCACTGCAGTCAAAACTCCAGGGTTCAAGCGATCCTCCCGATTCAGCCTCCTAAGTACCTGGGACTACAGGCCCGTGCAGCTAATATTTAAAAAAAAATTTTTTTTTTTTTGGTAGAGAAAAGGTTTCACTATATTGCCCAGGCTGGTCTTAAACTCCTGGGCTCAAGCCATCCTCCTGCTTCAGCTTCCCAGAGTGGTGGTACTATAATTGTGAGCTACCATGCCTGGCCCCCTCCAATAGTTAATTCAGGGAAGGGAGAGGAGGCCCTACTTTTTTTGATATGATGTAGATGCAGGCAGAAATATCTAAATAGGGTTATAATCACCCCAAATCTTTTTTTCAACTATCATAAATTACCACAAAAATTTCGTTCCATGTGAAAAAAGATTACCTAATGAATGAATAAGTAACTTGGAACTTTAAGAAAATGGACACTCATTCACACACGTAAATAGAGGAGGTGCATTGCAGTAGAAGAATTTCTTTTCTAGATTAATGGTTGTAAATGTTCCCAATCAAATATTAGTAATAAGGCAACATTGTCTTTGAAAATAATTTGAGAAATGACAATAATTTTGTTTCTGCTACTAATTTTTACCTCTGATTGCTAAATGATCTAACAACTACCCACTGTTCTCTTTGTGTTTGTTTTCTAGTGTAAATTTGGTAGACTTAATTATGGGTGATAATAGTAGCATTTTTGAGGGATGACAACCTTGTGCATTTCAATGCATAATTATGAAAGCACTCTTCACAAATGAATTGATCACCTGCACAAAATAGGCATGGGCGTAAACGCAGGTCAATCAAATGGAAGATCAATCATGTTAAGCAATATTTTCCAATAGTTCTTTTGAGAAATATTCAGAGAAACAACAAGGAAAGTAAGTTTTAAATAATATTGGAGATGCTATATTTTAAAACATACTAAGTACATTTTTTGTTTGTTTTTAACTGCAAGGTTTCTTAATGCAATGAACAGACCAATGTGCAATGAATTTCTTGGAGGCAACTATATAGTTCACTGTTGAATGTATTTGGCAATGAGACATTTTTGCAGTTATCTTGTGGAACTAGGATAATGTGGGATGGACTCAGAAAATCTGAATTTAAGAGTATACAGCTCTGATGAACCACATTATTTATAACTTCTAGCTGGTTTAAGATCTGTCTTTCTAGGGGAAAAATGAATTTTAGATGATTTGTACACTGCATGTAGAATGGCCCATTGTAAAAGTTTAAAAACCTTCCGTTATCCTCTTTTTCCCAAAAGCATATCTAGTTCTTTTGCCTTGAGAATGAATAATGGTTTTTCATCACTTCAAACATGATTGAATAACCTACGAAGACCCAAATACAGTGGAAAAGACAGAAGAGAGTCCCAATTCATTGGTTATTGATTATAGCTCTGCTGATTTTGTGCCATCCCATCTTGGTCATTTTTACGGGTTCTAACATATTCCATCTGTTGAGCACCTATCTCTCTGTGTCTTTGAACTGACACTGAACACGTGGACTCTAATTAGTTCTTTTACAGTTTCCTGGAGTATGCTCTTAACTGTTTATTTGAAATCTCATGGCCTCTTGACAGCTCTTTGCTATCTACGTTGTTACACATAATTCAAAGATAGAGAAAACACAGTGAACATTTAGATCAACTAACTCACACTACAAAAGAGGAAATATAACATATTACTTCTTATCTACTCCTGCCCATGTGACTTTGCAATGTAATAATGATGCTTTGAAACCTCACTGATTTCTACAGAGTCTCCAGACCTAAATTCTCCAAAGTGATACCTTCAAACTACTGCTTAGGACATGGCCTGTCCCTGGAGGAGAGTGAGGTGCCCCCCCAGTCCCCACCACTCACATAGAAATGTTTATGGGAATAGGACTAAGCTAAAAATTTCATGAGGCAATAAACTATTTCTGAGCCATGCTAGCATTGTTTCACATCTCTGTATTCCAAGAGTTAGCTTTGCAGCTGTTGCCTAACACAGAGAAAGCCCTCAGTATCTTTGTGTTAGAGGAATAATCAGAAATATAGATAAATAAATTGAAAGCAATGGCTAGAGTAAATTATATAATCAGAGCCAATTGTCAATAATACAAACTGTATAGCTTGAAGGACATGGTCTAAAATTTATTTTTTAAGGTAGAAAAAACATTATCTTCTTTACTATATTTCCAAAAAGCATGATTAAGCCCTCATCAATTTCTGTACCTGTGAATGTGCTTTGGCGTTATACTTACACAGCATCAGATACTTTATACTCTGGATAATTAGCGGACAGTTTTGCAGCTTTGATTTGATATTATACCATCAGTATTCAAGTTACTTTAACCACTACCGAAATATTTTAAATCCACTGCCATTTAATCATAGTAATTATCCTGTCTGCAGAAGTTTCCAGTGACAGAGAACTACCCTGTGTTTGACAACCAATGATGAATATTTTTTTTTTTTGACACTAAGTTTGGCTAACAAGTAAATGAGGATTCTTCACATTTCTTTGCTTTGCCTTGCCAAGTGTAAAAACTGTAAGTCCTCTAGCTGACATTTGACTTGGTGAAACTATAATTGTCTCATTGGTTGTGGCTCTGTTAGAGAAAAAAAAATTATTATATATATATAATCAACTGTGAGCTCAGATGAATTTCTCAGCTATATTGCTTACTTTTGTTGGTCACAGAATTAACAGGAAAATTTATTTTTCTCTTTAATCTCCCTTAGAATATAATAATTGAATTCATTTCCCACCATAAAACTCTCATCTCCTGCTTTGCTTTTTTATAAAGAGAAACTTTAGCACAAAATACATATGGCCCAAAGACATGTTGAAACATATACTGAATATATCTACAAAATTTTAAATACATTGTTACACTGGGAGAATCAGGCTAAACTAGCATTTAATATGTCACTATGATGGTATATTAGTTGCTGTTTTTTTCTTCAACATAAAGCATGCAATTTAGGATTATATGTTAATTGAAAAGTTAAAAAATGAATATTACTGTATATTAGAACCTGGTGTGTTTGTATGATTTAGTAGGTCATATGGGCATGCCAGGGTATAAACTAGGTGATATGTAAAGTGTCTTACAGCCATATAGGTACTTTTCAGGTCATGTAGAGGGAGCCCCACAACACCTTCTGCAAAAAAGAGTTTCCCATATGTTCATTTAATTTGCATAGATTTCACTATATGCCTTTCTGCCAAAAGGAAAGATAATGGGATATGGATGATGTAAATGATGATGGTTAAAGCCCCAGTTAAAGTATTAAGTATGGTCCAATTTTAAGCGTGATCTAATAATCCCCTATGAGGTACCTACTATTATCTCCATAAACAAAATAAATCTAGGTGCCTAAACAAATAAACTCAAGTCACAAAACATATTTTTCCTTAAATAGTAAAAAAAAAAATGCATGTTTCAATTAAATAACTATCTTTGTTTCTCGCTTCTATAATATGCTTCTCCCTGCACAGATCTCCCCCTTCGCCCTACATAATGCTTGAAAGGTAACTCTTGGTTCAGTACTCAATCCTTTAAATGTTAATCCGACTGGGCCGGTGCACCTAAATAATTAATAAATGTCCTCCTAAACCCCGTGAGTCTATCTAATTCCTTAAAAATTCCGCTACAGGATTGCAGGTGTGAGCCAGCGCGCCCCGCCTAATTTATTAATCAGAGAGGAACAGATCGGCCTGGCATGATGGCTCATGCTTGTGATTCAGGGACTTTGGATGGCAGAGCACTGGGGATCATTTGAGCCTAGGAGATCCAGACAGGCCTGGGCAACATGGTGAAACTCGGTCTCTCTTTTTTTTTTTTTTTTTTTTTGAGGCGGAGTTTCACTCTTGTTGCCCAGGCTGGAGTGCAGTGGTGAGGTCTTGGCTCAACGGGCCTCCGCCTCCCGGGTTTGGGTGGTTCTCCTGTCACAGCCTCCCGAGTGGCTGGGATTGCACGCGTGAGCCACCATGCCCAGCTCATTTTGTTTTTTGTTTGTTTTTGTTGTTGGAGATGGGGTTTCTCCATGTTCATAAGGCTGGTGTCAAACTCCCGAGCTCAGATTATCTGCCCGCCTCGGCGTCTGGAGGTGCTGGGATTGCAGGCTTGAGCCAGCGCGCAAGGCCTAATTTATTAATCACAAAGGAATAGCGCGGGGGATCGCTTGAGCCTAGGAGTTCCAGACAGGCCTGGGCCACATGATGAAACCCGGTCTCGCTTTTTTGTTTTGTTTTTGTTTGTTTGTTTGAGGTGGAGTTTCACTCTTGTTGCCCAGGCTGGAGTGCAGTGGCGCGGTCTCAGCTCCCTGCGGCCTCCGCCTCCCGGGTTTGGGTGACTCCCCTGCCTCAGCCTCCCGAGTGGCTGAGATTGCAGGCATGAGCCACCATACCTGGCTAATTTTGTACTTTTTTTTTTTTTTTTTGCTACAGACGGGGGGTTTCTCCCTTCGTCAGGGTAGTCTCAAACTCCTGACCTCAGGTTACCCGCCCGCCTCGGCCTCCCGGGGTGCTGGCATTGCAGGCATGAGCCACCATGCCCAGCTTTTTATTTTTTTTCTTTTTCGGTAGAGACAGTTTTCTCCATGTTGGTCAGGCTGGTCTCAAACTCCCGACCTCAGGTGATCCGCTCGCCTCGGCCTCCCGGGGTGCTGGGATTGCAGGAGTGAGTCACCGCGCCAGGCCCAATTTATTAATCAGAAAAGAAGAGATTGGCCTGGCGTGGCGGCTCACGCTTGTGATCCCAGGACTTCGGATGGCCGAGCGCGGCGGATCGCTTGAGCCTAGGAGTTACACGCCGGCCTGGGCAACATGGTGAAACTCAGTCTCTCTACCTCTTTTTTTTTTTTTTTCTGAGAGGGAGTTTCACTCTTGTTGCCCAGGCTGGAGTGCAGTGGCAGGATCTCGGCCCCCCGCAGCCTCGACCACACGGGTTTGGGTGGTTCTTCTGCCTCAGCCTCCTGAGTGGCTGGGATTGCAGGCGTGAGCCACCAGGCCCGGCTACTTTTGTATTTTGTTTTTTTTTGGTAGAGATGGGGTTTTCTCCATGTTGCTCAGGCTGGCCTCAATCTGACCTCAGGCTTTCCGCCCGCCTCGGCCTCCCGGGGTGCTGGGATCGCAGGCGTGAGCCACCGCGCCCGGCCCAATTTTTAATCAGACAGGAATAGATCGGCCTGGCGTCATGGCTCACGCTTGTGATCCCAGGACTTTGGACGGCTGAGTGCTGCGAATCGCTTGATCCTAGGAGATCCAGACCAGCCTGGGCAACATGGTGAAACCTGTTTTTTGTTTTTTGTTTTTTGAGGCAGAGTTTCCCTCTTGTTGTCCAGGCTGGAGTACAGTGGCGTGGTCTCGGCTCCCCGGGCCTCCGCCTCCCAGGTTTGGGTGGTTCTCCTGCTTCACCCTCCTGAGTGGCTGGGATTGCAGGCGTGAGCCACCATGCCCAGCTACTTTTTTATTTATTTATTTTGGTAGAGACGGGGTTTCTCCATGTTGGTCGGGCTGGTCTCCAGCTCCTCACCTCCGGTGATCCGCGGGCCTCGGCCTCCCGGTGTTTTGGGATTGCAGGCGTGAGTCACTGCGCCTGGCCGGAAACCCAGTCTCTTAACGGAAAAACACAACAAAACCCACAAAGATTAGCTGGGCCTGGTGGGCCCCGCGGGTAATCCCAGCTGCTCTGAAAACTGATGCAGGAGGATTGCTTGAGCCCGGGGGGAGGTGGCAGTGAGCCATCATGGCGCTGCTGCAGTCCAGACTGGGTGACAAAGTGGGACTCTGTCTCAGGAAAAGGGAAAAGAAAAAAGAAAGGAAAAGGAAGTACATAAAATTGCTAAATCAAGGAACAGCTTGACAGTATATTATTGAGAGAAATAGAGGCAAAGGTTAGCAGACACCAATGTTCTCTTAGTGGAACTGCAGGTGTCCCCAGACAGGAGGCTGCTACTTTTCCAAAAGAAGTCTATTATTGACCAAAACAAAAAAAAAGTTGGTTTGTTACAATATACAAATAGCTAAACTTTATATAGCCACCACCCTCTTCTAGCACTGCTCTAATGAAACAGCTACTATTTTTACCTCCGTTGTAGAGAAAACAGATGCCAGAGGTTGCTGTGGAAGGACCAGGGAAACGGACTATGAAATTGACTTGTTGTAAGTTTCGGACTTAAAGGTTCTTCCTGCTCTGCTCCTTAAATTGCCACATTTTAGTTAACATACCTCTTAAAATACTGGTCCTTTCTGTATTTGGAGGGACTCCTCTTGGAGTTGGAAGTTTTTTTTTTTACACTAAGCATTTGGTCGGAAGATCATCTGCGTTTTATGTCAGTTTAAGTTTAGACATTTTTCAAGTGGGAATGTAAATATGAGCAAACAGTTACCTGATTGAATTAGATAACCTAGAAAAAATCACTTATGAGAAAGTCAAGAAAATGTGAACTCTGGATTTGTGGCTATTTTCAGAATATTAATTTTTTTGGTATTTAATGGCATTGTGAATATATTTGTTTTTAAAAATTCCTTGTCTTCTACAGATACATATAAGGTAATTAAAAAATGATATGATGTATAGGTTTTACTTCAAAATAAGAGGAAGAAGGAATGTATACAAATGAAGTGGGAATATAAATCAAACAAAACTGGCTGTGGCCAGGTGTGGTGGCTTACACCTGTAATCCCAGCACTATGGGAGACCAAGGCAGGTGGATCACCTGAGGTCAGGAGTTCAAGACCAGCCTGACCAACGTGGTGAAACACCATCTCTACTAAAAATACAACAGTTAGCCGGATGTGGTGCTGGGTGCCTGTAATCTGAGCTACTTGGGAGGCTGAGGCAGGAGAGTCGCTTGAACCTGGGAGGCGGAAGTTGCAGTGAGGCAAGATCATGCCACTGCACTCCAGCCTGGGCAACCACAGCAAAATCCCACCTTTTAAAAAAAAAAAAACAAAAAAACAAAAACCAAAAAACTGTCCATACCATGAATGAAAAATTGTTGATGATGTGTATATGTAGGGCAATTACATTATTTTTCTCAACTTATTTTAGGTTTGGAACTTTTTATTGAACACATGCACACGTCACTTGATAACTGGGGCTGCTTCCCCATTATTCTTGTAGTAGCCCTTCTGATTTTCACTTCATCTTCAGTCTTAGAGATTCTGGATTTTTTTTGGTGTGGCAATTTCAAGTATGCCTTTGCAAGGAGTATCCAGCATGTCTACCTACTCAGCCGTATTATCAGAAACAGAAATATTTTCCAGATTCTGTTCTTGTCCTGTTGAGACTTTTTAAGTTCCAAGAACAGTCACCTTCTACCAGACTCTCTGTTGTTGGAAGACAAAGCATATTTTGTAAGTGGCATGATTTCTGGGCTCATATTTAGAACAGAGCCACAGCTTTCAACAACCCAAAAATAACTTACTGTGACTCACCAAATTTAGAAAGACGGAGATTATTAAAAAAAAGAAAACCTTAATTTACTATGTGACCTCTAAGTATCTGGGCTGAAAATTGTAAATGTAGAAAGGTAAATCAAAAGATACAGGGACTGTAATCATGCACTTAATGAAGCACTAAATCAAAATATTTTTGGCATACGTGAAAGAGTTTAATTTTATCACATTTTTTACTGGCACTATAGCTATTTGCAAGTACATATAAAACTACAGTGTTACATATAAACTACCAAAAAAGAACTTTTTAAGAAATGAGACTCATCTAGCAACTTTATTTAAAAGTTTATCTTCAGGGAATAATTAAGGATGGCCGTACAAAAGGATTTAGCCATGGCATGAGAATGTTCTCCCTGGCAAACCAACGGAAATTATTAAATGTGCAAAATGGAACTGTTGGAATAAATTGTAATGCCTTCATATGATTGTATATTTAACCTTTTAAAATGATATTGAAGAGTTGCATACATTGACTTAAACACACATTCGTAACACATCACTGAATAGGAGAAATATGGGCCAGCAAAGAACATAGAGTTGGTCCAATTTCTACCAAAAAAAGAAGACTCTAATAGCATGACAGCAGGGAAGGGGAACTATGTCAACGTATGTGTGTATATGTATGTATATGCATAGCAAGTATGAACTTGAAAAGATATATTTCAAATTGTTTACACAGATTACCTCAGAGAGGTAAATAACTTTGGACTTTGGTGTTCTGTATTCCACATGCTCTGAATTTTCTTTTTTTATTTAAATAGAGATGGGATCTTAGCCAGGAGCAGTGGCTCACCCCTGTAATCCCAGCACTTTGGGAGGCTGAGGAGGGCGGATTGTTTGAGGCAGGAGTTCAAGACCAATCTGGCCAACACGGCAAAACTCTGTCTCAACTAAAAATTCAAAAATTAGCCAGGGGCGCAGTGGCTCATGCCTGTAACCCCAGGCACTCGAGAGACTGAGGCATGAGAATTGCTTGAACCAGGAGGCAGAAGTTGCAGTGAGCCGAGATCACACCACGGCACTCCAGCCTGGGCAACAGACCAAGACTCTGTCAAAAAAACAAAACAAAATAAAACAAAACAACAACCACAACAACAAAACAGTAATAAAGAGAAAACCTAATGGACAGGGGCAATGTCTCATGCCTGTAATCCCAGTGCTTTGGGAGGCCAAGATGGGAGAATTGCTTGAGGCCAGGAGTTCAAGACCAGCATTGGCAACATAGTAAGACCTTTTCTCTACAAAAAAATTTAAAAATTAGCCAGGCATAGTAGTGCATGCTTATACTCCCAGTTACCTGGGAGGCTGAGGTGGGAGGATCACTTGAGCCTGAGAGTTGGAGGTTGCAGTAAGCTGTGATCATACCACCAGAGAGCCACGACCCCATCCCCGCCTCTTTCCTCTGTCCTGCGCTAGCAATAAATAAGTTTCCCAGCCACAAATAATTATTAGAACCTCCTCCCCATGTGCCAGCTCCAACCTCTGCTAGGTATGATACAGGGGCAGCCCTACCCTCTGGAATATACAAAATGTTACACAGACACAGTATGTACACCGGGGAAGGTGGGCCACCCCAGCAGCCCATGCCCTCGCTGGTCCACAGTTAGCCCCGCTTTCTGGCCTCAGCTACCTCTCTGAATAAGAAGATGGGAGCCCCCCTGAGGGAAACGTTGCCATGGTGAGAGTAAGGGGACCATCAGGCCTCCTCCAAACAAACCAACTCCACCAGCCTCTGGCTTTTAAGTAACAATCATCATCATCCAGAAATTTAGGGACTCAGCCCTGGTCAAGGTGGCAAATGGTCTGTTTGTCTTTCCCCATTAGACAGAGGTCTTGTCCTGCTACCCTAATTGTAAAGGGGTGCCTGGGAAGAGGTGGTAGGGACATGGTGGCGGTGGAGACTCCGGCCCCACTTCTCCAGGCTTTGCTGACAGGGGCCTGCTTTTAATTTTTATTTTTATTCCATGACTTTTTAAAAAAATCCCATAACTTCTTTTTCATAACTTTTTTTGTAACTTTTCATAAAACTTTTTTCTACTTTTTTCCCAGAAGTTTTTTTGCCACAACTTTTTTACATTTTTTATCCCATAACTTTTTCACCCCATAACCATTTTTAATAAAAAGTTATTTAATAAAATAACTTTTTATAAAACTTTAATAAAAGTTTTTTAATAAAAAAACCCATAACTTTTTTATTTTGTGTTTTTAATAAACACTTGCATAGTTGTATTACAATTTTGTAAAAATGAAACACATTATCTCATGTCAAGCATGCCCAGCATTTGCACAGTATCAATACCTTTAATACTATAGTTTTCAAGAAACACAAAATAAAATTTTAAGGCAAAAACAACACTTAGAAACAATTTAATGATTTATTACATTACAGTGGCATCACACCAGCAGTCAATAAGGCCACTCTAGGGAAAAATCTTTCAGTATTTCCATTACACATTCTGTTTACAAGAATTCACAAACTGGTAAAATTCATTCTAACAAAACTTGGCAAATAAAGCTTTGGACTGGAATTGGCATTTCTTTCTCTGCTTTTCCTTCCCACTGTTTCTTTCTTTTATACTATAGTATTCATATTTTAAAATGTTTTAACTTATTTCAGAACATTAAGATAGCAGTTACATTTTTAATAGTTATATTATTTTAAAATGACTCTAAGATAAAGTTTTAGAGAAACTATATTATGGATAGGGCTGATTTACATTTTCAAATTTTCTAAAATCAGCTTTCGTTTTAGAGCTGATTTTTTTTTCATTTCTGGAAAATTATCAGGTTTAATCAAATACTTTTAAAATGATTATTATATATTGCCATCTTTAAATAGGTGTTTTGATTCTTCCTACAGAAATTAAAATGTATTCAGTGGAACTCACATTTTAAAATTCTATGTTTCTGATGAACTCTAACATTCCAATGTTGCCTTCTAAGCAAACTGAAAGCTGCCTTATACCGAATGAGGAAGAGCACAAATACTCGGCTGAATGAGGTATCGCAAAAGACTGCATGCACTTTGGAGAAAGACTTAAGTTATTGTCATACAATTTCCATTCCTTTTAGCTTTTTCTTAAATATATGACAAATACCTACACAAAGAGTGGTATTTCAGTCAATATAGTAAATTTATTTTCCAGACTGACCTTCAGCTTAAATATGCCAGTGTGTGATTTAATCCATAGGCACCTCATGAACACATTATTGTCAGATTGGTTACAGATGCTAAACGCTATCCGAAGGTCATTCCTAGTCACTGATATTTATCAGGGTAAAAGTGAAGTGATTTCAACGATAAAAGTACCTTTGAAATAATTTATCAATGTATTAGATAAACCCAGTTTCAGAATGATAAAAGAAAAAACGTTAGACCAAATAATGTGGCTGATTAACAGTGGTCCGATTTCTAGCCCGAGGGTTTAAAATGCTCTTAAAGTAACCGTCTTTAAACTGAACTCAAAGAATGCAAAAGCGGCAAGTTCAGAAAATAAAAGGCGAGAACAGGACTTTAAGTGCATTTTAAACCCACGGGCTAGAAATCGTACCACTGTTAATTAGCCGCATTATTTGGTCTAACATTTTTTCTTTATCATTCTGAAACTGGGTTTATCTAATACATTGATACATTCATAAAATTTGGAAGAGTCAGTTGAAGTCACAAGGACCGAATATTTGCACTCTTTCAGTGAATGCCAGCAAATCTGTTATTCCATCGGTAAAATCGTATTGTTGCTCTCCTGTTAATGTCATATTTATAGAAGTATCATGAGGATGCCAAATGCTAAAAATGGAGATGATCTAGTAACTAGAAATCCCCACCGCAGGGAGCACACACACCTATCTCCCTGCATCCTAACAATGTGATGTGTTTTGGAACACAGACATTAGAACTTCATGAAGTTTTAACTGTTGAGTCTTTCCCAAGCATCATCAAGTTACGATTTAGGCAATACATAACTGAAATGCATTCATTCATCATGCATAGGCACAATCACATAAATATTGCACAAAATATGTCCCGAACAGAAACCCAGAGATACAAAAACATATTTCACTTTGTAAAGAAGTCTGTGAGAAAATATAACTCTGTGATTGTATAGGCACGTTTCCTGATAATACATTGACATTCACGAACAGTAGATTGCACTGCAGTTTGTACACATTTTAAGTTTCATAAACTTCTCCTTGATTTTCAAAGATAGTATAATACCGTCTACTAAAACTCCCTTTTGTTTCAACTAAGTATCTCACATATATTAGTTTATAATAATGTTTCTATTATTTTTTAAAGTGTTTTCCATTCAAGGAAAAAGAAGTAAATTCCTATGTCAGAGTAACCAAGGTGGTTGAAGAATAGGTATTAGCCAAAGAGGTCTAGATGGTAAAATCAATCTTCAAGCCTCAAAGAATCTCCGTGAACAGAGAGGAATGCCAGGTGTCACACAGCTTTCCTTCACTCTAATTCATTCTTGACTAGAGCCTGTATGCCTGTTCCAGGGACATTTGAACTCGTAAAGGATTTCTTATGATCTTTACTAAATACATTAAGAAGAATGCCAACCAGTGCCCTTTTGTGTACTGGGACATGTAGTCATGTGATTAAAACAGGTAACATGAACTCTGACTTTAAAATGTATTGTAGATACAAATGCTCTAAGCTAGGAAAGGTTTTCCACATCCACAGTCAACGATGGGAACCTTTCATTCCTCAGAAATAAGCCCTTTTTAGGTCATTGAAAAAGAGTACAACTGCTGCAGCTCATGATGCAGTATCTTCATGAGCCCAGAGCACATACAAATCCTAAGGGAACCACCATAATACACTGCTAATTCCTGGCACCGGAACAGATGAAACACACTCTATCCTGGACATACCTGCCAGAGGAGGCCACTTTCCTCTTCTGTGAGATTTAAAAAGCTCCCTCAAAAGGTTTCACTCCCATCACCAATACACAGAAAATGGAGGAAAGGCTGTTTCCAGTTCTTGGCCTTTAAACAACTCTAAATGTCAGTACTCATAGTGGCATATTACAAAGTAATAAACAGTGCACGCTTGGGGGCAAACTACATATTGAGCTAACGAAGAGCTCACTGTGATTAAGATTAGATCAAACAACAGCAGAACATAGGCAAATTTTGTCTGAATTCTGTAGTGAATATACATGCTGCAATAACATTAAAAAAGCATGGCAGCCTATTCCAAACCAGCGAGAACAGTTTTGGGCAAAGAGTGGGTCTTTGTGTGTTTGAACCCCCACCACGTAAGGGCAAACTCGATATGCATGCTAATGACCTACAATTATGAAATTAAAAAAGAAAAATGCTAAAGGATGCCAGAGTGAACATCAGTGAGAGCCACAGACACCCACTCTCTTTTAACTTTTTACAAATAAACTTAAAACTATAAATTAGAAACACAAATAATCATGAGTGACTCTAACATTCAAAGGAAGTAAATGAATTGTGTAGGAGATTAACCCCATAACTTGGTTTCTTATTTAAAAATTTCTTGAGCAGCTGTTTGATGATGGTGATGTTTATCTCCTTCTTCTTGGCAGCCAAGCCCAGCAAAAGAATGGCACACAGCAGTTGCTGCCCAAGCCTGGGTGCTCCTGGTGGTCCTGCACGATCGGCTGTGCAGTAGGCTTGTCAAGGAGAGGATCCTCCCTGGCCTCTCCTTGGGCAGAGGAGGTGAGGCTCACCTCACAAAGATCTTTGGAGAGAGGGAGGCAGGGATCTGAGCACAGTGGGAGCCCCCTCTTCCTGCCTGCCCACCCCACCTGAGGGCTCTACTCACCACCATGCTTGTCTGCAGCCCCAAGCTCCTGGGGAGCTGGGGCTCCTGGACCGGGCTCATCAGCAGGGTTGTGGGCAGCGGCCAGGAATTTTCTGTGCCCATTGTTGTAGTTGCTGTAAGCCGCAATACCATCTGCTGCAGCTCCAGCAGCTTCACCTGGAGGGAGGGGTGCTCAGCTGCCATGCCGCTGCCTGCGCCCACCCTCACACCCACCCCCACCCCCACCCCCACAGAGATGTTGCACAACCTACCTTCATCTCCTCCCTGAGCTCCAGCCTGATGGTGTCCTCCTCCCAGTGCCGCATCTTTGGCACGGCCCCCTGGTTCTGATAAAAGGTGATGGATTTTCCTGCGGGAGGACAGGGCTCAGACGCTGGGGCCCCTCCGACGGCCCTGTAGCTCCCCCTGCCGTGCCCTGGCCTCCCACTCACTGATGGCATCTCTCTTGCCAGTATTGAATGAAGCGAAGTTCTTGTTTCTTCACCAGCTCACTCAGGTCTGCCTTCTCCTCCAGGTGGTCCATAAAGCTGCTCTGGAGCCAAAATATTGTAGTCACATCTCGGCAGCGACCTGCCCTCAGGTGGCATTTTCAAGTCATGGAGAAGGTGGAGGTGAGTCCTGCCATGGGCCAGCTTCTCCGTGACTTCCTGCAGGGCCCAGTGGGTCTCCCCACTCACAGACTCGCCCCCAGGCCCTGGGGCTCCAGGGCCTCTGGCTGCCTCTGGCTCCTTCTGGGCCGAGGCCACCAGGTGAGCCAGGCGCTGGCAGCCACCCTCTGCTCTTTCACCTGCTCTTGTAACTGTGCCTGCTTCTCCTGGGCACTAGCTCCAGCGGACTTGAAAAATGCCACCTGAGGGCAAGATGTGAGCATTCTTCTAGGGGCATACACAGAAGAAATGGGGCAGAGAGGTGGAGCGCAGCCCCTTCCCTTGGGGCCCCAGAGACTGCACATGTTGGTCACAGGTGAAATGGTGTCTGACCACTGGCTCTCGGAAGGGGTGAGGGTCCAGAGAAATCAGAAGGCAGGGAAACGAAGAGCATAAAGGGGTCTTGGAGGGACCACAGAGAAAGGTGGCAAAATGGGTGCAGGGGGAGTCAGGCTCACCATGGCCTCCCTGCTCTCCAGGTCCTCTGGGACACTCGGCATGGGCCGAGGTGCCTCCTCCCCCTCACTGTCCAGATGTTCTCCTCCGTGTCCTGTGGGGGGTGGCCAGAGGGGTCTTCAGACAACTCAACAAGGGAAGTATTGTGGGCCCACCTCTGCCTCCACCCTCATTGTGTAACCCTGAGCCAGGCCCTCCCCAGAGAGGAATGAGCTGCTGTTATTTATTTTTACTTTGAAGAATCAAGATCTTGCTATACTGCCCAGGCACATTCCCACTACTGGTCGGTGCGGGAGTTCTGACCTGCTCCCTTTCTGACCTCGGCCAGTTCAGCCATCCTTAGGCAACTTGGTGGCCCCCCGCTCCCAGGAGGTCACCATATTGATGCTGAACTTAGTGCAGGCACCCGGTTAGTATAATGACCAGCTGTTCTAAAGGTCTCTTCCAACTCCTCAATCCTATGCTGCTAGCAGTCCCCCCTTCCTCCTGGGGCTCTCTCCTCTTCCTCTGAGCGGTCTCCCGTACCTTCCCCAGGGAGAGCCATGAGGCTCAACTGGGCCGTTAGCTGCTGTTTCTGCTGGCTGGCAGCTTCCAGACGCTCCTAAGGGGCCAGGAAAGAGTGAGAAGGCACAGAGTTTGCCAGGTCGTCCCCCTCACGGCCCCATCCTCGGCAGCTCCCTCCCCTGGGTCTCCTGCAACTTTTGGCAGGCCATCTCGGCCACCGCTTTGCCCCAAGCTTCCTGCTGCTGCAACTGGTTCATTAGCTGGGTCTGCTGCAGTCACTGCCTGTACAGCGCCTCCTTCTCACAGGTCAGCTGCTGATAGGCGGCCACCTGCTGCTGATAGGTGGCCACGTACTGCTGCAGGTGACCCAGGTAATGGTCTGGCTGCTGCTGCAGACTCTGAGCCTCTTGGCTCTTCAGCTCCACCTGCAGGAAGACCCTGGGTGTGAGGGCACATGGTGGCTGGTTTGCAGATTCTGGGCCCATTAATAGGGTAGCGAGGGCACTGTGGGGCTCTGTCGCCTGCCCAGGCCCCTGGCCCCTTACTTCAGGCCTAAGTGACTGCCTTGCTTTCCTAGAACCCCATGCCTCCTTCCCCAGCCTCAAATCTCATGTCCTCTTCCCACCATTTCAACTGTAGGCCACAGAATGGTAGAAAAGTAGTGGGAGCCAACCACCATCTGCTAAATGTGCTACAGGCCTAATGCTTCCCATGTATTATCTCATTTAATCCTCAGCACCTCTGTAAGGAAAATGCTAACTTCCTTTTGAAGTTAAAGAAACAGAGACTTAGAGATGCGAAGTACTTGAATGGTGACCAGTGGAACTGAGGCTGGAATCCAGTTTTAATCTAAGGAGTCTTTTTGTTTTGTTTTGAGACAGAGTGTCACTCTGTGGCCCAGGCCGGAGTGCAGTGGTGCAATCTCAGCTCACTGCAACCTCCACCTCCTGGGCTCAAGCAATTCTCGTGCCTCAGCCTCCTGAGTAGGTGGGATTACAGGCATGCGCCACCACCATGCCCCACTAATTTTTCTTTCTTTTTTTGTTTTTTGTTTTTGTAATTTTAGTAGAGATGAGGTTTTACCATGTCGGCCAGGCTGATCTCAAACTCCAAACCTCAAGTGATTCTCCTGCCTCAGCCTCCCAAAGTGTTGGCACTACAGGTGTAAGCCACCGCATCTGGCATAAGAAGACTGTTATACCACTCTGTCTCTTCCCCTGTGATTGGGGGGGCTCCATGTCTCTAGCTGGAATGATGATGTCCAGACCTGGGAGGAGCCCAGGGCTACCCACCTCTAAAATCAGAGGGCAGGAAGCAAGAAACAGCCACAGGACTGCCCTGGAGGGTGCTGGGGTCACCTGCCCCTGGGCTGGAGCTACCGCTGGCCTGGCACCTCCCCTCCCCAGAGGCTGGTGCCCACCCACCTCCCAGACCTTCTTGGATGGGGTGGAGGTTACCGTCTCCTTCACCTTGCCTAGCTTCTCCTGCAGCTCCTTTACTTGCTGCTCCAACTGTAGTACGCTCTTGTTCTCATTGTTCTGGACAGAGAGAAGCAATCAGCAGCCACCCACTGCAGCTGGAGACCCCAGAACTTGGTGACTGCCTCCCATGGCACCGGGAAGGGTGGAGGCAGGTTAGAAAAATCATCCCCTGTCTCCCACAGCCACCAGAGCAGGGCTCTGGCTCACAGGTGCCTTTAGGAGTAACATTTCACTTGAGGGCTACACTGCCCCATTTTATAGGTGGGGAAACAAAGGCCTGGAGGGCTAGGGAGGAGGGCAGGCTCCCCAGCTGGGGCAACGCACCAGCTCCTTGAAGCTGTTCTGTGGCTCGGCCAGCTGCTGAAGCCTCTCCTCCTGCTCTGGAAGCCTCTCCTGCTGCTCCCGAAGCCTCTCCTTTTGCCCCTCATTCAGGAGACTTATGCGCTGATTGTACTCCACCTGGGCCTGGAGCGCTCCTGCCACTCTCTCTAGTTCCTTCCTCAGGTGCTGCAGCTCCGCCTCAGAGGGCACTGCTGGGGGCTCCGGGGGCAGAGGTTCAGCTGAGAAAGGAAGCAGACAATAAGAGCCTCTGGATTCCAAAAAAAAAAAAGAAAAGAAAAGAAAAGAAAAGAAAAGAAAAGAAAAGAAAAAACCCTCCTCTTGGCGCACAGCTCCTCTCCGGCTCCTCAAACTTGGCCTCACTGCTAATGATTCCTCGCACCCAGATGGTAGCCAGTCTTCCAAAGCACTTTCAGAGAAAGAGCACTGCGGGTGGCTGACAACGGGCCCTCTTTGCTGATGGGGACACTGAGGCTCATTGAGATGACAAGACTTGCCGTCTCCTGGCACAGACCTCTTTCCCTCTGCCTCAAAGCCCTTCCATCCACCCACCTCGCTGGGGCACTCCAAGCCACCCTCACAGCCCTCTGATGCCAGTCCTGCTGCCAGGTCACGCCAGCCCCATCTTACCCATCTGGTTTTTGAGTTTGGACAAGCTCCTCTCCAGCGTCTCTACCCGATATTTATCATGCTTCTTCTCCTTCTTCAACGAGCAAACCTGCCCAAAGCACAGGGGGAAAGGGCCCTGGAGAGAGGGGCTGGAGGCTGGACAGGCTGCCCTCTCCCTCTCTGCCCCCACCTCCACAAAGCCCAGTCCCATGACCACCTCTGGCTCTACTATTCCCATTTTACAGGTGCCCAGAAAGATCCAGTGACCTATCTAATGTGGGGGGGCTGAAGGGTCAGATCTCACCTCCTGCGACATTTTTCTCATCCTCTGCTGCCACCGGGCCCTCTCTCCTTTTAGATGTTCAGCATATTCATCCCTCTCTAGCTGGACTTCTTTAAGTGACTCCTTCAACTGCAAGAATGGGCACAGAAATTAGGAAGGGCTGTCACTGGTCCTCACCTGCTCCTGGTTACCTGGGGTCATCTTCCTTCCACATCCCTCCCTCTGAACACCTCACCTGTGTCAGCTGCGCTTTCAGCAGTGCCTGCTCCCGCATGGACTGCTCTAACTTCCACTCCGTACGTGCTTTACTGCGGCTGGAGAACTGCTGAAGAGTGAGAAGTTTCAATCTGGGGAGGCCGGGCCATTCCACACAGTGCCCCTTAAAAGGGCCAGGGCTAGGCCCAATATACAACTCGGTCAGTAAAGATCAAGGCATTTCCAAGCCCGTGGTTTGGTTTTTAAAGAACTCAGTAAAGTTGGAAGGGACAGGGAAAGAGATCGAATTTATAGCTGGCTAACAGAGGCCCAGAGAGATCAGATAATATTGCTGTTGTTATTACTGTTATTATTACCACTGTTTGAACTTTTATGGAGTGCTTCACCAGATACCATGCTAGCAATCCCATTTAATCCTCACAACCACCATGGGAGACAGTTACTATGATGACCTCTATTGTGTAGATGAAAAAACATGGAGTATTTGAGGTTAAGTGCTTGCCTAAGATCACTTAGGCAGAGCTGGGATTTAAACACCCAGATCTATCCAATTCTCTAAGCCCATTTTTCTTGCTGGGGGTGGGGGCACAGCTAGGAAGGGGAAAATTAATCTTTTGTTCACTTTTTGAAAGGATAATACATTCAAATAGTCCCAGACTCAGAAGGTACAGAAGGGAAGTATCTCCCAGCCACCCTGTTGCTCTCTCCTGAGTTTTTATGAACACTTGCAAACATATTTTATGTATATTATCATAATATGTACACACACACACACGTTTCCTCTCTCTACAGAAATGGTAACATACTAAAGGTACTCTTCTGTACCTTCACAGTACAAGTACCCAATACCCACTGAGGACTTGGCCAAGACCACAGCCAGGTAAAGGCATGGCAGGCACTTGGCCTCCAAGCTCTACGTCCTGTGCTTTGTCCCCAGAGTGCCCCCCAACTCACCCACAGCAGCTGACTCAGTCCCAAGCTGCCGCTAACAACCATACAAAAAAGCAGTGAGAAATGGCCATGCTGCCTTCTGGGCAGGACACTCCATCCTGCAGAAGGGACCTTTAGGCTCACTCCTCTGTCTGCAAAGCCAGGCTCCCAGGGGACGGGGCAGGTGGTTGGACTCACCCTCTCCGCCTTCTTCTTCTGTGTGGCGGTGACAGCAGAGAGAGCCCGCTCTAACTCTCCTTTACGCTGCAATGAATGTTGCAGACGGACGGCCAGATCCTTGGACTCTTCTGTAATGAGAGAGTTGAGATGGGGCCCAAAGGACTCCCCCTGAAGACCTGTCAAAGTCCCAGGTTGAAGGATGACAGGGTACCCAGATTCCCACCTTCAAAGTATCTGAGAGAACGTTTCGTGTGGTACAGGTCCGTATTTAGTTTCCCTTTCTGTATGTTCAATCTCTGGATTTGAACCTTTGGGAGAAAAGCCAAGCAAGTGCTGAAAGAGAAGGAAAGAAACATTCTCCGGAGGACAGGAGAAAACTGCACACCGTCCACTCACCTCTAGCTCCCTTTCGGCTTTCTGTTTCTCGTTGTTTGCTTTCTTTTCCTGTAGGAAGAGGAAGACAGAGATCTAACCAGGCAGAGGCAGAGATGGTACTGCAAGAGACATGTCCCCAGAATGCCACCACTGCCCCTGCCCCGGGACAGGCCCACCCATGGGACCGGGTTATCAGAGACCCTGTGGGGGATGGGGTGGACTCTGGGGGGTGAGCCTTCTTCCCCAGGCTGGGAGTGGGTGAGACGAGACTCGGGGCCTCTACATCTGAGTGTCCCCCAAACCGAGCAGTCATGTCGCGAGCAAACAAAGAAATCATGTTACTTCTTCCAGCTGATGTACCACTTGTTTCTTCTGTTGTTTCTGTGGGGAGAGTCACATTAAGGTGATGGAGGGTGGCCCCCTCAACTCTATTCCCCAGAGCAGGAAGTGGTAGGCAGGGACCAGGAATGGATTTTAAAGGCAAAGTTCTCAGACCCAGTGGGAACTCGAACTGGTAAACTCTCCTCAAGCTCCCAAGGACAGAGGATTTGGGTCTTTGTTGGCTTTTGCCCACAGCCACAGAACTGAAGGTCTGAATCTGGAATCTCTTGAGAGGACAGCAATATAAACCTCTAGAGATGGAGTTTGAGAAAGGCCCCCCCTTCTGCCAGCTTGTGATTTAGAAAAGTGCATTCATTCAATAAACATTTACTGAGCACGTACGGGCCAAGTACGGTTCTTCACAGAAGATTTAGGGTGGAAAAGGACAGACAGGAGCCTTTGGCCCTGAGGTTTCCATTCTAGGAGGCCTTTAAATCTCAGACTCGAGAGCTAACAGAGACCTTTGATACTCACTACTTCATGGAAACATGAGCCCAAAAAGGAGAGGTGGCTTGTCCAGAATCAAAGAGCAAATTAGGGACTGAGTCATGGCAGAAATACAGGGACCCTGACAACCAGTCAGGCTAGCACTTCCCCAAGAGGCAACAATCCCAGGGCGTGTGTAGCAAGGACTCGAGCAGGGGCATCTGGAGAGGGGAGAGTCAGCAAACAGGGCAGCAAAAAAAGAGCCATGCTGCATGCTCCGGGGTCCCTCCAGGTGAGGCCTGGGCGCCCCAGCTCCCTATTCGCCCTTGGCACCAGGGGCCGCCGTCCCCTTTCTTCAGGGCCCCAAGGGGAAACTAGAGCCCAGGATTGGCAGCGTGGAATCAGGGGACCCCAGTGGACTCTTACCAAAGATTTGATGGTGTTCTTCAGTTGACTGACTTTTACGGACCTCGAGTCTGGGACTACTGCTAGTTCTTGGCACGGGCTCTGAGGCGCATGCAGAGAGGAGGAGGTGGAGGAGGAGTGGGGGGAGAGGTAGAGAGAACAATCATTAGGGCTGGGGTGTCTGTGGACTGTCTCAGCTGGCAGAGGGGCACCCCGTCCCACCTGGAGGAGGAGGTTGGAGGGCTGGCCTGCAGGGTCACTGCACCTCTGCCCAGAGCCTCTTACCTCCAGATCCTTCAGGGTAGCAGATGATGTAGGGCTCTCCCCGTGGATACCTGTTGCTGACTACAAGAGATGAGAGTGCACATGAAGATGTTCTGTCCCACTCAGTATCTAAGCCCTCTGACTTCTTTTCTTCCCCATCAACTGGCACAATTTTCTTTTCTGCCTATCTTGGACCCTTTGTCCCATAACTCCTTTGTGCCAACTTCTCTCATGGTTCTTATCTCCCCACCACAGCACCCTGCGGCCCTTTCAGTGACTCCTGTGCCAAGTGACTGTTCTCATTGTCCTGGCTTCCCCTTGAGACTGGGGATGAGGAAAATCAAACAGCAATGACCATATCCTGGGTGTTCTGGGTGTTTACAGCAGGCCATGTACTAGGGATTAACATAAAAACAACAATAACAAATCTCATTTAAACTTCACAAATGGAAGTGAAACAATACCACCTCTATTATACAGATGTGAAAAGAGAGGCCCGATGAGGTCAAGCAACTTGCCCTAATTCATATCCCTAGCAGACAAAGAGGCAGGATTCAAACCCAGAATTCTTCACAGGTACCCAACAGTCCATCCACAATCTTAACAATTACCCTCTAGTGCCCCTTGGGTCCCCTGTCCCCAGGAACCTAGTCAGCCAAGACTCACATCTCCAGGTGAGTGGCAACCACCAGAAGTGGCTGTCTCATGGATGCTGCCATTTGTTTTCCTGTTCCTCTTGGCTCCTGCTGGAACACCAGGGCTGTTTCTCTGCCAATATTCTTTTAACTGTCAGAAACAAGAGCAGTAATACTCATGAGAACTATCAGCCCCTGCAGCCACATCCTCCTTTACAGTTTTTATAAAATACTCTTATACACCATCTGATTTAATGATACCAACAACTGTACAAGGTGTTGTCACAATCATTTAGTGACTCAAAGAGATTGATATCATGGCTAGAAAAAAAAAGAAGAAAAGAAAAAGGCGACAGACGAACTTTGAAACTCAGTCTTCTGACTCCAAACTCTGGGGTATTACCAAGAATCAGCAGCTGCCAGGGACCAAAACCAGAGGCAGAGGTAGAAAAGTAAACATTAAGTAGGCAGGAACTGTATGCCATGTGGTTTAGAGTCATACATCCTCACACGTCTGTTAGTGTGAAGAAGTGCACCAGTACCTCTCAAACTCTTATATCAATGTATCCTCATGGCAGAAGGCAGCCTTTCTGTTAAATCTGGGAATTTATCAGAAAGAGGACAACCCAAGCCTCATTTCAGAGAGAGGTCTGGTATACTCTTAGAAACCTATGTGACTGTCATCCCTAAGTACATTAATGTTTTTTCTCTTGATCTCAAGAGAATCAATGGAAACTGATGCTTCAGAAAGATGTCCCATATGTATCCTGTGGCACTCAAAGTACCCCAGGTTTACATAATATGAGGAAGATTCAAGCTGTCAAGTTCAGTTTCCCAAGATCTATTCCACAGAAGATGAGCAAATCTCACTTCACAGACCACTGACTGAAGGGCAGTCTGGTCCCAGAACCATGGAGAATTAGAATGTGAGGTGGAGAACTCACAAAAAATTTGTTAAAATCTCTCTGGAAAGTAGAAGCCTGGGAGAAAACCAAACCAAGTCAAACCCATTCTCCAGTTGCCATCCAGAGGTACTGTCAATGTTTTGAGCTCACAGGGGAAGTGTAGGCTTTTCCCGCTGTCAATGTTTATGTTAAGGGAGTGAGGCAGCCTGAAACCTCTTGCTCCTAGGTCCCAATCTCCATTCCCCTTCCAGCTGGAAATTTGTGCTGTGACAAGAGGAACCAGAAATGGGGTGGCAATGCTTAGGGGACTGGGTCATAAGATCAAAGGCCAGTCTTGCAGTAATGACAGTTACTGGATGGACCGTGACATCACTACATTCCACTCTTCCTGGTGAGGGGGAGGGACCACATCAGCATGATGTCCGAGTCACCGCTCCATGATAGGGGAGGGAAAAACAGAGCTGGGACCCAGGTCCTTGGAGACGCCAGTGCACACAGCCTAGGGAGGTCCACCTTGAGGCAGCAGGAGGGAAGGGAAGAGTCAGCAGCAGGGAGCCCCAGGATTCACCAGCCTAAAGTCACCCAGGGATGACTGGTGAGGGTGGGGTCTGGGGCTGTGGGACCCAGGTCCTTGGAGATGTGAGCCCAAAAAGCCCTGGGAGGTCAAGCTTGGGGTGGCAGGAGATGAGGGCCTAGTAAAGGAGCGGGGAGCCCCAGGATTCACCTGCCCAAAGTCACCCTGGGGTGATTGGTGAGGGCAGAGACTGGGCTGCTTGCTGAAGGGGTGGGGCTGACTGGCAAAACTTTGGTGGGGGTAGCCCAGAGGCACCGGTGTGGGGGTCCCAGTCCGGTGAACCTCGGGAGTGGTATGGACTCTGGCAGCAGTCTTGTCGTTGGAGAGGATCTGTGGCTGGGTTGGGGGTCCGTGACCTGGTGTGTTTTTACCTTTCTCTTGGCTGCTGCCAATTTACTTTGTCGAGTTTCTTCTGCCATCGCAGGGTGGGGAGGGAGGCGGGCTTGGGGCCACATCAGCAAAATCCCACCAAGCACTGATCAACACCTCCAGTCACCTACCAGGTAGCTGTGCGACTGAGCCAGAGGAGGCGTAACCAGGGATGCAGTAGAAGGCAGAATAGGGGCGTGGCCTTAATGCTCCAAGCCCATTGGTTAATGAGAAAGATGAAAGGGAAAGGGGGCGTGGCCAGGCATCATGTGTCCAGAGGGACCTTTGGCTCACAAGGAAAGCTGCCCATGCAACCACTGTCCCCACCCACCCTAAGAGAGGGGAGAGGCCGCCAACTCTGGGAGAGGGGCAGGGCCGGCTTTTGCTTTAAAAGCTTTTAAAAAATATATATGTGTATACTTTATATATATGTGTGTCTGTGTGTGTGTACCTGTGTGTTCCTCCAGAGCTGTCTTCATGATCCAGCTTCTATGCAAGGTCTATGATTTTGGCCTATATTTTTCATAGAGTACAAAAATTACCAGTATTACCTTAACCGAGATACAGATCCTGTAAAAATGGAAAATCCATAGCATGCTTGATGATTACTGAAGCAGACTATATTATCCAACATTCCAATAAGATAAAATAATCACAATGACTTCTCTTTTTTGGAAAAATGTTTCTCTTATTCTCCTACGTTATTGTGAAGACTTTTTTTCTTAAACAAGAAACATGTCTAATATTTGTAAAAACACAAAGCTTTTGGGCCGGGTGCAGTGGCTTATGCGTATAATTCCAGCACTTTAGGAGCCTGAGGCTGGTGGATCATGAGGTCAGGAGATTGAGACCATCCTGACTAAAAAGGTGAAACCACATCTCTACTAAAAATACAAAAAAATTAGCCAGGCGTGGTGGTGGGTGCCTGTAGTCCCAGCTACTTGGGAAGCTGAGGCAGGAGAATGGCGTGAACCCAGGAGGCGGAGCTTGCAGTGAGCTCAGATCGTGCCACTGCACTCGAGCCTGGGCTACAGAGCGAGACTCCTTCTCAAAATAAATAAATAAATAAATAAATAAAACTTCTATTTCTTTCACTTTCTAATATAATTTTAATATCTCCTCCTGGGATTTCACTAAGACACATTTTGGACCTCATTCTGATCTTCCTCTCCCCTCCAAGCCCACCAACTTCTGCCCTATCATCTATCCTCATGTCTCTCTGTGTGACATGCTGACTTACTTTTTGGAGAGAATCGTCTAAACAATTAATTCTTTCTTCTCGTGTCTAATCCATCCACTAGTTTCTTATTTCAACAATTACATTTTTATTTCCTTATTTCATTTTATTCTGAGACTGAGTCTCATTCTGTCACACAGGCTGAATTGCAGTGGTACGAACCTGCAGACTCGGCCTCCTGGGCTCAAGTGATCCTCCCACCTCAGCCTCTTGAGTAGCTGGGACTATAGGCAGGTGCCCCATACCCAGCTAATACCATACCCACACAGCAGAGACATAAAAGATTTCCATCCTCAAAGAAGGTTCCATTGAACAGCACTGCTCTAATTCAATAAAAAATACCACTGAGCACAACATAGTAATAGAAAAGATTGAAGAGGCAGTGCTGATACTTAAAAACCTGGTATTTTCAGCCAGGCATGGTGGCTCATGCCTGTAATCCTGGCACTTTGGGAGGCTGAGGTGGGAAGATCGCTTAAGCCCAGGAGTTCTAGACCAGCCTGGGCAACATGGTGAAACCCTGTCTCTACAAAAAATACAAAAAATTAGCTGGGCATGGTGGCATGTGCCTGTAGTCCCAGCTACTTGGGAGGCTGAGGTGGGAGATCACCCGAGCCTGGGAGGTCAAGGCTGCAATGAGGTGAGATGGCACCACCACACTCCAGCCTGGGTGACAGAGTGAGACCCTGTCTCAAAAACAAAAAACAAAAAACAAAACAAAAACACCTGATATTTATTTTTAAGTACACTATTTTCAAACATTCAGAAGTTATTTCATCCTACCTTCATGGTTTCCATTCTATGCCTGGTTTAGAATTGGGATCTGATAAAATAAACGTGTTCAACAGAACCACTTCTCATGGCTGTATAACAGATGATCAATATGTATTTGCTGAGGAAATCATACAATTTTCTTAATTTTTTTTTAACAAAAATTGTGCTTTCAAGGGACCAAACTTGAATACTACACCTTCATGTTCTAAGAATCAGGGGACTTATATAAAACCTCAGTTGCCTGATAAGGACTACATCAAAGTGAAAAGCCATGGGAAAGAACTAGAAAGTATACTTTTGACCCTAGTTCTGTAAAGTTTCCTTATGCCACAGGTAATACACATCGCAATTCCTGCCAAATTCTTTCCCTCACCTCTGTTTATGGTCTCGATTCCATAAATAGGAGAAGGGCATGAATTTGCTTTAGTTAGATAGACAGATAGATGGATAGATAGATAGATGGATGGATGGATGGATGGATGGATAGATAGATAGACAGAGATAAAGATAGAGACAAAGATGGAGACAGAGATGGACATAGAGACAGATTTGCAGAAGATAAGTTCTAGGTGAACTAGTGTCAACATTAAAGTGGTATGCCTACATCTAACTATTCTGGAGAGAAAAACATACCTCAAAGAAATTGACTTAAATATATACAGAGAAAAAGTTTAAGCTGAAAGCTACTGCCTTTTTATATGAGACACTTTAGGAAATTACTTGGGGGGCAAGAGAGAAAATGGGTGGACATAGCTCAGAGGTTACACAGTAGCAGATATGTAGGATGAACAAGCCTAGAAATATAATGTACAACGCGAGAAATATAGGTAATAAAATTGTGCTGTATTGGGATTCACGCTAAATGAGATTTTAAGCTCCTCTTGCCACCAAACAAAAAGAAAACGGGTAACTATCTGAGTTGAAGGATACGTTAATTTGCTTCACTGTAGTAATTTTTTTAACCATCTATATGCATCCCACAAAATCATGTTGTATACCTTAAATACACAGAATACAATTTATTTAACATAAAAAACTACTCCAATATTTTCTGCATTTTTAATATGCTCACCCAAAGAAAGCATTAATTTGCATCTTTGATGTTAAACAGATAGCCTAATCAAGTCACTATCAAGATCAAGACTAAAAGTTACAGCTTTTTTCTTTTGATGCCTTTCAGATATATCTATTTATATATAAAAATATATATACACACACACATACATACACACACACATCTATATGTAGTTATGTGTGTGTGTATATATAGTTACAGTTTTGGCCAGGTGCAATGGCTGACACCTGTAATCTCAGCACTTTGGGAGACCAAGGCTGAAGGCTTGCTTGAGGCCAGGAGTTTGAGACCAGCCTGGGCAACGAAGCAAGACCCTATCTCTACAATTTTTTTTTTTAAACAAAATTAGCCAGGGATGATGGCATGCACTTGTAGTCCCAGATACTTGGGAGGCTGAGGCGGAGGATCCCTTGAGCCCAGGAGTTCAAAGCTGCAATGGGCTGTTACTGTGCCACTGGATCCCAGTCTGAGCAACAGAGCAAGACTTTGTCTCAAAAACAAAATTTATAGTTATAGTTTTATGAACCTTGACTGCAACTGAGGGAAAATCCCGTAATTGGCAAAATGAATTCTGCCTGCTTGCAAAACTTCTGACTAATACGGAATGAATAATAGGAAGCCCATATTAGAGGATCCACATCAGTTAAAAAGTTTCCAAATAAGAGTGACTCTGAGTTCTGCAGAGTGAAAAGATTGGGTTCAAACCAAACACTTGCAAGATCTTGAGTAAGATACTTAATCCCTCTGTGACTCACTGTTCTCAAATGTAAGTGAAGATAATTTGTAACTCAAAAAAAATGAAAAAGTTTTCTCTAAGATTGCAAATCCTAAGGATAATTTCATTTTAATATCAGTTATTTAGTCTGGATACACCATAATGCAGACTAATTTTCCCTCTGCTTAAAGACCACACAAAAACATTACCAATAAAATTTACTTGTGTATCAACTTTTACTCCTGAGACTTCATCGTTTGTTTGGTTAAAAAAAAAAAAAAAAAAGCGCACTAGACCGGGCACAGTGGCCCATGTCTGTGATCTCACTTGCGGAGGCCAAGGCAGGTGGATGAGTTTGAGAACAACCTGGGCAACATGGAAAAACCCCGTCTCTACAAAAAAAATATATAAAAATTAGTCAGGTGTGGTGGCACATAACTGTGGTCCCAGCTACTCCAGAGAGTGAGGCGGGAGGATTGCTTGAGCCCACGCAGAGGTTGCAGTGAACCAAGATGGCACCACTGCACTCCAGCCTGGGTGACAGAGCAAGACCCTGTCTCAAAAAAAAAAAAATCACTATAAAATTGAAATTCACAACAAAATGTGCATACTTAACCTTCTTTTTATTTATTTATTTATTTATTTTTAATATTTTGAGATAACATCTTGCTATGTTGCCTAGGCTGGTCTTGAACTCCTGGGTTCAAACCATCCTCCAGTCTTGACTTCCCAAAGTACTGGGACTACAGGTGTGAGCCACCAGCCCCGCCAGCCCTGTTACACTATTCTTGGCCCCTCAAGTGACTGTATGAATTTTAGGATCAGCCTCTCGAGTTCCACAAAAAAATTCTATTGGGATTTGTGTAGGAATTTCTTGAATTTATAGATTAATTTGTTGAGAAGTAGTATGTTTATAGCATTGAGTCCTACGATTCATAATATATATGGCATATATTTCAGTTTAGTCAGTTCTCCCTTTAAGTCCCTGGGTAATTTTTATATTTGTCTTAGTCCCTTCATAGTGCCATAACAAAACACCTGAGACTGGGTAATTTACACAGAGCAGAAGTTTATTTTCTCAGTTCTGGAGGTTGGGAAGAACAAGATCAAGACTCCAGCAGACACAGTGTCTAGTGAGGGCCTGGTCTCTGCTTCCAAGATGGTACGTTGAATGCTGCTTCCTCTGGAGCAGGCAAATGCTATGTTCTCATGAGGCAGAAGGGACAGATTTACCACCACCCACAAGCCCTTTTATAAGGAAGGCACTAATCTCATGCATGAGGGCTCACCCTTATGTCTTAATCACTTCTTAAAGGCCCCACTTCTTAGTACTATCATCTTGGGAATTAAGTTTTAATACATGAATTTTGGGAGACACATTCAGGCTATGGCAATACTCTTCATGAAAGGCCTGTGTATACTTTGCTAGATATATTCTCAGGGTTTTGTTGCTATTGTGAATAGAATCTCTTTTTTTTTTTTTTTTTTTTGCCACGGAGTCTGGCTCCTTTGCCCAGGCTGGAGTGCAGTGGCGCGATCTCGGCTCACTGCAAGCTCTGCCCCTCCAGGTTTAAGCAGCCTGTTGCCCAGGCTGGAATGCAGTAGCATAGTCATAGTTCAATACAGCCTCAAACTCCTGGGCCCAAATGATTCTCTAAGCTAATATTTTTAATTTTTTAGAGATGGAGTTTCATTCAAGGATCACTAAAGGCCAGTGATCCTCCCGCCTCAGCTTCTGAAATTGCTGGGATTACAGGTGTGATTGAGCCATGGAGCCTGGCCAGACATGGGCTATTGATTCTCGCTGTTACTCTTTTCCCTTTCCTTCTAATCCTTGTATTGGGAAGAAAACAGTATGGAAATTTTATTTCTTCATTTTATTGATACGTAGATCTCTGCTTAGAAGACAATTTTAGTTTTAAATTATAAATGTTTCGTTCATTATTCATAGAAAACTAGATTTGCCATGGGATATTTATAAGTGTTGCACGAATGAAGGGTTTTCTAGTCAAATAAGTTGAAACACATTACGTTAAACAAACTTGGACAGTTTTGTTTCCGGTCATTTTTAGAGTTCTAAATTATGATTCTACTCAAGAGGATATTGTATGCGGTATTTTCAAACCAACTCATCCTGCGTCAGGTTGTGGTTACGCTTTGGGAGAGGAAGCTATAATCTTATACTGAGACTGTAATGAATGTATTAAGGTAATTTTCGTAGCTTTCTCTTTTTGGAGTTACCTGAGAAATTATGACACCCTTTTCCAAACAGGCCAACCTGCTTTGCAAACACGATTTCCATAATTTTAACAATGGTGAGGCCAGGCACGGTGGCTCATACCTGTAATTCCTTCCAGCACTTTGGGAAGCCTAGGCAGGAGGATCACTTAAGCCAGGAGTTCAATACCAGCCTGGGCAACATGGCAAAAACTCATCTCTACAAAAAATACACATATTAGCCAGGCGTGGTGGCACACACCTATAGTCTCAGCTACTCAGAGGTTGAGGTGGGAAAATTGCTTCAGCTCAGGAGCTCGAGGCTGCAGTGAACGGTGATCACGCCACTGCACTCCAGCCTGGGTGACAGAGCAAGACCCTGTCTCAAAAACAAACAAAACAAAACACAAACCAAGGGTGAGAGAGATGTTAGATGTTTTTGTCCTTGTTACAGATGTAAATGCTCAGTTGGAAAGAGGGAACTATTTAGAGTGAAAAAGTTTCGGTGGAACACACACAAAAATAGGAAGATCAGGTATAACTGTTCCAAAAAAAAGAGTATGGCAGTATAGAAGAAAAGGTCTCCATGAAAATGCAGAAGAACAATTTCACAGCTGGTGCTGGCATTTCAGAGACCTTGAGCTGGGAATCAAAAGATGGGAATTTCAGTCTCGGATGTGCCACTCCTTAGAGGTTTAATATCTACTAAACCCGGCGGGCTCCACTTGGTGGTGTTTGCTATTTAAAAAAACAAAAACATGTGGCAATGATCTTCCACGTGATTCTGACTTGAGCCCCACGCGAGTCTGCAGACTTACCCTTCCACTGCTTTGCCCTTCAAGTTTGTGCCCATTAGCAAAGAGAAATTTTCTCTTTGGGATCACTGCTGTGTTGATCTCAGGAATATTTGGCGTTGAATTTAACATATTTTTCATATGTGTGTGCAATAGGGAGGCTGAGAAAGTTGTCTTTTTTTTAAGGTGTTCATTTTTGGGGTACAGGTAGCAGCCTGCTCTACAATCCACACAGAAGCTGGAAATAGCCTCTAGAGAATTTCCACGTTTAGAGAAGATAAATTTATACATTTGTATCTAATCAACATTTTTTAGCTAACATAGTAGTCTAATTATACTATGTATAATTATACTATGTATAATTATGGGTACTGAAATGACACCTGGCATATGCTGTATGCTGTGTTATATATACATATATATTTACACATATACATATATATTACACATATACATATATATTTACACATATATATTTACACATATACATATATATTTACACATATATATTTACACATATACATATATTTACATATTTTACATTTACATTTTACATTTATTTTACATTTTACATTTACATTTGACATTCTACATTTATTTTACATTTACATATTTTACATTTACAAATATTTACATATTTTACATTTATATATACATATATTTACATACATATATTTACGTACATATTTTTACATACATATTTACATGTGTATATATTTACATACATTCACATACATATTTACATATATATTTACATACATACATATTTACATAATATTTACATACACATATTACATACATATATGTACACATATACATATATTTACACATATACATATACTATGTATAATTATGGGTACTGAAATGACACCTGGCATATGCTGTATTTAAAAATGTGAGGTTCAGTGAGAACACATGGACACAGGAAGGGAAACAACACATACTGGGGCCTGTCAGGGCGGGTGGGGGAGGAGCATCAGGAAAAATAGCTAATGCGTGCTGGGCTTAACACTGAGGTGATGAGTTGATAGGTGGACCAAACCACCATGGCACACGTTTCCCTACGTAACACTCCTGCACATGTACCCTAGAACTTAAAACAAAATTTTAAAAATAATAAAAAATAAAAATGTGAAATTCAGCACATAAACTGTTGGTTTTATTATTCATATTTTCTTAATTCAGAAATTATTTTCTGAACTATGGTTTATTCGATAATTTTGACGTAACAATTTTTTAAGAGGAAATTTAAGTTTTACTTTTTAATTGGGGCTCTTGGTTCTTTTTAAGAAAGACAGAGATAAATCATTTATACATTTAATTAGAAGAGACTGGGCTTGAATTTTTAAAAAGTACTAGAAATCGTAGCCACTATATATGTTATCTTTGAAATGTTTTAGACACTAATTACCTAAACAAGGAGCAAATAAGTTAAACCTCTTGGATTTTAATAAGAACTAAAATGTACAGTTGTATTTTCTGGTTTTTTAAATTGTTACAGTCTAAATTTATTCTTCCTAATGAAGAAATGTATGTGCCGTCAATATCAGGTTCTTTGTGGGTACTCACAGTTCCCTTTGCCTTTTACGCAGTGAATGTGGGCAACATGCGTGGAACAGAAATGATGTCGTTTTCTTTCTTTTGAATATCACTATGAATCTAATAATTCAAAGATTCCTAACTTTCTGAATGCCATTATTAATTGGATTCACAATGACTTACCAGGTACAGAGTTGTCCCGTGTGTCTTGGGGTGAACTACTGAGAGTGGTATGAGGGAAGCGATTCTCAGCTAGCGCTGAGTGGGGCCACTTCCAAAGAGGTGATGGGGTAAGAAGCACACACAATGTGGCATTTTCACTGCAAAGGGAGGTTTGTGCTGCCTCTCCTCCTGTGGCAGGTCTGCTCGCAGGGGAGGCTCCAAAGTTTGGCTTTGCTGGGTTTGGCATGTGAGAACTGATGAAATATCTGTATGTAGTATCTTTCAAGGATTTATATCGGTTGGATTTCTGTGTAAATTTGCATATCCCTTTGACTGCTTTACCCCATAGAAGCTTTGTATGCTTAACAAAATCTGTAACTTTTCTGTCACTTTCTCATTTAGCATCTGCCTTTCTGGCTTTTTACTTTATCTTTTTATTATTGTTTTTAGTTTAATGAGATTATGGTTAGAGAGAAAGATGGGTGCATGATTCCGCTTCTTTGGAATTTGTTGAGATTTTCCTTATGGCTCAGTACATATGTACTTGGGGGGGTGAATGCTGTCACTTTGGAGAGATATGTTTTTTCTGTACATTAAGTCAAGCTTGTTAATTTTCTAGAGAGATGTAAATCTTCTATGTCTATGCTGATTGTTTTTTGTCTCTTTTATCAGACACTGAGATATGTATTTAAATTGCCCTCTGAGGGTTGCAATTTTGTCATATTTTGCTTTCATGTATTTTGAGTGCTAGTTATTAGATACATTAACATTTTAGATTACCTTCTCCCTTGGTTTATTAGAATTTTTATCATTATATTGTGGCCTTAAAAAATCTCCCATATTGCTTTTTGCCCAAAGCCTATTTTATCTGATAATAATATAGCTTCCAACCCTTCTTTGGGTTAGGTACATATGACAGGTGTATCTTTTTTCAATCTCTCTCAGTCTTTCTGTGACTTTATGTTTTAGATGTCTTTTCATACTGTTTATTTTCTGTTTTTTGTGTTTTTTTGTGTGTTTTTTTTTTTTGATACGGAGTCTTGCTCTGTTGCCCAGGCTGGAGTGTAATGGTGTGATCTCGGCACTGCAACCTCTGCCTCCTGGATTCAAGCGATTCTCCTGCCTCAGCCTCCTGAGTAACTGGGATTACAGATGTTCACCACCACGCCGGCTAATTTTTGTATTAGCAGAGATGGGGTTTCACCATGTTGGTCAGGCTGCTCTCGAACTCCTGACCTTGTGATCCCTCCGCCTGCCTCATCCTCCCAAAGTGCTGGGATTACAGGCATGAGCCACCACGCGTGCCCTAATTCTGTTTTATAGTCATTTTCTCTTAATTATTCAGTCTATTTACATTTATTGTGATTGTTGGCATAGTTTCTTTTATAACTTTCATCGTATTTTGTGCTATTTGTTCCATCTGTTTTTATTTCTTCATGTCTTTTTTGTTTCGTTTTTGCTAATTCCTTTTATATTCATGGTTATTCTGCTCTTGAAATGTATGCTATGTGAATATATTTGTGAGTTGACAATACTTTATTAGCAATTAAATATACTATTTCTCTTTTTTTTTAGAACTTGCTCAAATGTTACATAACCTCAATATCCTTAGTATCTAAATTAAACTGACTTTCTGAACAATCATCATTTTAAGGCAGTTACCACGATCTACTAAAAAATAAAAAAAAATTAGCCGGGAGTGGTGGTGGGCGCCTGTAATCCCAGCTACTCAGGAGGCTGAGGCAGGAGAATCCCTTGACCCTGGGAGGCAGAGGCTGCAGTGAGCCGAGATAGCGCCACTGCACTCCAGCCTGGGCGACAGAGAGACTCCGTCTCAAAAAAATAATAATAATAATAATAATAATAAAGGAATTTAAAAAAAGACTGGGTTTAACCATGTTGCCCAGGCCGGTCTGGAACTCCTAGGCTCAAGCAATCCCCCACGCTTGGCCAGTCCAAAGTCCTGGAATCAAAAGCGTGAACCACCACGCCAGGCCGATCACGCCTGTCATCCCAGCACTTGGGGAGGCGGAGGTGGGTGGATCACCGGAGGTCAGGAATTTGAGACCAGCCTGGCCAACATGATGAAAACCCGTCTCTACTAAAAATACAAAAAAAAAAAATTAGCCGGGTGTGGCGGCAGGCGCCTGTAATCCCAGCTACTCAGGAGGCTGAGGCAGGAGAACCACCAAAACCCGGGATGCAGAATTTGCCGCGAGCGGAGACCCAGCCACTGCACTCCAGCCTGGGCAACAAGAAGGAAACTCCGCCTCAAAAAAAAAAATAATAATAATAATAAGAGACAGATTTTCACCATGTTGCCCAGGCAGGTCTGGAACTCTTAGGCTCAAGCAATTCCCCACGCTCGGTTGTCCAAAGTCCTGGGATCGAAAGCGTGAGCCACCACGCCAGGCTGATCTATTTCTTTCTGATTAATAAATTGGGCCGGGAGCGGTGGCTCACGCCTGCAGTCCCAGCACCCCGGGAGGCCGTGGCGGGCGGATCACCTGAGGTCGGGAGTTTGAGACCAGCCTGACCAACATGGAGAGACCTGTCTCTACCAGAAAAAAAAAAAAAAAAAAAAAAAGAGCCGGGCATGGTGGCTCCCGCCTGCAATCCCAGTCACTCGGAGGCTGAGGCAGGAGAACCACCCAAACCCAGAGGCAGAGGCCGCGGGGAGCCGACACCGCACCACTGCACTCCAGCCCTGCAACAAGAGGGAAACTACGCCTCAAAAAAAAAAAAAGAGAGAGAGAGAGAGACCGGTTTTCACCATGTTGCCCAGGCTGGTCTAGAACTCCTAGGATCAAGGGATCCGCCACGCTCGGCCGGTCCAAACTCCTGGGATCAAAAGCGTGAGCCACCACGCCAGGCCGATCCTTCCTGTCATCCCAGCACTTTGGGAGGCCGAGGTGGGTTTACCTGAGGTCCGGAGTTCGAGACCAGCCTGGCCAACATGATGAAAACCCATCTCTACTAAAAATACAAAAAAAAAAAAAAAAAAATTAGATGGGTGTGCTAGCGGGTGCCTGTAATCTCAGCTACTCAGGCGGCTGAGGCAGGAGAATCGCTTGAACCTGGGAGGCAGAGGTTGCAGTGAGCCGAGACAGCGCACCACTGCACTCCAGCCTGGGTGACAAAGTGAGACTCCGTCTCAAAAGTATATATATATAAAAATAAAAAATGAAATAAAAATAAATTGGGTGTGTGCGCTGGCTCACGCCTGCAATTCCAGCATCCCCGGAGGCCGAGGTGGGCGGATAACCTGAGGTCTGGAGTTTGAGATCAGCTTGCCCAGCATGGAGAAACCCCGTCTCTACCAAAAACAAATAAAAAAAAATTAGCAGAGCAATGTTGGTCAGGCCTGCAATCCCAGCCACTCCGGAGACTGAGGCAGGAGAACTACTAAAACCCTGGAGGCAGAAGTCGCTGCGAGCGGAGACCCAGCCACTGCACTCCACCCTGGGCAACAAGAGCGAAACTCCGCCTCAAAAAAAAAAAGAGAGAGAGAGAGAGAGAGAGAGAGACCGGGTTTCACCATGTTGCCCAGGCAGGTCTGGAACTCCTAGGCTCAAGGGATACCCCGCGCTGGGCCATCCGAAGTACTGGGATCACAAGCGTGAGCCACCACACCAGGACGATCTATTCCTTTCTGATTAATAAGTTGGGCCGGGAGCGGTGGCTCAAGCCTGCAATCCTAGCACCTCGGGAGGCCTAGGCAGGTGGATCACCTGAGGTCGGGAGTTTGAGACCAGCCTGACCAACAGGGAGAAACCCCATCTGTACCAAAATAAAAATAAAAAAAAAATACAAAATTAGCCGGGCTTGGTGGCTTATGCCTGCAATCCCAGCCACTCTGGAGGCTGATGCAGGACAACGACCGAAACCCGGGAGGCGGAAGTCGCGGCAAGCAGAGACCCAGCCACTGCATTCCAGCCTGGGCAACAAGAGCGAAACTCCGTCTCAAAACAAGACAAAACAAAAAGACCAGGTTTCACCATGTTGCCCAGGCCTGTCTGGAACTCCAAGGCACAAGCGATCCACCCTACTTGGCCGTCCAAAGTCCTGGGATCACAAGAGTGAGCCACCACGCCAGGCAGATCAAAGCGTTGAGCTGAATAAAGAGTTATCTTTTAGCATTTTGTGGAGCCCGGGTAGATCTGTGCAGGGGGAAGCATATTACAGAAGCGAGAAACAGAGAGTTATTTAATTGAAGCACGCATTATGTTTTTTTTTTTTTTACGTTTTTAGGAAAAATATGTTTTGTGACTTGCATTTGTTTGTTTAGTGACCTTGCAGTTGCACAGTTAGGGAATTAGGGTTTTGATAATGCCTGGGAAGGGAGCGATAAGGCTCACTAGCCATAGGAAAACAGGTAGTTTTTTTAAAGGACTAAGGCTCTTTCTCATTCTCAGGGGGAATTGGGTTTTTTTTACATACAGCTGAGTTTTTGCTTACACATTTTTTCATTTCTTTTAATTCCTGTTCCAATCCCAGCATCCTTGCGGTGCGGTTTCCCAGCGGCTCTCTTGCCTTGCAGCTTGTGTCGGGAGTTGCAGACAGCCATGGCCCATGGGCCTGGCGCTGACGGACCCTGGAGCGGTGTCTGAGGGAGGTGGGCAAAGCCACTGGCTGGCCCGAGTGCATCCTCACGTAAGTGCACAGATCCCGGGCTCGGGTGCGACTGCGGTCGCACGTGGACACGGGTTGCAGACCCCTGGCAAATTGTGGAGCTGGGGGAAGGTAAGGGGAAATGTAAATCACTTTTCCCCACATTTCAGAGGACCTAGGCTATCAAAATTTTAAAAATTGTTAAAACTTTTACAGTATGGATCTCTCAGTTGAATGTTATTGAAATCAACCTAACCTCAGTTATTCACGCCTATAAGCTCCCCTTGAGGCTTATTACGGCCCCCATCCCCCTACACACAACTGTGTTGGTTTCTCCTTCCGCCTGTGCTCCTAAAGCACTCAGTGTTTACCTGCCATCATACTTTATTGAAAGCACAAACTTGTCACTTGTCTGTCTACCCCACTAAGCTTCTTGAGAATTAGAACTTTCATGTCTCTTCCCAACACAAACGTTTTATGTGTATTTTGTTGAAGAACTTCAAATATGACCTATAAAATTATGACTCATTTATGTTTCAAACTCCAACCTCTCCCTTGAGTTCCTTGCTCACAAGCAACTCCAGACTGAGCTTAGTTGGAATTCAGTAGCGCACAACTGGGATATCCGCACCGTACGGCTTTTAACAATTTTTTAAATTTTGGTCCTCTCAGCATCACAAATTCACCGTGTCCAAAATACAGTAGAATGTTGTTTCTACCCACCTACACTCTGCCATCCGCTGAAGTCCTTTCCCCTTGCTCCACCACTCAAGCCTTGCCTATCGCAGTAAATGGCAGTTCTGTCTCTCCAGTTGCTCGCACATAAAACTAGGCTGCTATTTTGATGTCTTCACTTTTCTCTATTCTGTATCTAATTCCTTAGCAATCCTGTCAGTTCTACCTCCAAACTGTACTCAGCATATTCACTGCTCTAACTCCAGCTTAAATCACCATCATCCTTTGCCTGGAATGCTGCATCAACCTTCTAATCACTCTACTTTCCTCCTCCTCCTTCCTCCCTTTCTTCTTCCTTCGTATAAATCATCATTTCATCCTTCTGCTTAAAATCTTCTCACATTTTCTTATTACACTTAAAACGGCAAACTCTTACCCTTGAGCCCTGCAGAATTTGGCTCCCATCAGTCTCTCCGACTTCACCTTCTGCCTCCTTCACGCTATAGCCATGCTCACTTTTTTATTCCTCAGGCTTACCAAGCTCAATTGCATCTTAGAGAATTTGTTCTTGCTGTTTCTTCTGCCTGGAATACATGTTTCCCAATCTTTATAAGACTATACTTGTCTGTAAGTTTCACCTCAGATGTCACATCTAGGAGAGGTTTTCCTTGACCACTGTAAGCCAAAGCAAATGTTGATCATTGAGTGAATAAGGGAATGAATGAATGGAGTGGTATATAATGTAGCAGAGTAGAAAATTTAAGGCTAATTCTCTATACATCTCCAAGCAAATAGATTTGTAATGCTTTTCCTGCCAACAATCTATACAGCTGATTCACAAATACTTGGTTGACAGGTTTTATATATCATTGTGGCTCATCAGCTTATATATTGTTGGGGCCAGAATCTATACTTACACTTTATTCAAATTTGATTTTACAGAAGAGTTGAGGTTTTTATTTTTCTTTTAATTAAGAGGGCTGTGAAATTATTATCTATAATTCTAAATCTCATTTAATTCCTCCCAATAGGTTTCAAGCTGGATTGGAACCAAAGTTCACTTCTTTAACGAAAGTGCTTTATGACTTTAATAAAACAGTAGAGAATGGTAGAATCCATGGCAGCTCTTTACAAAAACTTGTGATAGAAAGTTTTGATGATGAGCAGACTTTGCAACAACTGGAATTGCAAAATGAAGCAATTTTACAGTGCTTCCAGAATGCGGTTAGTGAAAGAAAGATGAAGATATCAGTCTTCTCCCAGAGAGTGAAGAACAGGAGCATGAAGAGGCTGGTTCAGAAACAGAGGCTGATGGCCAGGAGGACTTAGAAGATTTAGAGGAGGAGGAGGACGTGTCAGATATGGGTGGTGACAATCCTGAAATGGGTGAGAGAGCTAAAAACTCAAGCAAATTCAGGGCCAGGCGCGGTGGCTCACGCCTGTAATCCCAGCACTTTGGGAGGCCGAGGCAGGCGGATCACGAGGTCAGGAGATCGAGACCATCCTGGCTAACAAGGTGAAACCCCATCTCCACTAAACATACAAAAAATTAGCCAGGCGTGGTGGCAGGTGCCTGTAGTCCCAGCTACTCGGGAGGCTGAGGCAGGAGAATGCCATGAACCCGGGAGGTGGAGCTTGCAGTGAGCCTAGATCACGCCACTGCAGTCCAGCTGGGCGGCAGAGTGAGAGACTGCATCTCAAAAACAAAAACAACAATTACTTAACTTTAGGATGCTCCAATAATCAAAATTGATAGTGGCTTGTGAACAGATAGATTACTTGAATAGAATAGAGCCCAGAAATAAACCCAAATGCTTCTGGGGGAGTTTGGTACATTATAAACATGACATTTTAAATCAATGAGGAAAAGAAATCATTTGCAGCTCACCCCACCATACACAGCAGGAATAGGAAGTCATTGGCAGAATAAAAAGATGGTAAGAACAGAACAGAATTGTAGAACAGTACATTTCTCGCTTCCCCACTTTTCAAAGTATTTTTTGCTTTTTCACAAATGTAAGTGTAATTTTATTTTCTAAATGTATACTAATTCTTTTCTTCTCTTTCTTAGATGAATGACAAAAATTACATCTTTAGAAAAAGAGTTGTTAGAAAAAAGCCTTGGCTGCATGTGGGGGAAGTGACAGCACAGAAGAGACCAGAGAAGAGCCTCCTGGAGGAGAGCCTGCACTTTGACCATGCTGTCCGGATGGGTGCAGTGCTCTTTTCTGCAAAGTGTTCACTTCTCTGCTTTTTCTGTGGTCCCATTTCATAGAAAGATTTGGGGTGATGTTTCTTTCCCTCAACTTTTATTTTGAAAACTTGCAAACACAGAAAAGTTGATAAAATCATACAGTGAACATCTGTATGCTATTCAACTGGATTCACTAGTTAATGTTTTGTCACACTTGTTTTCTGTCTTCTGCGTATGGAAGATTGTATATGTGCCCTTTTTCCCCCTGAATCATTTCAAAGTAAGTTGGCAGTATCAGAGCATTTCACTGTTAAGTACTTTCGCAGATATCTTCTAGGAACCAGGACTTCTCCTATATAATCACAATACCATTAATCCACCCCCAAAATTTAACATCAATACACTAATGATACCTACTGTATAGATTATAATCAGCTTCCTTGCAGCAATCTGTTTAGAAGGCTTGCATCCTGTCACTGTCCACTGATTAAATTTTGAACTCTAACTTGAAACCCTGGTCATCTCATTGCCTTCTTTCTTATACCCATTAAGTCAAAAGGAGCTCTCATTTTATTTCAACAGAAAAAAGAATGGAAAAGAGGGGAAGAGTCCCTAGTACCTTGGATAAAGTATGAGCACTTACTACCATATGTATTCTAGTTCTGTAGTTTTCAAACTTCAGGGAGCATCTCAAGGCTTATTAAAGCACAGATAGCTGTCCTTCCCCACTTTCTGATTCAGGAGGTGTGGGGCTGGCCCAGGAATTTGCATGTCTAACAAGTTCCCACGTGTTTCTGATGCTGAGGGTGTAAGGACTACAATGCGTGAATCCGTGGTTTAGTGGATCCACCTAATGAATACATGTTGTATTTCCTTTGGCACCCGTGATTACAGAGGAAACACCTTTCAACTGGAAGGTATCATTAAACAGAGGATAAGAGATCAGGTCAGTAAGAATTAAATTTCACTTAATTGAAATGTCACTCAAATGTTTAGAAATAATATGACAGGCCAGGCACAGTGGCTCATGCCTGTAATCCCAGCACTTTGGGAGGCCAAGGCAGACGGATCACTTGAGGTCAGGAGTTCGAGACCAGCCTGTCCAAGATGGTAAAACTTCCTCTCTACTAAAAATACAAAAATTAGCTGGGCATGGTGGTGCATGCCTATAGTCCCAGGTACTCGGGAGGCTGAGGCAGGGGAATCGCTTGATCTCGGGATATGGAGGTTGCAGTGAGCTGAGATGCGCCACCGCACTCCAGCCTGGGCAACAGAGTGAGACTCCATCTCAACATAAATAAATAAATAAATAAATAAATAAATAAATAAATAAATAAATAAGATAAAAATAAAAATAAAGGGAAGATGGGGCAGCTTTGTGTATTGCATGTCCTGAAAATGGGCTGATTTCTCTCAAGAGGCAGGGATTTAAGCTCTGTAGCCTATGTGGGATACATACAGGAGAAAAAAGAAGAAAAAGAAAAGAAATGTAAATATAAATAAATGAAAATAACACTTTTCCATGATTATAAAGGAAATCACATTGTTTTTGTAATAATTTGGATGACAAAATGTAAAGAAAAATCTTTAATTTTGCCACTCAAAACATTCCGGTTTGTTGCTTTTCACACTTTTTATGCTGTAAACATTTTAAAAAGTAGAATCACAATACATGGTCTTTTGTCACTTACTATATTTTAAGCATGTTTCTATGGAGAAATATACCCTGGCATCATCACTGGATGTATGTTAAGTGAGTCATTGCCACCCCAGAGGTGGATTTCCTTCTATATATATTTTAATGGACTCGAGTGAGGATTTTTGCACTGAATTCATAGAAGTAGAATTTCTAGAGGAAAGTAATATAAAACAGTTTTAGGATTTTTAAAAGAAATGTTCAAATCATCCTACAGGAAAATTGGTTGAGTTTATGCTCCCACCAACAGGGACAGAGCTCCAGGTTCCCCCTTCCATTTGTCATCTTCGCTGGTCTTTAAGCAGAAAATCTCATTGTTTTCATTACCTTTCTTTGATTTCTAGTGCTTTTGAATCTTTTTCATTTGCTCATTGGCCATTTTTATTCTTGTGGGAAGTGCTGGTTTCTCCATTGCCCATTTTCTGCTGCAAATCATTCATTTTTTTTTCTGAGTAATTTTAAAGATTTCTTTATAGGCTAAGGCTACAAACCTTTAATCTGTCATTGAGGTTACAAAGATCTTCTCCCAGTGAGTAATTTGTCACTTCACTTTATTTATTTATTTTTTGCTAGCAAAGCACCAAAGTCAAATTTCACTTAATTTTTATCCTGCTGAATGAACACATTTTAAGTTAGTGATTTTAGTGGAAACAGGAGCAGGACAGAATGTAATAATTAGATCTCGCTCTGTCACCCCAACTGGAGTGCAGTGGCATGATCATAGCTACTGCAGCCTCAAACTTCTGGGCTCAAGTGATTTTCCCACCTCAGCCTCCCAAGTAGCTCTAGGACTACAGGTGTGTGCCGCCAAGCCCAGCTAATTTTTAAATTTTCTTTGTAGAGATATGAATTCGCTATGCTGCCCAGGCTGGTCTTTAACTCCTGACTTACCCCACCTTAGCTTGCCAATATGCTGGGAGTACGGGCGTGAACTACTGCTCCCGGCCAAGAGCTTACTTTGGTTTGCTAGCAAGGTTCTTGGTATCTTTTTATATTTGAGGCTTTCGTGCTAGTGCTGAAGTATTACACTCACCATCTGAGGTTTACAGGACTTTTGTTTTAATATTGAACCGAGGGAACTGTTTAGTTTTGCATCTTTGCAGGTATACAAAATGTGCCTACCAGGACTCTGCTTTATATCCATTGAAAAGCAAGAAGTAATACAGTAAAAGTTTGCCTGGCTACAGGCTTTGGAAGAATGGAGTATTCTGGTTTAATTCTATTAACTTGGAAGGATGAAGGTGGAAAAAATTCAAAACTTTAATTTCCTGTTGAATGCAATTTGAAAATATAGCCAATGAGTCCACTTTTCTTCTCTAGTAAGTTTGGACATTCAGATCTACTTGGTCTTTTATCATAGAACTCCTAGTGCGCCTGAGTCTTACGTTGTGAAAATCCTTTTCTAAAACTTTAGATGTAAGAGGATAGAAATGATATTGGATGAGATCAGGCTGGATGAGAACTGATACCTGTAGATATATTTTTTAGATGAAATCTCTGATTGCCACACGTTTTCTTATTGAACTCATAAAAATAAAACACACTGGCTGGAGGGTGGAAGTAGGAAGGAGATTTATGTCTTTTAATTGCATGTCATTGTTTCATATTGAGACAGAACATATAGTATCCCTGGCTTTGGACCTACAGAAGGAAACACATTTTTCTACCTGCTGTATGGCAGAGGTTCCTGAGCACCTGGAGGGATTATTGCAGCACGGATTGCTGGGCCCTACTGCAGAGTTTCTGATTCATTCGTGTCTAGGGTGGGGCCTGAGAATTTACATTTATAAGAAGTTCCCAGGTGCTCCTGGTCCGGAGACTACATGTTTGAGAGCCACCCTTACATACTAACTGTAAATTGTAGAACTCTAGAAAAAAGCGTAGTTTGGACTGGGAGAAGAAGCACACAGGTAATGGAGCAAATCATGAAAAAGTCAACCCTTGATCCCAGGTAACAAGCAATACACAGTGACATAACACAATTCTTGGTTTTCATGATTGCAAGTCATAGCCAAGTATCGAGTGAGAAATTCAGTTTCATTTTCAGGGCTTAGAGGCCAGGTGATTCTAGAAAAATCGGATTTAGTGATTAACTCATGAGAGTAGGAGTTATTTATGTCCTTTTTCTCTCCCCCATCACTTAGCATTTAGCCTTACTTTAGAAGGGTCCTGTATTTGCTTTAACCTTGTAAAGAACTTTGAGTGCTTATTAAATGGAAAGCCTTGTGTGTGTGTGTGTGTGTGTGTGTGTGTCTATGCGTGTGTGTGTGTGTGTGTGTGTATTTAGAGACAGAGTCACATTCTGTAGCAGCCCAGGCTGAAGTGCAGTGGCATGATTTTGGCTCACTGCAACCTCTGCCTCACAGGTTCAAGGGATTCTCCTGCCTCAGCCTCCCAAGTAGCTAGGATTACAGGCACCTGCCACCATGCCCAGCTACTTTTGTATTTTTAGTAGAGACAGGATTTCATCATGTTGGCCAGGCTGGTCTTGAACTCCTGAATTCGGGTGATCCACCCGCCCCAGCCTCCCAAAGTGCTGGGATTACAGGCATGAGCCATCACGCCTGGCTCAAAGCTTTGTATTTTTAAAGATATTAGACATGTTTCTTGTTTGTTTGTTTTTTTAAAAAAAACTAAACGCTAATGTAGGAGAATAAGAGAAAGTTTTTCCAAAAAAGAGAAAACATTGTGATTATCTTATTGGAATGTTGGATAATAAAGTCTGCTTTATCAATCATCAAGCACACTATAAAATTTCCATTTTAATAGGACTTGTACCTCAATTGAGGTAATAAAGTTTTAAAGTTTTTAAAGTGAAAGCCAGCCCCGCCCCTCTCCTGGAGTGGGCGGGGACAGCGGTTGCATAGGCAGCTTTCCTTGTGACAACACAGGTCCTTGATGACACGCTGCTGTCTGGCCACACCTCCTTTTCCTTTCATCTTTCTCATTGACCAATGGGCTTCAAGCATGAAGGCCACACCCCTATTCTGCATTCTAGTGCAGCCCTGGTTACGCCTCCTCTGGCTCAGTCACACAGCGACGTAGAGGTGACTGGAGGTATATACTTGTCCTCACCTGGATCATGCTGATGTGGCCCCAACCCCACCTCCCTACCCATCCCCACCTCCCTACCCATCCCCACCTCCCTACCCATCCCCACCTCCCTACCCATCCCCACCTCCCTACCCATCCTATGATGTCCAAAGAAACCAGACAGAGCAAATTGGCCGAGGCCAAGGAACAGGTAAACGCACCAACACCCCAACCCAACCCGAGGCCCCCTCTGACAGCCGAACTGCTGCCAGAGTCTGTGCCACTCCTGAGGGACACCAGGCTGGGCCCCCCACCCCAGTGCCTCTGGGCTCCCCACACCAAAATCTTGTCAGCCAGCCCAACCCCCTCATAAGTCCTGCCCCTGCTCTGCCCGGCACACCAGGGTGACTTTGAGCAGGTGACTCCTGGGGCTTCCAACTCCATACTCCGCCCTTACCTCCTGCTACCCCAAACCCGACCTCCCTGGGCTCCTTGAGCTCACAGCTCCAAGGACCTGGGTGCCCCAGAACCTGCCCTCACCAGTTGCCACAGGGTGACTTTGGGGATGTGACTCCTGGAGCTCCTTGCTCCTTAATTGGCCCTCACCTCCTGCCGCCCCAAGCCTGACCTCCCGGGGCTCTTTGGGGTCACGTCTCCAAGGACCTGGCTCCCAATTTTGTGACCCCCTCCCCAGTCTCAAAGCGGCAACTTGGGCATTGCACTCATGTGTCCCCCCCAACCACTCCACCGAGGAGTAGAATGTAGTGATGTCACAGTCCCGCTACAAACTGTCATTACTACCACAAGACCGGCCTTTGGTCTTAGGACCCAGTCCCCTAAGTGTTCTTGCCCACTTCTGTTTCCTCTGGTTGCAGCACAGGTTTCCAGCTGGAAGGGGAATGGGGACTGTGGGACCTAGAAGAGAGAGGTTTCAGGCTGCCTGACTTCCTTACCACAGACCTTGACAGTGTGAAAAGCCTACACCTCCCCCATGAGCTCAACACGTTGACAGTGTCTCTGGGTGGCAATGGGAGAACGGGTTTGGTTTGGTTTTCTCCCAGGCTTCTACTCTCCAGAGAGATTTTAACATTTTTTCTCAGTTCTGCACCTCAGATTTGAATTCTCCATTGTTCTGGGACCAGAGTGCCCCTCAGTCACTGGTTCTGGAGTGAGATCTGCTTATCTTCTGTGGAACAGATCTTGGGAAACTGAACTTAGCTTGAGTCTTCCTCATCTCATCTCAACCTGGGGTACTTTGAGTGCCACAGGATAAATATGGGGCATCTTTCTGAAGCATCAGTTTCCCTTGATTCTATTGAGAGGCAAAACATTAATGTACTTAGGGATGAAAGTCACGTAGATTTATAAGCGTATACAAGACTTCTCTCTGAAATGAGGCTTGGGTTGTCCTCTTTCTGTTAAATTCCCAGATTTAGCAGAAAGGCTGCCTTCTGCCATGAGGAGACATTGATGTAAAGGTTTGAGAGGTACTGGTGTACTTTTTAACACTAACAGACGTGTGAGGGTGAATAACCCTAAACCACATAGTGCACAGTTCCTGCCTACTTAATATTTGCTTTTCTACCTCTGCCTCTGGTTTTGGTCCCTGGCAGCTGCTGATTTAGGGCAAAATCCCAGAGCTCAGAGTCAGAAGACTGAGTTTAAGTTCCATTACTGCCTTTTTTTTCAGCCATGGTATCAATCTCTCTCAGTCACTAAGTGATTGTGACAACATTTCCTACAGTTGGTGGCATTAAATCAGATGGTCTATAAGGGTATTTAGTATAAACTGTAAAGCAGGATGTGACTGTAGGAGCTTGTAGTTCTCATGAGTATCACTGCTCTTCCTTTCCACAGTTGACAGACCATCATCCCCAGACCAACCCTAGTGTTGGTACAGCAGCAAGCGACACCAAAAAGAAGAAAATAAATAATGGCACTAACCCTGAGACAACCACTTCTGGTGGTTGCCACTCGCCTGAGGATGTGAGTCTTGGCTGGCCGGGCTCCTGGGGACAGAGGGCCCAAGGGGTGGTGGAGGGTAATTGTTAAGATTGTGGAAGAACTGCCAGGTACTGGCTAAGAATTCTGGGTTTGAATCCTACCCCTCCATCTGCTAGGGACATGATTTAGCGCAAATTGCTTGAGCTCTTTGGGCCTCTCTTTTCACATCCGTAAAATACGAGTGGTATTGTTTTCCTTACGTTTGTGAAGTTTAAATGAGATTTGTCATTGTGTTTTTATGTTAATCCCTCGTCCAGGACCTGCTGTAAACTCTCCTTCTTGGGCTTGCGTTTCCTGAGGTAGAGTTAGAGAGTATCAGAGGTTTCTGTTAGCTCTGAGAGCCCGAGAGTTAAAGGCCCACTAGAATGGAAACCTCGGGGCCAAGGGCTCCTGTCTGCCTTTTCTGACCTCTATTCCCGCTGTGAAGAACCGTCCCTGGCCCGTATGTGCTCAACGTTTGCTGAGTGAATGCACCTTTCTAAATCACAAGCTGGCGGAAGGGTGGGCTTTTCTCGCACTCCACCTCTGAAGGTTTCTGTTACTGTCTTTTCAAGAGAATCTAGTTTCAGACTTTGAGTTCTGTGGCTGTGGGCAAAAACCAAAAAGACCCAAATCCTTCTTCTTTGGGAGTTGAGGAGAGTTGACCAGTTCATGTTCCCATTGGGTCTGAGAACTGTGCCTTTTAAATCCATTCCTGGCCCCTGCCTATCGCTTCCTGGCCTGGGGAATAGAGTCAAGGGGGCCACCCTCAGTCACCTTCCTTTGACTCTCCCCACAGAAACAATAGAACCGAGCTCAGCTGGAAGAAGTAGTGTGATTTCTTTGCTCACGACATGACCGCTGGGTTTGGGGGCACTCAGATGTAGAGGCCCCAGGCTCATCTCACCCACTCCCAGCCTGGGGAAGAAGGCTCACCCCCAAGATTCCACCCCATCCCCACAGGGTCCCTGATAAACTGGTCCCATGGGTGGGCCTGTTCTGGGGCAGTGGTGCCATTCTGGGGGCATGTCTCTTGCTGTGCCATCTCTGCCTCCCCCTAGCAAGAGCTCTGTTTTCCTCTTTCTATAGGAACAGAAGGCAAGCCACCAACATCAGGAAGCCCTAAGGAGGGAGCTAGAGGTGAGTGGAGGGTGTGAAGTTCCCTCCTGCCCTCTGGAGAATGTTTCTTTGCTTCTCTTTCAGCATTTGCTTGTCTTTTCTCCCAAAGGCCCAGGTTCATACCATACGAATCCTTACATGTCAGAAAACTGAGCTTCAGATGGCACTCTACTACAGCCAGCATGCTGTCAAGCAGTTGGAAGGTGGGAATCTGGCACCCCATCATCCTTCAACCTGGCACTTTGACAGGCCTTTAGGGGGAGTCCTTTGGGCCACATCTGAATGTCTCTCATTCCAGGAGAGGCCAGGGATCTGATCAGCCGCCTGCATGATTCATGGAAGTTTGCAGGAGAGTTAGAGCAGGCTCTCTCTGCTGTCGCTACACAGAAGAAGAAGGCGGATAGGGTGAGTCCAAACACGGCCCCGTCCCTTGGGAGCCCAGCTTCGCAGATGGAGGAGTGAGCCTAAAGGTCCCTTCTGTAGGATGGAGTGTCCTGCCCAGAAGGCAGCATGGCCATTTCTTGCTGCTTTTGTGTGTGGTTGTTAGAGGCAGACTGGGGCTGAGTCGGCTGTTGTGGGTGAGTTGGGGAGCACTGTGAGGAGCGAGCACTGGACATAGAGCTCAGAGGCCAAGTGCCCGCCCTGCCCATACTTGGCTGTGGCCTTGGCCAAGTCCTAAGTGGCGGTTAGGGTACTTGTACCATAAAGGTACAGAAGAGTATCTTGAGTATGTTATTATTTGTGTGGAGAGAGGGGGCAGGTGTATATGTGTGTGTGTGTACGTATTATGGTAACATACATAAAACACGTTTGTAAGGATTCATTAAAAAACTCAGGATAGAGGCACAGTGTTGGGGGGAGATATTTCCCTTCTGGACTTTCTGAGTTTTGGACTATGCGAACGTATCATCCTTTCAAAAATTCAACAAAGGATTAATTTCCTCCTTCTTAACTGTGCCCCTACCTCCAGCGGAAGAATGGGCTTAGAGAATCAGATATAGCTGGGTGTTGAAATCCCAGCTCCAAGTGATCTTAGGCAGCACTTAACCTTTAATACCGCATGTTTTTCATCTACACAATAGAGGTAATAATGGTAACCATCTCCTATGGAGGTTGTGAGGATTAAATGGGATTGTTAGCATAGTGCCTGGTGAAGCACTCAATAAAGGTTCGAACAGTGGTAGTACTAACAGTAATAGCAATAACAATATTATCTGATCGCTCTGGGCCCCTGTTAGCCAGCCCTAAATTCAATCTCTTTCCCTGTCCCTTCCACATCCACTGAGTTCTTTGAAAAACAAATGAGGGCCAGGTGCTCTCGCTCACGCCTGTAATGCCAGCACTTTGGGAGGCTGAGGTGGGCGGATCACCTGCGGTCAGGAGTTCAAGACTAGACTGACCAACACGAAGAAACCCCGTCTCTACTAAAAATACAAAATTAGCCCGGTGTGGTGGCACATGCCTGTAATCCCAACTACTCGGGAAGCTGAGGCAGGAGAATTGCTTGAACCCAGGAGGTGTAGGTTGTGGTGAGCTGAGATTGTGCCATTGCACTCCAGTGAGGGCAACAAGAATGAAACTCTGCCAAAAAAAAAAAAAAAAGAAAGAAAGAAAGAAAGAAAGAAAGAAAAACAAATGAGACCATGGGCTTGGAAATGCCTTGAGAACACGTCAGGTGTGATTGAGAGTGAGGAAGTGTTACTGTGGAGTAGTCACTGTAGCAGTTGTTCCTGGTCGTCCAGCTACTGCTGTGCCTGCTCTATCCTGACTTAACCTTTCTCTATTTGCAGTACATTGAGGAGTTAACAAAGGAGAGGGACGCCCTGAGTCTGGAACTGTACAGGAACACGTAGGATGGGGGAAGGTGGAATGGGAGGTCTGGGGGCCCTTAGCATGGGTGGTGTGCTGGGAGGTGGGGGGTCCAGGTGAGTGTGGGGAGAGGCTCATACATGTTTTCATGTGTGCACACGGAAGCTCTAGTGCTGGCTGTGCCACTGACTCATGGGGTAGCCTCAGGCAACTCATGTCTTCTCTCTGGCCTGCCACCTGGGACTTTTAATTCCTGGGGTCCCTTCCAGCGCCACGGTTCTGTGGTTGTGGGGCGAGGGTAGGGGGTCAATCACCAAAGTGGTCTTTTATGTTCTTCATTCATTCCTTTCTCTACTGCCTCTGGCCATAGCATAACTGATGAGGAGCTGAAGGAGAAAAATGCCAAACTACAAGAAAAACTTCAACTTGTAGAATCTGAAAAGTCTGAGATCCAGCTCAACGTAAAGGAGCTAAAAAGGAAACTGGAGAGGGCCAAGCTCCTGCTGCCACAGGTGAGCAGCTGCAGCCCCGGGGGTTGTGGGAGACCCATCCAGCTGGGACCATGGTCTAGGGATCATGCAGGGTATGGGGAGGCTCCAGCCAAGAGCTGGAAAATTTGGGTCCTTGTTCTGGTCCCGCCATAGAATCCTCTAGAGTGTACTAAAAATGTACAAATTGGGGCCCTGCCTGGGGAATCAGAATCTCAAGAGTTAGGGCTTAAAAATATTTTTTTAAAGGATCATGGATGAAAACCATTATTTTATAGATTACATTTATTTATTTATTTATTTATTTATTTATTTGAGAAGTAGTCTCACTCTGTCACCCAGGCCAGAGTGCAGTGGCGCAATCTCGGCTCACTGCAAGCTCCACCCCCCGGCTTCACGCCATTCTCCTGCCTCAGCCTCCCAAGTAGCTGGGACTACAGGTGCCCACCACCACACCCGGCTAATTTTTTGTATTTTTAGTAGAGACGGGGTTTCACTGTGTTAACCAGGATGGTCTCGATCTCCTGACCTCGTGATCCGCCCACCTCGGCCTCCCAAAGTGCTGGGATTACAGGCGTGAGCCACGGCTCCCAGCCTATAGATTACATTTATGTGGCTAGCTCATGATTCTGCTTCCTTCTGAGGTTCAAAAAAAAACACTTTCACTATTCCAGCAGCAGCTGCAGGCGGAGGCTGACCACCTGGGTAAGGAGCTGCAGAGTGTGTCAGCAAAGCTCCAAGCCCAGGTGGAAGAGAACGAGTTGTGGAACCGCCTGAACCAGCAACAGGAGGAGAAGATGTGGAGGCAGGAGGAGAAGATACAGGAGTGGGAGGAGAAGATACAGGAGCAGGAGGAGAAGATACGGGAGCAGGAGGAGAAGATACGGGAGCAGGAGGAGAAGATGCGGAGGCAGGAGGAGATGATGTGGGAGAAGGAGGAGAAGATGCGGAGGCAGGAGGAGATGATGTGGGAGAAGGAGGAGAAGATGCGGAGGCAGGAGGAGATGATGTGGGAGAAGGAGGAGAAGATGCGGAGGCAGGAGGAGATGATGTGGGAGAAGGAGGAGAAGATACGGGAGCTGGAAGAGAAGATGCACGAGCAGGAGAAGATACGGGAGCAGGAAGAGAAGAGGCAGGAGGAGGAGAAGATACGCGAGCAGGAGAAGAGGCAGGAGCAGGAGGCGAAGATGTGGAGGCAGGAGGAGAAGATACGGGAGCAGGAAGAGAAGATACGGGAGCAGGAGGAAAAGATGTGGAGGCAGGAGGAGAAGATTCACGAGCAGGAGAAGATACGGGAGGAGGAGAAGAGGCAGGAGCAGGAGGAGATGTGGAGGCAGGAGGAGAAGATAAGGGAGCAGGAGGAGATATGGAGGCAAAAGGAGAAGATACACGAGCAGGAGGAGAAGATACGGAAGCAGGAGGAGAAGATGTGGAGGCAGGAGGAGAAGATGCACGACCAGGAGGAGAAGATACGGGAGCAGGAGGAGAAGGTGTGGAGGCAGGAGGAGAAGATACGGGAGCAGGAGGAGAAGATACGGGAGCAGGAGGAGAAGATACGAGAGCAGGAGGAGATGACGCAGGAACAGGAAGAGAAGATGGGGGAGCAGGAGGAGAAGATGTGTGAGCAGGAAGAGAAGATGCAAGAACAGGAGGAGAAGATGCGGAGGCAGGAGGAGAAGATACGGGAGCAGGAGAAGAAGATACGGGAGCAGGAGGAGAAGATACGAGAGCAGGAGGAGATGATGCAGGAACAGGAAGAGAAGATGTGGGAGCAGGAGGAGAAGATGTGTGAGCAGGAAGAGAAGATGCAAGAACAGGAGGAGAAGATGCGGAGGCAGGAGGAGAAGATGTGGGAGCAGGAAGTGAGGCTGCGGCAGCAGGAGGAGAAGATGCAGGAACACCAGGTGAGGCTGCAGGAGCTGGAGGAGAGGCTGGGGAAGCTGGGGCAGAAGGCCGAGCTCTTGGGGGGAGCAGGCGGAGGTGTGTGCAAACCCTGGAGATCATACAGAACGACCTCACCACAACTTAGCAGATGGTGGTTGGCTCCCTCTGCTTTTCCACCAGTCTGTGGCCTACAGTTTAAATGGTGGGAAGAAGGGTGTGAGATTTGAGGCTGGGGAGGGAGGCATGGGCCTCTAGGCAAGGGAGGCAGTCATTTAGGCCTGGAGGAAGGGGCCAGGGCCAGGGGCCTGGGTAGGCGACAGAGCCCCGCAGTGCCCTCACTACCCTGTTTATGGGCCCAGAATCTGGAAGCCAGCCACTACCTACCCTGACGCCTATCCTGCAGGTGGAGCTGAAGAGCCAAGAGGCTGAGTCTGCAGCAGCAGCGAGACCATTACCTGGGTCACCTGCAGCAGTACGTGGCCGCCTATCAGCAGCTGGCCTCTGAGAAGGAGGCACTGCCCAGCTGCAGCAGCAGGAAGCTCAGGGCGAAGCGGTGGCCGAGATGGCCCACCAATAGTTGCAGGAGACCCGGTTGAGGGAGTTGATGAGGGCGGGGCCCCAAGGGGGATGATCTGGCAACCTCCGTGCCTTCTCACTCTCTTTCCTGGCCCCTTAGGAGCACCTGGAAGCTGCCATCTAATGAGCACATGACAAGAAGGCAAAGACAATAAACATGTAAAAGCCGGCAGCAAGGCCTGGAGAAGAGTAAGCCGCCATGTGACTGTTTAGAATATAGTCTGAGCACAAACCTGAAAAAAAAATTTTATTTATTTTAAATTGTGGCAAAATACTGGCCAGGCATGGTAGCTCACGCCTGTAATCCTAGCAATTTGGGAGGCCGAGGTAAATGGATGACCTGAGGTCAAGAGTTCAAGACCAGCCTGGCCAATACAAAAATTAGCCGGGCATGGTGGCGCATGCCTGTAATCCCAGCTACTTGGGAGGCTGAGGCAGGAGAATCGCTTGAACCTGGGAGGCAGAGGTTGCAGTGAGCTGAGATCGTGCCACTGCACTCAAGCCTGGGTGACAGAGCGAAACTCCGTCTCAAAAAAAAAAGTTTCTTCCTTACATGTATGTTTCTATTAGTTTTCTTCTTGGTCTTTCTCATTTAGTCTTGTGTTGTCTTTTGACATTCATAGTAAACTTTTATCTGCCTCCAGAGAGTATTGACTTTGAGTTTATGGCACACAATTGGAGTAAGGGCAGATCGCCTTCATCTACTTTGGGACTAAGCTGGTTCAAAGCAGGTTTTAGGTTTTCTGATGGCTGGTCTATGTTTTATTCATTTGGACTCCCAGGGGTGGCCCTTCCAGGGTCCCCACCAAGGTCCCATCTCCTTCCTGGGACCCAAATTCTCATTAGGTCATTTCAGCCCTGTGAGAGTGCCAAACATTCAGCTAGGCTCTCCAGCCTCTTAACTACCACTTCATACTCAGTTTCTTAGCCTCTTAGCCCTCTACTGTTGACCAATCACCAAATGTGGGAAAGCACTACAGACTGTCAGGATCACCTCCTAGGCCTGGTCACTCAAGTCCTGACTGAGGTCTCCAATTACCTTCCAACAATTGTTTTTGATTGGGGGCGGGGCACATTTTTATCCAGTTTTTCTAACTGCTCTTGTGGGGAGGCGAATCTGTAACAAGCTCCTCTGCCTTTACTGAAAGTTGAAAACCTTCATCTGTCCTTTTTTTGTTGTTGTTGAGATGGAGTCTTGCGCTGTTGCCCAGGCTCTAGTGCAATGGCACGATCTCTGCTCACTGTAACCTCTGCCTCCTGGGTTCAAGCAATTCTCCTGCCTCAGCTTCCCGAGTAGCGTGTGCCACCATGCCTGGCTAATTTTTTTTTATACCTTTAATAGAGGCAGGATGTCACCATGTTTTCCAGGCTGGTCTCGAGCTCCTGACTCAGGTGATCTACCTGCCTCAGCCTCCCAAAGTGCTGGGATTACAAGTATGAGCCACTGCATCCGGCCCATCTGTCTTTTAAAACATGTTTTTAATTGGAGGTATAATTTCTATTAGTGAAATGCACAGGTCTGGTTTACATTTTGATGAGTTTTAACTCATTTAACATTACTATGGAACCCACCTCCTTTGAAGATACAGAGTATTTCTATCATCCAGAAAGTTCTCCTGTGCTTTCATGCTGTCCCGCACTCCCCCAGCAGCTGATGAACATGCTGAGGACATTGGTACTGGATTCTGGCCGCCCCAAAAGAGCCGCTTTGACCAGGCTTACCCAGCACTAAATCCCTGCCTGCTCTCTCAAAATTTCCATCTTTAAACTGGTTGTACCTATAACCCTCCCTCATCAAGTCAATAGATAAACAAACCCTGAAAAATAAACAACTCTTCCTGGCCCAGCAGCCCACAGCCTAATATTTACTGTATTCCCAGGCTTTCAGAAATGTAACTCGCCTGCCGGTTCACCCTCACTAGGGCGGCAGCTGCACGGGAGCAGCTGGGCTCACCCATTAAGCAAGAAGCCAATAGCTGGACAGTGACACTCAGACCCCAGCCTGGGCGAGCCTGGCTGAAAGCCCCCTTCTTTCCATCCGACTGTGGAGAAAGGTGGCGGAGCACACACAACTCTACTGCCCTCCACATCCTTCACCTGTGCTTCCTCCTGGGAGAGGGAGCCGCTCCTTAATTTGGCCAAAGCCTTCTTGAGGGCTGTAGGTTTCACAGGCTGGGTGTGTGGGGGCCACCGTGCTAGAGACAGAGGCTGGTGTGTCAGAAGGCAGCCACCTGGCCAGAGGGGGGTCAACCCCCTTGGTGACCTCCTTCCCCCGGCTGGACACAGTGCCCTGCACTCTCTACATGTGACTGTTCCCCTCAGAGCTGCTTCCAGGGGAGGGGTTCTAATCCTGTGGGTGGGGACATTGTGTTACTTTACAGTGGGCCATGGCTCCCTCTGACATCTCCAACTCAGAGGCAGTAGAGAGAAGATGAGAAATTCCCTGCCCCTCCTCCCTCAGCACCCCCACCTCTGCACACGTCCACATGTGGAGACCCTGACAATGGGCCCTGGGAGTGCCGCCATCTGTGCCTGCTTTCCATGCCTGCAGCAGCCATGCCCACTCTCCAGACCCTCACCCGCCTGGGTCAGTAGACGCTTCACTGCCTGTGGTCCTGCGCCTACACCTGGGCCTCTGTACCCGTCAGTTCCCCCAGTCTGGTTCTTATTCCCTGCAAAGAGTAGGGAGCCTGTAAGGTCACCTGTTGAGCAAGCTGGGGGAGAAAAGTAGGGTGGGGATGGGAGGATCAGGATGAGAAGCTCATGGTCGTGCTGGAGACTCAGCTGAGCAGAGTCTCTGCAGGCCCATTGGCTGCCTAGCCAGTGGTGATCTCGCTCCCACCCTCATTTCTTCTTTGTTAACAAAACCATGACCTCATTAAATACTGGACACCTATAAACCTCATGGACCCTCCTCCAGCCTCCCCACCGTGTACCGGTGAGTCTAAGTCAACTCTAGTCATTTCATTCCTCTGGACATTGACTGCTTAGGGCTTGGGCATGAGCTGCCTCTTCACCTGAGCCTGAGCCACAGGTACCCTCTGCACCTACCACGCTGATGCACTGGGCCAGGGAGAGCGCCGTCTGGATGGAGATGAGCTGTGAGGAGCTGGTGGCTGGGCGGATCAGGTTGTTGTAACAGGTTTTGTTCAGAAGGTCGTCCATCAGTTTCTGCTCGGCATGGGCCATGCGGCAGTCCCCTGGGTAAACACACAGACATGCTGGGCCCTTGTGCAGCTGTCTCCCACTGCAGCTGACAGCTATGAAGCAGGAGCTGAGAGGGCCAGGGAGCACAGACACCCTGAGAGCTGGCTGAAGCAGTGAAGGTGCTGGCCGGCCTGGCTTTCCCTGGGGACTTCAAATGACATTCACGACAGAGCTCAGCTACCTCCTCCCCATGCCATACCTCTTCCTCCTCCTCCTCCCTCCGTCAATGAACAGCATCCCACGCTCTACACATCTGATACAAAACTGGGTGTCTCTTCCTGACTCCTCCCTTGGTTCACCCAAGTGGCCACCAAGTCCTGTCTGTCCTCCCATCTCCACGGCTACAGCCATGTCCCTGCCTCCCCCGCCCTGCCCACCTTCTGTTCTCTCCACCTGCACTCTGCCCCTGCCATCCATGTGCCATACAGTGGCAGACTGATCTTTCTACAGCAAACTGGACGAGGGCCCTTCCCTACCCACAGCTCTCAGAGCTGGAGGTGGAGTTGAAGCTCATGTTTTGGCTTGGCATTCAGAGCTCTTTCCCCCTCAGCACTGGCTTATCCAGAGTGCTCACAGTGCAGGGCAGGAGCCTCGTGACTCAAATGTGGGTTTGGTGCAGAACTGGGTCTGAGGTGGTGCTTTCCCTGTGAAGAGACAGGGCCGACATGGGGGAATTTTCTGGGTTCAAAGTTAGACCTAGAGAGTGCAAAGTTTCTCTGAGGCACCAAATGGAGGGGTCCAGCTAGCAGCTGGCTCCTGGTCTGGAGCTTCAAGGAGAGGTCTCAGCTCAGAGCCACATTCAATAGCCAGCTTACATGTGGCCTCCTGAAGGGAGCCCCTGGAGCTTCCACAGCCTCCGTTCTGCCCCTCTGCATACCCCAGATCTCCTGCTAAGTGGCGTTTGGGTCTTCATGTCATCTCCCTCCCATGTCTGGGAGTAAAGGTGAGGTGCAGGGACTTGCGCTTGTGTACTCTGGTGTCTTAAGGGAGACTGTGTCAAGTAGAGTGGAGGCGGCTTGGAAAGAGGGAGACTCAGAGGAGAGTGAAGGACACATGACCAGGCGAGCCTGGGAGCAGGAAAAGAGAGTGAGCAGAGGCAACTGCTGGGTCAGGGGAGCGGATGGGAGGATCAGGGAATGCGGGGGGGCTGGAGAGGTAGGGGTGGGGACGTTGGCGAGGGGCTGCCTGGCTCGCCAGGCTCAGGAGTCAGTTACATCCTCCCACAAGGGCCAGCTCACCTGGTCGCCCCAAAGACCTCCCTCTGTGGGTGGGACCAGAGGGCCAAGAGCACGGATAACCCAATTGAGCAGGACTGAGGCGGACTCAGGTGGGTGCTGGGCCGGACTCCTGGCTGTGGGGAGCAGCCGCCACCCTGCCTATTGCATCCACTTTCCAACTCGCTGCCTATCTGAGCAGATGCGATATTGGGCACCTTGTGAAACATGCTCCTGGTGCACCTGCTGCCTGCTGCCCCTCCTGCAGAGTGCCCGGGCTCTCCAGAGGGGATTCCTATGGAGGCTTGGCCTAGATTCTGAGTCCTGCCTCTCATACCTGGGGCTGCTACCCCAGAGGCCAGCTGCTTGAGTACCCCGGAAGCCAGTCTGTAGCCCCAGGCTACAGCTGGGTCCATCCCACAGCCCTTCTCTAATGTACCTATTTGGACTGGCTGCTCATTTCATAGAGAGGGGTGTGTCTTGCCCCAGACCATCTGGCATGTCTAAGGCAGCTGTGGGGTCAGAATCTGCAGCTCCCAGCCCTCAGCCCAGCAATAGTAGGAAAGGCTGGACCCCACATCTCTGAAGTCCCACTGGGTTGGTGCGAGCGGGCTCCCGAGTACAGGGCTGCTCTGCAGGCTGTGGGGCTCATGCGCCAGCTCTGAGCCCACCTGATGTGCTCACGTTGCTCACCTTTGGGCCTGTCCGGCCTCTCAGGCATTCGGCTGACCCTGAGGGCCTCTCCCTCATCTTGACCACCAGCTACGGGCTCTGATTTAGAGGTTCCCAGAACCTTAGACCATTTGGCCGGCCCCCCATTTCTCACCTGAGGAAACTGAGACCAGAGAGGGATAGCAACTTTCTCAAGGACCCCCAGCAATTCAGAGGCAGAACCAGGTCTAGGAGCCTCTTCTCGATAGAGGTTCCCCCTGTCCCCTGAGCCTTCGTTAGTGCCTCATTAACTTCCCTGTAAGGAAACTGCCCCGCTGAGGCTGGAAATGGTGCTGTCCAGAGTGGTGTGTGCCAGTGACTGTGCTTGTGTTTGTACTTGTGAGTGTGTATGGGGGTGGGGATGAGGGGTGGGAATAAACGGCAGGGATGCTGGGGGCTGGATGCACTCCACCTCACCCCAAAAAGGGGCGCAGGAGAGCCCAGCCAAGCACAGCACATGCTTCGACTTTCCAATCTGCTGAATGCCTGTGAGGCCGGCTGGGCCCAGAAGACAAGGGACAGGCCTTTCCCCATAGATGGCAGGGGGGGCCCAGGATGGGTGGAAGCTTCTGCCGCAGCTTTGGGGGTCACAACCCAGCCCATGGGCTGACACTTAAGCAGAAAAGCCACCTCTAGGGGTCAGTCATAATCTAGTGATTCTGATGAGGAGGGCCCCACCAACCTCTGTCCAGGGTCTTGTCTGGGAAAAACTGCTCCCTGGCAGAAAGAGGCTAATAATTTGAGAGGAAGCCATAGCTGAAACCCTAAGCTGTGTGAGTGCGTGTCCAGTTTGAGAAAGCATATCCGACTTAAACATTTGTATTGAAAAAATGGAAACATATTCCCCTTGTTTTGGAATACAAACTGCAGAAAGCAGCAGTTAACAGAATCTTATCGGAAAGGTCAGATTCTGCATCTGGAAAGGCACAGTGATTTTCAACTGCGGTGTGTGTCCTTAACTGAGGAAGGGAAGGTGAGATTTATGTTTAGTAAAAGGCAGCTATGAATTTACCTTTTATAAAGAGCTTGCTATATACTATTAGTGCTTTTCAGTCATGTCAGAATCAGCCAGATGCCTGTGGAAATGCAAATTCCCAGGCTTCATTCCCAGAGATTCTGGTCCTGTGAGCCTAGGGTGGGGCCCAGAAATCTCTATGGGGTGGTGCAGCCTGCCCCAGGACCACACCAAGAAACACTGCAACTGGCCCACACACATCCCAGTCCACAAATATGTAGGCAGGCATCTTATCTCCACGGAACAGATAGGGAAACTGAGGTCAGAGTGGGGAAAGAAACGTCATGGGGCCACCCAGCAAGTAGTAGCAGAGCCACGATACACCCACTGCCTGCAGACACCATCTCTGATGACAGCTCCACCTCCCCACAGGAATCTTGCCTACCCCCACCCCTACCTCCTGCTGCCCCTATGGTGGGTCTCTGTCCAAGGAAGATGTATCCTAGGTCCTCTAGGCTGACTGCGGCTCAGAGGAAACCTTGGCCCAGAGTGTAGGAGCTAGAGGGGTCCTTGGAATTCACGTGGGGAATTTGAGGCCCAAAGAAGGCAGTCCTCACATTTGAACTCTGTCTGGAGAAGGGCTAGGTCTTCTTCCTGAGTGGTAGTTTTGACTTCACCAGCCTGGCCCTCAGTCAAGCTGGCTGTCCAGGCCCGCCACACCTCGGGGTGGGTGACCAGAGGCGGTGGTGCCATAAAAACACGTTTCCTGGGAGATCCACCCCCAAAGCTCAAAACATTCCAGGGCTGGTGATTTGGGCAAGCCCCCTTCCCTCTCAGCCCAGTTTCCCCATCTCTGCAACAGCCGTGCTGGTGGAGACTTCTGATACTGAGCTGCAGATTTTCTCCTGGGTGCCTACACAGCCCAGGTTGCCGGCTCCTCTGTGCCCACTCTTCAAGAAAGTCAGCTCTTAGGTAAGGAAGGTGCCTTGGCCCTATCAGGAGCAGGAGCCGGTGCACCCCCAGCTTCCCAGACCAGTGGGGATGACCCAGGCTGCCTACAAAGCTGCTGCCCAGCCCAGAGACACCCGCCTGGGAGGGTGGCCCTGGCCCTTGCAGCGGCTCTGAGAAGAGTCGGCCCCCACTCCAAAACTGGCAGAGCCACCCATGCCTTCCCTCAGCCCAAAGAGGCTTTTAGGAACATGAATCGTCTCAAGTTCAAACCCATGGGGTTGCTGAAAGACAAGACAGTGCAGGGTGAGCTGGTGCGAGGGAGCGCTGCTCGGTGCAGACTTTGCAGGGAGGGCACTTAGGAAAAAGGACTGGAGTCTGGGAGGGTTAACTAGCTTAGGGTTAAAGGGAGGGGATGGAGCTGGAGTGAGCTGGCCTCGTCCTCCCCCTTGGGCCTTCCAGCCTGGGCTCAGGTGATTCAAGGGAGCAAGCACCTCCCTCTCCCAGCCAGGGAGTTCTCGCCACATTCTGCAATCAGTACCATTCCCCTGGGGGCTGGGTGACAGCCCCCACCTCTGGACCTGGCTGGAACTGCTGTCTCAATTCTAGATCCAAAAGAATCTCTGGCAGCTTCTCCATCTCCCTCTCAGTCCAGCCTCACCTCTTCGCCCGTGGAGGAGCTCCAACAGCAAATCTGGCAACTGGAGGAACAAGGCAGGAAGGGCAGGGTCTGAGGAAGGAACCACCTTCAAAAGGCAGCTCTGCCACCTTCTCTCCAGGACTCTCAGGCTTGCTTTCCTATTGCTCCCTCGACATCCTTTTGCTATAATCTGGCATGTTGACGTATAGTCTTTAAAAGCAACAATGCTGTTGACGTGGAGCAGACTTCCCATTTGGGATGGTTTGGAGAAGTTAGGTTTGAGGGCATCCTCTCTTCTGCAAACTGCAGCAGTAATAGATGAGATATACAAAGTAAATAAAGGCTGGGTGCGGTGGTCGTGCCTGTAATCCCAGCACTCTGGGAGGCTGAGGCAGGAGGATCACTTGAAGCCAGGAGTTCGAGACCAGCCTGGCCAATATGGCGACACCCTGTCTCTACTAAAAATGTAAAAATTAGCTGGGCATAGTGGTGCACACCTGTAGTCCCAGCTACTCAGGAGGCTGAGGCAGGAGAATCACTTGAACCCGGGAGGCAGAGGCTGCAGTGAAATGAGATCCCGCCACTGCATTCCAGCCTGGGCGACAGAGTGAGACTCCATCTCAAAAAATAAAAATAAAAAATAAAGTAAATAAAAAAGACATGCCCAGGCTGAAAAATAAGTTAATTATCTCCATGAACGAAAAGCAGACAAGAAATGCAAAGTGGTTGGAGGCTGAAGAGCCTGGACCCTCCTGGGCTTTGGGAACCAAAGATGGTGGCAAGTCCTTTGGGATAAAGAGGGACAAAATGACTCCTAGCTAGAAGCTGGGAGCTTGGGTGTACCCCAGTACTTGAAAGGATGCTAGCTGGGCGCGGTGGCTAATGCCTGTAATACCAGCACTTTGGGAGGCCGAGGGAAAGTAACTCTTATGTCAGTGTGAAGCAAATCAGACAGGACAGGGGAACATGGAGGGGAGGAGAGCCAAACCAGGGCCTGGTTCCAGACCCACCACACCCGCCCCGTTGAGCCAGGAGCACAGGTGGCTCTCTGCACAACATCAAGAGCGAGGACATGCTTTCAGCTCCACTTTAACTCAGGTTCCTAATGTGACAGCAGGCTTGTCAATCCCACTTGCCCCCGTGTCTCACACCAGAAAACTACCAGCAGTGTGAGTAAGGACAGAAGCAGGAGACAGAGGAGCCAGGGTTGGGGAATCCCATAGCAACCCACAGGCCCTCATCACACACGGCAAGGATGCGCCTTCACTGGGCTCACCACCACCACTCGACATCACCTTCACTACATGATACCCTGCCTGGATAACACCACTGTAACACAAGAAACAGGTCTAGAATCTAGCATGTATGCTACACCTGAAGGAGCAAGAGACGGTAATACAATACAATGAAATTTTTAGTTTATTTAATATAAAATTTAGAGCCATAATCAAAATGTGTAATTCTGATGGGATTCACTACTTATAAAAACTTCGCAGCGCTCTATTTTCAAATGTAAATGGTATTCTGTGGCTCCTCGCCAGCATGTAAATAACGATCTACTCTGAAATACATTTCACGGCTTATTTTTGGCAAGCAGCGATTTCTCCAACCCACGTTTTCCAAGGGAAAAAAGGACATGAAATGTCTCCAAAAGTCTCTTACGATCTTTAGATAAACTACTGTTCAACAACTGCATCTGCCAAGTCAACACATCAAGAATCCTTCACTCACAAACACTTAAGGTGAGAAAACAGTGTCTACCCATGCAGGAGAGGGACACATGATCCATGCTGATGAAGACAGCCTGGATATCGGCTACTGGAAAGCTGCGAATGCATTTTTCTTTTTCTACTTTCCAAAAGTTTTGTGAGGTGATACTTATTTCTATGTTTGTGTCTATTCTTTTTATTTTGTATTTTTTAGTAGGTACATCCTTACTATAAATCTGCTGTAGAACCAATGTCCCATACAGGACCCCACGTGCCACAGGAACCAAAAAGTCACACGCAGCGAAGACGAAGACACAGGAGACAACCTGTGTGGACAGCACAGAGCCACCTGCCCAGGACACCAATGGAGCCACAGGTGCAATTCAAAATGTTCTTAGTCGTATTAATAAACATGGCCAGGTGCGGTGGCTCACGCCTGTAATCCCAACACTTTGGGAGGCTGAGGTGGGCAGATTACCTGAGGTTGGGAGTTCAAGACCATCCTGGCCAACATGGTGAAACCCCATCTCTACTAAAAATACAAAAATCAGCCAGGTATGGTGGCATGCTTCTGTTAGTCCCAGCCACTCAGGAGGTTGAGGCAGGAGAATCATTTGAACCCAGGAGGCAGAGGCTGCAGTGAGCTGAGATCGTGCTACTGCACTCCAGTCCAGGCAACAGAGTGAGGATCCATCTCCGGGTGGGGAAAAAAAATTGTTCTTAGTCACATTAACAAAAGTAAAAAAAAAAAAAAAAAACACACCAACAAGAAAAACAACAACACATAAAATTAATTGTAATAATGGCTGGTTGCAGTGGCTCATGCCTGTAATCCCAGCACTCTGGGAAGCCAAAGCGGGCAGATTACTTGAGGTCAGGAGTCCGAGACCAGCCTGGCCAACATGGTGAAACTCTGTCTCTACAAAAATACAAAAATCAGCCAGGCGTGGTGGTAGTGCCAGCTGCTCGGGAGTCTGTAGTCCTGTAGTCCCAGCTGCTCAGGAGGCTGAGGCAGGAGAATCACTTGAACACAAGAGGCGGAGGTTGCAGTGAGCCAAGATTGCACCACTGCACTCCAGTCTGGTCAACAGAGTAAGATTCCATCTTAAAAAATAAAAATAATTTTAATAATGTATCATAGTTATTCCAACAGATCAAAAATATGACCATTTCAACATGAAATCAATCTAAGAAAAATTATTGAGATATTTTACATAGGTTATTTCATATTAAGTCCTCAAAAACCATCTGAGTAGCTTACATATGTAACACATTTCAATTTGGACCGTGAAATTTGCATTGAAAACATCTGATCTCCATTTAGACTCATAAAATACACAGTTGACAAAGTAGACTCCCAAGGCCAAGTGATTCTAAACATACTTAAGTGCTTTCTAATAACAGAATCAAATTTTCAAACCTGCATTTTAATGAATAAAAATTAAACAGATAAAATATTCAGTGTCTCAGCTATGACGGACAGACTTCAAGTGCTGATCAGCAAACGGTGTTGAGTGTAGCCAGATGGGCCAGCGCAGGCTACACAGCTGCAGCTCAAACAGCACAGCTGCAGGTCAAACAGGCCAGTCTCTCTGCGCACGGGAACAGTCTGGGCAAGCAGGAGACGGGGAAAACGGGCACTGCCCTCGTGAGAACAAAGGACCCACAACAGGAACCCTGCACTCACCCCCTGCCAAAGACCAACAGCCCCACGAAGCAGCCACTTCAGAAAAGGGAGAGGCATTCAAGAACTTAGAAAAGCACCTCTGGAAAATGCTCACTTTAAAACTTTGCATGTAACTGTACATTTTAATTACAAGGTTTTTAACATCCATTTTCTCATGTATTCTTAATTAACTCTGTGAAAGTAAACACAGCTTTTATTCTTACTCCCATAGTTACTGTGTTGGAAGTCCACCTATATGAACAAACTGTTGTAACTGAAATTTTCTGAGAACAAATCCCAAGCTCTTTCCATCGACACAAACTATATTGTTTAGTTCTCTTTATTTCCATTTGTTAAAGACCAGAATGTGTGAAATATGCATTATCAGATTAGAAAAACAAAACAAACATCAGAAAAAGGTTTTGCAAAATAGCATTTACTAAAATCTATGACAGAAACTAGCTCTAAAACTTCCTGTTTCAAAATTTCACTGTGTGTGCACTAAGTTAGTTTTTCTGGCTGTGGACAGCAGGCCCACCCCATGCCGCGGGCCCACCCCATGCCGCAGGCCCACCCCACGCCGCGGGCCCACCCCACGCCACAGGCCCACCCCACGCCACAGACCCACCATGGCCCCATGAACAGGCCAGCTGAGAGCTGCAGCCACTGCCCAGGGCTCCCTGGTCTGTACTCGGCTGCCTGACCCAAGCTGCCAGGGCTCTGCTTTCTCTATGTGTAGAAACAAAAACCAGGAGCATCAGTTGACGAAAAGCAGATTTTTATTGAACAGAGGTATAAATGTGTTTCATTTTCTAATAAATCTCTTTCACAAATCACCTTGCTGTTTCGCTCTTCTTGAATGATCATTTTTAGACAACACTGTCTGACTGTTTTGGCTTCTGCCAAGGTTAGCGTCTGTTCACAGGCTGAGTCTGACTTCTTCCTCCCACCTCCTCCTAGTCTGGCCTTCCAAAATAATGCTCACCATTCTATCACATTGACTTCAGTTTTGAAAAGAAAAGTTATCTTACAAAGTAGTATGTATAACTCTGTAATATATAAAGTGAGGCAATGATAGAACCAGTTTTAAAAATAACCTTCCATGATGATTTTCATTTGCATCCACCTGCTTATTAGTAAGAATCTTTTTACATGTTTACTGCACGCCCCAATTTCTCTTCAGTGAAAAACTTTTGAGTATCATCACACCCTCCAACTTCTCCTCTCACCTATATTGAAAAGGGTCTGCTCTTTATCCTAACATCTATACTAGGTAATTTTCAGAATATTCCTTCAATCATCAAACAAATTTTTGAGATCCTTGCGCTAGATTTCACTATCTTAATATGAAAACCAATAATCACCTATTAAAATACAATACAGGCCAGGCACAGTGGCTAACACCTGTAATCCCAACATTTTGAGAGGCCAAGGCAGGTGGGTCACCTGACGTCAGGAATTTGAGACCAGCCTGACCAATATGGTAAAACCCCATCTCTACTAAAAATACAAAAATCAGCCAGGTGTGGTTGCAGACGCCTGTAGTCCCAGCTACTCGGGAGGCTGAGGCAGGAGAATAGCTTGAACCCAGGAGGCGGGGGTTGCAGTGAGCCAAGATCGTGACACTGCACTCCAGCCTGGACGATAGAGCAAGACTCCATCTCAAAAAAAAAAAAAAACAAAAAAAAAACACCATTAATAAGTAAATAAATAGGCCAGGCGTGGTGGCTAATGCCTGTAATCCCAACATTTTGGGAGGCCAAAGTGGATGGACCACCTGAGGTCGGGAGTTCAAGACCGGCCTGACCAACATGAAGAAACCCTGTCTCTAACAAAACTACAAAATTAGTGGGGCATGGTGGCGCATGCCTGTAATCCCAGCTGCTCGAGAGGCTGAGGCAGAGGAATTACTTGAACCTGGGAGGCGGAGGTTGCAGTGAGTCAAGATCGCACCACTGCACTCCGGCCTGGGCAACAAGAGCGAAACTCTGTCTCAAAAAACAAAAAAGTAAATAAATAAAACACAATACAATACAGCTAATATGATTTACCTAAGAAGCTGTTGTATGAGCTGAACCAGAGGCAAACACTGTTTGCCAGAAGACTCACAGATCCCCGTATTAATAAGGCCTTTATCCAATGGAGTCCTCCTTCTATGAAATGTTGAGGCATTTGCTTCCTGTTCATAAATTTCTTTTTCCTTCCGTGCTTCTTTTTTTGTATCCTGTAATTGATAAACAGAAATTGTTTACAAGTGATCTCATTACCAGGTGTGAAGGCACACAGGCTGGCTGAGCCCTGACCCCAGTGCCAAGCTATCCCAGCCTCTGTGGCTGCCACACCCATCCACCCACAGGCCCCCACCTGCCCTGTTGGAAACCCCAACTCATTTGTGCAGTTTCAAACAGTGTCTTCTTTTTACAGATCCAAGGTCTAGGCTGCCTCTGCTGATGCTCTCCAGCCTCCTTCTGTGAAGTCCCTAAAATCCTTAACCCTGCTAATGGCTCACACAAAACCCAATGTGATCGGCTCCACACACGCAGCATCCAGCTGCTCTGTAAGGACAAGAAGGAGCTAGAATTCTCACACACAAGTCCTGGTTCAAATGCAAATGGCAAAGCCACTTTGGGAAACTATGAACACACACTAACCCCAGGACCTAACAAATTCCACTCCAAGTGTTTATCCAAAGGGAGAACATATGTTCACTAAAGTACTTGTTCACAGCACAATTGTGGCAGCTCTACACGGCCAAAAACCAGAAAGCCTGGGCGCGGTGGCTCACGCTTGTAATCCCAACACTTTGGGAGGCCAAGGTGGGGGGATCACTGGAGCCCAGGAGTTGAAGACCAGCCTTGCAACACAGTGAAACCTTGTCTCTACAAAAAAATCAAAAAACTAGCCGGGCATGGTGACATGTATGTGGTCCCTGCAACACAGGAGGCTGAGGTGGGAGGATCATTTGAGCCTAGGAGTACAAGGCTGCAGTGAGCCAACATCAGGTCACTGTATACAGCCTGGGTGACAGAGCAAGACCCTGTCTCAAAAAAAAAAAAAAAAAAGAAAACAAAAACCAAAAACAATTACATGTCCTTCAATAGGAGAATGAACTAACAAACAGTACTACACCTATAAAATGGAAAACTTCCCAATAATAAAAACGAAGTCGCAATACACACAACAGTGAGTGAATCTGAAAATCATTCTCCAAGGCAAAGCAGGAAAGAGTGCATACTATACAGTTATATTGCTGCGACACTCAGAGCAGGAAAAATGAATCTAATCTCAGGGCAGGGGAGTATCCTGGCTGCAAGTGCCAAGGAGCACAGCGATCTTTCCGGGTGACGGGAATGGTCTACATGAGGAACAGGTTACCTGTTAACTTCACTGAAACAGACAACATGCAGTATTTTATCACAAATCATCTCAATAATTTTTAAAATTAGCACATAAAAGAATTTTAATTTAAAAAAATACTTGGATATAAGTTTAGTGTTTTACTGTTTTCAGTTATTCTTCACATGTGTGAGTGTGGTATTTCCGATCTCAGCCCACCACCAGGTCACGTGTGCCTCCAAGGCCATACCTGGATCTCTGCAGTAATGGCTGCGTGTAAGGCTGACTCCAACCCTCCATCAGCCATCAAGCTGCCCACCAGAAGATCAATCACCAATCGATGACCTGGACTTATGCTCACTTCATTGCCTGAAACTGAAATAGAAAGTGTGTGCCAATTTGAGTGAAACGCCATCCCCTCCCAGCACCCTGACCCATGCCCTCTCCTGTTCCTTCCCCGAGCCCACCTCCGCAGGACAGGAGAGCAGAGTGCCCGGGCCTGCTTCTCAGCGGTGGGCAACAGCATGGACCAGCCGCTCTGCAGCATGGCCTGGGAGGCCGACTGCACGGTGCTCAGCACGTCTGCGCTGCTTGCCAGGGTCACCACCTTCTGCTTCAGGCTGTTCAGGAAGACGCTGCCCAGACCTAAACCAAGGAATTCCAGGTCAACCTGGTGACTAATGGCAGCATGCAACTGAAAGGAGAAAAACAATTTTCACTTAGAACCCCTAAAAATGAGTGAATTTCAAAGTCTTATTAAACACTGAATAAAAGTCAATTTGAAGTATTATCTAAATAGACAAAATAACTTCTCAGTTTACGTATTTTTAAAAACTGGACTAAAAAAACTCTTACCCACAATAGTTGAAGTATTTTCTAGAGGAATTTTTTTTAACCCCACTATGAACACATATATGGAAAAGCTCAAGATGAGCAGAAGAGCTAAACAACTAGCAACAGCAACCTCCACCCCGCCCCAACAATCTGCACCAAACACAGAAATAATGGCTACAATGTAACCACAAAAGCTGCCACAGGCGGTGGCTCATGCCTGTCATCCCAGCACTTTGGGAGGCCGACGGGAAAGCTCACTTGAGATCAGGAGTTCAAGATCAGCCTGGCCAACATGATGAAACCCCATCTCTATAAAAAAATCAGCCGGGTGTGATGGTACACACCTGTAGTCCCAGCTACTTGGGAGGCTGAGGCAGGAGAATCACTTGAACCTGGCAGGCCAAGACTGTACCACTGCATTCCAGCCTGGGTGACAAAGTGACACCCTGTCTAAAAAAAAAAAAAGAGCTGCTAAAAATTAGACTGCGGAGCTGAGAGTACACAGGGAAACTCCTCAAGTGCAAAACCAAAATTCACGTGGGCACACACAGCAGGAGTCAAGAGGTTCCGGGCTCTGAAAGCAGAGCCAAGCCGCCAGGCTTCAGCACAACCTCCCACACGGGAATGCACACAAGGACCCACTGAACCCGAGCTTCCTGCAGAAGGCTGGGAGCCACTCAGGATCACCTGCCTGCCAGCCAACCGCAGCCAGGGGGCAACACACTGCCCGTCCCAGGCTCTGGGTAGCAAGAGGCCCCATGAGAAATCAGAGACCCGGCCTTGCCCTGTGAGTAGAAGTGAAATCAAAAGCACACCACTCATCTAGGTATAGATATCACAGGTCAGGAAATGACCACCGAAACTCACCTGGAGTCTGTGAAACCTACAGAACCTTCAGGACCCCGGAGAGGCAAATGCAAAACCATACGCTGGGACACCTCGACAGCCTAAGACATACGCAAGGCCACGCCCCACAGCACTGACCAGAACAGACACCTCACCGCAAACCAGGAGGGGCAGCAAACACCTGGGGCGCAACCACGCAAACGCCAGGATGCCACAGATATGGTGATAAATGAGTGCTACAGAGGACTAGAGGAGAAGCATGCTCCAGACCTCTGCTCAGTTCATTACTGCAACTAAACACTACACTCAGTTCTGTACATTCTAGAAGCAGGGCAAAAAGGGGAGGGGCTGGAAGAGGGACATGACGGGTTGTTACAAGAAACCACTGTAATAAAAGGGAAAAATTACTATGTCGAGAAAACCGTGGTTCTTGTCATTAAGTTAGAGGGTTTTATTACAAAGACAAAAGATGATGATCAAACACTTCAGCTTTAGTTTTGCTAGGGAGGAAGGCTTTTGTAGCTTTTATTTTGACCCTAACCACAGCCTTCATGGTGAGGAAAGGAAGGTATTGCTTTGGGAGCCGAGCTTACTGAGTAGATCAAGCTTGTTCAACCCACGGCCCGAGGGCAGCATGTGGCCCAGGGCAGCTTTGAATGTGGCCCAAAGTAAAATTTCTTAAAACATCATGAGATATTTTTGGGATTCTTTTTTTAAGCTCATCAGCTATCATAAGTGTATTTTATGTGTAGCCCAAGACAATTCTTCTTCCAGTGTGGCCCAGGGAAACCAAAAGACTGGACCCTCCTGGAGCAGGGTTTTCACAGGACAGAGGAGAGACAGGCCAGCACTGGTCTCTCAGCTGAGCGCTGTCTCTCTCCATCACCTGTGATCTCACCCAGTCATTTCTCCACACGCAACAACAGTAAAACAGTAAGAATACCAACAAACTAATGATTATAGCAAAAATAACACAATCCATATACACTCTTCCTGCATGCCGAGGCTGACTTCCAGGACAAACATAAAATAAACAGATCAAGTTTTTTAAGCCTTGCGTCCATTATTAGTGCATTACAATCTTACTTTAAAATACTTCCCCCAACAGGCTAAAACCTATGTCCTTCAAAATACATAAACCTTCTTACAAATCGCTAAGACACTTATAAAAGGAGCAAGAGGAAGGGAAATCACGAATACCTGAAGTCGGGGAAGATTCAGCGTTGCCACGGCCACGCACTCTTTCTCCTGGGGCGGGGGCCAGTCCGCGGAGCCATCCATCCCCTCACTCACCTGCCGAAGCAGGAGATCCAGCTGCTCAAAAGTCACTGAGCAAATATCCACCCCAAAAGGGACATGGAGGCCAATGGACCACTCAGAACACGATGACCAAGCAATGCTCTAAGAGGAAACGCAACAATCGGAAATGAATCTCCAAATGCAGCTCTTGGTCTGTCGCACAGGAGTCACCAGCTTGTGTGATGGAGCTGCCTTATATTATTACCTATCATCCCTCTAACTGCCCAGTGGAAAAGCATTCATGGGTGTCTAGCTCACACACTATCAGCTTCCAATTCTCCCACCCATTTCACTAGCCCCATCTCACTTGGCCATACCTAAAAGAGTAAAAACATTTTAAAAAATCTTTTCACTCTCAAAATGATTAATGCACATTAATGGATGGCAGGGAGGCTCTCCATCCACTTGAAGTGGTATAATAGCAACTCTAACTAGACAATGAATTGTTAGACACATATAACACACACAATATCTTTCATAGTGAGAGAACAAGTAATCGGCAAAAATCTAGGAGAACTGTAGAACACCTTCAATAAACTGGATCTAATTTATAGAACACTTCACCCAACAACAGCAAAATACATATACTTTTTTTTTTTTTGAGACAGAGTCTCGCTCTGTCGCCCAGGCTAGAGTGCAGTGGCACGATCTCAGCCCACTGCAAGCTCTGCCTCCTGGGTTCACGCCATTCTCCTACCTCAGCCTCCTGAGTAGCTGGGACTACAGGTGCTCACCACCACGCCTGGCTAATTATTATTATTTTTTTAATTTTTATTTTTAGTAGAGATGGGGTTTCACCATGTCAGCCAGGATGGTCTTGATCTCCTGACCTCGTGATCCACCTGCCTTGGCCTCCCAAAGTGCTGGGATTACAGGCGTGAGCCACCGTGCCCGGCCATACATATACTTTACATATACTTTTTTTAAATTTTATTTTTTTGAGATGGAGTCTAGCTCTGTCGCCCAGGCTGGAGTGCAGTCGCATGATCTCAGTTCACTGCAGGCGCCCGCCATCATGCCCGGGTAATTTTTTTTGTATTTTTAGTAGAGACGGAGTTTCACCCTGTTAGCCAGGATGGTCTCGATCTCCTGACCTTGTGATCTGCCTGCCTCGGCCTCCCAAAGTGCTGGACCATACATATACTTTTTAAGCACATACAGACCATACATATACTTTTTACACATATATGTATACATATATGTATATACAGACCATACATATACAGACCATACATATACTTTTTAAGCACATACAGAATGTTCACTGAGAACATAACCTGACACATAAATCTTAACAAATTTAAAAGAAATGAAATCATATGCAGTTTGTTCTCCAATCACAATGGTATTAAACTAGAAATCATTAACAAAACAATCTGCAAACACTTCAAAATAAAACCACATACTTAATAATCCATGGGTCAGGCCGGGCGCACTGGCTCACGCGTGTAATCCCAACACTGTGGGAGGCCAAGTTGGGGGGATCACCTGAGGCCAGGAGTTGAAGATCAGCCTGGCCAACATGGAGAAACCCCATCTCTACTGAAAATACAAAACAATTAGCCGGGCATGGTGGCGGGTGCCCGTAGTCCCAGCTAATCAGGAGGCTGAGGCAGGAGAATCGCTTGAACCCAGGAGACAGAGGTTGCAGTGAGCCGAGATCATGTCATTGCACTCCAGCCTGGGCAACAACAGTGAAACTCCGTATTGAAGAAAAATAATAATAATAATAATAATCATCATCATCATCATCATCCATGGGTCAAAGAACAATTCTCCAAAGAAATGAGAAAATATTTTGAACATAAATGAAAATGCACCAAAATTTGTGGGTTTAATTAAAGCACTGCTTAGAGGAAAATTTATAGCATCAAATCATTATATATTACAAAAAAGATAGGTCTAAATCAGCAATCTAAGTTTCCACCTTAAGAAACCAGAAAAAGAGCAAAGTGAACGCAAAACAAGCCAAAGGAACAAATGCCAAGATAAAAGCAGAAACTAATGAGATTGAAAGCAAAAAAAGAAGGGAAAAATTAATGAAACTTAAAGATCATTCTTTGAAAAGATCAACAAAATTGAAAAACTCTAGGAAAACTGACAAAAAAACAGAAAAGATACAAATTATCAGTATCAGGAATGAATGAAGGGACATCACTGCAGGCCCCACAGACTTCAGACGGTTAGCAAGAGAACACTAAGGAAAACTTGACACTTAAAAATCAGACAACTTAGATGAAATAAAGCAATGTCCGAGTGCCACAAACCAGGAAAATCCTCCTAGAAACAAACAGGTTACCTGAATAGTTCTGTATCTGTTAAATAAATTGAATTTGTAAAAATTTTTTTTTTTTTTTTTGAGCCGGAGTCTCACTCTGTCACCCAGGCTGGAGTGCATTGGTGCAATCTCAGCTCTCTGCAATCTCTGCCTCCCAGGTTCAAGTGATTCTCCTGCCTTAGCCTCCTGAGTAGCTGGGATTACAGGCGCACGCCACCAAGCTTGACTAATTTTTTGTATTTTTAGTAGAAACGGGGTTTCACCATGTTAGCCAGGCTGGTCTCAAACTCCTGACCTCAGGTGATCCACCTGCCTCGGCCTCCCAACATGCTGGGATTATAGGCACGAGCCACCGCGCCCGGCGTAAAATCTTTTAGAAAGAAATCTCCAGGTTCAGATGGATTCAAAAACATTTAAAGAAGAAATAACACTAATTCTACACAATCCCTTAGAGAAAATGGAAAAGGAGGGAACACATGCCAATACTTTGTATAAGGTCAGCTTTCCCCTGACAGAAAGCCAGACGAGATAGTGTAATACAAAGAAAGAAAACTGCAAACCAACATCCCTGATGAGCATCAACAGAAAAATCCTCAAAAACGTGTTAGCAAGTCAAATTTAGCAATATAGAAACAGAATAGGGCCGGGCGCAGTGGCTCACGCCTGTAATCATAGGAATATTGGGATGCCAAGGAGGGTGGATCACTTGAGGTCAGGAGTTGGAGACCAGGCTGGCCAACATGGTGAAACCCCATCTCTACTAAAAACAAACAACAAACAAACAAAATTAGCCAGGTGTGGTGGTGCACACCTCTAATCCCAGCTACTCAGGAAGCTGAGGCAGGAGAATTGCTTGAACCCAGGAGGCAGAGGTTGCAGAGAGCTGAGATTGCACCAATGCACTCCAGCCTGGGTGACAGAGTGAGATTCTGTCTCAAAAAAAAAAAAAAAAAGAAAGAGAGTAGTAAATTGTGGCCAAGTGATGCCTATCCCAGTAACACAAGGCTTGGTCAGTATTTAAAAATCAGGCTGGTATAGTGTCTCACACCTGTAATCCCAGCACTTTGGGAGCTCACTGCAACCTCAAACTCTTAAGCTCAAGCAATCCTCCTGCCTCAGCCTCCTGAGTAGCTGAGACTACAGGTGCACACCAGCATGCCACGCTAATTTTTAATTTTTTTGTAGAGATGGGATCTCGCTGTGTTGCCCAAGCTGGTCTCTAACTCCTGGGCTCAAGTGACCCTCTTGCCTATGCCTCCCGAAGTGCTGGTGTGAGCTGTTGCACCCAGCCAAAATACGGCAGATTTGTAGTACCCCAGAAGGCTCCTTCCTGACCTACACTTTCCCACAAAGGAAACTACTCTTCTGACTTCAATCATCGTCAGTTCTGCCTTCCTGCGCTTCATCTAGGTGGGCTGGTACTGTGCACTGTCTCTCATACCTGGCTCCCTCTATTCACCCATGTCGTTGAGTGTTCCTACCACTTCATTTTTCTTTTTTGGCTGTGTAGTATTCCATGATGTGACTGTATCACCATTTATTCACTCTCCTGTTGATGGACATTTAGGTTGTTTTCATTTGGGGCTCTTATGAATAAAAATGGCAGTGAACATTCTTATATAAGTCTTTTTGTGGACATATGCACTCGTTTCTCTTGTGTACATGCTTAGGATGGAATTTCTGAAGGTAGGCATAGATATAGCTTTAGTGGAAGCTGCCAAACAGGTTTCCAATGTGCTTATACAATTTTATGCTACTGCCAGCTTGACAGTTCTTGTAGCTCTACATCTTTACCAATACTCTGTATAACACAGCATTTAACTTTAAATAGAGATAAAACGATGGTAAGATCCAAAGAAGTGCGCATGTTCCTGAAGAACATCCAGTAAAGGGCCTATTTTATTCATCTGTTTCGGGCACTGAAAACCACTGCATGGCCGGATGAGGAAGGAGGCCTGGTACAACTCCCAAGAAGGCATGTGTCCCTCGGGTGGGCTTTGTTTCCCAGAAACTCTGGGGAAGGGGTGGAGAGGCACCTTCTGGGCCAGCTGGTCTCCTCTGGCTTTTCTTGTACCCTAGGGCTCCCTCCAAAGAGACAGAGAACAGCCTGGCCGGGGAGCAGTATCTCCTACTGCGCTTGCTGTGAGCCAGCCACTCTGCCTTCTTTCAGGAATTACAAAATCCACAGGTCCCCGGCATCCTTATTTATGTATTTATTCATTTATGAGGCATGGTTTTCCTCAGCTCTGTTGGATGGGTCTCTGTGAAGGGAGCTTGGTGGGGGCGAGTGGCCCCTCCCTGGAGGAGGCAGGCCCCTGGTCAGGATCTTTGGGGCTCCAGATCTCATAAGTGGGGGGCCAGGCTCCCTAGAGAAACCCTTCTTGGCTAGGGCTGGGGAGCCCACCAGAGTGACCCAATCAGTTCTCAGGGCCTGTGATGGGGCCAAGTGGTTTTGAGAAGCCAGTGTTCAGCTCCATCCTAAAGAGCACTCATGCACGTTGAGGAGGAGGGCCGGGGTGCACAGCCCTGACCTGAGTCAGACCCACCTCAGGACTAAGCCCAGCAGGAGGCCCAGAGTCACTGACCATAAAACGAGCAGATGCCTCCCCCGTGCTGATGGAGATGAGTCTTGGGCATCAACTCTAATAATTTCTAACTGCACCCAGAAATACTGATTCACACAGCAACTAGTGAATAATAGCCTTTTAGAGCTAAAAAAGCCTCATATGATTTATTGTAAATTAACATATGCATTTTACACAAACTAGAGGCACCGTGGTGGGCCAGCAGCAGCCTGTTCAGGGGCCACAACAAGGGAGATTGGATTTCCTTAAGTGCAATGGGAGTTACTGGCAAGGCTTTAAGGTTTTAGCCACAGGAAAGATGAAAGTATTTTAGAGCAATGTGGGTGGATTCAAAGTGAGGTTTTGAACTAGATCAATTTTTTTTTTTTTTTAGACAGAGTCTGACTCTTATTGCCCAGGCTGGAGTGCAGTGGTGCTATCTTGGCTCACTGCAACCTCTGCCACCCAGGTTCAAGCAATTCTCCTGCCTCAGCCTCCTGAATAGCTGGGATTACAGGCACCTGCCACCAAGCCCGGCAAATTTTTGTATTTTTAGTAGAGACGGGGTTTCACCATCTTGGCCAGGCAGTTCTTGAACTCCTGACCTCGTGATCCACCTGCCTTGGCATCCCAAAGCATTAATTTTTTTTTTTTTTTTTTGAGACGAAGTCTTGCTGTGTCGCCCAGGCTGGAGTGCAGTGGCCCGATGTCGGCTCACTGCAAGCTCCGCCTCCCAGGTTCACGCCAGTCTCCTGACTCAGCCTCCCGAGTAGCTGGGACTACAGGCGCCCGCCACGATGCCCAGCTAATTTTTTGTATTTTTTTTAGTAGAGATGGGGTTTCACCGTGTTAGCCAGGGTGGTCTCAATCTCCTGACTTCCTGATCTGTCCGCCTTGGCCTCCCAAAGTGCTGGGATTACAGGGGTAAGCCACCACGCCCCTCCAAGTATTAAATTTTTTATTTAAAAAATCTCCCCTCTCCAAAGATCTCCCAGCATTTCTGCAGAGGTCTCTACCTAGGTAAGGAGAAGAAACTATTCTTGGCCGGGTACAGTGGCTCACGCCTGTAATACCAGCACTTTGGAAAGCCAAGGTTGGAGGATTCCTTGATCCCAGAAGTTCGAGACCAGCCTGGCCAACATGGTGAAACCCCATCTTTACCAAAAATACAAAAATTAGGTGGGTGTGGTGGAGTGTGCCTGTAGTCCCAGCTACTCAGGAGGCTGAGGTAGAAGGATCGCTTGGGCCTGGGAGGCTGCAGTGAACCAAGGTGGTGCCACTGCACTCCAGCCTGGGTAACAGAGATCCTGTCTCAAAAAAAAAAAAATTATTTGTGAGGGTGAAATTTAAATACCTTTGTGCATAGCTATCAGTTATTCTTTGTTTTAATATTTAGTTTATTGTGAAATATAACACATATAGAAACATACATAAAACAACACACAGGGCCAGGCCCGGTGGGTCACGCCTTGTAATCCCAGCACTTTGGGAGGCCGAGGCGGGCGGATTACTTGAGGTGAGGAGTTTGAGACCAGCCTGGCCAACATGGTGAAACCCCATCTCTACTAAAAATACAAAAATTAGTCGGATGTGGTGGTGCATGCCTGTAATCCCAGCTACTTGGGAGGCTGAGGCAGGAGAATCGCTTGAACCAGGGAGGCAGAAGTTACAGTGAACCAAGATCGTGCTACTGCACTCCAGCCTGGGCAATAGAGTCAGACTGTGTCTAAAAAAAAAGAAAAAAAATATAGGCCGGGTGTGGTGGCTCACGCCTGTAATCCCAGCATTTTGGGAGGCCGAGGCGGGCAGATCACTTGAGGTCAGGAGTTCGAGACCAGCCTGACCAACATGGAGAAACCCCATCCCTACTAAAAGTACAAAATTAGCCGGGCATGGTGTTGCATGACTGAAATCCCAGCTACTTTGGAGGCTGAGGCAGGAGAATCGCTTGAATCTGGGAGGTAGAGGTTGTTTTGAGCTGAGATCACGCCATTGTACTCCAGCCTGGGCAACAAGAGCGAAACTCCGTCTCAAACAAACAAAAAACCAAACAAAAACAAAAAACACAGTGTAACATGTTATTATAAAGTCACTGCTCAGGGACCAACTTGGCCGCTCCTGTGCCTCTAGAGGGAAGCTCCTTCCCACTGTTCTTTAGAGTTTTATATGTTAAGTACAGGAGTCAACAAACTAGGCCTATGCCCCACATCTGGCACCCAGCCTTTATTTATTTTTTGAGATGGCGTCTCACTCTGTCACCCTGGCTGCAGTGTGGTAGCACAATCTCAGCTCACTGCAACCTCCACCTCCCAGATTCAAGCAATTCTCCTGCCTCAGCCTCCTGAGTAGCTGGGATTACAGGTGTGTGCCACCACACCCGCCTAATTTTTATATTTTTGGTAGAGACGGGGTTTCACCATGTTGGTCTGGTCTCGAACTCCTGACGTCAGGTGATCCGCCTGCGTTGCCCTCTCAAAGTGCTGGGATTACAGGCATGAGGCATGATGCCTGACCCAGCCTTTTTTAAAATGAAGGTTTCGGCTGGCACGGTGGCTCATGTCTGTAGTCCCAGCATTTTGGGAGGCCAAGGCAGGTGGATCACCTGAGGTCAGTAGTTGGAGACCACCCTGGCCAACATGGTGAAACCCTGTCTGTACCAAAATACAAAAATTAGCTGGGCGTGATGGCAGGCACATGTAATGCCAGGTACTCGGGAGCCTGAGGCACGACAATCACTTGAACCTGGGAGGCGGAGGTTGCAGTGAGCCAAGATCACACGATTGCACTCCAGCCTGGGCAACGAGCGAAACTCCATCTCAAAATATAATAATAAAAAAAAGGATGTCCTTTTTTGTCTCTCAACCCCGTTTTTTATTTTTTTTTATTTTCAGACAGGGTCTCGCTCTGTTGCCCAGGGTGGAGTGCAGGGGCCCGATCTTAGCTCACTGTGGCCTCAACTTCCCCAGCTCACATGATCCTCCCACCTCAGCCTCCCAAATAGCTGGGACCACAGGTGGGTACCACCATGCCCGCCTAATTTTTGTATTTTTTGTAGAGATTGGATTATGCCATGTTGCTCAGGCTGATCTCGAACTTCTGGGCTCAAGTATCTCTCTGCCTCCACCTCCCAAAGTGCTGGGATTGCAGGCCTGAGCTACCATGCCCAGCCCTGCTTTAATTTAAAGTGTATTACATTTGATATTAGTACAGCCCCTTCAGCTCTTTTTTGGTTACTATTTTAATTGTATCTTTGTATCCCTTTACTTTCAATCTGTTTCTGTATTTAAAATGTTTATCTTGTAGATAGCACATTGGTGGATCATATTTTGTTCTTCAATCCTTTCAGCCAGTCTGCTTTTCTTTCTTTCTTTCTGAGACAGAGTTTTCCTTTTGTCACCCAGGCTGGAGCGCTATGGTGCGATCTCAGCTCACTGCAACCTCTGCCTCCTGGGTTCAAGAGATTCTCCAGCCTCAGCCTCCTGAGTAGCTGGGATTACAGGTGCGTGCCACCAGGCCTGACTAATTTTTGTATTTTTAGTAGAGACAGGGGTTTCTTCATGTCGGTCAGGCTGGTCTTGAACTCCTCACCTCAGGTGATCCACCGCCTCAGCCTCCCAAAGTGCAGGCATTACACGCGTAAACCACTGCGCCCGGCCAAAGTGGTGGATTTTTTTTCTCAGAAAATCTATTCCATTCTTTTTCCAGAAACCAAATTTGTACAAGTTAACTAAAATAAATATTTATACTCTAATTTTTTTGTTCTGAGGTCTTACTGAGTTTTTAGAATTTTATCTTTACATGTTTAGAAAAATTAGAAAATATAAATAGAACATAACCAAGAAAATAATAACAACTTTCCTTCTGTTCAAAGTTCATTACTATTAGCCGAGTGCAGTGACTCACACCTGTAATCCCAGCATTTTGGGAGACTGAGGCGGGCGGATCACTTGAGCCCAGGAGTTCGAGACCAGCCTGGGCAACATGGCAAAATCCCGTCTACAAAAACTACAAAAATTAGCCAGGTGTGGTTCCATGTGCCTGCAGTCCCAGCTAGTGGCAAGGCTGAGGTGGAGAACCACCTGAACCCGGTAAGTCAAGGCTGCAGTGGTGCAGCCTCTGACCCCCAGGCTGGAGTGCAGTGGTGCAATGTCGGCTCACTGCAACCTCCGCCTCCCGGGTTCAAGCGATTCTCCTGCCTCGGCCTCCCGAGTAGCTGGGATTACAGTCACGTGCCACCACACCTGGCTAATCTTTGTATTTTCAGTAGAGAAGGGGTCTCATCATGTTGGCCAGGCTGGTTTTGAACTCCTGACCTCAAATGATCCACCTGCTCTGGCCTCCCAAAGTGCTGGGATTACAGGCGTGAGCCACCACGCCCGGCCGTTATTTTTCTTTCTTAGAGGCAGGATCTCACTCTGTCGCCCAGGCTGGAGTGCAGTGGCACGATCTCAGCTCACTGTAGCATTGATCTCCCAGGCTCAGGCGATTCTCCTGTCTCAGCCTCCCGAGCAGCTGGGATCACAGGTGTGTGCCACCACACCTGGCTAATTGTTAAATTTTTTTATTTTTATTTTTTAGAGATGGGGTCTTGCTATGTTGCCCAGTCTGGCAACATGGGATCCTCCAACTCCTGGCTTCGAGGGATCCTCCCGCTTCGGCCTCCCAAAGCGCTGAGAATTACATACGTGAGCCACCATGCCCGGCCTATATTGTTTTATAGTTCTTCAATTTTGTTTTGTGGTCGCTGGAGGTGTTTCCTTCTTCGATTCCCTGCACAGTGCTTCCACAGCTGCTCCATGGAATCTGCCCAAGACTTTTGCTGCGTTCAGTTGAACACACAGGAGGAAGCTCTTCAGGCCCCAGCCAGCCGACCGCACAAAGATGCGTTCTCATACCCAGGGGAGCTGGTCTCGCCACTCGACCCGCGCCCTGGATAGCTATAGTTAGTGTGAGCGCCACCACCCGCCGCGGCGTGATCAAGAGCGCTCCGGGCCAACCAGTCTCCCGTGGGAGTGCGGGAGTGCGTGCGTGCGGCGGAAATCCCGCCTTCCGGCGCCCGCTGTTGGCCTTGGCCGCAGCCAGGGCGCTCCAAGTAGGAAGATAAGCGGGATTGCTGGAAGCGGGAGAGTCGGGAGGAGCGGCGAAGGGCTCCTCTTCCCCATTGGCTGCGCCCACGGAGCAGCCTCGTTGCGATTGGCCGTACGCGGGGGGCGGCAGTCCCGCGTCGGCCCGCCCCTCGGGCCGCGAGAGGCGCCGGGATCGCGGGCGCCGGCTGAGCCAGCGGCTCTTGGGAGGCTGCGTCCGCACGCCGGCGGGGCGAGGCGGCCCGGCCCTGCGCGTCAGGTCCTGGCCTGGGGCACCTGGGCGGCCGGTGGCGGGGGCGGTACGGGCGTGGGGCTGGCGGGCGGCCGAGCCCGGGAGGCGGGCGTGGGCGCGGCCGCACCGGGGCCTGCGCGGACCACCCGCGGGGCAGCCTCGGGCCTCTCTCCATCTCTTAAGTGGTGGTGGCTGTGGGTTTTTCTGCAGGCGATCCTTTTGAGTAATTTGTTTCACGCACGCGCCCTGCTGTGGGGTAAAGCGGCAGATTCATGCTGCTGTCATTTGTCGTTAAAACGATGGGCTCCCTGTTATGTGTGTACTTCTTGGATTTGAGGGCAGGGGGATGACATTGTGACTTGGCTTCCTGTGACCGTCCATTCTCAAGGTCTCGTCAGCGTGGTGCAGAAACTCGGCACACCCTGCCTACCTTGGAAGGAGGCTTTCCCTTCCCCACCTCCCTCTCCCTCCATCTCTTCCCTGTTTCCCTCTCTCCCCTTCTCTCCCCTCCACCAGCTCTTCTCTCCCCCCTTTCTGTTCTCTCTCTCTTTTTTCCTTTCTGCATTGAACCTTTCGGGAGTGTCTTTGTAAACTATTAAAAAGCGTTAGGTCTTCAACGTATGTGTTTACTTGCAGGCCTGAGACCTGGGAGGAAGCTGGAGAAAAGATGCCCTCTGAATCTTTGTGTTTGGCTGCCCGGGCTCGCCTCGACTCCAAATGGTTGAAAACAGATATACAGGTGGGGTTTGACATGTCTTTTTCTTGGTGTGTTTCTGCTTCCATGTTTAAATTTCTCGTGTAAAGCTTTTTTTTAGGGTATGTAAGGGGAAGTCAGTTGTATCTTGCTGAATTAGAGGAGCAGGTTTATTTCCTGTAACTTAAAATGTAACAGTCTTTATGGCTGTTTTTGTAGATCGTGCGCGGCTGCCTTTTAATTAGTTTCTTGTAAGTGCACGAAACTTGAGATCTATTAGTAGGCAAAATTTTTTTCCTATTTATTATTACTGGTTAAGAAATCTGCCACACTCCTAACCATATCATGGTGACTGTTGTTTGTTACTGATCGTTTTTGAGCTGTTGAGTTAACTGTGGAGGGGAAAATTGGAGAAGTAAGTTGCAGTAATTATGGCCTGTAGAAACTCACTGACTTTATGAGGTCTTGTGTTTGTGTTTCTGGAGAGGTGAGTTAGTTCAGTCGAGCTATTTGTTTTGTGTTTGTAGCCAGTACAAGGTCTAAGGATAATTGTGTTGAAACTGAAGTCATGATGTTGGGATCTTAAGGGCTGAAGGTTCCAAATAAATGGTATATATAGAATTCTCTCTGACTTGAAATTTTCGCTTTCTGGACCTCCGGATGCTGAGGCTAAGAGTGTCCATATGATAGTGCCTTCCATGGCAGGAGTCAGCAACCTTTTTTTCTTTTTTCTTTCACGTATCTGTGATTCATTCTGTATATTTTAAAAAGTTTTAACCTCTTCTTTCTAGCCCTCCAGTATTTGTTAATAAATTAAAACGTTTCCCGAAGTGTTTTTTGTGAAACAATAATTCTAAAAGATGCTCTAAGAAAAGCTAAGTACATGGAAAAATCCAAAGTATATGTTTTATTTATTACCTTTGATGAATTTGTTGTTTGCTTCTTTTTCCTCTCGAGAGGGTGTCTTGCTCTGTCGCTCAGGCTGGAGTGCAGTGGCATGATCTTGGCTCACTGCAACCTCCGCCTCCCTGGTTCAAGCAGTTCTCTGCCTCCCTAGTTCAAGCAGTTCTCTGCCTTAGCCTCCTGAGTAGCTAGGATTACAAGCACCCTTCACCATGCCCAGCTAATTTTTGTATTTTTGGTAGAGATGGAGTTTCATCATATTGGCCAGGCTGGTCTTGAACTCCTGACCTCACGATCCGCCCGCCACAGCGTCCCAAAGTGTTGGGATTACAGGCTTGAGCCTCCCCGCCCGGCCCATATTTGATGAATATATTTGTCCTTTGTTCTTTTAAAAATCGTGGTTAGAAAGCAGAGCATAATTGTTCTTTATGTAGATCCCAACTGATTGGGGTTTTTAGGGAGATTTTCTGGCATTCAGTAAATGTTTTTATTTTCTATTATTAAGGCTATGAATATTTTGTTTTATTTTCTGAGACAGGGTCTTGCTCTGTTGCCCAGGCTGGAGTACAGTGGCATGATCTTGGCTCACTGCAACCTCTGCCTCCCTGGTTCAAGCAATTCTCCTGCCTCAGCCTCTCGAGCTGTTGGGATTACAGGTGCCTGCCACCACGCCGGGCCAATTTTTGTATTTTTAGTAGAGTTGGAGTTTCACCATGCTGGCCAAGTTGGTCTGAAACTCCTGACCTCAAGTGATCCGCCCGCCTCGGCCTCCCAGCGTGCTGGGATTGCAGGTGTGAGCCACTGCACTTGGCCCATTTTCACTTTTCATTAGCTGCTTTTATCCCCCATTTATTTCCTACCTTTCTGTGTATGATTTCTGAATTCAATGTGTTTCATGTCTTAACCTTCTGAATTGTTTGTTCTCTCATTTTCCATGTTGTTAAGGAAAATAAGAGGCTAAGTGAGACATACTAAATTTGCATGTAGTTTCTCAGATCAGGATAAATGCTCACCTGTTGCAGAACGAGACTCTGCTGTTGCTTTACCCAGGATGTGTTTCCTAGTTCCTTCCTAGAGTGGGGCCACACCCTACTCCAGCCCTCCAGACCCAGCTCCCTGCTCTGACATGATTCCACCAGACTGTATTCCAGCTGTCTTCCCTAACCTGGACCTAGATATTTTCTTTGTTTTTTTGTGTTTTTGTTTTTGGTTTTTTTGTGATGACGTTTCACTTGGCGGTCCAGGCTGGAGTGCAGTGGCGTAATCTCGGCTCACTTCAACCTCCGCCTTCCAGGTTTAAGCGATTCTCCTGCCTCAGGCTCCCAAGTAGCTGGGATTACAGGCACGTGCCACCAAACCTGGCTAATTTTTGCATTTTTAGTAGAGACGGGGTTTCACCTTGTTGGCCAGGCTGGTCTCGAAATCCTGACCTTGCGATCTGTTCGCCTCGGCCTCCCAAAGTGCTGGGATTACAGGTGTGAGCCACAGCACCCAGCCAACATTTTTTTTTATTAAAAAACTTATATGAAATTTATTTTATTGTGGTATCTAGTTGAGTAAATTTTGATCTCTATAGATTCATGTAACCCTCATCATCATCAGGACGGAGACGTGTCATCACCCCAAAAGCTCCCTTGTGCTGCTCCTTTTTATCACCTGTTCCCTGGTCTCATACCCTGGCAACCACTGATCTGTTCTCCATCAGTATAGGGTATTCTTTTTGAGAATGTCATGTGAGTGGAACCATATTTTAAGTAACGTTTTGAAACCATCTTCATTTATTCCTAGTTATATGTTTGAGATTTGTTGTTGTTCTGTGTATTAATAGTTCTTTTTATTGCTGAATGGTATTTCATCATTTGGATGTACCACATGGTGTTTATCCATTCTGCTATTGTAGGACCTTGTGGTTGTTTCCATTTTTCTTTCCCAATTGTAATCCTGCTGTGAGCATTTCTGTACAGATTTTGTGTGAATATAGTTTCCATTTCCCTAGGATAAAGACCTAGTAGTGTGAAAGTTGGGTCATGTGCTGAACTGTTTTCCGAAGTGGCTGTTTTAGTTTGCATTCCCACTGGCAATCTGTCACGTTTCTGTTGCTCTGTGTCTTTGTTAGCACTTGGTGTTATCAGTGTTTTTTAGTTGAGCCATTCTAACAAGTCTAGTGGGATCTCATTGTGGTTTTAATTTGCACTTCCGTAATGGCTAAGAATGCTGAGTATCGTGTTCTTCTTTGCCACTCTTGTATCCTCTGTGAAGTTTCTGTTCAGATCTTTTGCACAGAAAAAGCTGTATCATGGAACCAGTAAAATAACCAAGGAGAGGTTGATTAAAGTTCTGTTTATAACCCTAGAAGATTCCTGCCCTAGGGATATGGGATGGCTGAACGTAGGACACCGACACTGGACAGATGAAATAGCAGTTTATTAGTCATGCATGCTCACAGCCCTGGGGTGGGGGACACCGCATGCCACACGGGGGCTGCACTTGGGAACAGAGTGAACCACGAGGGGCTGTGGAAGGCAAAATTTGTAGTAACAGGAGGGTGAGATGACCTTGCTTCCATGGGAAGATGTGATTGGCTTGTTTGAATAACTCTGGGCCGGCAGGGATGAGCAGACTGGAGTCAGCTCTCCGCCATAAGGAGGCTGTTTGGCTTTGGGACCTGATCTGTGGGAGCAGAGCTTGGAGGAGACCTTGTGGTTAGGCTATTTGAGGCCTTCTTGATTTTACCGACGTCAAGGCAGCACATAATATTTAGTCTTCATTTCAGGCCACACAAGACATTCTTATATATCTACACTCTGTGGCACTTTTTGAAGGGTTTTGTCCTTAGTGTTTAGCAGTTGATTATGATGTGCCTTGTCATGGCTTCTTTTGGATTTATCTTGTGTGGGCTTTGCACAGATTCTTTAATCTGCCTGGGTTTATGTCATTTGCTGAACCTAGGAAGTTTTCAGCCATTAGTTCTTTGGATATTTTTTTCAGCATTCACCTTTTCTCTCCTGTTATTAACCTGTGGGGTCTGTGCTAATTCTAGGTAGTTAGTTTCAGAATCGAATTGCATTGTGGGACACATAGCTGGGTGTCACAAAGAACTGGAGAACTGCTTGGTGCAAAAGTCCATACGTTTGATGTCAGAAGTGTTGTAAACAGAGGAACTGTTTCCTTAGAGATTTTTAGATACTCATTATTTGTAATCTGGATGGGATATCATGTCTTTCACCGATTGAGATACATTTTTCTAATTATGTTGTTTAGACATTTAGTCACAGCCTTCTGTGATGGAGTGTGTTTACACTTCAAGGTTAAGGTTCTCTCTTCTCTTCGCTTACTGTGTAAGGAGTTTTATGACAGTTGTTTTTGACTGAAACTTGACATTGTCAGTGGCCTAAAGTCATTTTTCTCAGCTTTTCCTTTGTGTCCCAGTGCTCTTGAATTATGCTATCAGTCACAGTGCCCCTGCATAGCACTGCTTCCCAGTTGGCAGTGGAGTAGGGCCTTGTAAAGAGTTAAAAGATTTTTGAATCATACTCCTGTTCTACACCCTCCCTTTTCCCATGGGTGCACATGCATTGGGACTCACTGGATAAAAGCAATTGGTGTGAAACTGAAGTAGGTAAATATCAAAGACTAAGTTTCTCTGTTGTGAAATCTACTAGGAAGCTAATGAAATATCATTTTGGAAGACATGCTTTAAATAATTTGATATATTGGTTTGTTTTCTTTTCTTTTCTTTTTTTTTTTTCAGATGGAGTCTTGCTCTGTTGCCCAGGCTGGAGTGCAGTGGTGCCATCTTGGCTCACTGCAAGCTCTGCCTCCTGGGTTCATGCCATTGTCCTGCCTCAGCCTCCTGAGTAGCTGGAACTATAGACGTCCACCATCATACCTGGTGAATTTTTGTATTTTTAGTAGAGACGGGGTTTTACCATGTTAGCCAAGATGGTCTCCATCTTCTGACCTCGTGATCCACCCACCTCGGCCTCTTAGAGTGCTTGGGATTACAGGCGTAAGCCACCACTCCCGGCCGATATATTGCTTTATGAAAATTATACTGGATCTGTTACAGGTACGATTGATGTATTTTATTTTTAAGTTGTCAAACATTCAGTTAATGATGTGTGTTGTAACTTTTCGGGGAGGGACATTTGCAGAGACTGACAGATGGTATGGCATTCTGAAAAGCGGTTACAGATTAAAAAAATTTTAATTCTGCAGATGATAGTGTTGAACCAAGTGGAACAAAGAAAGAAGATCTGGATGACAGAGAGAAAAAAGATGAAACTCCTGCACCTGTATATGGGGCCAAGTCAATTCTGGAGAGCTGGGTATGGAGTAAGCAACCAGGTAATCTTTGATCAGAGATAGAAATTAGTGTAGACATTTTGCCTCCAGATCCTCAAGTGGTTTTAGAAATTGGTTCTCTAATTCTGTGGGAGAAGGTTGATACTGGTATAGTCTTACACGTCATTGAAACTGGAAAAGATAGCTAGATATTCTCCTACTCATGTTTTGGATAATGAGATAAATTATTTTATGCTTCACACACTTGGAGTATGTCATCTACTGTAATATAGTATCTGAATGAATACTTTAAATAAAATACATTTCTGTAAATTAATTGTATACTTTAAAAATCTGTGAATAAATTTGAGTAGCAAGTCTCAGAAGCTTGATTCTAAATATTAAAGATACATCCTTCCTTGGGAGGGAGCATGTAGCAAATGTGTTACTGTGATTGTAAGCATGCTGTCTTTCTGGAGGTCGCTTCGTTCCTGCATCCACTGTTTTCATTTCAGGGATGTTCACGGAATACCAGGCACTAAAGGGCCAGAATCATCCCCCTACAGGACCAGCACTTGGCCCTGGCCATCCTGCTGGAGCTGGCTGTGCAGAGAGGCATGCTGAGGTGAGGGCTGGTGCAGACCGGGAATGCTTTGGGGAAGCGCCTCTGTATCCAAATACCTGTTGCATTGTGTGCGTTTCACTGAATCGTGTGACTGCAGCAGGTGTGGTGCTCTACAGAGAACCATGTCCCAGGGCTCTCTCTTTTCCTTTTCTTCACTTCCTGTTTTATGCTCAGTTTTCTAGCCTGGGAACTGTTCTTCTTTTTTTTTCTTTCAGTTTTCCTCATTTAATTATTTTTATTCCATGAATTTAAGACCCTAGATCTTCATGTAAATGTGCTCTTTGAGCTTCTTAACTGGTCTTTCCTATCAGCAGAAGGCGATGTCTTGTGCTAAAATCTCAGTGTCAATTCAGTGATTTAACTACCACGGCTTTACTTTCGTTTCCTTTCATATCCCAAGTATTTCTTCACTTCTATCTAGCTGTTTGCTTTTATTTTTGATCAACCATGAAAAAAAAAAAAGTTAATCTGTTTTTACTAGGAATAAATATGTTTTCTTCTTTAGCCAAATGTTGTCTGCCATCCTGTTGTTGCTTCAGCTGTGGGACAGCGGGGCACAGGAGACTGACAATGAGCGTTCCGCCCAGGGCACCAGCGCCCCGCTTTTGCCCTTGCTGCAAAGGTTCCAGAGCATCATTTGCAGGAAGGATGCACCCCACTCCGAGGGCGACATGCACGTGAGTGTCATGATGGAACTTTGTGTTTAGGTGGCACTCGAGTCTAGTTATTTTTTACGCAAGACCAGCGTGCTTGTGCATGGCAGTGTTTTTCTCTGGTGTCTGTGTGTTTGGTGGTAACAGCAGCGAGTCAGATGAGACAGGTGTGGGAGGCCACTTGTTTGTGGAGAAGACTCAGATCAGTGCGCGCCGACTTCCTTGTCAGCACAGAACCAAGCTTGAAACATGCACTTTTAAATCAATACCAGAAAAGAACAACGAAAATAGTGGCTTGCTTTGTTGGCCCTTCCTTTGTACTGGGCTCTGTGCAGGGCATGTCACCTGAGCTGTCACTGTGTTTAGTACCAGCCCCCCCCTTAATAGGTGTGGACGTCTTCCTGAACAGCCTGAAGCAGACGGTGGTGACCCTGGCAAGCAGCGCAGACGTGCTGAGCACCGAGCAGTCGGCCTCCCAGGCCATGCTGCAGAGCGGCTGGTCCATGCTGTTGCCCACCGCTGAGAAGCAGGCCCGGGCACTCTGCTCTCCTGCCCTGCGGAGGTGGGCTCGGGGAAGGAACAGGAGAGGCCATGGGTCAGGGTGCTGGGAGGGGATGGCGTTTCACTCAAATTGGCACACACTTTCTATTTCAGTTTCAGGCAATGAAGTGAGCATAAGTCCAGGTCATCGATTGGTGATTGATCTTCTGGTGGGCAGCTTGATGGCTGCTGGAGGGTTGGAGTCAGCCTTACACGCAGCCATTACTGCAGAGATCCAGGTATGGCCTTGGAGGCACACGTGACCTGGTGGTGGGCTGAGATCGGAAATACCACACTCACACATGTGAAGAATAACTGAAAACAGTAAAACACTAAACTTATATCCAAGTATTTTTTTAAATTAAAATTCTTTTTTGTGCTAATTTTAAAAATTACTGAGATGATTTAATTGTGATAAAATACTGCATGTTGTCTGTTTCAGTGAAGTTAACAGGTAACCTGTTCCTCATGTAGACCATTCCCGTCACCCGGAAAGATCCCTGTGCTCCTTGGCACTTGCAGCCAGGATACTCCCCTGCCCTGAGATTAGATTCATTTTTCCTGCTCTGAGTGTCGCAGCAATATAACTGTATAGTATGCACTCTTTCCTGCTTTGCCTTGGAGAATGATTTTCAGATTCGCTCACTGTTGTGTGTATTGCGACTTCGTTTTTATTATTGGGAAGTTTTCCATTTTATAGGTGTAGTACTGTTTGTTAGTTCATTCTCCTATTGAAGGACATGTAATTGTTTTTGGTTTTTGTTTTCTTTTTTTTTTTTTTTTTTTTTTTTTTTTGAGACAGGGTCTTGCTCTGTCACCCAGGCTGTATACAGTGACCTGATGTTGGCTCACTGCAGCCTTGTACTCCTAGGCTCAAATGATCCTCCCACCTCAGCCTCCTGTGTTGCAGGGACCACATACATGTCACCATGCCCGGCTAGTTTTTTGATTTTTTTGTAGAGACAAGGTTTCACTGTGTTGCAAGGCTGGTCTTCAACTCCTGGGCTCCAGTGATCCCCCCACCTTGGCCTCCCAAAGTGTTGGGATTACAAGCGTGAGCCACCGCGCCCAGGCTTTCTGGTTTTTGGCCGTGTAGAGCTGCCACAATTGTGCTGTGAACAAGTACTTCAGTGAACATATGTTCTCCCTTTGGATAAACACTTGGAGTGGAATTTGTTAGGTCCTGGGGTTAGTGTGTGTTCATAGTTTCCCAAAGTGGCTTTGCCATTTGCATTTGAACCAGGACTTTTGTGTGTGAGAATTCTAGCTCCTTCTTGTCCTTACAGAGCAGCTGGATGCTGCGTGTGTGGAGCCGATCACATTGGGTTTTGTGTGAGCCATTAGCAGGGTTAAGGATTTTAGGGACTTCACAGAAGGAGGCTGGAGAGCATCAGCAGAGGCAGCCTAGACCTTGGATCTGTAAAAAGAAGACACTGTTTGAAACTGCACAAATGAGTTGGGGTTTTCAACAGGGCAGGTGGGGGCCTGTGGGTGGATGGGTGTGGCAGCCACAGAGGCTGGGATAGCTTGGCACTGGGGTCAGGGCTCAGCCAGCCTGTGTGCCTTCACACCTGGTAATGAGATCACTTGTAAACAATTTCTGTTTATCAATTACAGGATACAAAAAAAGAAGCACGGAAGGAAAAAGAAATTTATGAACAGGAAGCAAATGCCTCAACATTTCATAGAAGGAGGACTCCATTGGATAAAGGCCTTATTAATACGGGGATCTGTGAGTCTTCTGGCAAACAGTGTTTGCCTCTGGTTCAGCTCATACAACAGCTTCTTAGGTAAATCATATTAGCTGTATTGTATTGTGTTTTATTTATTTACTTTTTTGTTTTTTGAGACAGAGTTTCGCTCTTGTTGCCCAGGCCGGAGTGCAGTGGTGCGATCTTGACTCACTGCAACCTCCGCCTCCCAGGTTCAAGTAATTCCTCTGCCTCAGCCTCTCGAGCAGCTGGGATTACAGGCATGCGCCACCATGCCCCACTAATTTTGTAGTTTTGTTAGAGACAGGGTTTCTTCATGTTGGTCAGGCCGGTCTTGAACTCCCGACCTCAGGTGGTCCATCCACTTTGGCCTCCCAAAATGTTGGGATTACAGGCATTAGCCACCACGCCTGGCCTATTTATTTACTTATTAATGGTGTTTTTTTTTTGTTTTTTTTTTTTTTTGAGATGGAGTCTTGCTCTATCGTCCAGGCTGGAGTGCAGTGTCACGATCTTGGCTCACTGCAACCCCCGCCTCCTGGGTTCAAGCTATTCTCCTGCCTCAGCCTCCCGAGTAGCTGGGACTACAGGCGTCTGCAACCACACCTGGCTGATTTTTGTATTTTTAGTAGAGATGGGGTTTTACCATATTGGTCAGGCTGGTCTCAAATTCCTGACGTCAGGTGACCCACCTGCCTTGGCCTCTCAAAATGTTGGGATTACAGGTGTTAGCCACTGTGCCTGGCCTGTATTGTATTTTAATAGGTGATTATTGGTTTTCATATTAAGATAGTGAAATCTAGCGCAAGGATCTCAAAAATTTGTTTGATGATTGAAGGAATATTCTGAAAATTACCTAGTATAGATGTTAGGATAAAGAGCAGACCCTTTTCAATATAGGTGAGAGGAGAAGTTGGAGGGTGTGATGATACTCAAAAGTTTTTCACTGAAGAGAAATTGGGGCGTGCAGTAAACATGTAAAAAGATTCTTACTAATAAGCAGGTGGATGCAAATGAAAATCATCATGGAAGGTTATTTTTAAAACTGGTTCTATCATTGCCTCACTTTATATATTACAGAGTTATACATACTACTTTGTAAGATAACTTTTCTTTTCAAAACTGAAGTCAATGTGATAGAATGGTGAGCATTATTTTGGAAGGCCAGACTAGGAGGAGGTGGGAGGAAGAAGTCAGACTCAGCCTGTGAACAGACGCTAACCTTGGCAGAAGCCAAAACAGTCAGACAGTGTTGTCTAAAAATGATCATTCAAGAAGAGCGAAACAGCAAGGTGATTTGTGAAAGAGATTTATTAGAAAATGAAACACATTTATACCTCTGTTCAATAAAAATCTGCTTTTCGTCAACTGATGCTCCTGGTTTTTGTTTCTACACATAGAGAAAGCAGAGCCCTGGCAGCTTGGGTCAGGCAGCCGAGTACAGACCAGGGAGCCCTGGGCAGTGGCTGCAGCTCTCAGCTGGCCTGTTCATGGGGCCATGGTGGGTCTGTGGCGTGGGGTGGGCCTGTGGCGTGGGGTGGGCCCGCGGCGTGGGGTGGGCCTGCGGCATGGGGTGGGCCCGCGGCATGGGGTGGGCCTGCTGTCCACAGCCAGAAAAACTAACTTAGTGCACACACAGTGAAATTTTGAAACAGGAAGTTTTAGAGCTAGTTTCTGTCATAGATTTTAGTAAATGCTATTTTGCAAAACCTTTTTCTGATGTTTGTTTTGTTTTTCTAATCTGATAATGCATATTTCACACATTCTGGTCTTTAACAAATGGAAATAAAGAGAACTAAACAATATAGTTTGTGTCGATGGAAAGAGCTTGGGATTTGTTCTCAGAAAATTTCAGTTACAACAGTTTGTTCATATAGGTGGACTTCCAACACAGTAACTATGGGAGTAAGAATAAAAGCTGTGTTTACTTTCACAGAGTTAATTAAGAATACATGAGAAAATGGATGTTAAAAACCTTGTAATTAAAATGTACAGTTACATGCAAAGTTTTAAAGTGAGCATTTTCCAGAGGTGCTTTTCTAAGTTCTTGAATGCCTCTCCCTTTTCTGAAGTGGCTGCTTCGTGGGGCTGTTGGTCTTTGGCAGGGGGTGAGTGCAGGGTTCCTGTTGTGGGTCCTTTGTTCTCACGAGGGCAGTGCCCGTTTTCCCCGTCTCCTGCTTGCCCAGACTGTTCCCGTGCGCAGAGAGACTGGCCTGTTTGACCTGCAGCTGTGCTGTTTGAGCTGCAGCTGTGTAGCCTGCGCTGGCCCATCTGGCTACACTCAACACCGTTTGCTGATCAGCACTTGAAGTCTGTCCGTCATAGCTGAGACACTGAATATTTTATCTGTTTAATTTTTATTCATTAAAATGCAGGTTTGAAAATTTGATTCTGTTATTAGAAAGCACTTAAGTATGTTTAGAATCACTTGGCCTTGGGAGTCTACTTTGTCAACTGTGTATTTTATGAGTCTAAATGGAGATCAGATGTTTTCAATGCAAATTTCACGGTCCAAATTGAAATGTGTTACATATGTAAGCTACTCAGATGGTTTTTGAGGACTTAATATGAAATAACCTATGTAAAATATCTCAATAATTTTTCTTAGATTGATTTCATGTTGAAATGGTCATATTTTTGATCTGTTGGAATAACTATGATACATTATTAAAATTATTTTTATTTTTTAAGATGGAATCTTACTCTGTTGACCAGACTGGAGTGCAGTGGTGCAATCTTGGCTCACTGCAACCTCCGCCTCTTGTGTTCAAGTGATTCTCCTGCCTCAGCCTCCTGAGCAGCTGGGACTACAGGACTACAGACTCCCGAGCAGCTGGCACTACCACCACGCCTGGCTGATTTTTGTATTTTTGTAGAGACAGAGTTTCACCATGTTGGCCAGGCTGGTCTCGGACTCCTGACCTCAAGTAATCTGCCCGCTTTGGCTTCCCAGAGTGCTGGGATTACAGGCATGAGCCACTGCAACCAGCCATTATTACAATTAATTTTATGTGTTGTTGTTTTTCTTCTTGGTGTTTTTTTTTTTTTTTTTTTTTTACTTTTGTTAATGTGACTAAGAACAATTTTTTTTCCCCACCCGGAGATGGATCCTCACTCTGTTGCCTGGACTGGAGTGCAGTAGCACGATCTCAGCTCACTGCAGCCTCTGCCTCCTGGGTTCAAATGATTCTCCTGCCTCAACCTCCTGAGTGGCTGGGACTAACAGAAGCATGCCACCATACCTGGCTGATTTTTGTATTTTTAGTAGAGATGGGGTTTCACCATGTTGGCCAGGATGGTCTTGAACTCCCAACCTCAGGTAATCTGCCCACCTCAGCCTCCCAAAGTGTTGGGATTACAGGCGTGAGCCACCGCACCTGGCCATGTTTATTAATACGACTAAGAACATTTTGAATTGCACCTGTGGCTCCATTGGTGTCCTGGGCAGGTGGCTCTGTGCTGTCCACACAGGTTGTCTCCTGTGTCTTCGTCTTCGCTGCGTGTGACTTTTTGGTTCCTGTGGCACGTGGGGTCCTGTATGGGACATTGGTTCTACAGCAGATTTATAGTAAGGATGTACCTACTAAAAAATACAAAATAAAAAGAATAGACACAAACATAGAAATAAGTATCACCTCACAAAACTTTTGGAAAGTAGAAAAAGAAAAATGCATTCGCAGCTTTCCAGTAGCCGATATCCAGGCTGTCTTCATCAGCATGGATCATGTGTCCCTCTCCTGCATGGGTAGACACTGTTTTCTCACCTTAAGTGTTTGTGAGTGAAGGATTCTTGATGTGTTGACTTGGCAGATGCAGTTGTTGAACAGTAGTTTATCTAAAGATCGTAAGAGACTTTTGGAGACATTTCATGTCCTTTTTTCCCTTGGAAAACGTGGGTTGGAGAAATCGCTGCTTGCCAAAAATAAGCCGTGAAATGTATTTCAGAGTAGATCGTTATTTACATGCTGGCGAGGAGCCACAGAATACCATTTACATTTGAAAATAGAGCGCTGCGAAGTTTTTATAAGTAGTGAATCCCATCAGAATTACACATTTTGATTATGGCTCTAAATTTTATATTAAATAAACTAAAAATTTCATTGTATTGTATTACCGTCTCTTGCTCCTTCAGGTGTAGCATACATGCTAGATTCTAGACCTGTTTCTTGTGTTACAGTGGTGTTATCCAGGCAGGGTATCATGTAGTGAAGGTGATGTCGAGTGGTGGTGGTGAGCCCAGTGAAGGCGCATCCTTGCCGTGTGTGATGAGGGCCTGTGGGTTGCTATGGGATTCCCCAACCCTGGCTCCTCTGTCTCCTGCTTCTGTCCTTACTCACACTGCTGGTAGTTTTCTGGTGTGAGACACGGGGGCAAGTGGGATTGACAAGCCTGCTGTCACATTAGGAACCTGAGTTAAAGTGGAGCTGAAAGCATGTCCTCGCTCTTGATGTTGTGCAGAGAGCCACCTGTGCTCCTGGCTCAACGGGGCGGGTGTGGTGGGTCTGGAACCAGGCCCTGGTTTGGCTCTCCTCCCCTCCATGTTCCCCTGTCCTGTCTGATTTGCTTCACACTGACATAAGAGTTACTTTCCCTCGGCCTCCCAAAGTGCTGGTATTACAGGCATTAGCCACCGCGCCCAGCTAGCATCCTTTCAAGTACTGGGGTACACCCAAGCTCCCAGCTTCTAGCTAGGAGTCATTTTGTCCCTCTTTATCCCAAAGGACTTGCCACCATCTTTGGTTCCCAAAGCCCAGGAGGGTCCAGGCTCTTCAGCCTCCAACCACTTTGCATTTCTTGTCTGCTTTTCGTTCATGGAGATAATTAACTTATTTTTCAGCCTGGGCATGTCTTTTTTATTTACTTTATTTTTTATTTTTATTTTTTGAGATGGAGTCTCACTCTGTCGCCCAGGCTGGAATGCAGTGGCGGGATCTCATTTCACTGCAGCCTCTGCCTCCCGGGTTCAAGTGATTCTCCTGCCTCAGCCTCCTGAGTAGCTGGGACTACAGGTGTGCACCACTATGCCCAGCTAATTTTTACATTTTTAGTAGAGACAGGGTGTCGCCATATTGGCCAGGCTGGTCTCGAACTCCTGGCTTCAAGTGATCCTCCTGCCTCAGCCTCCCAGAGTGCTGGGATTACAGGCACGACCACCGCACCCAGCCTTTATTTACTTTGTATATCTCATCTATTACTGCTGCAGTTTGCAGAAGAGAGGATGCCCTCAAACCTAACTTCTCCAAACCATCCCAAATGGGAAGTCTGCTCCACGTCAACAGCATTGTTGCTTTTAAAGACTATACGTCAACATGCCAGATTATAGCAAAAGGATGTCGAGGGAGCAATAGGAAAGCAAGCCTGAGAGTCCTGGAGAGAAGGTGGCAGAGCTGCCTTTTGAAGGTGGTTCCTTCCTCAGACCCTGCCCTTCCTGCCTTGTTCCTCCAGTTGCCAGATTTGCTGTTGGAGCTCCTCCACGGGCGAAGAGGTGAGGCTGGACTGAGAGGGAGATGGAGAAGCTGCCAGAGATTCTTTTGGATCTAGAATTGAGACAGCAGTTCCAGCCAGGTCCAGAGGTGGGGGCTGTCACCCAGCCCCCAGGGGAATGGTACTGATTGCAGAATGTGGCGAGAACTCCCTGGCTGGGAGAGGGAGGTGCTTGCTCCCTTGAATCACCTGAGCCCAGGCTGGAAGGCCCAAGGGGGAGGACGAGGCCAGCTCACTCCAGCTCCATCCCCTCCCTTTAACCCTAAGCTAGTTAACCCTCCCAGACTCCAGTCCTTTTTCCTAAGTGCCCTCCCTGCAAAGTCTGCACCGAGCAGCGCTCCCTCGCACCAGCTCACCCTGCACTGTCTTGTCTTTCAGCAACCCCATGGGTTTGAACTTGAGACGATTCATGTTCCTAAAAGCCTCTTTGGGCTGAGGGAAGGCATGGGTGGCTCTGCCAGTTTTGGAGTGGGGGCCGACTCTTCTCAGAGCCGCTGCAAGGGCCAGGGCCACCCTCCCAGGCGGGTGTCTCTGGGCTGGGCAGCAGCTTTGTAGGCAGCCTGGGTCATCCCCACTGGTCTGGGAAGCTGGGGGTGCACCGGCTCCTGCTCCTGATAGGGCCAAGGCACCTTCCTTACCTAAGAGCTGACTTTCTTGAAGAGTGGGCACAGAGGAGCCGGCAACCTGGGCTGTGTAGGCACCCAGGAGAAAATCTGCAGCTCAGTATCAGAAGTCTCCACCAGCACGGCTGTTGCAGAGATGGGGAAACTGGGCTGAGAGGGAAGGGGGCTTGCCCAAATCACCAGCCCTGGAATGTTTTGAGCTTTGGGGGTGGATCTCCCAGGAAACGTGTTTTTATGGCACCACCGCCTCTGGTCACCCACCCCGAGGTGTGGCGGGCCTGGACAGCCAGCTTGACTGAGGGCCAGGCTGGTGAAGTCAAAACTACCACTCAGGAAGAAGACCTAGCCCTTCTCCAGACAGAGTTCAAATGTGAGGACTGCCTTCTTTGGGCCTCAAATTCCCCACGTGAATTCCAAGGACCCCTCTAGCTCCTACACTCTGGGCCAAGGTTTCCTCTGAGCCGCAGTCAGCCTAGAGGACCTAGGATACATCTTCCTTGGACAGAGACCCACCATAGGGGCAGCAGGAGGTAGGGGTGGGGGTAGGCAAGATTCCTGTGGGGAGGTGGAGCTGTCATCAGAGATGGTGTCTGCAGGCAGTGGGTGTATCGTGGCTCTGCTACTACTTGCTGGGTGGCCCCATGACGTTTCTTTCCCCACTCTGACCTCAGTTTCCCTATCTGTTCCGTGGAGATAAGATGCCTGCCTACATATTTGTGGACTGGGATGTGTGTGGGCCAGTTGCAGTGTTTCTTGGTGTGGTCCTGGGGCAGGCTGCACCACCCCATAGAGATTTCTGGGCCCCACCCTAGGCTCACAGGACCAGAATCTCTGGGAATGAAGCCTGGGAATTTGCATTTCCACAGGCATCTGGCTGATTCTGACATGACTGAAAAGCACTAATAGTATATAGCAAGCTCTTTATAAAAGGTAAATTCATAGCTGCCTTTTACTAAACATAAATCTCACCTTCCCTTCCTCAGTTAAGGACACACACCGCAGTTGAAAATCACTGTGCCTTTCCAGATGCAGAATCTGACCTTTCCGATAAGATTCTGTTAACTGCTGCTTTCTGCAGTTTGTATTCCAAAACAAGGGGAATATGTTTCCATTTTTTCAATACAAATGTTTAAGTCGGATATGCTTTCTCAAACTGGACACGCACTCACACAGCTTAGGGTTTCAGCTATGGCTTCCTCTCAAATTATTAGCCTCTTTCTGCCAGGGAGCAGTTTTTCCCAGACAAGACCCTGGACAGAGGTTGGTGGGGCCCTCCTCATCAGAATCACTAGATTATGACTGACCCCTAGAGGTGGCTTTTCTGCTTAAGTGTCAGCCCATGGGCTGGGTTGTGACCCCCAAAGCTGCGGCAGAAGCTTCCACCCATCCTGGGCCCCCCCTGCCATCTATGGGGAAAGGCCTGTCCCTTGTCTTCTGGGCCCAGCCGGCCTCACAGGCATTCAGCAGATTGGAAAGTCGAAGCATGTGCTGTGCTTGGCTGGGCTCTCCTGCGCCCCTTTTTGGGGTGAGGTGGAGTGCATCCAGCCCCCAGCATCCCTGCCGTTTATTCCCACCCCTCATCCCCACCCCCATACACACTCACAAGTACAAACACAAGCACAGTCACTGGCACACACCACTCTGGACAGCACCATTTCCAGCCTCAGCGGGGCAGTTTCCTTACAGGGAAGTTAATGAGGCACTAACGAAGGCTCAGGGGACAGGGGGAACCTCTATCGAGAAGAGGCTCCTAGACCTGGTTCTGCCTCTGAATTGCTGGGGGTCCTTGAGAAAGTTGCTATCCCTCTCTGGTCTCAGTTTCCTCAGGTGAGAAATGGGGGGCCGGCCAAATGGTCTAAGGTTCTGGGAACCTCTAAATCAGAGCCCGTAGCTGGTGGTCAAGATGAGGGAGAGGCCCTCAGGGTCAGCCGAATGCCTGAGAGGCCGGACAGGCCCAAAGGTGAGCAACGTGAGCACATCAGGTGGGCTCAGAGCTGGCGCATGAGCCCCACAGCCTGCAGAGCAGCCCTGTACTCGGGAGCCCGCTCGCACCAACCCAGTGGGACTTCAGAGATGTGGGGTCCAGCCTTTCCTACTATTGCTGGGCTGAGGGCTGGGAGCTGCAGATTCTGACCCCACAGCTGCCTTAGACATGCCAGATGGTCTGGGGCAAGACACACCCCTCTCTATGAAATGAGCAGCCAGTCCAAATAGGTACATTAGAGAAGGGCTGTGGGATGGACCCAGCTGTAGCCTGGGGCTACAGACTGGCTTCCGGGGTACTCAAGCAGCTGGCCTCTGGGGTAGCAGCCCCAGGTATGAGAGGCAGGACTCAGAATCTAGGCCAAGCCTCCATAGGAATCCCCTCTGGAGAGCCCGGGCACTCTGCAGGAGGGGCAGCAGGCAGCAGGTGCACCAGGAGCATGTTTCACAAGGTGCCCAATATCGCATCTGCTCAGATAGGCAGCGAGTTGGAAAGTGGATGCAATAGGCAGGGTGGCGGCTGCTCCCCACAGCCAGGAGTCCGGCCCAGCACCCACCTGAGTCCGCCTCAGTCCTGCTCAATTGGGTTATCCGTGCTCTTGGCCCTCTGGTCCCACCCACAGAGGGAGGTCTTTGGGGCGACCAGGTGAGCTGGCCCTTGTGGGAGGATGTAACTGACTCCTGAGCCTGGCGAGCCAGGCAGCCCCTCGCCAACGTCCCCACCCCTACCTCTCCAGCCCCCCCGCATTCCCTGATCCTCCCATCCGCTCCCCTGACCCAGCAGTTGCCTCTGCTCACTCTCTTTTCCTGCTCCCAGGCTCGCCTGGTCATGTGTCCTTCACTCTCCTCTGAGTCTCCCTCTTTCCAAGCCGCCTCCACTCTACTTGACACAGTCTCCCTTAAGACACCAGAGTACACAAGCGCAAGTCCCTGCACCTCACCTTTACTCCCAGACATGGGAGGGAGATGACATGAAGACCCAAACGCCACTTAGCAGGAGATCTGGGGTATGCAGAGGGGCAGAACGGAGGCTGTGGAAGCTCCAGGGGCTCCCTTCAGGAGGCCACATGTAAGCTGGCTATTGAATGTGGCTCTGAGCTGAGACCTCTCCTTGAAGCTCCAGACCAGGAGCCAGCTGCTAGCTGGACCCCTCCATTTGGTGCCTCAGAGAAACTTTGCACTCTCTAGGTCTAACTTTGAACCCAGAAAATTCCCCCATGTCGGCCCTGTCTCTTCACAGGGAAAGCACCACCTCAGACCCAGTTCTGCACCAAACCCACATTTGAGTCACGAGGCTCCTGCCCTGCACTGTGAGCACTCTGGATAAGCCAGTGCTGAGGGGGAAAGAGCTCTGAATGCCAAGCCAAAACATGAGCTTCAACTCCACCTCCAGCTCTGAGAGCTGTGGGTAGGGAAGGGCCCTAGTCCAGTTTGCTGTAGAAAGATCAGTCTGCCACTGTATGGCACATGGATGGCAGGGGCAGAGTGCAGGTGGAGAGAATAGAAGGTGGGCAGGGCGGGGGAGGCAGGGACATGGCTGTAGCCGTGGAGATGGGAGGACAGACAGGACTTGGTGGCCACTTGGGTGAACCAAGGGAGGAGTCAGGAAGAGACACCCAGTTTTGTATCAGATGTGTAGAGCGTGGGATGCTGTTCATTGACGGAGGGAGGAGGAGGAGGAAGAGGTATGGCATGGGGAGGAGGTAGCTGAGCTCTGTCGTGAATGTCATTTGAAGTCCCCAGGGAAAGCCAGGCCGGCCAGCACCTTCACTGCTTCAGCCAGCTCTCAGGGTGTCTGTGCTCCCTGGCCCTCTCAGCTCCTGCTTCATAGCTGTCAGCTGCAGTGGGAGACAGCTGCACAAGGGCCCAGCATGTCTGTGTGTTTACCCAGGGGACTGCCGCATGGCCCATGCCGAGCAGAAACTGATGGACGACCTTCTGAACAAAACCTGTTACAACAACCTGATCCGCCCAGCCACCAGCTCCTCACAGCTCATCTCCATCCAGACGGCGCTCTCCCTGGCCCAGTGCATCAGCGTGGTAGGTGCAGAGGGTACCTGTGGCTCAGGCTCAGGTGAAGAGGCAGCTCATGCCCAAGCCCTAAGCAGTCAATGTCCAGAGGAATGAAATGACTAGAGTTGACTTAGACTCACCGGTACACGGTGGGGAGGCTGGAGGAGGGTCCATGAGGTTTATAGGTGTCCAGTATTTAATGAGGTCATGGTTTTGTTAACAAAGAAGAAATGAGGGTGGGAGCGAGATCACCACTGGCTAGGCAGCCAATGGGCCTGCAGAGACTCTGCTCAGCTGAGTCTCCAGCACGACCATGAGCTTCTCATCCTGATCCTCCCATCCCCACCCTACTTTTCTCCCCCAGCTTGCTCAACAGGTGACCTTACAGGCTCCCTACTCTTTGCAGGGAATAAGAACCAGACTGGGGGAACTGACGGGTACAGAGGCCCAGGTGTAGGCGCAGGACCACAGGCAGTGAAGCGTCTACTGACCCAGGCGGGTGAGGGTCTGGAGAGTGGGCATGGCTGCTGCAGGCATGGAAAGCAGGCACAGATGGCGGCACTCCCAGGGCCCATTGTCAGGGTCTCCACATGTGGACGTGTGCAGAGGTGGGGGTGCTGAGGGAGGAGGGGCAGGGAATTTCTCATCTTCTCTCTACTGCCTCTGAGTTGGAGATGTCAGAGGGAGCCATGGCCCACTGTAAAGTAACACAATGTCCCCACCCACAGGATTAGAACCCCTCCCCTGGAAGCAGCTCTGAGGGGAACAGTCACATGTAGAGAGTGCAGGGCACTGTGTCCAGCCGGGGGAAGGAGGTCACCAAGGGGGTTGACCCCCCTCTGGCCAGGTGGCTGCCTTCTGACACACCAGCCTCTGTCTCTAGCACGGTGGCCCCCACACACCCAGCCTGTGAAACCTACAGCCCTCAAGAAGGCTTTGGCCAAATTAAGGAGCGGCTCCCTCTCCCAGGAGGAAGCACAGGTGAAGGATGTGGAGGGCAGTAGAGTTGTGTGTGCTCCGCCCCCTTTCTCCACAGTCGGATGGAAAGAAGGGGGCTTTCAGCCAGGCTCGCCCAGGCTGGGGTCTGAGTGTCACTGTCCAGCTATTGGCTTCTTGCTTAATGGGTGAGCCCAGCTGCTCCCGTGCAGCTGCCGCCCTAGTGAGGGTGAACCGGCAGGCGAGTTACATTTCTGAAAGCCTGGGAATACAGTAAATATTAGGCTGTGGGCTGCTGGGCCAGGAAGAGTTGTTTATTTTTCAGGGTTTGTTTATCTATTGACTTGATGAGGGAGGGTTATAGGTACAACCAGTTTAAAGATGGAAATTTTGAGAGAGCAGGCAGGGATTTAGTGCTGGGTAAGCCTGGTCAAAGCGGCTCTTTTGGGGCGGCCAGAATCCAGTACCAATGTCCTCAGCATGTTCATCAGCTGCTGGGGGAGTGCGGGACAGCATGAAAGCACAGGAGAACTTTCTGGATGATAGAAATACTCTGTATCTTCAAAGGAGGTGGGTTCCATAGTAATGTTAAATGAGTTAAAACTCATCAAAATGTAAACCAGACCTGTGCATTTCACTAATAGAAATTATACCTCCAATTAAAAACATGTTTTAAAAGACAGATGGGCCGGATGCAGTGGCTCATACTTGTAATCCCAGCACTTTGGGAGGCTGAGGCAGGTAGATCACCTGAGTCAGGAGCTCGAGACCAGCCTGGAAAACATGGTGACATCCTGCCTCTATTAAAGGTATAAAAAAAAATTAGCCAGGCATGGTGGCACACGCTACTCGGGAAGCTGAGGCAGGAGAATTGCTTGAACCCAGGAGGCAGAGGTTACAGTGAGCAGAGATCGTGCCATTGCACTAGAGCCTGGGCAACAGCGCAAGACTCCATCTCAACAACAACAAAAAAAGGACAGATGAAGGTTTTCAACTTTCAGTAAAGGCAGAGGAGCTTGTTACAGATTCGCCTCCCCACAAGAGCAGTTAGAAAAACTGGATAAAAATGTGCCCCGCCCCCAATCAAAAACAATTGTTGGAAGGTAATTGGAGACCTCAGTCAGGACTTGAGTGACCAGGCCTAGGAGGTGATCCTGACAGTCTGTAGTGCTTTCCCACATTTGGTGATTGGTCAACAGTAGAGGGCTAAGAGGCTAAGAAACTGAGTATGAAGTGGTAGTTAAGAGGCTGGAGAGCCTAGCTGAATGTTTGGCACTCTCACAGGGCTGAAATGACCTAATGAGAATTTGGGTCCCAGGAAGGAGATGGGACCTTGGTGGGGACCCTGGAAGGGCCACCCCTGGGAGTCCAAATGAATAAAACATAGACCAGCCATCAGAAAACCTAAAACCTGCTTTGAACCAGCTTAGTCCCAAAGTAGATGAAGGCGATCTGCCCTTACTCCAATTGTGTGCCATAAACTCAAAGTCAATACTCTCTGGAGGCAGATAAAAGTTTACTATGAATGTCAAAAGACAACACAAGACTAAATGAGAAAGACCAAGAAGAAAACTAATAGAAACATACATGTAAGGAAGAAACTTTTTTTTTTGAGACGGAGTTTCGCTCTGTCACCCAGGCTTGAGTGCAGTGGCACGATCTCAGCTCACTGCAACCTCTGCCTCCCAGGTTCAAGCGATTCTCCTGCCTCAGCCTCCCAAGTAGCTGGGATTACAGGCATGCGCCACCATGCCCGGCTAATTTTTGTATTGGCCAGGCTGGTCTTGAACTCTTGACCTCAGGTCATCCATTTACCTCGGCCTCCCAAATTGCTAGGATTACAGGCGTGAGCTACCATGCCTGGCCAGTATTTTGCCACAATTTAAAATAAATAAAATTTTTTTTTCAGGTTTGTGCTCAGACTATATTCTAAACAGTCACATGGCGGCTTACTCTTCTCCAGGCCTTGCTGCCGGCTTTTACATGTTTATTGTCTTTGCCTTCTTGTCATGTGCTCATTAGATGGCAGCTTCCAGGTGCTCCTAAGGGGCCAGGAAAGAGAGTGAGAAGGCACGGAGGTTGCCAGATCATCCCCCTTGGGGCCCCGCCCTCATCAACTCCCTCAACCGGGTCTCCTGCAACTATTGGTGGGCCATCTCGGCCACCGCTTCGCCCTGAGCTTCCTGCTGCTGCAGCTGGGCAGTGCCTCCTTCTCAGAGGCCAGCTGCTGATAGGCGGCCACGTACTGCTGCAGGTGACCCAGGTAATGGTCTCGCTGCTGCTGCAGACTCAGCCTCTTGGCTCTTCAGCTCCACCTGCAGGATAGGCGTCAGGGTAGGTAGTGGCTGGCTTCCAGATTCTGGGCCCATAAACAGGGTAGTGAGGGCACTGCGGGGCTCTGTCGCCTACCCAGGCCCCTGGCCCTGGCCCCTTCCTCCAGGCCTAAATGACTGCCTCCCTTGCCTAGAGGCCCATGCCTCCCTCCCCAGCCTCAAATCTCACACCCTTCTTCCCACCATTTAAACTGTAGGCCACAGACTGGTGGAAAAGCAGAGGGAGCCAACCACCATCTGCTAAGTTGTGGTGAGGTCGTTCTGTATGATCTCCAGGGTTTGCACACACCTCCGCCTGCTCCCCCCAAGAGCTCGGCCTTCTGCCCCAGCTTCCCCAGCCTCTCCTCCAGCTCCTGCAGCCTCACCTGGTGTTCCTGCATCTTCTCCTCCTGCTGCCGCAGCCTCACTTCCTGCTCCCACATCTTCTCCTCCTGCCTCCGCATCTTCTCCTCCTGTTCTTGCATCTTCTCTTCCTGCTCACACATCTTCTCCTCCTGCTCCCACATCTTCTCTTCCTGTTCCTGCATCATCTCCTCCTGCTCTCGTATCTTCTCCTCCTGCTCCCATATCTTCTCCTCCTGCTCTCGTATCTTCTCCTTCTGCTCCCGTATCTTCTCCTCCTGCTCCCTTATCTTCTCCTCCTGCCTCCGCATCTTCTCCTGTTCTTGCATCTTCTCTTCCTGCTCCCCCATCTTCTCTTCCTGTTCCTGCATCATCTCCTCCTGCTCTCGTATCTTCTCCTCCTGCTCCCGTATCTTCTCCTCCTGCTCCCTTATCTTCTCCTCCTGCCTCCACATCTTCTCCTCCTGCTCCCGTATCTTCTCCTCCTGGTCGTGCATCTTCTCCTCCTGCCTCCACACCTTCTCCTCCTGCTTCCGTATCTTCTCCTGCTCGTGCATCTTCTCCTTTTGCCTCCATATCTCCTCCTGCTCCCTTATCTTCTCCTCCTGCCTCCACATCTCCTCCTGCTCCTGCCTCTTCTCCTCCTCCCGTATCTTCTCCTGCTCGTGAATCTTCTCCTCCTGCCTCCACATCTTTTTCTCCTGCTCCCGTATCTTCTCTTCCTGCTCCCGTATCTTCTCCTCCTGCCTCCACATCTTCGCCTCCTGCTCCTGCCTCTTCTCCTGCTCGCGTATCTTCTCCTCCTCCTGCCTCTTCTCTTCCTGCTCCCGTATCTTCTCCTGCTCGTGCATCTTCTCTTCCAGCTCCCGTATCTTCTCCTCCTTCTCCCACATCATCTCCTCCAGCCTCCGCATCTTCTCCTCCTTCTCCCACATCATCTCCTCCTGCCTCCGCATCTTCTCCTCCTTCTCCCACATCATCTCCTCCTGCCTCCGCATCTTCTCCTCCTGCTCCCGTATCTTCTCCTCCTGCTCCCGTATCTTCTCCTCCTGCTCCTGTATCTTCTCCTCCCACTCCTGTATCTTCTCCTCCTGCCTCCACATCTTCTCCTCCTGTTGCTGGTTCAGGCGGTTCCACAACTCGTTCTCTTCCACCTGGGCTTGGAGCTTTGCTGACACACTCTGCAGCTCCTTACCCAGGTGGTCAGCCTCCGCCTGCAGCTGCTGCTGGAATAGTGAAAGTGTTTTTTTGAACCTCAGAAGGAAGCAGAATCATGAGCTAGCCACATAAATGTAATCTATAGGCTGGGAGCGGTGGCTCACGCCTGTAATCCCAGCACTTTGGGAGGCCGAGGTGGGCGGATCACGAGGTCAGGAGATCGAGACCATCCTGGTTAACACAGTGAAACCCCGTCTCTACTAAAAATACAAAAAAATTAGCCGGGTGTGGTGGTGGGCACCTGTAGTCCCAGCTACTTGGGAGGCTGAGGCAGGAGAATGGCGTGAAGCCGGGGGGTGGAGCTTGCAGTGAGCCGAGATTGCGCCACTGCACTCTGGCCTGGGTGACAGAGTGAGACTACTTCTCAAATAAATAAATAAATAAATAAATAAATAAATAAATAAATGTAATCTATAAAATAATGGTTTTCATCCATGATCCTTTAAAAAAATATTTTTAAGCCCTAACTCTTGAGATTCTGATTCCCCAGGCAGGGCCCCAATTTGTACATTTTTAGTACACTCTAGAGGATTCTATGGCGGGACCAGAACAAGGACCCAAATTTTCCAGCTCTTGGCTGGAGCCTCCCCATACCCTGCATGATCCCTAGACCATGGTCCCAGCTGGATGGGTCTCCCACAACCCCCGGGGCTGCAGCTGCTCACCTGTGGCAGCAGGAGCTTGGCCCTCTCCAGTTTCCTTTTTAGCTCCTTTACGTTGAGCTGGATCTCAGACTTTTCAGATTCTACAAGTTGAAGTTTTTCTTGTAGTTTGGCATTTTTCTCCTTCAGCTCCTCATCAGTTATGCTATGGCCAGAGGCAGTAGAGAAAGGAATGAATGAAGAACATAAAAGACCACTTTGGTGATTGACCCCCTACCCTCGCCCCACAACCACAGAACCGTGGCGCTGGAAGGGACCCCAGGAATTAAAAGTCCCAGGTGGCAGGCCAGAGAGAAGACATGAGTTGCCTGAGGCTACCCCATGAGTCAGTGGCACAGCCAGCACTAGAGCTTCCGTGTGCACACATGAAAACATGTATGAGCCTCTCCCCACACTCACCTGGACCCCCCACCTCCCAGCACACCACCCATGCTAAGGGCCCCCAGACCTCCCATTCCACCTTCCCCCATCCTACGTGTTCCTGTACAGTTCCAGACTCAGGGCGTCCCTCTCCTTTGTTAACTCCTCAATGTACTGCAAATAGAGAAAGGTTAAGTCAGGATAGAGCAGGCACAGCAGTAGCTGGACGACCAGGAACAACTGCTACAGTGACTACTCCACAGTAACACTTCCTCACTCTCAATCACACCTGACGTGTTCTCAAGGCATTTCCAAGCCCATGGTCTCATTTGTTTTTCTTTCTTTCTTTCTTTCTTTTTTTTTTTTTTTTTGGCAGAGTTTCATTCTTGTTGCCCTCACTGGAGTGCAATGGCACAATCTCAGCTCACCACAACCTACACCTCCTGGGTTCAAGCAATTCTCCTGCCTCAGCTTCCCGAGTAGTTGGGATTACAGGCATGTGCCACCACACCGGGCTAATTTTGTATTTTTAGTAGAGACGGGGTTTCTTCGTGTTGGTCAGTCTAGTCTTGAACTCCTGACCGCAGGTGATCCGCCCACCTCAGCCTCCCAAAGTGCTGGCATTACAGGCGTGAGCGAGAGCACCTGGCCCTCATTTGTTTTTCAAAGAACTCAGTGGATGTGGAAGGGACAGGGAAAGAGATTGAATTTAGAGCTGGCTAACAGGGGCCCAGAGCGATCAGATAATATTGTTATTGTTATTACTGTTAGTACTACCATTGTTCGAACCTTTCTTGAGTGCTTCACCAGGCACTATGCTAACAATCCCATTTAATCCTCACAACCTCCATAGGAGACGGTTACCATTATTACCTCTATTGTGTAGATGAAAAACATGCGGTATTAAAGGTTAAGTGCTGCCTAAGATCACTTGGAGCTGGGATTTCAACACCCAGGTATATCTGATTCTCTAAGCCCATTCTTCCGCTGGAGGTAGGGGCACAGTTAAGAAGGAGGAAATTAATCCTTTGTTGAATTTTTGAAAGGATGATACGTTCGCATAGTCCAAAACTCAGAAAGTCCAGAAGGGAAATATCTCCCCCCAACACTGTGCCTCTATCCTGAGTTTTTTAATGAATCCTTACAAACGTGTTTTATGTATGTTACCATAATACGTACACACACACACATATACACCTGCCCCCTCTCTCCACACAAATAATAACATACTCAAGATACTCTTCTGTACCTTTATGGTACAAGTACCCTAACCGCCACTTAGGACTTGGCCAAGGCCACAGCCAAATATGGGCAGGGCGGGCACTTGGCCTCTGAGCTCTATGTCCAGTGCTCGCTCCTCACAGTGCTCCCCAACTCACCCACAACAGCCGACTCAGCCCCAGTCTGCCTCTAACAACCACACACAAAAGCAGCAAGAAATGGCCATGCTGCCTTCTGGGCAGGACACTCCATCCTACAGAAGGGACCTTTAGGCTCACTCCTCCATCTGCGAAGCTGGGCTCCCAAGGGACGGGGCCGTGTTTGGACTCACCCTATCCGCCTTCTTCTTCTGTGTAGCGACAGCAGAGAGAGCCTGCTCTAACTCTCCTGCAAACTTCCATGAATCATGCAGGCGGCTGATCAGATCCCTGGCCTCTCCTGGAATGAGAGACATTCAGATGTGGCCCAAAGGACTCCCCCTAAAGGCCTGTCAAAGTGCCAGGTTGAAGGATGATGGGGTGCCAGATTCCCACCTTCCAACTGCTTGACAGCATGCTGGCTGTAGTAGAGTGCCATCTGAAGCTCAGTTTTCTGACATGTAAGGATTCGTATGGTATGAACCTGGGCCTTTGGGAGAAAAGACAAGCAAATGCTGAAAGAGAAGCAAAGAAACATTCTCCAGAGGGCAGGAGGGAACTTCACACCCTCCACTCACCTCTAGCTCCCTCCTTAGGGCTTCCTGATGTTGGTGGCTTGCCTTCTGTTCCTATAGAAAGAGGAAAACAGAGCTCTTACTAGGGGGAGGCAGAGATCCACAGCAAGAGACATGCCCCCAGAATGGCACCACTGCCCCAGAACAGGCCCACCCATGGGACCAGTTTATCAGGGACCCTGTGGGGATGGGGTGGAATCTTGGGGGTGAGCCTTCTTCCCCAGGCTGGGAGTGGGTGAGATGAGGCTGGGGCCTCTACATCTGAGTGCCCCCAAACCCAGCGGTCATGTCGTGAGCAAAGAAATCACACTACTTCTTCCAGCTGAGCTCGGTTCTATTGTTTCTGTGGGGAGAGTCAAAGGAAGGTGACTGAGGGTGGCCCCCTTGACTCTATTCCCCAGGCCAGGAAGCGATAGGCAGGGGCCAGGAATGGATTTAAAAGGCACAGTTCTCAGACCCAATGGGAACATGAACTGGTCAACTCTCCTCAACTCCCAAAGAAGAAGGATTTGGGTCTTTTTGGTTTTTGCCCACAGCCACAGAACTCAAAGTCTGAAACTAGATTCTCTTGAAAAGACAGTAACAGAAACCTTCAGAGGTGGAGTGCGAGAAAAGCCCACCCTTCCGCCAGCTTGTGATTTAGAAAGGTGCATTCACTCAGCAAACGTTGAGCACATACGGGCCAGGGACGGTTCTTCACAGCGGGAATAGAGGTCAGAAAAGGCAGACAGGAGCCCTTGGCCCCGAGGTTTCCATTCTAGTGGGCCTTTAACTCTCGGGCTCTCAGAGCTAACAGAAACCTCTGATACTCTCTAACTCTACCTCAGGAAACGCAAGCCCAAGAAGGAGAGTTTACAGCAGGTCCTGGACGAGGGATTAACATAAAAACACAATGACAAATCTCATTTAAACTTCACAAACGTAAGGAAAACAATACCACTCGTATTTTACGGATGTGAAAAGAGAGGCCCAAAGAGCTCAAGCAATTTGCGCTAAATCATGTCCCTAGCAGATGGAGGGGTAGGATTCAAACCCAGAATTCTTAGCCAGTACCTGGCAGTTCTTCCACAATCTTAACAATTACCCTCCACCACCCCTTGGGCCCTCTGTCCCCAGGAGCCCGGCCAGCCAAGACTCACATCCTCAGGCGAGTGGCAACCACCAGAAGTGGTTGTCTCAGGGTTAGTGCCATTATTTATTTTCTTCTTTTTGGTGTCGCTTGCTGCTGTACCAACACTAGGGTTGGTCTGGGGATGATGGTCTGTCAACTGTGGAAAGGAAGAGCAGTGATACTCATGAGAACTACAAGCTCCTACAGTCACATCCTGCTTTACAGTTTATACTAAATACTCTTATAGACCATCTGATTTAATGCCACCAACTGTAGGAAATGTTGTCACAATCACTTAGTGACTGAGAGAGATTGATACCATGGCTGAAAAAAAAGGCAGTAATGGAACTTAAACTCAGTCTTCTGACTCTGAGCTCTGGGATTTTGCCCTAAATCAGCAGCTGCCAGGGACCAAAACCAGAGGCAGAGGTAGAAAAGCAAATATTAAGTAGGCAGGAACTGTGCACTATGTGGTTTAGGGTTATTCACCCTCACACGTCTGTTAGTGTTAAAAAGTACACCAGTACCTCTCAAACCTTTACATCAATGTCTCCTCATGGCAGAAGGCAGCCTTTCTGCTAAATCTGGGAATTTAACAGAAAGAGGACAACCCAAGCCTCATTTCAGAGAGAAGTCTTGTATACGCTTATAAATCTACGTGACTTTCATCCCTAAGTACATTAATGTTTTGCCTCTCAATAGAATCAAGGGAAACTGATGCTTCAGAAAGATGCCCCATATTTATCCTGTGGCACTCAAAGTACCCCAGGTTGAGATGAGATGAGGAAGACTCAAGCTAAGTTCAGTTTCCCAAGATCTGTTCCACAGAAGATAAGCAGATCTCACTCCAGAACCAGTGACTGAGGGGCACTCTGGTCCCAGAACAATGGAGAATTCAAATCTGAGGTGCAGAACTGAGAAAAAATGTTAAAATCTCTCTGGAGAGTAGAAGCCTGGGAGAAAACCAAACCAAACCCGTTCTCCCATTGCCACCCAGAGACACTGTCAACGTGTTGAGCTCATGGGGGAGGTGTAGGCTTTTCACACTGTCAAGGTCTGTGGTAAGGAAGTCAGGCAGCCTGAAACCTCTCTCTTCTAGGTCCCACAGTCCCCATTCCCCTTCCAGCTGGAAACCTGTGCTGCAACCAGAGGAAACAGAAGTGGGCAAGAACACTTAGGGGACTGGGTCCTAAGACCAAAGGCCGGTCTTGTGGTAGTAATGACAGTTTGTAGCGGGACTGTGACATCACTACATTCTACTCCTCGGTGGAGTGGTTGGGGGGGACACATGAGTGCAATGCCCAAGTTGCCGCTTTGAGACTGGGGAGGGGGTCACAAAATTGGGAGCCAGGTCCTTGGAGACGTGACCCCAAAGAGCCCCGGGAGGTCAGGCTTGGGGCGGCAGGAGGTGAGGGCCAATTAAGGAGCAAGGAGCTCCAGGAGTCACATCCCCAAAGTCACCCTGTGGCAACTGGTGAGGGCAGGTTCTGGGGCACCCAGGTCCTTGGAGATGTGAGCTCAAGGAGCCCAGGGAGGTCGGGTTTGGGGTAGCAGGAGGTAAGGGCGGAGTATGGAGTTGGAAGCCCCAGGAGTCACCTGCTCAAAGTCACCCTGGTGTGCCGGGCAGAGCAGGGGCAGGACTTATGAGGGGGTTGGGCTGGCTGACAAGATTTTGGTGTGGGGAGCCCAGAGGCACTGGGGTGGGGGGCCCAGCCTGGTGTCCCTCAGGAGTGGCACAGACTCTGGCAGCAGTTCGGCTGTCAGAGGGGGCCTCGGGTTGGGTTGGGGTGTTGGTGCGTTTACCTGTTCCTTGGCCTCGGCCAATTTGCTCTGTCTGGTTTCTTTGGACATCATAGGATGGGTAGGGAGGTGGGGATGGGTAGGGAGGTGGGGATGGGTAGGGAGGTGGGGATGGGTAGGGAGGTGGGGATGGGTAGGGAGGTGGGGTTGGGGCCACATCAGCATGATCCAGGTGAGGACAAGTATATACCTCCAGTCACCTCTACGTCGCTGTGTGACTGAGCCAGAGGAGGCGTAACCAGGGCTGCACTAGAATGCAGAATAGGGGTGTGGCCTTCATGCTTGAAGCCCATTGGTCAATGAGAAAGATGAAAGGAAAAGGAGGTGTGGCCAGACAGCAGCGTGTCATCAAGGACCTGTGTTGTCACAAGGAAAGCTGCCTATGCAACCGCTGTCCCCGCCCACTCCAGGAGAGGGGCGGGGCTGGCTTTCACTTTAAAAACTTTAAAACTTTATTACCTCAATTGAGGTACAAGTCCTATTAAAATGGAAATTTTATAGTGTGCTTGATGATTGATAAAGCAGACTTTATTATCCAACATTCCAATAAGATAATCACAATGTTTTCTCTTTTTTGGAAAAACTTTCTCTTATTCTCCTACATTAGCGTTTAGTTTTTTTAAAAAAAACAAACAAACAAGAAACATGTCTAATATCTTTAAAAATACAAAGCTTTGAGCCAGGCGTGATGGCTCATGCCTGTAATCCCAGCACTTTGGGAGGCTGGGGCGGGTGGATCACCCGAATTCAGGAGTTCAAGACCAGCCTGGCCAACATGATGAAATCCTGTCTCTACTAAAAATACAAAAGTAGCTGGGCATGGTGGCAGGTGCCTGTAATCCTAGCTACTTGGGAGGCTGAGGCAGGAGAATCCCTTGAACCTGTGAGGCAGAGGTTGCAGTGAGCCAAAATCATGCCACTGCACTTCAGCCTGGGCTGCTACAGAATGTGACTCTGTCTCTAAATACACACACACACACACACACGCACAGACACACACACACACACACACACACACACACACAAGGCTTTCCATTTAATAAGCACTCAAAGTTCTTTACAAGGTTAAAGCAAATACAGGACCCTTCTAAAGTAAGGCTAAATGCTAAGTGATGGGGGAGAGAAAAAGGACATAAATAACTCCTACTCTCATGAGTTAATCACTAAATCCGATTTTTCTAGAATCACCTGGCCTCTAAGCCCTGAAAATGAAACTGAATTTCTCACTCGATACTTGGCTATGACTTGCAATCATGAAAACCAAGAATTGTGTTATGTCACTGTGTATTGCTTGTTACCTGGGATCAAGGGTTGACTTTTTCATGATTTGCTCCATTACCTGTGTGCTTCTTCTCCCAGTCCAAACTACGCTTTTTTCTAGAGTTCTACAATTTACAGTTAGTATGTAAGGGTGGCTCTCAAACATGTAGTCTCCGGACCAGGAGCACCTGGGAACTTCTTATAAATGTAAATTCTCAGGCCCCACCCTAGACACGAATGAATCAGAAACTCTGCAGTAGGGCCCAGCAATCCGTGCTGCAATAATCCCTCCAGGTGCTCAGGAACCTCTGCCATACAGCAGGTAGAAAAATGTGTTTCCTTCTGTAGGTCCAAAGCCAGGGATACTATATGTTCTGTCTCAATATGAAACAATGACATGCAATTAAAAGACATAAATCTCCTTCCTACTTCCACCCTCCAGCCAGTGTGTTTTATTTTTATGAGTTCAATAAGAAAACGTGTGGCAATCAGAGATTTCATCTAAAAAATATATCTACAGGTATCAGTTCTCATCCAGCCTGATCTCATCCAATATCATTTCTATCCTCTTACATCTAAAGTTTTAGAAAAGGATTTTCACAACGTAAGACTCAGGCGCACTAGGAGTTCTATGATAAAAGACCAAGTAGATCTGAATGTCCAAACTTACTAGAGAAGAAAAGTGGACTCATTGGCTATATTTTCAAATTGCATTCAACAGGAAATTAAAGTTTTGAATTTTTTCCACCTTCATCCTTCCAAGTTAATAGAATTAAACCAGAATACTCCATTCTTCCAAAGCCTGTAGCCAGGCAAACTTTTACTGTATTACTTCTTGCTTTTCAATGGATATAAAGCAGAGTCCTGGTAGGCACATTTTGTATACCTGCAAAGATGCAAAACTAAACAGTTCCCTCGGTTCAATATTAAAACAAAAGTCCTGTAAACCTCAGATGGTGAGTGTAATACTTCAGCACTAGCACGAAAGCCTCAAATATAAAAAGATACCAAGAACCTTGCTAGCAAACCAAAGTAAGCTCTTGGCCGGGAGCAGTAGTTCACGCCCGTACTCCCAGCATATTGGCAAGCTAAGGTGGGGTAAGTCAGGAGTTAAAGACCAGCCTGGGCAGCATAGCGAATTCATATCTCTACAAAGAAAATTTAAAAATTAGCTGGGCTTGGCGGCACACACCTGTAGTCCTAGAGCTACTTGGGAGGCTGAGGTGGGAAAATCACTTGAGCCCAGAAGTTTGAGGCTGCAGTAGCTATGATCATGCCACTGCACTCCAGTTGGGGTGACAGAGCGAGATCTAATTATTACATTCTGTCCTGCTCCTGTTTCCACTAAAATCACTAACTTAAAATGTGTTCATTCAGCAGGATAAAAATTAAGTGAAATTTGACTTTGGTGCTTTGCTAGCAAAAAATAAATAAATAAAGTGAAGTGACAAATTACTCACTGGGAGAAGATCTTTGTAACCTCAATGACAGATTAAAGGTTTGTAGCCTTAGCCTATAAAGAAATCTTTAAAATTACTCAGAAAAAAAAATGAATGATTTGCAGCAGAAAATGGGCAATGGAGAAACCAGCACTTCCCACAAGAATAAAAATGGCCAATGAGCAAATGAAAAAGATTCAAAAGCACTAGAAATCAAAGAAAGGTAATGAAAACAATGAGATTTTCTGCTTAAAGACCAGCGAAGATGACAAATGGAAGGGGGAACCTGGAGCTCTGTCCCTGTTGGTGGGAGCATAAACTCAACCAATTTTCCTGTAGGATGATTTGAACATTTCTTTTAAAAATCCTAAAACTGTTTTATATTACTTTCCTCTAGAAATTCTACTTCTATGAATTCAGTGCAAAAATCCTCACTCGAGTCCATTAAAATATATATAGAAGGAAATCCACCTCTGGGGTGGCAATGACTCACTTAACATACATCCAGTGATGATGCCAGGGTATATTTCTCCATAGAAACATGCTTAAAATATAGTAAGTGACAAAAGACCATGTATTGTGATTCTACTTTTTAAAATGTTTACAGCATAAAAAGTGTGAAAAGCAACAAACCGGAATGTTTTGAGTGGCAAAATTAAAGATTTTTCTTTACATTTTGTCATCCAAATTATTACAAAAACAATGTGATTTCCTTTATAATCATGGAAAAGTGTTATTTTCATTTATTTATATTTACATTTCTTTTCTTTTTCTTCTTTTTTCTCCTGTATGTATCCCACATAGGCTACAGAGCTTAAATCCCTGCCTCTTGAGAGAAATCAGCCCATTTTCAGGACATGCAATACACAAAGCTGCCCCATCTTCCCTTTATTTTTATTTTTATCTTATTTATTTATTTATTTATTTATTTATTTATTTATTTATTTATGTTGAGATGGAGTCTCACTCTGTTGCCCAGGCTGGAGTGCGGTGGCGCATCTCAGCTCACTGCAACCTCCATATCCCGAGATCAAGCGATTCCCCTGCCTCAGCCTCCCGAGTACCTGGGACTATAGGCATGCACCACCATGCCCAGCTAATTTTTGTATTTTTAGTAGAGAGGAAGTTTTACCATCTTGGACAGGCTGGTCTCGAACTCCTGACCTCAAGTGATCCGTCTGCCTTGGCCTCCCAAAGTGCTGGGATTACAGGCATGAGCCACTGTGCCTGGCCTGTCATATTATTTCTAAACATTTGAGTGACATTTCAATTAAGTGAAATTTAATTCTTACTGACCTGATCTCTTATCCTCTGTTTAATGATACCTTCCAGTTGAAAGGTGTTTCCTCTGTAATCACGGGTGCCAAAGGAAATACAACATGTATTCATTAGGTGGATCCACTAAACCACGGATTCACGCATTGTAGTCCTTACACCCTCAGCATCAGAAACACGTGGGAACTTGTTAGACATGCAAATTCCTGGGCCAGCCCCACACCTCCTGAATCAGAAAGTGGGGAAGGACAGCTATCTGTGCTTTAATAAGCCTTGAGATGCTCCCTGAAGTTTGAAAACTACAGAACTAGAATACATATGGTAGTAAGTGCTCATACTTTATCCAAGGTACTAGGGACTCTTCCCCTCTTTTCCATTCTTTTTTCTGTTGAAATAAAATGAGAGCTCCTTTTGACTTAATGGGTATAAGAAAGAAGGCAATGAGATGACCAGGGTTTCAAGTTAGAGTTCAAAATTTAATCAGTGGACAGTGACAGGATGCAAGCCTTCTAAACAGATTGCTGCAAGGAAGCTGATTATAATCTATACAGTAGGTATCATTAGTGTATTGATGTTAAATTTTGGGGGTGGATTAATGGTATTGTGATTATATAGGAGAAGTCCTGGTTCCTAGAAGATATCTGCGAAAGTACTTAACAGTGAAATGCTCTGATACTGCCAACTTACTTTGAAATGATTCAGGGGGAAAAAGGGCACATATACAATCTTCCATACGCAGAAGACAGAAAACAAGTGTGACAAAACATTAACTAGTGAATCCAGTTGAATAGCATACAGATGTTCACTGTATGATTTTATCAACTTTTCTGTGTTTGCAAGTTTTCAAAATAAAAGTTGAGGGAAAGAAACATCACCCCAAATCTTTCTATGAAATGGGACCACAGAAAAAGCAGAGAAGTGAACACTTTGCAGAAAAGAGCACTGCACCCATCCGGACAGCATGGTCAAAGTGCAGGCTCTCCTCCAGGAGGCTCTTCTCTGGTCTCTTCTGTGCTGTCACTTCCCCCACATGCAGCCAAGGCTTTTTTCTAACAACTCTTTTTCTAAAGATGTAATTTTTGTCATTCATCTAAGAAAGAGAAGAAAAGAATTAGTATACATTTAGAAAATAAAATTACACTTACATTTGTGAAAAAGCAAAAAATACTTTGAAAAGTGGGGAAGCAAGAAATGTACTGTTCTACAATTCTGTTCTGTTCTTACCATCTTTTTATTCTGCCAATGACTTCCTATTCCTGCTGTGTATGGTGGGGTGAGCTGCAAATGATTTCTTTTCCTCATTGATTTAAAATGTCATGTTTATAATGTACCAAACTCCCCCAGAAGCATTTGGGTTTATTTCTGGGCTCTATTCTATTCAAGTAATCTATCTGTTCACAAGCCACTATCAATTTTGATTATTGGAGCATCCTAAAGTTAAGTAATTGTTGTTTTTGTTTTTGAGATGCAGTCTCTCACTCTGCCGCCCAGCTGGACTGCAGTGGCGTGATCTAGGCTCACTGCAAGCTCCACCTCCCGGGTTCATGGCATTCTCCTGCCTCAGCCTCCCGAGTAGCTGGGACTACAGGCACCTGCCACCACGCCTGGCTAATTTTTTGTATGTTTAGTGGAGATGGGGTTTCACCTTGTTAGCCAGGATGGTCTCGATCTCCTGACCTCGTGATCCGCCTGCCTCGGCCTCCCAAAGTGCTGGGATTACAGGCGTGAGCCACCGCGCCTGGCCCTGAATTTGCTTGAGTTTTTAGCTCTCTCACCCATTTCAGGATTGTCACCACCCATATCTGACACGTCCTCCTCCTCCTCTAAATCTTCTAAGTCCTCCTGGCCATCAGCCTCTGTTTCTGAACCAGCCTCTTCATGCTCCTGTTCTTCACTCTCTGGGAGAAGACTGATATCTTCATCTTTCTTTCACTAACCGCATTCTGGAAGCACTGTAAAATTGCTTCATTTTGCAATTCCAGTTGTTGCAAAGTCTGCTCATCATCAAAACTTTCTATCACAAGTTTTTGTAAAGAGCTGCCATGGATTCTACCATTCTCTACTGTTTTATTAAAGTCATAAAGCACTTTCGTTAAAGAAGTGAACTTTGGTTCCAATCCAGCTTGAAACCTATTGGGAGGAATTAAATGAGATTTAGAATTATAGATAATAATTTCACAGCCCTCTTAATTAAAAGAAAAATAAAAACCTCAACTCTTCTGTAAAATCAAATTTGAATAAAGTGTAAGTATAGATTCTGGCCCCAACAATATATAAGCTGATGAGCCACAATGATATATAAAACCTGTCAACCAAGTATTTGTGAATCAGCTGTATAGATTGTTGGCAGGAAAAGCATTACAAATCTATTTGCTTGGAGATGTATAGAGAATTAGCCTTAAATTTTCTACTCTGCTACATTATATACCACTCCATTCATTCATTCCCTTATTCACTCAATGATCAACATTTGCTTTGGCTTACAGTGGTCAAGGAAAACCTCTCCTAGATGTGACATCTGAGGTGAAACTTACAGACAAGTATAGTCTTATAAAGATTGGGAAACATGTATTCCAGGCAGAAGAAACAGCAAGAACAAATTCTCTAAGATGCAATTGAGCTTGGTAAGCCTGAGGAATAAAAAAGTGAGCATGGCTATAGCGTGAAGGAGGCAGAAGGTGAAGTCGGAGAGACTGATGGGAGCCAAATTCTGCAGGGCTCAAGGGTAAGAGTTTGCCGTTTTAAGTGTAATAAGAAAATGTGAGAAGATTTTAAGCAGAAGGATGAAATGATGATTTATACGAAGGAAGAAGAAAGGGAGGAAGGAGGAGGAGGAAAGTAGAGTGATTAGAAGGTTGATGCAGCATTCCAGGCAAAGGATGATGGTGATTTAAGCTGGAGTTAGAGCAGTGAATATGCTGAGTACAGTTTGGAGGTAGAACTGACAGGATTGCTAAGGAATTAGATACAGAATAGAGAAAAGTGAAGACATCAAAATAGCAGCCTAGTTTTATGTGCGAGCAACTGGAGAGACAGAACTGCCATTTACTGCGATAGGCAAGGCTTGAGTGGTGGAGCAAGGGGAAAGGACTTCAGCGGATGGCAGAGTGTAGGTGGGTAGAAACAACATTCTACTGTATTTTGGACACGGTGAATTTGTGATGCTGAGAGGACCAAAATTTAAAAAATTGTTAAAAGCCGTACGGTGCGGATATCCCAGTTGTGCGCTACTGAATTCCAACTAAGCTCAGTCTGGAGTTGCTTGTGAGCAAGGAACTCAAGGGAGAGGTTGGAGTTTGAAACATAAATGAGTCATAATTTTATAGGTCATATTTGAAGTTCTTCAACAAAATACACATAAAACGTTTGTGTTGGGAAGAGACATGAAAGTTCTAATTCTCAAGAAGCTTAGTGGGGTAGACAGACAAGTGACAAGTTTGTGCTTTCAATAAAGTATGATGGCAGGTAAACACTGAGTGCTTTAGGAGCACAGGCGGAAGGAGAAACCAACACAGTTGTGTGTAGGGGGATGGGGGCCGTAATAAGCCTCAAGGGGAGCTTATAGGCGTGAATAACTGAGGTTAGGTTGATTTCAATAACATTCAACTGAGAGATCCATACTGTAAAAGTTTTAACAATTTTTAAAATTTTGATAGCCTAGGTCCTCTGAAATGTGGGGAAAAGTGATTTACATTTCCCCTTACCTTCCCCCAGCTCCACAATTTGCCAGGGGTCTGCAACCCGTGTCCACGTGCGACCGCAGTCGCACCCGAGCCCGGGATCTGTGCACTTACGTGAGGATGCACTCGGGCCAGCCAGTGGCTTTGCCCACCTCCCTCAGACACCGCTCCAGGGTCCGTCAGCGCCAGGCCCATGGGCCATGGCTGTCTGCAACTCCCGACACAAGCTGCAAGGCAAGAGAGCCGCTGGGAAACCGCACCGCAAGGATGCTGGGATTGGAACAGGAATTAAAAGAAATGAAAAAATGTGTAAGCAAAAACTCAGCTGTATGTAAAAAAAACCCAATTCCCCCTGAGAATGAGAAAGAGCCTTAGTCCTTTAAAAAAACTACCTGTTTTCCTATGGCTAGTGAGCCTTATCGCTCCCTTCCCAGGCATTATCAAAACCCTAATTCCCTAACTGTGCAACTGCAAGGTCACTAAACAAACAAATGCAAGTCACAAAACATATTTTTCCTAAAAACGTAAAAAAAAAAAAAACATAATGCGTGCTTCAATTAAATAACTCTCTGTTTCTCGCTTCTGTAATATGCTTCCCCCTGCACAGATCTACCCGGGCTCCACAAAATGCTAAAAGATAACTCTTTATTCAGCTCAACGCTTTGATCTGCCTGGCGTGGTGGCTCACTCTTGTGATCCCAGGACTTTGGACGGCCAAGTAGGGTGGATCGCTTGTGCCTTGGAGTTCCAGACAGGCCTGGGCAACATGGTGAAACCTGGTCTTTTTGTTTTGTCTTGTTTTGAGACGGAGTTTCGCTCTTGTTGCCCAGGCTGGAATGCAGTGGCTGGGTCTCTGCTTGCCGCGACTTCCGCCTCCCGGGTTTCGGTCGTTGTCCTGCATCAGCCTCCAGAGTGGCTGGGATTGCAGGCATAAGCCACCAAGCCCGGCTAATTTTGTATTTTTTTTTTATTTTTATTTTGGTACAGATGGGGTTTCTCCCTGTTGGTCAGGCTGGTCTCAAACTCCCGACCTCAGGTGATCCACCTGCCTAGGCCTCCCGAGGTGCTAGGATTGCAGGCTTGAGCCACCGCTCCCGGCCCAACTTATTAATCAGAAAGGAATAGATCGTCCTGGTGTGGTGGCTCACGCTTGTGATCCCAGTACTTCGGATGGCCCAGCGCGGGGTATCCCTTGAGCCTAGGAGTTCCAGACCTGCCTGGGCAACATGGTGAAACCCGGTCTCTCTCTCTCTCTCTCTCTCTCTCTTTTTTTTTTTGAGGCGGAGTTTCGCTCTTGTTGCCCAGGGTGGAGTGCAGTGGCTGGGTCTCCGCTCGCAGCGACTTCTGCCTCCAGGGTTTTAGTAGTTCTCCTGCCTCAGTCTCCGGAGTGGCTGGGATTGCAGGCCTGACCAACATTGCTCTGCTAATTTTTTTTTATTTGTTTTTGGTAGAGACGGGGTTTCTCCATGCTGGGCAAGCTGATCTCAAACTCCAGACCTCAGGTTATCCGCCCACCTCGGCCTCCGGGGATGCTGGAATTGCAGGCGTGAGCCAGCGCACACACCCAATTTATTTTTATTTCATTTTTTATTTTTATATATATATACTTTTGAGACGGAGTCTCACTTTGTCACCCAGGCTGGAGTGCAGTGGTGCGCTGTCTCGGCTCACTGCAACCTCTGCCTCCCAGGTTCAAGCGATTCTCCTGCCTCAGCCGCCTGAGTAGCTGAGATTACAGGCACCCGCTAGCACACCCATCTAATTTTTTTTTTTTTTTTTTTGTATTTTTAGTAGAGATGGGTTTTCATCATGTTGGCCAGGCTGGTCTCGAACTCCGGACCTCAGGTAAACCCACCTCGGCCTCCCAAAGTGCTGGGATGACAGGAAGGATCGGCCTGGCGTGGTGGCTCACGCTTTTGATCCCAGGAGTTTGGACCGGCCGAGCGTGGCGGATCCCTTGATCCTAGGAGTTCTAGACCAGCCTGGGCAACATGGTGAAAACCGGTCTCTCTCTCTCTCTCTTTTTTTTTTTTTGAGGCGTAGTTTCCCTCTTGTTGCAGGGCTGGAGTGCAGTGGTGCGGTGTCGGCTCCCCGCGGCCTCTGCCTCTGGGTTTGGGTGGTTCTCCTGCCTCAGCCTCCGAGTGACTGGGATTGCAGGCGGGAGCCACCATGCCCGGCTCTTTTTTTTTTTTTTTTTTTTTTTCTGGTAGAGACAGGTCTCTCCATGTTGGTCAGGCTGGTCTCAAACTCCCGACCTCAGGTGATCCGCCCGCCACGGCCTCCCGGGGTGCTGGGACTGCAGGCGTGAGCCACCGCTCCCGGCCCAATTTATTAATCAGAAAGAAATAGATCAGCCTGGCGTGGTGGCTCACGCTTTCGATCCCAGGACTTTGGACAACCGAGCGTGGGGAATTGCTTGAGCCTAAGAGTTCCAGACCTGCCTGGGCAACATGGTGAAAATCTGTCTCTTATTATTATTATTTTTTTTTTTTTTGAGGCGGAGTTTCCTTCTTGTTGCCCAGGCTGGAGTGCAGTGGCTGGGTCTCCGCTCGCGGCAAATTCTGCATCCCGGGTTTTGGTGGTTCTCCTGCCTCAGCCTCCTGAGTAGCTGGGATTACAGGCGCCTGCCGCCACACCCGGCTAATTTTTTTTTTTTGTATTTTTAGTAGAGACGGGTTTTCATCATGTTGGCCAGGCTGGTCTCAAATTCCTGACCTCCGGTGATCCACCCACCTCCGCCTCCCCAAGTGCTGGGATGACAGGCGTGATCGGCCTGGCGTGGTGGTTCACGCTTTTGATTCCAGGACTTTGGACTGGCCAAGCGTGGGGGATTGCTTGAGCCTAGGAGTTCCAGACCGGCCTGGGCAACATGGTTAAACCCAGTCTTTTTTTAAATTCCTTTATTATTATTATTATTATTATTATTTTTTTGAGACGGAGTCTCTCTGTCGCCCAGGCTGGAGTGCAGTGGCGCTATCTCGGCTCACTGCAGCCTCTGCCTCCCAGGGTCAAGGGATTCTCCTGCCTCAGCCTCCTGAGTAGCTGGGATTACAGGCGCCCACCACCACTCCCGGCTAATTTTTTTTTATTTTTTAGTAGATCGTGGTAACTGCCTTAAAATGATGATTGTTCAGAAAGTCAGTTTAATTTAGATACTAAGGATATTGAGGTTATGTAACATTTGAGCAAGTTCTAAAAAAAAAGAGAAATAGTATATTTAATTGCTAATAAAGTATTGTCAACTCACAAATATATTCACATAGCATACATTTCAAGAGCAGAATAACCATGAATATAAAAGGAATTAGCAAAAACGAAACAAAAAAGACATGAAGAAATAAAAACAGATGGAACAAATAGCACAAAATACGATGAAAGTTATAAAAGAAACTATGCCAACAATCACAATAAATGTAAATAGACTGAATAATTAAGAGAAAATGACTATAAAACAGAATTAGGGCACGCGTGGTGGCTCATGCCTGTAATCCCAGCACTTTGGGAGGATGAGGCAGGCGGAGGGATCACAAGGTCAGGAGTTCGAGAGCAGCCTGACCAACATGGTGAAACCCCATCTCTGCTAATACAAAAATTAGCCGGCGTGGTGGTGAACATCTGTAATCCCAGTTACTCAGGAGGCTGAGGCAGGAGAATCGCTTGAATCCAGGAGGCAGAGGTTGCAGTGCCGAGATCACACCATTACACTCCAGCCTGGGCAACAGAGCAAGACTCCGTATCAAAAAAAAAAAACACACAAAAAAACACAAAAAACAGAAAATAAACAGTATGAAAAGACATCTAAAACATAAAGTCACAGAAAGACTGAGAGAGATTGAAAAAAGATACACCTGTCATATGTACCTAACCCAAAGAAGGGTTGGAAGCTATATTATTATCAGATAAAATAGGCTTTGGGCAAAAAGCAATATGGGAGATTTTTTAAGGCCACAATATAATGATAAAAATTCTAATAAACCAAGGGAGAAGGTAATCTAAAATGTTAATGTATCTAATAACTAGCACTCAAAATACATGAAAGCAAAATATGACAAAATTGCAACCCTCAGAGGGCAATTTAAATACATATCTCAGTGTCTGATAAAAGAGACAAAAAACAATCAGCATAGACATAGAAGATTTACATCTCTCTAGAAAATTAACAAGCTTGACTTAATGTACAGAAAAAACATATCTCTCCAAAGTGACAGCATTCACCCCCCCAAGTACATATGTACTGAGCCATAAGGAAAATCTCAACAAATTCCAAAGAAGCGGAATCATGCACCCATCTTTCTCTCTAACCATAATCTCATTAAACTAAAAACAATAATAAAAAGATAAAGTAAAAAGCCAGAAAGGCAGATGCTAAATGAGAAAGTGACAGAAAAGTTACAGATTTTGTTAAGCATACAAAGCTTCTATGGGGTAAAGCAGTCAAAGGGATATGCAAATTTACACAGAAATCCAACCGATATAAATCCTTGAAAGATACTACATACAGATATTTCATCAGTTCTCACATGCCAAACCCAGCAAAGCCAAACTTTGGAGCCTCCCCTGCGAGCAGACCTGCCACAGGAGGAGAGGCAGCACAAACCTCCCTTTGCAGTGAAAATGCCACATTGTGTGTGCTTCTTACCCCATCACCTCTTTGGAAGTGGCCCCACTCAGCGCTAGCTGAGAATCGCTTCCCTCATACCACTCTCAGTAGTTCACCCCAAGACACACGGGACAACTCTGTACCTGGTAAGTCATTGTGAATCCAATTAATAATGGCATTCAGAAAGTTAGGAATCTTTGAATTATTAGATTCATAGTGATATTCAAAAGAAAGAAAACGACATCATTTCTGTTCCACGCATGTTGCCCACATTCACTGCGTAAAAGGCAAAGGGAACTGTGAGTACCCACAAAGAACCTGATATTGACGGCACATACATTTCTTCATTAGGAAGAATAAATTTAGACTGTAACAATTTAAAAAACCAGAAAATACAACTGTACATTTTAGTTCTTATTAAAATCCAAGAGGTTTAACTTATTTGCTCCTTGTTTAGGTAATTATTGTCTAAAACATTTCAAAGATAACATATATAGTGGCTACGATTTCTAGTACTTTTTAAAAATTCAAGCCCAGTCTCTTCTAATTAAATGTATAAATGATTTATCTCTGTCTTTCTTAAAAAGAACCAAGAGCCCCAATTAAAAAGTAAAACTTAAATTTCCTCTTAAAAAATTGTTACGTCAAAATTATCTAATAAACCATAGTTCAGAAAATAATTTCTGAATTAAGAAAATATGAATAATAAAACCAACAGTTTATGTGCTGAATTTCACATTTTTATTTTTTATTATTTTTAAAATTTTGTTTTAAGTTCTAGGGTACATGTGCAGGAGTGTTACGTAGGGAAACGTGTGCCATGGTGGTTTGGTCCACCTATCAACTCATCACCTCAGTGTTAAGCCCAGCACGCATTAGCTATTTTTCCTGATGCTCCTCCCCCACCCGCCCTGACAGGCCCCAGTATGTGTTGTTTCCCTTCCTGTGTCCATGTGTTCTCACTGAACCTCACATTTTTAAATACAGCATATGCCAGGTGTCATTTCAGTACCCATAATTATACATAGTATATGTATATGTGTAAATATATGTATATGTGTACATATATGTATGTAATATGTGTATGTAAATATTATGTAAATATGTATGTATGTAAATATATATGTAAATATGTATGTGAATGTATGTAAATATATACACATGTAAATATGTATGTAAAAATATGTACGTAAATATATGTATGTAAATATATGTATATATAAATGTAAAATATGTAAATATTTGTAAATGTAAAATATGTAAATGTAAAATAAATGTAGAATGTCAAATGTAAATGTAAAATGTAAAATAAATGTAAAATGTAAATGTAAAATATGTAAATATATGTATATGTGTAAATATATATGTGTAAATATATATGTATATGTGTAAATATATATGTGTAAATATATATGTATATGTGTAATATATATGTATATGTGTAAATATATATGTATATATAACACAGCATACAGCATATGCCAGGTGTCATTTCAGTACCCATAATTATACATAGTATAATTATACATAGTATAATTAGACTACTATGTTAGCTAAAAAATGTTGATTAGATACAAATGTATAAATTTATCTTCTCTAAACGTGGAAATTCTCTAGAGGCTATTTCCAGCTTCTGTGTGGATTGTAGAGCAGGCTGCTACCTGTACCCCAAAAATGAACACCTTAAAAAAAAGACAACTTTCTCAGCCTCCCTATTGCACACACATATGAAAAATATGTTAAATTCAACGCCAAATATTCCTGAGATCAACACAGCAGTGATCCCAAAGAGAAAATTTCTCTTTGCTAATGGGCACAAACTTGAAGGGCAAAGCAGTGGAAGGGTAAGTCTGCAGACTCGCGTGGGGCTCAAGTCAGAATCACGTGGAAGATCATTGCCACATGTTTTTGTTTTTTTAAATAGCAAACACCACCAAGTGGAGCCCGCCGGGTTTAGTAGATATTAAACCTCTAAGGAGTGGCACATCCGAGACTGAAATTCCCATCTTTTGATTCCCAGCTCAAGGTCTCTGAAATGCCAGCACCAGCTGTGAAATTGTTCTTCTGCATTTTCATGGAGACCTTTTCTTCTATACTGCCATACTCTTTTTTTTGGAACAGTTATACCTGATCTTCCTATTTTTGTGTGTGTTCCACCGAAACTTTTTCACTCTAAATAGTTCCCTCTTTCCAACTGAGCATTTACATCTGTAACAAGGACAAAAACATCTAACATCTCTCTCACCCTTGGTTTGTGTTTTGTTTTGTTTGTTTTTGAGACAGGGTCTTGCTCTGTCACCCAGGCTGGAGTGCAGTGGCGTGATCACCGTTCACTGCAGCCTCGAGCTCCTGAGCTGAAGCAATTTTCCCACCTCAACCTCTGAGTAGCTGAGACTATAGGTGTGTGCCACCACGCCTGGCTAATATGTGTATTTTTTGTAGAGATGAGTTTTTGCCATGTTGCCCAGGCTGGTATTGAACTCCTGGCTTAAGTGATCCTCCTGCCTAGGCTTCCCAAAGTGCTGGAAGGAATTACAGGTATGAGCCACCGTGCCTGGCCTCACCATTGTTAAAATTATGGAAATCGTGTTTGCAAAGCAGGTTGGCCTGTTTGGAAAAGGGTGTCATAATTTCTCAGGTAACTCCAAAAAGAGAAAGCTACGAAAATTACCTTAATACATTCATTACAGTCTCAGTATAAGATTATAGCTTCCTCTCCCAAAGCGTAACCACAACCTGACGCAGGATGAGTTGGTTTGAAAATACCGCATACAATATCCTCTTGAGTAGAATCATAATTTAGAACTCTAAAAATGACCGGAAACAAAACTGTCCAAGTTTGTTTAACGTAATGTGTTTCAACTTATTTGACTAGAAAACCCTTCATTCGTGCAACACTTATAAATATCCCATGGCAAATCTAGTTTTCTATGAATAATGAACGAAACATTTATAATTTAAAACTAAAATTGTCTTCTAAGCAGAGATCTACGTATCAATAAAATGAAGAAATAAAATTTCCATACTGTTTTCTTCCCAATACAAGGATTAGAAGGAAAGGGAAAAGAGTAACAGCGAGAATCAATAGCCCATGTCTGGCCAGGCTCCATGGCTCAATCACACCTGTAATCCCAGCAATTTCAGAAGCTGAGGCGGGAGGATCACTGGCCTTTAGTGATCCTTGAATGAAACTCCATCTCTAAAAAATTAAAAATATTAGCTTAGAGAATCATTTGGGCCCAGGAGTTTGAGGCTGTATTGAACTATGACTATGCTACTGCATTGCAGCCTGGGCAACAGGCTGCTTAAACCTGGAGGGGCAGAGCTTGCAGTGAGCCGAGATCGCGCCACTGCACTCCAGCCTGGGCAAAGGAGCCAGACTCCGTGGCAAAAAAAAAAAAAAAAAAAGAGATTCTATTCACAATAGCAACAAAACCCTGAGAATATATCTAGCAAAGTATACACAGGCCTTTCATGAAGAGTATTGCCATAGCCTGAATGTGTCTCCCAAAATTCATGTATTAAAACTTAATTCCCAAGATGATAGTACTAAGAAGTGGGGCCTTTAAGAAGTGATTAAGACATAAGGGTGAGCCCTCATGCATGAGATTAGTGCCTTCCTTATAAAAGGGCTTGTGGGTGGTGGTAAATCTGTCCCTTCTGCCTCATGAGAACATAGCATTTGCCTGCTCCAGAGGAAGCAGCATTCAACGTACCATCTTGGAAGCAGAGACCAGGCCCTCACTAGACACTGTGTCTGCTGGAGTCTTGATCTTGTTCTTCCCAACCTCCAGAACTGAGAAAATAAACTTCTGCTCTGTGTAAATTACCCAGTCTCAGGTGTTTTGTTATGGCACTATGAAGGGACTAAGACAAATATAAAAATTACCCAGGGACTTAAAGGAAGAACTGACTAAACTGAAATATATGCCATATATATTATGAATCGTAGGACTCAATGCTATAAACATACTACTTCTCAACAAATTAATCTATAAATTCAAGAAATTCCTACACAAATCCCAATAGAATTTTTTTGTGGAACTCGAGAGGCTGATCCTAAAATTCATACAGTCACTTGAGGGGCCAAGAATAGTGTAACAGGGCTGGCGGGGCTGGTGGCTCACACCTGTAGTCCCAGTACTTTGGGAAGTCAAGACTGGAGGATGGTTTGAACCCAGGAGTTGAAGACCAGCCTAGGCAACATAGCAAGATGTTGTCTCAAAATATTAAAAATAAATAAATAAATAAATAAAAAGAAGGTTAAGTATGCACATTTTGTTGTGAATTTCAATTTTATAGTGATTTTTTTTTTTTTGAGACAGGGTCTTGCTCTGTCACCCAGGCTGGAGTGCAGTGGTGCCATCTTGGTTCACTGCAACCTCTGCGTGGGCTCAAGCAATCCTCCCGCCTCACTCTCTGGAGTAGCTGGGACCACAGTTATGTGCCACCACACCTGACTAATTTTTATATATTTTTTTTGTAGAGACGGGGTTTTTCCATGTTGCCCAGGTTGTTCTCAAACTCATCCACCTGCCTTGGCCTCCGCAAGTGAGATCACAGACATGGGCCACTGTGCCCGGTCTAGTGCGCTTTTTTTTTTTTTTTTTAACCAAACAAACGATGAAGTCTCAGGAGTAAAAGTTGATACACAAGTAAATTTTATTGGTAATGTTTTTGTGTGGTCTTTAAGCAGAGGGAAAATTAGTCTGCATTATGGTGTATCCAGACTAAATAACTGATATTAAAATGAAATTATCCTTAGGATTTGCAATCTTAGAGAAAACTTTTTCATTTTTTTTGAGTTACAAATTATCTTCACTTACATTTGAGAACAGTGAGTCACAGAGGGATTAAGTATCTTACTCAAGATCTTGCAAGTGTTTGGTTTGAACCCAATCTTTTCACTCTGCAGAACTCAGAGTCACTCTTATTTGGAAACTTTTTAACTGATGTGGATCCTCTAATATGGGCTTCCTATTATTCATTCCGTATTAGTCAGAAGTTTTGCAAGCAGGCAGAATTCATTTTGCCAATTACGGGATTTTCCCTCAGTTGCAGTCAAGGTTCATAAAACTATAACTATTTATCTTTAATTATAAATTTTGTTTTTGAGACAAAGTCTTGCTCTGTTGCTCAGACTGGGATCCAGTGGCACAGTAACAGCCCATTGCAGCTTTGAACTCCTGGGCTCAAGGGATCCTCCGCCTCAGCCTCCCAAGTATCTGGGACTACAAGTGCATGCCATCATCCCTGGCTAATTTTGTTAAAAAAAAAATTGTAGAGATAGGGTCTTGCTTCGTTGCCCAGGCTGGTCTCAAACTCCTGGCCTCAAGCAAGCCTTCAGCCTTGGTCTCCCAAAGTGCTGAGATTACAGGTGTCAGCCATTGCACCTGGCCAAAACTATAACTATATATACACACACACATAACTACATATATATGTGTGTGTGTATGTATGTGTGTGTGTATATATATTTTTATATATAAATAGATATATCTGAAAGGCATCAAAAGAAAAAAGCTGTAACTTTTAGTCTTGATCTTGATAGTGACTTGATTAGGCTATCTGTTTAACATCAAAGATGCAAATTAATGCTTTCTTTGGGTGAGCATATTAAAAATGCAGAAAATATTGGAGTAGTTTTTTATGTTAAATAAATTGTATTCTGTGTATTTAAGGTATACAACATGATTTTGTGGGATGCATATAGATGGTTAAAAAAATTACTACAGTGAAGCAAATTAACGTATCCTTCAACTCAGATAGTTACCCGTTTTCTTTTTGTTTGATGGCAAGAGGAGCTTAAAATCTCATTTAGCGTGAATCCCAATACAGCACAATTTTATTACCTATATTTCTCGCGTTGTACATTATATTTCTAGGCTTGTTCATCCTACATATCTGCTACTGTGTAACCTCTGAGCTATGTCCACCCATTTTCTCTCTTGCCCCCCAAGTAATTTCCTAAAGTGTCTCATATAAAAAGGCAGTAGCTTTCAGCTTAAACTTTTTCTCTGTATATATTTAAGTCAATTTCTTTGAGGTATGTTTTTCTCTCCAGAATAGTTAGATGTAGGCATACCACTTTAATGTTGACACTAGTTCACCTAGAACTTATCTTCTGCAAATCTGTCTCTATGTCCATCTCTGTCTCCATCTTTGTCTCTATCTTTATCTCTGTCTATCTATCTATCCATCCATCCATCCATCCATCCATCTATCTATCTATCCATCTATCTGTCTATCTAACTAAAGCAAATTCATGCCCTTCTCCTATTTATGGAATCGAGACCATAAACAGAGGTGAGGGAAAGAATTTGGCAGGAATTGCGATGTGTATTACCTGTGGCATAAGGAAACTTTACAGAACTAGGGTCAAAAGTATACTTTCTAGTTCTTTCCCATGGCTTTTCACTTTGATGTAGTCCTTATCAGGCAACTGAGGTTTTATATAAGTCCCCTGATTCTTAGAACATGAAGGTGTAGTATTCAAGTTTGGTCCCTTGAAAGCACAATTTTTGTTAAAAAAAAATTAAGAAAATTGTATGATTTCCTCAGCAAATACATATTGATCATCTGTTATACAGCCATGAGAAGTGGTTCTGTTGAACACGTTTATTTTATCAGATCCCAATTCTAAACCAGGCATAGAATGGAAACCATGAAGGTAGGATGAAATAACTTCTGAATGTTTGAAAATAGTGTACTTAAAAATAAATATCAGGTGTTTTTGTTTTGTTTTTTGTTTTTTGTTTTTGAGACAGGGTCTCACTCTGTCACCCAGGCTGGAGTGTGGTGGTGCCATCTCACCTCATTGCAGCCTTGACCTCCCAGGCTCGGGTGATCTCCCACCTCAGCCTCCCAAGTAGCTGGGACTACAGGCACATGCCACCATGCCCAGCTAATTTTTTGTATTTTTTGTAGAGACAGGGTTTCACCATGTTGCCCAAGCTGGTCTAGAACTCCTGGGCTTAAGCGATCTTCCCACCTCAGCCTCCCAAAGTGCCAGGATTACAGGCATGAGCCACCATGCCTGGCTGAAAATACCAGGTTTTTAAGTATCAGCACTGCCTCTTCAATCTTTTCTATTACTATGTTGTGCTCAGTGGTATTTTTTATTGAATTAGAGCAGTGCTGTTCAATGGAACCTTCTTTGAGGATGGAAATCTTTTATGTCTCTGCTGTGTGGGTATGGTATTAGCTGGGTATGGGGCACCTGCCTATAGTCCCAGCTACTCAAGAGGCTGAGGTGGGAGGATCACTTGAGCCCAGGAGGCCGAGTCTGCAGGTTCGTACCACTGCAATTCAGCCTGTGTGACAGAATGAGACTCAGTCTCAGAATAAAATGAAATAAGGAAATAAAAATGTAATTGTTGAAATAAGAAACTAGTGGATGGATTAGACACGAGAAGAAAGAATTAATTGTTTAGACGATTCTCTCCAAAAAGTAAGTCAGCATGTCACACAGAGAGACATGAGGATAGATGATAGGGCAGAAGTTGGTGGGCTTGGAGGGGAGAGGAAGATCAGAATGAGGTCCAAAATGTGTCTTAGTGAAATCCCAGGAGGAGATATTAAAATTATATTAGAAAGTGAAAGAAATAGAAGTTTTATTTATTTATTTATTTATTTATTTTGAGAAGGAGTCTCGCTCTGTAGCCCAGGCTCGAGTGCAGTGGCACGATCTGAGCTCACTGCAAGCTCCGCCTCCTGGGTTCACGCCATTCTCCTGCCTCAGCTTCCCAAGTAGCTGGGACTACAGGCACCCACCACCACGCCTGGCTAATTTTTTTGTATTTTTAGTAGAGATGTGGTTTCACCTTTTTAGTCAGGATGGTCTCAATCTCCTGACCTCATGATCCACCAGCCTCAGGCTCCTAAAGTGCTGGAATTATACGCATAAGCCACTGCACCCGGCCCAAAAGCTTTGTGTTTTTACAAATATTAGACATGTTTCTTGTTTAAGAAAAAAAGTCTTCACAATAACGTAGGAGAATAAGAGAAACATTTTTCCAAAAAAGAGAAGTCATTGTGATTATTTTATCTTATTGGAATGTTGGATAATATAGTCTGCTTCAGTAATCATCAAGCATGCTATGGATTTTCCATTTTTACAGGATCTGTATCTCGGTTAAGGTAATACTGGTAATTTTTGTACTCTATGAAAAATATAGGCCAAAATCATAGACCTTGCATAGAAGCTGGATCATGAAGACAGCTCTGGAGGAACACACAGGTACACACACACAGACACACATATATATAAAGTATACACATATATATTTTTTAAAAGCTTTTAAAGCAAAAGCCGGCCCTGCCCCTCTCCCAGAGTTGGCGGCCTCTCCCCTCTCTTAGGGTGGGTGGGGACAGTGGTTGCATGGGCAGCTTTCCTTGTGAGCCAAAGGTCCCTCTGGACACATGATGCCTGGCCACGCCCCCTTTCCCTTTCATCTTTCTCATTAACCAATGGGCTTGGAGCATTAAGGCCACGCCCCTATTCTGCCTTCTACTGCATCCCTGGTTACGCCTCCTCTGGCTCAGTCGCACAGCTACCTGGTAGGTGACTGGAGGTGTTGATCAGTGCTTGGTGGGATTTTGCTGATGTGGCCCCAAGCCCGCCTCCCTCCCCACCCTGCGATGGCAGAAGAAACTCGACAAAGTAAATTGGCAGCAGCCAAGAGAAAGGTAAAAACACACCAGGTCACGGACCCCCAACCCAGCCACAGATCCTCTCCAACGACAAGACTGCTGCCAGAGTCCATACCACTCCCGAGGTTCACCGGACTGGGACCCCCACACCGGTGCCTCTGGGCTACCCCCACCAAAGTTTTGCCAGTCAGCCCCACCCCTTCAGCAAGCAGCCCAGTCTCTGCCCTCACCAATCACCCCAGGGTGACTTTGGGCAGGTGAATCCTGGGGCTCCCCGCTCCTTTACTAGGCCCTCATCTCCTGCCACCCCAAGCTTGACCTCCCAGGGCTTTTTGGGCTCACATCTCCAAGGACCTGGGTCCCACAGCCCCAGACCCCACCCTCACCAGTCATCCCTGGGTGACTTTAGGCTGGTGAATCCTGGGGCTCCCTGCTGCTGACTCTTCCCTTCCCTCCTGCTGCCTCAAGGTGGACCTCCCTAGGCTGTGTGCACTGGCGTCTCCAAGGACCTGGGTCCCAGCTCTGTTTTTCCCTCCCCTATCATGGAGCGGTGACTCGGACATCATGCTGATGTGGTCCCTCCCCCTCACCAGGAAGAGTGGAATGTAGTGATGTCACGGTCCATCCAGTAACTGTCATTACTGCAAGACTGGCCTTTGATCTTATGACCCAGTCCCCTAAGCATTGCCACCCCATTTCTGGTTCCTCTTGTCACAGCACAAATTTCCAGCTGGAAGGGGAATGGAGATTGGGACCTAGGAGCAAGAGGTTTCAGGCTGCCTCACTCCCTTAACATAAACATTGACAGCGGGAAAAGCCTACACTTCCCCTGTGAGCTCAAAACATTGACAGTACCTCTGGATGGCAACTGGAGAATGGGTTTGACTTGGTTTGGTTTTCTCCCAGGCTTCTACTTTCCAGAGAGATTTTAACAAATTTTTTGTGAGTTCTCCACCTCACATTCTAATTCTCCATGGTTCTGGGACCAGACTGCCCTTCAGTCAGTGGTCTGTGAAGTGAGATTTGCTCATCTTCTGTGGAATAGATCTTGGGAAACTGAACTTGACAGCTTGAATCTTCCTCATATTATGTAAACCTGGGGTACTTTGAGTGCCACAGGATACATATGGGACATCTTTCTGAAGCATCAGTTTCCATTGATTCTCTTGAGATCAAGAGAAAAAACATTAATGTACTTAGGGATGACAGTCACATAGGTTTCTAAGAGTATACCAGACCTCTCTCTGAAATGAGGCTTGGGTTGTCCTCTTTCTGATAAATTCCCAGATTTAACAGAAAGGCTGCCTTCTGCCATGAGGATACATTGATATAAGAGTTTGAGAGGTACTGGTGCACTTCTTCACACTAACAGACGTGTGAGGATGTATGACTCTAAACCACATGGCATACAGTTCCTGCCTACTTAATGTTTACTTTTCTACCTCTGCCTCTGGTTTTGGTCCCTGGCAGCTGCTGATTCTTGGTAATACCCCAGAGTTTGGAGTCAGAAGACTGAGTTTCAAAGTTCGTCTGTCGCCTTTTTCTTTTCTTCTTTTTTTTTCTAGCCATGATATCAATCTCTTTGAGTCACTAAATGATTGTGACAACACCTTGTACAGTTGTTGGTATCATTAAATCAGATGGTGTATAAGAGTATTTTATAAAAACTGTAAAGGAGGATGTGGCTGCAGGGGCTGATAGTTCTCATGAGTATTACTGCTCTTGTTTCTGACAGTTAAAAGAATATTGGCAGAGAAACAGCCCTGGTGTTCCAGCAGGAGCCAAGAGGAACAGGAAAACAAATGGCAGCATCCATGAGACAGCCACTTCTGGTGGTTGCCACTCACCTGGAGATGTGAGTCTTGGCTGACTAGGTTCCTGGGGACAGGGGACCCAAGGGGCACTAGAGGGTAATTGTTAAGATTGTGGATGGACTGTTGGGTACCTGTGAAGAATTCTGGGTTTGAATCCTGCCTCTTTGTCTGCTAGGGATATGAATTAGGGCAAGTTGCTTGACCTCATCGGGCCTCTCTTTTCACATCTGTATAATAGAGGTGGTATTGTTTCACTTCCATTTGTGAAGTTTAAATGAGATTTGTTATTGTTGTTTTTATGTTAATCCCTAGTACATGGCCTGCTGTAAACACCCAGAACACCCAGGATATGGTCATTGCTGTTCGATTTTCCTCATCCCCAGTCTCAAGGGGAAGCCAGGACAATGAGAACAGTCACTTGGCACAGGAGTCACTGAAAGGGCCGCAGGGTGCTGTGGTGGGGAGATAAGAACCATGAGAGAAGTTGGCACAAAGGAGTTATGGGACAAAGGGTCCAAGATAGGCAGAAAAGAAAATTGTGCCAGTTGATGGGGAAGAAAAGAAGTCAGAGGGCTTAGATACTGAGTGGGACAGAACATCTTCATGTGCACTCTCATCTCTTGTAGTCAGCAACAGGTATCCACGGGGAGAGCCCTACATCATCTGCTACCCTGAAGGATCTGGAGGTAAGAGGCTCTGGGCAGAGGTGCAGTGACCCTGCAGGCCAGCCCTCCAACCTCCTCCTCCAGGTGGGACGGGGTGCCCCTCTGCCAGCTGAGACAGTCCACACACACCCCAGCCCTAATGATTGCTCTCTCTACCTCTCCCCCCACTCCTCCTCCACCTCCTCCTCTCTGCATGCGCCTCAGAGCCCGTGCCAAGAACTAGCAGTAGTCCCAGACTCGAGGTCCGTAAAAGTCAGTCAACTGAAGAACACCATCAAATCTTTGGTAAGAGTCCACTGGGGTCCCCTGATTCCACGCTGCCAATCCTGGGCTCTAGTTTCCCCTTGGGGCCCTGAAGAAAGGGGACGGCGGCCCCTGGTGCCAAGGGCGAATAGGGAGCTGGGGCGCCCAGGCCTCACCTGGAGGGACCCCGGAGCATGCAGCATGGCTCTTTTTTTGCTGCCCTGTTTGCTGACTCTCCCCTCTCCAGACGCCCCTGCTCGAGTCCTTGCTACACACGCCCTGGGATTGTTGCCTCTTGGGGAAGTGCTAGCCTGACTGGTTGTCAGGGGCCCTGTATTTCTGCCATGACTCAGTCCCTAATTTGCTCTTTGATTCTGGACAAGCCACCTCTCCTTTTTGGGCTCATGTTTCCAGAGGAAGTAGTGAGTATCAAAGGTCTCTGTTAGCTCTCGAGTCTGAGATTTAAAGGCCTCCTAGAATGGAAACCTCAGGGCCAAAGGCTCCTGTCTGTCCTTTTCCGCCCTAAATCTTCTGTGAAGAACCGTACTTGGCCCGTACGTGCTCAGTAAATGTTTATTGAATGAATGCACTTTTCTAAATCACAAGCTGGCAGAAGGGGGGGCCTTTCTCAAACTCCATCTCTAGAGGTTTATATTGCTGTCCTCTCAAGAGATTCCAGATTCAGACCTTGAGTTCTGTGGCTGTGGGCAAAAGCCAACAAAGACCCAAATCCTCTGTCCTTGGGAGCTTGAGGAGAGTTTACCAGTTCGAGTTCCCACTGGGTCTGAGAACTTTGCCTTTAAAATCCATTCCTGGTCCCTGCCTACCACTTCCTGCTCTGGGGAATAGAGTTGAGGGGGCCACCCTCCATCACCTTAATGTGACTCTCCCCACAGAAACAACAGAAGAAACAAGTGGAACATCAGCTGGAAGAAGTAACATGATTTCTTTGTTTGCTCGCGACATGACTGCTCGGTTTGGGGGACACTCAGATGTAGAGGCCCCGAGTCTCGTCTCACCCACTCCCAGCCTGGGGAAGAAGGCTCACCCCCCAGAGTCCACCCCATCCCCCACAGGGTCTCTGATAACCCGGTCCCATGGGTGGGCCTGTCCCGGGGCAGGGGCAGTGGTGGCATTCTGGGGACATGTCTCTTGCAGTACCATCTCTGCCTCCGCCTGGTTAGATCTCTGTCTTCCTCTTCCTACAGGAAAAGAAAGCAAACAACGAGAAACAGAAAGCCGAAAGGGAGCTAGAGGTGAGTGGACGGTGTGCAGTTTCCTCCTGTCCTCCGGAGAATGTTTCTTTCCTTCTCTTTCAGCACTTGCTTGGCTTTTCTCCCAAAGGTTCAAATCCAGAGATTGAACATACAGAAAGGGAAACTAAATACGGACCTGTACCACACGAAACGTTCTCTCAGATACTTTGAAGGTGGGAATCTGGGTACCCTGTCATCCTTCAACCTGGAACTTTGACAGGTCTTCAGGGGGAGTCCTTTGGGCCCCATCTCAACTCTCTCATTACAGAAGAGTCCAAGGATCTGGCCGTCCGTCTGCAACATTCATTGCAGCGTAAAGGAGAGTTAGAGCGGGCTCTCTCTGCTGTCACCGCCACACAGAAGAAGAAGGCGGAGAGGGTGAGTCCAACCACCTGCCCCGTCCCCTGGGAGCCTGGCTTCGCAGACAGAGGAGTGAGCCTAAAGGTCCCTTCTGCAGGATGGAGTGTCCTGCCCAGAAGGCAGCATGGCCATTTCTCACTGCTTTTTTGTATGGTTGTTAGCGGCAGCTTGGGACTGAGTCAGCTGCTGTGGGTGAGTTGGGGGGCACTCTGGGGAGAGAGCACAGGACGTAGAGCTTGGAGGCCAAGTGCCTGCCATGCCTTTACCTGGCTGTGGTCTTGGCCAAGTCCTCAGTGGGTATTGGGTACTTGTACTGTGAAGGTACAGAAGAGTACCTTTAGTATGTTACCATTTCTGTAGAGAGAGGAAACGTGTGTGTGTGTGTACATATTATGATAATATACATAAAATATGTTTGCAAGTGTTCATAAAAACTCAGGAGAGAGCAACAGGGTGGCTGGGAGATACTTCCCTTCTGTACCTTCTGAGTCTGGGACTATGTGAATGTATTATCCTTTCAAAAAGTGAACAAAAGATTAATTTTCCCCTTCCTAGCTGTGCCCCCACCCCCAGCAAGAAAAATGGGCTTAGAGAATTGGATAGATCTGGGTGTTTAAATCCCAGCTCTGCCTAAGTGATCTTAGGCAAGCACTTAACCTCAAATACTCCATGTTTTTTCATCTACACAATAGAGGTCATCATAGTAACTGTCTCCCATGGTGGTTGCGAGGATTAAATGGGATTGCTAGCATGGTATCTGGTGAAGCACTCCATAAAAGTTCAAACAGTGGTAATAATAACAGTAATAACAATAGCAATATTATCTGATCTCTCTGGGCCTCTGTTAGCCAGCTATAAATTCGATCTCTTTCCCTGTCCCTTCCAACTTTACTGAGTTCTTTAAAAACCAAACCACGGGCTTGGAAATGCCTTGATCTTTACTGACCGAGTTGTATATTGGGCCTAGCCCTGGCCCTTTTAAGGGGCACTGTGTGGAATGGCCCGGCCTCCCCAGATTGAAACTTCTCACTCTTCAGCAGTTCTCCAGCCGCAGTAAAGCACGTATGGAGTGGAAGTTAGAGCAGTCCATGCGGGAGCAGGCACTGCTGAAAGCGCAGCTGACACAGGTGAGGTGTTCAGAGGGAGGGATGTGGAAGGAAGATGACCCCAGGTAACCAGGAGCAGGTGAGGACCAGTGACAGCCCTTCCTAATTTCTGTGCCCATTCTTGCAGTTGAAGGAGTCACTTAAAGAAGTCCAGCTAGAGAGGGATGAATATGCTGAACATCTAAAAGGAGAGAGGGCCCGGTGGCAGCAGAGGATGAGAAAAATGTCGCAGGAGGTGAGATCTGACCCTTCAGCCCCCCCACATTAGATAGGTCACTGGATCTTTCTGGGCACCTGTAAAATGGGAATAGTACAGCCAGAGGTGGTCATGGGTCTGGGCTTTGTGGAGGTGGGGGCAGAGAGAGAGATGGTAGCATGTCCAGCCTCCAGCCCCTCTCTCCAGGGCCCTTTCCCCCTGTGCTTTGGGCAGGTTTGCTCGTTGAAGAAGGAGAAGAAGCATGATAAATATCGGGTAGAGAAGCTGGAGAGGAGCTTGTCCAAACTCAAAAACCAGATGGGTAAGATGGGGCTGGCGTGACCTGGCAGCAGGACTGGCATCAGAGGGCTGTGAGGGTGGCTTGGAGTGCCCCAGCGAGGTGGGTGGATGGAAGGGCTTTGAGGCAGAGGGAAAGAGGTCTGTGCCAGGAGACGGCAAGTCTTGTCATCTCAATGAGCCTCAGTGTCCCCATCAGCAAAGAGGGCCCGTTGTCAGCCACCCGCAGTGCTCTTTCTCTGAAAGTGCTTTGGAAGACTGGCTACCCATCTGGGTGCGAGGAATCATTAGCAGTGAGGCTAAGTTTGAGGAGCCGGAGAGGAGCTGTGCGCCAAGAGGAGGGTTTTTTCTTTTCTTTTCTTTTTTTTTTTTTTTTTTTTGGAATCCAGAGGCTCTTATTGTCTGCTTCCTTTCTCAGCTGAACCTCTGCCCCCGGAGCCCCCAGCAGTGCCCTCTGAGGTGGAGCTGCAGCACCTGAGGAAGGAACTAGAGAGAGTGGCAGGAGAGCTCCAGGCCCAGGTGGAGTACAATCAGCGCATAAGTCTCCTGAATGAGGGGCAAAAGGAGAGGCTTCGGGAGCAGGAGGAGAGGCTTCAGGAGCAGCAGGAGAGGCTTCCAGAGCAGGAGGAGAGGCTTCAGCAGCTGGCCGAGCCACAGAACAGCTTCAAGGAGCTGGTGCGTTGCCCCAGCTGGGGAGCCTGCCCTCCTCCCTAGCCCTCCAGGCCTTTGTTTCCCCACCTATAAAATGGGGCAGTGTAGCCCTCAAGTGAAATGTTACTCCTAAAGGCACCTGTGAGCCAGAGCCCTGCTCTGGTGGCTGTGGGAGACAGGGGATGATTTTTCTAACCTGCCTCCACCCTTCCCGGTGCCATGGGAGGCAGTCACCAAGTTCTGGGGTCTCCAGCTGCAGTGGGTGGCTGCTGATTGCTTCTCTCTGTCCAGAACAATGAGAACAAGAGCGTACTACAGTTGGAGCAGCAAGTAAAGGAGCTGCAGGAGAAGCTAGGCAAGGTGAAGGAGACGGTAACCTCCACCCCATCCAAGAAGGTCTGGGAGGTGGGCACCAGCCTCTGGGGAGGGGAGGTGCCAGGCCAGAGGCAGCTCCAGCCCAGGGGCAGGTGACCCCAGCACCCTCCAGGGCAGTCCTGTGGCTGTTTCTTGCTTCCTGCCCTCTGATTTTAGAGGTGGGTAGCCCTGGGCTCCTCCCAGGTCTGGACATCATCATTCCAGCTAGAGACATGGAGCACCCCCAATCACAGGGGAAGAGACAGAGTGGTATAACAGTCTTCTTATGCCAGACGCGGTGGCTTACGCCTATAGTGCCAACACTTTGGGAGGCTGAGGCAGGAGAATCACTTGAGGTTTGGAGTTTGAGATCAGCCTGGCCAACATGGTAAAACCTCATCTCTACTAAAATTACAAAAACAAAAAACAAAAAAAGAAAGAAAAATTAGTGGGGCATGGTGGTGGCGCATGCCTGTAATCCCACCTACTCAGGAGGCTGAGGCACGAGAATTGCTTGAGCCCAGGAGGTGGAGGTTGCAGTGAGCTGAGATTGCACCACTGCACTCCGGCCTGGGCCACAGAGTGACACTCTGTCTCAAAACAAAACAAAAAGACTCCTTAGATTAAAACTGGATTCCAGCCTCAGTTCCACTGGTCACCATTCAAGTACTTCACATCTCTAAGTCTCTGTTTCTTTAACTTCAAAAGGAAGTTAGCATTTTCCTTACAGAGGTGCTGAGGATTAAATGAGATAATACATGGGAAGCATTAGGCCTGTAGCACATTTAGCAGATGGTGGTTGGCTCCCACTACTTTTCTACCATTCTGTGGCCTACAGTTGAAATGGTGGGAAGAGGACATGAGATTTGAGGCTGGGGAAGGAGGCATGGGGTTCTAGGAAAGGGAGGCAGTCACTTAGGCCTGGAGTAAGGGGCCAGGGGCCTGGGCAGGCGACAGAGCCCCACAGTGCCCTCGCTACCCTATTAATGGGCCCAGAATCTGCAAACCAGCCACCACGTCCCCTCACACCCAGGGTCTTCCTGCAGGTGGAGCTGAAGAGCCAAGAGGCTCAGAGTCTGCAGCAGCAGCCAGACCATTACCTGGGTCACCTGCAGCAGTACGTGGCCACCTATCAGCAGCAGGTGGCCACCTATCAGCAGCTGACCTGTGAGAAGGAGGCGCTGTACAGGCAGTGACTGCAGCAGACCCAGCTAATGAACCAGCTGCAGCAGCAGGAAGCTTGGGGCAAAGCGGTGGCCGAGATGGCCTGCCAAAAGTTGCAGGAGGCCCAGGGGAGGGAGCTGCCGAGGATGGGGCCGTGAGGGGGACGAGCTGGCAAACTCTGTGCCTTCTCACTCTTTCCTGGCCCCTTAGGAGCGTCTGGAAGCTGCCAGCCAGCAGAAACAGCAGCTAACGGCCCAGTTGAGCCTCATGGCTCTCCCTGGGGAAGGTACGGGAGACCGCTCAGAGGAAGAGGAGAGAGCCCCAGGAGGAAGGGGGGACTGCTAGCAGCATAGGATTGAGGAGTTGGAAGAGACCTTTAGAACAGCTGGTCATTATACTAACCGGGTGCCTGCACTAAGTTCAGCATCAATATGGTGACCTCCTGTGAGCGGGGGGCCACCAAGTTGCCTAAGGATGGCTGAACTGGCCGAGGTCAGAAAGGGAGCAGGTCAGAACTCCCACATCGACCAGTAGTGGGAATATGCCTGGGCAGTATAGCAAGATCTTGGTTCTTCAAAGTAAAAATAAATAACAGCAGCTCATTCCTCTCTGGGGAGGGCCTGGCTCAGGGTTACACAATGAGGGTGGAGGCAGAGGTGGGCCCACAATACTTCCCTTGTTGAGTTGTCTGAAGACCCCTCTGGCCACCCCCCACAGGACACGGAGGAGAACATCTGGACAGTGAGGGGGAGGAGGCACCTCGGCCCATGCCGAGTGTCCCAGAGGACCTGGAGAGCAGGGAGGCCATGGTGAGCCTGACTCCCCCTGCACCCATTTTGCCACCTTTCTCTGTGGTCCCTCCAAGACCCCTTTATGCTCTTCGTTTCCCTGCCTTCTGATTTCTCTGGACCCTCACCCCTTCCGAGAGCCAGTGGTCAGACACCATTTCACCTGTGACCAACATGTGCAGTCTCTGGGGCCCCAAGGGAAGGGGCTGCGCTCCACCTCTCTGCCCCATTTCTTCTGTGTATGCCCCTAGAAGAATGCTCACATCTTGCCCTCAGGTGGCATTTTTCAAGTCCGCTGGAGCTAGTGCCCAGGAGAAGCAGGCACAGTTACAAGAGCAGGTGAAAGAGCAGAGGGTGTGCTGCCAGCGCCTGGCTCACCCAGTGGCCTCGGCCCAGAAGGAGCCAGAGGCAGCGGTCCCAGCCCCAGGGCCTGGGGGCGAGTCTGTGAGTGGGGAGACCCACCGGGCCCTGCAGGAAGTCATGGAGAAGCTGGCCCATGCCGGAACTCACCTCCGCCTTCTCCATGACTTGAAAATGCCACCTGAGGGCAGGTCGCTGGCGAGATGTGACCCCATTATTTTGGCTCCAGAGCGGCTTTATGGACCACCTGGAGGAGAAGGCAGACCTGAGTGAGCTGGTGGAGAAAGAAGAACTTGGATTCTTCCAGTACTACAGAGAGGGATGCCATCAGTGAGTGGGAGGCCAGGGCATGGCAGGGGGAGCTGCAGGGCTGTTGGAGGGGCCCCAGCGTCTGAGCCCTGTCCTCCCGCAGGAAAGTTTATCACCCTATAACAAAGCCAGGGGGCAGTGCCAAAGATGCAGCACCGGGAGGAGGACACCATCAGGCTGGCCCTGGACAGGGAGGAGATGAAGGTAGAGTGTGCAACATCTCTGCGGGGGTGGGGGTGGCTGTGACGGTGAGCGCTGGCAGCAGCGTGACAGCTGAGCACCCCTCCCTCCAGGTGAAGCTGCTGGAGCTGCAGGAGATGGTGTTGCAGCTGGTGGCGACTACAAGGGACACAGCAAATTCTTGGTGACTGCCCAGAACCCTGCTCATGAGCCCAGTCCAGGAGCCCCAGCCCCCCAGGAGCTTGGGGCTGCCCACAAGCATGGTGGTGAGTAGAGCCCTCAGGCGGGGTGGGCAGGCAGGAGCAGGGGGGCTCTCACTGAGCTCAGATCCCCACCTCCCTCTCTCCAAAGATCTTTGTGAGGTGAGCCTCACTGACAGCGTGGAGCCTGTGCAAGTAGAGGCCAGGGAGGGTTCTCCCCACGACAACCCTACTGCACAGCCGATCGTGCAGGACCACCAGGAGCACCCAGGCTTGGGCAGCAACTGCTGTGTGCCATTCTTTTGCTGGGCTTGGCTGCCAAGAAGAAGGAGATAAACATCACCATCGTCAAAGAGCTGCTCAAGAAATTTTTAAAAAAGAAACAAAGTTATGGGGTTAATCTCCTACACAATTCATTTACTTCGTTTGAATGTTATAGCCACTTATGATTATTTGTGTTTCTAATTTATAGTTTAAGTTTATTTGTAAATAGTTAAAAGAGAGTGGGTCTCTGTGGCTTTCACTGATGTTCACTCTGGCATACTTTCGCAATTTTCTTTTTCAATTTCATGATTGTAGGTCATTAGCATGCATATTGAGTTTGCCCTTACGTGGTGGGGTTCAAACACACAAAGACCCACTATTTGCACAAAACTATTCTTGCTGGTTTGGAATAGGCTGCCATGTGTTTTTAATGTTATTGCAGCATGTATATTCATTACAGAATTCAGATAAAATTTGCCTATGTTCTGCTATTGTTTGATCTAATCTTAATCACAGTGAGCTCTTCATTAGCACAATATGTGGTTTGCCCCAAGTGTGCACTATTTAATACTTTGTAATATGCCACCAAGAGTACTGACATTTAGAGTTGTTTAAAGGCCGAGAACTGGAAACAGCCTTTCCCTCATTTTCTGTGTATTGGTGATGGGAGTAATAACATTTTGGGGGAGCTTTTTAAATTTCACAGAAGAGGAAAGTTGCCTGCTCTGGCAGGTATGTGCAAGATAGAGTGTGTTTCATTTGTTCTGTTGCCAAGAATTAGTGCTGTACTATTGTAGTTCCTTTAGGATTTGTATGTGCTCTGGGCTCATGAAGATATTGCATCATGAGCTGCAGCAGTTGTACTCTTTTTTGATGACCTAAAAAGGGCTTATTTCTGAGGAATGAAAGGTTCCCATCATTGACTATGGATGTGGAAAACCTTTCCTAGCTTAGAGCATTTGTATCTATATTTTAAAGTCAGAGTTCATGTTACCTGTTTTAATCACATGACTGCATGTCCCAGTACACAAAAGGGCACTGGTTGGCATTCTTCTTAATGTATTTAGTAAAGATCAGAAGAAATCCTTTAAGAGTTTAAATGTCCCTGGAACACGCACACAGGCTCTAGTCAAGAATGAATTAGAGTGAAGGAAAGCTGTGTGACACCTGGCATTCCTCTGTTCATGGAGCTTCTTTGAGGCTTGAAGATTGATTTTACCATCTAGACCACTCTGCCTATTCTTCAACCACCTTGGTTACTTTGACATAGGAATTGACTTCTTTTCCTTGAATGGAAAACACTTTGAAATAATAATAAACATTGTTATAAACTAATATATGTGAGAGTGCTTAGTTGAAACAAAAAGGAGTTTTAGTAGACAGTATTATACTATCTTTGAAAATCAAGGAGAAGTTTATGCAACTTAAAATGTGTACAAACTGCAGTGCAATCTACTGTTGGTGAATGTCAGTGTATTATCAGGAAACATGTCTATACAATCACAGAGTTATATTTCCTCACAAACTTCTTTGTGAAGAGTGAAATGTGTTTCTGTACCTCTGGGTTTCACTTACGGGCATATTTTGTGCAGTATTTATGTGATTGTGCCTATGCATGATGAATGAATGAATTTCAGTTGTACATTGCCTAAATCATAACTTGATGATGCTTGGGAAAGACTCAACAGTTAAAACTTCATGAAGTTCTAATGTCTGTGTTCCAAAACACATCACATTATTAGGATGTAGGGAGATATGTATGTGTGCTCCCTGGGGTGGGGATTTCTAGTTACTAGACCATCTCCATTTTTAGCAGTTGGCATCCTCATGATACTTTTATAAATACGACATTAACAGGAGAGCAGCAGTACGATTTTGCCGATGGAATAACAGATTTGCCGGCAATCACTGAAAGAGTGCAAATATCGGGTCCTTGTGACTTCAACGGACTCTTCCAAATTGTATGAATGTATCAATGTATTAGATAAACCCAGTTTCAGAATGATAAAGAAAAAATGTTAGACCAAATAATGCGGCTAGTTAACAGTGGTACGATTTCTAGCCCGTGGGTTTAAAATGCACTTAAAGTCCTGTCCTTGCCTTTTATTTTCTGAACTTGATGTTTTTGCATTCTTTGAGTTCAGTTTAAAGACAACTACGAGCATCTGCAACCAATCTGACAATAATGTGTTCATCAGGTGCCTATGGATTAAATCACATACTGGCATATTTAAGCTGAATGTCAATCTGGAAAATAAATTGACTATATTAACAGAAATACCACTCTTTGTGTAGATATTTGTCGTATATTTAAGAAAAAGCTAAAAAGAATGGAAATCGCATGACTATAACTTAAGTCTTTCTTCAAAGTGCATGCAGTCTTTTGCGATACCTCATTCAGCCAAGTATTGGTATTCTTCCTCATTCGGTATAAGGCAGCTTTCAATTTGCTTAGAAGGCAACATTGGAAGGTTAGAGTTCATCAGAAACAGAATTCTAAAATGTGAGTTCAATTCAATAAATTTGAATTTCTGTAGGAAGAATCAAATCACCGATTTAAAGAGTGCAATATATAATAATCATTTTTAAAGTATTGGATTAAATCTGATAGGTTTTCCAGAAATGAACAAAAATCAGCTCTAAAACCAAAGCTGATTTTTAGAAAATTTGAAAATGTAAATCAGCCCTATCCATACTATAGTTTCTCTAAAACTTTATCTGAGTCATTTTAAAATAACTATTAAACAATGTAACTGCTATCTTAATGTTCTGAAATAAGTTAAAACATTTTAAAATATGAATACTGTAAAGGAAATAAATGGTGGGAAGGAAAAGTAGAGAAAGAAATGCCAATTCCAGTCCAAAGCTTTATTTGCCAAGTTTTCTTGGAATGAATTTTACCAATTTATGAATTCTTGTAAGCGGAATGTAAAACGGAAATACTGAAAGACTTTTGCCTAAAGTGGCATTATTGACTGCTGGTGTGATGCTACTGTAATGTAATAAATTATTAAGTTGTTGCAAAGTGCTGTTTTTGCCTTAAAATTTTATTCTGTGTGTCTTGAAAAATATAGTATTAAAGGTATTGATACTGTGCAAATGCTGAGCATGCTTGGCATGAGATAATGTTTCATTTTTACAAAATTGTAATATAACTATGCAAGGGTTTATTAAAAGAACACAAAATAAAAAAGTTATGGGATTAACAAAAGTTATGGGGTGAAAAAGTTATGGGATAAAAAATGTAAAAAAGTTGTGGCAAAAAAATCTTGTGACCAAAAAGTAGAAGAAAGTTTTATGAAAAGTTACCAAAAAAAGTTATGAAAAAGAAGTTATGGGATTTAAAAAAAAAGGCATGGGATAAAAATAAAAATTAAAATTAAAAGCAGGCCCCTGTCAGCAAAGCCTGGAGAAGTGGGGCTGGGGTCTCTCCACCACCACACTGTCCCTATCTCCCCTTCCCAGTCACCCCTTTACAATTAGGGTAGCAAGACAAGACCACTGTCTAACGAGGAAAGACAAACAGACCCTTTGCCACCTTGACCAGAGCTGAGTCCTTAAATTTCTGGATGATATTGTTATTTAAGAGCCAGAGGCTGGTGGAGTTGGTTTGTTTGGAGGAGGCCTCATGGCCTCCTTACTCTCACCACAGCAACTTTTCCCTCAGTGGGGGCTCCAATCTTCTTATTCAGAGAGGTAGCTGAGGCAGGACAGTGGGGCTAACTGTGGACCAGGCGAAGGCATGGGCTGCTGGGGTGGCCCCCCTTCCCCGGTGTATATATTGTGTCTGTGTAAGGTTTTGTATATTCCAGAGGGTAGGGCCACCCCTGTATCATACCTAGCGGTGGTCGGAGGTGGCACATGGGGAGGAGGTTCTAATAATTATTTGTGGCTGGGAAACTTACTTATTGCTAGCATAGGACAGAGGAAGAAGGCAGGGATGGGGTCATGGCTTCCCAGTGGTGTGATCACAGTTCACTGCAACCTCCAACTCTCATGCTCAAGTGATCCTCCCACCTCAGCCTCCCAGGTAGCTGGGAGTATAAGCATGCACTACTATGCCTGGCTAATTTTTAAATTTTTTGTAGAGAAAAGGTCTTGCTATGTTGCCCATGCTGGTCTTGAACTCCTGGGCTCAAGCGATTCTCCCATCTTGGCCTCCCAAAGCACTGGGGTTACAGGCATGAGACATTGCTCCTGTCCATAAGATTTTCTCTTTATTACTGTTTTGTTGTTGGTGGTGGTGTTTTGTTTTGTTTTTATTTTTTGACAGAGTCTCGGTCTGTTGCCTAAGCTGGAGTGCAGTGGTGCAATCTCTGCTCACTGCAACCTCCACCTCCTGGTTCAAGCAATTCTTATGCCTCAGCCTCCCGAGTACCTGGGGTTATAGGCATAAGCCACTGCGCCTGGCTAATTTTTGGATTTTTAGTAGAGACAGAGTTTTGCCATGTTGGCCAGATTGGTCTTGAACTCCTGGCCTTAAGCAATCCGCCCTCCTCAGCCTCCCAAAGTGCTGGGATTACAGGTGTGAGCCACTGCTCCTGGCTAAGATCCCATCTCTATTTAAATAAAAAAAGAAAATTCAGAATCTATGGAACACAGAACACCAAAGGCCAGTTATTTACCTCTCTGAGGTAATCTGTGTAAACAATTTGATATATATCCTTTCAAGTTCATACTTGCTATGCATACATATATATACGCACATACATTGACATATTCCCCCTTCCCTGCTGTCATGCTATTAGTCTTCTTTTTTTTGTAGAAATTGGACCAACTCTATGTTCTTTGCTGGCCCGTATTTCTCCTATTCAGTGATGTGTTATGAATATCTGTTTAAGTCAATGTATGCAACTCTTTAATATCATTTTAAAAGGTTACGACATACGATCATATGAAGGCATTAGAATTTATTCCAACAGTTCCCTTTTGCACATTTAATAATTTCCATTGATTTGCCAGGAAGAACATTCTCGTGTCATGGCTAAATCCTTTTGTATGGACATCCTTAATTATTCCCTTAAGATAAACTTTTAAATAAAGTTGCTAGATTAGTCTCGTTTCTTAAGTTCCTTTTTGGTAGTTTATATGTAACACTGTAGTTTTATATGTACTTACAAATACCTATAGTGCCAGTAGAAAATGGGATAAAATTAAACTCTTTCACATATGCCAAATATATTTTGATTTAGCGCTTTATTAAGTGCATGATTACAGTCTCTGTATCTTTTGATTTACCTTTCTATCTTTACAATTTTCAGCCGAGACACTTAGCGGTCACATAATAAATTAAGGTTTTCTTTTTTTAATAATCTCCATCTTTCTAAATATGGTGAGTCACAGTCAGCTATTTTTGGATTGTTGAAAGCTGTGACTGTTCTAAATCGGAGCCCAGAAATCATGCCACTTACCAAATATGCTTTGTCTTCCAACATCAGAGTGTCTGGTAGAAGGTGACTGTTCTTGGAATTTAAAAAATCTGAACAGGACAAGACAAGAATCTGGACACTTTTTCTGTTTCTGATAATATGATTGAGTAGGTAGACATGCTGGATAATCCTTGCAAAGACATACTTGAACTTCCCCAAAAAAAAAATAAAATCCAGAATCTCTAAGAATGAAGATGGAGTGAAAATCAGAAGGGCTGCTGAGAGAATAATGGGGAAGCAGCCCCAGTTATCAAGGGACATGTCCATGTGTTCAATAGAAAGTTTCAGATGTAAAAAAAAGTTGAGAAAAATAATATATATATTATATATAATAAATGATATAATTGCCCTACATATACACATCATCAACAATTTTTCATTCATGGTATGGACAGTTTTTTTTTTTTTTGGTTGTTTTTTGTTTGTTTGTTTGTTTTTAAAGGTGGGATTTTGCTGTGGTTGCCCAGGCTGGAGTGCAGTGGCATGATCTTGGCTCACTGCAACTTCCACCTCCCAGGTTCAAGCGATTCTCCTGCCTCAGCTTCCCGAGTAGCTGGGATTACAGGCACCCGGCACCACATCCGGCTAATTGTTGTATTTTTAGTAGAGATGGTGTTTCACCACGTTGGCCAGGCTGGTCTTGAACTCCTGACCTCAGGTGATCCACCTGCCTCGGTCTCCCAAAGTGCTGAGACTACAGGCGTGAGCCACCACACCTGGCCACAGCCAGTTTTGTTTCATTTATATTCCCACTTCATTTATATACATTCCTTCTTCCTCTGAATGATTTTGAAGTAAAACCTATACATCCTATCATTTTTAATTACCTTATATGTATCTGTAGAAGACAAGGAATTCTTAAAAATAAATATATTCACAATGCCATTAAATATCAAAAAATTAATATTCTGAAAATAGCCACAAATCCAGAGTTGACATTTTGTTGACTTTCTCATAGGTGATTTTTTTTCTAGTTTATCTATTTCAATCAGATAACTGTTTGCTCATATTTACATTCCTTACTGAACAATGTCTAAACTTAAACTGACATAAAATGGAGATGATCTTCTAACCAGATGCTTAGTGTAAGAAAAAACTTCAAACTGCAAGAGGAGTCCCTCCAAATACAGAAAGGACCAGTATTTTAAGAGGTATGTTAACTAAAATGTGGCAATGTAAGGAGCAAAGCAGGAAGAACCTTTAAGTCCTCAACTTACAAGTCAATTTCATAGTCAGTTTCCCTGGTCCTTCCACAACAACCTCCCCCATCTGTTTTCTCTACAATGGAGGTAACAATAGTAGCTATTCCAGAGCAGGAAAAGGCTTAGAGCAGTGCTAGAAGAGGGTCGTGGCTATATAAAGTTTAGCTATTTGTGTATTGTAACAAACCACCTTTTTTTTTTTTTTGTCAATAATAGATTTCTTTTGTAAAAGTAGCAGCCTCCTGTCTGGGGACAACTGCAGTTCCACTAAGTGAACATTGGTGTCTGCTAACCTTTGCCTCTATTTCTCTCAATATACTGTGAAGCTGTTCCTGGATTTAGCAATTTTATATACTTCTTTTTCTTTATTATTCTTTTTTTCCTTTCCCTTTTCCTGAGACACAGTCCTGCTCTGTCACCCAGTCTGGACTGCAGCAGCGCCATCATGGCTCACTGCCACCTCCACCCCGGGCTCAAGCAATCCTCCTGCATCAGCCTTCAGGGTAGCTGGGAGTACCCAGGGGGGCCCACCAGGTCTGGCTAATCTTTGTGGTTTTTGTTTTGTTTTTCCGTTAAGGGACTGGGTTTCCGGCCAGGCACAGTGACTCACGCCTGCAATCGCACCACCCCTGGAGGCCGAGGCCGGCGGATCTCCCCAGGTGAGGAGCAGGAGACCAGCCCGACCAACATGGAGAAACCCCATCTCAACCTAAATAAATAAATAAATAAATAAATAAATAAATAAATAAATAAATAAATAAAAGTAGCCAGGCTTGGTGGCTCACGCCCTTGATCCCAGCCACTCAGGAGGCTGAAGCAGGAGAATCACCCAAACCCGGGAGGCGGAGGCCCGGCGAGCCGAGACCGCGCCACTGCACTCCAGCCTGGGCAACAAGAGGGAAACTCCGTCTCAGAAAAAAAAAAAACAGGTTTCACCATGTTGCCCAAGCGGGTCTGGATCTCCTAGGCTCAAGCGATTTGCCACACTCAGCCGTCCAAAATCCTAGGATCACAAGCGTGAGCCATGACGCCAGGCCGATCTATTCCTGTCTGATTAAAAATTGGGCCGGTTGCGGTGGTTCACGCCTGCGATCCCAGCACCCCGGGAGGCTGAGGCGGGCGGATAACCTGAGGTCAGATTGAGGCCAGCCTGAGTAACATGGAGAAACCCCATCTCTACCAAAAAAAAAAAAAAAAAAAAAAAAAAAATTAGCAGGGCATGGTGGCTCACGCTTGCAATCCCAGCCACTCGGGAGGCTGAGCCAGGAGAACCACCCAAACCCGGGAGGCTGAGGCTGCGGGGAGCTGAGACCCTGCCACTGCACTCCAGCCTGGGCAACAAGAGTGAAACTCCCTCTCAAAAAAAAAAAAAGAGAGAGAGAGAGAGAGACTGAGTTTCACCATGTTGCCCAGGCCGGCGTGTAACTCCTAGGCTCAAGCGATCCGCCGCGCTCGGCCATCGGAAGTCCTGGGATCACAAGCATGAGCCGCCACGCCAGGCCCATCTGTTCCTTTCTCATTAATAAATTGCGCCCGGCGCGGTGGCTCCCTCCTGCAACCCCACCACCCTGGGAGGCCGAGGCGGGCGGATCACCTGAGGTCGGGAGTTTGAGACCAGCCTGACCAACATGGAGAAACCCGTCTCTACCAAAAAAGAAAAAAAAATAAGCTGGGCATGGTGGCTCACGCCTGCAATCCCACCACCCCGGGAGGTCGAAGCAGACGGGTAATCTGAGGTCAGGAGTTTGAGACTACCCTGACGAAGGGAGAAACCCCGTCTATACCAAAAAAAAAAAAAAAAAAAATACAAAAAGAGCCGGGCATGTTGGCTCATGCCTGCAATCTCAGCCACTTGGTAAGCTGAGGCAGGAGAACCACCCAAATCCGGGAAGCGGAGGCCGCGGGGAGCTGAGACCGCGCCACTGCACTCCAACCGGGCAACAAGAGTGAAACTGCCGCAAAAAAAAAAAAAAAAAAAAAAAAAAAAGAGAGAGCGGGTTTCACCGTGTTGCCCCGGCCTGTCTGGAATTCCTAGGCTCAAGGGATCCCCGGCCCTATTCCTTTCTGATTTATAGATTAGGCCTTGCGCGCTGGCTCACGCTTGCAATCCCAGCACCTCCGGACGCCGAGGCGGGCGGATAACCTGAGGTGGGAAGTTTGAGACCAGCCTTATGAACATGGAGAAACCCCATCTCCAACAATAAAAACAAAAACAAACAAAAAACAAAATGAGCTGGGCATGGTGGCTCACGCGTGCAATCCCAGCCACTCGGGAGGCTGTGGCAGGAGAACCACCCAAACCCTGGAGGCGGAGGCCCGTTGAGCCAAGACCTCACCACTGCACTCCAGGCTGGGCAACAAGAGCGAATCTCCGCCTCAAAACAAACAAAAAGTGACCAGGTTTCACCATGTTACCCAGGCAGGTCTGGAACTCCTAGGCTCAAGTGATCCGCCGCGCTGTCCAAATTCCTGGGATCACAAGCGTGAGCCACCATGCCAGGCCGATCTAGTCCTTTATGATTAATAAACTGGACCGGGCGCGCTGGCTCACGCCTGCAATCCCAGCATCCCCAGAGGCCGAGGAGGTGGGCAGATAACCTGAGGTCGGGAGTTTGAGACCAGCCTGATGAATATGGAGAAACCCTGCCTGTACCCCCCCCGCCAAAAAAAAGAGAGACCGGGTTTCACCATGTTGCCCAAGCCGGTGTGGAACTCCTAGGCTCAAGTGATCCCCAGCGCTCGGCCGTCCGACGTCCTGGGATCACAAGCGTGAACCACCACGCCAGGCTGATTTATTCTTTTCTGATTAATCAATTGGGCCTTGCGCGCTGGCTCACGCCTGCAATCCCAGCATCCCCGGAAGCCAAGGCAGGCGGATAACCTGAGGTCCTGAGTTTGAGACCAGCCTGACCAACAGGGAGAAACCCTGTGTGTACCAAAAAAAAAAAAAAAAAAGAAAATTAGCCGGGCATGGTGGCTCACACCTGCAATCTCAGCCACTAGGGAGGCTGAGGCAGGAGAACCACCCAAACCCAAGAGGTGGAGGTGGCAGGGAGCCGAGACTGCACCACTGCACTCCAGCCTGGGCAACAAGAGCAAAACTCTGCCTCCAAAAAAACAAAAAAAAGAGAGAGACCGAGTTCCACCATGTTGCCCAGGCCAGTCTGGATCTCCTAGGCTCAAGTGATCCCCGGTGCTCCATCATCCAAAGTCCCTGGATCACAAGCGTGAGCCACCACGCCAGGCCGATCTATTCCTCTCTGATTAATAAATTAGGCGGGGTGCAGTGGCTCACACCTGCAGTCCTGTAGAGGGATTTTTAAGGAATTAGATAGACTCATGGGGTTTAGGAGGACATTTATTAATTATTTAGGTGCACCGGCCCAGTCGGATTAACATTTAAAGGATTGAGCACTGAACCAAGAGTTACCTTTCAAGCATTATGTGGGGCGAAGGGGGAGATCTGTGCAGGGAGAAGCATATTATAGAAGCGAGAAACAAAGATTGTTATTTAATTGAAACATGCATTATATTATTTTTTACTATTTAAGGAAAAATATGTTTTGTGACTTGAGTTTATTTGTTTAGTGACCTTGTAGTTGCACAGTTAAGGAATTAGTCGGGCATGGTGGCTCACACCGCAATCCCAGCCACTCGGGAGGCTTTGGCAGGAGAACCACCCAAACCCCGGAGACGGAGGTCTGGCAAGCTGAGACCTCGCCACTGCACTCCAGCCTGGACAGCAAGAGCAAATTTCCCCCTAAAAAAAAATATATATGACTGGGTTTCACCATGTTGTCCAGGCCGGTCTGGAACTCCTAGGCTCAAGCAATCTGGCTCTGGATGTCTTTAACTTGTGATTGAAAGCGTATTAAGATGTTGGGTGTATCAACAGTCCGGAGGACAAGAAGGAAAATCCTGGCATGTGAAATATTCTGCAACAAGAAAAGCAATCGGAGAGGTGACTACATTCACTCAGCTGTTTTGCCCTCTTCTTCCCCACCCCCCACCCCCCCCCCCCCCCCCCCGTCTCTTTCCTGGAAGTTCCCTAGTAAGAAGTAAAAGAGATAATGGCTTTCGAGTGCATGTTTTTCCTGGAATTGGAAGGAATTTTAACAAAGGAGCCCTTCACAATGAAACCCCCCCACACCCCTGCTTTTCACCTGAAGTAGGACAAGATCGTCGCCCCCACCATCATTCTCCACGTGACCCCAGGTGGGGATGGGTAGTGGACACTACTGATAAGCTCTTAGCAATTTCCCTATTTGTGGACTCTGAAGCTCCTTAGCTTGACAACTGATGCATAAGTTTTCTTTTGTGGGATAAGAATAGGAGAATAGGTGACCTTTTCCCCCTGAATTCCCATCCTGGGGCCAGGGAAGAGAGCCCAGGATCCCTTCTCTTGGCCTTCACACTGTGGGAAAGAGTACCTAGAGTTAAAAGCCTGATAAATGCCCTCGAACAGCTTTGAAAATCACAAGGTCAGGAGATCGAGGCCATCCTGCCTAACACGGTCAAACCCGTCTCTACTAAAAAAAAAAAAAAAAAAAATTGGCTTATGCCTGCAATTTTAACACTTTGGGAGGCAGAGGTGGGAGGATCATTTTACCTAGGAGTTTGAGACCAGCCTGGGCAACATAGTGAGATCTTGTCTCTACAAAAACAGTTTTAAATTAGTCAGGCGTGGTGGTGCATACCTGTAGCCCCAGCTACTTAGGAGGCTGGGGCAGGAGAATCCTGCTGCTGCATTTTGTGCTACTTTTAAAAATATTTGGTAAAATTCAGGAGTAAAGCCGTCGGGTCTTGGGCTTTTCTTTCCCGGGAAACTTTTTTTTATTTTTTGAGAGGGCGTCTCGCTCTGTCGCCCAGGCTGGAGTGCAGTGGCCTGATCTCGACTCACTGCAGGCTCCGCCCCTCAGGTTCACGCCATTCTCCTACCTCAGCCTCCTGAGTAGCTGGGACTAGAGGCACCCGCCACCATGCCCAGCTAATTTTTTTTTTTTTTTTTTGTATTTTTTTTAGTAGAGACGGGGTTTGACCGTGTTAGCCAGGATGGTCTCCATCTCCTGACCTCGTGATCCGCCCGCCTCGGCTTCCCAAAGTGCTGGGATTACACGCGTGAGCCACTGCACCCGGCTTTTCCTGGGAAAATTGTTTCCGTCTCACTACTTATTGGTCTTTTCAGGTTTTGGATTTCTTTGTGGTTCATTCTTGCTAGGTTGTATGTATCTAGGAAAGTATCCATTTATTCTAGATTTTCTAATTTATTGGTCTATAGTTGCTCATACTAGCCTCTAATGATCCTTAGAATTTCTACAGTATCAATGAAAATGTCCCCGTTTTCATCTTGATTTTATTTATTTAGGGTTTTTTGTTTTTTTTTTAGTGTGGCTAAAGGTTACTGGTTTGGTTTATCTTTTTTAAAAAACGAACTTTTCGTTTTGTTCATATTTTGTATTTTTTCATTTCAATTTCATTAATTTTTGCTCTTATCTTTATTCTTTCCTTTCTTCTATACTTATTTTGGGTCTGGTTTATTCTTGCTTTTCTAGTTCTTTTAAGATGTATCGGCGCCACGGGCCCCGCAGAGCCAGGGCGGCTCCTGCCGGTAGCCTGTGTGTGGGCCCCGGCCAGCCGCGCCCCCAGTCCATATCGCCCTTCACTGCCCCGAGGCTGGCGCGGCTATGGGGCGCGGGGCCGGCGCTGCTCTGGGGCGTTGGAGCCGCGCGCCGCTGGAGGAGCTGCTGCCGGGGCGGGGGTCTGGGCGGCTCGGGGGGCCACGCGGGCCTCGGACGGCTCCCGGGGCTGTGGGCTTGGGCCCGGCAGCTGCAGGTGCGGGGCTCTTGCCGGCCGGGCGCTCCTCGGCTCCCGCGCGCCGGGTTCCCGGGCGGTCCCACCGCCACTGCCTGGGCAGGGGAGGAGGCCTGGCGGAGCGGGCGGGCGGCGCCTTCCCGGGACGACCAGCGGCTACGACCCATGGCGCCCGGACTCTCGGAGGCCGGGAAGCTCCTGGGGCTGGAGTTCCCTGAGCGCCAGAGGCTGGCAGCTGCGGTTGGATTTCTCCGATGTCCGGTGTTATCTCCATGTCTGCCCCTTTCTTCCTGGGGAAGATCATCGATGCCATCTATACCAACCCCACTGTGGACTACAGCGACAACCTGACCCGCCTCTGCCTTGGCCTCAGTGGCGTGTTTCTGTGTGGTGCTGCCGCCAATGCCATTCGTGTCTACCTCATGCAAACTTCACGTCAGCGCGTTGTGAAGAGGCTGAGAACTTCGTTATTCTCCTCCATTCTGGGGCAGGAGGTTGCTTTCTCTGACAAGGCTGGCACAGGGGAATTGATTAACCGCCTCTCATCGGACACTGCACTCCTGGGGCGCTCAGTGACTGAAAACCTCTCAGATGGGCTCAGGGCCGGGGCCCGGGCTTCTGTAGGCATCAGGACGATGTTTTGTGTCTCACCTAATCGGGCCACCTTTGTTGTGAGTGTGGTGCCTCTAGTGTCAATCATTGATGTAATTTATGGACGATATCTACGGAAACTGACCAAAGTCACCCAGGATTCGCTGGCACAAGCCACTCAGGAGGAACGTATTGGAAATGTTAAGAACTGTTCGAGCTTTTGGGAAAGAAATGACTGAAATAGAAAAATAGGCCAGCAAAGTGGACCATGTGATGTAGTCAGCAAGGAAAGCGGCATTCGCTCAGGCTGGCTTCTTTGGAGAACTAGGCTGTCCGGAAACCTGATTGTGCTTTCTGTCCTGTACAAAGGGGGGCTGCTGATGGGCAGTGCCCACATGACCATGGGTGAACTCTCTTCCTTCCTATGTATGCTTTCGGGGTTGGAATAAGCATTGGAGGTCTGAGCTTTTTCTACTCGGAGCTGATGAAAGGACTGGGTGCCGGGGGGCGCCTCTGGGAGCTCCTGGAGAGAGAGCCCAATCTGCCTTTTAAGGAGGGGGAAGGGTTATCTTAAATGAGAAAAGCTTCCAGGGTGCTTTGGAGTTTAAGAACGTGCATTTTGCCGATCCCGCTTGCCCAGAGGCGCCCATATTTCAGGATTTCAGCCTTTCCATTCCGTCAGGATCTGTCACGGCACTGGTTGGCCCAGGTGGTTCTGGCAAATCAACAGTGCTTTCGCTCCTGCTGAGGTTGTTCGACCCTGCTTCTGGAACTATCAGTCTTGATGGCCATGACATCCGTCAGCTAAACCCAGTGTGGCTGAGATCCAAGATTGGGACAGTGAGACAGGAAACCCATTTTGTTTTCTTGCTCTATCACTGAGAACATTGCTTATGGTGCTGATGGCCTTCCTCTGTGACCGCTGAGCAAGTCCAGAGAGTGGCTGAAGTGGCCAATGCAGTGGTCTTGATCCGGAATTTCCCCCAAGGGTTCAACACTGTGGTTGGAGAAAAGGGTGTTCTCCTCTCAGGTGGGCAGAAACAGCGGATTGCAATTGCCCGTGCTCTGCTGAAGAATCCCAAAATTCTTCTCCTAGATGAAGCAACCAGTGCGCTGGATGCTGAAAATGAGTACCTTGTTCAAGAAGCTCTAGATCCACTGATGGATGGAAGAACAGCGTTAGTTATTGCCCATCATCTCTCCACCATTAAGAATGCTAATATGGTTGCTGTTCTTGACCAAGGAAAAATTACTGAATATGGAAAACACGAAGAGCTGCTTTCAAAACCAAATGGGATATACAGAAAACTAATGAACAAGCAAAGTTTTATTTCAGCCTAAGGAAACAATTACTGGTAAACAACATGAGAGACTTTAATGCAAAACAGTATTGTAGAGAAAAAAAACCTCAGAGACTGCATGAAATATGTAAACCATATATCAAGTTATTTGAAAAATAGCTATTTTTTCCAAAGCGTGTAAAATATTGCTTTGAAATGTACCTGTTCTCAAGATCTTTTTATTCAGAGTTTTAACCATTGTAACTTTTTAAATGTCTATAGCACTGAAGTTATTTTCAGGTTTTGTATTTTCTTTCATTGTGGAATATTTTAATTAATATAGCATGGCACCTCATTTTCTTTTGCCTGCTGTTAAAGATGGAAGCTGTTGTCAAATGACAACTTTAAAAAGGGAAGTATAAATAAAAAGCCTGATTATTTTAGGCCAGTTTGCCAATCACTGTGTAATTCCTCTGGTAGTATTCTACCTACTTTAAGTCTAATTTTACTAGATAGAGTAATGGAAAATGAAAATTTAACCCTTTATTCCGATAATCTCATGAAGCAAACCTAACTATTTAACATCAGCTGGAAAGAAGGGAACATTTATATTGCCCGTCTCCTGTGTCTTCAAAGGTGTGAGAGTTGAGGAATATGTGTTCCTACGGGAACTATGTTTGAATATGTGCAGTTTTCAACATTTTGGCAAATGAAAGCCTGACAAGTTTTTAAAAGGGCAGAAGCTTTATTTTTTGAACAGAAAAATCTATTTTTTAAATTCACATGTTTGTATGAGTACTTCTGGGAAGCAAGGGATGAACTGCTAGGTATTATTAAGAATGAATGATTTTTGCATTTAAGTTGTTTGAAGGCATGTATTTTGAAAAATATCTGTTACAAATTTATAATTTCAAGACATACTAAATCTTATAATACTTTTGGAATTTCATTAATAAGGCTAAAATCTGAGGAATGTAACTAATTTTCAGCCTTAAGACACTTAAGTTTGGAAGTCCTTGCTATTCAACAGAATAACAAGAAACCTTCAGAATGTATCACTCTCCCAAAAAGAAGATATTAATAAGCCCTTTTCTTTTATTCATGGTTATAGTTTTTTTATAGTCTCAAAATTCCTAAAGCAATGCTGACAGCCATTGAATTTGCCATATTTTGTATTCAGTGCTGTTAATGTGCTGTTGCCTCAAGAAAAAGTGCTTTTTCTCCATTGATGAGGCTAGACCCTAAGAGGTAATTAAGTCAATGTAAATCAAATGGAAGTTTTGCCATGAACTAAGCATTTATTAGTTCCCTGATTAGACTGGAAGAAGAAACCGCTATTTCATGACAAGCATGGAATATTATATTTTCTTCTTCATAATTAATGAATAAAATTGATATGAGCGAATGAATGTAGTATTTTTTGAATTAGTAAACAGTACATCTGTGACAATCATTTTAACAAGCTCTACTTGTGTTCTTTATAAAGTGTGATTTTCAGAAAGCAAACAAAACACAATTAAAAGGTTGAATCTGAGGAAAATAATGCTTGTACCATAGAAGTATTTACAAAATTGCATTTCATTGTTATGTTTTATTTTCTGATACCTGATGTTCAATTATATCTGTAGGTAATATTTTATATCATAGATTAAAATTTATAGTGACCTTAAAAAAAGATGTATCATCAGGTTATTTATTTGAGGTTTTTCACTTTTTTGATCTTGGAAATTATAGGTATAAATTTCCCTCTTACTACTGCTGTTTGCTGTATCCCATAGGTTTTGGTATGTTGTGTTGCCGTTTTTATCTGCTTCAATAAATTTTTCAATTTCTTCTGAATTTCTTTGTTGAAATTGTAAGGATCATTAGAGGCTACTATGAGCAACCATAGGCCAGAAATTAGAAAACCTAGACTATATGGATACATATAGATACAGAAAAATTCACATTATGAATTTGTTCTTAAATAAGCTTTGGTAATTTGTCTCTTTAAAGAACTTTAAGCTGCCAAATTCTTGAGTATGGAATTGTTCATAATAGTTATTATCATTTAAATATAGAGGTTCTGTAATGATATTTCTTCTTTTATCAGTCCTTTTTTCTTAGTCTTACTAGTATGTAACAACTTTACTGATTTTTTCAAAGGAACTTTTCACTTTGTGAATTTATTTACTTTCAATTTCATTTATTTCTTTCATTACCTGTTATTTTATTTTTTCAAATTACGTTTTATTTGTTTATTTTTTCATTGACTTTTAAACCTATGTATTTTTCTAATAGAAGAATTTCAAATAATAAATTACCCTCTCAATTTAACTCTACACCACAAATATGAAGCTTTTATTATCATAATTTTGTTTTATTTTATTTTTTTAATTGGCACATAATAATTGTGCATATTTATGGGTACATAGTGATGTTTCAGTACTCATAGTGTATATATTTAATTACCCTGATGAGGTGATGGTAATTAGCATATCCATCATTGCAAACATTTATCATTTCTTTGTTTTGGGAACATTCAATATCCTTTCCTAACTATTTGAAGCTATATATTATTGTTAACTATTGTCATACCATAATGGTATAGAGCATTAGAACTTATTCCTCCTATCTAGCTTTAATTTTGAATCTTTTAACAAATCTCTCCCTATCCCTCCCTCCCTCTTATACTTTCCAGCCTCTAGCATCCTCTGTTTTAACTTCTATAAGATCAAAATATTTTAGCTTCCACATATGAGTGAGAAGCTGTAATGTTTAACTTTCTCTTCTTGGCTCATTTCACTCACATAATACACTCCATTTCTATGCACGTTGCTTTTATGGCCGAATAGTACTTCATTGTGTATCTATTCCTTTTCCCCTCCTGTCCCCTCCCTTCCCCTCCTCTCCCCTCCCCTCTCCTTCCTTTCCCTTCTTGAGATGGAGTCTTGCTCTGGAGTGCAATGGTGTGATCTTGGCTCACTGTAACCTCTGCCTCTCGGATTCAAGTGATCTTCCACCTCAGCCTCCCGAGTAGCTGGGGACGTGCCACCATGCCCAGCTAATTTTTATATTTGTAGTAGAGATGGGGTTTCACCATGGTGGCCAGGCTAGTCTCGAACTCCTGACCTCCAGTGATCCACCCATCTTGGCCTTCCAAAGTGCTGGGATTGCAGGCGTGAGCCACCGTGCCCGGCCTATATACCACATTTTCTTTAACCATCATCTGTTGCTGGACCCTTAGGTTGATTCCATATCTTGCCTATTGTGAATAGTGCTGCAATAAACATCTAGGTGCAGATGTTTATTTAATATACTGTTTTCCTTATTTCATATTTTTTCTAAATTATCTTTTGATTTCTTTTATGAACTATGAGTTAAATAGTGTTTCATGTTATTTACAACTATTTGGGGGTTTCCTAGGAATCTCTTATGTCATCGATTTCAAATTAAATTTTATTGTGATCAGAGAATATATTCTATAAAATCTAAAGCTTAAATTCATTTAAACTTACTCTTTGATTCAGCATTTGGCCTATGTTGGTGGTGCTTTCAATACACAAGAAAACAACGTATATTCAGCATTTGAAATGTAGTTTTTATAAATGTCAATAAGATCAAGGTGATTTATAATGAAGTTGAAATGTTCTATAGCCATACGAATGGTTTGTCTTACTGTTCAATCAGTGATGAACAGAGGGATGTTAAAATCTTTAATTATTATTGTCATTTATCCATTTCTCCCTTCAATTCTGCTTTTTCCTTCATGAATTATGAGGCTTTATTATTAAGTTGGTGTCCCTTTCATAATTATGAAATGGGGGCATTTCATAATTATGGACATATATGTCATATTAGGACAATAATATAATAACCAATTCATCGGAGGACAATAATATTGCTTATATTATTGTCCTCCGATGAATTGGTTATTTCATAATTATGAAATGCCCCCATTTTCTCTTATAATGCACCCTCTTTTCCAGTCTACATTGCATTTTGCTAATATAGCCACACAAGCTTCCTAATGCTTGCTGTGTATATGGTTTATCTTTTCTTGTAGGTTTACTTTTCATCTATCTGTGTCTTTATGTTTAATATATGTTTCTGGTAGACAACATTAGTTGGGTCTCATTCTTTTGTCTAATATGACAGTCTCTACCTTGTAATTGAATAATTTAGTTCATAAATATGTTAAATGAAATGTGTTGCCACTTTTAAAAACTGTACAATCTCTTGTTTCTCTTCTCGTATTTTTGTTTAATTGTATTTTAAGTATTCATTTTAAATTGCATAGATGAGTTAGTTGCAACGCTTTTTTGTATTGAGTTATTTGTATTACAATAATCATCAATTTATACTTAACTAATCTAAATTTTACTTCGAGGTAATTTTTGACAACTTCATATATAATGTAAAAAACTGATGACATCTGTTCTATTTTTACATTCTCTCCAGTGATTGATAGTGTTGCCTACTTTGTCAAATCAAAACAAGGCAACATTTTCCTAAAAAGTGATCTGTGCTCCACCTATCCTATTCATATGCACAGAAGACTTTCAGGGCAGAAAACTATTCTGCATGATACTATACTGGTATATGAATTTGCCTAAACTCATAGAATGTATGACAGCAAGCGTGGACCCTAATATAACTATGGACCTTGGTGATAAGGATGTGCCAGTGCAGGTTCATCAGCGGTAAGTAATGTGCCACTCCAGAGGAGAATGACAGCAAGGGGTCAGGCTGTGCCTGTGTGGACACAATGATGTATGAGAAATCTTTGTATCTTTCTTTCAATTTTGCTGTGAACTTACAACTGCCCTAAAAATAAAGTCTATTAAAAAAACCCAAAACAACAACAACAAAAACTGATGACGGTAACATTTCCTTTATTCCCCCTCTGTCTTTTGTGATTTTTTTTAGTATAAGTTTTTCTATCCACATCATAAACCCCACAATAAAATGATATCTTTTTAAATTTAAATAGTCAGTTTCCCTTCAACAAAATCGACAGATTAAAAAAAAGTATTTCCTGTTACTCATATACTTACCATTTCTATGCTTTTCATTTCCTCTAATCTGGAGTTTAGATTCGATGTTATTTCCCTTCAGGCCAAAAAACTTCTGCTAGCATGTTTTGTAGTACAGATTTGCTGGTGACAAATTGGCCCATTTAATTTTTCCGAAAATGTCTTAATTTTACCTTCAACTTTGAAAGATACTTTAATAATATATAGAAACGAACCTGATGCTCTGTCATCTCCAAATACTTTAGTAGACTGATTCTCAACCAGGGGGAGTTTTGCCCTCCAGGAAACATCTGATAATATCTCAAGATATTTTTAGTTGTTAGCCTGGGGAAAGGTGTGAGGAGGATGCTACTGTCATTTAGTTATTAAAGGCAAACCAAGTCGCTAAACATCCTGCAATTCACAGGAAATGCCCCCAACAAAGAATTATGTGGCCCAAATGTCAGAAGCGATAGTGCCAAAGTTGAAAAACCTTGCTTTCATATATATTTTCTACAAACACAATTGTGTCTATATATGTATATACATATATATAATTCTATATATTACAAATCTATTACAGTAATATATGTGCCCCCCCAAATGCAATACGTGCACAGTACAACGAACAAAACCAGAAAATTAATATTAATATATTGCTACATCTAATTATCAAGTCCGCATTAAAATTTCACCAATAGTCAGCCGGGCACGGTGGCTCACGCCTGTAATCCCAGCACTTTGGGAGGCCGAGGCGGATGGGTCACGAGGTCAGGCGATCAAGACCATCCTGGCTAACACGGTGAAACCCCGTCTCTACTAAAAATACAAAAAAAAAAAAGGAAAAAATTAGCCGGGCGTGGTGGTGGGTGCCTGTAGTCCCAGCTACTCGGGAGGCTGAGGCAGGAGAATGGCGTGAACCCAGGAGGCCAGGCTTGCAGTGAGCCCAGACCGCGCCACTGCACTCCAGGCTGGGCGACAGACGGAGACCCCGTCTCAAAAAAAAAAAAAAATTCACCAATAGTCCCAATAATGTTTCATAGCAAAAGGATCAAGTTCAGAATCATGCATTGCCTTTCATTGTCATGTCTTTTTAATGTCCTTGTATCAAGAATAGATCTTTAGACCTAACTTAACCAAGATTTCTGGCCCATATTTTCTTCTTTTTTTCCTTTGCTTTGCTTCTCCTTCCTTTTCTCCTTTCCTTTCTCCTTCGCTTTCCCCTTCCTTTTTCTCTTCCCTCTCCCCTTCCCTTCCCCCTCCCCTTCCTTCTCCTCTCCTCTTTCCCTTACTTTTTCCTTTTCCCTTCCTTCTTTTTTGAATGGCTCCCTTTAGGTTTTCTGAGGTTTCCTTGTGACTAGAGTCAGGCAATGCATTTTGGCAAGAATATCACAGAATTGATGCTGCGTTTTTTTCATTGCATCCTATCAGGTGGTACATGATTCCATTTTGTCTCATTACTGACAATGTTTATTTTGACAGGTTGATAATGGTGGTATATAGTAGGCTTCTATCTTGTTATTCTCTATTTCTAGATTCTGTTACTTTATTTTATGTTGTTTTTCCTAAAGGGTAATAGGAATTTTCTCTGTTTCTTTATTTTGTTTTTGTTTATTTCCCTATTTTTATTCCTTACTATACTTTTAGCACATAGTACCTAGTGCAAAATACTAATATATGTTGAACACCAACAGTTGTTGAACAAATGTCTGAAACTGACTCTGTCCTGCTACCACAAAAACATATATATATATATTTTTTTTTCCTATAGGGATACCATCAACTACATAGTTGTCTAAGCCAAGACCTCCTGCTAGGACTGATTAAAGCCTGTGCATCCTCATTATCCAGAGCCTGTGTTGCTCCTCTAGAGCTATAGTCAGGCTAACCATTCCTTCTGGTTAATATCTGAAAGGAAGAATCATGCAGCAAGAAGAGAACTGTGAGGGAAGAAAAATGGCACAAACCCAGCCTGGATTTCTCTCTCCCCTTTTAATGATGAATGAATGAAAAAAATTCATCATTAGCTGTAGTTAGTTTCTATTACATAAAAAGGAAGCTGATGAAATATATAACTGAGTTATATACCCACATCCAATTGGTTCTGTTTCTCTGGAGAACTCTATTAAAGAAGTTATTGAGTATTGTTTACATGTACACTGACAAATATGTCTAAAGGTTATGTCTGAACACCTATAAATTTATATCAATGATTCTATATAGTTCATTCTTATTACACTTGATTCTAATTCTTATGAAGTTGATGTTTGGTAGAATGAATGATAAAAGGAGATTCTGTCCCCTATTGAAGTGTTTGTGTAGTTACACGCCAGAGTTTTGGAGATTGAGGAAAAGGTTGAGCTTAAATAATTTTATGGGCAAACTCAATGCTTGAATGTAAGATAGTACTTTACTTTGAAAGATTTGGAGGATTTCATAATGACTTTTACTTTTGCTAATTATTGATACAGTCACTTGTAAATAAGTTTACTTAGGTAAGCTCAAGGAAATCATGCTTTTTCTCAGGCTTATTTTAAATCTGAATATTTTTACTGTCTTTGCTTTTACAAGAAAATATTCATCATTGTATTTTTTGTCTTAATTTTCAAAGTCAAATGTTAATTGTTTTTGTGGGATTACTTTGGCAAATATGGGAGATCCCCAAACAAATTTTAAAAAGTTTTTTCGGCCGGGCGCTGTGGCTCACGCCTGCAATCCCAGCACTTTGGGAGGCTGAGGCGGGCGGATCACGAGGTCAGGAGGTCAAGACCATCCTGGCTAACACAGTGAAACCCCGTCTCTACTAAAAATACAAAAGAATTAGCCGGACGTGGTGGCGGGCGCCTGTAGTCCCAGCTACTCGGGAGGCTGAGGCAGGAGAACGGCGTGAACCCGGGAGGCAGAGCTTGCAGTGAGCTGAGATCGTGCCACTGCACTCCAGCCTGGGCGACAGAGCGAGATTCTGTCTCAAAAAAAAAAAAAAAAAAAAGTTGTTTCTGTTCTCCTTTGTTTTCTACTTTCTCTTAAATAGAAATATATTTCTTGTACAAATAAATGCCATGAATTAAAAAAATAATAAATTATGATTTTCCTTCGTGAGGATCAGTTCTCCTAGACATTGGTTTAGCTAATGCCAGCTATTTGGTATAAAAATCTGTATCCGTGGAGAGGTAAAAAAGAGCTAAAGGAAGCATAAGAAAGACAACCGCATCTTTAAGAAGTTCCTCTTTTTCTTTTTTCTTTTTTTTCTTTTTTTTTTTTGAGACGGAGTCTTGCTTTGTTCCCCATTGTTCCCCAGGCTGGAGTGCAGCGGCGCGATTTCTGCTCAGTGCAAACTCCGCCTCCCGGGTTCACGCCATTCTCCTGCCTCAGCCTCCCGTGCAGCCGGGACTACAAGTGCCCGCTACGGCGCCCAGCTAATTTTTTGTATCTTTAGTAGAGACGGGGTTTCACTGTGTTAACCAGGATGGTCTCGATCTCCTGACCTCGTGATCCACCCGCCTCGGCCTCCCAAAGTGCTGGGATTACAGGCGTGAGCCACAGCACCCGGCCAAGAAGGTTCTCTTAAAAGGAATCACTTCTTGTTTTCTTACAAGTTATAACCTCACTACCCTAGAGTCACATTTTTTAATAACTTATGAATTTTCTGAAACTTCAAATACCCTATGGCCCCATGGTAAAACATCAGATGACATTTGCCTCTCATTTAAACCATTTTTCTTTTCCTCTTTCTTCATTTTTCTTATACTCTCTCATTTCTTTTTCTCTCTTCCTATTTCTCTTTTTCTCTCTGCTTCTTCCTACCTCCCCTCGTGACTTTGTCTCCTCATCCCGTCACCGTGCTACTTAGATGCCACATCAATTTGACTAGCCTCAAATTTACAATGAATACTTTTTAAATTCATGCTTCTGAAACTTTTAAAGGATGAAGAGGTATAAATGTCTCAAATAATAATTTGCTTGATGGCTGAAATGAATGGCATTTCTCAAAAAGGCCAAGGGACTGAATACAGCAATTTAAACAATCACTTTCCGTTAGTGATATGGTTTGGATGGTTTGTCCCCTCCAAATCTCATGTTGAAATGCGACCTCCAGTGTTGGAGGTGGGCCTAGTAATAGGTGTTTGTTTCCCAAGGGTGGATCCCCATGAATGGTTTTGTGCTGTCCTCCCGGTAATGAGTGAGTTCTTGCTCTATGAATTCACGAGAGATCTTGTTGTTTAAAAGAGCCTGGCATCTCCCTTGCTCCCTCTCTCCCCATGTAATATGCCAGCTCCCCCTTTGCCTTAAGCCATGATTGTCAGCTTCCCGGGCCTCAGCAGAAGCTGAGCAGATACTGGTGGCCTGTTTGTACAGCCTGCAAACCATCAGCCAAATACTCCTCTTTTCTTTATAAATTACCCAGTCTCAGGTATTCCTTTATAGCATTGAGATGGACTAACATAGTCAGTTTTGACAACATGAACCTTTCATATTAAAATTTAATTTCTAAATTCACTCATTTACTGTGATTGGTTTATAGCTTTTCTGTAATAATGAATTTTACGTGTGACTTTCAATGTGCTTTAAAACTTGATTCACTTTTTAGCTCTATTTTTGGAAACTACCAGCTTCCACTGTTGAGGCAAAAGTGTCATCATTGAGGCTCTCCTGCTGAGGTAGCTGTTGTCTGATTTCCCTTCAGTTCTACTGCTGTCCCAGTGGAAAAAGGGAATCTTCACCACTTACATGACATGTTTGCCTGAACTCTAATCTTCCACACTTGCTGTAGAAAAGAGTAAAGTGGCAGTTCAGGGCAGTTTACCAATTTAGAAACGGTGTCCGCTCGGTATTTTCCTCTGTGTCACTTACTAAAACATATAAAAGAAACCATGGACATTAAAAGAAAGAGAGAGGTTTAATGTGATATTTTAATTCTAACAAGGATTTATGGGCACATGAATGCCCAAAATCACATACCCCCTTAGTGTTTTTCATCTCACACATATCACATCAGACACATATCACACATATCAGGCACATATCACACAGAACTTACCATAATTAAATTATCAGTTTTTGAAAAATATCATTTGCTCTCTTTTTTTCTATATAAATAAATTTTTTTAAAATATGATTTTCAGTTCTGGGATACATGCACGGAACATGCAGGTTTGTTATATAGGTATACATGTGCCATATAGGTGGTTTCTTATTTGTGTTTTCATCTTATGGCTTTGGCTAGAACTAGATAATAAAAGTATGCATCAATTTAAGAGTTATTTTTAATCATGGTAAGGACATATCTATAACTACTTTGTTAAATTTCATCAGTCATGCATGTTAAATATCATTAAATAAATATCAAAAATGGGCTGCTGTACCAGAATACCATAGACTTGGTGGCTTATAAACAACAGAAAGGAATTTCTCACAGTTCTGGGGTCTGGGAAATCTAAGACCAAGGTACTAGCCAATCTGGTGTCTGGGAAAAACTTTTGTTCTAGTTCAAAGAAGGCTGCCCTTTCTCTATAACCTCAGTTGGGGAAGGAGCAAGGGAGTTCAGGGGGCTGCTTTAGAAGGGTGCTAAACCCATTAATGAGGGCTGCTCTCTCATGACTTAATTAGTTCCCAAAAGCCCCACCTTCAAAAACCCTCACACTGGCGGTTAGCATTTCAACATATGAATTTGAGAGGGATGTAAACATTTAGTCTGTAGCAGTAAATGTACAATATAAGGTAAATAGCTTTATTGTTGTGTTGCATTATATTAATACATATTTTCTAGTATTAAATCTTTGTATGCCAAATCACTGGGGTGGGTGATTTCTTAGTAAGTGTAGAATTCAGTTCCTTTTTCTTTCAGTTAAGAATATTTTAACTATGTTTATAAGGGATACTGTTTAGTAATTTTATTCTTTTTGTATTCACTTCATCAAGAGTTAGTAATAGTTATATTTGCTTTGTAAAATGAACTGAAAGGAAGCCACTTTTTATAACTTTATCCATATTTCCTAGTCTGGGGTCCATTTTACAAGATGTTTTAAACAGATGCTTATTAAAAACACTGGTTATAGGGACTTTAATAAAAATTTTTAAAATAATGTTTTACATTTCTTGCAAACATTGATGCCTGCAACCTATTTACTATTTTTAAAATTAAATTAAGATTCATTTAAGCAGTACATGTTTATTTTAGTGAAACACGTATTTAATTTTCTAAGATAGTATTTTTTGTCTTTAAAACAATTTCTGCATGTTTTGTTTTTTTTTTCACTTTAAATTTTATGTTTTCTCAGTTTTTGTTTTATCACATTTGCTGTATTTTTCTGTATCATGGGTTATTTGTTAAAGAATGAACTTGTGTATGTTTATAAATTGTTACTGTTTTTGTTTATAATTTATTGCCTTCTAACTTAATATGTAATTAGCATTCCTTTTAATTTTGCTTGTATGCTTTGCTGTACCATTTTGAAATTCTTGAGTTAAATGCTTAACTATTTTTTATCAAGTTTAAATATTAAATTAAATATGTCCCATCAGTTTAGTCATTTTAATATTCTCACTCATCAGACATTTTTTGGGAACACCATATGCCTTTTCATGCAGTCAGTTTCAAGAAAATGAAAATTACTTTTTATATGTTTATACTCAAAGCTTGGCTAGAGATAAGTCTCCCCTTCCTTAAGTTGGGGAGAGAGTGATTTCTTCCAGGCTATAGTCAAAAGAGATACAATTATAGTAATTTTTTGTGTTTGTTTGGGTTGTTTCTGTTTGTTTGTTTGTTTGTTTGTTTGAGACGGAGGTTGGATCTTGTTGCCCAGGCTGGAGTGTAGTGGCATAATCTCAGCTCACTGCAACCTCCGCCTCCTGGGTTCAAGCAATTCTAAACATATTTTAGCACAAAACTGTTTAAGATTTCAATTTATATCTTTTTATTATCTTCCATATACTCTTTTGATACATTACCCATTATGTTGATTATTAACGTACACTCAAGTCAAGATCTTTTATTATGTGAGGTCATCAGTCAATGATAACAGATATTGATGAATTAGTCTCCTCATCAGAAATTGAGCAACATTTTCATTCAAGACGACACATGGGCCTTTAAAGCATATTCAATAATACTGAGTCTCAGTCTTCTCCTGCTATTTTCTGAATGTGCATTTAGACCTTTATACATCTATCTATCTACTGACCCATTTATTAAATTTTCAGCATTTACTTTGTACTCCAAGGACCAGAACCATGTTTGTCTTGTTCACTGCTGTACTCCTATTGCAAGGACCTAGAACATAGTAGGAGCTCATTAAACTCTGAGGATTCAAAATAAGTGAATAGAGGTTGTAGCAGGAAGAAGTCTAAGATAGCCCCTATGACCTTCATTTCCTCATGTTACCCTGTTGATACCTCACACGGCAAAGGAGTCTTGCACATGTCACTAAGGCTAATAATCCGTCAGCCTTAAGACGGGGGGAGTACCTGGGTAAACCTAACCTAATCACACCAAAACCTAACAATCAGGGAGTTTTCTACAACTGAGAGTAGAATGGGAAGTCAGAGAGTTTCAGAGTCCAAGAAGCATTTATAGCACCCTTATTGACTTTGAAGATGCTTTGCTTCTTCTTTTGAGTTCAGTTTGAGATTATCTTTCTAATAATTGATTAGATTTTATTCTTGTAAAAAAAGAGATAATTTAAAGGAATCTATTTTTAAATACTCTGAGGAGGGTGATACTAGGGGTGCTGGTTGTCCTGTTTTAACTTTGTCTTAATTTCTAATGTAATTAAATTTTGAGTAGGTAATGTGACCTGTGTGGTTTTTATTTTAAAAAATATATTGAGGTTTTATATAATCTATTTTTAAAATATTCAATGGAAACTTGAAAACATACTGTTTCACATATTCTTGTATATATATATTAAAAATCTTTTTTTATTTATTTTTTATTTTTATTTTTTTTTTGAGACGGAGTCTCGCTCTGTCGCCCAGGCTGGAGTGCAGTGGCGCCATCTGGGCTCACTGCAAGCTCCGCCTCCTGGGTTCACGCCATTCTCCTGCCTCAGCCTCCCGAGTAGCTGGGACTGCAGGCACCCACCACCACGCCCAGCTAATTTTTTGTATTTTTAGTGGAGACAGAGTTTCACCGTGTTAGCCAGGATGGTCTCGATTTCCTGACCTCGTGATCCGCCCGCCTCAGCCTCCCAAAGTGCTGGGATTACAGGCGTGAGCCACTTAGCCCGGCCTAATTATTTGTTTTTTAAAAGATGGTACATAGGAAGAAGTAAATCAGGAAAAGTGGATAGTGATTGGTGGCAGTAGAAGTGAGTCAGTGTTACAGTTACTATTGCTGCTTAAGAAACTAACCCAAATGGCCTGGGTGCCGTGGCTCACGCCTGTAATCCCAGCAGTTTGGGAGGCTGAGACGGGCGGATCATGAGTTCAGGAGATCGAGACCATCCTGCCTAATACGGTGAAACTCTGTCTCTACTAAAAATACAAAAGTTAGCCTGGCCTGGTGGTGGTGGGCGCCTTAAGTCCCAGCTACTCGGGAGGCTGAGGCAGGAGAATGGCGTGAACCCGGGAGGCGGAGCTTGCTGTGAGCCGAGATCGCGCCACTGCAGTCCAGCCTGGGCGACAGAGGGAGACTCCGTCTCAAAAAAAAAAATTAAAAAAAAGAAAAAGAAAAAAGAAACTACCCTAAATTTAATAAGGTAAAACAACGACCACTTCATTATATCTCATGGATCCTATAGGTGAGAAATTCCAGCAGGATTCATCTGAGTGATTCTTCCTCTCTCACATCATTAACTAGGGTGACTCAGTGCTAGTCGGCTGGCAAACAAGTCAGTCTGGAAGGTGCAAGGTGCTTTTTTTCTGTCTTATAAATTGGTGGAGTTGTCTGGAAGGCAAGGCTCAGATGGGAAGGACTCTTAGTTATAGTGCCTGCACAGGGTAAACTTTTTTTTTTTCTTTTTTTTTTGAGACGGAGTCTCACTGTCCCCCAGGCTGGAGTGGTGTGGCCCGATCTCGGCTAACTGCAAGCTCCGCCTCCCGGGTTCACGCCATTCTCCTGCCTCAGCCTCCCGAGTAGCTGGGACTACAGGCGCCCACCACCAGGCCCAGCTATTTTTTTGTATTTTTAGTAGAGACGGGGTTTCACCGTGTTAGCCAGGATGGTCTCGATCTCCTGACCTCGTGATCCACCCGCCTTGGCCTCCCAAAGTGCTGGGATTACAGGCCTGAGCCACCGCGCCCGGCCTGCACAGGGTAAACTTCTTATATGGCTGCTGGCTTTCCGCAGATCAAACACTCCAAGGGAACCAGGTGGAAAAGGCCTGGTCTCTTTTTATCTCACCTTAAAGGTCAGGTAGAATTATTTGTCATACTCTATTGATTGTAGCAGTCACAAGCACGTCCAGATTTAGGGAAGGGAGACATAGACCTATTTTTTGATGAGAAGAATATCAACCTGTTTTTGGACTATGTTTAAAACTGCCACACATGACAATTACACACCAGGTAGAAGGCATTTGGCGACAGACTTCTTGAAGGAAATGAGGAGGAATCGTGCTCTGCTGAAAAAAGAGCATTCCAAAGAGAGACCACAGCTTGGGCAAAAGCCCTGAGTCGGAATCATGTGGACTTATTCTTAGAACAGCATCGAGGAAGCCATTATAGCTGGAGTAGAATGAGAAGGGGGAAGAGTATTAGTAGATGGTGGCAGAGAAATAAACATGAGAAGACGGATGATGGAACGAGCACCTTGTACGTCATTTTAAGGACTTTGGCTGTTCCTCAAACTGACATGGGACCATTGAAAGATTTTTTTATTTTTTATTTTTTAAATTTAACTTTTAAGTTCAGTGGTACACGTGCAGGTTTGTTATGTAGGTAAACTTGTGTCATGGGGGTTTGTTGTACGGATTATTCTGTTACCCACATGGTAAACCTGCTACCCACTAGTTGTCTTTCCTGATCCTCTCCCTCCTCCCAGCTTTCACCCTCCTTTTCAAAATAAGACATACATGCAGCCAACAAACATAGAAAAAAAGCTCAGCATCACTGATCATTAAAGAAATGCACATCAGAAGTACAATGAGATACTATCTCACACCATTCAGAATGGTTATTATTAAAAAGCCAAAAAATAACATGCTGGCAATATTGTGGAGAAAAGGCAACATTTCTACACTGTTGGTGGGAGTGTAAATTAGTTCAGCCATTGTGGAAGACAGTGTGGTGATTCCTCAAAGACCTAAAAGAACTACCATTCGACCCGGCAATCCTATTACTGGGTATACACCCAAAGGAATATAAATTGTTCTGTCATAAAGACACATGCATGCATATGTTTATTGCAGCGCTATTCACAGTAGCAAAGGCATGGAATCAACATAAATGCCCATCAATGGTAGACTGGATAAAGAAAATGTGGTATATATACACCATGGCATATTATGCCACCATAAAAGATGAGATCACGCCCTTTGTAGGAACATGGATGGAGCTGGAAGCCATTATCCTTAGCCAACTAATGCAGGAACAGAAAACCAAATGTTCCCACTTAGAAGCGAGAGTCAAAGGGGAGAATACATGAACACGTAGAGGGGAACAACATTGAAAGATATAAGCAAAGAAGTGATATCATCTGAATTGCATTTCTGAGATTTCTCTGGCACTTGTGTAAAAAATAGCTGAAAGGAATCAACGGCAGAAGCTGGGAGACCAGTTAGGGAGCTTTTGCAATAACCATAAGAGGAAATATGTGTGGCTTAGACTAGGAATCGTCAGGTTGGGAGTGCTCATTCAAATGTGGTCAGAATCCGGACATTTTGAGTGAGCCTACAGAAAGCTTTAATACTATCTCAAACTAAAGGATATAGAAGGTTTTCCCTTTCTCTTGCCCTGAAACCTTCTGTATCCTTTATTTTGAGATAGTATTAGAATTCTTACTATCTTACTGACAATTCTCACTATCTTGTTTTATAACTTGGAACATGATTATAATTATAGTATTGTTAAATATTTTATTTTTATTTTATAATTATACTTTAAAAATATTATTTTGGTAAATAATCATAAAATATGAAAAATAAATCTTTCCATTAACTGAATCAATTGTCCCCTTGCAGGATTTTGGCTTCACAACTTCCTAATCCTTGAAATATTAATTTTGATTATTTTTCTAATATGTACCCATATGTCTTTGAGTAAATTTTTATTGGAAGGACAAATCAGTGCTGGATATACAGATGCCATTGCTTCGTACTCAGGTAAAGACAACCTGATATTTATGATCCTCTTGATCATATTTTTATTCTCTTAAAATCTTTATGTCTTCTAATAATGTTAACAGAGAAGAAAAAAAGTCTTATCTAAGCCTGACTTTTTATTTTTAAGGAAGTTTTTTTATTTATTTGTAAAATTCAGGAGTTTGGCTAGTTGTTATTTAAATATGGAGAACTCTTCCTTGTTTCTTCCCCCTCCCTGCCTAGAAGCTGGTTGGTGCTTTTATTATTCGTACTTCAGTGATAGCTTTGATTATTGTTTCAGATCTCCTTGCCCTTGTGTCTTTCCCCAGTACACAAACTATTCTCGAGGTGGAACCTGTGGTCTCTGGCATACCCATCCGCCTTCTTCTCTGTCATTAGTTCATCTCTTCCTTTGCCCTCCAGAGCTCTGATTCAATTGCTGCTTGAACTTTTCAGTGTGTCAGTTTCTTTCTCCACGGATTTCCCTGTGGATGGAAAATCTGCCCTTGCACTTTAGTTTTCATAGAAGCCTCATCTCAGCTATCTCCCATTTTGTGATATGAGCCTCTTTTGTTATTGTAGCCTTCATCTCCTATTTCCTAAATTCCATGTGTTTCTACATACTGTTCATAGACAAATAGTTTAAAGCAATGGTCTATAGTTTCTTGTGGTTTGAAAGTCATATATTTTTAAATACGTTTTCTCCCCCTGAGAATTCAGCATACAGTTTCATTTTTCTTGTACGCAGGATGATTTTTAGGATTTTTTTTCTGTTATATTTTTTCCATTCTGGTTACCTAGAAGGTAGTGATTATTACCCCAAACCAGGGTTTGATACTGTGTTAGTCCACTTTCATACTGCTATGAAGAAATACCTGAGACTGGGTAATTTATAAAGAAAAAAAGGTTTAATGGACTCAGTTCCACGTGGCTGGGGAAGCCTCACAATCATGGCAGAAGGCAAAGGAGGAGCAAAGACATGTCTTACATGGTGGCAGGCAAGAGAGAGAGCATGTGCAGGGGAACTCCCCTTTATAAAACCATCAGATCTTGTGAGACTTATTCGGTTTCACAAGAACAACACAGGGAGAAACCCATCCCCATGATTCAGTTACCTCCCACTGGGTCCCTTTCATGACATATGGGGATTATGGGAGCTACAATTCAAGATGAGATTTGGGTAGGGACATAGCCAAACCATATCATTCTTCCCCTGGCGCCTCCTGAATCTCATGTTCTCACATTTCAAAATCAATCATGCCTTCCCAACAGTCCCCCAAAGTTTTAACTCGTTTCAACATTAACTGAAAAGTCCACAGTCCAAGGTCTCATCTGAGACAAGTCCCTTCCACCTATGAGCCTGTAAAACTAAAAGCAAGTTAGTTACTTCCTACATACAATGGGGGTACAGGCATTGGGTACCCCCAGTGTATCTACACCTGTTCCAGATGGGAGACATTGGTCAAAACAAAGGGGCTACAGGCTCCATGCAAGTCTGAAATCCAATAGGGCAGTCATTAAACGTTAAAGTTCCAAAATGATCTCCTTTGACTCCGTGTCTCACATGCAGGTCACACTGACGCAAGTGGTGGTCTCCCATGGCCTTGGGCAGCTCTGCCTCTGTGGCTTTGCAGGGTACAGCCTCCCTCCTGGCTGCTTTCACTGGCTGGCATTGTCTGTGGCTTTTCCAGGTACACAGTGTAAACTGTTTGTGGATCTACCAATTGGGGGTTTGGAGGGCAGCGGCCCTCTTCTCATAGCTCCACTAGGCATTGCCCCAGTAGGGACTCTGTATGGGAGACAGAGCCCACATTTCAATTCTCTACTACCCTGGAAGAGGTTCTTCATGAGCCCCTGCTCCTGCCCCCGCACCCCACCAGAGCAAACTTCTGCCTGAACATCCAAGTGTTTCCATACATTCTCTGAAATCTAGGTGGAGGGTCCCAAACCTCAATTCTTGACTTCTGTGCGCCTGCAGGCTCAACATCTTGTGGAAGCTGCCAAGGCTTGGGGCTGCAACCTCCGAAGACATGGCCTGAGCTGTAGCCTGGTGTCTCCCACCCCAGCCATGGCTGGAGTGGCTGGAATGCCGGGCACCAAGTCTCAAGGCTGCACACAGCAGGGGGACCTGGACCTGCTCCAGGAAATCATTTTTCCATACTAGGCTTTTGAGCCTGTGATGGAAAGAGCTGCCGTGAAGGTGTTAAGGTCTTTAATGTTCTGGAGACATTTTCCCCATTGTCTTGGTGATTACATTTGGCTCCTTGTTACTTATGCAAATTTCTGCAGGAGGCTTTAATGAAAGTCGGTTTTTCTTTTCTTTTCTTTTCTTTTTTTTTTGGATTGGGAGTCTCACTCTCTTGCCCAGGCTGGAGTGCAGTGCCGCAATCTGGGCTCACTGCAAGCTCCGCCTCCCAGGTTCACGCCATTCCTCAGCCTCCCAAGTAGCTGGGACTACAGGTGCCCGCCACCACGCCTGGCTAATTTTTTTGTATTTTTTTAGTAGAGACAGGGTTTCACCGTGTTAGCCAGGATGGTCTGGATTTGCTGACCTCGTGATCCGCCCGCCTCAGCCTCTCAAAGTGCTGGGACTACAGGCGTGAGCCACCGCGCCCGGCCAAAAAGTCTTATACATTATATTGCTCAAATTTTATCCTTTAATAAGTCATAACGGAGAAACATGCTAATGATTTCACAATTAAATGTGACGTTCATTTAGTGTTTTGCTTTGTAATATTAAATATTTTATTGTTTTCCATGGGATACCTTTTCCTTTAAAATTCTACTTTATGTGAAATCGATGATGTTATAAATAGTCTTTGATTTTTACTTTATTAATCTTTGTACATTTTAATATCGTTAAACTTACAGGAACAGTTTGTACGCTTCATGGAAATAGAGTAGAGTAATAGAGTTTGATTATTTGTTTTGTTTTCAGCTGAGGGTTTTTTTTTTTGGTAATTTCAGTCTTAGAGTCTTTCTTTTCAGCAGTTAGTGGTATAATTCATATTTGCTTCTCATAGCTGATTTTTTGTTTTAACTTTTGTGAACTTGCTTATAGTTTCTTTACAACTATTAGGCCGGTGCAAAAGTTATTGAAGTTTTCACTAATTATTATTATTATTATTATTTTGAGGCGGACTCTCCCTCTGTCGCCCAGGCTGGAGTGCAGTGGCGCGATCTCAGCTCACTGCAAGCTCCGCCTCCCGGGTTCACGCCATTTTCTTGCCTCAGCCTCCCGAGTAGCTGGGACTGCAGGCCCCGGTCACCACGCCTGGCTAATTTTTTGTATTTTTAGCGGAGATGGCGTTTCACCATATTAGCTAGGATGGTCTCGATCTCCTGACCTCGTGATCCGCCCGCCTCAGCCTCCCAAAGTGCTGGGATTACAGGCGTGAGCCACTGCACCCGGCCTAATTATTTGTTTTTTAAAAGATGGTACATACGAGGAAGTAAATCAGGAAAGGAGGATAGTGATTGGTGGCAGTAGAAGTGAGTCAGTGTTACAGTTACTATTGCTGCTTAAGAAACTACCCCAAATGGCCCGGGCGCTGTGGCTCACGCCTGTAATCCCAGCACTTTGGGAGGCTGAGACGGGCGGATCACGAGTTCAGGAGATCGAGACCATCCTGCCTAACACGGTGAAACCCCGTCTCTACTAAAAATACAAAAGTTAGCCGGGCGTGGTGGTGGGTGACTGTAGTCCCAGCTACTCGGGTGGCTGAGGCAGGAGAATGGTGTGAACCCGGGAGGCGGAGCTTGCGGTGAGCCGAGATTGCGCCACTGCACTCCAGCTTGGGCCACAGAGTGAGACTCCGTCTCAAAAAAAAAAAAGAAAAAAGAAAAAAAAAAGAAAAAAGAAACTACCCCAAATTTAATAAGGTAAAACAACGACCACTTCATTGTATCTCATGGATCCTATAGGTGAGAAATTCCAGCAGGATTCGTCTGAGTGATTCTTCCTCTCTCATATCATTAACTAGGGTGACTCAGTGCTATGCGGCTGGCAAACAAGTCAGTCTGGAAGGTGCAAGGTGCTTTTTTTCTGTCTTATGTATTGGTGGGGTTGTCTGGAAGGCAAGGCTCAGATGGGAGGGACTCGTAGTTATAGTGCCTGCATAGGGTGAACTTCTTTTTTTTTTTTTTTTAGACGGAGTCTCACTGTCCCCCAGGCTGGAGTGGTGTGGCCCGATCTCGGCTCACTGCAAGCTCCGCCTCCCGGGTTCACGCCATTCTCCTGCCTCAGCCTCCCGAGTAGCTGGGACTACAGGCGCCCACCACCAGGCCCGGCTAATTTTTTGTATTTTTAGTAGAGACGGGGTTTCACCGTGTTAGCCAGGATGGTCTCGATCTCCTGACCTCGTGATCCGCCCTCCTCGGCCTCCCAAAGTGCTGGGATTACAGGCCTGAGCCACCGCGCCCGGCCTGTGCTCACCCATATTTCTGTTTGCTGTGTGGTGCAGTGCGACCACACGGTTCTTCAGACACAACCTCTGCTTTCTCATTTACCTCAACACTTTAACCCTTAGATTCTTTTTTACTATACTTCAGTGTATTTCCCAGACATATATTGTCTATGAGGGATAAAATAAAATATCAATTAAAAACAAAAAAATTCAGAGAAATATTAACCATTCACTCTTCTAAGTTCTCAAAGGTTACATTCTTCACCAAATCATATAACCAGGTCCCAATAAAATACCATCATGCAGGGAATTTAACATCATGTAGTTTAAAATACCATCATGCGGGCAGCTTTCAACTAAGCATCCTGTAAGAAAAGATCATTTGTTCTTACATCTTTAAAAGTTTGGAAATTGCTATGGAAGATTATTTTTATTATATTGTCCATTGTCTGTTGCTTAAAGACATATATTTTGCTTGAGTTTAGAGTTACCAAAAAATAGTTGCTGATATATCCAGATACTATTTTATTAACTAACAATACCTATTTGAATTCTGGTTTTCCTTTTGGCCTTTAAGAACAAGGGGCTTAGGACTAAATTTTAGGCTGAAGGGTAGTGTTTCCTTCCCTAGGTTGTCCCATGTAATTGTCACCTCTTTCTCTTCATTATTCTGTCATTTTGCGCTTGTTTTATAGTGTCTGTGCCTTTCATTCTAAGCTGTCTCAGGGGCTTTTCTGGAAATACACAGTGTATAAGTACAAAATGATGAAATAAACATGCTTCTTTTTTTTTTTTTTTTTTTTTAAGACGGAGTCTCACTCTATTGCCCAGACTGGAGTGCAGTGGCACGATCTCGGCTCACTGCAAGCTCTGCCTCCTGGGTTCACTCCATTCTCCGGCCTCAGCCTCGCGAGTAGCTGGGACTACAGGCACCTGCCACCATGTCCGGCTAATTTTTTGTATTGTTAGTAGAGACGGGGTTTCACCATGTTAGGCAGGATGGTCTCGATCTCCTGACCTTGTGATCTGCCCGCCTTGGCCTCCCAAAGTGCTGGGATTACAGGCGTGAGCCACCGCATCAGGCCAACACACGTCTTTATTTTGTTTTCAAAGATGCTTGGGTGGGACTAGATGACCTCTAAGGTCCTTTCCAGCTCTAAATTTACGTTACTTTCACCAAAGACAGACAAAAAAAAAATCTGTTAGGTTATAGGTCTAGAGATGAGTGCCAAGTACTATATTCCTGCTCTAGGTGCATTTCTTGTTGAAGGCAGTGCTAGATTCAGTGACCTGTTACGGCCGTTTACAGTCTTATGGTGATAAAACAAGAGAACTGATTGCTAAAAAAAAAAAAAAAAATTCAGTTGAAATATCTTTTTACTCTTAAGCATCAACAAAAAATAAATAGAAAACAGAAGAGTTGAATTATTTAGTTTGAGCTATTTGTAATAAATTTGGACAACTAAGCTAAGCCCGAGTGTAGTTAATTCAATGAAATTAGTCATATTTGAATATTGTCACAACCTTACTACCACATTAGCATTAAGTGTGATTAAAATTTATTCTTTGTTTCTGTGTGAGTCTCCACAGAATCAGCTATCAACACCTTCATAATAAACTAGCCCTTCATTGCTTTCAGGAAACTTTTTGATTCAGAGCAGGTGGTTGGGCTTCTGCTTTAAAAGAGAACAAATCATTTTTAACGTCCCTTTCCTGTTTGTGTGTGTGAATTTAGAACACAGAAATTATCCATTGCATTGTTTATTTTTGCTAGGAGGTAGAAGTTCTTAAAAATATAGGAAATACTAGATATCATGTACTGATAATTTCCAAAGCTAATTATTTTTCTTAAGTCCAAGCTATAATTTAAGAGGCGTACTTGTGAAATATGAATATTGTTTTAGAGTAATAAAATGTTTCTCATGGAAAAATAGAATATGATTTTGTCGAAGTTCAAGGGAATATCCATTTTCATTCAGGTAGCTTCCAGATTTTTGTCTTTACATGTTCTGTGTAGTGATTTAAATACCGTACCTCCAAAATTTATGTCCATTAGGAACTTTAGAATGTGATTTTATTTGGAAGTAGGGTCTTTGCAGATATAATTAACCCAGTGATTGAGATGAGGTCATCCTGGGTGAAGGTGGGCCCTAAATCCAGTGTAAATGTCCTTATAACATACAGGAAAAGACACACACAAGGTCATGTGAAGATGGAGACAGAAATTGGAGTTATGCAGTCATAAATCAAAGAAGGTCAAGGATTGCCAGGAGCCACTGGAAGCCAGGAAGAAGCGAGGGAGAATTCTTCCCTAGGGTCTTCAGGGGGAGTGTGGCCCCGCCAACATCTTGATTTCAGAGGTCCAGGCTTCCGAACTATGAGAGAATATATTTCTGTCCTCTTAACCCACCAAGTGTGTGATAATTAGGTATGATGGCCCTAGGCAACTACTACACTCTAATTCAGAAGTTCTTCTGGATTTTATTGTATCATGTGTTGGTAGGAAGTACCTGGCTGTTTCATTTGCATGATATGTGGGTAATCTTAGAATTATCATATCTTGCAAGTAATTTTAAAGTATGTTGTAATGTAGTCAGAAGCTTTTTAAATATGAAATTTAATTCATGCTGGTGTCAACTACATTTGAAAAAATACAAAAAAGCTATATAAGATTCTAGGATCTTTCAGAATTTTATAATGTTTATAATGGACAGTTGGTTAAATAAAAATTGTACCCTAAACAATTTTGTTGTTGGCTTAAAATAGCATTTAATTTATTAGTGCTCAGATAATAGTTATCCCCTAAATAGCATTTTTACTTTCATATGTTGATATCAAACAGTGAAGTGAGACAGCAAATCAGTACAACGTGGTGATTATCAAACATCATAAATCCATGAAGGATAGCCTTGATCTTACTGAGAAGAGTTTAATTTTAAAACGCATACCTGGAAAAGGCAACTTAGATTAACATTTCAAACTCACATAGCATTATTTGTGATTGATTATAGTTATAATTGATCATTTTACTTTTGGACCGTCACTTTGAATCAAACTGGGATAAATATAAATTAAAGATTGATTATTTGCTTTGAATTTTAGATTAAAAAATTCAAAAACCATAAAAACAGAGCTTTGACTATAATAAAGGTATTTATCCTTTCTTGGTAAGAATTGGGGAGGGGTTTAAGAAAAGGCTAAGCAATGTTCTATTTTTTACATAGGCAAAAGTTCATTTGTGCTACTTTTTAATTAGGTAGTTTGTTGTTTTTTAAATGACAGCTTCCTAAACACTACTGATTTTACATGTGCAGTCATTAGCTTTTCATGTGGAAATAGTATCTTTCAAATTCACGCAGCTGCTTATTTTATGAAATGCAATGGGACTACTTACTTGCCACCTGTCTAAACTGGAATGCATAGATTCATGCCTTGCCAAATGAGGAGTTAGGGTGAAAAGTGATTAACGTCCGTTCTTTAATGAGTTTCTAAGTCTTTCTGAACATGTTTTTATTCTATTTATTGCAGTGGTATACTAACATTTTCGTGTTGGTTGCTGTACAAAGCATGATAATACCTTTATTAAAGCAATGTTAATGACATCCATAAGATATCATAAAATATTATATTCTTAATAGGAAATTTGTTATATATAAATAACAATAAAGATCGTAATAAGCTCTCCTTAATTCTGTTTATTTTGACTTCATTATTAAGTTTGGAAACATAGGTGTCAAATTTAGACATTATTTATATGTAATTATAAAGCCAAATAAATGTTAGAGATTAACTTAAAAAGAGTTTTGTGGCTTAACAATTGAAGTGAGATAGTGAGATCACAAGGGGCTTAATCATTCTGAATTGATTCTACAGATGTCTCCTTTCTCTAAATGCCCTGTAAGCTTCCTATCTTCCATGAAAGTTTATTCCCATAATCCTGGCACATAAAATTAGTCATATAACTCTTTTCCATTCTGAGATTTCAAGGATTAGGACTTTCAACATAGAGAAAACGTGCTGTGTAGAAGCTGAATGTACAAAAGGCAACACTTGGCAACGGAATCCAGTATTTCCCAAGTATTTGAGGAAACTTACAAAACCCAAATCTCTAGTACTTGCTTTCACATTTGCTATCAGAACCAGGAAGGGAGGCCTAGAAATGGTTTGAATGGAAAATTTGTTGTTGTAGAAGGGGTTCCCATTCACTGGTGAATAGACACAACGTATTTCCCAACCTTCTTTTAATCCAAGATAGCAACATTTTTACTGGAGCCAAAGATAAAACCAGTATTTAATCTCCTAGAAATTAGGAGATTTATGACTCTGGAAATGGAAAGAATTTTCATATCCAGCCACATAACCAAGTCATGCAAGAACATAATAAACAAACCAATCAAACAACAAGAATAACAACCACAACATGGTCCCCATTCTGTCTTTAACCTCTGATAGAAAGAGCAGTAATGGTAAGACGAGAAAGCTCTCGTCAAGTGTTTTCCTCATCTACTGTTAATGATTTATTCTTACATCCTGTCCCAGTCCAATTATCAAAAAATTCTAAGAGAGATCCCTTTAACTGACTTGTAATGAATTCCAGGGTCACATTCCAGATATTGTTTTCCCCTGAAGTCGTGTAAGTGCACCTCAAAATACTATACTTTTGGTGTGAATCTGAGCCAAATTCTATTGTATTCTAAATAAAGTGAAACTCCTATCAGCCAATAGGGCACGGTATCAGTTTCAAATAAGACAAGTTGGTAAAGTCAGGAGAAATGACTTCCTCCTTCCTCCTGATGTGCTGTATATAGATGTATTAGCACTGCCTTTTAATATTTTATGTGTTCAACAGAGAGGGAACTAACATCTTGTTAATCCTCATTTGAAAACAATTTTGCGAATGTAAATGTAGCAGGGCTTTTGCCTTTTTTCCTTCTTCATGAAAAACAAGTAGTGCTTGGGGAGCAAGTGTTCCTGTTCAACTGCTGTCACTCATTCCCAGCTCTGTTTAGAAGAAATAAGCACAGATGGTTGGTCTACTACTTCCCCAACGAAAAATTTGCCTGTTGGCCGGGCGCAGTGGCTCAAGCCTGTAATCCCAGCACTTTGGGAGACCGAGGCGGGCAGATCACAAGGTCAGGAGATGGAGACCATCCTGGCTAACACGGTGAAACCCCGTCTCCACTAAAAATACAAAAAATTAGCTGGGCACGGTGGCGGACGCCTGTAGTCCCAGCTACTTCGAAGGCTGAGGCAGGAGAATGACGGGAACCCGGGAGGCGGAGCTTGCAGTGAGCAGAGATCGCGCCACTGCACTCCAGCCTGGGCGACAGAGCAAGACTCCGCCTCAAAAAAAAAAAAAAATTGCTTACCTTTTTTGTGTTTTATTCCATCCTTCTCATTGTCATGTGAACAGTATTTCAAGGGAAGAAACTTCTGTAGGGATCTTTGAAATGTTTATCCACTGCTTGTGCATGAAAGAGAAAAAGAAGAAATTAATGATTTATTAAAATTTCATGAGGGGAACTCAAAAACGCTTTGTTACAAAAAAATTTAATTTAGAAACCGTGTATTTTGCATGCAAAATTAAAGTCTTCAGGGAAGTAAGTTTTTATATCAGACTTGCATCCTAAAGTACTCATTTAATGATGACAGAACCACTTCATCCATGTTAAAAATACCTGTGTGGGTCTTTTTTATTTATACTGTGGCTTAATGAAAATTTGTCTATTGTAAATATATTAAGAAAAAGAGCATAAAGACTTTTTAACATAATTTTCTAACGCTGAAAATACATACAAACAGTAAAATACCCAAATCTTAACTGTACAGCTCAATACTTCTTTTGTTTTTAAACAAACTTAGCCCTTCTGTGTATCCAGTACTCAAATCAGGAAATTTTATATTATTACTTCTTCTAGACACTATTTCATAGGATAGCTCTTATGGTGATTTGGAACATAACTGATGAGTTTTACAATTTTTAGTGAATTAGATCGTAGTATATGTTCTGTATCTTGCTTCTTTCATTCAATATTTAGTTTATAAGATTTGTTAATCTTTTTGCATATAGTTGTAATTTGTTAGGTTCTCATTGCTATATACTATATCATTATACAAATATAAGTTCAATTTGTGGTTATTTTGAATGGTGCCTCTCTGAGCATTCATGTATTTGTCTTTTGGTAAATATTGCTGGGTATATGCTCAGGGTCATAGAATATGGTCAGATTTAGCATACATGGAAAATGGTGGTGTCCATCAGTTTACATTTCCATCCACAATGGGAGAGAGTTCTAGTTGCTCCGCATCTTTGCCAACACTTGGTATCATTTCTCTCTTTCATTTGAACTGTTCTGATGTGTATGTATCACTATTTCAATTGTGGTTATTTTGAAGATTACAAAATTGGCAAAGAATAACTGATTTTATTAAATCATATTTCATTTGAAGTAACGTGGGTCTACTTTGCAGTATTTTTCCCTATTTACATGATTCATAAGAAGAGTGATCATGAGATAGTCAACAATATAACAGCTTGGAATGAGATTTTTGATCAGCTATAATTGTAATGTATTTTATCTAAATATTATTTAACTGTATTAGTAACTGTGATCATTAAGAACAGAAACAAAAGGTAAGCAAGTCCTTAGATTAACATGAAACAACATTCCTGCCTTTTGAAAGAAACTTTTCTGACCTGTGAGTAAATGATGTAAATCAATTAATAGCTTAACTGAAATTAAGAGATGAGTCTCAGCTTTCATTGCCTATATTATATCTGTGTTTCTGGAGAAACAAAAAAACAGTATGACAAACCTACAGTCTGCTAGTTTCTTCTCACCCTGCCAACAACTGTTATATTACTGTTTAGCTGGTTATGTGCAACCATTTGTTCAGGATTGTTTTGTTTTGCTTAGTTTTACTTTTTAAGGCAGAGTCTTGCTCTGTTGCCCAGGCTTGAGGTCTATGAGTTACACTCAGGGTCACATGGTCAACGAGATGTAATCACAGCTCACTGCAGCCTTAATCTCCTGGGCTCACGTGATCCCCCTGCCTCTGCTTCCTCAGTAGCTGGGACTACAGGTGCATGCCACGACACCCGGCTTGTTGAGCAGAGTTTTGATGAAAATCATTCTTCCCTTCTTAATCACAAACAGTGAAACCTTAGAAAATGTAATTAGAGAGAAAAATAACATTTTGCACCAAGCTAATTGTATCTTTACCTTTTATTAGTTGGTTTCAGGATTGGTACTTGTTGATGGTTCTGTTTTGGAGTGTGCGTTCCCTGGGTTTAACTCCTTGCAGCACACTTTATATACATTGTGTGGCCTTACTTGAGTAACTTAAGTTGCTTAACTTCTCCAGATCCCAGATTCTCAACCTGTAGAATGGAAGTAATTATAATACAAACATTATGTGGTGGGTTAGTCCAGGTCCTCCAAGAGGTAGATGTTGAAAACGAGTTAAACACAAGAGGATTTTATTAAGGGAAATCCCTGTGAGAGAAAATGGAGAGGAAGCTGAGTAAGCCTGGAAGAGGTCTCAGCTATGAGGCAAGTCTGACCTAGAATGAAGGAAAGAGGAAAGGAAGGTTGAGTGGAAGCATTGGAGCGTAATGTACAGTCTAAGGAAGGGTGAGAAAAGGCTTCAGGGAATCCTGAGCCAAGACTGGTCCTCAGAGAAGCCCTGTGTCTCCTAAAGAGGGATCTGCATTAGCCACCCTGTGGCCCTCAGTCATTGACTGAGGGGCAGATGCAGAAACAGATTTTAGAGTGAAGCAGCAAGTGGCCGTAGGCAGTTAGGCTTCCCATACTTTGAGGTCTATGAGTTTATTTATTTATTTATTATTTATTTATTTAAATTATACTTTAAGCTCTGGGTTACATGTGCAGAACTTGCAGTTTTGTTTCATAGGTATACACATGCCATGGTGGTTTGCTGCACCCATCAACCCGTCACCTACATTAGGTATTTCTCCTAATGTTATCCCTCCCCTACACCCCCACACCCCACAGGCCCCAGTGTGTGATGATCCCCTCCCTGTGTCCATGTGTTCTCATTGTTCAACTCCTGCTTTATGAGTGAGAACATGCGGCGTTTGGTTCTCTGATCTTGTGATAGTTTGCTGAGAATGATGGTTTCCAGCTTCATGCATGTCCCTGCAAAGGACATGAACTCATGTCCTTTTTTATGGCTGCATAGTATTCCATGGTATATATGTGCCACATTTTCTTAATCCAGTCTATCATTGATGGACATTTGGGTTGGTTCCAAGTCTTTGCTATTGTGAATAGTGCCACAATAAACATACGTGTGCATGTGTCTTTATCGTAGAATGACTTATAATCTTTTGAGTATATGCCCAGTAATGGGATTGCTGGGTCAAATGGTATTTCTAGTTCTAGATCCTTGAGGAATTCACACACTGTCTTCCACAATGGTTGAAGTAAATTACACTCCCACCAATAGTGTAAAAGCATTCCTATTTTTCCACAACCTCTCCAGCATCTGTTGTTTCCTGACTTTTTAAGGACTGCCATTCTAACTGGAGTGAGATGGTATCTCATTGTGGTTTAGATTTGCATTTCTCTAATGCAGGTCTATGAGTTTCTTATTCATGGTCACTAAAAGATGTTTATCATGAATTGAAATCTCCAGATAAGAGTAAAGCAATGCCTAATTCATAGTTACGCACTTATCAATTTATTTATTCATATTATTCATTATCGTTATGAATATTCAACACATTAATAAAAGAGTCACATGTGCAATCTACTTGGGGTATTGGGAGAGTAAAGAATAACATAGTGGTGCTACAGGTAATTTAAGAGATGGTTTCTCTCTCTCTCTCTCTCTCTCTCTCTGTGTGTATATATATATATATATATATATATATATATATATATATATATATGAGACACAGGTATAATTATTTTCCTTCTACTATTTGTTATTGATGTATACTGCCAAATCCCTAACGGATACTGGAATACTTAACTCTAAGCTCCCCCCACGCCTACAAAAGAAGTGGGTACAAGGTTATTTTTTAAATCAAAAGATTTATTAATAGTATTTTTATCATGTCCAATTGATATTATCATTATCAAAAAGTTTAATCACTTATTATTACTTGAAGGACCTCGTTAGGAAATATTCGATCCCCTTTTTTTGGTTTTTTTTTTTTTTTTTTGAGACAGAGTCTCATTCTGTCACCCAGGCTGGAGTGCAGTGAGGTGATCTCGGCTCACTGCAAGCTCTGCCTCCCGGGTTCACGCCATTCTCCTGCCTCAGCCTCCCGAGTAGCTGGGACTACAGGCGCCCGCCACCACGCCCGGCTAATTTTTTGTATTTTTAGTAGAGACGGGGTTTCACCGTGTTAGCCAGGATGGTCTCCATCTCCTGACCTCGTGATCTGCCCGCCTCGGACTCCCAAAGTGCTGGGATTACGGGCGTGAGCCACCGCGCCTGGCCTGTTCCACTTCTTAAAACTGGTCACTGGAAGTACATCGTCTTGGGAAGAACTGGATATTTCTTGAAACCCCTTTCATATAGCCATATTCTCAAACATAGAACCTTCTTTTATTTTTTTCAAAGATTTTTTTCCATTACTGTAGAAAATTCAGAGGGTGTTTATGGATAGTGCAGTACTCCGCTCAAATACAGGGAACGAAAGTTACATTAAAATGATAATATTTTTTGCTGAAAAGTATTATGATATTTAATGTAAGCAAACAAATGACTCAGGTGATAGTGTTTTGTTTTCATTTTTTAAATGTCTTGGCCGGGCGCGGTGGCTCAAGCGTGTAATCCCAGCACTTTGGGAGGCCAAGGCGGGCGGATCATGAGGTCAGGAGATCGAGACCATCCTGGCTAACACAGTGAAACCCCGTCTCTACTAAAAATACAAAAATTAGCCGGGCGTACTGGCGGGAGCCTGTAGTCCCAGCTACTCGGGAGGCTAAGGCAGGAGAATGGCGTGAACCCGGGAGGCGGAGCTTGCAGTGAGCCGAGATTGCGCCACTGCACTCCAGCCTGGGCGACAGAGCCAGACTCCGTCTCAAAAAAATAAATAAATAAAAATAAATAAATAAATAAATGTCTTACTTCAATAGCTTTTGGAGCACAAGTGGTTTAGGTAACATGGATAATTTGTATAGTGGTGAAGTCTGAGATTTTATTGCACCTGTCACCTGAGTAGTGTACATTGTACCAAACATGTAGCTTTTTTATTCCACACCCACCTGCCAACTTCCCCCTTATGAATCTCCAGAGCCCATTATATCACTCAGTGGAGAGTCTTCAACATTCAGGGTGGAATCTTCAGGGTGTGGCCCTCTATCCATTGCTTTCCAACGTTTGTACTCTCTGCTTTGTGAATAGAGGCCTGTTCTCCCTGTCTGCCTTGTTCAAGTACCTTTGCCGTTTTCCTTGCTGGGATGACATCCTTTGCCCTGAAGTTCTCATTAACCATACCATAGATGTCCTCTTCTTACCTCAATACATCCAAGGCTACCTCAAGTTATAACTTCTCCTTTAGTTTTTCCCTAGTGTCTGAGTTCAAATGGGCTTCTCTATATCCAGAATATCTACCACCTGTCTTATCTTTCCTCACACGTGGCACGTGCAGTTCCTTCCATCTACTTTCATAATGTTGTATTTTAACGGTTCAGTTGTGTTTATATTACACTCTTCTGTCAGGCAAACAAGGGTATTTATATGGCTGAAATCTACGGTATTTTTTAAATGTAGTAAAATGTAATGAATAAGCATACAAATGAATGAGTTAATTAATCTGTTATATTCTTGGTTAAGTAATGAGCATTATGAGGACAAAAATTGAGTCTTACACCTTCTTATAATCCTAAAGACCTAGTACAGGACTTGGAATATAGCATTCACTTAAGACATCTTTGCGACTAATGAATTTAAATATTTTTATTAATTCTAAGTTGACGTATGATTGTAATTTGGGGAAGGTAGTGAAATTTCAAATGGCTTTCACCACCTGTGAAATGACCCTTTTTACCTACCACATGATTTACCAGATCTTTGTTTAGGTGAACCTAGGCGAAAGCAGATTGTTTCCTCTACTTAGGAAATACTTCGCACATTTTCGTTGCTTATAAATTTGATGATTTTAATTTGTACAGTTATAATTTATGATATTGACTTGTACAGTTATATATATTTTACATATAATAGATATTATATATTATATATAGATATACTATATATAATTTTATTTTCTAAAGTAAAGAATATCATTACACATTAACAAAATAGATATAACTGTTTTCTTTCTACTATTTGTTACTGGTGTATACTGCAAATCCCTAATGGATACTGAAATTCTTATCTCTAAGCCCCTCTATGACTATGAAAAGAAATGGGTTCAAGTTTATTTTAAAAATCAAAGAGTTTATTAATAACATTATTGTTATCATGTCCAATTGATACTATCATTATTAAAAAGTTTAATCACTTATTTCTTGAAGGACCTAATTAGGAAATATATATGTGTGTGTATATCTATATTCTATCTATATATATCCTATATCTATATTCCATATATATTCTATATCTATATTCTATATCTGTATTCTACATATATTCTATATATAGTCTATCTATATTCTATCTATATCCTATACATATTCTATCTATATCCTATATATAGTCTATCTATATTCTATCTATATCCTATATATAGTCTATCTATATTCTATCTATATCCTATATATAGTCTATATATATTCTATCGATATCCTGTATATAGTCTACATATTTTCTATCTATATCCTATATATAGTCTATATACTCTATATATCCTATATAGTCTATGTATATTCTATATATATCCTATATAGTCTATGTATATTCTATATATATCCTATATAGTCTATGTATATTCTATATATATCCTATATAGTCTATGTATATTCTATATATATCCTATATAGTCTATGTATATTCTATATATATCCTATATAGTCTATGTATATTCTATATATATCCTATATAGTCTATATATATTCTATATAGTCTATATATATTCTATATGTTTATCCTATATATATTCTCTATACATATTCTATATATATATAGACACACACACACACACACACATATATAGTAGCCTGATATTTAAAAAATAAGATTGGGACTGCATAAAATAAGCTCACCCAGACAATAGGGGTACAGACATATGTATAATTCAGCAAGAACTGGTAACAAAGTGAGATATGTCAACTCTTTGTAGCATATTGTTAAGTAGTATTAAAAAACAAGTAATTTTTGGTTGGGTCCATTGAGAGAATAACATTATTTTTAGAATGATCTAATGGCACAATAAGCATTTTAGCATTTTACCTGCAAAAGCATTATAGCTGTGCCAGTTTCTGTTCCAAGAAAAAAACACATTGGTGTATTCTCTAAAGGAGGAAATTCTGACCTCAACTATGTTCAGATAGCTGTGGCAGATAATACTCTGATCAGGTACTAAGTCATATATCTTTCACATTTCCCTTTGCTAGTTATACTCAGCATGTGGTTGGAAATGGAATCAAAGCCCAGTCTGGAAATCCTGAAGTCAAAGTCAAAGGAACTGATCCTGTGATAAATCAGATTATTGATAAACTGAAGCATGTTATTCAGGTAAGTCCTGATCCTATATTTTTTGGTATAGCCAATAATAAATAATAAGTGGTCACTTTCTGTTATACTTGATAAATTTGTTAACCCTATCAGATAATCCTGCCTAAAATATTGTAACACATTATTTGTATCAGGACTTTTGGGAATATTTAGTTTAATGATTTTTGTATGCAGTCAATATGCAGTGGTATTTTAATGTTGGACAATCTGTATATGTGAAAAGCAAGCCTCAGCCTCAGCATTTCAATAATGAGAATCTCAGGACATGCATTGTCTTCAGTGAATAAGTTTGAACGTGGGAATCACTGTGACCATTAAAGAAAACACATAGAAGACCATAGAAGATGCCAGAGTTTTCTTTCAGGTAATTCTCTGAATGTTGCTATGAAGGTTTTTGCAGCATTTCAATACAAATTAGGTCATAGATGAATAATATGTACTTCTAATATTTATTTCCTATATCACCTTTTATATGTTATCTTATAATCTACCTAATGGTTGTTTATGAAATACTTCTCTTTTATCTTCAATAATATTTTTCATCAAGTGAGTGTGTATTGCTGTTTTTAATACATGACAAATGAAGCATGAACATATTTATCAAAATAATATTTCATTGAAATAGTCTATTAATTAGAACCAAACATGATGTTGCATGTTGTAAATATTACTCTGCATTCTGCATCTATTGATGTTTGGGGAAAGAAAGGCTATTTTTTTTTTTTAGTTAATAGTCATTTTATAAAAATTTATATTTGAATATACTTTCATTTTTCCTAAGCAGAACTTTGCATGGCTAGCTGATGCTTATTTCTAGTATCGTGCATCAGAAACAATACCTAAATAGTACAGAGTTTTTATTGCATACAACATATTCCAGAGCCAGTAGTAGGCTTCTCATAATTGTTCTGCAAAGACAAAGCTTAAGTTTATGCAGAGCCAATTCCTGGGTTTCCATTTTTCACGAGTCCCTATCTCTCAAGGAGAGGATATGTAAGAAGGACTTGGGGGTTGGTGTCCAATACCGTAGACTTCTCCCTTCTGTGAGGCAACAATGCTTATTCTACCATTGATACCTATAGAAAACAGCTCTCACCCTGGCTGGCAAAACCAAAAATAAATTCTATTGGAAAAGTCTAAGAGAAAAGTGGTATCATGACTACTGATGAGTTAAACCTTCCAGCCTCTGCTGAGCTGGTCCAGTTGGTACCTCACAGTATCGTCCACTGTAGTATAATATGTACAGCTAGATTATTTGAAAATTCGACCGCATAATTGATAATAAAACCAAAAGAGCTTTAATATTAATGTTCTCTCATTGAGGAGTGAGTACAATCTCACTGTGAGGACACAGTGAAATCTTAGGGGTTTCTTAAGTGGGGTAAGCATTCCACAGAGGATGGAGGAAGAAAAACTAGAACTTAAATATATATTTATTCCATCTCATTCTTTTATATTTCTTTGGTTGTAGTAAGGTATATAAAATATGTAATATATTAGTGCAATAGCATATACATATAATTTATAAATACATAAATATACATATTAACTGGACATTTGTTCAGATTGTTTTTCTAAGATATATACATGATGAAAGCAGAACAGAGACCCTGTTACAGATAATAAGGATAGAGCTGTTCCATGAGAAGTGCCGTTATAAGAAAACACATTCACAGAGGAACACATAGATACCCAAGATAGAAAGGATTATAAAAACCCTTAGGAGGAGGGCTCATATATTTATTACCCATTCAGCAACCCCCCTCCCCATTTCTTGTTTCGTAGGTTTCAAAGCCTTTTCAAGGTGGCAGAGGGAAGTCATCCTGCCTTTCTTTTTTAGCTTCTGTGTGAACTTGAGTCCCATTCTTTATTCTTTATAGGAGTGTGCAGATCTCCAATTATTCATGCTTAAGTTTCATTCTGGGGTTGCAAGAGAATATAAAATGCAGTGCTACCTTTGAGGTCTATCATTTTAAGATCTGCTAGATTTATATGATAGAAATGTAGATTTTTATAGAGGACAGCGGAAAGTCATATCTTGCACAGGTGTCACTGAAAATTTACATTTAATATCTAAGAATATGCTCTTTCATGAACTGCTCTCCTGGAGATGAAGAGAAGTGTTTTACTTTGCCAATTTTTTTTTTTTTTTTTTTTTTTTTTTTTTTTTTGAGACAGAGTTTCCCTCTTGTTGCCCAGGCTGGAGTGCAATGGCGCGATCTCGGCTCGCTGCAACCTCCGCCTCCTGGATTCAAGAGATTCTCCTGCCTCAGCCTCCAGAGCAGCTGGGATTACAGGCACGTGCCACCACAGCCCGGCTAATTTTTTTTGTATTTTTAGTAGAGACAGGGTTTCTCCATGTTGCTCAGGCTGGTCTCGAACTCCCGACCTCAGGTGATCCACCTGCCTCGGCCTCCCAAAGTGCCGATTACAGGCGTGAGCCACGGCGCCCGGCCTACTTTGCCAAACTTTTGACTACTGATGGTGTACGCGTGCCCTGGCAGGGATGGCCATTGTGCTGTCAGTATCAAGGGATGGCTAACAGCACCCACCACAATGTCAGCTATGAAAGGATTCAGAAAATAGCCTTCTGTAAGTCAGAATTTATTAATTAAGGAGTAGGGCCATGGAAGATGTCAACATAGGAATAGGTTTCAGATTCTAAACTGTAGATTTAGATGATCACTTCTTAGTGTTTGTATAAAATTTACTTTATTTTTTATTATAACATGAAGTTCGCTTTCCACCTTTATACTATGAAAAATGCCGTGTCTCACAATAGGGACATACCTGTGTTAAAGTATATGGAAGTAAATCAGCCACAATAGCAAACATTGCCTGCATGGACTCACCCAAAAATGCCTTTCTTGGCCTGCCATTGATCTGAACCTCATTTCTACCTTGCATTGTCTGCAATTAGAGTCACTAAGGAAGTAGATAAAGATTTTTACTTGGAAAATGTCACTTTTTAATGTTTTAATAATTAATTCGTTCAAGATACTCAACAAATGCTCACTGAGTTTCTAGTACGGTCCTGGTTCTGTACAGGCACTGAGGTTAAAGTTGTGAATAAAGCAGACACAACCCTGCTCTCATGGGCTTTCCATTGTAAGAAAAAAGTAAATAAACAAACCAATGAAACCAGTATTGTAGCTGACACATGTTATGCACAAAACCAAACAAGGTGAGGTAAGGAAAGATATTTAAGAAGAGTGTGCTGGTGAAGGCCACTCAGGGGCAGATGTTTGGGTTGATGCTGAATAAGGAGAAGAAAGGAGTCATGGGAAAACCTGTGAGAACTGTGTCTGGGGCAGAAGGCAAAGTAGGTGTAAAGGCCCTGTGGCAGGAATAAGTTTATTTTATTCAGAGAACAGAAGGCCAGGTGGCTAAAACAGAGTGAGTTAAAGGGAGGAGATAAACATACATCATGTTTTGGGGAGTCCAGTAGGCTCTGGTAAAGAGTTTATATTTTCTCCTAAATAGACTAAGAAGTCATTTTAAAACTGTAAGCAGAAACTAGCTGCGCGCAGTGGCTCATACCTGTAATCTCAGCACTTTGGGAGGCTGAGGTGGGTGGATCACCTTAAGTCAGGAGTTTGAGACCAGCCTGGCCAACATGGTGAAACCCCATCTCTTCTAAAAATACAAAAATTAGCTGAGCACGGTGGAGCGTGCCTGTAATGCCAGCTACTGAGGAGGCTGAGGAAGGAGAATCGCTTGAACCCAGGAGTCGGAGCCTGCAGTGAGCCAAGATCGCGCCACTGCACTCCAGCCTGGATGACAGAGCAAGACTCCTTCTCAAAATAAATAAATAAATAAAAATACATCACAAATTTAATAAATAAATAAATAACTGTAAGCAGAAGCTGATACAATTTAATACATGTTTTATGAGGACTTCACTATGAAAACTGGACCCTGCGTACAAGAATGGAAAAAAGAAAGTAACACAGACAGAAGGCCACATAATTGGAGCTAGAATAATAAGAGTGGATAAGCTGAGAAGTGCATAGATTTAGACAAATATTGGAAGCGGGGTTTTTAGGATTTGTTAATGGATTGGAAATTTGGGAGACGGAAGAAAGATGATAGCGAGGTTTGGTGGGATGATAGTGTCACTAAGTGAGAAAAGGAATTCTGAGAGAGGAGCAGGCCTGGCGGAGGGTCCCTGGGATTGATTAGAAATCAGTGGTTTTGTTAACTGTGAGATGCTTGTTAGATGCCCAAGAGGGATGTGCAGAACTCAGGGAGACCACACAACTGGAGGTGTATGTTTGTAAGCATCAGCACGTGGATAGTATTTAAGCCCTGAGATTGTATAAGGTTGTCACCTTTCCTTTAGAGTATAAATTCACACCAAAACTATTGGTGGAGATGATAGGACAAGGGAATCATACAAAAAAAATTGTACTGCAAAAAGCTATGAATGAATAAAACATTTCATTAAATGTATTTGGCACCTTGTATATACTTAGTTGATCTAGGACAGAGAAGATAGTAACATTCATTTTTTCTTACTGTAAGAATAATGACCCAGGAGGCGGAGGCTGCAGTGAGCTGAGATCAGGCCACTGCACACTAGCTCTAGCAGACAGAGTGAGACTCCGTCTCAAAAAAAAAAAAAAAAAAAGAATAATGAATGCTCATCAGAGGGAATTGAATTTTATTATTCTAGGAAATCTGATGGAAAAAGTGAAAAATAAATATTGATACCATTTATAAAACAATGAAAAGACTTATAAGAGAAGCCATCTAGGCTTTTCTCTATACTTAATTATACATATAAATACATCAGTACTTTACTTCAAAAAATAAGATCATAGGGTACATTTGATTTTATGATCTGAACTGCTCACCTGACCACACAAAACAAATACTTTACCATGACATTAAATAGTCTGCTCTCTGGTTGTTAGTGCTGGCATACTATTCTATCATATGGAAAAATTACAGTTTTCCTCCACCCAGTCACCGAAAGTTGGATATTTAGGATGCGACCAGTTTTTCATGATAATAAAGACTAATAGGAACAGCAGTAGACACAAGATGTTTTTGGCATCTTTTTTTTCTTGTAATACGTTCTACATATTGAAACTAATAATTGTATTTTGCTACATATTGCCACGTTTTTCTCAAGGAAAATTATAGCTAACAGAAAGTGTCAGCTTTCTCTGTGTGTTAAGGGTGTGGGTGGAAGCTCGGCAGTGACGCTGAGACATATTGGTATGGAACATCATTGGACTCTCTAGAGATCAAGGTAGCAGTCCTGTAGAAATGTTAGCCCGAGCTATGTGTCACCTGGGAGTACTCCAAGGACGGCCAAAAGAAATATTTTAGTTAGAAGACAATTTATAAGAAAAGTTTAGAGGCTTCCTAGAGAGGTCATAGCATACACAATTTTATTTCATCCTTTAGGGCAAGCCATATACATATGTTCTGCGCACATCTCCTCCTGCACCCTCCTCAAAAAAAAAAAAAAAAAAAAAAAAAAAAAAAAAAAAAGCTGAGATCTGATGTAAATAGATAGCTGTGAATTATAGCTTGGTCCTTAAGGAATATCTCAGAAACTTCAATGTTCCTTCACCCCCTCCGCAAACCCTTCTGAATTGAGAATGGGAACCTTGGCAACAGAGGGGAGTCATGCACCTCCCTTTTCCATCTGTGACTCTGACATCTTCCTCCAGGTCAGCCATGGTGCAAACTCTCACAGTTACTTTCTGGCAGTTTCCTGCATTCCAAACCTGTTTCTGAAATGGGCAATATTTGTCCCCTTGAAAATCACCTGTGATAAATGTGGTATAGCCCATGGCCAGTGAAAATTTTCCTACACGGAGACATATTCCTAAGTGTTAACATTAACTTTTTCAGATGTTTGAGTCAGACTCAATTGCCCTTTCATATTATAGATTGAAAACAACACTTGGTTGATGTTAGTATATCTGATTGAGGAAATATGAGAGCCTTTTTAATTTAGATTTGCTCGCCTAGAAAACTCACTTTGAAACTTCTTGGTCATGTTATGTTTGCTTATGGCAAAGTTATCAGCAAAAAAGTCACTGTTATGCAGCAATTTATCTTTAAACACTAAATGACATCTATCATTTTTCAAAGAAAATAATGTCAGCAGTTAAAATCCTAACTGCTTGAGCACTGTTAGTTGACAATTATAATGCCCCATTGCTTAGAAATTAATTGACCTACTTTCAATAAGAAACATAAAAAGTAATATCACAGCAATTTTCTGGATCTATTTTATTCCAAAACCAATAAATGTTACAGTGTTGTTAAAAGTAATAGATTTAAAAACATTTTATTTTCTTAAACTTAACAATTCAAATAACATAAAATAATATTACGTTTCTATTAAGTATTCATTTTTATACAGACCAAAAGTTCTTTAGAAAATGTCTTCATGTATAATATAAATTTGATTTTTAGATGTGAGAAAAGCAACAATCATAATCGTTGCCTAAATCCACAAAATAAGTAGATATTCTATAATATGTATTTCAGTAATCACAATGTATTGGATTCAGGCAGAGATGAGAGACACTCTGATTTTAGCAGAAAAAGACTGTGTTAAATTACCTCTTTGCCTTTTCTCACTCTGTTCCTAGGATAGCAATATAATAAATAGTAACTTTAGAACGGGGATACACTGAGAAAATGTTCTAATTTAAATCTCAATAGATGATTACACAGGTAGTGTTTACACACACACACACACACACACACAATGACAGGAGTTTTTAAAGATATTAGTATCTCGGAATTTTTGAATTCTGAAAACTGTCCAAGCTTTTATCATTAAATCACTTGTTATGAAACCCATTTTAGAAACACGCTTTCCTATTTTTAATAGCCTATGATAGTCATACAGAATGAGTTAATCAAAATTGATTGGTCAATTGCTAATTGCAAATTCTTTGACCGTAGCATGTCAGCTGATTCTATGAACTTCTACAGACTCTTTCCCTTGGTCCGGGAATTGCCACAACACTCTGACTCCTTTCCCCACAACTCCCTTACATGATATTGTCACCTCCCCAGGCTTACGATACTAATATTCCAGAGAGACGAACAGTCCTTGATTTTGAATAGCAATGCAGTAGTGACCAAAACAGATTTAGTTTTGGTTCAGAAGAAAGTGCTGGATATGCCCTCAGTAACTTTCCATGGTCATCTAATTCAGCAATTAGTTTGAGTAAATTCAATGGAAGGCTGCTTTCTGGAATGGGTAGTGTAATGTACTGACTTCCCTATTAGACATTTCATTTAAAAAAATCAATTGTCCGCATAAAACAACCATTTCAATCAGTGTACATTCAACTGGAAAGGAAAGTTAGAGGACTTTTTTTGAAAGTAATGGGATTGGGGTTGGCCGTTGCTAATTTCTTTTTGATTAACGCGTATGTAATTGTTTTGTGTTGGATAAAAATTTGACTTTTTATTTGCGCGGATGCTGCTGATCTTATATGTTATCATTTCCCATTCAGACTTGAGCTGTTTACCTGCCGGGTTTTCTGTTCATAAAATGTTGAAAGGACGTTAAAATGTAGAACTTTTACATTTTTTATTTAGGTGACTAGGACAAATTCTGGTAATTTGTAGGCTACAACTTAAATGTATTTCTGCTTAAAATATTTTGAAACATGGTTTATTTCACAAATGAGGTTCCAAACTATAACCAGCTCTCACTAAATTCTTATTTATTTATTTATTTTGAGACGGAGTCTTTCTCTGTCACCCAGGCTGGAGTGCAGTGGCCGGATCTCGGCTCACCGCAAGCTCCGCCTCCCGGGTTCACGCCATCCTCCTGCCCCAGCCTCCTGAGTAGCTGGGACTACAGGCGCCCGCCACCACGCCCAGCTCATTTTTTGTATTTTTAGTAGAGACGGGGTTTCCCCGTGTTAGCCAGGATGGTCTGGATCTCCTGACCTCGTGATCCGCCCGCCTCGGCCTCCCAAAGTGCTGGGATTACAGGCGTGAGCCACCGCGCCCAGCCAAAAGATCATTTTTAAATTATGTATCTGGGAATATATTATCAAACCAGGCCTGAAACTTATTAAAAAGATGGTAAAATCTAATTTAACTTCATTTAATACTCCTTTTCTCTTAGTCTTATAAAAGCAAATGAGCTTGTTGGCTTTTAATTATGAAAATATAATTTTAATTTATAAGACATATGTAACAAAGCAAGATAGCTGCTAAATTCACTCTATCCTAGTAACTTCCTATTGCATACATTCATTTTTAATGTAATAAGAAAATCCTTTCAAAATTTTTAAAAGAATCACATTACCCAAGAAGAGGCTCAACATTTCTAGAAAATAAATATGTTCTTAAGACACTTAATAATTCTTGAAATGAAGACCTAATTCTTCAGGGCTTTAAAATATTTGATGTGCACTCTTTACATATATAGAGAGTTTAAATTTAATAATTTCCCTTCTTAAAAAATAAGTGAAACATACCACAAACATATCAAAGCAAGTTATTCATACTTCTCATTTAAGTAACTGTATTGTCATAGCAAAATTATTTTATATCATCAAAAAGCACAAAAGCCTTATTAGAATACTAATTTCAATGTCTGTTTCACAGATTTGCTCAGAATAGATTTTTTCATGCTTCTGCACTAATTCATTGAAGGACAATGTTTTACCGATTCCTGAAAAAATATCATTATCTGCCCCATAGTGGTGGCTCATGCCTGTAATCCTAACACTTTGGGAGGCTGAGGCTGGCAGATTGCTTGAGCCCAGGAGTTCAAGACCAGCCTGGGCAACATGGTGAAAACTCATCTCTACCAAAAAAAAAAAAAAAAAAAGGAAAAAGTTAGCCGGGCAAGGTGGCGGGCACCTGTAGTCCTAGCAACTGAGGAGGCTGAGGTAGGAGGATCACCTGGGCCTGGGAGGTTGAGGTTGTGGTGAGCCATGATTATGCCACTGCATTCCAGCAGTGGGTGACATAGTGAGATCTTGTATCAATAATAATAAGATAAAATAGAAAATAAAAATATCATTAACTGACATTTTAAAAAGTATATTTCCCAATGTATAAATATACTTTGTGGATTAACAAGAGAAAAATTTCAAGATACTGTAAATTTAAAACAAATCTTTATGTATAATACCATCGTAATGTCTTTGACCAGCAGCAATCTATCATGTGAGATAAAAAATATTAAATATGCATTTATTGCATAAATGAATGAAAATCATGATTACCTTGATCACTATATTTAAAATTTAAATGAAGCAGGAAAGTAAATCTTCCTAATTATCATATACTTAACTGTTTAAAATCACTCTAATAACAAGTAATATGTTAATTTTGAATTATAATTTTAAAATGCCTGTATTGTTTCATTCACTCATCCTTCCATTAGTTCAGTGAACAAATATTGATTACTTACCCACTATGTGCCAGGTATCATCATAGATTCAGGGAGTACAAAAATGATTAAACGAAGGGATCAGCTGGAGTGACCGTTTTCTAGAAACAATGCCTATTTCAGTTATGAACTAGTCTGTTTTGAAGAAAGTGGTGAGGGAAAGCTGAAAATCCTATTTTCACTTTATTCAACAAATCTTATTGAGGTCTTATTATGAATCAGGGGCTCTCCTAGGTATGGGCATACAAAATTGATTAAGACTGTGCTTGCTTGCAGAAAACAAACAAAAAAGCATCTCTATAATAAAAAGGAAAAAGAGGAAATTCCCTTTGTAGGTTTCATAGTTTATAGTGATACTGCTGATGTTGTCTCAGAGAATTAGTCACAATTATAGGAACTCAGAAGGCATTCCGTTGAGATGAAATAGAGACTAAATTAGCAGAGATTACTTAGTGAAATAACAATTCGAACATAGTTATAATTCATTTTAGAAGATATTATGGCTCACACATAGTAGATGTGATGACTGAATAACAGGAATGTGGAACGATGGCACCTTGGTAGCCATTACCCATTGCCAACATGATTCTGCATTAAAAAATCTGTGCAAAACGGCCGGGCACGGTGGCTCACGCCTGTAATCCTAGCACTTTGGGAGGCCGAGGAGGGCAGATCACGAGGTCGGGAGATGGAGACCATCCTGGCTAACACGGTGAAACCCCGTAACTACTAAAAATACAAAAAATTAGCTGGGCATGGTGGCACGCGCCTGTAGTCCCAGCTACTCGGGAGGCTGAGGCAGGAGAATCGCTTGAACCTGGGAGGTGGAGGTTGCAGTAAGCTGAGATCGCGCCACTGCACTCCAGCCTGGGCGACAGAGTGAGACTCCATTTCAAAAAAAAAAAAAAAAAAAAAGAACACAACTTTGGAGTATATTAATAAACATTGTGTTTTTTTTAAAAAAAATTTTTAATCTTTAATTTCCGTTTTCACATATTTCTTCTTGCTTCCAAAAGGAAAGGAGTGGGTAGCTCTGTTGTACACCGTCCACGGCCCCTGGATCCGGGCGGGGTCCCCCGGGCCACCTGGGGGTCCACATGCAGCCCCCAGGAGGCCGGTGCGGGGTGAGGTCCGGGGGCCGCCTTATTGCTGAGGTCCGGCCGGTTGGGGCCCCGGCGGCCGCTAGGCGCTCTGGCTGCGCAGCTCCTGGGAGATGAAGCGGCGCAGGCGCTCCAGGTACTGGCTGTAGAGCTGGATGTCTTTGTGCCCGGCGCCCTCCACCCACAGCGGCTCCACAGCCTTGGGGCAGCGCTCCTAGAGCGCCAGCCCCTGCGAGAAGTCGATCACCTCGTCTTTCGTGCCGTGGATGATGAGCACGGGCGACGTGATCTTGGACACCTTCTGGATTCTGCGGGAGGGGCGTGGGGCGGGTGAGAACTCTCCGGGCCCGGGCCCCGCCCCGCCCCGCCCCCGTCCCCGACCCAGTCCCCGTCCCCGCCCCTGTCCCTGCCCCAGCCTGCTCACTTGGGGAAGGCGTCGAAGCAGTAGGTCTTCTTGGTGTCGGGAAGGCGACGCTCAGGTCCAAGGTGAGCGGCGAGTGCAGCACCACCGCGGCGGACTCGTAGCGCGAGGCCAGGTCCACGGTGGGCACTGTGCCGATGCTCTGCCGGTACAGGATGATGCTGTCCGGGCTGATGCGGTACCTGGCGGCACCGGAGCAGGGTCAGCCGCGGCCTCCGACTCGCGCGCACCCCTCCCGCCAGCGGGCGTCCCCGGGCCCAGCTCCAGATGCGACTCTCCAGTCTCCCGGCTCAGCCTAGTCAGTGGGTCAGGCCCAGGCTCCACAGCAGTCCCAAGGGCCACCCCCAGTCCCCCAAGACCGCAGCGGTGGGCGGAGCCGGCGGCCTGGTCCTGTTCCCTGGCGCTATGGTTCACTGGCGTTTCCTAGCCAGGATCTGCTGGATCCTGGCTAGGGAGTCCCCCTCGGGCTAGGGTAGGGGAAGCCCTGGCGCCTCTCCTTCTCTTGGTCATCCCTGGGCGCACACTGGGAACTGTGTGCCCCCCCACATCCTGAATGCTTCACGCCTTCCTGCCCAGGTTAGAAAGCCGTTCCTGGTGCACTGGCCGGAACAGGGTACACTCTTCCTCCCTGCAGCCCTTGCCCACCCCCTTGGCCATGAGGAATTCAGGCAGCTGTGTCCCCACATGTCTCCACCCAATTTTGGACTCTCGGAGTCCCATGCTCAATGAGGTGCCAGCCCAACCCAGGTCAACATCGAGGGTGGCGGCTGCGGGGGCAGCACCTCCTCCCACCAGCGCCTTCCCTTGGGAGTGGACAAGTCCTCGGCCACCTCAGCACCACCAGCTCCCACCCAGGGCCACCCCCACCGCCAGGTCACTGGTGTGCGGCCCCTGGCCCAGCTGGTCCAGCACCAGTACCAAGGCCTCCTCGTGCCCAGTCCCAACCACGCGGGACCCACCTGCCACCCTGTCGATGCCGCAACCCCAGAACTCTCCTCCCACACGCTCCAGGCTCTGATCCCAGGCAGATGCCCTCCTGCGAGGCAGGAGCATGGACAGGTGTGCGTCCCGTCTGCCTGGCATTCGGACTCCACCAGCAGGGCTGTACCCCTCCTTGGCCTGGAATCCCAGCCTCCTGGCAGCACTCCACAGCTCACTGTTCACCCATGCCCCAAAGGATGCTGCCTGGCTGGTGCCTGTGGCCCCAGCTCTGCCTCAGCCTCCTTGGCCTGCTCCCTGGCAGCCAAGGCCAGTAGTGTGCTGAGCCAGCCCAGCCCTGTCACCTGCTCCAGGCAGGAGCCCCCAGCTGCCACCTGGATGTCACCACTCAGACAATCAAACAAGACACATCCTCAGTGGAGGCCCTGAGCGCGATCTGGCCTCCCCCTCACGGCTCTGGGCCGAGGTTCCTGCAGGACAAAGCAGCAGCAGGACAGATGGCCGAGCAGACAGAGCTCAGAGCTGGCCATGGCGGGTGTGACTCTGCCAGTGCCCTGGGCAGTAGAGACAGGAGGGGCCGAGGAAGCTGCATGAAGTGGTGCTTGGTTTCTGCGCCCACACTGCCAGGAGGTCCCCAGAGCCAGGGTGGTGCCAGGGGACCCAGCTCCCAGGCCCACAGAAGGGACTGCCTGGGATATCGCCAAGGCAACGAGGACCCCACCTCCCCAGGGCCTCTGACTTCTCAGAGCTGCGCCTGGCCCCTGCAGGAGCGGGGCAGACCAGTGGGGGGCAGGGCCAGGACGAGACAGCCCCAGCGGGTGGCAAGCAGGAAAGGCCTCCAGAGGCCCACGCGGGTCTTCTGATCCAGAGCAGCACTGGCCCGGGCGGTGGGCGGTGCTCAAACACCAGTGAAGGGCCCAGGAAAGCGCAGGGCTGGGGAGCTGGATGTTTAGGAGGGCTGGATCTGGAATGGAGGCTGGCCCAGACCTCAGGTGTGTGCTGGGGGTCTGCACCTGACCCAGCAGGCCCTGCCCCGGGATGGCCGAGCTCCACAGCCACAGGGCCTCATGGGCCAGGCCTCGGGACCTCGATGCAGCAGCCTCGCCTCACCTGGCCCCAAGTGCTGCCTCGGCCATTGGGCTCCCAGCCACACGTGCACAGACCCCCCCAGACACCACCCACCCCCTCCCGCCGGGTGGCGTCCACGCCCCTGTGACAAGCTCAGCCCCTTCCTGTCCTCAGGCCAGGGGATCCCAGGGAGCCTGGCTCCACAGGCCAGGGTGTGGGGGGACCTGGCCACACCTCAGCCATGTGGAGGCGGCACCCGCACGCCTGAGCTCACCTTTCCGGCTCTCTGGCCGCATGCGTCCACTGTGGCTCCTCTCCTGCAGGGCCGCCCACCTTCCTCCCAGGGAAGCCCGCCCCTCCCCCCGGCCCCCGGCCTGGTCCCCTCTCCGGTGTGCCCAGGCTGAGCTGCCCCCGGGGTCGCCCTCACCTGGTGCGCAGGGCCTGCCGGGCGGCGTCGATGTCGGCGTAGAGGTTCGTCTCGGAGGGCCTGCCCGAGCTGGCACCGTAGCCGGAGTAGTCGTAGGAGAAGATGTTGCAGTGGAGGCGGGAACACAGGCCAATGTAGAAGCTGCTCATCTGGCCCAGGTCCACGCGTTGCCTTCCTTGTTCATGCACCGCTGGTCAGACGCAATTCAACTGATGTAGGCTGGGCTTGGCTAGCATTGGCTTGAAGCTGCAGCTGGTGTCCAGATCTGTTCCATGTATTTGTGATCCTCCTCAGCCCTCCCGGGTACTTGAAGCATGTTATTGTTGTGGCCAAAGTCAGGAGTGCAACCTGCCTGTGCAAAAACATGCCAGGCTTCTGTTGCCTTAAATCCTCTAAGATACCCCTTTGGCTTAAGCAGAGTCACACAGCAAGGATCAAAGTCAAGGAGTGGGGAATTATATCTGTCCCTTAGAGATGGAGATAGGAGAGAGTGTGAACAAATGCAGGAAAATGATCTCATCTACCAGAGTGTCCTTAAAGATTTTAACATAATAAATTCAGTATTGTTTTTGTTTGTTTGAATGAAGCTTTGCATGGACACAGTACAGTGCAAAAGTACTATTTGAACTCTTTTTCCACATTCATAAAATTGCTACATAGTTTCTACCATGATTATATTTTTATGATCCATTTTTGTGTACAGATCTGAAAACTTTATACTAGAATTTATTAGCTGAGGAAAGGAACATGCACTGACATCATCATACACAAATATTTCTCAACATTTTAATGCTTGTGGTATTGTTAATGTTTCTGTGGAAAATTACTTAAAATCATAGAAGTGATTTCTAAGTCAGTTATTGATTTATTCTGATGAATTATAAAAATCAGACTAAATTAGTAATAGAGAAATTACACTTGAAATACTAGTCTGAGCTACAAATGAGATGGATTTTTGTGCTCATCATTTGTACTCTAGTTATGTTTGTTGAGATTGGGTTATGAAAACATCATTATAACATTATCAGCAGAAAAGCCTGTTGTGCTATAATTAAATCTTCTAAACAATCATTTTTGTGGTCTTAATATCCTGGATTTCTCAATTGATTGTAGTAGATAAGAGTTCTCTTTAAATACTACTTATTATCGGTAGCTTGCTTTTCTGTGAAATCTAGAAAATTTAGAATTCTGCATTAACATTTAATAAAATACCTGCTATCCTAATATTGATGCATTATATTTATCTATACAACATGCAACAGGAGAGAAATATCAGATGAATTAGAATATTTGCAGCCTATGGCAATTATCTGTAGCCACATTTTTTTTTGTCTTCAGAAAAATGTAGATGATTTTGGAAATGGATTAGTTCTAGTCTCAATCTAGGAAGAATTACTTATGGAAGTTTTGTGTACAGGATACTGATGTTTTCAAATATAATGCATTATTATTTTAGTTTAGTTTCTTTTGCCACATACTTAGAAATTGTTCAAGTGAACAGGCTATTAAAACGAATGGTATAGATAAATGGTATAGATAGGCATTGTAAACATCCCACTTTTCCCAAGCCATGAATTTTAACACTGGATTAAGGAGATGAAAATGGAGCCATTGGGAATGTGGATTCTTTGCTAATAATTATTTTTCTTCTTTAAAAAGATTCTTCAAAAGGCAAGAACATGGAAGTATTTCAGGAGATATTCTTGAGGTATCTAAAATACATACTCTTCCTATCAAAATCAATAAATAGATGGATGTAAATAAGATAAAGTCAGGGCAACTGATTTTGCATGTGAGTGTACACACAGACACATATCCAGGTTTTCTCCATCTGTTCTCAGTTGCTGAATTATTAGACTCAGCTGACCGCTTGACTGTGTTTAATCTGATAAACAGACCCTTAACAAGAAGAACAATGTTTTAAAAACTGGACTGTTCCTCCTACTTCTCAGCATGCATCAGCCACTCTCTTTCCCCATCCTATCTCCTGCCAAATTGGTCTCTACTTATCTGTTCCACTTGGAGACACTATTTGATGTTGTTGTAAATGACTTAAATGAATATTCACTCTACCTGCTTTCATATTAATTCAGTTTTCATAGGATGGTCTCTGTGGGATCAAGCAAAAGGACTTAGTGGAATATCTCTTATGACTCCATAAAGTAAAGAATGTGGTGAGTTTAGCAGAGTGCACCTTCCTTTACTAAATGTGAATGATGTGTCAGTATAGGGGGCCAGAGTGAAAAGTCCTAACATATGCTTGTTTGGGCAGCCAACAATTGGTCACATTGCACATTTCATGTTACAAAGGAGCCTCATGGTAGTATAAATGAGGGTCAGGAAAAGACACTTAACTGTGCTCTGGGCTTTAAAATGGAGCCAGGGCAAGAATTCTGGAATTTGACAATGTCAGGAAGGAAACCTCTGTAAGCAGGCACGCAGGGGACTCCAGAAATCTCTTCTTTGCCCCTACAACTCTGGACTTTCAGAAATACACACCCCATTCTCCTGTATTAATACACAATTCATGTTCACAACATCAAAAACCAATTTTAAAATAGTAAACCTAAGGTAGATGGAAAGGCATTATAGCCTCAGCATGCCCGAGATGTGAGGAGCAAATCAGAAAGATGTGAGTGTGACGAGAAAGGGACATCGTGCTAACCAATCATTTAAAATTTTTACTCCAAAGAAATGGCAATATTTCACAGGTTTTTTCTCATCACCAATCTCACAAATATACATGTTTTTTGAAAATTTTCCTCTCAATTCTTCTCCTTGACAGTGAAGTCCAGAAGAGGTTGGTTTAGATCTAACTCTTTTCAGCCTCAATACTCCATAATCACTTTGGCTTTTTTGATTATGACTGGACGGCATGTACTATTATTTTAATATTAAATATTTAGGAAATAATTTTAAATGTTATCCTTAAATAACTATGGGCTTTATTCATTTACTGTATGTATTTCTCAAACATTCATAAGAACTTAAGGATTTTAATTCAAATGGTCCCTAAAGTAGAAAATGCACTCACAGATTCTGCATATGTCTTTTAAGAAACAGAAACGTGCCATTTGTTATTAAATTGAGTAGACTTTGTATCCTTTAGAATTTGGGCAGAGTTTTCTTGCTATATTGTAGAGAACCTATCAACCATATCTTAATTTTCGTCTTTTTGAGGTCTTCAAAATTAACATTGGCATTGGTCCACTAATTCCTTGTTTTCTATTTTTGGATGAGTGTGCATAGATTACCTCCATCTTAATTTTCAACATAAACTTTTAGCAGACTCTTTCACCTTTCATTGCCATGTAAGCAGATGTGATTTTTATTCTTTTTTCCTTTTCATTGAACAGTTACTTCATTTGAAATTTTTCACTTGATTTAATTTAACTTTATTTTTTGGTGGTAGATACATCTGTTGCTACCTGTGTCTGGTTGGCATTTTAATGTGTTGCCTCGAAGCTGTAACCACAATAGTGGCACATTTTCCTGCTGTTCCTTTATTCTTTGTTCCATGTGTATCTATTTTCAATAAATTGCATTGGTATATTATCATAGATTTTCTTTTTGTCTCTCAGATTTTCTGTTGTAATTATTTTTATTTATGCCTTTGGAAATATTTTATGATTGTTACATAAAACAGCAGAGCTCTTTCAGAAAGTTTTCATGGTTTTCCAAATGTACATTCATATAGATTATTTAGTAGTTATTACACAATGATCTTTGGAGCAATAAATGCTGTTATGTAAGAACAATTCCCAAATGTAATTTGAGTTATAAGCTAGCCTTTGATGGCCTAGAATTGATGTACCTTTATAATTCTAATCTGCATGCAAATTTAAGAAGACCAAGGATTGAGGATTGGGTGCATAATTTTCAGGGCCCAGTAAAAAGTGAAAATGTAGAACCCTTTGATAAAAACTTACAAAGAATTTCAAGATGACCATAATAGGCCATGCACAAGGCCTTTCTAGATGGGTAGAGTGACCATGAAGCCATGGGCATTGTTTGGTTTTGTTTAATCTTACTGTTTGGTTGTAAAGCAGATTTTTAAATCAAGAGAAAAAAGAACACCAAAGAAGATCTCTGTCAAAATGTTTGAAGCATTATAGAAGATTAGATCCATATAAATGAAAGGGATAAAGAAAAAGCACATATCCAACCTCAAATATAAAGCATGGAATTCTCATATGAACTCCATTATAGCACTTGATATTTCAGCTCTATTTTCATTTTTGAACAACTCTAGATATATCTATATATTTTAGTCTAAAATTTAATTTTTATAAATTCTAAGTACTTCCCCAAATTCTACCTTAGATAAACAATTCAGAGATAACTCTGTTTCCTATTCTATTAGGTGGAACCATATGAAATTGTCAGTATTCAGCCTTTTTTGTCCTACAAAAAAATGACAGTTTTGTGTTTCCACCTAACACATGGCAGCCCAATAAATATGTGAAGGTCAGGACCACAGAGCTACCACACTAAACAATACTAAATGCATACACATACCCTTTCCAAAACCCGGCAGGTCTTCTTTTCCCCAAGTGAATCATTCTTTGACTCTTCACCCATTATTCATGTGAGAAATTTTCCAGGCACTTCAACATGTCAGCCGAGTGACTGTGACAATTAGGTTTATTAATTCTCCTCTCACAATTTGACATTCTTTATTGAAAAGCATGATCTAAATGTTGACTAATAGTCTGCATAGTGAAACATATTTACTAGTTCCAATGACCTAAAACAGTGTAAACCATGATTCAGAAATTTATTTTCTTAAAAACTTCTAAACAAAATGTCTGCTAGGATAAACCGGTGCAATTTCTATGTGAAACCTAAGAATTTCAATGACACATTTTCATCCTTATTGCCATCAAATAATCCCTTTAATAGTGCCCCATCTTTCTTACTCCTTCATATGATTTTCTATATTATTATTTTCCATCACTCATTCTGTTAAAACTATAATAGTTTCTTCAGAGAAATGACACATTTTCCCACTTCAGAGGCATTTCTGCATTGAGCTCTCATAAACCTCTCTAACATGGTGGGCAATAGACTCAATAACATTTGTGTATAAACTCAGTTGTGAATTACAAAAGGCTCATCTATAACGTCAAAAAGCAACTCGGTAAAAACAATTCTATTGAAGACAGTATGATCTAAATATATAATTTTAGGATGGCTTCAACTGAGACAAAAATAGCATCGATACAGTGTGGAGCAATGAATTTCTAAAATTTTTATCTGCTTAACATTTTTCATCAGCACAATTTATACAGAAGCCCAACATGAGATATTCTTGTTCACATGGAATTTCTCTGCCCGCTGGAGCCCTGTAGAAATCCCACTGTGTTGGTAAACAGCAGCAGCAACAAGAAGATACTAAACTGGAATTCTCAGTGGCTCAACCAAACCAAAGTTTGTTGGTTGCTCCCATAAAGTTCAATGTCAGTCAGAATAAACTCCTCTAGCCTTAACCTATGACACACATGGCACATAACCTTCCAAGTACTGGCAGTGGAAAAGGAGAGAACTTGGGAATGAGGCAGGGGCTTCATGGTGAACATGGTGAAACCTCATCTTTACCAAAAATACAAAAATTAGGTGGGTGTGGTGGAGTGTGCCTGTAGTCCCAGCTACTCAGGAGGCTGAGGTAGAAGGATCGCTTGGGCCTGGGAGGTCAAGGCTGCAGTGAACCAAGGTGGTGCCACTGCACTCCAGCCTGGGTAACAGAGTGAGATCCTGTCTCAAAAAAAAAAAAAAAAAATTGTGAAGGTGAAATTTAAATACCTTTGTGCATAGCTATCAGTTATTCTTTGTTTTAATATTTAGTTTATTGTGAAATATAACACATATAGAAACATACATAAAACAACACACAGGGCCAGGCCCGGTGGGTCACGCCTTGTAATCCCAGCACTTTGGGAGGCCGAGGCGGACGGATTACTTGAGGTGAGGAGTTTGAGACCAGCCTGGCCAACATGGTGAAACCCCATCTCTACTAAAAATACAAAAATTAGTCGGATGTGGTGGTGCATGCCTGTAATCCCAGCTACTTGGGAGGCTGAGGCAGGAGAATCGCTTGAACCAGGGAGGCAGAAGTTACAGTGAACCAAGATCGCACTACTGCACTCCAGCCTGGGCAACGGAGTCAGACTGTGTATAAAAAAAAAAAAAAAAAAAATAGGCTGGATGTGGTGGCTCACGCCTGTAATCCCAGCACTTTGGGAGGCCGAGGCGGGCAGATCACTTGAGGTCAGGAGTTCGAGACCAGCCTGACCAACATGGAGAAACCCCATCCCTACTAAAAGTACAAAATTAGCTGGGCGTGGTGTTGCATGTCTGAAATCCCAGCCACTTTGGAGGCTGAGGCAGGAGAATCGCTTGAATCTGGGAGGTAGAGGTTGTTGTGAGCTGAGATCACGCCATTGTACTCCAGCCTGGGCAACAAGAGCGAAACTCCGTCTCAAACAAACAAAAAACAAAACAAAAACAAAAAACACAGTGTAACATGTTATTATAAAGTCACTGCTCAGGGACCAACTTGGCCGCTCCTGTGCCTCTAGAGGGAAGCTCCTTCCCACTGTTCTTTAGAGTTTTATATGTTAAGTACAGGAGTCAACAAACTAGGCCTATGCACCACATCTGGCACCCAGCCTTTATTTATTTTTTGAGATGGCGTCTCACTCTGTCACCCTGGCTGCAGTGTGGTAGCACAATCTCGGCTCACTGCAACCTCCGCCTCCCAGATTCAGGCAATTCTCCTGCCTCAGCCTCCTGAGTAGCTGGGATTACAGGTGTGTGCCACCACACCCGCCTAATTTTTATATTTTTGGTAGAGACGGGGTTTCACCATGTTGGTCAGTCTGGTCTCGAACTCCTGACGTCAGGTGATCCGCCTGCGTTGCCCTCTCAAAGTGCTGGGATTACAGGCATGAGGCATGATGCCTGACCCAGCCTTTTCTAAAATGAAGGTTTCGGCTGGCGCGGTGGCTCATGTCTGTAGTCCCAGCATTTTGGGAGGCCAAGGCAGGTGGATCACCTGAGGTCAGTAGTTGGAGACCACCCTGGCCAACATGGTGAAACCCCGTCTGTATCAAAATACAAAAATTAGCTGGGCGTGATGGCAGGCACATGTAATGCCAGCTACTCGGGAGCCTGAGGCACGACAATCACTTGAACCTGGGAGGCGGAGGTTGCAGTGAGCCAAGATCACATGATTGCACTCCAGCCTGGGCAACGAGCGAAACTCCATCTCAAAATATAATAATAAAAAAAAGGATGTCCTTTTTTGTCTCTCAACCCCGTTTTTTATTTTTTTTTATTTTCAGACAGGGTCTCACTCTGTTGCCCAGGGTGGAGTGCAGGGGCCCGATCTTAGCTCACTGCGGCCTCAACTTCCCCAGCTCACATGATCCTCCCACCTCAGCCTCCCAAACAGCTGGGACCACAGGTGGGTACCAGAAGTTACTAGGATAGAGTGAATTTAGCAGCTATCTTGCTTTGTAACATATGTCTTATAAATTAAAATTATATTTTCATAATTAAAAGCCAACAAGCTCATTTGCTTTTATAAGACTAAGAGAAAAGGAGTATTAAATGAAGTTAAATTAGATTTTACCATCTTTTTAATAAGTTTCAGGCCTGGTTTGAGAATATATTCCCAGATACATAATTTAAAAATGATCTTTTGGCTGGGCGCGGTGGCTCACGCCTGTAATCCCAGCACTTTGGGAGGCCGAGGCGGGCGGATCACGAGGTCAGGAGATCCAGACCATCCTGGCTAACACGGGGAAACCCCGTCTCTACTAAAAATACAAAAAATGAGCTGGGCGTGGTGGCGGGCGCCTGTAGTCCCAGCTACTCAGGAGGCTGGGGCAGGAGGATGGCGTGAACCCGGGAGGCGGAGCTTGCGGTGAGCCGAGATCCGGCCACTGCACTCCAGCCTGGGTGACAGAGAAAGACTCCGTCTCAAAATAAATAAATAAATAAATAAATAAATAAGAATTTAGTGAGAGCTGGTTATAGTTTGGAACCTCATTTGTGAAATAAACCATGTTTCAAAATATTTTAAGCAGAAATACATTTAAGTTGTAGCCTACAAATTACCAGAATTTGTCCTAGTCACCTAAATAAAAAATGTAAAAGTTCTACATTTTAACGTCCTTTCAACATTTTATGAACAGAAAACCCGGCAGGTAAACAGCTCAAGTCTGAATGGGAAATGATAACATATAAGATCAGCAGCATCCGCGCAAATAAAAAGTCAAATTTTTATCCAACACAAAACAATTACATACGCGTTAATCAAAAAGAAATTAGCAACGGCCAACCCCAATCCCATTACTTTCAAAAAAAGTCCTCTAACTTTCCTTTCCAGTTGAATGTACACTGATTGAAATGGTTGTTTTATGCGGACAATTGATTTTTTTAAATGAAATGTCTAATAGGGAAGTCAGTACATTACACTACCCATTCCAGAAAGCAGCCTTCCATTGAATTTACTCAAACTAATTGCTGAATTAGATGATCATGGAAAGTTACTGAGGGCATATCCAGCACTTTCTTCTGAACCAAAACTAAATCTGTTTTGGTCACTACTGCATTGCTATTCAAAATCAAGGACTGTTCGTCTCTCTGGAATATTAGTATCGTAAGCCTGGGGAGGTGACAATATCATGTAAGGGAGTTGTGGGGAAAGGAGTCAGAGTGTTGTGGCAATTCCCGGACCAAGGGAAAGAGTCTGTAGAAGTTCATAGAATCAGCTGACATGCTACGGTCAAAGAATTTGCAATTAGCAATTGACCAATCAATTTTGATTAACTCATTCTGTATGACTATCATAGGCTATTAAAAATAGGAAAGCGTGTTTCTAAAATGGGTTTCATAACAAGTGATTTAATGATAAAAGCTTGGACAGTTTTCAGAATTCAAAAATTCCGAGATACTAATATCTTTAAAAACTCCTGTCATTGTGTGTGTGTGTGTGTGTGTGTGTGTGTGTAAACACTACCTGTGTAATCATCTATTGAGATTTAAATTAGAACATTTTCTCAGTGTATCCCCGTTCTAAAGTTACTATTTATTATATTGCTATCCTAGGAACAGAGTGAGAAAAGGCAAAGAGGTAATTTAACACAGTCTTTTTCTGCTAAAATCAGAGTGTCTCTCATCTCTGCCTGAATCCAATACATTGTGATTACTGAAATACATATTATAGAATATCTACTTATTTTGTGGATTTAGGCAACGATTATGATTGTTGCTTTTCTCACATCTAAAAATCAAATTTATATTATACATGAAGACATTTTCTAAAGAACTTTTGGTCTGTATAAAAATGAATACTTAATAGAAACGTAATATTATTTTATGTTATTTGAATTGTTAAGTTTAAGAAAATAAAATGTTTTTAAATCTATTACTTTTAACAACACTGTAACATTTATTGGTTTTGGAATAAAATAGATCCAGAAAATTGCTGTGATATTACTTTTTATGTTTCTTATTGAAAGTAGGTCAATTAATTTCTAAGCAATGGGGCATTATAATTGTCAACTAACAGTGCTCAAGCAGTTAGGATTTTAACTGCTGACATTATTTTCTTTGAAAAACGATAGATGTCATTTAGTGTTTAAAGATAAATTGCTGCATGACAGTGACTTTTTTGCTGATAACTTTGCCATAAGCAAACATAACATGACCAAGAAGTTTCAAAGTGAGTTTTCTAGGCGAGCAAATCTAAATTAAAAAGGCTCTCATATTTCCTCAATCAGATATACTAACATCAACCAAGTGTTGTTTTCAATCTATAATATGAAAGGGCAATTGAGTCTGACTCAAACATCTGAAAAAGTTAATGTTAACACTTAGGAATATGTCTCCGTGTAGGAAAATTTTCACTGGCCATGGGCTATACCACATTTATCACAGGTGATTTTCAAGGGGACAAATATTGCCCATTTCAGAAACAGGTTTGGAATGCAGGAAACTGCCAGAAAGTAACTGTGAGAGTTTGCACCATGGCTGACCTGGAGGAAGATGTCAGAGTCACAGATGGAAAAGGGAGGTGCATGACTCCCCTCTGTTGCCAAGGTTCCCATTCTCAATTCAGAAGGGTTTGCGGAGGGGGTGAAGGAACATTGAAGTTTCTGAGATATTCCTTAAGGACCAAGCTATAATTCACAGCTATCTATTTACATCAGATCTCAGCTTTTTTTTTTTTTTTTTTTTTTGAGGAGGGTGCAGGAGGAGATGTGCGCAGAACATATATATATGGCTTGCCCTAAAGGATGAAATAAAATTGTGTATGCTATGACCTCTCTAGGAAGCCTCTAAACTTTTCTTATAAATTGTCTTCTAACTAAAATATTTCTTTTGGCCGTCCTTGGAGTACTCCCAGGTGACACATAGCTCGGGCTAACATTTCTACAGGACTGCTACCTTGATCTCTAGAGAGTCCAATGATGTTCCATACCAATATGTCTCAGCGTCACTGCCGAGCTTCCACCCACACCCTTAACACACAGAGAAAGCTGACACTTTCTGTTAGCTATAATTTTCCTTGAGAAAAACGTGGCAATATGTAGCAAAATACAATTATTAGTTTCAATATGTAGAACGTATTACAAGAAAAAAAAGATGCCAAAAACATCTTATGTCTACTGCTGTTCCTATTAGTCTTTATTATCATGAAAAACTGGTCGCATCCTAAATATCCAACTTTCGGTGACTGGGTGGAGGAAAACTGTAATTTTTCCATATGATAGAATAGTATGCCAGCACTAACAACCAGACAGCAGACTATTTAATGTCATGGTAAAGTATTTGTTTTGTGTGGTCAGGTGAGCAGTTCAGATCATAAAATCAAATGTACCCTATGATCTTATTTTTTGAAGTAAAGTACTGATGTATTTATATGTATAATTAAGTATAGAGAAAAGCCTAGATGGCTTCTCTTATAAGTCTTTTCATTGTTTTATAAATGGTATCAATATTTATTTTTCACTTTTTCCATCAGATTTCCTAGAATAATAAAATTCAATTCCCTCTGATGAGCACTCATTATTCTTTTTTTTTTTTTTTTTTGAGTCGGAGTCTCACTCTGTCTGCTAGAGCTAGTGTGCAGTGGCCTGATCTCAGCTCACTGCAGCCTCCGCCTCCTGGGTCATTATTCTTACAGTAAGAAAAAATGAATGTTACTATCTTCTCTGTCCTAGATCAACTAAGTATATACAAGGTGCCAAATACATTTAATGAAATGTTTTATTCATTCATAGCTTTTTGCAGTACAATTTTTTTTGTATGATTCCCTTGTCCTATCATCTCCACCAATAGTTTTGGTGTGAATTTATACTCTAAAGGAAAGGTGACAACCTTATACAATCTCAGGGCTTAAATACTATCCACGTGCTGATGCTTACAAACATACACCTCCAGTTGTGTGGTCTCCCTGAGTTCTGCACATCCCTCTTGGGCATCTAACAAGCATCTCACAGTTAACAAAACCACTGATTTCTAATCAATCCCAGGGACCCTCCGCCAGGCCTGCTCCTCTCTCAGAATTCCTTTTCTCACTTAGTGACACTATCATCCCACCAAACCTCGCTATCATCTTTCTTCCGTCTCCCAAATTTCCAATCCATTAACAAATCCTAAAAACCCCGCTTCCAATATTTGTCTAAATCTATGCACTTCTCAGCTTATCCACTCTTATTATTCTAGCTCCAATTATGTGGCCTTCTGTCTGTGTTACTTTCTTTTTTCCATTCTTGTACGCAGGGTCCAGTTTTCATAGTGAAGTCCTCATAAAACATGTATTAAATTGTATCAGCTTCTGCTTACAGTTATTTATTTATTTATTAAATTTGTGATGTATTTTTATTTATTTATTTATTTTGAGAAGGAGTCTTGCTCTGTCATCCAGGCTGGAGTGCAGTGGCGCGATCTTGGCTCACTGCAGGCTCCGACTCCTGGGTTCAAGCGATTCTCCTTCCTCAGCCTCCTCAGTAGCTGGGATTACAGGCACGCTCCACCGTGCTCAGCTAATTTTTGTATTTTTAGAAGAGATGGGGTTTCACCATGTTGGCCAGGCTGGTCCCAAACTCCTGACTTAAGGTGATCCACCCACCTCAGCCTCCCAAAGTGCTGAGATTACAGGCATGAGCCACTGTGCGCAGCTAGTTTCTGCTTACAGTTTTAAAATGACTTCTTAGTCTATTTAGGAGAAAATATAAACTCTTTACCAGAGCCTACTGGACTCCCCAAAACATGATGTATGTTTATCTCCTCCCTTTAACTCACTCTGTTTTAGCCGCCTGGCCTTCTGTTCTCTGAATAAAATAAACTTATTCCTGCCACAGGGCCTTTACACCTACTTTGCCTTCTGCCCCAGACACAGTTCTCACAGGTTTTCCCATGACTCCTTTCTTCTCCTTATTCAGCATCAACCCAAACATCTGCCCCTGAGTGGCCTTCACCAGCACACTCTTCTTAAATATCTTTCCTTACCTCACCTTGTTTGGTTTTGTGCATAACATGTGTCAGCTACAATACTGGTTTCATTGGTTTGTTTATTTACTTTTTTCTTACAATGGAAAGCCCATGAGAGCAGGGTTGTGTCTGCTTTATTCACAACTTTAACCTTAGTGTCTGTACAGAACCAGGACCGTACTAGAAACTCAGTGAGCATTTGTTGAGTATCTTGAACGAATTAATTATTAAAACATTAAAAAGTGACATTTTCCAAGTAAAAATCTTTATCTACTTCCTTAGTGACTCTAATTGCAGACAATGCAAGGTAGAAATGAGGTTCAGATCAATGGCAGGCCGAGAAAGGCATTTTTGGGTGAGTCCATGCAGGCAATGTTTGCTATTGTGGCTGATTTACTTCCATATACTTTAACACAGGTATGTCCCTATTGTGAGACACGGCATTTTTCATAGTATAAAGGTGGAAAGCGAACTTCATGTTATAATAAAAAATAAAGTAAATTTTATACAAACACTAAGAAGTGATCATCTAAATCTACAGTTTAGAATCTGAAACCTATTCCTATGTTGACATCTTCCATGGCCCTACTCCTTAATTAATAAATTCTGACTTACAGAAGGCTATTTTCTGAATCCTTTCATAGCTGACATTGTGGTGGGTGCTGTTAGCCATCCCTTGATACTGACAGCACAATGGCCATCCCTGCCAGGGCATCAGTAGTCAAAAGTTTGGCAAAGTAGGCCGGGCGCCGTGGCTCACGCCTGTAATCGGCACTTTGGGAGGCCGAGGCAGGTGGATCACCTGAGGTCGGGAGTTCGAGACCAGCCTGAGCAACATGGAGAAAACCTGTCTCTACTAAAAATACAAAAAAAATTAGCCGGGCTGTGGTGGCACGTGCCTGTAATCCCAGCTGCTCTGGAGGCTGAGGCAGGAGAATCTCTTGAATCCGGGAGGCGGAGGTTGCAGCGAGCCGAGATCGCGCCATTGCACTCCAGCCTGGGCAACAAGAGGGAAACTCTGTCTCAAAAAAAAAAAAAAAAAAAATTGGCAAAGTAAAACACTTCTCTTCATCTCCAGGAGAGCAGTTCATGAAAGGGCATATTCTTAGATATTAAAGGTAAATTTTCAGTGACACCTGTGCAAGATATGACTTTCCGCTGTCCTCTATAAAAATCTACATTTCTATCATATATATCTAGTAGATCTTAAAATGATAGACCTCAAAGGTAGCACTGCATTTGATATTCTCTTGCAACCCCAGAATGAAACTTAAGCATGAATAATTGGAGATCTGCACACTCCTATAAAGAATAAAGAATGGGACTCAAGTTCACACAGAAGCTAAAAAAGAAAGGCAGGATGACTTCCCTCTGCCACCTTGAAAAGGCTTTGAAACCTACAAAACAAGAAATGGGGAGGGGGGTTGCTGAATGGGTAATAAATATATGAGCCCTCCTCCTAAGGGTTTTTATAATCCTTTCTATCTTGGGTATCTATGTGTTCCTCTGTGAATGTGTTTTCTTATAACTGCACTTCTCATGGAACAGCTCTATCCTTATTATCTGTAACAGGGTCTCTGTTCTGCTTTCATCATGTATATATCTTAGAAAAACAATCTGAACAAATGTCCAGTAAATATGTATATTTATGTATTTATAAATTATATGTATATGCTATTGCACTAATATATTACATATTTTATATACCTTACTACAACCAAAGAAATATAAAAGAATGAGATGGAATAAATATATATTTAAGTTCTAGTTTTTCTTCCTCCATCCTCTGTGGAATGCTTACCCCACTTAAGAAACCCCTAAGATTTCACTGTGTCCTCACAGTGAGATTGTACTCACTCCTCAATGAGAGAACATTAATATTAAAGCCCTTTTGGTTTTATTATCAATTATGCGGTCGAATTTTCAAATAATCTAGCTGTACATATTATACTACAGTGGACGATACTGTGAGGTACCAACTGGACCAGCTCAGCAGAGGCTGGAAGGTTTAACTCATCAGTAGTCATGATACCACGTTTCTCTTAGACTTTTCCAATAGAATTTATTTTTGGTTTTGCCAGCCAGGGTGAGAGCTGTTTTCCATAGGTATCAGTGGTAGAATAAGCATTGTTGCCTCACAGAAGGGAGAAGTCTACGGTATTGGACACCAACCCCCAAGTCCTTCTTACATATCCTCTCCTTGAGAGATAGGGACTCGTGAAAAATGGAAACCCAGGAATTGGCTCTGCATAAACTTAAGCTTTGTCTTTGCAGAACAATTATGAGAAGCCTACTACTGACTCTGGAATATGTTGTATGCAATAAAAACTCTGTACTATTTAAGTATTGTTTCTGATGCACGATACCAGAAATAAGCATCAACTAGCCATGCAAAGTTCTGCTTAGGAAAAATGAAAGTATATTCAAATATAAATTTTTATAAAATGACTATTAACTAAAAAAAAAAATAGCCTTTCTTTCCCCAAACATCAATAGATGCAGAATGCAGAGTAATATTTACAACACGCAACATCATGTTTGGTTCTAATTAATAGACTATTTCAATGAAATATTATTTTGATAAATATGTTCATGCTTCATTTGTCATGTATTAAAAACAGCAATACACACTCACTTGATGAAAAATATTATTGAAGATAAAAGAGAAGTATTTCATAAACAACCATTAGGTAGATTATAAGATAACATATAAAAGGTGATATAGGAAATAAATATTAGAAGTACATATTATTCATCTATGACCTAATTTGTATTGAAATGCTGCAAAAACCTTCATAGCAACATTCAGAGAATTACCTGAAAGAAAACTCTGGCATCTTCTATGGTCTTCTATGTGTTTTCTTTAATGGTCACAGTGATTCCCACGTTCAAACTTATTCACTGAAGACAATGCATGTCCTGAGATTCTCATTATTGAAATGCTGAGGCTGAGGCTTGCTTTTCACATATACAGATTGTCCAACATTAAAATACCACTGCATATTGACTGCATACAAAAATCATTAAACTAAATATTCCCAAAAGTCCTGATACAAATAATGTGTTACAATATTTTAGGCAGGATTATCTGATAGGGTTAACAAATTTATCAAGTATAACAGAAAGTGACCACTTATTATTTATTATTGGCTATACCAAAAAATATAGGATCAGGACTTACCTGAATAACATGCTTCAGTTTATCAATAATCTGATTTATCACAGGATCAGTTCCTTTGACTTTGACTTCAGGATTTCCAGACTGGGCTTTGATTCCATTTCCAACCACATGCTGAGTATAACTAGCAAAGGGAAATGTGAAAGATATATGACTTAGTACCTGATCAGAGTATTATCTGCCACAGCTATCTGAACATAGTTGAGGTCAGAATTTCCTCCTTTAGAGAATACACCAATGTGTTTTTTTCTTGGAACAGAAACTGGCACAGCTATAATGCTTTTGCAGGTAAAATGCTAAAATGCTTATTGTGCCATTAGATCATTCTAAAAATAATGTTATTCTCTCAATGGACCCAACCAAAAATTACTTGTTTTTTAATACTACTTAACAATATGCTACAAAGAGTTGACATATCTCACTTTGTTACCAGTTCTTGCTGAATTATACATATGTCTGTACCCCTATTGTCTGGGTGAGCTTATTTTATGCAGTCCCAATCTTATTTTTTAAATATCAGGCTACTATATATGTGTGTGTGTGTGTGTGTGTCTATATATATATAGAATATGTATAGAGAATATATATAGGATACACATATAGAATATATATAGACTATATAGAATATATATAGACTATATAGGATATATATAGAATATACATAGACTATATAGGATATATATAGAATATACATAGACTATATAGGATATATATAGAATATACATAGACTATATAGGATATATATAGAATATACATAGACTATATAGGATATATATAGAATATACATAGACTATATAGGATATATATAGAATATACATAGACTATATAGGATATATATAGAATATAGACTATATATAGGATATAGATAGAAAATATGTCGACTATATACAGGATATCGATAGAATATATATAGACTATATATAGGATATAGATAGAATATAGATAGACTATATATAGGATATAGATAGAATATAGATAGACTATATATAGGATATAGATAGAATATGTATAGGATATAGATAGAATATAGATAGACTATATATAGAATATATGTAGAATACAGATATAGAATATAGATATAGAATATATATGGAATATAGATATAGGATATATATAGATAGAATATAGATATACACACACATATATATTTCCTAATTAGGTCCTTCAAGAAATAAGTGATTAAACTTTTTAATAATGATAGTATCAATTGGACATGATAACAATAATGTTATTAATAAACTCTTTGATTTTTAAAATAAACTTGAACCCATTTCTTTTCATAGTCATAGAGGGGCTTAGAGATAAGAATTTCAGTATCCATTAGGGATTTGCAGTATACACCAGTAACAAATAGTAGAAAGAAAACAGTTATATCTATTTTGTTAATGTGTAATGATATTCTTTACTTTAGAAAATAAAATTATATATAGTATATCTATATATAATATATAATATCTATTATATGTAAAATATATATAACTGTACAAGTCAATATCATAAATTATAACTGTACAAATTAAAATCATCAAATTTATAAGCAACGAAAATGTGCGAAGTATTTCCTAAGTAGAGGAAACAATCTGCTTTCGCCTAGGTTCACCTAAACAAAGATCTGGTAAATCATGTGGTAGGTAAAAAGGGTCATTTCACAGGTGGTGAAAGCCATTTGAAATTTCACTACCTTCCCCAAATTACAATCATACGTCAACTTAGAATTAATAAAAATATTTAAATTCATTAGTCGCAAAGATGTCTTAAGTGAATGCTATATTCCAAGTCCTGTACTAGGTCTTTAGGATTATAAGAAGGTGTAAGACTCAATTTTTGTCCTCATAATGCTCATTACTTAACCAAGAATATAACAGATTAATTAACTCATTCATTTGTATGCTTATTCATTACATTTTACTACATTTAAAAAATATCGTAGATTTCAGCCATATAAATACCCTTGTTTGCCTGACAGAAGAGTGTAATATAAACACAACTGAACCGTTAAAATACAACATTATGAAAGTAGATGGAAGGAACTGCACGTGCCACGTGTGAGGAAAGATAAGACAGGTGGTAGATATTCTGGATATAGAGAAGCCCATTTGAACTCAGACACTAGGGAAAAACTAAAGGAGAAGTTATAACTTGAGGTAGCCTTGGATGTATTGAGGTAAGAAGAGGACATCTATGGTATGGTTAATGAGAACTTCAGGGCAAAGGATGTTATCCCAGCAAGGAAAACGGCAAAGGTACTTGAACAAGGCAGACAGGGAGAACAGGCCTCTATTCACAAAGCAGAGAGTACAAACGTTGGAAAGCAATGGATAGAGGGCCACACCCTGAAGATTCCACCCTGAATGTTGAAGACTCTCCACTGAGTGATATAATGGGCTCTGGAGATTCATAAGGGGGAAGTTGGCAGGTGGGTGTGGAATAAAAAAGCTACATGTTTGGTACAATGTACACTACTCAGGTGACAGGTGCAATAAAATCTCAGACTTCACCACTATACAAATTATCCATGTTACCTAAACCACTTGTGCTCCAAAAGCTATTGAAGTAAGACATTTATTTATTTATTTATTTTTATTTATTTATTTTTTTGAGACGGAGTCTGGCTCTGTCGCCCAGGCTGGAGTGCAGTGGCGCAATCTCGGCTCACTGCAAGCTCCGCCTCCCGGGTTCACGCCATTCTCCTGCCTTAGCCTCCCGAGTAGCTGGGACTACAGGTGCCCGCCAGTACGCCCGGCTAATTTTTGTATTTTTAGTAGAGACGGGGTTTCACTGTGTTAGCCAGGATGGTCTCGATCTCCTGACCTCATGATCCGCCCGCCTTGGCCTCCCAAAGTGCTGGGATTACACGCTTGAGCCACCGCGCCCGGCCAAGACATTTAAAAAATGAAAACAAAACACTATCACCTGAGTCATTTGTTTGCTTACATTAAATATCATAATACTTTTCAGCAAAAAATATTATCATTTTAATGTAACTTTCGTTCCCTGTATTTGAGCGGAGTACTGCACTATCCATAAACACCCTCTGAATTTTCTACAGTAATGGAAAAAAATCTTTGAAAAAAATAAAAGAAGGTTCTATGTTTGAGAATATGGCTATATGAAAGGGGTTTCAAGAAATATCCAGTTCTTCCCAAGACGATGTACTTCCAGTGACCAGTTTTAAGAAGTGGAACAGGCCAGGCGCGGTGGCTCACGCCCGTAATCCCAGCACTTTGGGAGTCCGAGGCGGGCAGATCACGAGGTCAGGAGATGGAGACCATCCTGGCTAACACGGTGAAACCCCGTCTCTACTAAAAATACAAAAAATTAGCCGGGCGTGGTGGCGGGCGCCTGTAGTCCCAGCTACTCGGGAGGCTGAGGCAGGAGAATGGCGTGAACCCGGGAGGCAGAGCTTGCAGTGAGCCGAGATCACCTCACTGCACTCCAGCCTGGGTGACAGAATGAGACTCTGTCTCAAAAAAAAAAAAAAAAACCAAAAAAAGGGGATCGAATATTTCCTAACGAGGTCCTTCAAGTAATAATAAGTGATTAAACTTTTTGATAATGATAATATCAATTGGACATGATAAAAATACTATTAATAAATCTTTTGATTTAAAAAATAACCTTGTACCCACTTCTTTTGTAGGCGTGGGGGGAGCTTAGAGTTAAGTATTCCAGTATCCGTTAGGGATTTGGCAGTATACATCAATAACAAATAGTAGAAGGAAAATAATTATACCTGTGTCTCATATATATATATATATATATATATATATATATATATATATATATACACACAGAGAGAGAGAGAGAGAGAGAGAGAGAAACCATCTCTTAAATTACCTGTAGCACCACTATGTTATTCTTTACTCTCCCAATACCCCAAGTAGATTGCACATGTGACTCTTTTATTAATGTGTTGAATATTCATAACGATAATGAATAATATGAATAAATAAATTGATAAGTGCGTAACTATGAATTAGGCATTGCTTTACTCTTATCTGGAGATTTCAATTCATGATAAACATCTTTTAGTGACCATGAATAAGAAACTCATAGACCTGCATTAGAGAAATGCAAATCTAAACCACAATGAGATACCATCTCACTCCAGTTAGAATGGCAGTCCTTAAAAAGTCAGGAAACAACAGATGCTGGAGAGGTTGTGGAAAAATAGGAATGCTTTTACACTATTGGTGGGAGTGTAATTTACTTCAACCATTGTGGAAGACAGTGTGTGAATTCCTCAAGGATCTAGAACTAGAAATACCATTTGACCCAGCAATCCCATTACTGGGCATATACTCAAAAGATTATAAGTCATTCTACGATAAAGACACATGCACACGTATGTTTATTGTGGCACTATTCACAATAGCAAAGACTTGGAACCAACCCAAATGTCCATCAATGATAGACTGGATTAAGAAAATGTGGCACATATATACCATGGAATACTATGCAGCCATAAAAAAGGACATGAGTTCATGTCCTTTGCAGGGACATGCATGAAGCTGGAAACCATCATTCTCAGCAAACTATCACAAGATCAGAGAACCAAACGCCGCATGTTCTCACTCATAAAGCAGGAGTTGAACAATGAGAACACATGGACACAGGGAGGGGATCATCACACACTGGGGCCTGTGGGGTGTGGGGGTGTAGGGGAGGGATAACATTAGGAGAAATACCTAATGTAGGTGACGGGTTGATGGGTGCAGCAAACCACCATGGCATGTGTATACCTATGAAACAAAACTGCAAGTTCTGCACATGTAACCCAGAGCTTAAAGTATAATTTAAATAAATAAATAATAAATAAATAAATAAACTCATAGACCTCAAAGTATGGGAAGCCTAACTGCCTACGGCCACTTGCTGCTTCACTCTAAAATCTGTTTCTGCATCTGCCCCTCAGTCAATGACTGAGGGCCACAGGGTGGCTAATGCAGATCCCTCTTTAGGAGACACAGGGCTTCTCTGAGGACCAGTCTTGGCTCAGGATTCCCTGAAGCCTTTTCTCACCCTTCCTTAGACTGTACATTACGCTCCAATGCTTCCACTCAACCTTCCTTTCCTCTTTCCTTCATTCTAGGTCAGACTTGCCTCATAGCTGAGACCTCTTCCAGGCTTACTCAGCTTCCTCTCCATTTTCTCTCACAGGGATTTCCCTTAATAAAATCCTCTTGTGTTTAACTCGTTTTCAACATCTACCTCTTGGAGGACCTGGACTAACCCACCACATAATGTTTGTATTATAATTACTTCCATTCTACAGGTTGAGAATCTGGGATCTGGAGAAGTTAAGCAACTTAAGTTACTCAAGTAAGGCCACACAATGTATATAAAGTGTGCTGCAAGGAGTTAAACCCAGGGAACGCACACTCCAAAACAGAACCATCAACAAGTACCAATCCTGAAACCAACTAATAAAAGGTAAAGATACAATTAGCTTGGTGCAAAATGTTATTTTTCTCTCTAATTACATTTTCTAAGGTTTCACTGTTTGTGATTAAGAAGGGAAGAATGATTTTCATCAAAACTCTGCTCAACAAGCCGGGTGTCGTGGCATGCACCTGTAGTCCCAGCTACTGAGGAAGCAGAGGCAGGGGGATCACGTGAGCCCAGGAGATTAAGGCTGCAGTGAGCTGTGATTACATCTCGTTGACCATGTGACCCTGAGTGTAACTCATAGACCTCAAGCCTGGGCAACAGAGCAAGACTCTGCCTTAAAAAGTAAAACTAAGCAAAACAAAACAATCCTGAACAAATGGTTGCACATAACCAGCTAAACAGTAATATAACAGTTGTTGGCAGGGTGAGAAGAAACTAGCAGACTGTAGGTTTGTCATACTGTTTTTTTGTTTCTCCAGAAACACAGATATAATATAGGCAATGAAAGCTGAGACTCATCTCTTAATTTCAGTTAAGCTATTAATTGATTTACATCATTTACTCACAGGTCAGAAAAGTTTCTTTCAAAAGGCAGGAATGTTGTTTCATGTTAATCTAAGGACTTGCTTACCTTTTGTTTCTGTTCTTAATGATCACAGTTACTAATACAGTTAAATAATATTTAGATAAAATACATTACAATTATAGCTGATCAAAAATCTCATTCCAAGCTGTTATATTGTTGACTATCTCATGATCACTCTTCTTATGAATCATGTAAATAGGGAAAAATACTGCAAAGTAGACCCACGTTACTTCAAATGAAATATGATTTAATAAAATCAGTTATTCTTTGCCAATTTTGTAATCTTCAAAATAACCACAATTGAAATAGTGATACATACACATCAGAACAGTTCAAATGAAAGAGAGAAATGATACCAAGTGTTGGCAAAGATGCGGAGCAACTAGAACTCTCTCCCATTGTGGATGGAAATGTAAACTGATGGACACCACCATTTTCCATGTATGCTAAATCTGACCATATTCTATGACCCTGAGCATATACCCAGCAATATTTACCAAAAGACAAATACATGAATGCTCAGAGAGGCACCATTCAAAATAACCACAAATTGAACTTATATTTGTATAATGATATAGTATATAGCAATGAGAACCTAACAAATTACAACTATATGCAAAAAGATTAACAAATCTTATAAACTAAATATTGAATGAAAGAAGCAAGATACAGAACATATACTACGATCTAATTCACTAAAAATTGTAAAACTCATCAGTTATGTTCCAAATCACCATAAGAGCTATCCTATGAAATAGTGTCTAGAAGAAGTAATAATATAAAATTTCCTGATTTGAGTACTGGATACACAGAAGGGCTAAGTTTGTTTAAAAACAAAAGAAGTATTGAGCTGTACAGTTAAGATTTGGGTATTTTACTGTTTGTATGTATTTTCAGCGTTAGAAAATTATGTTAAAAAGTCTTTATGCTCTTTTTCTTAATATATTTACAATAGACAAATTTTCATTAAGCCACAGTATAAATAAAAAAGACCCACACAGGTATTTTTAACATGGATGAAGTGGTTCTGTCATCATTAAATGAGTACTTTAGGATGCAAGTCTGATATAAAAACTTACTTCCCTGAAGACTTTAATTTTGCATGCAAAATACACGGTTTCTAAATTAAATTTTTTTGTAACAAAGCGTTTTTGAGTTCCCCTCATGAAATTTTAATAAATCATTAATTTCTTCTTTTTCTCTTTCATGCACAAGCAGTGGATAAACATTTCAAAGATCCCTACAGAAGTTTCTTCCCTTGAAATACTGTTCACATGACAATGAGAAGGATGGAATAAAACACAAAAAAGGTAAGCAATTTTTTTTTTTTTTTGAGGCGGAGTCTTGCTCTGTCGCCCAGGCTGGAGTGCAGTGGCGCGATCTCTGCTCACTGCAAGCTCCGCCTCCCGGGTTCCCGTCATTCTCCTGCCTCAGCCTTCGAAGTAGCTGGGACTACAGGCGTCCGCCACCGTGCCCAGCTAATTTTTTGTATTTTTAGTGGAGACGGGGTTTCACCGTGTTAGCCAGGATGGTCTCCATCTCCTGACCTTGTGATCTGCCCGCCTCGGTCTCCCAAAGTGCTGGGATTACAGGCTTGAGCCACTGCGCCCGGCCAACAGGCAAATTTTTCGTTGGGGAAGTAGTAGACCAACCATCTGTGCTTATTTCTTCTAAACAGAGCTGGGAATGAGTGACAGCAGTTGAACAGGAACACTTGCTCCCCAAGCACTACTTGTTTTTCATGAAGAAGGAAAAAAGGCAAAAGCCCTGCTACATTTACATTCGCAAAATTGTTTTCAAATGAGGATTAACAAGATGTTAGTTCCCTCTCTGTTGAACACATAAAATATTAAAAGGCAGTGCTAATACATCTATATACAGCACATCAGGAGGAAGGAGGAAGTCATTTCTCCTGACTTTACCAACTTGTCTTATTTGAAACTGATACCGTGCCCTATTGGCTGATAGGAGTTTCACTTTATTTAGAATACAATAGAATTTGGCTCAGATTCACACCAAAAGTATAGTATTTTGAGGTGCACTTACACGACTTCAGGGGAAAACAATATCTGGAATGTGACCCTGGAATTCATTACAAGTCAGTTAAAGGGATCTCTCTTAGAATTTTTTGATAATTGGACTGGGACAGGATGTAAGAATAAATCATTAACAGTAGATGAGGAAAACACTTGACGAGAGCTTTCTCGTCTTACCATTACTGCTCTTTCTATCAGAGGTTAAAGACAGAATGGGGACCATGTTGTGGTTGTTATTCTTGTTGTTTGATTGGTTTGTTTATTATGTTCTTGCATGACTTGGTTATGTGGCTGGATATGAAAATTCTTTCCATTTCCAGAGTCATAAATCTCCTAATTTCTAGGAGATTAAATACTGGTTTTATCTTTGGCTCCAGTAAAAATGTTGCTATCTTGGATTAAAAGAAGGTTGGGAAATACGTTGTGTCTATTCACCAGTGAATGGGAACCCCTTCTACAACAACAAATTTTCCATTCAAACCATTTCTAGGCCTCCCTTCCTGGTTCTGATAGCAAATGTGAAAGCAAGTACTAGAGATTTGGGTTTTGTAAGTTTCCTCAAATACTTGGGAAATACTGGATTCCGTTGCCAAGTGTTGCCTTTTGTACATTCAGCTTCTACACAGCACGTTTTCTCTATGTTGAAAGTCCTAATCCTTGAAATCTCAGAATGGAAAAGAGTTATATGACTAATTTTATGTGCCAGGATTATGGGAATAAACTTTCATGGAAGATAGGAAGCTTACAGGGCATTTAGAGAAAGGAGACATCTGTAGAATCAATTCAGAATGATTAAGCCCCTTGTGATCTCACTATCTCACTTCAATTGTTAAGCCACAAAACTCTTTTTAAGTTAATCTCTAACATTTATTTGGCTTTATAATTACATATAAATAATGTCTAAATTTGACACCTATGTTTCCAAACTTAATAATGAAGTCAAAATAAACAGAATTAAGGAGAGCTTATTACGATCTTTATTGTTATTTATATATAACAAATTTCCTATTAAGAATATAATATTTTATGATATCTTATGGATGTCATTAACATTGCTTTAATAAAGGTATTATCATGCTTTGTACAGCAACCAACACGAAAATGTTAGTATACCACTGCAATAAATAGAATAAAAACATGTTCAGAAAGACTTAGAAACTCATTAAAGAACGGACGTTAATCACTTTTCACCCTAACTCCTCATTTGGCAAGGCATGAATCTATGCATTCCAGTTTAGACAGGTGGCAAGTAAGTAGTCCCATTGCATTTCATAAAATAAGCAGCTGCGTGAATTTGAAAGATACTATTTCCACATGAAAAGCTAATGACTGCACATGTAAAATCAGTAGTGTTTAGGAAGCTGTCATTTAAAAAACAACAAACTACCTAATTAAAAAGTAGCACAAATGAACTTTTGCCTATGTAAAAAATAGAACATTGCTTAGCCTTTTCTTAAACCCCTCCCCAATTCTTACCAAGAAAGGATAAATACCTTTATTATAGTCAAAGCTCTGTTTTTATGGTTTTTGAATTTTTTAATCTAAAATTCAAAGCAAATAATCAATCTTTAATTTATATTTATCCCAGTTTGATTCAAAGTGACGGTCCAAAAGTAAAATGATCAATTATAACTATAATCAATCACAAATAATGCTATGTGAGTTTGAAATGTTAATCTAAGTTGCCTTTTCCAGGTATGCGTTTTAAAATTAAACTCTTCTCAGTAAGATCAAGGCTATCCTTCATGGATTTATGATGTTTGATAATCACCACGTTGTACTGATTTGCTGTCTCACTTCACTGTTTGATATCAACATATGAAAGTAAAAATGCTATTTAGGGGATAACTATTATCTGAGCACTAATAAATTAAATGCTATTTTAAGCCAACAACAAAATTGTTTAGGGTACAATTTTTATTTAACCAACTGTCCATTATAAACATTATAAAATTCTGAAAGATCCTAGAATCTTATATAGCTTTTTTGTATTTTTTCAAATGTAGTTGACACCAGCATGAATTAAATTTCATATTTAAAAAGCTTCTGACTACATTACAACATACTTTAAAATTACTTGCAAGATATGATAATTCTAAGATTACCCACATATCATGCAAATGAAACAGCCAGGTACTTCCTACCAACACATGATACAATAAAATCCAGAAGAACTTCTGAATTAGAGTGTAGTAGTTGCCTAGGGCCATCATACCTAATTATCACACACTTGGTGGGTTAAGAGGACAGAAATATATTCTCTCATAGTTCGGAAGCCTGGACCTCTGAAATCAAGATGTTGGCGGGGCCACACTCCCCCTGAAGACCCTAGGGAAGAATTCTCCCTCGCTTCTTCCTGGCTTCCAGTGGCTCCTGGCAATCCTTGACCTTCTTTGATTTATGACTGCATAACTCCAATTTCTGTCTCCATCTTCACATGACCTTGTGTGTGTCTTTTCCTGTATGTTATAAGGACATTTACACTGGATTTAGGGCCCACCTTCACCCAGGATGACCTCATCTCAATCACTGGGTTAATTATATCTGCAAAGACCCTACTTCCAAATAAAATCACATTCTAAAGTTCCTAATGGACATAAATTTTGGAGGTACGGTATTTAAATCACTACACAGAACATGTAAAGACAAAAATCTGGAAGCTACCTGAATGAAAATGGATATTCCCTTGAACTTCGACAAAATCATATTCTATTTTTCCATGAGAAACATTTTATTACTCTAAAACAATATTCATATTTCACAAGTACGCCTCTTAAATTATAGCTTGGACTTAAGAAAAATAATTAGCTTTGGAAATTATCAGTACATGATATCTAGTATTTCCTATATTTTTAAGAACTTCTACCTCCTAGCAAAAATAAACAATGCAATGGATAATTTCTGTGTTCTAAATTCACACACACAAACAGGAAAGGGACTTTAAAAATGATTTGTTCTCTTTTAAAGCAGAAGCCCAACCACCTGCTCTGAATCTAAAAGTTTCCTGAAAGCAATGAAGGGCTAGTTTATTATGAAGGTGTTGATAGCTGATTCTGTGGAGACTCACACAGAAACAAAGAATAAATTTTAATCACACTTAATGCTAATGTGGTAGTAAGGTTGTGACAATATTCAAATATGACTAATTTCATTGAATTAACTACACTCGGGCTTAGCTTAGTTGTCCAAATTTATTACAAATAGCTCAAACTAAATAATTCAACTCTTCTGTTTTCTATTTATTTTTTGTTGATGCTTAAGAGTAAAAAGATATTTCAACTGAATTTTTTTTTTTTTTTTTTAGCAATCAGTTCTCTTGTTTTATCACCATAAGACTGTAAACGGCCGTAACAGGTCACTGAATCTAGCACTGCCTTCAACAAGAAATGCACCTAGAGCAGGAATATAGTACTTGGCACTCATCTCTAGACCTATAACCTAACAGATTTTTTTTTTGTCTGTCTTTGGTGAAAGTAACGTAAATTTAGAGCTGGAAAGGACCTTAGAGGTCATCTAGTCCCACCCAAGCATCTTTGAAAACAAAATAAAGACGTGTGTTGGCCTGATGCGGTGGCTCACGCCTGTAATCCCAGCACTTTGGGAGGCCAAGGCGGGCAGATCACAAGGTCAGGAGATCGAGACCATCCTGCCTAACATGGTGAAACCCCGTCTCTACTAAAAATACAAAAAATTAGCCGGACATGGTGGCAGGTGCCTGTAGTCCCAGCTACTCGCGAGGCTGAGGCCGGAGAATGGAGTGAACCCAGGAGGCAGAGCTTGCAGTGAGCCGAGATCGTGCCACTGCACTCCAGTCTGGGCAATAGAGTGAGACTCTGTCTTAAAAAAAAAAAAAGAAGCATGTTTATTTCATCATTTTGTACTTATACACTGTGTATTTCCAGAAAAGCCCCTGAGATAGCTTAGAATGAAAGGCACAGACACTATAAAACAAGGGCAAAATGACAGAATAATGAAGAGAAAGAGGTGACAATTACATGGGACAACCTAGGGAAGGAAACACTACCCTTCAGCCTAAAATTTAGTCCTAAGCCCCTTGTTCTTAAAGGCCAAAAGGAAAACCAGAATTCAAATAGGTATTGTTAGTTAATAAAATAGTATCTGGATATATCAGCAACTATTTTTTGGTAACTCTAAACTCAAGCAAAATATATGTCTTCAAGCAACAGACAATGGACAATATAATAAAAATAATCTTCCATAGCAATTTCCAAACTTTTAAAGATGTAAGAACAAATGATCTTTTCTTACAGGATGCTTAGTTGAAAGCTGCCCGCATGATGGTATTTTAAACTACATGATGTTAAATTCCCTGCATGATGGTATTTTATTGGGACCTGGTTATATGATTTGGTGAAGAATGTAACCTTTGAGAACTTAGAAGAGTGAATGGTTAATATTTCTCTGAATTTTTTTGTTTTTAATTGATATTTTATTTTATCCCTCATAGACAATATATGCCTGGGAAATACACTGAAGTATAGTAAAAAAGAATCTAAGGGTTAAAGTGTTGAGGTAAATGAGAAAGCAGAGGTTGTGTCTGAAGAACCGTGTGGTCGCACTGCACCACACAGCAAACAGAAATATGGGTGAGCACAGGCCGGGCGCGGTGGCTCAGGCCTGTAATCCCAGCACTTTGGGAGGCCGAGGAGGGCGGATCACGAGGTCAGGAGATCGAGACCATCCTGGCTAACACGGTGAAACCCCGTCTCTACTAAAAATACAAAAAATTAGCCGGGCCTGGTGGTGGGCGCCTATAGTCCCAGCTACTTGGGAGGCTGAGGCAGGAGAATGGCGTGAACCCGGGAGGCGGAGCTTGCAGTGAGCCGAGATCGGGCCACACCACTCCAGCCTGGGGGACAGTGAGACTCCGTCTAAAAAAAAAAAAAAGAAGTTCACCCTATGCAGGCACTATAACTACGAGTCCCTCCCATCTGAGCCTTGCCTTCCAGACAACCCCACCAATACATAAGACAGAAAAAAAGCACCTTGCACCTTCCAGACTGACTTGTTTGCCAGCCGCATAGCACTGAGTCACCCTAGTTAATGATATGAGAGAGGAAGAATCACTCAGACGAATCCTGCTGGAATTTCTCACCTATAGGATCCATGAGATACAATGAAGTGGTCGTTGTTTTACCTTATTAAATTTGGGGTAGTTTCTTTTTTCTTTTTTTCTTTTTTTTTCTTTTTTTTTTTTGAGACGGAGTCTCGCTCTGTGGCCCAAGCTGGAGTGCAGTGGCGCAATCTCGGCTCACCGCAAGCTCCGCCTCCCGGGTTCACACCATTCTCCTGCCTCAGCCTCCCGAGTAGCTGGGACTACAGTCACCCACCACCACGCCCGGCTAACTTTTGTATTTTTAGTAGAGACGGGGTTTCACCGTGTTAGGCAGGATGGTCTCGATCTCCTGAACTCGTGATCCGCCCGTCTCAGCCTCCCAAAGTGCTGGGATTACAGGCGTGAGCCACAGCGCCCGGGCCATTTGGGGTAGTTTCTTAAGCAGCAATAGTAACTGTAACACTGACTCACTTCTACTGCCACCAATCACTATCCTCCTTTCCTGATTTACTTCCTCGTATGTACCATCTTTTAAAAAACAAATAATTAGGCCGGGTGCAGTGGCTCACGCCTGTAATCCCAGCACTTTGGGAGGCTGAGGCGGGCGGATCACGAGGTCAGGAGATCGAGACCATCCTAGCTAATATGGTGAAACCCCATCTCCGCTAAAAATACAAAAAATTAGCCAGGCGTGGTGACCGGGGCCTGCAGTCCCAGCTACTCGGGAGGCTGAGGCAAGAAAATGGCGTGAACCCGGGAGGCGGAGCTTGCAGTGAGCTGAGATCGCGCCACTGCACTCCAGCCTGGGCGACAGAGGGAGAGTCCGCCTCAAAATAATAATAATAATAATAATTAGTGAAAACTTCAATAACTTTTGCACCGGCCTAATAGTTGTAAAGAAACTATAAGCAAGTTCACAAAAGTTAAAACAAAAAATCAGCTATGAGAAGCAAATATGAATTATACCACTAACTGCTGAAAAGAAAGACTCTAAGACTGAAATTACCAAAAAAAAAAAAACCCTCAGCTGAAAACAAAACAAATAATCAAACTCTATTACTCTACTCTATTTCCATGAAGTGTACAAACTGTTCCTGTAAGTTTAACGATATTAAAATGTACAAAGATTAATAAAGTAAAAATCAAAGACTATTTATAACATCATCGATTTCACATAAAGTAGAATTTTAAAGGAAAAGGTATCCCATGGAAAACAATAAAATATTTAATATTACAAAGCAAAACACTAAATGAACGTCACATTTAATTGTGAAATCATTAGCATGTTTCTCCGTTATGACTTATTAAAGGATAAAATTTGAGCAATATAATGTATAAGATTTTTTGGCCGGGCGCGGTGGCTCACGCCTGTAGTCCCAGCACTTTGAGAGGCTGAGGCGGGCGGATCACGAGGTCAGCAAATCCAGACCATCCTGGCTAACACGGTGAAACCCTGTCTCTACTAAAAAAATACAAAAAAATTAGCCAGGCGTGGTGGCGGGCACCTGTAGTCCCAGCTACTTGGGAGGCTGAGGAATGGCGTGAACCTGGGAGGCGGAGCTTGCAGTGAGCCCAGATTGCGGCACTGCACTCCAGCCTGGGCAAGAGAGTGAGACTCCCAATCCAAAAAAAAAAGAAAAGAAAAGAAAAGAAAAACCGACTTTCATTAAAGCCTCCTGCAGAAATTTGCATAAGTAACAAGGAGCCAAATGTAATCACCAAGACAATGGGGAAAATGTCTCCAGAACATTAAAGACCTTAACACCTTCACGGCAGCTCTTTCCATCACAGGCTCAAAAGCCTAGTATGGAAAAATGATTTCCTGGAGCAGGTCCAGGTCCCCCTGCTGTGTGCAGCCTAGAGACTTGGTGCCCGGCATTCCAGCCACTCCAGCCATGGCTGGGGTGGGAGACACCAGGCTACAGCTCAGGCCATGTCTTCGGAGGTTGCAGCCCCAAGCCTTGGCAGCTTCCACAAGATGTTGAGCCTGCAGGCGCACAGAAGTCAAGAATTGAGGTTTGGGACCCTCCACCTAGATTTCAGAGAATGTATGGAAACACTTGGATGTTCAGGCAGAAGTTTGCTCTGGTGGGGTGCGGGGGCAGGAGCAGGGGCTCATGAAGAACCTCTTCCAGGGTAGTAGAGAATTGAAATGTGGGCTCTGTCTCCCATACAGAGTCCCTACTGGGGCAATGCCTAGTGGAGCTATGAGAAGAGGGCCGCTGCCCTCCAAACCCCCAATTGGTAGATCCACAAACAGTTTACACTGTGTACCTGGAAAAGCCACAGACAATGCCAGCCAGTGAAAGCAGCCAGGAGGGAGGCTGTACCCTGCAAAGCCACAGAGGCAGAGCTGCCCAAGGCCATGGGAGACCACCACTTGCGTCAGTGTGACCTGCATGTGAGACACGGAGTCAAAGGAGATCATTTTGGAACTTTAACGTTTAATGACTGCCCTATTGGATTTCAGACTTGCATGGAGCCTGTAGCCCCTTTGTTTTGACCAATGTCTCCCATCTGGAACAGGTGTAGATACACTGGGGGTACCCAATGCCTGTACCCCCATTGTATGTAGGAAGTAACTAACTTGCTTTTAGTTTTACAGGCTCATAGGTGGAAGGGACTTGTCTCAGATGAGACCTTGGACTGTGGACTTTTCAGTTAATGTTGAAACGAGTTAAAACTTTGGGGGACTGTTGGGAAGGCATGATTGATTTTGAAATGTGAGAACATGAGATTCAGGAGGCGCCAGGGGAAGAATGATATGGTTTGGCTATGTCCCTACCCAAATCTCATCTTGAATTGTAGCTCCCATAATCCCCATATGTCATGAAAGGGACCCAGTGGGAGGTAACTGAATCATGGGGATGGGTTTCTCCCTGTGTTGTTCTTGTGAAACCGAATAAGTCTCACAAGATCTGATGGTTTTATAAAGGGGAGTTCCCCTGCACATGCTCTCTCTCTTGCCTGCCACCATGTAAGACATGTCTTTGCTCCTCCTTTGCCTTCTGCCATGATTGTGAGGCTTCCCCAGCCACGTGGAACTGAGTCCATTAAACCTTTTTTTCTTTATAAATTACCCAGTCTCAGGTATTTCTTCATAGCAGTATGAAAGTGGACTAACACAGTATCAAACCCTGGTTTGGGGTAATAATCACTACCTTCTAGGTAACCAGAATGGAAAAAATATAACAGAAAAAAAATCCTAAAAATCATCCTGCGTACAAGAAAAATGAAACTGTATGCTGAATTCTCAGGGGGAGAAAACGTATTTAAAAATATATGACTTTCAAACCACAAGAAACTATAGACCATTGCTTTAAACTATTTGTCTATGAACAGTATGTAGAAACACATGGAATTTAGGAAATAGGAGATGAAGGCTACAATAACAAAAGAGGCTCATATCACAAAATGGGAGATAGCTGAGATGAGGCTTCTATGAAAACTAAAGTGCAAGGGCAGATTTTCCATCCACAGGGAAATCCGTGGAGAAAGAAACTGACACACTGAAAAGTTCAAGCAGCAATTGAATCAGAGCTCTGGAGGGCAAAGGAAGAGATGAACTAATGACAGAGAAGAAGGCGGATGGGTATGCCAGAGACCACAGGTTCCACCTCGAGAATAGTTTGTGTACTGGGGAAAGACACAAGGGCAAGGAGATCTGAAACAATAATCAAAGCTATCACTGAAGTACGAATAATAAAAGCACCAACCAGCTTCTAGGCAGGGAGGGGGAAGAAACAAGGAAGAGTTCTCCATATTTAAATAACAACTAGCCAAACTCCTGAATTTTACAAATAAATAAAAAAACTTCCTTAAAAATAAAAAGTCAGGCTTAGATAAGACTTTTTTTCTTCTCTGTTAACATTATTAGAAGACATAAAGATTTTAAGAGAATAAAAATATGATCAAGAGGATCATAAATATCAGGTTGTCTTTACCTGAGTACGAAGCAATGGCATCTGTATATCCAGCACTGATTTGTCCTTCCAATAAAAATTTACTCAAAGACATATGGGTACATATTAGAAAAATAATCAAAATTAATATTTCAAGGATTAGGAAGTTGTGAAGCCAAAATCCTGCAAGGGGACAATTGATTCAGTTAATGGAAAGATTTATTTTTCATATTTTATGATTATTTACCAAAATAATATTTTTAAAGTATAATTATAAAATAAAAATAAAATATTTAACAATACTATAATTATAATCATGTTCCAAGTTATAAAACAAGATAGTGAGAATTGTCAGTAAGATAGTAAGAATTCTAATACTATCTCAAAATAAAGGATACAGAAGGTTTCAGGGCAAGAGAAAGGGAAAACCTTCTATATCCTTTAGTTTGAGATAGTATTAAAGCTTTCTGTAGGCTCACTCAAAATGTCCGGATTCTGACCACATTTGAATGAGCACTCCCAACCTGACGATTCCTAGTCTAAGCCACACATATTTCCTCTTATGGTTATTGCAAAAGCTCCCTAACTGGTCTCCCAGCTTCTGCCGTTGATTCCTTTCAGCTATTTTTTACACAAGTGCCAGAGAAATCTCAGAAATGCAATTCAGATGATATCACTTCTTTGCTTATATCTTTCAATGTTGTTCCCCTCTACGTGTTCATGTATTCTCCCCTTTGACTCTCGCTTCTAAGTGGGAACATTTGGTTTTCTGTTCCTGCATTAGTTGGCTAAGGATAATGGCTTCCAGCTCCATCCATGTTCCTACAAAGGGCGTGATCTCATCTTTTATGGTGGCATAATATGCCATGGTGTATATATACCACATTTTCTTTATCCAGTCTACCATTGATGGGCATTTATGTTGATTCCATGCCTTTGCTACTGTGAATAGCGCTGCAATAAACATATGCATGCATGTGTCTTTATGACAGAACAATTTATATTCCTTTGGGTGTATACCCAGTAATAGGATTGCCGGGTCGAATGGTAGTTCTTTTAGGTCTTTGAGGAATCACCACACTGTCTTCCACAATGGCTGAACTAATTTACACTCCCACCAACAGTGTAGAAATGTTGCCTTTTCTCCACAATATTGCCAGCATGTTATTTTTTGGCTTTTTAATAATAACCATTCTGAATGGTGTGAGATAGTATCTCATTGTACTTCTGATGTGCATTTCTTTAATGATCAGTGATGCTGAGCTTTTTTTCTATGTTTGTTGGCTGCATGTATGTCTTATTTTGAAAAGGAGGGTGAAAGCTGGGAGGAGGGAGAGGATCAGGAAAGACAACTAGTGGGTAGCAGGTTTACCATGTGGGTAACAGAATAATCCGTACAACAAACCCCCATGACACAAGTTTACCTACATAACAAACCTGCACGTGTACCACTGAACTTAAAAGTTAAATTTAAAAAATAAAAAATAAAAAAATCTTTCAATGGTCCCATGTCAGTTTGAGGAACAGCCAAAGTCCTTAAAATGACGTACAAGGTGCTCGTTCCATCATCCGTCTTCTCATGTTTATTTCTCTGCCACCATCTACTAATACTCTTCCCCCTTCTCATTCTACTCCAGCTATAATGGCTTCCTCGATGCTGTTCTAAGAATAAGTCCACATGATTCCGACTCAGGGCTTTTGCCCAAGCTGTGGTCTCTCTTTGGAATGCTCTTTTTTCAGCAGAGCACGATTCCTCCTCATTTCCTTCAAGAAGTCTGTCGCCAAATGCCTTCTACCTGGTGTGTAATTGTCATGTGTGGCAGTTTTAAACATAGTCCAAAAACAGGTTGATATTCTTCTCATCAAAAAATAGGTCTATGTCTCCCTTCCCTAAATCTGGACGTGCTTGTGACTGCTACAATCAATAGAGTATGACAAATAATTCTACCTGACCTTTAAGGTGAGATAAAAAGAGACCAGGCCTTTTCCACCTGGTTCCCTTGGAGTGTTTGATCTGCGGAAAGCCAGCAGCCATATAAGAAGTTTACCCTGTGCAGGCCGGGCGCGGTGGCTCAGGCCTGTAATCCCAGCACTTTGGGAGGCCAAGGCGGGTGGATCACGAGGTCAGGAGATCGAGACCATCCTGGCTAACACGGTGAAACCCCGTCTCTACTAAAAATACAAAAAAATAGCTGGGCCTGGTGGTGGGCGCCTGTAGTCCCAGCTACTCGGGAGGCTGAGGCAGGAGAATGGCGTGAACCCGGGAGGCGGAGCTTGCAGTTAGCCGAGATCGGGCCACACCACTCCAGCCTGGGGGACAGTGAGACTCCGTCTCAAAAAAAAAAGAAAAAAAAAAAGTTTACCCTGTGCAGGCACTATAACTAAGAGTCCTTCCCATCTGAGCCTTGCCTTCCAGACAACTCCACCAATTTATAAGACAGAAAAAAAGCACCTTGCACCTTCCAGACTGACTTGTTTGCCAGCCGACTAGCACTGAGTCACCCTAGTTAATGATGTGAGAGAGGAAGAATCACTCAGATGAATCCTGCTGGAATTTCTCACCTATAGGATCCATGAGATATAATGAAGTGGTCGTTGTTTTACCTTATTAAATTTAGGGTAGTTTCTTTTTTCTTTTTCTTTTTTTTAATTTTTTTTTTTTTGAGACGGAGTCTCCCTCTGTCGCCCAGGCTGGACTGCAGTGGCGCGATCTCGGCTCACAGCAAGCTCCGCCTCCCGGGTTCACGCCATTCTCCTGCCTCAGCCTCCCGAGTAGCTGGGACTTAAGGCGCCCACCACCACCAGGCCAGGCTAACTTTTGTATTTTTAGTAGAGACAGAGTTTCACCGTATTAGGCAGGATGGTCTCGATCTCCTGAACTCATGATCCGCCCGTCTCAGCCTCCCAAACTGCTGGGATTACAGGCGTGAGCCACGGCACCCAGGCCATTTGGGTTAGTTTCTTAAGCAGCAATAGTAACTGTAACACTGACTCACTTCTACTGCCACCAATCACTATCCACTTTTCCTGATTTACTTCTTCCTATGTACCATCTTTTAAAAAACAAATAATTAGGCCGGGCTAAGTGGCTCACGCCTGTAATCCCAGCACTTTGGGAGGCTGAGGCGGGCGGATCACGAGGTCAGGAAATCGAGACCATCCTGGCTAACACGGTGAAACTCTGTCTCCACTAAAAATACAAAAAATTAGCTGGGCGTGGTGGTGGGTGCCTGCAGTCCCAGCTACTCGGGAGGCTGAGGCAGGAGAATGGCGTGAACCCAGGAGGCGGAGCTTGCAGTGAGCCCAGATGGCGCCACTGCACTCCAGCCTGGGCGACAGAGCGAGACTCCGTCTCAAAAAAAAAATAAAAATAAAAAATAAATAAAAAAAGATTTTTAATATATATATACAAGAATATGTGAAACAGTATGTTTTCAAGTTTCCATTGAATATTTTAAAAATAGATTATATAAAACCTCAATATATTTTTTAAAATAAAAACCACACAGGTCACATTACCTACTCAAAATTTAATTACATTAGAAATTAAGACAAAGTTAAAACAGGACAACCAGCACCCCTAGTATCACCCTCCTCAGAGTATTTAAAAATAGATTCCTTTAAATTATCTCTTTTTTTACAAGAATAAAATCTAATCAATTATTAGAAAGATAATCTCAAACTGAACTCAAAAGAAGAAGCAAAGCATCTTCAAAGTCAATAAGGGTGCTATAAATGCTTCTTGGACTCTGAAACTCTCTGACTTCCCATTCTACTCTCAGTTGTAGAAAACTCCCTGATTGTTAGGTTTTGGTGTGATTAGGTTAGGTTTACCCAGGTACTCCCCCCGTCTTAAGGCTGACGGATTATTAGCCTTAGTGACATGTGCAAGACTCCTTTGCCGTGTGAGGTATCAACAGGGTAACATGAGGAAATGAAGGTCATAGGGGCTATCTTAGACTTCTTCCTGCTACAACCTCTATTCACTTATTTTGAATCCTCAGAGTTTAATGAGCTCCTACTATGTTCTAGGTCCTTGCAATAGGAGTACAGCAGTGAACAAGACAAACATGGTTCTGGTCCTTGGAGTACAAAGTAAATGCTGAAAATTTAATAAATGGGTCAGTAGATAGATAGATGTATAAAGGTCTAAATGCACATTCAGAAAATAGCAGGAGAAGACTGAGACTCAGTATTATTGAATATGCTTTAAAGGCCCATGTGTCGTCTTGAATGAAAATGTTGCTCAATTTCTGATGAGGAGACTAATTCATCAATATCTGTTATCATTGACTGATGACCTCACATAATAAAAGATCTTGACTTGAGTGTACGTTAATAATCAACATAATGGGTAATGTATCAAAAGAGTATATGGAAGATAATAAAAAGATATAAATTGAAATCTTAAACAGTTTTGTGCTAAAATATGTTTAGAATTGCTTGAACCCAGGAGGCGGAGGTTGCAGTGAGCTGAGATTATGCCACTACACTCCAGCCTGGGCAACAAGATCCAACCTCCGTCTCAAACAAACAAACAAACAAACAAACAGAAACAACCCAAACAAACACAAAAAATTACTATAATTGTATCTCTTTTGACTATAGCCTGGAAGAAATCACTCTCTCCCCAACTTAAGGAAGGGGAGACTTATCTCTAGCCAAGCTTTGAGTATAAACATATAAAAAGTAATTTTCATTTTCTTGAAACTGACTGCATGAAAAGGCATATGGTGTTCCCAAAAAATGTCTGATGAGTGAGAATATTAAAATGACTAAACTGATGGGACATATTTAATTTAATATTTAAACTTGATAAAAAATAGTTAAGCATTTAACTCAAGAATTTCAAAATGGTACAGCAAAGCATACAAGCAAAATTAAAAGGAATGCTAATTACATATTAAGTTAGAAGGCAATAAATTATAAACAAAAACAGTAACAATTTATAAACATACACAAGTTCATTCTTTAACAAATAACCCATGATACAGAAAAATACAGCAAATGTGATAAAACAAAAACTGAGAAAACATAAAATTTAAAGTGAAAAAAAAAACAAAACATGCAGAAATTGTTTTAAAGACAAAAAATACTATCTTAGAAAATTAAATACGTGTTTCACTAAAATAAACATGTACTGCTTAAATGAATCTTAATTTAATTTTAAAAATAGTAAATAGGTTGCAGGCATCAATGTTTGCAAGAAATGTAAAACATTATTTTAAAAATTTTTATTAAAGTCCCTATAACCAGTGTTTTTAATAAGCATCTGTTTAAAACATCTTGTAAAATGGACCCCAGACTAGGAAATATGGATAAAGTTATAAAAAGTGGCTTCCTTTCAGTTCATTTTACAAAGCAAATATAACTATTACTAACTCTTGATGAAGTGAATACAAAAAGAATAAAATTACTAAACAGTATCCCTTATAAACATAGTTAAAATATTCTTAACTGAAAGAAAAAGGAACTGAATTCTACACTTACTAAGAAATCACCCACCCCAGTGATTTGGCATACAAAGATTTAATACTAGAAAATATGTATTAATATAATGCAACACAACAATAAAGCTATTTACCTTATATTGTACATTTACTGCTACAGACTAAATGTTTACATCCCTCTCAAATTCATATGTTGAAATGCTAACCGCCAGTGTGAGGGTTTTTGAAGGTGGGGCTTTTGGGAACTAATTAAGTCATGAGAGAGCAGCCCTCATTAATGGGTTTAGCACCCTTCTAAAGCAGCCCCCTGAACTCCCTTGCTCCTTCCCCAACTGAGGTTATAGAGAAAGGGCAGCCTTCTTTGAACTAGAACAAAAGTTTTTCCCAGACACCAGATTGGCTAGTACCTTGGTCTTAGATTTCCCAGACCCCAGAACTGTGAGAAATTCCTTTCTGTTGTTTATAAGCCACCAAGTCTATGGTATTCTGGTACAGCAGCCCATTTTTGATATTTATTTAATGATATTTAACATGCATGACTGATGAAATTTAACAAAGTAGTTATAGATATGTCCTTACCATGATTAAAAATAACTCTTAAATTGATGCATACTTTTATTATCTAGTTCTAGCCAAAGCCATAAGATGAAAACACAAATAAGAAACCACCTATATGGCACATGTATACCTATATAACAAACCTGCATGTTCCGTGCATGTATCCCAGAACTGAAAATCATATTTTAAAAAAATTTATTTATATAGAAAAAAAGAGAGCAAATGATATTTTTCAAAAACTGATAATTTAATTATGGTAAGTTCTGTGTGATATGTGCCTGATATGTGTGATATGTGTCTGATGTGATATGTGTGAGATGAAAAACACTAAGGGGGTATGTGATTTTGGGCATTCATGTGCCCATAAATCCTTGTTAGAATTAAAATATCACATTAAACCTCTCTCTTTCTTTTAATGTCCATGGTTTCTTTTATATGTTTTAGTAAGTGACACAGAGGAAAATACCGAGCGGACACCGTTTCTAAATTGGTAAACTGCCCTGAACTGCCACTTTACTCTTTTCTACAGCAAGTGTGGAAGATTAGAGTTCAGGCAAACATGTCATGTAAGTGGTGAAGATTCCCTTTTTCCACTGGGACAGCAGTAGAACTGAAGGGAAATCAGACAACAGCTACCTCAGCAGGAGAGCCTCAATGATGACACTTTTGCCTCAACAGTGGAAGCTGGTAGTTTCCAAAAATAGAGCTAAAAAGTGAATCAAGTTTTAAAGCACATTGAAAGTCACACGTAAAATTCATTATTACAGAAAAGCTATAAACCAATCACAGTAAATGAGTGAATTTAGAAATTAAATTTTAATATGAAAGGTTCATGTTGTCAAAACTGACTATGTTAGTCCATCTCAATGCTATAAAGGAATACCTGAGACTGGGTAATTTATAAAGAAAAGAGGAGTATTTGGCTGATGGTTTGCAGGCTGTACAAACAGGCCACCAGTATCTGCTCAGCTTCTGCTGAGGCCCGGGAAGCTGACAATCATGGCTTAAGGCAAAGGGGGAGCTGGCATATTACATGGGGAGAGAGGGAGCAAGGGAGATGCCAGGCTCTTTTAAACAACAAGATCTCTCGTGAATTCATAGAGCAAGAACTCACTCATTACCGGGAGGACAGCACAAAACCATTCATGGGGATCCACCCTTGGGAAACAAACACCTATTACTAGGCCCACCTCCAACACTGGAGGTCGCATTTCAACATGAGATTTGGAGGGGACAAACCATCCAAACCATATCACTAACGGAAAGTGATTGTTTAAATTGCTGTATTCAGTCCCTTGGCCTTTTTGAGAAATGCCATTCATTTCAGCCATCAAGCAAATTATTATTTGAGACATTTATACCTCTTCATCCTTTAAAAGTTTCAGAAGCATGAATTTAAAAAGTATTCATTGTAAATTTGAGGCTAGTCAAATTGATGTGGCATCTAAGTAGCACGGTGACGGGATGAGGAGACAAAGTCACGAGGGGAGGTAGGAAGAAGCAGAGAGAAAAAGAGAAATAGGAAGAGAGAAAAAGAAATGAGAGAGTATAAGAAAAATGAAGAAAGAGGAAAAGAAAAATGGTTTAAATGAGAGGCAAATGTCATCTGATGTTTTACCATGGGGCCATAGGGTATTTGAAGTTTCAGAAAATTCATAAGTTATTAAAAAATGTGACTCTAGGGTAGTGAGGTTATAACTTGTAAGAAAACAAGAAGTGATTCCTTTTAAGAGAACCTTCTTGGCCGGGTGCTGTGGCTCACGCCTGTAATCCCAGCACTTTGGGAGGCCGAGGCGGGTGGATCACGAGGTCAGGAGATCGAGACCATCCTGGTTAACACAGTGAAACCCCGTCTCTACTAAAGATACAAAAAATTAGCTGGGCGCCGTAGCGGGCACTTGTAGTCCCGGCTGCACGGGAGGCTGAGGCAGGAGAATGGCGTGAACCCGGGAGGCGGAGTTTGCACTGAGCAGAAATCGCGCCGCTGCACTCCAGCCTGGGGAACAATGGGGAACAAAGCAAGACTCCGTCTCAAAAAAAAAAAAGAAAAAAAAGAAAAAAGAAAAAGAGGAACTTCTTAAAGATGCGGTTGTCTTTCTTATGCTTCCTTTAGCTCTTTTTTACCTCTCCACGGATACAGATTTTTATACCAAATAGCTGGCATTAGCTAAACCAATGTCTAGGAGAACTGATCCTCACGAAGGAAAATCATAATTTATTATTTTTTTAATTCATGGCATTTATTTGTACAAGAAATATATTTCTATTTAAGAGAAAGTAGAAAACAAAGGAGAACAGAAACAACTTTTTTTTTTTTTTTTTTTTGAGACAGAATCTCGCTCTGTCGCCCAGGCTGGAGTGCAGTGGCACGATCTCAGCTCACTGCAAGCTCTGCCTCCCGGGTTCACGCCGTTCTCCTGCCTCAGCCTCCCGAGTAGCTGGGACTACAGGCGCCCGCCACCACGTCCGGCTAATTCTTTTGTATTTTTAGTAGAGACGGGGTTTCACTGTGTTAGCCAGGATGGTCTTGACCTCCTGACCTCGTGATCCGCCCGCCTCAGCCTCCCAAAGTGCTGGGATTGCAGGCGTGAGCCACAGCGCCCGGCCGAAAAAACTTTTTAAAATTTGTTTGGGGATCTCCCATATTTGCCAAAGTAATCCCACAAAAACAATTAACATTTGACTTTGAAAATTAAGACAAAAAATACAATGATGAATATTTTCTTGTAAAAGCAAAGACAGTAAAAATATTCAGATTTAAAATAAGCCTGAGAAAAAGCATGATTTCCTTGAGCTTACCTAAGTAAACTTATTTACAAGTGACTGTATCAATAATTAGCAAAAGTAAAAGTCATTATGAAATCCTCCAAATCTTTCAAAGTAAAGTACTATCTTACATTCAAGCATTGAGTTTGCCCATAAAATTATTTAAGCTCAACCTTTTCCTCAATCTCCAAAACTCTGGCGTGTAACTACACAAACACTTCAATAGGGGACAGAATCTCCTTTTATCATTCATTCTACCAAACATCAACTTCATAAGAATTAGAATCAAGTGTAATAAGAATGAACTATATAGAATCATTGATATAAATTTATAGGTGTTCAGACATAACCTTTAGACATATTTGTCAGTGTACATGTAAACAATACTCAATAACTTCTTTAATAGAGTTCTCCAGAGAAACAGAACCAATTGGATGTGGGTATATAACTCAGTTATATATTTCATCAGCTTCCTTTTTATGTAATAGAAACTAACTACAGCTAATGATGAATTTTTTTCATTCATTCATCATTAAAAGGGGAGAGAGAAATCCAGGCTGGGTTTGTGCCATTTTTCTTCCCTCACAGTTCTCTTCTTGCTGCATGATTCTTCCTTTCAGATATTAACCAGAAGGAATGGTTAGCCTGACTATAGCTCTAGAGGAGCAACACAGGCTCTGGATAATGAGGATGCACAGGCTTTAATCAGTCCTAGCAGGAGGTCTTGGCTTAGACAACTATGTAGTTGATGGTATCCCTATAGGAAAAAAAAATATATATATATATATGTTTTTGTGGTAGCAGGACAGAGTCAGTTTCAGACATTTGTTCAACAACTGTTGGTGTTCAACATATATTAGTATTTTGCACTAGGTACTATGTGCTAAAAGTATAGTAAGGAATAAAAATAGGGAAATAAACAAAAACAAAATAAAGAAACAGAGAAAATTCCTATTACCCTTTAGGAAAAACAACATAAAATAAAGTAACAGAATCTAGAAATAGAGAATAACAAGATAGAAGCCTACTATATACCACCATTATCAACCTGTCAAAATAAACATTGTCAGTAATGAGACAAAATGGAATCATGTACCACCTGATAGGATGCAATGAAAAAAACGCAGCATCAATTCTGTGATATTCTTGCCAAAATGCATTGCCTGACTCTAGTCACAAGGAAACCTCAGAAAACCTAAAGGGAGCCATTCAAAAAAGAAGGAAGGGAAAAGGAAAAAGTAAGGGAAAGAGGAGAGGAGAAGGAAGGGGAGGGGGAAGGGAAGGGGAGAGGGAAGAGAAAAAGGAAGGGGAAAGCGAAGGAGAAAGGAAAGGAGAAAAGGAAGGAGAAGCAAAGCAAAGGAAAAAAAGAAGAAAATATGGGCCAGAAATCTTGGTTAAGTTAGGTCTAAAGATCTATTCTTGATACAAGGACATTAAAAAGACATGACAATGAAAGGCAATGCATGATTCTGAACTTGATCCTTTTGCTATGAAACATTATTGGGACTATTGGTGAATTTTTTTTTTTTTTTGAGACGGGGTCTCCGTCTGTCGCCCAGCCTGGAGTGCAGTGGCGCGGTCTGGGCTCACTGCAAGCCTGGCCTCCTGGGTTCACGCCATTCTCCTGCCTCAGCCTCCCGAGTAGCTGGGACTACAGGCACCCACCACCACGCCCGGCTAATTTTTTCCTTTTTTTTTTTTGTATTTTTAGTAGAGACGGGGTTTCACCGTGTTAGCCAGGATGGTCTTGATCGCCTGACCTCGTGACCCATCCGCCTCGGCCTCCCAAAGTGCTGGGATTACAGGCGTGAGCCACCGTGCCCGGCTGACTATTGGTGAAATTTTAATGCGGACTTGATAATTAGATGTAGCAATATATTAATATTAATTTTCTGGTTTTGTTCGTTGTACTGTGCACGTATTGCATTTGGGGGGGCACATATATTACTGTAATAGATTTGTAATATATAGAATTATATATATGTATATACATATATAGACACAATTGTGTTTGTAGAAAATATATATGAAAGCAAGGTTTTTCAACTTTGGCACTATCGCTTCTGACATTTGGGCCACATAATTCTTTGTTGGGGGCATTTCCTGTGAATTGCAGGATGTTTAGCGACTTGGTTTGCCTTTAATAACTAAATGACAGTAGCATCCTCCTCACACCTTTCCCCAGGCTAACAACTAAAAATATCTTGAGATATTATCAGATGTTTCCTGGAGGGCAAAACTCCCCCTGGTTGAGAATCAGTCTACTAAAGTATTTGGAGATGACAGAGCATCAGGTTCGTTTCTATATATTATTAAAGTATCTTTCAAAGTTGAAGGTAAAATTAAGACATTTTCGGAAAAATTAAATGGGCCAATTTGTCACCAGCAAATCTGTACTACAAAACATGCTAGCAGAAGTTTTTTGGCCTGAAGGGAAATAACATCGAATCTAAACTCCAGATTAGAGGAAATGAAAAGCATAGAAATGGTAAGTATATGAGTAACAGGAAATACTTTTTTTTAATCTGTCGATTTTGTTGAAGGGAAACTGACTATTTAAATTTAAAAAGATATCATTTTATTGTGGGGTTTATGATGTGGATAGAAAAACTTATACTAAAAAAAATCACAAAAGACAGAGGGGGAATAAAGGAAATGTTACCGTCATCAGTTTTTGTTGTTGTTGTTTTGGGTTTTTTTAATAGACTTTATTTTTAGGGCAGTTGTAAGTTCACAGCAAAATTGAAAGAAAGATACAAAGATTTCTCATACATCATTGTGTCCACACAGGCACAGCCTGACCCCTTGCTGTCATTCTCCTCTGGAGTGGCACATTACTTACCGCTGATGAACCTGCACTGGCACATCCTTATCACCAAGGTCCATAGTTATATTAGGGTCCACGCTTGCTGTCATACATTCTATGAGTTTAGGCAAATTCATATACCAGTATAGTATCATGCAGAATAGTTTTCTGCCCTGAAAGTCTTCTGTGCATATGAATAGGATAGGTGGAGCACAGATCACTTTTTAGGAAAATGTTGCCTTGTTTTGATTTGACAAAGTAGGCAACACTATCAATCACTGGAGAGAATGTAAAAATAGAACAGATGTCATCAGTTTTTTACATTATATATGAAGTTGTCAAAAATTACCTCGAAGTAAAATTTAGATTAGTTAAGTATAAATTGATGATTATTGTAATACAAATAACTCAATACAAAAAAGCGTTGCAACTAACTCATCTATGCAATTTAAAATGAATACTTAAAATACAATTAAACAAAAATACGAGAAGAGAAACAAGAGATTGTACAGTTTTTAAAAGTGGCAACACATTTCATTTAACATATTTATGAACTAAATTATTCAATTACAAGGTAGAGACTGTCATATTAGACAAAAGAATGAGACCCAACTAATGTTGTCTACCAGAAACATATATTAAACATAAAGACACAGATAGATGAAAAGTAAACCTACAAGAAAAGATAAACCATATACACAGCAAGCATTAGGAAGCTTGTGTGGCTATATTAGCAAAATGCAATGTAGACTGGAAAAGAGGGTGCATTATAAGAGAAAATGGGGGCATTTCATAATTATGAAATAACCAATTCATCGGAGGACAATAATATAAGCAATATTATTGTCCTCCGATGAATTGGTTATTATATTATTGTCCTAATATGACATATATGTCCATAATTATGAAATGCCCCCATTTCATAATTATGAAAGGGACACCAACTTAATAATAAAGCCTCATAATTCATGAAGGAAAAAGCAGAATTGAAGGGAGAAATGGATAAATGACAATAATAATTAAAGATTTTAACATCCCTCTGTTCATCACTGATTGAACAGTAAGACAAACCATTCGTATGGCTATAGAACATTTCAACTTCATTATAAATCACCTTGATCTTATTGACATTTATAAAAACTACATTTCAAATGCTGAATATACGTTGTTTTCTTGTGTATTGAAAGCACCACCAACATAGGCCAAATGCTGAATCAAAGAGTAAGTTTAAATGAATTTAAGCTTTAGATTTTATAGAATATATTCTCTGATCACAATAAAATTTAATTTGAAATCGATGACATAAGAGATTCCTAGGAAACCCCCAAATAGTTGTAAATAACATGAAACACTATTTAACTCATAGTTCATAAAAGAAATCAAAAGATAATTTAGAAAAAATATGAAATAAGGAAAACAGTATATTAAATAAACATCTGCACCTAGATGTTTATTGCAGCACTATTCACAATAGGCAAGATATGGAATCAACCTAAGGGTCCAGCAACAGATGATGGTTAAAGAAAATGTGGTATATAGGCCGGGCACGGTGGCTCACGCCTGCAATCCCAGCACTTTGGAAGGCCAAGATGGGTGGATCACTGGAGGTCAGGAGTTCGAGACTAGCCTGGCCACCATGGTGAAACCCCATCTCTACTACAAATATAAAAATTAGCTGGGCATGGTGGCACGTCCCCAGCTACTCGGGAGGCTGAGGTGGAAGATCACTTGAATCCGAGAGGCAGAGGTTACAGTGAGCCAAGATCACACCATTGCACTCCAGAGCAAGACTCCATCTCAAGAAGGGAAAGGAAGGAGAGGGGAGGGGAGAGGAGGGGAAGGGAGGGGACAGGAGGGGAAAAGGAATAGATACACAATGAAGTACTATTCGGCCATAAAAGCAACGTGCATAGAAATGGAGTGTATTATGTGAGTGAAATGAGCCAAGAAGAGAAAGTTAAACATTACAGCTTCTCACTCATATGTGGAAGCTAAAATATTTTGATCTTATAGAAGTTAAAACAGAGGATGCTAGAGGCTGGAAAGTATAAGAGGGAGGGAGGGATAGGGAGAGATTTGTTAAAAGATTCAAAATTAAAGCTAGATAGGAGGAATAAGTTCTAATGCTCTATACCATTATGGTATGACAATAGTTAACAATAATATATAGCTTCAAATAGTTAGGAAAGGATATTGAATGTTCCCAAAACAAAGAAATGATAAATGTTTGCAATGATGGATATGCTAATTACCATCACCTCATCAGGGTAATTAAATATATACACTATGAGTACTGAAACATCACTATGTACCCATAAATATGCACAATTATTATGTGCCAATTAAAAAAATAAAATAAAACAAAATTATGATAATAAAAGCTTCATATTTGTGGTGTAGAGTTAAATTGAGAGGGTAATTTATTATTTGAAATTCTTCTATTAGAAAAATACATAGGTTTAAAAGTCAATGAAAAAATAAACAAATAAAACGTAATTTGAAAAAATAAAATAACAGGTAATGAAAGAAATAAATGAAATTGAAAGTAAATAAATTCACAAAGTGAAAAGTTCCTTTGAAAAAATCAGTAAAGTTGTTACATACTAGTAAGACTAAGAAAAAAGGACTGATAAAAGAAGAAATATCATTACAGAACCTCTATATTTAAATGATAATAACTATTATGAACAATTCCATACTCAAGAATTTGGCAGCTTAAAGTTCTTTAAAGAGACAAATTACCAAAGCTTATTTAAGAACAAATTCATAATGTGAATTTTTCTGTATCTATATGTATCCATATAGTCTAGGTTTTCTAATTTCTGGCCTATGGTTGCTCATAGTAGCCTCTAATGATCCTTACAATTTCAACAAAGAAATTCAGAAGAAATTGAAAAATTTATTGAAGCAGATAAAAACGGCAACACAACATACCAAAACCTATGGGATACAGCAAACAGCAGTAGTAAGAGGGAAATTTATACCTATAATTTCCAAGATCAAAAAAGTGAAAAACCTCAAATAAATAACCTGATGATACATCTTTTTTTAAGGTCACTATAAATTTTAATCTATGATATAAAATATTACCTACAGATATAATTGAACATCAGGTATCAGAAAATAAAACATAACAATGAAATGCAATTTTGTAAATACTTCTATGGTACAAGCATTATTTTCCTCAGATTCAACCTTTTAATTGTGTTTTGTTTGCTTTCTGAAAATCACACTTTATAAAGAACACAAGTAGAGCTTGTTAAAATGATTGTCACAGATGTACTGTTTACTAATTCAAAAAATACTACATTCATTCGCTCATATCAATTTTATTCATTAATTATGAAGAAGAAAATATAATATTCCATGCTTGTCATGAAATAGCGGTTTCTTCTTCCAGTCTAATCAGGGAACTAATAAATGCTTAGTTCATGGCAAAACTTCCATTTGATTTACATTGACTTAATTACCTCTTAGGGTCTAGCCTCATCAATGGAGAAAAAGCACTTTTTCTTGAGGCAACAGCACATTAACAGCACTGAATACAAAATATGGCAAATTCAATGGCTGTCAGCATTGCTTTAGGAATTTTGAGACTATAAAAAAACTATAACCATGAATAAAAGAAAAGGGCTTATTAATATCTTCTTTTTGGGAGAGTGATACATTCTGAAGGTTTCTTGTTATTCTGTTGAATAGCAAGGACTTCCAAACTTAAGTGTCTTAAGGCTGAAAATTAGTTACATTCCTCAGATTTTAGCCTTATTAATGAAATTCCAAAAGTATTATAAGATTTAGTATGTCTTGAAATTATAAATTTGTAACAGATATTTTTCAAAATACATGCCTTCAAACAACTTAAATGCAAAAATCATTCATTCTTAATAATACCTAGCAGTTCATCCCTTGCTTCCCAGAAGTACTCATACAAACATGTGAATTTAAAAAATAGATTTTTCTGTTCAAAAAATAAAGCTTCTGCCCTTTTAAAAACTTGTCAGGCTTTCATTTGCCAAAATGTTGAAAACTGCACATATTCAAACATAGTTCCCGTAGGAACACATATTCCTCAACTCTCACACCTTTGAAGACACAGGAGACGGGCAATATAAATGTTCCCTTCTTTCCAGCTGATGTTAAATAGTTAGGTTTGCTTCATGAGATTATCGGAATAAAGGGTTAAATTTTCATTTTCCATTACTCTATCTAGTAAAATTAGACTTAAAGTAGGTAGAATACTACCAGAGGAATTACACAGTGATTGGCAAACTGGCCTAAAATAATCAGGCTTTTTATTTATACTTCCCTTTTTAAAGTTGTCATTTGACAACAGCTTCCATCTTTAACAGCAGGCAAAAGAAAATGAGGTGCCATGCTATATTAATTAAAATATTCCACAATGAAAGAAAATACAAAACCTGAAAATAACTTCAGTGCTATAGACATTTAAAAAGTTACAATGGTTAAAACTCTGAATAAAAAGATCTTGAGAACAGGTACATTTCAAAGCAATATTTTACACGCTTTGGAAAAAATAGCTATTTTTCAAATAACTTGATATATGGTTTACATATTTCATGCAGTCTCTGAGGTTTTTTTTCTCTACAATACTGTTTTGCATTAAAGTCTCTCATGTTGTTTACCAGTAATTGTTTCCTTAGGCTGAAATAAAACTTTGCTTGTTCATTAGTTTTCTGTATATCCCATTTGGTTTTGAAAGCAGCTCTTCGTGTTTTCCATATTCAGTAATTTTTCCTTGGTCAAGAACAGCAACCATATTAGCATTCTTAATGGTGGAGAGATGATGGGCAATAACTAACGCTGTTCTTCCATCCATCAGTGGATCTAGAGCTTCTTGAACAAGGTACTCATTTTCAGCATCCAGCGCACTGGTTGCTTCATCTAGGAGAAGAATTTTGGGATTCTTCAGCAGAGCACGGGCAATTGCAATCCGCTGTTTCTGCCCACCTGAGAGGAGAACACCCTTTTCTCCAACCACAGTGTTGAACCCTTGGGGGAAATTCCGGATCAAGACCACTGCATTGGCCACTTCAGCCACTCTCTGGACTTGCTCAGCGGTCACAGAGGAAGGCCATCAGCACCATAAGCAATGTTCTCAGTGATAGAGCAAGAAAACAAAATGGGTTTCCTGTCTCACTGTCCCAATCTTGGATCTCAGCCACACTGGGTTTAGCTGACGGATGTCATGGCCATCAAGACTGATAGTTCCAGAAGCAGGGTCGAACAACCTCAGCAGGAGCGAAAGCACTGTTGATTTGCCAGAACCACCTGGGCCAACCAGTGCCGTGACAGATCCTGACGGAATGGAAAGGCTGAAATCCTGAAATATGGGCGCCTCTGGGCAAGCGGGATCGGCAAAATGCACGTTCTTAAACTCCAAAGCACCCTGGAAGCTTTTCTCATTTAAGATAACCCTTCCCCCTCCTTAAAAGGCAGATTGGGCTCTCTCTCCAGGAGCTCCCAGAGGCGCCCCCCGGCACCCAGTCCTTTCATCAGCTCCGAGTAGAAAAAGCTCAGACCTCCAATGCTTATTCCAACCCCGAAAGCATACATAGGAAGGAAGAGAGTTCACCCATGGTCATGTGGGCACTGCCCATCAGCAGCCCCCCTTTGTACAGGACAGAAAGCACAATCAGGTTTCCGGACAGCCTAGTTCTCCAAAGAAGCCAGCCTGAGCGAATGCCGCTTTCCTTGCTGACTACATCACATGGTCCACTTTGCTGGCCTATTTTTCTATTTCAGTCATTTCTTTCCCAAAAGCTCGAACAGTTCTTAACATTTCCAATACGTTCCTCCTGAGTGGCTTGTGCCAGCGAATCCTGGGTGACTTTGGTCAGTTTCCGTAGATATCGTCCATAAATTACATCAATGATTGACACTAGAGGCACCACACTCACAACAAAGGTGGCCCGATTAGGTGAGACACAAAACATCGTCCTGATGCCTACAGAAGCCCGGGCCCCGGCCCTGAGCCCATCTGAGAGGTTTTCAGTCACTGAGCGCCCCAGGAGTGCAGTGTCCGATGAGAGGCGGTTAATCAATTCCCCTGTGCCAGCCTTGTCAGAGAAAGCAACCTCCTGCCCCAGAATGGAGGAGAATAACGAAGTTCTCAGCCTCTTCACAACGCGCTGACGTGAAGTTTGCATGAGGTAGACACGAATGGCATTGGCGGCAGCACCACACAGAAACACGCCACTGAGGCCAAGGCAGAGGCGGGTCAGGTTGTCGCTGTAGTCCACAGTGGGGTTGGTATAGATGGCATCGATGATCTTCCCCAGGAAGAAAGGGGCAGACATGGAGATAACACCGGACATCGGAGAAATCCAACCGCAGCTGCCAGCCTCTGGCGCTCAGGGAACTCCAGCCCCAGGAGCTTCCCGGCCTCCGAGAGTCCGGGCGCCATGGGTCGTAGCCGCTGGTCGTCCCGGGAAGGCGCCGCCCGCCCGCTCCGCCAGGCCTCCTCCCCTGCCCAGGCAGTGGCGGTGGGACCGCCCGGGAACCCGGCGCGCGGGAGCCGAGGAGCGCCCGGCCGGCAAGAGCCCCGCACCTGCAGCTGCCGGGCCCAAGCCCACAGCCCCGGGAGCCGTCCGAGGCCCGCGTGGCCCCCCGAGCCGCCCAGACCCCCGCCCCGGCAGCAGCTCCTCCAGCGGCGCGCGGCTCCAACGCCCCAGAGCAGCGCCGGCCCCGCGCCCCATAGCCGCGCCAGCCTCGGGGCAGTGAAGGGCGATATGGACTGGGGGCGCGGCTGGCCGGGGCCCACACACAGGCTACCGGCAGGAGCCGCCCTGGCTCTGCGGGGCCCGTGGCGCCGATACATCTTAAAAGAACTAGAAAAGCAAGAATAAACCAGACCCAAAATAAGTATAGAAGAAAGGAAAGAATAAAGATAAGAGCAAAAATTAATGAAATTGAAATGAAAAAATACAAAATATGAACAAAACGAAAAGTTCGTTTTTTAAAAAAGATAAACCAAACCAGTAACCTTTAGCCACACTAAAAAAAAAACAAAAAACCCTAAATAAATAAAATCAAGATGAAAACGGGGACATTTTCATTGATACTGTAGAAATTCTAAGGATCATTAGAGGCTAGTATGAGCAACTATAGACCAATAAATTAGAAAATCTAGAATAAATGGATACTTTCCTAGATACATACAACCTAGCAAGAATGAACCACAAAGAAATCCAAAACCTGAAAAGACCAATAAGTAGTGAGACGGAAACAATTTTCCCAGGAAAAGCCGGGTGCAGTGGCTCACGCGTGTAATCCCAGCACTTTGGGAAGCCGAGGCGGGCGGATCACGAGGTCAGGAGATGGAGACCATCCTGGCTAACACGGTCAAACCCCGTCTCTACTAAAAAAAATACAAAAAAAAAAAAAAAATTAGCTGGGCATGGTGGCGGGTGCCTCTAGTCCCAGCTACTCAGGAGGCTGAGGTAGGAGAATGGCGTGAACCTGAGGGGCGGAGCCTGCAGTGAGTCGAGATCAGGCCACTGCACTCCAGCCTGGGCGACAGAGCGAGACGCCCTCTCAAAAAATAAAAAAAAGTTTCCCGGGAAAGAAAAGCCCAAGACCCGACGGCTTTACTCCTGAATTTTACCAAATATTTTTAAAAGTAGCACAAAATGCAGCAGCAGGATTCTCCTGCCCCAGCCTCCTAAGTAGCTGGGGCTACAGGTATGCACCACCACGCCTGACTAATTTAAAACTGTTTTTGTAGAGACAAGATCTCACTATGTTGCCCAGGCTGGTCTCAAACTCCTAGGTAAAATGATCCTCCCACCTCTGCCTCCCAAAGTGTTAAAATTGCAGGCATAAGCCAATTTTTTTTTTTTTTTTTTTTTAGTAGAGACGGGTTTGACCGTGTTAGGCAGGATGGCCTCGATCTCCTGACCTTGTGATTTTCAAAGCTGTTCGAGGGCATTTATCAGGCTTTTAACTCTAGGTACTCTTTCCCACAGTGTGAAGGCCAAGAGAAGGGATCCTGGGCTCTCTTCCCTGGCCCCAGGATGGGAATTCAGGGGGAAAAGGTCACCTATTCTCCTATTCTTATCCCACAAAAGAAAACTTATGCATCAGTTGTCAAGCTAAGGAGCTTCAGAGTCCACAAATAGGGAAATTGCTAAGAGCTTATCAGTAGTGTCCACTACCCATCCCCACCTGGGGTCACGTGGAGAATGATGGTGGGGGCGACGATCTTGTCCTACTTCAGGTGAAAAGCAGGGGTGTGGGGGGGTTTCATTGTGAAGGGCTCCTTTGTTAAAATTCCTTCCAATTCCAGGAAAAACATGCACTCGAAAGCCATTATCTCTTTTACTTCTTACTAGGGAACTTCCAGGAAAGAGACGGGGGGGGGGGGGGGGGGGGTGGGGAAGAAGAGGGCAAAACAGCTGAGTGAATGTAGTCACCTCTCCGATTGCTTTTCTTGTTGCAGAATATTTCACATGCCAGGATTTTCCTTCTTGTCCTCCGGACTGTTGATACACCCAACATCTTAATACGCTTTCAATCACAAGTTAAAGACATCCAGAGCCAGATTGCTTGAGCCTAGGAGTTCCAGACCGGCCTGGACAACATGGTGAAACCCAGTCATATATATTTTTTTTTAGGGGGAAATTTGCTCTTGCTGTCCAGGCTGGAGTGCAGTGGCGAGGTCTCAGCTTGCCAGACCTCCGTCTCCGGGGTTTGGGTGGTTCTCCTGCCAAAGCCTCCCGAGTGGCTGGGATTGCGGTGTGAGCCACCATGCCCGACTAATTCCTTAACTGTGCAACTACAAGGTCACTAAACAAATAAACTCAAGTCACAAAACATATTTTTCCTTAAATAGTAAAAAATAATATAATGCATGTTTCAATTAAATAACAATCTTTGTTTCTCGCTTCTATAATATACTTCTCCCTGCACAGATCTCCCCCTTCGCCCCACATAATGCTTGAAAGGTAACTCTTGGTTCAGTGCTCAATCCTTTAAATGTTAATCCGACTGGGCCGGTGCACCTAAATAATTAATAAATGTCCTCCTAAACCCCATGAGTCTATCTAATTCCTTAAAAATCCCTCTACAGGACTGCAGGTGTGAGCCACTGCACCCCGCCTAATTTATTAATCAGAGAGGAATAGATCGGCCTGGCGTGGTGGCTCACGCTTGTGATCCAGGGACTTTGGATGATGGAGCACTGGGGATCACTTGAGCCTAGGAGATCCAGACTGGCCTGGGCAACATGGTGGAACTCGGTCTCTCTCTTTTTTTTGTTTTTTTGGAGGCAGAGTTTTGCTCTTGTTGCCCAGGCTGGAGTGCAGTGGTGCAGTCTCGGCTCCCTGCCACCTCCACCTCTTGGGTTTGGGTGGTTCTCCTGCCTCAGCCTCCCTAGTGGCTGAGATTGCAGGTGTGAGCCACCATGCCCGGCTAATTTTCTTTTTTTTTTTCTTTTGGTACACACAGGGTTTCTCCCTGTTGGTCAGGCTGGTCTCAAACTCAGGACCTCAGGTTATCCGCCTGCCTTGGCTTCCGGGGATGCTGGGATTGCAGGCGTGAGCCAGCGCGCAAGGCCCAATTGATTAATCAGAAAAAAATAAATCAGCCTGGCGTGGTGGTTCACGCTTGTGATCCCAGGACGTCGGACGGCCGAGCGCTGGGGATCACTTGAGCCTAGGAGTTCCACACCGGCTTGGGCAACATGGTGAAACCCGGTCTCTCTTTTTTTTGGCGGGGGGGGTACAGGCAGGGTTTCTCCATATTCATCAGGCTGGTCTCAAACTCCCGACCTCAGGTTATCTGCCCACCTCCTCGGCCTCTGGGGATGCTGGGATTGCAGGCGTGAGCCAGCGCGCCCGGTCCAGTTTATTAATCATAAAGGACTAGATCGGCCTGGCATGGTGGCTCACGCTTGTGATCCCAGGAATTTGGACGGCAAGCGCGGCGGATCACTTGAGCCTAGGAGTTCCAGACCTGCCTGGGTAACATGGTGAAACCTGGTCACTTTTTGTTTGTTTTGAGGCGGAGATTCGCTCTTGTTGCCCAGCCTGGAGTGCAGTGGTGAGGTCTTGGCTCAACGGGCCTCCGCCTCCAGGGTTTGGGTGGTTCTCCTGCCACAGCCTCCCGAGTGGCTGGGATTGCACGCGTGAGCCACCATGCCCAGCTCATTTTGTTTTTTGTTTGTTTTTGTTTTTATTGTTGGAGATGGGGTTTCTCCATGTTCATAAGGCTGGTCTCAAACTTCCCACCTCAGGTTATCCGCCCGCCTCGGCGTCCGGAGGTGCTGGGATTGCAAGCGTGAGCCAGCGCGCAAGGCCTAATCTATAAATCAGAAAGGAATAGGGCCGGGGATCCCTTGAGCCTAGGAATTCCAGACAGGCCGGGGCAACACGGTGAAACCCGCTCTCTCTTTTTTTTTTTTTTTTTTTTTTTTTTTTTTGCGGCAGTTTCACTCTTGTTGCCCGGTTGGAGTGCAGTGGCGCGGTCTCAGCTCCCCGCAGCCTCCGCTTCCCGGATTTGGGTGGTTCTCCTGCCTCAGCTTACCAAGTGGCTGAGATTGCAGGCATGAGCCAACATGCCCAGCTCTTTTTGTATTTTTTTTTTTTTTTTTTTTTTGGTATAGACGGGGTTTCTCCCTTCGTCAGGGTAGTCTCAAACTCCTGACCTCAGATTACCCGTCTGCTTCGACCTCCCGGGGTGGTGGGATTGCAGGCGTGAGCCACCATGCCCAGCTTATTTTTTTTTCTTTTTTGGTAGAGACGGGTTTCTCCATGTTGGTCAGGCTGGTCTCAAACTCCCGACCTCAGGTGATCCGCCCGCCTCGGCCTCCCAGGGTGGTGGGGTTGCAGGAGGGAGCCACCGCGCCGGGCGCAATTTATTAATGAGAAAGGAACAGATGGGCCTGGCGTGGCGGCTCATGCTTGTGATCCCAGGACTTCCGATGGCCGAGCGCTGCGGATCGCTTGAGCCTAGGAGTTACACGCCGGCCTGGGCAACATGGTGAAACTCAGTCTCTCTCTCTCTCTCTCTTTTTTTTTTTTTGAGAGGGAGTTTCACTCTTGTTGCCCAGGCTGGAGTGCAGTGGCAGGGTCTCAGCTCCCCGCAGCCTCAGCCTCCCGGGTTTGGGTGGTTCTCCTGGCTCAGCCTCCCGAGTGGCTGGGATTGCAAGCGTGAGCCACCATGCCCTGCTAATTTTTTTTTTTTTTTTTTTTTTTTTTTTGGTAGAGATGGGGTTTCTCCATGTTACTCAGGCTGGCCTCAATCTGACCTCAGGTTATCCGCCCGCCTCAGCCTCCCGGGGTGCTGGGATCGCAGGCGTGAACCACCGCAACCGGCCCAATTTTTAATCAGACAGGAATAGATCGGCCTGGCGTCATGGCTCACGCTTGTGATCCTAGGATTTTGGACGGCTGAGTGTGGCAAATCGCTTGAGCCTAGGAGATCCAGACCCGCTTGGGCAACATGGTGAAACCTGTTTTTTTTTTTTCTGAGACGGAGTTTCCCTCTTGTTGCCCAGGCTGGAGTGCAGTGGCGCGGTCTCGGCTCGCCGGGCCTCCGCCTCCCGGGTTTGGGTGATTCTCCTGCTTCAGCCTCCTGAGTGGCTGGGATCAAGGGCGTGAGCCACCAAGCCTGGCTACTTTTATTTATTTATTTATTTATTTATTTATTTATTTATTTAGGTTGAGATGGGGTTTCTCCATGTTGGTCGGGCTGGTCTCCTGCTCCTCACCTGGGGAGATCCGCCGGCCTCGGCCTCCAGGGGTGGTGCGATTGCAGGCGTGAGTCACTGTGCCTGGCCGGAAACCCAGTCCCTTAACGGAAAAACAAAACAAAAACCACAAAGATTAGCCAGACCTGGTGGGCCCCCCTGGGTACTCCCAGCTACCCTGAAGGCTGATGCAGGAGGATTGCTTGAGCCCGGGGTGGAGGTGGCAGTGAGCCATGATGGCGCTGCTGCAGTCCAGACTGGGTGATAGAGCAGGACTGTGTCTCAGGAAAAGGGAAAGGAAAAAAAGAATAATAAAGAAAAAGAAGTATATAAAATTGCTAAATCCAGGAACAGCTTCACAGTATATTGAGAGAAATAGAGGCAAAGGTTAGCAGACACCAATGTTCACTTAGTGGAACTGCAGTTGTCCCCAGACAGGAGGCTGCTACTTTTACAAAAGAAATCTATTATTGACAAAAAAAAAAAAAGGTGGTTTGTTACAATACACAAATAGCTAAACTTTATATAGCCACGACCCTCTTCTAGCACTGCTCTAAGCCTTTTCCTGCTCTGGAATAGCTACTATTGTTACCTCCATTGTAGAGAAAACAGATGGGGGAGGTTGTTGTGGAAGGACCAGGGAAACTGACTATGAAATTGACTTGTAAGTTGAGGACTTAAAGGTTCTTCCTGCTTTGCTCCTTACATTGCCACATTTTAGTTAACATACCTCTTAAAATACTGGTCCTTTCTGTATTTGGAGGGACTCCTCTTGCAGTTTGAAGTTTTTTCTTACACTAAGCATCTGGTTAGAAGATCATCTCCATTTTATGTCAGTTTAAGTTTAGACATTGTTCAGTAAGGAATGTAAATATGAGCAAACAGTTATCTGATTGAAATAGATAAACTAGAAAAAAAGTCACCTATGAGAAAGTCAACAAAATGTCAACTCTGGATTTGTGGCTATTTTCAGAATATTAATTTTTTGATATTTAATGGCATTGTGAATATATTTATTTTTAAGAATTCCTTGTCTTCTACAGATACATATAAGGTAATTAAAAATGATAGGATGTATAGGTTTTACTTCAAAATCATTCAGAGGAAGAAGGAATGTATATAAATGAAGTGGGAATATAAATGAAACAAAACTGGCTGTGGCCAGGTGTGGTGGCTCACGCCTGTAGTCTCAGCACTTTGGGAGACCGAGGCAGGTGGATCACCTGAGGTCAGGAGTTCAAGACCAGCCTGGCCAACGTGGTGAAACACCATCTCTACTAAAAATACAACAATTAGCCGGATGTGGTGCCGGGTGCCTGTAATCCCAGCTACTCGGGAAGCTGAGGCAGGAGAATCGCTTGAACCTGGGAGGTGGAAGTTGCAGTGAGCCAAGATCATGCCACTGCACTCCAGCCTGGGCAACCACAGCAAAATCCCACCTTTAAAAACAAACAAACAAACAAAAAACAACCAAAAAAAAAAAAAAACTGTCCATACCATGAATGAAAAATTGTTGATGATGTGTATATGTAGGGCAATTATATCATTTATTATATATAATATATATATTATTTTTCTCAACTTTTTTTTACATCTGAAACTTTCTATTGAACACATGGACATGTCCCTTGATAACTGGGGCTGCTTCCCCATTATTCTCTCAGCAGCCCTTCTGATTTTCACTCCATCTTCATTCTTAGAGATTCTGGATTTTATTTTTTTTTGGGGGAAGTTCAAGTATGTCTTTGCAAGGATTATCCAGCATGTCTACCTACTCAATCATATTATCAGAAACAGAAAAAGTGTCCAGATTCTTGTCTTGTCCTGTTCAGATTTTTTAAATTCCAAGAACAGTCACCTTCTACCAGACACTCTGATGTTGGAAGACAAAGCATATTTGGTAAGTGGCATGATTTCTGGGCTCCGATTTAGAACAGTCACAGCTTTCAACAATCCAAAAATAGCTGACTGTGACTCACCATATTTAGAAAGATGGAGATTATTAAAAAAAGAAAACCTTAATTTATTATGTGACCGCTAAGTGTCTCGGCTGAAAATTGTAAAGATAGAAAGGTAAATCAAAAGATACAGAGACTGTAATCATGCAGTTAATAAAGCGCTAAATCAAAATGTATTTGGCATATGTGAAAGAGTTTAATTTTATCCCATTTTCTACTGGCACTATAGGTATTTGTAAGTACATATAAAACTACAGTGTTACATATAAACTACCAAAAAGGAACTTAAGAAACGAGACTAATCTAGCAACTTTATTTAAAAGTTTATCTTAAGGGAATAATTAAGGATGTCCATACAAAAGGATTTAGCCATGACACGAGAATGTTCTTCCTGGCAAATCAATGGAAATTATTAAATGTGCAAAAGGGAACTGTTGGAATAAATTCTAATGCCTTCATATGATCGTATGTCGTAACCTTTTAAAATGATATTAAAGAGTTGCATACATTGACTTAAACAGATATTCATAACACATCACTGAATAGGAGAAATACGGGCCAGCAAAGAACATAGAGTTGGTCCAATTTCTACAAAAAAAAGTAGACTAATAGCATGACAGCAGGGAAGGGGGAATATGTCAATGTATGTGTGTATATATATGTATGCATAGCAAGTATGAACTTGAAAGGATATATATCAAATTGTTTACACAGATTACCTCAGAGAGGTAAATAACTGGCCTTTGGTGTTCTGTGTTCCATAGATTCTGAATTTTCTTTTTTTATTTAAATAGAGATGGGATCTTAGCCAGGAGCAGTGGCTCACACCTGTAATCCCAGCACTTTGGGAGGCTGAGGAGGGCGGATTGCTTAAGGCCAGGAGTTCAAGACCAATCTGGCCAACATGGCAAAACTCTGTCTCTACTAAAAATCCAAAAATTAGCCAGGCGCAGTGGCTTATGCCTATAACCCCAGGTACTCGGGAGGCTGAGGCATAAGAATTGCTTGAACCAGGAGGCGGAGGTTGCAGTGAGCAGAGATTGCACCACTGCACTCCAGCTTAGGCAACAGACCGAGACTCTGTCAAAAAATAAAAACAAAACAAAACACCACCACCAACAACAAAACAGTAATAAAGAGAAAATCTTATGGACAGGAGCAATGTCTCATGCCTGTAACCCCAGTGCTTTGGGAGGCCAAGATGGGAGAATCGCTTGAGCCCAGGAGTTCAAGACCAGCATGGGCAACATAGCAAGACCTTTTCTCTACAAAAAATTTAAAAATTAGCCAGGCATAGTAGTGCATGCTTATACTCCCAGCTACCTGGGAGGCTGAGGTGGGAGGATCACTTGAGCATGAGAGTTGGAGGTTGCAGTGAACTGTGATCACACCACTGGGAAGCCATGACCCCATCCCTGCCTTCTTCCTCTGTCCTATGCTAGCAATAAGTAAGTTTCCCAGCCACAAATAATTATTAGAACCTCCTCCCCATGTGCCACCTCCAACCACCGCTAGGTATGATACAGGGGTGGCCCTACCCTCTGGAATATACAAAACCTTACACAGACACAATATATACACCGGGGAAGGGGGGCCACCCCAGCAGCCCATGCCTTCGCCTGGTCCACAGTTAGCCCCACTGTCCTGCCTCAGCTACCTCTCTGAATAAGAAGATTGGAGCCCCCACTGAGGGAAAAGTTGCTATGGTGAGAGTAAGGAGGCCATGAGGCCTCCTCCAAACAAACCAACTCCACCAGCCTCTGGCTCTTAAATAACAATATCATCCAGAAATTTAAGGACTCAGCTCTGGTCAAGGTGGCAAAGGGTCTGTTTGTCTTTCCTCGTTAGACAGTGGTCTTGTCTTGCTACCCTAATTGTAAAGGGGTGACTGGGAAGGGGAGATAGGGACAGTGTGGTGGTGGAGAGACCCCAGCCCCACTTCTCCAGGCTTTGCTGACAGGGGCCTGCTTTTAATTTTTATTTTTATTTTTATCCCATGCCTTTTTTTTTAAATCCCATAACTTCTTTTTCATAACTTTTTTTGGTAACTTTTCATAAAACTTTCTTCTACTTTTTGGTCACAAGATTTTTTTGCCACAACTTTTTTACATTTTTTATCCCATAACTTTTTCACCCCATAACTTTTGTTAATCCCATAACTTTTTTATTTTGTGTTCTTTTAATAAACCCTTGCATAGTTATATTACAATTTTGTAAAAATGAAACATTATCTCATGCCAAGCATGCTCAGCATTTGCACAGTATCAATACCTTTAATACTATATTTTTCAAGACACACAGAATAAAATTTTAAGGCAAAAACAGCACTTTGCAACAACTTAATAATTTATTACATTACAGTAGCATCACACCAGCAGTCAATAATGCCACTTTAGGCAAAAGTCTTTCAGTATTTCCGTTTTACATTCCGCTTACAAGAATTCATAAATTGGTAAAATTCATTCTAAGAAAACTTGGCAAATAAAGCTTTGGACTGGAATTGGCATTTCTTTCTCTACTTTTCCTTCCCACCATTTATTTCCTTTACAGTATTCATATTTTAAAATGTTTTAACTTATTTCAGAACATTAAGATAGCAGTTACATTGTTTAATAGTTATTTTAAAATGACTCTTTCAGATAAAGTTTTAGAGAAACTATAGTATGGATAGGGCTGATTTACATTTTCAAATTTTCTAAAAATCAGCTTTGGTTTTAGAGCTGATTTTTGTTCATTTCTGGAAAACCTATCAGATTTAATCCAATACTTTAAAAATGATTATTATATATTGCACTCTTTAAATCGGTGATTTGATTCTTCCTACAGAAATTCAAATTTATTGAATTGAACTCACATTTTAGAATTCTGTTTCTGATGAACTCTAACCTTCCAATGTTGCCTTCTAAGCAAATTGAAAGCTGCCTTATACCGAATGAGGAAGAATACCAATACTTGGCTGAATGAGGTATCGCAAAAGACTGCAATGCACTTTGAAGAAAGACTTAAGTTATAGTCATGCGATTTCCATTCTTTTTAGCTTTTTCTTAAATATACGACAAATATCTACACAAAGAGTGGTATTTCTGTTAATACAGTCAATTTATTTTCCAGATTGACATTCAGCTTAAATATGCCAGTATGTGATTTAATCCATAGGCACCTGATGAACACATTATTGTCAGATTGGTTACAGATGCTCGTAGTTGTCTTTAAACTGAACTCAAAGAATGCAAAAACATCAAGTTCAGAAAATAAAAGGCAAGGACAGGACTTTAAGTGCATTTTAAAGCCACGGGCTAGAAATCGTACCACTGTTAACTAGCCGCATTATTTGGTCTAACATTTTTTCTTTATCATTCTGAAACTGGGTTTATCTAATACATTGATACATTCATACAATTTGGAAGAGTCCGTTGAAGTCACAAGGACCCGATATTTGCACTCTTTCAGTGATTGCCGGCAAATCTGTTATTCCATCGGCAAAATCGTACTGCTGCTCTCCTGTTAATGTCGTATTTATAAAAGTATCATGAGGATGCCAACTGCTAAAAATGGAGATGGTCTAGTAACTAGAAATCCCCACCCCAGGGAGCACACATACATATCTCCCTACATCCTAATAATGTGATGTGTTTTGGAACACAGACATTAGAACTTCATGAAGTTTTAACTGTTGAGTCTTTCCCAAGCATCATCAAGTTATGATTTAGGCAATGTACAACTGAAATTCATTCATTCATCATGCATAGGCACAATCACATAAATACTGCACAAAATATGCCCGTAAGTGAAACCCAGAGGTACAGAAACACATTTCACTCTTCACAAAGAAGTTTGTGAGGAAATATAACTCTGTGATTGTATAGACATGTTTCCTGATAATACACTGACATTCACCAACAGTAGATTGCACTGCAGTTTGTACACATTTTAAGTTGCATAAACTTCTCCTTGATTTTCAAAGATAGTATAATACTGTCTACTAAAACTCCTTTTTGTTTCAACTAAGCACTCTCACATATATTAGTTTATAACAATGTTTATTATTATTTCAAAGTGTTTTCCATTCAAGGAAAAGAAGTCAATTCCTATGTCAAAGTAACCAAGGTGGTTGAAGAATAGGCAGAGTGGTCTAGATGGTAAAATCAATCTTCAAGCCTCAAAGAAGCTCCATGAACAGAGGAATGCCAGGTGTCACACAGCTTTCCTTCACTCTAATTCATTCTTGACTAGAGCCTGTATGCGTGTTCCAGGGACATTTAAACTCTTAAAGGATTTCTTCTGATCTTTACTAAATACATTAAGAAGAATGCCAACCAGTGCCCTTTTGTGTACTGGGACATGCAGTCATGTGATTAAAACAGGTAACATGAACTCTGACTTTAAAATATAGATACAAATGCTCTAAGCTAGGAAAGGTTTTCCACATCCATAGTCAATGATGGGAACCTTTCATTCCTCAGAAATAAGCCCTTTTTAGGTCATCAAAAAAGAGTACAACTGCTGCAGCTCATGATGCAATATCTTCATGAGCCCAGAGCACATACAAATCCTAAAGGAACTACAATAGTACAGCACTAATTCTTGGCAACAGAACAAATGAAACACACTCTATCTTGCACATACCTGCCAGAGCAGGCAACTTTCCTCTTCTGTGAAATTTAAAAAGCTCCCCCAAAATGTTATTACTCCCATCACCAATACACAGAAAATGAGGGAAAGGCTGTTTCCAGTTCTCGGCCTTTAAACAACTCTAAATGTCAGTACTCTTGGTGGCATATTACAAAGTATTAAATAGTGCAAACTTGGGGCAAACCACATATTGTGCTAATGAAGAGCTCACTGTGATTAAGATTAGATCAAACAATAGCAGAACATAGGCAAATTTTATCTGAATTCTGTAATGAATATACATGCTTCAATAACATTAAAAACACATGGCAGCCTATTCCAAACCAGCAAGAATAGTTTTGTGCAAATAGTGGGTCTTTGTGTGTTTGAACTCCCACCACGTAAGGGCAAACTCAATATGCATGCTAATGACCTACAATCATGAAATTGAAAAAGAAAATTGCGAAAGTATGCCAGAGTGAACATCAGTGAAAGCCACAGAGACCCACTCTCTTTTAACTATTTACAAATAAACTTAAACTATAAATTAGAAACACAAATAATCATAAGTGGCTATAACATTCAAACGAAGTAAATGAATTGTGTAGGAGATTAACCCCATAACTTTGTTTCTTTTTTAAAAATTTCTTGAGCAGCTCTTTGACGATGGTCATGTTTATCTCCTTCTTCTTGGCAGCCAAGCCCAGCAAAAGAATGGCACACAGCAGTTGCTGCCCAAGCCTGGGTGCTCCTGGTGGTCCTGCACGATCGGCTGTGCAGTAGGGTTGTCGTGGGGAGAACCCTCCCTGGCCTCTCCTTGCACAGGCTCCACGCTGTCAGTGAGGCTCACCTCACAAAGATCTTTGGAGAGAGGGAGGCGGGGATCTGAGCTCAGTGAGAGCCCCCCTGCTCCTGCCTGCCCACCCCGCCTGAGGGCTCTACTCACCACCATGCTTGTGGGCAGCCCCAAGCTCCTGGGGGGCTGGGGCTCCTGGACTGGGCTCATGAGCAGGGTTCTGGGCAGTCACCAAGAATTTGCTGTGTCCCTTGTAGTCGCCACCAGCTGCAACACCATCTCCTGCAGCTCCAGCAGCTTCACCTGGAGGGAGGGGTGCTCAGCTGTCACGCTGCTGCCAGCGCTCACCGTCACAGCCACCCCCACCCCCGCAGAGATGTTGCACACTCTACCTTCATCTCCTCCCTGTCCAGGGCCAGCCTGATGGTGTCCTCCTCCCGGTGCTGCATCTTTGGCACTGCCCCCTGGCTTTGTTATAGGGTGATAAACTTTCCTGCGGGAGGACAGGGCTCAGACGCTGGGGCCCCTCCAACAGCCCTGCAGCTCCCCCTGCCATGCCCTGGCCTCCCACTCACTGATGGCATCTCTCTCTGTAGTACTGGAAGAATCCAAGTTCTTCTTTCTCCACCAGCTCACTCAGGTCTGCCTTCTCCTCCAGGTGGTCCATAAAGCCGCTCTGGAGCCAAAATAATGGGGTCACATCTCGCCAGCGACCTGCCCTCAGGTGGCATTTTCAAGTCATGGAGAAGGCGGAGGTGAGTTCCGGCATGGGCCAGCTTCTCCATGACTTCCTGCAGGGCCCGGTGGGTCTCCCCACTCACAGACTCGCCCCCAGGCCCTGGGGCTGGGACCGCTGCCTCTGGCTCCTTCTGGGCCGAGGCCACCGGGTGAGCCAGGCGCTGGCAGCACACCCTCTGCTCTTTCACCTGCTCTTGTAACTGTGCCTGCTTCTCCTGGGCACTAGCTCCAGCGGACTTGAAAAATGCCACCTGAGGGCAAGATGTGAGCATTCTTCTAGGGGCATACACAGAAGAAATGGGGCAGAGAGGTGGAGCGCAGCCCCTTCCCTTGGGGCCTCAGAGAGTGCACCTGTTGGCCACAGGTGAAATGGTGTCTGACCACTGGCTCTCGGAAGGGGTGAGGGTCCAGAGAAACCAGAAGGCAGGGAAACGAAGAGCATAAAGGGGTCTTGGAGGGACCACAGAGAAAGGTGGCAAAATGGGTGCAGGGGGAGTCAGGCTCACCATGGCCTCCCTGCTCTCCAGGTCCTCTGGGACACTCGGCATGGGCCGAGGTGCCTCCTCCCCCTCACTGTCCAGATGTTCTCCTCCGTGTCCTGTTGGGGGTGGCCAGAGGGGTCTTCAGACAACTCAACAAGGGAAGTATTGTGGGCCCACCTCTGCCTCCACCCTCATTGTGTAACCCTGAGCCAGGCCCTCCCCAGAGAGGAATGAGCTGCTGTTATTTATTTTTACTTTGAAGAACCAAGATCTTGCTATACTGCCCAGGCACATTCCCACTACTGGTCGGTGTGGGAGTTCTGACCTGCTCCCTTTCTGACCTCGGCCAGTTCAGCCATCCTTAGGCAACTTGGTGGCCCCCCGCTCCCAGGAGGTCACCATATTGATGCTGAACTTAGTGCAGGCACCCGGTTAGTATAATGACCAGCTGTTCTAAAGGTCTCTTCCAACTCCTCAATCCTATGCTGCTAGCAGTCCCCCCTTCCTCCTGGGGCTCTCTCCTCTTCCTCTGAGCGGTCTCCCGTACCTTCCCCAGGGAGAGCCATGAGGCTCAACTGGGCCGTTAGCTGCTGGTTCTGCTGGCTGGCAGCTTCCAGACGCTCCTAAGGGGCCAGGAAAGAGTGAGAAGGCACAGAGTTTGCCAGGTCGTCCCCCTCACGGCCCCATCCTCGGCAGCTCCCTCCCCTGGGCCTCCTGCAACTTTTGGCAGGCCATCTCGGCCACCGCTTTGCCCCAAGCTTCCTGCTGCTGCAGCTGGTTCATTAGCTGGGTCTGCTGCAGTCACTGCCTGTACAGCGCCTCCTTCTCACAGGTCAGCTGCTGATAGGCGGCCACCTGCTGCTGATAGGTGGCCACGTACTGCTGCAGGTGACCCAGGTAATGGTCTGGCTGCTGCTGCAGACTCTGAGCCTCTTGGCTCTTCAGCTCCACCTGCAGGAAGACCCTGGGTGTGAGGGCACGTGGTGGCTGGTTTCCAGATTCTGGGCCCATTAATAGGGTAGCGAGGGCACTGTGGGGCTCTGTCGCCTGCCCAGGCCCCTGGCCCCTTACTCCAGGCCTAAGTGACTGCCTCCCTTTCCTAGAACCCCATGCCTCCTTCCCCAGCCTCAAATCTCATGTCCTCTTCCCACCATTTCAACTGTAGGCCACAGAATGGTAGAAAAGTAGTGGGAGCCAACCACCATCTGCTAAATGTGCTACAGGCCTAATGCTTCCCATGTATTATCTCATTTAATCCTCAGCACCTCTGTAAGGAAAATGCTAACTTCCTTTTGAAGTTAAAGAAACAGAGACTTAGAGATGTGAAGTACTTGAATGGTGACCAGTGGAACTGAGGCTGGAATCCAGTTTTAATCTAAGGAGTCTTTTTGTTTTGTTTTGAGACAGAGTGTCACTCTGTGGCCCAGGCCGGAGTGCAGTGGTGCAATCTCAGCTCACTGCAACCTCCACCTCCTGGGCTCAAGCAATTCTCGTGCCTCAGCCTCCTGAGTAGGTGGGATTACAGGCATGCGCCACCACCATGCCCCACTAATTTTTCTTTCTTTTTTTGTTTTTTGTTTTTGTAATTTTAGTAGAGATGAGGTTTTACCATGTTGGCCAGGCTGATCTCAAACTCCAAACCTCAAGTGATTCTCCTGCCTCAGCCTCCCAAAGTGTTGGCACTATAGGCGTAAGCCACCGCGTCTGGCATAAGAAGACTGTTATACCACTCTGTCTCTTCCCCTGTGATTGGGGGTGCTCCATGTCTCTAGCTGGAATGATGATGTCCAGACCTGGGAGGAGCCCAGGGCTACCCACCTCTAAAATCAGAGGGCAGGAAGCAAGAAACAGCCACAGGACTGCCCTGGAGGGTGCTGGGGTCACCTGCCCCCGGGCTGGAGCTGCCTCTGGCCTGGCACCTCCCCTCCCCAGAGGCTGGTGCCCACCTCCCAGACCTTCTTGGATGGGGTGGAGGTTACCGTCTCCTTCACCTTGCCTAGCTTCTCCTGCAGCTCCTTTACTTGCTGCTCCAACTGTAGTACGCTCTTGTTCTCATTGTTCTGGACAGAGAGAAGCAATCAGCAGCCACCCACTGCAGCTGGAGACCCCAGAACTTGGTGACTGCCTCCCATGGCACCGGGAAGGGTGGAGGCAGGTTAGAAAAATCATCCCCTGTCTCCCACAGCCACCAGAGCAGGGCTCTGGCTCACAGGTGCCTTTAGGAGTAACATTTCACTTGAGGGCTACACTGCCCCATTTTATAGGTGGGGAAACAAAGGCCTGGAGGGCTAGGGAGGAGGGCAGGCTCCCCAGCTGGGGCAACGCACCAGCTCCTTGAAGCTGTTCTGTGGCTCGGCCAGCTGCTGAAGCCTCTCCTCCTGCTCTGGAAGCCTCTCCTGCTGCTGCTGAAGCCTCTCCTCCTGCTCCCGAAGCCTCTCCTTTTGCCCCTCATTCAGGAGACTTATGCGCTGATTGTACTCCACCTGGGCCTGGAGCGCTCCTGCCACTCTCTCTAGTTCCTTCCTCAGGTGCTGCAGCTCCACCTCAGAGGGCACTGCTGGGGGCTCCGGGGGCAGAGGTTCAGCTGAGAAAGGAAGCAGATAATAAGAGCCTCTGGATTCCAAAAAAAAAAGAAAAGAAAAGAAAAGAAAAAACCCTCCTCTTGGCGCACAGCTCCTCTCCGGCTCCTCAAACTTAGCCTCACTGCTAATGATTCCTCGCACCCAGATGGGTAGCCAGTCTTCCAAAGCACTTTCAGAGAAAGAGCACTGCGGGTGGCTGACAACGGGCCCTCTTTGCTGATGGGGACACTGAGGCTCATTGAGATGACAAGACTTGCCGTCTCCTGGCACAGACCTCTTTCCCTCTGCCTCAAAGCCCTTCCATCCACCCACCTCGCTGGGGCACTCCAAGCCACCCTCACAGCCCTCTGATGCCAGTCCTGCTGCCAGGTCACGCCAGCCCCATCTTACCCATCTGGTTTTTGAGTTTGGACAAGCTCCTCTCCAGCTTCTCTACCCGATATTTATCATGCTTCTTCTCCTTCTTCAACGAGCAAACCTGCCCAAAGCACAGGGGGAAAGGGCCCTGGAGAGAGGGGCTGGAGGCTGGACATGCTACCATCTCTCTCTCTGCCCCCACCTCCACAAAGCCCAGACCCATGACCACCTCTGGCTGTACTATTCCCATTTTACAGGTGCCCAGAAAGATCCAGTGACCTATCTAATGTGGGGGGGCTGAAGGGTCAGATCTCACCTCCTGTGACATTTTTCTCATCCTCTGCTGCCACCGGGCCCTCTCTCCTTTTAGATGTTCAGCATATTCATCCCTCTCTAGCTGGACTTCTTTAAGTGACTCCTTCAACTGCAAGAATGGGCACAGAAATTAGGAAGGGCTGTCACTGGTCCTCACCTGCTCCTGGTTACCTGGGGTCATCTTCCTTCCACATCCCTCCCTCTGAACACCTCACCTGTGTCAGCTGCGCTTTCAGCAGTGCCTGCTCCCGCATGGACTGCTCTAACTTCCACTCCATACGTGCTTTACTGCGGCTGGAGAACTGCTGAAGAGTGAGAAGTTTCAATCTGGGGAGGCCGGGCCATTCCACACAGTGCCCCTTAAAAGGGCCAGGGCTAGGCCCAATATACAACTCGGTCAGTAAAGATCAAGGCATTTCCAAGCCCGTGGTTTGGTTTTTAAAGAACTCAGTAAAGTTGGAAGGGACAGGGAAAGAGATCGAATTTATAGCTGGCTAACAGAGGCCCAGAGAGATCAGATAATATTGCTATTGTTATTACTGTTATTATTACCACTGTTTGAACTTTTATGGAGTGCTTCACCAGATACCATGCTAGCAATCCCATTTAATCCTCGCAACCACCATGGGAGACAGTTACTATGATGACCTCTATTGTGTAGATGAAAAAACATGGAGTATTTGAGGTTAAGTGCTTGCCTAAGATCACTTAGGCAGAGCTGGGATTTAAACACCCAGATCTATCCAATTCTCTAAGCCCATTTTTCTTGCTGGGGGTGGGGGCACAGCTAGGAAGGGGAAAATTAATCTTTTGTTCACTTTTTGAAAGGATAATACATTCACATAGTCCCAGACTCAGAAGGTACAGAAGGGAAGTATCTCCCAGCCACCCTGTTGCTCTCTCCTGAGTTTTTATGAACACTTGCAAACATATTTTATGTATATTATCATAATATGTACACACACACACACACGTTTCCTCTCTCTACAGAAATGGTAACATACTAAAGGTACTCTTCTGTACCTTCACAGTACAAGTACCCAATACCCACTGAGGACTTGGCCAAGACCACAGCCAGGTAAAGGCATGGCAGGCACTTGGCCTCCAAGCTCTACGTCCTGTGCTCTCTCCCCAGAGTGCCCCCCAACTCACCCACAGCAGCTGACTCAGTCCCAAGCTGCCGCTAACAACCATACAAAAAAGCAGTGAGAAATGGCCATGCTGCCTTCTGGGCAGGACACTCCATCCTGCAGAAGGGACCTTTAGGCTCACTCCTCTGTCTGTGAAGCCAGGCTCCCAGGGGACGGGGCAGGTGGTTGGACTCACCCTCTCCGCCTTCTTCTTCTGTGTGGCGGTGACAGCAGAGAGAGCCCGCTCTAACTCTCCTTTACGCTGCAATGAATGTTGCAGACGGACGGCCAGATCCTTGGACTCTTCTGTAATGAGAGAGTTGAGATGGGGCCCAAAGGACTCCCCCTGAAGACCTGTCAAAGTTCCAGGTTGAAGGATGACAGGGTACCCAGATTCCCACCTTCAAAGTATCTGAGAGAACGTTTCGTGTGGTACAGGTCCGTATTTAGTTTCCCTTTCTGTATGTTCAATCTCTGGATTTGAACCTTTGGGAGAAAAGCCAAGCAAGTGCTGAAAGAGAAGGAAAGAAACATTCTCCGGAGGACAGGAGGAAACTGCACACCGTCCACTCACCTCTAGCTCCCTTTCGGCTTTCTGTTTCTCGTTGTTTGCTTTCTTTTCCTGTAGGAAGAGGAAGACAGAGATCTAACCAGGCAGAGGCAGAGATGGTACTGCAAGAGACATGTCCCCAGAATGCCACCACTGCCCCTGCCCCGGGACAGGCCCACCCATGGGACCGGGTTATCAGAGACCCTGTGGGGGATGGGGTGGACTCTGGGGGGTGAGCCTTCTTCCCCAGGCTGGGAGTGGGTGAGACGAGACTCGGGGCCTCTACATCTGAGTGTCCCCCAAACCGAGCAGTCATGTCGCGAGCAAACAAAGAAATCATGTTACTTCTTCCAGCTGATGTTCCACTTGTTTCTTCTGTTGTTTCTGTGGGGAGAGTCACATTAAGGTGATGGAGGGTGGCCCCCTCAACTCTATTCCCCAGAGCAGGAAGTGGTAGGCAGGGACCAGGAATGGATTTTAAAGGCAAAGTTCTCAGACCCAGTGGGAACTCGAACTGGTAAACTCTCCTCAAGCTCCCAAGGACAGAGGATTTGGGTCTTTGTTGGCTTTTGCCCACAGCCACAGAACTCAAGGTCTGAATCTGGAATCTCTTGAGAGGACAGCAATATAAACCTCTAGAGATGGAGTTTGAGAAAGGCCCCCCCTTCTGCCAGCTTGTGATTTAGAAAAGTGCATTCATTCAATAAACATTTACTGAGCACGTACGGGCCAAGTACGGTTCTTCACAGAAGATTTAGGGTGGAAAAGGACAGACAGGAGCCTTTGGCCCTGAGGTTTCCATTCTAGGAGGCCTTTAAATCTCAGACTCGAGAGCTAACAGAGACCTTTGATACTCACTACTTCCTCTGGAAACATGAGCCCAAAAAGGAGAGGTGGCTTGTCCAGAATCAAAGAGCAAATTAGGGACTGAGTCATGGCAGAAATACAGGGCCCCTGACAACCAGTCAGGCTAGCACTTCCCCAAGAGGCAACAATCCCAGGGCGTGTGTAGCAAGGACTCGAGCAGGGGCGTCTGGAGAGGGGAGAGTCAGCAAACAGGGCAGCAAAAAAAGAGCCATGCTGCATGCTCCGGGGTCCCTCCAGGTGAGGCCTGGGCGCCCCAGCTCCCTATTCGCCCTTGGCACCAGGGGCCGCCGTCCCCTTTCTTCAGGGCCCCAAGGGGAAACTAGAGCCCAGGATTGGCAGCGTGGAATCAGGGGACCCCAGTGGACTCTTACCAAAGATTTGATGGTGTTCTTCAGTTGACTGACTTTTACGGACCTCGAGTCTGGGACTACTGCTAGTTCTTGGCACGGGCTCTGAGGCGCATGCAGAGAGGAGGAGGTGGAGGAGGAGTGGGGGGAGAGGTAGAGAGAGCAATCATTAGGGCTGGGGTGTGTGTGGACTGTCTCAGCTGGCAGAGGGGCACCCCGTCCCACCTGGAGGAGGAGGTTGGAGGGCTGCCCTGCAGGGTCACTGCACCTCTGCCCAGAGCCTCTTACCTCCAGATCCTTCAGGGTAGCAGATGATGTAGGGCTCTCCCCGTGGATACCTGTTGCTGACTACAAGAGATGAGAGTGCACATGAAGATGTTCTGTCCCACTCAGTATCTAAGCCCTCTGACTTCTTTTCTTCCCCATCAACTGGCACAATTTTCTTTTCTGCCTATCTTGGACCCTTTGTCCCATAACTCCTTTGTGCCAACTTCTCTCATGGTTCTTATCTCCCCACCACAGCACCCTGCGGCCCTTTCAGTGACTCCTGTGCCAAGTGACTGTTCTCATTGTCCTGGCTTCCCCTTGAGACTGGGGATGAGGAAAATCGAACAGCAATGACCATATCCTGGGTGTTCTGGGTGTTTACAGCAGGCCATGTACTAGGGATTAACATAAAAACAACAACAACAAATCTCATTTAAACTTCACAAATGGAAGTGAAACAATACCACCTCTATTATACAGATGTGAAAAGAGAGGCCCGATGAGGTCTAGCAACTTGCCCTAATTCATATCCCTAGCAGACAAAGAGGCAGGATTCAAACCCAGAATTCTTCACAGGTACCCAACAGTCCATCCACAATCTTAACAATTACCCTCTAGTGCCCCTTGGGTCCCCTGTCCCCAGGAACCTAGTCAGCCAAGACTCACATCTCCAGGTGAGTGGCAACCACCAGAAGTGGCTGTCTCATGGATGCTGCCATTTGTTTTCCTCTTCCTCTTGGCTCCTGCTGGAACACCAGGGCTGTTTCTCTGCCAATATTCTTTTAACTGTCAGAAACAAGAGCAGTAATACTCATGAGAACTATCAGCCCCTGCAGCCACATCCTCCTTTACAGTTTTTATAAAATACTCTTATACACCATCTGATTTAATGATACCAACAACTGTACAAGGTGTTGTCACAATCATTTAGTGACTCAAAGAGATTGATATCATGGCTAGAAAAAAAAAGAAGAAAAGAAAAAGGCGACAGACGAACTTTGAAACTCAGTCTTCTGACTCCAAACTCTGGGGTATTACCAAGAATCAGCAGCTGCCAGGGACCAAAACCAGAGGCAGAGGTAGAAAAGTAAACATTAAGTAGGCAGGAACTGTATGCCATGTGGTTTAGAGTCATACATCCTCACACGTCTGTTAGTGTGAAGAAGTGCACCAGTACCTCTCAAACTCTTATATCAATGTATCCTCATGGCAGAAGGCAGCCTTTCTGTTAAATCTGGGAATTTATCAGAAAGAGGACAACCCAAGCCTCATTTCAGAGAGAGGTCTGGTATACTCTTAGAAACCTATGTGACTGTCATCCCTAAGTACATTAATGTTTTTTCTCTTGATCTCAAGAGAATCAATGGAAACTGATGCTTCAGAAAGATGTCCCATATGTATCCTGTGGCACTCAAAGTACCCCAGGTTTACATAATATGAGGAAGATTCAAGCTGTCAAGTTCAGTTTCCCAAGATCTATTCCACAGAAGATGAGCAAATCTCACTTCACAGACCACTGACTGAAGGGCAGTCTGGTCCCAGAACCATGGAGAATTAGAATGTGAGGTGGAGAACTCACAAAAAATTTGTTAAAATCTCTCTGGAAAGTAGAAGCCTGGGAGAAAACCAAACCAAGTCAAACCCATTCTCCAGTTGCCATCCAGAGGTACTGTCAATGTTTTGAGCTCACAGGGGAAGTGTAGGCTTTTCCCGCTGTCAATGTTTATGTTAAGGGAGTGAGGCAGCCTGAAACCTCTTGCTCCTAGGTCCCAATCTCCATTCCCCTTCCAGCTGGAAATTTGTGCTGTGACAAGAGGAACCAGAAATGGGGTGGCAATGCTTAGGGGACTGGGTCATAAGATCAAAGGCCAGTCTTGCAGTAATGACAGTTACTGGATGGACCGTGACATCACTACATTCCACTCTTCCTGGTGAGGGGGAGGGACCACATCAGCATGATGTCCGAGTCACCGCTCCATGATAGGGGAGGGAAAAACAGAGCTGGGACCCAGGTCCTTGGAGACGCCAGTGCACACAGCCTAGGGAGGTCCACCTTGAGGCAGCAGGAGGGAAGGGAAGAGTCAGCAGCAGGGAGCCCCAGGATTCACCAGCCTAAAGTCACCCAGGGATGACTGGTGAGGGTAGGGTCTGGGGCTGTGGGACCCAGGTCCTTGGAGATGTGAGCCCAAAAAGCCCTGGGAGGTCAAGCTTGGGGTGGCAGGAGATGAGGGCCCAGTAAAGGAGCGGGGAGCCCCAGGATTCACCTGCCCAAAGTCACCCTGGGGTGATTGGTGAGGGCAGAGACTGGGCTGCTTGCTGAAGGGGTGGGGCTGACTGGCAAAACTTTGGTGGGGGTAGCCCAGAGGCACCGGTGTGGGGGTCCCAGTCCGGTGAACCTCGGGAGTGGTATGGACTCTGGCAGCAGTCTTGTCGTTGGAGAGGATCTATGGCTGGGTTGGGGGTCCGTGACCTGGTGTGTTTTTACCTTTCTCTTGGCTGCTGCCAATTTACTTTGTCGAGTTTCTTCTGCCATCGCAGGGTGGGGAGGGAGGCGGGCTTGGGGCCACATCAGCAAAATCCCACCAAGCACTGATCAACACCTCCAGTCACCTACCAGGTAGCTGTGCGACTGAGCCAGAGGAGGCGTAACCAGGGATGCAGTAGAAGGCAGAATAGGGGCGTGGCCTTAATGCTCCAAGCCCATTGGTTAATGAGAAAGATGAAAGGGAAAGGGGGCGTGGCCAGGCATCATGTGTCCAGAGGGACCTTTGGCTCACAAGGAAAGCTGCCCATGCAACCACTGTCCCCACCCACTCTAAGAGAGGGGAGAGGCCGCCAACTCTGGGAGAGGGGCAGGGCCGGCTTTTGCTTTAAAAGCTTTTAAAATATATATATGTGTATACTTTATATATATGTGTGTCTGTGTGTGTGTACCTGTGTGTTCCTCCAGAGCTGTCTTCATGATCCAGCTTCTATGCAAGGTCTATGATTTTGGCCTATATTTTTCATAGAGTACAAAAATTACCAGTATTACCTTAACCGAGATACAGATCCTATGAAAATGGAAAATCCATAGCATGCTTGATGATTACTGAAGCAGACTATATTATCCAACATTCCAATAAGATAAAATAATCACAATGACTTCTCTTTTTTGGAAAAATGTTTCTCTTATTCTCCTACGTTATTGTGAAGACTTTTTTTCTTAAACAAGAAACATGTGTAATATTTGTAAAAACACAAAGCTTTTGGGCGGGGTGCAGTGGCTTATGCGTATAATTCCAGCACTTTAGGAGCCTGAGGCTGGTGGATCATGAGGTCAGGAGATTGAGACCATCCTGACTAAAAAGGTGAAACCACATCTCTACTAAAAATACAAAAAATTAGCCAGGCGTGGTGGTGGGTGCCTGTAGTCCCAGCTACTTGGGAAGCTGAGGCAGGAGAATGGCGTGAACCCAGGAGGTGGAGCTTGCAGTGAGCTCAGATCGTGCCACTGCACTCGAGCCTGGGCTACAGAGCGAGACTCCTTCTCAAAATAAATAAATAAATAAATAAAACTTCTATTTCTTTCACTTTCTAATATAATTTTAATATCTCCTCCTGGGATTTCACTAAGACACATTTTGGACCTCATTCTGATCTTCCTCTCCCCTCCAAGCCCACCAACTTCTGCCCTATCATCTATCCTCATGTCTCTCTGTGTGACATGCTGACTTACTTTTTGGAGAGAATCGCCTAAACAATTAATTCTTTCTTCTCGTGTCTAATCCATCCACTAGTTTCTTATTTCAACAATTACATTTTTATTTCCTTATTTCATTTTATTCTGAGACTGAGTCTCATTCTGTCACACAGGCTGAATTGCAGTGGTACGAACCTGCAGACTCGGCCTCCTGGGCTCAAGTGATCCTCCCACCTCAGCCTCTTGAGTAGCTGGGACTATAGGCAGGTGCCCCATACCCAGCTAATACCATACCCACACAGCAGAGACATAAAAGATTTCCATCCTCAAAGAAGGTTCCATTGAACAGCACTGCTCTAATTCAATAAAAAATACCACTGAGCACAACATAGTAATAGAAAAGATTGAAGAGGCAGTGCTGATACTTAAAAACCTGGTATTTTCAGCCAGGCATGGTGGCTCATGCCTGTAATCCTGGCACTTTGGGAGGCTGAGGTGGGAAGATCGCTTAAGCCCAGGAGTTCTAGACCAGCTTGGGCAACATGGTGAAACCCTGTCTCTACAAAAAATACAAAAAATTAGCTGGGCATGGTGGCATGTGCCTGTAGTCCCAGCTACTTGGGAGGCTGAGGTGGGAGATCACCCGAGCCTGGGAGGTCAAGGCTGCAATGAGGTGAGATGGCACCACCACACTCCAGCCTGGGTGACAGAGTGAGACCCTGTCTCAAAAACAAAAAACAAAAAACAAAACAAAAACACCTGATATTTATTTTTAAGTACACTATTTTCAAACATTCAGAAGTTATTTCATCCTACCTTCATGGTTTCCATTCTATGCCTGGTTTAGAATTGGGATCTGATGAAATAAACGTGTTCAACAGAACCACTTCTCATGGCTGTATAACAGATGATCAATATGTATTTGCTGAGGAAATCATACAATTTTCTTAATTTTTTTTTAACAAAAATTGTGGTTTCAAGGGACCAAACTTGAATACTACACCTTCATGTTCTAAGAATCAGGGGACTTATATAAAACCTCGGTTGCCTGATAAGGACTACATCAAAGTGAAAAGCCATGGGAAAGAACTAGAAAGTATACTTTTGACCCTAGTTCTGTAAAGTTTCCTTATGCCACAGGTAATACACATCGCAATTCCTGCCAAATTCTTTCCCTCACCTCTGTTTATGGTCTCGATTCCATAAATAGGAGAAGGGCATGAATTTGCTTTAGTTAGATAGACAGATAGATGGATAGATAGATAGATGGATGGATGGATGGATGGATGGATAGATAGATAGACAGAGATAAAGATAGAGACAAAGATGGAGACAGAGATGGACATAGAGACAGATTTGCAGAAGATAAGTTCTAGGTGAACTAGTGTCAACATTAAAGTGGTATGCCTACATCTAACTATTCTGGAGAGAAAAACATACCTCAAAGAAATTGACTTAAATATATACAGAGAAAAAGTTTAAGCTGAAAGCTACTGCCTTTTTATATGAGACACTTTAGGAAATTACTTGGGGGGCAAGAGAGAAAATGGGTGGACATAGCTCAGAGGTTACACAGTAGCAGATATGTAGGATGAACAAGCCTAGAAATATAATGTACAACGCGAGAAATATAGGTAATAAAATTGTGCTGTATTGGGATTCACGCTAAATGAGATTTTAAGCTCCTCTTGCCACCAAACAAAAAGAAAACGGGTAACTATCTGAGTTGAAGGATACGTTAATTTGCTTCACTGTAGTAATTTTTTTAACCATCTATATGCATCCCACAAAATCATGTTGTATACCTTAAATACACAGAATACAATTTATTTAACATAAAAAACTACTCCAATATTTTCTGCATTTTTAATATGCTCACCCAAAGAAAGCATTAATTTGCATCTTTGATGTTAAACAGATAGCCTAATCAAGTCACTATCAAGATCAAGACTAAAAGTTACAGCTTTTTTCTTTTGATGCCTTTCAGATATATCTATTTATATATAAAAATATATATACACACACACATACATACACACACACATCTATATGTAGTTATGTGTGTGTGTATATATAGTTACAGTTTTGGCCAGGTGCAATGGCTGACACCTGTAATCTCAGCACTTTGGGAGACCAAGGCTGAAGGCTTGCTTGAGGCCAGGAGTTTGAGACCAGCCTGGGCAACGAAGCAAGACCCTATCTCTACAATTTTTTTTTTTTTAACAAAATTAGCCAGGGATGATGGCATGCACTTGTAGTCCCAGATACTTGGGAGGCTGAGGCGGAGGATCCCTTGAGCCCAGGAGTTCAAAGCTGCAATGGGCTGTTACTGTGCCACTGGATCCCAGTCTGAGCAACAGAGCAAGACTTTGTCTCAAAAACAAAATTTATAATTAAAGATAAATGGTTATAGTTTTATGAACCTTGACTGCAACTGAGGGAAAATCCCGTAATTGGCAAAATGAATTCTGCCTGCTTGCAAAACTTTTGACTAATACGGAATGAATAATAGGAAGCCCATATTAGAGGATCCACATCAGTTAAAAAGTTTCCAAATAAGAGTGACTCTGAGTTCTGCAGAGTGAAAAGATTGGGTTCAAACCAAACACTTGCAAGATCTTGAGTAAGATACCTCTGTGACTCACTGTTCTCAAATGTAAGTGAAGATAATTTGTAACTCAAAAAAAATGAAAAAGTTTTCTCTAAGATTGCAAATCCTAAGGATAATTTCATTTTAATATCAGTTATTTAGTCTGGATACACCATAATGCAGACTAATTTTCCCTCTGCTTAAAGACCACACAAAAACATTACCAATAAAATTTACTTGTGTATCAACTTTTACTCCTGAGACTTCATCGTTTGTTTGGTTAAAAAAAAAAAAAAAGCGCACTAGACCGGGCACAGTGGCCCATGTCTGTGATCTCACTTACGGAGGCCAAGGCAGGTGGATGAGTTTGAGAACAACCTGGGCAACATGGAAAAACCCCGTCTCTACAAAAAAAATATATAAAAATTAGTCAGGTGTGGTGGCACATAACTGTGGTCCCAGCTACTCCAGAGAGTGAGGCGGGAGGATTGCTTGAGCCCACGCAGAGGTTGCAGTGAACCAAGATGGCACCACTGCACTCCAGCCTGGGTGACAGAGCAAGACCCTGTCTCAAAAAAAAAAAAAAAAATCACTATAAAATTGAAATTCACAACAAAATGTGCATACTTAACCTTCTTTTTATTTATTTATTTATTTATTTTTAATATTTTGAGACAACATCTTGCTATGTTGCCTAGGCTGGTCTTGAACTCCTGGGTTCAAACCATCCTCCAGTCTTGACTTCCCAAAGTACTGGGACTACAGGTGTGAGCCACCAGCCCCGCCAGCCCTGTTACACTATTCTTGGCCCCTCAAGTGACTGTATGAATTTTAGGATCAGCCTCTCGAGTTCCACAAAAAAATTCTATTGGGATTTGTGTAGGAATTTCTTGAATTTATAGATTAATTTGTTGAGAAGTAGTATGTTTATAGCATTGAGTCCTACGATTCATAATATATATGGCATATATTTCAGTTTAGTCAGTTCTTCCTTTAAGTCCCTGGGTAATTTTTATATTTGTCTTAGTCCCTTCATAGTGCCATAACAAAACACCTGAGACTGGGTAATTTACACAGAGCAGAAGTTTATTTTCTCAGTTCTGGAGGTTGGGAAGAACAAGATCAAGACTCCAGCAGACACAGTGTCTAGTGAGGGCCTGGTCTCTGCTTCCAAGATGGTACGTTGAATGCTGCTTCCTCTGGAGCAGGCAAATGCTATGTTCTCATGAGGCAGAAGGGACAGATTTACCACCACCCACAAGCCCTTTTATAAGGAAGGCACTAATCTCATGCATGAGGGCTCACCCTTATGTCTTAATCACTTCTTAAAGGCCCCACTTCTTAGTACTATCATCTTGGGAATTAAGTTTTAATACATGAATTTTGGGAGACACATTCAGGCTATGGCAATACTCTTCATGAAAGGCCTTGTGTATACTTTGCTAGATATATTCTCAGGGTTTTGTTGCTATTGTCAATAGAATCTCTTTTTTTTTTTGCCACGGAGTCTGGCTCCTTTGCCCAGGCTGGAGTGCAGTGGCGCGATCTCGGCTCACTGCAAGCTCTGCCCCTCCAGGTTTAAGCAGCCTGTTGCCCAGGCTGCAATGCAGTAGCATAGTCATAGTTCAATACAGCCTCAAACTCCTGGGCCCAAATGATTCTCTAAGCTAATATTTTTAATTTTTTAGAGATGGAGTTTCATTCAAGGATCACTAAAGGCCAGTGATCCTCCCGCCTCAGCTTCTGAAATTGCTGGGATTACAGGTGTGATTGAGCCATGGAGCCTGGCCAGACATGGGCTATTGATTCTCGCTGTTACTCTTTTCCCTTTCCTTCTAATCCTTGTATTGGGAAGAAAACAGTATGGAAATTTTATTTCTTCATTTTATTGATACGTAGATCTCTGCTTAGAAGACAATTTTAGTTTTAGATTATAAATGTTTCGTTCATTATTCATAGAAAACTAGATTTGCCATGGGATATTTATAAGTGTTGCACGAATGAAGGGTTTTCTAGTCAAATAAGTTGAAACACATTACGTTAAACAAACTTGGACAGTTTTGTTTCTGGTCAATTTTAGAGTTCTAAATTATGATTCTACTCAAGAGGATATTGTATGCGGTATTTTCAAACCAACTCATCCTGCGTCAGGTTGTGGTTACGCTTTGGGAGAGGAAGCTATAATCTTATACTGAGACTGTAATGAATGTATTAAAGTAATTTTCGTAGCTTTCTCTTTTTGGAGTTACCTGAGAAATTATGACACCCTTTTCCAAACAGGCCAACCTGTTTTGCAAACACGATTTCCATAATTTTAACAATGGTGAGGCCAGGCACGGTGGCTCATACCTGTAATTCCTTCCAGCACTTTGGGAAGCCTAGGCAGGAGGATCACTTAAGCCAGGAGTTCAATACCAGCCTGGGCAACATGGCAAAAACTCATCTCTACAAAAAGTACACATATTAGCCAGGCGTGGTGGCACACACCTATAGTCTCAGCTACTCAGAGGTTGAGGTGGGAAAATTGCTTCAGCTCAGGAGCTCGAGGCTGCAGTGAACGGTGATCACGCCACTGCACTCCAGCCTGGGTGACAGAGCAAGACCCTGTCTCAAAAACAAACAAAACAAAACACAAACCAAGGGTGAGAGAGATGTTAGATGTTTTTGTCCTTGTTACAGATGTAAATGCTCAGTTGGAAAGAGGGAAGTATTTAGAGTGAAAAACTTTCGGTGGAACACACACAAAAATAGGAAGATCAGGTATAACTGTTCCAAAAAAAAGAGTATGGCAGTATAGAAGAAAAGGTCTCCATGAAAATGCAGAAGAACAATTTCACAGCTGGTGCTGGCATTTCAGAGACCTTGAGCTGGGAATCAAAAGATGGGAATTTCAGTCTCGGATGTGCCACTCCTTAGAGGTTTAATATCTACTAAACCCGGCGGGCTCCACTTGGTGGTGTTTGCTATTTAAAAAAACAAAAACATGTGGCAATGATCTTCCACGTGATTCTGACTTGAGCCCCACCCGAGTCTGCAGACTTACCCTTCCACTGCTTTGCCCTTCAAGTTTGTGCCCATTAGCAAAGAGAAATTTTCTCTTTGGGATCACTGCTGTGTTGATCTCAGGAATATTTGGCGTTGAATTTAACATATTTTTCATATGTGTGTGCAATAGGGAGGCTGAGAAACTTGTCTTTTTTTTAAGGTGTTCATTTTTGGGGTACAGGTAGCAGCCTGCTCTACAATCCACACAGAAGCTGGAAATAGCCTCTAGAGAATTTCCACGTTTAGAGAAGATAAATTTATACATTTGTATCTAATCAACATTTTTTAGCTAACATAGTAGTCTAATTATACTATGTATAATTATACTATGTATAATTATGGGTACTGAAATGACACCTGGCATATGCTGTATGCTGTGTTATATATACATATATATTTACACATATACATATATATTACACATATACATATATATTTACACATATATATTTACACATATACATATATATTTACACATATATATTTACACATATACATATATTTACATATTTTACATTTACATTTTACATTTATTTTACATTTTACATTTATTTTACATTTTACATTTACATTTGACATTCTACATTTATTTTACATTTACATATTTTACATTTACAAATATTTACATATTTTACATTTATATATACCTATATTTACATACATATATTTACGTACATATTTTTACATACATATTTACATGTGTATATATTTACATACATTCACATACATATTTACATATATACTTACATACATACATATTTACATAATATTTACATACACATATTACATACATATATGTACACATATACATATATTTACACATATACATATACTATGTATAATTATACTATGTATAATTATGGGTACTGAAATGACACCTGGCATATGCTGTATTTAAAAATGTGAGGTTCAGTGAGAACACATGGACACAGGAAGGGAAACAACACATACTGGGGCCTGTCAGGGCGGGTGGGGGAGGAGCATCAGGAAAAATAGCTAATGCGTGCTGGGCTTAACACTGAGGTGATGAGTTGATAGGTGGACCAAACCACCATGGCACACGTTTCCCTACGTAACACTCCTGCACATGTACCCTAGAACTTAAAACAAAATTTTAAAAATAATAAAAAATAAAAATGTGAAATTCAGCACATAAACTGTTGGTTTTATTCTTCATATTTTCTTAATTCAGAAATTATTTTCTGAACTATGGTTTATTAGATAATTTTGACGTAACAATTTTTTAAGAGGAAATTTAAGTTTTACTTTTTAATTGGGGCTCTTGGTTCTTTTTAAGAAAGACAGAGATAAATCATTTATACATTTAATTAGAAGAGACTGGGCTTGAATTTTTAAAAAGTACTAGAAATCATAGCCACTATATATGTTATCTTTGAAATGTTTTAGACACTAATTACCTAAACAAGGAGCAAATAAGTTAAACCTCTTGGATTTTAATAAGAGCTAAAATGTACAGTTGTATTTTCTGGTTTTTTAAATTGTTACAGTCTAAATTTATTCTTCCTAATGAAGAAATGTATGTGCCGTCAATATCAGGTTCTTTGTGGGTACTCACAGTTCCCTTTGCCTTTTACGCAGTGAATGTGGGCAACATGCGTGGAACAGAAATGATGTCGTTTTCTTTCTTTTGAATATCACTATGAATCTAATAATTCAAAGATTCCTAACTTTCTGAATGCCATTATTAATTGGATTCACAATGACTTACCAGGTACAGAGTTGTCCCGTGTGTCTTGGGGTGAACTACTGAGAGTGGTATGAGGGAAGCGATTCTCAGCTAGCGCTGAGTGGGGCCACTTCCAAAGAGGTGATGGGGTAAGAAGCACACACAATGTGGCATTTTCACTGCAAAGGGAGGTTTGTGCTGCCTCTCCTCCTGTGGCAGGTCTGCTCGCAGGGGAGGCTCCAAAGTTTGGCTTTGCTGGGTTTGGCATGTGAGAACTGATGAAATATCTGTATGTAGTATCTTTCAAGGATTTATATCGGTTGGATTTCTGTGTAAATTTGCATATCCCTTTGACTGCTTTACCCCATAGAAGCTTTGTATGCTTAACAAAATCTGTAACTTTTCTGTCACTTTCTCATTTAGCATCTGCCTTTCTGGCTTTTTACTTTATCTTTTTATTATTGTTTTTAGTTTAATGAGATTATGGTTAGAGAGAAAGATGGGTGCATGATTCCGCTTCTTTGGAATTTGTTGAGATTTTCCTTATGGCTCAGTACATATGTACTTGGGGGGGTGAATGCTGTCACTTTGGAGAGATATGTTTTTTCTGTACATTAGGTCAAGCTTGTTAATTTTCTAGAGAGATGTAAATCTTCTATGTCTATGCTGATTGTTTTTTGTCTCTTTTATCAGATACTGAGATATGTATTTAAATTGCCCTCTGAGGGTTGCAATTTTGTCATATTTTGCTTTCATGTATTTTGAGTGCTAGTTATTAGATACATTAACATTTTAGATTACCTTCTCCCTTGGTTTATTAGAATTTTTATCATTATATTGTGGCCTTAAAAAATCTCCCATATTGCTTTTTGCCCAAAGCCTATTTTATCTGATAATAATATAGCTTCCAACCCTTCTTTGGGTTAGGTACATATGACAGGTGTATCTTTTTTCAATCTCTCTCAGTCTTTCTGTGACTTTATGTTTTAGATGTCTTTTCATACTGTTTATTTTCTGTTTTTTGTGTTTTTTTTTGTGTTTTTTTTTTTTTTGATACGGAGTCTTGCTCTGTTGCCCAGGCTGGAGTGTAATGGTGTGATCTCGGCACTGCAACCTCTGCCTCCTGGATTCAAGCGATTCTCCTGCCTCAGCCTCCTGAGTAACTGGGATTACAGATGTTCACCACCACGCCGGCTAATTTTTGTATTAGCAGAGATGGGGTTTCACCATGTTGGTCAGGCTGCTCTCGAACTCCTGACCTTGTGATCCCTCCGCCTGCCTCATCCTCCCAAAGTGCTGGGATTACAGGCATTAGCCACCACGCGTGCCCTAATTCTGTTTTATAGTCATTTTCTCTTAATTATTCAGTCTATTTACATTTATTGTGATTGTTGGCATAGTTTCTTTTATAACTTTCATCGTATTTTGTGCTATTTGTTCCATCTGTTTTTATTTCTTCATGTCTTTTTTGTTTCGTTTTTGCTAATTCCTTTTATATTCATGGTTATTCTGCTCTTGAAATGTATGCTATGTGAATATATTTGTGAGTTGACAATACTTTATTAGCAATTAAATATACTATTTCTCTTTTTTTTAGAACTTGCTCAAATGTTACATAACCTCAATATCCTTAGTATCTAAATTAAACTGACTTTCTGAACAATCATCATTTTAAGGCAGTTACCACGATCTACTAAAAAATAAAAAATAATTAGCCGGGTGTGGTGGTGGGCGCCTGTAATCCCAGCTACTCAGGAGGCTGAGGCAGGAGAATCCCTTGACCCTGGGAGGCAGAGGCTGCAGTGAGCCGAGATAGCGCCACTGCACTCCAGCCTGGGCGACAGAGAGACTCCGTCTCAAAAAAAAAAATAATAATAATAATAATAAAGGAATTTAAAAAAAGACTGGGTTTAACCATGTTGCCCAGGCCGGTCTGGAACTCCTAGGCTCAAGCAATCCCCCACGCTTGGCCAGTCCAAAGTCCTGGAATCAAAAGCGTGAACCACCACGCCAGGCCGATCACGCCTGTCATCCCAGCACTTGGGGAGGCGGAGGTGGGTGGATCACCGGAGGTCAGGAATTTGAGACCAGCCTGGCCAACATGATGAAAACCCGTCTCTACTAAAAATACAAAAAAAAAAATTAGCCGGGTGTGGCGGCAGGCGCCTGTAATCCCAGCTACTCAGGAGGCTGAGGCAGGAGAACCACCAAAACCCGGGATGCAGAATTTGCCGCGAGCGGAGACCCAGCCACTGCACTCCAGCCTGGGCAACAAGAAGGAAACTCCGCCTCAAAAAAAAAAAAAATAATAATAAGAGACAGATTTTCACCATGTTGCCCAGGCAGGTCTGGAACTCTTAGGCTCAAGCAATTCCCCACGCTCGGTTGTCCAAAGTCCTGGGATCAAAAGCGTGAGCCACCACGCCAGGCCGATCTATTTCTTTCTGATTAATAAATTGGGCCGGGAGCGGTGGCTCACGCCTGCAGTCCCAGCACCCCGGGAGGCCGTGGCGGGCGGATCACCTGAGATCGGGAGTTTGAGACCAGCCTGACCAACATGGAGAGACCTGTCTCTACCAGAAAAAAAAAAAAAAAAAAAAAAAAGAGCTGGGCATGGTGGCTCCCGCCTGCAATCCCAGTCACTCGGAGGCTGAGGCAGGAGAACCACCCAAACCCAGAGGCAGAGGCCGCGGGGAGCCGACACCGCACCACTGCACTCCAGCCCTGCAACAAGAGGGAAACTACGCCTCAAAAAAAAAAAAGAGAGAGAGAGAGAGACCGGTTTTCACCATGTTGCCCAGGCTGGTCTAGAACTCCTAGGATCAAGGGATCCGCCACGCTCGGCCCGTCCAAACTCCTGGGATCAAAAGCGTGAGCCACCACGCCAGGCCGATCCTTCCTGTCATCCCAGCACTTTGGGAGGCCGAGGTGGGTTTACCTGAGGTCCGGAGTTCGAGACCAGCCTGGCCAACATGATGAAAACCCATCTCTACTAAAAATACAAAAAAAAAAAAAAAAAAAAAAAAAAAAATTAGATGGGTGTGCTAGCGGGTGCCTGTAATCTCAGCTACTCAGGCGGCTGAGGCAGGAGAATCGCTTGAACCTGGGAGGCAGAGGTTGCAGTGAGCCGAGACAGTGCACCACTGCACTCCAGCCTGGGTGACAAAGTGAGACTCCGTCTCAAAAGTATATATATATAAAAATAAAAAATGAAATAAAAATAAATTGGGTGTGTGCGCTGGCTCACGCCTGCAATTCCAGCATCCCCGGAGGCCGAGGTGGGCGGATAACCTGAGGTCTGGAGTTTGAGATCAGCTTGCCCAGCATGGAGAAACCCCGTCTCTACCAAAAACAAATAAAAAAAAATTAGCAGAGCAATGTTGGTCAGGCCTGCAATCCCAGCCACTCCGGAGACTGAGGCAGGAGAACTACTAAAACCCTGGAGGCAGAAGTCGCTGCGAGCGGAGACCCAGCCACTGCACTCCACCCTGGGCAACAAGAGCGAAACTCCGCCTCAAAAAAGAAAGAGAGAGAGAGAGAGAGACCGGGTTTCACCATGTTGCCCAGGCAGGTCTGGAACTCCTAGGCTCAAGGGATACCCCGCGCTGGGCCATCCGAAGTACTGGGATCACAAGCGTGAGCCACCACACCAGGACGATCTATTCCTTTCTGATTAATAAGTTGGGCCGGGAGCGGTGGCTCAAGCCTGCAATCCTAGCACCTCGGGAGGCCTAGGCAGGTGGATCACCTGAGGTCGGGAGTTTGAGACCAGCCTGACCAACAGGGAGAAACCCCATCTGTACCAAAATAAAAATAAAAAAAAAATACAAAATTAGCCGGGCTTGGTGGCTTATGCCTGCAATCCCAGCCACTCTGGAGGCTGATGCAGGACAACGACCGAAACCCGGGAGGCGGAAGTCGCGGCAAGCAGAGACCCAGCCACTGCATTCCAGCCTGGGCAACAAGAGCGAAACTCCGTCTCAAAACAACACAAAACAAAAAGACCAGGTTTCACCATGTTGCCCAGGCCTGTCTGGAACTCCAAGGCACAAGCGATCCACCCTACTTGGCCGTCCAAAGTCCTGGGATCACAAGAGTGAGCCACCACGCCAGGCAGATCAAAGCGTGGAGCTGAATAAAGAGTTATCTTTTAGCATTTTGTGGAGCCCGGGTAGATCTGTGCAGGGGGAAGCATATTACAGAAGCGAGAAACAGAGAGTTATTTAATTGAAGCACGCATTATGTTTTTTTTTTTTTTACGTTTTTAGGAAAAATATGTTTTGTGACTTGCATTTGTTTGTTTAGTGACCTTGCAGTTGCACAGTTAGGGAATTAGGGTTTTGATAATGCCTGGGAAGGGAGCGATAAGGCTCACTAGCCATAGGAAAACAGGTAGTTTTTTTAAAGGACTAAGGCTCTTTCTCATTCTCAGGGGGAATTGGGTTTTTTTTACATACAGCTGAGTTTTTGCTTACACATTTTTTCATTTCTTTTAATTCCTGTTCCAATGCCAGCATCCTTGCGGTGCAGTTTCCCAGCGGCTCTCTTGCCTTGCAGCTTGTGTCGGGAGTTGCAGACAGCCATGGCCCATGGGCCTGGCGCTGACGGACCCTGGAGCGGTGTCTGAGGGAGGTGGGCAAAGCCACTGGCTGGCCCGAGTGCATCCTCACGTAAGTGCACAGATCCCGGGCTCGGGTGCGACTGCGGTCGCACGTGGACACGGGTTGCAGACCCCTGGCAAATTGTGGAGCTGGGGAAAGGTAAGGGGAAATGTAAATCACTTTTCCCCACATTTCAGAGGACCTAGGCTATCAAAATTTTAAAAATTGTTAAAACTTTTACAGTATGGATCTCTCAGTTGAATGTTATTGAAATCAACCTAACCTCAGTTATTCACGCCTATAAGCTCCCCTTGAGGCTTATTACGGCCCCCATCCCCCTACACACAACTGTGTTGGTTTCTCCTTCCGCCTGTGCTCCTAAAGCACTCAGTGTTTACCTGCCATCATACTTTATTGAAAGCACAAACTTGTCACTTGTCTGTCTACCCCACTAAGCTTCTTGAGAATTAGAACTTTCATGTCTCTTCCCAACACAAACGTTTTATGTGTATTTTGTTGAAGAACTTCAAATATGACCTATAAAATTATGACTCATTTATGTTTCAAACTCCAACCTCTCCCTTGAGTTCCTTGCTCACAAGCAACTCCAGACTGAGCTTAGTTGGAATTCAGTAGCGCACAACTGGGATATCCGCACCGTACGGCTTTTAACAATTTTTTAAATTTTGGTCCTCTCAGCATCACAAATTCACCGTGTCCAAAATACAGTAGAATGTTGTTTCTACCCACCTACACTCTGCCATCCGCTGAAGTCCTTTCCCCTTGCTCCACCACTCAAGCCTTGCCTATCGCAGTAAATGGCAGTTCTGTCTCTCCAGTTGCTCGCACATAAAACTAGGCTGCTATTTTGATGTCTTCACTTTTCTCTATTCTGTATCTAATTCCTTAGCAATCCTGTCAGTTCTACCTCCAAACTGTACTCAGCATATTCACTGCTCTAACTCCAGCTTAAATCACCATCATCCTTTGCCTGGAATGCTGCATCAACCTTCTAATCACTCTACTTTCCTCCTCCTCCTTCCTCCCTTTCTTCTTCCTTCGTATAAATCATCATTTCATCCTTCTGCTTAAAATCTTCTCACATTTTCTTATTACACTTAAAACGGCAAACTCTTACCCTTGAGCCCTGCAGAATTTGGCTCCCATCAGTCTCTCCGACTTCACCTTCTGCCTCCTTCACGCTATAGCCATGCTCACTTTTTTATTCCTCAGGCTTACCAAGCTCAATTGCATCTTAGAGAATTTGTTCTTGCTGTTTCTTCTGCCTGGAATACATGTTTCCCAATCTTTATAAGACTATACTTGTCTGTAAGTTTCACCTCAGATGTCACATCTAGGAGAGGTTTTCCTTGACCACTGTAAGCCAAAGCAAATGTTGATCATTGAGTGAATAAGGGAATGAATGAATGGAGTGGTATATAATGTAGCAGAGTAGAAAATTTAAGGCTAATTCTCTATACATCTCCAAGCAAATAGATTTGTAATGCTTTTCCTGCCAACAATCTATACAGCTGATTCACAAATACTTGGTTGACAGGTTTTATATATCATTGTGGCTCATCAGCTTATATATTGTTGGGGCCAGAATCTATACTTACACTTTATTCAAATTTGATTTTACAGAAGAGTTGAGGTTTTTATTTTTCTTTTAATTAAGTGGGCTGTGAAATTATTATCTATAATTCTAAATCTCATTTAATTCCTCCCAATAGGTTTCAAGCTGGATTGGAACCAAAGTTCACTTCTTTAACGAAAGTGCTTTATGACTTTAATAAAACAGTAGAGAATGGTAGAATCCATGGCAGCTCTTTACAAAAACTTGTGATAGAAAGTTTTGATGATGAGCAGACTTTGCAACAACTGGAATTGCAAAATGAAGCAATTTTACAGTGCTTCCAGAATGCGGTTAGTGAAAGAAAGATGAAGATATCAGTCTTCTCCCAGAGAGTGAAGAACAGGAGCATGAAGAGGCTGGTTCAGAAACAGAGGCTGATGGCCAGGAGGACCTAGAAGATTTAGAGGAGGAGGAGGACGTGTCAGATATGGGTGGTGACAATCCTGAAATGGGTGAGAGAGCTAAAAACTCAAGCAAATTCAGGGCCAGGCGCGGTGGCTCACGCCTGTAATCCCAGCACTTTGGGAGGCCGAGGCAGGCGGATCACGAGGTCAGGAGATCGAGACCATCCTGGCTAACAAGGTGAAACCCCATCTCCACTAAACATACAAAAAATTAGCCAGGCGTGGTGGCAGGTGCCTGTAGTCCCAGCTACTCGGGAGGCTGAGGCAGGAGAATGCCATGAACCCGGGAGGTGGAGCTTGCAGTGAGCCTAGATCACGCCACTGCAGTCCAGCTGGGCGGCAGAGTGAGAGACTGCATCTCAAAAACAAAAACAACAATTACTTAACTTTAGGATGCTCCAATAATCAAAATTGATAGTGGCTTGTGAACAGATAGATTACTTGAATAGAATAGAGCCCAGAAATAAACCCAAATGCTTCTGGGGGAGTTTGGTACATTATAAACATGACATTTTAAATCAATGAGGAAAAGAAATCATTTGCAGCTCACCCCACCATACACAGCAGGAATAGGAAGTCATTGGCAGAATAAAAAGATGGTAAGAACAGAACAGAATTGTAGAACAGTACATTTCTCGCTTCCCCACTTTTCAAAGTATTTTTTGCTTTTTCACAAATGTAAGTGTAATTTTATTTTCTAAATGTATACTAATTCTTTTCTTCTCTTTCTTAGATGAATGACAAAAATTACATCTTTAGAAAAAGAGTTGTTAGAAAAAAGCCTTGGCTGCATGTGGGGGAAGTGACAGCACAGAAGAGACCAGAGAAGAGCCTCCTGGAGGAGAGCCTGCACTTTGACCATGCTGTCCGGATGGGTGCAGTGCTCTTTTCTGCAAAGTGTTCACTTCTCTGCTTTTTCTGTGGTCCCATTTCATAGAAAGATTTGGGGTGATGTTTCTTTCCCTCAACTTTTATTTTGAAAACTTGCAAACACAGAAAAGTTGATAAAATCATACAGTGAACATCTGTATGCTATTCAACTGGATTCACTAGTTAATGTTTTGTCACACTTGTTTTCTGTCTTCTGCGTATGGAAGATTGTATATGTGCCCTTTTTCCCCCTGAATCATTTCAAAGTAAGTTGGCAGTATCAGAGCATTTCACTGTTAAGTACTTTCGCAGATATCTTCTAGGAACCAGGACTTCTCCTATATAATCACAATACCATTAATCCACCCCCAAAATTTAACATCAATACACTAATGATACCTACTGTATAGATTATAATCAGCTTCCTTGCAGCAATCTGTTTAGAAGGCTTGCATCCTGTCACTGTCCACTGATTAAATTTTGAACTCTAACTTGAAACCCTGGTCATCTCATTGCCTTCTTTCTTATACCCATTAAGTCAAAAGGAGCTCTCATTTTATTTCAACAGAAAAGAGAATGGAAAAGCGGGGAAGAGTCCCTAGTACCTTGGATAAAGTATGAGCACTTACTACCATATGTATTCTAGTTCTGTAGTTTTCAAACTTCAGGGAGCATCTCAAGGCTTATTAAAGCACAGATAGCTGTCCTTCCCCACTTTCTGATTCAGGAGGTGTGGGGCTGGCCCAGGAATTTGCATGTCTAACAAGTTCCCACGTGTTTCTGATGCTGAGGGTCTAAGGACTACAATGCATGAATCCGTGGTTTAGTGGATATCCACCTAATGAATACATGTTGTATTTCCTTTGGCACCCGTGATTACAGAGGAAACACCTTTCAACTGGAAGGTATCATTAAACAGAGGATAAGAGATCAGGTCAGTAAGAATTAAATTTCACTTAATTGAAATGTCACTCAAATGTTTAGAAATAATATGACAGGCCAGGCACAGTGGCTCATGCCTGTAATCCCAGCACTTTGGGAGGCCAAGGCAGACGGATCACTTGAGGTCAGGAGTTCGAGACCAGCCTGTCCAAGATGGTAAAACTTCCTCTCTACTAAAAATACAAAAATTAGCTGGGCATGGTGGTGCATGCCTATAGTCCCAGGTACTCGGGAGGCTGAGGCAGGGGAATCGCTTGATCTCGGGATATGGAGGTTGCAGTGAGCTGAGATGCGCCACCGCACTCCAGCCTGGGCAACAGAGTGAGACTCCATCTCAACATAAATAAATAAATAAATAAATAAATAAATAAATAAATAAGATAAAAATAAAAATAAAGGGAAGATGGGGCAGCTTTGTGTATTGCATGTCCTGAAAATGGGCTGATTTCTCTCAAGAGGCAGGGATTTAAGCTCTGTAGCCTATGTGGGATACATACAGGAGAAAAAAGAAGAAAAAGAAAAGAAATGTAAATATAAATAAATGAAAATAACACTTTTCCATGATTATAAAGGAAATCACATTGTTTTTGTAATAATTTGGATGACAAAATGTAAAGAAAAATCTTTAATTTTGCCACTCAAAACATTCCGGTTTGTTGCTTTTCACACTTTTTATGCTGTAAACATTTTAAAAAGTAGAATCACAATACATGGTCTTTTGTCACTTACTATATTTTAAGCATGTTTCTATGGGAGAAATATATCCTGGCATCATCACTTTCAACAGCTGGATGTATGTTAAGTGAATCATTGCCACCCCAGAGGTGGATTTCCTTCTATATATATTTTAATGGACTCGAGTGAGGATTTTTGCACTGAATTCATAGAAGTAGAATTTCTAGAAGAAAATAATATAAAACAGTTTTAGGATTTTTAAAACAAATGTTCAAATCATCCTATAGGAAAATTGGTTGAGTTTACGCTCCCACCAACAGGGACAGAGCTCCAGGTTCCGCCTTCCATTTGTCGTCTTCGCTGGTCTTTAAGCAGAAAATCTCATTGTTTTCATTACCTTTCTTTGATTTCTAGTGCTTTTGAATCTTTTTCATTTGCTCATTGGCCATTTTTATTCTTGTGGGAAGTGCTGGTTTCTCCATTGCCCATTTTCTGCTGCAAATCATTCATTTTTTTTTCTGAGTAATTTTAAAGATTTCTTTATAGGCTAAGGATACAAACCTTTAATCTGTCATTGAGGTTACAAAGATCTTCTCCCAGTAAGTAATTTGTCACTTCACTTTATTTATTTATTTTTTGCTAGCAAAGCACCAAAGTCAAATTTCACTTAATTTTTATCCTGCTGAATGAACACATTTTAAGTTAGTGATTTTAGTGGAAACAGGAGCAGGACAGAATGTAATAATTAGATCTCGCTCTGTCACCCCAACTGGAGTGCAGTGGCATGATCATAGCTACTGCAGCCTCAAACTTCTGGGCTCAAGTGATTTTCCCACCTCAGCCTCCCAAGTAGCTCTAGGACTACAGGTGTGTGCCGCCAAGCCCAGCTAATTTTTAAATTTTCTTTGTAGAGATATGAATTCGCTATGCTGCCCAGGCTGGTCTTTAACTCCTGACTTACCCCACCTTAGCTTGCCAATATGCTGGGAGTACGGGCGTGAACTACTGCTCCCGGCCAAGAGCTTACTTTGGTTTGCTAGCAAGGTTCTTGGTATCTTTTTATATTTGAGGCTTTCGTGCTAGTGCTGAAGTATTACACTCACCATCTGAGGTTTACAGGACTTTTGTTTTAATATTGAACCGAGGGAACTGTTTAGTTTTGCATCTTTGCAGGTATACAAAATGTGCCTACCAGGACTCTGCTTTATATCCATTGAAAAGCAAGAAGTAATACAGTAAAAGTTTGCCTGGCTACAGGCTTTGGAAGAATGGAGTATTCTGGTTTAATTCTATTAACTTGGAAGGATGAAGGTGGAAAAAATTCAAAACTTTAATTTCCTGTTGAATGCAATTTGAAAATATAGCCAATGAGTCCACTTTTCTTCTCTAGTAAGTTTGGACATTCAGATCTACTTGGTCTTTTATCATAGAACTCCTAGTGCGCCTGAGTCTTACGTTGTGAAAATCCTTTTCTAAAACTTTAGATGTAAGAGGATAGAAATGATATTGGATGAGATCAGGCTGGATGAGAACTGATACCTGTAGATATATTTTTTAGATGAAATCTCTGATTGCCACACGTTTTCTTATTGAACTCATAAAAATAAAACACACTGGCTGGAGGGTGGAAGTAGGAAGGAGATTTATGTCTTTTAATTGCATGTCATTGTTTCATATTGAGACAGAACATATAGTATCCCTGGCTTTGGACCTACAGAAGGAAACACATTTTTCTACCTGCTGTATGGCAGAGGTTCCTGAGCACCTGGAGGGATTATTGCAGCACGGATTGCTGGGCCCTACTGCAGAGTTTCTGATTCATTCATGTCTAGGGTGGGGCCTGAGAATTTACATTTATAAGAAGTTCCCAGGTGCTCCTGGTCCGGAGACTACATGTTTGAGAGCCACCCTTACATACTAACTGTAAATTGTAGAACTCTAGAAAAAAGCGTAGTTTGGACTGGGAGAAGAAGCACACATGTAATGGAGCAAATCATGAAAAAGTCAACCCTTGATCCCAGGTAACAAGCAATACACAGTGACATAACACAATTCTTGGTTTTCATGATTGCAAGTCATAGCCAAGTATCGAGTGAGAAATTCAGTTTCATTTTCAGGGCTTAGAGGCCAGGTGATTCTAGAAAAATCGGATTTAGTGATTAACTCATGAGAGTAGGAGTTATTTATGTCCTTTTTCTCTCCCCCATCACTTAGCATTTAGCCTTACTTTAGAAGGGTCCTGTATTTGCTTTAACCTTGTAAAGAACTTTGAGTGCTTATTAAATGGAAAGCCTTGTGTGTGTGTGTGTGTGTGTGTCTGTGCGTGTGTGTGTGTGTGTGTCTGTGCGTGTGTGTGTGTGTGTGTGTGTATTTAGAGACAGAGTCACATTCTGTAGCAGCCCAGGCTGAAGTGCAGTGGCATGATTTTGGCTCACTGCAACCTCTGCCTCACAGGTTCAAGGGATTCTCCTGCCTCAGCCTCCCAAGTAGCTAGGATTACAGGCACCTGCCACCATGCCCAGCTACTTTTGTATTTTTAGTAGAGACAGGATTTCATCATGTTGGCCGGGCTGGTCTTGAACTCCTGAATTCGGGTGATCCACCCGCCCCAGCCTCCCAAAGTGCTGGGATTACAGGCATGAGCCATCACGCCTGGCTCAAAGCTTTGTATTTTTAAAGATATTAGACATGTTTCTTGTTTGTTTGTTTTTTTAAAAAAAACTAAACGCTAATGTAGGAGAATAAGAGAAAGTTTTTCCAAAAAAGAGAAAACATTGTGATTATCTTATTGGAATGTTGGATAATAAAGTCTGCTTTATCAATCATCAAGCACACTATAAAATTTCCATTTTAATAGGACTTGTACCTCAATTGAGGTAATAAAGTTTTAAAGTTTTTAAAGTGAAAGCCAGCCCCGCCCCTCTCCTGGAGTGGGCGGGGACAGCGGTTGCATAGGCAGCTTTCCTTGTGACAACACAGGTCCTTGATGACACGCTGCTGTCTGGCCACACCTCCTTTTCCTTTCATCTTTCTCATTGACCAATGGGCTTCAAGCATGAAGGCCACACCCCTATTCTGCATTCTAGTGCAGCCCTGGTTACGCCTCCTCTGGCTCAGTCACACAGCGACGTAGAGGTGACTGGAGGTATATACTTGTCCTCACCTGGATCATGCTGATGTGGCCCCAACCCCACCTCCCTACCCATCCCCACCTCCCTACCCATCCCCACCTCCCTACCCATCCCCACCTCCCTACCCATCCCCACCTCCCTACCCATCCCCACCTCCCTACCCATCCTATGATGTCCAAAGAAACCAGACAGAGCAAATTGGCCGAGGCCAAGGAACAGGTAAACGCACCAACACCCCAACCCAACCCGAGGCCCCCTCTGACAGCCGAACTGCTGCCAGAGTCTGTGCCACTCCTGAGGGACACCAGGCTGGGCCCCCCACCCCAGTGCCTCTGGGCTCCCCACACCAAAATCTTGTCAGCCAGCCCAACCCCCTCATAAGTCCTGCCCCTGCTCTGCCCGGCACACCAGGGTGACTTTGAGCAGGTGACTCCTGGGGCTTCCAACTCCATACTCCGCCCTTACCTCCTGCTACCCCAAACCCGACCTCCCTGGGCTCCTTGAGCTCACATCTCCAAGGACCTGGGTGCCCCAGAACCTGCCCTCACCAGTTGCCACAGGGTGACTTTGGGGATGTGACTCCTGGAGCTCCTTGCTCCTTAATTGGCCCTCACCTCCTGCCGCCCCAAGCCTGACCTCCCGGGGCTCTTTGGGGTCACGTCTCCAAGGACCTGGCTCCCAATTTTGTGACCCCCCTCCCCAGTCTCAAAGCGGCAACTTGGGCATTGCACTCATGTGTCCCCCCCAACCACTCCACCGAGGAGTAGAATGTAGTGATGTCACAGTCCCGCTACAAACTGTCATTACTACCACAAGACCGGCCTTTGGTCTTAGGACCCAGTCCCCTAAGTGTTCTTGCCCACTTCTGTTTCCTCTGGTTGCAGCACAGGTTTCCAGCTGGAAGGGGAATGGGGACTGTGGGACCTAGAAGAGAGAGGTTTCAGGCTGCCTGACTTCCTTACCACAGACCTTGACAGTGTGAAAAGCCTACACCTCCCCCATGAGCTCAACACGTTGACAGTGTCTCTGGGTGGCAATGGGAGAACGGGTTTGGTTTGGTTTTCTCCCAGGCTTCTACTCTCCAGAGAGACTTTAACATTTTTTCTCAGTTCTGCACCTCAGATTTGAATTCTCCATTGTTCTGGGACCAGAGTGCCCCTCAGTCACTGGTTCTGGAGTGAGATCTGCTTATCTTCTGTGGAACAGATCTTGGGAAACTGAACTTAGCTTGAGTCTTCCTCATCTCATCTCAACCTGGGGTACTTTGAGTGCCACAGGATAAATATGGGGCATCTTTCTGAAGCATCAGTTTCCCTTGATTCTATTGAGAGGCAAAACATTAATGTACTTAGGGATGAAAGTCACGTAGATTTATAAGCGTATACAAGACTTCTCTCTGAAATGAGGCTTGGGTTGTCCTCTTTCTGTTAAATTCCCAGATTTAGCAGAAAGGCTGCCTTCTGCCATGAGGAGACATTGATGTAAAGGTTTGAGAGTTACTGGTGTACTTTTTAACACTAACAGACGTGTGAGGGTGAATAACCCTAAACCACATAGTGCACAGTTCCTGCCTACTTAATATTTGCTTTTCTACCTCTGCCTCTGGTTTTGGTCCCTGGCAGCTGCTGATTTAGGGCAAAATCCCAGAGCTCAGAGTCAGAAGACTGAGTTTAAGTTCCATTACTGCCTTTTTTTTCAGCCATGGTATCAATCTCTCTCAGTCACTAAGTGATTGTGACAACATTTCCTACAGTTGGTGGCATTAAATCAGATGGTCTATAAGAGTATTTAGTATAAACTGTAAAGCAGGATGTGACTGTAGGAGCTTGTAGTTCTCATGAGTATCACTGCTCTTCCTTTCCACAGTTGACAGACCATCATCCCCAGACCAACCCTAGTGTTGGTACAGCAGCAAGCGACACCAAAAAGAAGAAAATAAATAATGGCACTAACCCTGAGACAACCACTTCTGGTGGTTGCCACTCGCCTGAGGATGTGAGTCTTGGCTGGCCGGGCTCCTGGGGACAGAGGGCCCAAGGGGTGGTGGAGGGTAATTGTTAAGATTGTGGAAGAACTGCCAGGTACTGGCTAAGAATTCTGGGTTTGAATCCTACCCCTCCATCTGCTAGGGACATGATTTAGCGCAAATTGCTTGAGCTCTTTGGGCCTCTCTTTTCACATCCGTAAAATACGAGTGGTATTGTTTTCCTTACGTTTGTGAAGTTTAAATGAGATTTGTCATTGTGTTTTTATGTTAATCCCTCGTCCAGGACCTGCTGTAAACTCTCCTTCTTGGGCTTGCGTTTCCTGAGGTAGAGTTAGAGAGTATCAGAGGTTTCTGTTAGCTCTGAGAGCCCGAGAGTTAAAGGCCCACTAGAATGGAAACCTCGGGGCCAAGGGCTCCTGTCTGCCTTTTCTGACCTCTATTCCCGCTGTGAAGAACCGTCCCTGGCCCGTATGTGCTCAACGTTTGCTGAGTGAATGCACCTTTCTAAATCACAAGCTGGCGGAAGGGTGGGCTTTTCTCGCACTCCACCTCTGAAGGTTTCTGTTACTGTCTTTTCAAGAGAATCTAGTTTCAGACTTTGAGTTCTGTGGCTGTGGGCAAAAACCAAAAAGACCCAAATCCTTCTTCTTTGGGAGTTGAGGAGAGTTGACCAGTTCATGTTCCCATTGGGTCTGAGAACTGTGCCTTTTAAATCCATTCCTGGCCCCTGCCTATCGCTTCCTGGCCTGGGGAATAGAGTCAAGGGGGCCACCCTCAGTCACCTTCCTTTGACTCTCCCCACAGAAACAATAGAACCGAGCTCAGCTGGAAGAAGTAGTGTGATTTCTTTGCTCACGACATGACCGCTGGGTTTGGGGGCACTCAGATGTAGAGGCCCCAGGCTCATCTCACCCACTCCCAGCCTGGGGAAGAAGGCTCACCCCCAAGATTCCACCCCATCCCCACAGGGTCCCTGATAAACTGGTCCCATGGGTGGGCCTGTTCTGGGGCAGTGGTGCCATTCTGGGGGCATGTCTCTTGCTGTGGATCTCTGCCTCCCCCTAGTAAGAGCTCTGTTTTCCTCTTTCTATAGGAACAGAAGGCAAGCCACCAACATCAGGAAGCCCTAAGGAGGGAGCTAGAGGTGAGTGGAGGGTGTGAAGTTCCCTCCTGCCCTCTGGAGAATGTTTCTTTGCTTCTCTTTCAGCATTTGCTTGTCTTTTCTCCCAAAGGCCCAGGTTCATACCATACGAATCCTTACATGTCAGAAAACTGAGCTTCAGATGGCACTCTACTACAGCCAGCATGCTGTCAAGCAGTTGGAAGGTGGGAATCTGGCACCCCATCATCCTTCAACCTGGCACTTTGACAGGCCTTTAGGGGGAGTCCTTTGGGCCACATCTGAATGTCTCTCATTCCAGGAGAGGCCAGGGATCTGATCAGCCGCCTGCATGATTCATGGAAGTTTGCAGGAGAGTTAGAGCAGGCTCTCTCTGCTGTCGCTACACAGAAGAAGAAGGCGGATAGGGTGAGTCCAAACACGGCCCCGTCCCTTGGGAGCCCAGCTTCGCAGATGGAGGAGTGAGCCTAAAGGTCCCTTCTGTAGGATGGAGTGTCCTGCCCAGAAGGCAGCATGGCCATTTCTTGCTGCTTTTGTGTGTGGTTGTTAGAGGCAGACTGGGGCTGAGTCGGCTGTTGTGGGTGAGTTGGGGAGCACTGTGAGGAGCGAGCACTGGACATAGAGCTCAGAGGCCAAGTGCCCGCCCTGCCCATATTTGGCTGTGGCCTTGGCCAAGTCCTAAGTGGCGGTTAGGGTACTTGTACCATAAAGGTACAGAAGAGTATCTTGAGTATGTTATTATTTGTGTGGAGAGAGGGGGCAGGTGTATATGTGTGTGTGTGTACGTATTATGGTAACATACATAAAACACGTTTGTAAGGATTCATTAAAAAACTCAGGATAGAGGCACAGTGTTGGGGGGAGATATTTCCCTTCTGGACTTTCTGAGTTTTGGACTATGCGAACGTATCATCCTTTCAAAAATTCAACAAAGGATTAATTTCCTCCTTCTTAACTGTGCCCCTACCTCCAGCGGAAGAATGGGCTTAGAGAATCAGATATACCTGGGTGTTGAAATCCCAGCTCCAAGTGATCTTAGGCAGCACTTAACCTTTAATACCGCATGTTTTTCATCTACACAATAGAGGTAATAATGGTAACCGTCTCCTATGGAGGTTGTGAGGATTAAATGGGATTGTTAGCATAGTGCCTGGTGAAGCACTCAAGAAAGGTTCGAACAATGGTAGTACTAACAGTAATAACAATAACAATATTATCTGATCGCTCTGGGCCCCTGTTAGCCAGCTCTAAATTCAATCTCTTTCCCTGTCCCTTCCACATCCACTGAGTTCTTTGAAAAACAAATGAGGGCCAGGTGCTCTCGCTCACGCCTGTAATGCCAGCACTTTGGGAGGCTGAGGTGGGCGGATCACCTGCGGTCAGGAGTTCAAGACTAGACTGACCAACACGAAGAAACCCCGTCTCTACTAAAAATACAAAATTAGCCCGGTGTGGTGGCACATGCCTGTAATCCCAACTACTCGGGAAGCTGAGGCAGGAGAATTGCTTGAACCCAGGAGGTGTAGGTTGTGGTGAGCTGAGATTGTGCCATTGCACTCCAGTGAGGGCAACAAGAATGAAACTCTGCCAAAAAAAAAAAAAAAAAGAAAGAAAGAAAGAAAGAAAAACAAATGAGACCATGGGCTTGGAAATGCCTTGAGAACACGTCAGGTGTGATTGAGAGTGAGGAAGTGTTACTGTGGAGTAGTCACCGTAGCAGTTGTTCCTGGTCGTCCAGCTACTGCTGTGCCTGCTCTATCCTGACTTAACCTTTCTCTATTTGCAGTACATTGAGGAGTTAACAAAGGAGAGGGACGCCCTGAGTCTGGAACTGTACAGGAACACGTAGGATGGGGGAAGGTGGAATGGGAGGTCTGGGGGCCCTTAGCATGGGTGGTGTGCTGGGAGGTGGGGGGTCCAGGTGAGTGTGGGGAGAGGCTCATACATGTTTTCATGTGTGCACACGGAAGCTCTAGTGCTGGCTGTGCCACTGACTCATGGGGTAGCCTCAGGCAACTCATGTCTTCTCTCTGGCCTGCCACCTGGGACTTTTAATTCCTGGGGTCCCTTCCAGCGCCACGGTTCTGTGGTTGTGGGGCGAGGGTAGGGGGTCAATCACCAAAGTGGTCTTTTATGTTCTTCATTCATTCCTTTCTCTACTGCCTCTGGCCATAGCATAACTGATGAGGAGCTGAAGGAGAAAAATGCCAAACTACAAGAAAAACTTCAACTTGTAGAATCTGAAAAGTCTGAGATCCAGCTCAACGTAAAGGAGCTAAAAAGGAAACTGGAGAGGGCCAAGCTCCTGCTGCCACAGGTGAGCAGCTGCAGCCCCGGGGGTTGTGGGAGACCCATCCAGCTGGGACCATGGTCTAGGGATCATGCAGGGTATGGGGAGGCTCCAGCCAAGAGCTGGAAAATTTGGGTCCTTGTTCTGGTCCCGCCATAGAATCCTCTAGAGTGTACTAAAAATGTACAAATTGGGGCCCTGCCTGGGGAATCAGAATCTCAAGAGTTAGGGCTTAAAAATATTTTTTTAAAGGATCATGGATGAAAACCATTATTTTATAGATTACATTTATTTATTTATTTATTTATTTATTTATTTATTTATTTGAGAAGTAGTCTCACTCTGTCACCCAGGCCAGAGTGCAGTGGCGCAATCTCGGCTCACTGCAAGCTCCACCCCCCGGCTTCACGCCATTCTCCTGCCTCAGCCTCCCAAGTAGCTGGGACTACAGGTGCCCACCACCACACCCGGCTAATTTTTTTGTATTTTTAGTAGAGACGGGGTTTCACTGTGTTAACCAGGATGGTCTCGATCTCCTGACCTCGTGATCCGCCCACCTCGGCCTCCCAAAGTGCTGGGATTACAGGCGTGAGCCACCGCTCCCAGCCTATAGATTACATTTATGTGGCTAGCTCATGATTCTGCTTCCTTCTGAGGTTCAAAAAAACACTTTCACTATTCCAGCAGCAGCTGCAGGCGGAGGCTGACCACCTGGGTAAGGAGCTGCAGAGTGTGTCAGCAAAGCTCCAAGCCCAGGTGGAAGAGAACGAGTTGTGGAACCGCCTGAACCAGCAACAGGAGGAGAAGATGTGGAGGCAGGAGGAGAAGATACAGGAGTGGGAGGAGAAGATACAGGAGCAGGAGGAGAAGATACGGGAGCAGGAGGAGAAGATACGGGAGCAGGAGGAGAAGATGCGGAGGCAGGAGGAGATGATGTGGGAGAAGGAGGAGAAGATGCGGAGGCAGGAGGAGATGATGTGGGAGAAGGAGGAGAAGATGCGGAGGCTGGAGGAGATGATGTGGGAGAAGGAGGAGAAGATACGGGAGCTGGAAGAGAAGATGCACGAGCAGGAGAAGATACGGGAGCAGGAAGAGAAGAGGCAGGAGGAGGAGAAGATACGCGAGCAGGAGAAGAGGCAGGAGCAGGAGGCGAAGATGTGGAGGCAGGAGGAGAAGATACGGGAGCAGGAAGAGAAGATACGGGAGCAGGAGAAAAAGATGTGGAGGCAGGAGGAGAAGATTCACGAGCAGGAGAAGATACGGGAGGAGGAGAAGAGGCAGGAGCAGGAGGAGATGTGGAGGCAGGAGGAGAAGATAAGGGAGCAGGAGGAGATATGGAGGCAAAAGGAGAAGATGCACGAGCAGGAGAAGATACGGAAGCAGGAGGAGAAGGTGTGGAGGCAGGAGGAGAAGATGCACGACCAGGAGGAGAAGATACGGGAGCAGGAGGAGAAGATGTGGAGGCAGGAGGAGAAGATAAGGGAGCAGGAGGAGAAGATACGGGAGCAGGAGGAGAAGATACGAGAGCAGGAGGAGATGATGCAGGAACAGGAAGAGAAGATGGGGGAGCAGGAAGAGAAGATGCAAGAACAGGAGAAGATGCGGAGGCAGGAGGAGAAGATAAGGGAGCAGGAGGAGAAGATACGGGAGCAGAAGGAGAAGATACGAGAGCAGGAGGAGAAGATATGGGAGCAGGAGGAGAAGATACGAGAGCAGGAGGAGATGATGCAGGAACAGGAAGAGAAGATGTGGGAGCAGGAGGAGAAGATGTGTGAGCAGGAAGAGAAGATGCAAGAACAGGAGGAGAAGATGCGGAGGCAGGAGGAGAAGATGTGGGAGCAGGAAGTGAGGCTGCGGCAGCAGGAGGAGAAGATGCAGGAACACCAGGTGAGGCTGCAGGAGCTGGAGGAGAGGCTGGGGAAGCTGGGGCAGAAGGCCGAGCTCTTGGGGGGAGCAGGCGGAGGTGTGTGCAAACCCTGGAGATCATACAGAACGACCTCACCACAACTTAGCAGATGGTGGTTGGCTCCCTCTGCTTTTCCACCAGTCTGTGGCCTACAGTTTAAATGGTGGGAAGAAGGGTGTGAGATTTGAGGCTGGGGAGGGAGGCATGGGCCTCTAGGCAAGGGAGGCAGTCATTTAGGCCTGGAGGAAGGGGCCAGGGCCAGGGGCCTGGGTAGGCGACAGAGCCCCGCAGTGCCCTCACTACCCTGTTTATGGGCCCAGAATCTGGAAGCCAGCCACTACCTACCCTGACGCCTATCCTGCAGGTGGAGCTGAAGAGCCAAGAGGCTGAGTCTGCAGCAGCAGCGAGACCATTACCTGGGTCACCTGCAGCAGTACGTGGCCGCCTATCAGCAGCTGGCCTCTGAGAAGGAGGCACTGCCCAGCTGCAGCAGCAGGAAGCTCAGGGCGAAGCGGTGGCCGAGATGGCCCACCAATAGTTGCAGGAGACCCGGTTGAGGGAGTTGATGAGGGCGGGGCCCCAAGGGGGATGATCTGGCAACCTCCGTGCCTTCTCACTCTCTTTCCTGGCCCCTTAGGAGCACCTGGAAGCTGCCATCTAATGAGCACATGACAAGAAGGCAAAGACAATAAACATGTAAAAGCCGGCAGCAAGGCCTGGAGAAGAGTAAGCCGCCATGTGACTGTTTAGAATATAGTCTGAGCACAAACCTGAAAAAAAAATTTTATTTATTTTAAATTGTGGCAAAATACTGGCCAGGCATGGTAGCTCACGCCTGTAATCCTAGCAATTTGGGAGGCCGAGGTAAATGGATGACCTGAGGTCAAGAGTTCAAGACCAGCCTGGCCAATACAAAAATTAGCCGGGCATGGTGGCGCATGCCTGTAATCCCAGCTACTTGGGAGGCTGAGGCAGGAGAATCGCTTGAACCTGGGAGGCAGAGGTTGCAGTGAGCTGAGATCGTGCCACTGCACTCAAGCCTGGGTGACAGAGCGAAACTCCGTCTCAAAAAAAAAAGTTTCTTCCTTACATGTATGTTTCTATTAGTTTTCTTCTTGGTCTTTCTCATTTAGTCTTGTGTTGTCTTTTGACATTCATAGTAAACTTTTATCTGCCTCCAGAGAGTATTGACTTTGAGTTTATGGCACACAATTGGAGTAAGGGCAGATCGCCTTCATCTACTTTGGGACTAAGCTGGTTCAAAGCAGGTTTTAGGTTTTCTGATGGCTGGTCTATGTTTTATTCATTTGGACTCCCAGGGGTGGCCCTTCCAGGGTCCCCACCAAGGTCCCATCTCCTTCCTGGGACCCAAATTCTCATTAGGTCATTTCAGCCCTGTGAGAGTGCCAAACATTCAGCTAGGCTCTCCAGCCTCTTAACTACCACTTCATACTCAGTTTCTTAGCCTCTTAGCCCTCTACTGTTGACCAATCACCAAATGTGGGAAAGCACTACAGACTGTCAGGATCACCTCCTAGGCCTGGTCACTCAAGTCCTGACTGAGGTCTCCAATTACCTTCCAACAATTGTTTTTGATTGGGGGCGGGGCACATTTTTATCCAGTTTTTCTAACTGCTCTTGTGGGGAGGCGAATCTGTAACAAGCTCCTCTGCCTTTACTGAAAGTTGAAAACCTTCATCTGTCCTTTTTTTGTTGTTGTTGAGATGGAGTCTTGCGCTGTTGCCCAGGCTCTAGTGCAATGGCACGATCTCTGCTCACTGTAACCTCTGCCTCCTGGGTTCAAGCAATTCTCCTGCCTCAGCTTCCCGCGTAGCGTGTGCCACCATGCCTGGCTAATTTTTTTTTATACCTTTAATAGAGGCAGGATGTCACCATGTTTTCCAGGCTGGTCTCGAGCTCCTGACTCAGGTGATCTACCTGCCTCAGCCTCCCAAAGTGCTGGGATTACAAGTATGAGCCACTGCATCCGGCCCATCTGTCTTTTAAAACATGTTTTTAATTGGAGGTATAATTTCTATTAGTGAAATGCACAGGTCTGGTTTACATTTTGATGAGTTTTAACTCATTTAACATTACTATGGAACCCACCTCCTTTGAAGATACAGAGTATTTCTATCATCCAGAAAGTTCTCCTGTGCTTTCATGCTGTCCCGCACTCCCCCAGCAGCTGATGAACATGCTGAGGACATTGGTACTGGATTCTGGCCGCCCCAAAAGAGCCGCTTTGACCAGGCTTACCCAGCACTAAATCCCTGCCTGCTCTCTCAAAATTTCCATCTTTAAACTGGTTGTACCTATAACCCTCCCTCATCAAGTCAATAGATAAACAAACCCTGAAAAATAAACAACTCTTCCTGGCCCAGCAGCCCACAGCCTAATATTTACTGTATTCCCAGGCTTTCAGAAATGTAACTCGCCTGCCGGTTCACCCTCACTAGGGCGGCAGCTGCACGGGAGCAGCTGGGCTCACCCATTAAGCAAGAAGCCAATAGCTGGACAGTGACACTCAGACCCCAGCCTGGGCGAGCCTGGCTGAAAGCCCCCTTCTTTCCATCCGACTGTGGAGAAAGGGGGCGGAGCACACACAACTCTACTGCCCTCCACATCCTTCACCTGTGCTTCCTCCTGGGAGAGGGAGCCGCTCCTTAATTTGGCCAAAGCCTTCTTGAGGGCTGTAGGTTTCACAGGCTGGGTGTGTGGGGGCCACCGTGCTAGAGACAGAGGCTGGTGTGTCAGAAGGCAGCCACCTGGCCAGAGGGGGGTCAACCCCCTTGGTGACCTCCTTCCCCCGGCTGGACACAGTGCCCTGCACTCTCTACATGTGACTGTTCCCCTCAGAGCTGCTTCCAGGGGAGGGGTTCTAATCCTGTGGGTGGGGACATTGTGTTACTTTACAGTGGGCCATGGCTCCCTCTGACATCTCCAACTCAGAGGCAGTAGAGAGAAGATGAGAAATTCCCTGCCCCTCCTCCCTCAGCACCCCCACCTCTGCACACGTCCACATGTGGAGACCCTGACAATGGGCCCTGGGAGTGCCGCCATCTGTGCCTGCTTTCCATGCCTGCAGCAGCCATGCCCACTCTCCAGACCCTCACCCGCCTGGGTCAGTAGACGCTTCACTGCCTGTGGTCCTGCGCCTACACCTGGGCCTCTGTACCCGTCAGTTCCCCCAGTCTGGTTCTTATTCCCTGCAAAGAGTAGGGAGCCTGTAAGGTCACCTGTTGAGCAAGCTGGGGGAGAAAAGTAGGGTGGGGATGGGAGGATCAGGATGAGAAGCTCATGGTCGTGCTGGAGACTCAGCTGAGCAGAGTCTCTGCAGGCCCATTGGCTGCCTAGCCAGTGGTGATCTCGCTCCCACCCTCATTTCTTCTTTGTTAACAAAACCATGACCTCATTAAATACTGGACACCTATAAACCTCATGGACCCTCCTCCAGCCTCCCCACCGTGTACCGGTGAGTCTAAGTCAACTCTAGTCATTTCATTCCTCTGGACATTGACTGCTTAGGGCTTGGGCATGAGCTGCCTCTTCACCTGAGCCTGAGCCACAGGTACCCTCTGCACCTACCACGCTGATGCACTGGGCCAGGGAGAGCGCCGTCTGGATGGAGATGAGCTGTGAGGAGCTGGTGGCTGGGCGGATCAGGTTGTTGTAACAGGTTTTGTTCAGAAGGTCGTCCATCAGTTTCTGCTCGGCATGGGCCATGCGGCAGTCCCCTGGGTAAACACACAGACATGCTGGGCCCTTGTGCAGCTGTCTCCCACTGCAGCTGACAGCTATGAAGCAGGAGCTGAGAGGGCCAGGGAGCACAGACACCCTGAGAGCTGGCTGAAGCAGTGAAGGTGCTGGCCGGCCTGGCTTTCCCTGGGGACTTCAAATGACATTCACGACAGAGCTCAGCTACCTCCTCCCCATGCCATACCTCTTCCTCCTCCTCCTCCCTCCGTCAATGAACAGCATCCCACGCTCTACACATCTGATACAAAACTGGGTGTCTCTTCCTGACTCCTCCCTTGGTTCACCCAAGTGGCCACCAAGTCCTGTCTGTCCTCCCATCTCCACGGCTACAGCCATGTCCCTGCCTCCCCCGCCCTGCCCACCTTCTGTTCTCTCCACCTGCACTCTGCCCCTGCCATCCATGTGCCATACAGTGGCAGACTGATCTTTCTACAGCAAACTGGACGAGGGCCCTTCCCTACCCACAGCTCTCAGAGCTGGAGGTGGAGTTGAAGCTCATGTTTTGGCTTGGCATTCAGAGCTCTTTCCCCCTCAGCACTGGCTTATCCAGAGTGCTCACAGTGCAGGGCAGGAGCCTCGTGACTCAAATGTGGGTTTGGTGCAGAACTGGGTCTGAGGTGGTGCTTTCCCTGTGAAGAGACAGGGCCGACATGGGGGAATTTTCTGGGTTCAAAGTTAGACCTAGAGAGTGCAAAGTTTCTCTGAGGCACCAAATGGAGGGGTCCAGCTAGCAGCTGGCTCCTGGTCTGGAGCTTCAAGGAGAGGTCTCAGCTCAGAGCCACATTCAATAGCCGGCTTACATGTGGCCTCCTGCAGGGAGCCCCTGGAGCTTCCACAGCCTCCGTTCTGCCCCTCTGCATACCCCAGATCTCCTGCTAAGTGGCGTTTGGGTCTTCATGTCATCTCCCTCCCATGTCTGGGAGTAAAGGTGAGGTGCAGGGACTTGCGCTTGTGTACTCTGGTGTCTTAAGGGAGAGTGTGTCAAGTAGAGTGGAGGCGGCTTGGAAAGAGGGAGACTCAGAGGAGAGTGAAGGACACATGACCAGGCGAGCCTGGGAGCAGGAAAAGAGAGTGAGCAGAGGCAACTGCTGGGTCAGGGGAGCGGATGGGAGGATCAGGGAATGCGGGGGGGCTGGAGAGGTAGGGGTGGGGACGTTGGCGAGGGGCTGCCTGGCTCGCCAGGCTCAGGAGTCAGTTACATCCTCCCACAAGGGCCAGCTCACCTGGTCGCCCCAAAGACCTCCCTCTGTGGGTGGGACCAGAGGGCCAAGAGCACGGATAACCCAATTGAGCAGGACTGAGGCGGACTCAGGTGGGTGCTGGGCCGGACTCCTGGCTGTGGGGAGCAGCCACCACCCTGCCTATTGCATCCACTTTCCAACTCGCTGCCTATCTGAGCAGATGCGATATTGGGCACCTTGTGAAACATGCTCCTGGTGCACCTGCTGCCTGCTGCCCCTCCTGCAGAGTGCCCGGGCTCTCCAGAGGGGATTCCTATGGAGGCTTGGCCTAGATTCTGAGTCCTGCCTCTCATACCTGGGGCTGCTACCCCAGAGGCCAGCTGCTTGAGTACCCCGGAAGCCAGTCTGTAGCCCCAGGCTACAGCTGGGTCCATCCCACAGCCCTTCTCTAATGTACCTATTTGGACTGGCTGCTCATTTCATAGAGAGGGGTGTGTCTTGCCCCAGACCATCTGGCATGTCTAAGGCAGCTGTGGGGTCAGAATCTGCAGCTCCCAGCCCTCAGCCCAGCAATAGTAGGAAAGGCTGGACCCCACATCTCTGAAGTCCCACTGGGTTGGTGCGAGCGGGCTCCCGAGTACAGGGCTGCTCTGCAGGCTGTGGGGCTCATGCGCCAGCTCTGAGCCCACCTGATGTGCTCACGTTGCTCACCTTTGGGCCTGTCCGGCCTCTCAGGCATTCGGCTGACCCTGAGGGCCTCTCCCTCATCTTGACCACCAGCTACGGGCTCTGATTTCTCAGGGATCTAGAACTACAAATACCATTTGACCCAGCCATCCCATTACTGGGTATATACCCAAAGGATTATAAATCGTGCTGCTATAAAGACACATGCACACGTATGTTTATTGCGGCACTATTCACAATAGCAAAGACTTGGACCCAATCCAAATGTCCAACAATGATAGACTGGATTAAGAAAATGTGGCACACATACACCATGGAATACTATGCAGCCATAAAAAAGGATGAGTTCATGTCCTTTGTAGGGACATGGATGAAGCTGGAAACCACCATTCTCAGCAAACTATTGCAGGGAAAAAAAAAACAAACACCGCATGTTCTCTCTCATAGGTGGGAATTCAACAATGAGAACACATGGACACAGGAAGGGGAACATCACACACCGGGGACTGTTGTGGGGTTGGGAGAGGGGGGAGGGATAGCATTAGGAGATATACCCAATGCTAAATGACCCGTTAATGGGTGCAGCACACCAACATGGCACATGTATACATATGTAACAAACCTGCACGTTGTGCACATGTACCCTAAAACCTAAAGCATAATAATAAAAAATAAAAATATAATAAAAACAAAAGTCCTGTGAACCTCAGATGGTGAGTATAATACTTCAGCACTAGCACAAAAGCCTCAAATATAAAAAGATACCAAGAACACCACTAGCAAACAAAAGTAAGCTCTCAGTCACGAGCAGTAGTTCACACCTGTACTCCCAGCATATTGGCAAGCCAAGGTGGAGTAAGTTAGGAGTTCAAGACCAGCCTGGGCAGCATAGCGAATTCACAGCTCTACAAAAAAAAATTAAACATTAGCTGGGCATGGCGTCACACACCTGTAGTCCTAGCTACTTGGGAGACTGAGGTGGGAAAATCACTTGAGCCCAGAAGTTTGAGGCTGCAGTAGCTATGATCATGCCACTCCACTCCAGTTGGGGTGACAGAGCAAGATCTAGATATTACATTCTGTCCTGCTCCTCTTTCCAGTAAAATCATTAAGTTAAAATGTTTTCATTCAGCAACATAAAAATTAAGTGAAATGTGACTTTGGTGCTTGGCTAGCAAAATATAAATAAATAAAGCGAAATGACAAATTACTTATGAGGAGAAAGTCTTTGTAACCTCAATGACATTAAAGGTTTGTATCCTTAGCCTATAAAGAAAAATTTAAAATTACTCAGAAAAAAAAAATTAATGATTTCCAGCAGAAAATGGGCAGTAGAGAAACCGGCACTTCCCACAAGAATAAAAATAGCCAATGAGCATATGAAAAAGATTCAAAAGCACTAGAAATCAAAGAAATATAATGAAAACAATGAGATTTTCTGCTTAAAGACCAGCGAAGATGACAAATGGAAGGGGGAACCTGGAGCTCTGTCCCTGTTGGTGGGAGTATAAACTCAACCAATTTTCCTATAGGATGATTTGAACATTTCTTTTAAAAATCCTAAAACTGTTTTATATTACTTTCCTCTAGAAATTCTACTTGTATGAATTCAGTGCAAAAATCCTGACTCGAGTTCATTAAAATATATATAGAAGGAAATCCACCTCTGGGGTGGCAATGATTCACTTAACATACATCCAGCTATTGAAAGTGATGATGCCAGGATATATTTCTGCCATAGAAACATGCTTAAAATATAGTAAGTGACAAAAGACCATATATTATGATTCTACTTTTTAAAATGTTTATATGCATAAAAAGTGTAAAAAGCAACAAACCAAAATGTTTTCAGTGGCAAAATTAAAGATTTTTCTTTATATTTTGTCATCTAAATTATTACAAAAAGAGTGATTTCCTTTATAATCGGGGAGAAGTGTTATTTTCATTTATTTATATTTACATTTCTTTTCTTTTTCTTCTTTTTTCTACTCCATGTATTCCATGTAGGCTAGAGAGCTTAAATCCCTGCCTCTTGAGAGAAATCAGCCCATTTTCGGGACATGCAGTACACAAAGCTGCCCCATCTTCCCTTTATTTTTATTTTTATCTTATTTATTTATTTATTTATTTATTTATTTATTTATTTATTTATTTTGAGATGGAGTCTCACTCTGTTACCCAGGCTGGAGTGCAGTGGTGCATCTCAGCTCACTGCAACCTCCATCTCCCGAGATCAAGCGATTCCCCTGCCTCAGCCTCCCAAGTAGCTGGGACTATAGGCATGCACCACCATGCCCAGCTAATTTTTGTATTTTTAGTAGAGAGGAGGTTTTACCATCTTGGACAGGCTGGTCTTGAACTCCCGACCTCAAGTGATCCATCCGCCTTGGCCTCCCAAAGTGCTGGGATTACAGGCATGAGCCACCGTGCCAGGCCTATCATATTATTTCTAAAAATTTCAGTGACATTTCAATTAAGTGAAATTTAATTCTTACTGACCTGATCTCTTATCCTCTGCTTAATGATATCTTCCAGTTGAAAGGTGTTTCCTCTGTAATCACAGGTGCTAAAGGAAATACAACATGTATTCATTAGGTGGATATCCACTAAACCACGGATTCATGCATTGTAGTCCTTAGACCCTCAGCATCAGAAACACGTGGGAACTTGTTAGACATGCAAATTCCTGGGCCAGCCCCACACCTCCTGAATCAGAAAGTGGGGAAGAAGGACAACTATCTGTGCTTTAATAAGCCTTGAAATGCTCCCTGAAGTTTGAAAACTACAGAACTAGAATACATATGGTAGTAAGTGCTCATACTTTATCCAAGGTACCTACGGACTCTTCCCCTCTTTTCCATTCTGTTTTCCATTGAAATAAAATGAGAGCTCCTTTTGACTTAATGGGTATAAGAAAGAAGGCAATGAGATGACCAGGGTTTCAAGTTAGAGTTCAAAATTTAATCAGTGGACAGTGACAGGATGCAAGCCTTCTAAACAGATTCTGCAAGGAAGCTGATTATAATCTATACAGTAGGTATCATTAGTGTATTGATGTTAAATTTTTGGGGTGGATTAATGGTATTGTGATTATATAGGAGAATGTCCTGGTTCCTAGAAGATATCTGTGAAAGTACTTAACAGTGAAATGCCACGATACTGGTAACTTACTTTGAAATGATTCAGGGGGAAAAAGGGCACATATACAATCTTCCATATGCGGAGGAGAGAAAACAAGTATGACAAAACCTTAATTGGTGAATCCAGTTGAATAGCATACCGATGTTCACTGTATTATTTTATCAACTTTTCTGTGTTTGCAAGTTTTAAAATAAAAAGTTGAGGGAAAAGAAACATCACCCCAAATCTTTCTATGAAATGGAACCATAGAAAAAGCATAGAAATGAACACTCTGCAGAAGAGGGCACCGTACCCATCCGGACAGCATGGTCAAAGCGTAGGCTCTCCTCCAGGAGGCTCTTCTCTGGTCTCTTCTGTGCTGTCACTTCCCCTACATGCAGCCAAGGCTTTTTTCTAACAACTCTTTTTCTAAAGGTGTAATTTTTTTCATTCATCTAAGAAAGAGACAAAACAATTAGTATACATTTAGAAAATAAAATTACACTTATACTTGTGTAAAAGCAAAAAATACTTTGAAAAGTGGGGAAGGAAGAAACGTACTGTTCTATAATTCTGTTCTGTTCTTACCATCTTTTTATTCTGCCAATGACTTCCTATTCCTGCTGCGTATGGTAGGGTGAGCTGCAAATGATTTCTTTTCCTCATTGATTTAAAATGTCATGTTTATAATATACTAAACTCCCCCAGAAGCATTTGGGTTTATTTCTGGGCTCTATTCTATTCAAGTGATCTATCTGTTCAAGTGATCTATCTGTTCACAAGCCACTATCAATTTTGATTATTAGAGCATCGTAAAGTTAAGTTAAATAATAATAATTATTATTATTATTTTGAGATGGAGTCTCTCGCTCTGTTGCCCAGTCTGGAGTGCAGTGGCGTGGTCTCGGCTCACTGCAAGCTCCACCTCCTGGGTTCATGCCATTCTCCTGCCTCGGCCTCCCAAGTAGCTGGGACTACAGGAGCCCGCCACCATGCCCGGCTAATTTTTTGTATTTTTAGTAGAGACAGTGGTTTCACCATGTTAGCCAGGATGGTCTCAATCTCCTGACCTTGTCATCCATCCACCTTGGCCTCCCAAAGTGCTGGGATTACAGGCATGAGCCACTACACTCAGCCAAGTAATTATTTGATTAGGATATTAGTATTTGATGGAGACTGACCCTTTTGACTCTAAACTCAAATTCTTATTATCTCTAACTTCTAAAAGACAGCAATTATGACTTCAGTGTATAAAATGCCAGCTTTTTCAGCTACCTTACAGAATTCTCTTATTTTCCTATATCAATTCAGTTTATCCATTTGGTCTTCTCTCCAAACACTCATGTTTTTATTTTAGTATCCTTAATCTTTTTTTTTTTTTTGAGACAGAGTCTTGCTCTGTTGCCCAGGCTGGAGTACAGTTGGATGACCTCAGCTCATTGCAACCCCTCTGCCTCCCAGGCTCAAGCAGTCCTCTCAACTCAGACTCCCAAGTAGATGGGATCACAGGTGCATGTAACCACGCCCAGCTAATTTTGTATTTTTTGCAGAGATGAGGTCTCACCATGTTGCCCAGGCTGGTCTCAAACTCCTGAGCTCAAGTGCTGGGAGCTCCTGAACTCCCAAAGTGCTGGGATTACAGGTGTGAACCACTGCTCCCAGCAGTTTTCCTAATCTCTTATCTTTATCACACTATGACCACGTGAGATTACTCCAGGTATGCAAATGCTGTAGAATTTGAAAAACAATTAATGCAATGTATTATAGCAACAGCTACAAAAATCATAATGTCATATTAATTGATAGAGAAAAAGCATTTGACAAAATCCAATACCCATTCATGATGAAAGAAAAAAAAACTCTAAGAAAATTGGAGATAAAGAATAGGAATCAGAGTGACCTTCCTCCACTGATAAAGAACATCTACAAAAAATCTAGAGTTAACATTATCCTTAACATGGAAGCCTAAAAATGCTTTCCCTACAAGGCCAGAAACAAAGCAAGAACATCTGCTCTCACTGCTCTTATTCAACATAGTACTGGAAATTCTAGATACTAAAATAAGGCAATAAAAATAAAGGGCACACAAACAAGAGAGAAAAAAATACAACTGTCCACATTTACAGATGACATGATTGGCTATATAGAAAATCTCCTGGAACCTGCAAAAAAAACAAAAACAAAAACAAAAAACAACAACAACAAAAAACACCTAGAATTGATAAGTGAGTTTAGTAAGGTTGTAGAAGATAAAATCAAGAAACACAAAAATCACATCAGTTAAATGTGGAAACTGAAATTAATGATGCAATACCATTTACAATTGCTCCCCTCCAAAAAGAAATACTAGGTATATACTTAACAAAACATTATGAAATTATAGAATGCTAATGAAAGAAGGTTTTTAAAAAAGCTAAATAAATGGAGGGAGACACCACGTTTAAGGATCAGTAGACCATACAGTAAATATATCAACTATCCCTGTACTGATGCATTAGTTTAATGCAAGCCCAGCAAGGTTTTGGAAAATATGAACAAGCTCATTCCAAAACTTATCTGGAAAAGCATATAGGTCCCAGAACAGCTAAAACAATCTTAACAAAGAAGAATAAAAGGAGAGGACTCACTCTGTCCAATATTAAGCCTTATTATGATCAAGTAGTCTTAATTACAGTAATCAACACAATGTTGTATTGATAAAGGGACAGACACACAGATCAATGGAAAAGTTTAGAGAACCCATAAGTAGCCCCACACATGTATGTCCAAATGATTTTTGACAAGACACAAAAGTAATTCAACGCAGGAAAGATAGCCTTTTCAACAAGTAACACCAGAGCAATTAAATATCCACAGGCAAAAACCAAAACCAAAAGAAAACCTCTAACTAAACCTTATATTTTATATGGAAATTAACTCAAAATGGATCACAAACTTAAATATAAACATATAACCATGGAATACTATGCAGCCATAAAAAATGATGAGTTCATGTCCTCTGTAGGGACATTGATGAAGCTGGAAACCATCATTCTCAGCAAACTATCGCAAGGACAAAAAACCAAACACCACATATTCTCACTCATAGGTAGGAATTCAACAATGAGAACACATGGACACAGGAAGGGGAACATCACACACCGGGGCCTGTTGTGGGGTGGGGGGAGGGGGGAGGGATAGCATTAAGAGATATACCTAATGTTAAATGACAAGTTAATGGGTGCAGCACACCAACATGGCACATGTATACATATGTAACAAACCTGCACGTTGTGCACATGTACCCTAAAACTTAAAGTATAATTTTTAAAAAAGTGTATAACCATAAAAAATATTTTTTAAAACAAGAGAGAAAATCTTTGGACTCTAGACAGGGTTCTTATACTTGACATCAAAAATACAAACCATCAAAGGAAAAACTGATAAAGTGAACCCATTAAAATTCAAAACTTTGGTTCTGTAAAATATCCTGTTAAGAAAAGATGACAAGCTACACACAGAGAGAAAAAATTTGCAAACCATATATCTGACAGTGGGCTCATGTCTAAAATATATAAAGAACTCTCAAAATTCCACTTTTGGCCAGTAGAAGCTCCTTCACATTGGCTCCTGCATTCTTTTTAACATGACCTTAGAAGTCTCTGATAACTTCCTTGCTTTCAGGAAAGACATGTCCCAGCCTCAATTTGTTCATTTCTGGCCTAAATGTAAAGCTGTGCCAGAGACTTGGAACCTATTTATACAACAGACCATGATTTGAGTAGAAAATGGTACTTAGAAATTAAAACTTGAATACTAGCTTCTTAGTGTTATAAACTGAATTCTGTTCCCCTCAAAATTCACATGTTGAAGCCCTAATCCTCAATGTGACTATATTTGAAGATAGGTATGTATTTGGAGATAGGGCTGTATTTGGAGATAGGGCTGTATTTGGAGATTTAAGGGGGTAATTAAGGCTAAATGAGGTCATATGGGGGATGTCTAATCCAGAAGACAGCCCTCTATGTAAGCCAAGAAGAAAGACCTCACCAGAAACCAAACCTGCCGGGACCTTGATCTTGGATCTGTAGCCGATGAACTGTGAGAAAATAAATTTATGTTGTTTAAGTTGCCTGATCTGTGGTACTCTCTTATGACAGCCCAAGCAAACTAATACACATAGATAAAACTATGAAATATATAATTTCCTTAAAAAGATGGAAAAATAAATGAGTTTATCCTAACACTTTTGAGTCAAATTAAAGAAGAGAGAATTTTACTTAATTATATTTTTCTAATTGTACATTTAATTTTACACTAATAATATTGGTTATTATTGGAGTTAGCATAATTATTAGTTTCTTCACCATATATATAGAGACCATATACATATAGATATATAGATATATATATAAACACACCAGAGAGACATATATATACCATAGAGGCCACATATATATATACACACACACATACACCATATATAGAGAGAGCATATATATACACACACACACCATAGAGCATATATATATATATATACATGAAATATATAATTTCCTTAAAAAGATAGAAAAATAAATGAGTTTATCCTAACACTTTTGAGTCAAATTAAAGATGAGAGAATTTTACTTAATTATATTTTTATAATTGTACATTTAATTTTACACTAATACTGGTTATTATTGGAATTAGCATGATTATTAGTTTTCTCACCATATATAGAGAGAGACCATATATATATATATAGATATATATACAAACACACCATAGAGACATATATATACCATACAGGCCACATATATATATATACACACACACATACACCATATATAGAGAGAGCATATATATACACACACACCATAGAGAGCATATATACACACACACACAGAAACACACACCATATATATATATATATATATATAAAAAATAGTTTCAAATGGCAATACATATATTAACACTGACAACCAGAACACTGAATGCAGTTTAAGGTTTCTTAATGGGATTAAAATATATTATATTATGATTAAGATATATTATGATAGAAATATTCTGCCATAATACTGTAATTTAAAAGCATTCGCTTTAAACATCTCTTCTCTGGGGAATCATACCACAAACTTGACACACAGATTGCTTTCAATTTTTAAAGACCACTTTATTTTTATCATTTTTATTTTTAACATTATATAAAACATTTGCCTGGTTCTTAAGTCTAGACCATAAAGCAGGTACATTCAGAGAAGCATAGCTCATTCCTGGCCCTGCACCTTCCTTATTCTGTTTCTAATCCTGTAAACTATCACTCTTTTTAATTTATTTAACTTTCCATTCTGTCTTTTGTAAAATATTAGTAAAGGCACATATCTTCTCTGTTTTCACCCCCTTTCTTAGACAAAAGGTATTAATAGTATGCTATGAATAACTGTTCTACATCTGACTCTTATCAGGAGAATAATGTCTTGTAGATGACTCCATGGCTGTGTACAGACATCTTCCTTGTGCCTTTCCACAACTGTGTAGCCCTCCATTCTGGGGACTGTGATGGTTGGCAGAATGCTAAAGATCCCCCTGCCCCCAAAGCCCCACCATCCTGGCCATTCAAACACCAATCTAGATACTTCCGCTGGTCCCCAACTTACATTAATTCAACTTGCAATTTTATGATATTTTAGTTTGCGATGGTACAAAAACAATATTCAGTAGAAACCATATATGGAATACTCGTACAACCATTCTGGTTTTCACTTTCAGGGTGGTATTCAATAAATTACATGAGATATTCCACACTTTATTATAAAAACAGGCTTTGTGGGCAGGGTGCAGTGGCTCACACCTGTAATCCCAGCACTTTGGGAGGCCAAGGCAGGTGGATCACTTGAGGTCAGGAGTTTGAGATCAGCCTGGCCAACATGGTGAAACCCCATCTCTACTAAAAATACAAACAGTAGTCAGGCATGGCAGCACACACCTGTAATCCCAGCTACTCGGGAAGCTGAGGCAGGAGAATCACTTGAATCTGGGAGACAGAGGCTGCAGTGAGCCAAGATCACGCCACTGCACTCCAGCCTGCACGACAAAGCGAGACTCCATCTCAAAAAAAAAAAAGTTGGCTTTGCATTAGATGATTTTGCCCAACTATAGGCTAATGTAAGTGTTCTGAGCACATGTAAGGTAGGTTGGGCTAAGCTATGATGTTCAGTAGGTTAGAGGTATTAAATGCATTTTTGACATGATATTTTCAACTTACGATGGGTTTACTGAAATGCAACTTCACTGTAAATCAAGGAGCATCTGTATTGGGAAGTGAGTTTGAAGACATAATTAAAGTCCCAATTCCATTAATCTTAAGATAGATTATCCACTTTGGGAGGCCGAGGCGGGCGGATCACGAGGTCAGGAGATTGAGACCATCCTGGCTAAAACGGTGAAACCCCGTCTCTACTAAAAATACAAAAAATTAGCCGGGCGTAGTGGCGGGCGCCTGTAGTCCCAGCTACTTGGGAGGCTGAGGCAGGAGAATGGCGTGAACCCGGGAGGCGGAGCTTGCAGTGAGCCAAGATCCCGCCACTGCACTCCAGCCTGGGCGACAGAGCGAGACTCCGTCTCAAAAAAAAAAAAAAAAAAAAAAAAAAAAAAAAAAAGATAGATTATCTGAGTGAGCCTAAGCTAATCAAGTGAGACATTTAAAACTCATTTTCTCTGACTGATGGCAGAGGAAGGAAGTCAAAGATGTTTGAAGCATGAGGGGAATGAGTCCCTGCTTCTCAGGACATGAGAAGCAATCTTGCTGGCCACCAAGAGAAAGTAAACAGGTATGCAGTAAACTGTCAACGAAGAAAAAGGACAGATTCCTGAAGCTGAGAGTGAACCCCAGCCAAATATCAGCAAGAAAGTGAGGATGTCAAAGACTGCAAGAAAATGAATTCTGTCAAGAATCAGCGAGCTTGGAAGAGAACCTCAAGCCTCAAATGAGAATCTCAGCACCAGCCAACACCTTGACATCAAGTATGTGAGTTGTGAGCAGAGGATTCAGTTATAACAAGCCCAGACTCCTGACCCATGGAAACTGTCAGATTAATAAACAAGCACTGCCTTAAATCACGGAGTCCGTGGTAATTTTCAACTTCCAAAACACAAAGACAAGGTAACAACATTCATCTGCTTTAGCCATCTTTCCCTTTGCTTCTGCCCTTGTGGTTTCACGTCTTTTAATTCTTTTATTCTCATTTGAGTACAGTATCAGAAAAGAGCATGTTCAACCAGAAGATGACCGCTATGATTTCCTCGACTGGAAATCCTCCTCCATCTGTTCTTTACTCCTCCTAAAATTCTTAGCACTTGGCATGTGAGGTCTCCTGGATCTCCACTCGTACTTTCTTATTGTTTCCTCTCAAGTTTCCATGTCTTTGTCATCAGCTCTGAATGGTTCAATGTGCCCTTTCATACTGCCTTTCAAAGCACCAATGCTATCCCCAGCAGAGGCCATTCTCTTCAGTTTTAGACTTTCAGAAACAAACAAACAAACAAACAAACAAACAAAAAAGCCACTGCCTTCTCCATAGAGTTTTCGATATTTGTTAAAATTCTTTTCTGTCTCTTCCATTTGTTTTGCCTCCATAAGAAATGCCTGATCTGGCCGCGTGTGGCAGCTCATGCCTGTAATCCCAGCACTTTGGGAGGTCAAGGCAGGCGGATCATCAAGGTCAGGAGTTTGAGACCAGCCTGGCCAACATGGTGAAACCCTGTCTCTACTAAAAATACAAAAATTAGCTGGGCGTGGTGGTGAGCAGCTGTAGTCTCAGCTATTCAGGAGGCTGAAGCAGAAGAATCACTCAAACCCAGGAGGCAGAGGTTGCAGTGAGCCGAGATCAGGCCACTGTACTCCAGCCTGGGTCACACAGTGAGACTTGGTCTCAAAAAAAAAAAAAAAAAAAAATGCCTGGTGTGCCTGTTCTTTCTCTTTCAAGTACTATGTTTCCCTAACTGGGCTGGGACAAATCTCTGCCTACTGACTTCTTAAGCTACTCAGCACCCAATCAGGACAGGTGTGGCAAAGAAGCAGGTAGTAAGAGGGAGCTGTTCTTTTCAAGGGCAGGAAGGTGATGTGGTCTTTCTCGAACCTTACAGACGGGGACAGATTGGCCCACCATTTCAGTTCTGCTCAAGATCTCCTGGGAATAAGACTGCAAGCCCAAACCACCACATGTAGAAAGCATCTGCATTTTAGACCCTACAGAAGCACCAAGTTCTACTATTCATGCTGAGCTTAGGAACCCAAGGACAGGGGCACCATCTCTGCCACACAGTGCAGGAGAAATGGAGCCTACCTTACCTCCCCAGCAAGGCTAAGGTCATCTGCCAGACCCTCTCTCTACAATCACCCTGCTTGTTGTGTTGCTCCAGAGAGTGAGAAGAGTGGAGGTCAGTGTCAGGGGCATGCCTTCAAACCACCACGTTCCCACCACTGCTCCAGCTTCTAAACATTCATTCAGAGACAAGTCACAGCAATTTCCAGGGAGGAGGGATCACATATGTCATACCCAAGCTCTGAAGGTGTAAGTGGTTTAGTTGCTTCCAGTTAAAGAGTTTCTGAAGTTGAGGTTACGGGTATTTTAGATAACGTCATCAGGGTGGCTCTCAGAAGAAGTAACCCTTGGACAGAGACTTGAATGATCTGAGGAAGCCAGCCATGCAAGCATCTGAAAGAAGAGATCATAGGCACAGGAAACAGCAACCAAGAAAAGCCCTGAGGTGAGCACAACAGGCTTAGTGCATTCAAAAAGCAACAGGCAAGCCATGGGGCTGGAATGGAGTGTGCCCAAAGAAGACAAGGGCTAACACAAGGGCAAGAATTAGACAAGGCAGGACAGGCAGGACATGGTGAGGGGCAGGGGTATTATTTCAGAGTGACTGCATGTTACTGGAGGAGTCCGAGAAGGGAAGAAACAAAAGCTGATTCACGGTATGTAGGTACTCTAAGCTGCTATATAGAAACCAGACTGTGAGTACAAGAAATGATGTAGGAGCATCCATTGAAAAAGTTTTTTACTTGTTCTTTCTCTTTTATTGTTTTATTTTCTCCTTTTTTTTCTCTTTTCTTGCCCTAACTCTATATGGTAGAACTGTTGAGAAACAATATTAGTTGTTCTAGTGAAAAATGACAGTAAATGCAAAGACAGATCAGAGGTAGCGAAGCCAGTGGTGAGGCCATTAAAAATAAATAGACAAGAGTGACTTCCACTTCTGGCCATAATAGACTAACAGAAACAGGATTCGCCCTCCCATCTAAAACAACCAAAAAATAGACAAAATACATGAAACATCAAACTTCAAGACACTGGACAAGGAAAAATAGTGATCCCTAAATGATGAGAAACAAGGAGGTTTGTTAGGAAATTCCACATCCCTCAATTGGAAGTGATTGATCTATAATGTAATGACATCCTGAAACACAGAAATCAAGAGAAGAATCTAATAGAATTCTACAAATGCCTTCCCAGTGACAAATATGCTCAATTAAAATCATATGCTCATGAGTTGATATTGTTATTTGGCAGTATCTACCTGTGTGAAGACATTTTCAAAGACAAAACACATTAAATCACATTAAAAATCAGCACTAAGAGAACATTTGCCATTGATTTAATGATAAAGACACTAACTTTGATGCCCAATTAAGCAAAATGTCATCTCCCCCTTCCCCTGAAAAAATTCTCTTCTCATTAACAGACCTGTATTACAAAAGAAAAATTTCATTCAATTATGATTGGTATATTTTTATGTCAATAAAAAACATGGTCTGGGCATGGTGGCTCATGCCTATAATCCTAGCACTTTAGGAAGCTGAGGCAAGAGAATCACTCAAGCCTAGGAGTTCAAGACCAGCATGGACAACACAGTGAGACCCTGTCTCCATCAAAATATTTTAAAAATTATCTGGGCATGATGATATGCACCTGTAGTGCCAGCTACTCTGGGAGCTGAGGCGAGAGGATCGCTTGAGCCTGGTGTGGGGCTCAAGGCTCCAGTGAGCTGTGATTACACCACTGCACTCCAGCCCGGGCAACAGAGTAAGACCCTGTCTCCAAAAGTACACATGGAAATTTGTGTCCTTGTTTGTTATATAGGAAGGTATATAATAGGCCCAATTTTGCCTCTTGACCTACAAAGCCTACCCTCTCACTGTTACCAGGAAAAAAAAAAATTGTCAACCCCTAATCTAGATCAATCTCAGCAATACCAGGCTCTGCTCAGTACTCTAGAACAAGTAAAAATCTGGATCTAGAAACAGGCATTAAACCAAATTGCCAGGGCTTCTCTGGGCTTCAATACAGCATGGATGAGATGGTTCAGAAGATGTTAATCAGAAAGCACCAGAACATGAAGAAAACTTGAGGAGCATCTAGAATAGCTCCTCCTTTTAGAGGAAAGAGTTACAAGCCAGGAGAAAGACCTGCCCTTCCTAGGACCAGTCCATAAACTCTTGCCCCCTGCCCTGCTCCTCCTTCTGAGCCTTCAGCTACTTATTCCAGAATCTTACAATAAGCAAAATTACAACCAAACCACTGGTCCAATATTGACTCCCAAAGGTACAAACCAGAACCTTCTCAACACCCTGCTTTGGACTGTTCTCAGATCTAGGGCTGTATTAGCTCATTCTCACACTGCTATGAAGACATATCTGAGACTGGGTAATTTATAAAGGAAAGAGGTTTAATTGATCCACATTGCTGGGGAGGCCTCAGGAAACTTACAATGACGGCAGAAGGTAAAGGAAAAACAGGCACCTTCTTCACAGCCGGCAGGATAGACTGAATGCCAGCAGGGGAAACGCCAGCTCCTTATAAAAATCAGATGTGGTGAGACTCACTCATAATCACAAGAACAGAATGCGGAAAACCACTCCCATGATCCAATGACCCTCACTTGGTCCCACCCTTGACACATGGGGATTATGGGGATTATAATTCAAAGTGAGATTCAGGTGGGGACAAACAGCCAAATCATATCAAGGACACACCAGGCATTTCTCACCCTGCTACAGTTTCAGAGGTCTTCTCGGGGTCCTCAGTACTTCCAAACTGAGATTACAGAAGAAATATTAAGCCCCTGGAAAAACTCTTAAAAAATATATACCAGATACACAGAAGCCAAAAAATACCCTAAAACTACTAATACAAGAGGCACTAAATTGAAGCTACTGAAGAAAACATCAGAGAAAATCTTACCTTGCTTGGCAATTGAACAGCAACATTTCACAGTTATAAATCAAAATATATAGAAGAACCAGGAAGGCTTTTGCTCTAACGTATGCTGAGAGGCTGTCAAGTAAATGGATAACTGTGGAGACAAAATCTTGTGGAAGACATTTAAAAAATTTTTTGAGAGAACATAAAAAAATAGGGCAGTCTCAATTCTCAGGGTGAACAGCCTATAATAATCAAGCAGATGGCAGGAAGTAAAATAATATCAACTACTGTTTTCGCATTCTCAATTTGTGCCAGATCCCATAACTAAATTTTAATATTATCTCATTTAAATCTGAAAGTCATAAAAAGTTGACAATATTGGCCGGGCATGGTGGCTCACACCTGTAATCCAAGCACTTTGGGAGGCCAAGGCGGGCGGATCATGAGGTCAGGAGATTGAGACCATCCTGGCTAACACAGTGAAACCCCGTCTCTACTAAAAATACAAAAAAATTAGCCAGGCGTGGTGGCACGCGCCTGTGGTCCCAGCTATCGGGAGGCTGAGGCAGAAGAATGGCATGAACCCAGGAGGCAGAGCTTGCAGTGAGCCGAGATTGCGCTACTGAACTCCAGCCTAGGCGACTGAGCAAGACTCCATCTCAAAAAAAAAAAAAAAAAGTTGACAATATTGTCCCCACTTGAAAGAGAAAAATGAATATTGAAAAGTTAAGCAATTACCCAAATTCAGATAATAAGCAATTTACCCAAATTCAGATAAAATTCAACTGGCCTTGTATAAAATCCAGGCCAGTTGAATGACAAAGCCTGCCTGTTCACTACTCAATCACACAACTGGAAATGTGGCAGCAAATAATACAACTGTCAGTCACAACTGCATGTAGATATAAATCTCTGAGAAGAGCTGCATACAGAGAGATCATATCTCTGGTCTACACATCTGAGGGCTTAACAGAAAATGAAGACAATACTCAATACATGACACAAAGAAACATATACTCCTATACCACTCTTCAATTAAAGGTATAATTCAACACAGAGGACTAAGTATTGACAAGGAATACTGCTACTTTCCCTTTTAAAAAACAGACTATAAATAATTTATATCAATATGCAAACAGAAAACAGACACACATGCACACACATGGTTAATGAATGTAAATAGTCAGAAATATGGAATCATAATATCAGCAAGGTGACTACAGAGAACAGGAATATATAAGTTCCCAAGAGAGCTTAACAGAGGCCAGCACCTAACAGTAACACTGTGTGTCCAAGATAGATTTAAGAAGCTCGATTTTTTTTGGCCACACTCCAATCCTTTTCTATTCACTGGTATGTTTCCAGGTAGGAAGAATTTACATAGTCATGTATATGCCATGTAAACTCTATACTACTTAAGGATACAAACATATCTAAGCATCAGTCTCACCTAGTTCCTGAACCAAATTATCAAAGCCAAATTATTCATCTCGGGTAAAAAACAAATCAATGCAGTCATCCTTGAGTAGAAGATCTGTTTTCTACCTTTCCAGCAACAGACAGTAGAAAATCCATCTCCCCAGATGCATTCCTGATTCTAATTTATACTCTGTGGTCTAAGGACCACAATCACAAGTCTGTTTCCCATATCAACACCACCCCCAACATATACACACATAATTCCAAAGCCATTCAAATTTCCAGCAATCATAGACTGAAAAACTCTTCCAGATTATATGAGATTAAAAAGACATGATAACTGACTTCAATTCAAGATCTGGAAGTTCTGTTCCCCATAAAGAACACTATTGGGACAACTGGCAAAATCTGAATAAGGTCTGTAGATTAGCTAACAACACTGAATGTTAATTTCTTGATTTTGACAATCACGGCTTGTTTCAAGGAAACATTCAGTGAAGTAATTAGATTTAGAAAAGCATCATGTCCACAAACTTCTCAAATGGGTCAGAAAACATACACACACTCACACACATGTGCACACAAAGTGAAAGAGATAAAGACAGAGAGACAGATAAATCATAAAGTAAACATAGTAGAATGTTAACATTTGGTGAATGTGGGCAAAGGATCTATTGCAATCATTTACACTGTATGTCCAAAATTACACTCAGTGCCTACTCTAAACATGATACTCCTACTCTGAGGATCAGTCTACTAGCCAAACTCAGAAGCCTGGGTACCATCCTTGACCCTTCTTTCCTTTGTCCCATGCCCAATTAACCCCAAGCTCTGTGAAAATGACACCCCCACTATGGCTGTCTTATTTCTATGTACTATTATATCTTTCCTGAATTACTACAACAGGCTTTACCTAATTTTCCTTTATTCCATCTATTCTACAAATTTTAGCCACAGTGGATCCTCTATAAGAGCAAATATAACTCACCTATAAAATATTCTCAATAGTTACACTACCATTAAAAAGAAGCTAAAACTCGTGGCATATGAGGTTCTTCATGGTCTGGCTTTTCATTATCTTTCCAAAATCATGTATCATACCATCAACTCCACTGAATACCCTCAACACTCACCATGAGGAAATAAAAAAAGGAAATTGAGAATATTGAAAAAAGGAAAGTGGCAAAGGGAATCCCAGGATGATTCCAAGGTGACAGCCTTCACCAGACAGAGGGCAGCCCATCTGTGTGGAAGCTGGTCAGAGACCCCCAGAGAGAACTCAGGAGAAAAAACTGACAGACTATCTGAAGCACCTGAGTGTAATTTGAAACACAAAGTGATGTAAACAAAGAAAGGTCCACTAGATATTGATCCACACAAAATTAACAGACCGAGTACATATGCATGTTGGAGCCTATCTCATGTCCTACTTCAAAATAAACACCAAACAAATCTAAGATTTAAGATCTAGAATAGGCCATGGCAGGTAGGAATACAAACATATATACGTACATATATACATATTTCAATCTCAGACTGGGGAAAATGTTCATAAATAATTTATCAGAAAGAACAAAATAAGCGTGAGAAATGTAAATACAAAAAACATTAAATGCCACATAGAAATAAAACACTATATAGAAAAACACATAAACTAGAGAATGTATTTGCAGCACATTTTTTGAATAAAGTGGTGATTCTCTTGATATATAAATATCAATAACTAAGAAAAGAACTAAAGAACTAAGAAAGTAAGAGTTCTAGAAACAACTGAAACCTCTGATCTCTTCCATATGGAATATCACATTAACCAAGGATAATTTAAAGTATTTCAAAAAATACAGAAAATAGGAGGCAAGTTTCATATAAAGCTATCCATACAAACCTATTTCACATATAAAGACAACAAAAAAGGAAAATCAAAAACATTTCAGCTGATAAAAACTTTTTTTGGAGACCGAGTCTCACTCTGTGCCCAGGCTAGAGTACAGTGGTGCAATCTCGCCTTACTGCAACCTCCGCTTCCTGGGTTCAAGCAATTATCCTGCTTCAGCCTCTCAAGTAACTGGGACTACAGGCTCGTGCCACCATGCCCGGCTAGTTTTTTGTATTTTTAGTAGAGATGGATTTTTACCGTGTTAGCCAGGATGGTCTCGATCTCCTGACCTCGTGATCTGCCCGCCTTGGCCTCCCAAAGTGCTGGGATTACAGGTGTGAGCCACCATGCCGGGTTGAAATGCTCTGATTTTACCTGCTATGGTCTGAATGTTTTTGCTTGCCCCCAATCATATGTTAAATTTAATCTCCAATGTAATAATGTTAAGAGGTGGAGCCTTTGGGAGGTAAGTAGGTCATAAGGACTACACCCTCATGAATGAGGTTAGTACCCTTATAAAAGAGGCCTGAGTGAGTTTATTTACCCTTTCCAACATGTAAGGACACAAAGAAGACACTATCTGTGACAAATGGGCCCACACTAGACACCAAATCTTCTAGTGCCTTGATCTTGGACTTCCCAGCCTCCAGAATGGTGAGCAATAAATTTCCATTATTTATACATTACCCAGTCTAAGGTACCTTGTTATAGCAGCCCAAACATACTAAGATACCACTCAACCAAAACAAAAAACAAAACAAGCCAAAATTAAGGGAGAGGTAAGCTGTACTGTAACCGCTCAATTTGAAGGAACTATCATTAAGTAAGCATTTATAGACATCAAAAAGGTCCAAGTCACTTAGTTATACAAGACAAGGAGGTATAGACAATATACCTTAGGAATACAGATGCAAAGACTCCTCAACAAAATATAAGCACATTGATCCAGAATATATTAAAGGAATAAAACATTATGACCAAGTGAGGTTTACCCCAGGAATTCAAGGCTGATTCAACATTTGAAAAGCAATCAGTGTAATTCATCATAATTAACGGATGAAACAAGAAAAATCACATAACCATATCAATTACTAATAAAAAAGCATTTTACAAAATTCAACATACATTCATAATAAAAACTCTCAGCAACCTAGGAATAAAAGAGACGTCCTCAATCTGAAAAAAGGCAAGCAGAAAAAAACCTACAGCTAGCATCATACTTAATGATGAAAGACTAGGTGTTTCCCCAGAAACTGGGAAGAAAGCAAGGATGTCCACTCTTATCACCCATGATTCAATATTTTACTGAAAGCTGTAGCCAGTATAAGAAAAATAAATAAATGACATTTAGATTTGAATGAGAGAAATATTTGCAGATGGCATGATGATCTATGTAGAAAATCCCAAGGAATTTACAAAAAAAAAGTTTCTATAACTTATAAGTGAGTTTAGCAAGATCTAGTATATTTCAATATACCAATAATGAACAAATGGAAAATAAATCCTTTTTAAAGTACTACTTTTCAATAGCTCCAACCATAACAACAACAAAGAAGTATTGCTTTCACCCTAACAAAACATCTACAGAATCTGTACATTAACACTCTAAAATAGTGATAAAATAAAACTTTTTAAACATATAATGAAGAGACATTCCATGTTCATGTAGTAAGACTCAAGTTAGTCATCAATTCTCCCCAAATTGATCTATAGACTCAATGCAACTTCAATCAAAATCCCAACAGGATATTTTGTAGATATAAACTAAGTTTAAAATTTCTATGGAAAGGTAAAAAAAAAAAAACTAGAAAATGCAAAACAATTTTGGGGGGATATGCAAGAATCACACAATAATTTTAAGACATACAAAAACTACAGTGATCAAAACAATGTAGTATCGACAAAATGAGACACACAGAATGAGGAAACAAACTAGAGTTCAGAAATATAGTCAATTAGTTTACGATAAAGGTGCAAAGGCAACATTGGAAAAAGGATAATCATATCACCAAATGATGCTGGAACAACTGAATATCCGCATGCAAAAATGTTAACTTACACTCATTCCTCACTCCATATGCAAAAATTAACCCAAAATGTATTATACAACTGAATATCAGTAAACTTCATCAAAATTAAAATTTCTCCTCTGTGAAGGACACTGTAAGAAAAGACAAGCCACATACTCAGAGAAAATATTTGTACCCAGAATATATAAAGAACTCTCAAAACTCAAAATTAAGAAAAAAAATTTTAATGAACAAAATATTTAGGCCGGGCGCGGTGGCTCACGCCTGTAATCCCAGCACTTTGGGAGGCCGAGGCGGGTGGATCATGAGGTCAGGAGATCGAGACCATCCTGGCTAACAAGGTGAAACCCCGTCTCTACTAAAAATACAAAAAAAATTAGCCGGGCGCGGTGGCGGGCGCCTGTAGTCCCAGCTACTCGGGAGGCTGAGGCAGGAGAATGGCGTGAACCCGGGAAGCGGAGCTTGCAGTGAGCCGAGATTGCGCCACTGCAGTCCGCAGTCCCACCTGGGCGACAGAGCGAGACTCCGTCTCAAAAAAAAAAAAAAAAAAAAAAAATATTTAAACAGACATTTCACCAAAAAAAGTATCTGTCAAATAAATAAATGCAAGGATGCTCAATATCATAATCATTACAGTAGTGCAAATTAAAATCATACTGACTATAACTATGAACTTATTAGAATGACTAGCATGAAAAATGGTGAGTATGTGAAGCAATTGAAGTTTTTCATACATTGCTAGTGGAAATGCAGAAATGGCACAGGAATCCTGGAAAACAGTTTGGCAGTTTCATTAAAATGTTCAATACATACCTATCATATATGCCTCAACCATCCTACTTCTAAGTATCCTAATGAAATAAAAACTTAAGTTCACAGAGAATCTTGTACACAAAAATTGATAGCAATATTTAGTTATAATACAGATTGAGTATCCCAAATCCAAAAATCTGAAATCTGTAATGCTCCCAAATCCAAAACTTTTTGAGCACTGACATGATGCAAGTGGAAAATTCCACACATAAGTACTTAACACAAACTTTGTTTCATGCACTGAAAATATTTAAAATATTGTATGAAATTACCTTCGCCTTATTTTATACAAGGTGTATATGAAACATAAATAAATTTTGTGCTTAGACTTGGGTCCCATCCCCAAGCTATCTCATTATGTATATACAAATATTGCAAGATCCTAAAACACTGAAATCTGAAACACTTCTGGTCTCAAGCATCTTGGATAAGGGATATTTAACCTATAGTCAAAAACCGAAAACAGTTCACATGTCCTTCAATGTGTACATGAATAAAGAAACTGTGGTACATCTACATAATGAAACAGTACTCTGCAGTAATGAACTACTGATACATGCAGTGACATGGATGAACCTCAACTGCACTGTATTAAGTGAAAGAAACCAGCTGCAAAGATTATATGCAGTATGATCACATTTATATGACATTCTGGAAAAGCTAAAGCTATAGGGGCAGAGAAGACATCAGTGATTGCCAGGGACTGGGATGGAGGGTGGTTTGCCTAAGAAAAAAGCAGCACAAGGTCATTTTTTGGGAAACTGGAATTGTTCTGTATCTTTCTACAAAAATTAGCCAGCTGCAGTGGCTCATGCCTGTAACCCCAGTTACTCGGGAGGCTGAGGCATGAGAATTGCTTGAACCAGGAGGCAGAGGTTGCAGTGAGTCAAGATCGCACCACTGCACTCCAGCCTGGGCAACAGACAGACTCCATCTCAAAAAAAAAAAAGAGAGAGAGAGAGATATGGGGTCCCACCATGTTGCCCAGGCTGGCCTTGAACTCCTAGATTCATGCAATCCTCCAGCCACAGCCTCCCAAGTAACTGGGGCTACAGGCGCATACAATTGTGCCCAGCTTGAATTGTCTATACTAAAATCTGTGAATCCTAAAATCTGTCGCTATAAATACAGTCTGATAACGATTAAAGTAAATTAGCATTAACTACTTTAAGTTTTTAGAGATTATAATTATAGAAATTTGTAATGAGCTCATCCAATATATTTCTCCCCAGTAAACAGCAGGAAATATCCATGAGCCCTCAAACTCCTCCAGCCTTGAAAATGAAATATTTGGGCCGGGCGCAGTGGCTCATGCCTGTAATCCCAGCACTTTGGGAGGCAGAGGCAGGTGGATCACGAGGTCAGGAGATAGAGATCTTCTGACTAACACAGTGAAACCCCGTCTCTACTAAAAATACAAAATTAGCCCGGAGTGGTGGCGCATGCCTATAACCCCCAGCTACTCGGGAGGCTGAGGCAGAAGAACGGCTTGAACCTGTGAGGTGGAGGTTGCAGTAAGCCAAGATCACACCATTGCACTCCAGCCTGGGCAACGAGCGAAACTCCGTCTCAAAAAAAAAAAAAAGTTTCCTATTAAGTGTTTAGGGGAAAAAAATGGAAAAAGTGGCTTACTGAGTGCCAGGCACCCTGCTAAGCGTGGTATATACATTGGCTCACTTAGTCCTCATATCCAGATGAGCAAATTGAAGTCTAGAGAAGTTACGTGAATTGCTCAAGATCAAAGATTGGAAAATGGCAGAGGAGGGGCTTGCTGACTCCTAAGTCCATCTTTAGCTTAAATCTTACACTTGACTTCTAATCTTCTAATTTTTCATTTTATTCCCTTCACTGTGGTCTCACAGGTTTCCCTTGTTTCTGACAATTGATAAACTTGCCTCTTTTTTCTTTGAAATGGAGTTTCACTCTTGTTGTCTAGGCTAGAGTGCAATGGCCCAGTCTCGGCTCACTGCAACCTCCGCCTCCAGGGTTCAAGCAATTCTCCCACCTCAGCCTCCTGAGTAGCTGAGATTACAGGTGTCTGCCACCACACCTAGCTAATTTTTGCATTTTTATTAGAGACGAGGTTTCACCATGTCAGTCGGGCTGGTCTCAAACTCCTGACCTCAGGCAATCCTCCTGCCTCGGCCTCCCAAAGTGCTGGGATTACAGGCGTGAGCCACTGCGCCTGGCCAAAGTTGCCTCCTTTTAATTCAGATCCTTGGCTCTCCTCCTCCACTCCCACTGGCCCCACCTCCCAACATTGGCCCTACTCCACCCCACAGGCGGTAACAGGGATTTACACCTCTTTCCAGATCCACCTGCCAACTCCTGCTCTGCTCTCCTCCCTCAGGGACCCATTAGCTACACAGGTCTTTCCTGTGCTCTTTCTAAAATGCAAATCTAGATATTTCACCAACTTAATTAAATGCCCTCAGCTGTCCTTAGGAATGAGACTAAGGCCTTTCCTGATCTGGTCCTCGCTACCTCTCCAGCTCCTCACCCACTTGCTCCTTGCCCTGTGCCTAATCGACACACTCCTTCTGGGTTCTAGCCACCCTCTGGCTGAAATTCCTGTTATTCCTAGTCTGCCTACTCATCCTCCAAGGCTCGTCTGAAGACATTCCTCTAAATGTTTCCAGAAACACTTCAAGACAGAACTTACTGTTCCTCCTCCATCCTTTCCCAGACCACAAACCTGGATCACACCGCACTATGATCACTAGTCTTTCCTACCGGCCCAGAAGGTCTTTGAGAGCAAATACATTTGATTACTTAGTTCTGTCAGTGCCCTAAACAATTCAGGTTTTTAATCAGTGTCAGCTGGATGAGTTACTTTCCCTTTTCATGCCTATTTTAACATATTCCCTCTGGATAAAAATTCTAGATTTGCAGGGCTACAAACAGTAGAGCTGGCTTTGGTCCCTCCCTGGAGGCGCTGCAATTGCTGGCGAGATGGCTGCCTCAAGGCAACTTTGCTCACAGAGGATCACAGGAAAAAGCTCTTCAGTTCGAGAGGTATTTACCTATTGATTAGGTTCCTCTGTGCGTCGGTACTATCGAGAGGAAGCTGATGTCGTAACTCCGGTCCTTTTTCACTTTCTTAAATTTTTTTCCTCCCAAATGAAAAGTGGGTGAATGAATGAAAATCCACTGACCATCAAATGTATTTTACACTCTGAAACATTCCCCATTTTTGTGAGTGCAAATTAATTCAAATAGGATTTCCCTTCCTAACGGCACAATCAACTGCACTGTCTTCAAAAAGAGATGTGGACTGCTTGAAAATGAGACGCTTGTGTCACAAGGACATTGCACATGGACACAGAGCAGCATGATGGTTTCCAAGCCACACGCATCATGCCAGGCAGACCCCACCGCTAAGGCTAGAAGGAACTCTGGTGAAGCACTGACTCCAAAGAGGGACTTTGGTCCAGCAACCCCGTCCCACCCTACAGCAGACGGGCTGGGGCCTGGACGCTCTACAACAGTAAGTAGTCTAGGATTCAGTTCTAACTGGCTTAGAGAACAATGGGTCAGGCGCTTTGGGTAATTTTTTATAACAGGCTCACCTTTTTTATAATATTTGATCCAGATTTTGACAGTTATGCTTTATTTATTTAGCCCACCCAGGAAATCAAGTATCCTACATAAATCAATCTTCCAGGGAGCAAAGCTTTAAGGGTTCTCTCAGAACCATTATTTTGACCATTCTTATGCAAATCTTTTAAAGATATATACATTTCTTTATTTCTGAAGTGACTACAGTGATTATAATTTAGTCAGTGCTAAGGAGTCGGCTTCATCAAAAAGAACATCAGTGATTATTCTGTGTTGTGACACTGTGATACCCTGAGGAGCTATTGAGATGTGAAGCTCTTTTCCCATAAACAAAATGGTCCCAGATTACAATGCCTTTAATTCTTCTGACAGCTTTTCATAATTCTTCTGTCTCCTCCTTCCAATGTTGCCCATCACTTCTTACTAATGTTAATTACTATGACTTCATTTCCTAAACTGCTGCCTTCATTTAATTTTATAGAGAATCCTAAATCAATGGGCCTGAGGGAGCTGTCACACCTCTCCTACGGAGTAGTATCTGTGAGCTCTGTGTCATTCTTCTCAGAGCTGAAAGGCCCCTCTCTCTCACTTCTGGATTTCTAGCCACTTTCCAAATGGCTGATGCTGCCAGGAACATTAAATTTTACTTCGCATTCAATGAATACATACTGGCTGGCAGAGGAGGATAGTGGCCTAGAAACTTCTTTGGTTAACCCTAGGAGGTCAACTGAGATTAAATCTTGCTATGGACAACTCACAAAATGTGTAATTGACAGTGGTCTGCAGCCAGAATACAAAGGTCTTAAGACCAAAAGCTTCTCTGTAAAGCTTTTGTAAAGCAAAAGCTTGCTTTACTCCGCTAAAGCAAGTAAGAAGGTGACGCATCCATGGTATTGTCTAGATCAAAGTCACAGCTGTTTTTTTTTTTTTAATTATACTTTAAGTTCTAGGGTACATATACACAATGTTACATACAGGTTACATACGTATACATGTGCCATGTTGGTGTGCTGCACCCATTAACTCATCATTTACATTAGGTATATCTCCTAATGCTATCCCTCCTCCCTTCCCCCACCCCACAACAGGCCCCAGTGTGTGATGTTCCCCTTCCTGTGTCCAAGTGTTCTAATTGTTCAATTCCCATCTATGAGTGAGAACATGCGGTGTTTGGTTTTTTGTTCTTGCAATAGTTTGCTGAGAATGATGGTTTCCAGCTTCATCCATGTCCCTACAAACGACATGAACTCATCATTTTTTATGGCTGCATAGTATTCCATGGTGTATACGTGCCATATTTTCTTAATCCAATCTATAATTGGTGGACATTTGGGTTGGTTCCAAGTCTTTGCTATTGTGAATAGTGCTGCAATAAACATACGTGTGCATGTGTCTTTATAGCAGCATGATTTATAATCCTTTGGGTATATACCCAGTAATGGGATGGCTGGGTCAAATGGTATTTCTAGTTCTAGATCCCTGAGGAATCGCCACACTGTCTTCCACAATGGTTGAACTAGTTTACAGTCCCACCAACAGTGTAAAAGTGTTCCTATTTCTCCACATCCTCTCCAGCACCTGTTGTTTCCTGACTTTTTAATGATCACCATTCTAACTGGTGTGAGATGGTATCTCATTGTGGTTTTGATTTGCATTTCTCTGATGGCCAGTGACGATGAGCATTTTTTCATGTGTTTTTTGGCTGCATAAATGTCTTCTTTTGAGAAGTGTCTGTTCATATCCTTCGCCCACTTGTTGATGGGGTTGTTTGTTTTTTTCTTGTAAATTTGTTTGAGTTCATTGTAGATTCTGGATATTAGCCCTTTGTCAGATGAGTAGGTTGTGAAAATTTTCTCCCATTCTGTAGGTTGCCTGTTCACTCTGATGGTAGTTTCTTTTGCTGTGCAGAAGCTCTTTAGTTTCATTAGATCCCATTTGTCAATTTTGGCTTTTGTTGCCATCGCTTTTGGTGTTTTAGAAATGAAGTCCTTGCCCATGCCTACATCCTGAATGGTATTGCCTAGGTTTTCTTCTAGGGTTTTTATGGTTTTAGGTCTAACATGTAAGTCTTTAATCCATCTTGAATTAATTTTTGTATAAGGTGTAAGGAAGGGATCCAGTTTCAGCTTTCTACATATGGCTAGCCAGTTTTCCCAGCACCATTTACTAAATACGGAATCCTTTCCCCATTTCTTGTTTTTGTCAGGTTTGTCAAAGATCAGATGGTTGTAGATGTGTGGCATTATTTCTGAGGGCTCTGTTCTGTTCCATTGGTCTATTTCTCTGTTTTGGTACCAGTACCATGCTGTTTTGGTTACTGTAGCCTTGTAGTATAGTTTGAAGTCAGGTGGCATGATGCCTCCAGCTTTGTTCTTTTGGCTTAGGATTGTCTTGGAAATGCAGGCTCTTTTTTGGTTCCATATGAACTTTAAAGTAGTTTTTTCCAATTCTGTGAAGAAAGTCATTGGTAGCTTGATGGGGATGCCATTTAATCTATAAATTACGTTGGGCAGTATGTCCATTTTCATGATATTGATTCTTCCTATCCATGAGCATGGAATGTTCTTCCATTTGTTTGTATCCTCTTTTATTTCATTGAACAGTGGTTTGTAGTTCTCCTTGAAGAGGTCCTTCACATCCCTTGTAAGTTGGATTCCTAGGTATTGTATTCTCTTTGAAGCAATTGTGAATGGGAGTTCACTCATGATTTGGCTCTCTGTTTGTCTGTTATTTGTGTATAAGAATGCTTGTGATTTTTGCACACTGATTTTGTATCCTGAGACTTTGCTGAAGTTGCTTATCAGCTTAAGGAGATTTGGGGCTGAGATGATGGGGTTTTCTAAATATCCAATCATGTCATCTGCAAACAGGGACAATTTGACTTCCTCTTTTCCTAATTGAATGCCCTTTATTTATTTCTCCTGCCTGATTGCCCTGGCGAGAACTTCCAACACTATGTTGAACAGGAGTGGTGAGAGAGGGCATCCCTGTCTTGTGCCAGTTTTCAAAGGGAATACTTCCAGTTTTTGTCCATTCAGTATGATATTGGCTGTGGGTTTGTCATAGATAGCTCTTATTATTTTGAGATACGTCCCATCAATACCTAATTTATTGAGAGTTTTTAGCATGAAGGTTGTTGAATTTTGTCAAAGGCCTTTTCTGCATCTATTGAGATAATCATGTGGTTTTTGTCTTTGGTTCTGTTTATATGCTGGATTACTTTTATTGATTTGCATATGTTGAACCAGCCTTGCATCCCAGGGATGAAGCCCACTTGATCATGGTGGATAAGCTTCTTGATGTGCTGAGTCACAGCTGTTTCTGAGTCTGGTCTTCCCTAGTTGAACCACAGACCCATGCAAAGGCAAGTTTCAAAGGAAGGCTGGGGCCATACTCCCTGGGGCATGTACCCCCTTAATCCTTTCTGTGACTCTCATCTGCAGTACTTCCCTAAGTGTCCTGACAAAGGAGATTCACAGCACACAAACTTTCCCTGGGTCTTGGCATGCCCTGAACATCTAGATCAGACCATGAGATTTTTGCCCAGGTTTGACTTCCCCACCTGGAAGAGCCAGGGCCCTTTCCACATAATGGTGTTACTTACAGTGACAGGCAGGTCTAGAGGATTAAGGTGCTTGTCCTGCCGGCAGAAAGCAAAAGCATAGAGAGAAGCAGACGGAATGAGCTTTCAGCTTACATTCAAACAAGGACCAGGAAGGAAGATTAACAGAGCCAAGCCATCCACCAAAGACAAGGACAGAAAGAACCACAGATGCTTTTGGTCTTCCCTCTAGAATCTACCAAGAGCTGGGTACATACATGATCCCACTTAGATTTCATCTTACTGAGCCCATAAGATTGTCAGAGAACTAAAACGTCTTACTTTTAACACCACTTGGGCTTTTCTCAGAGAAATCTAGAATGTTAGTGTTGGAAGGGCTGTCAAAGATCATTTAAACTGGCCCTTTCATTTTACAAAAAGAGAAACTGAGACCCAAAGAGGTTACAAGCACTTGCCCAGCCAGCAGCAGGGAGAGTACTTAGTTCCAGGCCCCTTGGCTCTTAGGTCAGGGCTTGTTCCACCACCCAGCTGATTCTTAGTTTCCTCATCTGTGAAACAGGGAGCTTGTTTTTCCTCAGACACCCTTGTGAGCTAAACAAGGCAGATGTTGTTGCTGCCATGTGACAGGTGAGGAAACTAAGGTTCACAGAGGCAGAGCTATTTGCATAATGTCACAGTTAATGAACAGGCGAAAGAAGATGTTTAGAATCTGCATCAGAGAACCTTTAAACATAAAACTTAGTGTGAAGTCCCATTTATATTGGAGCCCTTGGACTCAGGGTACCCACAGGGTCTCTTCTTCCTTATTCTTGATCCTCTAACCCAGGAGTTGGCAAACTATGGCCATATTAGGCTTGTTGCCTGTTTTTGTAAATAAGATTTTATTGGAAGACAGCCATACCCATTCATTTACCTACTGTCTGAGGCTGCTTCTGGCTACAATGGCAAGGTTGAGTAGCTATCACATAGGCCATATGGCCCATAAAGTCAAACATGTTTATTCTCTGGCCCTTTAGAGGAAAAAGTTTGAAGGGCCCTAATCTCATCTAAGATCCAGCTGGTTTCTCCTCATAGTTCTTCCCTGGGTCTTCCTTAGCAAAGCCACCCTGCTGGGCTCTAGACCAGAGGGCTAGGAGGAAGGACTCTTGGGAAAATGCCTGGATTTGTGCTCTCTGAACAGCAAAGAGTACGTGGGGTGAGAATTCTTCTCTCAGAAGAGCCCAGATGAAAAATGTGAAAAGGCAGCCACAGATCTGTCTCTAGTCCTCGGGAGGCTTCAGAAAAAGTGCATTAATCAGTGCAATGGCGTAGGTCTGAATCTCCTGTCTGGAGCTATGTCAATGGAGAAAGACGGCACAGGGAGATTAGAAGACTGAACAGCAAGATGATGCTTAGAGATAGTTTAAAACAATCATTTACAGATTATAAGCAAATAATGACCTGGAGCTAAGTCTCAAAAGCATCCAAAGTGGACATGCTCTTGACCCAGCAATTTCACTAATAGAAACTTATCCTAAGACAGTAATCAGAGAGCTATGCAAGATTTACTGACAAGGCATTTCACTAAAGTACAACTTAAAAAAGAATGGAAAGTAATCCAAATGATCACAGTAGCCAACTGTTTATATATATGAGAATCTTAAGTAGTTATTAAAAGTCATGTTTTAGGGTAAATAAACATTCTTAACCTGGGATTCAGGGATGGGCTTAGAGTATCTGTGAACCCCAGGAATGATACAGAAATTATTCTATGTAGTTTGCTGACGAAGTGGTATTTTCTCCAAACTGGTGAGAGTACATACTTGTTAACCAGATTTTCAAAGGTGTCTAGGTTGCAAAAAAGACTTAGAACTACCTTTTAGAAAAATCTTTGACATGGAGAAATGTTCAAGATATATTATTCAGTTAAAAAAAATCAAGGTACACATAGTATATATAATAAGATCCCAATTTTGTTAAAAATATGCATAAAAAATACTGAAGGGATATTTAATGTTTAACAGTGGGTATGTCTGGAGGTGAGATAATGGGCAAATAATTTATTTTTGGGTTTTTCTGTATTTTTAAAGTCTTGACTATAAACTTATTTTATTATGAACAAACAAAATAACTACAATCATTCCCTGGAATCTTACAATCTCAGTACTTGACATCTCCACCTGCCATGTCTTGGGAGCATTCTGTGGCTGTCTTTCCAGAGGGGCTGATGGGCTTCCTGGTTAGTCACAGGGTACCCAGAGAGTCTACCAGAGGGCACGAAGTGTCCCTCAGCCCAAATAGGAAAGCATATAGGTTCTGGCGACAGCTGTGGGCTGAAAGTATTCACGATTGGCCCCTGTGAAATGCCATGTTCCCGTATCGACCCTAGGGAGGCAACTAGGGCCACTCCGAATTCAGAGACAAAAAAACAGAGGTAGACGTGAGGTTACAGGAAAATCAGAATTCTCTATCTGGAGTTTATAATATCCCTCTCATCTTCATCAACCTTGGTGGCTCACTGGGTATGAAAGCTGAGGCTAGACCAGGCATGGTGGCTCACACCTGTAGTCTCAGCTACTAAGGAGGCTGGAGTGGGAGGACTGCTTGAGCCCAACAGTTTGAGACCAGCCTGGACAACACAGCGAGACCCTATCTCTACAAAAATAAAAAAAAAAATTGGCCAGGTGTGGTGGCTCAGGCCTGTAATCCCAGCACTTTGGGAGGCCGAGGCGGGCAGATCACGAGGTCAGATCGAGACCATCCTGACTAACACAGTGAAACCCCATCTCTACTAAAAATACAAAAAATTAGCCAGGCATGGTGGCAGGCACCTGTAGTCCCAGCTACTTGGGAGGCTGAGGCAGGAAAATGGCATGAACCTGGGAGGCGGAGCTTGCAGTGAGCCGAGATGGCACCACTGCACTCCAGCCTGGGCAACAGAGCGAGACTCTGTCTCAAAAAAATAAATAAATAAATAATTAAAAAACAAAAAAAAAAACTAGCCAGGTGTGGTGGAGTGTGCCTATGATTCCAGCTACTCAGGAGGCTGAGATGAGGAGGACTGCTTGAACCTGCAGTGAGTTATGATCATGCCACTGCACTCCAGCCTGGGTGACAGATTGTTTCAAAAAAGAAAGGCAAAGAAAGCTGAGGCTGAAAATTTCTTAAAAGTGACAAGGAGAAATCAGAGTTGCAAAGAAATAATTGTGCTTCCTTTTTACTTGGATTAGTGGGGAGAAACAAGTTGGGAACATAGCTGAGTGAAAACAGGGTCACTATAACCTCCCAAATCTGGGAGCTATGACTTCCCCTCAAACTGGTGGGGGGATTCTGGCAACATTCTGACAATATCCAAAAAGACAGAAGTGAACAACAGTCAGAACAGAATCATCAGTAGTGCCACCGCTGTTCTGCAAAGTCCAGCTTCCTTACCTGGTGTAGGTTGGTTGGACAGGAAGTAAAAACAATGAAGACAGGAGAAACATAACTCCAATGGGTTCATTTGTCATATGGTTTCATTACTGGTAAAATGTTTTAGGATGTGATGAGAGTCTTAACAAACAAAAGCAAAAAGCCCCTGAATTTACTGAATACTTAACCTGTGCTGGCCACTATGCTAGACTTTTTTAAAATCTCCTTTGATCCTCACGTGAGAAGTGAAGATGATTAACCTAGTCTAGAGATGAAGAAACTGAGGCCAGAAGAGACTAGGTTACTTGCTGATAGCAGAGACCCAGTATGCAGAAGAGCCTGGATTTGAATTGATATTCCAAACTCACGCCCTGTGTGATACTTCTTACAATCACCCACAGCGCATCATCAGTTCAGTAAGCATTCATTCAACAAGTACTAATAAAACAGGGGATATGACAATGATTGATCTCTGTTTCTAGGGGGCTCTATGTTCAAAATGGGCAACAGATAATAAAAATCCAGTATTTTATATAATTATCATAGGTACAAACAGACTACTGGGCTCATGTGGGGAGGAAGCATCTAATTTTGCCTGGTACTAGGGCAGTATGGGAAGACTGGGAAAATCTTCATTTTAACCTAAGGGGCAGAGAGAGTTACAGAGGATTTTAGGCAGGAGCATGACATGATGAGGTCTGAATGATGGTAGAAATTCTGGCAGGAGTGTGGAAGAGGCGATGAATGAAGAAGCCAACCAGCAGCTTGGAATATAAGCAAAGCAGAGTAGGATTGGAAGACTTCAAATAAGAGGAGAGACGAGGACAGACAAGTGAAGGGAGGGAGGTGTAGGGGTGTAGGGTCTTTTACTCACACCTGGAAGTGTGAGATGAGCTGTCCCATGGTGATTTCCTCAGCTATCTTCTGGTACAGACTCTGGTATCTTCTGGTGTGGACTATGCTCTCCAGGATGGCCAGGGACCTCTGAAGGACTGAAACATCCACCGTGGGCTCGCTCACATACCCTGCAATCTAGGCCCAGAGATGGCACATCAATTGAGAAGCTCAGGGCCTAAGAAAGATAGAAGCTTAGCATCTGATGCTAGCCCTTGGAGCTCTCTCTGCTTCACATTTGGGCAGCTATTGCTAGGTGGACAGTGGTACCTGGTTTACGGCTACCCTGGCCAATGTGCCAGGGATTCCCTTGGCATGGATACCTTAATTTCAGATTATAGTATCCACTTAATTGTGTTTCCTCAAAATCTAAAAGCTTAATTCTTTTTATCAAAATAAGAGTTCCAGCATGAGAAAGTGGGGTATAAAAAAGCAGAAGATTGCCAGGCACGGTGGCTCACACCTGTAATCCCAGCACTTTGGGAGGCCGAGGCGGACGATCATGAGGTCAGGAGATCGAGACCATCCTGGCTAGCACTATGAAACCCCATCTCTACTAAAAATACAAAAAATTAGCCGGGTGTGGTGGCGGGTGCCTGTAGTCCCAGCTACTCGGGAGGCTGAGGCAGGAGAATGGTGTGAACCCAGGAGGCAGAGCTTGCAGTGAGCTGAGATCGCGCCACTGCACTCCAGCCTGGGTGACAGAGTGAGGCTCCATCAAAAGAAAAAAAAACAGCAGAGGATTTTACTCATACTGGGATCTCATTTTATCTCCATGTATTCCTCCCCTGACACACATTCTCCCTAAACACACTTAAGACTTTGAGAGGTAGAAAGGACCTTGAAGCCTTTTACTCTAATCCTTCTTCTCAATCCCCATTATAATATACCTGACACATGGTCATTTCACTTGTGTCCAGGGTCGGGGAGTCCCAATGTCCTAAGCCAATGATAAGTGAAGTTCTAGGGCAGCAGAGAGAGTATTATTCAATGGTTTTAATTCAGTTTTCTGAATTGACACTGCTCCTTTGTATAAAAGAAAGGAAGGTAAAACCAGAAGTACCCTCTCCTACCCACTGAGCTTAGTCTGACAATACAAACAGGCTACCTTGCAGATTTGTAAATAGAAGGCAGATTTGCAAATGAAATGCACATTTTTTTTTAATCCAAAGAGAAGAGAGAGCTCAGGAAGTCAGTCAAAAGACTCAGGGATAGTCCTGGTTGACTGGCTGGCTTTATCCCCAGTCTCACTGACAACCTAACTCTACTTTGATCATATTTAGTTCTGACGGTCCAGTTCCATCTCAGTGCAGGCCCTGAGAGTATAACAAAATCCACATCTTTCAGAAGCCACAAAAGACCAGAACTTGAGGATGAAAAATCTGGCCCCAGGGAATATAAAGCTGATATCACCAAAATAGCGATATTGCTTGTATCTCCCCTTAAACCCTGTGAACTGGCAGCTGAGGGAGGAGAGAAAGACAGAATGTTGGATGCCTCACCTGCTTAATAAAGGTGATTGAAACCATGTCCCAGGAGACAATGCCATGGTCCATGAGCTCTAGGAAGGCAGTCAGGGTGAATGCCAGCATATCACTGTAGCTGAGACACACACAAAATGGACAAAGATGCAGACTGGGAAACACAGGTGTGAGGGCAGCCACAAAAAAGATGAATTTTAGGCTGGGTGTGGTGGCTCATGCCTGTAATCTCAGCACTTTGGGAGGCTGAGGCGGGTGGATGAGATCAGGAGATCGAGACTATCCTGGCTAACATGGTGAAACCCCGTCTGTACTAAAAAATACAAAAAACTTAGCCAAGTGTGGTGGCGGGCACCTGTAGTCCCAGCTACTCCGGAGGCTGAGGCAGGAGAATGGCATGAACCTGGGAGGCAGAGCTGGCAGTGAGCCGAGATTGGGCCACTGCACTCCAGCCTGGGTGACAGAGCCAGACTCCGTCTAAAAAAAAAAAAAAAAAAAAAAAAAAATGATGAATTTTAATGTGAACACCCCATGGGAAATCAGTCGATGCAACTGTAACTGTAAGTGCCTGTGCGCACACCTAGCAAGTAGAGCAGGTTCAGCCCAGGTATCTATCACTGCCAAAAAAAATGCTGCTGGCTGATCAGACCTTTCTTCTCTATGTGCTTCATCCTAGGGACACAGAATCACTTATCTATTTCTCAAGACCAAAGAAGACATCGGACCCTTGTCAAACTCCAGCACCTATTGGGGGAACCTAAGGAGGCATAAGTGCCATGTTAACCTTTGGGCCAAGAGGCAGTAGAGTGCAAGAGATGGGCTCAGTTCTTGTCCACCTTACTAACCAAGCAAATTTTATCTTTTCAAAACTCAATGTCTTCCTCTGTAAAATCAAGTTAGTCTCACAGCGTTAACCTCACAGGATTGTGGAGAGGGCAAGATGATGATGTATGCAAAGCACTTATTCTAGTGCTGATAGAGAATAAGGATTAAAATGTTTTCTCTTTTCTCTCTTCTCCTTTATATATCTGTACAGTGCTCTAGAATTAACAGATGATATTCCCATTTACAAAGCATGTTCAGACACAGTCTCATTAACAATACTTCTCACAATAATACTGCAAGGTAGCTATTATTATCCTCAGGCTAAAGAGAGGGAAACTAAGGCCAGTCTAACCCTGCACTCTCGGGAGACTGTAGAACTGTGTCAGTGCTGATGGCAGCTGAAGGCTTCAGGACTTGAGTACAGCTGGAAGATCCAAGATGTAAAACAAATATCTATGATTAGTTACTTGATTTGGCTGAAAATTTCCATAGTTCATCTACGGGCTGAGAAGATTTCTGATTCCCTCTTTGGCAGCGTAGGCTCCAAGCACCTGTTTACTGACTGCTCTTCACAAGGCACAGCTGCCCACCTCATGCATGTCAACTCTGGGGTATGATGAAAATGTTTGTGGGTATCATAAAGTTCTGGTCTCCTCCTCCCTGTGCAAAAGTGTGGCAGGGAGATGGTGACTTGGTAGGTTGTAACCTGTGGTAAACACAAACGAAGCTGTGTGTGTGTGTGTGTGTGTGTGTTGTGTGTGTGGTGGAAGGTGACTTGAGAGAGAGGGAGCAGGGGGTGGTTACAGATGGACACACACCTGGGACATATTGGACCATGTGCTCAGTAACCCTCATCAGACCAAGCATTTCCAGCAATTAACAGGTCTGTCACAACCTGACCGCTCTCCTACTGACTTCTCTAGCCCCTATTTTCACTGCTCACTTGGCACAGTATTGTTTTGTACTATTATTTAATTTGTGAGAGCCCAACTATACTACAAGATTTAGAAGAACAACACGGAATTATATGTCTCGGTATGGACTCTAGTGCTTTGCACACTGCTCTGTACATAGGTGGTATTCAATAAACTCCTTATGTGACTTGATGGAAATGAGACTAGGATGCCCTGTGGGATGTAGTAAATCACTGAAGTCTCTGGAATGAGACCTTAGTCATACTCACTGGGACAGGAGTTTGGTTCCATTTTCCACAAGCCTCGTCAGCACAATGATGCCATCCATGTTGATGAACTCAGTAGCAAAAGTCACGTCAGCAGAGCTTGGCCAGCACCTTCATGGTATCCAGCCGGGTCTCCATGTTGGATGACTGGGTCCTCTCCATCAGCTGGGCGTGCAGCCTGGGACTAGGAAACCAGGGACAAGACATGTGCCATCTGCTCCTTGGAGCAGGTTACTACTCTGTGGATAGCTCACAGAGGCTCTTTTGTGGACATCCAAACCTGAGGCAGAACTAGCTTTTTTAACACTGCTTAGGAGTTGCTAAATTGTGGGATCAATCAGGGAGTTATTAGCATACCAAAACAAATCTGTATTTATCTGTATCTTTTCTGTACCACTCTGGTCTATGGATTAAAAAAATTCCTACCAAGGGAATACCAGAGACATCTGGGAGGCCCACTAATGAGTCACAGAGAAACAGATATTGGTTTAATAGAGGAAGGTTGTCTATTAATTAAAGCTGTCTGGCTGGGTGCAGTGGCTCATGCCTATAATCCCAAGGCTTTGAAAGGCCAAGGCAGGAGGATTGCTTGAGACCAGAAGTTAGACACCAGCTTGGGCAACAGAGTGACACCCCGTCTCCACAAAAAATTTTTAAAAATGAGCCAGGTGTGGTGGTGCACACCTGTAGTCCTAGCTACTCAGGAGGCTGAGGTGGGAAGATTGCTTGAGCCCAGGAGTTCAAGGTTGCAGTAAGCTAGGACTGTGCCACTGCGTTGCAGCCTGGGTCATAGAGCAAGACTGTCTCTCAAAAATAAAAAAAATAAATTAAATAAAACTGGCCGGGCGCAGTGGCTCACGCCCGTAATCCCAGCACTTTGGGAGGCCGAGGCAGGCAGATCACAAGGTCGGGAGTTCGAGACCAACCTGACCAACATGGTGAAATCCCGTCTCTACTAAAAATGCAAAAATTAGCCGGGCATGGTGGCATGCACCTGTAATCCCAGCTACTCAGGAGGCTAAGGCAGGAGAATCACTTGAACCCAGGAGGCGGAGGTTGCAGTGAGCCGAGATCATGCCACTGCACTCCAGCCTGGGCGACAGAGCAAGACTCCATCTCAAAAAAAATAAATAAAATAAAATAAAATTTATAAAACTGTTAGACAGCAGAAGAGGTTTCTCTTGGGGTATTAAGCTCCCTGTCACCAGAAGCAATCAAGGAGAATGTGGACAACTATCTGTCAAAGATGCTGTAGAAGGGATTCTTGCATTGGGTGAAGAATTTAATCTAATGTTCTCTAAGCTCCCTTTTAATCCTAAAATGTGAAAAGCTTGATAATTTTTTAAAAACTTTCTCTCAAAATCCATATGATTATTCCTCAAAGTAACAGTTCTGGAGAAATTTTAAGAATATCAAGGAGCCAGAAACAATTTCCCAATCATTTTTTGAAAATGAAGGCTGATGAAGACAAAACCTCCTCCTAGCACATGAACTTTTTCTAGCAGGATGCCTGCCTCCTTTTCTGCAAACTGTGGCTAAAATCCCTCCTCTAGCATTCACTGGGCTTTCCTTCTGCTGAGCTTGTTAGTACATAGTACCTCACAATTTACTGTTTCATCATACTCTGTTTTTTGGGTGTTAATTTAATGTTCTCCACTAGAAAGGAAGAGCCTTAAGAGCAAAAACACTCCTGTCTTCTTTTTCTCAGTGTTAAGCAAGTGACTGGAGCCCAATTCCTGCGGCCACCACGGAGTCAGGCCTGTTGTCCCTCTCCCCTTTGCCTCTCCTCTTTTACTATTACAAAGCTGGCCCTTCACAGCACAATGCTCTCTGTGATAGAGAAGCCCTCACTCTGTCTACAGTGGACAAAACGTGCGCCACAGGAAAAGGTCACAGCACAGAACAATCTGAAGAGCACTGGTCTGCATCCCACTTAGAAACTTCCAACTCTGTCAATTTTCCTCCTGATACAGCATTTCTGGGCTGCTGCCTCCCGCTCCAGAGAGATGTGCTTCTGGGAAAGGCAACTGCACTGTGCAAGAGGTCGGAAATGTGTCAGCACTTCCATAAAAGTGTGTAACTCCCAGGCTGTCATATTAAATTACCAGAGCTTAGGAGGGAAGAATGAAGTCCTTAAAATGAGAAGAGTTCAGGAGAAGAGGGGGAGGCAGAAGAACATGATGGGAGGAATATGGGCCTAGAGTCAGGCAGACCTGGGTCTGAGAGCAGGCTTGGCTACTTTATTAGCTGTGTGACAAGTGGCAAGTAATTTAACCTCTCTAAGCCTTGGTTTCCTTGTCTACAGAATGTGGCTATTAAGAGTACCTATCTCATGGGACGTTTGTAAAGATTAGATGATTTAATTACACAAAGTATTTAGCAAAATACAGGCATTCAGTAAAGGTTGGCTGATATCACTTCATACCTCCCCTCCTCTCAGATGAACCAGTCTCTCTCTCTGCACCAAGAAAAGAGGTGCCATCACGCCCTTATTTTGCTAGCTGCGCTTCTACGAATGTAACCAAAGGTGCAATCATATTGGCTGTCTTCCTCATGGGCTTAGCAGTCAAGGTGATTCCCTCTACCTGGGCTTTGAGTCCTTCCTCTCCTGGTCCACTAAGATCCTGTTCTATTGATTACCTGCTTTCCTGCACCTTCAACCTTCCTCTCTTCCATCTTAACACATTCTTAAGGGCACATAAAAAATTGCAACAGAAACAACAACCAGGAAGGGTCAGAAATGTGGGGAACTGGGCAGATGGGGACAGGAGTTGCAGGGAGACCTTTTGCTACATCTCTGTGAAAATTTTTGATTTGTGAAACACATGAATGCTTTACGGGCTTTTAAAAAGCGCATCTTTTTGACTCTACATCCTCTTCACGTTATCACCTTCTCTGTGTTTTCTTTTAAAACCAAGCTTCTTGATACAGCAGTAGACTCAAAGTCCTTACTTTTTTACCTTTCTTTTACTTGACTCAGTTCAGTCTGGCCACCTGGCCTCCCCACCATAACTTTTTTGTGAAGATCACCAAGGTCCTCTTCACCTCCCAAGTCTTGAGACAGCTTCTCTGTTCTCAGTTTGCTAAATTTCTCTGCTCATTAAAAATTGCAGACCATGTTTTCCCCAATCCTGACACTCTCCCTGCCCAAAGCTCCTGTCACTTCACATTCTTGGTGTTCTTTCTACCCTTCTGGTTGCTTCCTTGGTGACCTTTAAGGGCTGCTCTTGCAAAAACCAGAGTCATTCTCCATTCTCCCCTTTCCTTCCACATCCAGCGTATCACCATACTCATAAAGGTTACCTCCTAGATACTCTTCATATCCTTTCATCTCCATTACCATTTGCCTTCCCTGGGCTGTTAACATTCCTCATTTGCCTCTTAAAAGGTTCCTACTACCACCAACCTACTTCTTAAGGCCCATCTTCCACACGGTCACTAAAGTCATCTTTCTAAAACTTAAAATCTAAACATAACATATCTTCCTGCTTAAAATCCTTCAATATCCCTAGTTTCCTTCTGGACAGAGTTCAAACCTATGAGCAGGCCATCAAGGAACATTGAATACCTGGCTTTTCAATGATTGCTACAAGCCTCCAGCCACCCAGCACTTCTGCTTTTCCCAAACACAGCAAACCTCTGTGCCTTGGCATATGCTGATTTCTCTGACTAGAATACTTTTCCTTTTCTTATTTCTCCAGCTAATTCTTGCTCATCCTTTAACATCTGAGCTAAGTGACCCTTTCTCTGGCAAGGCTTTCTGGAAATCTCCAGGCTGAGTTAGGTGGTCCCCTTTGTGAGTTCTCACAGCTCTCTAAGCAACTTTCTCTCAAGATCCTTGAGACAGGCCTTCAATTGCATGTGTTTACTCCCCACTAGGTGGTGAGAACCAAGACACTCTTATCTTCCTATATTATGTCCTGATACAAAAGGACTGACTTTTTAATCTCCAGAGTCCTTGTTTCTAGAACAGAGCCTGGCCCATGGTAGGTGCTCTTATTTGTTTGTGACATGAATAAACTCCTAAGGAAGGAAGAATACCTACTGGGGAGATAGCCAGTTGTAAGATTGTCTCATTTTTTTTTTTTTTTCTGAGACGGAGTCTCGCTTTGTTGCCCAGGCTGGAGTGCAGTGGCATGATCTCGGCTCACTGCAAGCTCCACCTCCCGGGTTCACGCCATTCTCCTGCCTCAGCCTCCCGAGTAGCTGGGACTACAGGCACCCGCCACCACGTCCAGCTAATTTTTTTTTTTTTTGTATTTTTAGTAGAGACGGGGTTTCACTGTGTTAGCCAGGATGGTCTTGATCTCCTGACCTCATGATCCGCCTGCCTCGGCCTCCCAAAGTGCAGGATTACAGGCGTGGGCCACCACGCCTGGCCCGATTGTCCCATTCTTAACGTCACTGCGAGTCTGGGTAGTGAAAAGCAAAGAAACAACAAAGGTAACTAAGATAAAATGTTAAAGTGGTACAAGCAAGTTGAATCAACATAATGTTTTGTCTTTTTTACAGTAGATGTAACAGGCTCTTCAGTCGGGCCCTCTTCTCCTGCTTATTCCTTGGCAAAGAGCTTCTAAGATCCTCTTCTAGCACCCTGGGCCCTCAGGAAGTAAAAGCCACCTTTTTCCAGCCACTAGGGAGGAACAAGGGCTGGTACTTCCCAGTCTGCCCAGGGAGCGACTCTTTACCCAACACATGGAAGCTACCTGGATGCTGAGTGAAGATAAATAGTGCTGTCTCCTTGGGTCATTTACTTCCAAGCAAGGCCCACATTGATTTTGCCTTTCCCTATATTAACCTGTTCAGTGATGTACAGCTGAGGATCATCTGCATGACGGAGGGTGTAATACTCTGGGTTTGGCAACGACCACCTACGCAAGAGAAAAACAGTATATCCCACTTGGCCACTCTCTTGTCCAGAAGCTTCTCATAAGTCATTTTCAGTAGAGTTGCTCAAGGGATCAGGTGGCCTATTTGGAATACAGTGGAAAAAAACAAAGCTTTAGGTTGTCATGTTGAAAAAATCACAGCCTCAGCCTTTTGTAAAGACAAGCACCACAAAAGGAGGTGTGCGGAACTGAGGAGGGGTCTCAGATCCTACCATGACCTCAAGCAGGGCAATGCTAGACTTACAGGAAAAAATTAAGAAGTATAAACGTCTTAGGGGTATTGTTGTCAACTGTACCTCCTTCCCAAGACAATGATTCCCAAGAGCCCCTTTCTGGGGACCTGCCTAACTGGAGATCCTTCCCAGAACTCCCCTCAAGGTGTGGCAGTGCTCCTTCAGTCAGAGCTGCCACTGTCAAAAACGAGGTCCATTTCAACCTACCCATCACAAACTTCCTTGATAATGGATGCCAGGGGCCATTTCTGAAAAAGAGAGAAAGAGCCTTCAATAGCAGCAACATCCTACCCAAGCCAAGGTTCAGACAAGAGAGCCTGCCAAGCAGGGTCAAGCCGGGGCATGAGAATGTACTTCTTTCCTAACAGCTTTTGTTAAAGAGGAAGCCTCTCCCAAGCCATGGTGACAGACCTTCCCTAGGGTGGGCCAGGCCCAAAGCTTAGCCTTCCTGTTGATGGTTCTTACTCTTGATGCCAGTAGTCCCCATCCCTCAAGATATCCTCTGCCATGCACTCCCCAGGTGCCTTTCCTCACTTCAGGAGTGTACCTGGTTGATTTCAAGGAGCTGGGCATTAGCATCTGGACACTCAATGGCCACTTTGACAATGTCTGATGGTGGTGGCATTTTTCCCAACCAGTGGGCTCTAATTCTGCAAGACAAGAACACAGACACGACTGCCTGGGGAGAAAGAATCTGAAAGACAGAAAAAGTCAGAGTACCTCTTCATTTTTCACTCTTGTTACATGTTTTGAAGAGTCTACAGACAGACACTGCATAAAGTAACACATGAAACTACTTGGTTTGAATTTTTCTAGATCATACCAAAACCTCTCCTTGGGGTTTTGTTTTTTGACATTAAATCAGCAAGAAAAAATGGGACAAACTGTCTATCATCCATAGATCAGCCAGCAGCAACATGTGCCAATGTGGCACTTCAGTTTAAGAGTCGAGAGGACTCAGTGGTAGAAGAACGTATTTACTGCAAATTCCTGTCTTGAGACCTTGGGAGGAGAGTGTGGGGGAAAGAGAGATCAGACTGTTACTGTGTCTATGTAGAAAGAAGTAGACATAAGAAACTCCATTTTGTTCTGTACTAAGAAAAATTATTCTGCCCTGAGATGCGGTTAATCTGTAACCCTAGCCCCAACACTGTGCCCACAGAGACATGTGCTGTGTTGACTCAAGGTTTAATGGATTTAGGGCTGTGCAGGATGTGCTTTGTTAAAAATGTGTTTGAAGGCAGTATGCTTGGTAAAAGTCATCACCATTCTCTAATCTCGAGTACCCAGGGACACAATGCACTGCAGAAGGATGCAGGGACCTCTGCCCAAGAAAGCCTGGGTATTGTCCAAGGTTTCTCCCCACTGAGACAGCCTGAGATATGGCCCTGTGGGAAGGGAAAGACCTGACCATCCCCCAGCCCGACACCCATAAAGGGTCTATGCTGAGGAGGACTAGCGAAAGAGGAAGGCCTCTTTGCAGTTGAGATAAGAGGAAGGCATCTGTCTCCTGCTCGTCCCTGGGAATGGAATGTCTCGGTGTAAAACCTGATCATACATTCTATTTACTAAGATAGGAGAAAACCACCTTGTGGCTGGAGGTGAGACATGCTGGCGGCAATACTGCTCTTTACTACACTGAGATGTTTGTGTAGAGTCAAACATAAATCTGGCCTACATGCACATCGAGGCACAGCACCTTTCCTTAAACTTATTTATGACCCAGAGACCTTTGCTCACATGTTTTCCTGCTGACCCTCTCCCCACTATTACCCTATAGTCCTGCCACATCCCCCTCTCCAAGATGGTAGAGATAGTGCTCAACAAATACTGAGGCAACTCAAGAGACCAGTGCCGGTGCGGGTCCTCCGTATGCTGAGCGCCGGTCCCCTGGGCCACTGTTCTTTCTCTATACTTTGTCTCTGTGTCTTATTTCTTTTCTCAGTCTCTCATCCCACCTGACAAGAAATACCCACAGGTGTGGAGGCGCTGGCCCCCTTTAGGAGAGAAGCATATGCTCCGAAACAGATAAGAATAGCCAGGCTTTTCTTGGTTGAGTGGTTAGCTGGAGGAGCCAGGCTCCTTCTGTTCTGCAGTCATCCTAGGAAGATCCCAGCATCAGCGGGGCACAGCTACATGCTCTCTTGCTTCCCTCGCACTCATCAATGCCACTGCTTTCCCCTCAAAGGACACTATGCAAAGCCACCTCTGTGTGGGATGACATCAGAAAATGGGGAAGAGAACTGGGACAGGAAATGCTATTTTCATCCCTATTGCCAAGGGCAATAGCAGCTGACAACTCAAGTGGAGGGAGATAAAGATATCTTCACACAAGGGCCCGTCTTATAAGGACAAGGCTTTGCAAGTACCTCTGACCACCTCCCCCACTTCTCTCCAAAATAAAGGAAAATAAATTATCTTGAGCAAGTCTGGAAGATGGGCCCAAGTGACTGGTATCCTAGGCAACTCTGATAGCTTACTGGTATTCCAAGCAGTAACTAAAGCATTCTCTCTCCAAGGTCTGACGAAGGGAAGTCACTTGGCTGATGGATTATTTCGATGTATATTTACACTCCTTGCCTACAGGTTCAGGAGAGGGCTTTTTTTTTTTTTTTTTTTTTTGAGACGGAGTCTCGCTCTGTCGCCCCAGGCTGGAGTGCAGTGGCTGCGATCTTGGCTCACTGCAAGCTCCGCCTCCCGGGTTCACGCCATTCTCCTGCCTCGGCCTCCCAAGTAGCTGGGACTACAGGCACCCGCCACCACGCCCGGCTAATTTTTTTGTATTTTTAGTTGAGACGGGGTTTCACCGTGTTAGCCAGGATGGTCTTGATCTCCTGACCTCATGATCTGCCTGCCTCGGCCTCCCAAAGTGCTGGGATTACAGGCGTGAGCCACCGCTCCTGGCCAGGAGAGGGCTCTCTCTTAATGAAAAAGACCTTTCTGCATCTTCCAGATTTAGCCATTCACCCACAATTCATGTCTCGCTTATGGGGACCACCTGCCTCTCCTGGCATACAAAGCATAGCTGTTGTGAGGCTATTATGCACGTATGCTATCAATTTTTCAGCCTAAACACAGATGCCAGTTCTCACAGCCTGATAAGTATAAACCTCTTTGATGAAAAGGAGTAAAAGTCCTGTCCCCCACAAGCCCCCCGGCCTCAGAAAGAGGGATGCTTTCATGACCATTTCCTAGTCAGGATGGGATGCTTCAGAAGTCTACTGTCATAAAAAACCAGCATTTCCAGACCATGACAATGTAAAGGAACTAGTTTTCAAAGTGCTTTCACTTACTTTATTGTGTCCTCCCAGCAGCACCATGAATTAGGCAGAAGAGGATTATCACCTGCATTTGAAGATGGCACAACTAAAGCTCAGTGTTTTGTCAAGTGCCCAAGGTCACCCAGCTAGTAAGTCATAATAGGGGACAGAACTCGGACTGGCTTCAGCCAGTGCTTTCCCCTTTTCCTCTGAGCCAGCTTCAACTTCTGTCCACTGCAATTAAACGCAGCCTAAAGGGATTGAAGTGGGTTGGCCTTATGGCCCCCAAAGCTTCCATAACTTCTGTGGCTTGTGGCAGAATTTTTCACAGTAATTTTTACATGCCTAGACACACAACAAACCTCAGAAAAGAAACTGGCCCTATCAGCATAATTTCTGGGGAGACTGCTCTGTTGCAGTTACAGCAGGGCAGGGAGTTCTCGTTCCAGGGGTGGCGCCATCAATCTCTGGATGCCTAGAGATGCGTCCTTATCCTTATCGGCAAAGCGGCTGCAATTAGTAGACTAGGACTGCATGGTTGTGAGGTCAATTTTAAAAACTGAGATATAATTTACATACAATAAAATGCAGAGGGCTTAAGTGTACATATGTTTGTATGCATATACATAATAGACATAAACACATGCATCTCCCTGTAACCGCCACTCAAAACGGGACACTGAACATTTTCATCACCCTAGAAAATTACTTCATACTTCCTCTTCCTGTCAATCCTTTCAGTCCTTTAAAGGGGAATTTCTGACTTCTTATCATCATCCATGAGTTTTGCCTGTTTTTGTACTCCATATAAACGGAACTATACAATATGACTTTTTAGATCATTTGTTTTTCAATTTGGCTTCTTCTTATTTTTAAAATAAGCAGGTACAAAAGGCACAACAGAAAGAGCACTGGGCTAGGATAATTGTCCCTGGTGAAAAAAGTGACTGGATTTAGAGCCAAAGGCCTCAAGACCCAATCCTAGCTCTTTCATGATGTATACATGCCCCTTTAACCAAATCTCAGTTTTCTTCTATTGAGGGATGGATAATTGTCCCTGCTGAAAAAAGTGACTGGATTTAGAGCCAAAGGCCTCAGGACCCAATCCTAGGTCTTTCACGATGTATACATGCCCCTTTAACCAAATCTCAGTTTTCTTCTATTGAGGGATGGATAATTGTCCCTGCTGAAAAAAGTGACTGTATTTAGAGCCAAAGGCCTCAGGACCCAATCCTAGGTCTTTCACGATGTATACATGCCCCTTTAACCAAATCTCAGTTTTCTTCTATTGAAAGATGTGAGTGTAGGCCAGGTGCGGTGGCTCATGCTTGTAATCCCAGCACTTTGGGAGGCCGAGGCAGGCGGATCATGAGGCCAGGACATCGAGACCATCCTGGCTAACATGGTGAAACCCTGTCTCTACTAAAAATACAAAAAATTAGCCAGACACAGTGGCGGGCGCCTGTAGTCCCAGCTACTCGGGAGGCTGAGGCAGGAGAATGGCGTGAACCCGGGAGGCGGAGCTTGCAGTGAGCCGAGATAGAGATCGCACCACGGCAGTCCGGCCTGGGCGAAAGAGCAAGACTCCGTCTCGAAAAAAAAAAAAGAAAGAAAGAAAGACGTGAGTGTAGAACTAAAGCATGTCTCAGGTGACTTCTAAGTCTAAAAGTCCATGATTCTTAAGTGGAATTTTAAAAATCCAAGTGAGGATGCCCATTTTAAAGTCCTCACCAAATGAAGTTACACCCTTCCTTAATTTCGATGGTGCTGCTAAGAAACAAACCACATTATTTTTAACTCCTTTCTGAAAACCATCTTTGGAGATAATTAAGCCAAAGCTCATTATGTTATACCTATTATTTTCTCTTGACCCCATATGACATATCCTAGGTTGATGCTCTGTTTATTAAAGTTAGCACTGAATGATTCTCAGCTGTTCAAAAGTTCATATACATTTTAAAGCATGGAGATTTGCAACTACTGAACTATTTGAAAGATATTAATAAGCCCCCATTCTCAGTGACTCTGTCCTTCCCACAAAGCCCAGGCAGCCTATCTGAACTGAATGACACTCTCCACAACCCTGCCATAGCTGATGGGACCAAAGTGAATACCCAACTTTAGCTGAATTATTCCAATTCTTTCTCTTGAATTTAAAATACACAGATTGGCCAGGCGTGGTGACTCACGCCTGTAATCCCAGCACTTTGGGAGGCTGAGGCAGGTGGATCACCTGAGGTCAGGAGTTCAAGACCAGCCTGGCCAACATGGCGAAACCCCGTCTGTACTACAAATACAAAAATTAGCTGGGCGTGATGGCAGGCGCCTGTAATCCCAACTACTCAGGAGGCTGAGGCAGGGAGGATCGCTTGAACCTGGGAGGCAGAGGTTGCAGTGAGCCTAGATTGCACCATTACACTCCAGCCTGGGCGACAGAGTGACACTCCATCATAAATACATACATACATACATACAAACAAACAAAAGACACAGACTAAGGGAACTGGGTGATAACGGGCCCTGGAGAAGTAAGATCATAGTAAGCTTCAGAGCAGTTACCATGGCAAGCCAAAGATTCGCATAAGCCAAAAATACGGAGAATAAAAAACCAAGAGCCTTTCAGAGGAAGTGATTCTGCAAGAGGAATCCAGAAATATATAAATGAGCTGAGGCCAGAAATCAGAAAGATGAGAAAAGCCATTACCTGGTAACTTTCCCGATTACGTGGCTACACTTCCTATGCTTGGGGTACCTGAAAGTCCACTGTATCCTGCCAATAAAACTCCTATAAATTAAGCTAGTCTATGTATCTACTCATTGCAACTAATAAGCCTAAGACCAAAACTGCCCCCAAGTTCTGCAGGAACTCTAAAATGGAGGTCTGAGCAGACAGCAGCATCACTGGCATAAGATGATGGTTCTGGGTAAGCACTTAATTAACAATGGCTGAATTAATGACAGCAAAATCCACAGGTTTGCTCTTATCCACTAGGTAAGTCTGATTTGTTTGCAACAGATCAGTTATACAGTAACTTCGTAGTAATCGTATATCTAATAGTAACGTACAGGTAGCGTCTTTATTTTTATTTTATTTTTATTTATTTATTTTTTTGAGACGGAGTCTCGCTGTCTCCCAGGCTGGAGTGCAGTGGCGCGATCTCTGCTCACTGCAAGCTCCGCCCCCCGGGTTCTCGCCATTCTCCTGCCTCAGCCTCCTGAGTAGCTGGGACTACAGGCACCCGCCACCACGCCCGGCTAGTGTGTGTAGTGTGTGTGTGTGTGTGTGTGTGTGTGTGTGTGTATTTTTAGTAGAGATGGGGTTTCACTGTGTTCGCCAGGATGGTCTCGATCTGCTGACCTCGTGATCAGCCTGCCTTGGCCTCCCAAAGTGCTGGGATTACAGGCGTGAGCCACCGCGCCCAGCCTTTTTTTTTTTTTTTTTTTGAGATGGAGTCTCGCTGTCTCCCAGGCTGGAGTGCAATGGCGCGATCTCCACTCACTGCAACCTCCACCTCCTGGGTTCAAGCGATTCTCCTGCCTCAGCCTCCCGAGTAGCTGGGATTACAAGTGCTCGCCACCACACCCAGCTAATTTTTGTATTTTTAATAGAGACGGGGTTTCACCATGTTGGCCAGGCTGCTCTTGAACTCCTGACCTCAGGTGATCCACCTGCCTCAGCCTCCCAAAGTGCTGGGATTATAGGCGTGAGCCACTATGCCCAGCCCAGGTAGCCTCTTTATAGTTGATTGCTCACTTCTATAGCATTATTTTAGTTGATGCTCATAAGAACTCTGAAAAACATTCCTATCTTACAGGTAAGGCAACTGAAGTTCAGATGGATCGACAAACTTGTTCTCCATGTACCTCTTTCTACACCTCCCTCCCAAATGAAGGAAGAAAAAAAAAGAAGGGAGGGAAAAGAACAGTAAGTCAACCCAACACTTCAGAACTGGGTCTGAAGCCAAGGTCTTAGGACTGATCCCTCTACATAATACTTCCTTACATGATGACATTAGCTAACAATTACATAATGCTAGGGCACTATTTTAAAGGCTCTATATATACTAATTAATTTAATCTGCACAGCAACGCTGTGTGGTATGTTATTATCCCCACTTTAGAGACAAGAAAATAGAGGCACAGAAGAGTTAAGTAGCAGGCTCAGTGTCACACAGCTAGGAAGTGGCACAGCCAGAATTTGATCCCAGGTTATCTGGTATTGCTGGAAAGCCATGAGAAAGCAGGTGGCTCTGCACTTGACCCGCAGCAGGTGCTTTGTGGCAATTTCTGGTTTGTGTATCCGAAACCAAAGCACACTGAGGCTAAGAAACTTTCACAAGAACTCACCATTGTATCAAAAGATAGCACTCCACTGTCTACAGGTGGGCCACGGTCCCTTGTGTGCTATTTGGTCCTTTACAATCTAGCCAGACTCTTCCCTGGACTACCTGCTATTTCTATAAGGCCGTGTTCTTTCAATTCTTCTGTACCTTTGCATATTCTCTTCCTCCTACTGACTGTCAGAACAGCTCCTATTCAAGCATCAAAGCCTAGTTCAGATCAGATGCTACCTCTTCCCTGTACTAGTCTTAGCTTTCTCTAACTTTTCCTGGCAAAACTAAATAGGACAGGGGCCTCTGTGTTCTCACAGCATCCTGTTCATACTTCCATTAGCGAGTGTGATCTTGTCATACTCTATTATAGTTACATATTTACATATCTCCACTAGCTCCTCCTCCAGGACAGGTATAACTCTGCAGTGTCAACCTAGCACAACACTTGGTGTCCAGCGAAGGCTCAGTAAGCACCTGTGTCTGCTTAAACCCGATGACTCTGACTTCTTCCAAGCTGGAACCAAGCTGGCTCCAAATGGACAGGGATGGGCATGAATTGCGCAGGTTGTCTGGTGTTCCCTCTGTGTCCCAATACCCTTTCACTACAAAGTATTTTCATTGTTTAACAGTTTGTTTTGGCTGGGCGCAGTGGCTCACACCTGTAATCCCAATGCTTTGGGAGGTGAAGGCAGGAGGATCACTTCAGGCCAGGAGTTAGAGACCTGTTTCTACAAAAAAAATAAAACATTAGCTGGGCATGGTGGCATGTTCCTGTAGTCCCTAGCTACTTAGGAGGCTGAGGCAGGAGAGTCGCTTCAGCCCAGAAGTTCGAGGCAGCAGTGAACTATGATCATGTCACTGAACTCTAGCCTGGGTGACAGAGCAAGATCCTGTCTCTATTAAAAAATAAAAATTAAATTAAAGAACTGTTGTTTTCATATCAAACATTAGAATAATTCTTACTGAAAAATCAGGGTTAGCACACCTAACTCTAGTTAAAGAGGAAAACATCTCTCTGCTTTTCTCCCTATGGAATAGAAACATCAGGAGATAGGAGACTAGAAGTAATTCTATTCTCCAGATAAGATTCCCAGGATAAAATATATCCTTGTAGGGAACCCTCCCAGCACATGTTTGCTTACTCTCTTCATTTTCATTCCAGAAAGGAAGTGGAAATTAGGTAGAAGGAATTCAATAACATTGCAAAATTCTCAGGGTTATAAATGGCCTCTTGCTCCACCACTCAGCAGTACTGTAGCTCAACCGCAAACCACCAGAATAAAGGAGCTCTAGTTCCACATCAAGGCCCAGAGGGCCCCTTCCAGATTAAACAACTCTCCACCCTTCTCCCTTCCACCCCTCTTTAAGCATTACAGATATAAGGATGATTTGGAAAATCAAAATGCTACAAAACAGGAGAGGCACACACTGACCTGAAGACAATTTTACTGTAAGTCATTAAGAATAAAAGGCCAGTTTCTCAAATATAGAGCTGGGAAAAGTATAGAAAAATAGGAACATTAGTGTCTCCAATAGAGCAGTCTCTAAGTGGCTTCTAGAAGGTGTGCTTATAAAATCAGCACTGTTACAGAAGACCCCATGGAGCTTTATCAATCACCCGTACAGTGACTGCTGCTTCACGGAGCTGGAGTCTGACAGCAGGGTTGGAAAATCCATCTCAAGGAAGGAAGTGAAAGATGATCTCCTTCTATTAGTAAGGACCCCGCCAGCACGGGGTCTGAAGGAACGTGATTTCCTTCCAAATGCAAGAGGCAGCTTTATTTTTCCCCCAAACTTTTTTTTTCTTTTTGGTATGCAGTCTTAGAATGAAGGAAAAGGCTTTGGTTCCCTGCGTTAAATCATAGGTTGTGAGCTCTAAGCGGTCGTCTGGTGGCACTCCGCCCTGTGCCCAGCGGGCACTTACCGCACACTCAACAGTGGGGATAGCTGTGGTTTGGGGAACTGAGTGGGAGTGACTTTCGTGTCAGAGGCTGTGAGCAGCCGCTCTGCTCACACCGAGTGGGGCTGACCGTGGGCGCTGAGCAGAGGCAGAAGGGTACAACCCGGCTGTGCTTTTTGGAAGGGATCCCGGAGGTGGCATTCGTCACTGCACCTGCGGATCGGAACAAGGCTGGGCACCGCGCCAAGGACTCACTCCTGCTGTCTCTCTTCATGCTCACAGCAGCCCTGTGATGGAGGAGCACCCTGATCCCTTCGCTGCAGATGAGGACACAGGCTCACAGAGGGTCCGAGATCTTACAGCTGGTGAGGGGCAGAGCAAAACGCCAACCTATTCCTGTTGGATTCCAAAGTTTATACTTTAATCGTTCGTCTAGCAGATTCTTACAACAATCCTGGGAGGTGTGTATTCAGTTGTCACTTTGCAGATAAACTGATACTCAGCAAAGAGACTACATAGTGACTACCGCTTATAGGGCACTGCACAGTCTGCAAAGCAGTTTTACATGTTGTTTCATTTGATCCTCAAAACATCTTGGAATTAAAGATGATTTTTCTTAGTCCTATTTTACAGGTGAATAAAGTGAGGCTTGGGGAGGTTGAGGCTTAGCCATAGCTAACATTGCTAAAGCTCTGGCAGGAGTTACTCTTTCTCCTTCTCACTGGCTGGCCCAGCCTTGACCTTGTGATGATGATGATGACGTGCTAGGGGACAGAGCCACAGCACAGAAGGTGCCGAATGCTACCTGCCGACTTGGGACACTCACTTCATACTCTTATGTGAAAAAGAAATGATCTTCTCCGTTCTTTTTATTACTAATTTTGATAGCAGGGAGGGCTGTTAGAGCCAACCCTGCACTCACACAACACTGAGGAAGAAAGCCTTAAATTTTGTACCCTGGGTGCCTCACTTTGCTTCATTCTAGTCCTGACCCTGCTTAATACACATTTATCCAAGGAATGAGTCACTCACTTAAGCTTTACAAGACTGTGTAATTTTTTTTGCTGATATTGCCAGTGCAAGTTCTTTGATTGCGAGTCTTAAGAATCAATTCTGGCTAACTTTACCTGAAAAGGATTTTATTGGCAGGCTAGTGTCTAACTCACAGAGGTAACACGAAGCTGGAGAATCAGGCTTAGAAAAGGTTAGAAAGCGGAGATGTTTTGAGAGTTTAGGCAGGCAAGTGAATCAATTCCATGTTTTTTTTCCCTTTCTTGACCAGAGCTTTCTTTGATGAGTCAAAGTCCCTGGAGCAAGGGTTCAATTGGCTGAGCTCAGGTAACATGTCCACACTTTAGCTAAGGAGGGCAGGCACCTTGATGGACAGCTCCACCAAGACTGCACAGGAGTGCAAAGTTGCAGATCCCTCTTCCTCCACCTCAGCTGCTCCCAGTGGGCAACTAAGTTCAGGTGCCCTGTTTTCAGGCTGGGATCAAATAGGAGGAGTTCCTGCAGTGGAATGTCATGATTACACAAATGCAATTGTGTCTGGCATGTGGGAGAGCATAGCAGATATCCTGAGCTTTGTAACCTTATAGACCTTTGTGCTGTTTACCAGCTGTTTGTCCCTGGGTAAGTTACTAGATCTCTCTGAGCCTGTCTCCTTGTGTGTACAATGGGGAGAATAACGGTACCAGCCTTAATGGATTGTTGTGAGAAGTGAGATCACTGCAAATGTACAACACTTAGCAGAATGTCTGCATATAAGTGCTCAATAAATTGTAAGTTATAAAATAGTAACATTATAGTAGGCCTTCCATAACTACTTATTGTGTGAGTGAATTATCTACCCCTCTCATTTCTCTAATCCATTTGACTTTTGTTTGTTTCTTGTTTTTGAGACAGAATCTCCCTCTGTCACTCAGGCTGGAATGCAGTGGCACGATCTTGGTTCACTGCAACCTTCGCCTCCCAGATTCAAGAGATTCTCCTGCCTCAGCCTCCCAAGTAGCTGGGACTACAGGTGTGCACCACAACACCCGGCTAATTTTTGTATTTTTAGTAGAGACAGAGTTTCACCATGTTGGCCAGGCAGGTCCCAAACTCCTGACCTCAAGTGATCTGCCTGCCTCAGCCTCCCAAAGTGCTGGGATTATACGCATAAGCCACCGCACCCGGCCAATATGGCCCATCTTTAGAGTGGTGGGGAGCTTAGAGATGAATTTTTTTTTTTTTTTTTTTGAGACAGAGTCTTGCTCTGTCGCCCAGGCTGGGGTGCAGTGGCGCGATCTCGGCTCACTGCAACCTCCGCCCCTCCAGGTTTAAGCAATTCTCTGCCTCAGCCTTTGGAGTACATGGGATTACAGGCGCGTGCCACCACACCTGGCTAATTTTTTTTTGTATTTTTAGTAGAGACAGGGTTTCGCCATCTTTGCCAGGCTGGTCTTGAACTCCTTACCTCGTGATCCACCCGCCTCGGCCTCCCAAAGTGCTGGGATTACAGGCGTAAGACACTGTGCCAGGCCACAAAATCTTTACCATGGTCTACAAGACCCTAGATGATCTCGCACTTTACTTCTCAGACTTAATCTATTCCTACTCTCCCCCAACTTACTGTTTGAGTCTCACATACTAATTTCTCATTCTGTGAACAGTTTCTTCTCATCTCTGTGCCTTTGGACTTGCTGTTCCCTCTCTTGGAATGCTTTTCCCCCAGCTCATCACATGGCTTCCATCTTCACTTTATTCAGGCCATGCTCTGTTATCTCCTCCTCCAAGTCTTTCCTGACAACTCTATCTCCTATCATCCAGGGCCTCCACCCCTCTTCTTCCCTTAACCTGCTCTAATCTTCTCCCTAGCATTGCATGTCATATTAACTTTTTTTGTTTCTAACTTCCACATTAGTTGTAAGCTAACTCCATGACAGCAGAGATGTTGACTGTCTTGTTCATAGCTGTATCTCTGCTACCTAGAACATATCTATTATAATACATGATATGGGGTCAATATCTTTTTTGACCATGTAAAATAATGGTTGCATCACTGAATAAAACAAAAATGACCTATGAGTAAATGGAAGGTCTCTATGAACTTGACTTATACTTAAATCATTCTAAACACTTACAGATTAATCATGGCCCTTCTCACATAGAATTATTGTCAAGTACAACCCCTGCCACCACACCAAAAGGCTATTTTAATTTTTTTGAGATGGAGCCTTGCTCTGCCGCCTAGGCTGAAGTGCAGTGGCGCTATCTTGGCTCACTGCAACTTCCCCCCCGCCCCACCAGATTCAACCAATTCTCCAGCCTCAGCCTCCCGAGTAGCTAGGATTGCAGACACCTGCTGCCACGCCCAGCTAATTCATTTATTTATTTATATTTTTATTAGAGACAGGGCTTCACCATGTTGGCCAGGCTCGTCTCGAACTCCTGACCTCAAGTGATCCGCCTACCTTGGCCTCCCAAAGTGCTGAGATTACAGGCGTGAGCCACCGCACCTGGCCACAGCCAGTTTTGTTTCATTTATATTCCCACTTCATTTATATACATTCCTTCTTCCTCTGAATTATTTTGAAGTGAAAACTATACATCATATCATTTTTTAATTACCTTATATGTATCTGTAGAAGACAAAGAATTTTTAAAAATATATTCACAATGCCATTAAATACCAAAAAATTAATACATTCTGAAAATAGCCGCAAATCCAGAGTTCACATTTTCTTGACTTTTTCATAAGTGATTTTTTCTAGGTTATCTATTTCAATCAGATACCTGTTTGCTCATATTTACATTCCTAACTGAACAATGTCTAAACTTAAACTGACATAAAACACAGACGATCTTATGACCAAATGCTTAGTGCAAGAAAAAACTTCAAATTGCAAGAGGAGTCCCTCCAAATATAGAAAAGACCAGTATTTTAAGAGATATGTTAACTAAAATGTGGCAATGTAAGAAGCAGAGCAGGAAGAACCTTTAAGTCTGAAACTTGCAAGTCAATTTCATAGTCAGTTTCCCTGGTCCTTCCACAACAACCTCTGGCATACCTACAATGAAGGTAACAATAGTAGCTATTTCAGAGCAGGAAAAGGCTTAGAGCAGTGCTAGAAGAGGGTTGAGGCTATATAAAGTTTAGCTATTTGTATATTGTAACAAACCTACAACTTTTTTTTTTTAAGTCAATAATAGAGTTCTTTGGGAAGAGTAGCAGCCTCCTGTCGGGGAGCACCTGCAGTTCCACTAAGTGACCACTGGTGTCCGCTAACCTTTGCCTCTACTTCTCTCAGTAATACACTGTCCAGCTGCTCCTTGATTTAACAATTTTATATACTTTCTTTTTTTTTTTTTCCTTTCCCTTTTCCTGAGACACAGTCCCGCTCTGTCCTCCAGTCTGGACTACAGCAGGGCCATCATGGCTCACTGCCACCTCCACCCCCCACCACACCCCCCCACACCCCCCGGGCTCAAGCAATCCTCCTGCATCAGCCTTTGGAGTAGCTGGGACTACCCGCGGGGCCCACCACGCCCGGCTAATCTTTGTGGCTTTTGTTTTGTTTTTCCGTTAAGAGACCGGGTTTCGGGCCAGGCGCAGTGACTCACGACTGCAATTCCAGCAGCCCGGGAGGCCGAGGCCGGCGGATCACCCGAGGTGAGGAGCTGGAGACCAGCCCGACCAACATGGAGAAACCGCATCTCTACCAAAAAAATAAAAAATAAAAAACTAACCGGGCATGGTGGCTGACGCCCGCAATCCCAGCCACTCAGGAGGCTGAGGCAGAAGAATCACCCAAACCTGGGAGGCGGAGGCCTAGGCGAGCCGAGACCGCGCCACTGCCCTCCAACCTGGGCAAAGGAGCGAGACTCCGCTTCAAGAAAAAAAAAAGAGATCAGGTTCCACCATATTGCCCAGGCAGGTCTGGAACTCCTAGGCTCAAGCGATCTGCCGCACTCGGCCGTCCAAAGTCCTGGGATCAAAAGCGTGAGCCACCACTCCGGGCCGATCTATTCCTTTCTGATTAATAAATTGGGCCGGGCGCGGTGGCTCAAACCTGCAATCCCAGCACCCCGGGAGGCCGAGGCGGTTGGGTAACGTGAAGTCGGGAGTTTGAGACCATCCTGACCAATATGGAGAAACCTCGTCTGGACCAAAAAAAAAAAAAAAAAATTAGCCGGGTATGGTGGTTCATGCCTGGAATCCCGGCCACTCGGGAGGCTGAGGCATGAGGACCACCCAAACCCGGGAGGCGGAGGCCGCGGGGAGCCGAGACTGCGCCACTGCACTCCAGCCTGGGCAACAAGAGCGAAACTCCCTCTCAAAAAAAACAAGCAAAAAAGAGACCTGGTTTCACCATGTTGCCCAGGCCGGTCTGAACTCCTAGGCTCAAGTGATCTGCCACGCTCAGCCATCCCAAGTCCTGAGATCAAAAGCGTGAGCCACCAAGCCAGGCCGATCACGCCTGTAATCCCAGCACTTTGGGAGGCTGAGGTGGGTGGATCAGCTGAGTTCAGGAGTTCGAGACCAGCCTGGCCAATATGATGAAACCCCGTCTCTACCAAAAATACAAAAAAATCAGCCGAGTGTGTGGCGGGCGCCTGTAATCCCAGCTACTCAGAAGGCTGAGGCAGGAGAATCGGTTGAACCTTGCAGGTGGAGGTTGCAGTGAGCCGGGATAGCGCAACTGCACTCCAGCCTGGGTGACAGAGACTCCGTCTCGAAAAAAAATAATAAAAATAATAAATTGGGCCGTGCGCCCTGGCTCATGCCTGCAATCGCAGCACCCCCGGAGGCCGAGGAGGGCGGGTAACCTGAGGTCGGGAGTTTGAGACCAGCCTGACCAACAGGGAGAAACCCCCGTCTGTACCAAAAAATAAATAAATAAATAAATAAATCAGCCGGGCATGGTAGCTCATGCGTGCAATCCCAGCCACTTGGAGGCTGAGGCAGGAGAACCAACTAAACCCGGAGGCAGAGGCCTAGCGAACCGAGACCTTGCCACCGCTGTCCAGCCTGGGCAACAAGAGCGAAACTCCGCCCCCCACCCAAAAAAAAAAAGACCAGGTTTCACCATGTTGCCCAGGAGGGTCTGGAACTCCTAGGCTCAAGAGATCCGCCGTGCTCGGCCATCCAAAGTCCTAGGATCACAAACGTGAGCCACCACGCCAGGCTGATCTATTCCTTTCTGATTAATAAATTGGGCCAGGCGCGGTGGCTCACGCCTGCAATCTCAGCATCCCTGGAGGCTGAGGCGGGCAGTTAACCTGAGGTCGGCAGTTTGAGACCAGCCTAACCAACATGGAGAAACCCCATCTGTACCAAAAAGAAAAAAAAAAAATGAGCTGGGCATTGTGGCTCACGCCTGCAATCCCAGCCACTAGGGAGGCTGAGGCTGGAGAACCACCCAAACCCGGAGGCGGAGGCCACGGGGAGCCAAGACCACGCCACTGCTCTCCAGCTGGGCTAGAAGAACGAAATTCCGCCTCAAAAAAGAAAAAAATTAATAATAATAATAATAAATAGACCAGGTTTCACCATGTTGTCCAGGCCGGTCTGGAACTCCTAGGCTCATGGGATCTGCCGGGCTTGGCCGTTGAATGTCCTGGGATCACAAGCGTGAGCCACCACGCCAGGCCTATCTATTCCTTTCTGATAAATAAATTGGGCCGGGCGCGGTGTCTCAGGCTTGCAATTCTGTAGCGGGATTTTTAAGGAATTAGAGAGACTGATGGGGTTTAGGAGGATATTATTTAGGTGCACTGGCCCAGTCAGCTTAACATTTAAAGCATTGAGTTCTGGAACCAAGGGCTATCTTTTAAGCATTTTGTGGGGCGGGGGTAGATCTGTGCAGGGGGAAGCATAATACAGAAGCGAGAAACAAAGATAATTAATTGAAATATGCATTATATTATTTTTTACTATTTAAGGAAAAATACGTTTTGTTGAGTTTGTTTAGTGACCTTGCAATTGCACAGTTAGGGAATTAGCCGGGCACGATGGCTCACGCCTGCAATCCCAGCCACTCGGGAGGCCGAGGCGGGCAGATAACCTGAGGTCGGGAGTTTGAGACCAGCCTGAGGAACATGGAGAAACCCCATCTCCACCAAAAAAAAAAAAAAAAAAAAAAAATGACCCGGGCATGATGGCTCAAGTGTGCAATCCCAGCCACTCGGGAGGCTGTGGCAGGAGAACCAACCAAACCTGGGAGGCGGAGGCCCGGCGAGCCGAGACTGCGCCACTGCACTCCACCCTGGGCAACAAGAGTGAATCTCCGTCTCAAAACAAACAAACAAAAAAAAACAAGCCGGGCGCGGTGGCTCACGCCTGTAATCCCAGCATTTTGAGAGGCTGAGGCTGGCGGATCACGAGGTCAGGAGATCGAGACCATGCTGGCTAACACGGTGAAACCCCGACTCTACTAAAAAAAATACAAAAAAATTAGGCGTAGTGGCGGGCGCCTGTAGTCCCAGCTTCTCGGGAGGCTGAGGCAGGAGAATGGCGTGAACCCGGGAGGCGGAGCTTGCAGTGAGCTGAGATCGTGCCACTGCATTCCAGCCTGGGCAAGAGAGCAAGACGCTGTCTCAAAAAAAAAAAAAAAAAAAAGAGAGACCAGGTTTCACCGCGTTGCCCAGGCGGATCTGGAACTCCTGGCTCAAACGATCCGCCGCGCTCGGCCGTCCAAATTCTTGGGATCACAAGCGTGAGCCACTACGCCAGGCCGATCTATTCCTTTCTGATTAATAAATTGGGCCGGGAGCGGTGGCTCACACCTGCAATCCCAGCACCCCGGGAGACCAAGGCTGGCGGGTAACCTGAGGTCGGGAGTCTGAGACCAGCCTGACAAACATGGAGAAACCTCGTCTGTACCAACAAAGAACAAAAACAAAAAATACAAAAAAACTACAAAATGAGCCGGGCATTGTGGCTCACGCGTGCAATCCCAGCCACTCCAGAGGCTGAGACTGGAGAACCACCCAAACCCAGAGGCGGAGGCCGCTGGGAGCTGAGACCGGGCCACTGCACTCCAAGCCGGGCAACAAGAGCGAAACTCCACCTCGAAAAAAAAAAGACCGGGTTTCACCATGTTGCCCAGGCCAGTCTGGAACACCTAGGCTCATGAGATCCGCGCGCCCTCGGCCGTCCGAAGTCCTGGGATCACAAGCGTGAGCCACCGTGCCAGGCCGATCTATTCCTTTCCGATTAATAAAGTGGGCCAGGCGTGGTGGATCACCCCTGCAATCCCAGCACCCCGGTGGCTCACGCCTGCAACCCGGGAGGCCGAGGCAGGCAGATAACCTGAGGTCAGGAGTTTGAGACCAGCCTAACCAACAGGGAGAAACCCGTCTGTACCAAAAAATAAAAATTAAAAATATAAAAAAATAAAAAACAAATGAGCCGGGCATGGTGGCTCATGCCTGCAATCCCTGCCACTCCGGAGGCTGAGGGAAAACCACCCAAAATTGGGAGGCGGAGGCCACAGCCAGCAAAAACCATGCCACTGCGCTCCAGCCTGGGCAACAAGAGCGAAACTCCCAGTCTCAAAAAAATTAAAAAGAGACCGGGTTTCACCATGTTGCCCAGGCTGGTCTGGAACTCCTAGGCTCAAGCAATCTTCTGTGCTCAAGCGATCCTCCGCGCTCGGCCGTCCAAAGTCCTGGGATCAAAAGTGTGAGCCACCATGCCAGACCCATCACTCCTGTAATCCCAGCACTTTGGGAGGCCAAGGCAGGTGGACCACCTGAGGTCAGGAGTTTGTGAAGGCTCATCTCTACTAAAAATACAAAAATTAGCCAGGTGTGGTGTACTGTGCCTGTAGTCCCAGCTACTCAGGAGGCTGAGGCAGGGGAATCACTTGAACCCAGGAAGCAGAGGTTGCAGTGAGCCGGGATCCCCTGACTGCACTCCAGCCTGGGTAGCAGAGCTCTGTCTCAATAATAATAATAATAATAATAATAGTAATAATTGTGATTGTATTTAGAAATTATTGAAATAAATTTTTTAGCTACATCAGATCAATTTGGGTTCCTTCTTAAAACGGCCATTTCATCTTTTGGTTCCTGTATTATTTTATTGTATTCCTTAAATTCCTTGGGTTGGGTTTCAACTTTCTCTTGAATCTCGATAATCCTCATTCCTATTCCTATTCTGAATTGTGTGTCTGTCATTTCAGCCATTTCAGCTTGGTTAAGAATATTGCTGGGGAACTAGTGCAGTCATTTGGAGGTAGGAAGACACTCTGGCTTTTTGAATTACCATAGTTTTTACGCTGATTCTTTCCCTTATGTGTGGGGCTGATGTTCCTTTAATCTTTGAAGTTATTTCCTTTGGATGGGTTTTTTTGCTTGTATATGTGATGCCCTTTGGGGTTTGATTGTGATGTAAGGTGGGTTCATTTGACTGATTTTGTTTCTGGATCATTTTAGGGGGGCTAAGGCTTAGCTCAGCACTCCTGGGCTAACTGCTCTAACTCTGGGGCACTGGTTTTGGGCTCCCAGCTTTCTTCTCTGGCCCCTTGATTTAGGAATTTGCCGGACTAGAGGGGCCAAGGTGTTTCTGGTCCACTGACCCCCAACACTCCAATGGGGGGTGTCAGCCAAAGTGTTTCATTGGGGCAATGGCAGTGGGATTTATGCTCACTCATGCATGTCAGCAGCTGCAGCAGCACAGTGGGGTGCATGCACATTGGCTGGGGAGGGGCACTGGTGAGAGCAGGGCAGCAGCATTCCTGCACATGCTCTCACACTGGCAGCAGCATGGCAGGGACAGGGAACTTGTGGGGGCAGGGTTGCTGGTGTCCACGTGTGCATTCATACCAGCAACAGCAGTGGCATGATGCGGGCAGGATTGCCAGTGTCCGTGCATGCGTTTGCACTGGTGATTGCAGTGGTGTGGAAGGGGCAGGGTTGTCAGTGTCTGTGCACATGTTCATACTGGCACTGGTGACATGGCAGAGTGACCACACATCCGCAGGGGTGGAGAGCAGCAGGGTGCACTCATGCCAGTAGCAGTGGCATGGTGTAATACCTGCACACACATGCACCAGCATGGTAGGCAAGATCTGCCCATGCGAGTGTGCTGACAAAGCAGTGGGGGAAGAGGCCGTGGGTACACTGGTGTGCATCAGCAGAGGTCAGTCTGCTGGAGCTTCCAAAAGGTTAGGTGCAGTCCACCAGCAAGGGAGCTGTGATGAGGGTCCCTGGGAAGCACGCTGATTGGGCATCCAAGGCTGTGCTGCAAGCAGGCATGGCCAGGCTGGGACCTCAGGAGAGGCCAGCAGACAAGGGGGCACTCAGATCAGACTGAGCAAGACCAAGGGCAAGACCATCCTGCTCTGTCCAGGTCCAACAGTCATGCTAAGGCTAAAATCTCCCAGAGGAGCATGGCGAACCTTGGGGGATGGATGTCACTGGCCATGCTCCACTGTAGCCATTCCCATGCCAAAACCCTCTGGGCTCTGCACAGGCTGGAGTCCTGCCCCTACTACCTGTCTAGGCAGCTCTTCCTGTCAGCTCAGATGTCTATGGGGGTTGTGGGGTCTCCTGCAGCTAGGATTCTGGAGGTTCATGGTGAGAGTAGGCCACTCCTCACCTGTTCAGTTTACTCCTTCCCCAGGAGATGCTAGGAGCAAGCAACAAGTCCTGGTGCTCAGAAACCCCGTGTAGGGCTCCCAGCATACTCCCCCTTCAGTCCAGCATCTGTGTCCTCCCTCTGTCCACTCTCAACACTTTTGTTCTGAAGAGCTGCTCAGAGTGTGCCAGTCTCTCTCAATATCCCAGTATCTTTGTGGGAGAATATTCCTCCTGGCTGCATCTACTCAGCCATCTTGGCTCCTCCTCAAGAATTTCATAATACAATCAAAAGCATTAGCAGCAGAATAGGCCAAGCTAAAGAAAGAATTACAGAGCATGATATGGTTTGGATCTGTGTCCTTGAATCTCATGTTGAATCGTAATCCCTAATGTTGGAGGTGGGTCCTGATGGGAAGGTGATTTGATCATGGGAGCACTTTCTCATGAATGGTTTAGCACCATCTATCTTGGTACTGTGCTCTCAATAGTAAGTGAATTCTCATAAACTCTGGTTAAAAGTGTATAGCACCGCTCCCCTCACTGTCTCTTGCTCCTACTCTGGCCATGTGAAGTACATGCTCTACCTCTGCCTTCCGCCATGAATGGAAGCTTCCTGAGGGCTTCCCAGAAGCCAAGCAGATGCCAGCATCATGCTTCCTGTACAGCCTGTGGAACTGTGAGCCAATTAAACCTCTTTTCTTCATAAATTACCCAGTCTCAGATATTTCTTTATAGCAATGCATGAATGGACTAATACAGAAAATTGATACCTAGAAGTGGAACATTGCTACAAAGATACCTGAAAATGTGGAAGCAGCTCTGGAACTGGGTAATGGGCAGAGGTTAGGAGAGTGTGGAGGGCACAGAAGAAGAGAGGAAGATGAGGGAAAGTTTGGAACTTCCTAGAGACTGGTTGAATGGTTGTGACCAAAATGCTCATAATGATATGGACAGTGAAGTCCAGTCTGATGAGGTCTCAGATGGAAATGAGGAAGTTATTGGGAAATGGAGCAAAGGTCACACTTGTGACACCATAGCAAAGAACATGACTGCATTGTGTCCATACCCCAAGGATTCATGGAAGGACAAACAAGAGTGATGACCTAGGGTATCTGTCGAAAGAAATTTTTAAGCAGCAAAGTGTTCAAGAAGTGGCATGGCTGGGTTTTTTTGTTTGTTTGTTTTTTGTTTTGTTTTGTTTTGTTTTGGGGGGGGGGTTGAGACAGAGTCTCACTCTGTCACCCAGGCTGGAATGCAGTGACACCATTTCAGCTCCCTGCAACCTCCGCCTCCTGGATTCAAGTGATTCTCTGACCTTAGCCTCCTGAGTAGCTGGGACTGCAGGTGCACATCACCAGGCCTGGCTAATTTTTGTATTTTTAGTAGTGATGAGTTTTCGCTATGTTGGCCAGGCTGGCCTTGAACTCCTGGCCTCAAGTGATCTGCCCACCTTGGCCTCCCAAAGTGCTGGGATTACAGGCATGAGCCACTGTGCCCAGTCAGCAGGGCTGCTTTTTAACAGCCTATGACCAGATTTGACAGTAAGAGAATGACTTAAAGGTGGAATTTATAATTAAAAAGGAAATAAACCATTAAAATTTGGAAAATTTCCAGCCTTGCTATGTGGTAGGAAAGGAAAGAGCATTTTCAGACAAGGAATTCAAGGGGGCAGTGGAGCAATCTCTTGCTAGAGACATAGGCAGAGACAAAAGGGAGCCAGGTGCTAATAGTCAAGACAATGCAGGAAAGCCCTAGAGGCATTTTAGAAATCTTCAAGGACACCTCTCTCATCACAGGCCCAGAGGTCTAGGGGGACAGTATGTTTTTGGGTGCCAGGCCCCAGGTGCCACAGCTTTGTGGCACCTTGGAATGCTGCTCCCATATCCAAGCCATTCTGGCTGTAGCCATAGCCCAAATAGCCTCAAGTACAGCTTGGGCTGCTGCTCCAAAGGGTGAAAGTCATAAGCCTTGGCAGTTTCCACATGTGTTAAGTCTGCAAAATGCAAGTGTGGGGGAGGCTTGGAAGCTTCCACCTAGGTGTCAGAGGATGTGCCAGGAATCCAGGGTGCCCAGGCAGAAGGCTGCTGCAGGGCAGAACCCCCAAAGAGAGACTCTACTCAGGCAATCCTGAGTGGATAGTGCGGTTGAGGGCCCCACAAAAAAAAGCCTATATTAGGGCAATGGCTAATGGAGCTGTGGGAACAGGGATGCCACCTTCCAGACCCAAGAACAGTAGAGCCACCAGCAGTGTGCACCCTCAGCCTGGAAAAGCCAAAGCCATTGAACTCCAACCTGTGAGAGTAGCCAGGTGGGCTGCACCCAGCAAAGCCATGGGGGTGGGAATGCCCAAGGCCTTGGGGGGACCACCTCTTGCACCATGGTGCCCAGGATACAGTACATGGACCCAAATATTATTTTGGAGCTTAAAGGTTTAATGCCTTCGCCAATAGGTTTCAGTCTTGCATGGCCAATTTCAGTCTTGCAATAACCCTTTCTTTTGGCCAATTTCTCACTTTTGAAATAAGAACGCTTACCCAGTATATGTCTTACCATTCTATCTTAAAAGCAAACAACTTGTTTTTAGTTGTACAGGCTTACAGGTGTAAAAACTTGACCTTGAGTCTCAAATCAGACTTTAGACTTTGGACTTATGAGTTGATGATTGGAACAAGTTAAGCCTTTGGGGACTATTAGGAAAGGGTGATTATATTTTGCAATGTGAGAAGTACATATGATTTGGACGGTCTGAGGCGAAATGATAAAGTTTGGATATTCATCCCCTCCAAATATCATGTTGAAATTTGTACCCAATGTGGAGGTGGGACCTAATAGGAGGTATTTGTGTCATGAGGACAAACCCCTCATGAATGTTTGATGCCATCCTCTCTGTAATGAGTGAATTCTCACTCTTAATTCCTATGAGAACTGAATGTTTAAAAGAGCCTGGAACTCCCCTCCTTGCTCTCTTGCTTCTGCGGTCTCATCATGTGATTCTGCACACACGGCACCCCTTCACCTTCCACCAGGGGTGAAAGCCCCCCAGGAGACTCACCAGATGCAGATGCAGGGGACTTGCTTCTCAGGCAAGCTGCACAACTGTAAGCTAAATAAACCTCTTTTCTTTATCAATTACCCAGCCTCAGGTATTCCTTTAGAGCAAAACAAAAACAGACTCAGATAGAAAATACATAAAAAGAAATTAAGAACAAATGTGAGAAATTTCATTCCAATAGCATGTTGTCAACACTAGATTACAGAGTGCTCTACGTGTTAACCATTTCCATTCTCTGAAAGTAATGAGCACATGATGCACCTCTGAAAAAAATTGTTTAGATTTACCTTTTTTTCTTTTTTTTTTTGAGATGAGTCTCACTCAGTTGTCCAGGCTGGACTGCAGTGGTGCAATCTCAGCTCACTGCAGCCTCCACTTCCTGGGTTCAAGCAATTCTCCTTCCTCACCCTCCAGAGCAGCTGGGACTACAGGTATGCACCACCACACCCAGCTACTTTTTGTATTTTTAGTAGAGACAGAGTTTCACCATGTTGGCCAGGCTGGTCTCGAACTCCTTGCCTCAAGCGATCCATCCACCTCAGCCTTCCAAAGTGCTGTAATTACTGGCATGAGCCACCGTGCCTGGCCTAGATTTACCTTTTAAATGTGCTTATGTAAATACCTCATAATAACCTCTTTGGAACAATAATAAGAAATATCATTCAAGAGCATGTTGTCAACACTAAATTTCAGAATTCTCTGAAATAATAATAAATAATTCCACTCTCTGAAACAAAAAAAAAAACATATGGTGCATCTCTAAAGAAACTTGTTTCGATTTACCTTAAATATTTTATGTAAACACTTTATAATAAGCCATAGGAACAAATGTAAGAATTATCATCAATAGCATGTTAATCAACAGTAGATCACAGAGTTCTTTAAGTGCTAAACATTCTCATTCTCTGAAAGAAAACAGCACATGATGTACTTCGCCAAAGCTTGCTTAGATTTACCTTTTTTTGTTTTGTTTTTGTTTTTTGTTTGTTTTTTGAGACATAGTCTCGCTCTGTCACCCAGGCTTGAGTGCAGTGGTGCAATCGTGGCTCACTGCAGCCTCAACCTCCTGGGCTCAGGTGATCCTCTCACCTCAGCCTCCTGAATAGCTGGAATTACAGGCACATGCCACCATGCCTGGATAATTTTTTTGCATTTTTTGTAGAGGTGGGATTTTGCCATGTTGTCCATGTTTGAACTCCTGGGCTCAAGCAGTCCACCCACCTTGGCCTCCCAATGTGCTGGGATTACAGGCATGAGCCACCATGCCCAGCCAGACTTACCTTTTAAACACGCCTTGTAATACCTCATAATAAATCCTTAGGAACAAACGTAAAAAAGAAAATCATTCATTAGCATGTTGTCAAAAAGAGACTTTTAAATTTTATATGTTATAAACAATTCCATTCTCTGAAACAAAACAGCACATGACGCATCTCTGAAGAAGCTTGCTTATATTTATATTTTAAGTATTTATATGTAAACACCTCATAATAACTCCTTTGGAACAAATAAGAAATATTATTTAACAGCATGTTATCAAAATTAAATTTCAGGCCAGGCGCGGTGGCTCAGGCCTGTAATCCCAGCACTTTGGGAGACCGAGGAAGGTGGATCACTTGATCCCAGGAGTTCAAGACTAGCCTGGGCAATGTAGCAAGACCTCAACTCTACTAAAAATAAAAAATAAAATATAAAAACATTAGCCCAATGTGGTGGTACATGTCTATGATCCCAGCTACATGGGAGGCTGAGCTGGGAGCCTGGGAGGCAGGCGCTACAGTAAGCCAAGATAGTGCCACTGTAATTCAGTCTGGGTGACAGAGTAAGACTTTGCCAAAAAAAAAAAAAAAAAACCACTAAATTTCAGATATCTCTTTGTGATAAATAGTTCATTTCCTGAAAGAAACCAGCCCATGGTGCCTTTCTGCCATATACCTTTTAAATGTGTATATGTTAACACCTCATTATAAGCCCTCAGGAAAAGTATTTCAGTGTAAGAAATATCTTTCAATAGAATGTTGCCAACACTACATTACAGAGTTCTCTATGTAATAAAGACTTTCATATTCTGAAAAAAAAATAGCATGTAATGCATCCCTAAATAAGTTTACTTAGATTTACCTTTTAAACATGTATATGTAAATTTGTAATAACTCATTTGGAACAAAGATAAGAAATATCATTCAGTAGCATGTTATTAACACTATATTTAAGAGCTCTTTGGCTGGGCGCAGTGGCTGTAATCCCAGCACTTTGGGAGGCTGAAGTAAGCAGATCACTTGAGGTCAGGAGTTCGAGACCAGCTTGGCCTACATGGTGAAGCCCCATCTCTATTAAAAATATAAAAATTAGCCGGGCATGGTGGTGCGTGCCTGTAATCCCAGCTACTCAGGAGGCTGAGGCAGGAGAATCACTTGAATCCGGGGGGCAGAGGTTGCAGTGAGCCGAGATCGCGCCATTGCACTCCAGCCTGGGTGACAGGATGAGACACCGTCTCAGAAAAAAAAAAGAGTTTTTTATATGTTAATCAATTTAATTCTCTGAACAAAAGCAGCATAATGCATTTTTGGAGAAACTCATTTATATTTCCCTTTAAACAAGTATATGTAAATACCTCCCAGTAACTTCTGTGGAGCAAGGATCACAAACACCATAAAATAGCATGTTGTCAACACTAGATTCCCAGTTCTCTGTGTAATAAATACTTCTCTGGGGGAAAAAATAAATTATGCATCTTTGAAGAAGCTTCCTTAGATTTAGCTTTTAAATGCACATATGTAAACACCTCACAATAACATTTTCAGAATAATGATAATATCATTCAAGAACATGTTGTTGAGACTACATTTCAGAGTTGTCCATGTAATACCAAATCTGTTCTCTAAAACAAAACAGGGCACAATACATCTCTGATGAAGTTTGCTTAGCTTACCGTTTAAACATGTATACATAAACACCACTTAATAAGCCTGTAGCAACTCAAATGAGAAATATTATTCAATAACATGTTTCAACACTAGACTACATAGTCTTTATGTGTTAAGCAATTCCATTCTCTGATAGAAAACACCATAGGATGCATCTCTTAAGCAGCTTGGTTAAATTTACATTTTAAATGAGTATATGTAAATACCTTACAATAACCTCTTATTGTAGAAACAAAGGTGTGATATATCACTCAATAGCATGTTGTTAACACTAGATTACAGAGTTTTTAGCAATTAAGCACTTTCATTCTCTGAAAGAAAACTGCAAATGAGCAGCTCTGAAGAAGGCTGCTTAGATTTGCCTCCCAAACAAGCGTTTGTAATCATTTCATTATAAGATTTAGGGAACAAATACTAGAAATATCATTCAATAGCATGTTCCCAACACTAGGTTACAGAGTTCTGTATTTGTTAAACAGTTCCAATTTCTGAAAGAAAACAGCACAAAATGCCTCTCTAAAGAAGCTTGTGAAGATTTACCTCTTAACCGTGTTTATGTAAACCCATCATCATAAGCCATTGTGAACAAAGGTAAGAACTATCATTCAATAGCATTTTCTCCACACTAGATTACAGAATTCTGTATTTGTTAAACAGTTCCAATTTCTGAAAGAATATACCACATAATCCATCTCTCTTTTTTTTTTTTTTTTTTTTTTTTTGAGATGTAGTCTCACTCTGTTGCCCAGGCTGGAGTGCAGTGGCGTGATCTCTGCTCACTGCAAGCTCCGCCTCCCAGGTTCACGCCATTCTCCTGCCTCAGCCTCCTGAGTAGCTGCGACTACAGGCGCCCGCCACCACGCCCGGCTAATTTTTTTGTATTTTTAGTAGAGACAGGGTTTCACCGTGTTAGCCAGGATGGTCTCGATCTCCTGACCTTGTGATCCACCCGCCTTGGCCTCCCAAAGTGCTGGGATTACAGGCGTGAGCCACCACACCCGGCCCACATAATCCATCTCTAAAGAAGCTTGCTTACATTTACCTTTTAAACAAGTATATGTAAAGTTGGCATAACAAGCTCTTATGAACAAAAGTAAGATAGTGTTGCTATTGAACAATGTTTAACAATATTAAATTCTCAACATTAGATTGGAGTTCTCTGTTAAAAGTTCCATTTTCTGAAAGAAAACAGCAAATAATGCATTTCTGAAGAAGCTTGCTTAGAGGAGGGAGGTGGAACCAGGTGGTAAATGGAACCCTCCAGTTGCTATCTCCCCAACAGGGACACCAAATTCAACAACTATCTACCCAAGAAAGCAACTTCGTAAGAATCAAAAAATTAAATGAGTGACAACAGTACCTGGTTTGAACATAATATAACATAAAGGCACATTGAAGAGGGTAGGAAGGACAATGTTACATTGCCTACACCACTACCACCACCAACAACCCCAGGCATCACAGTATGGAGAAACAATCTGTGTGTTTGTGGGAGACAGAGTGAAATGAGCATGGAACTTCACATTGGAAATCAGTGCTTTTCTGTCGCAATGGAGCACAACACTGGACAGAAACCCCTGATGCCCACAGAGGGAACACTTAAACCAGCCCCAGGCCAGAGAGGAATCCTCCACTCCAATAGGAGGAACCCAAGTCCCAGCTTGCTTCACCACAGCCTGGCTAAAATGGCCTGGGTACTGAGTAAATTTGAGTGACTGCCAGCCCACAGTGACTGCATCCTTGGCCAAGCAGATGTGCTGCACTCATTTCAGAGGCTGTGAACTTGTGGTGTGACCCAGCATAACACCAGCTACAGCAGCCATGGGAATGCTCGCATAACCCCTTGCCCAACTGCAGGCAGTTTGTCATGGAGAGACTCCTTCATCTTGGGGGAAGGAGAGGGAAGAGTAAAGAAGACTGTGCCTTCCAAGTGGGTACTGACAGAGCAGGAGCATTGCCATCTTGGACAAGCTCCTGATTCTAATTTTTATTCTGATTTCTACCTTGGTAAAAAACTGCCTCAGTCCAAAGGGCATCAGCCTAATGGCTAAGGTCAGCACGACCATAAACCACAAATAACATCTCCAACCAGAAACATTCCAAACTCCTCCCCGACCAGAGACATGCTAGCCCCAAGATAACCCCCCTCCGCCAGGAAGATGCCAGCCTCGAGATAACCCCCCTCTGGCCGGAAAGATGTCTGCCCCAAGATAATTTGATGAGGAATTCAAATAACTGTCTTGAGGAAGCTCAATGAATTTCAAGATAACACAAAGAAGAAACTTAGAATTCTATCAAAAAAAGAGAAATGAAAATAATTTTTAAAAAATCAAATTCCAGAGACAAGTTTTTTTGTTTGTTGTTTTGTTGTTGTTGTTGTTGTTTTCTTTGAGACAGAGTCCCACTCTGTCACCCAGGCCGGAGTGCAGTGGTATGATCCCAGAGACTAAAAATTCAATTAGCAAACTGAAAAATGCATCAGAATGCCTCCAGAATTGATCAAGCAAAGGAATAAATTATTGAGCTCAAAGATAGGCTATTTGAAAATACACAGAGCAGAAAATAAAAGAATAAAGTATGCTTACTCTTATATTTGCCCTTTTAAGGCTATCTAGAAAACAGCCTTAAAAGGACAAATATAAGAGTTATTAACCTTAAAGAGGATGGAGAAAGAGATTTGGGTAGAAGGTTTATTCAGGCAAATAACATGTAACTTTTCAAACCTAGAAAAAGATAGTAATATCCACATAGAAGAAGGTTAAAAAAAAAAAGCACACACCAAAAAGATTCAAGCTAAATAAGACTCCCTCAAGGCCTATAATAATCAAACTCTCAAAGGTCAAGGACAAAAAAAGGATCCTAAAAACAGTAACAGAAAGAAGCAAATAACATATAAAGAAGCTCCAATGTATCTGGTTGTAGACTGCTCAGTGGAAACTGTACAAGCCCGGAGAGAGTGGAATGACATATACAAAGTCCTGAGTGGAACAACTTCTAACATAAAATACTGTATCCAACGAAGTTATCCTTCAAACACCAAGGAGAAATAAAAGCTTTTCCAGACAAACAAAAGCTAAGGAAATTCATCAATGCTAGATCAATTTTACAAGAAATGCTAAAGGTACTTCATTCTGAAAGTAAAGGATGCTAATATGCAACAAGAAATCATCAGAAAGAACAAAACCTGCTGATGAAAGTGAGTATACCTAATACTCTAATATTGTAATTGGAGAGTATAAATCACTCATGTCACGTTGGGAGGCTGAGGTGGGTGAATCACTTGAACTCAGGAGTTCAAGACCAGCTGGCCAACATGGCAAAACCCCATCTTTACTAAAAATACAAAAAGTAGCTGGGTATGGTGGTGCGTGCCTGTAATCCCAGCTACTCAGGTGCCTGAGGCACAAGATCACTTGAATCCTGGAGGTGGAGGTTGCAGTGAATCAAGATCACACCACTGTGCTCCAACCTGGATGACAAAGCCAGACTCTGTCTCAGAAAAAAAAAAAAATCACTTGGCCAGGCGTGGTGGCTCACACATGTAATCCCAACACTTTGGGAGGCCGAAGCGGGTGGATCACAAGGTCAGGAGATCGAGACCATCCTGGCTAACACGGTGAAACCCTGTCTCTACTAAAAATACAAAAAATTATCCGAGCATGGTGGTGGGGACCTGTAGTCCCAGCTACTCGGGAGGCTGAGGCAGGAGAATGGTGTGAACCCGGGAGGCGGAGCTGGCAGTGAGCCGAGATTGCACCACTGCATTCCAGCCTGGGTGACAGAGCAAGACTCTGTCTCAAAAAAAAAAAAAAAATCACTCATATCGTTAGTGTGAAGACTAAAAGACAAACCCATCAAAAATAATCATAAGTAAAACAATTGTGAAGATACAAAAAATATAAAAATAGAAACAAGAAAAAGTCAACAAGCAGCAGTGACAAAGTTAATTTTTCTTTCTTTTTTCTTTTCTATGTGATCAGAGTTGAGTTGTCATCAGTTTAAAAGAACTGATGATGTTTTTTGCAAACCTCATGGTAATCACCAAGGAAAAACCTATAATAGATACACAAAAATTAAAAAGCAAGAAATCAAAATATGCTACCAGAGAATATCACTTCTACAAAAAGGAAGACCAGGAGAAAGGAAGGACTAATAAAACAACCAGAAAACAAGTAACAAAATGGCATTAATAACCTATCAATAATAACATTGAATTTAAATAGGCTATATTCTCCAATAAAAAGACGTAGAGTGGCTGAATGTATTTTAAAAACAAGACTCACTATATGTTGCCTATAAGAAACTCATTTCGGCTGGGCACAATGGCTCACGCCTGTAATCCCAGCACTTTTGGGAGGCTGAGGCAGGCAGATCACTTGAGTTCAGGAGTTCAAGACCACCCTGGCCAACATGGTGAAACTGCGTCTCTACTAAAAATACAAAAAAATTAGCCATGAGTGGTGCAGGTGCCTGTAATCCCAGCTACTTGGGAGACTGAGGCAGGAGAATCGCTTGAACCCAGGAAGTGGAGGTTGTAGTGAGCCAAGACCGTGTCATTACACTCCAGCCTGGGCAATGAGAAAGAAATTCTGTCAAAAAAAAAAAAAAAAGGAAAGAAACTCACTTCACCCATAAAGATACACACAGACTGAAAAGGAAGGGATGAAAATAGATATTCCATGCAAATGGAAACAAAAAAGCAAGAGTCACTGTATTTATATCAGATAAAGTTTCTGATATAAGACGTTTCAAGACAAAACAGTAAAAAAAAAAGACAAAAACGGTTATTATATGAGGATGAAGTGGTTAACTCAGCAAGAGGATATAACAATGGTAAACATATATGGGCCCAACACTGGAGCAGCCAGATGTATAAAGCAAATATTATTACAGCTAAAGAGAGAGATAGTCCTCAGTACCATAATAGCTGGAGACTTCAACAACCTACTTTCAGCACTGGACAGAACTTCCAGGCAGAAAATCAACATAGAAACATCTGACTTAATCTGCGCTAGAGACCAAATGGATCTAACAGATATTTACAGAACATTTCATCTAACAGCTGCAGAATACACATTCTTATTAGCACATGGAACATTCTCCAGAACAGACCATACCTTAGGCCACAAAAAAAGTCTCAGAAAATTTGAAAAAATCAAAATTATATCAGTTGTCTTCTGTGACCACAATAGAATAAAACTAGAAATCAACAACAAGAGGAACTTGGGAAACTATTCAAATACATAGAAATTAAATAACATGCTCCTGAATACCATTGCTCAATGAAGCAACTAAGACAGAAATTTTAAAGTTTCTTGAAACTGTAAAAAATTGAAATACAACGTACCAAAACCTATGAAGTATATCAAAAGCAGTACTAAGAAGGAAGCTTATACTAATAAATGCCTATGTTAGAAGAGTAAAGGCTAGGCACAGTGGCTCATGCCTGTAATCCCAGCACTTCGGGAAGCCAAAGCAGGTGGATTGCTTGAGCTCAGGAGTTTGAGACAAGCCTGAGCAACATGATGAAACCCCGTTTCTACCAAAAATACAAAAAAAAAAAAAAAAAAAAAAAAAAGCTGAGTGTGGTGGCACATGCCTAGAGTCCCAACTACGCAGGAGGCTGAGGTGGGAGGATGGCATGAGCTTGGGAGGCAGAGGTTGCAGTAAGCCGAGATCACGCCACTACACTCCAGCCTGAGTGACAGAGCCAGACCCTGTCTCAAAAAAAAAAAAAAAAGAGAGAGAGAGAGTAAAAAGACTTCAGACAACCAAATGATGCACCACCTTAAAGAATTAGAAAAGCAATAGCAAATCAAACCTAAAATTAAGAGAAGACAATAAATAATAAAGATCAGAGCAGAAATCAAATTGAAACAAAAAATACAAAAGATCACAAAACAAAAAGTCGGTTTTTGGAAAGATAAACAAAATTGACAAACTCTTTTGACAGACTAAGAAAAAAGAGAAGACTCAAATAAATTAAATCAGAGAGATGACATTACAACTGATATCACTGAAATTCAAAATATCTTTAGAGACTACTATGAGCAACTATTATACATGCCAAAAAATTGGAAAAGGCAGAGGAAATTGATAAATTCCTAGACACATACCACCTACCAGGATTTAAACATGAAGAAATGGAAAGCATGAATACACCAATAACATACAGTGAGATAGGGGCAGTGCTGAAAAGTCTCCCATCAAAGAAAAGCTAAGTACCTCATGGCTTCACTGCTGAATTTGCCAAATATCTAAAGAACAACTAATACCAATTCTACTCAAACTACCCCAAAAAATATAAAAGAAGGAAATACACCTAAACTCATTCTACAAGTCCAGCATTATCCTGATACAAAAACCAGACAAACAAAAAAGAAAACTACAGGCCAATATTTCTGATGAATGTAGATACAAAAATCCTCAGTGAAATACTAGCATCCCAAATTCAAGAACACATTAAAAAGATCATTCATTTTGATCAAGTGGGATGCATCCCCGGGATGCAAAGATGGTTCAGCATATGCAAATCAATAAACGTGGCACAATGCATCAAAAGAATGCAGGACAAAAACCATAAATTATTTCAATAGATGCTTTTAAACATTCAATAAAATTCCACATCCTGTCATGAGAAAAACCCTGAACAAACTGTGTATAGGAAGAACATAATAAATGTCATATAAAATAAACTCACAGCTAGTATTATACTAAATGGGAAAAAAAACCGAAAGCCTTTTCTCTGATCTGGAACAAAACAAGGATACTCATTTTCCCCACTTATTCAACATAGTACTCAAAGTTTTAACCAGAGCAATTAGACAACAGAAAGAAACAAACAGCATGAATAATGGAAAGTCAAATTGTCATTGTTAGTAGATGATGTGACCTTATATTTAAACAAACCTAAAGATTCTTCCAAACAACTGTCAGAATTCATAAATGAATTCAGTAAAGTTCCAGGATACGGCCGGGCGCGGTGGCTCATGCCTGTAATCCCAGCATTTTCGGAGGCTGAGGTGGATGGATCACTAGAGGTAAGGAGTAGAGACCAGCCTTGCCAACATGGCGAAACCCCGTCTCTACTAAAAATTCAAAAATTAGGGTGGCGTGGTGGTACACACCAGGTGTGGTTATGAAGTCCCCCAGCACCTATGGCCAGGTGGGGTTGTGATGGCCTCCAGCACCTCTGGCCAGGTGGGGTTATGAACTCCCCCAGCACCTCTGGCCAGGTGGGGTTATGATGTCCCCGAGCACCACTGGCCAGGTGCGGTTATGATATCCCCCAGCACCTCTGGCCAGGTGCAGTTATGAAGTCCCCCAGCACCTCTGGCCAGGCGCGGTTATGAAGTCCCCCCGGCACCTATGGCCAGGCGTGGTTATGAAGTCCCCCCGGCACCTCTGGCCAGGCGTGGTTATGAAGTCCCCCCGGCACCTCTGGCCAGGTGGGGTTATGATGGCCCCCCCCGGCACCTCCGGCCAGGTGGGGTTATGATGGCCCCCCCGGGACCTCTGGCCAGGTGTGGTTATGAAGTCCCCAAGCACCTCTGGCCAGGTGGGGTTATGATGTCCCCCAGCACCTCTGGCCAGGTGTGGTTATGATGTCCCCCAGCACCTCTGGCCAGGTGGGGTTATGATGTCCCCCAGCACCTCTGGCCAGGTGTGGTTATGAAGTCCGCCCAGCACCTCTGGCCAGGTGTGGTTATGAAGTCCTCCTGGCACCTCTGGACAGGTGTGGTTATGAAGTCCTCCGGGCACCTCTGGCCAGGTGTGTTTATGAAGTCCTCCTGGCACCTCTGGCCAGGTGTGGTTATGATGTCCCCCCGGCACCTCTGCCCAGGTGTGGTTATGATGTCCCACCGGCACCTCTGGCCAGGTGTAGTTATGAAGTCCCCTGGCACCTCTGGCCAGGTGGGGTTATGAAGTCCCACCGGCACCTCTGGCCAGGTGTGGTTATGATGTCCCCCCGGCACCTCTGGCCAGGTGTGGTTATGAAGTCCCCTCCCAGCACCTCTGGCCAGGTGGGGATATAATACCCACCCCCAGCACCTCTGGCCAGGTGTGGTTATGATGTCCCCCCGGCACCTCTGGCCAGGTGTGGTTATGAAGTCCTCCGGGCACCTCTGGCCAGGTGTGGTTATGATGTCCCCCCGGCACCTCTGGCCAGGTGTGGTTATGATGTCCCCCCGGCACCTCTGGCCAGGTGTGGTTATGATGTCCCCCCAGCACCTCTGGCCAGGTGGGGTTATGAAGTACCCCCGGCACCTCTGGCCAGGTAGGGTTATGAAGTCCCACTGGCACCTCTGGCCAGGTGTGGTTATGATGTCCCCCCGGCAAGTCTGGCCAGGTGTGGTTATGAAGTCCCCCCACCAGCACCTCTGGCCAGGTGGGGATATAATACCCACCCCCAGCACCTCTGGCCAGGTGAGGTTATGATGTCCCCGCAGCACCTCTGGCCAGGTGTGGTTATGAAGTCCTCCCGGCACCTCTGGCCAGGTGGGGTTATGAAGTCCCCCCGGCACCTCTGGCCAGGTGACATTTATGAAGTCACCCCCAGCACCTCTGCTCAGGTGGGGTTATGAAGTTCCCCCCGCCCCCCAGCACCTCCGGCCGGGTGGGGTTATTATGGCCCCCCAGCATCTCTGGCCAGGTGGGATTATGATATCCCCTAGCACCTCTGGCCAGGTGAGGTTATGATGTCCCCCCAGCACCTCTGGCCAGGTGGGGTTATGAAATCCCCCGCAGCACCTCTGGCCAGGTGACATTTATGAAGTCACCCCCAGCACCTCTGGCCAGGTGGGGTTAAGAAGTTCCCCCCGCCCCCCAGCACCTCTGGCCAGGTGGGGTTATGATGGCCCCCCAGGACCTCCGGCCAGATTGGGTTATGATGGCCCCACAGCACCTCTGGCCAGGTGGGATTATGATACCCCCCAGCACCTCTGGCCAGGTGGGGTTATAATACACCCCCACAGCACCTCTAGCCAGGTGAGGTTATGAAGTCCCCCCAGCACCTCTGGCCAGGTGGGGTTATGAAATCTCCCCCAGCACCTATGGCCAGCTGTGGTTATGAAATCCCCCCCAGCACCTCTGGCCAGGTGACATTTATGAAGTCACCACCAGCACCTCTGGCCAGGTGGGGTTATGAAGTTCCCCCCGCCTCCCAGCACCTCCGGCCAGGTGGGGTTATGATGTCCCCCCAACATCTCTGGCCAGGTGGGATTATGATATCCCCCTAGCACCTCTGGCCAGGTGAGGTTAAGATGTCCCCCCAGCACCTCTGGCCAGGTTAGGTTATGAAATCCCCCCAGCACCTCTGGCCAGGTGACATTTATGAAGTCACCCCCAGCACCTCTGGCCGGGTGGGGTTATGAAGTTCCCCCCGCCCCCCAGCACCTCCGGCCAGCTGGGGTTATGATGGCCCCACAGCACCACTGGCTAGGTGGGGTTATGATGTCCCCCCAGCATCTCTGGCCAGGTGGGATTATGATACCCCCCAGCACCTCTGGCCAGGTGAGGTTATGATATCCCCCCAGCACCTCTGGCCAGGTGGGGTTATGAAATCTCCCCCAGCACCTCTGGCCAGGTGACATTTATGAAGTCACACCCAGCACCTCTGGCCAGGTGGGGTTAAGAAGTTCCCCCCAACCCCCAGCACCTCCGGCCAGCTGGGGTTATGATGGCCCCACAGCACCTCTGGCCAGGTGGGGTTATGATGTCCCCCCAGCATCTCTGGCCAGGTCAGATTATGATACCCCCCAGCACCTCTGGCCAGGTGAGGTTATGATGTCCCCCCAGCACCCCTGGCCAGGTGGGGTTATGAAATCCCCCCAAGCACCTCTGGCCAGGTGACATTTATGAAGTCAACCCCAGCACCTCTGGCCAGGTGGGGTTATGATGGCCCCACAGCACCTCTGGCCAGGTGGGGTTATGATGGCCCCCCAGCATCTCTGGCCAGGTGGGATTATGATATCCCCTAGCACCTCTGGCCAGGTGAGGTTATGATGTCCCCCCAGCACCTCTGGCCAGGTGGGGTTATGAAATCCCCCGCAGCACCTCTGGCCAGGTGACATTTATGAAGTCACCCCCAGCAACTCTGGCCAGGTGGGGTTATGAAGTTCCCCCCGCCCCCCGGCACCTCCGGCCAGCTGGGGTTATGATGGCCCCACAGCACCTCTGGCCAAGTGGGATTATGACCCCCCCAGCACCTCTGGCCAGGTGGGGTTATAATACCCCCCCACAGCACCTCTGGCCAGGTGAGGTTATGATGTCCCCCCAGCACCTCTGGCCAGGTGTGGTTATGAAGTCCTCCTGGCACCTCTGGCCAGGTGTGATTATGAAGTCCCACTAGCACCTCTGGCCAGGTGGGGTTATGAAATCTCCCCCAGCACCTCTGGCCAGCTGTGGTTATGAAATCCCCCCCAGCACCTCTGGCCTGGTGACATTTATGAAGTCACCCCCAGCACCTCCGGCCAGGTAGGGTTAGGAAGTTCCCCCCGCCCCCCAGCACCTCCGGCCAGGTGGGGTTATGATGTCCCCCCAGCATCTCTGGCCAGGTGGGATTATGATATCCCCCTAGCACCTCTGGCCAGGTGAGGTTATGATGTCCCCCCAGCACCTCTGGCCAGGTTGGGTTATGAAATCCCCCCAGCACCTCTGGCCAGGTGACATTTATGAAGTCACCCCCAGCACCTCTGGCCAGGTGGGGTTATGAAGTTCCCCCCGCCCCCCAGCACCTCTGGCAGGTGGGGTTATGATGTCCCCCCAGCATCTCTGGCCAGGTGGGATTATGATACCCCCCAGCACCTCTGGCCAGGTGAAGTTATGATGTCCCCCCAGCACCTCTGGCCAGGTGGGGTTATGAAGTCCCCCAGGACCTCTGGCCAGGTGGGGTTATGAAGTCCCCCCCAGCACCTCTGGCCAGGTGGGGTTATGAAATCCCCTCCAGCACCTCTGGCCAGGTGACATTTATGAAGTCACCCCTAGCACCTCTGTCCGGGTAGGGTTATGAAATTCCCCCTGCCCCCAGCACCTCCGGCCAGCTGGGGTTATGATGGCCCCACAGCACCTCTGGCCAGGTGGGGTTATGATGTCCCCCCAGCATCTCTGGCCAGGTGGGATTATGATACCCCCCAGCACCTCTGGCCAGGTGAGGTTATGATGTCCCCCAGCACCTCTGGCCAGGTGGGGTTATGAAGTCCTCCCGGCACCTCTGGCCAGGTGTGGTTATGAAGTCCCCCGCAGCACCTCTGGCCAGGTGGGGTTATGAAATCCCCCCCAGCACCTCTGGCCAGGTGACATTTATGAAGTCACCCCCAGCACCTCTGGCCAGGTGGGGTTATGAAGTTCCCCCCGCCCCCCAGCACCTGCGGCCAAGTGGGGTTATGATGGCCCCACAGCACCTCTGGCGAGGTGGGATTATGATGTCCCCCAGCACCTCTGGCCAGGTGGGGTTATGATGTCCCCCCTGGCACCTCTGGCCAGGTGGGGTTATGATGTCCCCCAGCACCTCTGGCCAGGTGGGGTTATGAAGTCCCACCGGCACCTCTGGCCAAGTGTGGTTATCACGTCCCCCCCCAGCACCTCTGGCCAGGTGGGGATATAATACCCACCCCCAGCACCTCTGGCCAGGTGAGGTTATGATGTGCCCCCGGCACCTCTGGCCAGGTGTGGTTATGATGTCCCCCCGGCACCTCTGTCCACGTGTGGTTATGAAGTCCCCCCGGCACCTCTGGCCAGGTGGGGTTATGAAGTCCCACCGGCACCTCTGGCCAGGTGTGGTTATGATGTCCCCCCGGTACCTCTGGCCAGGTGTGGTTATGAAGTCCTCCCGGCACCTCTGGCCAGGTGGGGTTATGAAGTCCCCCCGGCACCTCTGGCCAGGTGGGGTTATGAAATCCCCCCCAACACCTCTCGCCAGGTGACATTTTGAAGTCACCCCCAGCACCTCTGGCCAGGTGGGGTTAAGAAGTTCCCCCCGCCGCCCAGCACCTCTGGCCAGGTGGGGTTATGATGTCCCCCCTGGCACCTCTGGCCAGGTGGGGTTATGATGTCCCCCAGCACCTCTGGCCAGGTGGGGTTATGAAGTCCCACCGGCACCTCTGGCCAAGTGTGGTTATCACGTCCCCCCCCAGCACCTCTGGCCAGGTGGGGATATAATACCCACCCCCAGCACCTCTGGCCAGGTGAGGTTATGATGTCCCCCCGGCACCTCTGGCCAGGTGTGGTTATGATGTCCCCCCGGCACCTCTGGCCAGGTGTGGTTATGAAGTCCCCCCGGCACCTCTGGCCAGGTGGGGTTATGAAGTCCCACCGGCACCTCTGGCCAGGTGTGGTTATGATGTCCCCCCGGTACCTCTGGCCAGGTGTGGTTATGAAGTCCTCCCGGCACCTCTGGCCAGGTGGGGTTATGAAGTCCCCCCGGCACCTCTGGCCAGGTGGGGTTATGAAATCCCCCCCAACACCTCTCGCCAGGTGACATTTTGAAGTCACCCCCAGCACCTCTGGCCAGGTGGGGTTAAGAAGTTCCCCCCGCCGCCCAGCACCTCTGGCCAGGTGGGGTTATGATGGCCCCCCAGGACCTCCTGCCAGCTGGGGTTATGATGGCCCCACAGCACCTCTGGCCAGGTGGGATTATGATACCCCCCAGCACCTCTGGCCAGGTGGGGTTATAATACCCCCCCACAGCACCTCTGGCCAGGTGAGGTTATGATGTCCCCCCAGCACCTCTGGCCAGGTGTGGTTATGAAGTCCTCCTGGCACCTCTGGCCAGGTGTGGTTATGAAGTCCCCCCAGCACCTCTGGCCAGGTGGGGTTATGAAATCTCCCCCAGCACCTATGGCCAGCTGTGGTTATGAAATCCCCCCCAGCACCTCTGGCCAGGTGACATTTATGAAGTCACCACCAGCACCTCTGGCCAGGTGGGGTTATGAAGTTCCCCCCGCCTCCCAGCACCTCCGGCCAGGTGGGGTTATGATGTCCCCCCAGCATCTCTGGCCAGGTGGGATTGTGATATCCCCCTAGCGCCTCTGGCCAGGTGAGGTTAAGATGTCCCCCCAGCACCTCTGGCCAGGTTAGGTTATGAAATCCCCCCAGCACCTCTGGCCAGGTGACATTTAGGAAGTCACCCCCAGCACCTCTGGCCGGGTGGGGTTATGAAGTTCCCCCCGCCCCCCAGCACCTCCGGCCAGCTGGGGTTATGATGGCCCCACAGCACCTCTGGCCAGGTGGGGTTATGATGTCCCCCCAGCATCTCTGGCCAGGTGGGATTATGATACCCCCCAGCACCTCTGGCCAGGTGAGGTTATGATGTCCCCCCAGCACCTCTGGCCAGGTGGGGTTATGAAATCCCCCCCAGCACCTCTGGCCAGGTGACATTTATGAAGTCACCCCCAGCACCTCTGGCCAGGTGGGGTTAAGAAGTTCCCCCCAACCCCCAGCACCTCCGGCCAGCTGGGGTTATGATGGCCCCACAGCATCTCTGGCCAGGTGGGATTATGATACCCCCTAGCACCTCTGGCCAGGTGAGGTTATGATGTCCCCCCAGCACCTCTGGCCAGGTGGGGTTATGAAATCCCCCGAAGCACCTCTGGCCAGGTGACATTTATGAAGTCACCCCCAGCACCTCTGGCCAGGTGGGGTTATGAAGTTCCCCCCGCCCCTCGGCACCTCCGGCCAGGTGGGGTTATGAAATCCCCCCCCAGCACCTCTGGCCAGGTGACATTTATGAAGTCACCCCCAGCACCTCTAGCCAGGTGGGGTTAAGAAGTTCCCCCAGCCCCCAGCACTTCCGGCTAGCTGGGGTTATGATGGCCCCACAGCACCTCTGGCCAGGTGGGGTTATGATGTCCCCCCAGCATCTCTGGCCAGGTCAGATTATGATACCCCCCAGCACCTCTGGCCAGGTGAGGTTATGATGTCCCCCCAGCACCCCTGGCCAGGTGGGGTTATGAAATCCCCCCCAGCACCTCTGGCCAGGTGACATTTATGAAGTCACCCCCAGCACCTCTGGCCAGGTGGGGTTATGATGGCCCCACAGCACCGCTGGCCAGGTGGGGTTATGATGGCCCCCCAGCATCTCTGGCCAGGTGTGATTATGATATCCCCTAGCACCTCTGGCCAGGTGAGGTTATGATGTCCCCCCAGCACCTCTGGCCAGGTGGGGTTATGAAATCCCCCCCAGCACCTCTGGCCAGGTGACATTTATGAAGTCACCCCCAGCACCTCTGGCCAGGTGGGGTTATGAAGTTCCCCCCGCCCCCCAGCACCTCCGGCCAGCTGGGGTTATGATGGCCCCACAGCACCTCTGGCCAGGTGGGGTTATGACCCCCCCAGCACCTCTGGCCAGGTGGGGTTATAATACCCCCCCACAGCACCTCTGGCCAGGTGAGGTTATGATGTCCCCCCAGCACCTCTGGCCAGGTGTGGTTATGAAGTCCTCCTGGCACCTCTGGCCAGGTGTGATTATGAAGTCCCACTAGCACCTCTGGCCAGGTGGGGTTATGAAATCTCCCCCAGCACCTCTGGCCAGCTGTGGTTATGAAATCCCCCCCAGCACCTCTGGCCAGGTGACATTTATGAAGTCACCCCCAGCACCTCTGGCCAGGTGGGGTTATGAAGTTCCCCCCGCCCCCCAGCACCTCCGGCCAGGTGGGGTTATGATGTCCCCCCAGCATCTCTGGCCAGGTGGGATTATGATACCCCCCAGCACCTCTGGCCAGGTGAGGTTATGATGTCCCCCCAGCACCTCTGGCCAGGTGGGGTTATGAAATCCCCCCAGCACCTCTGGCCAGGTGACATTTATGAAGTCACCCCCAGCACCTCTGGCCAGGTGGGGTTATGAAGTTCCCCCCGCCCCCCAGCACCTCTGGCAGGTGGGGTTATGATGTCCCCCCAGCATCTCTGGCCAGGTGGGATTATGATACCCCCCAGCACCTCTGGCCAGGTGAAGTTATGATGTCCCCCCAGCACCTCTGACCAGGTGGGGTTATGAAGTCCCCCTGGCACCTCTGGCCAGGTGGGGTTATGAAGTCCCCCCCAGCACCTCTGGCCAGGTGGGGTTATGAAATCCCCTCCAGCACCTCTGGCCAGGTGACATTTATGAAGTTACCCCCAGCACCTCTGGCCGGGTGGGGTTACGAAATTCCCCCTGCCCCCAGCACCTCCGGCCAGCTGGGGTTATGATGGCCCCACAGCACCTCTGGCCAGGTGGGGTTATGATGTCCCCCCAGCATCTCTGGCCAGGTGGGATTATGATACCCCCCAGCACCTCTGGCCAGGTGAGGTTATGATGTCCCCCAGCACCTCTGGCCAGGTGGGGTTATGAAGTCCTCCCGGCACCTCTGGCCAGGTGTGGTTATGAAGTCCCCCGCAGCACCTCTGGCCAGGTGGGGTTATGAAATCCCCCCCAGCACCTCTGGCCAGGTGACAGTTATGAAGTCACCCCCAGCACCTCTGGCCAGGTGGGGTTATGAAGTTCCCCCCGCCCCCCAGCACCTCCGGCCAAGTGGGGTTATGATGGCCCCAGAGCACCTCTGGCCAGGTGGGATTATGATGTCCCCCAGCACCTCTGGCCAGGTGGGGTTATGATGTCCCCCCTGGCACCTCTGGCCAGGTGGGGTTATGATGTCCCCCAGCACCTCTGGCCAGGTGGGGTTATGAAGTCCCACCGGCACCTCTGGCCAAGTGTGGTTATGACGTCCCCCCCAGCACCTCTGGCCAGGTGGGGATATAATACCCACCCCCAGCACCTCTGGCCAGGTGAGGTTATGATGTCCCCCCGGCACCTCTGGCCAGGTGTGGTTATGATGTCCCCCCGGTACCTCTGGCCAGGTGTGGTTATGAAGTCCCCCCGGCACCTCTGGCCAGGTGGGGTTATGAAGTCCCACCGGCACCTCTGGCCAGGTGTGGTTATGATGCCCCCCCGGCACCTCTGGCCAGGTGTGGTTATGAAGTCCTCCCGGCACCTCTGGCCAGGTGGGGTTATGAAGTCCCCCCGGCACCTCTGGCCAGGTGGGGTTATGAAATCCCCCCCAGCACCTCTCGCCAGGTGACATTTTGAAGTCACCCCCAGCACCTCTGGCCAGGTGGGGTTAAGAAGTTCCCCCCGCCGCCCAGCACCTCTGGCCAGGTGGGGTTATGATGGCCCACCAGGACCTCCTGCCAGCTGGGGTTATGATGGCCCCACAGCACCTCTGTCGAGGTAGGATTATGATACCCCCCAGCACCTCTGGCCAGGTGGGGTTATAATACCCCCCCACAGCACCTCTGGCCAGGTGAGGTTATGATGTCCCCCCAGCACCTCTGGCCAGGTGTGGTTATGAAGTCCTCCTGGCACCTCTGGCCAGGTGTGGTTATGAAGTCCCCCCAGCACCTCTGGCCAGGTGGGGTTATGAAATCTCCCCCAGCACCTATGGCCAGCTGTGGTTATGAAATCCCCCCCAGCACCTCTGGCCAGGTGACATTTATGAAGTCACCACCAGCACCTCTGGCCAGGTGGGGTTATGAAGTTCCCCCCGCCCCCCAGCACCTCCGGCCAGGTGGGGTTATGATGTCCCCCCAGCATCTCTGGCCAGGTGGGATTATGATATCCCCCTAGCACCTCTGGCCAGGTGAGGTTAAGATGTCCCCCCAGCACCTCTGGCCAGGTTGGGTTATGAAATCCCCCCAGCACCTCTGGCCAGGTGACATTTATGAAGTCACCCCCAGCACCTCTGGCCGGGTGGGGTTATGAAGTTCCCCCCGCTCCCCAGCACCTCCGGCCAGCTGGGGTTATGATGGCCCCACAGCACCTCTGGCCAAGTGGGGTTATGATGTCCCCCCAGCATCTCTGGCCAGGTGGGATTATGATACCCCCCAGCACCTCTGGCCAGGTGAGGTTATGATGTCCCCCCAGCACCTCTGGCCAGGTGGGGTTATGAAATCCCCCCCAGCACCTCTGGCCAGGTGACATTTATGAAGTCACCCCCAGCACCTCTGGCCAGGTGGGGTTAAGAAGTTCCCCCCGCCCCCCAGCACCTCCGGCCAGCTGGGGTTATGATGGCCCCACAACACCTCTGGCCAAGTGGGGTTATGATGTCGCCCCAGCATCTCTGGCCAGGTCAGATTATGATACCCCCCAGCACCTCTGGCCAGGTGAGGTTATGATGTCCCCCCAGCACCTCTGGTCAGGTGGGGTTATGAAATCCCCCCCAGCACCTCTGGCCAGGTGACATTTATGAAGTCACCCCCAGCACCTCTGGCCAGGTGGGGTTAAGAAGTTCCCCCCGCCCCCCAGCACCTCCGGCCAGGTGGGGTTATGATGGCCCCACAGCACCTCTGGCCAGGTGGGGTTATGATGGCCCCCCAGCATCTCTGGCCAGGTGGGATTATGATACCCCCTAGCACCTCTGGCCAGGTGAGGTTATGATGTCCCCCCAGCACCTCTGGCCAGGTGGGGTTATGAAGTTCCCCCCGCCCCCCGGCACCTCCGGCCAGCTGGGGTTATGATGTCCCCCCAGAATCTCTGGCCAGGTGGGATTATGATATCCCCCTAGCACCTCTGGCCAGGTGAGGTTAAGATGTCCCCCCAGCACCTCTGGCCAGGTTGGGTTATGATGGCCCCACAGCACCTCTGGCCAGGTGGGATTATGATACCCCCTAGCACCTCTGAGCAGGTGAGGTTATGATGTCCCCCCAGCACCTCTGTCCAGGTGTGGTTATGAAGTCCTCCCGGCACCTCTGGCTAGGTGTGGTTATGAAGTCCCCCCAGCACCTCTGGCTAGGTGGGGTTATGAAATCTCCCCCACCACCTCTGGCCAGGTGACATTTATGAAGTTCCCCCCCTCAGCACCTCTGGCCAGGTGGGGTCATGAAGTCCCCCAAGCCGCCCCTGAGGAACAGGCGAGGCAAGGGCCAGCAGGCACTACTAGCGGGTCGGGACAGCTGCTTCGCTGATGCTGGTTGTGTAGCATGGATGTGTGTAGCGTGACTGTGTTGTGTGGATGGGGCACGGAAATCCGCAGAGACCATCACTGGAGGGAGAAGCTGCAGGGCCGGGAGGGTTCAGCAGGTAAGCAGTTCAGGGTTCCTGGAAAGGCGGGTCCCAATGCATTTGCTGACCGGGCACCTAACGGGCTGCTCTCAAAATCACTGACTGTCACCGAGGCCGGCCAGAGACCCTTATGTATCTGATTCACGATGACACCAGCTAACTCTGAGTACAGTAGAAAACGTACCGTCGGGCAACCAGAAAATGCGCACTCCAGTCCCCACCACGGGACAGCGCCAGGCAGTACCCTCCACAGCCGGAGCTCGAACTGTCGCGAGAATAGCGGTCGGCTTGGAAGTCGCCCGGCGCGGGAGCGCGAACTCTCGCGAGAATGCCGCCAGCTCCGGAGGCGACTGCGGCAGGAGCCCGAGCTCTCGCGCGACAGGCACCAATTCGTTAGACGCGCGCTGCAGGAGCGCGGAACATGGCGCGGCACGGGCCACCGTGGAGTCGGTTGGACGCGCAGCAGGAGCGCGACGTGCGGGAGCTCGTCCGGGGTGTCGCCGGCCTCCAGGACGAGGCAGACCCCAACTTCCAGCTCGCCCTAAACTTCGCCTGGTCCAACTTCAGGTGTGGGGCACGGCGCGCGGGCGGGTTCCCGGCCACAGCCCGGAGCCCGCGCGTGGGTCCCGCACAGCCCGGGGTCGGGGCGCGCTGGGGCAGGGCATGGGGCGGAGGCGGGCGCGGCCTCAGGGAGCCTTCGCAGGCCCTGCCACCGCCTGCTCCCCGCCGGCCAGCGCTCTCGGCGCGGTGCCCTGCGCACCACAGGGCGTGTTACCCGGGACGCGTCCTGATCGTCACGGGGAAAGCGTGAACTGGGTTTCTTGCCGGCCGGCGCGCGCGCCTGCAACCCCAGCGCTCTGGGAGGCCCAGGCGGGACTCCAGGCCAGCTTGGGCAACGTAGCAACTCCATGTTTATAATTTTTTTTTTTTTTAAATTAAAGAGATTGTATTCTCACTGACTCCTGCTCCCTGGTCAGCCCAGTGTAAGATCTCTCACCCTGCTCTCCTTTTTCCAAAACGCGTGTCATGACACTGATTTAACCTGTCATTACTGTCTCCTCCACTTCCACTCCAGCTAGAATGCTGCATCTCTGCACAGCTCCTGGCACGTAGCACGCTGAGTCACCTAATACAATTTCTAATGCAGTTTCTCTTGTAACTAATTTTTAAAGACTTACAGAATTTAGATATTTACGTAAAGTGAGATCTCCTATTTTTCTTTATGGGAGATGTAAATTAATACTTTTAGAGTCATTACCCATAATGAAATTATTACTAAAAAAATGTTAATGTTAATATTCTACCTGTTTAATTTCAGTAAAAATCTTCTTGAATAATGAACAGTTTTTCAAAATCCGTAATCTTAGTTACCTTAATGATCATAGCCATAAAGTGTCTAGTTGGCTTATAATAGGAATACGGGGCTTTCAGATTCTTTTAAACCATGCCAAGTTTCTGAAGTAATAAACTGAATTCTTAAGTGTAACTTATAAAAATAAACAATGTGTGAAATAGGTTATACAATACAGAAACTTAAATGCTGAAATCCAAGTTATTTTTCTACTAATATTTCTAAATGACAGTAGGCAGATTGTCATCATTTTAGAGCTGGGAGAGACGTTGGAGGTTACTATTTTCATTCACAGATTTCAGGAACTAAATTATAATAGGTAAAGTGGTGTTCCATTCACCCATTTACTGGCCTAGAATCATGTGTTTTTCAGTAGTGTAATTTTATTTAAGTACAGATTGCTCGCTTTGATACTAAAAAATGGAAAACATTTTTTGCATAGGCTATGCTATGTACATATACATTAGTTGCATAGGCTGTGCTGTAATTTTATGATGCTTTAAACCATCAGAAAAATGAATAGTTCATGTTTACATTCTTGAAAATTGTGGACTGGGCGCGGTGGCTCACGCCTGTAATCCCAGCACTTTAGGAGGCCGAGGTGGGTGGATCACGAGGTCAGGAGATCGAGACTATCCTGGCTAACACGGTGAAACCCGGTCTCTACTAAAAGTACAAAAAATTAGCCGGGCGTGGTGGCAGGCGCCTGTAGTCCCAGCTACTTGGGAGGCTGAGGCAGGAGAATGGCGCGAACCCAGGAGGCGGAGCTTGCACTGAGCAAGCTCACTTTTCTCTAACTGAAAAGTAGCATCTCCTTCTATTATGAATGAAGGCAGCAAACCATAGCAGTATTAGCCTACCTATGACTTTATCACCAGTAGAAATCGCATACTGTTTTCACATCAGAGTTGTAGATATTTGTAAATGTTGTTTACTGTTACTTTAATGGTAGTTAATTGGACCTACTGCTAAATCTTGTTATTTAATACTTTCATAAATAACATTTCTTGCCATATCTTAAACTTCTTTAAATATTTGACAACTGTATCTCAGTATAATGGGATTCCTTTGTATTTATTTTTTGGCTTTAAAAATGTTATTCAGAGAAGGGGTCCTTAGGCTTCACCGGGCCTCACTATGGCATAAAAAGGTTGGGACCACCTGATGTAGAATGTGTTCAGCTGGACTTAGGTACAGGGGCTTATGGGAAGACAGAGGAGCCAGAGGACAAGGTTGGGAGGGTCAGGAAGAACCTGTGTGCTGGAGAAAGGATGCTTGCACAGTCTCGGACACGGTGATTATTTGCCTGCCTGATGGTGGAGGTAACGGAGGACAAGGTACACTCCATTCTGGAAATGTGTAGCTGAGTACAGAGCATATGGGGGATATGGAGGGCCATGAGATGAGTTCACTTACCTGTGTGACAGAGTTGGCATAAGAATTGCATTTTGTCTTTAATAGATTTCATCGTTTCTTGGATGTCAACAGCCACAAAATAGAAAAAACAATCGAAGGGTAAGTCAGTGTGTATATATACGCATCCAGAAATATATGTATTTTCTTATAGATCTTTTTAAGATAGCTTTATAATCTTTTCTTATATTTTAGAATTTATGAAAAATTTGTCATTCATTCTGATCTAAGCAAAGCTGCTAGTTGGAAGAGATTAACGGAGGAATTTCTAAATGCACCACTTCCCAGTATAAAGGAAATAAAGGTATGCCTTCAATTATGAAATCTCCACTGTGTATTTTACTGTTTCCTATCTGATTATCGTCAATTTGTTTCAGTTACTGTTTAAACATTCTATTTTAGTATTATCTACTGGCTAACGGGATCTCTTGGAAATTTACTTAAATATTGCCATCAAACCAGATATGCCTCAGTTTGTGATGAAAGAAAGAGCTTGTTTTTAATCATTTTTTCACCTCAGTCCTACTAAGGAAAGAGAGATCAGAGATTGATACAAATAGTAGCATTGTTTGGGTATCTCAAAACTTTCAAATGGTTTCTCAGCACTTGGCAGTGACTGTCTGTAGATGCTTACTAGATGCCTGGTATACTTTCATATTGTTTGGGGGATTCCCCAAGACCACCTTTTGGCATAATGATTTGCTCAAAGGATTCACAGAACTTAAAAAAAAAAAGCTGTTATCCTCACTGTTAATAGTTTATTACAGTGAAAGGATACAGATTAAAATCACCAAAGGGAAAAGGTGCTTAGAGCAAAGTCTAGGAGAAGCTAGGCACGCATGTCCAAATGTTCCTTCCTAGTGGAGTCACCTGGGGATGCAGTTAATTCTCTCAGTAACAGTATATGACAACATGTGCAAAGTATTACCCTCCACTCCCCCCAGGGCCACTCGGCTGAGCCTTGGTGACCAGCATTTTTATTGGGGGTGGGTCACATAAGCAAGCAGAGCCCACATGGCTGACCTTAGCTGCTGAGTCTGTAGCCCCCTAGAGGTCAAACCAAGGATGGCAAGCGTATGGAAACAGCTGTGGGTTCCCTGAACACGGTGGGACCACATTCCCTAGCTCTGCTGTGACACATCTTGTGCCTACATAGTTCTTTCCCTTTCTCCTGCCTGAGGAAGCTCACGTTTTAATATTAAACTCAGGCACTGTCTCCACACATGCTATGTATTTCAATTCTTTATAGTTCCTTTCTTGTCTCCCCCTTTAAAAGGCACATTTTACAGGCATAGGGCTCTGTGTCTGATTTGTTCCCGGACACCTAGAGCACAGTGGACAGTGCATGTTTGTTGAGGGAATCAGTAAGGCTGTGCAGTCTTGTCTGCTTCACTATCCCCTCTGTGTCCACAGCCCCCACCCACTTACACAAGGTGGGATTGGTTATCCTTTTCTCTTGCTGTGTGGCATCTTGGATGTGTTTGTTATGGCAGAGGTCCCCAACCCCCACATGGTGGACGAGTACCAATATGTGCCTGCTAGGAACAGGGCTCCATGGCAGGAGGTGCAGTGGGGTGAGTGAGGATGACTGCCTGAGCTCCACCTCCTGTCAGATCAGCGGTGGCATTAGATTCTCATAGGAGAGCAAACCCCATTGTGAACTGCACATTTGAGGGATCTAGGTTGCATGCTCCTTATGACAATCTAATGCCTAATGATCTGAGGTGGAACAGTTTCATCCTTGAAACCAACCCCCACCCAACAGTCCATGGAAAAATTGTCTTCCACAAAACCAGTCCCTGGTGCCAAAACGGTTGGGGATTGCTGTGTGGTGTAGCAATAACTTCACACTTTTTTTCTTTTTTTTTTTTAAGACTGAGTGTCACTTTGTCACCCAGGCTTGGAGTGCAGTGGTGCAGTCTCGACTCATTGCAACCCCCACTTCCCAGATTCAAGTGATTCTCCTGCCTCAGCCTCCCGAGTAGCTGGGATTACAGGTGCCCACCACCATGCCCAGCTAATTTTTTGTATTTTTAGTAGAGACAGGGTTTCACCATGTTGGCCAGGCTGGTCCCGAACTCTTGACCTCAAGCAATCCACCTGCCTTGGCCTCCCAAAGTGCTGGGATTACAGGCATGAGCCACCATGCCGAGCTTCTTTATTATCCTTTTAATGTCTGTGGGATCAGTAGTGATGACCCCTCTTTATTTTCTGATTTTAGTAATGTATGTATACTCTCTTTTTTTTTGTGGTTAGTATGTCTAGAGATTTATTAATGTTATTAATCTCTTCAGCGAATCAGTTTTTGGTTTTGCCATTTTTATTATTGTTCCTGTTTTCAATGTCTTTTTGTTTGTTTGTTTTTTTGTTTTTTGAGACGGAATCTTGCTCTGTTGCCCAGGCTGGAATGCAATGGTGCAATCTCAGCTCACTGCAGCCTCAGCCTCCCAAGTAACTGGGATTACAAGCGTACACCACCCCGCCCGGCTAATTTTTGTATTTTTAGTAGAGATGAGGTTTCGCCATGTTGGCCAGGGTAGTGTCGAACTCCTGACCTCAAGTGATCTGCCCACCTTGGTTCCAAAAGTGCTGGGATTACAGGCGTGAGCCACCCCGGCCTGCTCTGTTGATATATTTTCAAGCTCATGCCAGTCTACTGGGTGAGCCCATCAAAAGCATTCTTCATTTCTGACACTTTATTTTTCATTGGAACACTTCGATTCTTTGAGTTTCCATCTCACCACTTATATTTCTGATCTGTTCTTCCTTGTTATCCACATTTTTCATTAGCACTCTTAGCATATTAATCATAGTTGTTTTCAATTCCCGGGCTGATAATTCCAACATCCCTGCCATATTTGAGTCTGGTTTGGATGCTTGCTCTGTCTCTTCTGACATACTGTCAGGTGGCCAGTGTTGTCTACCTGGACACCTGAGCCCAGGACTCTGGGGCTTTTATTGGGGGCTTATCTCTTAGGCATAGGACCTGTGTGACTGACCACAATTACTGAAGTTCCAGAGCCTTCAAAGGAAAGCAGGTGTTCACCTTCAGTCACACTGTTTGCGCAAACTATCTAAACAGACTAGTACAACATGGTTCAAGATCTGAGCATACAGAACACATTTGCCAGTTCAGATATTTCAAGAGCTCAGTTACCACAAGCTGGCCAAGGCTTATTCATGAAAATAAGCCCTTTTGGGGGATGCTGAAGGCTTTGGCAATTCAGGCTTGCTGAGTTAATGCATTCCCACACAGCTAATATCCCAATTTAAAAATCAATCATATAAATAAGAAAAGACTGGCAATCAAATAGAAACTTGAACAGAGGAGAGTAATACCCAATAAAGGAAAATCAGTAATTTTAAGCTTATGGAAAAGTGCCTACCATTTCATAAGATAAGATAAATGCAAATTAAAGCAACACTGAGAGAATGTTTTTCACCGATCTGATTAATAAAAGGTGTGGGAAACAGGTAATTCTATGCGTATGTATATTTGTATTACCTGTATGGAATATATTTTGGCATTATTTCTCAAAATTCCAAATGCAAACACTCTTTGACTTAGTGTTTCACTTTTTAGGAATTTATTATACAGATAAACTCTTATAATTATGAAACAACAGCCAAGTGTGGTGGCCCATGCCTGTAATCCCAGTACTTTGGGAGGCCAAGGTGGGCGGATCATGAGGTCAGGAGTTGGAGACCATCCTGGCCAACATGGTGAAACCCCATCTCTACTAAAAATACAAAAGTTACCCGGGCGTGGTGGCGCGTACCTGTAATCCCAGCTACTCGGGAGGCTGAGACAGGAGAATCACTTGAACCAGGGGAGGCTGAGGTTGCGGTGAGCTGAGATTGCACTATTGCACTCCAGCCTGGGCGACAGAGCGAAAATCCATCTCGGGGGGAAAAAAAATATGAAACAACATAAGTTTGTGATAGCAAAAGATTGGGAAAAAATCTAAATTTCATTAATAGGGGACTGGTTAAATAAAATATGATACATCTTAGTTAAACTATCAGGCATGTTTAACCTTCATGATACATATTGCCACAGGAGAATAATTTTTAACCATAATGTTATACTCTAAAGACATTTCCGTCGTTTTAGAAATAAAAAGCTGTCATCCACTCAGATCTTATACTTGTTAGAAATATAGAACTCAGATTTCAGATGGCTTTGAGGTTCCTTATGTGTATGCATTTGAGCTATGAAGAAGTTTGAAGGTTAAGGATTATTTAGGTATAACTCATGTTTTCTCAAACCAGGAAAAAAATTGGGGACATAACTGTCATGGAGTTATCTTTACTCAATCTGGTGTAGAAAGCATTTCCCAACCTCAGAGATTTATGTTCTTTTTTTTGTTTTAAAGACAGATGCACATTATTCCATACTGTCACTTCTTCTGTGTCTGTCAGACTCTCCTTCAAACAGCAGTTATGTGGAGACACCAAGAAATAAAGAAGTGGGTATGTTACTAGATTCCTTAACATATGAGAAGTAAAAGAGAAATTGTTTGATTACTTAGTTGCTAAACACTGAGTTTTATTGAAACTTCTAAAAATCTGTGAAACTAAAGTATTTCTATTGCTTTAGATGCTATCACAATTGTAAAATTTTATTTAAAATGCTGTCAGCCCTCTATATTCTCAGGTTCCAGACCCACAGATTCAATCAACTACAGATCAAAAATATTCAAAATAAATAAATAATAATACAACAGTCTAAAATAATACAATCTTTTAAAAAACTATTTACATAGCATTTACATGATATTAGGTATTATAAGTAATCTAGAGATTATTTAAAGTATACAGCAGGATGTATTTAGGTTATGTGCACATACTACACCATTTTCTGTCAGCCTTGAGCATTGCGGAGGGTGGTGTACCTCCTGGAACCAATTCCCCTCAGATATTGAGGGATGACTGTATTCGTTCTAACTTTACAAACTACCTTCAGCTGTAGAAAGAGAACACTCACCTTTGAGAATGAGTTAATTAAAATGTAAAATGTTTTAGGATATCAATTTATTAAATGTTTCAATATTTTTAAATTTTTATTTCCTGAGTATTTTGAGTCTTGTTAGTCTTTTTTCCTTAGTTTTGAGGTTTTTTTTCAAAGATAGATATAATAAAGCCAATGAAGTTCTTCTGTTACATTTTAGAAAAGAAAGATGATTTCGACTGGGGAAAATACTTGATGGAAGATGAAGAAATGGACATTGGTCCGTACATGGACACACCAGTAAGTGGTAGTAGTTTTGCTATTGAAAATTGAAATACACGCCAGGTGATATAGATGATTTTCATGGGTCTTTCCACCCTAGGTCAACTTAGCTAAAACAGGAACACTCTTCACTAAGCTAGAGTCATTTATTATGGAAGACTGATTAGGATTTCGCACCAAATCATTAGTGGTAAGAAGTTAAAAGGGGCCGGGCGTGGTGGCTCACATCTGTAATCTCCTGCTCACTTTCGAGAGGCAGGAGGATTGCTTGAGCCTAGGAATTTGAGACCAGCCTGGGCAACATAGCGAGATCCTGTGTCTATTTTTAAAAAATAAATTCTAAAAAAGTTGTCTGGGCTTGGTGGCTCACAACTGTAATCCCAGCATTGTGGGAGGCTGAGGTAGGCGGATCACTTGAGGCCAGAGGAGTTCGAGAGCAGCCTGGGCAACATAGTGAAACCCCGTCAACTAAGAATACAAAAAATTAGCTGGGTGTGGTGGTACACGCCTGTAATCCCAGCTACTCAGGAGGCTCAGGCACGAGAATCTCTTGAACACAGGAGGTGGAGGTTGCAATGAGCTGAGATCGTGCTATTGCACTCCAACCTGGATGACAAAGCGAGAGACTCTGTCTCAAAAAAAAAAAAAGAAGTTAAAAGGGGTGAGTACAAGTATCCCTTAAGGACCTGTGATCTTGGGACTTTTTGCCACAAAAAATAATTCCATTCCTTATTATTTCAACATTATAGAAAAAAAGAAAAAGTAGTAATCATATTTCCATTCCTATAATAGGCACTTCCAAGAGATTTAGGAAAAAAAAATTTGTTTTTCTGTTCCATGTTGCTTCAAAGTTTTTGCTTTTCTTCAAAGTTTTCTTAGTCTTTTAATGTAAATAGCTTTAAGTGTTATACTCTGTAAAGCTAAAGTGTATCTCTTTTTTAAATCAGAATTGGTCTGAAGAAAGTGAAGAGGAAAATGATCAACAGCCCTTAAGCAGAGAGGACTCTGGAATTCAGGTAGACAGGACACCGTTAGAAGAACAAGATCAAAACAGAAAACTGGATCCTTGTATCAGTTGGAAAGGTATTATGTGTTATGAGGTGCTCGCATTTTCTAATAGACAAATTCCCTAGAAGGAAAGGCAAACTTTGAGATCAGTTCCATGTAATCAAGGTATTGGCTAAGCTCTACCATCCTTATAAAACCAATTTTTAAAACCATTAGTAATGTTTTCTATGATGCTTAAGTAGTAGTACTATAGAATTAATGTTGAATTCATACATGTAGAGTGTAATTTTGTAATTTTTTTCCTATACTTCTGAGAACTTTCTCAGCTGTAAATGTTTCCTTTTTTTTTTTTTTTTTTAATTGGAGAAGGACTGATTTTGCTAAGATTGTGCCACTGCACTCCAGCTCTGGCAACAGAGCGAGACCCTGTCTCAAAAAAAAATTAAAATAAAAAAGTATAAGGGAGGATATGCATAGGTTATATGCAAATACTATGCCATTTTATATCAGGGACTTGAGCACCTGCAGATTTTGGCGTCTGCAGCATTCCTGCAACCAGTCCCCATTGGATACTGAGGGACAGCTGCATTTATTCCGGACTTTCTAATCTGTGCACTTGGTGTCAGTGTGACCCAGAAACAGACAGACTTTTTTATTTGTGTGGCTTTGTAGTATTATGTCTTAATACATAGATGGCAAGTTTCCTTTCAGCTACTTGGGAGGCTGAGGCAGGAAAATCACTTGGCTCCTTTTCTTTTTTTTTGGAGACAAGGGTCTCACTCTGTTTCCCAGGCTAGAGTGCAGTGGCACAATCTTAGCTCACTGCAACCTCTGCCTCCTGGCCTCAAGCGATCCTCCCACCTCAGCCTCCTGAGTAGCTGGAACTACAGGTGAGTGCCACCATACCCAGTTAATTTTTGTATTTTTTGTAGACACAGGGTTTCACCATGTTGCCCAGGCTAGTCTCAAACTCCTAGACTCAAGCAATTACTCCGCCTCTGCGTCCCAAAGTGCTGGGATTACAGATGTGAGCCACCATGCCCAGCCCACTTTGCTCTTCCCCCCCACCCCCTTTTTTTGAGACGGAGTCTCACTCTGTCGCCCAGGCTATGGTACAGTAGCATGATCTCACCTCACTGCAAACTCCATCTCCCAGGTTCAAACAATTCTCCTGCCTCAGTTTCCCGAGTAGCTGGGGTTACAGGCGTGTACCACACTCAGCTAATTTTTGTATTTTTAGTAGAGACAGGGTTTCACCATGTTGGCCAGGCTGGTCTCAAATTCCTGACCTCAACTCGTCCACCTGCCTCTGCCTCCCAACGTGCGGGGATTACAGATGTGAATCACTGCTCTTTTTCAAAATTGGCTTAGCTATTTGTGAACTTTTATTCTTCTATAGACATTTTGGAAGCAGGGTGGTAAACTTTAAAGAAAAAAAAGGCCAGGTGCAGTGGCTTACGCCTGTAATCGCAGCACTTTGGGAGGCCGAGCTGGGTGGATCACTTGAGGTCAGGAGTTCAAGACCAGCCTGACCAACATGGTGAAACCCCACGTCTACTAAAAATACAAAATTAGCTGGGCATAGTGGCGCATGCCTGTAATCCCAGCTACCTGGGAGGCTGAAGCAGAAGAATCGCTTGAACCCAGCAGGTAGAGGTTGCAGAGAGCCAAGATCACACCATTGCACTCCAGCCTGGGCAACAAGAGCAAAACTTTATCTCAAAAAAAATAAATAAATAAAAAATAATCCAGCTGGAGTTTTTATTGGGATTGCAGAGAATTTATAGATCTAATTTGGGGAGGCTTGATTGCCTTAACATAATAATAGCTACATTTATCGTAATTTTTTATCTTTTACTAGAGTTTGGAAATTTTTTTTAAACATCTTGAGTGTTCATTTGTTAATTTCTACATATGTTATAGTTTTTATTTTTGTGAATGTTGCCTCTTTTGTTTATTCCTGATGTAGAAGAAATAATATTGCTTTCTGTAAGTTGTCCGTATATGCAGCATTTTTACTGAATTCTCATAATAGTTTGTTGATTCATTTGGTTTCTTATATAGATGATTAGTATCATCTGCGAATATTGATGGTTTTATTCTTCCTGCTAGTTCTTATGCCTGTATCTTCTCTGTGACATGATCAAATCTCTTTTCTGGCCCAGCAGCCCAACCCTCTAGTCCGTAGCAGAAGCAACAGCTCATGGGAGTGGGCTTCCTGGATGACTAGGTCTCATCCTAAGGGGGGTTATACCTGAAACTCCTCCGTTAAGTGTGATGGTTGTTTGGTATCAGTTCAGGGTATGTGGCCTTTATCAAATTAAGACAATTTCCTTCTATTACTTTTTTTTTCTAGAAGTCTTTAATTATGAATAAATGTTGAATTTTTATTAAATGCTACTATTTATCCGTGAGATAATCTCATAACTTTTCTCTTTTATCCTAATAATGCATCGATAGATTTTCTGATGTTGAATTATCCTTGAATTCTTCACCTAAACTTGCTTGATCATGTTATTTTTTAGTACATTTTTAGATCGGATTCAATTTTGGATTTGCTTTTTTTTTTTTTTTTTTTTTAAGACCGGGCCCTGCTCTGTCACCCAGGCTGGAGTGCAGTAGCGTGATCACAGCTCACTCCAGCCTCAACCTCCTGGGCTCAAAGTATCCTCCCACCTCAGCCTCCTAAGAAGCTGGGGCTTCCAGTGCATGCCACCACACCCAGCTAAGTTTGTTACTTTTTTGTAGAGATGAGGTCTCACTATGTTTGAGACCAGCCCAGGCTGGGATTGCAGGTGTGAGCCACCGAGCCCAACAGGTTAGCTCTTTTTTAATGTAGGATTTTTCATCTTTATTCTTTGATGAATTACATGTATCCTGTCTTTGTCTAGTTTAAAGCATCACTGTTACATTAGCCTCATAAAATGTTAGGTGGCTTTCTCTTTTTCTGCTTTTTCAAACAACTTGTATAAGATAGAGGTTATCTAATCCTTCAAAATTTAGCACCAGTCCTGAGACTTCCGTAGTGGTTGGGAAGGTCTTCAGTTACCATTTCAGTTTCCTTAATGGTTACTGGACAATTAACATATACCATTTATATCTTTTTATGTATGTGGCAATTTTTTTTTTTTTTACTTTCTAGTCAGTTACATTTAATTAAATTTAGTATGCGTTTCTATATGTGTGGTTTTATTTTATTTTACTTTGTTTTTTGAGATAGGGTCTTACTGTGTCACCCAGGCTGGAGCGTAGTGGCATGATCTCAGATCACTGCAGCCTCAACCTCTTGGCTCAACCAGTCCCCTCTCGTGTCAGCCTCCCGAGAACAAGCACATGCCACCATCCCTGGCTAATTTTTTTGTATTTTTTGTGGAGATGGGGGGTCATACTTTGTTGCCCAGGCTGGTCTTGAACTCCTGGATTCAAGTGGTCATCCCACCCTGGCTTCCCAAAGGGCTGGGATTATATGTGTGAGCCATAGAACCCAGCAGATATATGTGGTTTAAAATAATCATATATACATAAATGTTAGGTAGCTGTTATTTTTAAAAAGCCATTTTCAACTATACGTTTGAATGGAGCTGTAAGTCCAGGTATTGTGACCCAGTATTTTGTTGTTGTTAACTCAAACTGATTACATTTCTTTCAAGCAGATGAGCCAGATGACCGAAGCTGGCTGGAACATCATGTGGTCCATCAGTACTGGACAGCCAGGCCCTCCCAGTTTCCTCATAGTTTACATTTGCACTCTAATTTAGCTGCTGTCTGGTAAGAAGCTAAAGTTTTCATTTAATGTGATGATAGAAGAAACTTTGATGTTTAAACGTTTGGCTTTGATTTGTGACTTAAGTTCTTCCCTGAAATTTAAACTTGTTTTTGTTTTGACAATTCTTTTTTTTTTGGAGACAGATTCTCACTCTTCGTTGCCCAGACTGCAGTGCAGTGGTCAGATCTCAGCTCACTGCAGTCTAGACCTCACTCAACTAATTTTTTATTTTTTATTTTATTTTACTTTTTTTTGCAGGGGGAGACAAAGTCTCGCTCTGTCACCCTGGCTGGAGTGCAGTGGCGTAATCATGGCTCACTGTAACATCTGCCTCCCGGGTTCCAGCAATTGTCGTCCTTCAGCCTCCCAAGTAGCTGAGATTATAGGTGCATGCCACCATGCCCAGCTAATTTTTATATTTTTAGCGGAGATGGGGTTTTACCATGTTGGCCAGGCTGGTCTTGAACTCCTGTCCTCAAGTGATCCACCTGCCTCGGCCTCCCAAAGTGCTGGAATTACAGGCGTGAGCCAGCACACCTGGCTGGTGTTGAAAATTTTAGTTGAATAGTTTTTAATTATTTGTTATTGAAAATCATTAAATTATAGTATTATTTAATTATAGTCTCTGTTTCCATTTTTTGTTGTTAATTTCAGTGTAAATGGATTGGTATATATTAGGGCATTATTTGATTTCTGTTTTGGTATACTTACTGCAAAAATACACATCTTGTTTTCCAGAAAACAACATTACATAGTTGTAAACATTTGCCTAAATCAGCAATAAACGTAACAATTGTAATTGTTCTGAAAGTGTTTCTCAGAGTATTCTGATTGACATGAAAATATAGGGGGCATTTAAGCCATTTATTATGTATACTTGTTAGTTGATTGCTACTTAAGTTAGCACTAAATTGCAGATATTCTTTGAGATAAGTTATTTACTTACTTAGAAACCTTTCTATTGACATTTATGTTTGCTGTCTCATAGGGACCAACACTTGTACAGCAGTGATCCATTGTATGTTCCAGATGACAGGGTTTTGGTTACTGAGACTCAGGTTATTCGGGAAACCCTATGGTAAGAAATGTTCATTTAATTAATAGTCTTTATGAGACTTGATTACTGAGAAGCAAAAACTTTTATTAAAGGAAACTTTTCAAGCATTTTCACATGCAAACTAGAAAAGGTCCATTAGGTGTGAAGTTCGGACCAGATTTGACTGTGGAGATTGAGAGAGTTTGATATAATTACTTCATTTTCATTTTAAATAATTTAGCATATGATTTACTTAGGTTAGCCCATCTCTTCTTTAACACCTGAGTTCAAAGCAAGATTTGCTACTGATTTTTTTTTTTTTTTTTTGAGACGGAGTCTCACTCTGTTGCTCAGGCTGGAGTGCAGTAGCTCTATCTCAGCTCACTGCAAGCTTCACCTCCTGGGTTCACGCCATTCTCCTGCCTCAGCCTCCCGAGTAGCTGGGACTACAGGAACCCACCACCAAGCCCGGCTAATTTTTACTTTTTTAGTAGAGACGGGGTTTCACCATGTTAGCCAGGATGGTCTAGATCTCCTGACCTCATGATCCACCCACCTTGGCCTCCCAAAGTGCTGGGATTACAGGCGTGAGCCACCGCGCCGGTAGCTACTGACTATTCTTAATAGGTGGAGTATATCAATGAGGGCCTGTGCCCGTACCTGGAAGCCAGGAATCTAATGCGGCACATGGTGCTGTTACTACTGAAATTCCAAGTCCTGGTGCTCTCACCATAAAGTATGATATTGACATGCTCGCATTCTTAGAAATAGGAAGATCTCTTTGGGTCGTCAAGTATATAGGGGAGATGCTTTGACAACATGTTTTAGACTTCTCTAAGATGATGTTGAAATATCTTGAGTCTTAGGGTAATCAGATGAAAAGATTGATGTCTTCCATTTTCTTATTATCTGACCTTTTTGCCCCTAATTCTGAATATTTAATAAAAATTTCCTGAGGTGGGGCATGGTGGTTCACACCTGTAATCCCAGTGCTGTGGGAGGCCAAGGCAGGTGGATCACTTGAGCTCAGGAGTTCGAGACCAGCCTGGGCAACATGGTGAAACCCCGTATCTACAAAAAATGCAAAAATTAGCCAGGCATGGTGACATGCACCTGTAGTCCCAACTGCTGGAGAGGCTGAGGCTGCAGAATCACTTGAACCCAGGAGGTTGTGGCTCCAGTGAGCTGTGATCATGCTGCTGCACTCCAGCCTGGGTGGGTGACAAAGTGAGTCCCTGTCAAAAAAAAAAAAAAATGTCCTGGGCATACTGTCATGAATATTTTTCTAGACTTAAAGTACACTCGTCTTTTTTTAATCTCATTTCAGGTTACTTTCAGGAGTGAAAAAGCTCTTTATATTTCAGTTGATAGATGGGAAGGTAACTGTGAGAAACAATATTATAGTAACTCATTTAACACATGTAAGTTATTTGTATTTATGGTAATTTAAGAAATAGGATTTATGTAAACTAGTAATATAATTTTAGAACATTTTACAATATTAAAATTGCTATTGAACTCGTTCTTGCTTCCTCACATGCAAAAAAAAGCTAACTTAAAAATATTTAATATCCAAAAAGAAAAATTGAGTTGTGCATCTTTATAGTACGTAGAGGATTCCTTAATATTGTTTGGAACATATTTAATTTCAATTTGCATTTTCTGCTTTTTATTTGTCATTCTGTATTGTGAAAGTTATATACTGTAATTTTGTTTTGCTTTAAGTACATTTACTTATGTATGTTTTTAAAAATATAAGCCATAATTCTCTAGTCTGTTGAAATTATTGTTCACTTTTTCCTTTGTGTATAAAATTATAAATATTAATCATATTATTACTTTGTCTTCTACTAAACATACTGTTTAAAACAATTGCAAAAGAAGTATTTTACAGCGAGAGGGAAATGAATTTGAATGTTTACAGAAGACCACCTTTGAATAATTGCAGTTTGCTTGTGTTGTAGAGCTGTTTACGATCTGTGCTGGAACAAATAGCAGCATATGGCCAGGTTGTGTTTCGACTCCAGGAGTTCATTGATGAAGTCATGGGACACAGTTCTGAGAGCATGCTGCCTGGAAGTGGGTCTGTTCCTAAGAAGTCAACTGAAGCTCCCTTTAGAACCTACCAGGCTTTCATGTGGGCCCTGTACAAATATTTCATTAGTTTCAAAGAGGAACTTGCAGAAATTGAGAAGTGCATCATCAATAATGGTATTAAATGTTCTTCATCTTTACTCATACTACACGTAACTCATAATTTGAATGCCACTTAGAGTTTTTATTATATAAGATTTGAAAGTTGCCTAGCAGATAAGTAGTTCTCGTGAATGCTTCTTTTAAAATTATTTTAAATTTATATTTTTAAGCCATTCATATCTCTAAAAATCAAAAAACTACAGAAGATTTAGAATGAAAAATCTAAATTATTCTTCCTGCACCAGTACCCCAGCCAGTCAGTTCTCCTCTCCAGAGACAGCCAGGTCCTTGGCTTCTTACGCATCCTTCCAGAAAGAGTTTCAACATACATGAGCAGTGCATATACATATACGCATACCTAGCAGTCATTACACTGCTCTCTTCAAATTTTTCCAGTTTAAATTTTGAGGATAATACCATACATATATGAAGAGCTTCTGTTTTCCTTTTTACAAATTGAGTGTTTCATCATATGGTCGTGTCATAGCCCAGTCCCCTTAATGGATTTAGGTTGTTCCCAGGCTTTTGCTATTGCCAGTAGTGCTGCAGTGATAATCACTTCTACATATCCGTTATCGTACACAGGCAGTGAGTTATCTGTAGGGTAGGTTCTTTTTTTTTTTTTTTCATTTGAGACGGAGTCTCGCTCTGTTACCTAGGCTGGAGTGCAGTGGCTCAATCTCTGCTTACTGCAAGCTCCGCCTCCCGGGTTCACGCCATCCTCCTGCCTCAGCCTCCCGAGTAACTGATTACAGGCACCTGCCACCATCCCCAGCTAATTTTTGTATTTTCAATAGAGACAGGCTTTCACCATGTTGACCACCTTGGCCTCCCAAAATGCTGGGATTACGGGCATAAGCTGGGATTATACTGCATCTGACCATGTGGGGTAGGTTCTTATAAATGGAATTGCTGGGTCATGTGTGATTTTCCTAAGTTTTGCCACTTTATGGGGAGGTATAGGTAAATACATTTTTACTGTTGTGAACCAAGTAGATGAATACCTGTTTCCTCACACTTCTTGCCATCTGTGTGTTACCAGACGTTTTGGTCTTCACCAGTATGACAGCTGTAAAATGGTAACCCATGTAGCTTTTTTCCCCTTAAATTTCATTTTGAACTACCACAAAAAATAGTACAGAGAGGCCCTGTGTTCCCATGACCTTGCTTCCCCCAGTGGTAAAACCTTACATAGTGACAGTACATGGTCAAAACTGGGAAACTGACATTGACACAGCACATTAGCCAAACTGCAGACCTGACATGGTTTCACCAGTGTCGCAGGAACTTGCTTTGAACAGGGGTGGGTGTGGTATATTCATGTATAGTTTATCACATGTCTAGCTCCACATAGCCACTTCCATGTTCAGATCACAGCTGTGCCATCGCCTCCCAGGAGCTTGCTTGTGCAGCCCTTTGTAGGCACAGCCTCCCTCACCCCTCTCTGTAACATTAGCCCATTGGGAGGTGTTTTGTTTTACCTAGTGTAATTTTAATTTGCGTTCTTTTATTATAAGTAAGGTCAAGTGACTTTCTGTATGTTTTAGAATCACTCATCATTCCTTTTTTATGAACTGTCAGTTCCTTTATACATTATTTTTCTGCTGAGTTGTCTTTTTCTCTGTGACTTGCAGGAGTTCTTCCTTAGGGAAATTAGGTCCTTGTGGTATGAGATTAAAATCCACCGTCCTCCATTTTGCCCTGCCTGTCCATAAGCCTGATGATTTGCCAGCATTTATGTCACATTTTAGATGCATGTATTTTTCCTTGCTGTTGAGTTTGATTTATTGATATTTGCAGATACTACAATAACTCTTGCAATAGTGGTGGACAAGTTGGCACCTCGATTGTCTCAGCTCAAGGTTCTGCACAAAGTGTTTAGTACTGGAGTAGCAGAAGTTCCACCTGATACTCGAAATGTCGTCCGGGCCTCTCACCTGCTTAACACCCTGTACAAGGCCATTCTTGAATATGACAATGTTGGAGAAGCCTCTGAGCAAACCGTAAGTGAGACTTCTGCCTAAAGTGTGTGACTCCATGCTGCACAGCAGAGGAGTGATAGACAGCTGATGGTAGTTCTTTGTTGATACTTGAATGATGACTCGTCAGACAGTTCAGAGTTTTTAAATTAACTTCCAAATTTAAGGCTGTAGGAAACTGGCTTTTCAGCTCTAATTGCCAAGATCCTCAGAAGGATGAGGCAAGGACAAGGCAAGCTGTGAGAAGTACCTACCTGATGTGTATAGATATTTACAATAACGCTTTCTTACATAAACACTAACATGTAACTAACATGACATGAGATAGCTGAAGTAGACACATCCACAGAAACAAAGTGGAATGCTGGTTACCAAGGGCTGGGGAATGGGGAGCTGTTGTTTAATGGGTACAGAGTTTCAGTTTTATAACATGAAAAAGTTCTGGAGATTTGTCACAACGATATGAATGTACTTAAAACCTCTGAACTTAAAAATGCTGAGGGTCAGGCACAGTGGCTCGTGCCTGTAATCCCAACACTTTGGGAGGCCGAGGCAGGAGGATTGATTGAGCCCAGGAGTTTGAGACTTGCCTGGGCAACATAGTAAGACTCTGTCTTTAAAAAATTAGTTAAATTAAAATTTTTTAAAATATACAGTTAAGATAAATTTTATGTTATATATTTTATATTGTATTTTAAAAAATACAAATCTAGGCCATGCATAGTGGCTCACGCCTGTAGTCCCAGCTACATATGAGTCTGAGGTGAGAGGATCACTTGAGCCCAGGAATTTGAGACCAGCCCGGGCAACATACTGAGACCCTGTCTCTACAAAAAATTTTTAAAGTAGCCAGGTGTGCTGACACCAGGAATTCGAGACCAGCCTGGCCAACATGGTGAAACCCCGTCTCTACTAAAAATACAAACATTAGCCTAGTGTGGTGGCGAACACCTGTCATCCCAGCTACTCAGGAGGCTGAGGCAGGAGAATTGCTTGAACCCGGGAGGATGCAGTGAGCCGAGATCGCACCACTACACTCCAGCCTGGGCAACAGAGCAAGACTCTGTCTCAAAAAAGGTAGCCAGCTCTGGAGGCACATGCCTATGGTCCCAGGTACTCGAGAGGCTAAGGCAGGAAGATGGCTTGAGTGTGGAAGGTCAAGGCTGCAGTGAGCCATGTTTGTGCCACTGCACTCCAGCTTGGGTAACAGAGCAAGACCCTGTCTCAAACAATATATAGATTTAAAAATAAAAATCTAACTAGAGGCTGTAATTTAGAATGCTACAGTCTTAGTTGGGTATGTACATTAGGTGTATTTTCTAGTTTGTTGGTATAACTTTTTTTCACACCAATTTAATACCATATTTCTTTTTTTCTTTTTTTTTTTTTTTTTTTTTTGAGACGTAGTCTTGCTCTGTTGCCAGGCTGGAGTGCAGTCGCACGATCTTGGCTCACTGCAACCTCCACCTCCCAGGTTCAAGTGATTCTTCTGCCTCAGCCCCCTGAGTAGCTGGGACTACAGGCGCACATCACCATGCCCGGCTAATTTTTTGGGGTTTTTTTTTGTTTTTTGTTTGAGATGGAGTCTCGCCCTGTCGCCCAGGCTGGAGTGCAGTGTCATGATCTTGGCTCACTGCAACCTCTGCCTCCTGGGTTCAAACTATTCTCCTGCCTTAGCCTCCTGAGTACCTGGGATTACAGGCGCCCACCACCATGCCCATCTAATTTTTGTATTTTTAATAGAGATGGGGTTTCACCATGTTGGCCAGGCTGGTCTCGAGCTCCTGACCTCCTGATCCGCCTACCTCGGCCTTCCAAAGTGCTGGGATTACAGGCATGAGCCACCACACCCAGCTGTATTTTTTTTTAATAGAGATGGGGTTTCACCATATTGGCCAGGCTGGTCTCAAACTCCTGCCCTTGTGATCTGCCCACCTCAGCCTCCCAAAGTGCTGGGGTTACAGGCGTGAGCCACCATGCCCAGCCAATTTCCTCATCCTTAATGGATGCTTTGCTAGTAATAGGATTTAGATAGGGAAACCTTGTTCGCTTGCCTGGGCTATCTCAGGATACACCTGCTGCCTCTGTGTCACTTTCACTCTCAAGTTTCCCAGTCTGGACTACAAACAATATGATCATCCCATATTTAGGTGAGTTTTTCTTTTTTCTTTTTTTTTTCTTTTTGTTTTGAGACAGTGTCACTCTGTTGCCAGGCTGGAGTGTAGTGGCACGATCTTGGCTCATTGCAGCCTCCACCTGCCAGATTCAAGCAATTCTCCTCCCTCAGCCTCCCAAGTAGCCAGGACTACAGGCGCGTGTCACCATGCCCAGCTAATTTTTGTATTTTTAGTAGAGAGGGGGTTTCACCATGTTGGCCAGGATGGTCTCGATTTCTTACCTCAGGTGATCCGCCCACCTCGGTCTCCCAAAGTGCTGGGATCACAGGCGTGAGCCACCACGCCCGGCATTTAGGTGAGTTTTTCATAAGGATTTTATAGTGTATGTTTTTGGATTTTTAATTTCTTTGTGCCCCAAAAAACATAGAAATCCGATCACTTTTTTAAAGGCATTTCAGAAATGTTTAAACCTCCTTTTATCCTAGTGACCAGGGAACCCTGAGAGCTGACCGTGCACACTCTCTGCCTCAGGTCTCCCTCCTTTTCTCTCTCTGGGTGGAAACGGTGCGGCCTTACCTGCAGACGGTGGACGAGTGGATCGTGCACGGGCACCTGTGGGATGGCGCCAGGGAGTTCATCATCCAGAGGTGAGCTGCAGCAGAGCACAAGGTCACTGGGGGCTGGCATCACCAGTTTCCTCCCCATGAAAATCAAATGCTTTCGTTAGTTTCAGACAGTACTGAGAAAGCACAGTTCACATCACAGAACTTGTCGTCATCATAGGCAAGTTCTATCTCATTTTTACGGAAGGCATCAGTAATACCAGCTGATTAGAAATATCTTTGTCCAAGTTTTGTCAGTCCGCAACTTTTCTTAAGCAAATTATATTTTTGGATGGTAGTATATTTATGGCTAGCTAGTACACACTGCTTCCCATAAAATGAGTTTAGATGATATCATATGGTTTCAGCTATTTCCATTGTAAATTATCAGTAAAGAGATACAGAAATATTACAGAGTATGCCTCTAATATATTTATTTCTCTGAATTATCTACTGATTTCTTTTACCTTAGTATATTTTACAAAACAAGGAAAATCTTAATCCATTTATGACAATTTCCCTTCAGTTAATTGATTTTTCTGAATAGAATCATATAAACAATGTAGAGCTATTTGTACTCTTTTAGCCCAATTTTAAATTATGCGGTATATTTAGATATATGGTTTCTATTGATAGCTATCCATTGAGCTCATCAGGAAGGATAACTTTAAGTCTTTAGTGTTCTGGAAGGGTAGCAATATGTATGCAATGCTCACATAAGTGAACTGACCCTTCCTTCAACTCAATCTCATATCTGTCACTGTGTTCTGATTCATCAATCTCACATGAGAATTTTTGTGAAAAATAGGACTCTGACTGTTCTTCTAGGGTGATGATTGACCATCATTTTATTGTTAAAAGTAGTCCAGTTAAGAATCTTTGTAGGGAAAATGATAGAGAAGTCTGCAAATTAGTTTCACAGCAGATGGTAAATGGATAAACTTTTATTCTTCTTCTAAAGAGGACCAAATTAGTCATATTTTAAATAATTCCAATTCAGGAAACTATTTCTACTTAAATTTTACTTACACTATTCAAAGTATTTATTCACTTTTCTCTTTAAACTGAGATGAGATTAAAACTGTCCCATTTTGCCTAAAGTTTGCTTCAGTTTACTAATAATTAATACTATGTTTTATAATGTCTGGACAACAAACTAGAACAAGTATGCTGTTTTTAAGAAAGAGAAATAAGAGTTTAAAATTCTTTTGAATCTCTTTAGAAACAAAAATGTTCCAGTTAATCACAGAGACTTCTGGTATGCAACTTACACGTTATATAGCGTATCAGAAAAGACAGAAAATGAAGAAAAAATGAGTGATAACGCTAGTGCGAGTTCCGGCAGTGACCAGGGGCCCTCCAGCAGGCAGCACACCATGGTGTCCTTCCTCAAACCTGTCCTGAAGCAGATCATAATGGCTGGCAAGTCGATGCAGCTGCTGAAGAACCTGCAGTGTGCGGAGAGCACCACCTGCCAGGCAGGAGCCAGAGGTACTTGTTCCGTCTTCCTGTGTCTCTCTTGGTGTTGGGACACCTGACCCTACTCGCTCTTGTCATCCTGATACCTAATTATTTTGTAGTTTGCAAGTCATCAAACCCTCTTATTTCGGTGGCAATTATCGTCATGGTTGAATTAGTAACCATGCTGCTCTTGATTTTTTAAAAGATTGTCTTCATTGAAAACTTTTAGTGCTGTGTTTGAAAAGGCAGTGACGATAAGTTCCACATGCATTTTCCTCACTCTGGATTCCTTAGGACTGGAACTTTAAAAAGTAATCCCCTGCCATTTCTTTTCTTTTATTATTTTTATAAATTGACATAATAATTGTACATATTCATGGGGTACATAGTGATGTTTTGATACATATATAGTGATCAGATCAGGATAATTAGCACTTCCATCATCTCAAACATTTACTACTTCTTTATGTTGGGGACATTCAGTATCCTCTTCTTTGCTATGTGCAACTCTATAATACATTATTAACTATAGTCATCCCATAGTGATACAGAGCACTAGAACTTATTCCTTCCAGCTAGCTATTTGTATCCTTTAACAAATATCTTCCTCTTTCTCCCTTCCCCCTACAAAATCCAGCATCTGGTATCCTGTTCTACTTTTTACTAATACGAGATCAACATTTTTTAGCTACCAGATGAGTGAGAACATGCAGTGTTTAACTTTCTGTTCCTGGCTTATTTCACTTAATGTCCACCATTTCCATCAGTGTTGCTGCAAACAACAGGATTCACTCTTTTATCTTCAAGATATATACATATATATATATATATATCTCACAATTTTTTTACCCATTCATCTGTTGTTGGGCACCTAGGTTGATTCCATGTCTTGGCTGTGTGAATAGTGCTGCAGTAAACATGGGGGTGCGGATGTCTCTTTGATATCCTGATTTCCTTTCCTTTGGATAAATGCCCACCAGTGGGATTGCTATATCATATAGTAGTTCTATTTGTAGTTTTTTGAGGAACCGCCAAACTGTTCTCCATGGTGTCTGTACTAGTTTATGTTCCCACCAACATTGTGTAAGAGTTTCCTTTTCTCCACATCCTCACCAGCATTTATTTTTTGTCTTCGTGATAAATAACCATCCTGACTGGGGTGAAATGATACCTCATTGTGGTTTTGATTTGCATTTTCCCTAATAATTAGTGATGCTGAGCATTTTTTCATCTATTTCTTGGCCATTTGTATTACTTCTTTGGAGAAATGTCTGTTCAGATCATTTGCCTTTTTTTTTTTTTTTTCCTGAGACAGAGTTTTACTCCCATCACCCAGGCTGGAGTGCAGTGGTGCAATCTGGGCTCACTGCAAGCTCTGCCTCCCTGGCTCAAGTGATTCTCCTGCTTCAGCCTCCTGAGCAGCTGGGATTATAGGCACCCGCCACCACACCCGGCTGATTTTTTGTGTTTTTAGTAGAGACGAGGTTTCACCATGTTGGCCAGGCTGATCTCGAACTCCTGACCTCAAGTGATCTGCCCGCCTTGGCCTCCCAGAGTGCTGGGATTACAGGCGTGAGCCACCGTGCCTGGCCTCATTCATTGAATTCTTTCACTGTAAAATTTGTTTGTTAAACATCTGTTTCTGTTGAATTTCTCATTCAAATCATTCTTTTCCTGATTTTGTTGAGTGTTTATTTGTACTGTCTTGTATCTCACCGAGTTCTCTTGTATCTCACCGAGTTTCCTTAAGATTTTAATTCTGAATTATTTTTCCGGCATTTCCTATATCATTGTAGTCTCTTGCTAGAGAATTATTGGTTTTCTTGGGAGGTGTCATGTTTCTTTGCTTTTTCATGTTTGATGTATTTCTACATTGATTTCTACACATCTGGTGGGAAAGTCACCTTTTCCAATTTTATGGAGTACGTTTTGTAAAGAGTTATTCATATGAATGGGTCTTGGAGTGTGGGTTCAGTGGGATGCATTCACCTTGGTTCTGGACAAATGCAGTAGTATAGTCTCCATGTACTTTCTTCAGTTGTAATCCACTTTAGTGATGTTTGCAAGTGCCTCAGTGGCCTACAGTGAGGGGGTTTGTGGCAACAGTGGCACAGTTGGCTGGGCGTGGTGGCTCACGCCTATAATCCCAGCACTTTCTTTTTTGAGACAGTCTTGCTCTATTACCTAGGCTGGAGTGCAGTGGCATGATCTCGGCTCACTGCAAACTCTGCCTCCTGGGTTCAAGTCATTCTCTTGCCTCAGTCTCTCAAGTAGATGGGATTACAGGCATGTGCCACCACGCCTGGCTAATTTTTGTATTTTTAGTAGCGATCGGGTTTTACCATGTTGGTGAGGCTGATCTCAAACTCCTAGCCTCAAGCAATCCACCCGCCTCGGCCTCCCAAAGTATTGGGATTGCAGGCGTGAGCCATCACGCCCAGCCAATCCCAGCACTTTCGGAGGCCAAGGCAGGTGGATTACTTGAGGCCAGGAGTTTGAGACCAGCCTGGCCAACATGGTGAAACCCTGTCTCTACCCAAAATATAAAAATTAGCTAGATGTGGTGGCGCATGCCTATAATCCCAGCTGCTTGGGAGGCTGAGGCACAAGAATCACTGGAACCCGGAAGGCGGAGGTTTGCAGTGAGCCAAGATTATACCACTGTACTCCAACCTGGGCAACAAAGCAAGACTCTGTCCCAAAACAAAAAACAAACAGTAGCACAGCTTTGCTGGGATGGGCTTGCTGGACTGTTTCTCAGATTAGGGGTACATGCATGTACACAGTGGTTTGGCCAAGGTGGGGTCTGGCTCAGGGTTTGGGACCACAGGCTGTTACTCTGGCCAGGAACATGAGCATGTGGTTGCTTGGCCAGCCTATAGGTTTATTTGCCTGCCAGCAATGGCCCAAGGGGCTGTTTCTCAGGCCTAGGATGTAGGCACAAAACTGGTTTTCTGGCCAGGGGCTCCATGAGAACAGCCCTCAGGGTCATTTCTCAAGCCTTGGACATGAGCACAGGCTTCTTTGCTCGCCTGGGAGTATGTTTGCTGGGGGTAACCTATAAGGCTGTTTCTTAGGCCCAGGATGTGGGTACAAGGCTGCTTTGCTAGCCTGGGTGCATGTCTGCCTGCACAGTTCAAGGGGCTCTTTCTCAGTCCTGGGACATGGTCACATGGCTTGTTGGCCGTCCTAGGTATGTATCTGCCAGTGGCAGCCCATGAGGCTGCTTCTGAGGCCCAGCATGTGGGTGGAAGGCTGCTTGGCTGGCATGAGGGTGTGATTACTGGGGGTGGTCTTCAAGGCTCTTTCTCAGGTTTGGGATATGGGTGCCAGCTGGCTCAGAACATGCCCACCAAGGGCAGACCACAGGGCTGTTTGGCAGGCCCAGTATGCAGGCCTGTGGCCGCTCTGTTGGCCTGTGACTCCCAGGCGCTGCCTATGGGGCTTCTTCTCCAACCAAAGATGCCGTGCAAGGCCGCTCAAGAAGCCTAGGTACATGCCTGCCAGGGCAGCCTCTGAAACTGTTTCTCAGACCCTGAATGCTGACCCAGGGCCACTGGGTAGGCCACGGGCCTGTCTGCAAGGGGTTGATGCTGTGGGGCTGTTTCTCAGTTCCTGGGCAAAGGTCTGTAACTGCTTCACCAGCCTGGAGGCATGTCAGCTGGTAGGAAGCTCAGGGGTCTGTTCCCACCCTCTAGAGATGGCACAGCAATTTGGCCAGCTCAAAGATGGGTTTGGTCTGTTGGGGCTGCCAGACTGTTCCTCTGTCTGAAAGTGCAGTGGCAGGGGCTGGTTTTTCTGCTGTGCAGGACCAGAATCACCAGTCGATCCTGGGCCCAGGCTCCACATAGCTGGGGTTGTGGTGTTCAGCCATCCCTGTGGCCTTGGTGGAATGAGGATGGAGCCCCAGTGGCTGGGGTGCAGGAGAGGTGCAGCAGCTACTGGCCCAGAGGAGGGCGTGCTCCAGAGGTGGCTCTGGTCTGAAGATGGTGCCATGCTGCAACAGCTTGGCTCAAAGGGGTGGGTGGGGAAGGCACACCTTGTGCCCCTAACCCGGGGCAAGGCAGCTGCGTGAATTCCCAGCAGCTCTCCAAACTGGGCTCAGAGCTCGTGGGAACTGTGGAATCCTCCTGTAGTAATGACTGTAGGTGTTTGTGGGGGCTGGTGGGTTTCTTCTGCTTACCCTTACCCTACAATGGGAAGTCCTTCTTGACTCCAGACCAGCCTGTTCTGCGAAGCTGCAGAGGCTGGAAGCCTCCACACTGCCCTCCTGGGCCTCCAGTCACCAACACTGTGTCACATTCCCCCTCTGCACTCCAGCACTCGCCCTTCAACTCCAGTCGGATCTTTTTTTTTTGAGACGGAGTCTTTCCCTGTCGCCCAGGCTGGAGTGCAGCGGCGCGATCTCGGCTCACTGCGAACTTCGCCTCCTGGGTTCTCTCCTGCCTCAGCCTCCCCAGCAGCTGGGACTACAGGCGCACACCACCGTGCCCGGCTAATTTTTTTGTATTTTTAGTAGAGACGGGGTTTTACCATACTAGCCAGTATGGTCTCGATCCCCTGACCTCATGATCCGCCCGCCTCGGCCTCCTGAAGTGTTGGGATTACAGGTGTGAGTCACCACCCCCAGCCTCCAGTCGGATCTTAACTGTTGATTCGTTGCTTTGGTCCTCTCTTGCTGTTGGGAGAGGAACACCAGACGTCTCCAGGCAGCCACCTTGCTGGCGACTGGAGTGCAGTGGCATGATCTCGGCTCACTGCAACTTCTGCCTCACAGGTTCAAGTGATTTCTCATGCCTCAGCTTCCCAAGTAGCTGGGACTATAGATGTGAGCCACTACGCCCGGCTAATTTTTTGTGTTTTTAGTAGAGATGGGGTTTCACCATGTTGGCCAAGCTGGTCTTGAACTCCTGACCTCAGCTGATCCACCCGCCTCTTAAAGTGCTGGGATTACAAGCGTGAGCCACCACAACCAGCCCTTCTGGCATTTCTTAATGCAATGCAGCGTTTAGCCCTTGAGGGCCGTGAACCATGGCTGATAAGAATTTCTTATGAGCAGTTCAGACTCGATCATAAATTTCAAGAAAATGATGCAATTTAATATATTCAAAGTTTTATGCTGTAATCCCAGCACTTTGGGAGGCTGAGGCAGGCAGATCACGAGGTCAGGAGATCGATACCATCCTGGTCAACGTGGTAAAACCCCATCTCTACTAAAAATACAAAAATTAGCTGGGCATGATGGCATGGGCCTGTAATTCCCCACTACTCAGGAGGCTGAGGCAAGATAATCGCTTCAACCAGGGAGTCAGAGATTGCAGTGAGCCGAGATCATGCCACTGCACTCCAGCCTGGTGACAGAGTGAGACTCCATGTCAAAAAAAAAAGTTTTATCAACTGACTAAAAAGGCTTGGAAGATAAAGATGTGACCTTATTTATACATCTCAATCATCTCAATGTTATGTTAATTATATTATTGTATCTACTTGAAATAAGTAGATGCAATACTTATTTTCACTTTGTGGAATATTTCCTTCTTATGTAGTGAGCTTCCCAGGGCCACTGTCAGAAGTGTTTTTTCCAATGAGACTGCGACTCCTATCAGGGTTACCATAGTGTTATGCAGTATTGTAATAAATTTCAAGTGTGCTGATTAGGATCTTACTCTTTTTTTTTTTTTTTTTTTGAGTCAGGTTTCACTCCTATTGCCCAAACTGGACTGGAGTGCAGTGGCGTGATCTCAGCGCATTGCAACCTTCACCTGCCAGTGCTCACGCAGTTCTCGTGCCTCAGCCTCCCAAGTAGCTTGGGACCACAGGCACATTCCACTGCACTCAGCTAATTTTTTTGTAGAGCTGAGGTTTCACCATGTTGCCCAGGCTGGTCTCAAACTCCTGAGCTTAAGTGATCCACCCGCCTCAGCCTCCCAAAGTGCTGGGATTACAGGCATGAGCCACTGCACCCGGACATGATATTATTTAATATTTCTTGGGCCAGGCACAGTGGCTCACGCCTGTAATCCCAGCACTTTGGGAGGCCGAGGTGGGTGGATCACTTGAGTCAGGAGTTTGAGACCAGCCTGACCAACATGGTGAAACCCCGTCTGTACTAAAAAACAAATATATAAAATTAGCCGGGCGTGGTGGCACATGCCTGTAATCCCAGCTACTTGGGAGGCTGAGGCAGGAGAATTGTTTGAACCCGGGAGGCGGAGGTTGCAGTGAGCCAAGATGGCGCCATTGCGCTCCAGCCTGGGCAACAAGAGCAAAACTCCATCTCAAAAAATATATATTATTTTGTTACTATATATAAATATATATATTTAATATTTACATATATTTAATATTTATATATAAATATATAGATTTTGTTACTTAATATATTGTTAATGTTAATATGATTAAACAGAATGTTACTTAATATGATTAAACAGAACTTAGTTCACCTTACATATTTCTTTATGTTTCAGATGCAGAAAGAAAAAGTTTATACACTCTCTTTCTGGAATCTGTACAGTCCCGTCTTCGACATGGAGAAGATTCCACTCCACAGGTTCTTACTGAGCAACAGGCAACCAAGGAGAACCTGATGAAGATGCAGTCCATTGCTGAAAGCCATCTTGAACTGGATGATGTTCATGATCCACTGCTTGCCATTAACTTTGCAAGGTGAGACACACCTGCAAGGTTATCAGTAATTGAAATGGCATCATTTGTGCAATGTTTGCTAACTGTTTATTTCTGGCAGGTAGGGCTAAAAACAAAAACTCTTGTAGGCTATCCTTTCTTTTTTCTTTTTCCTTTTTTTTTTTTGTTTGTTTGAGATGGAGCCTCAGTCTGTCACCCAGGCTGGAGTGTAGTGGTGTGATCTTGGCTGACTGCTGCAACCTCTGCCTCCCAGGTTAAGCAATTTTCCTACCTCAGCCTCCCAGCTACCTGGGACTAGAGGCATGTGCCACCATGCCCCGCTAATTTTTGTATTTTTTGTAGAGACGGGGTTTCCTCCTGTTGGCCAGGCTTGCCTCGAACTCCTGACCTCAGGTGATCTGCCCACCTCGGCCTCCCAAAGTGCTGGGATTACAGGTGTGAGCCACCATGCCATGCCTATCCTTTATAACAAGCAGAATACAAGATGTTGTGCTCACCTACTTCAGGTGTATAGTTTGGATTCCATGTCGTTTGTGGAAGTCTGCAGACTTGGCCCTGCCACCATGTGGTACAACTTTTGTCTGTGCCCTCGGGCCCCTGGAAATGTCATCATTTACCCAGAAGATGCTGAAACTCTGGGCCATGAGTGGGCCCTGGACACCCATTGAGTCAGGGTCCCCACTGGCATATAATATGTCCTGGGCTTAAGCTGCTTTTAGGCACTTAGTCCATTAGAGTAAGTCATTAATACCCACACAGTTCCCGGTTGTCTAATGGCCAGCATTTGCTGTGTCCAGCCCTAATCACTAGAAAGACCAGCTCTAGTACCTGACCCTAAGTCAGTGGCAACTTCAAGAGACTGGTTCACTCAAAGGATATTTTTGGGAGAAAGATTTTTCTCTTTCTGTAATAGTTGGTAACTTCAAGACTAAAGGTAAAAATGGAACTTCAGGGTTTTGATTTAAGAGAGTTCTGTTGACAGCAGCTCATAAAAAGAAGACTCACATTTTTATCTTGAAGGATGTATTTGGAGCAGAGTGACTTTCACGAGAAGTTTGCTGGTGGTGATGTATGTGTGGATAGATCATCGGAATCTGTGACATGCCAGACTTTTGAATTAACGCTGAGATCCTGCCTCTATCCTCATATTGACAAGCAGTATCTAGATTGCTGTGGAAATCTCATGCAAACTCTAAAAAAAGATTACAGGTAAAAGAGTAATTTAATTTTGGAAGTAGTAAATAGTTGATTGTACTTGAAGAACAGTTGAGATTATTTTAAAACCTATTTCAATTTTTATTAGAGTAGGAAATGGATATACAGTAAACAATTTTCTAAGAGAAATCAATTGACCATCAATATTTTCTTAACTATGTTTTGAAACTTAATTCTTTATTTCTGAGAATCTTTCCCAAAAGAAATACAGAAAAAGCTTGTAGAAAAATTACAAAGTTTGTTATCAGAATGAAAAACACTAAATTACTTAGTGATAGATGACTAGTTTTTTAAACTATGCATATCCATAAATATGGCATATACATACCCACATATGAACTTTGTAAAGTTCATAAAAATTATGGCAATTAGGCCGAGCACGGTGGCTCACACCTGTAATCCCAGCACTTTGGGAGGCTGAGGTGGGAGGATCACGAGATCAGGAGATCGAGAGCATCCTGGCTAACACGGTGAAACCCCGTCTCTACTAAAAATACAAAAAATTCGCCGGGCGTGGTGCCGGGCGCCTGTAGTCCCAGTTACTCTGGAGGCTGGGGCAGGAGAATGGCGTGAACCCAGGAGGCAGAGCTTGCAGTGAGCTGAGATCGGGCCACTGCACTCCAGCCTGGGCGACAGAGCAAGACTCCATCTCAAAAAAAAAAAAATTATGGCAATTAAAAAGCAGGAGATATAATACGGTAGGAACTAGGTTTTCTTAACACATAGAAGAGAAGACAGGAAAGAAACATTCCAGATATTAAATATTAATGATGGAAATCCACCATAAATGATGGGATTTGGATTTTTTTTTGTTACATTTTTGTGACTGCCCAATTTTCTATAATGTTATAGAAGATAACCTTTCTGATGATGAAAGGAAAACCTATGCTGTTTTTATTATTGGAACAAGTTTAAGAGGTGTTAATATTTCTAATTTTAGTAAATGTAGAATGTAAACTTGTTCCACTAAAAACAGGTTACAAAACCTGTTGTTGATCCAGAATCCTGCCTTACGAATGCCAGAGATCTTAGTGTCACTCATTTTCTCTCCATTCAGGTTGGTAGAATACTTGCAAGCTATGAGGAATTTTTTCTTAATGGAAGGAGGAGATACCATGTATGACTTCTACACGTCAATTTTTGATAAAATAAGAGAAAAGGAAACATGGCAGAATGTGTCTTTTCTTAATGTCCAACTCCAAGAAGCAGTAGGACAGCGTTATCCTGAAGATAGTTCACGGTAAAATATGGACGCCACCTTTATTTAAATTAGTGTAACATGAACTATGTGCCAGTAAGTCTTCTATGAATTACACATATTATTTTATCCTCACTATTCCTATGAGTTTTACTAATATTATTTTACTTATTAGAAAATGGAGGCCAGGCACGGTGGCTCACACCTGTAATGCCAGCACTTTGGGAGGCAGAGGCGGTGGATCACCTGAGGTCAGGAGTTCGAGACCAGCCTGGCCAACATGGTGAAACTCTGTCTCTACTAAAAATACAAAAAGCATGGTGGCAGGCGCCTGTAATCCTGGCTATTTGGGAGGCTGAAGCAGGAGAATCGCTTGAACCTGGGAGGCAGAGGTTGCAGTGAGCCAAGATCATGCCACTGCACTCCAGCCTGGGCGACAAGAACGAGACTCCATTTAAAAAAAAAGAAAAAATTGAGGCAGAGGCTAGCTATGTGACTCTCCTGCTAAACAACAAAAGACGTTGAGATGCCACCATATGGCCAGATGCAGTGGCTCATGCCAGTAATCCTAGCACTTTGGGAGGCCAAGGTGGGAGGATTGCTTGAGCTTAGGAGTTTGCAACCAGCCTGGGCAACATAGTGGGACCTCGTCCCTATAAAAAAAGAAAAAAGTTGCCACCATACGACCTGTCAGGGTCTGATGGCCTCCTTCACATGGCTGGAGTCAGTGCTTCCTCTCCCTGAGCTCCCACACATGAGGTTTTTCAGTCCTGCCTCCTAGAGAATGCCCCTGACCTCTCAGAACTGGCTCAGAACTCCCCAATGACCTCTGTGTCTCTCAGCCTCACTCCCTTCCACCAAAACGGACTTGACCCTCACCAGGGTGACCTCAGACCACCAGCAGTGACTTCCACCACTCATCCCTATGCTCCCCGTGGGTGCCTCCTAAACAGATGGACTAAGCTTTGTCTTAGAAGGGAGAAAGCTATTTACTGTCTGGCTCCATTTTCCCAGCCTCATGTCTTGCACACATACACACCATGTTCTCTTTCCTGTCTTCCTTCGCGTTTCAGGGATTTCAGAATATTTCTGGTGTCTGCTAGTGCTGTCCTCCCGCCCCCCTGTGACATAGTCTCCAGTTCATGGGCCCGGCAGAGGTCTGCTCATTCCTACATCCCCCTTGTCTTCGTGTGCTGCACTGGGCTGGGAGTCCCTGGAGGGAAGAGAGATTGGCTTTCTATTGCCTGCTCAGTGCAGCACCTAACTTAGTATTAGTATTTGGTAGATGCCTACTAAGCACTGAGTGAATGCATACATATCAGGCCATTAAGAGCTAAAAATTCTTTTTTTTGAGACAGAGTCTTGCTCTGTCACCCAGGCTGGAGTGCAGTGGCACAATCTCGACTCACTGCAAGCTCCGCCTCCCGGGTTCATGCCATTTTCCTGCCTCAGCCTCCCGAGTTGCTGGGACTACAGGCGCCCAGCTAATTTTTTGTATTTTTATAGAGACGGGGTTTCACTGGGTTAGCCAGGATGGTCTCGATCTCCTGACCTCGTGATCCTCGAGGATGCCAAAGTGCTGGGATTACAGGTGTGAGCCACCGCACCCGGCAAAGAGCTAAAAATTCTGACTAGTGCCTGTGTCATGGATCAGCCAGTTCATAATCACACACTGCCCTGTGACATCTCTGATTTGGAAGTTAACTCCCCACTTTAAACCTTCTTCATATGCATCCAGGCATCCCCTCTTAGTGCCTCTGTGACTGTGGAAGAGGACATCATTTCTCAGGAACCACTGATGGGAGTATTTTGAGGATTAAATGAGCTAAGGACACATAATAGTGCCTGGCACTTGGACATTTTCATGTCCATGTTAGATGCTTGCTTTCCTCTGTGAGTCACATTCAAACCTGTCTCAGGAACTTGTGGATGAAGCACTGCACAGTGCCTCTGGTGTAGAAGCAGACCCCATCCCATCTCGATGGGGCTCTCGAAGCAGTACTCTCACCACATGCTCGGCTCCGTCGAGCTGCTCTGCTCGTCCTCTCCTGCCCACCCCCAACCTCAGCAGAGGCTTCATCTTCCCAGCCATTGCCTGAAGTTTACTGTCTTCCTCAGCTTCATCCTTTTTCTAATTACTACCATTGTTAAGTGTCTCTTTAACTAAACTCATTGTTTAAAAGTTTTCTCCCTCTCTGTTTCTAAATCCAAATTTCTGCTCTGGAATATATGTTAGAAGAGATACATTTGTTGGAATGTTTGCATTTCTTTTATGAAATGCAGTATCTTTTGGGGAATATTATGTAAATGAAATACCAATTATTTTAAAAGAGCATTTTTGTGTGACATAGTGCTTTCACAAACTAAAACTGGAATTTCTTTCTTTAGTCTATCTATATCTTTTGAAAATGTTGACACAGCTAAGAAGAAGCTGCCTGTTCATATCTTAGATGGTCTGACCCTCAGCTACAAGGTATATGCTGATATTCCTTGTATGAACCGTGTTTTCTGCTAACATTAAAACATGCAAGTAATTGGTTACTTTCTAATTTTGTTTTTGTTTCATAGGTCCCATGGCCCGTGGACATTGTTATAAGTTTGGAATGTCAAAAAATTTATAATCAAGTGTTTCTTCTCTTATTGCAAATAAAGTGGGCAAAATATAGTCTGGATGTTTTACTTTTTGGTGGTAAGATTTGTTTTCAGCAGATAAATTGTAATTTTATTTAATTTTAGCCCTTAATAAAAGAGGTTAATGGGAAAGGGAAGCATACGGGGATCTGGAAAAAAAAAAAAAGTTGGTGGTTGTTGATCATTTTTTATGTGTACACAAATGCCAAAATGGTGCGTATTCTAGCAGTAGTTTTATGGACATCAAATGCCTGAAAGAAAGATCAGGAAGTTGTATGTACAGTTGATCTGAAATGCAACAACTTGATTAGGAAAAGTGATACAGGAAACTTTTCCCACTGCACCTTCCAGAGGCACTGAGGTTCGGTTCCTGCCACCCCTGCCAGTGCTTTCTGTGGTGCCAGGACCACATCCGTCAGTGTTTCTGCCAGGCGTCATGGTGCAGTGGGGTTTGAGTTGATGCTCTTTCTGTCCACTTTGCTCTTCCAATGTTTTATAGAACTGGTTAGTACTGCAGAAAAACCACGACTTAAAGAAGGCCTTATACATGAACAAGACACAGTTGCTCAGTTCGGACCACAAAAAGAACCAGTAAGACAGCAGATTCATCGCATGTTCCTCTTAAGAGTGAAGCTCATGCATTTCGTGAACAGCTTGCACAACTACATCATGACCAGGGTTTGTGCCTCTCCCATCTGCTTCAGTTCTATCGTCGTATCTATACAGTTGTTCGTAGAGAATTACTCATACTATGTTTATAAGTAAAAAATACCTACAGACTGTGAAAACGGGACATGTAGCAAATTTGATCATAAAATAACATGGCAGTGGGAGGAATGTTTTTGTAAATATACCGGAATATGTGTATCCAGAGGCTGTTGTCCCTCCAGTCCAGCAGCCCCTGGGGACAGGCACAGCCACAGCTCGTCTTCTGGAATTGCCTTCAGAATGTGCCGCATAGTCCTTTAGGTTTCAATAGTGGTGACAGCTGTCCCTAAAAAATGGCTCCAATGTTTAATAACAGCCAAAATCCACTACGGTGTGTGGGAGGAAGATGCAGCCAGGTTATAGACTTTTTTCTTAAAAACAAGAACTCACTACAAAGTAAATGAAATTATTTTTCTGATACATCTAAAAGCCAGTTCTAGGGGAAGTTCTAAAAGAAGCGTTCAGAAATTGGAACAAGAGCAGTATTATTAGAGGACAGTATGCATTTGGGGTTTGAATTGTTGTTTAGACCTGTTTATACCTGGTCTGTGAGTTCTGAAACCCAACTTGCTTGGGTGAAGTGAGCCACTGAAGCCTGTGTTTTGGATGGGAAGGCTATGGCAGAGGGGCTCCACGTTTCCCCTGACTGCATTACTGCCTTCACAAGGTTGGCCTTCATTAAGCCCCTAATTGTTAAGAGTAAATGATAAGAGTTTAAGTTTTTTCTTAGTTTGTTTTTTATTTGAGGTATACTTATACTCATTTTAGAGAAAGATCAATGTATGAGAAAAGGAACTTAAGAAACATAAATTCACTGTAATTATTTGTATAAAAGTAACACATTTACTTGATTTTTTTTTTATCGATGTGTCTTATATACAGCTTAATGTGCTTGCCCCTTCCTGCCAGGAAGTCTGTTAGTCCAGAGTTTGGCGTTCATTCATTCACTGTGCAAGTGGGCGTCCTACAGGATTGCCCCCGCCGTCCTCTTAGGATCAGAACGCCAGAGTATCCAGCCAGCCTTTGAAGAATGGTACTTTATGAAACTGTCTAGATGTGCTTATTGAAGGAAGAATTTGAGAGGAGTAGAAGAGCTTAGTAAAAAAGATTTGTGTGCAGCACACAAGTCCTCAAAGAAGGCTGCTGATGAAGCTTTTTATCTTTCTCTTCCAAGATTCTACACAGTACAGGGCTGGAGTTTCAACATCAAGTCGAGGAAGCCAAGGATTTAGATCAATTGATTAAAATTCACTATAGGTATCTGTCAACCATCCATGACCGGTGTCTGCTGAGAGAAAAGGTACATGAGATGTCTCCTGCAGATGTGGCCACTGCTGGGCGAGTGGCGCTGTCTGCGTGCTTTGGAATTTTATGATGATTAAGCTTCTGTCCTGTAGAATATTCTTTAAGGAAGAACCAGATGAAATGAGGTTACAAACAAATGCCCCAGGCCGGCCACAATGGCTCATGCCTGTAATCCCAGCACATTGGGAAACTGAGGCAGGCAGATCTTATGAGGCCAAGAGTTCAAGACCACCCTGGGCAACATAGCAAGACTCTGTCTTTACAAAAAGTTAAAAAGATTAGCAGACATGGTGGTGCATACCTGGAGGCCCAGCTACTTGGGAGGCTGAGGTGGGAGCATTGTTTGAGGCCAGGAGTTTGAGGCTGCAGTGAACTATGATCTGACACCACTGCACTCCACTCCAGCTTGGGTAACAGAGCAAGACCTTGTCTCTTAAAAAAAAAAAAAAAAAAAAAAAAAAAAAACAGAAGGAGGAGTGCCCTATTCGTAGAAATTGTATCTAAGAGCAACATGAGAACTATGTGTGATAGTCAACACTCACTCTGCGTTACTCTTGGATTCATTTGGAAAATTGTGTCTGCAGTTGCGGAGCAATAGCATGTCCACTTCATGTGAATAGATAGAATTCAGTAATGTTAAAACCATTGCAATTATTTGTCCTAGTTTCATTGGTGAATTTAAATGGCCATCCCAGGAAAAGGTCTTAATAGTTTGTTTTGTTGGTTTGACTGTACTGCTAATATCACTTGTATCTTACATTCAGTGAATGCATGTGCCTGGTCCCAAATGGGCATGGTTCAGAGCCTAGTACCCTTCCATATACACAGAAGGCAGTCACTGTGGTGATGAACTTTTTCTGTGATTCATTTAAAATAGGTAAAAGTGTTGGTATCAGTGTCCAAACCTAGTTACACAGTTTGTGTTCTGTGACTTTGGTCTGCAGGTCAGCTTTGTGAAAGAAGCTATCATGAAGGTGTTGAACTTGGCTCTCATGTTTGCAGACGGTTGGCAGGCAGGCCTGGGCACTTGGCGGTAAGTATGTGATTTCTGCAGCATCTGCACTGTGACCATTTCAGCTTCAGCTTCCCTTTTTTTTAGAGACAGGGTCTTCCCAGCCATTCAGGAGGCTGAGAGGAGAGGATTGCTTGACCCCAGGAGTTCAAGACTAGCCTGGGCAACATAGCAAAACCCAGTCTTTAAAAAAAAAAAAAAGTGCAAGTATTTTTTGAGAAGTAAAACATTTTTAAAAATCTGAGGTCTTCTGATTTAAACAAGCAAACATTTTTAGATTATACTCATGTTATATTGTGTACGTTTTGTTAAATTTTTATCATGGACACCTTCAAACTGAAGTGGCAAAGACAGTGTTGTGAACACCGTGATGGCACCTGCTTCAGCTGTGCCAGTGAGGACAGCTCTGTCATGTCTGTGCCCACCTCCCCAGTCACACTTGCTGAATTATTTTAAATCAAATTCTGGACATCATGCTAGACTATTCTCCAAAGTTGTATTTTGGATGAGCTCTAAAAGATGCTGTGTTTTGAGAGTGTTTGTTATTCACACACATCACATAGGCAAGTGCACTGAATCAGGGGAAGTGGCCCGGGAGCAGCTCCCTCTAGCACTGCCATCCTCTACTGTTAACTCCAGTGTACAGCTCAATATTTTGTTACCTGTCCTGTTTATAAAGTCAGTGCAACAGTAATTCTGCTGTTACTTCCATGAAATAAAAGTGCATGTTTGGTTGACTGTACTTACTCCATGTCAGTAAGGAAGTAAGAATTCATTTGAGTGCTAGTATAATTCGAAATCTCCCATTGGCTGTACTCGGAATCAAGAAACTAAGGTAGTAGATGAAGCCATAGCTGCAGGGATGGAAATAGAAGTCTTCCTCGCTTTATATTGCTGGCTCAAAGTGTGCAAAATATATTTTGCTTTTTTTTTTTCTTTTTTTTTTGTCTCACTTTGGGGTGGAGGAGAAATAACACTGCTGCATATGCTTTGCTGAAATTCAACTCTTTCAGGTTTTTTTTACAAATAAATGTGAGAAAAATACAGGGGGTGAGGAACTTAAGAAGTCTATCAACCATCGCAGTTTATGGATAAGTTAATTGTTCCTGATTGAGACTTAAAGCCGAAAAGTGAAAAATTGTAGAAGCAATGTGAAATTTGCTTGAATGCTATTAGATGATATTTTTGAGCAAATGGTGTTGTGGCTGTGTTTTGAAAGGAGTCTTTATCTTTAAAGTATACATTTATACTTATGAAATATTCATGACTGTGGTGCTCTGATGTCTCCTGTTTGCTTCTGAATATTGTGGTGGGGCTGTGGAGGTGTAAGCTTGGCATGTGGCACCTGCCATGGCTGGGCAGTGGGCCATGGAAACCCCTTCTGAAGTTCTCTCTTACAAAGTGTTTGATATTTCTTTAAAAAAAAAAAAAAGAAAGAAAGAAAGCCGAGCACAGTGGCTTACGCCTGTAATCCCAGTGCTTTGAGAGGCTGAGGTGGGCGGATCTCCTGAGGTCAGGAGTTCGAGACCAGCCTGACCAACATGGAGAAACTCCATCTCTACTAAAAATACAAAATTAGCCAGGCGTGGTGGTGCATGCCTGTAATCCCAGCTACTTGGGAGGCTGAGGCAGGAGAATTGCTGAACCCAGGAGGCAGAGGTTGTGGTGTGGTGAGCCGAGATCGCTACATTGCACTCCAGCCTGGGCAACAAGAGCGAAACTCTGTCTAAAAAAAAAAAAGGCAGCCAGGCTCCATGGCTCACAACTGCAATCCCAGCACTTTGGGAGGCCAGTGGGGGCAGATCAGCTGAGGTCAGGAGTTCGAGACCAGCCTGACCAACATGGCGAAACCCCATCTCTACAAAAAATACAAAAATTAGCCAGACATGGTGGTGGGCATCTGTAATCCCAGCTACTCAGGAGGCTGAGGCAGGAGAATCACTTGAACCCAGGAGGCGGAGGTTACAGTGAGCCGAGATCGTGCCACTGCTCTCCAGCATGGGCGACAGAGCAAGACTCCATCTCAAAAAGAAAAAAAACCTTTTTAAAAATAATTTCAGATTTTAAGTTTTATATCCTTAATGTGTTCTTTATTTCAAAGAGAATGTATGCTTGTAAACAATAAAAACAAGACTGTATAAAGGAAAAGGGAGTATCTTTGGTCCTCCTAGTTCCAGAACTAGATACTATCTGGAAACAGCACAGTTTTATATCCTAATGAAACTTCCTTTGAAACACTTTGACATTTTTTATTTTAAAGTAGGGTAGGACGTTATGTGTTTTATTTTATAATCTTTAGATTTAGGATTTTAAATAATTAAACCAAAATACATTTGAAATTACTCCACAGATATCTTGAAGCCTACCTATATACCCGCAATGCACTTACTTAATTGAAATTTACTTTTATTCCTAGAATGGAATCTATAGAGAAAATGGAATCTGATTTTAAAAACTGCCATATGTTTCTTGTAACCATTTTAAACAAAGCCGTCTGTAGAGGATCCTTTCCCCATTGTGAGTATATCATGTTAAAATATTTCTACCTCTGTATTTCCTTGTAACTAAGTGTATGTGTCATTGTTTTGTTACTGATCCCATGAAGAATTAGAAATTCTCACCATTTTCAAAACTGAAAAGTCCCTTAGCAGTTGTCCCATGCTTTGAATTGCTTTTTAAGCATTACGGTGAGGTGAGTGTAAGCCTGAGGATCTTACTTTCTGGTATACCATTTATTACAACAGATTTCTAAAACTCCTATTAAATAAAGTTGATGGCAGAATAGATTTCTGTCACACTTCACTATCGTGTAGTTTTTGTAACTATTTCTTTTCAAAATCTAGTCTTTTTAAAAATTTTTTTAGGAATTTAAAGCTCCTGGCCTGGCGCGGTGGCTCATGCCTCTAATCCCAGCCCTTTGGGAGGTTGAGTGAATCACTTAAGGTCAGGAGTTGGAAGACCAGCCTGGCCTACATGGCAAAACCCTGTCTCTGCTAAAAATACAAAAATGAGCTAGGCATGGTGGCACATGCCTGAAATCCCAGCTACACAGCAGGCTGAGGCAGGAAAATTGCTTGAACCCGGGAGGCAGAGGTTGCAGTGAGCTGAGATTGTACCATTGCACTCCAGCCTGGGTGACAGTGGGACTCCGTCTTCAAAAAAAATTTTTTTTCAACATTTAAACCTATTGTTTTAACCTTATTTTTATTCTTCCCACAGTGGAATCTCTAGCGTTGTCACTCATGGCTGGCATGGAACAAAGTTAAATGTCTTCAGCGTAATAAATATCTCCGACTTTGTCATCATACATGTACATTTCCACCATGTGCAGCTGAAAAGTGAAAATATTTTTATTTTGGTTTATTTGTAAAACTTGTCCACAGTCAGCCTGGCACAGTCGCTCATGCCTCTAATCCCAGCACGATGGGAGGCCAAGACAGGCAGATCACTTGAGCCCAGGAGTTTGAGGCCAGCCTGGGCAACATGGTGAAACCCGGTGTCTACCAAAAATACAAAATGTATCCAGACATGGTGGTGTGTACCTGTAGTCCCAGCTACTCAGGAGGCAAAGATGGGAGGATTACTTGAGCCCAGGAGGTCAAGGCTACAGTGAGCCATGATTGCACTACTGCAGTGCAACCTGGGTGACAGAGTGAGACCCTGACTCAGAAAGAACCACTTGCCCACAGTCCAGACAGATGGATTGTAGGTGGGTTTTCTGGAGATTAGTAGATACTGTATAGAGTTGTATACATAAAATTGTGTCAGTAGTACAAAGTGTATATAGGCTGTTTACTCTTACATTTCCTACTGTAAGATACAGATTTATGGTACTGATACCTTTAAATTATATCATATTTTGAAAATGTAATTACTGATATTCAAAATAAATTAAAGGACTTAAAATCATTTTATTATCCTTTTGCTGCTGTCCTACAGTCACAGAAGCTTTTTATATAGAGTTTTACATGTTGTCTTCCCTAAAAGTTGTCTTAGATGTAGCTGTCCTAGAAATGTTTATATTTTGGCTGGGTGTAGTTTCTCAAGCTTGTAATCCTGGCACTTTGAAAGACTGAGGTGAGAGGATTCCTTGAGGCCAGCAGTTTAAGACCTGCCTAGGCAACATATGAGACCCCATCTCTCCAAAAACAACTTAAAAATTAGCCAAGGGCTGGGCACGGTGGCTCACCCCTGTAATCCCAGCACTTTGGGAGGCCGAGGTGGGCGGATCATCTGAGGTCAGGAGTTCAAGACCAGCCTGGCCAATGTGGTGAAACCCCGTCTCTACTAAAAATACAAAAAAATTAGCCAGGTGTGGTGGCCCACATCTGTAATCCCAGCTACTTGGGAGGCTGAGGCAGGAGAATCACTTGAACCCAGGAGGCAGAGGTTGCGGTGAGCCTAGATTGTACCACTGCACTCCATCCTGGGTGACAGAGCAAGACTCCGAAAAAAAAAAATTAGCCAAGCATGGTGGCACATGCCTGTGGTCCCAGCTACTTGGGAGGCTGAGGTGGGAGGATCGATTGAGACCGGGAGGTCAAGGCTGCAGTGAACCATGATTGCATCACTGCACTCCAGCCTGGACAACAGAGCAAGACCTTGTCTCCAACAAAAAAAAAGAAAGAAAGAAATGTATATATGTTTTGTTGTGCCTGAGAAGTTCTACATGGAAAATAGCTTCAACTGATAGCGATAAATGTAAAAGGCCAACTTCACTTAGGGCCAACTGTTGGTACATACTATTGTTTGGTATTTCCTTGTTTTTTGAAATGTGGAGGCTCACTCTGTTACCTAGGCTGCAGTGCAGTAGCACGATCTCGGCTCACTACAACCTCTGCCTCCTGGATTCAAGTGATTCTCCTGCCTCAGCCTCCCGAGTAGCTGGGATCTCAGGCGTGCACCACCACGCCCAGCTAATTTTTGTATTTTTAGTAGAGACAGGGTTTCACCTTGTTGGCCAGACTGGTGTCGAACTCCTGGCCTCAGGTGATCCACCCGCCTTAGCCTCCCAAAGTGCTGGGATTACAGGCGTGAGCCACTGTGCCTGGCAATATTTCTGAGCAATTTTTGTGAGCTAACCAGTTATATTTTGAATAGAATTATGCTTACTATTAAATTTTTCCATATTTTCTTTTTATAGAGTGAGACTATCTTTAAAAAAAAAAAAGGCCACACATAGTGACTCATGCCTGCAATCCCAGCACTTTGGGAAGCCAAGGTGGGTGGATCATGAGGTCAGGAGTTCGAGACCAGCCTGACCAATGTGGTGAAACCTTGTCTCTACTAAAAATACAAAAATTAGCTGGGCGTGGTGGCACACACCTGTAATCCTAGCTACTCAGGAGGCTGAGGCCAGAGAATTGCTTGAACCTGGGTGGCCGGAGGTTGCAGTGAGCTGAGATCATGCCACTGCACTCCAGCCTGGGCGACAGAGCGAGACTCTGTCTCAGAAAAAAATAAGAAAAAGAAAAAAAATATGAAAGCTAGAACTGGAAACAACAAAATGTGGAAGTTAGGACTAGAAAGCTTCTAGAAGCAAACATGGGAAATTAACACTACAAACTTGGGGTAGACAAAGATTTCTTACATAAAATCAAAAAAGGGGCCGAGCACGGTGGCTCATGCCTGCAGTCCCAGCACTTTGGGAGGTCAAGGTGGGTGGATCACCTGAGGTCAAGAGTTCCAGACCAGCCTGACCAATATGGGGAAACCCCGTCTCTACTAAAAATACAAAAATCAGCCGGGCGTGGTGGCGCACACCTGTAGTCCCAGCTACTCAGGAGGCTGAGACAGGAGAATCGCTTGAACCTGGGAGGCAGAGGTTGCAGTGAGCCGAGATCACACCACTGCACTCCAGCCTGGGTGACAGAGCAAGACTCCGTCTCAAAAGGAAAAAAAAAAAGGAATTATTGGTGAATTGGACATCACCAAAAAACATTGCTAGGAAAATGGTAATACAGGCCACAGACTGGGAGAGAACATTTCCCCTTAGCCCCTTTCAGGAACCATGTCATGCCCAGAGGCAACCACTGTTGCCCAGGGTGTCCAGAAGTAACTATGTTCAGAGTGTATGAAGGCATTTTAAATTAGTAAGACAAGCTTTTTTTTTTTTCATTGATGCAAGGTCTTGCTTTGTTGCCCATGCTGGAGCGCATTGGCACAGTCTTGGCTCACTGAAGCCTCAACCTCCGGGGAGCAAGCACTCCTCCCTCAGCCTCCTGAGTAGCTGAGACTACAGGTATGCACCACCATATGCGGCTAATCTTTTGTGTTTTTTTGGAAGAGTTGGGTTTTCAGCCAGGTGCAGTGGCTCATGCCTATAATCCCAGCACTTTGGAAGGCCTAGGCAGACCGATCACTTGAGGCCAGGAGTTTGAGACCCGCCTGGCCAACATGGTGAAACTCCATCTCTACTAAAAATACAAAAAATAGCTGGGTGTGGTGACAGACACCTGTAGTCCCACCTACTCTGGGAAGGCTGAGGCATGAGAATTGCTTAAACCTGGGAGTTGGAAGTGGCAGTGAGCCAAGATCACACCACAGCCCTTCGGCCTGGGTGACAGAGCAAGACTCTGATTCAAAAATTAAAGAAAATAAAAATTAAAAAGATGAAGTCTTAACTATGTTCCCCGGCTGATGTGAATTCCTGGGCCCAAGTAGTCCTCTGGCCTCAGCCTCCCAAAGTGCTGGGATTACAGGTGTGCGCCATTGCACCCAGCCCAAGACATTTTTTTTAATGAGCACAAAGAGGCAAGGAAGGCACAAAAATGGCCAATTAAACCGCACGAGCACCACAGCCTCTGGCATGGCTAAAATAAAAAGACCGGCATGTCAAATAATTTTCAAGGATTTAGAGCAACTGGAAATTACAAGATGGTACAAGCACTTGGGGAAACTATATGGCATTTTCTTACAAAGGTTAACATGTATCTACCCCTGAGAAGCAGCAGTTCACCCTTAGGTATTTATCCAAGAGGAATTTTTAAATGCGTCCACGCAGAGATTTGTATCTGAATATTCATAAGAGCTAAAAGCTAGAAACATCCTGATGACGGTGAAGAGGTAGATGGATCAACACTGAAGTATATGCACGCAGTGGAATGCAGTTCAGCTGTGAAAACACAGCTCATCCACATAACGACATAAGAGAATTCCAGGAACTTTATGTCGAAAAAAAAGCCAGACTTAAAAGGATCCGTTATTATTCCATTTACATGAAGTTAATGAACTGGTAAAACTAGTCTCCAGTGATAGAAATTGCAACAGTGGTTGCCTCTGGCCATGACATGTTACCTGAAAGGGGGTTGGGGGAAATTTCTGGGGGTGATGGGTGTGTTCTGTGTCTTCATTGGTCCCACAGGTACATGCATGTGACAAAACTCATTGAATTGTATCAAGTGTGGGGCTGGGTGTGGAGCAACTGGGAATTTCTTACATTACTGGTGGAAATGCAGATGGTACAGCCAATTTGGGTTTTTTTGGTTTTTGTTTTGTTTTTTTTTTTTTTTGAGACGGAGCCTTGCTTTGTCACCTAGGCTGGATTGCAGTGGTGCGATCTCACCTGGTGTGTGTTTGCAGATGACTTTCCTAGCAGCACATCCCAGGAGGTTTCTTAGGTTACACAATGTCTTTAAAGCTGCAGGTGGCTTTGGGCCAGGTGCCCTCCTATGGGGGACCACGAACAAGGTGGAGCCGGACACCAGTATGGTGCTTCCCAACAGAATCCAGGGGTCACTTCTGTTTTTATAATTGAATGAGTAAAACAGCATCTGAGTGATCTTTTAATTTGTATTTCTTTTATTTATTCTTTTATTTTTATTTTTATTTATTTATTTATTTTAGACAGATTCTCGCTCTGTCCCCCAGGCTGGAGTGCAATGGTGTGATCTCAGCTCACCTCAACCTCTGCCTCCCAGGTTCAAGTGATTCTCCTGCCTTAGTCTCCTGAGTGGCTGGGACCACAGACGCACACCATCATGCCCAGGTAATTTTTGTATTTTTAATAGAGATGGGGTCTCACCGTGTTAGCCAGGCTGTTCTTGAACTCCCGACCTCGAGTGATCCGTCCACCTGGGCCTCCCAAAGTGATGGGATTACAGGCATGAGCCACTGCCCCCGGCCTTATTTTTAAAATATAGATGGGGTCTCGCTATGTTGCCCAGGGTGGTCTCAAACTTTGGAGCTCAAGCACAATCCTGCACTGGCCTCCCAAAGTGCTGGGATTACAGGCGTGAGCCACCGTGCCCAGCCTTGGTACAGCCAATTTGGAAGAGTTTTTCAGTCTTTTACACTGTTAAACATATCTTTATTAAACATATTTTTACAATGTTAAACAACTTATCACCCAGCAATCCCACTCCTAGGTGTTTACCCAAGAGAAATGAAATGTATATTCACACAAAAACCTGTACACAAATGTTTATAGTGGCTTTACGAATAAGTGCCAAAAACTAGAAACAGTCCACATGACCATCAACTGGTGAATGAATAAACAGCTTCAATTTACCCAATGGAATACTGCACAGAAAGGAAAACATGACTTTGTAACAACTTGGATGAGTCTCAAACTGCTTGAGTTTTCTGAATGAAAAGACATCTTTACACTGAATCTAAGAGCTGTTCCTTTGCTCATGTGTGTGGAAAAGCTAAGGCCGTGCTGCACATCGCCCTATCCTATCTGTAAAATGGACTGGGACCAGGCACGGTGGCTCACGCCTGTAATCCCAGCATTTTGGGAGGCCAAGGCAGGCGGATTATTGGAGGTCACGAGTTCAAGACCAACCTGGCCAATATGGTGAAACCCCGTCTCTACTAAAAATACAAAACAATTAGCCAGGCGTGGTGGTGGGCACCTCTAATCCCAGCTACCTGGGAGGCTGAGGCAGGAGAATCTCTTGAACCCAGGAGGCAGAGTTGCAGTGAGCCGAGACTGCACCATTGCACTGCAGCCTGGGCAACAAGAGCAAAACTTCATCCTAAAAAAGAAGGGAAAAAAGACCCTATTGTTGGAGAGATTCTGTGAGACACACCCTTAATCTATTCACAGAGCCTTTAGTGTCACTAAAGGGTACTCTGAGGCAACATTTATTAATCTTTTTGACATCAGAAGCTCAGTGGCTCACACCTGTAATCCCAGCATTTTGGGAGGCCGAGGCAGGCGAATCGCTTGAGCCCAGGAGTTCAAGACTAGCCTGGCCAACGTGGTGAAACCGCATCTCTACAAAAAATACAAAAATTAGTCTGGGCACGGTGGCTCACGCCTGTAATCCCAACACTTTGGGAGGCCGAGGCAGGTGGATCATCTGAGGTCAGGAGTTCGAGACCAGCCTGGCCAACATGGTGAAACCCCATCTCTACTGAAAATACAAGAACTAGCTGGGCATGGTGGTGCATACCTGTAATCCCAGCTACTCAGGAGGCTGAGACAGGAGAACCGCTTGAACCCAGGAGGCGGAGGTTGCAGTGAGCCGAGATCGCACCATTACACTCCAGCCTGGGCGACAGAGCGAGACTCCGTCTCATATTAAAAAAAAAAAAAAAAAAAAAAAAAAAAAAAAAACTTCGGGGGCTGAGGTGGGAGGATTATTTGAGCCCAGGAGGTCGAGGGTCTAGTGAGCTTGATCGTGCCACTGCACTCCAGCCTGGGCGGCAGAGTAAGTTCATGTCTCAAAATAAAAAAGAGTTTCCAGCTGGGCGCGGTGGCTCACACCTGTAATCTCAGCACTTTGGGAGGCAGAGGCAGGCGAATCACGAGGTCAGGAGTTCGAGACCAGCCTGACCAACATGGTGAAACCCTGTCTCTACTAAAAATACAAAAGTTAGCCGGGCATGGTGGCGCATGCCTGTGATCCCAGCTACTTAGGAGGCTGAGGCAGGGGAATCGCTTGAAGCCGGGAGGTGGAGGTTGCAGTGAGCTGAGATCACACCGCTACACTCCAGCCTGGGCGACAGAGCGAGACTCAATCTCAAAAATAAAGAGTTTCCAATCACATCCTGAGCATCGTCTCTAGAGCACATTTTCTTGGCAGTGCCATATAGTTTATCCTTGCTCGATAGTCATTTTCTTATTTTAGCATCATTTGCCGTATGGGGAGGCTAAAACATTTCAAAACCATTAATTCTGTCTCCTTTTTTTTTTAAATCTTTCTCTCAGTTAATGCTCTCCTCTCACATTTTACTATACCCAGCAGGAAGAAACCAGGCAGCATCTTGAATACTTTGTTTGGAAAATCTCATTAGCTAGGTCACCCGTTTATTATGTATATTCTGTCCTATCCATGTAACGTCAGGTAACAGCAGGGCTAAACTTTCTGCTGCTACTTAGTGAAAGTCTTCCTTCAATTTCCAATAACAACATTCTTCTCACTTTCTTTTAAGCCCTCTTCAGCAATGTCCTCAAAGTCCAAAGTCTAAGAACAGTGTGTTCAAAGCACTTTAGTGTCATCAACACTCTCCTCAAACCCTGGTCCCAGAGCCATGCCCACCTGTTAGGTTTTGCTACAGCAGCATCCTCTCTCTGTACCAAAATCTGTATCAGTCCAAGAGCAGAGCCATTAATATACATGTGTGTGTGTGACACACATATACATACATATATATGTGTGTATATATATATTACCCATACACCCATACCTGTGGATAATCGTGGACTTGCTGCAGGGCTTTGCTCTTACACAGTTAATTGTGTAAACTGATTCGTCAGTTTCCATAGGGCTGCCTGTTGTCTGCATCCGACGCTGGAGCCTACTGTCCACAGGAGGTTTGGGAGGGACCTAAACCTGCGTCAGTTCTTGCTGCTTCTGGCCTTGGTGGTGTGGAGGTGCTGCAGAAGCTAGGGCCTCTCATCATGAAGATGAGCCAGATGCCTCCTTCGGGAGCCACAGGATCCAGAGAGTCAATGAAAGTAAAACTTCAGGACTGTCTGGATTTATTACGCCAGGGAGGAAGTTGAGCCCTGGAGACTGTCAGGTCGTACGACTGCAATTCTTCTCAGATTCACTCTCTTCCTCATTGTTCTTGTTCTGTAAATGACTAAGAGAGACCAGAGACCAGACCTCCCCACTTCCAATCACTGGTTTTGTTGTAGATGAACTGCCTCCTTTGCTGTCCGGTACCTAATGTGGACCAGACGGTGCTCAAGACCCTATCACTAGTACAACCTCAGTGTGGAATGTTAAATATGCCTTGCCTGGAAGAAAAAGACCAACTTGACTAATCAGATCATCATAACTATGCATGAAGTCTTCCACAGAAAGATGATGAAATTTTGTTACACTTCCCTAACCTTTGTCTAAATAAGCATTCCCAAACATCTACACTTTGGAACACTGACTTCTGTTCTTTGAGATGGGTGCTTCCCAGGTGGCCCATCCTCAAACTTTTTGCTTGAATAAACTCTCTAAACTAGATTCTGTTCCTTTTGATTATTTTAGGTTGACAAGAAGAAGGCAGTAGTGGCAGTCCTGGCCATGGTGGTGTTAACAGTGTAAGCTGTCAGACCCACAACACGTGTGAGCCACAACACAGTGGCAGCTCCCTGCCTCTCCCCAAGCCTCCGCCAGCGCCTCCCTCATGGTCTTGCAGAAACACAGGAAGAACTCTAGTAAACCTGGGTCAGCTTAGCCAGCTCCACATGCTGCAAAGCCACCACATCAATTCATGGCATCATTAAGTTAAGAAAGAGTAATTTGGCTGGGCATGGTGGCTCACACCTGTAATCCCAGCACTTTGGGAGGCCGAGGCAGGCGGATCACCTGAGGTCATGAGTTCGAGACCAGCCTGGCCAACATGGTGAAACCCCGTCTCTACTAATATAGAAAATTAGCCGGGTGTGGTGGTGTGCGCCTGTAATCCCAGCTACTCAAGAGGCTGAGGCAGTAGAATCACTTGAGCCTGGGAGGCAGAGGTTGCAGTGAGCTGACATCGCGCCACTGCACTCCAGCCTGGTGAGCGCGCGAGACTCCGTCTCAAAAAAAAAAAAAAGTAATTTATTATAAGGAAGTCCTTATACTGTTGCCTGTGGCTGCTGTAACACATTACCATAAACCTGGTGGCTTAAAACAACAGATATTCATTCTCTTGAAGTTCTGGAGGACAGAAGGCCAAAATTCAAGGGAGCAATAGGGCCATGGCCGCGCCATTCTTTGCCTCCCCAGTTTCTGGGGGCTGCCAGCATTCTATGACTGTGGCTGTGTGGCTGCTTCACTCCCATCCCTGCCTCTGTGTTCACACTGCCTCTTTCTGGGTCTGTTCTCTGCGTGTCTCTTGTAAGCACACTGCTTATTGGATTTAGGGCCCCTTCAGATAATCTAAGATGATCCCATCTCAAGAACTTAGATCTGCTAAGACTCTTTTTCTTCACATAAGGTAACTGTCTTAGTCTGTTAAGGCTGCTATAACAAAGCAGCATAGACTGGGTGGCTCTAAACAGGAGAAATTTATTACAGTTCTGGAAGCTGAGCGCCCAAGATCATGGCACCACAGAGTTGGTGTCTGGTGAGGGAATGGAGGAATTTTAATCCAAAAATGCATGCTGTGTTTCCTGCTCGGGGAGAGCTGTCTCCCTGTTCTGCTGGTATTTGTTTTTCTACCTGTTACTTCTGCTTTCTCACCTTTCCTTGCTGTGCTTTTCCTGTAGTGGTTGGAAGGTGGATGCTCACAGATCCCAAATGCACGTGACCAGTTCTTGGCTCCAGCCTTGGCCTGGGTTCCCCAGAAATACAACCTGAGACAAAGCCGTAGGTGCCTCTACTCTGAGATGGGGTGCAGTGCCCGTAGTGGGAGTCAGAGAGTGCCCTAGCAGGAGGAGGAGAGAGATGGAAGAGGAGGGGAAGAGGAGGGGGAGGAGTGGGAGAAGGAGGGGGAGTGCTGATGGATATGGGGCCATCTCAGTAAGATGGCATTGCTAAGTGTGCCTGCCCCACCTCTCGGGATGTCCCTAGAAGCCATGTGGACTGCATCAGGAAGGAAAGAGAGGAATCTGCCTGTGAGTGCCTCTCATTAGTCAAAGGTGCAGGGAATGTTAACTCTGTGCACAGCTGCATGGTTCATGTGTGATCTCAGAGGACTCTGATGCCTCCTGGTGACAGGGAAGCCCCAGGGCAGGAGGTGAGAGATCCAGGCGGGCACCAGGGAGACGTGTGGTTGGGTTCTTGGTTGGAGTCCACATGTTTTCACTGCAGAAGAAATAAAAGTCCTGAAGTTAGGAGGCTGTGATGTGAGTGAGAAAGTTCCAACTCTAAGCTCCCAACCAAGGTTCCCACAGCGAGTCAACTTGGGTCAGGTGCCCACTCCAGCTTGAACAAGGTGTGGCAAGAAATAAGAGATCAGGTTGTACAAATATAGCAGCTGAGATCATGCTATTGTGGAATGGAGGGATCAGTTAAGAAGGAATTAAAGTTCCTCCTGGTTGGCCAGGCACATGACTTGCACCTGTAATCCCAGCACTTTGGGAGGCCAGGTGGGAGGATCCCTGGAGGCCAGGAGTTCAAGGCCAACCTGGACAACAAAGTGAGACCCTGTCTCTAGATAAATAAATAAATCATAAATTTAAAAAGACAGACCAAGACAAGTATGATTTAAGGGGATATGTATGGGTGCCAAGTTAACAGGGGGTGGGTTGTGGTGGTCTTTTTATTGTGTCAACCTAGTGAGGCTGTCCCAGCTGTTCTATCAAACACACACCTCGTGTTGCTAGAAGGTATTTACTGGATGTGATTAAATTTCATATCAGTTGACTTTAAGTAAAGGAGATGATCCCAGGCAGTCCAGCTGGGCCGGATTCAATGGGTTAGAGGACACTGAGGCAGAGCTCCAGCTTCCTGAGACAAGGCGGAATGGTAGCCCCAAAGCTGTCTGCTTCCTAATCCCTGGGCCGTGTGACTATGTTAGTTTACATGGCAAGAGGAGAATTAAAATTGCAGATGGAATTAGGGTTGCTAGTCCACTGACTTGAGATAGAGACGTTACCCTGCATTATCTGGGGATGTCGTCACACGGCTCCTAAAGGTGGAAGAGGGGACAGAAGCACAGTGTCAGAGAAAGGTGTGAGGCCAGGGCAGCCTGAGGGCAGAGCCAGCTGAGGGCTTTGAGGACAGAAAAAGTCAAGGGAAGGAGCAGGATCCGGGAATGTGAGTGGCCTCTACACCAATATGGAGAAATCCTGTCTGTACTAAAAACACAAAAACTAGCTGGGCCTGGTGGTGCATGCCTGAATCGCTTGAACCAGGGAATCGGAGGTTGCAGTGAGCTGAGATCACGCCACTGCACTCCAGCCTGGCAACAGAACAAGACTCCGTCTCAAAAAACAAACAAACAACAAACAACAAAAAAACAGATTTTTTTTTTTTTTTGAGACGGAGTCTCGCTCTGTCGCCCAGGCTGGAGTGCAGTCACGCGATCTCGGCTCACTGCAAGCTCTGCCTCCTAGGTTCACGCCATTCTCCTGCCTCAGCCTCCCGAGTAGCTGGGACTACAGGCACCCACCACCACGCCCGGCTAATTTTTTTTGTATTTTCTAGTAGAGACGGGGTTTCACTGTGTTAGCCAGGATGGTCTCGATCTCCTGACCTCGTGATACGCCCGCCTTGGCCTCCCAAAGTGCTGGGATTACAGGCTTCAGCCACCGCAACCGGCCAAAAAAACCAGATATTAATTATCTTCAAGTTCTGGGGGCTGGAAGGCCAAAATTCAAGGCAGCAATAGGGCCTTGCCTCCACCATTCTTTACCTGCTCAGTTTCGGGGGCTGCCAGCATTCTATGACTTGTGGCTGTGTGGCTGCTTCACTCCCATCTCTGCCTCTGTGTTCACACTGCCTCTTTTTCTGGGTCTGCTCTCAGTGTCTCATGTAAGCACACTGCTTATTGGATTTAGGGCCCCTTCAGATAATCTAAGATGATCCCATCTCAAGAACTTAGATCCGCTAAGACTCTTTCTTCATATAAGGTACTGTCTTAGTCCGTCAGGACTCCTATAACAAAGCACCATAGACTGGGTGGCTATAAACAGGAGAAATGTATTACTCATAGTTCTGGAAGCTGAGTGCCCAACATCAAGGCACCACAGAGTGGGTGTCTGGTGAGGTCCCACTGTCTGGTTCTCAGTGGCTGTTGTCTGGCTGTGTCTTCACATGGCAGAAAGGACAAGGCTGTTCTCTGGGGTGTCTTTTTTTTTTTTTTTTTTTTTTTTTTTTGAGATGGAGTCTCGCTCTGTCACCCAGGCTGGAGTGTGGTGGCGCAATCTCGGCTCACTGCAAACTCTGCCTCCCGGGTTCATGCCATTCTCCCACCTCAGCTTCCCGAGTAGCTGGGACTACAGGCACCCGCCACCACGCCCGGCTAATTTTTTGTATTTTTAGTAGAGACGGGGTTTCACCGTGTTAGCCAGGATGGTCTCCATCTCCTGACCTCATGATCCACCCACCTCAGCCTCCCAAAGTGCTGGGATTACAGGCGTGAGCCACCGCGCCTGGCCCCCTCTGGGGTGTCTTTTATAAGGGCACAAATCCCACTCATGAGGACTCTACTTTTGTGACCTGTCAGCTCCCAAAGGCCCCACCTCCTAATGCCATCATCTTGGTGATGGGGTTTCAACATAGTAGTAACAGCCACAGGTTCCAGGGATTTGACACAGGTATTTGCTGGGGGATGCTTTTTCAGTTTACCAGAGCCAAAAATTTGTAGTAATTTGTTGTGACCGTGACAGAAACCTAAAAACAGGACAGTAACTTTCTTTTCTTTTTTTTTTTTTTTGAGATGGAGTTTTGCTCTTGTTGCCCAGGCTGGAGTGCACAATGGAGTGATCTTGGCTCACCACAACCTCCGCCTCCCCCATTCAAGTGATTCTCCTGCCTCAGCCTCCCAAGTAGCTGGAATTGCAGGCATGTTCCACCACGCCCGGTTAATTTCTTGTATTTTTAGTAGAGATGGGGTTTCTCCATGTTGGTCAGGCTGGTCTTGAACTCCTGACCTCAGGTGGTCCGCCTGCCTCAGCCTCCCAAAGTGCTGGGATTACAGGCGTGAGCCACCGCCCCCAGCCACAGGACAGTAACTTTCTGATGGCCTGCCCTCCAGATTTCATCCTAGCTGAGCCAGCCCCCATAGTGCATAAGCCAATTCCTTGCAGTAAATCTCCTAATATGTATCTCCTACTGATTCTGCTTTTCTGGTTGAACCCTGACTGACATAATATGCTTGTGTCAATATCAGCCTGACAAAGATGCAGAATATTTCCAAGTCCCCAGAAGTTTCCTACACGCCTCTTTTCAGTCCATCCTATTCCCTGCAGACCACCTCACCCAAGCAAACGATTTAACGATTTCTGACTTCCTTTTCTTTCTTTTTTTTTTTTTGAGACAGAGTCTCATTCTGTTGCCCAGGTTGGAGTGCGGTGGCGCAATCTCAGCTCACTGCAGCCTCCACCTCCTGGGTTCAAGTGATTCTTCTGCCTCAGCCCCCTGAGTAGCTAGGATTACAGGCACCCACCACCACACCCGGCTAATTTTTTGTATTTTTAGTAGAGATGGGGTTTCGCCATGTTGGTCAGGCTGGTCTCGAACTCCTGACCTCGAGTGATCCACCCGCCTTGGCCTCCCAAAGTGCTGGGATTACAGGGGTGAACCACCACGCCCGGCCAATTTCTGACTTCTGTCACCAGTGAGTAGTGGTGCTATCTGTCATGGAAGTTCATATAGATGAAATCCCACAATATGTACATGGTCTTTTGTGTGTGGAAAATTACAGAATAGTTTTGAGGTTCATCTATTTTATAATACTACTTGTATATCCATTTTCTTCCCCTTTTAAAAACTTTTTTCATCATATTGTTTTCCATAGTGGCACCATTTTACATGCCCACTAAGAGTACACAGAGTTCCAATTTCATCATATCCTTGCCAATACTTGTTATTTTGTTTATTTTTATTTTATTATTATTATTATTTTTTTTTTTTTTTTGAGACAGAGTCTTGCTCTGTCGCCCAGGCTGGAGTGCAGTGGCGTGACCTCGGCTCACTGCAAGCTCTGCCTCCCGGGTTCACACCATTCTCCTGTCTCAGCCTCCTGAGTAGCTGGGACTACAGGCACTCGCCACCACACCCAGCTAATTTTTTTGTATTTTTGATAGAGACAAGGTTTCACCGTGTTAGCCAGGATGGTCTCGATCTCCTGACCTTGTGATCCGCCCATCTCGGCCTTCCAAAGTGCTGGAATTACAGGCATGAGCCACCGTGCCCGGCCTATTATTTCTTTTTTTTGAGATGGAGTCTCACTCTGTCGCCCAGGCTGGAGTGCAGTGGCAGGATCTTGGCTCACTGCAACCTCCGCCTCCTGGGTTCAAGCGATTCTCCTGCCTCAGCCTCCCAAGTAGCTGTTTGTTGATAGTAGGCATCCTAATGAGTGTGAAATAGAAAAACACAAGAACAAATCCTTTTGATTTGTTCTTTCCTTTTTATTGCTGAGTAATATTCCATTATATGAACAGTATTTGTTTATCCATTCTCCTATTTGTGCACTTTGGGTTGTTTCTAGTTTTTTGCGATTATAAATAAGCTGGTAAGAATATTCATTATACAGCCAGGTGTGGTGGCTCATGCCTGTAATCCTAGCACTTTGGGAGGCCGAGGCAGGCGGATCACCTGAGGTCGGGAGTTTGAGACCAGCCTGATCAACATGGAGAAACCCCATCTCTACTAAAAATACAAAATTAGCCAGGAGTGGTGGCGCATGCCTGTAATCCCAGCTACTCGGAAGGCTGAGGCAGGACAATCGCTTTAACTCGGGAGGTGGAGGTTGTGGTGAGCAGAGATCACGCCATTGTACTCCAGCCTGGGCAACAAGAGTGAAACTCCATCTCAAAAAAAACAAAAAAGAAAAAACAAAAGACTATTAATTATACAAGTTTTTGTGCAGAGATTAATTTGTATTTCTATTAGGTAAATACTTAGAAGTAGAATTACCATCATAGGAGATATATATGTTGAATTTTATAAAAGACTTCCAATGTGGTTTCTTTCTGAAGTGTGAGTTAAAGTCTTTTGCCCTATTTTTCCTGCATTGTCATTTTATTGTTGTTTGGGTTCTTTACATATTCTGGACACAAACTCTCTGTCTGTTATATGTATTGCAGTATTGTCTTGCAATATTGTCTATGTCTTTTCACTCTTTTAACATTCTTTTGATGAGAAGTTTTAAATTTCGATCAAATCAATTTATCATTTTTTTCCTAAAGGTACTAACCCTACATTTTTGAGAAATCTTGCCTTCCTCTACTCTACCGTTATAAAATTATTCTCTTATGTTTTCTTCTAGAAGCTTTGTATCTTTAGCTTTCAAATTTAGGTCTATGATCCATACACAGCCAGTTACTTTTTGTACATGGTGTTGGGGAGGAAGTTGAGTTTCAGTTTTTGTACATCGTTATGCAGTTATTCTAGCACCATTTTTAAAAAAAGTTTCTTTTATTTTTTTTTTAACACGGAGTCTCTCTCTGTTGCCAGGTTGGAGTGCAGTGGCATGATCTCAGCTCACTGCAACCTCTGTCTCCTGGATTCAAGTGATTCTCCTGCCTCAGCCCCCGGGGTAGCTGGGATTACAGGCACTCGCCACCACACCCAGCTAATTTTGGTATTTTCAGTAGAGACAGGGTTTCGCCACGTTGGCCAGGCTGGTCTCGAACTCCTGACCTCAGATGATCTGCACGTCTTGGCCTCCCAAAGTGCTGGGATTACAGGTGTGAGCCACTGTGCCCAGCCAAAAAAGAGTTTTCTTTCTCCATGGAAGTCCTTTAGCATCTTAATTGAAAACCAATTGACCAAATAATGTGTACTTAATTTTCACTATTCTGTTCCATTGCTGTATAGTAGTCTCATTTCTATAGATAATTCTTCATTGGCTGTTTGCCCTTAGGCCCATTTCCAGAGGCTTTAAATGGTTATTTATTTTATTTTATTTTATTTCGTTCTATTTTTTTGAGACAGGGTCATGCTCTGTCGCCCAGCCTGGAGTGCAGTGGCACGATGTCAGCTCACTACAACCTCCAACTCTCGGGTTCAAGTGATTCTCCTGCCTCAGCCTCAGTGGTAGCTGGGACCACAGGCACCGCCTACTATGCCCAGCTAATTTTTGTATTTTGTAGAGAGGGGGTTTTGTCCTGTTGGCCAGGCTGGTCTCGAACCCCTGAGCTCAAGCAATCCACTGCCTCGGCCTCCCAAAGTGCTGGGATTACAGGCATGAGCCACCGCACCTGGCCTAATGGTTGTTTTTAAATAAGCACTGTACTATACTCACCTATTTTCAGACTATGGTTGACCATGAGTAACTGGAACTCAGAGGAGGGGGACTACTAGTACAGTATAATGAGATATTTTGAGAGAGAGACGAACTACATCACTTTTATTATAGTATACCACTACAATTGTTCTATTTTTATTATTGTTAATGTCTTACTGTGTCTAATTTATTTATTTATTTATTTTTAGATGGAATCTCACTCTGTGAGTCTCACTCTATCGCCCAGGCTGGAGTGCAGTGGCACAATCTCAGCTCACTGCAACCTCTGCCTCCAGAGCTCAAGCAATCCGCCCACCTTGACCTCCCAAAATGCTGGGATTACCGACCTGTGTGTACTTTATAAATTAAACTTTATCATAGGCCTGCATATATAGAAAAATATATAGTCTATACAGTGTAGAGTGTGCTACTATCTGTCCTTTCAGACATCCACCAGGGGTCTTGAAGCTTATCCCCCAGAAGATGAGGTGGGAACTACTGTAAATAATTTTGACCCTTTGAAATCTGATGAGACTTGTTTTACTTCCTAACATATGGTATATTTTGTGAATGTTACGTGTTTATTTGAAAACTTTAATTCCTGTCAGTAACAGCTTGAAGTCTTCAGTACAAAGCGTCTGAACATCTTTCATTCCGTACAATGCATTCTGTATTCTGTTTTGTGGAGGTGCCATTTAGGTATAATACGTTAATTACTTAAAAAAAATTTTGTATCTTTACTTCTTTTTGTGTCTGCCTGTCCTATCAATTACTAATAGAGAGAAGTTCAAATCTCTATGAGTGTGTATTCGCCTATTTCTTCTTTTGATTCTATCCATCTTTGTCTAAATATTTCAAAACTTATTTGATGTATATATGCACTAAAAGTTATTTTTTCTTCCTTTTCTTTTGAGACGGAGTTTCACTCTTGTTGCCCAAGCTAGAGTGCAATGGCACGACCTTGGCTCACTGTAACCTCCGCCTCCCGGGTTCAAGTGATTCTCCTGCCTCAACCTCCCAAGTAGCTGGGATTACTGCAACCTTCGCCTCCCAGGTTGAAGCGATTCTCCTGCCTCAACCTCCCGAGTAGCTGGGATTACAGGCATGTGCCACCAGACCTGGCTAATTTTTTGTATTTTTGGTAGAAACAGGGTATGTTAGCCAGGCTGGTCTCGAACTCCTGACCTCAGATGACCTGCCCGCCTCAGCCTCCCAAAGTGTTGGAATTACAGGCGTGAGCCACCATGCCCGGCCTATTTTTTCATACTTAATTGACCCATTTATTTTTATCAAATGTCCTTTTTATCACTGATAGTGCCCCTTGAGTTGAATTCTACTTTGATATTAATATAATCACTCCACCTTTCTGATTAGCATGTCCTTTTGCATCTTTTTAATTTCAGCCTCTTTGTGTCCTTATATTTAAATTATGTCTTTTTTTTTTTTTTTTTTGAGACCAGGTTTCACTCTTGTTGCTTAGGCTGGAGTTCAATGGCGCAATCTCAGCTAACTGCAACCTCTGCCTCCCGGGTTCAAGCGATTCTCCTGCCTCAGTCTCCTGAGTAGCTGGGATTATAGGCATGTGCCACCACACCCAGCTAATTTTGTATTTTTAGTAAAGACGGGGTTTTGCCATGTGGGTCAGGCTCGTCTTGAACTCCTGACCTCAGTTGATCCACCCGCGTTGGCCTCCGAAAGTGCTGGGATTAACAGGCATGAGTCACTGTGCCCGGCCAAAATTATGTCTTCTTAAAACAGAATATATTTGGGTCTCGTTTTTAATCCAATGTGACAATTTCTGTGTTTTAATCCATTTACAGTTAGTAAACGGATTACATGTTTAGTCCATTTACATTCAATGTGATTACTAATGTGGTTGAAGTCTAACTGCTTGCTCTTTGTCTTTGCCTTATGTGCTTTTTGCTCCTTCCTTCCTGCTTTCTTTTGGATCAAGCATATTTTTGTATTCTATTTTATCTCTTTTCTTGGATTTTTAGCTGTATTATTTTTTATTAATTGCTCTAGGGATTACAATATTTTATTATTTTAAGACGGAGTCTTGCTCTGTCGCCCAGGCCGGAGTGCAGCGACACGATCTTGGCTCACTGCAACCTCCACTTCCTGGGTTCAAGCGATTCTCCTGCCTCGGCCTCCCGAGTAGCTGGGATTACAAGCCCACACCACCATGCCCGACTAATTTTTGTATTTTTAGTAGAGACGGGGTCTTCACCATGTTGGCCAGTGTGGTCTCGAACGCCTGACCTCAGGTGATCCGCCCGCCTCGGACTCCCAAAATGCTGCGATTACAGGCGTGAGCCACTGCGCTCGGCCGGGATTACAATATTTTAAATTATCACAGTATAACTTGAATTTGGGTTCTATCATGTCATCTACAATGTAAAAACCTTTGGAATCTAATTTTGAGACTCCACCCTAGGCACAGAAAAGGAGTAATCTGCTGATTTGAAAATGTGTGGACTGGGAACCAGAATGTTATCCAAAGCCCCTGTTTTGCAGGAATGTGAGAAAGTGATATCCGAATATTGAGTCAACTGGTAGATTGTCTCAATCCGCTGGTCAGGATTCATTTGCTGCTTTTTGCCTTACCGCAGAGCACAAGCGGGGGTAACCAAACCTTCATAATCTAGAGACCAGACTAGAATATCTGATGCCCATCCTTACTGTTCTCCGTAAGAACCAGGGGTCGCGGATGAATGGGGAGTGAGGTTGCTGCGGCTGAGCGGGGCGTTTAGGGCAGTTTTCCTAAACACGCCTGTGACCAGCTGACTCCACTCAGCGTTTCCGTGTGAGGTATGTTTCTTCACCGGCCTTTCAAGATTGTTTTTTGGCACGAGCTCAAATCAGGTTTTCTTCCGTCCGCCGTTCCCGCAGGTCTGCGCACGGATTTGTCCCTGGTTCCCGCAGGCAATGGGGCCGCAGGGGCCGGCCGGGGGGGTCCCCAGCGGGCTCTGCGCGCCGACCTGCAGCTGGGACCCGCGCCTGGAACCCTCCCGACGAGCGCAGGTGAGCGCCTCCTGCCAAGTGGGGCGGCGCCACACGGGCGTCCTGGGTGTCCCCCTGAGCTCCTTCCGCAGCTCAGGCCAACCCCCGCCCTGACCCGGTGGAGCCCCGGGACAGGGTGCGGACCCCGTTCCTTCGCGCTCCGAACCGGACGGACCCGCAGGAGGACCCCACGCCCGCTCCGCTCCGACCCCGCCGTCCCGCGCAGGCTGCGGTGACCCAGGCCGGCAGGTAGCCAGGGGCTCTCTGCCTGGGAGGACACCTTCGGCGGCTGGCGTGGGGAAAGGGGCCGCCCGGCCGGGGATGCCCCGCCAGGAGGAGGGAGCGGCCGGGGCCGCGGCCGGGAGGGAGGAGCGCCGGGAGGAAGAGGCCGAGCCGGGAGAGCCCCCGCCCCGGGAGGAAGGGGAGGAGGCCGAGTGTTTCCTGGCGCATTCCCGGCCAGCCCGAGTGACTCACTCGGCCAAGGAAACTCCCAGGGCCCGCCCAGGACCCCCAAGCCGCCGCGGACGCAGGTGAGGAACCCCGCTCGCCCGCGCCTGCCCTGCGGCCTCCGCGGGGTCCGGGTCCCCCTCGGAACCTGGGCCGGCCAGGGCGGCGGCGGGGCCGGGACGGACCCCCCCCCCCCCCCCAACCCCGGCGGCGCGGCCTCCCCGGCGGCGCGGCCTCCGGGATCGTCCTGGTCCCCGCGTCCCCCAGGTCCCGGCCCCGGGCTCCCGCGCCTCCCGGGCTCCAGGTCCCCGCACTCCCTGCACTGGCTTCCCGGTCCCTGCGCCCCCGGCCTTTCGGCCTCGGCCCCGAGCTCCCCGCCCCCGCGTTCACCGCCTCGCGCCCCCGGATCCCGGATTCCGCGCCCCGGCACATGGCACAGCTCCAGTGGCGAAGGAATACCTTAGTGTTTGACGTTTTTGTTGGAAAGTAAGGAGCAGGCAGATTGTTAATGTTGCACTAAGGTCGCGCAGCAAGATCTGAACCCGTTTTTGTTTCGTGCCCCTGTGAGGAGCGGAGGGAGCCTGGTCCGCGGAGCCATTCCGGGCATTCTTGGAGAGAGGAGTTTTGGGCTTTGTTAAGGAGGCGCGATCGTTACGGAGGCAGCACTGTTTCGCACAAGCATCTGAATTGTGTATTTTAAGGCTGAAATGCGTGAGCTTAATTTGCAGCACATTGTGGGTGTGACAAGAAGGGTGCAAGAATAATCGGGAAACGGGGTTGATGGAACGTGTTTTAAGCTGAGAGGGGCGTCTGGACGGTGTCAGCTCCGCTATTAAGTCCAGTCAGGGAGCGGCTGCTGATTGAGCCCAGCGCCGCGTGGTCGCCGCTGGGGACTGAGGCTCGGGAGCGTTTGTTTTCTGGCGGCGGAGGGCACCGTGGCTGCGCCGGGAGCGGTGGTGTTTCTTGCAGTCGTCCGTCGGACTCCGGAATGAGGCGTGGTCGGAGCCGCGGTGATGCCTGGTGCAGTGCGCACATTGCTATGCTTGACAGCTTGGCGGCAGAGTCCCGGCCAGGCCGGGACCCGCGGGGGCCCCACGCATGCTGCCTTTTCCCTGCGGGTGGCCAGCGGTTTTCCAAGTGATGTCTAGATCTGCAGGCACGGAGCCTGGAAGAACGAGTCACGCTGTGAGTGGGCGCGGGCCGTAGCAGGTGTGCACTCGTAGGGCCAGTAGGGATATAGTGCCGGTGCCCTCACTGCGACCGAGGCGCCCTGGAGTCGTGGCGGAGGACGTTTCCTGCGTTAAGACAGGTGTCTGTGCTGCGCTCAAAGAAAATGTACCCCCTAAGTTTGTGTGTGTGTTTAAATTTATTTTAAACTTTTAGTAAGATTCACTTTTTGGTGTTCAGTTCAGTGAGCTGTAGCAGGTGCATGGACTGTAGTGACTTCCACCGCAGTCAGGATACTCAGGAAGGCAGCCTCTCTCCTCCCCGCTCTTGCAGCCGCCTGTCTGTTCCTCAGTCCTCCTGCTTTGCCCATTCCAGAATGTCACATGTGGGCTTGGAGTCTGGCTTGTTTCGCTTAGCATAAGGCGTTGGAGATTCAGCTATGCTCTGGTTTGTCCCTGAAGAGTAAAGATACAAGGGTCTGAAAAGTGTGGCTCTCGGATACAGCCTGAGAGAGAGACTAAAATGATAAAGTGATGAGAAAAATTACAAAACTATAGTTCATTAAAAACATTAAACAGCATAGAACCGTGTATACTAAAAGTGAAATTCCCTCGGTACTTCTAAGTAGTATAATAGTCTTTTCTGTGCATAAGTAATTTTTTAAATAACATAGTGAGATCATATTGCATATATTATCGTCATACATTTTTCACTTAATGATGTTTGGTTACTTAAAGATCTTAGCAATCTTTACATGTTGATATATATAGTCTGTACACACAGATTTCCCTCAATCTTTTAAATAACCGTATAGTATTCCTTTTTTTTTTTTTTTTTTTTTTTTTTTTTTTGTGACAGAGTCTTAACTCTGTGGCCCAGACTGGAGTGCAGTGACGCAAACTCGGCTCGCCACAACCTATGCCTCCTGGGTTCAGGTGGTTCTCCCACCTCAGCCCCCTGAGTAGCTGGGATTACAGGCACGCACCACCACACCCGGCTAATTTTTGTCTTTTTAGTAGAGACGGGGTTTTGCCATGTTGCCCAGGCTGGTCTTGAACTCCTGACCTCAAGTGATCTGCCCGCCTCAGCCTCCCAAAGTGCTGGTATTACAGGCATGAGCCACTGTGCCCGGCCAAATCACTATAGTATTCTGTAGTGTGGATGTTTCATAATTTTATCAGCCTCCTGTTGATTGACATTATAGTTATTTACTGTTTTTCACCACTACAGTCAATGCTTGTGTCTGTATCTTTGTGCACATACTCAAGTTTATAATGCTAAAGGTGACTTTGGGTTTAAATAATAGCTAACATCTCCCTCCCTCCTTTGTTTTCTTTTCTTTTATGTTATGTTATTTTATTTTATTTTTTGTGAGACAGGGTTTTGCTCTTGTTGCCCAGGCTGGAGTGCAATGGTGTGATCTCGGCTCACTGCAACTTCCACCTCCTGGGTTCAAGCAATTCTCCTGCCCCAGCCTTCCGAGTAGCTGGGATTACAGGCGCCTGCCACCACACCCAGCTAATTTTTGTATTTTTAGTAGAGACAGGGTTTTGCCATGTTGGCCAGGCTGGTCTCAAACTCCTGACCTCAGGTGATCCACCCACCTCGGCCTCCCAACGTGCTGGGATTACAGGCGTGAACCACCGCGCCCAGCCAAAACATATTTTATAGTGTGAAGTTTTAACTAACATGTCCAAGCTATTCTCATTGTTTTTCCTATTAAAATTTAGCCAACCCTTAGAGGCCATTGATAAAGCATGGATTAATTACACTGACATAATTTAAAAACCTTATTTTAGCCAGTGCAATAGTATCAGACAAAGAAAGAAAAGGCATACAAATTGGAAAGGGAAAATTGTCCCTATTTGCTGACAACATGATTATCTACATAGAAAATCCAGGGAATCTATGAAAAAGCTACTAGAACTAATTAATGAGGTTAGCAAGGTCACAAGATACAAAGTCAACACACAGAAGGCGACCTTATTTTTCTTTTTTTTTTTTGAGACAGAGTTTCATTCTTGTTGCCCAGGCTAGAGTGCAATGGTGCGATCTCGGCCCACCGCAACCTCTGCCTCCCGGGTTCAAGCGATTCTCCTGCCTCAGCCTCCCGAGTAGCTGGGATTACAGGCATGTGCCACCATGTCTGGCTAATTTTGTGTTTTTAGTAGAGATGGGGTTTCTCCGTGTTGGTCAGGCTGGTCTGGAACTCCCAACCTCAGGTGATCCGCCTGCCTCGGCCTCCCAAAGTGCTAGGATTATAGGCGTGAGCCACCGGGCCCGGCCTGGCGACCTTATTTCTGCATACAGCAGTGCCCCTTATCCATGGGGAGATACATGCAAAGTCAACACTATACAAGCTGACCTTATTTCTGTTTACAACAGTCCTTGTTATCCATGGACGATACGTTCCAATGGAAGCCTGAAACCTGAGATAAGACAGAACCCTCCGTGTACTGTGGTTTTTTTCCCTATACATCTATGCCTATGATAAAGCTTAATTTACAAATTAGGCGCAGTAAGAGATTACCAACAATAACTGTTCATAATATAGAATAATTATATACTGAATAAAAGTTATATAAATGTGTTCTCTCTTTCAAAATATCTTTTTGTATGCACTCACCTATTTTTGGAGGGCAGTTGACTGTAGGCAGCTATAACTGGGGAAACAGAAATTGCAGATAATGAAACTACAGGTAAGTGGGGACTACTGTACTAGCAATGTACAATTAGAAAGTTAAATTTGGCTGGGCGTGGTTGCTCACGCCTGTAATCCCAGCACTTTGGGAGGCCGAGGCGGGCGGATCACAAGGGCAGGAGTTCGAGACCAGCCTGGCCAACATAGTGAAACCCTGTCTCTACTAAAAATACAAAAATTAGTTGGGCATGGTGGCGTGCGCCTGTAGTCCCAGCTACTCAGGAGGCTGAAGCAGGAGAATCGCCTGAACCCGGGAGGCGGAGGTTGTGGTGAGCCGAGATCGCGCCACTGCAGTCCAGCCTGGGCAACAGAGCGAGACTCCGTCTCAAAAAAAAAAAAAGAAAATTAAATTTAAAAACACAACATTTCGTTTGCTTCAAAGGAATCAAATACTTAGGTATACATTGAATAAGACTTACAGGATCTGTATGCTGAAGATGAGAGAAATCAAAGATCATTTAAGTAAATGGGGGAACATACCATGGTCAGTGGTTGGAACACTCAACATAGTAAAGACATCAGTTCTCTTCATATTGATCTATAAATTTAACCCAATTCCAATTTAAAAATATTAGCATGCTTTAAAAACAAAAATTTTAAACAAAAATTTTGTTTATTGAGGTATAATATACCTACTTTATAAAATTCACCTACTTTTAAGTATACGTTTGGCTGGCCTGTGAACGAGGGGGTTAGGGATTCCAACCCCCTGTGCAGTTGAAAATCCGAGTGTAACTTTTTTTGAGATGGAGTTTCGCTCTTATTGCCCAGGATAGAGTGCAATGGCACGATCTTGGCACACTGCAACCTCTGCCTCCTGGGTTTAAGCCATTCTCCTGCCTCAGCCTCCCAAGTAGCTTGGATTACAGGCATGCGCCACCACTCCCACTAATTTTGTATTTTTAGTAGAGAGGGGGTTTCACTGTGTTGGTCAGGCTGATCTCGACCTCCTGACCTCAGGTGATCTGCCCGCCTCTGCCTCTGCCTCCCAGAGTGCTGGGATTACAGGCGTTAGCCACCGAGCCTGGCCTTTAACCTTTTTTTTTTTTTTTTTTTTTTTTTTGAGACGGAGTCTCGCTCTGTCTCGGCTCACTGCAAGCTCTGCCTCCCGGGTTCAAGCGATTCTCCTGCCTCGGCCTCCTGAGTAGCTGAGATTACAGGCACCCGCCACCATGCCTGGCTAATTTTATATTTTTAGTAGAGATGGGATTTCACCATGTTGGCCAGGCTGGACAAGTATAACTTTTGACTTCTCAAAAGTTAAAACTACGTGACTTCCCAAAAGTTAAAACTACGAATAGCCTGCTATTGACCAGAAACCTTACTGATAACATAAACAGTTGATTAACAGAGATTTTGTAAGTTATATGTATTACATACTGTGTTCTCATAATAAAGTAAGCTAGAGAAAAGAAAATGTTGTTAAGAAAATCATGAGGAAGAGGAAATAAACTGACTACTCATCACGTGGAAGTGGATCATCAGAAAGGTCTCCATCCTCAAAAAGCTCACAGTGAGCAGGCCAAGGAGGAGGAAGTGGATGGGTTGGTTTTGCTGTCTTGGGGGTGGCAAAGGCAGAAGTGGAGGGAGGTGGAAGGAGGGGCTAGAGAGGCAGGCATACACCGTGTAACTTTTACTGGAAAAAGTCTGCAAATAAGTGGACCCGCATGGTTCAAACACGTGTTGTTTCAGGGACAACTATACAATAATTTTTAGAAGATTTCTGGAGCTGTGCAACAACCATCACCATAATCCAGTTTTTGTTTGTTTGTTTTGAGACAGGGTCTCACTCTGTCACCCAGGCTGGAGTGCAGTGGTGTGATCTCAGCTTACTGCAACCTCCGCCTCCTGGGTTCCAGTGATTCTCATGCCTCAGCTTCCCAAGTACCTGGGATTACAGGAGGTGCCACCAAGCCTGACTAATTTTTTTGCATTTTTAGTAGAGGAAGGGGTTTCACCGTGTTGGCCAGGCTGGTCTCGAACTCCTGGCCTCAAGTGATTCATCTGCCTCGGCCTCCCAGTACTGGGATTATAGGCATGAGCCATCGTGTCCGGCCTGTTTTTGTTTTTTTAATTTTAATTATTTTTTAAATGGAGATGGGGTATCACTATGTTGCCCAGGCTGGTCTTGAACTTCTGGGCTGGAGCAATCCTCCTTTCCTCCTGAAAGTGCTAGGATTACAGATGTGAGCCACCAGGCCCGGCCTTGCTCATCTGTTGATGGACAGTTAGGTTGATTCCATGTCTTGGCTGTTGTGAAAGGTGCTGCAATAAACATGGGGTACAGCGATCTCTTGGACATACGGATTTCATTTCTTTTAGATATATACCCAACAGTGGTGTTGCTGGGTCATATGGTAGTTCTATTTTTAATATTTTGAGGAACCCCCGGCACTGTTTTCTACAATGGCTATACTGATTTACATCTCCACCAACAGTGTACAAGGGTTTCCCTTTCTCCACACCCTGGACAACACTTGTTATCTTTTGCCTTTTTGACAAGAGCCAGTCTGACAGGTGTGAGGTGATAGCTCATTGTGGTTTTGATTTGGATTCCCTGATGATTAGCGATGTTGAGCATTTTTTCATACACCTGTTGGCCACTTGTACACCTTCTTTTGAGAAATATCCATTCAGATCTTTTACAATTGAGTTGTTTGAATTCTTTGTATATTTTCATTATTAATCCCTTATTAGTTATATGGTTTGCAGATATTTTCCTGCATTCTGTAGATTGTCACTTTGTTGATTGATTCCTTTGCTGTGCAGAACATTTTTAGTTTGATGTAATCCCATTTGTCTATTTTTTCTTTTGTGGCCTTTGCTTTTGAGGCTTTATTTCCTCAAAATAAGCCAGGCACAGAAAGACAAGTACTGCACGATCTCACTCACATGTGGAATCTGAAAACGCTGATGCCACAGAAGAACAGAGCAGAATGGTGGTTACCAGAGGCTGGGGTGGCTGGCGGAAGGGGAGAGAGGAAGATGTTGGTCAAAGGATACACATTTACAGTTAGATACAAGGGGGAAAGTCCAGAATAGGCAAATATACAGAGACAGAGAGTAGACAGGTGATTGCCTGGGGCCAGAAAGCAGGGGAGAGAGGATCAGTGAAGAACGGGTAGAAAAAGTGAGAATAACTGCTAATGGTTAGGGAGTTTCTTCTCCCTTTTTTTTTTTTTTTTTTTTTTTTTGACAAGGTCTCGTTCTGTCACCCAGGCTGGAATGCAGTGGGGCAATCATGGCTTACTGCAGCCTTGCCCTTTTGGGCTTAAGCAATTCTCCCACCTCAGCCTCTCCAGTACCTGGCACTACAGGTGTGCACCATCATGCCTGGCTAAATTTTGGTTGGTTGTTGTTTTGTTTTTTTGAGACGGAGTCTCACTCTGTCGCCCAGGTTGGAGAGCAGTGGCGCGATCTTGGCTCACTGCAACCTCTGTCTCCCAGGTTCAAACGATTCTCCTGTCTCAGCCTCCTGAGTAGCTGGGATTACAGGTGTGCACCACCATGCCCGGCTAATTTTTGTATTTTTAGTGGAGGCAGGGTTTCACCATGTTGGCCAGGCTAGTCTCAAACTCCTTACCTCAAGTGATCCTCCTGCCTCAGCCTCCCAAAGTGTTGGGATTACAGGTGTGAGCCACCGCCTAATTTTTGTGTTTTTTTGTAGAAATAGGGTTTCACCATGTTGCTCAGACTGGTCTCAAACTCCTGAGCTCAGGTGATCCCCCTGCCTGGGCTTCGCAGGGATTATAGGCTAAGCCACCGCACCTGGCCACATTTAAGTCTTTAATTCATTTCGGGTTGATTTTTGTCTATGTTGAGAAGCCAAGGTCTGATATTATTTTTCTGTATGTGTGTATCTAGTTTTCTCAACACCGTTTATTGAAGAACCTATCCTTTTCTCATTGTGTGTTCTTGGCACCTTTGTTAAAAATCAGTTGGCTGCAAATGCATGCATTTATTTCCAGGCTCTATTCTGTTCCATTGGTTTATGTGTCTGTGTTTATGACAATAGTGTGCTGTTTGGGTTACTATATCTCTGTAGTTTTTTTTGTTTTGTTTTGTTTTTGAGACGGAGTCTCACTCTGTCACCCAGGCTGGAGTGCAATGGCGCAATCTTGGATCACTGCAACCTCCGCCTCCCGGGTTCAAGCGATTCTCCTGCCTCAGCCTCCTGAGTAGCTGGGGATTACAGGCGTGCGCCACCACACCCAGCTAATTTTTTTGTTTTTAGCAGAGACGGTGTTTCACCATGTTGGCCAGGCTGGTCTCGAACTCCTGCCCTCAGGTGATCCGCCCACCTCAGCCTCCCAAAGTGCTGGGATTACAGGCGGGAGCCACCATGCCCAGCCTCTGTAGTATATTCTGAAGTCAGGTAGTGTGATGCCTCCAGCCTTGTTCTTTTGCTCAGGATAGCTTTTGCTATTCCAAGTCTTTTGTGGTTCCACACAAATTTTAGGATTTCTTTTTCTATTTGCATGAAGAATATGGTAGGTATTTTGATAGAGACTGCATTGAATCTGTAGATTGCATTGAATCTGTAGATTGCTTTGAATCTGTAGATTGCATTGAACCTGTAGATTGCATTGAATTTGTAGATTGCTTTGGGTACTATCTATTGTTTATTTATTTTTTGAGATGAGTTACCTAGGCTGTTACCCAGGCTGGAGTTCAGTGGTGCAGTCATGGCTCACTGCAGCTTTGATATCCTGGGCTCAAGCGATCCTCCCACTTCAGCCTCCTGAGTGTCTGGGACTACAGGTGTGAGCCACCACGTGCAGCTACTTTTTATTTTATTTCTTTTCTTTTTCTTTTTTCTTTTTTTTTTTGAGACAGAGTTTTGGTCTTGTTGCTCAGGCTAGAGTGCAATGGCGCAATCTTGGCTCACCGCAACCTCTGCCTCCCGTGTTCAAGCAGTTCTCCTGCCTCAGCCTCAAGCTACTCAAGCTGGGATTACAGGCGCCCACTACCACGCCTGGCTAATTTTGTATTTTTAGCAGAGATAGGGTTTCTGCATGGTGGTCAGGCTGGTCTGGAACTCCTGACCTCAAGCGATCTGCCTGCCTTGGCCTCCCAAAGTGCTGGGATTACAGGCATGAGCCATCACGCCCAGCCTTATTTTATTTTTTAGTAGAGACAAGGTCTAGCTGTGTTGCCCAGGCTAGTCTTGAACTCTTGAGCTCAAGTGATCCTCCCACCTCATCCTCACAAAGTGTTGGGATTACAGATGTGAGCAACAGCACCTGGTCTATTAATTCTGTTGTTGCCAGTGTTTTTGGTGTCATATCCAAGAAATCATTGCCAAATCTGATGTCATGAAGCATTTCTCCTGTTTTCTTCTAAGAGTTTTATAGTTTTAGATCCGATGTTTAGGCGTTGATCTGTTTTGAATTAACTTTTCTTTTTTGTGTGTGTGTTTGGTTTTTTTTCGAGACAGATCCTTGCTCTGTCGCCCAGGCTGGAGTGCGGTGGCGCAATCTCGGCTCACTGCAAGCTCCGCCTCCCGGGTTCAAGCGATTCTCCTGCCTCAGCCTCTCTAGGAGCTGGGATTACAGGCCCCCGCCACCACACCCAGCTAATTTTTTGTATTTTTAGTAGAGACGGGATTTCACCGTGTTAGCCAGGATGGTCTCGATCTCTTGACCTTGTGATCTGCCCGACTCGGCCTCCCAAAGTGCTGGGATTACAGGAGTGAGCCACCACGCCAGGCCAAATTAACTTTTCTGTATATTATATAAGGTAATGGTCCAACATAATTCATGTATGTGTGGATATTCAGTTTTCCTAACACAATTTGTTGAAAAGACTATTCTTTTTCCATTGAATGATCTTGACATCATTGTTGAAAATTGTTTGGCCACATATGTGAAGGTTTATGTCTGGGTTCTTTGTTCTGTTTAATTGGCCAGTATGCCTTTCTTTATGCCAGTGCCACACTGTTTCAATTACTGTAGCTTTATGGTAAGTTTTGAAATAAAAAGGAGTGAAGTCTCCAACTTTGTTCATCTTTTTCAAGATTGCTTTGGCTATTCTGGGTCCTTGGAGATTCCTATGAATTTTAAAATGGGTTATTTTTGCAAAAACAAAGTGCTGTTGGAATTTTCAAAGGGATTGCATTGAGTCTTTAGAAGGCTTTGGATTGTATTGTCATCTTAACAATATTATGTCTTCCAATCCATTAACAAAGATGTCTTTCCATTTGTTTGTATTTAATTTCTTTCAGCAGTGTTTTATATTTTTTAGTGTGTAAGTCTTTCACCTCCTTGATTATATTTTTTTAAATTGAAACTTGTATTTAGCCATTTTGAGACTAATATCTTGAATAAGTAAAATTCATTTACACTACATTCTTCATCTTTTGGATGCTGTTGTACATGGAATTAATTTCCTTTTGGGATTGTTCATTGCTAAAATATAGAAATGCAACTGATTTTTACATGTTGCTTTTGTATCCTGCAACTTCCCTGAATTCGTTTATTAGCTCTAACTAATAATTATTATGGAATCTTTGGGATTTACTACATATAAAATCATGTCATCCAGAGTTTCATGTGTTATGAGGCACAGAGGGACTACCTTTTTATCATAATGTTTGTAGTAATTTTTGTCCGCAGGTCTGTTTTGTCTAATACTTGTCTAATGTTAGTATTGCCACTTCCCTCTCTTTTGGTTACTCTTTGCATGGTATGTCCTTTTGCGTTCTTTTAGTTTCACCGTACTTGTATTTTTATATTTAAAATTTGTTTCTAGTGGATAGCATATAGTTGGTTCATGTTTTCTGTTTACTCTGTAAATCTCTGCCTTTTGATTTGAGTATCTTGTTCATTTACATTTAATGCAAATATGTATGTAGTGGGATTTACATCTGTCATTTTGTTATTTGTTCTCTTTATGTCTTATATCCAGAGAGCTGATGGCCACAGCAGCTCCGGCCTGATTTCTAATAGGAGGGTTATCTAATAGAAGGATTTCAGAGCATTCCAGGGACAAGATTTGCATTTGTATGAATTTTTTTGTGTTAAAAGCCTCTTAGAACATGGTCTCAAGAAATTAGGGATGTGTTTTTCACCATCGTGTTGGTTTAAGCCTGATGTGCATCTGTGCTATTCAGCACAAGCTCACTGGGCATTTGTTTTCCTGGTCGCTCCCCCTCCAACTTTATTACGACTGCATTTCCTTCACGCACAGCCCATGCCGTGGGCTGTGGCTTGGCCCTCCATGGGGGCAGAGGTGATGTCTGTTGAACTGTGGCTCCCAGGTTTTTTAGATGGGAATAAGACAGATGTACAGTGATAGCCGCTGTGACCTTGTCATGCCCTGTTCTTTGCTTTCCCCTTCACATTCACATTTGCATCACAGGGGAGGGGGAAAAAAGCCCAAAACACTCTGAAAGCAGTGGGTTTCATCTTGAAACCTGATTCCATAGCCAAAATTTGATGCTCAGAGCCTGTGTGGTCACTCCTTGCAGTCATGTTTTCCTGGCCAGGACAGTGGGGATGAGTGTTGATTTGTCCTTGAAGATACTCACAGAAGGAGATGTGCTTGCTCTGAAGAACCACATAGCCCCACAGCTGAAGTGGTGAAGTTCTGCATTACATTTGAATCCCTGTCCAAAGCTCAACTTCTCAAGCTGTTCCTAGAAGGACCAGTCTCCACGAAACCAGTGAGCCTTAACACCACCTGGACTCATGGCTCAGTGGGGCCAGCTGCCCCCAGAGATCATTGAATAACTGTATGTGTTAAATTGAGTAGACTTGTGCATATGAACAAAAACTTCACTGACTCTTGAGAGGTAGCCTTGTTCCTGTCAAGGAGACCACAGGGATAAGGTTTTCATATGCACAAGTTGTGTTTTCTTGTTTGTCGTGATGACAGGGTGTGGAGGTGGTAGAGGTGATGTATTAGTCAGGGTTCTCCAGAGAAACAGAAGCAGCAGGATATGTGTGGATGTGCGTCTAGAGAGATTTATTTTAAGGATCTGACTCACAATTGTAGAGGCTGGCAAGTCCAGCGTTTGCAAGGCAGGCCCATAGGCTAAAGACCCGGGGAAAAGCTGATGTTGAAGGCAGCCTGAAGGCAAGATTCCCTCTTTCTTAGGAGAGGTCAGTCTTTTTTCTTTCAAGGCCTGCACTGGTTGGATGAGGCCCACCCAAATTATGGAGGGTAATTTGTTTCATTCAGAGTCTACTGGTATAGATGTTAATCTCATCTAAAAAGTACTTTCATAGCAATGTTTAGATTGGAGTTGGACCAAAAACTGGGTACCATGGCCTGGCCAAGTTGACACATAAAAGCAACCATCACAGGGATTGATTTTTATTTTGTATTTAAATAATTTGCGTTTTATTTTTATTTATTTATTTATTTTTTGAGATGGAGTCTCGCTGTGTCGCCCAAGCTGGAGTGCAGTGGCGCTATCTTGGCTCACTGCAACCTCCACCTCCCTGGTTCAAGCGATTCTCCTGCCTCAGCCTCTTGAGTAGCTGGGATTACAGGCGTGTGCCACCACGCCTGGCTAATTTTTGTGTTTTTAGTAGAGACGGGGTTTCACCATATTGGTCAGGCTGTTCTCAAACTCCTGACCTCAAGTGATCTGCCTGTGTCAGCCTCCCAGAGTGCTGACTTCTTTTCTTTTTGAGATGGGGTCTCACTGTGTAGCCCAGGCTGGTCATGAACTCCTGGGCTCAAGTGATCCTCCCACCTCAACCTCCCAAAGTGCTGGGATTACAGGAGCCACCATGCCCGGCCTTCTTGTATTTCAGTCACACATTTCAGGCTGACCTCACTGGTCACATGGAATTGACTGTGACCTGTGATGGGCACCTGAGAAGCCTCTGGAGCTCTTGGTTGCCCTGATTCTATCCCAGGCCCAGGTGGAGGGCAGATGTGCTGTGTTGTAGCTGCGGGCTGTGGTGGGGTGCTATGTTGTAGCTGCGGGCTGTGGTGGGGCCGGGCCCTGGAAGTGTGTGTGAAGACACAGGCCGGCACATGTCTTCCCACACACTGTGAGCAGGAAAGGTTCAGGTGCCCCGAGTTCTTCCTCTTCACATATGTCGGCCGCACTCCTGTAGACTTAGCCAAGACTACATGGTGGAAAGTGCGATTGGAACTCTGTGCTTCAGGAACTTTGTGATTTCATTTAGTGAGATCTGGGAGCGTGCTCTGAAGTCACCTGTCCTGAGCCCCTCAGCCAGCAGGGCTTAGTCGGGCCCCGTCCAGGCCATTGTCACTTTTGAGGAAGACTCTCCAAGATTTATAAACAGGTGGTGGGTGACCTGCCCATTGTAGTCCATAACCTGTTGCTGCCAGCAGCTCCTGGGAAGGGGCGATAGGAGAGCACTGCCTCCTTGTCCCGTGTCCCAACCGATGCTAGAGCCAGTGCTTCAGGTATTCAGGTACCTCAGGTTGCTTGGAAAAGTTTAAATAAATTATGCTTACTTATTAAGTATTCTCTTTTCATCTTTTATCAGCTTTTTTTATTGGCTCCCCTGCAGAAAAAAAAAAAGGCAGAGGTGATTTTGGGAACTGCGGCGTCCCCTCGGCATCTCTGAACATGCGCCACCGTCTGTGTGTTCATCAACGTAAAGCTGTCTGTTCTGGCTGTTGCTGTCTCATACAGTGTGTGCACCAGATGCTAGCGAGTCTTACACAGATGCTGTCGAGATGTAGGAGGCAGCGTTGCTGTGTCTGCTGCTCATCGTGGGGTCTTTCCACATGCTGCCAAGCGGGTTCCCTTTCTCCACAAACTTGGAGCGAGGGTCTCGGTGGGCTGTCATGGGTGCAGACTCTTAGTTGAGAAATCTTCAGGATGGCATTGCCTTTCTGCAGCCTGTTGTTGGCCACAACTCAGGTCCTTCTTCATCCCCGGCAGGAACAAACCCCTCCTAAGCTTTTGTGTATTTATCTGCTAAGGCTGCCAAAACACAGTACCAGCGACTGGGTGGCCTCACCACAGACATAGTATTTGCTCACAGTTCTGGAGGCTGGACATCCAAGATCACAGTGTGGGCAGGTTGGTTCCCTCTGTGGCCTGTCTCCTTGGCTTGCAGATGGCCGTCCTCTCCCTGCGTCCTTGCGTGGTCTTCTCTCTGTGTGCATCTGTGTCCTAATCTTGTCTTTTTTTTTTTTTTTTGAGACGGAGTTTTGCTTTTGTTGCCCAGGCTGGAGTGCAGTGGCGTGATCTGGGCCCACCGCAACCTCTGCCTCCCGGGTTCGAGCGATTCTCCTGCCTCAGCCTTCTGAGTAGCTGGGATTTCAGTGTGTAGCTGGGATTACAGGCCCACGCCACCACGCCTGGCTAATTTTGTATTTTTTTTTTTAGTAGAGACGGGGTTTCTCCATGTTGGTCAGGCTGGTCTCGAACTCCTGACCTCAGGTGATCCACCCGCCTCGGCCTCCCAAAGTGTTGGGATTACAGGTGTGATCCACTGCACCCGACCTAATCTCCTTGTCTTATAAGGACCCAGTCCTATTGGATGAGGGCCCACCCTGATGGATTCATTTTAACTTAATTATCTCTGTAAAGAACGGAAGCATTCTGAGGTCCTGGGGGTTAAGGCTTCAACACACGAATTTTGAGAGCACACAGTTCAGCCCATAACAGTTTGTTTTGTTAAAACGTGGGCTCTTCATTATCGCCTTTGATCCCCTGGGCCAAGCCCTTGTTGATGGGGCGCCCCTGAACTCTCAGAGCCATGGACTCCTGCTGCTCTGGGGACACCAGGGCAGCGGGAAGGGGCTGGGGCCTGGTGTGTCCGCTACTAGGGAAGCCTAATTCGTTATCCCTGTTAGATAAAAATACAGGTGCTCTAGTATTTGCTTCTGTCATTCCAAGGAATCACAGTCATGCATCACTTACCAACAGGGATATGTTCTGAGAAATGCATTGTTAGGCACTTTTGTCATTGTGTGGGCATCATAAAGGGCACTTACACACACCCAGATGGTACTGCCTGCTGCACGCCTAGGCTCCACGCTAGAGCCTGTTGCTCCCAGGCCACACGCCTGTGCAGTGTGTTACTGCAGTGAACACTGTGGTTAAGAGTATTTGTGTATCCAAGTTTACGTAAACATAGAAATGGTACAGTGACACCATCTCAGCTCACCACAACCTCTGCCTTCCAGGTTCAAGCAATTCTCCTGCCTCAGCCTCCCAAGTAGCTGGGATTACAGGCGTACGCCACCACACCTGGCTAATTTTTGTATTTTTAGTAGAGACGAGGTTTCACCACGTTGGCTGGGCTGGTCTCGAACTCCTGACCTCAGGTGATCCGCCTGCCTTGGCCTCTCAAAGTGTTGGGACTATAGGCGTGAGCCACCACACCCAGACAGTAATTTAGGATGTTTTTAAGTAATTTTAAGTTTAGAGTATTTTTACGTAAAATCTAGCACTTTTTGGTTACCTGTATGTTGATATGTTTATTAATATATGTGTACACACACACACACACACACACACACACACACACAATGGAATACTATTCAGCCTTTAAAAAGAAGGAAATCCTGTCATTTGTGACAAGGATAAACCTGGAAGACATTACGCTTAGTAAAATAAGCCAGGCCCAGAAAGACAGATACTGCATGACCTGATTTCTATGTGGAATCTAGAAAATTTGAGCTCATAGAAGCAGAGAGTAGAATGAGGGTCGCTGCAAATAACCCATCTGGGCAGGCAGACGGGGCTGGGGTTGGCATCCATCTCCTGCCGTTTCTCGGCTCTGTGAATTTGGACAAATCACTTTCTCTGGCCCTCAATTTCGCCGTCTCTAAAGAAGGGGTTGAATGAGCTCAGACAGCCCAAGGCTTCACGAAGTGCAAGCGGCTGAGATGTGCTGGTGTTGAAGGTGATTGAGGACAGGGTGGGGTCCCTTTTTCCCAGAGGGAACATGGAGCCCTGTGTCTCAGGTGCCCGTGGCATCTTCGCCGGCTGCACTTGGTTCCCGACTCCCCGGGGAGCTGCCGGGCAGGGGAAACTGCCCTGCTGGCCTGGGGCACCGTGGCCGAGGTCAGCCAAAGGCCAAGACCTGCCTTCTTGCTGGGGCTGGAGGCTGCTTCCTGCCTTCCAGGCTGCGGAGTCTGCTGGCAGGGCTGCCGGGTGTGTGTGTGTGTGTGTGTGTGTGTGTGTGTGTGTGTGTGTGTGTGTGTGTGTGTGTGTGAGTGATGAGGTTGCGGAGTCTGCTGGTGGGGCCGCCAGTTGTGTGTGTGTGTGTGTGTGTGTGTGTGTGTGTGTGTGGTGAGGAGGAGTGGACTCACTCTGCATGGGGGTGGGGTAGGGTTCACATATTTTAAGCTCATCACCTGGCTGGGAAAGTAGCTGCTCTTGCTCCAGAAAGGGAAAAAAAAAAAAAAAAAAAGTATGTGAAGTGATACATATGCGTAATAGCTCGATTTAACCATTCCACAAGGTACACATATATGTAAACCTCTGATTGTATGCAGTAAATATATACAATTTTTATTTGTCAACAATACCTTAATTTATATAAAAACATGTGAATCCATAGTTTCTGTCTCATAATAAATTAGTTTGGCCCATCCACAAAAAACAAAACCCAGCTCTTTTGCAATGATCTGAAGCATTCTGATTATAACACTGATGTTTATTCCCGGGGCTGACTGGGCCTGGAAGGTCCTTTCTACAAGCCGTCCGTATGAAGGCATGGTGTCCAGGCATCTCTCACAACTGGGGGTTAAAAGCTTTCTGCCCAGGAGTGCGTGACTCTGGGCAAAACCTTCCTCTAGGCAGACGCGGGCATGTTGTGGCCGTGCTCTGGCTGGTGAGATGGGTTCAGCCTGCGATACGTGCCAGCGTCCAGCCTGCCCGGGGCCATAGGAGTGAGGGGCGACCAAAACACACTTCCGCTCGAAGAGTCGGGGCAAGTCTGTTTGAGACATTTCCCATTCCTTTCCCTTATGTTCACAAAAAGTTTTCAGGGGGATATTTCATTCTTTCTTATGTTATGTTATGTTATGTTATGTTATGTTATGTTATGTTATGTTATGTTATGTTATGTTATGTTATGTTATTTTTGAAACAGAGTTTTGCTCTTGTTGCCCAGGCTGGAGTGCAATGGCACAGTCTTGGCTCACTGCAACCTCCACCTCCTGGATTGAAGCGATTCTCCTGCCTCAGCCTCTTGAGTAGCTGGGACTACAGGCATCTGCCACCACGCCCATCTAATTCTGTATTTTTAGTAGGGACGGGGTTTCTCCATATTGGTCAGGCTGACCTCAGGTGATCGCCCGCCTCTGCCTCCCAAAGTGCTGAGATTACAGGTGTGAGCCACCGCGTCTGGCCTTTCTTACTCATTTTAAATAACTTCAAACTTATACAAAACATTGCAAAAATAAAAATAGGACAAAGAACACAATTCAAACACTTCTCTCTCCACTTGAGGCCCTTTACCTCTAGACACATCAGTGTCTATTTCCTAAGAATGAGGATGTTCTCTTGTGTGCCACAGGACACTTGTCCACTACTGGCCCTGTTTAGAAAATGCTTGCCGAGCCCTGTGCTGGAGCATGTGTTGCCCAGGTATTCATGTGTAAGAATGTTCCTCAGAGGTCATGACAGCCAAGTGTCTGCAAATGGCATTGGTTCTGAGCAGCAGGAGACAGGACATGTAGCCTGGTTTGTTGGTTGGGTGGAATAGCACGCACACGTCAACATGGTGCTTCAGGAGCACCGCCTGGCAGCGTGCATGCGTCTCGTAATAGCAGTGGGCACAGTATGAATAGGTCAGGTGACTATATATAGATGATATCCCTTTTATAACAACTCAACTGAAAGGTGCTTTTTAAGAATATAGATGAGCTATGGCCGGGCGTGGTGGCTCACGTCTGTAATCTCAGCACTTTGGGAGGCCGAGGCTGGTGGATCACCTGAGGTCGGGAGTTCGAGACCAGCTTGACCAACATGGAGAAATCCTGTCTCTACTAAAAAAAAATAACAAAATTTAGCCGGGCATGGTGGCGCACACCTGTAATCCCAGCTACTCGGGAGGCTTAGGCACGAGAATAGCTTGAACCAGGGAGGCGGAGGTGGCGGTGAGCTGAGATTGTACCATTGTATTCCAGCGTGGGCAACAAGAGCAAAACTCCGTCTCAAAAAAAAAAAAAAAGAAAAAAAAGAAGAATATAGATGAGATACAGTTTATGCAGAAGAAAGCAGGGGATCGATGCCTGGGGGTGCAGAGCAGGGGCTCACTGTGGATCACAAGCAGGACTCTGCCTTTCGGTGTGGGCAGTGAGTTCGCACGTCTTTGACATCATTAAACATTACTAATTATGGTGAGAGCAGGTCAGAGTCCAAGAATTATTATGTATCTGAGTCCCAGTTTTAAAAATCCTACTACCAATCAGTTTGCTGAAATTTTTATTGATCTCAAGATTACTTTTAAATGAATTATCTGAGATTACCTATAGTAGTGCTGCCTTGACACTGTTTCTCACCTGAGCAGCTGTTTGGCTTCCCATAGTGGCCACAGCAATTTGCAGAAACTGGGGCTATGATTAGAAACTGCTTCCTTCCCTGGGCCTGGGCTGGCAGAGTTCTTCCTCCTTGGTAAATTTAGAAGTGAAACAGGAAATTCCAAAGGGAAAAGCTAATATGATAAAAAGTTAAAACTTAGTTTCAAAGAAAATAGTAAGTGAAATGAAAAAGAAAGTAGCTTGACCTGGAAAAAGTTTTGTAGCAATTCTCACAAAGCTTTAATATCTTTAACGTTGTTAGTATAGTAAGTCCATCTGTCAGTTGCTGAGGAAAATACCAAGATTCCAAGGATTTTAAAAAAACAAACAGGCAAACAACCCAAGCTGGCAAGTTACAAATGAAGAAAAACAGGCAGGGGGAAGTGGCTCGTGCCTGTAATTTCAGCATCTTTGGGAGGCTGAGGCTGGAGGATCTCTTGAGCTTAGGAGTTCAAGACCAGCCTGTGCAACAAGGCAAGACTCTGTCTCTACAAAAATTCAAAAAAATTAGCCAGACGTGGTGGTGCACGCCTGTAGTCCCAGCTACCTGGGGGGCTGAGGTGGGAGGATCACTTGAGCCTGAGAAGTTGAGGCTGCAGTAAGCTGTTATCACACCACTGCACTTCAGCCTGGTTGACAGTGAGACCCTGTCTCAAAAAAGAAGAAAAACAAACTGGTTAATGCATAGAAATATGTTTCATCTCAGTGATAATACAAGAAATGAAAATTAAGGCCAGGCACAGTGGCTCATGCCTGCAATCTCAGCGCTTTGGAAGGCCAAAGCCGGCGGATCACTTGAGGTCAGGAGTTCGAGACCAGCCTGGCCAACATGGTGAAACCCCGTCTCTACTAAAAATACAAACATTAGCCCGGCATGGTGGCGAGCCCCTGTAATCCCAGCTTCTCGGGAGGCTGAGGCAGGAGAATCACTTGAAGACAGGAGGCGGAGGTTGCAGTGAGTCGAGATCATGCCACTTGCACTCCAGCCTGGGTGACAGTGAGACTCCATCTTAAAAATAAATAAAATATAAATAAATAAATAAATAAATGAAATACAAATTAAAAGAACATTCAGATTAAATTATAAAAACAGAAGTGACCCCTGGATTCTGTTGGGAAGCGCCATGCTACTGTCCGGCTCCACCTTGTTCGTGGGCCCCCGTAGGAGGGCACCTGGCCCAAAGCCACCTGCAGCTTTAGAGACATTGTGTGACCTAAGAAACCTCCTGGGATGTGCTGCTAGGAAAGTCATCTGCAAACACACTCCAGGCTTTTCCGCCCAGATGTGGTATTGTCAGGCTTGTCTCATGCCTAAGCAGGAGGAGGGCGGGCCGCCCTGAAGCAGGCTGCGGTTCATGCATGGGCCAGTGGTGTTTCCTTCACATGTTCTGGATGTGCAGGTGTTGCTGTAATGGTGGAAAAGATTTATATGACCTCAGTGAAAGAGCTGCTTTCTGCTTTTGTTCCTTTGATGGACAGCTAAATGGCCTGGATACCTTTCCCACAGTTTTCGTGAAGACCCGGAGCTTTAAGATCAGGATTCTGGTTTACCTGAGAAGCTCCCCGTTAGGTCCCTGCTCGGTTCACAGTCACTGGGGATGTTCTGTGGCACCGCCTGCTTATGGAGCTCCTGTCTCTGCAGGACGTCTCCGGCAAGGTGCCTGGGACATCCCAGAGCACGAGCCCGCTGAAATGGGGCACCCGAAGGCACAGACCACCCCACTGCGTGGGACCTGTGAGGTGTCTTGGTGCATGTGGAGGAAGCTGGTGAGGTTGATGCTGGTGTTTCCAGCCCAAGTGTCTTGACAGCAGGACCCTTGATAGAGATTGGCGAGTGAGGTGTAGTGTAGGTGGTAGCTAAGGTCATGGGCTTGACCTCAGGCTGGAGGCAGTAGGGGATCCCAGGAGACACTCTGCCCACGGGCTGGGCACAGTGGTGGAGCCCGGGAGACACTCGGCCCACAGGCCAGGCGCAGTAGGGGAGCCTGCAGCTCCTCGTGGGTGCACTTGGTGCAGGAGAAGGGCTGGGCTGCTACTGGGCTATGCCAGACCCTGGCAGGGCCAGGCCACATCCAGGCCAGCCACGTGGGGATTCGGGGATTCAGGTCCTTACAGGGGAGGGAGAGACAGGAAAAGAACAGGCACATCAGGAGGTGTGGATGCTGGGTGAAGATGATCTGGTGGCTGCCGTGTAGCCTTTGGTCATCAACCTGCACCCTCCTGGGCCCTGAGAGGAGAACCTGAGAGGCTGGTGGGGAGGGGGAGCACGGGGCTCGATCGCCCGTGGCGCCTGTTCCTCAGCCGGGCGCCGCAGGACCCAGCAGATACACGGTCTGTTGGGCACAGTGATAAGGTGGGGGACAAGGTGGGTGGCAGCCAGTTCCCTTTCCTTCAAGCCGCAGGAATCAGAGCAGGCTGAGAGCCCCCAGCCAGAATGGCCAGCGGTGGAATTGCTTTGTCAAGCGCCCGAGGTCATGCTTGGTGCCCAGCCGAGCCCATGGCCTCCTGAGCAGGCGGGACTGCCCGGCCATGCGGGCCACGCCACTGAGGCACGTGAGGCAAGCCACGGGGCTGCGGCAGCTCCCTGTCCCTCTGGGCTCAGTGTCGGCATCTGTGAATGGGGACCCCCACTCTTCTCCTGAGCGTGGGAGCGCCCCCTCTGTGGTGTGACTGTCCTCCCGGAGACCGCCATGGTGGGTCTGCCCTAACAGAAAGAGTAGGTGGAGCGGGAAACGCTGTCTTCTTCCCTTTGTGCCTTTTAAACATGCACTGGATTCGGGTGAAAGATGAAGGAATGGCCGTCGTCGAGGAGCACTCCTTAATTGTTTATGCTGTCTGTGTGTTGCCCAGGTGCACACAGGTGGGAAAGAAACAGCCCCTCCCACCAGCCTGATCCCTACCCAACCCAGGCATCTGCCAGGTGGGCTGATGGAGCTTCCCCGAGCTCATCTGTGTGCCTGGTAGCCCAGCCCTGGGCTGAGGTGCATGTTCTCATTGTCCTGAGGGCCCCACCTGGGGCAGTGGGACTGGTGGATGGCACAGCGGGTCCTCCATGGCCCAGGGGTGTGGGAGATGGAGGGAGGCCCTTGGGTGTTCTATGAGCGATTGAGACTTTATTCTGTGGAATACTGGGCCCCATCTCTGCCTTTTATTAATTATTTTAGCATCCGAATAGTTTTTTTCATACAAATTTGACAGATAAAGACAGAACTGCTCTCCCTTGCCCTCCTGGGGCACTCTGGGGTTTCATGGCGCATGGTTTGAAAACCACAGCTGTAGGCAGAGAGAGCCAGTGAAAGCGTGAGCAGGAGAGTGACAGGAAGAGAAGCAGAGGTGAGTGCAGGTTTGGCGGTGCCTGGGGGATCAGAGGGAAGCCTGGGGGAGGGCGATGTTAGGAGGTTGTGAGACCACTTGGTCTTGGGAGACCCCTCCCAGAGGCAGCCTGACCCTGGCCGAAGGGGCTGCAGCCCCAAGGTGGGGGGCGGAGGCCATGTGGCGTGGAGACGTGCTCTCTTTCAGGGTTCCTTGGCACACTGTTTTAGATGTCAGCACCTCATTGTGATTTTCAAACTTGATTTCTGTTTCTCTGTTGATGAGGCTGTTCTTTTGAGCTGGTTTTGAGTGGCCGCTTTTGAGGATGGAATTTGAAGTTTTTGTGCATTAAAGAAAGCAGATTACCTCACACCTGTAATCCCAGCACTTGGAGAGGCCGAGGCAGGCAGATCACCTGAGGTCAGGAGTTCAAGACCAGCCTGACCAACATGGTGAAACCCCGTCTCTATTAGAAATACAAAAATTAGCCAGGTGTGGTGGCGGGTGCCTGTAATCCCAGCTACTTGAGAGGCTGAGGCAGGAAAATTGCTTGAACCTGGGAGGCAGAGGTTGCAGTGAGCCGAGATTGCGCCAGCCCGGGTGACAAGAACGAGACTCCATTTCAAAAAAAAAAAAAAAAGCAAATTACTTCAGTAATAAAGCTAGTCTAGAAGATGTTATATTGGTTTTTAACTATGCACTGTTTGCCTTGCTGGTCATGACAGCCTGTTTCTGTGCTGCAGCCGTGCGGTCAGGCCGTTTAACCTGGGGAAAACCAGCTGCAGCCATGCTGGCGCGGTCCCCTGCTTCCAAATACAGAAGAGCACATTCTTTCTACACCTGGGAGAGAAAGGGACAGCAAAGTATGCTTTTCTTCTTCAGATGATTTATTTTATGCCTATTTTACATGAACAGCTTGCACAAAAATATTGGAAGTTTCTACTTTTCTGGGAAGTGCCATCATTTTGCATATAGAAGAGGAAGAAAATCAGCTCATGCCTTGTGCACGTTTGCAGAAACATTTCATAGTTTGTCTTTGTTTGATTATGCTGTTTAGCTGGACAAGTGGAATGCTTACAAGTTGTAACATTTTTTGTTTTTTGAGATGGAGTCTTGCTCTGTTGTCCAGGCTGGAGTGCAGTGACACGATCTCGGCTCACTGCAAGCTCCGCCTCCTGGGTTCACGCCATTCTTCTGCCTCAGCCTCCCTAGTAGCTGGCACTACAGGCGCCCGCCACCATGCCTGGCTAATTTTTTGTATTTTTAGTAGAGGTGGGGTTTCACCGTGTTAGCTAGGATGGTCTTGATCTCCTGACCTCGTGATCCACCTGCCTCGGCCTCCCAAAGTGCTGGGATTACAGGTGTGAGCCACTGCGCCCGGCCAATTTTTTGTATTTTTAGTAGAGATGAGGTTTCACCGTGTTAGCCAGGATTGTCTAGATCTCCTGACCTCGTGATCCGCCTGCCTCGGCCTCCCAGAGTGCTGGGATTACAGGCGTGAGCCACCGTGCCCGGCCACAAGTTGTAAAATTTTTAAATGACTGGTTTAGAAATGCTGGGAAGACCCTCTTTCTAGCAAAGCATCTCTCCACCTGTCTCAGTGCGGGCTGCAGTGGCGGGAGTTAGCGTCGGCGTGCCGCCTGCCACAGCACTGCCGCCTGCGTGGCACCGACGCCTTCGCTTCTGCATTTTCTGGATTGTGGCTTCTCCACATTTTGCAACCTTGGTGTTGAGCTGTCTTGGCAGTTTCTATTTTAACACCTAAAGAGATGACTGTTCGGTCCCTGTGAAAAGCTCCCTCTTGACCTAGGGTGGAAAGAGAAGTAAATACATCTCAAAAGTTTATCCTCTAATGTGGTAAAATACAAGGTCCCTCCGTGGCCAGGGGCTGGCTGGAGCGAGCAGTGCACGTTGTCCCTGTGTGTGCAGCCACCATTCTGCTGTGTGCTCGCTGGCATCTTGGGAGCCTGGGCCCGGCCAGAGTGGCCGCATGCACACTGCTGTCTCGGGGCGGCAGTGGGGCCGTGGGGCCATCTGGATGGTGTGGCCACCCGTTCCCCCTTTACCAGCCCCCACCTTTCCTGGCCACCTGCCCCGAGCCTCCCCTGAGATGCCCCGTCTCCAGAGCCCCTGACTTGTTTGACTCCTTTGTTTTGTCTGGTGTCCAAGGCCGGTTTCCCACGGGGCCTGTGTTCTCCCAGGGATGCTGGCTTATTGAAGACACACACTCTCACACACATACACACTCACACATACAAACTTTTTTTTTCCTTTTCCCTTTTAATCTCTTGGCACCACCTCTGCTTCCAGGTTAAAGTTAGTCTTGGCTGCTTTAATTTCCATTTGTTTTTGCAGCCTAGTAGTGTCTTTTTTCATTTTCAAGACTGTTGAGTTATGCCAGGACTCAGGGTTATGACCTACTGACTGAGCTGCCTGCTGAGCACGAGAGACATCTCTTTCTTCCCAGCCACCTGCCCTCATGCTGCTCAGACACAGGGAAAAGGACCAAATCACATTTATTTATTTTTTTTGAGACAGAGTCTCACTCTGTCGCCCAGGCTGGAGTGCAGTGGCGCGATCTCAGCTCACTACAACCTCCGCCTCCTGGGTTCAAGTGATTCTCATGCCTCAGTTTCCCAAGTAGCTGGGATTACAGGCACCTACCACCATGCCCAGCTGATTTTTGTATTTTTAGTAGAGGAAGTATTTCGCCATGTTAGCCAGGCTGGTCTCAAACTCCTGACCTCAAGCCTCGGTCTCCCAAAGTGCTGGGATTAGAGAAGTGAGCCACTGTGCCCAGCCCCAAATCACATTTAAAAAAAATTCTGTTGATTCACTGTTCTTTGTTTTGAAGCATGTGATGATTGTGAGGTTTTACAAAAATCACCCTCCCATCTCCTGGGATGTCTGCTGTGTGGAGAAGTGAGGTCCAGGGTCTCTCTGGGAACTGGGTTCCCCAAGGGCAGCATGGGGAGGCACTGGCTGATGCCCTGAGCCCGTGAGCTTGCAGGGGGAGTGTGGCGAGGGCTGGCCACATCTAGATGGGTTAAAGACCAGGAGCCTGGGCGGATCTGCCCGTTTTCTAGTTGGTGGAAGCACTGGTGCATGCCTCCTTTGCCTTTGCCCCTTGGCCTGCTGTCTCGAACTTTCTCCAGCATCTTCAGGGCTCTGCTGGGGCCAGCAGGGCAGGAGAGGGGTTGGGTCCTTGACCCTGCTCCCCTGCCTCCCCAGCCCCTGCTGCCTGCCCATGCCGGGGCAACTCTGTCTGTGGCTCCAGCTCCGTGCTGCCTCTGTCCTGCCCCTCAGGCCTAAATCGGTCTCCAGCACCTCACTCGCACTTGGAAAGTGGCCATCTGTACCTCTGTGCCTCTGGCCTTGACCCCCTGGGTGGGCACCCGGCACTGGGTCAGGGCGGTTCTCAACCTTGCTCTGTGGCTGTGGGCCCTGGGGCAGCTGGCGACCCCATCCAGCCTCCCTCCACTCATTTGCCAATGTGTCAGGGTGGCCTCCACCTTAAGGCAGCTGTGAGGACCACTTCTTGAGACTGCATCTGTGTGGATCTGAGGCTGAGGGGCAGCCAGTGACATGTGGAAGAAAGGAGGTGGACCCATGGAGCCCCCAGCATGCCCTGTAGGCACTGCCCTTCAAGTGGGTGGCACTGGGAACCTTTGCCTCCTGCCCACCGTGGGTCCCTTGAAGCCCATCTGGGGTTCCACGATCCAGCAGGTGAGTGAGGTGTGCAGCATGATGTGAGCTCAGACACGGAGCCAGTCTGCCACCGCCCGGTGGATGTTGCTCACTCTGTAAACTGCCCTGCAGCTGCCTAGAGCAGAGGTGCATCCCGACCCATGAGACACTCAGAGATTGACCCGGGACTCTGAGGACATCACTGGAAGAGCAGCCAAGTATGATGATGTCCTCCTTTGAAATCTTTATTTTTAAAAACTCTTAAATTTACAAAATAAACGAACTGATGGCTTATTAAAACAGCAGTTCCCCTACCATATTTAAATTCATTTTTATATCTTGACAAGCTATAGGATTTGGAATCAAACATGAGGGTTGAGAACTGCTGCTGATAGAAAATCAGTCAGGGAAGGAAAAAACATCTCTTTATGTTGTTCAATGACATAAACCGAGGGTGGGCATGTTATTTTTGGGTCGGTTCGCCGCCTGGGGAGGCCGGGGGCACAGGCAGCTGGAACTGTGGCATGGTAGCGCCTTGTGACCGAGCTCATGCAGGTCTGGCTGGCTTGTTTTGTTCCCAGCAGTGTGCTCTTTCTGCATGGAGCACGTATTATTTTCATGATCAGCAAAATACCAGCTCGTGTGGGTTCTTACCCGGCAGACAGCGCAGGGAATCTGCGTCCCACCTGGGTGACTCCGTCCTACCTGTTCTTGGCTCTGTGTTCATTTGCCAGGGCTACCATTAACAAAACACCACAGATCAGGCAGGAATTTCTTTCTCTCAGTTCTGGAGCTGGGAGTCTGAGATCAGGGGGCCAGCAGGGTTGGCCTCTCTTGTGAATGGCCACCTTCTCTCTGTGTCCTCTCGTGGTCTTCCCTCTGTGCCTGGTCACGCATTGCCCTGCTCTGATCAGGCCCCAAGCAGTGGACATCAATGTACCTGTCCACACGAGCTGAACGAGCAGAGACAGAAATGCGATCCTATTGTTTTTGTTTTTGTTTTTGTTTTTTTGAGACAGTCTTCGCTCTGTCACCCAGGCTGGAGTGCAGTGGCGCGATCTTGGCTCACTGCAAGCTCCGCCTCCCGGGTTCATGCCATTTTCCTGCCTCAGCCTCCCGAGTAGCTGGGACTACAGGCGCCCGCCACCACGCCTGGCTAATTTTTTTGTATTTTTAATAGAGACGGAGTTTCACTGTATTAGCCAGGATGGTCTCGATCTCCTGACTTCGTGATCCACCCGCCTCGGCCTCCCAAAGTGCTGGGATTACAGGCGTGAGCCACTGCACCAGGCCCTGATCCTATTGTTAAACTCTAAAGTGCTGGCTAGTAGCACCGGCAGAACAGTTTGTATGCCGTTCCAAATACGTGACTTTAATTATGCTGTTGGATATTTGCACTGTGGCAGCCACTTATAAAGGCTGGTCAGATACAACTGAGGCTCCATTCCAAGGGCAGTGGACACTGGCTTTGCAGTGACCAGGCCAGACCTGGTGCTGCTGCCTGGGAATGGGGGCTTCTTAGACACAGAAGGAGACTAGAGGCTGTGCTGGATGCTGGTGCTGGGGGAAAATCCCTGTGGGACGTGGCATTCATGGGAGGACAAAAGGAGGGCCGGAAAAAATCCCAGGGTGCAGGCGGCTGGAGTCACGCATTGCCTTTGTTCTCTAGCAGTGGGGTGCAGGGTCCGCTGGTGGCAGTTAGAGACGGAGCAAAGTAAATGCACTTGAAAGAGCTTTGGGAGGTGGAACTGTGAGGAGTCAGAGAACAAGATGGGATGAGACATGAGCTCTGATGTGCCTGTGTGGAGTGGACACCGCCAGGGCCCCCACGCTGGCTCTGTAGGTGGCACCCAGGCCAGACCCTGCACCCACGCTGCCAGGGCTGAGACCTTGGAGACTTGGATTTAGAGCTGATTACTCCAAGTCCGCCTAACAGGGTGAGGCAGAAGCTGTGCAGATTCGCATCTATGGAAGATGCACGGACGGAGAGCCCTTGGAAGCGGGCCGGGCCCAGGCCGTGTGCGTGCGGTGACAGCTGCTTGGCATCACACACCAAGGCGGATGTGGGAGGGCTGCCTATGATCATGAAAAACCTGAAATATGAAAATGTGAAGAATAGGAGAGAACAGCAGTTTGCCACAGCAGGGCCCTGGCCAGCACTCCGCACGGTGCTCTGATGACTTGAGAAATTTTGTGGAAGCTGGGAGAAAGAAAGAGCTTACAAAGCAGTTTGTATGACAGTATCTTGTTTTTGTAAGGGACAGTGGGATGATTGATGATAGGTTTTCTTTTTCCTTTTCCATGTTTTCTGATTAATCAGCATCAAACATTGCTATTTTTGATTGTAGTAAAATATGCATAACATAAACTTTACCCCCATGTTTACCTTTTTTTTTTTTTTTTTTTTTTTTTTTTGAGATGGAGTCTCACCTCACTCTGTCGCTGGGGTTGGAGTGCAGTGGTGCGATCTCAGCTCACTGCAACCTCCGCCTCCTGGGTTCAAGTGATTCTCCTGCCTCAGCCTCCTGAGTAGCTGGGATTACAGGCACCTGTCACTATGCCCAGCTAATTTTTTGTATTTTTAGTAGAGATGGTGTTTCACCATATTGTCCAGGCTGGTCTCGAACTCCTGACCTCGTGATTCGCCCGCCTCGGCCTCCTGAAGTGCCAGGATTATAGGCTGGAGCCACCGCGTCCTCCCCCATCTTCACCATTTTAAGTGTACAGCTCAGTGGCGTTAAGTACATTTCACCTTATTCTGCAACCACCACCACTGTCCAGCTAGAGCGTTTCATCTTTCCAAGCCGAAACTCTGTATCCACTAAACACCAACTCCCCAGCCCAGCACGCAGCCCCTGTCACCACTGTTCTCCTTTCTGTCTCTGAGTTTGACCACTTTAGGTAATTCATATGAGTGGAATCATGCGGCGTTTTTTCTTTTGTGACTGGCCTATTTCACTTAGCCTAAGGTCGTTAAGGTTCAACCATGTTGTAACTTGTCAGAATTTCCTTTCTTTTAAGGCTAACATTCCACTGACCACATAAATACTGTTATTTTTATACAAAGAAAGAAGTCTGCAAGCACTGGCTTGGAACAAGCTGCGCATCTGGCGTTTTTCCATGGGTTCAACAAGCTGCGTTATCTGGTGTTTTTCCGTGGGTTCAACAAGCTGCGCATCTGGCGTTTTTCCGTGGGTTCGACATCAGTGGTCCCTGCTGTGGATCACAGCTGACGCACGAGCAGTTCTCCCCCGAGCCTGTCTGTGGCGCCCCTCCCCACCTTCCTCCACCATGGGGTCATCTTGGCCTCTCCTGGGCAGAGGCCGGGGAGGAAGGCGAGTCCCTGTGGGTGCTGCGCGGGGTCAGGGGCTGTTGCCATGTGGGATCTGTGGCTTCCCAGGGTGCTCGGTCCGACCTGTCTTCTTGTTGACCCGCGTGGGGCCCGGGCATGACTGGACACGCCCCCAGGCCTCTCCTGGCACTATCTGGGTTCAGGCCGCAGAAAGGGCAGACTGCGGGACTCTGGGCTGGAGTCGCAGGACACGGGCAGCCCCTATGGGGCCGAAGCACGTCCTCAGGCAGCCTGGCCCCTCCGAGCGGCATCACCCTGAGGTGCCTGCGTGGACACCAAGGGCAGGCCCCCCATGCTGGCTCTGCAGGCAGCGCTGGGGCTGGACCCTGCACCCACCCGGCCGGGGCTGCCCTGCACTGCTCCTTTCTGAGGTGTGTGGAACAGGAAGCTGTGATGTGGAGGGAAGTGGACGAGAGTTTCTGCTACATGTAGATTTCTAGTGAGGAACATGCAGCAGTGACCGGCTGCGGTCGGGGGCGTTCCCTTACGTGTCGGGGAGGTCCAGGTGGCTGGCGGTGCGGCCGGTGCCTCTGTTCTCCCTCATTTCCAGTCAGTTCCTGAGAAAATGGGTGGCGTCTCCAGCCGCCATTGGGGATTGGCCTGCAATTGTTTCCATGTATCTGTGGAACCGGCCCAACACCCCGCGTGGATGCCTGAGCCTGGAGACTGTACTGAACCCTGCGTAGTCTATGTTTTTCCGTACTTGCATACCAGTGACGAACTTTAATTGGTAAATTAGGCACGGTAAGAGATTACAATAATAATAGAACAGTTGTAACAATATACTGTCATAAAAGTTATGTGAATGTGGTCTCTCTCTCTCTCTCTTGCCCTTTGGTGCCCGCCGTGAGATGGCGGTGAGATGGGCGGCGCAGGCATTGCAATGCAGCCTTAGGCCGCTGCTGACCTTGACCAGCCTGGCCATACCGCTGCAGTCCCATGCTGGCGACCCAGCCGGCTACTGTGTGGCTCACAGGCGGGTCGCACATACAGCGTGGACACGCTGGACAAGGGGATGGTTTGTGTCCTGGGTGGGAGGAGCAGGACGGTCTGAGAGTTTATCATCCTACTCAGAACAGCGCACAGTTTAAAACTTACGGAGTGTTTGTGAATGGAGTTTTCCGTTTAATATTTTTGGAGTGCAGTTGACCTCTGGTCATTGAAATCGTGGAAAGTGAAACTGAGATTCGGGGGTGGCTATGGCATTTCTTCTTCCAGCTCTGTCAGCTTTTGCCTAGTGTAACGTGAAGGAAGCTTTTTGGCCGGGTGCATTCACATTGAGGGTTGTTCTGGCTCCTTGGGGAGCTGACCCCTTCCTTCTCTCTCTCTGATGAGTTCCTTGCTCGGAGGCTGGCTGGGTCTGGTGCTGACAAAGCCACCCCAGCTTCCTTTTGGCCAGCGCTTGCCTGGTTCACCTTTTTCCCCTTTTGCTTTCGACTTACCTACCTGTATCAGTATATTTGAAGTAAGTTTCTTGTAGATGGCATATGGTTGGGTTAGGATTTTATTTATCTGTTCTGACAACCTCTTCTAATTGGTGTTTTTAGATTATTATGATAGTGTAATTATCAATGTGTTTCGATTCAGGTCTACCATTTTATTATCTGACTTCTGTTAGATCACTATCTTTATCATTGCTCTATTTCCTTTTAGGTTTTTAAAAACATAGTATTCTGTTTTAATTTATTCTAAATTATATGTTATCTATTTTGCTTTGGATAGCTTTTTTAAAAAGTATGTTAATTTTTCTTTTTTTAAAAGAGGCAGGATTTCACTGTGTTGCCCAGACAGGCCTTGAACTCCTGGACTCAAGTGATCCTCCCTTCTCAGCCTCCCAAGTAGCTGGGACTGCAGCGCCTGGCTGTACAGCTTTCTTCGGTGGTTGCTCTAAGGATTTCGAAGTCCATGCTTATTAACATTTCATATTCTGCTGAGGATCTGAAAAGTCTGCTTTTTACTACTTCTAGTGGGACATAGAAATCTTACCCCATCCAGGTTTCCCCTCCCCCTTTTAGATTACAGTTGTCTTGTTTATATGATTTATACAATTATATACCTAGAAATATTTTATAATTTACTTGTTATGTATTTGTGTAATTTACATTTATGTACACTGAAAGGCCCATTAGACAGTACTTTGATTTTTGCTTTTAACCGCCAAGCACTTTGGAAGAGCTGTGGGGTCGTTGTGTGTCCTGCGCCCTCGCCGCTTAGCCTGCCTACTGCCTCTGCTTTGTGGTTCGTAGCCCATGCCTCCTTCCACCTCCCTTCCTGTCAGCCTGTACCGCTGGCCAGCATGCTCTTTGTTTTCCTCCTCTGCCCACGTCCTGGCTTCACCTTCCTTCCTGGAAGACACGTTCCCATCTTGAGGGAGGATCCCAAGTTGGCACCTCCCCGCTTTAGGCTTAGGCACATTGTGCCCGCCCTCCGGCCTGCCTGGTCCCCGGGGGGAATCCGCGGCCCTCCCACTGTTGCTCTGTGCTCTGCTGAGCGTCATTTCTCCTGCTGTTTTCAAGATCTGTTTTCCTTTATCTTTAGTGTTCAGCAGTTTGACCGTGATGTGTCTGGGTGTGGATTTCTTGTTTGTCTTGTTTGGGATCCATAGAGCTTCTTGAATCTGTAGACAAAAGACTTTCTCCAAATTTAGGGTGTTTTCTGTCATTTTTTTCAGCTGTTTTTCATCACTGCTTGGTTTCCCCTTTGCCTTTTGCACTCTCATGGCACAGATGTTAGACCTTCTCTCTTGTCCCGAAGATCCCCAAAATTTTTTCAATCTTTTTTTCTCTCTGGTATTCAGATTAGAAAACTTAACATTGCTCTATCTTCAAGTTCACTGAATCTTTCCTGAGGTTTTTTTTTTTTTTTTTTACATTTCAGTAGTGTGTCTTTTAGTTTTGAAATTTCCATTTGGTTCTTCTTTATATCTTGTTTTGTTTGCCTTTTGCTGATTTCCATTTTTTCATTCAGTTTGGGAGTGTTACAATCGTTAGAGCATTTCATAGCACAGTAGTTGCTTTAAAGTCGGGTGGATAATTGCAGCACCTGTGTTATTTTGGCATCTGTTGATTCTCTTTTCCTGTAGGAGCCCATACGTTCCTCGTTCTTTGTGTGCTGAGTAATCTGGGCTGTAAGTGGATGGTTGGATGTTATGATATGAGATCTGGGTCTTGTTAAAATCCTAGGAGGATGTTGATATTTTTATTTTAGAAAGCAAACACCCTGAGGAGACTTGGGCTGTGGTTCTGACTTGCCTTCAGTGGGTGGCAGCTCCATGTCAATTCTGGCTTCACAGCCTCCTGCACTGCCACTTGGACCTGCCCCCTGTGTGCCGCTGGTGGCTGTCTGGCTGTGGTCTCAGGGTTTGGGGTGTGAAGAGGATCAGATCCACACCCCTGCAGCTTGAGGATGGGCTTGAAGCTCATGAGCAATTTTGTCGGCTGGCTCTTCTGAGCTGCTTCCTCTCCACACTGCCACTGGGGCTTCCTGGGTCCCTGGAGAGCTTCCCTTCTCCACCCTCAGCCAGTGCAGTGGGACTGACTACCCGTTCCACTGTGCACCTCCATGCCTGCGCCAGTGCTGGAGGAGGGATTTGGGGCTCCTTCTGTTCAGTGTCTCCTCCAGGCCACCTGCTGCTCTTTCCTTCATAGAATGTGGCTCAGCTGCCCCTGGTCCCATCCCAGGGCAGAGCCCCTGCTGAGTACCCTTGAGACTGGAGCAGATTCAGCAGAAGGCAGATTGCCCCCTCTCCCTGGAGCTGGCTCTGAAGGTGTGTTTAGACGATGTCTGCCTTCATTTCTGCACCTCTGCTCCAGCTGCGGTGTGGCACTTTCTGTCCCCTGCGGCAGCCCCATACTCCTTGCAATCTCAGCCTGTCTGTGCAGCTAGACAGCTGGTGTTGGGCGGCAGGGCGCTCGTCTTTTCCATGTCAGGCCCTAGTGTGTTTGGAGGCACCACCTGGGAGGTGGCTGCATTTAGGGAGGCTCTGCTGGGCAGATGTGGCATTGGAGAGGTGCTGCCCCTCCAGCACTTTGAGGGGGTCGTCAGACCCTCGAGAGAGTCCTCAGCACCAGCAACTCAGGACGGCGGCCCCCATGGTGGGAAGGATGGCAGGAACCATGTGCCCCATACTGTGACCCTCCTGGAGGCCAGGAGAGCCTGTTCTCAGCGAGTGTGGAAGGATAAGCTGCACAGGGCCTCCCAGCCTGCTGGCCCATGTGCCCTGAGAGAGACACGCAACTCCCAAGGACTGATCATGCCCCTGTCAGCCATGTCCGGTGCCCTCGGGAGAGCGGGAAGGGGTTAGAGGCCTGGGTACCCAACCTCGAAGCTTGTTGGGTGTCCCCTCCTTCTCCTCACAGAACAGGGGTCCTTATGTGTTGTTCCAGCCCAGGATGGCGGCCCAGGTGACTCTGGAGGACGCGCTGTCCAACGTGGACCTCCTGGAGGAGCTGCCCCTGCCCGACCAGCAGCCCTGCATCGAGCCCCCGCCATCCTCGCTGCTCTACCAGGTGGGTGCCCAGCAGCTGCAGGGCGTACAGCCTGTGCTCCGACCCCACATGATGTTTTTCTCTTCCTTTCCTTCAGCCAAATTTCAACACTAACTTTGAAGACAGAAATGCATTTGTTACTGGCATCGCAAGATACATTGAACAAGCCACCGTCCACTCTAGCATGGTAATGTTGCGGTGTGTCTTTGTTTCTCTCTGCAGAGAAGGGCGTGTTTGAAGGACAGATGTATACTTTTTGGTATTATCCCAATAGACTATGCAGTGAGGAAAAAGAGAAGAAAATGAATGAAATGCCTTATATTTTTAAGACAGTCTTTGCTTTTCTTAGTATAAAAACAATACATGCTGGTTCTGAAAATTCAATGTCTCTGGCCCAGAGAAAACCTTTGTCAGCGTTTCAAGGGTGCGCCTGCCCTGTTAATGCTCATTCCCTCTCCAGATCTGCACCCACACACACCAGGTATGTGCCCATATGAGATTTAGATTTATAAATGAATTGCATTGTTATTATAGTTCTGCTTTTTTTTTGAGACAGAGTCTTGCTCTGCCACCCAGGCTGGAGTACAGTGGCGCGATCTTGGTTCACTGCAACCTCCGCCTCCCAGGTTCAAGCAGTTCTTGTGCCTCAGCCTCCCGAGTAGCTGGGACTACTGGCGCCCACCACTACGCCCAGCTAATTTGTGCATTTTTAGTAGAGACAGGGTTTCACCATGTTGGTCGGGCTGGTCTCGAATTCCTGACCTCAAGTGATCTGCCCACCTTAGCCTCCCAAAGTGCTGGGATTACAGGCATGAGCCACCACACCTAGCTAGTTCTGCATTTTAATGGTCTCATCAACAGGTTTTCTTTCTTTCTTTTTTTTTTTTGAGATGGTCTCACTCAGGTTGCCCAGGCTAGAGTGCAGTGGTGTGATTAGGGCTCACTGCAGCCTCAACCTCCCGGGTTCAAGCAATCCTCCCACCTCTGCCTCCTGAGTAGCTGGGACTACAGGCACACACCACCATGCCCATCTACTTTTTTGTGTTTTTTGTAGAGGCGAGGTCTCACCATGTTGCCCAGGTTGGTCTTGAATTCCTGGACTCAAGGAATCCGCCTGCCCAGCCTCCCAAAGTACTGGGATTACAGCCTGAGCCACTGCACCTGGACAAGAATATTTTCATGCCATGAAAATGTGCTAGAGAAAGCAATCCTTAATGGCTACGTAAACCATTTTGTAAATGTCCACAATTCAACTATTTTTGCGCATTGACTTCCTCTTTTATGTCGTGTAATAAAAAAATGCTGTAGGCTGGGCGCAGTGGCCCACGCCTGTAATCCCAGCATTTTGGGAGGCCAAAGTGGGCAGATCACCTAAGGTCAGGAGTTCGAGACCAGCCTGGCCAACATGGTGAAACCCTGTCTCTACAAAAAAAAAAAAATACAAAAATTAACCAGGCATGGTGGTGCGCACACCTGTAATCCCAGCTACTCAGGAGGCTGAGGCAAGAGAATTGCTTGAACCCGGGAGGCAGAGGTTGCAGTGAGCTGAGATCGTGCCACTGCACTCCAGCCTGGGGGACAGAGCAAGACTCGTCTCAAAAAAAAAAAAAAATACTGTGATGAACGTCTCACTAAATAAAGGCTAGATTTAAGAGCATCTATTTGATTTTTTCCAAAGGAAACGATGTTAAAGAGTGGAAAGCAAAAGCAGTTTTACAGCAGTGATGACAGTCCTCTTCCCATGGACTCTCTACCTAGATTTTAAGTGCTGTGGGCGTGCTCCTAACTTTTCCTCCTGCACACCCGGGGCTGGCAGCCCTGCCTCTAGTCCTCTCTGGGACCGGGAGGCCCTGTGAGCCAGTGAGGAGGCCATGGGGATCCTGTGTGTGCTCACACCGGGCAGGGCGTCTGCCCTGAGCCCTTCCTCTGTGTTCCTAACTGCAGGTCTCATGGCCAGCAGGTTGTTGAGGGCTGGGTGGAGCCAAGGTGTAACGCCTGTGGCACCCCTCAGAGATGCCTGCGTGTCACTGACACCCCTCTCGCCTGCAGAAGCCATGGGGTGTTTTGGGTGGTCATTGTGGCCCCCAGCGCCGCACCTCAGTGTCACTAGCTTCTGGCAGCCGTCTCTTGGCACACAGGCCACAGTGCTTAGGATAGTTTGTGGCGCTTTGTCTGGATTTTAGCAACTGGCATCTGCTTTTCATGCTAGTTCCCCCGCCTGCCTTTGATTTGCCCTGTGTTCCATTGCAGAACGAGATGCTGGAGGAGGGCCAAGAATATGCTGTCATGCTGTACACCTGGAGGAGCTGCTCCCGGGCCATCCCACAGGTGCCACGCTCGCCTGGCTCTTCCCCTCCAGCCACACCCTGCCAGGCCCCTGCCACACCACACCCCTGCCCCTGCCATGCCTGGCCCACTCTCCTCCCAGTTCTCACCCCACAGCAGGGCGGGATCACTAGCTCTAGAAGCCCAGCGGCTGCTTCTGGCTGGATCAAAGCCTCTTATGTCATCCTTGTTCCTTTATTCCCAGGTGAAATGTAACGAGCAGCCTAACAGAGTGGAAATCTACGAGAAAACCGTGGAGGTTCTGGAGCCTGAGGTCACAAAACTGATGAATTTCATGTACTTCCAGGTAAAATGGCAAATAATCTGGGGGGGGTGTAACACCGAGGGGTGGGTTGCTGACCCCTTCCTACCCATCACTGTCACTGTGAACACCCTGAACAGAGTGCCTGCAAATTAAAGCAACCAGTTTCTGAGACAAAAGGGACCAAGCCTTTGACAGTCTAAAGTTCCTCATGCCCTTTCGGAATCAACGCTCCTTTTGTGGTTCACTTCTCTTCTCTGAGAGTGATTTTATGTTTCCTTCATGGAGCCTGCTTTCTGTCAGTTTCAAGTACAATGCTTTGACTTTTTGCCAGTTTGTACTTTTTTTTTTTTTTTTTTTTTTTTGAGACAGAGTCTTGCTTTGTCGCCCTGGCTAGAGTGCAATGGCATGATCTCGGCTCACTGCAACCTCTGCCTCCCAGGTTCAAGCGATTCTCCTGCCTCAGCTTCCTGAGTAGCTGGGATTACAGGTGCCCGCCACCACGCCCAGCTAATTTTTGTATTTTTAGTGGAGACAGGGTTTCACCATGTTGGCCAAGCTGGTTTTGAACTCCTGACCTCAGATGATCTGCCCATCTTGGCCTCCCAAAATGCTGAGATTACAGGTGTGAGCCACCACGCCTGGCCAATTTGTACTTTTGTTTTCGTCTGCTCTTTCAGGTATTTTCTTGCTGTTAGCCTCACCCTGACTGTCCATTCCTGGTGGTCCTCGCCCTGGCCTTGGTTAGGCAAGAAGTAGCCACATGGAAGGGGCTTGCTGCTTTTTAAAGAAGTATTTTGGAAACATCCAGATTTTTTATGATGATGTCCTTCAGCAAAGGGAGGAGATGGAACTAACTGGGAGATGAATTTTTGTTTTACCTTGAAAGTTACCAAGAGGAAAAAAATCTCTCCCAGTTTTCACTTCTGAAAGTTAGAACATCTGAATTTTACAGGCGTTTTATTGGAGCATTTTGCTCAGTAATTTTGCTGGAATAATCAGCAAGATTTTGTTACTTTAGTGATGTAGTTGGTAAAGTGCAAGTCAAGTAATGATGGTGCAGAGCAGGCAGTGGGAGCTGCTTTCAGGAAGGGGTCTGGTTGCCCACATTGTAAACACTTCGGCCTGGAGCCTCACTGGGCAGATCGTTTCTCATCGAGGAGCAGTGACTGCAGGTGCTTGAAGGAGGGACATGGGCTTGGCTCCTCACTGACCTGCAGCTTTCTGCCCTCCTGCTTCCTCTGCACAGAGAAATGCCATTGAGCGTTTCTGCGGGGAAGTGAGGCGCCTGTGCCATGCCGAGAGGAGGAAGGACTTCGTGTCAGAAGCCTACCTGATCACACTGGGCAAATTCATCAACATGTTCGCTGTGCTGGACGAGCTGAAGAACATGAAGTGCAGTGTGAAGAACGACCACTCAGCGTACAAGAGGTGAGCACCCGCCTCGCGCACTGCGGGCCCTCCCGAGAGCACCCAGCTCAGTGGCCTGCCTTGTGCACAGCAGGTGTGCGTCTTTGTTTGCTGAAGTCGTCACTTCTGGTAGGCAGCAGCTACGTCTCAGTGTCAGGGCTGTGTGAGCACCTGCTTCGAGGGATAAGGTGAGGGGAGCCAGCAGATAAGTGCATATCGTGGCTTTGCACAGCTAGAGCAGGCTCTTCGTGCCCTGGCTGTCCTCAGATGTCACAGAGGACCTTCGAGCCCCTGGGAAGACAGACATGCACAAGATGTAGGCCTAGCTCACAGAGCACAGGCATCTGGCTCAGGGAGCATCTTGGCAAGGGGGCAGGTGGCCTCTGCAGCCTACCTTGGGCGTTGGGGCTGCAGTCCTCGGTGCCGGTCACTCGCCAGCGGGGGTCCCCAGCACATGAGCACCATCCCAGCAATGTGCAGACGTGGCCCGTGCACAGTCACAGGGTGTCTCGTGGTCACACTGCGCTTCCAGATCCTCTCCCTGGTGGTTTTCTTTCTGGATGTAGAGAGCTTCTGGAGAAGCTAGCCTCTGGAGAGGCTGGCAAGACGAGCGGAAGAGGCAGGCATGGCCCAGTGTGTGCTTCTGGAGCAGTGTGGGGCAGTGGGTGGCCGATGGGCATTTGGTGACACTCGGCGCACTGCCGACCGGCGTTCGGTGACACTTGGCACGCTGCCGACCGGCGTTTGGTGACACTTGGCACGCTGTCTCCTGATGCTCTTGCTCTGCTTCATCTGTGCTCAGTGCTTTTGAAGACATGTTTTGCTGGAATGAGATGCTAATTTCAATTTCCTCTGCTAAGTAAGGCATCTTAGCTCTAAAATTAAATTCGAAGAGACCTTACTTTGCATCTGAATATGCTCTAGTTATGTTGCATTTTAAATCATACAACTGTTGCTATGTCTTTATTTAAAAAACCCACTTGGGACAAAATGAGGCAGCAGTAGGAGTCAAGCTAGGTCAGGCAGAATTTTAAGCCTCATTCATGTGAAATAATGCAGTGTTCCATTTATCACCTAAAATCATCAGCTCTGCACAGAAGTCTAGATCTTCAGAACTAGAGAAAGGTCTCTGGAGTTGACCTGTGAGCCCCTCTTGGGGCAGAAGTCTGAAGGGTCCCTGTTTGATAACAGCATCTGTGGGAATCTAGCATCGAGACTCACTGGTCGGAGTGGGCTCCTGGTCCCAGCCGCCCAATCCAGTAGCTGTGTGATTTTAAGCAGCCTTCTCAGCCGCCGTTTTGGCTTTGTCAGGGAAATGGGGGAGGTGGTTTTCAATATTTAAAAGTATTTAAAAGTTGTGTGTGTGTGTTGTTGTTTTTTTTTTCCTTTTAGCACTAGCACCTTTATTCTAAAGCCTAGTCTGTAAAACAGTTTACAGATGGGGCTGCTGTGTGCAAAGCTGGGGGAAGGAGGGTTTCCCCTCTAGCGTCTTCACCACCTCCAGGTTCCCCTGAGCACCAAAGAGTGGGCCTGGGGCAGTTCCGTAGCTCTTACTGCTGCCTCTTCCTCTGACCTCTATCTGGGACCCCTGTTGGTTAACCTTCCCAGACCATCACCCCCACCCCTCCCAAGACCCCCACCACACACACACGCATCTAGCTCTTTTGGCACCTGCTCGTGGCTACTAGTATAACCTCTTTTAAGTGTCAATGCCAAGATAACTCATATGGTTATGGTGAGGCTTGAGGAAAATAGAAAACAGTATCCTTGACCCTTTCCTTAGTCTCCCCACCCGCCACCTCAGCAGCTACTCAAATCAATAAAGCAAACATGGCCAGGTGCGATGGCTCACACCTGTAATCCCAGCACCTTGAGAGGCTGAGGCAGAAGGATCACTTGAGCCCAGGAATTTGAGACCAGTCTGGGTAACATAGCAAGACCCCATCTCTAAAAAAACAAGAGCAAAAAAAACTAGCTGGGTGTGGTGGCATGCACCTGTGGTCCCAGCTACTTGGGACGCTGAGGTTGGAGAATCACTTGAGCCCAGGAGGTAGAGGCTGCAGTGAGCTGTGATTGTACCACTGTATTCCAGCCTGGGTGACAGAGTGAGACCCTGTGTCTATTTAAAAAAAAAGGAAACATGGTTTTTTCTTTTTGAGACAGAGTCTCACTGGCCCAGGCTGGAGTGCGGTGGCACGATCTTGGCTCACTGCAACCTCTGCGTCTCCTGGATTCAAGCAATTCTCCTGTCTCAGCCTCCCGAGTAGTTGGGATTACAGGTGTGAGCCACCACACCGGGCTAATTTTTATATTTTTAGTAGAGATGGGGTTTCACCATGTTGGCCAGGCTGGTGTTGAACGCCTGACTCAAGTGATTTGCCTGCCTCCTTCTCCCAAAATGCTGGGATTACTGGCATGAGCCACCATGCCCCGCCCTGGAAACATGTTTAAAAAGGCAAGGAATGTTACTGTATCAGTTAATATTACATTTAACTGTATGCAATTGTTTAAAGCCCAGATAAATAACAGTGGCTTTAAAAAGATTGCAGTTTATTTCTCTGTCTCCTGAAAAGTCCTGAATTGGGTGGTCTGCAGCTGATCGAGGCTCTACGGGACCCAGGGCTCCTGTGGTCCTGTGGCTCCGCTTCAGGTGTTGCCTCCTGGTCCTAAATGGTTGCTTAAGCTCCAGCTGTCATTTCTCCATTCCAGTCAGCAGGCAGAAAGTGGGGAAAGATGGGCTCCATGCTTCCTCATGAGTAAACTTTGAGTGCTTGTCAGTATCTTGCATTATATCTCATGGCCTAGTCCTTGGTCACTTGGCCACAGCTAGCTGCAGGGTGGGCGAGGCACACGGAATGTGTGGGGCTCCCTGGAATGTGTGTTCCACAGAAATGCAGGGCTCGTTCCTAAGGAGGAAGGGGAGGAAGTGAATGTTGGTGTAGGTTATCAGCCTTTGCCTTGGTAACTCTTAAAACTAAACCCCCAAGGTTCTGGGTTGCACAGACCTATCCTTATGTGGGCCGTTTCCACTGAACTTTCTTGCGGGACAGTCCTAGATGATCAGAATCCTCACACCCCCGCCTTCACCCTGCCCTGCCAGACCTCGCAGGCTTAGCATGGCCTTGCAGTATTGTATTGTTGGGCCTCACGTACGGGTGTAGCTACAAATTGGTGGCAGGCCAGGGCTCTGTCTCAGGACCTTGGACACCAGTGGTCCCTGAGGTGGCCTGGGGAGGTGTGGTCCAGAGGGTTCCCAGCAGAGAACCTCAGCAGTGCTGGCCGGCTTCATGGCAGGGCTTGTGGGAGTCACGGAGATGGCAGTGGCCCTTCTCAGACTCGGGGTCCAGGAGCCCTGTGCCCCCTAGATGAGGTGGGCGTCCACCAGTATAGGGCAGAGACCAGTGTGCAGGGACCCTGCAGGGAGCCGTCAGCTGTGACCAGCAGGGTGGAGAGCTGTCCCAGCCTGTGCAAGACACGTCTAAGTTGGCAGAAGACTGACCTGGAGTGCAGGGCCAGAGACGCCTGAAAAGGCTGAAATCATAGGTGGCTTCTGAGATTGACCCACATTTCTGCAGATGACTGTAGGGGAAAGGGATCCCACTCGAACCAGGCTTTTTTTTTTTTTTTTTTTTTTTTTAAATGTGGCACGTTGGTGCATTTTGGGATGAATTCTTTTTGTTTTCAAAGGGCCGCTCAGTTTTTACGTAAAATGGCAGATCCACAGTCCATCCAGGAATCGCAGAATCTGTCCATGTTCCTGGCCAATCATAACAAGATCACACAGGTAAGGCTGGTGTTTGCACACTCAGGTTGATGGGCCAAGCAGCCGGCCGGGCGCCGGGCCCATGCATGAGTCTCTTGCTCTGTGTTTCAGTCTCTGCAGCAGCAGCTCGAAGTGATTTCTGGCTACGAAGAGCTCCTGGCAGATATTGTGAATCTGTGTGTGGATTACTACGAGAACAGGATGTATTTGACGCCCAGTGAGAAACACATGCTTCTCAAAGTACGTGTGTGGGGACGCTAGCCCGTGGCACTGCCGAGGGACAGCCTTACTCTTGTCAATAGGCTGTGCTTTATCTAGAATCCTTTTGACAGCTGTGTCTTATTTGCATGCTGTCATGTGTGAACAGCGTCCTGCCCTTGCACACAGCCTGCACAACAGGCTCTCAACACACCCCATGAGTGTGTCACACACTGACCCTGGGAGAAGGTGCTGGCCAGGAGGTCCGGGTCAAGGATTCTCAGCTTTTTTTTTTTTTTTTTTTTTTTTAAGCTGCTTTTCGTTTTATTCTCAAGGCAGGGTGTTGCTCTTGCCCAGGCTGGAGTGCAGTGGCACAATCACAGCCCAATATAGCCTCAACCTCCTGGGCTCAAGTGATCCTCCCACCTCAGCCTCCTAAGTAGCTGGGACTACAGGTGCACGCCACCATGCCTCGCTAATTTTTAAATTTTTTGTAGAGAGAGAATCTTGCCATGTTGTACAGGCTGTTCTCAAACTCCTGGGCTCAAGGGACCCTCCTGCCTCAGCCTCCCAAAGCTCTGTGAATACAAGCTTGAGCCACTGCCCTTTTTATTTTTTTTTTATTTTTGAGACAGGGCTTTGCTCTTTCACCCAGGCTCCAGTGCAATGGTGCGGACACAGCTCACTATAGCCTTGACCTCCTTGGCTCAAGTGATCTTTCTGCCTCAGGCTCCTGAGTAACTGGGACCACAGGCACTTGCACCAATGCCCAGCTAAGTTTTTGAATTTTTGTAGATATGAGATCTCACTTTGTTGCCCTGGCTGACCTTGAACTCCTGGGCTCAAGCAATCTTCTTGCCTTGTCCCCCGCAAAGTGCTAGGATTACAGGCATAAGCCACCATGCCCCGCCAGCTTTGTGACAGAAGTTATCCAAGATTCTACTTGTCAAGCATGTGATTCCTAGGACTTTGATACCTTGTGTCACATAATTAAAGTAGCCTTTTGTTGGTTCACCATATTCTTTATTATTCTGTTCAAATTAGGAAGCTTTCCATCTGTGTTTCTCATGGGAAAGATGGGCGGCAGTTCGGCTGTTCCCTTTGCTCTCTTCTCCACCTCTGCAGGGTGGCCTTGGGGGACCCTTTGCTGGGTGTCCCACCAGCCCAGCCCCCAGACTCCTCCTGAGCAGGGGAGCACTGTCCACGGAGTGCTTTGTGACAGCAGAAACGTTGTGTCTGCACCGGCTGGTGTGGGAGCCCTGGCCATGAGCCCCTGCGGAGCACTGGAGCATGCAGGTGGCTAGTCCACGTTAAGAATTTTTAGTTTGTGACTGGGCACGGTGGCTCATGCCTGTAATCCCAGCACTTTGGGAGTTGAGGTGGGTGGATCACTTGAGGTCAGGAGTTTTACACCAGCCTGACCAACATGGTGAAACCCCATCTCTACTAAAAATACAAAAAAAATTAGCCAGGCGTGGTGGTCATGGGCGCCTGTAATCCCAGCTACTTGGGAGGCTGAGGCAGGAGAATCGCTTGAACCTGGGAGGCAGAGGTTGCAGTGAGCTGAGATGGCACCACTGCACTCCAGCCCGGGTGACAGAGCCAGACTCCATCTCAAAAAAAAAAAACAAAAAAAGAATTTTTAGTTTGCATACACCGAAACTTAACTGGTTACATGTGGCTGCATATTGGACATTACTTTTAATGGCAAAAAAAACGCAATTACTTTTGCACCAGCTTAGTAGCTCTAGAATATCCCTACCGCTTGGGTTAGGCTAGGGGAGAGGATTTGTTTTTTCCGCTTTTAGCGACTGACCTGGAAGCCCAGCCCCGCTTTGTATCCCAGTTTCACTGAGGATAAAATGATGCATTTCAAGCACCAGACAAGCAGCCTAAAGATAGATCTTTGTGATCTATTTCAAATTGTGCCTTCAAAGTCATCAGCTGTAACAGTGTAAGTCCTTATGGGTAGTGAAATTCTCAGTTCTGAGCTTTGTCGCATCATTCATTTTGTGGCTTTTCAGGTCATGGGATTTGGTCTGTACCTGATGGATGGGAGTGTCAGTAACATCTATAAGTTGGATGCCAAGAAAAGAATAAACTTATCCAAAATCGACAAGTACTTCAAGGTGAGTTACATGTTTTTAGATCAATGTTTTTATTGATTTGTGTGCACTTTGAATTTTGGGGAAGTGAGCCCCTGTGTGACTGTGATCTATATCAGGAAACGCTGGGGCTGGGTGGAGTCTGGGGCATGCACGTTCTCCCGTCTGCAGAGGTGACCGCGCTTTCTCTTTCCTTTTGCCCTGTGCTGGTTTTGCCTGGGTGGAGCTTTATACAGATGGAATTGTGCTATTTGTACTCTTCTGCGTCCAGCTGCTGTCACCAGCCTCTTGTTTGTGAGGTGCATCCTGGAGGAAGCCCGTAGCTACAGCTTGTAGCTTTCGGTTGTGGTGTAGTTTTCTATCTGATGACTACACCGTAACTTATCCGTTCCAATGTTGGCGGGCTCTCGGATGTTCCCAAGTTTTGGCGCGTCCAAACAGTGCAGCTCTGGTCGACTGTCCTCTGTTGGGTGCATACCCAGGAGAGGGACCGGGGGTCACAGGCCTGATCTGTTTTCAGTGTCAGTAGTTACCTGCAGCCTGATGACGCTCCAGCACAGCTGTCCTGATCTCCGTTCCCATCAGCAGTGAGAGAATGCGCCGCTGGTGCCACATCAGTACTTAGCACTGCCTTTTTGGGGTGGGGGGATATCCTGAGGATGCGTACAGCATTGAGATTGTATTGGCTAGTGTTTCATTGTATTGGCTAGTGTTTCGTTCATGTTTCCCTAATGGCTTTCCATGTTATTAGCGTGTTCCCTTCGTGATGTGCCACTTCAAGTGTTTTGCTCTTTTTTCCCTATTGATTTACAGTTCTTTATATATTCTGGATACATGTCCTTTGTTGGACACAAGTGAGTTTTTTTGTTTGTTTGTTTTGTTTTGTTTTTGAGACAGGCCCTCGCTCTGTCATCCAGGCTGGAGTGTAGCAGGCCTTGGTGATTTCTCCCACCCCAGCCTCTCAAGTAGCTGGGACTACAGGTGCTTACCATCATGCTTGGCTAGTTTTTAAACTTTTAGTAGCAACGAGATCTCCCTATGTTGCCCAGGCTGGTCTCGAACTCCTGGCCTCAAGCAGTCCTCCAGCCCTGGCCTCTCAAAGTGCCAAGATTACAGGCCTGAGCCACTGCACCTGGCCTTACATTTTAATATACATGTATTCTCCCCTAAGAGGCCTACCCTTTCACTTTTTCCCAGCTTTATCAAGGTGTAATTGACAAGTAAAAATTGTATGTTTATGGTATATGGTGTGATGTTTTGATACACATACACATTGTGAAATGATGAATTCAAGCTAATTTAACATGTCCATTACCTAACACACCATTTTTTTTATTTTGTGATGAGAACACTTAAGATCTACTCTTTTAGCATATTTTAAGCATTCAATGCATTGTTATTAACCATAGCTACTGTGCCATAGATGAGGTCTTCAGAACTTAACTATGCTGCGGAATTGAAACTTTATACGCTTTGACCAGTATATTCCCTTCCTCCTCCTGCCTCCAGTAGCCTTTTCGCGTTCTCGATGGTGTCATTTGCTGAACAGAAGTTTGTCATTTTCATGTAGTCTCATATATGAATCTTTTCATTAATGTCCACCTAAATAAATCTTTGCAGCCATCCAGCTCATGAGACGTTTCTGCTGTGTTAGCTTCTAGAAGCATTCTGTCTCCTTTTTCACCTAGATCTAATCCCCCTGGAACTGACTTCTGCGCGTGGTAGGAGGTAGGGGTTTCGTGTCCTTGGATCTTTCCCAGTATGGCTTCCCAGTTGGGCCTGCCCATTTATTGCAAAGCCCATTGTTCTGCAGTGCTGCTAAGGTCATGAATCTGTCTGTGGCTCTGTCCAGGTTCTCTGTCCTGTCCACAAGCCTCCATCCCTGCTCCAGGGCCACACTGCCTTAATTGTTGGAGCTTTCTAACAAGACTCCTAATCTGGAAGGGTGTGTCTTCCAGTTTTGTCCTTCAGGATAGTCTCAGATATCATCCCTTCACCTTTGGAGATGCACGTTAGAATTGATTTCCTGATTTATACACACTATCCCCCCAAAACCATTTTTTTTCTTCTGGAATATTGACTGGGATTGATTATAGATCTATTTTGAGAGAATGGACATTTAAAAAATTTGAAGCCTTCCTAGGCACAAACATGATCATTTCTCCATTTACTGAGAACTTTTTCTAGAATTTTCGGGGTAGTACTTTTGTTTAGAGGTCTTGCACATTTTTTGTTAGATTTACTGATGCATTTTTTTTTGGATGCTGTTGCAAAGTATTTCTCTTTAAGTTTTTGTATTCTGATTGTTGCTAGTATATAGAAATGCAGTTGGCTGGGCACGGTGGCTTATGCCTGTAATCCCAGCACTTTGGGAGGCCGAGGCGGGTGGATCACGAGGTCAGGAGATCGAGACCATCCTGGCTAACACGGTGAAAACCCGTCTCTACTAAAAATACAAAAAAATTAGCTGGGCATGGTGGCAGTTGCCTGTAGTCCCAGCTCCTCGGGAGGCTGAGGCAGGAGAATCTCTTGAACCCTGGAGGTAGAGGTTGCAGTGACCCAAGATCACGCCACTGCACTGCAGCGCAGCCTAGTAACAGAGTGAGACTGTCTCAAAAAAAAAAAAAAAAAAAAAAAAAAAAAAGGGCTGGGTGCGGTGGTTCACGCCTGTAATCCCAGCACTTTGGGAGGCTGAGGTGGGTAGATCACGAGGTCAGGAGATTGAGACCATCCTGGCTAACACAGTGAATCCCATCTCTACTAAAAATACAAAAAATTAGCCGGGTGTGGTGGCGGGCGCCTGTAGTCCCAGCTACTCGGGAGCCTGAGGCAGGAGAATGATGTGAACCTGGGAGGTGGAGCTTGCAGTGAGCCGAGATCACGCCACTGCACTCCAGCCTGGGCGACAGAGCGAGACTCTGTCTCAAAAAAAAAAAAAAAAAAAAAAAAAAAAAGAAAGAAATGCAGTGATTTTTTTTTTTTTATGACTGTGGATCTAGCAACATGGTAGGTTAATTTTAACATTTGAATAGTTTTTATAGATGTTGGTTTTTAAATTGTATTTTGTTCCTCTCAAAGCGAATGTAGAAGTTACTTATAGTTTTTTTTTTGTAATGAATCATTTGCAGAGGTAGCATTCAAGCCGAAGTAATTATTAGCATTAGTCAGTTTCCTTGTGCTTATGTATTTGGTGACTAAATATACATAATGACTCTATTTTTTTGTTCTTTGAATACAGCAACTCCAGGTGGTTCCGCTATTTGGGGACATGCAAATAGAACTGGCAAGATATATCAAGACCAGCGCCCACTACGAGGAAAATAAATCTCGGTAGGAGGAGAGGAAAGCTGCCTGGTTTGAGCTTTCGGCAGTGTCCTCATTGTGCGGTTTTCAAACATCCTGCTTATTTGTCTAGAGATAACACTGTTAACATTCTCAGCCTGGAATTAAATGTCCAGTATTGCAGCCTTTGCCACATGCGGCTATTTACATTTAAGTTTATTGAAAAATACAATTGAGGCCGGGCGCGGTGGCTCACGCCTGTAATCCCAGCACTTTGGGAGGCCGAGGCGGGCGGATCACGAGGTCAGGAGATCGAGACCATCCTAGCTAACACGGTGAAACCCCGTCTCTACTAAAAATAGAAAAAATTAGCCGGGCGTGGTGGTGGGCGCCTGTAGTCCCAGCTACTTGGGAGGCTGAGGTAGGAGAATGGCATGAACCTGGGAGGCGGAGCTTGCAGTGAGCAGAGATCGCGCCACTGCACTCCAACCTGGGCGACAGAGCAAGACTCCGTCTCAAAAAAAAAAAAAGAAAGAAAAATACAATTGAAATTTTAATTTCCTTACGACAGCCACGTTTGAAATGTTCAATAGTTAGTGGCTACTGTGTTGGACAGCACAGATACAGAACACTTTCATCATCCTAGGGATTCCTATTGGACAGTGCTGGGTGATAGTCTTTATGTTTAAAAAGGTTGTCTTAAAAAAAAAGAAGAGGGTGGGGCGCGGTGGCTCATGCCTGTAATCCCAGCACTTTGGGAGGCCGAGGTGGATGGATCTCTTGAACTCAGGAGTTTGAGACCAGCCTGGGCAACACAGTGAGACCTTGACTGTATGAAAAAATACAAAAATTAGCCGGGCATGGTGGCACACGCCTGTAGTCCCAGCTACTCAGGAGGCTGAGGTGGGAGGATCACTTGAGTAGTCTAGGAGGTGGAGGTTGCAGTGAACCAAGATTGCACCACTGCAGTCCAGCCTGGGCAAGAGAGCAAGACCCTACCTCAAAGAAAAAAAGAAGAGACTGACAGTGTGTCAGATGTGACATCTGCAGACAATGTGGCCCTAAATCCTAAACTGTGTACCATCTTACTCTGTGAAGAACTATAAAGATCCTCAGCACAGTTCCAGATGCTGGCAGGCACTCCTCCCCACTGCAGACTCTACAGAGCCATCTGAGCCTCAGGGGAGGCTTTCATTGACTTTTGCCAAGCACTGTGCCCGTAGCCAACCTGCAGTCACCATTCAGCCATGATTTTGACAAACGAAGTTGCATCTCAGTCTCAGGGGTCAAGAAACCTTTTCAGTAAAGGACACATAACAAGTATTTTAGGCTTTACAGGCCACAGGTGGTCTCCTTCGGATATGCTTCTGTGTTGTTTTTTTAAACAACCCTTTAAAAACATAAAAGCCATTTGTGTGGCTCTGGTGCCAAACAGGCGTCCTGAGCTGCCCCAGTGCTGTGGCCTGCCGGCGCCTCCGCAGGTAACGCGGGTGCTTTCTCTCTGCACAGATGGACGTGCACATCCTCCGGCAGCAGCCCTCAGTACAACATCTGCGAGCAGATGATCCAGATCCGCGAGGACCACATGCGCTTCATTTCGGAGCTGGCGCGCTACAGCAACAGCGAGGTGCGCCCCGCGACCTGGAGTTGCACAGGCACCCGAGGGTCGCCTGTGTGTGTTTGCACCCAAATCTTAGGTTTAATTGCTTTGAAAAACAGTTTACTACCAGATACGATCATATGTCACATAATGACAGGGACAGGTTCTGACAAATGTGTCATTAGGCAGTTTCATCATTGTGGGAACGTCATCGTGTCCTCATGCTAGCCTGGATGGTACAGCCTGTGGCACAGCTAGGCTGCAGGGTACAGCCGATGGCTCCTAGGCCACACACCTATGGAGCACGTTGCTGTGCTGAAGACTCTGGATAGTTGTAACACAATGGTATGTATTTGTGTATCTAAACATATCTAAACATAGAAAAGGTACAGTGAAAAGATGGTATTATAATCTTATGGGACCACCGTTGTATATGCTGTCATTGACCAAATGTGGTGCATGACTGTACTTCAAAAGCACCCATTATAATTGACAAGGCAGTGAAACTAGTGTTCTCTCTGTTCAGCTGTACAAAAAGCTTTTTTTTTTTTTTTTTTTTTTTTTTTTTTTTTTTTTTTCAGAAAAACATTATAGGGATCCCAAGAGAAAGGACAGAGATGAGATAATTAATTGATTAAGTGGCATTTCCTAGTCTAGTACTGTGATTCCAAGCAACTCGAAAGATGGTTGGAGAGAAGGGAGGACACTGGGAAAGGAAAGGGTGATTCTGACCTGGGGCCCCTGTAAGCCTAGAAGGGAAGAAGTCCTGAGGCCAGAGGTGAGCAGGAGCCTCTGGGTGGCTGTCAGAAGACGTCCCAGGGGCATTGGGTCCATGTGTCCAGGAGGTGGGCCTGGAGTTGGGTGCAGAGAACAGGTGCTTTCTCTTTAGTTCCTTCCAGCTTTGCAGCTGGGTTTGCCATGTTGTCATTTTGGCCACTCCCATTCTCCTCACTCACCCAGGTTGACTCCGAGCCAGCACTGCTGGCATGTCTGTGCTGCAAATTGCTGGCAGGGACTGCGGGTTTTAGGGCATATACGCAGGCTGCTTTGCTGAACTGGTTAGTCCCTCAAGGGTCTCAGGAGGACCATTAACCTTAGCGGGGACAACTCTGTGGATGTTGGCCCCACCCACTGCAGGACGATGAGCACCCTGTCCCCCACCCCCCATGGTTACCAGTCATCATCATGTAACCAAACTGACTGACAACCCAGTAGTCCAGGTATGTTGGGGCACCTGCTGCTTCTAACACAGACCCCTGGCAAGCGTTTGGGCATGTCAGACAAGGAGGCTGTCCTGGGTGAGTCAGTGAGTGAGTGGCGAGCGAGTGGGAGGCCTAGGACAGTACTGTGCACTGCTGTGGCCTTTATGAACACTGTGTGCTTAGGCTGTGCTAAATTTTTTAAAAGGCTTTTTCTTTCTTTAATAACGAATTAGCCTTAGCTTACTGTAACTTTTTTACTTTATAAACTTTTTACTTTTAAAAAGAGCTTTTTGGCTTTTGTAACAACACTTTGCTTAAAACACAAACACACTCTATACCTGTGCAAAAATATTTTTTCTTTATCTCCTTATTCTGTAAATTATTTTTCTACCAAAAAGTTTTTGTTTTTTTCCTTTTGAGCTTTTTCGTTAAAAATGAAGACCCAAACACACACATTAGCCTAGGCCTACACGGGGTCAGGATCATCAGGACATCACTAGGCAGTAGGAATTTTTCCACTACGTTAAGATTTTATGGGAGCACCATCATGTGTGTGGTCTTGTTGACTGGAGCATCCTTAGGTGGCATCTGACTGTAATTGTTTCTCTGGCATTGTCTAAGGTAACAAATCAGTTTTTTTCGGAGTACAGTTTTTTTTTTTGTTTTTTTTTTGGGTGAGACGGAGTCTTGCTGTGTCGCCCAGGCTGGAGTGCAGTGGTGCAATCTCGGCTCACTGCAAGCCAAGGTTCACACCATTCTCCTTCCTCAGCCTCCCGAGTAGCTGGGACTACAGGCACCCACCACTACGCCTGGCTAATTTTTGTGTGTGTGTTTTTTTGTGGTTTTTTTTGTGTGTGTTTTTTGTGTGTTTTTTTAGTAGAGACACTGTTCTAGCCAGGATGGTCTCAATCTCCTGACCTGGTGATCCACCCGTCTCGGCCTCCCAAAGTGCTGGGATTACAGGCATGAGCCACCGCACCCGGCCTCTGAGTACAATTTTAAAGTGATTCGACTTTAGGTTTGTTGATTTTCTTTTTTCTGAAAGCTGAACATCCTGGTGAATGACGCCAGCATAATTTGATTTATGTCATTATGTCATAATCTAGTCTTTTTTTTTTTGTTTTTGAGGTGGAGTCTTGCTCTGTTGCCCAGGCTGGAGTGCAGTGGCGCGATCTCGGCTCACTGCAAGCTCCGCCTCCCAGGTTCACGCCATTCTCCTGCCTCAGCCTTCTGAGTAGCTGGGACTACAGGCGCCCGCCACCACGCCCGGCTAATTTTTTTGTATTTTTAGTAGAGATGGGGTTTCACCGTGTTAGCCAGGATGGTCTTGATCTCCTGACCTCGTGATCCGCCCGTCTCGGCCTCCCAAAGTGCTGGGATTACAGGCGTGAGCCACCGTGCCTGGCCTTTTTTTTTTTTTTTTTTTTTTTTGAGACAGAGTCTCTCTCTGTTGCCCAGGCTGGAGTGCAATGGTGTGATCTTGGCTCATTGCACCTTCCACCTCCCGGATTCAAGCAATTCTCCTGCCTCAGCCTCCCAAGTAGCTGGGACTACAGGCGCACGCCACCATGCTTAGCTAATTTTTGTATTTTTAGTAGAGACGGGGTTTCACCATGTTGGCCAGGATGATCTCCATCTCTTGACCTTGTGATTCGCCCACCTCAGCCTCCCAGAGTTTTGGGATTACAGGCATGAGCCATTGCACCCGGTCATAATCTAGTCTTAAAAGAGCAATGCCAGCACTACTAATTACAGTGACTAGAAATTGTTTTATGATTTGTTTTGCAGGTGATTTTGCCCTTGAGCTTCTTACTCAGGGTACTTTTTTTTTTTTTTTTGAGATGGAGTTTCGCTCTTGTTGCCCAGGCTGGATGGCGTGTGATGGCGGGATCTCGGCTCACTGCAATCTTCGCCTCCTGGGTTCTAGCAATTCTCCTGCCTCAGCTTCCCGAGTAGCTGAGATTACAGGCATGCAGCACCACGCCCAGCTACTTTTTTATATTTTTGGTAGAGATGGGGTTTCACTATGTTGGCCAGGCTGATCTCGAACTCCTGACCTCAGGCAATCCACCTGCCCCGGCCTCCCAAAGTGCTGGGATTACAGCATGAGCCATCGCACCGGGCCCCTCACTCAGAGGATTTTAAGTCACACCGTGGTGTTTAGAGCTGCTCAGGGTCCTCTCAGTGGTCATGCTGTGAGCTCCATGCAGGTTCCCGCCATTGTTTCATTTTGCTTTTGACTTCTAGGCATTGCATTTCCGATCTCATTTAATTCTGTGTCCTAAATATATAAAATATTTGTGTGGTTCTAATATCACATCTATAAAAAGGTATATTCAAAGAAGCCTGCCTTCTCCACGGTGCCCCTTCCTCCCCATAGGTCACATGTTTAAATTTAGGGGGTGGTTATATGATAGAAGCAAACCCACGTGACTTGTGTGTTGCCCTTCCCCGGCCTAGTGGAAGTGCGCCAAGCCCACGCGTGTAACAGCCCCGCGCCCAGCCCGCGGTCCCCCAGGCGGTGGCTGTGGCAGCGGCCTGTCCCTTGCTCTGTGCTCTGCAGCACGCCCTTGGCCGCCATTTTCCCGGGAGGAGGGTCCAGCACCCACAGCATTTCTTATTTTCTTTTTATTTATTTATTTATTTATTTATTTATTATTTTTTGAGACGGAGTCTCGCTCTGTCGCCCAGGCTGGAGTGCAGTGGCGCAGTGTCGGCTCACTGCAAGCTCCGCCTCCCGGGCTCACGCCATTCTCCTGCCTCAGCCTCTGAAGTAGCTGGGACTACAGGTGCCCGCCACCATGCCCAGCTAATTTTTTTGTATTTTTCAGTAGAGACGGGGTTTCACTGTTTTAGGATGGTCTGGATCTCCCGACCTTGTGATCCGCCCGCCTTGGCCTCCTGCATTTCTTATTTTCACACGTGTGACTTTGGGGTGGATTCTCATGGTGGATCCCGGGATGGGGGGAGCTGGGTGGGGGCGCTGGTTTCTCACGGGGCCGTGCCCGCCTTGTGCAGGTGGTCACGGGCTCGGGCCGCCAGGAGGCCCAGAAGACGGACGCGGAGTACCGCAAGCTCTTCGACCTGGCGCTGCAGGGCCTGCAGCTGTTGTCGCAGTGGAGCGCGCACGTGATGGAAGTGGTAGGCCCCGTCCCCGACCCCAGCCCCGCTCCAAAGCTGCCTCGGGCACTTTATTCACATTAACTTTTGGTCTTTGGGCTTTTTATCTTTGGCCCTAGAAAGACGAGAATATCTATCAGTAGATATGTTTCCAAGGTGATTTTAAGTACATTTCATTTATGTGTGTAATAAATGAAGGGCCTCCTTTTTAAAAAAAATCTTGATAGAATTAAATTTGTACCATTGTGATTTTCTTTAAGTCGCTCTTTTTTTGAGATAGTCTCACCCTGTCGCTTAGGCTGGAGTGCGGTGGTGCAAACATAAGTCCCTACAGCCTTGACTCCCCACCCCAAGCGATCCTTCTGCCTCAGCCTCCCAAGTTGCTGGGACCACAGGTGTGCACCACGGCTCCCGGCTAATTTTTTTTTTTTTTTTTTTTTTTTTGAGACGGAGTTTCGCTCTTGTTGCCCAGGCTGGAGTGCAATGGCGTGATCTCGGCTCACTGCAACCTCTGCCTCCTGGGTTCAAGCGATTCTCCTGCCTCAGCCTCCTGAGTTAGCTGGGATTACAGGCGCCCACCACCACTTCTGGCTAATTTTTTTGTGTTTTTAGTAGAGATGGTATTTCACCATGTTGGCCACACTGGTCTTGAACTCCTGACCTCAGGTGAACTACCCGCCTCAGTCTCCCAAAGTGCTAGGATTACAGGCTTGAGCCACCGCACCTGGCCTAGTTTTTTGTTTTTTGGTTTTTTTTGTACAGGCAGTCTCGCCGTGTGGGCCAGGCTGGTCTCAAACTCCTGGCCTCAAGCCATCTGCCTGCCTGGGCCTTCCAAAGTGCTGGGATTACAGGCGTGAGCCACTGTACCTGGCCAAGTCTCATTTTTTCATTTAAATTTTATTTTGCTTTAAATATTTACTTGTATTGATGCATAATAGGGGTACATAGTTTCAGGATACATGTGATAATTTAATACAGTCATACAGTTTGCAAAGATCTAATTGGTGTGCTTGGGATGTCCATCGCCATAAATATTTGTCCTTATGCCAGAAAAATTCGAGTTCTTCCCTATCTATTCTGAAATGTACCATAAATTATTTTAATTAATAGTCACCCTAACTGATCTATCTAACACTGTCTTATTTCTAATATCAGACTGTACATTTGTACCCATTAATGTCGCTTCACGCCCTGCATTTTTAAGATAACATTTTCTCTTTGGAGCTCCAGCCATCAATGTCTTTTGTTGAACATTAGTAAATTATTTCTGGTGCCATATAAAGATTTGGATACCTGTAAGCAATGAAAGATTTTCCCTTTTGTGATTTATTTTGATCACATAAAAATTATCAAATTGGAAGAGTACATGGTCATTTGAAAGGCAAAATCTTTATTTACTTACTTATTATTTTATTTTTTGTAGAGATGAGGCCTCACTATATTGCTCAGGCTGATCTTGAACTCTTGGGCTCAAGTGATCCTCCTACCTCAACCTCCCAAGTGCTGGGGTCATAGGCATGAGCCACTGTGCCTGGCCCAGAATCCTTTTTAAAATGATGATGAAATGCCAGAGTCTTAGATACTCAGCACTCACTATCCAGGCCATTTTGCCGGGTAGATTTTTTAAACGAGAGGTTACAGGGCCAGGGTCTTTTGCCCATCTGTGGAGATGGACGGTGTGTGCGCCCTCATGTGTGACTTTCAGAATGCAGCAAAGGTTTGAAGGCTGGCCTGGCTTTGGCCACCATCGTGTGAGTCAGACCAGAAGCCAGGCGTTTTGCATGCAATATGGAACACCTCTGCTCTTTCGGCCACCACAGTATTCCTGGAAGCTTGTGCACCCCACCGACAAGTACTCCAACAAGGACTGCCCCGACAGCGCTGAAGAGTACGAGCGTGCCACGCGCTACAACTACACCAGCGAGGAGAAGTTTGCCCTAGTGGAGGTGAGGATGCTCGGCCGCTCGCTCTTCCTCATGTCGCTCTAGCTTCACACCATCTTCTCTGTCAAAAGCAAAAACATGAACAAAACTGCCTGTTTACTCATTGCTTCTGTGTGGGCACCCCTTTCCATCTGGCAGAGTAGTCAGAGTAGAACGCATTAGAGAAACAGTGGTTGTCGGTCCTGGGTCTGCACTGAAGCTCCCTGGGTGCGAATCTGGACTCCTGGACCTGCGTCTGGATGGAGAGCAGCGTCGGGTGCGGGGAAGGGAGGTGAAAGAGATGTGGCCCCTGCTGAGAGAGAAGAGCTGTCTTGCTCTCCTGTGAGGCAGGCGCTGCACTCCCCTCGTGAGCCTTTCCATGGGCAGCTCTTCATTCCAGCATCAACTGGTATCTTTTCTTTCATAGCTGTGCTTTTCCTGTGCTGTTTGAGAAATCTTTGCATACTCTCAGGTCGTGAAGGTATTCTGCATTGCTTTCTGGATACTTCACTCTGCTTTCACACTGAGATGCGAAATTCACCTGAAATTCATTTTTGAAACAATTCCGTCCAACCCTCACGCTGCCACCTTTGTAGCTGGTCACATGACAATGCATGTGTGGCTGTGTTTCTGCTCTGCTCTAACCCAGTGTCAGTTGCTGTCGGTATCCCAGCACCACTCTGTAGCTTTGTAGTCATCTACCGTGTATGAGAAAGCACGTCTTTCTGTCTCCTAGACTTCCTTGGCTATTCTTCCCCACTGTAGTTTCATATTCATTTTAGAATCAGCTTTTCCCATCCCACAGTGAGGATTTTAATCAGGATATGAACAATCCTATGGATCATGACAGAATTGACAGAAGTCTCATACAGTTGGCCCTCAGTGTTCTTGGGTTCCACCTCCATGAACCAACCTTGGGTCAAAAATGTTCAGAAAGAAAAAATAACACTACAACAGTAAAAAGTAATAAAAATGTTAAAAACCACTGTTTTGGCCTCAGCCTCCTGGACTCAAGCAATCCTCCCACCTCAGCCTCCCCATTAGCTGAAACTATAGGTGCATGCCACCACACCTGGCTAATTTTTATATTTTTGGTAGAGATGGGGTGTCACCAAGTTGCCCGGGTTCGTCTCAAACTCCTGAGCTCAAGCAATCCACCCGCCTCAGCCTCCGAAAGTGCTGGGATTGCAGGTGTGAGCCACTGCGCCCAGCCAAAATTTTCTGATTTTTTGACATAAGGTTTTTCATAGTAAATTCTCATCTTATTTTGGTAGAAGCTTTTTTTTTCACATAACCATACAGTTCACCCATTTGAAGTGTAAAAGTCAATGCTTTCAGCACATTCACAGAGTTGTACAGTCACAGTCAAATTTAGAACAAATATAAATGCCAGCCCATTATCAGCCACCCTTCATTCTTCCCTCCCTCAACCGTATGCAGCCACCACTCTGCTTTCTGACCCTGTAGATTTGCCTGCTCTGGGCATTTCATATGAGTAGATCATACCATATGTGGCCCTTTGTGACTGGCTTTCACAAAGCATAATTTTCACTTAGCATAATTTTCCTTTTATTTTTCTTAAGATGGAGCCTTGCTCTGTCACCCAGGCTAGAGGGCAGTGGCGTGATCTCAGCTTACTGCAACTTCTCCCTCCCGGGTTCAAGCAATTCTTGTGCCTCAGTCTCCAGAGTAGCTGGGATTACAGGCACCCACCACCACGCCCGGCTAATTTTTGTATTTATAGTAGAGACAAGGTTTCACCATGTTGGCCGGGCTGGTCTCAAACTCCTGACCTCAGGTAATCCGCCTGCCTTGGGCTCCCAAAGTGCCAGGATTACAGGCGTGAGCTACCGTGCCAGGCCACTTAGCATAATTTTCAAGATTCACACAGGTATCACTGTTTTGTTCTGTTTATTGCTGAATAATATTGCATTACATGGATATGTTACATTGTATTTATCCATCCATCAGATGATAGACATTTGGGTTATTTCTACCTTTTCACTACTATGAAGTTGCTGAGAACTTCTTTTTCTTGTTTTTTTTTTTTTTTTTTTTTTTTTTTGGAGACAAGGTCTCACTCTGTCACCCAACTGGAGTGCAGTGGCAGGATTATGGCTTATTGCAGCCTCAATCTTCTGGGCTCAGACAATCCTCCCTCCCCAGCCTCCCAAGTAGCTAGGACCACAGGCACAAACCACCATGCCTGACTAATTTTTAAATTTTTTGTAGAGATGGGGTCTCACTGTGTTGCCTAGTCTGGTCTTGAACTCCTGAGCTCAAGTGATCCTCCTGCTTTGACTTCCCAAAGCACTGGGATTAGAGGTGAGCCACCATGCCCAGCCTCTATGAGCTTTCATGTGCGGGTTTTTGTGTAGATGCTGGTTTTCATTTCTTTTGATTGTATAGCTAGAAATGCAATTACTGGATCATAACAGCACATTTAGCTTTTGAGGAACTACCAGATAGTGGCAGCACCATTTCTCCTTCTTACCAGCAGTAAGTGAGGGCTCCAGTTTCCCCACATCCACACCAAACTTGTTATTGTATGTCTTTTTGATTCTAGCTATCCTAGTGGGTGTGAGGTGGTATCTCATTTCATTGCGCTTTTGATTTGCGGTTTTCTAACAACTAAGGATGTTAAACGTCTTCTTATGTGCTTGTTGGCCATTTGTGTGCATTATTTGGAGAAATGTCTCTTCAGATCCTTTGCCCATTTTTAATTAGGTTATCTTTTTTATTATTGAGTTGTAACAGTTCCTTATACATTCTAAATATCAGTTCCTTACAGCCATAGGATTTTCAGTATCTTCTCCCATTCTATGATTGTCCTTTTAGTTTCTTAATGGAGTCTTTTGAGACACAAAGTGTTTGAATTTTGATTATGTTTGATTTATCTGTTTTTCTTTCGTTGCTTATGCTTTTGGTGTCATATATAAGAAATCATTGTGTAACCCAGGTCATGATGATTTACTCCTGTGTTTCCTTCTAAAAGTCTTTTTTTTTTTTCTTTTTTGAGACAGAGTCTTGCTCTGTCACCCAGGCTGGAGTGCAGTGGCATGATCTCAGCTCACTGCAACTTCTGCCTCCCAGGTTCAAGCAATTCTCCTGCTTCAGCCTCCCAAGTAGCTGGGATTACAGGTGTGCGCCACCACACCCAGCTAATTTTTGCATTTTTAGTAGAGACAGGGTTTCACCATGTTGGCCAGGCTGGTCCTGAACCCCTCACCTCAGGTGATCTACCCGCCTTTGCCTCCCAAAGTGGTAGGATTACAGGCATGAGCCGCCACGCCCAGCCTCTTCTAAAAGTTTTATAGTTTTAGCTCCTAACTTAAACCTAATTTAAATATATGATCCATTTTGAGTGGATTTTTATACAGCGTTTGACAAGGTTGTGTGAGGGGCCCTCCAGACCACCCTCCATCCCCCTGACTGGCTGGGAGGACTCACAGGGCTTGGTAGTTGTTGCACTGAAGGTTATGACTCCTTGCAGCCAAAAGACAGAGTCAGATCAGCAAAGGGAAAAGGCACAGGAGTGGAGTCCAGAGAAGACAGGTGTAAACTTCCAGCTGTGCCTGCTAGTGGAATTGCACGGGACGTGCTTATTTCTCCCAGCGATGATGTGTGACAGCACACACAAATTGTGGCTCACCAGGGCAGCTCCCCAGAGCCTTGGGGTCCTGGGTTTTTACTGGGGGCCAGTCACGTGGCTGACCTTGGCTACTCAGACTCTAGGTCCTCAAAACACACACAGGAGGTCACTATTAGTCACCTTGTTAGCAGAGACTGATCAGACTGGTACAGCAGTAGGCCCGGGGCCCCAGGCACACAAAAACATAATCTCTAGGCAGGACACTCCCAAGGTTCAGAGCTGGTTCCTGGGATGACTTCAGCCAGTCCTGAAGATGGGCCTTTCTTGGGGATGTGCGGAGTTTCATTCTCCCCAGCCTGCTGAGTTAACCCTTTCCTGCACAAGGGTCCACCTTGATTCTCTCGCATGTGCAGATACAGTTGTCAGTACTATTTGTTGAAAAGATGATCTTTCCCCATCAAATTGTTTTGGTACCCTGTTGAAAATCAATTGTAAGTTAACTTCTGGACTCTTAATCCTATCCCATTGACCTCTGTCTATCCTATGACAGTATTTTTTCATAATCTCTTAATCTGTCTATAAACTGCTAATGTCCCCTTTTTCATTCTTAATGCTGGTAACTCGTGCTTCTTTTTTTTTTTTTTTTTTTTTTGAGACAGAGTCTCGCGTGTTGCCCAGGCTAGAGTGCAGTGGCACAATCTCAGCTTACTGCAACCTTCACCTCCCGGGTTCAAGCTACTTCTGGCCAATTTTTGTATTTTTAGTAGATACAGGGTTTCACCAATGTTGGCCTGGCTGGTCTTGAACTCCTGACCTCAAGTGATCCACCCTCCTTGACCTCCCAAAGTGCTGGGATTACAGGCGTGAGCTACTGTGCCTGGCCTGCTTCTCTGTCTTTTTTTTCTTTGTTATTCTTGCTAAGCATTTGTCAGTTTTACTGTTTATTTACTGAACAGCTTTGTCTTTGTTGATCACCCTTGATTATACACTTGTTTTCTGTTTCATTGTTACATTTATTTATTTATTTATTTATTTATTTATTTTTGAGACAGAGTCTCGCTGTGTCACCTAGGCTGGAGTGTAGTGACGCCATCTCAGCTCACTGCAACCTCCACCTCCCAGTTTCAAGCAGTTCTCCTGCCTTAGCCTCCCAAGTAGCTGGGACTACAGGTGTGCACCACCACACCAGGCTAATTTTTGTATTTTTAGTAGAGACGGGGTTTCACCATATTGGCCAGGCTGGTCTCGAACTCCTGACCTTGTGATCCGCCTGCCTCGGCCTCCCAAAATACTGGGATTACAGGCATGAGCCACTGCGCCCGGGTGCTTTTAGTTATTTTTCTTCGATTTTGGGGGGGTTTATTTTGCTGTTTTCTATAAATTAGTGATGAATGTTTGATAAGTATTATGATTTTTATCCTTTTTAGTTTTCTAATGCGTGCATCTAAAGCTCTCAGTTTGCTGTTAACTTGCCTTTTCCTTCTTCCTGTAAGTGTGAATATGTAGGATTGTTATGTTCACTTAAATGGGTTTTTCCTCGTTTGGTTTTTTAAATAGAACTTTTCTTTTTTGTTGATTGGAAAAACAATATAAAATCATCAGTTTTCCAAAGTAAGCATGCTGAAAACACAAGCATGGCATTAGGAAGGCACAGTGCCTGCGGCGCCATCACAGAGATGGCGCTGAGCAGCTGGGTGCGTTTTCTTCCAGACTTTTTCCTTTCTAAAATTTTCATTATTTTAATTGCATATAGACCATGAGTCTTACATGAAAGCAGTCTATTTGGAAATTCTTTACGTTATAGAAGGATGAATTAAAAGCAGACTGTCAACTTTTCCACCTGAAAATTTCATGAAAAAGAAAAGCACCAAAATCATATAAGCCATGTTTCAAGTACTTGTCAGACACGTCTTCATTTACCCATGAATCAGGCTGTTTATAAAGCCATAATGAGGAACTCAAAAGGTGTGAATAAAACCAGAAAGTGATAGAGGGAGACTGTGTGAAGCCTTGGGGAAACACATTTGTGTTCTTGCTAAGTGAACTTCAAACCAACAGATTTAATAAAAGTAGGAAGATGCCTAGCCAAGCATGGTAGTGCATGCTTATAGAACTAGTTACCCAGGAGGCTGAGGCAGGAGGATCGATTGACCCTGGGAGTTCAAGGCTGCAGTGAGCTATGATCATGCCACTGCACTCCAGTCTGGGCAACAGAGTGAGACCCTGTCTCAAAAAAAAAAAAAAAAAAAAAAAAAAGCTGCCTTAATTTTGAATCTGTCAAATACTTAATTTCAAAAGGTTTTTTTTGTTTGTTTGTTTTTTGTTTTTTTTTATTACTGTGGACTGAAGACCATTTTCAGATGTTGAAGTAGGGTTTTTGTTTTGTTTTGTTTTGAGACAGGGTCTCGCTCTGTCACCCAGGCTGGAGAGCAGTGGCATAGTCATGGCTCACTGCAGCCTCGAACTCCTAGGCTCAAGTGATCCTCCTGGCTTAGCCTCCCGAGTAGCTGGGACTATAGGCTCATGCCACCACACCTGGCTAATTTTTAAATTTTTTGTAGAGATGGGGTCTGGCCATTTTGTTCGGGCTGATCTTGAACTCTGGTCTCAAGTGATTCTCCCGCCTCAGCCTCCCAAAGTGCCAGGATTATGGGTGTGAGCCACTGTGCCTGGCCAAAGAAGGGTTGTTAAGATTTTCCCAAATGTATTAGTCTTAGGTACAGCGTTCTAGTTAAAAGATAAAAAGAAGTGAATTATGTTTCACTGGTGCTATTAAATGTTCCACTTTGGTGTCTTATATGTCAGACATCCACACGGCAGGGTGGACTTGGGGTAAGTGTGTCTTGCTCTGCCTCACTTGCTGCTTTCAGAGAGATTTCTAGGCCTCACATAGCTATCATGAAGTTGGCTGTAGAAATATTTATAAACGGCAAAAGCCGTAAGAAAGCTCATGCAATTGTAAAGGTCATACTTGGTTTGTGACCTTCAATTGTTTATTCAGAAAGTAATAAAGCACACTGTCATGACAAAATTACTGTCTGGAAACAGGGAAATAATGAGCCCTGGCACCATTTTTCTGTCCCAGGAATTCCTCTGGAAGCTCTTTGTCATGTAATTATGTTCCATCAGAGTCTTCCAGGCTTTTTCTGTGAATGGTAGTTCACTGCGCCTTTGTTGTGAACAATATGGGATTTGGACTACAACCTCTTGTAACTTCTTTTTCTAGTAATATCATGCCTGCTTTCCTGAGTCTTTTTCTTCTTTCCTATTTGAATTCCATCACAGGAGGGTGTGCTGGGGTGGATGCATGTGTGTTTCGAGTCAGATGCATCCCTGTCCTCCAGGTGCTCATGGTCTGATGGGGAGTCAGATGCGGGCACAGTTCCATTGACTATGGCTTTGGAGAAGACGTTTTGGGGCAGGGCAGCTGCAGGGCACGAACGCGGGAGGGCGTAAGGTGCTGTGGGCGAGGAGGAGCAGCCCCCGGCATGTGCCAGGCAGAGGAGGCTTGGTGCCATCCCTAAGAAGGGCCGTCCCTGTTGCTGTGTCCCCCGCAGGTGATCGCCATGATCAAAGGCCTGCAGGTGCTGATGGGCAGGATGGAGAGCGTGTTCAACCACGCCATCCGGCACACCGTCTATGCCGCACTGCAGGACTTCTCCCAGGTGACCCTTAGGGAGCCGCTGCGGCAGGCCATCAAGAAGAAGAAGAACGTCATCCAGAGGTCAGCCTTCCCCACGCCCTGTGCCCGCTGTGCCCACACGTCCTCGGATGAACTTGGATTCAAACAACAGGAGCGTTAAATTCTCAAAAATGATTTCAATATATTTATCTTCAACCTTCAGATGCCCTCTTGGTGAATTACCTCTAAAAGTAATGCATGGGTCCAATTATTAACCCAAACAATGGACAGTAAGTCAGCTGCCGAGTGTCTAGGGAGTCTGAGGACCCCGGGACAAGGTGCATTTATCCCAGGCTCGCGGTGCCTGTGGTTCATGCATGGTGCCTTATGGGGGTCTCTGCACGGTGGAGCCCTGTTGGTGATGAGGCTGTGTTCCAAACCAGTCGAGAGACATGGCCAGGCTCTGGTCATGTGGGTGACTTCACATTCCTGTTGGTTACTGGGGACAGCCAGCTGCGGGCAGGCGGGGCCCAGCTCTGCTCCGTGCGGAGGCTGTGTTCTGCCCTCTCCCTGCCCACAGCATGACTCAGAGCCACCTCACTGCTGCCCTGGGCTAACAGATGCGAACTGGAGCTCAGGGCAGTCTTCTGGGGGTAGTAATACTCTCCAGAAGGCAGACTCCTTTTTAACTTTCCTGTTGAGCTGGTCCATTACCACATCCCTCCATGGCCCCCAGAGGAATTTGTATTTTCATGGGGGCTGTTCTGAGAGCCTTGTAGTTGGGTGAGGAGATGGTGTGATTGTGAGGCTGGAGGTCTCGGCCTCTGGGCCTTGCTGATCACTTGGTGGGGTGTTCAGTGTCCTGCAGGCCATCAGGAAGACCGTGTGTGACTGGGAGACGGGGCATGAGCCCTTCAATGACCCAGCCTTGCGGGGCGAGAAGGACCCCAAGAGCGGCTTCGACATAAAAGTACCACGCCGCGCCGTGGGACCCTCCAGCACTCAGGTTCTCGTCCCTTGAGCCCCGCCTGCACCTCTCCCTGGGGGGACCCACCCTGAGCTGTGAGCGGGTGGGGCTGGTGAGGCCCGGGTTAAATGAGGTCCTCGCTGCCTGCTCAGGCAGAGAAAGTGGCGCCTGTGGTTTCTGCTGCTCCTCTGTTTCCCACCCAAGTGAGTTGGGAGCGTGAGGAGACGTGCCTTGATTGTCAGATGTGTCATGTGCACTAAAAAGGAGTCTGACTCCATTTCAACTCCCATCCCAAAAATGTGGGCACAAGTCCACGTGTCTGTATTCATTCTGTGTTTCTTGATGGGTGTTTGAATGTCTGTATAATTTTTACGTTGGGTCTGCAAATGACTGTAGATGGGGCGTGGGAAACTGTGAGGTGCTGCTTGCGTGTGTCATGGTCCTAAGCTGCCCACTGTCCTCTCTCCTGGTGTGTTCAGGCCTCCCCGAGGTGCTTCTCACGACTTTCACACCCGGTTTAATCCACACCGCTGCGTCTGTCCTCCGTCCTGGGGCTGGTCTTCTCCCTCATCTCTGCCGGAGGCTTTTAATCTCTTCTGCCACTCTTCTGGAAAGTCACCAGCAATGCACGCTGCTGGCTCTGCAGGAGGGTCAGGGGGACGGCCCTCGGCCTGTGCGTGGTGCCAGCCACCCTCCCTGCCTCCCTCTGCGTGCGTCCCGTGTCCCTGCCTGGGGTGTGTGTGTCGAGTGACTAACGTCTCTCTCCTGCCTCTCCCTCCTGTCTGTCCGTGTCTAGCTCTACCTGGTGCGCACCATGGCCGAGTCCTTGGGCTCTGCCGAGCTGCTCAGGCAGCTCAAGTCTCTGGGCATGGAGAGGCTCTTGCATGCGGTTAACACGTTTCTGAGGCAGTCGTGCACCTACCTACCCCTTTTAACCTTTGGTGGTAAGACATCATTTGTTTCTCTTGACGTTTATGGCACGGAGGCGAACTGCTCCGCTACAAGTTGTTCTTTCCCCAAAGCAGCAGCAACGTGGCCGCGTAGACAGGCACCCGGACCCCTCGGGGAGCTGGTGCGGGGCCCTCCCGACCAGGGCGTAGCGGAGCAGTCCTTCTCTCATGGGCTTTTTGAGTTTGGCATAACTAATGTACCATGTATATTTTCTCCCCCACAAATGTTTCCTTGGATAATCCAGCTTTACATGGTGAGAACCATGCTAGAGTCCCTCATTGCAGACAAAAGTGGTTCCAAGAAAACCTTGAGAAGTAGCCTTGAGGGGCCCACCATATTGGACATAGAAAAATTTCATCGAGAGTCATTCTTCTACACTCACTTGATAAATTTCAGTGGTAAGAGATACTGCTGAGCAGCATCCGGCCTGGCATGTCCTAACACCACTAACACCGTCTAGAATGCTTCCGCCCGCCTGACCACCCCCTACCCCGTCCCTTGGTGCACCCAGACGGTGACTCGTCCTGCCCTCTGTGGCGGTGGCTGTACGTCCCTGGCCTGAGCTCGCTCCACAGGGCGTGGTCCCTACAAGGGTATAAACTGAGGAGCCCGGGCTGGCCCTGAGACATGAACAGAAAATCTTTTCAACCCATGCGGGGTTGGAAACAGGCGAATGTAATCTGGTGCCTGAGTTGAGACACAGGCATTGATAAATACTAGAAATGGCCCTTGCAGACCATGACGTGGGGGGAAGGTGGCGGGTGCCCTGTGCCAGGCAAGCCCATCCTGGGTGACACCCGGCCACCTTGACCGGCCACCGGTGGGTGCGCTCTCTGCCCTCCGTGTGTCTGTCCCGTGTTCTCATCAAGTCCTCCGTTGTCCACCTCTTGCTCAGAACAGGATCCCTGCTGTCTTGGCTGGGGTGCTGCGAGGTATTGGAGGAAATAGTACCACTTTTGCTGTTAACTCCATGAAAGGATGGAGTTCGAGTGTGGGCTCTTTTAATCTGTCTCATTTTTGCGTTAGACAGACCTCCCTGAGTGTGCCTCTAATGCTGCAGCCTGGACATTGGTTTTTATCCTAAGTGAAAGTGAAGAAGTCCTGTTTTTTTGTTTTGTTTTTTGTTGAGACGAAGTCTTGCTCTGTCACCCAGGCTAGAGTACAGTGGGGCGATCTCAGCTCACTGCAAGCTCCGCCTCCCAGGTTCAAGAGATTCTCCTCCCTCAGCCTCCCAAGTAGCTGGGATTATAGGTGCTCACCACTGCGCCTGGCTAATTTTTGTATTTTTAGTAGAGATGGGGTTTTACCATGTTGGCCAGGCTGGTCTCAAACTCCTGACCTTGTGATCCACCCGCCTCGGCCTCCCAAAGTGCTAGGATTACAGGCGTGAGCCACTGTGCCCAGCCAGAAGTCCTGTTTTTATGTCTCCTTTTGAGAAGAACATTTTTAGGTAAGACACAGTGGCTCATACCTGTTAATCCTAACACTTTGGGAAGCCAAGGCAGGAGAATCACTTGAATTCGGGAGTTTGAGACCAGCCTGGGCAACATGGCGAGACCCCCATCTCTATAAAAAATACAAAATCAGTTGGTGGCACGTGCCTGTGTTCTCAGCTACTTGGGAGGCTGAGGCAGGAGGATCGCTTGAGCCCAGGAGTTGAAGGCTGCAGTAAGCTATGATCGCGCCACTCACCTCCAGCCTGGGTGACAGAGTGAGATAGACTCTGTCTCAAAAAAAAAAAAAAGACACTTTCCCCCTGGATCCCACTGAAGGGCTCACAGGGTTGATGAGGTGGCTTTACCTGCAGCTATGCCCAGCTGGTCCTGTCCCTAGTGCAAGGCCCCGGTGACCCCTCCCCACTCATGTCCATGCTGCATGGCTTGGGGCTGAGCGAGGAGGAGCAGGCACCCAGCACACAGCCCTTGTGTCATCTCTGCTAAAGGTTTTTTTTTGCTTGCGGGAGATAACATGGAGTTGTTTGAACCCTCCCAGAAACGCTGCAGCAGTGCTGTGACCTTTCGCAGCTGTGGTTCCGAGAGTTCTTCCTGGAGCTGACCATGGGCAGGAGGATCCAGTTCCCCATTGAGATGTCGATGCCCTGGATCCTGACGGACCACATCCTGGAGACCAAGGAGGCATCGATGATGGAGTGCGTGTCCTGCGGGCCTGTCTCCAGCCTTTGTGTGTGGTGACCGGGGGTCCTCAGAGGAGGTGGCGGAGAGGCCGGGACTGTTTTTAGTATTGTATTTGAAATCAAGTTTCTGGGCCTGGGCAAAATAGCAAGACCCCAGTCTCTACAAAAATGAGAAAACTTAGCCTGGTGTGGTGGCTGATGCGGGAGGATTGCTTTACCACAGAAATTTGTGGCTGCATTGAGCTATGGATTGCACCACTGCATTCCAGCCTGGCCACGTAGCAAGACCCTGTCTCCAAATAAAAAAAAAAAAAAAGAGAAATCATGTTTCCTGGGGTAAAGCTTTAGAGATTAATACAAGTAACTAACCAGTTTCTTGGTGTCAGACTGGAATTGAGAGCTCAGGCACTAGAACCAGTCACGTTCCTACTTTGCATGGGTGCTGGCTGGGACCCGGGGACTCAGCCTGGACCAGGGAGATGGATGAACCTGGACCTTCCCCAGGCCTTCGTAGTGCAGGCCCTGTGAGGTGGCCATGCCCGTGAGCTGCCTTGCGGGAGCCCTGTGGCCTGGCCTTTTGTGTGACACAGCCTCTGACCCAGATGAAGTGGGGAAAGGAAGTATTGATTGAACAGCTTTGTTCTGGGGATCAGGACTGTGGACCTAGATGGAAGGGCAGTCTTTCAAAATATAAAGTTCATGGAAGGGAAAGTGTTTGGAAAAGGGTGTGTCTCATGGTGAGCGACTGGGGAGCCGCCCAGCCGGTCTGTCTTCTGAGCACCGTGAGTGGGAAGCCCCTGAGTTCCTTGTGCGTCACTCCTCACACATCCCTTGTGGTGCCCAGGAGATGGTAAGGGCAGTCACCTTCCACTCTCTGTGGCTGTGGCATGGCCATGCCATTTGTGTGGGCAGAGCCTCTGATGGCTCGTTGCACAGCATTGGGGTGGCGTGAGGAGCTGGAACCAGCTTGGAGGCCTCCTTCAGGCATGGGCCTCCTTGCCCCTGGCCATGGCCTTTGTCCAGATATGAGGTAGTGGGAGACGGGCCTTCAACCATGGGCCATGCTGGACATGCTCCTGGTGAGCTGTGGGATCCAGGACCTTCACCTTTGTTCTTTTTTTTTTTTTTTTTTTTTTTAATGCTGTCTATGTACTTCCGTTGGTGTAATTTTTTCTTTTTTTTCTTTCTTTCTTTTTTTTTTTTTTTTTTTTTTTTGAGACAGAGCCTTGCTCTGTTACCCAGGCTGGAGTGCAGTGGCACAATCTCAGCTCATTGCAACCTATGCCTCCCGGGTTCAAGCAATTCTCCGGCCTCAGCATCCCAAGTAGCTGGGACTACAGGCACCCACCACCACGCCCGGCTAATTTTTGTATTTTTAGTAGAGATGAGTTTCATCATGTTAGCCAGGCTGGTCTCGAACTCCTGACCTCAAGTGATCCGCCCACCTCGGCCTCCCAAAGTGCTGGGATTACAGGCATGAGTCACCGCGCCCAGTCCACCTTTGTTCTTTTCCAGTCAGTTCATTCTTTTTTTTTTTCCCCCCAACAGAGACAAGGTCTTGCTCTATTGCCCAGGCTGGAGTGCAGTGGTGCAAAGACAGCTCACTGCAGCTTCAACCTCCCAGGCTCAGGTGATCCTCCTGCCTCAGCCTCCTGAGTAGCTGGGACTACAGGCATGCGCCACCACACCTGGCTAATTGTTTTGTGTTTCATGGAGACGGGGTCTTGCTATGTTGTCCAACCTGGTCTCAAACTCCTGGCCTCATGTTATCTTCCTGCCTCATCCACCTAAAGTGCTGGAGTTCATTCTCTATCATTTTTTTTGGACAGGGTCTCACTCTGTCACACAGGCTAGAGTGTAGTGGCACGATCTCAGCTCACTGCAGCCTCAACCTCTCAGGCTCAAGTGATCCTTCTACCTCAGCCTCCCAAGTAGCTGGGACTCAGGCGTGCGCCACCACGCCCAGATAGTTTTTTGTAGTTTTGTTAGAGACAGTATTGCCGTATTGCCCAGGCTGGTCTTGAACTCCTCACCTCAATCAAGTGATCTGCCCACCTCAGCCCCACAAAGTGCTGGGATTACAGGCATGAACCACCAAGCCTGGTCCTTGGAGTTCATTCTTGAAATAAGAAAATAATTTTCTTTTGTTAAAAATCCTATGTACTTGTAGTGAAATATTTTAAAGTCTGCTAAGTGAGAAGATGCAGGCAGGTGGAGGCCCTTGTCCGTGTGTGGCCTTCAGTGAGCGTCTGCTGTCCCCAAGCATCCTCGCAGCCTGGTGGGTGTGGCGGCCGCCTCAGGCGCAGCCACCACGTGCTTTCACAGGAGGACTGGTGTTTGAAGTGAAAGTTGTTTTTCCTTACGTGAGAGGTGGAAAATGGAGTTGAGTTTCTGAGGTGGGGCGAGGCTGTCGGAGCTGCGAGTGAGTGGCAGAGGCTGCTGGTCACACTGCTGCTGTCCTCTGCAGGTACGTGCTCTACTCCCTGGACCTGTACAATGACAGCGCCCACTACGCGCTCACCAGGTTCAACAAGCAGTTCCTGTACGACGAAATTGAGGCCGAGGTGAGGCCCCTGCAGCTCCATTTCTGTTCATTTCCTTCAATTAAATCTCCTTTCTCTTTTTGTTTTCTCCCAAGTATTCAACTTTCTTTAAAATATAAGACAGTATAAACCACGAAGCAAGCATGTGGGAGCAAGCCCTTCCTCTGTGGATATGCTTCCACGATGAGTGCAGGATGCGCTTTTTCACTTGACCGTGTGTCACTGCGGTGTCTGTGTCCTCATCTATTTTTGGTTATGAGCATGATCTTTGATGTTCAACTGAAGCAACTCCTGTTTTATTTCTCTATTTTTTTGGTTTTGGATTTTATAAATAGCACTCTGCTGCACTCCCTGGCATGTTTTTTATTTGCATCGCATGACTTCTATAGGACAAATTCCCACAGGTGGAATTCTCAGGTTAGTGTATGCACATTTAAGGAGATGAACCTTATTCTACACATCATCTCCTCTGCCTTCTCACAAAGACCACCTGAAAATGGTGCTTCAGGGAGATGTCACAGGTCCCCGGCCCTGCAGGATGGGAGGAGGGCAGAGACGCCCTTCTTGGCCCTGTCTGCTGGGCAGATGGGTCCTGGGTCCCACTTGCCACGAAGCACAGGTATTCTCCTCACAGTTCCAGGAGATAGTGCGAATCCCATCTGCAAGTAAGGGTCTTTTGAGGGTACCTCCTGACCAATCTCACACCCAGAACAGCCGCTTTGCTCCAGGGAAGGCCCTCGGTGGTGCCTCCTGGAGTGCACAGTAGGCGGAGCTGCCCCAGGGCAGGAACCCACCTGCAATGCACAGTAGCTCCTCGTGGTCACTGCACACAGTGAAGAGAGCCTTGTTGATTCTCTCTTGCATTTCAGAGAATAGGAATATTTTTCTCCCTCAGTAAGATTGGTTCTAGCCTAGTTTTCTGTGGCAGTGTGGTAGTCACTCCTGGCCACACTGCAGTTTATTTAGTGTGCTGTTGTTGGACAGTAAGATTATTGCTAGTTTCTTTAGTTTATTTTTCTTTTTTGAGGTGGAGTCTTGCTCTGTCGCCGAGGCTGGAGTGCAGTGGTGTGAGTTCAAGCGATTCTTGTGCTTAGCCTCCCGAGTAGCCAGGACCACGGGCACGTGCCACCACACCAGGCTAATGGTGGTGGGCACCTATAATCCCAGCTACTCAGGAGGCTGAGGCAGGAGAATCACTTGAGGCAGAGATTGCAGTGAGCCAAGATCGCACTACTGCGCTCCAGCCTGGGCAACAGAGCAAGACTCCGTCTCAAAAAAATAAAAGAGCCTCAGTTAGTTGCCTTAACGAAACATTTTGTTTTTCACCTTGTTATTTGATCTTGCTTTAGGGAATCAAACTGTAACGTGTGCTTTCTTTTTCTTCAGGTGAATCTATGTTTTGACCAATTTGTTTACAAGCTAGCAGACCAGATATTTGCCTATTATAAGGTTATGGCAGGAAGGTGAGTATCTGGTGTGTGATTTTGATATAAAACGTTTCATAATTTGATCTGACATTCCCATTACAATTTATGGCGTATGAAAAACTTTCTGTCTTCCTTCTACACTAGTTTGCTTCTTGATAAACGGTTACGATCAGAATGCAAGAATCAGGGAGCCACGATCCACCTCCCGCCGTCTAACCGCTACGAGACGCTGCTGAAGCAGAGGCATGTGCAGGTGAGCTGGGGCCGGGCTGTGGTGGGGACGTAGAGTGTGCATTGAAAAGACTGGGTTTTCGGCTGGGTGCGGTGGCTCACGCCTGTAATCCCAACACTGGGAGGCCAAGGTGGGCGGATCACCTGAGGTTAGGAGTTCAAGACCAGCCTGGCCAACATAGCAAAACCCCATCTCTACTAAAAATACAAAAATTAGCTGGGCGTGCTGGTGGGTTCCTGTAGTCCCAGCCGCTCTGGGATGCTGAGGCAAGAGAATCGCCTGAACCTGGGAAGTGGAGCTTGCAGTGAGCTGAGATTGCACCACTGCACTCCAGCCTGGGTGACAGAGTGAGCAAGACTCCGTCTCAAAAAAAAGAAAAAAAAAATGATTGAGATTTCTTATAGCTAGCTAGGTTTAGATATCAGCATGCCTTGTGAGTGTGAACGTCCTTATAAATTGTTAGGCATTGAAAGACACACCGTTTCTATTGGGTCACCTCACACACAGGGAACACCTGCAGCATTCTGTATCTGCCCTGCGGCTCCTGGGGGCAGGCATAGCCCGGAGGGGTCAGCCCTTCTCCAGGAGCCCAAAAGCCAGAGCTTAAAAAGAATGAAGGTGAGAAGCACTCATCAGCTCAGAGTATCAGAGAAAACTTTCTCCTGGCCAGCAGGAAGAATTTAAAGATATACAGTGCTTATTTTTTACAGCTTTTAAAAAAAGATTCACATTGCATGCCTGTATCAAAACATCTCATGTACCCCATAAATATGTACACTTACTGCGTACCCACAAACATTAAAAAAAGAAAAAAAATTAAAAATTAAAAGTGATGTTACATTACACACACAAAACTAGTTAGTAAAATATGGAAAACTAAAAAAAATTGCATTTAATTCTACTCTCTATACACGAATAATCATCATGCACATTTTTGGACATTTTCACCAGGGCTTTGTCATATTTTTATGTAGTTAGAACAACACTGAAGTATGGATATGTTCCTAGTAGGCCAAAATAGAGATGGAGTAATTTTATTTATCGTCATAACACCTGTAAAAAGACACACACAGGCTGCCATGTATGTGGGGAGATGGGTCTTGAACGTGGTTGTAAAGGGTGTCGTTATTGACAGACCAGCTTCTCCAGGGTCTCTGGTGAGGCGTTTGTTGTTTTCGAGCTGCTCATGTCCACTCTTTACCTGCTATCCTTCCCTGTGTACGCCAGCTCCTCGGCAGATCAATAGACCTCAATCGTCTGATCACCCAGCGCGTCTCAGCAGCCATGTATAAGTCCCTAGAACTGGCGATTGGACGATTTGAAAGTGAAGATTTGACCTCCATAGTTGTAAGTAATTTCACTTTGCCCTATTGATAAATTGGACTAAGGGTAGGTCCAGTTCTTGTATAGATGATAAAAGAGATGCACTCATCGGGCGTGGCCTATACCAAGCCTCTTGTATAGATAATAAAAGAGATGCACTCACTGGGCGTGGCCTATACCAAGCCTCTTGTATAGATAATAAAAGAGATGCACTCATCGGGCGTGGCCTATACCAAGCCTACACTCAGTGTTCACAATGCTAAATTGACTTAACGAACACATAACCCCAATCTTGAAAAAATCGCCAACTATGGCAAAAGGTAGCACACCACTTAATAACGTGTTTACATTTTAGTATGAACGAGCTAGGAGATAAAAATGTTTAACTTTGGCTGGCACGGTGGCTCATGCCTGTAATCCCAGCACTTTGGGAGGCCTGCGGGGGTGGATCATTTGAGGTCAGGAGTTTGAGACCAGCCTGGCCAACATAGTGAAACCCCATCTCCACTAAAACTACAAAAATTAGGCGGGCGTGGTGGCAGGCACCTGTAGTCCGAGCTACTCCGGAAGCTGAGGCAGGAGAATCGCTTGAATCCAGGAGGCAGGGTTGCAGTGAGCCCAGATCGCGCCACTGCACTCCAGCCTGGGCGACAGAGCAAGACTCTGTCTCAAAAAAAAAAAAAAAAAAAAAAAAAAGAAATATCTTCTTTAGGGACCAAGAGAGCCCACAAGGGTCTTCCTGCTAATTCTTCTACCCCTACATTTCGCTTGGCTGTCTGAATTCATCTCATCTCCAGGTAAGGTCTAATCCTTCTCCTGTTATCTGGACCTTCAGGTTTCCCAGTGAGGATGTGTGTTCGGGGCCAACGTTCCCCGCTCACCCTCTTTGGGCGCTCACCCATTTTTCGGCTGTCTCACGGAGCCTACAGAGGCAAGCCGCTTCCTTCAGAGGGTCTTTGGATTCTCTGCTTTCCTGGTATGTTCCTGTGGTATTTCTTGAAGCAAAAATTTGCAGTGTGAGTCTTCACACACTGCTGTGTTCGTCTGAATGGGAGCTGCCAGTTAGTCCTACCTTCTGTCTGCCATTTTTCCCTGTGTCTCTATCACAATTTGAACTCAGGAAGAGGCAAGACTAAGGAACAGGAAAACAGAGGTTAAAAACATCTGAACTGGGGAACAGAGAAAAATAAAAATGAATGAGACAGAAAAGAGCATAAGAAATGTAGAAAACAGTGGAAAGACCTAACGTGTAACTGGAGTGTTAGAGGAGATGAGAGAGAGAGTGGTGTCACGGAAGACTTGTCTGAAGAGAAGATGGCAGAAAGACCTTAACGTGGACAGAAGACACCGGCCTGCCACTCAGGTGTGCCACCCAACTACACATGCTGGAGCCAGGGCCGGAGCCACAGGGGGACCTCAGTGAGCGGGCCCCCGAGCCACAGCTCTGTGGATCACCTGACCACCCCCCAACTCTGACCCTCGGCCTGTGGTGCCTTTGAATCTTTAGGATTTAATCAGAGCTAGTAGGCAGTAAGCCTGAATGGGCTGGTTGTCTTCCCTTCTCCAGTGCGTGGTCATTGGTGCATGGCCACACGTCCGTTTCCACTGTGGGAGCAGGGGGAGGGTTTACAGTGTGCATTTTCTAACAAAATGCACAAGGTCCTTTCTCCCCTTCACCCAAGGAGCTCTGGGTCTGAGAACTGGTTGAGGAGCCATGAATTTCTTTTATGATGATTCAAGTTAGGCTGGTATTGGTCGGCCTAGGGCTTTTCCCTTTATCCAGATCAATGAGACTTCCGAAGGCTGATCGTTTGTGCCAGCCCTGGGGATACCACAGTCCTTTAGTCAACACTGGCACCCCTGTGCCAACACTGGCACCCCTGTGAGTCAGGCAATTTGAGTACACATGAGTTGTGCTGCCCGCCACCTGGCACCATTGGAGTCAAGGAGCCCAGGCTGGTGGCCTACAGAGAATAATTTAGACAGAGCTCTTCAAAGATGCCTGAGATGAGAACAGGTTTCAGGGAGCTAAAACAGTAGGCCCTGCTGACTCTGGAATTGAATAAATCAAAATTCCCTCCTAAGACAAAGCTGCCCATGGGAGAAGCTGCTGGGAATAGCATGTAAGCTGGTAAGGGTTAGGATCATGGCGGAGGGGAGCATGAGAGGCAGGTCTCAGAAGGCTTGAGCCAGTGCTGTTACTCTTGGCCCTGACCAACCCCTCTTCCTCTTCAGAAGCATGAGAGAGCTTATTTCACTTCCAGTCGAGCCACAGGTAAAGATCATGGTCCAATCCCCTTTAGACGTATTACACTAAAAAAGAAAATGTAAGTGCACAGCAGTGTCCCTACAGACAGTGGAGGCACGTCAGACAGACACCCACGGACCATGGAAACTGTAACTTCATCTTTCACAGTGAGCTAAAAGAAATGAAGAAAGTAGTAGTTGCTGGCCGGGCGCTGTGGCTCACGGCTGTAATCCCAGCACTTTGGGAGGACGAGGCGGGCGGATCACGAGGTCAGGAGATCGAGACCATCCTGGCTAACATGGTGAAACCCCGTCTCTACTAAAAATACAAAAAATTAGCCAGGCTTGATGGCGGACGCCTGTAGTCCCAGCTACTCGGGAGGCTGAGGCAGGAGAATGGCGTGAACCCGGGAGGCGGAGGTTGCAGTGAGCCGAGATTGTGCCACTGCACTCCAGCCTGGGCAACAGAGCGAGACTCCGTCTCAAAAAAAAAAAAAAAAAAAAATAGTAGTTGCTGTGAAAGAATAATATAAATGAGAATTTTTAGAAATCCAGAAATAGGCTGGGCACGGTGGCTCACACCTGTAATCCCAGCACTTTTGGAGGCTGAGGTGGGTGGATTGCCTGAGGTCAGGAGTTCAAGACCAGGCTGGCCAACGTGGTGAAACCCCATCTCTACTAAAAATACAAAAAATTAGCCGGGCGTGGTGGCACATGCCTGTAATCTCAGCTACTTGGGAGGCTGGGGCAGGAGAATTGCTTGAACCCAGGAGGCAGAGGTTGCAGTGAGCCAAGATTGTGCCATTGCACTCCAGCCTAGGCAACAGAGCAAGACTCTGTCTCAAAGAAAAAAAAAAATAAATCGAGAAATAAGGTTATTGGAAAAAAGAAAGTTTTGAAAAGAGAAAAGGCCGGGCACAGTGGCTCATGCCTGTAATCCCAGCACTTTGGGAGACTGAGGCAGGCAGATCACGAGGTCAGGAGATCAAGACCATCCTGGCTAACATGGTGAAACCCCGTCTCTACTAAAAATAAAAAAATTAGCCGGGTGTGGTGGCGGGCACCTGTAGTCCCAGCTTACTCGGGAGGCTGAGGCAGGAGAATGGCAGGAACCCGGGAGACAGAGGTTGCAGTGAGCCGAGATCGTTCCACTGTACTACAGCCTGGGTGACAGAGCGAGACTCCGTCTCAAAACAAAAACAAAAAAAAAAAACAGAAATAAGAATGAAGGCTGGGCACTCGGTGGCTCGCTCCTATAATTCCAGCACTTTGGGAGGCCAAGGTGGATGGATCACGAGGTCAGGAGATCGAGACCATCCTGGCCACCATGGTAAACCCCGTCTCTACTAAAAAATACAATAAATTAACCAGGCATGGTGGCACACGCTTGTAGTCCCAGCTACTCGGGATGCTGAGGCAGGGGAATCGCTTGAACCCAGGAGTTTTTGAGGCTCTGTCTCAAAAAAAAAAAAAAAAGGAATGAAAAGAGGGAACATTTTTAAAATCAAAAAGAAATTAAAGCAGAAAAAGGATTTGAGAGGAAATGATGTTCTCAGATGATCATCATCATGGATGATGAAGATTCAGTGTACCTGTCATACAGCTTCCTCAAGAAGAAAACCAAAGCAACGGAACAGGGCCGACTGGCATCTATTTCAAGAAAATATTGATAAAATAGAAGACACCTTGAAAGTGTCTATTAAAAGCATACATCATGTATTTGGTAAAACCGACCCAAGCTTGTCAACACTTAGAAATACTGCATCTTAGGCTGGTTGAAGATTAGAAAAAATAATAATAATACATTTAAAAACGGTATTGCAGTGAAAGTTTTGGACTTTCCAGGTGAGGAAGAAGTCCTTGGGCTGTCTGAGCAGGGCAGGCAGGGAAGGAAAATCCGATTGTCCTCAGACCTTCACCAGAGCCAAGGAAAGGAACTGTGAATCGAGGGTTTGGTCGCCAGCCAAATTGATCTTCTGAGAATAAAGGCTGCAGACAGATGGTAATGAACGTGCCAGGGCTCCAGAGGATTGTTCATTCCTGGAGAACAGACCTTGGCTGGCAGACACTGGGCGCTGGCGGGCACAGTGCGTGTCCCTGTGAGCATCTCTGCACTTCAGAGCAGGGCCCTGCGTATTCATCCTTAGAGTCAAACAGGCTGGGACTCAGAGACAGACCTGTGGCGGCCTTTTTCTACGAGCGTAATTTGGTACAGGCCATGGTGTTTCTGTTGGCATTGGCCAAATATGATTTTGAGTAAAATCATTGGTCGAGGCTTTGATCGAGGCCATTACTGTCCAATAGAAATAGAACACAAGTCAGATCCGTAATTTGAAATTTTCCCATAGTCTCATTAGAAAAGGAAATAGGTGAAGTTATTTTTAATAACATACTTAATCCACTGTATCCCCATATTAATTCACCACGTCATTCCTATGGCAGTATAGTTGAGGTGGGTATTTGCTAGTCTGTTTTGTCCTACTCAGTCTTTGAAATCTGGTGTCTCATGTAGTGCGCCTCAGGTGGGAGCAGCTGTGCTCCGGCCCCGGCTGCCACATCGGACAGTGCAGTCTGGGCGAGCTCCAGAGCAGCGCACGTGAGGGCTTGCAAGGCCTGTGGGAACAAGTGCACCTGCCCTGCCACCCACACGTGCCTTTCAGTGACTTCAGGCACCTCAGAGAAAGCTGGCTCAGCTCCAACGCCCAGGGAGATGCAGCCGCCGGCTGGGTTATACTGCAGGGCAGGGCCGGGGCTCAGCGGGCACATGGGGGGAAGGGTGGCAGTAGCAGGCCACACGTGCACGCTGCCCCACAGGGTGCTGGACAGCAGGGGTAGGTGGCGTGGAGGTGACTGCAGTGGAGAAAGGCATGACCCAGTGGGGGTGACTGAAAAGGTGGGGTGCCAAGAAGCAAGCTCATGTCACCTGTCAGAGCCTACGCTCACTGGGGGCTGCCTCCGTGCAGCCCTGCCAGGGACTGTGAGGCCTGGGTGGGATCAGAGGCCACTCGGCGCCTCCTTCCTGCCTGGACCAGCTCTGTCACCCACCCCTGTCTTTGGTGCCACAGGAGCTGGATGGCCTGTTGGAAATCAACCGCATGACCCACAAGCTGCTGAGCCGGTACCTGACGCTGGACGGCTTCGACGCCATGTTCCGGGAGGCCAACCACAACGTGTCAGCGCCCTACGGGAGGATCACCCTGCACGTCTTCTGGGAGCTCAACTATGACTTCCTGCCCAACTACTGCTACAACGGCTCTACCAACCGGTGAGCGTGCCCGCCACACAGGCGCCCACAGGCGAGGCGCTCAGGGACCCATGTCCCCGCAGGCTTCCTCCATGTCACCAGGTCCCTGTCTCCCTGCTCTTGCTGCTCCCCATCACTTCTCACATGAAGAGCACGCAGGCCCTCCAGTGTCTTCTGTGTGCACAGGCAGCCTCGGGTCTACCCTCGGGTGGATGGTCATGGCTTTGCACGTGGGGCTTGCGTGGGGCTGCATCTCCTGGCTTTCTGTTTGCCTGATGGTGGAAGTGGGGTGAGTCTGCTTCTTATGCTTCCGTGCTGGCATGTTGGAGTGTGGGGAAGCCACCCTCCCACCCACCGCCCATGGACAGCATGAAGTGATGTGATTGGTGGTGAAACGGTGGATGCTGGCAGTATCCTGAGGTTCAGCCTCATAGTAGGGCCTGAGTCCTGGGACAGCCCTGCCCTGGGCTCCGCACACCGGGTGGCGGTCATTCTGGCTGAGGTTCCTTCTCTGCTCACTGAGCTCAGCATCTATACAGTGTCAGCGCGTGCCAGGGACATGTCTGTGTCACCCACCATGCCTTCCCATAGACACCAACAGCCTGGGGGGATGACCAGGGCACCAAGCAAGGTGCCTGGCCACTGAGCTCCATCCAGACGTAGAGGAGTGCAGGTGTGTGCACATGCGAGTGTTAGGAGCACTTTTACAAATAAGTGCTTGTGCTTGCCTCTGATCTCCGCGTCCCACCCACATGTGGCTGAATTCTTACTGACTTGTAGGCCCAGAGTTTTGTGTCTCAGGAGACAGGATGCCGAGCTCTGATGAGAGCTCTGATGAGAGAGAGGAGAGGCGCAGCTGCCCCACGGCCCAGTCCTGCCTGCTGTGGCTGTCGTCTGTTCAGGACCCCTGGGTGCAGGACCGCGTTTCCTGTGGGGCCGTGGGTCAGGCCCAGGTGTGTTGCATCACTGAGGCCATTCTCCAGGGTCATGGCCACGCGCTCTGGGCTGCAGGTGGCAGCACCTGGCTTGGCTTTTCAGCTCAGGGGGCCTCCAGGCCGGGCTGGGAGTGGTCCATGGAAACCAAACCGTGAAGACCACCGTCTCTGTTTAACTCACCTTTATGGTGTCCATTTTCCTCAACATTTTTAAAAGATGTTTATGCTTGGAATTAATTGCAAAAATATTCTTACACAAGTAATATATCAAAATTATAGAAAAATGGGAAATCATGGATACATAGGAGAGAAAAATGAGTGAACTCCCCAGAGGTTTCCTTGGTAAAAATGTATTTGTCCTCTAAAGTGAGGCATGGGCGGCCCTCGGCCTCTCCATCCCGAGTCTGCACCCCTGCAGTACCACATACATCACAGCAGCAGGGAGGGGATGGCCAGGCGCCTCCTTCCCCACACCCCGGGAGGTGACGTGAACACTTCTGTGTGCAGATCAGCACGGTGCACCCAGTGCCATGCGTGCAGCTGCTCAGAGCCATCTGCTGGGGCCTTACACCCAGGTAGCTGCACTCGTCCCCACTGTGGGCGGCAGGAGGCCCCTGGACCCATGGGGGACCCTGGACACAGGCAGGCTGGTTCCATCTTATCTGGAAACCAATTTCATGTGTGTCACCTGTTTCCCCAAGAGACCCAGAGCTGCTGCCTCGGGCCATACCTGTTGGGCAGAGGTCAGCATGCAGTGACCTCAGCCTCCTGGTGCCTGGGGACACTTGAGGTGTGATTCACAGGGAACCCTAGCTTGTCACAGGGGCATTTTCTGCAGAAGAGCTCCGGTTTACTCAGCAACCTCCACCTTCCGTGAGTGTTGGTAGAAGCCATTGTGTCTGCATTTCCCACAAGTCTTTGGTGGAATCAGGAGAGCTGTGTTATCTGGGAAAGGCATTTTAAAACAGGATTTTGCGTATCCAAGTTCTGTGTCGAATCCTGAGAAGACACATAAACCATGCTACCCGGAATTTTAGTCCCATGCCTGAGGGTTTTCTGAGAGCTACATGGCACAAGCCAGGACTTTGCTCGTTGCCTGGCCTAACTTCCGGTTAGTGAGCTACGTGTGGTGGCTCTAGGAGGTGACCTAGGTGGTCTGCGACTGGAATTTAACCTGTACAGTGGGTAAATGTGTGACAGTGCTGCAGCTCTGGAAAGAAGCTGGCAGAAGGGTATTTCCTCAGTCCAGAGTTAGGCCTCTTTTCCAGAAGACCATAGATGGAGGGCATGTCCTCAGCGGGGCGCACCTGGAGCCCAAGGCGGCAACTGTCCCCTCACTGCTCATGGTGACTTCTGTCCCTGGGGTGAGGTGGTGGCTGCCAGGTGTTCCCACTGTCATGTTACCATTTTTCTGTTTAAAAGTTATAATTTGTAGGGAGATAATTTGAGATGATGTAAACAAACTCCCTCATTAAAATTTGTCCCGGTCGTTTTAACATCTGTCGACGATTCCTGTCCGAATCAGTTATCTTCACACTGGTGGTTGAACAGCAGTGAGTTGTTTTTTTGGTTTTTTTTTTTGTTTTTTTGTGACAGAGTCTTACTCTGTCGCCCAGGCTGGAGTGCAGTGGTGTGATCTTGGCTCATTGCAGCCTCTGCCTTCCGAGTTCAAGCGATTCTCCTGCCTCAGCCTCCGGAGTAGCTGGGATTACAGATGCATGCCACCATGCCTGGCTAATTTTTATAATTTTAATAGAGACAGGGTTTCACTATGTTGGCCAGGCTGATCTCAAACTCCTGACCTGAGATGATCTGCCCGCCTCGGCTACCCAAAGTGCTGGGATTACAGGTATGAGCCACCGTGCCCAGCTGAGTTTTAACTCCTTCATTCCCTCTGCAGGTACTAGCTGGAATTCTGCTGTACGTGGTAGCATTTGTTTATTATTTGCTTATTTGTACTAAGGATTATCCATTACTGTGGAGTTTTGAGGCTGGGGTGGGTGCGGTTTGGGCAGTGGGAGCTGCCTGCTTGGTTTCAGTCTCCTGGGGCCGTCTCCACCATTCTTTCTGCACCACAAGATGTTCCAGGCTCGGCCAGGCACGGTGGCTCATGCCTGTAATCCCAGCACTTTGGGAGGCCGAGGCGGGCAGATCCTGAGGTAGGAGACCAAGACCATTCTGGCTAACACGGTGAAACCCTGTCTCTACTAAAACAATACAAAAAAATTAGCTGGGTGTGGTGGCGGGCGCCTGCAGTCCCAGCTACTTGGGAGGCTGAGGCAGGAGAATGGCGTGAACCTGGGCAGCGGAGGTTGCAGTGAGCCGAGATTGCACCACTGCACTCCACCCTGGGCGACAGAGTGAGACTCCGTCTCAAAAAAAAAAAAAAAAGAACAGAAATTTATTCTCTTACGGTTCTGGAGTCCAGAAGTCTGGAATCAAGGTGTCAGCAGGACCACGCCCCCTCTGAGACACTGGGTAGAGCTGTTACTTCTGGCGGTGACCTCAGTTCTGGGTGTTCTTGGCTTGCAGTGGCATCACTCCAGTCTCCTCTCTGTCTTCACTTGCCACTGTCCCTGTGTGTCTCTGTCTCTTCTCTTCTCGCAAGGACTTCAGTCATATTGGGTCAAGGACCTACCCTGCTACTCCAGTATGACCTTGTCTTAGCCAGACACATATGTGGTGACCCTCTTTCCAGCAGACTTCACATTCTGAGGTACTAGGAGTGAGGATTGAACATATCTTTTTCGACGGAGTCTCGTTCTGCCACCCAGGCTGGAGTGCAGTTGTACAGTCTCGGCTCACTGCAACCTCCAGTAGGTTCAAGCGATTCTCCTGCCACAGCCTCCTGAGCAGCTGGGATTACAGGTGCCTGCCACCATGCCCGGCTAATTTTTGTATTTTTAGTAGAAATGGGGTTTCACCATGTTAGCCAGGCTGGTCTTGAATTCCCAACCTCAGGTGATCCACCTGCCTCAGCCTTCCAAAGTGCTGGGATTACACGCATGAGCCACTGCACCTGGACGAACATACTGTTTTCAGAGACAGTACAACCCATAGCCCACATGTGCATGTGTATTAGTCCATTTTCACACTGCCGATAAAGACATACCTGAGGCTGGGCGATTTACAAAAGAAAGAGGTTTAATGGACTTATGGTTCTACATAGCTGGCGAGGCCTCACAATCATGGCGGAAGGTGAGAGGGATGTCTCACATGGCAGCAGACAAGAGAGAGAGCTTGTGCAGGGAAACTCACCTTTTAAAACCATGAGATGTCATGAGACTCACTCACAATCATGAAAAAAGCATGGGAAAGACCTGCCCCCATTATTCAGTTACCTCCTAACGAGTCCCACTCATGAGACGTGGGAATTATGGGAGTTATAATTCAAGATGAGATTTGGGTGGGGACACAGCCAAACCATATCAATGTGCATGTTTATTTCTATATAGTTACCTACGTATTAAAACTATAAGTTTATACTGATATTTCCAATTCCATTTCAGCACTGCAGAGTTCATTCTAGTCTTCTCTCTTTCCCTTTTTCTGACTTCATTAAACACTGAGGATCCTTGCTTCATTATTCTTAGTATATTACTCATTTGCTCATTTCCAAAAAAACACAGAAAGTAGTTTCAGAATTGCTAATCCTGGCTGGGTGCAGTGGCTCACACCTGTAATCCTAGCACTTTGAGAGGCCAAGGCAGGAAGATCTCTTGAGTCCAGGAGTTCAAGACCAGCCTAGGCAACATAAGGAGACCTCGTCTCTACAAATTTTTTTTTTTTTTTAGACAGAGTCTCATGCTGTCACCCAGGCTGGAGTGCAGTGGCACAGTCTCGGCTCACTGCAACCTCTGCCTCCCGGATTCAAGCAATTCCCCTGCCTTAGCCTCCCGATTAGCTGGACTATAGTCGCCCGCCACCACGCCCGGCTAATTTTTTGTATTTTTAGTAGAGACGGGGTTTCACCATTTTAGCCAGGATGGTCTTGATCTCCTGACCTCATAATCCGCCCACCTCAGCCTCCCAAAGTGCTGGGATTACAGGCATGAGCCACCGTGCCTGGTCTACAAAAAGGTTTTTAAAATTAGCTGGGTATGGTAGCACACCCCTGTAGTCTCAGCTACTTGGAAGGCTGACATGGGAGGATCACTTGAGCCTGGGGAGGTCTAGGCTGTAGTGAGCTGTGATCATGCCGCTGCACGCCCGCCTGAGTGACAAAGCAAGACCTTGTCTCAAAATAAGAAAGAATTGCTCATTTTTACCACCGTAAAACACAAACCTGCCAACTCTAGTTCAATATTTGTTATCAAATTTTTATCTTTAGATTGAGAATATATAGTAAAATATTATGTTTAAAATTCATTAGCCGAGCATGGTGGCACACATCTGTAGTCCCAGCTACTCAGGAGGCCCAGGCAGGAGAATTGCTTGAACCCAGGACATGGAAGTTGCAGTGAGCTGAGATTGTGCCACTGCACTCCCCTGGGTGACAGAGTGAGACTCTGTCTCAAAATAAATAAATAAATAAAATTAAATTAAATTATTTGGAATGATAGAGTAACAGGGTTTAGATTTATTCTTACTCCTTAAGTGAAAAACTGGACAGGACGTATGGATCAGCTGTTTTCAGACTCGGACCTTTTGCTGAGGGGACGGAAGCAAGTGAGGTGAGCCCTGTGATCTCCCTGACTTCCATCTGAAAGCACTTTCTGGACCAAGTTCAGAGAGGAACAGTCCAAGTACAGCTTGGAAGTTCCTGATTGGTAGAGGGGACAAACTGGAACTTGGGGAAGCTGAGGCAGCTGGAATTTGCAGGGTGGCATATGAGAGAGCAGGGACCTTAACAGAAACAGCTCCTGAAACCACATGGGCATCCCATAGCCTTTGCTTGAATACTAAACTGTGCGTGTGCCAGGGAGCTGCTAGCTGAATGATTCTCAGCGTTCACACAAGGCCAGGAGGCTTCTGAGTTCCTACTAGCAAGAAGAATGGAACTCTGTTGAGGCTGGGCACAGTGGCTCACGCCTGTAATCCCAGCACTTTGGGAGGCCAAGACAGGCAAATCACTTGAGGTCAGGAGTTCGAGACCAGCCTGGCCAACATGGTGAAACTCCACCTCTACTAAAAATACAAAAATTAGCCAGGCGTGGTGGCAGGCGACTGTAGTCCCAGCTACTCAGGAGGCTGAGGCGGGAGGATCACTTGAACCCGGGACGTCAAGGCTGCAGTGAGCCAAGAATGCGCGACTGCACTCCAGCCTGGGTGACAGAGACTATCTTTAAAAAACAACACAAACAAAAAAAAAAAACAACCCTGTTGAACACCCAGATGTTCACTAGAGGTGCCAGAGGTACTGAATTATGCCCATCCCTACAAGTGCCAAAAATTCATCATGACAAGATCCAGCAGATTGACAAGTAAGTCAACTGCCTGCCCCCCAAGACATTCAACACTCTCTCTTTTTTTTTTCTCCCTATTCTTGCCATTCTGGATTTCAGTTAGATATATGTTAGTTAGACCTTCTCATTTTATTCTCCACGTCCCTTTGTTATACTAGTTTTCCTTTTTTTGGGGGGACAGAGTTTTGCTCTTGTTGCCCAGGCTAGAGTGTAACAGTGTGATCTCGGCTCACTGCAACTTCTGCCTCCTGGGTTCAAGTGATTCTCCTGCCTCAGCCTCCCGAGTACCTGAGATTACAGGCATGTGCCACCACGCCTGGCTAACTTTTGTATTTTTAGTAGACATGGGGTTTCACCATGTTGGCCAGGCTGGTCTCAAACTCCTGACCTCAGGTTCAGGTGATCCACCTGCCTCGGCCTCCCAAAGTGCTGGGATTACAGCCGTGAGCCACCTCGCCCGGCCAACACTCTTTAAAAGACAGTAACAAAGTCAAGACATGCAACATGGCACTGAAATGCCCAGTGCCCAATCAAGAATTACTAGATATGCCAAGAACCAGGAAAATGTGACCCATAGCCCAGAGAAAAATCACTCTGTACAAAACAGACGCAGAAATGACAGAGATGATGGAATTCGCAGACAAGGATGTTAAGGCAGCGACTATGCATGTGCTCAAGGATTCAGGGAAAACAATGCAGAGATAAATGGGTGTTATATAAATAATCCAGTGAATTAAAGCTGAAATGCAGTATCTAGAATGAAAAATTACTTGTTGGGCCAAATATCAGAGTAGACTTTGCGGGAGTTGAGTGAGTTTGAGATTATAACAGTGGAAACTAGCTGAACTGAAGCACCAAAAGAAAAAAATGATGAAAAAAACGAGAAGGGCCTCAGCAAACTGAGACAAACATCAGCGATTCTAATATGCCTGTGATTGGAATCCTAGTAAGAGGTTGTCGGGGGGCAGAAAAGATTTCAAAATTAATGCCCTTGAATTTCCCAGATTTGATGAAAACGATAAACCCACAGATACAAGAAGCTCAATAAACCTCAAGCAGGATCGACACAAAGGAAAAGAGCCACTGTTGGGCCTAGCACTGACCAGGTCAAAATAAGGCTGGAGCTGAACCTCAGTGTACCCGAGGCAACGTGCAGTGGGGGCTTAGGATATTGGTGCTGAAACTTAGTTTTCCTCTTAGGGGATTGCAGTGACATTGTCAAACTGCAGAATCTGAGGGCACAGTCCTCCACAAGACTGCCTTTGCTGCAGACACCAGCCACACATTTGGGGTCCCTGGGGCCACCCTCACTTCTAACCAGCAGGTTACAGTTCAGGATCCACCCTCCCCAGCTCTTCAGGTGACACATTCGCAGTACTCACTGGGCGTGCCCTAATACGATTATAGTCAATTGGAGGAAAGGATGCTTGTTGGAAGGATGTGCAGGGCAAAGTCTGGGAGGTTTCCATGTGCAAAGCTTTCCCTGTCCTCAGGGACGCATCACCCTCCGAGCTCTGAGGTGGGACGCTCCTCAGGGTACTGCCAGCCAGGGGCGCTCACTTGGGCTGTGGTGTTCAGTTTTTATTGGGGCTTCGTTGCATGGGCACAGTTGACTGAATCACTGGCCACGTAGCTGAGCTCAGCCTCCAGCCCTTCACCTCCCAGGAAGTCAGCTGAGTTCACCAGGCACACAGCCCCAGGCCTCTAACCCCATGCTGTCTTTCTGGTGTGGCCAGCCCCATGTTGAGTCATCTTGCTAGCATAAAGTCAGGTGTGGCCCCGTGATACCAGTCATTCCTGTCACTCAGAAATGAGGGTGTAGAGACTGCCTCCTAGAACTGGGCCAGAGGCCACCAAATCCTACCCAGGAGTCAATCAGTATCTAAACTTGATAAATCAAGAAGAAGTTGTAGAAATGTATTATTTAGAAATATAGAGGCCGAGCGTAGTGGCTCACACCTGTAATACCGGCACTTTGGGAGGCCAAGGCAGGCAGATTGTTTGAGCCCAGGAGTTCGAGACCAGCCTGGCCAACGTGGCAAGACCCTGTCTCTACAAAAAATACAAAAATTAAGGCCAAGCACAATGGCTTACGCCTGTAATCCCAACACTTTGGGAGGCCGAGGCAGACAGATCACGAGGTCAGGAGATCGAGACCATCCTGGCTAACACAGTGAAACCCCATCTCTACTAAAAATACAAAAAGTTAGCTGGGCTTGGTGGCGGGCGCCTGTAGTCCCAGCTACTTGGGAGGCTGAGGCAGGAGAATGGCCTGAACCTGGGAGGCGGAGCTTACAGTGAGCCAAGATCACGCCACTGCACTCCAGCCTGGGCGACAGAGCAAGACTCTGTCTAAAAAAAAAAAAAAAAATTAGCCAGGCATGGTGACCTGTAGTCCCAGATACTCATGAGGCTGAGGTGGGAGGATGACTTGAGTCCAGGAGGTTGAGGCTGCAGTTAGTCAAGATCACACCACTGCACTCCAGTGTGGGTGACAAAAAAAAAAAAAATATATATATATATAAAATATATAATATATACATATAGACTATAAATGTATATATATAATTATATAGAATAAATACATGTATTATGTTATGTATCATATATATGTATTTTGATTAAAATTTTAAATAATATTATAAAGAGTAATTGCATTACTTCAACAGTTCTGTATCTGAGTTATATCATAGACAAAATAAATTAAGGCCTGCTTTCTAAATTTAACCATCATTTTAAACATTCTAAGCAGGGAAAACATTGTGTTCTAAGCAGACATAGTAGTAAAGCCTCCTCTAGGCCGGGCGTGGTGGCTCATGCCTGTAATCCCAGCACTTCGGGAGGCCAAGGTGGGCGGATCACTTGAAGTCAGGAGTTCAAGACCAGCCTGACCAAAATGGAGAAACCCTGTCTCTACTAAAAATACAAAATTAGCCAAGCGTTGGTGGCACATGCCTGTAATCCCAGCTACTCGGGAGGCTGAGGCAGGAGAATCGTTTGAATCCGGAAGGCGGAGGTTGTGGTGAGCCAAGATCACACCACAGCACTCCAGCCTGGGCATCAAGAGCAAAACTCCATCTCAGAAAAAAAAAAAAAAAAAAAAAAAAAGAAAAGTCTGCTGTAATATAAGTGGCATCATATCCTGGCGCTTGGCTCCCTGCATGGATTTTTACTCTGATTTTCCATTTGTTGTCTTCTCCCGCACCCCGCCGTCACCATTGTAGGTGGACGGAGGCTGACGTGTGTGCCGTAGCTTTGCAGGTGTGTCACCATCGGAGGTGGACAGAGGTTGATGAGTGTGCCGTGGCTTTGCAGGTGTGCTGCTGTCAAGGGTGTGAGCAGTGCCCAGGAATCTCTGGGAAATGGGGTTCCCTTTTCTGAGCATCACCCTGACCGTAGCGCCTCCTGATGGAATGTACTTCCTGGAACGGGTGTTAAGAACACAGGCGCAGGGACACACAGACATGCACACATCCTGTTGCAGACACATCTGCAGATAACACATCTCCATACATGGACTCACGCAGATGCAGGTGCACAGAGACATGCAGACAGACATGCATGCCAAGCACTGAGGACTGTGGCACCCAGGGATATTGGCATACTGACAGCACAGGGATTTAGGATCCGTTTGGAAAGGCATACCCAGAAGTACTGCGGTAGGTGGTCAGGGGGCCTAGTGGCTGCTCCTCTGTGCAGCACGTCCTCTCAGATGCACACATTGTGTGGGACAGCAGTATTTTCACAATTACATCTGTTTCCATTTCCTGAAGTGGAATATGAGTTAATCAAGTGCTTGGAATTACATAATTAGCAAATCCACAAAATTGTCTTTCTTATACTTCTTTGCAAAAGTTTTATGTGTTTAAACGAACCCTTCCAATTTGAAAGGCTTAGCTGAGTTTGATGTTTCTGCATGAAAATGGACACATTCGATTTTAAGTGTCCCCTAATCCATTATCAAGACACAATCTCTTGACTAATTGAGTGGGTTACAAATACCTAAGTGTCCCTGTCCTTCCCTGCTGGTGTGTAACTTGTGATCTGAACCACCGGGGCGTCGCCGTTCTCGTCACAGGCAGCTGCCCCACCGTCCTCGCCGTGTCTGGAAGCGCAGCAGAGCCCACGAGCTACCTGAGGATTGCGTTGGGCTCGAGGCGGCTCTGGTACAGCAGACCAGGCCCCGGGTGTTCCTGCTGTGGCCCCTGAGCTTTGGGTGCATTTATTATATTTGAGTATTGAGATCTCATTCGTTCTATGGTTTTCGATTCACTAGAATTTTCCTATTTGATGATTGTATCAGTTGACTGGGAGGAAGATTTAGTAGATGGATTATGGAGGACTTCTGAATTTTAAAGAACTATTGTTAAATTTGGTTTCTTTTTCTTTTTTAAATCTTTCTTGTTTAGGTTTGTTCGGACAGTGTTACCATTTTCTCAGGAATTTCAAAGAGATAAGCAGCCTAATGCACAGCCTCAGTATCTGCATGGATCCAAGGTAGGCTCCAATGTGTTCGTGTTACGAGCTTGAAGCTCATAATGAAGCATGTTTTGAAGTGTAGTTTAATTGGTTTGGTTGCAGTGACCTAAATGTATCACGCTGTGTATAAAATGTTATTTTTTTTTTCCATTCTGTTAACATCTTCCTGAAAAGTAGCAGTAATTTAAAACAAAAACTAGCCAACCAACCCAAAACAGTGCTTATCTAGAACTAGCGCGTACGTAGTGTTGGGACAGCTCTGGCCTTGTGATAGGTGTCAGGCTGGGCCTGGTCTCATTCCCAGCACAAACACAAGTGAGATTGTTGGAAGATTACAGGTTTAAAAACATCAAGCTGAGAAGACAAGTGGAAGAGGCTCAGGTGCATTCCTGAGATAAGGAGGCCCAGGGTGGCTGTAAGGCCTGACCGGAGGAGCGGAGCTGGAAAGGTGAGCCCAGGGAAGGTCTGACATCCAGAAACAAGGATGTCCGCCTGTGCCTGGAGGGTGGAAACCCGGAGCACCTGGGTCTACCATGTGTGAGATAGGATGATGTCCACGCTGGGGGTGGCTTGGCTTGTCACAAGTCTGAGTATTATTAAGGGCTAGTTTCTTCACGTTTCAAGCACCCGTGTGATTTAGTAAGGAAAATATAAACATTGTAGCAACGAAGAGAGATGAAATGAGCAGATACCCCACAAAAATAGAGCAGAGCAAATACAAGCAGATCCCCAGCCTCAGCGGAGCTGGGGAAGGAACAATGATGGCGGCAAGAGCCAGCAGGCCCCCAGGATGAGGCCAGAGGATCTGGCTCGCCTGTGAAGAGCGAAAGCGTCTTCCCTCTGCGAGCTGCGGTGTCCCCGGGCTCTGCGGTGGGGGCAGGCTGCCAGCACTCATCAGTATTTAAGTGTCCTCGCTTGTAGGAAGCGGGGACAATCACAGGACATTGTCTGCCCCATCTGCCCAATGCCTGGAGCTGGGATGGAGAGGGCCCAGGCCCTGCCGCTCACACGCTGCCTGCACCTGGACGCTTTCTAACGCACCAGCTGGCTCTGAGTGGCGGAAACAATGTTTTCCACTCATTCCTTTCTAACCCTCTGTTCTTCAGAGCGAGATCTTCTCACTCCAGTCCTTTGGGCGTCTTCCTTCTCCTTACAGGGCAGTGCCTTGGACCTGGCAGGAGCGCAAGTGTTTGCACCTGGGAAACGGCAAACACCCAAATCAGGGCATTGGTTTTTGGAGGGCCCAAGCCTCGGCATACGCTGCCCGTCTCTCCCGCCCCTGAAAAGAGCGAGTGTGGGCCGGGGGCGGCCTTTTTACGGCACTCAGAGCATCTCTGAGCAGGAGAGACAGGTCGTCTGAACTGTGTGCAGTGATGAAGGGGATGTGAGATTCCTCTTCGGGAAACGGGGCCCACGTGGACCAAGGGTGACTGTGTAAACATTATGTCCTTGAAAATATGTTCTTTTTATTTTTTATTTTTTTGAGATGGAGTCTCACTTTGTCGCCCAGGCTGGAGGGCAGTGGCATGATCTCGGCTCACTGCAGCCTCCGCCTCCTGGGTTCAAGTGATCCTCCTGCCTCAACCTCCCGAGTAGCTGGGATTACAGGTGTGCAACACCATGCCTGGCTAATTTTTGTATTTTTGGTAGAGACGGGGTTTCACCATGTTGGCCAGGCTGGTCTCCAACTCCTGACCTCAGGTGATCTGCCCGCATCGGCCTCCCAAAGTGCTCGGATTACAGGTGTGAGCCACTGCGCCTGGCCATCTTTAGTGTTTTAGGGGTTATTTTTTTTTAGCAATGTTATGATGGCAATTGAAAAAAATACAATTCAGATCCTCTCTAGGGTGCAGATGTTTGAAGGAAGTGGGTTCTTGCCTTTCACAAAGACAAGGTTAAAGGTGGGGGTGGGAGGTGGCATTGCCTGCCTTGGGGAGAAAAATGTCAGGGCTGGGAGCCTCGCTGACACATGAGGGCCAGGGTCGCCAATGCCTGGAGAACATGGGACAGGCTCATTCCATCATTCCACACTCCGCGTTCTCGAGGCTGTTGGCAGGTGCGGCCTCCGCTGTGCCCCTCCACCCTGTCTCTGTTCGTGTTCTCGAGGCTGTTGGCAGGTGCGGCCTCCGCTGTGCCCCTCCACCCTGTCTCTGTTCGTGTTCTCGAGGCTGTTGGCAGGTGCGGCCTCCGCTGTGCCCCTCCACCCTGTCTCTGTTCGTGTTCTCGAGGCTGTTGGCAGGTGCGGCCTCCGCTGTGCCCCTCCACCCTGTCTCTGTTCTTAGCAACTCCTAATGGCTGTGGAACTGTGAGTGGACACACAGTTCGTGTGATTCTGGGCTTCATGTGGCTGTGTTGGTGCCCCAGGAGGGCATCCAGACAGGTACCCAGGCGCCAAGAATGCAGTGACCGGGCCTCTCCTCTGTGGGGCAGGGTGGGGTGCACGCCTGGGCAGGGGTGCGCCACAGCTGTTACGGGGCTCCCCCTCACTTCCCGAAGCCCTGTGAGTGGTTAAGAATTCACCTCCATTCTGCTCCATGTGATACTCCCATGTTCTTTCTAGCAAGGATTGAAGTTGACTTTTCTTTTTTTTTTTTTTTTTGAGATGGAGTCTCCTCTATCACCTAGGATGGAGTGCAGGGCACAATCTCGGCTTACTGCAACCTCCACCTCCTGGGTTCAAACAATTCTCCTGCCTCAGCCTCCCAAATAGCTGGGATTAAAGGCGCCTGCCACCATGCCCGGACAATTTTTTGTATTTTTTTTTTTTTTAGTAGAGATGGGGTTTCACCATGTTGGCCAGGTTGGTTTTGAACTCCTGACCTCAAATGATCCGCCCACCTTGGCCTCCCGAAGTGTTGGAATTACAGGCATGAGCCAATGGTGGTGCCCAGTTGAAGCTGACTTTTATGCAATAATTAGTTATACTCAAAAGGATGTTTCTTTAAAGGATTAGAGTAAGTGTTCTGAGGCTTCTGCTTCTGAAAGTAAAATGTAGTGTTTTACCTTTAGAACTGAAGGAAATGTTATTTTAGAAGATAGGACTAGAAAGTTTGGCGAGTGAGAATAATTTCTTGGGTCTCTGTGAACTAAAAGATTTGCTCTGGGCTTCTCTTGACTTTGAAATTTTTAATCCCTGTTTTAGGCATAACAATAAAGTAGGTTTTTGTCACTCCCTGATAGAGAGGCATTTGTGCGCAGAGGGCACTGGGCAGAGAGGCTCCTCTGTCACCCCCATCTGGAGAGGATGGCTGTGGAAGCGAGGGAGGCAGGCGGGGGGTAGGCAGGCGACCCGACTGCGTGGGGCCGTGCACCTGCGGTTCTGATGGATCGAGTCCTGGAAGGGGCCTCGTGGGGTTGGTTTTTGAGATCCCAGGATAGCACTGTGGTGACATCTTTGCTGCCCAGTGTGTCTGTGTGCCCTTTGTGGTGTTAAAGGCTCTTGACACACGTTTTTATTCTCCAGGATTTTCTCCCAGGAGTGCAGGGAGGCACTGTTGCTTCCATTAAGATGCCAACATGAGCGCGCTGTTCCAGGGTGGTGGTGCGGGGTGCACATTTGCCTTGAGTCAGCCCCTACACTGCCAGAGCACCCTGCTGCCCTGTGTGCATGGGCACCACCTCAGGGATGGCTCCAGGGAATGGGCACTTGGAGGCATTTGCAAAGCTGATGCTCTTTTGGAGAGAAAGAAAGATTTGATGATGTGAATTTGATTTTTTTTTAAATTCAACTATTTGCAACTGAACTTGAACCTCACTGTAAGAGATTTCTGCCTCCGTTTCAGAAACTGTTTGTGTCGTTTTTGTTAAAACCTAAGCTAGTACATGGTTTTTCTTTTTGTTTTTTGTTTTTTTTTTGTGTTTTTTTTTTTTGAGACAGAGTCTGTCCCCTAGGCTGGAGTACAGTGGTGTGATCTTGCCTCACTGCAACCTCCAGTGATTATTGTGATTCCAGTGATTCGTGTGCCTCAGCCTCCCGAGTAGCTGGGATTACAGGAGTGTGCCACCACGCCTGGCCAATTTTTGTATTTTTAGTCGAGACAGGGTTTCACCATGTTAGCCAGGCTGGTCTCGAACTCCTGACCTCAAATGATCCACCTGCTTCAGCCTCCCAAAGTGCTGGGATAAAGGCGTGAGCCACTGTGCCTGGCCATAAACCAGTAATTTTTTTTTTTTTTGAGACAGGGTTTTTGCTTTGTCACCCATTGCTGGATTGCAGTGGCGCAATCACAGTTCACTGAAACCTCCGCCTCCCAGGCTCAAGCAATCCTCCTGCCTCAGCCTCCCAAGTGGCTGGGACTACAGGCATGCACCACCACATCTGGCTAATTTTTGTGTTTTTTGTAGAGATGGGATTTCACCATGTTGCACAGGCTGGTCGCGAACTCCTGAGCTCAATCAGATCTCCTGCCTGGGCCTCCCAAAGTGCTGGGATGTAGCCGTGAGCCACCGTGCCTAGTCCTAAACCAGTAATTTTCTATTAGATTATTTAGACATATACAAGTGACACTGATGTTGACCACCACCCACTCAAGAAGAGGCTGGATACTAAAAGAGATGATGTCTGAGCTGAGTCATGTGCTCACAGCAGACAGCCCTTGTACTCACAAGCACTCACATATGCCACGTGCACTTGCTTCTGCTGCAGTATGAGTCACAGTGTATATCTGTGTGATTATGGAATACACAGGAATCCACTCAAAAAACAGATTAGTGCTTTTTTTATGAATAGTGAACTAGGGCTGGTATCTTGCAGGAATAAAATAAACTTAGATGAGGGACCCATTTATGCAATGTTATCTTTTTCGTTCTTGGTCATGTCACCACTTACAGCATGCCTGCTTCTCAGTAAGACACCCTTTTGAGCACATTAACTAGTATTCTTTATCTCATAAGTAAGATTGTCCCCATTTCACAGATGAAGGCTCAGAGTGTCGTGAAAGTTAGAGCACCCAAGTTGCACGACTGGCGAGTCCAGAGCCGGCTCTGTGTGCTGTGACCCACCTTCTCTGCTTGTCGAACAAGGCTGGAGACTGTATCAGGCACGGGCAGCAGAGTCTGTCTTGAACTGAGCTGTGTGACTGGACATCCAGAGTGCTTCCTCTTCTGAGCTTAAGTCTTTTACAGCACAGTGTTTGTGACGGTGCCCTTCCCCAGAAGTAGTGCCTCCTCCCACTCCCCTGAGTAGTTAAGTCACATCTGCTGTTTGTTACCCTAGCTGTGTTGTCTCTCGGATGTGTCATCTTTGGGGTGAGCTTAGTCTACTGGGAAACCGGACACTGGGCAGGGGGCCAGAGGCCTGGGACCATGTGTTCATTGAGTGATGCCTCCTCTGACAGCTGTCATCCTGAGCCAGTCAGGGCGGGTCTGAGAATGAATTCTCTCACTTGTAACATGAGGTCATTAGATTTCACTGATGACTTTCGTGTTCTTCTTTTCAAACATTGAACCTGTTATCAACCAAAAATATTACACAGAATCCCAGCACATAAAGCCCAGGGTGCTGCTCTGAGGAGAGGCTGGGAGGAGGGTGTGTGGGCGAAGATGTGTAGATGGTTTCTTCAAGGTTGCAGCGGGCCGCAGGGCTTGGGCCTGGGACAGACACTGGGTGGGGTTTCTGTCCTTCAGTGTTGTCTAATCTCGTCACTGTAATCAGTTTTGGCTCTTTGTTTTGGGGGGTCTCATGACCCTCTACACATCTGATAATTCACTAGAAGGACTCACATAACTCAGAGTCTTACAGCTGCAGTTTATTCCAGCAAAGGGGTACAAAGCAGGATCAGTAATGGAAGCAGACAGATCAGGCGGAGGCTGAAGAAAGCAGGAGTGGCTGTATTAATATAAGATAAAATCAACTTCAGAGCAAAGAATATTGCCAGGGAGATTACATAATAATAAGTCAAACCACCACGAAGAAAACATAGCAATGCTAGATGTTTATGCGTCAAACAACAAGGCTTCTGTACTTGAAGGAAAGACTAATAGAAGTAAAGGAGAAGTGAACAATCCCACAGTTACAGTTGGGGACTTCAACTCTCATTTTAGTAATTGACAGAACAAGTAGACACAAAATCAGCAACAGTAGAAAAGAACTGAACACCACCATCGACCAACAGGATCTAACTGACGTGTGTAGGTTCCTCTACCCCACAACAGCAGAATATATACGTTTTTCAGATTCCCATGAAACATTCACCAAGATAGACCATACGCTGGGCCATAAAACTCACCTCAACAAAATTTAAAGAACTGAAATCCTATGGAGAGTGTTCTCCAACCACAATGAACTCAAACCAGAAACCAATAATAAAAAGATAACCAGAAAATCTCTATATGCTCGGAAATTAGCACACTTTTAAATAATCCTTGGGTTGAAGAGGAAATCTCAAGAGAAATTTAAAAATACATTGAATTGAATGAAATGTAAATATATCAAGATTTGATATATACAGCTAAAGAAGTGATTTATTTGATTTGATTATTCGATTTATTTATTTGATTTATTTGGTATACAGCTAAAGTGCTGAGAGGGAAATTTATAGCACTGAATACTCACAGTAGGGGTCTCCTGCTATCTGCACCCGTGTCCTTAGACAAGCTGAGGGGTGTCCTTCTGCAGGAACCACCTTGATATGTTTTGGCTCTATGTCCACACCCAAATCTCATCTGAAATTGTAATCCTCATAACCCCCATGAGTCAAGGGAGGGACCTGGTGGGAGGTGATTGGATCATGGGGGTGACGATGTTCTCATGATAGTGAGTTCTCACGAGATCTGATGGTTTTATAAGGGGTTCTTCCCCCTTGCTCTCTCTTCTCATTCCTGCCACCTTGTGAAGAAGGTGCCTGCTCCCCCTTCACCTTCCGCCATGATTGAAGTTTTCTGAGGCCTCCCCAGCCATGTGGAACTATGAGTCAGTTAAACCTCTTTCCTTTATAAATTATCCAGTCTCAGGTATTTATTTTTAGCAGGGTGAAAATGGACTAATACAGTAAATTGGTACTGGTAGAGTGGAGTACTGCTATAAAGATACCTGAAAATGTGGAAGTGACTTTGGAACTGGGTAACAGGCAGAGGTTGGAACAGTTCGGAGGGCTCCAAAGAAGGCGGGAAGATGTGGGAAAGTTTGGAACTCTCTAGAGACTTGTTGAATGTTTTTTGTTTGTTTGTTTGTTTTTTGAAATGGAGTCTCACCCTGTTGCCCAGGCTGGAGTGCAATGGCGCAATCTCAGCTCACTGCAACCTCCGCCTCCCAGGTTCAAATAATTCTCCTGCCTCAGCCTCCCAAGTAGCTGGGATTACAGGTGCCCACCACCATGCCCAGTTAATTTTTTTGGATTTTTAGTAGAGACAGAGTTTCACCGTGTTGGCCAGGCTGTTCTCAAACTCCTGACCTTGTGATCCACCCACCTCGGCCTCCCAACGTGCTAGGATTACAGGCGTGAGCCACCACGCCCTGCCTGTTGAATGGTTTTGACCAAAATGCTGATGGTGCTATGGACAATAAAGTGCAGGCTAACTAAGGTGGTCTCAGATGGAATTGAGGAGCTTGTTGGGAACTGGAGCAAAGGTCACTTTTACTACACTTTAGCCAAGAGACTAGCAGCATTTTGCCCCGCCCTAGAGATACGTGGTACATTGAACTTGAGAGAGATCTGAAATTGGAGTTTGTTTAAAAGGGAAGCAGAGTATAAAAGTTTGGAAAATTTGCAGCCTGAGGATGTGATGGAAAAGAAAAACCCATTTTCTGGAGAGGAATTCAAGCTGGCTGCAGAAATTTTGAATGTCAATCACCAAGACAATGGGGAAAATGTCTCCAGGACATGTACGAGGCAGCCCCTCCCATCATAAACCCAGAGGCCTAGGAGGGAAAAATGGTTTTCTTGGCTGGGCCCAGGGCCTGCCCTGCCCCTATGGTTCCCCCTCCCCCACCTCCCCACCCCACCCCCCATCCCCGTGCAGCTTCAGGACTTGGTGCCCTGCATCCCTGCTTCCTGGTCGCTAAAAGGGGCCAACATACAGCTCAGGCTGTTGCTTCAGAGGGTGCAAGCCCCAAGCCTTGGTGGCTTCCGCGTGGTGTTGGACCACCTAGATTTCAAAGGATATGTGGAAATGCCTGAATGTCCATGCAGAGGTTTGCTGTGGGGGTGGAGCCATCATGGAGAACCTCTGCTAGGGCAGTGAGGAAGGGAAATGGGGGGTTGGAGCCCCACACACAGAGTTCCCACTGGAATACTGCCTAGTGGAGCTGTAAAAAGAGGGCCACCCTCCTCCAGACCCCAGTCAGCTTGTACTGTGTACCTGGAAAAGCCACAGACACTCAATGCCAGCCTGTGAAAACAGCCAGGAGGGGGACTGTACCCTGCAAAGCCACAGGGTGGAGCTGCCCAAGACTGTGGGAGCCCACATCTTGCATCAGTGTGACCTGGATGAGAGACACGGAGTCAAAGGAGATTATTTTAAAGCTTTAAGATTTAATGACTGCCCCACTGGACTTTGGGCTTCCATGGGGCCTGGAGCCCCTTTGTTTTGGCCAGTCTCTCCCATTTGCAATGGGAGCATTTATCCAATGCCTGTACCCCTATTGTATCTAGGAAGTAACTAACTTGTTTTTTATTATATAGGCTCATAGGTGGAAGGGACTTGACTTGTCTCAGATGAGACTTTGGACTTGGACTTTTGAATTAATGCTGGAATGAGTTAAGACTTTGGGGCACTGTTGGGAAAGCATGATTGAGATTTGGGAGGGGCCAGGGGCAGAATGATAAGGTTTGGCTGTGTCCCCACCCAAATCTCATCTCCACTTGTAATCCCCATTATGCCCACATGTCAAGGGTGGGAGCTGGTGGGAGTTGACTGGTTCATGGGGGCAGTTTTCCACATGCTGTTCTTGTGATAGTGAGTGAGTTCTCACGAGATCTGATGGTTTTATAAGGGGCTTCGCCTTTTGTTCTCTCTTATCTTTCCTGCCTTCTTGTGAAGAAGGTGCTTGCTTCCCCTTTACCTTCTGCATAACTGTAAGTTTTCTGAGGCCTCCCCAGCCATGTGGAACTGTGAGTCAGTTAAACCTGCCTTTTTTTTTTTTTTTTTTTTTTGAGATGAAGTCTCGTTCTGTCACCCGGGCTGGAGTGCAGTGGCGCGATCTCGGCTCACTGCAAGCTCCACATCCCAGGTTCATGCCATTCTCCTGCCTCAGCCTCCCGAGTAGCTGGGACTACAGGCACCTGCCACCACGCCCGGCTAATTTTTTGTATATTTAGTAGAGACGGGGTTTCACCGTGTTAGCCAGGATGGTCTCGATCTCCTGACCTTGTGATCTGCCCACCTCGGCCTCCCAAAGTGCTGGGATTACAGGTGTGAGTCGCCGCGCCTGGCCTAAACCTGCTTTTTTTTAAAATAAATTATGCAGTCTTGGGTATTTCTCTATAGCAGTGTGAAAACGGACTAATACACACCCTAACTACCTTCCTCGCCTTCCCACTCCACAGGGGTCTCTCTCCCGGCTCCGGGGGTGCCCTGTGCATCCTGAGAAGGCAGCTCCCCCGGCCCCTTCAGGGTCCGACCTTGGGCATCCTGCTGGGAGACTGGGAGGCAGGGGGAAACTCTGGGTCGTATTCATTTCTCATTCTAGACTTCAAAATGGCTTCTAGCGAGTCGGCTATTCAACAAATGTTGAAACACCAAATGGTTTTCTTTTCTTTTCTATTTTAGCAGGTTTCTTTTTGGTGGCAGGCTAAGTAGGTTTTGTAACTGTACCAGTTAAGGGCAGTAGATTTTACAAGTCAGTAGACTCAGACCCGCTCACCTGAGCCTGTGTGTGTTGAGTGATCTTCTCACACAGTTCTTCATCTGCACATGTGTGCGGGGACCATGCTGAGAGCTCTGTGCCCTGTTTTCCAGGCTTTGAACTTGGCCTACTCCAGCATTTACGGCAGCTACCGGAACTTCGTGGGACCTCCACACTTTCAAGTCATCTGCCGGCTTCTCGGCTACCAGGGTATCGCCGTGGTCATGGAGGAGCTGCTGAAGGTCGTCAAGAGCCTGGTGAGTGTTCCCTGGACATGCTTCTTTCACACAGCCTGGATTCCCTGGGGCACCCATGCCAGAGGGTCTTCTCTGCCTGGACTGTGATTCTCCAACAGCTGGATTCGTTCAATTAGGCTTCAAACATTTCTGACCATATATAGTGTGATACTTCCCTCATCTTTTCAAACTCAAGAGAATGGGTCCAGGTTATTTTAACTGATACGCAGAGTTTTTATTTGTATGTGTAGAGAGGGGGTCTTGCTATGTTGCTCAGGCTGTCCTTGAACTCCTGGGCTCCAGAGATCTGCCCATCTTGGCCTCCCAAAGTGCTGGGGTTACAGGCGTGAGCCACCTTGGCCAGCCTGGATTTAGTTTTCTAGACATAACTTACTTTTTATAATTTTTCATCCTTTTTATTATTTTAATCTTCTGTGACTTGAGACCATGTAAGAGTTTGGTCACTTGGCACAGCCATCAGCCCGTGACCCAAACAGGTCCTTCCAGGACCCGCTGGGGACTCTGTCCCAAAACATGTGGCAGCTTGGAGGGTGTTAGGATTGCTGACCTCACCACAGCTGAGCCTGGGGCCGCACCCAGGAGCACAGACAGCGTCCTGGGGGACCCTGGAGCTGGCAGTGCTCACGATGCTGGGGTGCATCCCCATAGGAGACGCCTGGCGACAAAGCTCTCCCCTCATTGTGGCACCCCGGGACCACTTTCATCTTGAAAGAGGAGTCCAGTTTCAGAACATGAATTCAGTCATGGGAAGCCACCTGGTGATGGTTGCTCTCTCTCCCGGGGTGGATTTTATTCCCCAGCCAGACGATCCTGCAGCCTTGCTGGTTACCGAGCTCTTTGCTAACAGACTTGTTTCAGGGTATGCGCCGGCCACAGGCGTTAGCAGAGCGGAGTGGGGTGGCTGACGCAGCCCGTCTCATCTCCCCGGCAGCTGCAAGGCACAATCCTGCAGTACGTGAAGACGCTGATGGAGGTGATGCCCAAGATCTGCCGCCTGCCCCGGCACGAGTACGGCTCTCCTGGTGAGTGCGGGCGTGTGGAGCTCACAGTGCTGTCTGTGGAGAGGTCAGAAAGGAATTCAAGTCAGAAATTCTTGAGAAGGATTAGATTTGCCATGTGGGAAGAGGCAGTAGACAGACAAATGCACCTTACAACCAGGAAGAGGTGTGTTGGGGTCACTGTCTGCAGGCGAGGAAGCAGAGGTCAGCCTGCAAGAGTTGAGACAAGAGACCCCTGAACACCACGCTCTCGGGCACCCCTACGAAAGAATTGCCACCCAATGAGGCGAGAGAGCCGACTGCTGGGTCCTGCTGCCCTGCTGGGCCTATAGGGACTTGAGGCTCAGAGACAGGCCCACCGAGATGGTGCAAGGCCTGCCCCTGCCCCCAGGCCGTCCCATCCATCTGCAGGTCCAGCTGCAGGGCCCTCAGGCAGGTGTGCTCTTAGGGACAGGCCCACGTGACTTGCTGTGGGTTGGTTTGGGGCAATGCAAATAAATAGCTTTAGTGATCTCAGAAAGCATTGTCTCATAAAATTGTATGACAGGGACCTTTGTCACGTAACAAAACTGCTTTTAGTCTCTTACCTGGCCGAGTTTTCTTGAAAGCTGGACAGTTGAACACTAGCCTTGTGTTGTAAAGCGACTTGAGCCTGCACGTGGGTGACCGACGAGGCACTGTCCTGATGGGCAGTCAGTCAGCGTGGCTGAGCTCTTGAACACGTGGCTCAGGACTTTTTGCTTTTTGGCAACTCCCCAGGGCTGTTGCTGGTGTTTGAGGAGACGATAAGGTGTCCCCCTCAGCCACCATGGGGAAGTAGCCATCAGCACGGCCCTGGCTCAAGAGAATCTGATTTCAGTTTATTGTCAGAAAGTAGAGGAGGAATGCTGGGATGATTAAAACCAATGCTTATGTCGTGACTAGAGATGGAAATTTCAGATGTTGAGGAGGGAGCCATTTCCCAGTGTGGTACAGGGAAAGCTTGCTGGGAATGACACAGGTGCATGAGCGTCCCCGTCCCCACCCCCGCCAAGTGGGGCTGAGTCCCTGCAGCGGTGCTGAGAGCTGGGAGGAGCAGAGGGGCCGTGTCGGGCCGCTGGTCCTTGGGGAAGGGGCACTCGGGCAAGACCTGCTGGGACAAGGGTTTAAGGTCTGCTGAGCCTCCCGCTTTGCTCTTCCCAGGGTAGTTTCGGCCCCTCCTGATGCCACGTTCATTGTGCGGTCAGCTGCCGGTTTCTGTCTGGGCTGGAGTTGAAGCTGTAGATTGGCTGGGAAACGTTGGCCTTCTGTCCCATATTTGCACCTTGCGTCTTTTTGTGCCTTATTCCGCTGTCCGGGATGCCGTTGAGACGCCTGCCTTGCTCTGGAGCTGGCCTGGTGTGCGGCCTCCCGTTGGGCGTGCTGTTAGTTAGCTGCAGGCTTCCTAGATGCCCTTTCTCAGATTAGGTGCGGCCCCTTCCATGCCTGCGAAGAGAGATTGCATTTTGTCAAATACCTTGTCTGCCCCCACTGGGGATGTGGTGCAGTCTTTGTTCTTGTCATGTGGTGACGTTTCCTATCATCATAGCCTTCCCTAAAGATATGAGGTTGAGTTGAAAAGAGGCTTCAGAGCCAAGGCCCGGGGTCACATGGTGTGTGGAGAACGTGCCCAGGTGGCGAATAAACCACCGCTGCAGGGAAGATGCTGGGGATGGGACGTTGTGGCTGTCCTTATAGCCAGGCTTGATGGCGGTGTCAGAACGGCAGGTGCTCCTGGCTGTGGACCCAGGCTGCTAGGGCCCGGCCCCCTCCAGTCCCCCAACCCCACCTCACTCCCGCCACCGTAGGTATCCTGGAGTTCTTCCACCACCAGCTGAAGGACATCGTGGAGTACGCAGAGCTGAAGACGGTGTGCTTCCAGAACCTGCGGGAGGTGGGGAACGCCATCCTCTTCTGCCTGCTCATCGAGCAGAGCCTGGTGAGTGGCCCCCCAACGCCGCCCCTCCCCGCCCCAGCCCACCCCACCCCACCCCACCGGCCAGGGGAGGGCTTTCTTTGGCGGGTTCTTTAGTGGGGGTGTGGCAACAGCTGTGCATCATTTTTTTTTTTTTGTGGCTGTTGAGACTTTAGTTTGAATTTGTTCCCTTCAATTGAAAAACAAAAATGTACTGTAGTTCACTGTCTCAAGAATGTTTTTCTGTGTTAACGTCATAAAACTGTTATATTATGTGATGTTTTCAACATCTAAATGAACATATTTGGTGTGCCTGTAAGGTATAAGGCATTGCTGCGCAGGAGGGCCCTCTGCATGCCTGAGGCCGCTGAGCAGTTGAAGTGTGGCTCAGTGTGACTGAGGAACTGAGTGCTAAATGTTACTGAATTATCACTGATTTAAATCTGAATGGCTGCACGTGCCCCATGGTGGACAGCACGAGTGGCCAGCATGAAAGGGGAGCCCCCGGGAGCCCACCCCCTCTTAGGACGTGGCACAGTGGACGCCTCGTGTTTTCGACTGGCCGCCTTTTTGTGGTGCTGTCTGGCTGTCCCTCTGTCCTGTACATCACAGCAGCTCAGTTTATAACCTCCTGGGCTGGGAAAGCCAGTGGGAAATGGAATCTCAGGTAGCCCTCTCCTGCCTTCCATCGTGACTAACGAGGTGGGCATCTCTTCGTTCGTTGCGTCTTCTTGTTTCTTTTCCTGTGAAGTGCCCCATTGAGTTCTTCGGCCTATTTTCTTTTTCTTTTTCTTTTTTTTTGAGACGGAGTCTCGCTCTGTCACCCCGGCTGGAGTGCAGTGGCGTGATGTTGGCTCACTGCAAGCTCCGCCTCCCGGGTTCACGCCATTCTCCTGCCTCCGCCTCAGAAGTAGCTGGGACTACAGGCGCCCACCACCACGCCCAGCTAATTTTTTGTATTTTTAGTAGAGACGGGGTTTCACCGTGTTAGCCAGGCTGGTCTCCAACTCCTGACTTTGTGATCCACCCGCCTTGGTCTCCCAAAGTGCTGGGATTACAGGCGTGAGCCACTGCGCCCGGCCTCTTTTGCCTATTTTTCTACAGCTCATTCTGTGTAGACTCTTTATGTGCTGCACATATCGTAAATTCTTCTCCCATTTGTGGCTTACCTTTTCACTCTGATAGTGGTGATTTTTGATAAAATGCTCTTAATTTGGATGTAGCCTTTTTTTTTTTAATGATTAGCACTTTTTTTTTTTTTTAATCTACCATCTGCACATGGAACTTTCAGTATCTTTTTGAAGATGTTTTCCCTGCCTTGGGGTCATGAAGACATTCCTTTACATTGTCATCTAAAGATTTGAAGCTTTGCCTTCTGCATGGAAGTTTGTAATCCTTCTGGAGTTGGTCTTTGTGTATAATGTGAGAGGCAGAGGAAGCTTCTTTCTCTCTGTGGAGACCCAGTTGTCCCTCCTCTAGTGGCTGAAGGGCTCCTCCTCCCGTTGCTGACCAGTGGTGTCCCCTGCCATCTGCCAGCTTTTCATGGGCACACCGGCCTGTCTCCTGGCCTTCTGCCACATCTCGCTGGTCCAGGCATCTGTCTCTGACATCATAGCACATTGTCTTGCTCATCGTTGCTCTAACATGACTCTCGAGTCCCCACTTGCCGCGTTCCCTGCCTTGCTCCTTCTTCTTCAGCATGTTCCCTCCCCAGGGCTCTCTGCTCTGCCCTGTTTGGGGATTGGTTCACCACATACCCTGGCGAAGCGTACTGGCTTGTGCATGGGAACGGCACTTCGTCTCCAGAGCTGCCTGGGGAGGCCTTTCCTATGTTGTTTCCCAAAGCAGTCTCTTGTCTTTAGGTCTCTGGTAGCTTTGCAAAGGCAGAGTTGTGTTTGGGAAGAACAGGGAGAGGGTGGTCTGTACACAGCTCAGGGCATTGCTGTCAGACTGCCAGGCCTCTGGGGACTGAGCCTCTGGACCAGCCGCCTCACACCAGCCTGTGCGGTGAAAGAGAATGTGTTGGCTCACATGTCAGGGGAGTCCGAGGTCAGGCGTGACACGCCTGGGAGCTGACAGCCTCCATCAGACCTGCATCTTCGGCTCCCTCTATGCCTGCACGCCTAGGCAGACCCTCTCCTGGTGGTTTCAAAGAGGGACTGCAGCAGCCCCAGGCCTTCATTGTCCTGGCCACCCACAGGCTCGGTGGGGACCCCAAGTAGCATCTCCTCCCATGCTCCCCTCACCACTGTGAGTGTGAGGGGTACAAGATGGAGAACCCACCAGTGTCTCAGACCAGCAAGAAGCCAGTGTCCAGGGTGGCCCCTGCTCTAAGGACATGTTCCCCAAATAATTGTGAATTGTTAAAAACCAGATGTTAGGAAGCATCTCTTTAAGTATAATCTCTCATTATGAATTTTAAATATTTAATACAGGAATATTCCTTTCATGGGTGACTTTTCCTGAACTTACAGCATAAGGCGCGCCCTATCTCATCTGCTATCTTAGTCCATTTTGTGTTGCTGTGGCAGTGCCTGAGACTGAGTAATTTATAAAGAAAAGGAGTTTATTTGGCTCATGACTCTGGAGGCTGGGAAGTCCAAGATCAGGCAGCCCATCTGTCAGGGTCTCATGCTGCTTCAGCTCTGGGGGAACAGAGAAGGGGAAGCGGGTGTTGCCAAGAGAACAAACATGAGAGGCAGCCTTGCTTACAACAACCTGCTCTCGCAGGAGCTTATCCATTCCCACAAAAACTAACCCAATTGTGGGAGAACTGACCCAGCCCTGTAAGAAATCCATCACCTCTCGGACCACCTTCCAACACTGCTACATTGGCAATTAAATTTCACCATGAGTTTTGGCAGGGACAAACCACATCCAAACCATAGCCTCCGTGTATGTCCAAGCCTGAGGATGCCTGTCTGGTCATTGGCCTCAGGTCAGGGAGGTGAGACCCGAGCTTTCTTAATGGGGAGACAGCCTTGTGGAATTGATAGAGATAGTGTCAGGGACCCCTTAGGGCTGGTTTCTCTTCTGTCCAGCTGCCCTTTTTGGAAATAAGATAAAGTGTCAAAAGCTTTTCATTACATCATTTCTTTTTTTTTTTTAGACTGGAGTTTCACGCTTGTTGCCCAGGCTGGAGTGCAGTGGCACAATCTTGACTCACCACAACTTCTACCTCCTGGGTTCAAGTGATTCTCCTGCCTCAGTCTCCCGAGTAGCTGGGATTACAGGCATGTGCCACCACACCCGGCTAATTTTGTGTTTTTAGTAGAGATGGGGTTTCTCCATGTTGGTCAGGCTGGTCTTGAACTCCCGACCTCCCGCCTCGCCCTCCCAAAGTGCTGGGATTACAGGCGTGAGCCACTGCACCTGGCCTGACATTCTTCACATAAACAAACTCTTGTGGTTCTATAATTATTTATGTCCATCCCAGGACTCATGGACATAAATAATTATAGAACCACAAGAGTTTGAAGCAGGCAGAATGGAATTTACTAGGATAATCTCTTAGCTTAAAGGCACGGTTTCTGTGCATTGTCATGGCAACAGTTGGCCCTCTGTTGGCTTCTGGATGGAGTGTGATGCTGCATTAGAAACAGGGAAAGAGAAGCGGAGCAGATGGTGTCTGGCCGGCGTCTGGCACTGGATTGACGTTGATGAGTACGGAAAAGTCTGCCTTTCTTCCTCTTGGTCTTAGTTTTGCCATCATCTCTGGGAGGTCCTCAGAAGTTAAAATCTCATTGTCGGTATTTCTTGATTTTCTGATAGCTGTTTCTTTGTTTAATCATTTCTTTTACTCCTATGGGACTTTAAGATTTCAGCATGGCTGTGGGGTCGGAGGCACTGAAGGCTCCATCACCTTCTGCCTGCTCCGTGGGGGTGGTGAGCGCACTGTGGTCTGAAGAGGCCCTTCCTGGTGGCCTAAGAGCCCTCACCTCTAAAGATGAACAGCAGTTGCTCAATTTTTGACCATCTTTGGGTTCTTGGTGGATTTGGGGTGTTCTGCTGTCCTCATGATCCTGGAGGTACATTTTCTTTATATATATATATATATGTTATTCTGGAGAACGGACCTTGTGTGGTTTTTATTACCTCTGTAAAGGAGCTTGTGACCCAAGAGCAGTTCGGCATGATGGCCTAGAACTTTGTTTTGGGCTCTGTAGGGAATGAGTGGATGTGGACACCAGGGTAGGCCACCCCTACTCCTTCCATCTCCTGTGTTGTTTGCAGGAGACGCCCCTTCCTTCTGTCAGTGTGGTGGGATCTTGTCATAAACTGTGGTTCTTAAGAGCCTGGTGGCAAATTAGCAGGGAAGGATGGGGCGAGAGCTTTTAGACAGGTAAATCCTGGAAAACAGAGCACACATTCAACACTGGGTCTTACCTGTGTCTATATTTACATTAATTAAATGTAACTAAAAATAAAATTCAGTTCCTCAAGTGCCAAGCCACATTCCAAGTACTTACTAGGCATGCATGGCTGGCGGCTGCCGGAATGGACAGGACAGACGGAAGCATTTCCATCATCCCAGAAATCTCTTGACAGAGATAAAATAAACTTACAGAGTTTATTTTATGCTAAAAGGCAAAGAAGTTCTTGGTTTTCAGCACCAGATTGCTCTCTGGCGAGATACCCTTCCTAGCTTGACCCTCTCTTTCTCTGCTCTAGTCTTTAGAAGAAGTGTGTGACCTGCTGCACGCGGCTCCTTTCCAGAACATCTTGCCGCGAGTCCATGTGAAAGGTGAGCCTGCTGACCCCCACCAGGGAGTCCAGACTGCCCTCTGTGGGGGTGGTGCCCACTGTATGCAACCGGAGAGCTAAGGACCAGTGCAGATTGTGGGTTTGGCGCCTGTTCAGTCATACCCAGGGGTAATGAGGAGTGTACAGAACCTAGTTAAATGAAGATTGAGAAATAGAGCTGCAATGATATGATGTCTTAGAATTGCTTCCAAATATCAATAGCATGGGAGCAGGGGGAGTTGGGTATATAAGAAGCAGAGTGGCCATGAGTTGATAATTATAGCAGATGATGGGTACAGGCTCATTGTGCCATTTTCTGCTTTCGATTACATTTGGAATATTCAATAAATGAAAAGTGAATATTGAGCAGAAAATTGGTTCTGCCGGTTTGAATTAAAATATTAAATGAGCCAGTTCTGTAAAATAATTTTCAAAGAGAATCTGTATCCATAATGTTAACTTAAAAATCTTTTGTTTTTTAAACAAATGTAAACCTTTGCAATTACCGTTTCATACAAAGGAGCAGAATATAGTAAAATATTTTTTCTACTGCAGAGGGGGAGAGACTTGATGCCAAAATGAAAAGACTAGAATCAAAGTACGCCCCGCTGCATCTTGTCCCACTGATTGAAAGACTGGGGACCCCTCAGGTAACGTGTACCGTGATGGCTGTGGCTGTTGCAAGCTGGGCATCCATGCCAGGCCAGGTGGCCTGGTTGGGAGCCAGACTGGAAGGCATCGTGAAGTCCAGCGGCTGCGTGGCTGCTCAGGCCTCAAGTGTTGCAAGTGGGGTGTGCACCAGGACTGCTTCCCTGGGTGGTGGGAGGATTCAGATGAGCTAACACCTGGAAAGAGCTTAGCACATCACCTGGCACGTAAGGCTTACACAGAAGACATCACTTTCACTGTCCAGCCCTTCATGAAGAAGGCTTTCCCATAGGTGTTTAAGAACAGAAGAAATTAGGCCAGGAGGCAAGGTGTCAGGGTAGAGTTCTACAGTGATCCAGCTGCTTATGCTAAGTCAGGGTTTCTCAGCCATTTTGGACCAGATAACTCTATGGTGGGGGCTGGGGCGCCCTGTGCATCGTAGGATGGTTAGCAGCGTCCCTGGCCTCCACACTAGCTGCCAGTAGACCCGCTCCACCCAAAACATTTTTCCAGGGCCGGGCACCGGGGTTCATTCCTGTCATCCCAGCACTTTGGGAGGCCAAGACAGGAGTTTGAGACCAGCCTGGGCAACATGGCGAAACCCCATCTCTACAAAAAATACAAAAATTATCCGGGTGTGGTGGCATGCACCTGGTCGCTTGAGCCTGGGAAGTCAAGGCTGCAGCGAGCTGTGATTGTGCCACTGCACTCCAGCCTAGGCAGCAGAGCAAGACCCTGTCTCAAGAGAAAAGAGACATAGAGGATGTGGAGTAGCTGGATGCCTGGAGGCCCACGGCATTCCACGGCTTGTCCTTTCTGCAGCAAATTGCCATCGCAAGAGAGGGGGACCTGCTGACAAAGGAGCGCCTCTGCTGCGGCCTGTCCATGTTTGAGGTCATCCTGACACGGATCCGGAGCTTTCTGGATGACCCCATCTGGCGCGGGCCTCTGCCCAGCAATGGGGTCATGCATGTGGACGAGTGTGTGGAGTTTCACAGACTGTGGAGTGCCATGCAGTTTGTCTACTGCATTCCCGTGGGGACACACGAGTTCACAGTCGAGTAAGTGTGTGCTGAGAGCAGGACAAAGCCCCAGAGGAGGGGAGGAGCTGTGGGGGAGGGGAGGCGTGTTAGGCTAACAAGCAGCCAGCCATGCTCAGGAAGTGGACCAGAAACTCACTGAGCGGCTTTTAAGCCTCCTGTAGTGGGGATTCTTACTTGATGCCAAAGAGCTGACTCAGGACTCTAGTATTCAGGGAGTCTCTGAACCCACGGCAATTGTATGCACGTTGGGCGTGCATTTTTCTAGGTGGGAGGTCCATAGAGTCATTCATCACAGAGGGGATATGATCTAAAAAGGGATAGGAAGCAGCACACCAGAAGAGCCCAAAAAAGTTATTTATCAAAACCAGGGAACAGCCACCTGCTGCCCGGCATTCTCTTCCTGGCTGTGGAAGGTGACTGTGTAGGCACAGACAGTAATGCAGATGGCTTGGTCACTGACATCTGGAGACAGACTGAGAAAAGACTTCATAACGTATCACTCATCTCCCATTCTGTTTCTGCTTCTTGTTCCTAGGCAGTGCTTTGGTGATGGGCTACACTGGGCTGGCTGTATGATCATCGTACTTCTTGGGCAGCAGCGGCGTTTTGCTGTGCTGGATTTCTGCTACCATCTACTTAAAGTCCAGAAACATGATGGCAAAGATGAGATTATTAAAAATGTGGTATGTGGATGAAAATCTCGCACCATCTGTGGACCTTTTGCAAAAGCATACTTTCTTTGTGTTATAAGTTCTTGTTTCTGGCAATGTTTTTCATCCTAGTACGTAAGGTGCCACCAACAGAAACTTTCTTTTCGTTCCCAAAATGAATCTAAATATAATTGGCCAGTAAAGCAGTCTGGCAGAGAAAATACTCATTGTTCCGTTTTCCTTCTCAAGGTACTTAGATTTACTTCCAGTCTTACAGGATCTGCATTGTCAGAATATTGGCAACTATAGTCTTCGGGCCCCTGGAAGTCTGTGCTTTCTTGGCTGCTTTAAAGGCCTTTTGTCTTTGTTGCTTTATGGATCCCTCATAGTTGAATTCTGGAAAATACTCAGCCATTATCTTTGAAATATTTCAGCCTCCTTTCCATTCTCCCTATTCTTGCCATTCAGGACTTCAGTTAAACATATGTTAGACCTTCTCATTCTATTCTCCACATCTCTTTGTTGTATCAGTTTTCTTTTTTCTTTCTTTTTTTTTTTTTTTTGAGACAGTTTCGCTCTTGTTGCTCAGGCTGGGGTGCAATGCCACGATCTTGGCTCACTGCAATCTCTGCTGCCCAGGTTCAAGTGATTCTCCTGCCTCAGCCTCCCGAGTAGCTGGGATTATAGGCACCTGCCACCACGCCCGGCTAATTTTTGTATTTTGTAATTTTGTATTTTTAGTAGAGACTAGGTTTCACCATGTTGGCCAGGCTGATCTTGAACTCCTGACATAAGGTGATCCGCCCACCTCCCAAAGTGCTAGGATTACAGGCGCGCCCAGCCCTGTTGTATTAGTTTTCTATTGCTTCCATGACAACAAATCACCACAGGCTTGGCAGTTTAAATACCACTGATTATCTCACAATTCTCTAAGTCAGATGCCTGAGTTCAGCCAGGCCCAGCTGGGTCCTCTGCTCAGTCTCATGGGGCCAGTGTCTGAGGTGCTGGGTTCACCCTGGAGGCCTTCAAGCTTATGCACAGTTGGCTCAATTATTCCTTGCAGCTGTAGGACTGGGTCCCCCTTCCTTCTCATGCTTTCCAAGTGGCCCCCTCCAGCAATGGTGGGTTGGGCAGTCTCAGCCTCTAGTCTTCTGCCATGTCTCTCCTGCCTCCGGCCAGAGAACATTCCCTGACTGTGACTATATTGAGCCCACTGGACAACCCCAGATACTCTCCCTGTCCTACAGTCCAGTCTTAGCCACACCTGCCCAGGCCCCGTGGAGTGGAGGCAATGCAGTCACAGGCTCCAGGTCATGGGCCTCTCTCAGGGGCCCTTCTGCCTCCCACTCCTCCATTTCCGGGGCTCCCAGAGGTGTGTCCAGATACTGTATTCATGTGTCTTAGTTAACTTGTTTACTTCAGCTCTAATCTGCTGAGCTTTTACTCTGAAAATATTATTAGTTCACTTTTTAAAGTTCAGTTAGGTTCTTCAAATCTTCTTGGTAACTGACAGTTTTATTGTCTTAACTGAACTTTTTCCATCTCTTATTTCTTTATCCAATTCATGTATTGTATATTCTGTGTGTTTTCCTTCTAGTATCTGAAGGCCTTGGAGGTATTTAAAACTTTGCTGTTTCCTTGTGTGTTGGGTTATTTGGGAGTCTTTATTTAATTGGAGTTAATTTAGATTGCTTTCCCCCAAGATGTGCATTTGTATCTGCCCATCTCTATGGGGTGCTACCAACTCAGGGCCGCTTTAGCCGAATTGGAGGTCCTGGCTTCACTGGGGAGTCTTCGGTGTGGTCCCGCTTGCTTACGCCCGGGCTGCTCCTCACCCCACCGCCGCTGTTGGCATCTGCCCCTGAGGAGGCCCTGGCTTCCCCCTTACCACCTGCATAGGTAGAACCAGCTTTTCAAAGCGTTTTGTTTGCGTGTATGTTCTTAATTCGTGTTCTTTATTCCTGTGGTAGCAGGAGGGTCTGTCAGAGTATCCCGTCACAGTATTTCCAAACTGGAAGTCTAAAACTTGTGTTAGTTGACTGGCCTTTCTCCACTGACCACATCATCTTCATCTGGAGATCCCCAGCTTTGAGCAGACAGTAGGTTCTTAATTGCCAATGTGGAAGGAATAGGCCTATCAATTGTGCGCATGAATGAATCTACAGCAGCATGAAGCCAACAGAGGGATTCTAAATTCAAAATATATTCATCCTTCCAACTGTTGCATTAAAGAGATGGTATGTGGCTGGGAGTGCTGGCTCATACCTGTAATCCCAACAGTTTGGGAGGCTGAGGCAGAGGAGGATTGCTTGAGCTCAGGAGTTCAAGACCATCCTGGACAGCATAATAAGACCTTGTCTTTACAAAATTAAATTTAAAAATTAGCTGCGTGTGGTGGTACACGCCTGTGGTCCCAGCTACTCAGGAGGCTGAGGTGGGAGGATGTCTTGAGGCTACAGTGAGCCGTGATCATGCCACTGCACTCCAGCCTGGGCGTCAGAGTGAGACCCTATCTTACAAAAAAAAAACCCAAAAAGAACAGTATGTGTGTCAATTCCGTTTGCTATTATTTTTCTGAGAAAATATAAGAATCCTGACATTTTGAAACATGAAGAATAAATGTTGAAGTGTTAATAGTAAAACATCCTCACTTTGATGGTTGTAGCCTTTGAAGAAGATGGTGGAGAGAATTCGCAAGTTCCAGATTCTCAATGATGAGATCATCACCATCCTGGATAAGTACCTGAAGTCAGGCGACGGGGAGGGCACGCCAGTGGAGCATGTGCGCTGCTTCCAGCCGCCCATCCACCAGTCCCTCGCCAGCAGCTGAGGGCACGCGCTGCACTCCGTAACTCAACATGGCATGCCTTTCTCTCCGTAAACTATTTAGTGAGATTTTTAGGGACTATTTTTCAGTATCTCTGTACCTGTTAAAGGGGGTGCTTTTCGATCTAAAAACTTAATTTTATAAAATTGACTTATTTTTCTAGACTAAAATTGTATATGCTTTTGGTAATTAGGAACTCTTGAGAATATTGGCTGCTGATTGTTGCCATCACGTTCCTACAAAATTGTTTTTCTATGGGATGTTCTGGCAGCTGTGTCATAAAATGCTGCTGGGTTCATTCATTCATTCCATAAGAAACTTAATACCAGCAAATGCATTAAATCCCTTGCCAGTTACCATTAACTGTAACTATTTAGCTTTTGTTTAGGGATCTTTCTGATGGTCTTTTATGAGCAATCTTAGTTCTAAGTCATTGTTCCCATCCCTTTTTTGTGTGTTTCAGAAAATAGTGAACTTGATTCCCCTGCTTCCACTAAATCCAGTTGTGACAAAATCTAACGTGACATCAGATCGAAAGGTTATAGAAATAAAACTAATGAGATCTATTTGTGTTCATTTATTTACTCTAACCCTGTGCTGCCTGGCTTGGCAAGGAACTCTAACCTGAACTCACATACCAGGCCAGCTGGGATGGAGGTCACCTCTAAGGCTGAGGTGGGATGGGACCGTGACACCATCCCATATACCGCTCACCTCAGCACAGGTTTAGCTTTATATTTAGGGTTCCGCAGGCAAATGAGGTGTAAAACGGCCGTGTTGGCTGCTCCAATCTGGATATGAAGAGGCTACTCAGTGCCTCTCTGTTACCTGTGCCCATGACCTGGAGGAAGCCAGCAATGTGGGAGGAGATCAGTCAGGCCCAGTGGGTGCTGCACAAAGGGACCGGGAGCACCGAGTCCAGCCTTCAGCTGTCCCCGATCCACAGGGCTCACATGGCTGGAGCTGGTTCACATGATCTGTCAGAATGAAAAACAATCGGTCTAGACTACCAGTAGAGTCACGAACATGTTTGAGAAACTAAAGCCATATTTTAAAAAGTACTAAGGCAATGAGGTTCTGAAAATCCTAACTGAATGGAAAAAGATGCTATGCCTGTTTATTGTAGATGAATACTACAGATAAACACAAGTCCAGCATGATTAACTGAACTCACTTTATATTGTAGCCTGGCAGTCATTTTACATTATTTGGAGTATTGCAACCTTCACCAATTTTAAAATTTTCTATGGATGCCAAGTTGCCATAAAAAGCAGGCCTCGCCTACTTTTCCGGAGGCCTTTGGAAACTGTCCAGAAGCATATGATGCACGGCACAGAAAAGTAGTAAGTGTACGAACCATCCTGTTACACTGCCAAACTCACTCAAGTGACATGAAGCCTAACAAACAATTATTCTTTCTTTATAAAAAGTTCCCTAAAAATGCTTTTGGTAATGTGAATTAATAACCCTGGGGCCAGCATTCTGCTGCAGATTTAGAGGTGGTAGCTGTGCTTATCTTAGAAACTACAGAATAGGATGAAAAATTATGGTAAAACTTAATCAATTACCAAGTTTTATAAGGCTTAATTATATACCAAATATGTAATACCTTAGGTATAAGACAATCTCAAGTGCTACAAAATGTTAAATAAGAATTTATTATTTATTAACCTATGCATGTTCAAATGAGTCTCTGTCCTCAAGGGGGAGAAAACTGGTTCTTTTATGTACAAAGCACAGATGTAGGTACAGTATATAAACAGATACGTAGTACATCTGTAGTATTAAAATGGCATGGGAGGAGGCAGTTAGAAAAAACATCTAAAACAGCTCCTTAGAAGGCCAATAATACAGTTGGAAAAAAGGGAGTTTCCACGCAGCCAGTGGTGAGCTGCATGGGATACCAGCACCATTGGCAGGGGAGGCCCTCGGGGAGTGATGGCTTGGCGCTGGCGCACCACTGGGTAACCTCCAGGCAGGAGCCACAGGCTGGAACAGGCGAACACTTTCTTCCCATCACCTAGGTGGAAATTAATTCTGCCAATACTTTTTTTTAAAGGCCAGTCAATGGTTATGAGTGGATAGGTTCAAAGCTGAATGGAGTTCATTAGACCTTTTTTATTATTCTACCTTTTCTGCATATGTTTGCAGTTTTCCATCAACTTCTTCATAAACAAACAAACATTTTCTAGAAACCAAAATATGTAGTGGCCCAAAGGAGCTCTTAAGCAAAGTACTTGGTACAAAGAGACCATATTCTATAAACATGTTAAGTTTGTTCTAAGCATTCAGACTTTTAGAATAAGAACTTCATTTCAACTTTTTATTATAACATGAGCTAAACTTTAAGAAACAACCCTAGTCTTCTATTTCCCAGAGCTGTTCAAAGTCTAAATGACAATATAACTCATTATGAAAATATACTGAAAAGTACAAGAGCTGATGTAAAACGGTAATCAAGGTTCCAGGCATCATGGGATTAGGGTAACTGAAGAATAAACCCAGCCAGGCTGCAACAGCAGGCAGGATGTGCTGGCTTGATGAGGTGCTAAGGCCATCGAATGCTCAGAGGAAGCCGGATTCACGGTGATCATCTCAACCTGAGAAATCGTTCCTTGGGGTGATTTCTGCCCTTTTTTTTGTTTTGTAAGAAAGAGGTTCCTTCATTCAGTAACTTAGTTTTCCCTTAATAAATATTTCAAAAATAAAACCAATCATCATCAAACAAACAGGAGCCACTTTTGTAGGTAAGGTAAATCACAGGATAATGTATTGGGATAACTCTGTTTTTTTAAAATAAAAAAGCCTTACATGGTCAGGGATTGATGGAGTGGGGATGACAAATGCACATTTCAGACTTTCATCACCAATGAAAAAATAAAGCATTTTCATAGACTTAAAACTGTCATTAGTGCATTCGGCTTTTGGAGAAGGGATGAAAATGTAAAATACTTCTACAACAATAAAATGTTAATAGAAATCGTCATGTGCTGAGGTCATTTTAGTGAGCTACCATTGTTTGTTTAAATACAAGAAAAGTAATTTCTTGGTCCAAATTAGTGAAATCTTTAAAAAGATTGCCTTTAAAGAACATTATTTGAGGACAATGTTTTTTCAGACACATTCTGATGATATTCAAATTCACTTCATAACAATCACAGATTAACCTTTAATTACACCTTAAAAAGCTGTCAGATTTCCATTTCTTCGGGAGACATTTTCACCAGTGTGTTGTTCGATTCCACAGGTTAAGCTTTCTTCATTATTATTAAGAACTTCATACATATTAGAGAGATTGCCATTCATTGCTTTCTCGTCTTTTCGAAAAGACACAGGCAGACTTGCTAGACTAAAGCTGACGTCTTTAAAGGCATGCAACAAGAATATCCCCACAATGATTGTAAAGAAGCCACTCAAAGTACCAATGACATCGTCAACAGGCATATCTTGCCACTCCTTAAAAAGAATAGCTGAACAAGTTAAAACTGATGTTGTAAAGAATACATAATATATTGGAGTCACAATGGAAGTGTTGAATATATCCAGGGCCCTATTTAGGTAATTAATCTGTGTGCTCACACAGACGATGAGGCTCAGCAGCAGAATCCAAGCCAGGGGATGCCGCAGCACAGGCTTCCCTGCAAACAGCTCCTTGATAGCAATGCCCAGGCCCTTCACACAGGAGACTGAAAACGCGCCGATTACAGAGCAGATTGTTATGTACACAAGAATGTTTGTCTGTCCATGGCGAGGACCCACCACGAAGATTAATATCAAGGCCACAATGACCACAAGGGTTGCAAAGACCACAAAACCTGGAGGAGGCAAAGAAAAGTTACATGAGTCAAATGGTTGGTTGTTCTTAAACACAGAATGCAAAACAAAATATAATAAACTTGATAGGGAGAAAAGGTATGGCCTGGAAATAAAAATCAGCTTTATTTTGCAGCCCAAGCAGAAATGCAACCACAAAAATTTACTTAGATGGACACACTGGAAGATTAATGCGAGCTTCATATTCACAAATTGTTATACCCCTAACATTTTTGCAGCAGCACTTTATGCCAACTTAAGTGCTCTAGCTCACCAGGCAAGAGGGACAGTGGGAACAGAACAGACACAGAAACTAGGGAGGAGAAACCATGAGGTGGCCTTGAATGTTCAACAATTTATAGATGCTAAAAAAAACAAAAAACACAAAAACAAGAGTTCTTCATCAAGTTTTCCCTAAAAGGGGAAACTTTTAAAATTTGTGGACAACTGCTGGAGTAACGAGCAAGTCAACTGGAGAACTTGAAAGATACTACTGGGGTTCTGGTTGAATACGGAGAATTAAATCCAGCATGATAATAGCCAACAACTGTGTAGCACTGTGGGCCAGGCATTTTTCTCAGCAATTCGCACTCAACTACCCTGTTATCACGGATACTACCACCTGCATTTTCGGATGAGGAAACTGAGGCCCAGATAAGTCACATGAATTTACTCTTCCTTCCTCAAATTCCACTAATAAAATACACAGTAATAGGATTTTTTTTTTTTGAGACAGAGTCTTGCTCTGTCGCCCAGGCTGGAGTGCAGTGGTGCGATCTTGGCTCACTGCAAGCTCCGCCTCCCGGGTTCACGCCATTCTCCTGCCTCAGCCTCCTGAGTAGCTGGGACTACAGGTGCCCGCCAACACGCCCAGCTAATTTTTTGTATTCTTAGTAGAGACGGGGTTTCACCATGTTAGTCAGGATGGTCTCCATCTCCTGACCTCGTGATCCACCCGCTCTGGCCTCCCAAAGTGCTGGGATTACAGGCGTGAGCCACCGCACCCAGCAGTAATAGATTATTAAAGACACAAATACACAAAATTAAGAACAAGAAGCCAGGTGTGGTGGCTCACGCCTGTAATCCCAGCACTGGGAGGCCGAGGATGGCAGATCACCTGAGGTCAGGAGTTCGAGACCAGCCTAGCCAACATGGTGAAACCTCATCTCTTCTAAAAATACAAAAATTAGCCAGGCGTGGTGGCAGACACCTGTAATGCCAGCTACTTGGGAGGCTGAAACAGGAGAATCGCTTGAATCTGGGAGGTGGAGGTTGCAATGAGCTGAGATCATGCCACTGCACTCCAGCCTGGGCAATAGAGTGAGACTGTCTCAAGAAAAAAGAGAGGACCGAAGATAACAATCCTTCGTAAGTCAGAAAGCAAAGGCTAACTAATAACTGGTACAGAGATCCAAGAAAGCGGAATCCTACACATCCGCTGTGATAAAAGATGAAAAAGCAATTTAGTTTGTGGCACAGAATGCTCAAAAGATACAAAGTGCCTCTGAAGTGGAGTAAAGGCAAGATTGAAAGTGAGGACTGGCTGAAAAGTCCATTCAAGAAACAAGGAGACTCCTGCCCAGTTCTGGGAGACTGTCCCTCCCGTGCCACAGAGTTCCAGGAAGCTGAGGTCAACCATGCCTCCAGGCATTAATCCTTCCCCCCAGTCAATTCCCAGGATGCCCACAGCCAGCCATGAAACTGGAAGCTTTTTTTGCTGGGGATCTGACCAGCCCAACTTTTACATAACAGAGGACAGCAGGCTGGGCGTGGTGGCTCACGCCTGTAATCCCAGCACTTTGGGCGGCCGAGGTGGGCGGATCATGAGGTCAGAAGATCGAGACCATCCTGGCTAACATGGTGAAACCCCGTCTCTACTAAAAATACAAAAAATTAGCCAGGCCTGGTGGTGGGTGCCTGTAGTCCCAGCTACTCGGGAGGCTGAGGCAGGAGAATGGCGTGAACCCAGGAGGGGAGCTTGCAGTGAGCCAAGATCACGCCACTGCACTCCAGCCTGGGCAACAGAGCAAGACTCTGTCTCAAAAAAATAAAAAGAAAGATAGCCAAAGACCACCAGGAGAGAAGCCAAAACAAACAGAAAAGTGCAAAGCCTCTTTCTCCCATGTAGACAGAGGAAAACTTCAAAATAAACAACTGTCCCTCAAAAAACAAAAAAATTACTAATATCCTCAGAAAAGCAAGAAAAACTATTATTAATATCCTCAGAGACACAATGAAACAGACTGACCTGGCACCCCAAATACCTACAAACGATGGATCTACAACAACAAAAAACCCCAAACAAATAAAAAAGAAACATTTATTTGAGGGCATCAAAGAGCCATCAAAGTAGCCAGGACTTAAAGGGCCAAAATCCAGAGAAAAGAGAAGAATCAGCCCAACACTCACCTCTGCCTTCTCCCTTGGGGCAACTACTAATGCAAGGGGTGAGATGGCATAAAGGCCAATCAACACCGGCCTAAGCTTAAGGGGACTAGGTAAAAACAAGTTGGAATTTGGGGCTGCCTAAGCAGCTGGAACTGAATGGAACAAGACCCAGAAAGGAGGGAACTATAGAGTAGTGAGCCCAAATTTCTGTGTGCATTTCCCCTTACGGTGTTTCTTGGCACACAAGCTGCACAGCCAAGGTCAGAGGAGCCAAATGGAAAGCCCGGCCAGGAGGCCACAGGACTAAGCAGGGATTTTAGTGTCTCAAGTTACTGAGGAGCAGATCCTGGAGCTCTCAGTTTCTCAGGTGGAGGGGCCCAAACCAACATCTGAAGCTATCAGTTGAGAGCCAAAGGGCTATGAATAAGAATAAAGGCAAACTGAGCCAGGTGTGGTGGCTCATGCCTGTAATCCCAGCCCTTTGGGAGGCCGAGGGAGGTGGATCACTTGAGCCCAGTAGGTTGAGACCAGCCCAGCCAACATGACAAAACCCTGTCTCTACCAAAAAAAGATACAAAAATTAGGCCAGGCACAGTGGCGCATGCCTGTCATCGCAACTACTTGGGAGGCTAAAGCAGGAGAATCACTTGAACCCAGGAGGCAGAGGGAGCAATGAGCCGAGACTGCACCACTGTGCTCCAGCCTGGGTGACGGCGAGACTCCATCTCAAAAAAAAAAAAACAAAGAAAATACAAAAATTAGCCAGATGTGGTGGCACACACCTGTAGTCCCAGCTACACAGGAGGCTGAGGTGGGAGGATCGCTTGAGCCCGAGAGGCAGAGGATGCAGTGAGCCATGATCACACCACTGCACTCCAGCCTGGGCAACAGAGTGAGATACTGTCTCCAAAAAAAAAAAAAAAAAAAAGAATAAAGGCAAACTGAAAGAAACTAGGCCCAACAAAGCTTAAAACAATACCTTCAGGGTGAAGGTGAGCTACTGTATTCTTTTCTGCCTACCAGAAGAAATTTACATTCTCTCTGAAGGAAGAAAAAACATCACTTAAAACCTCTACACCTTCTAATATCCTACATCCAGCATTCAATTAAAAAATGCCTAAAAGCCAAAAGAGAAACACCACCACAGGAGGCCCACAAAGAATTCTAAAACTAAAGTTAGCAGACAAAGACTTTAAAATAACTAGGAATCAAAGAACAGAGGCAAGAAACTCTTAGAAATTAACAATATAACCGCAGAAATAAAAACTCAGAAGGGCTGGAAGAAAAAACAGAAAATCTCCCCAAAGGCAGAGCAAAAAGACAAAATGGTAAAATGAGGGAAAGAAAAGATAAGAAAATTAATGATCTAGGTCAGGAACTGCAATAAACAGATGAATAAGAATCTCACAAAGAGCAAACAAGAATATCAAAGGAGTATTCAATTCAGTTCCCAAGAGTCAGACATAAATTTTCAGATCAGGCCAGGCACAGTAGCTCACACCTGTAATCCCAGCACTTTGGGAGGCCGAGGCAGGTGGATCACCTGAGGTCAGGAATTCGAGACCAGCCTGGCCAACCTGGTGAAACCCTGTCTCTACTAAAAATACAAAAATTAGCTGGGCGTGGTGGTGGGCGCCTGTAATCCCAGCTACTTGGGAGGCTGAGGCAGGAGAATAACTTGAACCCAAGAGGCGGAGGATGCAGTGAGCCGAGATCACGCCATTGCACTCCAGCCTGAGCAAGAAGAACAAAACTCTGTCTCAAAAAAAAAAAAAAAAAAAAAGAGAGAGACCCATCAGGCGGGGCATGGTGGCTCACACCTGTAATCCCAACACTTTGGGAGGCAAGGTGGGTGGATCACTTGTGATCAGGAGTTCGACACCAACCTGGCCAACATGGTAAAACCTTGTTTCTACCAAACAAACAAAAAAAATTAGCCAGGCATGGTGGCACACGCCTGCAGTCCCAGCTACTTGGAAGGCTGAGATGGGAGAATCGCTTGGGCTGGGGAGGAGGAGGTTGCAGTGAGCTGAGATCACATCACTGCATTCCAGCCTGGGCAACACGGCCCTGTCTCAAAATAAAATGAACCATCAGGCACCCAGCACAATGGACAAAAATGGACCCATCTCTAGGCATGTCAGTGGGAAATTTCAGACACTGTGGGGAAAGAGAACATCCTACATGCTTCCAAAAACAAAAAATTGGTCGCATATAAAAGATAAGGGATAAACTGTTCAATTTCTCAACAGCAACATCAGAAATGAGAAGACGGTGGTCACAATAGGTTAAAAACATTTTGAGATAAACAAGGTCTCAAAAAATCTCATCTCTTCATGCCCTTTCTTGTCTCCTCTAGAGTGACACCACCAAAATGAAGGCACAAACCCAGGATTCTGGAAATAAGGGATCCAAGAAAAAGCAAACTGAAGGGAATCCCCAGGATGCTGCTGAAGAGAAATGCAGATAACAGCTGTGCTGGCAGCCTGGAGACACCCGCCTAGATTGAGGCCACACAGAAGGCACTGAGAGAAATTTCCAAAAGAGATGAAACAAAGAATACCTCTTTGTTTGAAATTACTGAGAGTAGAATTAGTCAACTGGGGAAGAGTTTCATGATACATTGATCGATTCATAAAAAACTACACAAACAAGATAATTATTACTTCTGGAAAAACAAATTATACAGGGAAGGAACAACAACCATAATAAAGACTAAGATGACAATAAAAGTTATGTATCAATGATAATGTAAACAATCTCAAGAAAACTATATAGGTACAGTAAATAAAAGGTAAAACAGATAATGCCTAAAGCTAAGGAAGTAAGTAGTAGCAATATACGCACACTACTTACAAACACAGAGTTAAAGAACAGTAGAAACACAGGCTTGGGATTGATAGGAGGGAGCAGGGAACATGACGACAATTTGTTCTTCTACCAGGTGGAACAATTTCTTTCCTTATGTGCTCATCAAATTTCGATTAAAGTAAAAACTAAGTTAAAAAGTAAAATACAGTAAGACTAATAAGACTTTTTTCTTACCTGGATCACCTAGCTTGTGAGACATTTCATTTAAAGTCTCAATCTCCTCTTCCTTTGGAGCATGAATGACCATAACTGTAGATCCTAGAATACTTAGCAAACACCCAATTTTCCCATGAAGATTAAGTCTTTCATTGAGAAAGTATGAAGAAAGAATGGCACTAAAATGGGGAGGAAAAAAAATTGAGAACTTTAATCAGCTACTTTCCTTTTTCAAATATCAATAAAACTCGTAATTTAAATCACTGAAATCAAACTAAAACACTGTGAACTTATGAAGATTCTGGCTTTCGCCAAGGAAAAAAAGTATACATTTCATCATAAAATGTAAACATTTCTAGGGAATCATCTGCTTCATCATACACTACACCTGTATACTTACCATCTTTCCACTGCAAGAAGTCAGTATGAAATTTATAATAAAGAACAAATTTGTATACATTTATATCCTAATTAAGAACCTATATCCGGGCCAGGCAGAGTGCCTCACGCCTGTAATCCCAGCACTTTGGGAGGCCAAGGTGCGCGGGTCACCTCAGGTCAGGAGTTCAAGCCCAGCCTGGCCAACATGGTGAAACCCCATCTCTACTAAAAATACAAAAATCAGTCAGGCATGGTGGCGGGCATCCTGTAATCCCAGCTACTCGGGAGGCTGGGGCAGGACCTAGAAGGCAGAGGTTGCAGCGAGCTGACATCGCGCCACTGCACTCCAGCCTGGGTGACACAGTGAAACTCCATCTCCAAAGGAAAAAAAAAAAAAAAAGAATCTCTATCCAAACCACCAGTGCTTAAAATTTACTCAACTTATTCCTATTGGTTGATGCATGCACCCCTCTTATGTTGTTAATTGTATATAATTTGCCTATTACATTATCAGGTTTTAATAACTTGTAGCTAGTTTTATCTAGACCTAAAAAGAAAATACAGCATAAACCAATAAATACAGTAACAAAATACTACAAAGAAAATTAAGGGTAAAGGGCAATGACTTATACCATAACCCTGTTTTACATATAGTTTTTTGGGGAAAAAAAAACAGATAAAAATCAGTCAATCTACTTTGGGAATAGTAACCAAGATCCAGACATCAATATGGGCTTAGTTGTTTGGGCTAATCATTACAAAGCAGAAATGGGACAAATCTCAGATCACTCATTCAAAACAAGCACTCCAGGCCAGGCATGCAAATCTACTCATTGGCCGGGCACAGTGGCTCACGCCTGTAATCCCAACACTTTGGGAGGCCAAGGCGGGTGGATCACGAGGTCAGGACATCGAGACCATCCTGGCTAACATGGTGAAACCACATCTCTACTAAAAATACAAAACATTAGCCAGGTGTGGTGGCGGGTGCCTGTAGTCCCAGCTACTCGGGAGGCTGTGGCAGGAGAATGGTGTGAACCCGGGAGGTGGAGCTTGCAGGGAGCCGAGATCGTGCCACTGCACTCCAGTGTGGGCGACAGAGCAAGACTCCGCCTCAAAAAAAAAAAAAAAAAAAGAAAAAGAAATCTACTCATTACCAACCAGACCCTACCAAAGTGCACATGCACTGAATGATAAATACTGGGATGAGTGTAACTTTGAATTTTACTTATTTTTTATTTATTTATTTTTTGAGACAGAGTCTCGCTCTATAGCCCAGGGTGGAGTGCAGTGGTGCTATCTCGGGTCATTGCAACCTCCGCTTCCTGCGTTCAAGCCATTCTCCTGTCTCAGCCTCCTGAGTAGCTGGGACTACAGGTGCCCGCCACCACGCCCAGCTAATTTTTGTATTTTTAGTAGAGACAGGGTTTTACCATGTTAGGCTGGTCTCAAACTTCTGACCTCAGGTGATCCACCCGTCTTGGCCTCCCAAAATGCTGGGATTACAGGCATGAGCCACTGTTCCCAGCCAACTTTGAATATTAAAAAACTGAAATCGAAGTAGAACTAGTACTGGCTCTGAATACAAGCAAGACAAAGCATTTTCTCCCACAAATCAATAGCCTGCCTATGCACAGAAGTAACTTTTTAAAAGCAATTACTACGTAGTGTAAAAAGCGAAGTTCTCCAGGTTGTTGAAATGTAAATTGTGTTGAACATATTTAATTAGATGGTACTGAATATTTTAGAAACTAAGATACCGACTACTGTTTCTACATGAAAAACGTGTCCTTACCTTACTAGCACGCTGAGAGCTCCTAGTGGAGTCACTAGAGTGGCTGGTGCAAACGCATACGCAGCGAAGTTGGCCACCTCACCAGCTCCCACTTAGAGACAGACAACAAAAGAAAAACTCAGGTAAGAATGTATGTACTCAACTTGGAAATGCCGGCATTTTATGCACTATCTATATATTATTTCAACTGTATTTAGTAACCTCCATATTTTTCCAATTTATTATTTTTATTTTTTTGAGACGGAGTCTCACTCTGTCGCCCAGGCTGCAGTGCAGTGGTGTGATCTCAACTCACTGCGAGCTCCGCCTCCCGGGTTCACGCCATTCTCCTGCCTCAGCCTCCCAAGTAGCTGGGACCACAGGCACTCGCCACTATGCCCAGCTAATTTTTTTGTATTTTTAGTAGAGACGGAGTTTCACCGTGTTAGCCAGGATGGTCTTGATCTCCTGACCTCGTGATCTGCCCGCCTCGGCCTCCCAAAGTGCTGGGATTACAGGCGTGAGCCACTGCGCCCAGCCTCTCCAATTTATTAATAAGGGTTATGGGTCTGTAAATTTCTATTACAGTAAGAGTCCAAGTCAATTAGAAACATTCTAGAAACAACACATATCTGTAAATCTAACGGAAGAAATCTAGCTCATGCTGACATAAGGCATTTTAATAAAAATTTTAAATAGATACTTATATCCCAGGACAGTAAATAAAAATCACTGAGAAGAAGCCGACATGAAGGTAAAGGTACTCTTCCCCCAAGTCCTTTTCATTTGGTCCTTTTTTTTTTTTTTTTTTTTTTGAGATGGAGTCTTGCTCTATCGCCCAGGCTGGAATGCAGTGGCACGATCTCAGCTCACTGCAACCTCCACCTCCCGGGTTCAAGCAATTCTCCTGCCTCGGCCTCCCGAGTAGCTGGGACTACAGGCGGGCGCCACCATGCCCAGGTAATTTTTATATTTTTAGTAGAGACGGGGTTTCACCATGTTGACCAGGCTGGTCTTGAACTCCTGACCTCAAATGATCCACCCACCTCAGCCTCCCAAAGTGCTGGGATTATAGGCGTGAGCCACCGTGCCCAGCTTGCTCTTTTTAAAAATGCAAATCATGCTATACACCAGGTCCTGTTCTAGAATCAGGATATACAGCAGGGTGCAAAACAAAGACATTGCTCTGATAAAACTTTTTTTTTTTTTTTGAGACAGAGTCTCGCTCTGTCGCCCAGTGTGCACTGCAATGGCGTGCGTGATCTTGGCTCACTACAACCTCCACCTCCCAAGTTAAAGCGATTCTCCTGCCTCAGCCTCCCAAGTAGCTGGGATTACAGGCCCACATACCCGCCACCACACCCGGCTGATTTTTGTATTTTTAGTAGAGACAGGGTTTCACCATGTTGGTCAGGCTGGTCTTGAACTCCTGACCTAAGGTGATCCACCCGCCTCAGCCTCCCAAAGTGCTGGGATTACAGGCGTGAGCCACCACGCCCAGCCTCTCATAAAACTTTTAGTGAGGGAAGACAGACAAACCAAGCACATGTGCCAAGAGGTTAAAAGTGTTATGAAGAAAAACAGTGAGGGAAAAGAATAAAGTGCTGGTGATGAAAGAAGGTATCCTACTATGTGTCATGGCATTAGATATGGGCTGTCAGATAAGAAATTTTAGAACACTGGGAAATTAAGTCCCACTAAGGAATTATCTAAATTGAAAAGCTACTGAGGAATCCTACACAGGGCAGAGGCATGATCTCACAAAAGGATCCCTCTTGGCTACTGCTTTTTCCAAAAGTTATGCCAATTTTCATTTAGCAGCGTATGAGAGCTCCCTTTGCTCCATTCTCCCTGCTGATCTTTGTTAGGAGTATGGGATGATTCTGTTATGCCTTCAATTTGCATTTCCCATTTTCATTTGTTTATTAACCCTATGAAATCTTTTAGGGAAGTAGCTGTTAAAGTTTATCCTGTTTTCTCTAATTGATTTAAGGTAATTCTTTATATATTTCAGATGTAAATCTTTTATTGGTTAAACATATTACAATTATCTTCATTTACACTCTACAATTTGCCTTTTTCTTCTCTTGTTAAACTCTTTCTTCTTTAATTCCCAAAATGTCTTTTAAATATGGTTACTGTTAAAATTCAATCAAGGAATTTGGCTGCAATGTCTCAAATATCTTTTTATCCAGGATACTCTCTACTATCTAATTTCCATTTATGTATGACTGACTTCTCAAAAAGAAAAAAAAAAAGCTTGGAGAAAGCTTTTTAACTAATTAGGAAATTATACACAATCTTCTATTTTTTTTAACTGAATACTCTAGAAATTACGTGTATGCTTAACCTGTGAAGTCTAATATTAATATTTAGCTTTATTTCCTTCTGGATAATGCCAGAACCTTAGAACTCTTCATCCATTTTTTCCCTTCCAACTGACTATTGTTGTGTATTTTTTAATACACAACAGGTGAGCCAAGGTAGCTCACTCACAGGACTGGCAAGTAGGTCCTGGCACAGTGAGAGCCTGGGGAGCTCTCCATGGCTGCCTGAGTGTCCTCAGAGCACAGCAGCTGGCTTCTCTCAAAGTGAGCAATCCAAGGAATCAGGAAAAAGCTGCAATGCCTCTCTCTGCTTCACCTCGGAAGACACACATCATCACTTCTGTGGTATTCTTGGATCACACCGTTTTGAACTGCACTAATTCACTGTGAAAGGGGATTAGAGAAAGGTGTGAATACCAGGAGGGGAGTCACTGAGGGCTATGTATCACACGTTAATTGGCCTGGCATGCTCCCCACTCGTGGCCTTCACAGTTACAGTTTCCTCCTGCTTCAAGGGTTTCTCCCCCAAATATCATATGGGCAGATCACTCGCTTCCTTTACATCTTCTACCCAAATACCTTTCAGCGAGGCTGGCCCTGGCTGCAGATCTAACATCCTAATAAACCTATCTATCCTCCATTTCACAACACTCCTTCCGACTTCACTCCTTCTCCTTCCCATTTATCATCACGCACAGGCACATAAACACATAACTTCTTTATCTTGTTTAATGTCTCCCACCTAGAATGTAAGCTTCATGTGGGTGGAGATTTTTCAGTCTTTTCCTCTCACTGATGTATCTCCAGCACCTAGAACAATGCCTGGCATACAAGACATGATCAATAAGTATTTGTTGACTGAACAGTCAGTCAAGGCTCAGTGTCTTCAGAATATTTTTTTTTTTTTGAGACAGTTTCACTCTTGTTGCCCAGGCTGGAGTGCAACGGCACAATCTCAGCTCACTGTAACCTCTGCCTTTCAGGTCCAAGCAATTCTCCTGCCTCAGCCTCCCGAGTAGCTGGGATTACAGGCATGCACCACCATGCCCAGCTAATTCTTTTGTTTTTTTTTTACTAGAGACGAGGTTTCTCCATGTTGGTCAGGCTGGTCTCACTCCTGACCTCAGGTGATCCACCCACCTCGGGCTCCCAAAGTGCTGGGATTACAGGCATGAGCCACCACGCCCGGCCCAGAATAATTTTTTTCCACGTGCCTTTTTAAAAGTTATTACCAAAATAGGCATGGTGATTTTTTGTATTTTTATTTGGTAAGTCTTATCAAATACATACCTCTTTTTAATTTGGAATGAGAACAAATGGAGGGGCAACAAATTAAAACAGAATTCTCCTCTTAACTTTCAAAATTACCTTAAATTGAGCAGAAATTTTAAAAATGCACAGGCCTATCAAACATGTTTTAATCAGATGGGTAAAAAAAAGCCTTGTCGTTCCATTTAAATGCACTATGAGGGTACGACAAATAGAAAGACTTGAATACCTGGTGAATAACATCAAGTATTTGATAGCACAACAGGGTGACTACAGTCAATAATAATTTTTTTTGTTTTGTTTTTTGAGACTGAGTCTCACTCTATCACCCAGGCTGGAGTGCAGTGGTGCAGTTATCAGCTCACTGCAACCTCCACCTCCCAGTTTCAAGCGATTCTCGGGCCTCAGCCTCCCGAGTAGCTGTGATTACAGGCGCCTGCCACCACGCCCGGCTAATTTTTGCTATTTTTAGTAGAGACGGGGTTTCACCATGTTGGCCAGGCTGGTCTTGAACTCTTGACCTCAAGTGATCCACCCACCTTGGCCTCCCAAAGTGCTGGGATTACAGGTGTGAGCCACCGCGCCCGGCCCAATAATAATTTAATTGTACATTTAAAAATAACTAAGAGGCCAGGCACGGTGGCTCACACCTGTAATCCCAGCACTTTGGGAGGCTGAGGCAGACAGATCACAAGGTCAGGAGATCGAGACCATCCTGGGCAACATGGTGAAACCCCTTCCCTACTAAAAATACAAAAATTAGCTGGGCTTGGTGGCGCACACCTGTAGTCCAGCTACTCAGGAGGATGAGGCAGGAGAATCGCTTGAACCCAGGAGGCAGAGGTTGCAGTGAGCCAAGATGGTGCCACTACACTCCAGCCTGGCAACAGAGCAAGACTGTGTCTCAAAAAATAAATAAATAAGTAACGGCTGGGCATGGTGGCTCACGCCTGTAATCCCAGCACTTTGGGAGGCCAAGGTGGGCGGATCACGAGGTCAAGAGATCGAGACCAGCCTGGCCAACGTGTGAATCCCTGTCTCTACTAAAAATACAAAAATTAGCTGGGCATAGTGGTGCGCACCAGTAGTCTCAGCTACTCAGGAGGATGAGGCAGGATAATCGCTTGAACCCGGGAGGCGAAGGCTGCAGTGAGCCGAGATGGGCCACTGCATTACAGCCTGGCGACAGAGCAAGATTCCATCTCAAAAACAAAAAAAAGGACTAACTGGATTGTTTGTCCTGCAAAGGATAAATTGTTGAGGGGATGGATAACCCATGGATACCATAATGCAATTATTATGAATTGCATGCCTTTATTAAAGTATCTCATGTACCCTATAAGTACCTACTAAGTACTCACAAAAATGAAAAAAGTAGGCCGGGTGCGGTGGCTCACGCCTGTAATCCCAGCACTTTGCGAGGGCAAGGCAGGTGAATCACCTGAGGTCAGGAGTTTGAGACCAGCCTGACCAACACAGTGAAACCCCGTCTCTACTAAAAATACAAAAAATTAGCTGGGCGTGGTGGTGGCACGCCTGTAATCCCAACTACTCGGGAGGCTGAGGCAGGAGAATCGCTTGAATCCAGGAGGTGGAGGTTGCACTGAGCCAAGATCACGCCACTGCACTCCAGCCTGGGTGACAGAGTGAGACTCTGTCTCAAAAAAAAAAAAAAAAAGATTATTTAAACCTTTAAAACTTGCTAGTAATGAGGCTATAATACCATATGCAAATATTTTAATATATAGCTATCATATTTTTCTTGCAATGTTCTTTATACATACTTGACAGCAGTCCAGCCCACCACAACCATTCCTTAAGATATGCATGGCCACCTTGACCTGTGAATGAAGAAATATTTCACATCTTTGGAAGACTGTAAGACTCTTGTATAAATTATAACTATTAGTAATGACAGATTTTTAAATATCTCAGTTACTCCTTTAAATAAAGGTTTCTGCATGACTCGGGATTTCTCTGACAATTTCTTAATGATTATCTTGCCAAGGTGAATGAATCCTTTACAAGCATACCCGTCATGAACAGTGAGAGCACCTCTTAGGACCAAGCATCAGGGACTAGGGGAACAAGCAGTAGATGCTGACAGTTTCTCCTCTGTCCACTGAACCCCATAGAGGCTATCATTTCATGTTTTTCTGACTGCTGAATTAGGTTTAGCCACAGAGATGGCACAGGGAAGACAGAAGGGTGGTACTGTTTCCTGCCAAGGCAGCTCTCCTCATAAGGTCCAATCAGGTCTAAAAATGAAGCCAGGATAGAATGATGGAATGTGACCATAACGCCACTTAACACCGGGAGCTACCACGAGTGTCCCTGATAGAGGAGTCAGGGCAGGGCCAATCATCCTGATTACCCCGCAGGGTCTTGTGACTTGTCAGTGATTTCTAGAGAAACAACCTACACCAGCCGAAGTTCACTAAACTGGATACTCTTCAAGCTGGGGAAGCCCAGTCTTTCCTTCCTGCCAAAATGTCGAAGTTCAAAGTCAGAACGTCTACTATCATGGACAAAAGATCCCAGCCTTTAATAAATTCTGATTTTAACCATGGCTTTTTTTTTTTTTTAGACGGAGTCTCACTCTGTCACCCAGGCTGGAGTGCAGTGGTGCCATTTTGGCTCACTGCAGAGGTTTCTGCCTCCCGGGTTCAAGCGATTCTCCTGCCTCATCCTCCTGAGTAGCTGGGACTATAGGCCAGGCCACCATGCCCGGCTAATTTTTGTATTTTCAGTAGAGATGGGGTTTCACCATGTTTGCCAGGCTGGTCTCGAACTCCTGACCTCAGGTGATCCACCCGCCTCAGCCTCCCAAAGTGCTGGGATTACAGGCATGAGCCACCACGCCCAGCCTAACCATGGACTCTTATTTCCTTCCCTGCAGACATATCAAAATTTAAAGAAAAGGTTGGATATTACTTGGGCATTGGTCCCTGTTTCCATTTTGATGATAACTGCAGGACTGAGTAGTTAACTAATTATGACATCTTCTCACTTCTTTTCTCAATATAAATAACCAAACATCAACTTTGTAAACATTTAGAACTCTTGAACAATTCAAAGTTTCAAATACACTCACGAGAAATGAAGATGTGGTCTTGTACAAAGAACCTGTGCATGTAGGTAGACACTGAGGTCACTTCAAAGTCACATAAGGCATAACCTACCTGCTCTCATAGAGCCTTTCCTGGCAAGTCGAAGGAGGCCCTTTTTTTTCAAAATGAAACTTCCTCCAATGAAAATGCTGGAGCTCATAGCCAATCCCAGACCAATATAGAAGTCATATTTTCCACGCCCCTGGCTCATTTCGTTTGTTACTTAAGGAGTTCCTGTGAATCACATTGATCACAGAACAGAGAAACCGCTGGTACTAGAGGCAGAATGAAGCAGTCTTCAAACCTAAACAATAAAAAATGAAATGTGGTTTTCACAGAATGCTCATGACAGCTCACATGCAATTCAAAATTTTACTCCATTTCTCTTCCCCTAAAGAAAAAATAGCTCCTTCATTACTAATATTGATAATATTTATTATTTAAATTTAGCACCAACCTGTATATTTCTTCAAATTATGGCAAAAGATAGGATCATGCTATAAAACCAAGTTTAAACTGATTTCATAAACTCTGATCCCATATTTTAAAAAAAAATGTTTCTAGCCTTAATAAAACTTTCTGATAAGAAAAAAAAATTCTGCAGAAAAAATTAGGCATAATATACAAATCTAGTTTGGAAATACATTTATCAGGTTCTCAAATGTGTCCTTTTGAATAATCTATACAAAGAAACTCAAAATTTTCTCACCCATACATTTTCTTCTTAGCAATAGGTGCACATAAGCATATGCTAATTTATTTATTTAGCCTATTCAGGGATGTGCTGAGAGAAGGCAGATTTCACATTATTTATCAGAGGGTAACAATTCTTGCAGAGAGGTGTCTGCTGGGGCGTGCAGTATGGTACCGGTGGCCTTTGGAGAACATGAGGACCATGGTATCTGGAGGGCTCAATCCTCGAGGCCAGACAGGAAGCAGAGGCTTACCAAGACTGCAATTGTTTTTCCAAATGGCCAACTCATAAACTCAGTTGACAGATGAACTAAAGCACAGTGTGGATAGCAGAGAAAAAATAGTTTTTAGCAACAAGGTTTATGATTGGTTCTAACTGCCAGATCAGCTTTCTAGCACATCTTGGGATTTTTAGTCCCACAATTTAACTTCGGAGTTCCAAAACTAATCTGCAATTCAGTCAGGACCCTAACTAGCCATGTTTTTCCGTTCTTCAAGTTATGAGACACTGGCTTTTAACCAAAGCAACTTAAACTCCCTGTCCACCTAGCCCCTCAATTACTTTATCCATCCATTCAAACAGTATTTACTGGATATTATGTGCTAAGCGTTTATTATGCTAAGCTCTCTAGCTTCACAAGGAAGACAGACAAGAGATAGTTAAATAAGGAGTGATAACATTACTGCAGGGAGACTGCAATAATGGTAAACACGACATTATCACACTGAGTTGATATTACTCCCAAGAAATGAAAAAGTCCAATGTTTTTGATTTGCCCATTAAGGTGCATTATCGTTCCTGTATGATTCAATGAGAAGACTATTCTCCCTCACCCCTGATTTGCCGCTTGGCCATCAAGCTTGCTTTGGCCAATGGGAGGGAGGTGTAAGGAACAGAGTGCCAGTTCTGAGTCTACACCTAGAGGCCTCTCTTACTTCTGCTTGCCCCTTCGCACCCTGCCATAGCCACAGGAAGTGCATGTCCTGATCACAACAGAGTGAAGGGTACAGAACAAAATCGTCCCAGTGACTCACAGAACTGTGAGCATGATCTAAGTGCTCATTCCTCTATGCCACTGAGATAGCTAACTCACACACACAAACAGGCTTACTGCAAGTATGAAGTTTCCACCCTGATTTTTGAAAAACCAAAAATTTTCTGTAGAAAATGGGGATTCAGTGATGGGTAAAAGCTGGGTGATGGGTACACAGGGACTCATTGTATTACTATATCTGCTTTTGTGTATTTCTGAACATTTCCATATTAACGTTTTTAAAATACAACCTTTAGTGCTCAAAAGGTACAAGGATGCCAAGGTAGAAACCACCAGCAAGTCCCAAAAGCCAGGTCACCCCACAACCTAAGACAAAATAATACTGAAACACTGGGTCGGGCGCGGTGGCTCACACATGTAATCCCAGCACTTTGGGAGGCTGAGGCTGGTGGATCACAAGGTCAGGAGATCGAGTCATCCTGGCTAACACGGTGAAACCCCATCTCTACTAAAAATACAAAAACAAAATTAGCCGGAAGTGGTGGCAGGCGCCTGTAGTTCCAGCTACTTGGGAGGCTGAGGCGGGAGAATGGCATGAACCTGGGACAGGGAGCTTGCAGTGAGCCGAGATCGCGCCACTGCACTCCAGCCTGGGCGACAGAGCGAGACTCTATCTCAAAAAAAAAAAAAATACTGAAACATTGAAAGAAAACACTCAAGTCAAAAAGGTGCTGAGTTCTTCTAAGTATCAGTCATAATCTCATGGATGAGACTGTCTACCCGAAAGCCTTCCAGAACTGACCTCTCCCTTAACAGATTTGGAAAAGTACCCCTAGTCCCTCTGTGCCATTCATAAGGCAAGATTCCATGAGAAAAGTCTTAGGTGGGGAGTTTGGAGACCCCGTCTTGCTTCCAGCTGGAGGTGTGATCTTGGATGAGTCACCACATTAACAGATATATACATAAAAAGAAAGAAGCTGAACAATCTAAGGTATTACCCACTTTATGTGCCAAATACTGGTCATCTCAAGCCTCAAGTTAACTTCAGCATATCTATGGAATAATTCTAGATAGGTGAGTCTCATTGACAGTAAAAATAAATTACAGAGATGTAAACACATTTAAAGACAAGGTAGGAGAACTTGAAACAAGATGTCAGGGACAATCATCATTTCTACACGCTGTAACATTGCAACAAAAAGCAGGTGTGCTTACACTGTTCCCACTGCATCCTGCATGGCTTGTTGATCTGTGTTTATCAGCCAGTCTCCTGCATCAGACTGTAAGCTCCTGGGCTCCTGCATGATATTCGCCCTTTTAGCCTATGCACATAGCTATCTGGTAGTCTCAAAATAGGTCTTAATGTGTGTTTTCTGGGTGAATATGGATGAATGGAGTAATTCTTTTTTTTTTTTTTTTTTTTTTTTTTTGAGACAAGAGTCTTGCTCTGTCACCCAGGCTAGAGTGCAGTAGCATGATCTCGGCTCACTGCAACCTCTACTGCCCAGGTTCAAGTGATTCTCCTGCCTCAGCCTCTGAGTAGCTGGGACTACAGGCACATGCTGCCATGCCCAGCTAGTTTTTGTATTTTTAGTAGAGATGGAGTTTCACTATGTTGGCCAGGCTGGTCTGGAACTCCTGACCTCGAGTGATCCGCCCATCTCAGCCTTCAAAAAGTGCTAGGATTACAGCCATGAGCCACCACCCCAGCCAAATGGAATAATTCATAATTAGCCCTTAAAAACAGCCAGATACAGTGGTACACACCAGGAGGCTGAGGCAGAAGGATTGCTTGAAACCAGGAGTTCAAGTTTAGCCTGGGCAACATAGTTATGCCTGGTCTCAAACAAACAAACAAAGCAGCCATTAATACACAGAAAACTACTGCATCATTTAGATTGGCATCCTAAAATGTAACCGATGTTTTATAGCTTTTAAACTTGAGAACCATAATCATTTATCCAATATGCTAGCAAGTGGCAGTACTAGATGGAAGTGAAAATGCAAGGAAAATGGTTATACGGACTACGAAAATGGGAGTGAGAAACCGAGCTACCCAAACGCTTCAGCCCTCCTGGCAGGTATATCCTTCTCATGAGTCAGGGTCACCTCACTTCAATGAAAGCATTCCTTAAGATCATCCAACATAAAAATCATCGACCAGGCGTGGTGGCTCACGCCTGTAATCCCAGCACTTTGGGAGGCCGAGGTGGGCGGATCACCTGAGGTCGGGAGTTCGAGACCAGCCTGACCAACATGGAGAAACCCCGTCTCTACTAAAAATACAAAAATTAGCTGGGCGTGGTGGCACATGCCTGTAATCCCAGCTACCTGGGAGGCTGAGGCAGGAGAATTGCCTCAACCAGGGAGGCAGAGGTTGTGGTGAGTTGAGATAGTGCCATTGCATTCCAGCCTGGGCAACAAGATAGAAACTCTGTCTCAAAAAAATAAAAATAAGATAAAATAAAAAAGATCATCTGACATAAAAATCATCGGCCGGGCACGGTGGCTCATGCCTGTAATCCCAACACTTTGGGAGGCCGAGGTGGGCAGATCACGAGGTCAGGATTTCGAGACCATCCTTGCCAACATGGTGAAACCCCATCTCTACTAAAAATACAAAAATTAGCTGGCGCAGTGGCGGGTTCCTGTAATCATAGCTACTTGGGAGGCTGAGGCAGGAGAACTGCTTGAAGCCAGAAGGCGGAGGTTTCAGTAAGCCGAGATCACCCCACTGCATTCCACCCTAGGTGACAGAGCAAGACTCCGTCTCGGAAAAAAAAAAAAAGAATCATCATCCTCCTTTAATCTTTGTCTTCATGAAGCAATGTTCTTAATTATCATGCAAGTTCTACTGCTGTGGAAGTGACTACTTGACAGCTGTATTGCTCACTATATACTTTAAGTTCTATGGTAATGGAACAAATCAAATTTATAGTCTGAATATTCTGTAAGCAATAAAATTGAACCTTCTTACCAATAAAGATGATATCCAGAAAAAAGTCAGGTTTATCTACAGTTCTAATCCCAGTATAACAATAGACTCACAAGGCCGGGCGCGGTGGCTCAGGCCTGTAATCCCAGCACTTTGGGAGGAAGAAGCGGGCAGATCACCTGAGGTCGGGAGTTCGAGACCAGCCTGACCAACATGGAGAAACCCTGTCTCTACTAAAAATACAAAAAAATTAGCAGGGCATGGTGGCACATACCTGTAATCTTAGCTACTCGGGAGGCTGAGGCAGGAGAATCGCTTGAACCCGGGAGGCAGAGGTTGTGGTGAGCCAAGATTACACCATTGCACTCCAGCCTGGGCAACAAGAGCGAAACTCGGTCTCAAACAAACAAAAAAAAAACAACAACAAAAACAAAAAACAACAGACTCACAAATCCAAATTTAAATAATAATAATAATAATAATAATAATTATTATTATTATTATTATTAATTTGGAGACAGGGTCTCATTCTGTCACCCAGGCTGGAGTGCAGTGGCACAATCATGGTTCACTGCAACCTCGACTTCCCAGGCTCAAGTGATCCTCCCACCTCAGCCTCTCAAGTAGCTGGGACCATAAGTGTGCAACACTACACCACCTGGCTAATTTTGGTATTTTTTGTCGATACAGAGTTTCACCATGTTGTCCAGGCTGGTCCCAAACTCCTGAGCTCAAGCGATCTGCCTGCCTCGGCCTCCCAAAGTGGTAGATTACAAGTGTCACCCACTGCATCCTGCCCAGATTTTACTTGTATCATGAACCTTTCAAATAACTGATTTGTAACTACTTAATTTACTAATATTTACTAACACTTAATGTTAACTTTCACTAAATGCAAGTTACATACATGTGGTGTAAGGTCTAACATTAAGAGCCAGTATTACATGTTGCCTTGACATCTGGTAAAAACCAGGAGCTTTTAATGGCCTCAGGGCAAGCTTCCCTCCCCAAGATGCCAAACAATTCTCATCACAGTGACCAGGCACAGGTACAGTTGCTGCTTATGCCTGAGGAGTAGGCCCCACTGCCCTGCCAGCCCAAGGAATTCTGAAAGCAATTATTAGTCTTTCTGCAGGAACCACAGCCACTCTCGTTACCACAAAGCCTTGCCTCCCGCAGCCCCTGGTTCTCCGTTCTATCCTAAGCGAAAGACTAAGAAACTTCCGTCCATCTCGTCTGTCCAGTGTCAGTACTGTGGGATGGAAATCCCTCTCTCGCTGACAAGGTGAAGAGGTGATTAAAACAATACATATAATGGAATTTTACTCATTTAATCCTAAGGCCAATGAACATTATTCCTAACCTTACTAAGGCTATCATATGAGATTTTCTCCATATTTATTTTACATAAAGTTTCATGATGCTATTTAAAATCTATTTTCCCCTTTCCCTTTTATTTTAATTTATGTGTTATGGGAAATTTCAAACACAAAAAGCAGAGAGAAGGCCTTTTCTGACCAGCTGGGTCCATCATGTGCATATGGCTTTCGAGAGTCCCCCTGGCCAGGCACCCCTCTCCTGCCCACTTCATTTCCTAACACAGAAACCTGACACCCTCAGACAGGCCCTCCCCTCCTCCTCCTCCTGCAACCCAAAGCCTGCTCTCCACTCAAGGCCAGGGTACACCTTAAGCTGTGCTACAAAGACTTCTGCAATTAACTCCAGCCCACAGGCATTTTCTCTTCTTTACTATTTAATTCTCAACTACTGTTCTATCTTCAAGGTAAACTCTTTAAGTTCCTTAAAAACAATTACTTAGGTTTTCTGTGGTGGTTTCCCCACAAAAGGCACTCATTTACGGTAGCAAATTTGATTTACAAATCTTTCTAGAATGAGGCATATCACCAAATAAGGTGATCTGGTTGTTTCTTCATGCATGGAACTGTACCAGGGTGTATGTGTGGAGGGCTGGGGGATGACAAGCAGCATACAATTTGCAAGCCTTCAAATTATAAAGCAGCCTTCTGCCACCAAGAAAATAAGTGATCTCATTCTGACTTACAGTTTGAAAATAGGACATCAGAGGGAATGTCCTGAAAGGAATGAGTTGCTTCACTATTCTCAGACCTGGTCCCACTCTGCTCCCTCTCTCTGTAACTGAAGGTCTATCACAGCCGGGAGAGCCTGCAACAGAGATATTTTTTCTTCTTAAGAATTAGCCATGAGGCAGGGCCAGTATTAAAGACAGATAAACAGTAAAATTTTCTAAATTTCACTTCAACTAGGTTCCCAAGCTCCATGTGGTTCACCTGCCCAGTTTACTTAGGGGGACTCGGGAGTAATCCGAACTGTGACCATTGCTCAACAAACACTGAGCAGCTATTATCTGCCAGGCACTGAAGTTGTAAAGATGATCAAAGGGCCTATCCTCAAGGACTCCACGACTAAGAGAATTAAAAATTCCAAAAATAACCTACTGACGTTTTAAACACTTTTAAAGAGTCTTATGATTTTCTGCTTATTCTGTGTGTGGGAGGGGAAGGGCTTTTTTGTTGTTGTTGTTGTTGTTGTGGTTTTTGACAGTGTCTCACTCTGTTTCCCAGGCTGGAGTGCAGTGGCGCGATCATCGCTCACTGCTGTCTCAAATGCCTGGGTTGCAGTGATCTCTGACCTCAGCTGCTCAAATCAACAGGACCACAGGCGTATACCACGACACCTAGCTAATTTTTTTGTTCTGCTTGTTCTCTCTACATTTTAACAAACTCTTTTTTTTTTTGAGTCACAGTCTTGCACTGTCGCCCGGGCTGGAGTGCGATGGCGCCATCTCGGCTCACTGCAACCTCCGTCTCCCGGGTTCAAGCGATTCTCCTGCCTCAGCCTCCCGCATAGCTGGGATTACAGACGTGTACTGCCACACCCGGCTAATTTTTTGTAGTAGAGACGGGGTTTCACTATGTTGGCCAGGCTGGTCTCGAACTCCTGACTTCGTGATCCGCCCACCTTGGCCTCCCAAAGTGCTGGGATTACAGGAGTGAACCACCACTCCCGGCCAACAAGTTCAATTTTCACAATTGATTTTACTAATATTTGTAATGTGAACTTTCATTAAACATAAAGCATGTCAAAAATGGAATAAATACATCTCAAATAAAAGAAAATTATGAAATTAGTCCACTTTCTTAAAAAATGTGGAAAACACATGATTTAAGAAACAGGCAAAAATGGACTAGTATTCTAATAAGGAAAACCTAAACTAGGACCTGCTTTGCAAAATGATTATCAGTAGGCAACACAATCACCAAAGTTAGCAAACTTTAAAAATTACACCAACTGGGCCGAGCACGGCGGCTCACATCTGTAACCCCAGCACCTTGGGAGGCCGAGGTGGGAGATCACCTGAGGCCAGGAGTTCGAGACCAGCCTGGCCAACATGGTGAAACCCCATCTCTACAAAACATACCTGGCCAACCTGGTGAAACCCCATCTCTACAAAAACATAAAAATTATTTTTTTGTATTTGCCATGAGGGCGGGTGCCTGTAATCCCAGCTACTGGTGAGGCTAAGGAAGGAGAATCTATTGAACCTGGGAGGTGGAGGTTGCAGTGAGCCAAGATTGCACCACTGCACTCCAGCCTGGGCCACAGGGCGAGACTCCGTCTCAAAAAAAAAAAGGAAAAAATTGAAAAAATTACACCAAATGAAGTGCATAGACAGCCTTAAACTTTTCACAGCACTTTTGACATTTCAACAAAGCCTTAATTAAAAAGATATGTGGTAAGGGCCCACAATGAGGAACCAGGTCCAGAGATTTTTTTTTTTTTTTTAGATGGAGTCTCGCTCTGTCCCCCAGGCTGGAGTGCAGTGGCGCTATCTCGGCTCACTGCAAGCTCTGCCTCCCGGGTTCACGCCATTCTCCTGTCTCAGCCTCCTGAGTAGCTGGGACTACAGGCACCCACCACCATGCATGGCTAATTTTTTTGTATTTTTAGTAGAGACGGGGGTTTCACCATGTTAGCCAGGATGGTCTCGATCTCCTGACCTCGTGATCCAACAGCCTTGGCCTCCTAAAGTGCTGGGATTACAGGCGTGAGCCACCGCACCTGGCCCAAGTCCAGAGATGTTAAGTAACACGTCACACAGCTGAGGTAGCAGAAGCAGAACTATAATCCAGGCCTCCTCATCTCTGCCAATCTCAGCCTTCTGCTGAAGAATTTGGAATCACGACCCCTGTTTGTAGCAAGAAGACCAAATTGTGTAAACTAGTAACAAAGACCCTGCATCATTTGTTCCAAACCTACCTTTTAGATCTCTCTTTTTTTTTTTTTTGAGACAGAGTCTCACTCTGTTGCCCAGGCTGGAGTGCAGTGACGCAATCTCTGCTCACTGCAAGCTCCGCCTCCTGGGTTCATGCCATTCTCCTGCCTCTGCCTCCCGAGTAGCTGGGACTACAGGCGCCCACCACTACACTAGGCAAATTTTTTGCATTTTTTAATTTTTTTGGATGCAGAGTCTCGCTCTATCCCCCAGGCTGGAGTGCGCTGGCGCAATCTTGGCTCACTGCAACCTCTGCCTCCCAGGTTCAAGTGATTCTCCTGCCTCAGCCTCCTGAGTATCTGGGATTACAGGTGCCTGCAACCACGCCCAGCTAATTTTTGTATTTTTAGTAGAGATGGGGTTTCGCCATGTTGGTCAGGCTGGTCTTGAACTCCTGACCTCGGGTGATCCTTCTGCCTCGGCCTCCCAAAGTGCTGGGATTACAGGCGTGAGTTACCGTGCCCGGCCAATATTTTGGGTTTTTTTTTTAGTAGAGATGGGGTTTCACCATGTTAGCCAGGATGGTCTCGATCTCCTGACCTTGTGATCCACCCACCTCAGCCTCCCAAAGTGCTGGGATTACAGGCGTAAGCCACCGCGCCCAGCCTAGATCTTATTTCCCCATACCATATTTCACACATCCTGTGTTCTACCCCGGTCAGCACTCTGCTGCTATTCTAACCTGCTCCTACCTTTCCTCCTCCATATTTGGTTGACACTAACTACCCCTCTGTTACGGTTACTTTGGTACTTAACTAGTACTGCCTTCACTGTGGCTCCCAGTGAACATGTGGCTTGCTTATATCATTTACTCAACCAACCAACGTTTACTGAGCATGTACAATATTCTAGGAGCAGGGGTACAACAGCCCACATGGGGTTATCTCCTGCTAGAGGTAGGGCGAAATAATAAACGAAATAAAGACATTATTCTGGAAAAGTGGCAAATGTTATGGTAAAAAATAAAACATGTGAAGGGCACTGGGGAGTTGAGTTGGGGGATTCTAATGACCATAGTTAGGAGGCCTTGCTGAGCAGTAACACTTGAGTAGAAGCTTCAAAGAGCTTTTTGAAAAGAACAAAGGAGAGAGAAGCAAGTGCAGGGGCTCTGAGGTATGAGCGGGTGTGCAGTTTCCTAAACAAAGGCCACTGTGGCTGACCTTGAGTGAGGGCAGGTGAGATACATTAGCGTGAAAAAGCGAGTGTCCGGCCGGGCGCGGTGGCTCACGCCTATAATCCCAGCACTTTGGGAGGTCGAGGCGGGTGGATCATGAGGTCAGGAGTTCGAGACCAGCCTGACCAACATGGTGAAACCCCGACTCTACTAAAAATACAAAAATCAGCCAGGCATGGTGGCGGGCGCCTGTAATCCCAGCTACTCGGGAGGCTGAGGCAGGAGAATCGCTAGAAACTGGAGGGCGGAGGTTGCAGTGAGCCGAGATCGCACAGCTGCACTCTAGCCTGGGCAACAAGAGCAAAACTGCATCTCAGAAGAAAAAAAAAGGTGAGTGTCAGATCACGTGGGGCCCTATGGGCCATACACAAACCCAAAAGGCAAGGAACAGATCTGCAACCCATTTATTTGGCCAGATCATAATTTATTTTCATCTGGAGCCATTACAGAACTATTTAAGTAGTTCTGTTTCAACTTCATTTACATAAAACAAATAGATATGCAGAAATGTTTAAGGATGCTCTAATCTAGTCTGAGGGGTGTATTTAATTCTACAACACAGATAAATCTTTGCAAATTGTGTATATTTGAGATTTATGTTATGGGAAACATACAGATACTAACACAGTTACCACAGTAGAGCAAATCAACATATCTATCATCTCATGTAGTTACTTTTTTATGACAAAAGCAGCTAAAATCTACTCATTGAAGGAAAATCTCTAATACAATTTCATTAGCTGTAGTTCTCAAGTTGTACATCCTGAATATCTGCTACTTTGTATCCTGTGACCTAAATCTCCCATTTCCTCTCCCACCCCCACCCCACCTTTTATTCTCTGCAGAAGTCTTATCTTTCTGTTCAATATCACAATGTATAGCAATCAAATAAATCAGTTTAAATGAAGCTTACACCATCTATAAAAAAATGTAATATTCAAAGTCATGTGTTTTAAATATGAGTAAACCATATTTACCTATTAAAAACATTCTGAAAATATGTGAAATTCTTTTTATTATCTCTCCCTAACAATAGCTACCACTTACTGAACACCTCCCCAGGCACTATTCCATGCATCATTTCTACTCATTTCTCTTCTACGCAATAAGATGAAGGTATCACTTTACAGCTAAGGAAACCTCCCAGGGGTAAAAAAGAGTCACATGCAGAGGACCACACAGAAAGGGACTTTACTTCTACACCCGGCTGCCCACATTACATTAACACTTTAGAGCTCTTAGGTCGGGCGCGGTGGCTCACGCCTGTAATCCCAGCACTTTGGGGGGTCGAGGCGGGCGGATCACCTGAGGTCAGGAGTTAAGAGACCAGCCTGGCCAACAAGGTGAAACCCCCGTCTCTACTAAAAATACAAAAATTAGCTGGGCGTGGTCGCCGGCGCCTGTAACCCCAGCTACTCCGGAGGCTGAGGCAGGAGAACCGCTTGAACCCAGGAGGCGGAGGTTGCAGTGAGCAGAGATCGTGCCACTGCACTCCAGCCCGAGTGACAGAGCAAGATTCCATCTCAAAAAAAAAAAAACAAAAAAAAAAACTATATATAGAGCTCTTAGTTTTCTACGAAATCTTTACTACCTGGTTTCCACTGCTATCTAAGTTAGCTTAGGCCCGGCTCGGTGGCTCACACCTGTAATCCCCGCACTTTGGAGGCCAAGGTGGTTGGATCGCTTAAGTCCAGGATTAGGAGACCAGCCGGTGTAACATGGTGAAACCCCGGTTCTAAAAAAAATACAAAAATTAGCCAGGCATGGTGCCGCACGTCTGTGGTCCCAGCTGCTGGGGAGGCTGAGGTGGGAGGAGCACTTGAGCCCGGGAGGCGGAAGTTGCAGTGACCCCAGATTGCACCGTCTAGCCTGGGGACTGAGCAAGACCTTGGCTCAGAAAAATTAAATACATGTTAGATTTAATTTTTTCCAACCTCTCACTTGGCTAATAATTTTTCAAAGCAGTACTGTACTTATAAATATTACAGAACCTAAATCTCCAACCCTAACTATGCAACAATATTAGTTATAAATTACAATTTTAACTTACATGTAAGTTTAATATGGTCTCTCTTATGAAAAAAAGGCTGGGAGAGGTTAGAGATGACTTATTCACTCTCATTTCCTCGTAAATACCACCCTTTATTCTCATTTAAAGTCTTAAACCCTGGCCGAGTAGCTCCAGCCTAGAAAGAAGAAAACACAGAAGTAGGCAAAAGACTTAAAGTTACTAAGTACGTTTTATAATTTGGTTACTAGCCTTCATACTCATTTTGCCAACCAATCAACATAAAACCTACTCAATCGAGCACAACTACTGCTTCGACAGGCAGCTTACTGGAATGGAAACTCTCGACTCTGATATTTCCTCTTACTAAAAAAAGTATTAACCGGGCACATGGCTATACACAGGATTTCTAGAAACAGAACTTAACATGCAGTCCTGTATTAAATGAACTAACAACCTAGAAAAGAAATTAAGGAGGCACAAACACCAAACTAAACACACAGTTTTGAGCAATTGTATAGAGAGGGAAATAGGATTCCGTGATTTTATAAAAGGAAATTAAAACAGCCAGGCTCAAAACGTCACAGCAGACTTCTAAGGCTTGTTTAACTGTCAGTTATGATCCCCGCAGCAGCTGAAGCCACCTTCTAAAACTCACCAAGACAAATGAAATTATTTTAATGAACTTAATGAACATGCGTCCCCGACATGGCCAACGAGCCAGGCTTCCGTGGGACTGAACGGCAATCCGATTCACGGTGGGTTTCCTCACTGAGGATTACAGGAAAACCGCTTCAGAACACCCGGAAAGGAAAGTTGCCCGAAGAACCCTTCTCCGACACAAGGCGGGCTGGCTCGCCACCAAGTCAGCCCCTTCGCGCTTGCCTGAAAGGAAGGAGTGGCGACCTCACCCTAGTCGGCCGGCCGGCCGCGCGGCTTCCCCTCGCCGGCGCAGCCTTGGGCACCGCGGCTCACACCCCCACACAGGCCGCCCAGTCCTGCGCTCGCACGGCCACCGCCTTCGTCGCCGTCCAGTGGGAGATGCGAGCATTCGGGGCTGAAGCCGTTCGCACCGCCTCCTCCATGGAGAAGCGCCGAGGAAAACCTGCCAAGGACAACCTCCGGCACCGCCGTCACCACCGCTGCCGGGACCTAGGGCCGGCGCCGGAAAACCTAGGCGCGGCTAAATGACGCAAGAGGCCTCGCGCGCACGCGCAGTGCCGCACCACGTACACCCCGCCCCCGGGGCTCTCTCCCGCCGGGTTCCGGTTCCTTTACAAGGCCCCAGTCGGCTGAGCGCGGAGGGCGGGGCGCGTAGAGTGTGGGGACGGGGGCGGGGCGCAGGATCCAGGCGGGACCTGGCGAGGGACGAAGCTGGAAGCGTAGTTAAGCAGTACAGTATGCTGCCAGGTGGCGTTGGCCGATCAGTTCAAAATCAAACTCCGGCGTGGCCCTTATTTAAAACGAGGATTCCGGGCCCGGCGCTGTGGCTCACGCCTGTAATCCCAGCACTTTGGGAGACCAAGGCGGGCGGATCCCGAGGTCAGCAGATCGAGACCATCCTGGCTAACACGGTGAAACCCCGCCCCTACTAAAAATACAAAAAATTAGCCGGGCGTGGTGGCGGGTGCTTGTAGTCCCAGCTACTCGGGACACTGAGGCAGGAGAAGGGCGCGAACCCGGGAGGCGGAGCTTGCAGTGATCGGAGATCCCGCCACTGCACTCCAGCCTGGGCGACAGAGCGAGACTCCGTCTCAAAAAAAAATAGAATAAATGAGGGTTCCGGCCAGGCGCGGTGGCTCACACCTGTAATCACAGCACTTTGGGAGGCCGAGGCGGGCAGATCACGAGGTCAGGAGTTCGAGACCAACGTGACCAACATGGGGAAACCGCATCTCTACTAAAAATACAAAAATTAGCTGGACGTGTTGGTGCGCGCCTGTAATCTCAGCTACTCCAGAGGCTGAGGCAGGGGAATCGCTTGAACTCGGGAGGCGGAGGTTGCAGTGAGCCGAGATCAGCCACTGCACTCCACCTGGGCGACAGAGCGAGACTCCTTCTCAAAAATAAATAAATAAATAAAATAAAATGAGGGTTCCCAGGGGCAGTCACAGTGTGAAGCTGCATTTAATTGGTGTCCCCGGGCGATGCCAAAGGGGAACAGAGCTCCCAAGAGGGCAAGAAGCGGGGGAAAGGGTGGGTCCAAAGCTGGGGGCGGGACGGGGCGGGGCCGAAATAGCTGTGGTAGTTCGACGACCGCTGGGCCCTTCCTTACTGACCCGGTCGCGGAATAGATGTGAGGTTGACGTTTGGTGAAAGCCCGCCTCGAGACACTGAGAGCAGATTGATTGAATGATTGATTTTGAGACAAAGTCTCGCTCTGTCGCCAGACTGGAGTGCAGTGGCACGATCTCGGCTCACTGCAAACTCCGCCTCCCCGGTTCAAGCGATTCTCCTGCCTCAGCCTCCCGAATAGCTGGGACTGTAGGCGCGCGCCGCCACGCCCGGCTAATTTTTTTTTTTTTTTTAAGACGGAGTCTTTCTTGTCACCCAGGCTGGAGCGCAGTGACACGATCTCGGCTCACTGCAACCTCTGCCTCCTGGGTTCAATGAAGCCATTCTCCTGCCTCAGCCTCCCCAGTAGCTGGGATTACAGGTGCACACCACCACGCCCAGCTAATTTTTGTATTTTTAGTAGAGATGGGGTTTCACCATGTTGGCCAGGCTGGTTTCGAACTCCTGACCTCGTGATCCGCCCGCCTCGGCCTCCCAAAGTGCTGGGATTACAGGTGTGAGCCACCACACCCAGCCAATTTTTGCATTTTTATTAGAGACAGGGTTTCACCATGTTGGCCAGGATGGTCTCGATCTCTTGACCTCGTGATTCACCCGCCTCAGCCTCCCAAAGCGCAGATTTATTTTTCATGAGATGTATAGGAAACTAACTGTTAGGCTATCCTGCCTTGGCTCCTCCTGGAAAGGAGAAATTCCTTGGGATCCACCAACGTGGTTTCTGCAAAAGTAGTCAAAGACAGAGCTCATTTGTAAGAAGCAAAGAGTAGCCAGCTAGAGTTAGATCTCCTAGTAAATCAATGATTCCTTGGTTGCAGGTGTAGAGTCCCTTAGGAATGTTGTTCCAGGTTGTGACTAGACACAAAAACACTATTATATGAAATTCAAATCATGTGGGGGGAGGATCTTTATAAAATGAATTATGCACTTTTTGAAACAAAACACCAAATATCATTTGTCCTTTTCAGGCTCTAATCCTATTGGACTGTTGTGTTCTAGACTGTATACACAGCCCCTGACCACTCTGGTTTTGGTTTAGGTCACTATGCAGCTTCTAATTTTAAAGCTTTTAATCTGCCGTGAGCCTAGCAATCATCTTAAAACTGGCTCAGAGGACCTATTACTTGCATCTCAGAACTGGCTCAGAGGATCTATTACTTTCTTTGGTCTCAGCCATGTTTTGGCTAGTTGACACTCTCAGATAAGGAATTCCATTGAATATTGAAAGACGGTTGACAAGTTGGTCTCAGGTGATGTGGTAGATTGATGAAAAATGGCTCCAATTTCCCACACATTTTGCAGTGACTTTGCAGCTCCCCTCTATTTCCTGAATCTGTACTGGCCTTGGGCTTTGGCCAAGAACATGTGGCAGTTCCAGACTAAATTATGATGCCTGGACTAGCCTGCTGGAGGAGGGGACCACATGGGGCAAGGCAAGCAGCAAATCCACCTAGGTAAATGCTGGCTGACTACCATTGAGACCAGCCACTGACCAAAACTGCCCCATTAACCCATAAACACATGAGGAAGGATAAATTACTATTGTCTGAGCCACTTATTTTGGGGTAGATTGGTATGTAGCAATAACTAACTGATACAGATGCCAACAAATACCTCTAGGACAGATGTCCCCAAGAGTGCGAACCTTATTGTGAATTGTGCATGCGAGGGATCTAGGTTGCACGCTCCTTATGAGAATCTAAATAATGCCTGATGATCTGAGGTGGGACACTTTCATCCCGAAAACATCCTCCCCGCGCCCCGCTTCCCCAGCGTCTGTGGAAAAATTGTCTTCTATGAAATCAGTCCTTGGTACCAAAAGGGTTGGGGACTGCTGCTCTAGGAGGCAGATGAGTAATAAAGTAGTGGTTTGTTCATATGAACAGGAATGCTTAGGTGTCGATATGTTAATTTAACCTAAGGAGTGACAACCTAATTTGCTTGTCACTCCTTTCTGCCAGCTGGAGCTCCACCTCATCTAATCAGCTTTCTGTCATTATCTGGACCTCCCACCGGACACCTCCCCCGACACTGCACAGTGCATTGTCTTTATAAGTCTATATATACCTTGCTAATATGCTGCAGGCTTCTTACATGCCCACATCACTTCTCCAGCCCGTGATGTTGTACATCTTGTATACTCTGAGTGTTCAAGCAGTTGTCATGAGATATTTTTAAGGTTTTAAAACTCTAACTCCTTCTCATACACTACTGGTGGAATTGTAAAATGGGACAATTTCCTTGGAAAATTGGTTGACAGTTTCTTAAAAAGTTAAACATACACCGACCAAATGACCTGGCAGTTCTACTCCTGAGTATTTACTCAACAGAAATGTATCCATAAAAATACTTGCAGGCCGGGTGCGGTGGCTCACACCTGTAATCCCAGCCCTTTGGGAGGCCGAGATGGGCGGATCACGAGGTTAGGAGATTGAGACCATCCCGGCTAACACGGTGAAACCCCGTCTCTACTAAAATTACAAAAATTAGCTGGGTGTGGTGGTGGCGGCACCTATAGTAACAGCTACTCGGGAGGCTGAGACAGGAGAACAGCGGGAACCCGGGAGGCGGAGCTTGCAGTGAGCTGAGATCGCACCATTGCACTCCAGCCTGGGGAACAAGAGCAAAACTCCTAAAAAAAAAGCCTCAAAAAAAAAAAAAAAAAAAAAAAAAGGCAGGGGGATGAACTATTGATACATGCCTTAACATAGCTGAGTCTCAAAATAATTAGTAAGTGAAACAAGCAGACCAAAAAAACAGTGTGTACTCAACGATCACATTTATATAAAAGCCTAGGAAATGGAAGCCCATGTATAGTTACAGAAAGCAGATGAGTGGGCCCCTAGGAGTAGAGGAGGCAAGGAGGGTGAAGGGATTACAGTGGGTCAAAAAGAAACTTTGGTGTGATGGGGATGTTCGGTGTTTTGTTTATGGCAATGTTTTCATCATAAGACACTTGTCAAAACTTACCAAATCACACATTTTATATATGTGCAGTTTATTATATGTCAATTATACCCCAATAAAGCTGTTGAAATCTTGTCATTGTTACAGAGGCACAGAAGCAAGAAGTCTGGCCTGTGCTTCTGTAACAATGACAAGACTTCAACAGCTTTAAAACAGTATTTTTAAAAATCATGTATTAGGAAATCAAATAGTTTTCTTATGTATAAATTGTTCCCCAATTACTCTTGTATGTTTTGGTTTTGTTACAACAGAAGCATCAAAACAGCAAAGCAGATGATCATTTTTTCTTTACCTCAACCCCTATCACTAGTTAAAATTGCCCTTTGTCCTTCCAAAATGAATAGTGGCATTCCCTGTTGCGGGAAGTCAGGGACCCCCAAAGGGAGGGACCGACTGAAGCCATGGCAGAAGAACGTGGATTGTGAAGATTTCATGGACATTTATTAGTTCCCCAAATTAATACTTTTATAATTTCTTATGCTTGTCTTTACTGCAATCTCTAAACATAAATTGTGAAGATTTCATGGACACTTATCACTTCCCCAATCAATATTCTTGTGATTTCCTATGCCTGTCTTTACTTTAATCTCTTAATCCTGTCATCTCGTAAACCGAGGAGGACGTATGTCGCCTCAGGACCATGTGATAATTGAGTTAACTGCACAAATTGTAGAGCATGTGTGTTTGAACAATATGAAATCTGGGCACCTTGAAAAAAGAACAGGATAACAGCAATTGTTCAGGGAATAAGAGAGCTAACCTTAAACTCTGACCACCAGTGAGCCCGGCAGAACAGAGCCATATTTCTCTTCTTTCAAAAGCAAATGGGAGAAATATCGCTGAATTCTTTTTCTCAGCAAGGAACATCCCTGGGAAAGAGAATACATGCCTGGGGGTGGGTCTCTAAACTGGCCCCCCTGGGCATGGCCGTCTTTTATGGTCTGTAGACTGCAGGGGTGAAACAGACCCCAGTCTCCCATAGTGCTCCCAGGCTTATTAGGAAGAAGAAATTCCTGCCTAATAAATTTTGGTCAGACCGGTTGCTCTCAAAACCCTGTCTCCTGATGTTATCAATGACAATGGTGCCCGAAACTTCATTAGCAATTTTAATTTTGCCCCGTCCTGTGGTCCTGTGATCTCGCCCTGCCTCCATTTGCCTTGTGATATTCTATTACCTTGTAAAGTACTTGATGTCTGTGACCCACACCTATTCGCACACTCCCTCCCCTTTTGAAAGTCCCTAATAAAAACTTGCTGGTTTTGTGGCTTGGGGGGCATCACAAAACCTACTAACATGTGATGTCTCCCCCGGACGCCCAGCTTTAAAATTTCTCCCTTTTGTACTCTGTCCCTTTATTTCTCAAACCGGCTGATGCTTAGGGAAAATAGAAAAGAACCTACGTGACTATCGGGGCAGGTTCCCCAATAATTCCCTGCCATTTTAAAGCATTTCTATTATATGAATACTTTTCAATTAATATTATTTGGTTTATTCAAGGCCATCAATGACCTACAAATGTAGTAGGGCATTTTCCAAAACATTTGTTGGGGTTGAGCAGGGAGAAACTTTCTGAAAAATATAGGAATAACTCAAGGTGAATTGAGGTAGAACAGTGGGATAGTGATTAAAAGCCAGGAGTTGGCTTTTGTGAACTGCCTCACTTGGTAAAATGGTAAGTGGATGTGGTAAGCAGAAAGCCCAAAGATATCCACGTCCTCACCTTGTAACCTGTGACTGTGCCACCTTCCATGGCAAAAGGGGCTCTGCAGAGGCAACTAAGGATCTTGAGAGAGGGAGCTGACCCTGGATTGTCCATGTGGGCCCAAAGCAGTCATGAAGGTCCTTCCAAGAGGGTGACAGGAGTGTCAGAGTCAGAGAGTAAGCTATGATGATGGATGAGTGGCGAGAGAGATGACATTGCTGGCTTCAAAGATGGAGGAAGGAGCCACGAGGCAAGATACAAAGGCGGCCTCTAGAAACCAAAAGAGCAGGGATGAGACTCTTCCCAGGAGCCTCCAGAGGGAAGTAATCCTGTCTGCACCTTGATTTTAGCCCAGCAAAGCTTGTGTGGAACTTCTAACCTCCAGAATTGTAAGATGATACGCGTGTGTTGTTTTAAGCTACAAGGTATGTAACTTGTGAAGAGCCGTAATAAAAAACTAACACAATAAGTATGCCAAATTAAGGGAAGGAGAAGATGCTGGGATCCCCCCAATGTCTTTGTCAAAAATAAAACAGATTCAGTGTTATAGATGAGCAACCTGGTCTGACCTTCTCTCCACCCTCTGGTCCATCATCTCAGTGATTTTCACACTCATTATGTTTACTTGGTCACCACCACCGCTGTCCTGCTTGCCACCATCCAGTTCCACACCTCTCTCTCATGTGCTCGGCTGGAATGAATCCTGTCCTCTTTGGACTGGTAATAGAGAGGTACCTAGATCTTTTTTTTTTTAGACGGAGTTTCGCTCTTGCTGCCCAGGCTGGAGTGCAGTGGCGTGATCTCAGCTCACCGCAACCTCTGCCTCCCGGGTTCAAGCAATTCTCCTGCCTCAGCCTCCCGAATAGCTGGGATTACAGGCGTGCACCACCACGCTCAGCTAATTATGTATTTTTAGTAGAGACAGGGGTTTCTCCATGTTGGTCAGGCTGGTCTCAAACCCCTGACCTCAGGTAATCCACCGGCCTTGGCCTCCGAAAGTGCTGGGATTACAGGCGTGAGCCACTGTGCCTGGCTGCAGAGGTACCTAGATCTTTTATATCTGTTTCTTGTCTGTGTCTCACCTCTCCAACTAAAAACCTTTTTAAAACTATCATGTGAGATTCAAACTAATGGTGAACAAGTAAGTGTGACTAATACTACAACAAACATGCTGACAATGTCAAAACGAAGGGTCATCAGATGGATGGGATGGATGTAACTAAGCAACACAGAAATTCTAGAACAAGTCCCTTGCAGGGAAGGCTTGGCTAGCAGCCAGCACAAACTACTCTATAGTAGTAACCAACCAATGCAAGCTTTTGTTCAATGACAGCAGAATTTGGCATTAATACACTTCACAGCCCCAAAAACCTATCTGGAGTTATCCATAGATGCATTTGGTGATTTCATAAAATGTTTGTTCTTGTTTTCTGTATAAGTATACTTTGATCAAAATGTGAATAATTAAATCTTTTGGGATAGAGACTAAGAAAAAAATCTTACTCATTTTTTCTCATTTGATAAAATAACTTATAGGACACCAGTCTGAGCAACATAACTAGACCCTGTCTCTACAAAAAAATTAAAAAATTACCCAGGTGTGGAGGCACAGGCCTGTAGTCCTAGCTACCGGGGAGGCTGACGCAGGAGGGTCGCTTGAGCCCAGCAGTTTGAGGCTGCAGTGAGCTATGACTGTAAGAGAGTGAGACCCTGTCTCTCAAAAAAAAAAAAAAAAACCAAAACAAAGAAAATTATAGGACACTAAAGAAGATCAGCAACAAGATTTCTAATGATGCTTGAAGTATGAAAATGCGTTATAATTGTCTCATTTTCTATGGGCTAAAAATGTAAAATGATATGTTATACAACTCAAAAACATGTCAAAGGTACTAACATATTAAAATAGAGCTGGTTTTATTTAATACTATCACTTCATTGGATCAAGAGACAGTCGCAGGACAGGGAATTTCTGCATACATCATGGATTTGCTCCCTAAGGTAGATGCACAGGTAGACGGTTTCTTTTTCTTTTTCTTTTTTTTTCCAAGACGGAGTTTCGCTCTTGTCGTCCAGGCTAGAGTGCAGTGGCACGATCTCGGCTCCCTGCAACCTCCACCTCCCGGGTTTAAGTGATTCTCCTGCCTCAGCCTCTGGAGTAGCTGGGATTACAGGCACACACCACCACGCACAACTAATTTTTGTATTTTTAGTAGAGACGGGGTTTCACCATGTTGGCCAGGCTGGTCTCGAACTCCTGACCTCGTGATCTGCCTGCCTTGGCCTCCTGAAGTGCTGGGATTATAGGCGTGAGCCACCGCACCTGGCCTTTTTTGTTTTGTTTTGTTTTGTTTTTGAGACGGAGTTTTGCTCTTGTTGCCCAGGCTGGAGTGCAATGGTGTGATCTCGGCTCACTGCAACCTCTGCCTCTCAGGTTCAAGTGATTCTCCTGCCTCGGCCTCCTGAGTAGCTGGGATTACAGGCATGCACCACCACCTCTGGCTAATTTTGTATTTTTAGCAGAGACAGGGTTTCTCCATGTTGGTCAGGCTACTCTCAAACTCCCGACCTCAGGTGATCCGCCCGCCTCAGCCTCCCAAAGCACTGGGATTACAGGTGTGAGCCACCACACCTGGCCCACAGGTAGACATTTTCTACATTGTTATAGAGATCTAGAGGCTAGTCATTTCTGTCTTTTTTTTTTTTGAGATGGAGTCTCGCTCTGTTGTCCAGGCTGGAGTGCAGTGCTGTGATCTCGGTCACTGCAACCTCTGCCTCCCAAGTTCAAGTGATTCTCCTGCTTCAGCCTGCTGAGTACCTGGGACTACAGATGTGCACCACCATGCCTGTCTAATTTTTGTTATTTTTTAGTAGAGATGGGGTTTTACCATGTTGACCAGGCTGGTCTCAAACTCCTGGCCTCAAGTGTCCCACCCGCCTCAGCCCCCTAAAGTGCTGCGATTACAGGCATGAGCCACTGCACCCAGCCTAGGCTACTCATTTCTAAAAAGAGAATAGGAAAAATGGGAGGAACTGGGATGATCTGGAACCTGAGACTACATAAGCATTTCAAGTAAAGGGAAAAAAAAAAATCAACAAATGTTCAGCTAGAAATAAGTTATTTTATTTTAAAACACATACAGATTAATAAATATTACTGGAAAACTTAATAGCCTTTTTATTTACATGAGGCAATAACAACATGCTATGACTACATCTATAAAGCAAAATATAAGCAGGTCTTGGCCACTGACACATGTGTCTATGTATGCTAATTGGAAGCTCCCCAATACATGTCTATGACAAAACTTTTACACAACCAATCAACATTTGACATTTTTTACATCTTCTTCCTCTCATGATTATATTCCATTTTCAAGAAAATAATAGTTATCCTTTGAAAAGGCAAAACGCTCAAGCCACTGAAAAACAGTATCTAAATTTCTGTAAAGTGCAAAAATACTAAGGTGGGGGGCAATTATTATATTCTGACAAATAAATATTCTGAACTTTTCAACATGACCCTTTGGCACTAGTGGTTTGGGAGCCCTGACATTCGCCTGGTGTCAGTTCAGCATCAGGGTTGAGCTGCTTGGAAGCAGGAAGTTCAGCGTCATTTATTACAAATCCAGTGCAACAGAATCCACGTGTTTCACAGGCCATTAAATCTTTTTCAGAATACAGACCTCGGCCGAATGTCAGGAGCACATCACACCATCGGAAGGTGATCTTTCTGTGCGGCTTTCTGAAGTCCCTGTTTAATTTCCATATTTTACAATAGAACATATAAAACCCTTTCTTTTAAAACAAAAAAAGGAAAACTAAAGCTTCATGGAATCATGCAAACTTTACACCCAGCACTTCCTTTGCTTTCTCAGCGCATGAGGCTGTGTGTCCTACAGCATGGTCCTGAGCAGACTCCATGGTCCGTGCAAGCGGAGTTTCCACTGTGCCACTCCCAGGCACTTCTGAACACGGTGCTCTCATCTCAGGCCACCAGAACACTGCTGAAAGTGCCGGTGTTTTAGAAACAATTTGAAGAACCATCCCACCCCTTTAGAGGTAGAAAAACTGAGGCACAGAAAGGTTAAGAGACTCACCTATGTTTGCACAATTTAGGGAAAAATAGAGAAAAGAAGAAAAACATCCTCCTCCCTGGCTCATGCTCTGGGCCCTGGATTCTGCTTTTTAAATGCTTTTGGGTACATGTGAAATAGATGTTTATTTACATGATCCTTGTTCTACTGAATATCAACTTTTTACTAGACAACATATTTTGATGTAACAAAGTTACATTTTCTTAAAATATAATTATGTTGTTGCACGTGAGGAATGTGAATGAAACAAATGAGTCGTGGTAGTGGGCCAAATTCTCACTGCTGTTCCTGTAATTCTGAACCTTTTCAAGTATACAATGGAGGTATAAGAATCTGGCCAGATGTGAAACATCACCTATAAGCTAAAGGACAGACCCTTAAAATTCATCACCAGTACAATTGTGAGGTGGAAATGAGGAATACAAAAAATTGAGGTATTTTATATGATAAACTGTCTTGTGGTGTGACTGGTGTACAAATTGGTCTTTTCTTTCCAACTCACATTAACAGAATCTACCTATGAATATGAGTAAAACCTATGAAAAATGAACACGGATATGTCCTTGGGAGGAAGGTCACTGTTAAGGAGTCAATGATACATTTTTGGTCCCTGAGAAGGCAAAACACCAAGACTCCATCCAATCCCGCCTGATGGACGAACAACGCCCTCGGTGTCAGACACCATGAAAAGAACAACTTCAGAACACGGAAGCTAATCCATGCTGTCGGGAACAGACCTTACACTGAAATGTTCTCTTTCTAGTTTCCTGCTTGGTGGCAGGAAGCCTAAGTCAGCATCGAGCAGGTGTCAGGTCGAAGCGGCACAACGGGAGGGGCTCTGGGAACCACCGGAGTACTCTCTCCCCTCTTCTGGGTTAGCTGAGCAGCTTGAAGAAGAGGAATCCCCCGACCAGACAGAAGGGCAGCAGCCTGTGCCCATCACACCTGTTTCCACGGACCAGGTGTCCGTGCACACCTGGGAGACACTGCATCTCCAAAGTCTAGAACTGGCCCCTAGAAGTTGAGCACAACATTTACAAAGAGCTGAGTCATCTAGGAAGAAGGAAAATAAGACGACTGCACAAGTGAACAGTGCTCACTTCTACCAGAAAACAGATGTGAAATCCAAAGAAGAACAAACACCAACATATTACCGCTGGGATGAACTTCTGGAAAGACAACTGGGTGTAGTAAATTGGCTTGAAGAGCAGGAATTGAAAGAATATTCCTTATTGCTGAACAAAGAGCTGCGAAGTATATTCACTAACATTCTGATAGGAAAAGATCTCAATGAGAGCTGAGCAAGGCCACCAGAATACCAAATTCCTCCCCAAAGTCCCCAGCATGGGCAGGGCCTCACTCCATGTGGCACTGGAAGGACTTCCCTCCCCAGCACCTTCTCCACAGAGATGGCATGGTCCTGCCAGCCGGGAAGATGCTCCAGGGGGGCTTTGTGGTGCTGGGTTAGGGTTAGAATCCTTAATTGGCCCTACCTTTGATCAATGAGCAGAACAGGAAGCAATCCTTTCAAATGCAAATATTCAGAGGAGAAAACAAGGCATTGCCCAAGAAGAGGAGAGAAATAGCCTATTTAAGTATCTATCAAGAGAAATCTGCATATTGTGATCAAAACCTTTGATTTTAGAGGATGCTTGAAAACAAGTATACAGTAAGCATCTTTTTTTTCAAAGAATAGTATGATAATGAAAATATTTCAAGTACATGTACTTTTGGAAAGACCACTAAGAGATCTATCCATGTTCTAGGCCCTCCCCCAAAGTTCTCACTTTGGGGCTTTTTCATTTTCAAATGAATGATGAAAACATAATTTTTTAAAATAAATACTATCAAATCAGAAGTTATATGCTCTATATTAAATTTGAAAATTAGACTGTTCAACCACTGGTCATGTCATTTACTTTGAGGCTGGTGTCACGTGCTTGAAAAACAATGGATGATATGAACTTTGTTTCACTGGAAGAAAAGCTATGTATCCTACTGAAGTATCTGCTGAACAGAGGTAAACCTGAAAGATTCTAACTGTCCCAGGACCAGTCACCTTCAAGGGTAGAAGAGCTATTAATACTTTTGAGATTTTGTTTTACTCTAAGAATATTATAGAGAAGATCATCGGGTATCACCTCTCAGTATCAATGGTATAATTGTGGATTAAAATATACTAAGGTACACCAAGAGCTGCCTTTAAACTAAATTTCCCACAAAAGCTGTAGCAACACAAACATGATCATTTTCATGTGACACATGAACTTTCTCATTACACTTGTTAGCCACATGTATTCTTTGAATATCTCACACCCCTTACCTAGGAAACTATTTTTATGCCCAAAAGTATATTGATACTGCTACATTACGTTTTCAGAAAGTTCAGTTCAGTAAGTTAAGGCCTGCATTTCTAAAAGCACTGATGATAAAACACAAAACCTGCAAGAGCCAATAAAAAGAGTAATGGACTTTGAGCATTTGTTAACCATCCATTAAGAGAGGATTTAAGATTTTTAAAAAATAATGTTGTTGCTGCTCTCAGTTCACAAATCACTGACAACCCATGATCATCACGTACACTTTTACTCCATAAAGGTATTTTTCTCTCTATATTAAACTAGTCTCATCTTATTTAGCCTCTTTACTCAACACTTTAGGAAGCTATTCCTTGAGACTTTAGAAATGTTCTTTTTGCCTACAAAAACACATTTTTTTTTCTTACTGAGGAACTTTAATTGGGTACTATTCAATTTTATGTTCTACTTCACCTAATCTACTTTACCCAACCCCATCTTTCAACTTGGCGTAGTTCCCTGCTGAGATAAAACACTGGCCATGAAGTACATGATACCGTGGTGAAATATGTGCATCACTTCATGCTATGCTCCCATTTGGAACACATGGATGGGAACACTATAGACAGAGAATGACCTCTTTGATTCAAATACTGGCATAATTAATGGCTCTTTTGCATTTAAGACACATAATGAGAGGTTAGCTGAGGAACTCTAGGATGCTCTGCCATTGCAAACAACAAGGAGATGGCTACATTTATTGGCTTTTTGTTAGAAAATCTTTCAAAAACTGCATATTGCAATTTGTAGAAGCTAGCCTAACCTCAATTGTGTCCTTTAACTTGTTCCTGTATGACAGGGTACTCGATATATGAGCTATTGAACAGGTACTCTCCCACTTAGCCTTATTATCAAGTTACCTAATTTATTTCTTCTGAATGGCCATGAATGCTTGCTGATAAAGAATGTGGATATATTTGATACTGGATCCCAGGTAACACAGATCGAATACAAATAAAATAATACCTCATGCTACTTAAATCAACTGTCTTTAATTGGACAATAATCACATGTTAAAGGGGTCAATTTGCTCTAATGTGTCTTTAGTCTTGACTATCTTCCAGTGAATATACAGTCATGAACCACGTAACCATGTTTCTGTCAAAGACATACCACTTACATGACGGTGGTCCCATAACATTGTAATACCATAGTTTTACTGTACCTTTCCTATGTTTGTAAACACAAATACTCACCACTGTGTTACAATTGCCTGCGGTATTCAGTGCAGTCACATGCTGTACAGGTGTGTGGCCCAGGAGCAACAGGCTGTACCATCTGGCCTGGGTGGGTCATAGGTGTCCCATCTAGGTTTGTATAAGTGCACTCCATGATGTTCACACAATAAAGTCACCTTACAATGCATTTCTCAGAATGTTTCCCTATCATTAAGTGACATGTGACTGTATTATTTCTAACTGCCTTATACATTTGTAACTTGAATATTGAAATATTAAAGCATACTCGAAGTTGCATTATTCTAATCTAAGAACATATACACATTAAGAGTCAAATTAAGTTAATAATTCAAGTGATAAAGGCACTGAAATTGATTTGAGCTATTGAAAAGTCATCCTGCCAGTGGAACACTACCTCATGTTCATTAACTCTTCTCTCTCTCTCTATTTACTATTAAAATGTCTTGGGTGGGGGTGGGGGTCGAAGAGTCAACTTGTCAGAGGATTAAAAACAATTCAATGTATATGCCTCTTATTTGGATGACATACTTGAATGTTATACATGCTTAATGCAAACTAACACAACTACAGACACATTCACTGTACAGTGCCAGAGTTCAAGACAACAATCTCTCATTCCCAAAGTAATCTAAGTAAAAATATCTCTGCTATCATGTAACAACTAACCAGAAAGAGCCCATCTTTTTCTGTTTAAATAATGTTAAAATGTTTTAAAGGAAGAGAATATTCATGAAAGCTTCCAGGTTAATGGAAATGAAAATGAGATTCGTCTCATCAGAGAGAGATGGTGCCAGGCAACCGTTGGGGACGTTTGGGCTGCAGAGGGCTGGCTGGGCCTCTGCTCTGGTGCTGAGCCATGCTCCCCGCTATCCACCAGACCACCTGTTACTATCCAGTCAATTCTAACACCATGATCGAGGACCTCTTCTACTTCACATCCAATCACGGCCAGAAACCACCTCCAATGCCTATTCCTCGAACCATCCAAGCTCCTATTGCAATCTAGTCTGTTTTCATATTAGATTTGTTCATCTCCCCAAGGTTGAAATTGAACTCTTTGAACACCTGTATAAGGACAATCCCCACGGAGACGGTCGTGAATCCACAGGCCATCCCCAAGAAGTCCACCAGGCCCACGTTGCTCCACTCCCGGAAGAGGATGGCTGAGGCCAGCAGGACCAGCGTGGTAAACACGACGTAGTAGATGGCCCCGAACACCGAGGAGTCGAAGCACTCCAGCGCCTTGTTGATGTACCTGAACTGGACGATGATGCTGCAGCCGAGCACGGCCAGGAGTACCAGGCACAGGCAGAGGGCTCTCTGACTGGACGGGTTGTTATGCAAGATGTCTTGGGCCGCCAGCCCGATGCCCTTGGTGGAAGGCACGGTGAAACTGCCCAGCAAGGAGCAGATGCTGATGTAGACCATGATGTTGGTGGGCCCATGGGCCGGCGCGATCCAGAAGATGAGCAGCAGCAGCATGAGCAGCACGATGCACAGGTAGCCCACAAACACTGGAACACAGACAGCACACAGTCACCCAGAGCCACCGCCTAGCAGCCGCAACCCAGGAGGTGGACTGGGGCAGCACCCGGGCCCCCACCCGCCACCCGCCACCGGCCTCTACTGCGGCACAGCCCTGGGGAGCATGTGGGCTCTGGCTTGAATTTACCAGACCCACTGATTTCATTCCACAAAAGTATTCCCATCATTTTCACTGTTAAAACATTTACAGCCGGGTTAGCCAGACGCAGTGGCTCATGCCTGTAATCCCAGCACTTTGGGGGGCCAAGGCAGGTGGATCATGAGGTCAGGAGTTCAAGACCAGCCTGGCCAAGATGGTGAAACCCCGTCTCTACTAAAAGTACAAAAATTACAGCGCGCCTGTAATCCCAGCTACTTGGGAGGCTGAGGCAGGAGAATCACTTGAACCTAGGGGGTGGAGGTTGCAGTGAGCCGAGATCAAACCACTGTACTCCAGCCTGGGTGACAGAGCAAGACTCCATCTCAGAAAAAAAAAAAAAATTTACAGAAGGGCACAATGGCTCACACCTGTAATCCCAGCACTTTGGGAGGCCGAGGTGGGCCGATCAGGAGATCAATACCATCCTGGCTAACTTGGTGAAACCCTGTTCTCCACTAAAAATACAAAAAATTAGCTAGGCGTGGTGGCATGCACCAGTAATCCCAGCTACTCAGGAGGCTGAGGCAGGAGAATCGCTTGAACCCGGGAGGCAGAGGTTGCAGTGAGCCGAGATCACACCACTGCACTCCAGCCTGGGCGACAGAGCAAGAGTCCATCTCAAAAAAAAAAAAAAAAAAAAAAACCATTTACAGCTCCTAAATGTTTACATGGTCCTCTATTGGAACCATTCTCTTTTTTTCTTGTTGTTTGTTTTGTTTTTTTGAGATGGAGTTTTGCTCTTTGTTGCCCAGGCTGGATTGCAATAGCACGATCTCCGCTCACTGCAACCTCCACCTCCCAGGTTCAAGCGATTCTCCTGCTTCAGCCTCCTGAGTAGCTGGGAATACATAAGCACCCGCCACCACGCCTGGCTATTATATTTTTAGCAGAGACGGGGTTTCGCCATGTTGGCCAGGCTGGTCTCGAACTCCTGACCTTAGGTGATCCGCCGTCCTCGGCCTCCCAAAGTGTTGGGATTACAGGCGTGAGCCACTGTGCCCGGCCTAGAAACATTCTCTTAACAATACAAGTGAATGGAGATGCTCCGAGGTTTCAAAAAAGCACCTGGGAATCCAGGGGGCAGGGGTAAGGCAGGGGACAGGAGGGAGGCCTTTAAGCTGTGGGGGTGTTTGTGGGTTTTGCAATGATTGGGGGCTGCATCCAGTGGGCAGAGGCATGTGCAGACAGCAACCCCCACCCCCATCAAAAATCATCCCATTCTCGTCACAACTGCTGAATGTCTCCTCGGACTTGTAACTGAAAAATATGCCTATAATAATCAGAGCCTAGAAACTATTTTATGTATGAAACAAAGTAATTTTTGCATGGATTTAATATATGCTGAATTTTTCAGACATGTCACTTCCATGTAAATTGAGGGAGGATTGTTCTTTGATCAAAACTTCATTAAGAGTTATGCTCCATCTGAGGATCATTTTGTTGATAGCAAGACCTCAAGTGTCCAAGTCAATAACATTACACCCCCACGTCAGTCTATATCTGCAGCTACCAGATTCTCAACCACTCCTCACAAGGTGTGGGGTCGGCCAGCTTCAATAGGTCTTCTCTTATAGTGGGACCTGAGCATTTACATATTGAAAGGGATGTTTTGTTTTAAAGTATTGTCCTGGTATTTCTCCTTTATATTACAGTTAGGGCATTAAATTGATGGTTTGAACTTGTGTGTATAAGGAGGTTGTGTTTTCCATGAAATCCATTCCAACATCACAAATGGACCTGAGAGGGCTGGGAACTGCTGGCTATGCAAACCAGCAAGTGTGGACATGCAAACCAGCGAGTGTGGACAAGAAAACCAGCGAGTGTGGACAAGAAAACCAGTGAGTGTGGACATGCAAACTAGGTGTTAACATGCAAACCAGCGAGTGTGGACATGCAAACCAGGGTGTGGACATGCAAACCAGCCAGTGTGGACAAGAAAACCAGTGAGTGTGGACAAGAAAACCAGCGAGTGTGGACATGCAGACCACCGAGTGTGGACAAAACCAGTGAGTGTGGACGAGAAAACCAGCGAGTGTGGATATGAAAACCAGGGAGTGTGGACATGCAAACCAGCGAGTATGGACATGCAAACCAGCGAGTGTGGACATGTAAACCAGCAAACTGATGTGGAGGCAGTTTTGTGCTGGAACCTGCCTAAACTTGTTGGTAAGCAACACAGGGTGGTCTACTTAAAGTGAAATCTATACTTTAAGTCTGTTGTAATCATGTAGATAGTAGTTTTTAGTGTATTTATCAAAATAAAAAAAGGACGGGCATGGTGGCTCACGCCTGTAATCCCAGCACTTTGGAAGGGCGAGGTGGGCGGATCACGAGGTCAGGAGATCAAGACCATCCTGGCTAACATGATGAAATCCCATCTCTACTAAAAATACAAAAAAAATTAGCCGGGCATGGTGGCAGGCGCCTGTAGTCCCCGGCTACTCAGGAGGCTGAGGCAGAAGAATGGCGGAACTCGCAGTGAGCTGAGATCGCGCCACTGCACTCCAGCCTGGGTGACAGAGCGAGACTCCGTCTCCAAAAAAAAAAAAAAAGAAAAGAAAAGAAATTATGTCAAAAGATATATAAACAGGGCTATATGAGGAATCTAAACTTAAGAGATGCCAGGTCTTTGTTCTCACAGAGCTTCACGCTGGAGGGAGTGAAGTGCTGAGGTGGAGATAGAGTGGGCAGGGTACACCAGGAAAGGTATGTGGGGAGGGGCGGGTGGCAGTCAGACTTGGGAGGGTGGCCCAAGGGGAGCCACTGTGGGAAGGGAAGGCGCCCATGCACAAGGCCCCAGAAGAGAACCCGAAGGAATACCAGGCCACGGAGGCTCCCCGCAGGGCCTGAGGATCAGGCGGGAGGGTGAGGGCAGAGGGCTAGCCTGCGAGCACAGCCCACTGATGCACGTTCCCAGAGAACACAGATCTACAGTAACAGATCAGGGTGGACACACGGTTCCTCTGCCCTGCCAGGAAGCATCCAATTTGAAGACGTGGTTAAAAAAGTTGGCACTCCTACTGCAAACTTTCTTGGCAGTGCTGCTAGAAAGGAATTACCTGGATTGGTCAGCTTTTCCTCCAGCTCAGCCTGAGTCGTCACACTCTCAGACTTTGGGGAGTGGATAATCAGCACGACGGAGCCTGCACAGCTTAGCAGGCACCCCAACTTGCCCAAGATGTTGAGCTTTTCCTTCAGGAGATAGGAAGCTAAAATGGACCTTTATTGAAAAAAGAGAAATCATTAAAGTTTAAACCAAACTACCTGACCTTTCTTCTAACAGCAGATATTTTATCTAGAAAAACCATTTTCTTTTTCTTCTTTTTTTCCCTTTAAGAGACCACCTCCCACTCTGTTGCCCAGGCTGGAGTGCAGTGGTGCAATCACAGCTCACCACAAGCTTGAACTCCTGGGCTCAAGTGATCCTCCTACCTCAGCCACCGGAGTAGCTGGGACTACAGGTGCATGCCACCACACCCAGCTAATTTTTTAAAAATTTTGTGTAGAGACTGGGTCTCACTAGATTGCCCAGGCAAGTCTCAAACTCCTGGGCTCAAACGATCCTCTTGCCTTGGACTCCCAAAGTGCTGGAATTATAGGTGTGAGCCACCATGCCTGGCCAGGATTTTCACACCAATTCCATGTATAACCACTACGTAGTTAATGATACACATAACTTACACCACTATATTACTATGTCAGCACATATAAAATACACCAGAGTATAAAAAGTTTTATGACTGACCAAAAATAAAAGTAATGCTTCCTTTCTTATAAAAGGAACCAATCAAAAATACTAATATCTATGCTACATGGAAAAGTAGGGTACAAAAACTGTCAAAATAATTATAAGTAATGCATGATAAAAACAAAATAAATTAAGTGAAAAATGCACAAACAAAAGAAAAAATAAAAATGCTAATAGTAATTGCAGTAGTAGAAGTAGTATGGGGTGGCTATTTCCTCTAATACTGAAAACTTTTAAAAACTGGTCACATTATTAATGCAAAAAAATGTATTCTTCAAAAACATCTATAATCTCCAGGCTTCTAACTTGTTTCTTCTCTTATTTCCCTGTGTAATTATCAGTATACAATCTGAATTGGAACACCTTGCCCTCAGTAAGTCACAGGACTGGTCATTGTCACTTTACTCATGTCTGTGCTGAAGACGATCAGAAAACAGGAACATCCGGGAGGAGGGCATACCAGGCTCAGGTATGGACCGGATTACTTCCTTTAATACCTATTTTAAAGATAAGGAAACTTGAGCCTCAGAAAGGGTCAGCATTGAACCTAAGGCCACAAAGCTAACAAGAGATACAAGCACGGTCATGACACACCCACAGGTCCTAAACGGCCTACTTTTCCCTTGTACCACTTCACATCCTTGTCCCTAGACAGCCTGTTCTTAAGAAGCTCCCAACAGTGTCATTGGGGAAATAAGCAACATCACTGAAAGAAACAACAAAAGACATGAATACACAACTAGATGTTAAATAGAGAAGCTCCACCGAGTAGCTGCCTGGAAAAGGAGAAACCAGAAATGCAGGGGGCTCACAGGGCAAAAAGTGGGCCTGGAACTGGCCTCGGACAACGGGTGGACTATGCCAAGATGGGAAAGGGTTGCCATGCACGAAAGTGGACAGTATGAGCCACGAGGCCAAATCATCTCTTATTCCATTGTGGAATACCAGAGGACAGTGCCATTTTCATTCATTCATTCATTCATTTATTGAGACAGAGTCTCACTCTGTGACCCAGGCTGGAGTGCAGTGGAGCAGTCTCGACTCACTGCAACCTCTGCCTCCCGGGTTCAAGCAATTCTCCTGCCTCAGCCTCCCGAGTAGCTGGGATTACAGATGCCCGCCACCATGCCCTGGGGGATTTTTGTATTTTTAGTAAAGACGGGGTTTCACCATGTTGGCCAGGCTGGTCTCAAACTCCTGACCTCAAGTGATTCACCCGCCTCGCCTCCCAAAGTGCTGGGATTATAGGCATGAGCCACTGCGCCTGGCTGACAGTGCCATTTTTAAATTGGGTTATCTGACTTTTTACTGATGCACTGTAAGAGTTTCTGTTTCGTTTTCTTTTGTTGAGACAGAGTTTCCCTCTTGGTGCCCAGGCTGGAGTGCAATGGCGCAATCTCGGCTCAATGGAACCTCCACCTCCTGAGGTCAAACAATTCTCCTGCCTCAGCCTCCCAAGTAGCTGGGATTACAGGCATGTGCCACCACACCAGGCTAATTTTTTGTATTTAGTAGAGACGGAGTTTTACCATGTTGGCCAGGCTGGTCTCGAACTCCTGATCTCATGATCCACCCGCCTCGGCCTCCCAAAGTGCTGGGATTACAGGCATGAGCCACCACGACCGGCAAGAGTTTTTATGTGTTCTAACTACAAGTCCCTTATCAGATATATACTTTGAAATTTTTTCTCCCACGAGTTTTCACTTCATTGATGGCATCCTTTTAAGCAGAAAGGTTTTTAATTTTGATGACATCGAATTTATCTATTTTCCTTCTGTTGTTTGTGCCCTTCGTGATCCACCTGCCTGGGCCTCCCAAAGTGTGGGAATTGAAGGCATAAGCCACTGTGCCTGGCCAGTTAAATTTATTCTTAAGTATTTCATCATTTTGGTGCTACTGCATATGAAATTGCTTTCTTAATTTCATTTTTGGTTCGCTCACTGCTACTGTATATAGATGCAATTTTTTTTTTTTTCTTTGAGACACAGTCTCGCTCTGTCACTCAGGCTGAAGTGCAGTGGCACGATCTCAGCTCACTGCAAGCTCCGCCTCCCGGGTTCACGCCATTCTCCTGCCTCAGCCTCCCGAGTAGCTGGGACTACAGGTGCCTGCCACTACGCCCAGCTAATTTTTTGTATTTCTTTTAGTAGAGATGGGGTTTCACCGTGTTAGCCAGGATGGTCTTGATCTCCTGACCTCGTGATCCACCCACCTCAGCCTCCCAAAGTGCTGGGATTACAGGCATCAGCCACTGTGCCCAGCCGTAATTTTTTTTTTTTTTTTTTTGAGACGGAGTTTCGCTTTTGTTGCCCAGGCTGGAGTGCAATGGCCCGATCTCGGCTCACTGCAACCTCTGCCTACTGGGTTCAAGCGATTCTCCTGCCTCAGCCTCCCGAGTGGCTGGGATTACAGGCATGCGCCACCATGCTTGGCTAATTTTGTATTTTTATGAGAGACGGGGTTTCACCACGTTGGTCAGGCTGATCTCGAACTCCTTACCTCAGGTGATCCACCCACCTCAGCCTCCCAAAGTGCTGGGATTACAGGCCTGAGCCACTGCGCCTGGCAGATGTAATTTTTTTTTTTTTTTTTTTTTTTGAGACAGAGTCTCACTCTGTTGCCTGGGCTGGAGTGCAGTGGCACAATCTCGGCTCACTGTAACCTCTACCTCCTGGGTTTAAGCAATTCTCCTGCCTCAGCCTCCTGAGTAGCTGGGACTACAGGCATGTGCCACCACACCTGGCTGATTTTTTTTTGTATTTTTGTAGAGATGGGGTTTCACCATGTTGGCCAGGCTGGTCTCTAACTCCTGACCTCAGGTGATCTTCCCGTCTCAGCCTCCCAGAGTGCTGGGATTACAGGAGTGAGCCACTACGCCCGGCCTCAGATGTAATTTTTATATAGTGATCTTGTGTCCATCGACCTTGCTAAACTTATTAGTTCTAATAATTTCTTAGTGATTCTTTAGGACTCTCTATATAAGATCAGGTCCTCTGCTGGGTGTGGTGGCTCATGCCTGTAATCCCAGCACTTTGGGAGGCCAAAGTGGGTGGATCACCTAAAGTCAGGAGTTCAAGACTAGCCTAGCCAACATGGCAAAACCCCATCTCTACTAAAAATACAAAAATTAGCTGGGCGTGGTGGTGGGCACCTGTAATCCAAGCTCCTCGGAGGCTGAGGCAGGAGAATCACTTGAACCCAGGAGGCCGAGGTTGCAGTGAGCCGACAGCACACCACTGCACTCCAGCCTGGGTGACAGAGTGAGACTCCATCTGAAAAAAAAAAAAAAAAAAAAAAAAAAAAAGGCTGGGTGCGGTGGCTCACACCTGTAATCCCAGCACTTTGGGAGGCCGAGGCAGGCAGACCACAAGGTCAGGAAATCAAGACCATCCTGGCTAACATGGTGAAACCCCGTCTCTACTAAAAATACAAAAATTAGCTGGGCATGGTGGTACGCGCCTGTAGTCCCAGCTACTCGGGAGGCTGAGGAAGGAGAATCACTTGAACCCGGGAGGTGGAGGTTGCAGTGAGCCAAGATCACACAACTGAACTCTAGCCTGGTGACAGAGTGAGACTCTGTCTCAAAAAAAAAAAAAAAAAAAAAAAAAAATCAGGTCTTCTGCCAATAAAGGCAATTAAATTCTTCCTTTCCTTTCCAATATGGATGCCTTTTAATTTGTTTGCTTACCTAATTGCTGTGGCTATAACATCCAGTACAATGATGAATAGATGAGGTGAAAGTAGGCAGCTTATTTTCTTCCTGATCTTAAGGGGAAAACATCAACCCTTGTGCCATTAAGTATGATGTTAGCTGGGGTACTTTGACAGAGGCCCTTTGTCAGTTTAGGAAGTTATTTTCTATGCCTAGCATATTGAGAGTTTTCGTCATGAAAGAGTATTGAATTGTACCACATAATTTTTGTGTGTCTTTTGAGATGATCACATGGTGATTATTCTATTGCTGTGGTATATTACACTAATTTATTTTCAATGCTAAATCTACTTTGCATTTCTGGGATAAATCCCACTTGTATAATCCTTTTTATATATTGCTGGATCCAACTGGTTAGTATTTTGTTCAAAATTTCTCCATCTATATTCATAAGAGAATTAGTTCATAGTTGTTTTTTTAATGAGCTTTATCTTTTCTTTGTTTTTTTGGGGGGCGGGGGAGGGACAGAGTTTTGCTCTGTCACCCAGGCTGGAGCAGTGGTTCAATGTCAATTCACTGCAATCTCTGCCCCTCAGCCACCCAAGTAGCTGGGATTACAGGTGTGTGCCACCACACCTGGATAATTTTTGTATTTTTAGTAGAGACAGGGTTTTGCCATGCTGGCCAGGCTGGCTGGTCTCCCTGGGTTCAAATGATCCACCTGCCTTGGCCTCCCAAAGTGCTGGGATTACAAGCATGAATCACACTGCACCTGGCCTAGATCTTGTACTAGAAGAAAAATAACGGTATAAAAGATAATGACATAAAATAATGGCATAACAGGTCAATTGTCAGAATTGGAATATGGAGGTTGATTTGATACATGTATCATAACAAGGTTAAATTTATCGAAATTGATCACTGTACTGTGGTTATTTGGAGAGAATCTGAATATCTCTACTCTTAGAAAATACTAATTGATGTGTTCAGGGGTAAAGAATCATAACTTATGCTAAAATGGATTTTTTTTTAAAAACAGGAAAAAAAAATCACATCATATTCATATAGAACAGTGCTTCTTGACCAGGGGTGGTTTGCCCCGCAGGGGACATCTGCCAGTGTCTGGAGACATTTTGGGGAGGTTGAGTGCTACTGGCATCTGGGAGGTGAAGGCCAGGATGCTGCTAAACACCTCACAATGCACAGAATGGCTCCCTCAACAAAGAGTTATCTGGCTTCAAGCATCAACAGTGCTGAGACTGAGATACCCAGATACAGAGAAAGTGTATGATGAGGCAAGTGGGTAAGATGTTAGCAGCAGGTGTGTCTGGGTAAGGGGAGATGGACATTGCTTTGGTTATACTTAATCCTGTTTCCTTTCTGTAATTTGAAAATATTTCCCAAAAGTTTTTTAAACCTCTTTCTAAACACAGCATGTACAGATGATTACTTTATCATACATTACACTATTACAGAAAGAAATGAACCTATTTGGGGGCTCTCTATTCTATTCACTGCTACACAGACTTATTTTTCCAGTGCCACATTCTTTTCATTTCTGTTTCTATGTAATTCCAGCAACCCCATCCCATTATCAAGAACAGAACTGCTTTTAAAATATACATATATACATACATATTGGCCAGGCGTGGTGGCTCAGGCCTGTAATCCCAGCACTCTGGGAGGACGGCGGGCGGATCACGAGGTCAGGAGATCAAGACCATCCCAGCCAACACGGTCAAACCCCGTCTCTACTAAAAATACAAAAAAAATTAGCCGGGCATGAACCCAGCAGGTAGAGCTTGCAGTGAGCCGAGATCGTGCCACTGCACTCCAGCCTGGGCGACAGAGCGAGACTCCGTCTCAAAAAAAAAAACAAAAAAAAAACTCATATATACATACATATATGCACACTTTGATAATCATCTTTGATTGTTTTTTTCCAAATTAATTTTAGTTTTATTCTGTTTAAAAGAAAAGGTCTTACTGGGATTCCAAGTTGAAGACAGGCTTTTTATCCAGAACACCATCTGACATGGTTCCTACAGTGAGTAACACCTGCAGATGTGGAGCAGTGAACATTTCTGGTGAAGTGACTTAATCATCAAAGTGCATGAGAACAGTTCTAAGGAAATTAACTGAGCAAAACATTTTAGTATATGTGCATTCAATGTGCCACGTGCCAAGATCACCAGGTCAGGTTGTTTATCTGCCTGATTATCTTTCAGGGGGACGGGTCACAGAAGCTGGAGGAGTGTTTCCCAAAGTGAGAACACTCTTGCCCTCCCAGCGCCTCAGAGCCATCCGAAACACAAAGGGACACCAAGCCACACATGATAGCAGTGTATGTGTTCACGAGAAAAATGTGCCACACACACATTCTCAAGGCGTCGCATGTGAAAAACATGGTATTTAGGTCACAGAACCTTAATGCCTACGTGACTCTAAGGTGTAAACTTCAATACATCCATCATGGACACACTTCTCTGCAAGGATTTGGGCATCTGTCTGGAATACAGCAGAAAACCAATGTATCCATGAGTTAGAAACTTGGATTTTATTTCTCTTCTACCCTATTTTTATTTCTAATGATTTCTTCAAAGACAAATCAGAATATAAATAGGTTCACACGAGGATATATGTTATTTAATAAGTATCTCATCAATCATTTTCGCAGTAAGTAAACAGAGAGTCCAGCTGCAATGTTTGATGGCTTGCAGCCCTCCAGTTCCCATTTCCCCCCTTTCCCCTTTGCCCCACAACTGGGCAACCTTATAGGAAGCTTACTCATGTGTATCAATTAAAAAGATGATTTAAAATGGAGAAATAAAATTAAAAAAATAAATAAAATGAAATTAAAATTTAAAAAGAAGCCTGCGCACACACTGGGTCCCTGGAGTCCTCAGTTCCCAGAGTCCTCAGTCCCTTGGCATGGGCAAAAACTTCACTCCATGCCAGCCCGGCCTAAGCATGCAAACCGCCCCCCAGCCCACCCCACCACCTAACTACAATAAAAATCCAAAGGTCCCCCTCACTCGTCTCACTCAGAACCAAACCCGGGACCTTCTCCTAAGAAAATCCATGTGCTATTGACTGCGTCAGTCATAAATCCTATTTCACATCCATTGATGCCGTGTATTATTCATCCCAACCTCTGTAATTTCCTGGGCTGAGGTGGGGACTGTCCGGCATCCAGCAAGGAATGCTAAGCACCCCAATAAAACACCAACTCAGTCATTTTGCTTAATGAGTTCTCAGAATAACTTGCCAAGGTGTCAGAAGACTCTCTAGTCTCTAAGATGTACTCCAGGACAACGACCAGGAGAATGAGAGCATCAGATTCACTGATAAGCAGGAAAAATGAGTGACAGTTTCAAATATACTAAATATCTAAGAAAAGGGTTAATACTACCCAGAACTACATTTGAAGGGATAAAATTAAACGATATAGAGTAGAATACTGAAGATCTATCTTCTTTTTTTTTTTTAAGGCAGAGTCTCGCTCTGTCTCCCAGGCTGGAGTGCTGTGGTGCCATCTCAACTCACTGCAACCTCTGCCCCCCAGGTTCAAGCAATTCTTGTGTCTCACCCTCCCGAGTAGCTAGGACTACAGGTGGTCGCCACCATGTCCAGCTAATTTTTCATATTGTTAGTAGAGACAGGGTTTCACCATGTTGGCCAGGCTGGTCTTGAACTCCTGACCTCAAATAATTCACCCTCCTTGGCCTCCCAAAGTGCTGGGATTACAGGCGTAAGCCACCATGCCCGGCCTGAAGATCTATCTTCTATTACAATTTTGCTCTTATTACTTTAACAGAAACATTTAAAATGAAAAGTTGTTATATCTACACTACACATTAAATACCAAACACAATCTTGGCTCTCACCCGAACGGTACTCCAAGGGCGCCCAGGGGGGTTACCAGGACCGTGGGGACCGCCGTGTAAGCCAGGAAGTTTCCAATCTGGCCAACAGCCACTGTCAAGAAAATCACAAGGATACTACTTGCAATTACAGAGCTCTCTTCCAGCACTGATCACAGTTGAATTACGCTAGGCTCTGCCCTGAAAGGGCTACTTCATTCACATTACTTGTGAAGAATCACATCTGGGGTGTCATCTGCACATTTAAGGGGTCAGGGGTCAGGAACCACACCTTCACTGGTCCCATCAGTCGGGTGAGTAGGTTCAGCCCTCCATGGAAATGCCGAACCTAACCAGCAGTGACTGAAATGGGCGCAGCACTGGGCATATCTCCGCTCTCTTAACACATCCTTGTTTTCACACAAATCAGGCAGAACTTCCTGTGCACCCTCTAGTGGCCTGGGACCTACTCTGGCATAGGCAGCTGGCCACGGTGACAGGCCACTGGCATAGCAAGAGGATACAGTACTGCCGCACAAGACTGCAGCAGGGACATCACCCAGATGGAGCTTAAAGAGGAGCTCTTCAAGGAACAGAATTGGTATTGCCACGTAATGTCGTATTAAAAGACAAATGTGACAAACAAAGTACATGATGTTTCTTTTTTTTCTTTTGAGACAGAGTCTCACTCTGTCACCCAGGCTGGAGTGCACTGGCGTGATCTTGGCTCACTGCAGCCTCCACCTCCCAGGCTCAAGCAATCCTCCCACCTCAGCCTCCAAATAGCTTTGAAAACAGGTGCATCCCACCATGCCCAGGTAATTTTTGTTTTTGTACAGACAGGGTTTTGCCATGTTTCCCAGGCTGGTCTTGAACTCCTGGGCTCAAACAATCCACCTGTCTCAGCCTCCCAAAGTGCTGGGATTACAGGCGTGAGCCACCATGCCTGGCCAAACATAATATTTCTGAATTTCAAAGACAATTGTCCTTTATAATACATTTAGAGTTCTGAACTCTAATATTATTATTTATCTTTACATTATAGCACATGACCTGATCTTTGACTCATGAAATTCTCTGTTAAACCAACTGTGCTGAGAAAAACAAGGCAGCCTAACATGGAATTTCACCAAATGCCAACAGCCCGACTACATGAGTAAGCAGGAGCTGTTTTAATTTCTTCGGGCCCAGGACAGATCAGCCTGGACTGAATTCACGGCTAATCGTGGGCAGCAGGGGCCTCCACCAGCTCCTAACTTGTCCTTCTGCACTCTCATCCTGGGAGGAAGGGGAGCAGGGAGAGTGCCCTGGGGAGGCAGGGACATCCGAACTGAAAGGCACGCTTAGGGCCTGGGGAGAGGCCACGCGACACCCTCTTCCAAAGAACAGAGCCACCCTAGCCCAGCCACTCCAGCCCTGCCCAGACCAGTGATGGATTCTAAGAAAGGAAAAGACCAGACTTCGCCACACAGGCTACTTACTTGCGATTGTGCCAGCCCACCACACAATGTCTGTTAAATAGGAAGTACCTATAAAAAATGAGATAAAAAATGTCAGAAAAGTGGGTTTACCAGCTACGTATATCAGGAAGAGGTTTACAAGCGAGAAACTTTTGACATGAAAACTAAAATTGAAAAGAATGAATGTCATACTGTTTATTCACCCTAAAGAGAATCTTTCATCTATAAATGGCAGCATTAGAGACCACCGAAAGTGGCAAAGTCAAGATATTTTTTGCAACCAACACAGGCTGACCCAAATAAGGAAATGAGATCTTTATACATCAGTTTTCTTTCACCCAACAAGCTACCACAAAGATATTCCTTTGATGGAGTTTTATTTTTATCTCAAAAGGGTTTGAGTCTTTAAAGTCCAACTCTCTCATGCATTTACTGTAGTCCATTTATATAAGAATTTTATTATCATAGGGTTTGACTTCCTGCTTAAACAAGTCACTCAATTTTCATTATTTATAACTCTTCTGATACGACTCTTCTTTCAGCCATGCGGGAACCACATCCTTACACTCACCTGATGCTCTGACATTTGACCTGAGACTTGCCGGCATCCTCTCAGGTTACCCCACCCATCCCACGCAGGGCAGGCGGAGCCCCAGCACCTTCCTCCCTCCCCCTGCCTCTTGACAGGTGTGTATGGTGAGAGGTCTCCCAACCTTTGAGACAGGTTTGTCCTTCAGATATGGCAAAATGCTCCTAAGCACTTTTTTTTTTGAGGCAGAGTTTCACTCTTGTTGCCCAGGCTGGAGTGCAATGGCGCGATGTCGGCTCACCGCAACCTCCGCCTCCTCCCAGGTTCAAGCGATTCTCCTGCCTCACCCTCCCTAGTAGCTGGGATTACAGGCATGTGCCACCATGCCCAGCTAATTTTGTATTTTTTTTTAGTAGAGACGAGGTTTCTCCACGTTGGTCAGGCTGATCTTGAACTCCCGATCTCAGGTGATCCGCCCACCTCGGCCTCCCAAAATGCTGGGATTACAGGTGTGAGCCACCGCGCCTGGCCTTTTTTTTTTTTTCAGACAGAGTCTCACTCTGTCACCCAGGCTGGAATGCACTGGTGCGATGTTGACTCACTGAAACCTCCACTTTCCGGGTTCAAACAATTCTCCCGTCTCAGCCTCCCGAGTAGCTGAGACTACAGGAGCATGCCACCACACCTGGCTAATTTTTGAATTTTTAGTAGAGACGGGGTTTCACCAAATTGGTCAGGCTGGTCTCGAACTCCTGACCTCAGGTGATCCGCCTGCCTCAGACTCCCAAACTGCTGGATTACAGGTGTGCAGCACGCCTGGCCTGCTAAGCATTTTTTGAGGAGATTTTTTGTTGTTAACCACAGATTACAGTAATGAATTCTTTTTTCCTTTTCCTTTTTTTGAGATGGAGTATCACTCTGTCGCTGAGGCTGGAGTGCAGTGGCACGATCTCAGCTGACTACAACCTCCGCCTCCTGGGTTCAAGCAATTCTCATGCTTCAGCCTCCCAAGTAGCTGGGATTACAGGCGTGCACCACCACGTGCGGCTAATTTTTGTATTTTTAGTAGAGAGGGGGTTTTGCTATATTGGCCAGGCTGGTCTTCAATTCCTGGCTCCAAGTGATCCACCCACCTCAGCCTCCCAAAGTGCTGTGATTACAGGAGTGAATCACCGTGCCCAGCCACAGTAACTAATTCTAATTGTTTTTATTCTCAGTAGGAAAACCACAATTTGGTATAAGACACATAGCCTGCTAGCCTGCTTAATGGAGCAGCAGAGCTACAAGTATTAGAAAAAGTACTTACAAAATGAAATGGGGGCTGGGCCCGGCGGCTCACACCTGTAATGCCAGCATTTTGGAAGCCTGAGGCAGGATGATCACTTGAGCCTAGGAGTTCAAGGTCAGCCTGGGCAACATAGCAAGACTCTATCTCTACAAAAAATTTAAAAATTAGCTGGGTGTGGTGGTGCATGCCTGTGGTCCCAGCTATTCAGGAGGCTGAGACAGAAGAATCGCTTGAGCCCAGGAGGATGAGGCTGCAGTTAGCCATGATCATGCCACTTCATTCCAGCCTGGGTGATAGAGTGAGACACTGTCTCAAAAAAAAAAAAAAAAAAAAAAGAATATTGCTATTTGATCACATCACAGTAAAAACTGATTTAGGCAAGAATCATTAACGGATACTAAAACAAGCGAATGAAAATTTACTGAGTCACCTCCATGGGTTTTTCTTATTAATTATGAACAGAAAAAGTTATCTTTATAGATAAGCCTGATGGACACTGGCTTAGCCAAGTGGTCAAAGTCCCCAGCATCAGTTGTGCCACCTGCCTGCTGTGGCTGTCTCCCAGCCCTGAGCCACGCCCTACCTCTGCTGCCAGGCTCCACTGGAGAAGACAGCCTGGCACCACTGGGGCTCCTGTCTGGTGTCCCTCTCAGTGTATCTAATACAAACAGGACCCAGGGTGTCCTATGAAGCAGAAAGTTTAGCGAAGCTTAAGAATGTCCCATGGTGGGCACTGTAGGAGAGTCAGCTATTAATACAGAATCAATGTTAGATTTCTAAATGTGCTAATCAAAGTGGCTATCCCAAAATGCATGCCGAATACTTGAGTGAAAGGTCATCAGGTCCAGAATACTAGTGTGAAAAGTCTGTGGACCAGTTTCCCAACAAAACCACCATAACTAATAAATAAAGTACTTAACAAAGTGGGCCGGGTGCAGTGGCTCATGCCTGTAATCCCAGCACTTTGCGAGGCCGAAGTTGGTGGATCACAAGGTCAGGAGACCGAGACCATCCCGGCTAACACAGTGAAACCCCGTCTCTACTAAAAAAAATACAAAAAAAAATTAGCTGGGCATGGTGGTGGGCGCCTGTAGTCCCAGCTATTTGGGAGGCTGAGGCAGGAAAATGGCATGAACCTGGGAGGCAGAGCTTGCAGTAAGCCGAGATTGTGCCACTGCACTCCAGCCTGGGCAACAGAGAGAGACTCCATCACACACACACACACACACACAAGTGAATTTAAACTCTGTGGAAATTATCCTAAGGGCATACAGAAAATATCTCCTTTTTCATTCCTGATTTTAGTAATTTGATTCTTCTTTTTTGCTTGGTCAGTCTAGCTAAAGGTTTGTCAATTTCATTGTTCTTTTCAAAGAACCAACTTTTGATTTTGTTTTTATTGGGTTTTTAGATTTTTTTTTTCTTTTTGAGACAGGGTCTCACTCTGTTGCCCAGGCTGGGGTGTAGTGGCATGGTCTCTCAGTTCACTGCAACCTCCATCTCCCAGGTTCAAGTGATTCTCCTGCCTCAGCCTCCCAAGTAGCTGGGATTACAGGCGTGGGCCACCACATCCAGCTGTCCTTTTATTGTAATGAACATGGTTTGGTCAGGACGTTTTGTGAAGTCATGGGATTCCTGCTACAGCAGCTGGACTGTGTGACCCTCCTACAGTGAAAGCTGGTCAAGGATGACAGTGACCAGTGCAATGAGGCCCATAGGCACCCCCCTTTCACTGCTATGGTTATCCCAACATTGATCATCACATAGTATATGTTTTTGGCAGTTTATAAAATGTCAAAAGTCACAAAATGAGGAGGAACCTGGAATACCAGGTACACAGGAATGGCAAAGTGAACAAAATGGTTTTCGTTCTTTTCCCAAAGGGTCCAGTTCAGTTCCAAGCATTTCAGGCCCTGCAACTTGTACTCTCCATCAAGAGCCTGGATTTGCACAAATCAAAAGGTGTATAGGTCACCCTCACCTTTTAAACCAGTATTAGGCAAAATTTTTCTGCATCCACAGACATTAAGCAAGTCAGGTTTTTCTCCATCCAGGTACCTGTCCCATACCCCTACCCATAAACAAAAGTGAAGCTCCTGCACATGGTCCCTGAGAGCCTCGGTCCAGGGGTGTCCCCTGTTCTGCCCTGCAGGAAGTGCATGGCTGTGTGCCCAGCTTCCTCACTGAGTTGGCTGCTCCATTTTCCCTCCTCCTTCTTTTGCCAGGAGCTCCTAGGAGTCTGCATTCCATATTAGCCCTTGGCCCGTCATACAGATATCTGTGAGGATATCTAAAACAACTGGGTTTCTTCACAGTTTCACCCTAAGCATTGCTGCCCCTAAGCACTGTTGTTCCGAAAGCTCATTAGCCAGCACTCTCAGTAGGTATCTATGCCCAAGCTTCTCCTCTTCCCAGTTGATGACGGTCCTCTATTAATCTGCAGGTCCTCCGGCCTCAGCAACAACAGGGAGCTGCAGCACTGAAGGATGCAGAGGATGCTGTTTGTCTTGCCACACTCACGTCTCCTCCCCCACTCCTAGGTGTGGGCTGCAGAGGATATGATCGCTAAGTTCCATTGGTTTTCCTCTCATTGGAAACCCTGGGTGCTGAGAGTTGCATAGCTGTTTATAACAGCTAAACTATAAAACAAAGAAGTGTTTGTGCAAACACAAAAGAGCCTTGCCAGGATGACAGTATCAACTGACAGTGATGCTGTCCAACCAGGGGCATGTGGCTTTAGACCTTCCATTTAGTTATAAATGTGTCGGAAATGTCCTTAAAATACAGCTTTAGGCCGGGCGCGGTGGCTCACGCCTGTAATCCCGGCACTTTGGGAGGCCGAGGCGGGCGGATCACAAGGTCAGGAGATCAAGACCATCCTGGCTAACACGGTGAAACCCCGTCTCTGCTAAAAATACAAAAAATTAGCTGGGCGTGGTGGCGGGCGCCTGTAGTCCCAGCTATTCGGGAGGCTGAGGCAGGAGAATGGTGTGAACCCAGAAGGCGGAGCTTGCAGTGAGCCGAGATCGCGCCACTGCACTCCAGCCTGGGCGACAGAGTGAGACTCCATCCCAAAATAAATAAATAAATAAGTAAAAAAAAATAAATAAAATACAGCTTTATAGTATAAAAATATAGATGGGCATCCAATGTATTTACCTTCTAATTATTCCACAAAAAGATTGCTTCCACTTATGTGTGCTTCTAACATCAACAACAGAAGTTGCTGATAAAAGCCAAGCAAGAGTGGATAACTAGTTCTTTGTAAATTAATGTATAAAAAAGATGTAACATAGTTTTTACAGATTTTTCTTTTTCTTTTTCTTTTTGAGACAGAGTCTCACTCTCTTGCCCAGGCTGGAGTGCACTGGTGTGATCTCTGCTCACTGCAACCTCTGACTCCTGGGTTCAAACAGTTCTCCTGCCTCAGCCTCCTGAGTAGCTGGCATTACAGGCTGCGCCACCACACCCAGCTAATTTTTGTATTTTTAGTAGAGACAGGGTTTCACCATATTGGTCAGGATGGTCTTGTACTCCTGACCTCAGGTGATCCGCTCACCTCGGCCTCCCAAAGTGCTGGGATTACAGGCGTGAGCCACCGCGCCCGGTCCTACAGAGTTCTCTAAGAAGGACTAAGAATAAATAAATATTCTTTCCTGACACCGGCACAGCCAGAGGAAGGCATTAACTGCCTTCTGAAACATTAACTGAGCACTGCTGTGCACCAACTTAACTCATGGACTTAATATTTGAAGTTCTTTTGCCTGTTGGTTATTAGATATGCAGAACTTATTTTTCCTAAGAAATAGTTTGGCAATTATGGAAAAAAGACAAAGTTTTATGACATATACTATCTAATTTTAAGATTTACCATAGGCTGGGCATGGTGGCTCACGCCTGTAATCCCAGCACTTTGGGAGGCTGAGGCAGGTGGATCATGAGGTCAGGAGATTGAGACCATCCTGGCTAACACAGTGAAATCCTATCTCTACTAAAAATGCAAAAAATTAGCCAGGCATGGTGGCAGGTGCCTGTAGTCCCAGCTACTCACTCGGGAGGCTGAGGCAGGAGAATGGCGTGAACCCAGGAGGCGGAGCTTGCAGTGAGCCAAGATTGCGCCACTGCACTCCAGCCTGGGCGACAGAGCGGACTCCGTCTTAAAAAAAAAAAAATTTACTATAAAACTATATAATCAAGACAGTATGGTACTGGCATAAGGATAGACAAACACAACGGAATAGAGTTCAGAAATCGGTCCATACATGTACAGCCAGATCACAGACTGAATGAAGCACCAGTACAATTCAATGGAAAAGTCTCCAACAAATGGTGCTGGACCAACTGGATGTTGTAGAGAAAACGTTGAAGTTTAATTCATGCCTCAGACCATCCTGTAACTCAACGTGGCTTACGGACCTAACGCTAAACACTAAAGCTGTGAAGCTCTAAGAACACACAAGAAGATGCCATTGTGACCTGAGGAGAGACAAAGATTTCTCAGGCAGAAATCAAAAGCACCGACCAGATAGGAAAAAAACAGACAAATTAGACTTCAACAAAACTAAACATTCGTGCTCCTCAAGAGGAACTTTTAGGCCAGGCGCAGTGGCTCATGACTGTAATCCTAGCACTTTAGGAGGCCGGGGCGGGTGGATCACGAGGTCAGGAGTTCAAGACCAGCCTGGCCAAGATGGTGAAACCCTTTCTCTACTAAAAACACAAAAATTAGCCGGGCCCAGCTGGGTGCGGTGGCTCACACCTGTAATCCTTGCACTTTGGGAGGCTGAGGTGGGTGAATCACCTGGGGTCAGGGGTTCGAGACCAGCCTGGCCAACATGATGAAACCCCGTCTCTACTAAAAATTTAAAAAATTAGCTGGATGTGGTGGTTCATGCCTGTAATCCCAGCTACTCAGGACGCTGACGCAGGAGAATCGCTCGAACTAGGGAGGCAGAGGTTGCAGTGAGCCAAGATCACGCCACTGCATTCCAGCCTGGGCAACAGAGTGAGACCCTGTCTCAAAAAAACAAAAACAAGGCCGGGCACGGTGGCTCACGCCTGTAATCCCAGCACTTTCGGAGGCCGAGGCGGGCAGATCACAAGGTCAGGAGCTCGAGATCATTCTGGCTAACACAGTGAAACCCCGTCTCTACTAAAAATACAAAAAATTAGCCGGGCGTGGTGGCGGGTGCCTGTAGTCCCAGCTACTCGGGAGCGTGAGGCAGGAGAATGGCATGAACTTGGGAGGCAGAGTCTGCAGTGAGCCGAGATCACGCCACTACACTCCAGCCTGGGCGACAGAGCAAGACTCTGTCTCAAAAAAAAAAAAAAAAAAAAAAAATTAGCCGGGCCCGGTAGCAGGTGCCTGTAATCCCAGCTACTCAGGAGGCTGAGGCAGGAGAATCACTTGAACCAGGGGGGCAGAGGTTGCAGTGAGCCAAGATCACGCCACTGCACTCCAGCCTACGCAACAGAGTGAGACTCCGTCTCAAAAAAAAAAAAAAAAAAAAAAGGCACTTTTAAGAAAATGAAAAGGCAAGCCACAGAGAAAATATTTCCAATCCCTGTATCTGACAAAAACTTGTATCCAGATATATAACATATATCTGTATGGTTAATATATGCGTATATATGTGTGAGTATATATATACATACGTAATATATACATATACACACACACACTCTTACCAGTCAATAATACGGTAGAACCCAGCCAGGCGTGGTGGCTCATGCCTATAATCCCAGCACTTTGGGAACCCAGCCAGATGTGGTGGCTCATGCCTATAATCCCAGCACTTTGGGAGGCCGAGGTGAGTGGATCACCCGCGGTCAGGAGTTTGAGACCAGCCTGGCCAACATAGTGAAATCCCATCTCTACTAAAAATACAAAACTTAGCCAGGCATGGTGACAGCTGCCTATAATCCCAGCTACTGGAGAGGCTGAGGCAGGAGAATCGCTTGAACCCGGTAGGCAGAGGTTACAGTGAGCCAAGATCGCACCACTGCACTCCAGCATGGGCGACAGAGCAAGAGTCTCTGTCACCACCCACCCAAAAAACAAAAAGTTCATCAACAGGAGAATGGATATGTAAACTGGTATACTCAAACAACACAACACTACTCAGCAATAATAAGGAACATATTGCTGATACCCACATCACGATGAATCTTCAAACTATGTCCAGCAAAAGCAGACGTAAGAGAATACATACTATATAATTCCATTTATATGAAGCATGGGAACAGGCAAAATTAATTCAACCTATGCAGATGGGCATCAGAAGAGTAGGCACCTTGGTATGGGGGATGAGGCACCAGGGAACTTTCTAGGGTGGCAGCAACAATCAATTTCTTCACTGGGCTGTTGGTTACACAGGCATATTCATTTGTCAAAACTCATCAAACTGTACCTTTAAGATCTGTGCAGCTTATTCTATGTAATTATACCCCAATACTTAAACAAGAAATAGTTGATAAATGACAGTTAAATTTCTTGGTGGTGAGGATTTCACAGGTAGCACACTTATTCGTGCACTCATGGAGGTGTGTACATTAAACATGCACAGCTTTTTATATATTAATCATACCCCAATAAAGTGGTTTAAATTTTTTTTTTTTTTTTTTTTGAGACAGAGTCTCACTCTGTCGCCCAGGTTGAAGGGCAGTGGCGTGATCTCGGCTCACCACAACCTCCACTTCCCGGGTTCAAGTGCTTTTCCTGCCTTAGTCTCTCAAGTAGCTGTGATTACAGGCATGTGCCACCACGCCTGGCTAATTTTTGTATTTTTAGTAGAGACAGGGTTTCACCATGTTGGTCAGGCTGGTCTCAAACTCCTGACCTCGTGATCTGCCTGCCTCGGCCTCCCAAAGTGCTGGGATTACGGGCGTGAGCCACTGTGCCCGACCCTTAATTTTTTTAATTTAAAAAGTTAAGTTTCTGGGCTAGCCCACACAATGCTGACCCTAATACAACTAACCACTGTAATAAAGTTTCTTGCAGTTTCTATGGGAAATGTCATTCCCTGTTTCAGATGGAAATTAAGAGTACAGCACATATTAACACATGCTTCTTCCTCTCCATCCTCCCTCCAGGGAAGCTCAGTGCAGTATCTCTATTCTATTTCTTTATTCCATCTATCAAATATTTACTGAGAATCATCAGTGTACACAGTCCTCAGTGAATACAAACACATAAAAAGTCACAGCCAGGCGCAGTGGCTCACGCCTGTAATCCTAACACTTTGGGAGGCCAAGGCATATGGATCACAAGGTCAGGAGTTCGAGACCAGCCTGGCCAATATGGTGAAACCCCGTCTCTACTAAAAATACAAAAATTAGCTGGGCGCGGTGGCGGGTGCCTGTAGTCCTAGCTACTCGGGAGGCTGAGGCAGGAGAACTGCTTGAACCCCGGGAGGTGGAAGTTGCAGTGAGCCGAGATCATGCCACTGCACTCCAGCCTGGGTGACAGAGCAAGACTCTGTCTCTCAAAAAAAAAAAAAAAAAAAAAGTCGCTGGAAGTGTTGTCTGCCCCTACAGAGCACCCTCTTCCTCTCTGCCTTAACTAAAGGCAATCTCTCTCATCCTTTCCCCCACCACAGGGATCAACACTGCCCCCACGCCCCCTGAGGCCTGAGAAGCCAAGCTGGCCGACTCCTTGATACATGACGGGTAGATGTCAAGTATTATACCTGTACTAGCGTGCTCTGCTGATGTGAACAGAAAAATCTAGGATAATGAGCTCTGTCATGTGCACTGGTAAGGAACTGGAAATGTCCATGCCCTGTAAAAGTAGAACGGTAACATTCATGCAGCCCTGAATATGTTTGCAAAGAACATCTAACAGGGGGACAAGCTCACGACAGACTGAACACAACCACAGGACATAAACTGACATACATGGGGTGGGCTCAGTGTATACTGCCTCTTTTTTTTTTTTCTTGAGCTGGAGTTTTACTCTTGTCACCCAAGCTGGAGTGCAGTGGCATGATCTCGGCTCCCTGCAACCTCAGCCTCCCGAGTAGCTGGGACTACAGGCATGCGACATCACACCAGGCTAATTTTTTTTTTTCTTTTTTTTTTTTTGAGACGGAGTCTCGCACTGTCGCCCAGGCTGGAGTGCAGTGGCGTGATCTCAGCTCACTGCAAGCTCCACCTCCCGGGTTCACGCCATTCTCCTGCCTCAGCCTCCCAAGTAGCTGGGACTACAGGTGCCTGCCACCACGTCCGGCTAAATTTTTTTTGTATTTTTAGTAGAGATGGGGTTTTACCGTGTTAGCCAGGATGGTCTCAATCTCCTGACCTTGTGATATGCCCACCTCGGCCTCCCAAAGTGCTGGGATTACAGGCGTGAGCCACGACGCCCGGTGCCAATTTTGTATTTTTAGTAGAGACGGGGCTTCACCATGTTGGTCAGGCTGGTCTCGAGCTCCTGACCTCAGGTGATCCGCTCACCTCAGCCTCCCAAAAGTGTTGGGATTATAGACGTCAGCCACCACGCCCAGCCCACTGCCTCATTTTTTAAATTACATGATAAAGAGCTGTACCACCCAACGTGTAGGTCTTAACTGCATCCTGATTCTAAAAGATGAACTGGGCAAAACTTGCAAGATAATCACAGAAATTTAAACACTAACCAGACATGTGAGAACATTAAAAAATTATTCTTAATTTTCTGGTGCAATAAAGGTATTATGTTTAACAAAGAAAGACTCGTGGCAATATGCAGATGAAATGGTAATTTGCTTGGGATCTATTTCAAAAAAATCCTACAGGGGTGTGGGTGGGGTTGGCACTGGGGTATAGATAAAGCGAAATTGCTGAGGAAGGATGATTTGTTGTTGTTGTGGTTGAGTAATTCAGGGGACCATGGGCAGGTTTGTTCTTTGCGTATATTGTGCAATGCTGGGGTTTGGGCTTCTAGTGAACTCATCACCCAAATAGTGCACATAGTACCCAACAGGTAATTTTTCAACCCTCACCCCAGTCTTCTACCCTTCCCCTCTAGCAGTCCCCAGTGTCTATTACATCATCTTTTCTTTCCCTTTTTTTTTTTTTTTTTTTTTTTTTTTGAGACAGGGTCTCATTCTGTCTCCCAGGCTGGAGTGCAGTGGTGGGATCTTGGCTCCCTGAAGCCTCAACCTCCTGGGTTCAAGCCATCCTCCTATCTCAGCCTCCCCAGTAGCTGAGACTACAGGTGCACAACACTCGCCTAATTTTTTTTTTTTTTTGAGACAGAGTCTTGCTCTGTCGCCCAGGCTGGAGTGCAATGGTGCGATCTCGGCTCACTGCAACCTCCGCCTCCTGGGTTCACGCCATTCTCCTGACTCAGCCTCCCGAGTAGCTGGGACTACAGGCGCCTGCCGCCACACCTGGCTAATTTTTTGTATTTTTAGTAGAGATGGGGTTTCACCGTGTTAGCCAGGATGGTCTCGATCTCCTGACCTCGTGATCTGCCCACCTTGGCCTCCCAAAGTGCTGGGATTACAGGTGTGAGCCACTGCGCTGGCCGGCCAATTTTTGTATTTTTTGTAGAGATGAGGTTTCGCCATGTTGCCCAGGCTGGTCTTGAACTCCTGGGCTGAAGTGATCTGCCCACCTCGGCAGATTACTGGGATTACAAACTATTATATTCATCTTTATGTCTATGTGTTTAGCTCCCACATATAAGTAAGAACATGTGGTATTTGATTTTCTGTGAGTTAGGATAATGGCCTCCAGCTCCATCCATGTTGCTGTGAAGGACGTGATCTTGTTCTTTTTATGGCTGCATAGTATTCCATATGTGTATATGTGTCACATTTTCTTTATCTGGTCAACTGTCGGTGAACACTTAGGTTAATTCCATGACACTGCTATTGTAAGTAGTGCCACAGTAAACATACAAGTGCATGTGTCTTTTTGATAAAACTATTTATTTTCCTTTGAGTAGACACCCAGTACTGGGACTGCTGGGTTGAATGGTAGATCTACTTTTAGTTCTTTGAAAAATCTCCATCCTGTTTTCCACAGGGGTTGAACTAATTTACATTGCCACCCACAGTGTATGGGTGAGAAATGATCATTGTTAACCAAGGGTGATATGTACATGGGATTCATTAACTACTTCCTCTACTTTGAACATATTTGATATTTACCACAATAAAGAGGTTTTTTTTTTTTTTTTTTTTTTTTTTTGAGACGGGGTCTCGCTCTGTCGCCCAGGCTGGAGTGCAGTGGCGCGATCTCGGCTCACTGCAAGTTCCGCCTCCCGGGTTCACGCCATTCTCCTGCCTCAGACTCCCGAGTAGCTGGGACTACAGGCACCCGACTAATTTTTTGTATTTTTAGTAGAGACGGGGATTCACCGTGTTGGCCAGGATGGTCTCGATCTCCTGACCTCGTGATCCACCCGTCTCAGCCTCCCAAGGTGCTGGGATTACAGACATGAGCCAGTGCACCCTGCCGGTTTTTTTTTTTAAGATTTTTAGGATAGGCCAGGCACAGTGGCTCATGCCTGTAATCCCAGCACTTAGGGAGGCCGAGGCAGGCAGATCACAAGGTCAGGAGATCAAGACCATCCTGGCCAACACGGTGAAACCCCGTCTCTACTTAAAATACAAAAAATTAGCTGGGCATGGTGGCGGGCGCCTGTAGTCCCAGCTACTCGGGAGGCTGAGGCAGGAGAATGGTGTGAACCCGGGAAGCGGAGCCTGCAGTGAGCTGAGATCGCGCCACTGCACTCCAGCCTGGGCGACAGAGCGAGATTCTGTCTCCAAAAAAAAAAAAAAAAGATTTTTAGCATATATGTTTCTTAGAACATCTGATAGGTGGTGTTAACATATGTTTTGTGCATAGGATTTTTTCATTAAGAATCAGTTTTGAGGCCGGGCGCGGTGGCTCACGCCTGTAATCCCGGCATTTTAGGAGGCTGAGGCGGGGGGATCACAAGGTAAGGAGATCAAGACCATCCTGGCTAACATGGTGAAACCCCGTCTCTACTAAAAATACTAAAAGAAATTAGCCGGGCGTAGTGGCAGGTGCCTGTGGTCCCAGCTGCTGGGGAGGCTGAGGAAGGAGAATGGCATGAACCCAGGAGGCGGAGCTTGCAGTGAGCCGAGATTGTGCCACGGCACTCCAGCCTGGGTGACAGAGCAAGACTCCGTCTCAAAAAAAAAAAAAAATCGGTTTTGAAATATAATTACTGAATGTGACTAGAAAGAAATATATGGCCAGGAGCGGTGGCTCACGCCTGCTGTAATCCCAATACTTTGGGAGGCCGAGGTGGGCGGATCACGTGAGGTCAGGAGTTCAAGACCAGCCTAGCCAATATAGTGAAAACTCAACTCTACTAAAAATACAAAATTAGCCAGGCGTGGTGGCGCATGCCTATAATCCCAGCTACTTGGGAGGCTGAGGCAGGAGAACTGCTTGAACGGGAGGTGGAAGTTGCGGTGTGCCGAGATTGCACCATTGCACTCTGGCCTGGGAAACGAGCAAAACTCCATCTCAAAAAAAAAAAAAAAAGCCAGGCGCGGTGACTCACGCCTGTAATCCCAGCACTTTGGGAGGCCGAGGCGGGTGGATCACGAGGTCAGGAGATCGAGACCATCCTGGCTAACATGGTGAAACCCCGTCTCTACTCAATGTACAAAAAACAATTAGCTGGGTGTGATGGCGGGCGCCTGTAGTCCCAGCTACTTGGGAGGCTGAGGCAGGAGAATGGTGTGAACCCGGGAGACAGAGCTTGCAGTGAGCAGAGATCACACCACTGCACTCCAGCCTGGGCAACAGAGCGAGACTCCGTCCAAAAAAAAAAACCCAAATATATTAGCCGGGCATGGTGGTGTTCACATGTAATCCCAGCTACTCGGGAGGCTGAGGCACAAGAATCGCTTGAACCTGGGAGGCGGAAGTTGCAGTGAGCTGAGATCGCGCCACTGCACTCCAGCCTGGGTGACAGAGCGAGACTTTATCTAAAAAAAAAAAAAAAGAAACCTCAATTGTAATAGCAGCCACCTCCAGGTGGAGAGATGAGTAAGTTCCACTTTCCGAACCACCATTTTCTGTACTTTCCAGATTTTAAACAATGACTATGTATTCTACAATCAGGAAAAAATGCTTTTTAAAAATATGACTAAGCCTAGGTTCTGGAAACTCAAGATATACTCTGCTGAATAATTATATCACAGTAAAGAGCCCCGGCTGGGCACAAGTCAGGCAACCCTGTCCCTGCATGGGTCGGGGACATGGCCTCTCAGACCAGCCCTGGCAGCATCTAAAAGGGACCGTTTACATTCACAGGCTCCTGGCTGCAGAGTAGGAGTGTGAGACTGAACATTTCCTTTCTGAAAGTGATCTTTTCTAGTCCCTCATGGTTAAAACAAAAAAGAAATTGGTATTCATTAAGGGCTTAATTAAAGAACTGAAAATAGCTGGGTGTAGTGGCTCACGCCTGGAATCCTAGTAATTTGGAAGGCTAAGATGGGAGGATCACTTGAGGCCAGGAGTGGGAGACCAGCCTGATCAACATAACAAGACCCTATCTCTAAAAAAAGAAAAAAGAAAAAAAAAGAACTGAAAATATAAATATAAATTACATTTATACTATAAATATTTTTGAGGGCAAAATATATTCTGTCCAACAGCAATTCAGTAAGACCAAGGATTGTTGGTTTCATGTAGAAATTTACATTGGTGATGTCTTCCTGCTTCTATCATAAGAAAATGAAAATGAATTTCTGTTTGCCCAGCATCAGAGTACAGCCTTTTTCTAAATAAAGAGTTAAGTCCCTCCTAGAAAAGCCTTATCTGGGGCCATGCATGGTGGCTCACACATGTAATCCCAGCACTTTGGGAGGCTGAGGTGGAGGACCACTTGAGCCCCAGGAGTTCAAGACCAGCCTGGACAACATAGCAAGATCTTGTCTCTAAAAAAAAAATATATAAAAATTAGCTAGATGCAGAGGTGGTGCTACTCGGGAGGCTGGGGTAGGAGGATCACTTGAGCCCAGGAGGTCGAAGCTGCAGTGAGCCAAGATCACGCCAATGTACTCCAGCCTGGGCGACGGAAAAAGACCCTGTCTTAAAAAAAAAATGCCTTATCTGTAGGTGGATTTATCTATCTTCCCCCTAACCACCCTACAGGGGGCAGGGTGAGAGAACAATACCAAAATCAGCCCCAGCTGTGTTCACATTCCGGCACCACCAGTTGTGTGACCAGGCACGTGTGAGGATCTCTGCAAATCTGAACCTCCTCTTCTGTATCTTGCCCCTGGCATTCACATCCTTATACATTCCCTCCCACACTGCACTTGAGCAGCCCGAGCAAGCCAAGAGATGTGGCAGAAGCAGCACTACAAGGATCCACCAAGCTTCCACCGTGGTCCTTAGGAGGCTTTGCCAAGGGAAAGCCACACACCATGGAAGGGGTCTGGCTTCCCAGAGACCAGCACGCTGTAAGGGCGTCCAAGGGAGCCCTGTGTGAAGAAGCCACAGGGATAGAGGAAGGGAGAGCAGAGACAGCAATGCTCAGCAAGCCCTCAGCTGTCCAGCTACCCCAGACTCGAGTGAAGATGCCATCTGCATGGCTGCCCAGTCCTGTCCGGCACTGAGTTGACTCCAGCCCCAGCCACCATCTGCTTGCAGCTGCTGGAGAGTCGCCCAGCGGAGCCCAGTCCACCACAGAATCACAACATGGCATGAGTCTGGGACACCATGGGGCTTCGGTACGCAGCAGCCCTCCTTTATCTCCTTTTCTGATGGAAACAGCATTAAGGAAACCAAGCACAGGCTGCGAGCCATTCAAAGACTCCCGACTCTCACGCCCTTCTCACCATGCCTATATCAGTGATCTCCTCTCAGGGTCAGATAAAGATCAGAGCTGGCAGTAACTCTAGATTCTGTTGCTTAGTAGGACGTAAGTAAGGTCAGCTCCGAGGCACCTGAAGACAGCTCCGAAATCCTTTCATAAAATGAAAGGCTCAGGTTCGCCATCCTCACTCTGCGGCTCCCTGTGGCCAGTTAGATGCCTCTGCTCCGTGTCCAGCCCATTCCTCCCAGTGGACACGTGACAGCCCTGGAAGAGCTGGGATGGGGGGGAATGCAAATGAGTGAATAGGCCATCATCCCTCAGGGTCAGGGGACAGGAGAGGGCCGGGGGTGCTGAGGACATGCACCAGGGAGACACACAAGGGGCAATGACCTCATGTCAGGGTCCGGAGGGTCCCCAGAAGCAGCAGAACTAACCTCGTTCCGTCTCCACCTAGGGACGGGAGCGTGCCCAGGTATGAGGAGCGTGGGTATGACAGGAAAGGCAATGAGAAAGAATACATCCACCCCAGAGCCAGTGCGAGTGTGGAAGGCTTGGGGACTCGAAATGGGACGCCTGGATCTCAGTTTACACTCTCACGAGACAACTCCCTTCCCCTCCACATCTCCACAGCATGGCTGCACTGCAGGCAGCACTCCTCTCAGGGAGGAGTCTACAAAATCCGAAAAGCATGTTTTATTTTGGTAAAATATACATAACATAAACTTTATCATCTTAACCATTTTGAAGTGTTCAGCTCAGTCCTGTGAAGTACACTGACATTGCTGTGCAGCCATCACCACCATCCATCTCCACACTCCATCTTCACACACTGAAGCTTTGTACCCATAAACACCAACTCCCATATTTCCCCTCCCCCCACCCCTGGAACCACCATTCTACTTCCTGTCTCTATGAATGTCACTGCAGTGGGTGCCTCACATAAGCGGAATCACCGGCTTTGTCATTTGTGATTGGCTTGTTTCGCTCAGCACAATGTCCTCCATGTTGCAGCATGTGTGAGAACTGACTTTTGCTATCATCCTTCAGTTGATGACACCTGGTTGCTAGGTTGTTGCAGATAATGCTACGAGATTCAATGCAATCCCTGTCAATATAACAGCAATATTTTTCAGGGAAATAGAAAAAAAAAATTCATATGAAGCCAAAAAAGAGCCCAAATATCCAAAGCAATCCTGAGCAAAAAGAACAATGCTGAAGGCAACACACCTCCTGACTTCAAAACAAATTATAAGCCTAGAGTAACCAAAATAGCCTGGCATTTGTATAAAAAGACACACAGACCAATGGGACAGAATAAAGAACCCAGAAATAAATCTACATATTTACTCCCATTGATCCTCAACAAAGCCAGCAAGAACATACACTGGGGAAAGGATATACTTTTCAATAAATGTAGCTAGGAAAACTTAATAGCCATGTGCAGAAAAATAAAACCGGACCCCTATGTGTCACCATACACAAAAGTCAACTCAAGATAGACTAAAGACTTAAACATAAGTTGGAAGGCTGAAAACAGGCAGAACACTTGAGGTCAGGAGTTCGAGACCAGGCTGGCCAACATGGTGAAACCCTGTCTCTACTAAAGACAGGAAAATTAGCCGGGCATGGTGGCGGACACCTGTAGTCCCAGCTACTCGGGAGGCTGAGGCAGGAGGATCCCTTGAACCTGGCAGGTGGAGGTTGCAGTGAGCCAAGATCACGCCATTGCACTCCAGCCTGGGAGATGGAGCAAGACTCCCTCTCAAAAAAATAAAAAAAAAGAAGCTCTAATGTTTGACAGCAGGGCAGAATGACTATACTTAGCAACAATACCATGTATTCTCTTTTTTTTTTTTTTTTTTTTTTTTGAGACACAGTCTCACTCCGTAGCCTGGCTGGCGTGAAGTGGAGTGCAGTGGTGCGATCTCAGCTCACTGCAACCTCTGCAGCCCAGGTTCAGGCAATTTTCATGCCTCAGCCTCCCAAGTGGCTGGGACTACAGGCATGTGCCACCACGCCCGGCTAATTTTTGTATTTTTGTAGAGATGGGGTTTCATCATGTTGGCCAGGCTGATCTTGAACTCCTGACCTCAGGTGATCTGCCCACCTTGGTGTCCCAAAGTGCTGTGATTATAGGCATGAGCCACCGCACGCCCGGGATTTTTGAGACAGAGTCTCACTCCGTTGCCCAGGCTGGAGTGCAGTGGTGTGATCTTGGCCACTGTAACCTGTGCCTCCCGCTACCAACCCAATTCTTTTTGTTCTTTTTTTAGATGGAGTTTTTGCTCTTGTTGCCGAGGCTGGAGCGCAATGGCGCAATCTAGCCTCACTGAAACTTCCGCCTCCCAGGTTCAAGCAATTCTCCTGCCTCAGCCTCCCAAGTAGCTGGGATTACAGGTGCCCACCACCACACCCGGACAATTTCTGTATTTTTAGTACAGACGGGGTTTCACCATGCTGGCCAGGCTGGTCTCAAACACCTGACCTCAGGCGATCCACCTGCCTCGGCCTCCTAAAGTGCTGGGATTACAGGTGTGAGCCACCATGCCCAGCCCCCACCCAATTCTTAAAAGCCTCCAAGCTGGGCACAGTGGGAGCCCAGCACATTGGGAGGCCGAAGAAGGCAGATCACGAGGTCAGGAGATCGAGACCATTCTGGCTAACATGGTGAAACCCCGTCTCTACTAAAAATACAAAAAATTAGCCGGGTGTGGTGGCGGGCATCTGTAGTCCCAGCTATTTGGGAGGCTGAGGCAGGAAAATGGCGTGAACCTGGGAGGCGGAGCTTGCAGTGAGTGGAGATCATGCCACTGCACTCCAGCCTGGGCAACAGAGCGAGACTCCGTCTCAAAAAAAAAAAGAAAAAAGCCTCCAACAAATTCTAAACACACAGCTTTCCTGAGACTGTCCCCAGGAAGCCTGTCCCAGGGCAGCCATGCGAACCCCTCAATGGCAGCTCTCCTGCGCAGCCTGACTTTGGGCCCATCCTCACCCACCCAGGCACACTCAGCCTCTGCTGCACCTGCTGAGTGAAGGCACTGCTATTCTAATGTTGCCATGGGCTTTCCACAAACATTCACATCCTGTGAATGTTTCTCTTCCATAAGCCCTGCTTCAATGGGGCTCTGACACTGAACATGACCCACCTGCCTCCCTGCCTGCTTCCCACAGCATGTCATCCAAAAGCATGGCAAAGAAGTTTGTAGGCAGCCCCATCTGAGCCTATGCTGTAGAGCACGCTCCCTGGACTATGTCTTCCAAAAGCATGGCAAAGAAGGCAGGCGGCCCCATCCGAGCCTATGCTGTAGAGGACGCTCCCTGGACTATGTCATCCAAAAGCATGGCAAAGAAGGCAGGCTGTCCCATCCGAGCCTATGCTGTAGACGACGCTCCCTGGACTACTGGGAGTTGTACTGTGTATCTGGCTGATTCTCTGGGAAGTTCCTTTAAAAGTGAAAGAGGGCCAGGTGCGGTGGCTCACATCTGTAATCCCAGCACTTTGGGAGGTCGAGGCGGGTGGATGAAGACCAGCCTGGCCAATATGGTGAAACCCTGCCTCTACTCAAAATACAAAAATTAGCCAGGTGTGGTGGCGGACGCCTGTAATGCCAGCTACTGGGGAGGCTGAGGCAGGAGAATCGCTTGAACCTGGGAAGCAGAGATTACAGTGAGCCGAGATGGCACCACTGCACTCCAGCCTGGGCAACAGAGCAACACTCCGTCTCAAAAAAAAAAAAAAAAAAAAAAAAAAAGTGAAAGAGGAAGCCATGCCTCAAATCCCTCAGTAGAAGGACTGTCACCAGAACTTGACTCCCCTGAAGATGAGACTATCTAGAATCTCAAATCTAGAAATGCTACCACCTGGCAATTCATTTAGAGTTTAAACTTTCATTGTTTAGCTTCCACTTGTAAGTGAGAACATGCGGTTTTTGACTTTCAGACATACAGAGTGGAATAACAGACATTGGAAACTCCAAATGAACAGGAATGAAAGGAAGTAAAGTAGACTTGGAAGAGGGCCAAGCGGGCAACTTGAGAGATCAAGTGCCTTCATTAATTTCATACTTCGCCAGTGACCACCCAGTGCCACTGATACAGGCTAGCTGGGTTAACCTGAAGGGAAGGGTGGGAGCGATGAAATATTATATTCAGGTGATGTTACATTAAAAGCCCAGACTTCACCACTGTGCAATATAACCATATAACATAACTGCATTTGTACCCCTAAATCCATCCAAAAATTTAAAAAATTTTTAAAGCTTAAAATTTCAGTAAGACACAACTTTTTCCAGCATAAGGAACGTCACGCTAGGTCTCCCTTAAAGCAAGAACTTCATTCTCTGGTGCTTGCGTATCTCCCCTCTCCTCCCTCATCCTCTATTTCTGTCATTTCATATTGGTCAATTCTGCTGCTTGCAACAGATGTAGGAAAGGATTTTATGGCGAGTAGATTTTAAAACTGCTGTATTCTCAACACCTACACAATGCCTGGTGCATTACAAGAGCTTCATCAAGGCCAAGCATGGTGGCTCATGCCTGTAATCCCAGCACTTTGGGAGGTCAAGGTGGGTGGATCACCTGAGTTTGGAAGTTCGAGACCAGCCTGACCAATATGGAGAAACCTGTCTCTACTAAAAACACAAAATTAGCCAGGCGTGGTGGTGCATGCCTATAACCCAACTACTCGGGAGGCTGAGGCAGGAGAATCGCTTGAACCCGGGAGGTGGAAGTTGCAGTGAGATTGCACCATTGCACTCCAGCCTGGGCAACAAAAGCAAAACTCCGTCTCAAAAAAAAAAAAAAAAGCACTTTGGGAGGCCGAGGCGGGAGGATCACAAGGTCAGGAGATCGAGACTGGTGACAGAGCAAGACTCCATCTCAAAAACAAAACAAAAACAAAAAAAGCTTCATCAGTATCTGTTGAACAAATCAAAGCAGACATTGAAACAAGACTCTATGTCTATCTTCTACCACCATGAGTAACACAGCTAGCCTGAATCAGTGGCACTGGGTGGTCACTGGGGAAGTATGAAATTAATGAAGGCCTCTGATCTCTCAAGTTGCCAGCTTGGCCCTCTTCAAAGTCTACTTTACTTCCTTTCATTCCTGTTCTAAAGCTTTTAAATAAACTTTTGACAGGGCATGGTGGCTCAGACCTGTAATCCCACCACTTTGGGAGGCCAAGGTGGGCAGATCATCTGAGGTCAGGAGTTCAATACCAGCCTGGCCAACATGGTGAAACCCCGTCTCTGCTAAAATACAAAAATTAGCTGGACATGGTAGCGTGTACCTGTAATCCCAGCTACTCAGGAGCCTAAGACAGGAGAATTGCTTGAGCCTAGGAGGCGGGGGCTGCAATGAGCCAAGATCGCGCCACTGCACTCCAGCCTGGGTGACAGAGCTAGACTCCATCTCCAAAAAACAACTTTCATTCCTGCTCTAAACCTTGCCTAGGTCTCCTTCTGCTTTGTGCCCCTCAGCCAAATTCTTTCTTCTGAGGAAGCAAGAATTGAGGTTGTTGCAGTCCCACATGGATTCCCCACTGGTAACATACTTTGGTGCCACATGACTCGGAAATGTTCCCTAGTGTAAGACACCTCCATGCCTCCCTCGCCTTCTTCGGCGGGAGGTGCTCAACCCCCATACAAGTTTTCTTCTCCTTTTCTCTCCTACTTACTAACCAAATCCCAAAACAATTCCTCTCAGCCGTAAGTGACTCTGCCCCGCCGGCTGGTCTCTCAGCTCACCTTGATGGGTGGCTCACAGGGATGGAAAGGACCTTGGGTCCAGACCGGGAAGAACTGAGGTGCTAATGGCCTCCTGGACGGGAGGCTCTGAAGAGTCATAGAGCTAAAGCCTAACACCATGCAATGTCTGGGGCTTAAAATAAATAATGAAAATCACAAGTTCACTTTGATCAATTTAAAACCATAATATAGGCCGAGTGTTGGTGGCTCACGCCTGTAATCCCAGCATTTTGGGAGACTGAGGTGGGCAGATCACCTGAGGTCTGGAGTTCGGGACCATCCTGGCCAACATGATGAAACCCCATCTCCAGTAAAAGCACAAAATTAGCCAGATATGGTGGCACGCGCCTGTAATCCCAGCTCGGGAGGCTGTGGCAGGCGAATCGCTTGAACCCGGGAGGCAGAGGTTCAGTGAGCCAAGATCGCGCCATTGCACTCCAGCCTGGGCAACAAGAGCGAAACTCCGTCTCAAAAAAAAATCATAATAAAAAATAAATAAATGAATGAAAGCATAGTATATAGGTATAAGAAACAGCATTTATCTTTTTTTTTTTTTTTTTTTTTTTTTTTTTTTAAGACAGAGTCTTGTTCTTCTCGCTCGGGCTGGAGTGCAATGGCACAATTTTGGCTCACTGCAACCTCCCCCTCCTGGGTTCAAGCAATTCTCCTGCCTCAGCCTCCCGAGTAGCTGGGATTACAGGTGTGAGCCACTGCACCCAGCTTATCATGTTTTTTTTAAAAGGCTACTCGCTTGTTTATTTTCCTATTCACCAATTCCTTTGAGCCACATGACCTGGGTTGAAATAACACAGTTTTCCTCAACTTTTTAGAAAACTAACTAAAGCTGGTATTCAGCTTTCCTTCGTTTTTCCCTAATGTCTTACATCTGGTGTTCACGTGTTCTTAGGCTCCTCCTGGTTGTGACGTGCTTTCAGATTCCATGACCTTCACAGAGGACTGGTCAGGTGTACTGCAAGATTTTTTTTTTTTTTTTTGAGATGGAGTCTTGCTCTGCCGCCCAGGCTGAGTGCAGTGGCGGATCCCGGCTCACTGCAACCTCTGTCTCCCGGGTTCAAGAGACTCTCCTGCCTCAGCCTCTCGAGTAGCTGGTACTACAGGTGCGTGCCACCACACCGGGATAATTTTTTGTATTTTTAGTAGAGATGGGGTTTCGTCGTGTTAGCCAGGATGGTCTAGATCTCCTGACCTTGTGACCCGCCCGCCTCGGCCTCCCAAAGTGCTGGGACTACAGGCACCAGCCACCGCGCCCGGCCGCAAGATGTTCTTCTACTCCGGTTTGTGTGGTGTTTTCCTCATGCTTACGCTAGGGCCGTGGATTGGGGAGGTGAGGTGCTTTCTCAGGCCATCCTATTTATAAGGTCACGCGCGTTGACCATCTCACCCAGTCCTGGGGCCTGTCACACGGACAGATGCTCCCTGAAGTGTGGCTGCGGTGTGTGTGTATCTGTGTGCCTTAGAGACAGACACATCTGCATCCTTGGAAAATCATACTTGGTTTTATTTAATTCTATTTAAATTGTATGGGAGACCACTATGCTTTCACTTTAAAGCTAAATTCCTTAAATTATCCATGATTTTATATTTTCATTCGAGACTGTCGGGCCCTTTATCTCTTCTCTGAAGCCAACGCCTGGCTCACTCAGAGAAAGTTTCACCTGCATTCCGCCATGTAAATTACGAGTTCACTTTCTCTCACAACCCAAGAGTCGGGGGCCACATCCTTCCCTGAGAGCTCTTAATATTCTTCTTCTAAGAGTATGGCCAAGAACCACAAGACTTTCTCAGTCCCTCTGGAAGCAATGGAAACGGACTGTTTCACAGCCTGCCATATCCTGCATTGGCAAACCGGTCCCGTCCGGGGCCTCCCAGCACAAACGACACTGACAGAGAGCTCTACCCCGCAGAGCACTACGGAGTGCGGTGCTGCGGCACATCCACCTGGGAAGTGGCCTTGGCCCGTCCAGGGCTTGGTTTTGGATCTGCCGCGCGTGTTCTCCAAACTGAAGATCACTTGTATTCATTTGGTGCAGGTCTAAGGCGCAGCGGGCTCCGTAAGAGCACCCCAGGAACGCACAGCCCTGAGAGCCCGCCCGGGTCTTCCTTTTGCACCAGCGAGGCCCCTGCGGGGGACTGGAAATCCCAGGTCTTGCTCTACCGAGCGTACCCTAGGAGCGGGCCGCGCATCGGCTGAAGCGGCGCTTCCAGGCGGGCGCTGGGCTCGAGCACCCCAGCACCGCGTCCGCAGGAGGCTCCCGGCCGCGGGTTGCGGGCCACGGCGAGGGCTGCCGGGCGGCGCGGGGCAGGTCTTGGACCGAGGGAAAAAGTCAGCCGGGGAAGCCCGCACACCAAAGCAAGCCGCTCCAGCCGCTGAGAACGGAGAAAAGCCGTGGCGTCGGCGAAGCGCCGGACGCTCAGGACGCACCTGTGATTCCTGGGCCGCTCCCGGGCCCGAGCGCCAGGACGCGGCGGCAGCCTGGGCACGCCGCGGGGAGCACCCGCCCGCGCAGCCTTCCCCCAACCTGGGCCCGGGCCCCGACCCCGTCCCCTGCCCCGACCCGGGCGCCCCCACCTGCGACCGCCTTCTCCGCCGCCCGCCTCCCCCACCCGCCCGCCGCCTGCCGCCTGCCGCCCGCCCTACCTCGCCGCTTGGCACGCACGATGCCCTTCTTCTGTAGCACGAACGTGGACCCGTTCACCAGGCTCGACACGACGGCCACGCCCAGGCCGAGCGACACGGCGGCGGGGCTCGGGCTACGCGCCCCCTCCCCGGCCGCCGCCGCCGCCGCCGCCGCCGCTGCCGCAGCTGCAGTCCCCATTCCGCCCGCGCCCGCCCTCCGAGCCTGCGCCTGCGCGCCGCGCCCCGCGGGGCGGGATGGGGGGTGACCGGGAGGCGCGGGCGGGGGAGGGGAGGGGGACGGGTGGGGGAGGAGCAGGAAGAGGGGCGGGGGCGGGACGGGGGTGCCAGGGACCGGCGCCTTAGGCTGCGGGGACAGCAGTGGCGCCGGACGCGGCGGCAGTGAGGGGCCGGTGAGGCGCTGGGTGGGGCGGGGGTTCCCGGATTTCGCAAATGGAAATGCAGGACTCCTGGTTAAGTTTCCAGCGCGGAGAAACACGCATACTTTCTGAGTGGTGTCCTCTGCAATATCCGGGCAGCGGAGCGCGGCAGGACGCACCGGCGGGCAGCGGTCCCCGAAGAGCCTCCAGCGGAGGCCGGCCCAACTCACCGGAGCGCGAAGCCCGGCGCGCCGCTGCAGAGATCGAAGGAGAGCCCTGGCGCTGGGCGTTTCTCTTCCGCCCTTGGCGCTAGAGTCAGCTACATGGGGCTCTGGGCTTGTGATCCCATAGTCTAGTTTCCTCGTTTTAATAAACTACAACAAGCCGGGCGCGGTGGCTCACGCCTGTAATCCCAGCACTTCGGGAGGCCGAGGCGGGTGGATCACAAGGTCAGGAGATCGAGACCATCCTGGCTAACACAGTGAAACCCCGTCTCTACTAAAAATACAAAAAATTAGCTGGGCGTCGTGGCGGAGGCCTGTAGTCCCAGCTACTCGGGAGGCTGAGCCAGGAGAAGGGTGTGAACCCGGGAGGCAGAGCTTGCAGTGAGCGGAGATCACACAACTGCACTCGAGCCTGGGCGACAGAGCGAGACTCCGTCTCAAAAAAAAAAAAAAAAGAAACAACAACAAAATTACAAGCTTGAAAAATAGGAAAAAGTTATTTTATTTTTTTTGGAAAAAAATATTTTTTAAAGTGACTCAATTCCACAACCCTCACCTAATTATTAGTATTTTAGGTGTTTTCCCATAATGTATACATACTTTTACATGTTTCCAATTACAATATACGAAATTTCCTTTTTATTTAATATATATCAGTTTCTGTATCGGTACATAAATATGATTATTCTAATGACAGTATAATAATTTGTCTAACCATTCAGCCATTGTTGGGTGTTAGGTAGCTACCAGGTTGGTTTGTTTTTTTGAGACAGAGTCTCGCTCTGTCGCCCAGGCTGGAGTGCAATGGCGCGATCTCGGCTCACTGCAACCTTACGCCTCCCGGATTCAAGCGATTCTCGGCCTCAGCCTCCGAGTATCTAGAATTACAGGCGTCCGCCACCACGCCCGGGTTAATTTTTGTATTTTGAGTAGAGACGCGGTTTCACCATCTTGGCAAGGCTGGTCTTGAACTCCTGACCTCAGGTGATCCGTCCGCTCTACCTCCCAAAGTGCTGGGATTACAGGCGTGAACCACCGCGCCTGGCCGGTTGCTGCCAGGTTTTGTTGTCTATAAACGATGCTACAAGCTGGGCACAGTGGCTCACACCTATAATCCCAGCACTTTGGGGACCGAGGTGGGAGGCTCGCTTGAGCTCAGACGTTCAAGACCAGCCTGGGCAACGTAGCGAGACCCGTCTCTACCAAAAAAAGAAAAAAATTAATTAGCGGGGCGTGGTGGCTTTTACCTCCAACCCCAGATACTCTGGAGGCAGAGGTGGGAGGATGGCTTGAGGTGGAGGTTGCAGTGAGCTGTTATTGCACCACTGCACTCCAGCCTGGGCAACAGAGCAAGATTGTCTCAAAAACAAACGAAAAGTATAAACCTTTTGGCAGCTTTGCATACAGCATTATTATTTTGTGAAGAAATATAAAATAGGGCCGGGGAGGTGGCTCATGACTGTAATCCCAGCACTTTGGGAGGCGGAGGCGGACGGATCCGGAGGTCAGGTGGATGGATCAGGAGGTCAAGAGATCGAGACCATCCTAGCTAACACGATGAAACCCGGTCTCTACTAAAAATACAAAAAATTAGCCGGGCATGGTGGAGGGCGCCTGTAGTCCCAGCTACTCAGGAGGCTGAGGCAGGAGAATGGCGTGAACCCGGGAGGCGGAGCTTGCAGTGAGCCGAGATGGCACCACTGCACTCCAGCCTGGGCGACGGAGTGAGACTCCGTCTCAAAAAAAAAGAAAAAAAAAAGAACTCCACCCCAGACATTTTTCCATGTGAGTACATAGGTTAAATGACAGGCATATTTTATCTGATGGGGAAACACATATGGGATTTTAATTAAAAACATAAAACTATATTTTGCTTGAATTTAACAAAAGAAAAACTGAAATGAAACTACAGTAACTACTGAATGACAAACATTATTTTGCCATGAGATATTACTTCCTAAAAGATACACCTAAAATTAAAGTTAGTAGGCCAGGTACAGTGGCTCATGCCTATAATCCCAGTACTTTGGGAGGCCAAGGCCAGCAGATCACTTGAGCCCAGGAGTTTGAGATCAGCCTGGGCAACATGATGAAACCCCATCTCTGCAAAAAAATACAAAAATTAGCCAGGCATGGTGACATGTGCTTGTAGTCCCAGCTACTCAGGAGGCTATGGGAGGATCACTTGACCCCAGAAGTTGAGGCTACAGTGAGCCATGATCACGCCACTGCACTCCAGCCTGGGCAACAGAAGTGAGACCCTGTCTCAAAAAAAAAAAAAAAAAAGTGAGAAACACTAAGAGGGTGGGAGTTACGTTTATTTTAACTCTGGGTTTCAATTTTGGGCTATCAATTGATTCCTTGCAAGGAGAAATGAGGAAATCAGTTCACTTTTCAGCTCCCTAAAAAATTTTTTTTTCGTCTTATGTTTTGAGATGGAGTCTTGCTCTGTCACCCAGGCTGGAGTGCAGTGGCGTGATCTTGGCTCACTGCAACCTACGCTTCATGGGTTCAACCAATTCTCTGCTTCAGCCTCCCAAGTAGCTGGGATTACAGACGCCTGCCACCACGCCTGGCGAATTTTTTTGTATTTTTAGTAGAGACAGGGTTTCACCATCTCGGCCAGGCTGGTCTTGAACTACTGACTTCGTGATCCACCAGCTTCGGCCTCCCAAAGTGCTGGGATTACAGGCGTGAGCCACTGTACCCGGCCAAGAATTGTTTCTTCTCCTTACCTAGGTAGAGACTTCTGTAGAAATGCCGGGAGATTTTTGGAGAGGGGAGATTTTTCTTTTTTTTCTTTTCTTTTCTTTTCTTTTTTTTTTTTTTGAGATGGAGTCTCGCTCTGTTGCCCAGGCTGGAGTGCAGTGGCGCGATCTTGGCTCACTGCAAGCTCCACCTCCCGGATTCACGCCATTCTCCTGCCTCAGCCTCCCAAGTAGCTGGGACTACAAGCACCCGCCACCATGCCTGGCTAATTTTTTATGTTTTTAGTAGAGATGGGGTTTCACTGCGTTTGCCAGGATGGTCTCGATCTCCTGACCTCATGATGTGCCCGCCTTGGCCTCCCAAAGTGCTGGGATTACAGGCGTGAGCCACCGCGCCCGGTGGGAGATTTTTCAGATAAAAAATTCAGCAGTTTGGGAGGCCAAGGTGGGTGGATCATGAGGTCAGGAGTTGAAGACCAGCCTGGCCAAGATGGTGAAACCCCGTCTCTACTAAAAATACAAAAATTAGCCAGACACAATGGCAGGTGCCTGTAATCCCAGCTACTCGGGAGGCTGAGGTAGGAGAATCCCTTGAACCTGGGTGGCAGAGGTTGCAGTGAGCCGAGATAGCACCACTGCACTCCAGCCTGGGCAATAAGAGTCAGACTCCGTCTAAAAAAAAAAAAAAATTTAATGGATCTAGTTCTAAACCTCATTTTGAATCCACCCACGTTGCTCTGAAATACATTCATCTTTCCTGTGGCTAAAACCTTAAAGCCTAGCCAGTAACTCCCATTGCACTTGAGGAAATCCAGTCTCCTTGCTGTGGCCCCTAACAGGCTGCTGCTGGCCCACCACGGTGCCTCTAGTTTGTGTAAAATGCATATGTTAATTCATAATAAATCATACAAGGCTTTTTTTTTTTTAGCTCTAAAAGGTTATTATTTACTAGTTGCTGTGTGAATCAGTATTTCTGGGTGCAGTTAGAAATTATTAGAGTTAATGCCCAAGACTCATCTCAACCAACACGGGGGAGGGCATCTGCTCCTTTTATGGTCAGTGACTCTGGGCCTCCTTCTGCTGGGCTCAGTCCTGAGGTGGGTCTGACTCAGGTCAGAGCTGTGCACCCCGGCCCTCCTCCCCAACGTGCATGAGTGCTCTTTAGGATGGAGCTGAACACCGGCTTCTCAAAACCATGTGGCCCCATCACAGGCCCTGAGAACTGATTGGGTCACTCTGGTGGGCTCCCCAGCCCTAGACAAGAAGGGTTTCTCTAGGGAGCCTGGCCCCCACTCATGAGACCTGGAGCCTCAAAGATCTCTTCGGAGCCCCAAAGATCTCTTTGCAGTGTATCAGCCCAGGCCTCCACACTGTGGCCTCTGCTCTCCTCTCCTGTTCCCCATGTGCATTTTCTTTTTCTTTTTGGCTTCACTTCTGAGTTATTCATTTAGCCATTTACTGCAGGAGCGAGGTGAGGATAGGAGAGTACTTGGGGTACCCGTAATGTTCACTGTGGTCTGGGGGTCCCCGAGCAGGACAGTGAGTTTGGGGTCTGGGGCTCAGGCGCTATGGCAGTAGACTGTGCGAAGTGACAGGAAGACATCCGCCTTGCATATTTTCTTTGGTTTTAAAGAAAGACGTTACCATTTCATGTTATATTTGTTTTATGAGACAGTTTCATTCTGTTGCCCAGGCTGGAGTGCAATGGTGCGATCTCAGCTCACTGCAACCTCCGCATCCCAGGTTCAACCGATTCTCCTGCCTCAGTCTCCTGAGTAGCTGAGATTACAAAAAAAAAAAGGTACATTTTAAAGCAGAGTAACAAATTGATAACTAAGCGTGGAGTGGAAAGAGGTGACCCCCGAGGACTGGAAATGGCAACGTTAGACTATGAACTACATTTCTCCCATGGCTGATTTGGCCTATGCCCAGGAATGAGCAAAGACAGCAGGCCCGTGAGACTGGAAGCAAGATGGAGTCAGCCATGCTAAACTTCTCTCACTGTCATCTTTGCAAAGCTGGTCTCACCATTTATTGAAGTGAATATTCTTTTTTTTTTTTTTTTAATGAGACGAAGTCTTACTCTGTTGCCCACACAGGAGTGCAATGGTGCAATCTTGGCTCACTGCAACCTCCACCTCCTGGGTTCAAGCAATTCTCCTGCCTCAGCCTCCCGAGTAGCTGGGATATCAGGTGCCCACCACCATGCCTGGCTAATTTTTGTATTTTTAGTAGAAATGGGGTTTCACCATGTTGGGCCTCACAATACACATCAGCCCATCTCCTCTCCTGCTTGACAGGGATGGTCATGATCCTCATTTCCCAGTTAAAGAAGCCGAAACTCCATTATGGGGTTTCACCATATTGGCCAGGCTGGTCTCGAACCCCTGACCACAAGTGATCCAAGCACCTCGGCCTCCAAAGTGCTGAGATTACAAGTGTGAGCCACTATACCCAGCCAATTAGGGGTAAATATCCAACATTTAGCCCGGTGCAGTGGCTCACTCCTTAATCCCAGCACTTTCAGAAGCTGAGGTAGGAGGATCACTTGAGCCCAGGAGTTTGAGTCCAGGTCTGGCAACATAGTGAGACCTTGTCTTAACAAAAAATTTAGAACTTAGCCAGGCATGGTGGTGTGCGCCTGTAGTCACAACTACCTGGGAGGCTGAGATGGAGGAGTGTTTGAACCCAGAAGGTCAAGTAAGCTGTGATTGTGCCACTGTACTCCAGTCTGTGTAACAGAGCAAGACCCTGTCTCCAAAAAAAAAAAAAAAAAAAATCCAAAATGTATAAAGAATTAATACAACTCAAAACAAATAACCTAATTTTTAAAATGTTTTTAAAAAACTTGAATAGACATTTCTTTAAACAAAACATGAAAATAGCAAGTGGGTATCTGAAAGGCGTTTTGCATTGTAAATCATTAGGGAAATGCAAATCAAACCCATTGAGATGCCACCTCACACCCCTTATGACTATTATCAAAAAGTCAAAAGATAAATGTTGGCAAGGGTGTGGCGAAATAGGAACTTTTGCATACTGTTGATGAGAATGTACATTGATACAGTCATTCTGGAAAAGAGTATGAAGATTTCTAGAGAAATTAAAAATAGAACTACCATATGACTCAGCAATCCCTCTTCTGAGCATACACCCAAAGGAAATGAAATCATTACTATGTAAAGTTACCTGTATTCTCATGTTCATTGCAGTCCTAACCATAATAGCCAAGATATGGAAACAATCTAAGTGTCCATCAATGGATAAATGGATAAAGAGACTGTGGCACACACTCACAATGGAATATTATTCAGCCCTAAAACAAACAAGGTCTTGCCATTTGCTGCAAGATGGATGAGGCTGGAGGACGTCATGCTAAGTGAAATAAAGCATACACAGAAAAACAAATATTGCATAAACCCATTTATATGTGGGATGTAAAAATGTAAATAAATAAATCTACAGAGATAGAGAGCAAAACATTGTTTACCAGGGGAGGTGGGAGAGGGGAGGAATTGGGGACATGGAGGCCAAAGGACACAAAGTAGCAGGTATGAAGGATGAACAAGTCTAGAGATGTAATGTATGACATGAGGACTGCAGGGAACAAAATTGTTATGCATGTGAAATTCATGCTAAATGAGTAGATTTCAACTGCTCTTGCCACAAAAGCAACAAGGAAATGGGGAACTATGTGAAATGATTGGTGTGTTAATTTCTTTCAGTATAGGAATCTTTTTACAATCTATATATAACTCTTAGCATCATGTTGTAAGCCTTAAATATACACAATAAGATTTATTTTTAAAAAAGAAAAATTGAGAGTCAAAGAACTGACAAAGCAAAGACTAAGTAAATAAAAACAGGGGTAACTATATTTATATCTGTTAATCAAAAAATGAGTGACTGACTGAGGCAAGTGCCTCCATCAACAGAGCTTTGTTCAGCCAAAATTTGATGATACCCCCAGAAAAAACACAAGCCAGAGAAACGCCTGTGACCTGTGCTTTCCAAAGAGGGTTTTGGGAACTCAGTACATAAGGGGAGAAGGCGTGCAGGAGAGAAGAAAGGGAGGGGGAGCAGGCAGTGAAGCGGTGGTTACATTCTTAGGAAGCTCTAATTAGTGCTCAGTAAATCTTCATTTTACATAAGATAGGTAAACATCTGAAAAGAGGAAGGAAAGAGTCAATTATGCAGCCATCTCAGGGTAGGTGGAAGAGTGATTGATCTCATGTTCTTGTTCTGTACCTGGGAAGATAGGCCTGTAATCAACATTGTCAGTGTCAGATTGAATAGAACTCAGTTTTACATCTTGAACTGAGGTTGCAGAGCCACGGTTACAATGGGCATATGCTTATTTTATAGGGGGACATGGATCCTGAAAGATTCAGGGGCCAGTAAAGAACATCCCTGTGAGCGATTTGTGAGGGGGGCCATATGGAGAGGTACGTGGCCTTTTGTGGTAGTGGGGACCTGGCTTATGTCTAATGCCATCACACAGGGTTGTGAAATGGCAGCTATCTCTTTGGGGAGAAAGAATGGTAGTGTTGCATGACTCAGCTCCCAAACTTAACGTCTCCCTTAGCATAACAGGTTTGGTGGTTCCAAGACTTTATTTTCTCTTACATATTAAAAAAAACTCTTAACGAAAGAGCTATGTGAGAGATAAAGTGGGTATTTCCTCATGATAAAAGGGTGCAACCAGAAGGGAGAAAAAGGAATTCTAAATGTGTTTATGCCTGGTAACTTAACCTTAAAACACACAGAACAAGCTTAACAAATGAAAAAAAAGAAATAAGTTGATGATCATTGTGGGAAACTTTAATATCTGTGTCTCAGCCACTGAAAAATAAACAAACATCAGTAAGCACATAGAATCTTTAAAGGATGCATTTAACACACTGGACCTAACTGAGATACGTGGTACACTACGCTCAACATGCAGAATACATATCCTTTTCAAGTGCAGAAGCAATATTTATAAAAATTAATCATATTTTCAATCATTGAGAAGACACAAATTCCACAGAGTTTTAGTTATACAAATATTTAATCACAGTGGAACTATAAGTTTGGAAATTAAGCAAAACATTTTCAGTATGGTAAAGGGATGAATAAAATCAAAGTTTGCTTTTTTGAAACACTAATAAAATTGATGGCCTCCAGCAAGATTGATTAACAAAACAGACAAAAGGCACAAACTCTAACCGGAGACTTTATAAGTATTAAAAAGATAAATGAATAATAGAATAACTTTGAAATTTTCGATAAAATGAACAAATTGATTCAGCAAACACAGGTTACCAAAATGAATATTTATATATATGTAATTGAACCTGTAGTTAAACACCTTATAAAGAAAACTACAGTCTCACATGGCTTAATAAGTGAATTCTTTCCAAATGCTTAAGGAAGAAATAGCACACATCTTACATAAACTCTGTCAGAAATAGGAGAAGAAACATTTTCCAAATTGTCTAACCAGCATAGCTTTAATACTTCATATTAAAACCTCACAAGTCTGGGCGTGGTGGCTCAAGCCTGTAATCCCAGCACTTTGGGAGGCCGAGGCGGGTGGATCACGAGGTCAGGAGATCAAGACCATCCTGGCTAACAAGGTGAAACCCCGTCTCTACTAAAAAATACAATAAATTAGCCAGGTGTGGTGTTGGGCGCCTGTAGTCCCAGCTACTCAGGAGGCTGAAGCAGGAGAATGGCATGAACCCAGAAGGTGGAGCTTGCAATGAGTTGAGATCACGCCACTGCATTCCAGCCTGGATAACAGAGCCAGACTCCATGGCAAAAACAAACAAACAAACAAACAAACGAACAAAAATCACCAGAAAAAAAAAAATTAGACTCCACTTTCTCTTGTGAACATAAGTACAAAACTACCAAATGAACTAGGAGCAAGCCCATCTCAACCATACATAATATGGTATTAATCATTTATCACAACAAAGTTGATTTAATTCCAGAAATGCAATGTTCAACATTCAAAAGCCAATCACTGTTAAGTTACCTTATCAACATAAAAAGATAAGAAAAAACATTGCTCAATCAAGAAAGAAAAAAGCAATTGATACAATTCAGTACCTATTCATAAATCTTAAAACCTGTCTAACAGAGAGGAAGCAACATGTGAGTTAAACACTCCCCCAGCTGAGAATAGTGACATAACTTATTTGCAGCCAAAAGATGAAAATTGCAGGCCAGGCGCGGTGGCTCATGCCTCTAATCCTAGCACTTTGGGAGGCAGAGGCGGGCGGATCACAAGGTCTGGAGTTCAAAACCAGCCTGGCCAACATGGTGAAATCTCGTCTCTACTAAAAATACAAAAAGAAATGAGCCGGGCGTGGTGTCATGCGCCTGTATTCCTAGCTATTAGGGAGGCTGAGGCAGGAGAATCGCTTGAACCATGGAGGCGGACATTGTGACAGTGAGCCGAGATTGTGCCACTGTACTCCAGCCTGGCAACAGAGCAAGACTGCGTTTCAAAAAAAAAAAAAAAAAAAGGAATGAAAATTGAATTGCAGTATAATCTTACAACTTTTGAGAAATCTATGTTTTTCAGCTAAAAAGAGAGAAACTCAGCCTTCTGACCTTTCTTCTTTCCCTCCTTGGAAGGCAATCCAAGGCCTGGAAAAACAGCAGCCATATTTTAACCACAAGAATAAAAACCTGGCTAAGAAAGTATCAGGAAACTGAAAAGAACCCTGGACTGCCTTCCTCTGCACATTTTAAGTGACAAAAATGAAATCTATATTTCTTTAAGTCACTGAATCAGATTTATTCTTTCTGTGGCTACATGTAGCCCTAAATGATGTATTAAATACTAAAATAAATACTAAAATACACACTAAAATACTAAAATTTTGGTCTTGACTCCTGATCTCAGGTGATATGCCCATCTCAGCCTACCAACGTGCTGGGATTACAGGCATGAGCCACCACGCCCACCTCAAAAGCTTTGTGTTTTTAAATATATTAGACATGTCTCTAGTTTAAAAAAAAAAAACTTAACAATAATGTAGGAGAATAAGAGAAACTTTTTCCAAAAAAGAGAAATCACTGTGATTATTTTATCTTATTGGAATGTTGGATAATATAATCTACTTTACTAATCATTAAACACGCTGTAAATTTTCCATTACAACAGGATTTGTACCTCAATTAAGGTGATAAAGTTTTAAAGTTTAGAAAGTGAAAGCCAGCCCCGCCTCTCTCCCAGAGTGGGCGGGGACAGCAGTTGCATGGGCGGCTTTCCTTGTGACATCACAGGACCTTCATGACACGCAGCTGCCTGGCCCCGCCTCCTTTCCCTTTCATCTTTCTCATTGACCAATGGGCTTGGATCATTAAGGCCACGCCCCTTTTCTGCATTCTAGTGCGACCCTGGTGACACCTCCTGTGGCTCAGTCACATAGCTGCGTGGTACGTGACTGGAGGCATATCACTGTCCTCGCCTGGATCACGCCAATGTGGCCCCAACCCCACCTCCCTCCCCACCCCATGATGTCAGAAAAAACCTGACACAGAAAATTGGCTGGGGCCAAGAGAAAGGTAAAATGCTTCGGATTGCAGCACCCCAACCCCAACCCAGCCCCAGGTCCCCTCTGATGGCAGAACAGCTGCCAGAATCCGTGTCACTCCAGAGGCACACAGGGCTGGGCCCCCCCAGTGCCTCTGGGCTCCCCCAACCAAAATCTTGTGTCAGCCCCAACCCCTCAGCAGTCCGGCCGCTGCCCTCACCGGTCACCCCAGGGTGACTTTCAGCCGGTGACTCGTGGGGCTCCCTGCTTGGTACTCTGCCCTCACCTCCTATTGTCCAAAAACGGATCTCCCTGGGCCCTTCGGGCTCACGTTTCCAAGGAACTGGATGCCCCAGCACCTGCCCTCACCAGTCACCCCAGGGTGACTTTGGGCAGGTGACTCCTGGGGCTCCCCACTCCATACTCAGCCCTCACCTACCGCTGCCCCAAGCCTGACTTCCCTGGGCTCTTTGGGCTCACGTCTCCAAGTACCTGGGTCCCAACCCTGTGACCCCACGCCAATCTCAAAGAGGCAACTTGGGCGCAGCACTGATGGGAGAATGGGTTTGGTTTGGTTTTCTCCCAGGCTTCTACTCTCCAGAGAGACTTTAACAGTTTTTTCTAAGTTATCCACCTCATATTTGAATTCTCCATGGTTCTGGGACCAGAGTGCCCATCAGTCAGTGATCTTTGAAGTGAGATTTGCTCATCTTCTGTGCAAGAGATCTTGGGAAACTGGACTTGACAACTTGAATCTTCCTCATCTCATCTCAACCTGGGGTACTTTGAGTGCCACAGGATACATATGGGGCATCTTTCTGAAGCATCAGTTTTCCTTGATTCTCGTGGGAGACACAAAACATTAATGTTCTTAGGGATGATAGTCACATAGATTTCAAAGAGTATACAAGACTTCTCTCTGAAATGCAGCTTGGGTTGTCCTCTTTCTGTTTAATTCCCACATTTAACAGAAAGGCTGCCTTCTGCCCTGAGGATACATGACTCTAAGAGGATGTATGACTGTAAACCACACAGTGTACACCTTCCTGCCTACTTTTTACTTTTCTACCTCTGCCTCTGGTTTTGGTCTCTGGCAGCTGCTGATTTGTGGCAACACCCCAGAGCTCAGAGTCAGAAGACTGAGTTTCAGTTCCATTATTGCCTTTCTTTTAGCCATGGTATCAATCCCTCTCAGTCACTAAGTGATTGCGACAACACCTCGTACAGTCGTTGGTGGCATTAAATCAGATCGTCTATGAGAGTATTTTGTATAAACTGTAAAGTGACTGTAGGAGCTTGTAGTTCTCATGAGTATCACTGCTCCTCTTTTCCACAGTTCACAGACTATCATCAGTGGAACAGTGCTGGTGTTGGTACCGGAGCAACCGACACCAAAAAGAAGAAAATAAATCATGGCACTAACCCTGAGACAACCACTTCGGGGGGCTGCCACTCGCCTGAGGATGTGAGTCTTGGCTGGCCGGTCTCCTGAGGACAAGGGGCACAAGGGGGAGGTCGAGGGTAACTGTTAAGATTGTGGAAGGAAGAACTGCCGGGTACTGGCTAAGAATTCTGGGTTTGAGTCCTACTTCTCTCTCCATCTGCGAGGGACACGGTTTAGGGAAAATTGCTCGAGTTCTTTGGGCCTCTCTTTTCACATCTGTAAAATGGGGATGGTAATGTTTTACTTACATGTGTGAAGCTTAAATCAGATTTGTTGCTGTTGTTTTTGTGTTAATCCCTAGTCCAGGGCCTGCTGTAAGCTCCCCTCCTCTTTGGGCTTCCGTTTCCTGAGGAGGTAGAGTTAGAGTATCAGAGGTTCTGTTTGCTCTGAGAGTCTGAGATTTAAAGATTCACTAGAATGGAAACCTTGGGGCCAAGGGCTCCTGTCTGCCTTTTCCGTCCTATATCCCAGCTGTGAAGAACCGTCCCCGGCCCCTATGTGCTTGCTCAATGCTTGTTGAATGAACGCATCTTTCTCCATCACAAGCTGGCAGAAGGGTGGGCTTTTCTCACACTCTTATGTCGGAAGGTTTATGTTACTGTCTTTTCCAGAGAATCTAGTTTCAGACTTTCAGTTCTGTGGCTGTGGGCAAAAACCAACAAAGACCCAAATCCTTTTTCTTTGGGCGTTAAGGCAAGTTGACCAGTTTGTGTTCCCATTGGGTCTGAGAACTTTGCCCTTAAAATCCATTCCTGACCCCTGCCTACCGCTTCCTGGCCTGGGGAATAGAGTCGAGGGGCCACCCTCAGTCACCTTCCTTTGACTCTCCCCACAGAAACAACAGAACCGAGCTCAGCTGAAAGAGGTAACATGGTTTCTTTCTTTGCTCACGACATGACCGCTGGGTTTGGGGGGCACTCAGATGTAGAGGCCCCAGTCTCGTCTCGCCTACTCCCAGCCTGGGGAGGAAGGCTCACCTCCCAGCTTCCACCCCATCCCCACAGGGTCCCTGATAACCTGGTCCCATGGGTGGGCCTGTCCTGGGACAGTGGTGCCATGCTGGGGGCATGTCTCTTGCTGTGCCATCTCTGCCTCCCTCTAGTAAGAGCTCTGTCTTCCTCTTCTTTTCTATAGGAAAAGAAGGCAAGCCACCAACATCAGCAAGCCCTAAGGAGGCAGCTAGAGGTGAGTGGAGGGTGTGAAGTTCCCTCCTGTCCTCTGGAGAAGGTTTCTTTGCTTCTCTTTCAGCACTTGCTTTTCTTGTCTCCCAAAGGCCCAGGATCATACCATACGAATCCTTATGTGTCAGAAAACTGAACTGGAGACAGCGCTCCATGACAGCCAGGATGCTGCCAGGAAATTTGAAGGTGGGAATCTGGGCACCCCGTCACCCTTCAACCTGGCACTTTCACAGGCCTTTGGGCTGCAGCTCAACCTCTCTCATTCCAGAAGATTCCAAGGATCTGGCAGGCTGCCTGCATCATTCCTGGCACTTTGCAGGAGAGTTACAGCGGGCTCTCTCTGCTATGTCCGCAGAGCACAAGAGGGCGGACAGGGTGAGTCCAACCACTTACCGGGTCCCCTGGGAGCCCAGCTTCGCAGATGGAGGAATGAGCCTAAAGGTCCCTTCTGCAGAATGCAGTGTCCTGCCCAGAAGACAGCATGGGCCATTTCTTGCTGCTTTTGTGCGTGGTTGTTAGAGGCAGGTTGGGGCTGAGTCAGCTGCTGTGGGTGAGTTGCGGGGCGCTGTGGGGAGCGAGCACTGGACACAGAGCTCGGAGGCCAAGTGCCCACCCCACCCATACTTGGCTGTGGCCTTGGTCAAATCCTAGGTGGAGTTGAGGGTACTTGTACCATGAAGGTACAGAAGAGTATCTTTAGTATGTTACCATTTGTGTAGAGAGAGGGAACACATGTACGTGGGTGTGTGTGTGTGTGTGTGTGTGTGTGTGTACGTACGTATTATGGTAATATACATAAAACATGTTTGTAAGGATTCATAAAAAACTCAGGAGAGAGGAACAGTGTTGGGGGAAGATATTTCCCTTCTGTACCTTCTGAGGTTTGGACTATGCCAATGTATCATTCTTTCAAAAAGTCAACAAAGGATTAATTTCCTCCTCCTTATCTGTGCCCCTACCCCCAACCAAAAGAATGGGTTTAGAGAATCAGATATACCTGGGTGTTGAAATCCCAGCTCTAAGTGATCTTAGGCAAGCACTTAACCTTTAATACCCCATGTTCTTCATCTACACAATAGAGGTGATAATGATAACTGTCTCCTGTGGTGGCTGTGAGGATTAAATGGGATTGTTAGCATAGTGCCTGGTGAAGCACTCAAGAAAGGTTCCAACAGTGGTAGTAATAACAGTAATAACAATAGCAATATTATCTGATCGCTCTGGGCCCGTTAGCCAGCTATCAATTCAGTCTCTTTCCCTGTGCCTTCCACCCTTACTGAGTTCTCTGAAAAACAAGTGAGAGCCAGGTGCAGTGGCACATGCCTGTAATCCCAGCTACTTAGGAGGCTGAGGCAGAAGAATCGCTTGAAGCCGGGAGGCGGAGGTTGCGGTGGGGTGAGATCGCGCCATTGCACTCCAGCCTGGGCAACAAGAGCGAAACTCCATCTCAAAAAAAAAAAAAAAAAAAGAAAGGAAAAACAAATGAGACCATGGGTTTGGAAACGCCTTGAGAACATGTCGGGTGTGACTGAGAGGGAGCAAGTGTTACTGTGGAGTATCAGTGTAGCTGTCGTTACTGGTCGTCCAGCTGCTCCTCTGCCTGCTGTATCCTGACTTGACCTTTCTCTATTTGCAGTACATCGAGGAGTTAACAAAGGAGAGGGAAGCCATGAGTCTGGAACTGTACAGGAACACGTAGGATGGGGGAAGGTGGGATGGGAGGTCTGGGGGCCCTTAGCGTGGGTGGTGTGCTGGGAGGTGGGGGGTACAGGTGAGCATGGTAGGGGGTCATACAGGTTTACATGTGTGTGCAGGGAAGCTCCAGTGACGGCTGTGCCACTGACTCATGGGGTAGCCTCAGGCAACTCATGTCTTCTCTCTGGCCTGCCACCTGGGACTTTTAATTCCTGGGGTCCCTTCCAATGCCACGGTTCTGTGGTTGTGGGGCGAGGGTAGAGGGTCGATCACCAAAGCGGTCCTTTCTGTTCTTCGTTCATTCCTTTCTCTACTGCCTCCGGCCATAGCATAACCAATGAGGAGCTGAAGGAGAAAAATGCCGAACTACAAGAAGAACTTCAACTGGTAGAAACTGAAAAGTCTGAGATCCAGCTCCACATCAAGGAGCTAAAAAGGAAACTGGAGACGGACAAAATCCCGCTGCCACAGGTGAGCGGCTGCAGCCCCGGGGGTGTGGGAGCCGCATCCGGCTGGGACATGGTCTAGGGATCATGCAGGGTGTGGGGAGGCTCCAGCCAAGAGCTGGAAAATTTGAGTCCTTGTTCTGGTCCCACCATAGAATCCTCTAGAGTGTGCTAAAAATCTACAATTTGGGACCATGCCTGGGAAATCAGAACCTCAGGGTTAGGGCTTAAAATTTCTTTTTAAAGAATCATAGACGAAAACCGTTATTTTATAGATTACATTTATATACCTAGCTTATGACTCTATTTCCTTTTGAGGTTCAAACCAACACTTTGCAGGAGAAGATGTGGAGGCAGAAGGAGGAGCTACAGGATCAGGAGAAGCTACGGAAGCACAAGGAGAAGATGTGGTGACAGGAGCAGAGGCTGCGGGACCAGGAGAAGGAGCTGTGGGAGCAGGAGCAGCAAATGCGGGAGCAGGAGCAGCAGATGCGGGAGCAGGAGGAGCAGATGCGGGAGCAGGAGGGGCAGGTGCGGGAGCAGGAGGGGCAGGTGCGGAAGCAGGAGGGGCAGGTGCGGGAGCAGGAGGGGCAGGTGCGGGAGCAGGAGGGGCAGGTGCGGGAGCAGGAGGGGCAGGTGCGGGAGCAGGAGGGGCAGGTGCGGGAGCAGGAGGGGCAGGTGCGGGAGCAGGAGGGGCAGGTGCGGGAGCAGGAGGGGCAGGTGCGGGAGCAGGAGGGGCAGGTGCGGGAGCAGGAGGGGCAGGTGCGGGAGCAGGAGGGGCAGGTGCGGGAGCAGGAGGGGCAGGTGCGGGAGCAGGAGGGGCAGGTGCGGGAGCAGGAGGGGCAGGTGCGGGAGCAGGAGGGGCAGGTGCGGGAGCAGGAGGGGCAGGTGCGGGAGCAGGAGGGGCAGGTGCGGGAGCAGGAGGGGCAGGTGCGGGAGCAGGAGGGGCAGGTGCGGGAGCAGGAGGGGCAGGTGCGGGAGCAGGAGGGGCAGGTGCGGGAGCAGGAGGGGCAGGTGGGGAGCAGGGGGGGGGGGGGGGGGGGGGGGGAGCAGGAGGGGAGGGGGAGCAGGAGGAGCAGATGGGGGAGAGGAGGAGCAGATGCAGAAGCAGGAGGAGCAAATGGGGGAGCAGAAGGAGCAGATGCGGAAGCAGGAGGAGCAAATGGGGGAGCAGGAGGAGCAGATGCAGAAGCAGGAGGAGCAGGTGCAAAAGCAGGAGGAGCAGATGCGGAAGCAGGAGGAGCAGATGCGGGAGCAGGAGGAGCAGATGCGGGAGCAGGAGGAGCAGATGCTGAAGCAGAAGGAGCAGACGGAGCAGGAGGAGCAGACGGGGGAGCAGGAGGAGCAGATGCGGGAGCAGGAGGAGCAGATGCGGGAGCAGGAGGAGCAGATGCGGGAGCAGGAGGAGCAGATGCGGGAGCAGGAGGAGCAGATGGGGAAGCAGGAGGAACAGATGTGGGAGCAGAAGGAGCAAATGTGGGAGCAGAAGGAGCAGATGTGGAAGCAGGAGGAGCAAATGGGGGAGCAGGAGGAGCAGATGCAGAAGCAGGAGGAGCAGGTGCGAAAGCAGGAGGAGCAGATGCGGAAGCAGGAGGAGCAGATGCGGAAGCAGGAGGAGCAGATGCGGAAGCAGGAGGAGCAAATGGGGGAGCAGAAGGAGCAAATGGGGGAGCAGAAGGAGCAGATGCGGGAGCAGGAGGAGCAAATGGGGGAGCAGAAGGAGCAGATGCGGAAGCAGGAGGAGCACATGGGGGAGCAGAAGGAGCAGATGCGGAAGCAGGAGGAGCAGATGCGGAAGCAGGAGGAGCAGATGCGGAAGCAGGAGGAGCAGATGGGGGAGCAGGAGGAGCAGGTGCGGGAGCAGGAGGAGCAGATGGGGGAGCAGGAGGAGCAGATGCGGAAGCAGGAGAAGCAGATGCTGAAGCAGAAGGAGCAGATGGGGGAGCAGGAGGAGCAGATGGGGGAGCAGGAGGAGCAGATGCGGAAGCAGGAGGAGCAGATGCAGAAGCAGGAGGAGCAAATGGGGGAGCAGAAGGAGCAGATGCGGAAGCAGGAGGAGCAAATGGGGGAGCAGGAGGAGCAAATGGGGGAGCAGGAGGAGCAGATGCGGAAGCAGGAGGAGCAGGTGCAAAAGCAGGAGGAGCAGATGCGGAAGCAGGAGGAGCAGATGGAGCAGGAGGAGCAGGTGCGGGAGCAAGAGGAGCAGGTGGGGGAGCAGGAGGAGCAGATGAGGGAGCAGGAGGAGCAGATGGGGGAGCAGGAGGAGCAGATGCAGAAGCAGGAGGAGCAGATGGGGGAGAAGGAGGAGCAGATGGGGGAGCAGGAGGAGCAGATGCGGAAGCAGGAGGAGCAGATGCGGAAGCAGGAGGAGCAGATGGGGGAGCAGGAGGAGCAGATGGGGGAGCAGGAGGAGCAGATGCGGAAGCAGGAGGAGCAGATGGGGGAGCAGGAGGAGCAGATGCTGAAGCAGGAGGAGCAGATGCGGAAGCAGGAGGAGCAGATGCGGAAGCAGGAGGAGCAGGTGGGGGAGCAGGAGGAGCAGATGCGGGAGCAGGAGGAGCAGATGCGGAAGCAGGAGGAGCAGATGGGGGAGCAGGAGGAGCAGATGAGGAAGCAGGAGGAGCAGATGGGGGAGCAGGAGGAGCAGATGGGGAAGCAGGAGGAGCAGATGGGGGAGCAGGAGGAGCAGATGGGGGAGCAGGAGGAGCAGATGTGGGAGCAGGAGGAGCAGATGCGGAAGCAGGAGGAGCAGATGGGGGAGCAGGAGGAGCAGATGCGGAAGCAGGAGGAGCAGATGGGGGAGCAGGAGGAGCAGATGAGGAAGCAGGAGGAGCAGATGGGGGAGCAGGAGGAGCAGATGCGGAAGCAGGTCGAGAGGCTGCGATTCAAGGAGGAGAGGCTGTGGGATGAGTATGAGAAGATGCAGGAGGAGGAGGAGAAGATCCGGGGGCAGGTGGAGAAGATGGGGGAGAAGAAGGAGAGGATGGGAGAGCAGGAGGAGAAGATGCAGGAGGAGCGGTGCTCAGAGCCCTGCCTCCCTCCCTCCAAATATCCTTGTGATATGAGCCACCCTGGCAGCCTGGAGCCTGCACGAGAAGCCGGGAAGGGTTATTCCCATGACCGCCACACTGCACAGCAGATCATGCAGCTGCCCCCTGGAATGAAGAACGCCCAGGAGCGCCCAGGCTTAGGCAGCACCTCCTGCATCCCATTCTTCTACCGAGGAGACAAGAAAAAGATCAAGATCATCAATATCTAAAAAGAACGGTCAACAAGGCCTACAGAAGTGTAAGCCGCCATGTGACCTTGTGAATATAGTCTGAGAACAAACTTGAAAAAAAGAAAATGTATTTTAAATTGTGGCAAAATACTGGCCGGGCACGGTGGCCTGCACCTGTAATCACACCACTTTGGGAGGCCTAGGCGGGTGGATCACCAATCCCAGCTACGTGGGAGGTTGAGGTTGCAGTGAGCCGAGATCACACCACTGCACTCCAGTCTGGGTGACAGAGTGAAACTCCCATTTCAAAAAAAAAAAAAAAAATTTTCTACCTGAGGACTCTAATATCTATGTATGTTTCTATTGTTTTTTTTGTTTGTTTTCTCCTTTCGTCTTGTGTTGTCTTGTCTTATGGCATGCCTAGTAAAGTTTTATGTGTCTCCAGAGAGTATTGACTTTGACTTTATGGCACACAATTGGCGTTCAAGCAGATCGCTTTCATCTAGTTTGGGACTAAGCTGGCTCAAAGCAGGTTTTAGTTTTTGTGACAGCTGGTCTATTTTTTATTCTTTTGGACTCTTAGGGGTGGCCCTTCCAGGATCCCCACCAAGGTCTCATCTCCTTACTGGGACCCAAATTCTCATTATGTCATTTCAGCCCTGTGAGAGTGCCAAACATTCAGCTAGGCTCTCCAGCCTCTTAACTATCACTTCATACTCAGTTTCTTAGCCTCTTAGCCCTCTACTGTTGACCGATCACCAAATGTGGGAAAAGCACTAAGGACTGTCAGGATCACCTCCTAGGCCTGGTCACTCAAGTCCTGGCTGAGGTCCCCAATTACCTTCCAACAATTGTTTTTGATGGTGGGGGGAAGGGGGGACACATTTTTGTCCAGTTTTTCTAACTGTTCCTGTGGGGAGGCTAGTCTATAACAAGCTACTCTGCCTTTAATGAATGTTGAAAACCCTTTTTTTTTTTTTGAGATGGAGTCTCACTCTGTTGCCCAGGCTCTAGTGCAGTGGTGCAATCTCTGCTCACTGTAACCTCCACCTCCTGGGTTCAAGCAATTCTCCTGCCTCAGCCTCCCAAGTAGCTGGGATTACACGCGTATGCCACCACCCCTGGCTAATTTTTATATTTTTAGTAGAGACGGGATTTCACCATGTTGTCCAGGCTGGTCTCGAGCTCCTGACTCATGTGATCTACCCGCCTCGGCCTCCCCAAGTGCTGGGATTACAGGCGTGTGCCACTGCATCCAGCCCATCTGTCTTTTTATAAATGTTTCTAATTTGAGGTATAATTCCTATTCCGTGAAATGCACAGATCTGGTTTACATTTTGATGACTTTTAACAAATGCATTACCCATGTAACCCACCTCCTTTGAAGATATGGAACATTTATCATCCAGAAAGTTCTCCTGTGCTTTCATCCTGTCCGGCACTCCCCCAGCAGCTGATGAACATGCTGAGGACATTTGTACAGGATTCTGGCCTCCCCAAAAGAGCTGCTTTGACAAGCCTGCTTGCCTTACCCAGCACTAAATCCCTTCCTGTTCTCTCAAAATTTCCATCTTTAAACTGCTTGTACCTATAACCCTCCCACATCAAATCCATAGATAAACCAGCCCACAGCCTAATATTTACTGTATACCCAAGCTTTCAGAAATACGACTCCCAGGAGTGGGGACTGGTGGCTGCATCCCCTCCTCCTCCTGGAAGCCTCTACCAGCCTACAGAGCCCACAGAGTAGATCTCACCAGGCAGCCTGAGCCTGAAAGTGCCGTGGAGCCTCCTGCTGGTTCACCCTCACTATGGTGGCAGCTGCACGGGAGCAGCTGGGCTCACTCATTAAGCAAGAAGACATTGGCTTGATGCTGACACTCCAACCCCAGCCTGGGTGAGCCTGGCTGAAAGGCCCCTTCCTTCTGGTCAGACTGTGGGGAGACGCGGCAGAGCATACACACTCTACTGCCCTCCTCATGCTTCAGCTGTGCTTCCTTCTTAACAGAGGGAGCCGCTCATGGATTTGGCCAAAGCCTTCCTGAGGGCTGAAGGTTTGACAGGCTGGGTGTGTAGGGGCCACCGTGCTAGAGAGAGAGACTGGTGTGTCAGAAGGCAGCCACCTGGCCAGAGGGGGGTCAACCCCCTTGGTAACCTCCTTCCCCCAGCTGGACACAGAGCCCTGTACTCTCCACATGTGACTGCTCCCCTCAGAGCTGCCACCAGAAGAGGGGTTCTAACCCTGTGGGTGGGGACATTGTGTTACTTTACAGTGGGCCATGGCTCCCTCTGACATCTCCAACTCAGAGGCAGTAGAGAGAAGATGAGAAATTCCCTGCGCCTCTAGTCCTAGCTACTTGAGAGGCTGAGGCAAGAAGGTCACTGGAGCCCAGGAGCTCAAGGCTGCAGTGAGCTATGATTACATCAACGCATTCCAGCCTGAGTGACAGAGTGAGACCCAATCTCAAAAACAACAATAATAAGTTAAACATAAATCTAACTACCACATTATTGGCCAGGTGCGGTGGCTCACACCTGTAATCCCAGCAATTTGGGAGGCTGAGGCGGGTGGATCACGAGGTCAGGAGATGGAGACCATCATGGCTAACACGGTGAAACCCAGTCTCTACTAAAAATACAAAAAAATTAGCCAGGCATGGTGGCGGGCGCCTGTAGTCCCAGCTACTCAGGAAGCTGAGGCAGGAGAATTGCGTGAACCCGAGAGGCGGAGCTTGCTGTGAGCTGAGATGGCGCCACTGCACCCCAGCCTGGGCGACAGAGCGAGATGCCATCTCAAAAAAAATAAATATGTAAGCATTCCACATTATTGACCAATTCCACTCCTAGGTATAGCCACAAAGAATTAAAAGCAGACACTCAAGACACTCGTAAACCAGTGTTCATAGCAGCATTACTCACAACAGTCAAGAGATGAAAGCAACCTGATTGCCCACTGAAGGGATAACATGTGGCTTACATATATAATGGAATAGCATTGAGCCTTTAAAAGAAAATTTTGACACATGCGGATGAACCCCAAACACCTAGGAAGTTCAATAACCCAGTCACAAAAGGACAAATACTGTATGATTCCCCTTATAGGAGACACCTTGAGTAGTCAAATTCTGAGACAAAAGTAGAATGGTGGTTGCCTGGGGACAGAAGGAGTTAGTGTTTCATGGATACGGAGTTTCAGTTGGAGAAAGGGCAAAAGTTGTAGAGATGGATGGTGGTGATGGCTGGGCAATAATGTGAATATACTTAATGCCAATGAACTGTACACATAAAAATGATTAAAATGGCAAGTTTTAAGGTATGTATATTTTACCACAATATTTAAATTTTTTTAATTACATTTTTTTAAATTGTTACCAAAAAATACGAATAATCCATCCAAGTTATTTAGAAAAGGAGCGTCAGATCAAGCTTTCCAAAATGCCAAAACTCAGAAGATTACCTGGTTGCTTGACCCACACCCAGGTCTCCAGAATTGACTTGGCCCTATATACAGGTGCAGGAGTTTCGTCTTCATCTTTTTTCTCTTTGTCATTCAGATCTTCTTTCTTTGTTCCACTTGGTTCGACACTATCATCTGCAGAATTAAAAAATTTTTTAATCTGTCACCGCTTTTCAGAATGTCATACCATTAGTCTCTGCAAATGTCCCTCCCCGAAAAGTTACAACACACATCATTAACTGAATGGCATGCGGTATCCCCCACCCCAGGGCTGTGAGCATGCGTGACTAATAAACTGCTATTTCATCTGTCCAGTGTCGGTGTCCTACGTTCAGCCATCCCATATCCCTAGGGCAGGAATCTTCTAGGGTTATAAACAGAACTTTAATCAACCTCTCCTTGGTTATTTTACTGGTTCCATGATACAGCTTTTTCTGTGCAAAAGATCTGAACAGAAACTTCACAGAGGATACAAGAGTGGCAAAGAAGAACACGATATTCAGCATTCTTAGCCATTACGGAAGTGCAAATTAAAACCACAATGAGATCCCACTAGACTTGTTAGAATGGCTCAACTAAAAAACACTGATAACACCAAGTGCTAACAAAGACACAGAGCAACAGAAACGTGACAGATTGCCAGTGGGAATGCAAACTAAAACAGCCACTTCGGAAAACAGTTCAGCACATGACCCAACTTTCACACTACTAGGTCTTTATCCTAGGGAAATGGAAACTATATTCACATAAAATCTGTAGAGAAATGCTCACAGTAGGATTACAATTGGGAAAGAAAAATGGAAACAACCACAAGGTCCTACAATGGCAGAATGGATAAACACCATGTGGTACATCCAAATGATGAAATACTAATCAGCAATAAAAACAACTATTAATACATAGAACAGCAGATAAATCTCAAACATATAACTGGGAGTAAATGAAGATGGTTTCAAAACGTTACTTAAAATATGGTTCCACTCACATGACATTCTCAAAAAGAATACCCTATACTGATGGAGAACAGATCAGTGGTTGCCAGGGTATGAGACCAGGGAACACGTGATAAAAAGGAGCAGCACAAGGGAGCTTTCGGGGTGAAGAAAATTCTCCACCCTGATGATGATGGGGGTTACACGAATCTATAGAGGTCAAAATTTACTGAACTACATACCACAATAAAATAAATTTCATATAAGTTTTTTAATAAAAATATGTTGGCTGGGTGGGTGTGGTGGCTCACACCTGTAATCCCAGCACTTTGGGAGGCCGAGGCGGGTGGATCACAAGGTCAGGAGTTCGACACCAGCCTGGCCAACATGGTGAAACCCTGTCTCTACTAAAAATACAAAAATTACCCAGGCTTGGTGGCACGTGCCTGTAATCCCAGCTACTTGGGAGCCTGAGGCAGGAGAATGGCTTGAACCTGGAAGGCGGAGGTTGCAGTGAGCCGAGATCACACCATTGCACTCCAGCCTGGACCACCGAGTGAGACTTCATCTCAGGAAAAAAAAAAAAAAAAAAAGAAGGAAAATATCTAGGTCCAGGGAGAACAGCTGGAATACGGTCTGGTGGAATCATGTCAGAGCAGGGAGCTGGGTCTGGAGGGCTGGAGTAGGGTGCAGCCCCACTCTAGGAAGGAACTAGGAAAGGCATCCTGGGTGAAGCAAGAGCAGAGTCCCGTTCTGCAACAGGTGAGCATTTATCCTGATCTGAGAAACTACATACAAATTTAATACGTCTCACTTAGCCTCTTATTTTCCTTAACAACATGGAAAATGAGAGGACAAACAATTCAGAAGGTTAAGACATGAAATACATTTAATTCAGAAATCATACACAGAAAGGTAGGAAATGAATGGGGGAAAAAAGCAGCTAATGGAAAGTGAAAATGGGCCAGATGCGGTGGCTCACGCCTGTAATCCCACCACGTTGGGAGGCCGAGGTGGGTGGATCACTTGAGGTCAGGAGTTTGAGACCGGCCTGGCCAACATGGTGAAACCCGATCTCTACTAAAAATATCAAAATTGGCCTGGCATGGTGGCAGCCACCTGTAATCCCAGCAGCTCGAGAGGCTGAGGCAGGAGAATTGCTTGAACCTGGGAGGCAGAGGTTGCAGTGAGCTGGAATCTCGCCACTGGACTCCAGCCTGTACAACAGAGTAGGACTCTGTCTCAAAAAAAAAAAAAAAAAGTGAAAATAACCTAACATGTACTATGCAAAGCATCTGGCCTAACAACAATACATTACCCTTTTAAATCTTTACAAACAACCTTGAAGGAGGCAGGCTTTGTTGTCTCCAGTTTACCAAGGTAGACAGACATCTTGGGTCACAGAATACACAGCAGAACCCAGCCAGGAACACAGCTCAGGTGAGAACACAGGTGCTGGCTCTAAATGCCAGACTCTGCCCTACGTGTGTGTATGTGTGTGTGTGTTTGGGGTCACTAACCACAGCCCAGGGGCCAAACCCAGCCCACAGCCTCTTTGTGTATGGTCTGAACGCAGAGAAAGTATTTTATTTTTGTTGTTCTTTTGAGACAGAGTCTTGGCTCATCACAACCTCTGCCTCCCAGGCTCAAGCGATTCTCCCAGGTTCAAGTGATTCTCCTGCCTCAGCCTCCGAGGAGCTGGGATTACAGGCGTGCATCACCATGCCCCGCTAATTTTTTGTTTTTAGTAGAGATGGGGTTTCACCATGCTGGCCAGGCTGGTCTCGAACTCCTGACCTCAGGTGATCCGCCTGCCTCAGCCTCTAAAAGTGCTGGGATTACAGGTGTGAGCCACCATGCCCGGCCACTGTATTTTATATTTTTTAATAATTGAAAAACATTCAAAAGAAAAACAGTATTTTGTGACTTGCAAACATTCGGTGGACTTCATCTTTTGGTGTCCATAAATACACTTTACAGAATGAACGTCCCCTGCCCGCTGACGTGGTATTGTCTGTGGCTACTTTGGCACTAAATCTGCAAGGTCTCATGGCTATGACAGAGACCATAGGGTCCATTGAGACCTTAAAATATTTACTTTCTGGCCCTTTAGAGAAAGTAGGCCACCCCTACCCTACAGCTGGCTATAAATTTTACACATTAAAAAAATGCAACATTCTTAATTTTAAACTCAGTGTACTGGAACACTGCTCATCTCCCTTCTTCAAGATGAAAAGCTTCGACAGTCACCAGCAAGCAGACAAGAACCCTAAGTACACCTCAAGAGTTATTCTCAGGAGCATAAATTACAACACTTTACAACAGCAAAAGCAGGATGAAGTCACTGGAGGCCACGAAAACAACCAAGAGTAATTAGCACCACCAGCTCAAAGACCACACCACAACAACTTCAAAGTTGTCTACTCTTCCTTTCACTACTGTAGGGTTCAAAGTATACATAGAGAAAATCGAACACATACTACCGAAACACATTGCTTATGGAATGCTGGAGAGAAGGGAAGCGAGACCTCCCATTGGCCAGGTGTGGTGGCTCATGCCTGTAATCCCAGCACTTTGAGAGGCCAATGTGGGATGATCACTTGCACCCAGGAGATCAAGACCAGCCTGGCCAACACAGCAAAACCCCATCTCTACTAAAAATACAAAATACGGCTAGGCGTGGTAGCTTACATCTGTAATCCTAGCACTTTGGGAAGCCGAGGTGAGGGGATCACTTGAGGTCAGGAGTTCCAGAGCAGCCTGGCCAACATAGTGATACCCCATCTCTACTAAAAATGTGGCTCAGGCCTGTAATCCCAGCACTTTGGGAGACCGAGGCGGGTGGATCACAAGGTCAGGAATTCGAGACCAATCTAACCAACACGGTGAAACCTCGTCTCTACTAAAAATTCAAAAATTAGCCGGGCATGCTGGCGTGCACCTGTAATCCCAGCTACTCAGGAGGCTGAGGCAGAGGATCGCTTGAACCTGAAAGGGGGAGGGTAGTGGTGGCGGGCACCTGTAATGCCAGCTACTCGGGAGGCTGAGGCAGGAGAACTGCTTGAACCCGGGAGGCAGAGGTTGCAGTGAGCCAAGATCACGCCACTGCACTCCAGCCTGGGCAACAGAGCAAGACCCTGTCTCAGAAAGTAAAATAAAAAATTCATAGTCTTAATAATGGAAAACAAAAACATTTACTGAATGTCAAAACGTCTCCCTAAAAACCCCAATCAGTTGGGTTCTACGTAAAGAACAATTATGCTCTGCTTTCTAACCATGATTTTTAAAAGAACAAAGGACAAAAAAAGTCATCAAATGTGGTCCAGGCACAGTGGCTCACACCTGTAATCCCAGCACTTTGGGAGGCCAAGGAGGGTGGATCATGAGGTCAGGAGTTCAAGACCAGCCTGGCCAATATGGTGAAACTCTGTCTCTACTAAAAACACAAAAATTAGCTGGCCGTGGTGGAGGGCACCTGTAATCCTAGCTACTCTGGAGGCTAAGGCAGAGAACTGCTTGAACCCAGGAGGCGGAGGTTGCAGTGAGCCAAGATCATGCCACTGCACTCCAGCCTGAGAGACAGAGCAAGACTCCCTCTCAAGAGGAAAAAACAAAAACAAAAATTCATGAAATGTAATAAATAAAATATACACTTTGGATTTTTCCATGTACTTAGCTTTTCTAGAGCATCTTTTAGAATTATTGTTTCACAAAAAACACTTTGGGAAACGTTTTAATTTATTAACAAATACTGGAGGGCTAGGAAGAAGAGGTTAAAACTTTTCAAAATATAGAGAATGAATTACTGATACGTGTAAAAAAAAAAAAAAAAAGGTTGCTGACTCCAGTCATGGAAGGCACTGTCATATGGACACTCCTAGCCTCAGCATCTGGAGGTCCGGAAAGGGAAAATTTCAAGTCAGAGAGAATTCTATACATACCATTTATTTGGAACCTTCAGCCCTTAAGATCCCAACATTATGACCTCAGTTTCAACATAATTGTCCTCAGTCCTTGTATTGGTTACAAATACAAAACAAACAGCTCAACTGAACTAACTCTTTTCTCTCCAGAAACACAAACAAAAGACCTCATAAAAGGAGTGAGTTTCTAGCGGCCATAATTACTGCAACTTACTTCTCCAATTTTGCCCTCCACAGTTAACTCAACAGCTCAAAAACTATCAGTAACAAACAACAGTCACCATGATATGGTTAGGAGTGTAGCAGATTTCTCAACCAGTAATAATAATTAAGAAAAAAATTTTGCCTATTAATAAATCTCGTTTCCTGCACTTGCAAGAAACTAATTAAAAGGCAGCCCTGCACGATCTACAAAAACAGCCATGAAGACTGTTACATTTTAAGTTACAGGAAACAAACCTGATCCTCTAATATAGCAAGATACAACTGACTTCCCCTTACATACCCTAAAAAAAAGCCTTACACGAGAAATTTAAACATGGAAGCAGAAATACACCAAGAAAAACACATGTCAAACCCCACCTGTATATCTGTTTTCAACCATTCGGTGTCAAGGCGAGCCTGGGCAGCCAAACACAAAGATTCAGAGGGCATCTTTTCTCCAGCTTCCTCCCAGTTCTCAGGCCTGCAAGTAAACATACATGTTGAAGACCTAACGCTTTTTACTATTTTACAAAGACACTCCGGAAAGGTTTAATGCAGAAAAAAAACAAAAGAGAGAGACAGAGAACAAAAAGATGGGAGAGAAGAGCTGGGGGACCGGAGTGAAGTGCAGAGAGGGAAAGAGGGAACAGATGGAGGGAGAGGGAGGTGGGGAAGGGAAAGCCTCCTTCCAAGGTAGGCAGGGTGTGCCTGGTTTCTCAGGAGGCCAGATCACAATGTCATCCCCCTGCCCTCAAATCCAAAAGGTACACACACACATGACAGAAAGCCCATCGTTTTTTGTTTTGTTTTGAGATGGAGTCTTCCTCTGTCACCCAGTCTTGAGTGCAGTGGCGGAATCTCAGCTCACTGCAAGCTCCACCTCCCGGGTTCACACCATTGTCCTGCCTCAGCCTCCCGAGTAGCTGGGACTGCAGGCGCCCGCCACCACGCCCAGCTAATTTTTTGTATTTTTAGTAGAGACAGGGTTTCGCCGTGTTAGCCAGGATGATCTCCATCTCCTGACCTCGTGATCCGCCCGCCTCGGCCTCCCAAAGTGCTGGGATTACAGGCTTGAGCCACCGCGCCTGGTCAAGAAGCCCACAGTTTGAACGACAAATGACAGCAGCACGAATCTGCCGCTTTACCCTACAGCAGGGCGCCTGCGTGAAACAAATTACTCAAAAGGATCACCTGCAGAAAAACCCACAGCCACCACCACTTAGACATGGAGACAGACCCAAGGCTGCGCCGCGGGCGGTCCGCGCAGGCCCCCCGTTCGGCCGCCCGTCAACCCAGCGCCCGCACCTCCTCCGACGCTGGCAGCCCCGGTGCCCCAGGCCGGGACCTGACGCGCAGGGCCCAGCCGCCTCGCCCCGCTGGCTTGCGGACACAGCCTCCTAGCAGCCGCTGGCTCAGGCGGCGCCAGGGATCCTGACGCCTCTCCCGACCCCCGCCACCCGCGCTTAGGGCCAATCGCAAGGCGGCTCCGTGGGCGCAGCCAATGGGGAAGAGGAGCGCTTCGCCGCTCCTCCGGACTCTCCCGCTTCCTGCAATGCGGTTTATCTTCCTACTTGGGAGCCCACCGGCTGAGGCCAGGGGGCAACCGCAGGTGCCAGAAGGCGGGATTTCCGCGGCACGCACGCACACCCGCACTCCTACGGAAGTCAGTTTCTCACCACCTGAATTATTTGAACTTAGCACCACTAAACGTGGAGCAATCACGTACAGAGTGCTTCCAGACCTCATGTAATAGAAATCACTGACATCATCTATTTTTTTTTTTTTTTGAGACAGAGTCTCATTGCGTCGCCGAGACTGGAGTGCAGTGGCATGGTAGCGGCTCACTACAACCTCCACCTCCCCGGTTTAGGTGCCTCAGCCTTCCGAGTAGCTGGGATTACAGGCATCTGCTACCACACCTGGCTAATTTTTGTATTTTCAGTAGTGACGGGGTTTCATCATGTTGGCCAGGCTGGTCACGAACTCCTGACCTCTGGTGATCTGCCCGCCTCAGCCTCCCAAAGTTCTGGGATTACAGGTGTGAGCCACCGTGCCCGGCCTATTTCATATTTTAAATATTAGAAAAGTAGAACTTGGCCAGGTGTGGTGGCTCACACCTGTAGTCTTGGCACTTTGGGAGGCTGAAGTGGGAGGATCGCTTGAGCCCGGGAGTTCAAGACCAGCCTGGGCAACATAACAAGACCCTGTCTATTCAAAAAATAAAATTAGCCAGGTGAGGTGGCACGTGCCTGTGGTCCCAGCTACTCGGGAGGCTGAGGCAGGAGAATCGCTTGAACCCCAGAGGCGGAGGTTGCAGTGAGCCGAGATCGTGCTACTGCACTCCATGGGGAGGCAGAGCCAGACTCCATCTCAAAATAATAATAATAGTAATAATAATAAGCTTGGGCGGTGGAGGGCCATCCCCGGGCATTGGCCACATGTGGAGTGACCTGGCTTGGCTCCCTAGCAGCCAGCTTCTGGGTCAGGCATCTTCGTTGGTGACTTTCAGCTCTCCTGGTGTGGCCGTGAGTGGTGTGGCACTGCCGTGACCCATCTTTTTGTCTTAAAGATGCATCCTGACTTACCTCCACACTTGCACACTCAAGAATGCAACATCGTGATTAACTTGCTAAAAGAATATCACAAAAATCATAGCATCCGAACATTTTTTGGTCATTGCAATGATCTGGATCAGGCAATGAGAAAATAAATGCTTGAAGAATGAGTACATGGAAAAGAGGACCAAGAGCAGAGAGTATGGCAATTTGATGCAAAAGAGACTTTTTTTTTTTTTTTTTTTTTTTGAGACGGAGTCTTGCTCTTTCACCAGAGCAAGTGCAGTGGCTCAATCTTGGCCCACTGCAACCTCCGTCTCCTGGGTTCAAGCAATTCTCCTGCCTCAGCCTCCCACGTAGCTGGGACAACAGGCCTGTGCCACCACACCCAGCTAATTTCTGTATTTTTAGTAGAGACAGGTTTCACCATTTTGGCCATGGCCAGGATGGTCTCGATCTCCTGACCTTGTGATCTGCCTGCCTCAGCCTCCCAGAGTGCTGGGATTACAGGAGTTGCTGTGTCCAGCCGCAAAAGAGACTTTTTAATTCTCCAGAGGAATCTGAAAAATAAATTGCATTTTCACTGGATGCCTTGGCTGAGAGAAGACCAAAAGGCTATGGGTTGGCCCGGGCATGGTGGCTCACACCTGTAATCCCAGCACTTTCGGATGCCGAGGTGGGTGGATGACCTGAGGTCAGGAGTTCAAGACCAGCCTGACCAATATGGTGAAACGCTGTCTTTACTAAAAATACAAAAATTAGCCAGGCGTGGTGGCAAGGGCCTGTAGTCCCAGCTACTCGAAGGCTGAGACAGGAGAATCTCTTGAACCCAGGAGGCAGAGTTTGCAATGAGCCAAGATCACGCCACTGCACTCCAGCCTGGGTGACAGAGCGAGACTCCGTCTCAAAAAAAAAAAAAAAAAAAAAGAAAACGCAGAGTGCATAGCACATGGTAGATACTGACACTGCACTGAGTCTCTTACACACATCGTCTCATTTTACTCTCACAAAACCCCAGGAGTTTGGTATCTTTATTCTAATTTTTGAGAAACTGAGGCTCAAAAATATTAGGGATATGTCCAAGGTCACACAATGAGTAATTTGTAGATCTGAAATGCAGACAGATCTCTCATTCTGAGCCAAGTGCTTCCACAGCACAGAAGGTAGAGAAACAAAAGTTCCCTGTGGAGTTGTGGGATGCTTATTGAAGGTAGCTCATTTGGTGTGGAAACCAAAACACAAATGTGCATTAGTGGGAGTCAAGGAGGAAGGAGGAGGGAGGGGAGTAGAGAATTTCATTGCAGACTGAAGGAAGAGAATGCTAAAAATACTAATTTGTGAAAAAAAAACTTGGCAGTTTTAGTAATTTACTGGTATGAGGAGAAATAAAGTTAAAAGAGTATGAATGGTGTGGCGGCAGATCATATGAGAGGTATAGTGAAAATTTACAGAATCTGCTGACCCCAATGTCAACAAAATTCATGGGGCCCAGCTCTGTACCTGCCATGACCAAGTTTTAAATTTTTCTGTAGATAGGCTGTTCCTTCCAAAGCTTAGAGATTAAGCATATATATATATATATATATATATATATATATATATATATATACACACACACACACATAATTGTTTTTTTTTTTTTTGAGATGGAGTCTCACTCTGTCGTCCCAGGCTAGAGTGCAATGGCATGATCTTGGCTCACTACAGCTTCCGCCTCCGGGATTCAAGCGATTCTCCTGCGTCAGCCTCCTGAGTAGCTGGGATTACAGGCACGTGCCACCATGCCTAGCTAATTTTTGTATTTTTAGTAGAGACGGGATTTCATCACGTTGGTCAGGCTGGTCTTGAACTCCTGACCTCGTGATCTGCCCGCCTCAGAATCCCAAAGTGCTGGAGTTAACAGGCGTGAGCCACTGTGCCCGGCCACATTTATATATTTTTAATTGAAGCCACTAGACCTCAGCATGTGGTCTAAACAAAGGCTCTTCTCCTAGTTCAGTCCATTTTCCATGATATCAGGTTCTCCAAAGGATGAACCCAAGAGGTTCTTGTTAGCTGAAGACAAAGTGAAAGGCTGACAATGACATGCAAATTTAGTAGAGCAAAGAATACACATTTATAGTAGAATAATACAAGAATTTTTTCCTTTCTACCATACAAAAAAAAATGCTTACAATGCAGGTACATTAATTTTATATTAAAAATATCCTTAGGTTGACCTCTGATGTTTTGCTTTTGCACCTGCTGTAAGCCTTAAGGCATTTGGCATTCCCATTTTCACAAACCTAATTTAGTAGACTAAATAGCTATGCTAAGCATTTCACTTGCTTTCTATTATTGTTTGGCTGTAGACTATCACATAATGTGAATGTTATTGATTTTATACATGTTAATTTCTCCTACGACGTACTATAGCAAGCTATACCTTTAGCATTTTTTTTAGGTTTTTGGCTTATAGGAAGGTATCTCCTAAACCATAAAACTTATCCCATATTTTTTTTTTCATAATTTATTTATTGAGCTTTGCTGTATGTAGCTTTTTGAAGTAGATTTTATAGTTTAGAATTGTTGCTTTCCTTTTTTAATCTTTCACTCTTCATTTTTATTGAGCTATGAATTAACTATCTTTATTGTAGCGGTAAAACCATTTGTAATAGTCATAGTTTGATTGAGTGTACATAAATAAATAAAACCCCTACGTTAAACTGGGACGTGACATCAGCCTCTTTTTATTTTTTCATTTAAATTCTGAAAACACATGGAGATGAGTGTCCTTCGTTTCTACCTTAAATGGGTTGTTACAACTGAAGGTAATAGGGGCAGTCAGTTAGCACAAAACAAATGGGCAGCTACACACAAAGAACATTTTAAAGATAAAACATGGGTATTTAGAAGGTTGCTTCCATATGTGCTATGAGTTATGTATGAGTATCAAGGAGAGAAGACAGTAACAACTACCTGGTAATCATTTATGCTCTTATGGAGAACGAGCGGTGACTCCATAATGTCCCCAAAATGAGGCAACAGTCTGTCACTGTAGCAAATGATGAGAGGGCCCTTGAGCTAGCAGGCTGGGGCACATTCTACAACCCCTTTCCTTTGTCCTGTAGGAAATTCAACTTTCACATATGAGAAATACTAAAGGAATTTTCTCAGCATTCACATAAAAATACTCTAAGAATAAAGATAAAAAAGGAATATATCAACTCTTGTAATAACTAGAAACATGTTGCTACAAAACAGATGAAAAAAGGAATGAACATTTATACATTCCAACATAAATTTTAAGGGTGTAATAAAACATAAAGAGACCATGAAGTGAAATGCAAGAGCATGGGGAAGAGATAGCCAGAAAGTGCAATAGCAACTGGCAGAATCCATGAAAGAAATAGGATTTAAAAACAAAATCATTGTAGGAAAAAAAAAAAAACTAAATTGTAAAGAGAACAAGGGAGACTGAACCCCAAATAATGTAAGGGTCGTAAAGGGTGTAAGTGAGAGAAGAATATGTAATAAGTCCTCTCCCCGTCCAAAAATCCAAAAACTGTAAAACATAGGATAGAATTAGAAAAAAGTTATTGCCTATATTAAGCCAAGATAGATCATCATAAGCACATATATTTACATTACTGTGTAGTATATGCTTATATATGTTATTAGAATGTTCAACACCAAGATATATCTGTGTATGGGACTAGGACTTTAAAGATTAAGAAAGCATTATGTGGGGGCTTAAGCAAAAATAGTCAACTTAGAGAAAAAGAAAATCATTTTGGCATCAGAGTTTTCCACAGCAAAAGTTAACACCAGAAAATGGGGGGAAATATTGAGAAAGAAGAGAAGGGAGAAGCAAATGGTTATCCTTATCCTTGCAAGATATCTATCAGCTATAAAGTGTACAGTTATAAGCACCCATAATTGCAGGGAACACTGTTTACAGAAAGTTCTTATTAAGAGATTTACCACAGGACAAAGTTCAATCAACCTAGTTCTGAGTAGGTAAAATACTACCAGTAAGGCAAGAGGTAAGCATTCAATGCATCATATATAGATTTAAGGGATACATGGTGTAGAAAATGTAAAAAGATATTTTACTGATGATTCTGATAATGTACAAATGATTCAACTGTAACAACTAGGAGGACAGAGTAAAAGAAAGGGGAAAGTAGGAATTAGCTCCCTGATTGCCTCGTCTATAATAGCTGAGAGTAATGGGTTCATTTTAAATCTCAAAATTTGCCCATAATAGTATGAAAACATTAAGTGGCACAAAGGCAAATATTAAGAAATATCCTGCCACAAAAATCAAATAGTTCAGGAGAAGTTGAGAAAGTGAAAATAGCAAAGAGTCTAATTTAATTGCCACTCATTGTGGGGAACCATTAGGTATTATCTAAATAAATGGAGAAAAATATAAATGCAGGTAAAATTACAAAAATAACAACCAGAAAACTACATCTTTCTTATCAATAAAAATAAATTATCATTTAACAATATAAAATATTTAATACTAAATTTTACAATACATATACAAGAAATACACCAAAATCAAATATAGCCAAATGTTTTAAAAATAAAATGGTCAACAAATACCAAACAGACAAATGCTAACAAATGAATTATCAACCTATTTTTATTGTCTTCTCCTTGCTTATTTTTTAAATTCCTTTTTAAAATTTTGTTTAGATACTTTAAAATTACTTTTTATATTATTTTCTCTAATAATTCTAACCTCCTGGTTTTGTTTCTCGACATTTCTGCTGTTTCTATCACAATATCTATTTTCCTTGAGTGTTTTCTTGTTGGTGGTGTTCTTTTCTGGTTTTTATTTGTTTTGTTTGTTTGTTTTGGTTTTGATTGAAAGAAATACAACAATGGAAGCTCACACTACTGCAAGGTGCTTCTCCAGATTTTGCCTATCACTCATAATTCTACTTTTATTTACTTTTCAGATTCCTCAGTTAGTTGCTTATTGTACTTTTCATAGTTTTAGTTGTAATCAACATGTAAGATAGGCTACAGGGAGCTTATCCTGCCACAAAATACCAGAAATCCATCTTTTTTTTTGTTTCTTAAAAAAAGTCATTTTGAACTTGTAATTTGTAGGAAGGAACGCAGATTTAGAGGCATACATTTTCCATGACATGGAAAAATCATTTAACAATGTTAAGTCTCTATTTCAGCAAATACAGAAAAGATATGATTCACAGGACAAGAAAGCTGACAGTTAAGAACTTACATGCAAAGGCATTTCGACAAATAATATAATCCATCCTACTCCTAAGAGAGGAAAATTTGTATTAATGAAACTTCTACCAGGTATCACTTTCACCTCAGTTAATCCACAAACATTAAATCAGCAACATTTTGTGATAAACCATATCCAAAAGAGTTGATTGATGAAATGTCATTAATAGAACAGCAGTTATCCATGATTCAGTAAAAATTCATCAATCACCCATACAACAAACTTAATTCCATCTTATACTAAGCACATACACTACACTGAAAACTGTCAACTTCTGATGATCTAAAAATGTCTCTTCTATGACCATGTGATCACACTGAAATAAAGAATACAGAAAATTCATAGATGGTCAGTTAAAAAAGCTTCCGTGAAGCAATAAACTTTCCTTAAAAATGCCAAAATAGTAACATAGACTGCATGATATAACACTCATTTTACTGACATCATCTGTTGAGGCATTTTGTTAATCAAATACTTTCTTTTATATATACTTATAAATGTCATACCAGAATTACACATTTTCTAATGAAATACAAAAGCATAAAAGAATCGTATTCATAAATTGATTTTAATCATTGTCTCGGTTCAATATTACAAACAAGTGTAATTATGGTACAAGTACAAAACAAATGGTGATTAAAGCATGTCAGAAAACAGATGTTCCTGCATACAGATGGACAATCCAATTAATACTTCTCAAATAGAAAACAGCTATTTACTCCTTACTAATGAATGATATAATTATTTATCATTAATGAAGCTTGGTTTTTTAATGTCTCCATGAAGAGCTTAAATATAATTTTCCTAAAGATGCATTTGGGCCGGGCGCCGAGGTTCAGGCCTGTAATCCCAGCACTTTGGAAGGCCAAGGCAGGCGGATCACGAGGTCAGGAGATCGAGACCATCCTGGCTAACATGGTGAAAACCCGTCTCTACTAAAAGTACAAAAAAATTAGCTAGGCATGGTGGCGGGCGCTTGTAGTCCCAGCTATTCGGGAGGCTGAGGCAGGAGAATGGCGGGAACCTGGGAGGTGGAGCTTGCAGTGAGCTGAGATCGCGCCACTGCACTCCAGCCTGGGCAACAGAAAGAGACTCCATCTCAAAAAAATAAAAATAAATACATACATACATACATACATAAATAAATAAGAAAAAAGATGTATTTGGATGGTTAATGTATTTTTAATGTATAATCATCTATTGTAGTTAAAAGATGATCAAATGTGCTGATTCACTCAGTGTCTATGTTTCAAATGCAGGACTTAAGGAACAATTTGCCATAAGCCACCAACTTATTGTTTTCTTTTAAATTATATATCTAACATGCATACATACACACACAATATATATATACAAAACATTAATAATGATGAAAATTTTGAGAATCATGAAGAATGGTATATATGTAATACATGTTTTTTTCACAAGTTTTTCAACTACTCTACTTTTTTTTTTAGTAGAATACATTAGATACTACAAAAGAAATGAAAACAAAATGATGTGGAATAGCATGTAAACAACAGAAAGAAGTTTTTGAAGATTGTTACAACACAGCTTCCCTAGCTAATAATACCTGAGAAAACCTGCACATGTAGCATATATGTGTCGCTACCTTTTAACATATATAATGGATTTATTAATATTTCTTCATTGCGTTGATGAGATGAATAAATAAAATAGTATGTATAAATACCTAGACCTTTGCTGGGTGTATAGTAAATATTGTGTTAAAATAGAACTCTTCTATCTTTCTACAGAAATACACTATGCAGTGATTACTTCTGGCTGTGATACATAAAAACAGGCAAATCTCAATAGAGAAAAAATATGTATTCATGATACATGATTTGGATTTTTCCAAAGAACAAAAACTATGAATTGGGTTGCAAGGATTTCCTGTTAAGACAACAGTAGGAATAAAGACATGGAGTAGAAGATACACACATTGAGAAGGTTTAACAGGCCTAAGCAAAAGATGCACATAATGAAACATCAGGAGAACAGACTAGAAATTCCTCTAAGCCTGTTGTGAGAGCCAAAGAAAATACATCTGGATTTGACTGTTGATAATGAGGAATTTCTGAAAGGTTGACCTATCACAGCTCTGAAAAAATGCTTCTAAACAAACCAGATTCCTTTGTCAAATAGATAAGGGAAATTACGGATATGTAATGCCACTTTAGAAATTTCAAATGCACATTAACAAAGCAACAGCGAAAAGCAAACCCCATTTAACTTTGTTTAACCTAGATTTTATGAACTTATTTACTAAGCAAACTCTCCCATCTGTATTTCCCTACTTGTAATTCTTATTAAGAATCACTGTTTTGGTGTCATTGGAATTTACTTAGAGAAATGCGGTCTAACCTCTGCTTTAAGAAGACAACTCTGGCAGAACTATCAATTGGAAAAAAGGAGAGTTTAGATGCTAGGAGGCCATTATAATAGCTCACTTGGGAGCTAATCTGTGCATGACTCTGATGGGAGAAAATAAAATTGAGAAAAAGGCATGCATTGGAGGCAACAATCCTTGGAATGTGATTGACCGTAGAGAATAATGAATGTGGAAGACCCAGAACAGACTTTAAACAAACTTTCAGATTCTTGCCAATCTGAAAAATATTACTTCAGACTAATTTTGATTTGTATTTTATAATGAATGAGGGTATTCATTTTTTTTTCATTTATTTAAGAGCTATTTGTATTTCCTTGTCTGCAAAATTCTGTTTGCATCTTTTCCTCAGTTGTCTACTGGGTTTTCTTCTTGTTCATTTCTAGGAGTTCTTTTCTAAATAAAGTAAATTAGCCTTTTGCCTCTGAATAAGTTTCAAATATTGGATCCCCAATTTGTCATATCCTGACTCTGTTTATCATATTTCTATGAGAAACTTATTATTTTCTTTTTTTTAATGGCTTCTGGATTTTAAGTAGGAGTTATTAGATCCTGCCCATCCCAGCTTTATTAAGGAATTCTCCTCCATTCTATTTTACACTTTATATTTCATTTACAAATTTCAAGTTTGGTCCACTCAGAACTTACTCTGGTATAAAGATAACTTTTATTTTCTAAATGGCTGGGCAGTTGTCCACAACCTCTTCTGGTTGGTTGAAGATCTTTTACACTAAATTCACATATGTATTTGAATCTATTTCTATTTTCTATTCTGTCTTTGTCTAATCATGTACCAGTACCACTGTGTTTTAATTAAAGATGGTATTATATACCTTAATATCTGGTAGAACTAGTATCCCTTCACTACTCTTTTTATTGTTTTCCTGGCTGACCTTGTTCCTTTTTCTACTTGAACTTTAGGATCAACTTGTCTAATTCCAAATGAAAAGCTGATTTTTTTTAATCAAAAGCATGTTGAATGCATATGTTTCTTTCTTTTTTTTTTTTTTTTTTTTTGAGACGGAGTCTCACTCTGTCGCCCAGGCTGGAGTACAGTGGCACGATCTCGGCTCACTGCAAGCTCTGCCTCCCGGGTTCACACCATTCTCCTGTCTCAGCCTCCCGAGTAGCTGGAACTACAGGCGCCCACCACCACGCCCGGCTAATTTTTTTTATTTTTAGTAGAGACGGGGTTTCACCGTGTTAGCCAGGATGGTCTTGATCTCCTGACCTCGTGATCCACCTGCCTCGGCCTCCCAAAGTGCTGGGATTACAGGCGTGAGCCACCGCGCCCGGCCGTATATGTTTATTTCTTTATTTATGTTTGTTATTAGAGATAGGGTCTCACTGCTGCCCAGACTGGAGTACCGTGGCTATTTATAGGTACAATCATAGCGCACTACAACCTAGAGTTCCAGGGCTCAAACCATCCTCCCACTTCAATCTCCCAAGTAGCTGGGACTCGCAGTGCATGCCGTCACGCCCAGTTGATACATAAGTTAACTGAGAGTTGACATCTTGATGAAGTTGAGTCATCCTACCCAAGAACATGCTTTTTAACTTGCTCAAGCCTTCTTTTGTGTCCTTGAAATAGTGTTTTCTTCACATAGGTCTCATATATGACAAACTTATATTTTATATTTTATCCTTTTTGTTGCTACCGTAAGTGGGTCTCTTCATCTTATCCTCTATACGTTTATTTACATGAAAGCCACTGATTTCTACAAATTATTTTTATGATCAACAACTTCAGTAATAATTATTTTATTATTTGCAGAGTTTTGGGGTTCTCTTGGGTTTTCAAGTAGTTGTACAATCATAATGTCTGTAAATAGTGCTAGTTTTACTTCTTCCTTTCCTATTTTTTAATTTCTCTCTCATGTGATTGTCTTGGCTGGTACTGCAGTATAGTATTTAAAAATAGTGCTGACAGTGACATTTGTTGTCTGTTCTTGACTTCAGAGGGGACTGTTTATAGTGCTTCTCCATTAATCACTATACTGAGTTTTGGGCAGAAATATATACACACACATACACATATATTTTTTCATGTTACGGAAGCATCTATCTTCTATCTATTCTTATTTTACTGAGTATCAGAACACTCATTTTCTTAAATGCTTCTGCCTCATCTATTAAGACAAGCCTGTGATCTTTCCTTTGACGTGAAAACACTGAATACTGAATACTGGAATAAATGCCCCCCTCCTCTTGGTCAATAATTATTTTTTAACGTCCTGGTGACTATTACTGGCAAATACTTTATTTAGGACTTTTGCATCCATATTCATAACTGAAACTGGTCTGTAGACTGTTTTGTATTAATCTTTGTTAGGTTTTTTTTATCTTTAAGACTAATATGGAGAATACTCATCTTTTTTTAGGCTGGGGGGGTGGCTCACACCTGTAATTCCAATCACCTGAGGTCAGGAGTTCGAGACCAGCCTGGCCAACATGGCAAAACCCTGTCTCTACTAAAAATACAAAAATTAGCCAGGCGTGGTGGCGCACACCTGTAATGCCAGCTACTTGGGAAGCTGAGGCAGAAGAATTGCTTGAACCCGGGAGGCGGAGGTTGCAGTGAGCCAAGATTGCACCATTGCACTCCAGCCTGGGCGACAGAGCAAAACTCTATCTAAAAAAAATCACCTTTTTTAAAACATTTAGAACCATTTTTAAAACATTCTAATTATTTGCTTTTTATAGGTTTAGTAGAAATATTCTAAAAACAACTAACCTGCTCTTTCTTAGAGGTAGAAGAAAATAACTTCTCTCATGAACATGAGCAGAGAGGTGAATGAACATGAACATGAACAGAGAGATGAATAAAGATCTAGTTGGCTGAAAGGGTCATCGGTATAAGACTCTTTCAGCTCTTTATATTTATTACTAATGAATATATGGCTTTTTATGTACCCGAAGGACAGTTTGGATATAAAATCTTTAGCATGTATTTACTATATGATATAAAATCTTTAGCTCATATTTACTATCCTTGAGATTACAGCAATCACTCCACTCTCTTCTGGCATACAGAGCTGCCAGCCTAATTTTTTTCACCTTTTTATATACTGGTTTGATTGTTTTGCCTGAGTGCCTAAAGGATTCTGCCATTACCTTTTAAGGCCAATAATTTATATGCCTTGATGCTGACAGTTCTTGATCAATTTCCCCTACCATGTGATATCCTCTTTCAACAACCTTCACTTGTTTTAAGAAAATGTTCTTGAGTATCATGAAATAAGTGCTCTGTTTACAGAACGTTAAATAACTGTTCTGTCTGGTTTTTCTTCTTTGAGAGAAATTCAGTTTTGCCCATATTAGATCTTCTGTGCCCATCTTCTCTCTAATCCTTTCTCATTCTTTCTTGACTTTGGTTTCATTTTAATTTCCTCATTTCTACTCTGTGTTCCTGTGTGTTCTTCAGTGTTTACTCGCCCTTTGTGCTCTTTCCCATGTCGTGGTTTGATTCTTCCCTTCTACTTCTTTCCTGAATTCTGACACCTCACATCTTACCACTTCCTGTTTTCTTACCATATTCCTGCAGTTCTGGAATTTCTGCTCCAAGTGTTCCTTAGAGGAGCAGTCCCCAAACCTTTATGGCATCAGGGACCGGTCTCATGCAAGACAATTTTTCCACAGGGGAGCGGAAGATGATTTCAGGATGAAACTGTTCCACCTCAGATCATCAGGCATTACTCAGAGTCTCATAAGCAACGCACAACCTAGATCCCTTACACGGGCAGTTCACAATAGGGTTTGCGCTCCTATGAGAATCTAATGCTGAGGCTGACCTGACAGGAGGTGGGGCTCAGGCAGTAATACTCGCCCAGCCGCCGGCCTGTCTGCCACCCACCTCCTGCTGTGCAGCCCAGTTCCTAACAGGCCACGAACCAGTACCAGTCCATGGCCCCAGGACTGGGGACCCCGGCCTTAGAATGACTGCCTTCTTACATTTGTTGTTGTTGTTCTTTTTGTTTAGTTCATGGTCAGACGTTTGCTCATAATTTTCACCTATTCTGTGACAATATTATTTTGGTAAATGTTCTTCATCTATGAAGTTTTATTAAATTTTGTTAATGTTTTTCACCTTTTATCAGCGCTGTGCTACTCCGTGTTGATTACTCAGCAGGAAATGAGTCGTATGTTAACTGGCCCTGCTTTCTCAGCAGCCTCCTCTGAAAGTGATTTTGCTGGTATTCTCTGAGCTATTCACGCTGTCTCCTCCATGTTCTATAGCTCTAGTTTTATGTAAGAAACCTATTTGCCACTTCAAAATAAATTGCTTGTATTTACTGGCACTTCCTGAGATCTGCCACCTGAACTGTTTTATCATTTCTGTGACCACACCAAAAGTCTCCACATGATTTTTTAAAAGAAAATTCTTTAAGTACAATTTGATACACAAAACAGACTTACTTTAAGAGTTCATCTCTTTCTGTCTTCCATGCCAAAACTATATCGCTGCATTTGTTCTGGAACCTGACCAGGATTTCAGTCAACTCATTGTAAAACTATAAGCAAAGAACAAATACAAGTAATGAACAAGAACAATTTTTTAATCCAGAGAGTAATGTGATCTAAAGCTAATTTGTCAATGACAGTTAAAGCCGAAGAACTGAGATCTGCATGAGATACATCCGTACAATTTACTAGGCCCAACAACTTAATATTAAATATGATCTAAGATTCCTAAAGAAAATAAAAATAATAAAATCATTTTTACAGAACATTATCATCAAAAATGTAACAAGTTAAAAGTTTCATGATCATGAAAATCTTCCTAATTCCTAGAGAAAAGTCAATTGCTTAATAACATGAAACCTATTTAAGTGGAAGGATTAGGTTTTCAAATTCACTACAGAAATGCAAGCATACTCCCCATCAAAAAGTGGGCAAAGGATATGAACAGACACTTCTCAAAAGAAGACATTTATGCAGCCAAAAAACACATGAAAAAATGCTCATCGTCACTGGCCATCAGAGAAATGCAAATCAAAACCACAATGAGATACCATCTCACACCAGTTAGAATGGCGATCATTAAAAAGTCAGGAAACAACAGGTGCTGGAGAGGATGTGGAGAAATAGGAACACTTTTACACTGTTGGTGGGACTGTAAACTAGTTCAACCATTGTGGAAGTCGGTGTGGTGATTCCTCAGGGATCTAGAACTAGAAATACCATTTGACCCAGCCATCCCATTACTGGGTATATACCCAAAGGATTATAAATCATGCTGCTATAAAGACACATGCACTCATATGTTTACTGCGGCACTATTCACAATAGCAAAGACTTGGAACCAACCCAAATGTCCAACAACGATAGACTGGATAAAGAAAATGTGGCACATATACACCATGGAATACTATGCAGCCATAAAAAAGGATGAGTTCATGTCCTTTGTAGGGACATGGATGAAGCTGGAAACCATCATTCTCAGCAAACTATCGCAAGGACAAAAAACCAAACACCGCACGTTCTCACTCATAGGTGGGAACTGAACAATGAGAACACATGGACACAGGAAGGGGAACATCACACACCGGGGACTGTTGTGGGATGGGGGGAGAGGGGAGGGATAGCATTAGGAGATATACCTAATGCTAAATGATGAGTTAATGGGTGCAGCACACCAACATGGCACATGTATACATATGTAACAAAACTGCACGTTGTGCACATGTACCCTAAAAGTATAAAAAAAAAAAAAAGAAATGCAAGCACACTTCAGAAACCCTTAAAAGAATTTCTAAAGGCTCTCTGGAGGGTTTTCTCAGCTTACCTATTTAAAGAAAGCATTTTAAACCAAGTTAAAATGGCATTTTACTATCCTCTCTATTTGGAAGGCTTTGCAGTATTTTCACCCTCTCTTCAGAGGGTTTTACATTTTACCTACTGTATTTATATCAAGGTAACTTTATTCAGTGATTATTATGGAGTTAAGTACCAAAAGGAATTATGCATCTGAAAAACCTTAAAAATCACTGTTCCCTCAAAAACAAATTGGTAAAAAGAAATATAAGTGAATTCCCTAAACTTTTTAAAGGACAAGGCAAGAAAGTACTTACATATTCAGTAAGGCTTCTGACACTTGGGCAGGCCACAAGTCTGTCCTCAGCAAACCACCACACAGAATATAAAAGTCATGTCCCCCAGCTTTTCCATCACAAATCAGCTTTGACTACTCCTGTCCCCTCAAAATTCATCAAATTAATCAACTTCCTATCCCTTAAAAAGGTGTCATTGACATCTCTGCTAATTCCTGCTACCTGGAATATTTGTACCCCTTTTCTGCCAGTTGAAATATGCAATTCATTCTTCAAAGTTCCCATGAAATGTTGCCACCTTCATTAAGCTTTCTCCCTCCTATAACAAACTTCGCAGAGGCAATGGCATTAAAGCTAACATTCCAGGCAAAGAGTAATTTGGTTCAACTGGAAATACCATTTAACTTCCAACCTATACGTTCACATCTGTACTTGCTAGCTATGGTTCCTTTTGCATGTACTTCATACCTTTGTGTCTTCCTTCGAATTAGCTACAAGTTCAACAAAGTTGTCATATGCAGTAGCTAAATTCTTCAAAACTTCTTTTCTTAAGTTAGCTTCATTATTAGATTGCTTCATTTTCGAAAATTCCTGATGTGAGACCTTGTTAAAAGAAAGATTTATGTATTTACATTTACTTATAAAATTAATATGGCTTATAACATTTTTATTGATCTTTTCCAATTATGAAAATTATATGTAATTAAATACATATGCAAAATTACTAGAAATACCTAGTATACTCTTTTGAAGCCTCATTATGCTTTAAATCTTTCTTAAGTAAAAATTTCAAAAATCCAATAGGAGTCAAAACAACCAATAATGATCACAGATTTCTATTAGTATATAACACTTGCAAAAAATATAACATGAAAATTATTTTACCTTTTGGAATATTTTATATCATATATAGATACAATGTTTAGGAGTAGAAATATATGTTTAATTTTGCACATTAACTATGAAAAGGGCAAACTTTCAAGTCTTTGTTAGTCCAAACTACCTATCTGTAAACACGAAAACTAACTTCAAACTTCTCAACATATTTAGTTTGCATTATTTTTTTAAAAAATGACTGAAGTCTGTATGTATGTTAGCCGTATAATTAAAGGTATCAGTAATTCCAACTAATTTCGATTTTCCTCCCGTATGGAAAAAAAAACAAAGCTATTAAAAACTTGAAACCATGAAAAATATCAGAAGTATCAAGCACTCCTAAGTAATATGCAACATTTTAGCCATAGAAATGACTTTGTTTCTGCCGGGCGTGGTGGCTCACGTCTGTAATCCCAGCACTTTGGGAGGCCAAGGAGGGAGGATCAGGAGGTCAGGAGATGGAGACCATTCTGGCTAACACGGTGAAATCCCGTCTCTACTAAAAATACAAAAAATTAGCAGGGTGTGGTGGCGGGCGCCTGTAGTCCCAGCTACTCGGGAGGCTGAGGCGGGAGAATGGTGTGAACCCGGGAGGTGGAGCTTGCAGTGAGCCAAGATCGCACCACTGCACTCCAGCCTGGGCGACAGAACGAGACTCCATCTCAAAAAAAAAAAAAAAAAAAAAAAGGAGTGACTTGGTTTCATAGATACAAATAAAACTGATGTGCCAAGTTTAATTTTACAAAACATACATGTATTAAGTTCTACTCTCAACTATAGATATTCTCCAATGTCATTTTTCTAATTGAATATAGGTTTAGTCCAGACATATCTTTTCTGTAATTTTTAAAACATAGATGTTATTAAATACATAAATTTCACCTGAATATTTTTAAGAAGTCCCTCCTGTGTCTTTAGAGATTCTTGGACTTTAGTTGTAAGACCTCCATAGACTCGATCTAGTTCAGTAACAGAAAGAGCTTCTTCATTTATCACACCATCTTGAGCCAGGGCTGTCAAAAACTTGCTTGTCATGTCAAAATTCACAGATTTCAAGTCATTCTCCAGACCCTCTCTTTCCTTCTTTACTTCATCAAGATTTGACAATAAGGATTTTAAGACATTTACAACCTAAACAATAAAAAAGACACTTTAACTGAAAAAAAAAAGCCAATTTCAAGAAGGAAATAATATATAAAGGTTCATTCAGGCTGAGAGAGAGATGATTTCTCAGAGAGCCAAATATAAATTGAACATCAGGTTTATATAGATAGACACTGTACGTTCAGTTGACTCATACTAAAACAAAAGCAGCATTAATAACAATAGCCAACAGCTACAATTTACTGAACTCCTATGTGTTAGGCACCATGCTAAACACTTCAGAAATATAATTTTATGTATTCCTTACAATACCCCATGGGGTATATATATTTATGACCTCTATTCCAAAGATAGGGATAACGAGTCTCAGAAAAATTAAGTGACATGGTTATACAGCTACTAAGGGGCAGAGGTGAAATTTGAGACCTAAGTCTGACTAGTTCCAAAACCAATCTCTTAGCCACTCTACACTCTACTCCCTCCCAATCATGGCTGTGAAGCAGGGGAAGGTATGAGTTTGCTAGATAAGTAGATATCCTATTTTGCCTAGAGAGACTGAGAGAGATATAGAGAAATAGAGGTGAAGATAGAAATAGAGATAGTTATGAAGCAAGCACGGTAGATGGAGAAAGAAATAGAGAAAGACACAGATATAAAGGTATATACCGCATTTATTTTATACACCAGGAGAGGAAAGGGAAAGAGGGTTCTTGTGCCTCTCTTCATAGCATTAAGAGTTTTAGGCCAGATGTAGAGGTTCATACCTGCAATCCCAGCACTTTAGGAGGATCACCTGAGCCTAGGAGTTCGAGACCAGCCCAGGCAACAAAGTGAGACCCCCATTTCTACATTAAAAAAAAATTAGTTGGGTGCAATGGTGTGCACCTGCAGTCACAGCTACTTCAGAGGCTGAGGCAGGAGGATTGCTTCAGCCCAGGGGGTCAAGGCTGCAGTGAGCCATGATCACGCCACTGCACTCCAGCCTGGGTGACAGAGAGAAACCCTGTGTCAAAACAAAACACAAAAACAAAACAGAGATTTATCTCTTGTATTCAGTCAAGACACTCTCTGACTTATACCCACCTGATTCATAAATACCCCTTTATAGTCATAGTGTTCAAGTGCCTTCTAATGAGCACTTTCAAGCTGCCCTTTCACTCATCTCTTCATACTTTGCTAGGACCACCAAGAACATCAACCCAATCTCCCTATTCTGCTTGCCCCAATGATGCTCATAGAAAGAAAACCGGGGGAAAGACAAAGGAAGAAGAGGACATCATGAGCCCTGTCTCCACCCCTGTCTTTCTCATTACCAGCAGCAAGTCCAATTCCCATGATCCCCCTACCAACTGCCTGTTTCTAAAAATTCCTACCCTACTCTTTCTTCCACAGTCTTAGTTAACTCCTTGATAGGAACATCCAAAGTAACATCCCTTTGTGAAGACCAGAGACTCGAGGTTTCTGCTAAATGTAGGCGAATTTCCTTTTTGGCCTCGTTTACATCCGTATCTTCTAAACATCCTAATTTTAAAATGGAAGGAAAGGAAAGGAAGAGAAGGGGGAGGGGGAGAAGAGAGGAAGGAAGGGGGAAGGGAAGGAGAAAGGGAGGGAGAGAAAGAAGAGGGTACAGGGGAGAAGGCTGTGGAAAGAGAAAGAAATATGATTCCTAGAGTCTAGAAAGCATCAAACCACAGAAACTCTAAAAGGAAGGAGGAGGAGAAAGAATCATACGTGGGTGGATATGACAAAGTCTGTTTAAAGACCTAGTAGAACTTGATATCAGACGATGTGAATAAAAGTTTCCTTCCAAGTGACTTCCAGGACATATTATTAAATGAGAAAAAAAGGGTACACAAGCATATATAGTGTGCTGCAATTTGAGTAAGACAGAAGGAAAATCAGAAAATAAATATACACATACATAATATGTACATATGTATACATATGTATGCATAATTTTGGGGGAGGTTGGGTTTTTTGTTTGTTGTTGTTCTTGCAAAAAGAAAATCAGTAAGGACAAACCAGAAACTAACGGATATGGTTACTTACAGGAAGTATACAGGAAAGAAGTAGAAGGAAAAGGAATGAGGCTTACTCTGCATGTACCTTTTGAATCATGAACATTTTTTACACACTCAGAAAACAAGATTAAGTCAAAACTTGAATATGGAAACAAATGAACTAATGGTCTATCAAAGTGAAACGTAATTACACAGAAAAAACATAATTACATAGAAAATTAAAAACACTTCAACTCGGACTATACTCCCTTAGAGACCATAATGGGCTTAGTGACTGTGCAATCAAGGACAGGTTACTACGTAGAAAACTCAATTTTCGCAGCTGCAAAATGGGCATAGTAGTACCTATTTCAGGACTGTTGTGAAGACTGAGATAATCTATATAAAGTGCTCAACATAACTTCTAACAAAGGGTAAGTATTCAATCATATTACCTAGATTAGGAAGAAAAGCTAACCGCAACTTCCATGGTATCCAACCAGACTGATACAGAAGCTTTCTAACCAGACTGATACAGAGGGCCAAATAGTTAACAAATCCTGTGATATTCAAAAATGCAATAATTCTAACTTTCTGGGGAAAAAATGCCATTTCAAACAACGAATTTATGAACAAACTTGTGGACTACCACACAAAGATAGAGATCCCTTATATTACGAACATCTTTTTAAAAAAATTCATATGCAGTGCACTAGTTTAACATATTTCAGATTATATGACACTCGCCTCATTTTAACAGAGTAAATGAAGTAGAAAATGAATTAAACTGCTTCCACAAATGAATGACCATGATAATAAGAAAACCACTGCCTAAATTTTCTTATAAATTCAAATTTGAGGTTTAACATGTTATCAAAGTATATAAATAATTAGAATCCTAGCGTATTTATTTCTTATACACAGCTCCAGCTATCTTTCAACTGCAATTAAATGTGTCCCTTTATTAAGTTAAAGCTGCCAGCGATGATCATTCAAACAAATGCTTTTTGTTTTGGGACCATTCTAGATGCTATGGACACAACTACTAACAAAAACAGTCTTTTCCTTCATTCGCAGACCAGAGAGGATTAAATAAATATGGAAAGGGGAGGATTAAACAAATACACAAAAATAGAATAATGTGGGTAGACAATGACAAAGATGGAGAAGAGGTGACATCTGAGACTAATGAAAAAGAGGTAATAGCCATGGAAATGGGAAGAAAGCCCTGCACAGAAGGAAACGCAAATGTAACAGTCCTGTGGCAGGCACAAGCTTGGCAGGATCAAAGGAAAGAAAAAAAGGCCACTCTGTCTGAAGCATAGTAAACAAAAGGCAGAACAGGAGATGAGGTCAAAGAGAATGGCAGGAATGGCATCACCTAGGCTGTCAATACTTTGTCTTTCAGATCAGGAACTTACAAACTTTTTTGGTAAAGGACCAAACAGAAAATATTTTTGCCTCAGTAGGCCACAGTCTCTGTTGCAACTCTTTAACTCTGCTTTGCAGTGTGAAAGACAATGTGTAAATGAATGAGCGCAGCTATGTTTCAACAAAAATGTATTAACACTGAAATCTGAATTTTATATAATGCCCACATATTAAAACATTCGTTTGACTTTTTTTTAGCCATTTAAAAAATGAAGTAGAAAGTAGAGTTTTATGTTTAAAAAATGTAAAACTCATTCCTGGCTCCCAGGCCATACAAAGAGAAGAGGCAGAGGATTCGGCCCACAAGCCACAGGTTCCTGACCTGAGTTTTAGATTTAAAACCCTCTGTGGCATTTAACAGCACCAAGTACAATATGAGACATAAGAAATGCCCTCAATGGGCCGGGCGCGGTGGCTCATGCCTGTAATCCCAGCACTTTGGGAGGCCAAGGCAGGCGGATCACGAGGTCAAGAGATCGAGACCATCCTGGCCAACATGGTGAAACCCTGTCTCTACTAAACATACAAAAATTAGCTGGGCATGGTAGCGCATGCCTACAGTCCCAGCTACTCGGGAGGCTGAGGCAGGAGAATTGCTTGAACCCAGGAGGCAGAGGTTGCAGTGAGCCAAGACTGCGCCACTGCACTCCAGCCTGGGTGACAGAGCGAGACTCCGTCTCAAAAGAAAGAAAGAAAGAAAGAAATGCCCTCAACGAAATCTTCTATTTTACTTTTATAACCTTGTCATTTTATTTTCAGAAAAGGCAAATAAGCAACAATGTCTACAGCAAGGAATGCAGAAACTTGATACATTTACCCTACACTAAAGGTAACCTAGGGGAGTTTTTTGTCTCTTTATGTTAGGAACCAAGGTACTCAGCACAGTTCTGGAATAGTAGGCCTTCAAAAAACACTTGGTGAGTAAATAAACAAACAGATTCCAGCCATTCTCAACATGTCTATAAACTTTCTGTCACGAGAAATCAGGAGTAAAAGCTGTGTTTGCAGATCCTCCACTAGTCTGTGAATCCAAAAAAGGCACTCCTCTGGGAGGGCACACAGTTTTAAACAGTTCTCTTTATGCTCTACCTCTAAGGAGATAAAGGGTTTTTTTTTTCAAAGGTACCCCCTCCACTACTCCCAGCAGATGTAACACTTTGAGTATAATTGAACATCATCCTTGTGCAAAAAAATAGATGTTCCTTCCTCTGGCTAGACTCAGCCCCATATACATTAGGGCCAAGGCTTGGCCAGCCAACCACAGACCAGACTTCAGGCCACAGTAGATCACAGGCAACCAATCACAAGCAGTGATCCTAGGTATTTAATACAAAAATCTTGAAATACAAATGACCACTAGTCTGCAAAATTTTTCAGAGTATCTCAATATCTAAAACCAGATGCCCAAAGAGACTGAAAATAAGTAACTAGAAAGTAGGCTACTTCACAATAAAAGAAAAAACAGCCCTACCATCAAACTTGGACTTTTTAATAAAACATGTACATTGCATCACTCTAATCAGCAATCAAAAAACTGAGTTTTAACATAAAAATTCTGGCTAAAATGCGTCATCAACTATTACGACAACCATCTGAAATAGCTCTGATAAACCTGATGCTTGCCTTATTTGATTAAGGCACAAGACAAACGAATATATAGAGAGTACTGAAATTTTTGTGGTTACCCCATCAAGAAATCTAGCTTCCAAAAAATTACTTCATATTGACTATAAAAGTTCCTTTCTCCTGTGTAACACAAGTAAGGACTAATAAAACTGATACAACTGAATAAAATATCAACAAATCAGTGCATACCAATGCAGATTTTGCTTAGCACAAACCATTTTTACTTTTCTACTGAAAGCAGAAGAATCAAAGGACAAAAGCCACATAATTCTGAGTCATGTACAAGACACCAAAAAGAATACAAAGAGAGTACTAAACAGAGATCTTTTTCTAAAATAAAAAGGTACCAGAATGTATTGCTCTTCCAAGGGTCTACAGTTTCTTCTTCGGGTTCTTTGTTGCTCACAAGTTAATCTTCTGACCACCTCCCTTTTCTCCGCTATGTCCTCAAAGCAACAACTCACATTCCCTGTTCCACTGGGTTCCCCCGTTAGATTCAGGTTCAATGCACATTCAACTACGTAGCCTTCTCTTCCCTTTGAGAGGTGCCCGGTACCTGTGCATTTACCCTACACTAAAGGTAACCCAGAGCAGTTTTTTGTCTCTTTATGTTAGGGACCAAGGTGCTCAGCACTGCTCTGGAATAGCAGGCCTTCAAACACTTGGTGAATAAATAAATAAACAGATTCCAGCCATTCTCAACATGTCTATAAACCTTCTGTCACGAGAAATCAGGAGTAAAAGCTGTGTTTGCAGATCCTCTGAACCTCGGATAACTCTCTAGACACAGCCACTACTCAGCCCTTCTCCGATCCTACACGTTTACTTTTTCTGCCTATCCACTCTGTTCTCATAATGTGCCAATCTCTTAAGAAGCCTCTGAAGAGAACTACTCCAAATTACTGAAATTTTAAGTACTTCATCTAAATCCTCATAACATACTTCCTATACTTTCCCTGTGACATTTTTAAACTTCTTCCCTATATCACAGTCATCCCTGTACATGACTAATATTCCACAAAGGATCATAAATTGAGGGTAAAGCCTGTGTATAATTTGTATGTTAATTTTCCAATGTACCTACCATAGTGCCTTACACAGAGCAGATATCCAGTAGGTCTTGGAATACATATATGAAATATATAAAATGCTTCTGCGGAATGACAAATAAGAAACAAAACTCATACTTTTCAGAACTTACTATCCCAGGAAATTCACTTTTTTCAAGAAGTTTTCAGCAGTATTTCTTGCCCTTTGGCTTGTTTTCCTGTGCAGAGATTTGGGACCTCTATCTTTTCCTACTAACTTACCCTACCTCCCCGTGATAGGCCATTAAATTATACTTGCACTTTCTCTTAGGACTTTCCAAATCAGATGCCCTACTATTCAATTCTCTGTTTCCTGTCATCAGTAGAAACACCATGACGGAGCTATCCATTTATTAACACGCACACCTTGCCAATCTTCCCTTCAAAGGTAGTCCCGGGGAAACAAGGTGGAAGGGAGTATAGAACAATGGAAGAAATAAAGAATTTGTGTATCTGGCCATACCCAGTCCTTTCATTTCAGGAAATTTCTATACTTCCAAGCTTCTCTCTTTTATAAAACCCAAATTAAATACTGTTGACCTATGAATTATCTAAAATTTAGTTCAAAAAGGGGCATTCAATAAATGGAAGTGACTATTACAGGATAGTTAATATTAGTATAATTTCCTATTACACAGTCCATATACTACTTGAAATATAACAACCCCAATTTATTTCTGCATTTTTTTAAAGATGACAATAAGGAATTGGCAGTGCATTATATAAAATGGCTTGAATGTGGTTTTCTTAAGCAGATGACAACCCACATCAAAGTGCCCTTCTCACCTCACTGCCCTGCATGGTCTTTGCTGGATTAGCAGAAGGGATGACAGCATTCAGCTCAGGCTCTGGCTTACACAAAAGCACGATGGGGTCACGATGAGACGGGTAACATTCTTTCACGTGTCCATCTGCTTGCACAGCTTTATCTAAAACTGTTCTGAAGCTGGTTCCCTCTGGGAGAAAATAGGTTTGCAGAGCACAGAAGTGATTCTAACAGCAACGTGTATGGCCTGGTTATATGTTGAGTTCTAGTCTCCAACTTTACTTATCTTCCCCTTCTCTAGACCCCAATTCACTTAATCATAAAAACACCTCCTAACAGTCTTTGCGTTCTCGTTTTTGGAAAGATGACAAAATCACTTATAAAATCAAAAGCATAGCTATACCTTAAAATACATTTGGAGGTTACTATCTGCCAAATAAAACCTAATTAATATTAATCTTTTCCTACAACTCATGAATGTAGGAAGAAATCATTCTCTCCAAAAATTGGTCCATTTATTTTAAAAGTATTCCTCTCTCAAAAGAGCAATGTGACTTAAAAAAAAAAGATTTTTAGAAAAATCTCAATAATATACAAACTTTTTACAAAGACAAATAAAACTAATCTCCAGCCACCATGAAGACAGCATTTATCTCAGCAAGCACAAAATCTTCATAATCAAAGTCTTAAGAAGCATAAATTTGGCCTCAAAATAACTTAAAGCTCATTTTTTTTACCACCCAGGATTCACTACTAAATGAAAAAAAAATTACAAAGCCATAAATGTAATATGCTCTCATTTATGTTTTTAAAATATGCGCAGGGGCCAGGCATGGTGATTCAAGCCTGTAATCTCATCACTTTGGGAAGTGGAGGCAGGTGGATCACTTGAGCCCAGGAGTTCAAGACAAGCCAGGGCAACACGGTAAAACCTCGTCTCTGCAAAAAATACAAAAATTAGCCAGGCGTGGTAGCACATGTCTACGGTGTCAGCTACTCAGGAGGCTGAGGTAGAAGGATTGCCTGAGCCCTGGAGGTTGGGGCTGCAGCGAGCTGTGATCCTGCCACTGCACTCCAGCCTAAGTGACAGAGCAAGACCTTGTCTCAAAAAATAAAATAAAATAAAATAAAATATGCACAGAGCTTGGAACAGAAAATGAAAGTTGGAGGACCATTTTAACTTTTCCCTTTATACCGTTCTTAAGAATCTGTACTTCTGACAATTGGCAGATCACTTTTGTGAACTTTTTTAATCTTTATACTAAAACTGAGGAAAAACAGTTTCGGTAAAAACAAATTTACAACTGAGCCTAATTTAATCAAGTAAAAATGTGGGTCCAAATTGGGAATTTATTCAAATGAAGGTCATTTATACACATTTTTACCTGCTCTTAAAGGCTTATACAGTTCATTGGATGATGTCCTTTGCCAGCGTTCCTTAAATTTTGCTCATAAATCATTATCGGTTGCTTCTTCTTCATCCAACAACCTTAATGACTTTAAAAGGAAGCAAAAAGAACCCTGAAATGTCATTTCTGGATTAAAAAATTTAATGCATTTAATAAATTGTTCATACACAATATAAGGGAGAATTTGGTGAGATGGGAATACTAGGTTAGAATATAAATCGACTTTTTTCTTGCAGACATCTAAGTTATAATGCATTTAACAAAAAGTCTTATAAATTTAAGGCTGAATTAGCTATCACCTTTCTCAGTAAAAAAAAAAAGAATACATAAGAGACTATTTACATCCATATATCAATTTAAAGAAAGTTTTAAGATTAAAATAGATAAATAGAAGCCATAAACAAAGGGGAAAAACTGATCAATTACATTAAAAAATAAAAGATTTAGACTTTCATTCCAATACAACAAACAGAAAATTATGTTTAATATATTTTTAAATGCCTTTTAATGTGTAGATAAGATGACAGGATAGTAGGGGGCCAGAAACACAAGAAAATACTAATCTACCAGTAGACACAGTGCTAGCACCAACAATTTATGACAATCCCCGATAGCTTAGGACAAAGAATAGCAAACTTCTGTCAAACACCACAGAGTAAATATTTTAGGCTTTGTGGGCCACAGTCTATGGCACATAGAATTCTTCTTTTTTGACAATGCTCTAAAAAAGATAAAAATTATCCTTAACTAGTGAACCACACAAAAGTAGGCCACAAGCCTGCACTGGCCCACCATCCATAGTTCACCAGCTGTGTAGTTCACCATTGACTTGCATTGTGAATTTAGAACATGAAAAGTCAACAAGAAACATAGGTAGGGACAATAAAAGGTGAGAGAGGTCAGATCAAAAGCACTCTCCACACTCAAACTGGTATACTTCCAAATAGATGATTCTCAGTGGATGAATTTTTAAAACAGAAAACTGCCCTACAGAAGAAAACATGCCTGTCTGGACCTTGGCTCTAAAGAAAAAAGAAAAAAAAAAAGAAGTATTATCTGAGATTCCTGATCAAAAGCCTGAACTTGGGACTAGAAACCACACTATTTGTGTGACACAAAGTCCTAAGATAAATTACTACTATAATTAAAAGATTATAAAAGAAAAGAAAAAACCTCTTAAGTTTGAGGAGGTGCCAGGTATATAATGCCTTTTTATGGCAGAAGCAAACACAAATTCTTTCTAGAATTCACCTTAAACCCAGATCTCAATGAATTCCCACAAATAAATTACAGGAAATATGAATGCACAATCAAAACTCACTGAACACTAAATGCAATTCAGTATTCTGTACTGGATCTTGGAACAGAAGGAGGAACATTGGTGGAATAACTGGTAAAATCGGAGTAATAATACTGTACCAATGTCAATTTCCTAGTTTTAACAAATGTGCCATGACCACGTAAGATTTTAACTTTCAGGGAAGCTAGGTGAAAAATATACAGGAACTTTCTACACTAAATTTGCAAAGTCTCTGTAAATCTGAAACTATTTTTTAAAGTTTTAAAAAACAGTAACAAAAAAACTGAACACAAGAGAAAACAAGCCACCATAAGCAAGAATCAGCAAAAATCACAAATCATAGAATCAAACCCACAGAAACTACAGACATTGGAATTATAAGATAAATAATATAAAATAAATATATTTAATATATTTCAAGAAATTAGGGATAAATTAAAGGGTTTAACCTTCCAGGTTAAGACAAACTAAAAAGAAAAATCTTGCTACACGCTATGTATAAAATAAATCAATAATTACAAAGACTGAACAGTTTGTATGATAGTTGATTTCTCACAGTATACTAGTTTTACACAGTGGTCATTTGAGTTTCATTAATGTGTACTTACTTACCCTTAAGATAAAAATGAAACCCATTCTCACTCAACCAGAATTTCTCTTATGCTAAAGAGAAGGCTCTGGGCCACAGTAAATTCACCAAAGTGATGAATACTAACTACACTGTGAGCACTAGCATGAGGAAGTCTCCAGTCCCAATCCCTGCTGGACATCAAGGGATCACAGTGTTTATACTTGAAAAGCAAATCTTATAAAACATACCTCATCTAGGATTTCTCTATTTCATTGCAGCAATTCAGGCAGTTCTTTAATCAACTGATCAACAGTCTGGATGCCTCCCTGTTCAATCACAGATCTGGATTTAGTCAATATAGACTGAGGTACAGTGTCTCCAGACACATCTTCAATTGCTGCTGGAAGATTAAGGGAAGCTAGCACCCTGAAAAAATGAGATACTATGTTATATTGAAGTCTAAAACAATTTAACTCATCAATATTTATTTTATTTAATTTAATCTTCTATAACCAAATCAACAGCAATGGAGTTAGCACCCAGAAAAACTGGATAAGCCCTATCAATGAAAAACAAAGCAAAGATTAACAGAAAAACAAAAAAATCAGTGATTGATACAATTAAACCAAAATCATTAAAAAATTAAGTTCACAATTCAGAATTAAAAGCCAAAAAATAGGCTGGTGCAGTGGCTCACACCTGTAATCCCAGCACTTGGGAGGCCAAGGCGGGCGGATCACCTGAGGTCAGGAATTCGAGACCAGCCTGGCCAACATGGTGAAACCCCATCTCTACTAAAAATACAAAAATTAGTCAGGCGTAGTGGTGAGCACCTATAATCCCAGCTACTTGGGAGGCTGAGGCACAAGAATCACCTGAAGCCAGGAGACGAAGGTTGCAGTGAGCCGAGATCTCACCACTGCACTCCAGCCTGGGCGACAGAGTAAGACTCCGTCTGGAAAAAAAAAAAAAAAAAGCCGAAAAATTATGACCGCATTAAAATATATTAGGTATCGTTGGCTTACAGTTCAAACTTCTTTCAGTCTAAGTAATTAAAAGTCAAAAATTCTATCCTAAAAAAGCAGTCTTTTATACTTTTGATTGTTACAGCATCTGTAACGAGTCAGAAACAATACACAAAATAGTTATTTTTTTCTTTTTTGCTCTCTTTCAACAGAATCAATAATTATAATTTCACATCATCTAGGCAAAATGTCAACAGAAGATAGATGATCTAAGTCTTCATTACAGAATCTTCATCTGTTCTCGGTTTTGTAGCACACTAACAATTCCTCAGTTATTTCATTTACATGATGGGGAAGGGAGGTACATATCCCTACCTACTATGTAAAGAAAAAAGGCAAATGAAATGATGGAATACAATGAACTCCTCAGAAAAGAAGCTCTGTAAAATCTCAGACTGCCTGTTTATCATATGCTAGAGTAAACTTACATTCCTTTCTTGTTCAAGAAAAATGATGGTAAAATCCATGCATTAATCAAAACTAAACACATGAAAAGGCAAGCCAACTACGAGAGAAATACAGCTGGCCCCTGAACAACACAGATTTGAACTACGTGAGTCCATGTATATGTGGACTTCCACCTCTTTCACCTTTGCCACCTCTAAGACAGCAAGACCAACCCTCCTTCCTCCTCTTCCTCAGCCTACTCAAACATGAAATAGACAAGGACGAAGACCTTTATGATGATCCACTTCCATTTAATCATAGTAAATATATTTTCTCTTCCTTATGATTTTCTTAATAGCATTTTTTCTCTAGCTTATTTATTATAAGAATATACTATATAATACATATACAAAATATGTGTTAATTGACTGTTTATGTTATCGGTAAGGCTTCTGGTCAACAGCAGGCTATTAGTAGTTAAGTTTTGGGGACTCAGAAGTTATATGCAGATTTGACTGTGCAGGGGGGTCAGCACCCATTACCCCTATGTTGTTCAGGGTCAACTATATTCTCAATTGTATGTATCTGACAAAGGACTTGCCTCCAAAATATGTAAAGAACTCTTTAAATATTAAGAAAACTCAGTTTTAAAAACTGAGAAAAAGATTTCAATAGACACTTTACAGAAAAGATATGAATGGCTAGTAAGCACATGAAAAGCTGTTCAGTATCATTAGTAATTAGGAGAATGTAAATTAAATCACAGTGAGATTCTGCTACACACACACTAAAGCAGCTAAAACTAAAAAGACTGACGGCACCAAGTATTGGTGAGGATGCCAAACAACTGTATTTCTCAAACAGTGCAGATAGGATATAAAATGGAACAACCACTTTGGAAAACAACCTGGCAATTTCATGTAAAATTAAATATGCTAACCACACAACCTAACAATTCCACTCCTAAGTATTTACCCAAGAGAACTAAAATATGTCCACATGAAGATTTATACACAAATGTTCATAGAAACTGAAATGTCCATTAACAGGTGAAAGAGTTAACAAACTGCTCTATAACCATAAAATGGAATACTACTCCATAACCATAAAATGGAATACTGCTCAGCCATAGAAAAGACTCAAACTGATACACATAATATAGATGAATCTCAAAAACAGTAACTAAGTGAAAAAAAGCAAAACACATTCTAAGTATATATTGTACATACTGTAAGTACTGTATATGTATATGCTAGAATGATTACATGTATTTTAAATTGTATAAAAAGTAAAACTAAACTTAAGACAGGGAGTAGATCAATAGTGGCCAGGGGCCAGGAGAAGAAGGACTGGGAAAGGGGCATGAGAGAATTTTTTTAGGGTAACAGTAATGTTCTCTATCTTAATCATAGTGCCGGTTACATGGGTACATACATTTATCAAAACTAACTAAATAGCCAGGCATGGTGGCTCATGCCTGTAATCCCAGCACTTTGGGAGGTCAAGGCAAGAGGATCACTTGAGCCCAGGAGTTCAAGACCAGGAGCCCAGGAGTTCAAGACCAGCCTGGGCAACAAAGCGAGATCTCATCTCTATAAAAAAATGAAAAAATTAGCCAGGTGCGGTGGCTTGCACCTGTGGCCTCAGCTACACAGGAGGCTGAGGCAGGAGGATCACCTGAGCCCAGAAGGTTGAGATTGCAGTGAGCCATGTTTAATGTTTACACCACTGCACTCCAGCCTGGTGACAGTAAGACCCTGTCCCAAAAAACAAAACAAAACAAACAAAAAAATATATATATACACACACATACACACATATATACATATAATAATTGAACTGTGTACTTAGAATAGGTGTATTTCGTGTGTGCAAAATATACCTAAAATTTTTTTAAACCAATGAATTATTTTCTTAGTATTCAATCCATCAGAAACAAAAATTGGTTCAGAACACTAAACGTACCATGTATCTGAGTTCATTTCTACTTCTCATTTCCCCCAAATAAATATCTCTTAAAATACAAATTTTTAGTCAAATATCCTCACCTTGTTTCTATAATTTCTTCCAACTATATTTGCTAGAGCTTCATAAATACAGTGTCCACCAAAAATAGTTGTAAGTGTGTGTCTACATTTTCCATTTTATATACTCTTGGCATTTAGCTCTAAGCTCAGAAACTAAAATGTTCATAAACTAAAGAACAACCAAACGGAAAACTTTAGGCTCTAAAATTAAGCTCTACCTACCCATTTGCCAAAGTGGTGGCTTCTCTCATCTGAGCAATTGATCTGTTAACAAATCGGCTTTCCTCTGATCACAGGCAGCCAAAGACTGCCGCACTGACACAGGCACCATCTTCTCAAGCAGATCTAAGATTAGGAAGAGAAATTACAACAAAATTTTAAGACAAAAACCCGAACTGTAAAAGTGACTATTCATGTTTTCTTTCCAATATTCACACATCTATACATATTTGATATTTAAAGATCAAAGTATCAATAGTCTATTGACATTTAAAGATCAAAACTAAATCACTATTTAAAGCACAATGATAAAGAGAATTTTTAGATCACTACATTCACGGACAATGGTGACAATGAAAAGTTTCTACTTTGAACTTAATTTTCTTTAACTTTTTCAGATGTGTTCATCACTGAGTTTGAGGGATCTTCAGTGACGCTGTTCATTTGTTGATTAAACTGAATGAGGGGCCGGGAGCAGTGGCTAAGGCCTGTAATCCCAGCACTTTGGGAGGCCGAGGCAGGCGGCTCACCTGAGGTCAGGAGTTCAAGACGAGTCTGGCCAACTTGGAGAAACCCCATCCCTACTAAAAATACAAAAATTAGCCAGTGTAATGGTAGGAGCCTGTAGTCCCAGCTACTGGGGAGGCTGAGGCAGAAGAATCGTCTGAACCCAGGAGGCGGAGGTTGCAGTGAGCCGAGATTGCACCACTGCACTGCAGCCTGGGCAACAGAGCAAGACTCGGTCTCAAAAAAAAAAAAAAAATTGACTGAGTGGGTCACGGCAGCAGGATTCCATTTCTGGCTCCAACACTTCCTAGCTATGTGACCTTGAGGAAATTACTTAACCACTCTGTGCATCAGTATCCTCATCAAATAGGGCTAACAACAGTACCCATCTCAGGGCACTTGTGAAAACTAATGAGGCAATATTTGTAAAGTGCTTAAAGAGTGCCTGGCACATGGTAAACACTTTGTGTTTGCTAAATAAACACATAATCACCCTTTCCCAGTAACAGAATATTCTCCTTGGGATCTCAGCTAGAGGCTACCATCTGTTGTATACATCTACTTCTACTTCCCTTCAACCTAAATAATTATACCTTTTAACCATATTGACAATAATATGGAAATATCACTCAAGAAGAACCTAACAGACCATGGAATTATAATAATTTAAACCATCCTTTTATCAAATGACATGGTCAGAACTGGAGAGGAAAGAGGGATACTAGTAACTTTTAAGTCCTCTACTAAGGTTTTTTTAATAAAAAGACTTCCAACCCACTAGAAAATATGCTTACATTTGCACATACTCCAGAAAAAGGAAACATTAAAATAAATTCCCCACTATGAATGTGTTATAGTGTTGATGTCCTGTGTTACAGTACATGCGTGTCATGAGCTGTCAGGAAATGTGTACACCATGCAGGAGGCTGGACCCTGAGTGAGAATGACTGCCTGTAAAAACTGCCTGGCAATGGGAATGGCCAAAGAACTTTTGTCAATTGGTATGTCTAAGATTCAACTTTAAGCTGATTTCTATAGTGAGGTACAATCCTTCATTATTCTAACACTTAGGTAATGAACACATGAAAGAGAGAGAGAGGAGAGCAAGATTTAGAATCTTGATGAGAATCTGTTTTTTTGTTTGTTTTGTTTTGTTTTGTTTTGAGAAGGAGTCTCGCTCTGTTACCCAGGCTGGAATGCAGTGGCGCTATCTCGGCTCACTGCAAGCTCCACCTCCCGGGTTCACGCCATTCTCCTGCCTCAGCCTCCCAAGTAGCTGGGACTACAGGCACCCACCACCACACCTGGCTAATTTTTTGTATTTTTAGTAGAGACGGGGTTTCACCGTGTTAGCCAGGATGGTCTCGATCTCCTGACCTCGTGATCTGCCCGTCTCGGCCTCCCAAAGTGCTAGGATTACAGGTGTGAGCCACCGTGCCAGGCCGAGAATCTTAAAAATTATGTAACTTAAGTTTCTTCCTCATTCTTTTCCAGATTCTGAATAAAGGGGTGGGTTTGAGAGATGGAAAAAAACTTAAAATCAAAAGGTAGTCTTTGAAATTAAACACCATCATACCAGCCTGTGATTTTCCAAACATAGAAAAATCTTTTTAGCCTACTTCCTTCATTACCAAGAGCAAAACAAACCAAAACAGTAGATGCTAAGGTATAAACCTGATGCCACAAATGATACAGATCCAAACAAACACAAATATATACACACACACACACAGATTCAAAAATCACAACACTATAAATCCTAGGACCAATGAATCTAATTAAATCCCTTTTGTGTAATATCCCTATTAATATAGGACTAGAAGACATTTTATACTCAAAAATCCAAAAGTCTAAATGGCTTCCACATAGTCAACAACACAGGATTTCCACTAACTCCACCACACTACCATATGTGGCTTTAGGTAGCTCAAAACTGATTTCCAAAATGAAGTATATTTTTGAGAGTAACAACTCCCAGAGAAAAACAAGGGCACACATATAGAGTTCCATGCTCCTCAGGAACTGCTAGGTCTGATCTTGGACCCTCTCTTCTACTAGGTTCGGCCAGGATGAATATATCTGATGAGACCCACATACCTTATCAAGAAATGGCTGGAAAAGGCTAAAATCGTTTCTCATGTTCCCATTACTACAAAGTAAAAGCATGACAAGCTCTATACTTAAGTGTTTTGACTTGGTCAAACGCTAACACCGGGTTTGCTACAGTGTAAAATTAATCTAGAATGTAATCATTGATTCCATTTTCTTTTTATTCTTAAAAAAAAAAAGGTGGTTGGGGAAGAAATCACTGCTTTTCCATTGCGCAGGTACTTTGTGCTAGAGAGCATGTGTCATTTCCAGGGTCTCAGAAAAAGAACAGATGTATCTATGTGTAAACACAAACAGTAAGTTACAAGTTGCCCCTTAGTACTGAAGGCAAGAATCAGCATCAGTACTCAAAAAAGTGTTTTAAAAAGAGTGTAACTTACTCTTACTGACCCAGGCTAAACGGGCTCTGTCTGGTGCTTCTTTGTCTGCACATGGCCACCCACAGCCTGTCTTCTAATTAAATCAATGCTCCAGCAGCAGAACAAGCAAACAAGTTGCCTCCCATCTACGTACAGCTCTTCAGGATACATTTCCCTTGTTCAGAAGGTGGAAATTCTTGGGAGAGGTGATTTTCTCTGCCTCTTCACAAGAAGAACATGGATACTTGGTTGGATGCAACTCCATGAAGCATAACTGTGTGTGTACACCTCAAAAAATAAAAAATGCAGAGAAACATAAAGACTCCATAAACAGCTGGAATACACAGAAATACTGAAGCACCGCTGGGAATACTGCTAAACAGACAGGCAAAATAGGGTCTTTGAAATCATCAATAATACCAAGTTAAGAAAAAAAAAAGGAAAAAAGAGCACCTAAGGTCAAAACTCAAATTTCATGCAATGAAAACATTGTAAGTACTACAAAAGAAAAAAGGTAAATCTTCTACTTTACATACGTAGAAACACATCCCACTCCCCTTACAGAGAATAAAATATATTATCAATGGAAGAGAAAAATGAGATTTTCAAGGGTGGTAGGTCTAAAATTAGACTCACCAGCCACATTATAGTTAATGAGCACTTACATAAATGTGAGCTAAATGCATCAAGCTGTCTTTCCAGTGTGGTCAGCTGTACTGGGGGGCAGGGGGTGCTGGGGAAAGAGCAAGGGACCACTCTGCTTATGAAAACATAATTTCTACAAAAATAAAAATGTACAGGAAACGAGATGCTCGTTTATTTAAATAATTTTAAACTTCCCAAATCACAGAAACGACCTTAAAGTAGATGCCCCTCCTTTTTTGCAATAAAAACCAAATGACTGAAGTAGGGTAGGGAGCAGGGTGTGGTTAAGCATCTGCTCACAAGAAAACTTGTTATAAGTTTGGTGAGGGAAAAGGGAAATGTATCAGCTCTTTCCAATGTCCCCTTCCATCCTAGGTATGCCCATATGCCATCAGGAAGCCACACCATCTCCATGACCACTAGGCATTTCAAGGACTGGCAGGCCTTAGAAGTTTCTTCTATCCCCCTGAGGCACACAGACAATTCCAGCCAGAAGTATAAAGCCCAGGGAAGAGAATATGGCCTATTCCTGCAGCTGCGCAAGAGGCCTGCGCTGGGGTCCCCTCACAATAAACTACTCAAGTGTGACCAACATTCCCATTCTGGAGATCCCTGACTTAAAGAAATGCAGACCTGGCTGGGCACGGTGGCTCACACCTGTCATCCCAGCACTTTGGGAGGCCAAGGCAGATGGATCACTTGAGGCCAGGAGCTTGAGGACAGCCTGGGCAACGTGGCAAAACCCCGTCTCTACTAAAAACACAAAAAAATTAGCCAGGTGTGGTGGCGCACACCTGTAGTCCCAACTACTCAGGAGGCTGAGGCATGAAAATCGTTTGAACCTGGGAGGTAGAGATTGCAGTGAGCCGAGATCATACCACTGCACTCCAGCCTGGGCGACAGAGCGAGAATCTGTCTCAACAACAACAACAAAGATACAGACAAATGTATAACAGTATTATATATAATAATATAAATATATAATGAAAATACCTACTTTCTTTCTCTTACATACCAAAATATCAGTCATCTGAACAAGTTATTCTTAAAGGACTTCCCTAGAGTTTACAAGCAAGCAATATTTGTATTACACAGAGATCCAAAGACGATGAACTGTTTTTAACAGAATGACTAAAAACTTGGCCCAATATAATCTGCCCTATAAACGCTAAAGCATTTGGACAAGAAACGAGTTTTAACCATGAATTAGCATCTCCCCTGACCATAGGGAGCTTTAAAGCATGAATTAAGTGAGTAAAAAACTTCACAGTCCATTTTTAATAACAGAAGTTCAACAAAAGATTTTTAACAAAGGAACCTGTATAATTTGCCTTTTACTACATAAAACGTAAAAGCTATTCCTATCACTATTCTTTTTTTTTTTTCTTTTAGACGGAGTCTCAGTCCGTAGCCCAGGCTGGAGTGCAGTGGCGCAGTCTCAGTGCAGTCTCAGCTCACTGCAACCTCTGCCTCCTGGGTCCCAGTTCAAGCAATTCTTCTGCCTCAGCCTCCCAACTAGCTGGGATTACAGGAACACGCCACCACGCCCAGCTAATTTTTGTATTTTTATTAGAGATGGGGTTTCACCATATTGGCCAGGCTGGTCTTGATCTCCTGACCTCGTGATGCGTCCACTTCGGCCTCCCAAAGTGCTGGGATTACAGGCGTGAGCCACTGTGCCCGGCCCCATCACTATTCTTAATACACGGTATTCTACCTACCAAAATAATCAGTTTTCAGAATGAATTAACCAAAATTTCTCAAAGGTTACAACAAGATCTTCAAAACCTCTGCGAAATTCATCAGTTTTCTCACAAAAGATTATAAATTACCTTCCAAAAGTCTGTCATTCATATTTCACCTATTATTACTCATTAGACTTTTTTAAACCAGGTCTTTGTACTTTTTAAGAAAAACACCATTGTGCAAAAGGAGCTTCAGGCAGTATTTTATAAATAGTTCATTTTCTATCAGAATCCATGAAACACTTTCTACTTCAGAAACAATCCTAAGAAAATGGTAGCATCATGACTCACCCAGTTCTATATCCAATTTTCTCAAAAAAGAAATTCACATTAGAAGTTTTACCATGTGAAATATGCAAAATTATGGTCTGGAATCTTAAATCCACTGTCACTACTTGATCCAAAACTATTTCAAAAGCAGCCAAAAAAGCAACTGGCATTCAAATGTATAGTCCCAAATATGAAGACCAAATTCTTTCACAATATTAATCTTCTCTGCTGTGAGTGAAACCAGAGTTGTACCATCCAGTGAACAGAATTCACTTTCTCATCAGTTATTAAGATAATCTCAAAAAAGCTATATGAAACAACAGGAATGAATCAACTTACCAATAAATCATTAAAATATGATCTATAAACTGACCTTTCCATTTCCTTCCCTACATTTTGAAGATAAACAAAATATACTTTGGAGTAATATCATTTGCATTTCCACACTGCAGAAAACCTCTCATACAGAAGCAGCCACCTTCCCTCCCAAAATTCTAAAGGGAGAAGGTGGTCAATTTAATAGATAGGAACTTTTGCACCTGCCCCTCCTTTACTTAAATGAAGAAAACACCTCATTCTGTTGTCCAGAAGTGACAGTCTTAAGATGACATCACTTGTCTGTAGTGGTGGTAAAGAAAAATAAAACCACACAAAATTATCAGTCTCTAAGAAAAGCTAAAAAATGATATGTCTGCATAGTTCCCTTTAGTGTGTGTGGAACACACTACTATACACACACACACACACACACACACACACACACATTTCTTTTGCCTTGTCTCTTCCTCCTCCACTGCATGGAGTTAAGATCAGTATACTTTTCAATATTTGGGAAAATACAAATTATCACATTTTTAAAATATACGGCCAGATACTCTTTCTAGGCAATAAAGACCATTAAAACATTTCAGTCATTTCAATCCACAATTACTATTTAAGGAATTCATATCAATTTCAATATCTGCCTAAGTAATAATATAACGGGCAAGTTTTAAAAATATGTTTATGTATTGTTTCCTTAAGCTCAGTGGCAAGAACATCATTTTTTAAATCAAAAAGTATATCCCAAAGTCTAAAGAGAAAAGAACAATGACTGTTTGCATCTGTTCAATAATCCAGACATGACTTAACTGAATAGACTGACCAAAACTAAGATAAGTGTTTATTCTCAAATTAAACATAATGCATTATTAATAAGGCTCTCCAGAATTTTTCTCAGCACTTTTCAGTATTCTGAAAGGACTCAATACTGCTACTTATATTTCTCTAAGTACGGCAAATATTAGAATCCAATCTTCTTACATCTTTCCATTGACCCAAGCTATTACAATACTTCCCCAACTGAAGTCCATCTGAAAACCTATCCTGTTTTAAGGTAATGAATCACAATTATTCAAGGTGAGAGAAACTGCAGGGGGCAGTATAAGCATGATTTGCAACATAATTCTTAAGATTTAGGAAAATTCTTCCTGTTAGTGTAAGCTTAACCTTAAACTATTAACATATATTTCAATCAAAGAGTCCATAGAAAAGTTAATTGTTAAAGATAATTGAAATTCTTCCACAAATTTAATAATCAAAAGTTGAGGCCAGGCACAGTGGCTCACACCTGTAATTGCAGCACTTTGGGAGGCCGAGGTAGGTGGATCACCTGAGCTCAGGAGTTCAAGACCACCCTGGTCAACATGGTGAAACCCCATCTCTACTAAAAAAAAAAAAAAATACAAAAATTAGCTGGGTGTGGTGGTGCATGCCTGTAGTCCCAGCTACACGGGAAGCTGAGGCACAAGAATCACTTCAGCCTGGGAGGCAGAGGTTGCAGTGAGCCAAGATCGCACCACTGCACTCCAGCTTGGGCTACAGAGTGAGAATCCATCTCAAAAATATACATATATGTAAAATAAAATAATTGAAAGTTGAGGTGTGGGATGCACTAAAGTCACTTGGGGAAGAATTCTATGCTACCATTATCCTTATGACTTATTCCAATCAAAAATAATAGAACAAGAAATTGTTTTCCTTTAAATTCATATCCACACTCTTAAAAAAACACAAGTTATCCAAAACTATAAGTCCACTTACTCAGGAGAAACTCATTATTTCAAAATGTATTCTTATCATCTTTAAGTATAAATAAGTAAACCCCTTAAAAGTCAGATTCAACACTAGGGGAAAATAGAATGAAATATTAAACATGATATATAAGTATGACTTAGGAAAATTAAAGTTATTCTAAGATAAAAAGAGAAACTTAATTTTATTCAGTTTTGCATTCATGGTTGCCATTCTAGTATATTCTCCAGCTACTCAATAACCTTCTTTCCCAAACCTATGCTGACTCCATGCAAGTAATTTTCAACTAACAATTGAATTAGTTAAGTTAGATGAAGCCCTCTTTGTGTGTCTGTTTGGAGTAAAGGTAACATTTGGTGGTAAATACATCTATCTTCTTTCTTATGTCATTTTTCTCCTCTGATCCTCAACATATAATTAACCTTTCTTTGATGCTGTAAAACTTGTCATTAATAGTTACCATAAATATTCATCTCATACATACCACTTCCAAAGCACCTCATAACTGTAATAATTGCTAACAGTTATGGGTGCTTACTACGTACCACACACTGTTCTAAGAGACTGTCCTGTATTAGTCATATATGAACTCAGTTAATCTTCACAACTCTGTGAAGTGGGAATTATTATCCTCATAAATAGGGAAACTGAGTCAAGGACAGACTGTGCCACACCCATGGACACATGGCTAATGACTGGTAGAGCTGGCATGAAATGTATCAGTCACATTAGGAGGGCATCACACATCCCCATGTAAGATTCAATAGAACTAGGTGCCCACCATATACTTTCACCTTCCTTGACTACATTAGGACCAATCTGACATTACCAAGAGAAATTAAAATCTACAAAGCATGATCAAAAGCTCAGGTCCACAATTAAGCATGAGAATATACAGAAAACACAGCTAGGACTTTTGGTAAACACCTGGGCAATTTTCACAAGGAAAGGCATGAAAGGGTGCGTGCCCTGGTATGAGAGCCTGAATACAAGGGCCACAACCCAGTCAACCTGGAAATGTCGCCTTTAACTATCATCTCCTCCCTCAAACTCATCATTGTTTCGTCATCATGTCTTACTTGATTCCCTAAGGAGTATTCTCAACCAGAAAAATATTTTTCACGATAATCCTCTCAACTGATAGATACAAATCTATCTTCTCCAAGTTTGAGCAGCAAGTCAATCTTCTGAAGACCTCAACATCCCCTGCACGAATTCATCAAGGGTCCAAATCAAGAGAACTAAGAGGACCTCACTCTAGAGTATAAAAAATTATGGCAAACGTGAGAGCCTCCCCACTCAATTATTCGATGTCCACAGTAAACTGGGGACAAACCTAACCGTAACACTGGGACAAGGCACACTTCACAGCACACAATTTCAGGACATACATCTAACCGTTAGGTTCGTGAAGAATCTTCCCCTTCTACTTTAGGCACTTTGGACAGTTGGAATTTATTTTTAAACAACAGAACATACATCATTTTTTGGGGGTTAACTTCAAGGATTTTCCTACTGAAAATGAGAAACTTCAGTATCCAATCACTAACTTTTGTATTCACGAATCTCACAAAAAAAAAAATCAAGAAAAGAAAGGAATTTAACCAACTTTTATATTACTCAGAAAAGTCACCAATGAAAACAACAATATCATAGGCTTCTTCATAACTGTGCTAATACTGGTGGGCAACACTGGTCATATAATTTATGGTTGACTAACTCAACAGTTTCATGTCATTTAAGAACAACAAAGATAAACTCACTAATATTTTCAATAAAACAGAGAAAAGAAATACCTCAAGTTCCACCAGTGCTGCAGTGACTGCGTCAGTTGCAAGAGCACCGGCCTGCAGCTTTTCAATTGCCTATGAAACCAAGGGGAGAGATTATTCATTGCAAAATCACAACTTCTCAAACTTTCCAAAAGCTTAAAGAAGTATGGGAGACGCTTAGATTAATAAAAATTGACCACTAGTTCCATTCCATACTTTAAGACATAAACTACTCAGAGTAAAAACAAGCAAGTGTTTATATTCAGGTTAATTGGTAATATGGCTCACTTAATATTCTTCAAATTAAAACAATAACATCTAGCTATTAAATGAAAAGTACAAGGAATTTAGTTAGCTTAATTCATTGTAAGGCTATTCAAAATAGCCACAGAAATCGTATGACCCAGTTTGGTTCAAATATCCTGAGAATTCGTATTTTATATAGATAACTAAATCTCAAACGAATCATTTCTCCTCCCCGTTAGTACTCTCCATACCTAAAAAGAAGTGACTCTGAGTCACGGGGCGCCAGAATCTGAGGATAAAAGCACACATTTGACAAAAACATTTTGGATACTATAATGTAAATTCTAAATCAAGATGTAACATATTATTTTGTAATATAAACTACACAGAATAAAGGTCTATAAAATCACCTGGCCTTGAGCATAAATTAGGAGAGGAAAAGAGAGAGAAGGAAAAGTCATTTATAAATGAATTATTAACATTTCAATTTAGTCAACAAAGAGAAAGCTCAAAAACTAAGAACTGTATTCCTAATTAAACTTTTAAGAAGTGTATTCATTGGAAATATTAAAGAGGCTAAATACACAATTCAAATGTATTAGATTTCTAGGACTATAGTTATATAAAATTTATTTTCAGATGACAGAAAAATTTCACACTTTGAAAAATAAGAAAAAATATAAAACAGCTTAGAGAACTTTTAGCTTTATTATTATAAATTTCAAAAGAACAAAATCCCTGTAACAAAATATTCTTATTTATAGGGCTTCATTCATAAGAAAAAGCTTGAATCTCTGATAAAGTATAATCTTTTTAATGTTATGTAAATATCAATGAAAAGAGCAGAGAGAAACGCATATTTACTTGATATACAATATTCAACTAGATTCTATTTGCATAAAAAGTAATGGAAGGTTTGCCTACAAGACTAGTAAGAATCAAAATAAAAAACATTTCTTCTGAGTCCATTCCTGTCCCCACATTAAATATTCAACAATTTAGCAAAACCTCAAAAACCAATGGGAAAAAAGCACAACTGAGTACAAGGGCAAAGCTGAACTCTGCAATGACAATGAACTTGCTATGATACAAACTACGTGATGAAAAACAGAATGAAAAAGTATAGGACAATCTCTCTTAAAAAAGCACCCATTTTAATTTATTTATTTATTTTTTTCCTTTCATGGAAAAACACACTGACTGCCTTCAAGCTGTTTTCTCTATCCTTCTGTCTACAGAAGTTCAACATCGTTGCAAAGATTAAAAGAGATATGATTGTGTGCCCACAATTACAAAAATACAGACTTTAATCTGGGAAGTGGGGAAAGAGCTAAGCATCATGTGGAGAAAGACACAAAACAACACAAAACGATCCCCTACAAAAACAAGCAAAATAATTTTGTAGTCCAAACCGGAAGACTGCCCTAGAAATGAAACTTTTAAATGTTGAATTTCTTTTTTTTTTTGGAGTTGCATACATTTTTTTAATCCAAAGAAGTCAGCCTCCTAAGTATTGCTTAAACAGGTTTATCAGAATTAAGTAGGCACGACACTCATACTTTCAGAAAAGCATTTCCAGCCAGGGGAGTAACGTGGCACTCACCAGCATGATATCTGTTTTGCCAACTTGCTGAGGAACGAGTAACCTGAAATGAAGAAGCGAGAATCCCATCCTCAGCCCCCCAACAGCTTCCTCAGCTTCTTTTTCTTCTGAGTCACTCTGAAACAGTCGCTGCATCTAAGACCAGCCTCGGGCTAAACCCAGCTGGCCTGAAGGCTCAACTCACATCAAACAGAGCTGGGAGTTACTTTTGCGTGTGTCCGCAGTTTGAAGTGTCCTCTCCGAAGGTGAAGTGGGGGAAGCAGGTGCGCTCTGGGATGAAGTGCAGGGAGGCAAACTCTGGCTGGGTTCCTGTAAACATCCATGGCAGTTGCAAATAATCAGAAGACAAGGCCAGGCCATCGGTGTGACGCTGCAGGCAGATGAGGTCTTGGGACGCCCCTTGCGTTCCCCCTTCTGTGGGAGCAGGTGCCTCCCAACCTCAGCACTCAGTCCCAATCTCTCTTCCACTCTCCTGGGTCCAAACAGGAACCTCTCTGTTGGCACGAAGCTTTTGAGGGGAGCAGGCAGGCCTCGGAGGCAGGGGAGGGTCTCCTCCTGGGGAACCATCCCCGTCCAGATGGTGCCCCCAACCAGCTGTGGCGCCATGATCTGGGCGGCTGGTCCAGGGCGTGGGTTGCGGATCGTGGAGGGAAGAGGGGAACGGCAGTCGAGACCCTACTCCAAGTACCCATCAAAGACGTCGAGCTCCGAGTCAGCATCGTAAAGGCCCGAGCCGGGGTCGGAGAGCACGCCGAGGTCCACGAGCGCCTGGTCCATGTCCTCGAACAGGAAGACGAGGCCCACGTTGAGGACGATGTACTCCATGAGGAAGGCGTAGTACAGGATCAGCACATTGACGAACAGGCCCACGTAGAACATAGAGGGCAGCAGCGGCGGCGGCACGTAGGGGACCAGGGGGCCCAGTGCGTCCAGGTGGGCCGCGACCCGGGCGCCGAGCATGCAGCCGGTGGCAAGGGCGGCGGCGGCCCGGCGATCCCGGCGAACTCAGCCGCTGTGGCGCCCGGGCGGCCGGCGAGGGCACAGCGCAGCCATCCAGGGGTACCCTGGAGCCCGACAGAAGCAGGGCCGGGCTCCAGATGTCTCCTGGCAAATGCGCCCCGACCCCCGAAATGCGCCGGGCGGGTCACCGCACCCCGAGATGTGCCCCCAAGGCTCTTTCGACCGCCGTGAAGTGGCGGGCCCCCTTGAAGTGGCCGGCGGCTGCCCGGCTCCCTCGAGGCGCCTCCCTGGCGCTCGCAGGGGCCTCGCAGAGCCGGCGGGGATCCCACCGCGGCTCAGTGTCTAGGGCCGGTCCCGGCAGCCCTCTCTCCCGCCCGGCCCCGCAGGTCCTAGCGTCCCCCTCCCCCCCGCGCCCCTGCAGGCCCAGCACCCATGGCTGCGGCCGCGGCGTCGTCCTCCGGGTCGCGCTCAGAGCCACTGCTTTATGTTCAAAACTGAAACGCATAGATCATACACATTGCGTTGATACCCTCTGACAAGCTCGTTTGCATACATGTTTATATTCCTTGGCTTTGGATTCAGAATGATAAACTGCACCTATAGTAGAAAATAAAATCCAGTTGTTAATTGTTAAAGTATCAAGAGACCTTGCTTATGTTATATAAATACTCCAATAAACTGATGCTGTCCTAGTAAAAAACAAAACTATTGCCCTAACTGTATGGAGTTTTATGACTTCTTTCTCCAATGTAAGCCTTTTTAATACCATGCCTTATCTCCGTTTTCAAAAGCTCTTTTCCTGCCAAAAGCCCTAAAAATAGCTCATGTCCCCAGAGGCTTCACCAAGGTCACCTCCCCTCTTCTTTTCAAGAAGCTTTTTCCAAATCAGGAGTTCTTTTGATCTGGAGCTGACAACCCAGAAGGTGTCAGGGACAGGGTCCCTCCAGGTTCCTCTCTGCTGAAAGCCCCTGCCATTTGGGAAGTTACTGTTTCAAATCCAGAATTCATAAGAATAATTCAGAAAGCTGGATTGCTTCTGAACAACATTGGAAGTTGAGGCATCTTACATCTCACATGTCCACAACCACCACCAATTGCACCATTCCTAAGCAAACACTTCACGTCCTCTCAATAAAGTTGCTAGATTAGTCTCATTTCTTAAAAAGCTGTTTTTTGACAAAATGGGAGAAAATTTTCGCAACCTAATCTCACAAAGGGCTAATATCCAGAATCTACAATGAACTCCAACAAATTTACAAGAAAAATACAAGCAACCCCATCAAAAAGTGGGCAAAGGATATGAACAGACACTTCTCAAAAGAAGACATTTATGCAGCCAAAAAGCACATGAAAAAATGCTCATCACTGGCCATCAGAGAAATGCAAATCAAAACCACAATGAGATACCATCTCACACCAGTTAGAATGGCGATCATTAAAAAGTCAGGAAACAACAGGTGCTGGAGAGGATGTGGAGAAAGAGGAACACTTTTACACTGTTGGTGGGACTGTAAACTAGTTCAACCATTGTGGAAGTCAGTGTGTCTAAATCCTCAGGGATCTAGAACTAGAAATACCATTTGACCCAGCCATCCCATTACTGGGTATATACCCAAAGGACTATAAATCATGCTGCTATAAAGACACATGCACACATATGTTTATTGTAGCACTATTCACAATAGCAAAGACTTGGAACCAACTTAAATGTCTAACAATGATAGACTGGATTAAGAAAATGTGGCACATATACACCAGGGAATACTATGCAGCCATAAAAAATGATGAGTTCATGTCCTTTGTAGGGACATGGATGAAACTGGAAACCATCATTCTCAGCAAACTATCACAAGGACAAAAAAACAAACACCGCATGTTCTCACTCATAGGTGGGAATTGAAGAATGAGAACACATGGACACAGGAAGGGGAACATCACACACCGGGGCCTGTTGTGGGGTGGGGGGGAGGGGGAGGGATAGCATTAGGAGATATACCTAATGCTAAATGACTAGTGAATGGGTGCAGCACACCAACATGGCACATGTATACATATGGAACTAACCTGCACTTTGTGCACATGTACCCTAAAACTTAAAGTATAATAATAATAAAATTTTTAAAAAAAGTTGCTTTTTGGTAGTTTATATGTAACACTGTAGTTTTATATGTACTTGCAAATAGCTATAGTACCAGTAAAAAATGTGATAAAATGAAACTCTTTCACATGTGCCAAAAATACTTTGATTTAGCGCTTCATTAAGTGCATGATTATCTGCATCTTTTGATTTACCTTTCTATCTTTACAATTTTCAGCTGAGATACTTAGAGGTCACATAGTAAATTAAGGTTTTCTTTTGAGAGAGTAATGGGGAAGCAGCCCCACTTATCAAGGGACGTGTGCATGAGTTCAATAAAAAGTTTCAGATGTAAAAAAAGTTGAGAAAAATTATAATTGCCCTACATATACACATCATCAACAATTTTTCATTCATGGCATGGACAGTTTTTTGGTTTTTGTTGTTTTTTTGTTGTTGTTTGTTTTTAAAGGTGGGATTTTGCTGTGGTCGCCCAGGCTGGAGTGCAGTGGCATGATCTTGGCTCACTGCAAATTCTGCCTCTCAGGTTCAAGCGATTCTCCTGCCTCAGCCTCCCAAGTAGCTGGGATTACAGGCACCCAGCACCACATCCGGCTAACTGTTGTATTTTTAGTAGAGATGATGTTTCACCACGTTGGCCAGGCTGGTCTTGAACTCCTGACCTCAGGTGATCCACCTGCCTCCGTCTCCCAAAGTGCTGGGATTACAGGCATGAGCCACCACACCTGGCCACAGCCAGTTTTGTTTCATTTATACTCCCACTTCATTTATATACATTCCTTCTTCCTCTGAATTATTTTGAAGTAAAATCTACACATCATATCATTTTTTAATTACCGTATATGTATCTGTAGAAGACAAGGAATTTTTAAAAATAAATATATTCACAATGCCATTAAATACCAAAAAATTAATATTCTGAAAATAGCCACAAATCCAGAGTTCACATTTTCTTGACTTTCTCATAGGTGATTTTTCTTCTAGGTTTTCTATTTAATCAGGTAACTGTTTGCTCATATTTACATTCCTTACTGAACAATGTTTAACTTAAAACTGACATAAAACGCACATGATCTTCTGACCAAATGCTTAGTGCAAGAAAAAACTTCAAACTGCAACACGAATCCCTCCAAATATAGAAAGGACCAGTATTTTAAGAGGTATGTTAACTAAAATGTGGCAATGTAAGGAGCAAAACAGGAAGAACCTTTAAGTCCTAAACTTACAAGTCGATTTCCTAGTCAGTTTCCCTGGTCCTTCCACAACAACCTCTGGCATCTGTTTTCTCTACAATGGAGGTAACAATAGTAGCTATTCCAGAGCAGGAAAAGGCTTAGAGCAGTGCTAGAAGAGGGTCGTGGCTATATAAAGTTTAGCTATTTGTATATTTTAACAAACCACCTTTTTTGTTGTTGTTGTTGTCAATAATAGATTTCTTTTCGAAAAGTAGCAGCCTCCTGTCTGGGGACACCTGCAGTTCCACTAAGTGAACATTGGTGTCTGCTCACCTTTGCCTCTATTTCTCTCAATAATATACTGTCAAGCTCTGTTCCTTGATTTAGCAATTTTATGTACTTTTATTTTTTTTTTCCTTTCTGTTTTCCTGAGACATAGTCCCGCTCTATCGCCCAGTTTGGACTGCAGCAGCGCCATGATGGCTCACTGCCACCTCACCCCCACCCCTCTCCGGCTCAAGCAATCCTCCTACATCAGCCTTCAGAGTAGCTGGGACTACCCGCCGGGCCCACCAGGCCCCGCTAATCTTTGTGGTTTTTGTTTTGTTTTTCAGTTAAGGGACTGGGTTTCGGGCCAGGCGCGGTGACTCAGGCCTGCAATCGCAGCACCCCGGAAGGCCGAGGCCGGCGGGTCACCCGAGGTTAGGAGCTGGAGACCAGCCCGACCAACATGGAGAAACCCCATCTCAACCAAAATAAATAAATAAATAAATAAGTAGCCGGGCATGGTGGCTCACGCCTGCAATCCCAGCCACTCAAGAGGCTGAAGCAGGAGAATCACCCAAACCCGGGAGGCGGAGGCCCGGGGAGCCGAGACCACGCCACTGCACTCCAGCCTGGGCAACAAGAGGGAAACTCCGCCTCGAAAACAAAACAAAACAAAAAAACAGGTTTCACCATGTTGCCCAGGCGGGTCTGGATCTCCTAGGCTCAAGCGATTCACCGCGCTCAGCCGTCCAAAGTCCTGGGATCACAAGCGTGAGCCATGACACCACGCCGATCTATTCCTGTCTGATTAAAAATTGGGCCGGGCGTGGTGGTTAACGCCTGCGATCCTAACACCCAGGGAGGCCGAGGCGGTCGGATAACCTGAGGTTGGAGTTTGAGACCAGCCTTATGAACATGGAGAAACCCCATCTCCAACAACAAAAACAAACAAACAAAAAACAAAATGAGCTGGGCATGGTGGCTCACGCTGCAATCCCAGCCACTCGGGAGGCTGTGGCAGGAGAACCACCCAAACCCGGGAGGCGGAGGCCCGTTGAGCCAAGACCTCACCACTGCACTCCAGCCTGGGCAACAAGAGCCAATCTCCGCCTCAAAACAAAAAGTGATCGGGTTTCACCATGTTGCCCAGGCAAGTATGGAACGAACTCCTAGGCTCAAGCGATCCGCCGCGCTCAGCCGTCCAAATTCCTGGGATCATAAGCGTGAGCCACCATGCAAGGCCGATCTATTCCTTTCTGATTAATAAACTGGGCTGGGCGCGCTGGCTCACGCCTGCAATCCCAGCACCCCCAGAGGCCGAGGAGGCGGGTGGATAACCTGGGGTCGGGAGTTTGAGACCAGCCTGATGAACATGGAGAAACCCTGTCTGTACCAAAAAAAAAAAGAGAAGAGAGACCGGGTTTCACCATGTTGCCCAGGCCGGTGTGGAACTCCTAGGCTCAAGTGATCGATCCCCCGCGCTCGGCCGTCCGACGTCCTGGGACCACAAGCGTGAGCCACCACGCCAGGCCGATCTATTCCTTTCTGATTAATCAGTTGGGCTTTGTGTGCTGGCTCACGCCTGCAATCCCAGCACCCCCGGAAGCCAAGGCGGGCGGATAACCTGAGGTCCTGAGTTTGAGACCAGCCTGACCAACAGGTGGAAACCCTGTGTGTACCAAAAAAAAAAAGAAAAAAGAAAATTAGCCAGGCATGGTGGCTCACACCTGCAATCTCAGCCATTAGGGAGGTTGAGGCAGAAGAACCATCCAAACCCAAGAGGCGGAGGCGGCGGGGAGCCGAGACTGCACAACTGCACTCCAGCCTGGGCAACAAGAGCGAAACTGCGCCTCAAAAAAAAAAAAAACAAAAAAAACGAGAGAGACCGAGTTTCACCATGTTGCCCAGGCCTGTCTGGATCTCCTAGGCTCAAATGATCCCCAGTGCTCTGCCATCCAAAGTCCTTGGATCACAAGCGCGAGCCACCAAGCCAGGCCCATCTATTCCTCTCTGATTAATAAATTGGCCTGGGCTGCGGTGGCTCACACCTGCAATCCTGTAGCGGGATTTTTAAGGAATTAGATAGACTCATGGGATTTAGGAGAACATTTATTAATTATTTAGGTGCACCCGCCCAGTCGGATTAACATTTAAAGGATTGAGTACTGAACCAAGAGTTACCTTTCAAGCATTATGTGGGGCGAAGGGGGAGATCTGTGCAGGGAGAAACATATTATAGAAGCGAGAAACAAAGATACTTATTTAATTGAAACATACATTATATTATTTTTTACTATTTAAGGAAAAATATGTTTTGTGACTTGAGTTTATTTAGTGACCTTGCAGTTGCACAGTTAAGGAATTAGTCGGGCATGGTGGCTCACACCGCAATCCCAGCCACTCGGGAGGCTGTGGCAGGAGAACCATCCAAACCCGGGAGGCAGAGGTCCCGCAAGCCGAGACCTCGCCACTGCACTCCAGCCTGGGCAACAAGAGCAAATCTCCCCCTTAAAAAAAAAAAATGTGACTGGGTTTCACTATTCTGTCCAGGCCGGTCTGGAACTCCTAGGCCCAAGCGATCTGGCGCTTGATGTCTTTAACCTGTGATTGAAAACATATTAAGATCTTGGGTGTATCAACAGTCCAGAGGTCAAGAAGGAAACTCCTGGAATGTGAAATATTCTGCAACAAGAAAGGCAATTGGAGAGGTGACTAAATTCACTGCAGTTGTTTTGCCCTCTTCTTTCTCCTCTCTCTCTTTCCTAAAAGTCCCCTAGTACAAAGTAAAAGAGATAATGGTTTTGGAGTGCATGTTTTTCCTGGAATTGGAAGGAATTTTAACAAAGGAGCCCTTCACAATGAAACCCCCCCACACCCCTGCTTTTCACCTGAAGTAGGACAAGATCGGCGCCCCCACCATCATTCTCCATGTGACCCCAGGTGGGGATGGGGGGTGGACACTACTGATAACCTCTTAGCAATTTCCTTCTTTATGGACTCTGAAGCTCCTTAGCTTGACAACTGATGAATAAGTTTTCTTTTGTGGGGTAAGAGTAGATAAGAATTTTCCCCCTGAATTCCCGTCCTCGGGCCAGGGAAGAGAGCCCAGGATCCCTTCTCTTGGCCTTCACACTGCGGGAAAGAGTACCTAGAGTTAAAAGCCTGATAAATGCCCTCAAACAGCTTTGAAAATCACGAGGTCAGGAGATCGAGGCCATCCTGGCTAACACGGTGAAACCCCGTCTCTACTAAAAAAAAAAAAAAAAATACAAAAAATTAGCCGGACATGGTGGCAGGCGCCTGTAGTCCCAGCTACTGGAGAGGCTGAGGCAGGAGAATGGCGTGAACCCAGGAGGCGGAGCTTGCAGTGAGCGGAGATCGTGCCACTGCACTCCAGCCTGGGCGACAGAGCGAGACTCTGTCTCAAAAAAAAAAAAAGTGATTATTATATACTTTATTTCAAAGATGAAATGTATGACCATACAGCAAAATAAAATTGGGATAAAAAATAACCTGAAAATCAGGAAACAGGAGAAACAGTCTAAACATTTAGTTTTGTGGTCTTGCCTAATTATTTTTCTTATGGTCAATAAGGAATAATTTATAATGACCTTATTCCTGAGTACCTGGAGACTTCTAAGAAGTTTTTAAGAATAGTTTTATGTTGAAGAATCATACCACGAAATACTTCCAAGATATATCTGTGTTGCCATCCTAGTTACTATAAACCAGAGAAAAATATTTTAATTACTCTTTTTAATGAATATGTACAAAAATGCTTCATTATAAATCTAGAATATAGGAATATGTTCAGTAATTGATTTTTGCAAAAGTCTGTTATTATTATTTTTCCCTAAAGCAGGGAGAGAACTGTAGCTTCATAATCTGAGATATCAGGTAAGGAAGTCCTCCCCTATTCTTTCTTAAGGAATAAACTTTTTATATTCCTCTCTCCAGTCTCTCAGAGACAGCATCAAATAACTCCCCTATCCTCTGTTGGCTCCATCCTCGGGGGCGAGTGCTATTTCACATCTTACTCTTAAATCACTTTTAAGAAATAGACATAGCTTCCACCAAAGAGGAGCCCTCCCAACAGACCTCTAATAACACCAAAGGGTTTCCATGTGTGCGCCCTTAAGTGAACATACACAAATGAAATGAATCTACAGATTGGTTATGAAGCCAGTTTTTATGTGACACATGAATATCAGTCATATTAGACACACTCCTGCCGAGTACTGTAACAAATCTCTTCATTTTTACCACATACATGAATAGCTGTCCCATATATTCATAAAATATAAGAATTTTTTTCTTGATTAATAAACTTCATTTTTTAGAGTAGTTTTAGACTCACAGCAAAACTGAGTGGAAAGTAGAAGAGTTCCCATAGACTCCCTACTCCCATACACACACAGCTTCCCCCACTGTCAACATCCTGCACCAGAATGATGCATTTGTTATAATCGATGAACCTACACTGACGCATCACTATCACCTAGAGTCCATAGTTTACATTAGGGTTCGATAAAATAATTTTTTACAACTTAAATCCCCCAATAAACTTAACATTACTTCTCTGGGCCATACGTTTTTCTGCATCAGTAAAATGGGATAAGAATATTTATTTGGAGCTGGGAGTGGTGGTGCATGCCTGTAGTCTCAGCTTCTTGGGAGGCTGAGGTGGGAGGATTGCTTGAGCCCAGGAGTTTGACGCTGCAGTGAACCATGATTGCATCACAGCACTAAAGCCTGGGCAGCAGACTGAAACCCTGTCTCAAACAAAACAAAACAAAATAAAACAAAGATAACAAAAAGGTAATATTTATTTGGAAGGTTTTGTGAGTATTATTTGGGATACATTATGAAAAGTGCTAGCACATTATGAGTATTCAGTTATGGTTAGTTAACTTTATCATTAAGATCGTTATAACCTGTAGGAACTGACCCTGCTACCCCAATCCTGTCTTTGAAGGAGCAAACCCATATGGAAATAAAAATGACCGGCTCCCCTCCCTGCCTTGACCTGTCATTTGAGTCTACCTAATTATAAAATGAACAGGGTTTTAAGTTTTGAACCTATTCCCTGTCATGGTGGGTAGAAAATCAATCACTACACCCCTATTTATAGAACAATCAGAACAGAGGAAAAGACCCGATTTTGAATTCCAGCCATACATTAATTGTGTGCCTTTAGGAAAATCACTTAAGCCTGTTAACATTCATTTTATTCCACTGAATAATAATACACGAAAGCACTTTATATACTTGAATGAACTATGCTCATTTACAGGGTTCTGCGCATGACACTGCATCTGTAAAACAGAAACCAACAAAGTGAGGGCAGAATGAAAAAAAAAACTTCCAGAATGTTCTTCCTTTCCTCAATGCCATGCAGTTTGTGCAGTCAGCTGATTGGCTGAAAAGAGTCAGTTTTGACGACTGATGCTTCCTGCTTATGTTTAGTTGGTTTAGGAAGCTCATTAGGATGCTATCTCGGAGATGAGTCTGGTGGGTAGAATATCTGATGACTGTAAGGCAAATGTACTTCCTTCAGCTGGTGAATTAATTTCTCAATAGACTCAATTTGCTTTTTACCAACTGTCTGGCAATATCCGATATTTGCAATAGTCTTTCAAACACTTGCAATAAAATCTGGCTCACACACACAATCTGTTAGTGGTGAAAGAGAAACATTCATCACATTCAAAATTCTCCAAACATGAGAGCAGCTGAATGTGCTTTAAGACAGTATACCTAATGATACATCTCTATTTTCCCCTTCCTCTTACAATCATTTACACAGATATATGAGAGGTAAATATGTGTTTAGAAAGTATTAGTCATCATAGATGTACCTCCAGTCATCTATTCAACTGTAATCATGGTAAAATATGCACTTGTACAACTTTATACTATCAATGAGTATAGGTAGGTGAAAATTAGTGTTGCCAGAAAAAATCCAAACCAGAAAACTGAAAGTATAGAAAAATTATACGTTATGTCATTGATAAACCATTTAAAAATAATGTCACGTATAGAATAAAAAATTCCGTGAATATATACATGCAAATTATACATATATGTGAATTTAATTTTATTGAAAGGTAATTGGCATCTGCAATTTCATGCAGTCTAAGTGAAACCCATAAAGAAATGTGTATGAAATAGGAAAGCAACAAAAGCTCATAACATTTTAAAATTAGAAATCAGATTCAAAACCAATCATGATCTATTTTAAATTTCTCCCTATAACATTTCAATTGAGACATAAAACACACTTTATACAACATGCCTCACTATTTTATTTACAGCATGACTTCCCTTTCCCCAATCCCCAAACCATGTTCCCATCTACACCGCACCCCACCCAACTCTCACCTCTTCCATTAGCATTATTACAAACATATTTTACAAATCTTATATCAAGCTTTTCCACTCTGTCTCTTTTAAATGTAGAAATATCTTATATATAAACCCGAATACCACAAATCTTCACATTTATATTTTCTAAAGCAGTTAAATCGTTATAGACAATTCTACCTAAAAAGCAAAATGCGCTTGACAATATGTCATGTTATGTTAAGTTGACCAGACACAGAAGTCATTTCTGTCGGATTTCTTGTCGATGTTTGCATTAAGTTGGAGCTTTCTGATCTCGGCTCCTGTTGTGCCAGTAATTTGAAAGGTCACCTCTCTGTTGGCCTTTGGCTTATGCAATGCAGTCTGTCAATTAAAAGTCTCAGCCGGGCGCGGTGGCTCACGAGGTCAGGAGATGGAGACCATCCTGGCTAACACGGTGAAACCCAGTCTCTACTAAAAATACAAAAATTAGCCGGGTGTGGCAGGCGCCTGTAGTCCCAGCTACTCGCGAGGCTGAGGCAGGAGAATGGCGTGAACCCGGGAGGCGGAGCTTGCAGTGAGCTGAGATCGCACCATTGCACTCCGGCCTGGGATACTGAGTGAGACTCCGTCTCAAAAAAAAAGAAAAAAAAAAAAGTCTTGTAAATTTGTACATAGAATATTGAAGTTAGAAGAGGCTTTTCACTCTCTGGGCTCTAATACTGCCCAGAGGTTGTTTCTTGTTCCCATAAGAAAATCCTGTATGTCTCTCCATTACCATTCCTGATCCTTACCTCCAATTCAAAATGTGGCCAGTTCCACCTTCTAAGCCTTTATACCAAATTGACTGGGTAGGTTTATTATGAATCTGTGTCCTTGTCCAAACTCTACATTAGACCTCCCAGGAGAGTTCAAACTAAAAACTAATGAGTAAGTGCAATATTACAATTGAAACGGGAGCAAACATAATTTCAAGTAGGACTCATAAAAACTGTGGGACCAAAAGAGGAAAAGTGCACGCCGAATGTTCTCAGTTCTGAAATGGCTCTTGTGAAATATCTATGTGAAAACACTTCAAGGACCTAAAAAAAAAAATGGTGAAAAAGCGAACAATCTTCCTTGCAAAACAACTCCAGAGTTAATGCCAGAGCTTTCTATCAAAACATCCATGCTAAATTCACCGGAAAGATTCAGAAGATCAATGACAGGAGTAAGGGAAAAACAAGGACATTTTGTGAGTGGAACATATAATGACCCTGTAGCAGGAGACCCAGAGAGGGGGAAAAAAGAAACGGAGGGTGTAAGTAAATTAATTGCCTGTAACATGTTTAATGAAATAAGTAGACGTGTGATGCAAACTTCTTAATAGTCAAACATTATGCAACATATGATGCATAAGAATTGTACTATCTCAAATTTTTTTAATGTGAGATTTTCTTGATGCCACTTTCATTTACCTACACACACACAAATGGCACAAATCACATATACATATACTGACACGAAAATACATATGTGGGAGGGAGAGAAAGAGGGAGGAAAACGTTAATCATGATACATTGCCAGTGTAAGAACTCCCTTTTGGCCGGGCGCGGTGGCTCACACCTGTAATCCCAGCACGTTGGGAGGCGGAGGAGGGCGGATCACGAGGTCAGGAGATGGAGACCATCCTGGCTAACACGGTGAAACCCAGTCTCTACTAAAAATACAAAAAAAATTAGCCGGGCGTGGTGGCGGGCGCCGGTAGTCCCAGCTACTCGGGAGGCTGAGGCAGGAGAATGGCATGGACCCGGGAGGTGGAGTTTGCGGTGAGCCGAGATCGCGCCACTGCACTCCAGCCTGGGCGACAGAGCGAGACTCCGTCCCCCTCAAAAAAGAAAAAAAAAGAACTCCCTTTTTAGAAAGATCTTTTATTCAACTTACCAAAATTTTAATTGCCAATGACACAGAAACCAGCACAAATAAGAACTTGTAACTTACCCAGGTACAAGTGAATTTCTATGACTGAAATTCAGGGGCATTCTAAGCAAGAATAGTTCAATAGAAACTAATCTCATTATTTTTCATTTTTATGAAGTCATATTTATTATTCGTAGTGTGGTTTCTCATCAAGGAGTTATTTAACATGCCAAATGCCTGCACCTCTTTAACTAGGTCTTTATGCATAGGGAATGTTTAAATATCCACAAAAGTAATACATACTAACCAATTTTTTAGATTTTAACATATATATTTGAAGATACGTTTTCCCCAAATGTACAGTTCTTTGTGGCCTGGATTGCCTCAGGAAACTGCCTCTGCCTTTTGTGGGTATTATGGCAAGCAAGGGCACTGGTAATTTACTGCTGAGAAAATGCCTAGCCGTTTGCCTGATTATGCCACGTCATCTTCCTGACACTACAGAGCACGGTAACCTCATTTCCAAAATCAAAGAACAAATCTGAACGGCTACTGTTCCTGAGGCAAACAAGTGAATAAATTCCAAAACATGCCATGGACTAATTGAAGATGAATTTCAGACAATTCTTTTTTTTTTTTTTTTAGATGGAGTCTCGCACTGTCGCCCAGGCGGGAGTGCAGTGGCGCGATCTCCGCTCACTGCAAGCTCCGCCTCCCGGGTTCACGCCATTCTTCTGCCTCAGCCTTCCGAGTGGCTGGGGCTACAGGCACCCACCACCACTCCCGGCTAATTTTTTCGTATTTTTAGTAGAGACGGGGTTTCACCATGTTAGCCAGGATGGTCTCGATCTCCTAACATTGTGATCTGCCCTCCTCGGCCTCCCAAAGTGCTGGGAGTACAGGCGTGAGGCCCTGCGCCCGGCTGGATTTTAGACAATTCTATGTCGTCTGTTGAATCTATCATCTGTTGAATCAGCTTTCTAGTAACCACACACTATAGAAGTGAAACCAACCTGTACTACCAAGAGTGTATTAATTTTGCATGCATTTCCTAGTAAACAATGTAGACAGTATTAATTTTTATGTTGCCAAGGTCATAGTTTTGTCCCTCAAGTCATCTGCTAAATTTTGCCTCACCTGGCTCAGTCAGAAGGAACAGAATTGACAATATTAACTGGTCTCAGTTATCTCCACTGACATAAAAAAAAACGTGTATTTTCCACACGGACTGTGGGAATCAGCATTTTCTGTTATTAACTTAGATTTTTTTTCTTGCCATTTCTCTTTATGATCCCAATGTATTGATGTATTTCTAACACTACAACAAGATTTGTGTCACTCAACTGTATGTGTTGTAATCATTATCTTTTAACCATTTATCTCCATGAAACTGATGTCATTGAAAGATAGAAAAGAGAAACAAAAAGCATAGAAGGGAGAGAGGGAGGGAGCAAGACTTTAGTCATGATACAATGCCAATGTAAGGGCTCCTTTTAAGAAAGATTTTAAAAAATTTCTTCTTCAAAATTTCCATTGCCTCCTTGAATGAACTGTGAAGGATTGCAAATTCCTTTAAAACTTGGTTTTGGCAATGACTCTGGATTTCCTTCATTAGCCAGCTATGCAGAATTCATTTTCCAATGCTCTATTAAAAATAAAAGGCCGGGCATGGTGGCTCTCGCTTGTAATCCCAGCACTTTGGGAGGCTGAGGCGGGCGGATCACAAGGTCAGGAGATCGAGACCATCCTGGCTAACACTGTAAAACCCCGTCTCTACTAAAAATACAAAAAATTAGCCGGGCGTGGTGGTGGGCGCCTGTAGCCCCAGCTACTCTGGAGGCTGAGACAGGAGAAAGGCGTGAACCCAGGAGGCGGAGCTTGCAGTGAGCCGAGATCACGCCACTGCACTCCAGCCTGGGTGACAGAGCGAGACTCCATCTCAAAAAAAAAAAAGAAAAGAAAAAGAAAGAAAGAAAATAAAATAAAAATAAAAAAGGGAAGATTCCCTTAATGTTTCCCAGTCTATTAAAGGTTTCCTTCCAAAAGGAGCTCATTCTGATCCCATTTAGTACTACACCCTCGTGTATGCCAGATGGCACAGGCATCATAGCTTCACAAATGTCATTCTGATTCTCACCTTTAAAATGAAATTCCCTTAGTCTACCTTTCTTTACATAAACTACAAAATTGTAGACAAAGATATGCCAAATTAAAAGCCTCTTTTGCTAAACATTCTAGAAATAATTTGAGAAAAATGGGCACAATTTGAGACCTTAGTTGTCTTGGAAAGGGGGTAGGTGGGTATTTGACTATGATTCTGGTCGCTATTTCTCCTGTTAACTATTTAAATGTGTGACCTTAAAAGAAAATCATTCAGTCTTGTTGAGACTAATGTCTCATCCAAAAAAAGTACTTAAAATTTCTCCTATGTGTCTTATAGCGCAAAAATGTTCAATTCTGTTTCAAGCCATTCTAACATTTGGTTTATAAACAGGTATTACATCATCAAGGCTTACTGCAGGCCTCTGCGATCTTTATTTCAATTTCATTCCTTTTTAGGCTAGATGTAATTTTGGGATTTTAAAAATGGAATTATATGTTGTTATGGGTTGAACTGTGTTTTTCCCGAAAATATATGCTAATGCCCTAACCCCCAATACTTTAGAATGTGACCTTATATAGAAACAGAGTCTTTACAGAGGTTGTCTAGTTAAAATGGGGTCATTAGGGTGGGTACTAATCCAATATTACTAGTGTTCTTATAAAAAGGGGAAAATTGAACACAAGGGGAACATGCACAGAGGGAAGACTATATGCAGACACTATATGGAAGACTGGGCTGACACATCTGTAAACTCAGAAACACCAGTGATTTCCAACAAACCACCAGATCCTGGGAGAGATGCAAGAGACACAGACAGCCTCCCTCATATCCTTCTGGAGGAAACTACCTTGACTACATCTTGTTTTCAGACTTCTAGCTTCCCAAACCGTGACACAATAAATGTGAGTTGTTTTAAGCCACCCGGTTTGTGGTACCTTGGAGAGCAGCTCCTACAAATGAATACATTGTTATAGACTAAAAAGTGCATCAATCATAAGTGTACAATTTTTATAATCTTTCAATATGGACTCAGTCATGTGACCACCATAAACAAGAGCACCTCAGAAGCCTCTTTCATGCCTCATTGATTTTCTTCTACCGAATAGAACACTTTTCTGACTTCCTCTACAATAGATTCATTTTTCCTGAGGAAATTTCTATGAATGCAGGCATATTTGTGACACCACAGATGTAGCAGCAGTTCTTTAATTGCTGTATTTTATTCCACTCTATCAATGATCCATAAAATATTTTTACATTCTGCTGTTGGTGGACAATTGAACTGTTTTGAGTGTCTGCATATAAAAATAATATTATAATGAAAGTCTTTTGGTGTAAAAAATTCCCAGTCTTATCTGTTGGGTATATACTTAAATGTAGAATGGTTGGGTCATAGATAGGTATCTGTAAAACCAAACTGTGTTTTATTAATCTACTCATTTTTCTTTTAAATATTAATGTATAATTTACACATAACAGAGTGTACAGATCTTAAGTATACACCTCATTGAATTTTCACATAGCTTCATACACGGAACAACTCAGATAAAAAATATCTTACAGGCCGGGCGCGGTGGCTCATGCCTGTAATTCCAGCACTTTGGGAGGCCGAGGCGGGTGGATCACCTGAGTTTAGGAGTTCAAGAGCAGCCTGGCCAGCCTGATGAAACCCCGTCTCTACTAAAAATGCAAAAATTAGCTGGGTGTGGTGGCGGGCACCTGTAATCCCAGCTACTCGGGAGGCTGAGATAGAAGAATTGCTTGAACCCAGGAGACGGAGGTTGCAGTGAACCCAGATTGTGCCACTGCACTCCAGCCTGGGTGACAAGAGAGAGACTCCACCTCCAAAAAAAAAAAAAAATCTTACAAATACCCCATAAACCTTCTTCTTGCCATCTCAGTCAACTACAACCCAAAAAAAGATAACTCCTATACTGACCTCTATTTATATAGATTCATTCCATTAATGAATTAATGTTAATAGGCTGTTAATGAGCTTCATAAAAATAGTATCATGCAGTATATATGCTCCTGCATATGGCTGATTTTATTCAATATTAGGTTTTCAAAATTTATGAGATTCTTGTATATACCTATAGTTCATACTTTATAATTTTAATAGGGGTATTCCATTTTATGAATATATAACTGTGCTATTGGATGATTCATCTGTTTCTAATTTTGGGCTACTATAAATAATGCTAATTGAATATGTTATATATATCTTTTGTTAGACTGAAGTACTCATTGATCTTGAGTATATATACCCAGGAGTGGAATTGCTGGGTCAAAGGGTATGCAAACATTTAACTTCAGTAGATCTCGCCAAAAGAATTTTCAAGATGGTTGTTCAGATTCACATTCACACAACAGTCTATAAGAGTGGTAGTTATTCCACATCTTCTGAAACAATCTTCTGAAACAATCTTCTGTATTAAAATTCTGGATTTAATCTTTAAAATTCTGGATTTAATATTTTTATATTTGTACTATCTTTTTTTATTCTTATTTCCTTTTTTGGCTTTTTTTTTTTAATCGCTCTGTTGCCCCTGCTGGAGTGCAGTGGTGCCATCTCAGCTCACTGCAGCCTCCGCCTCTTGGGTTCAAGTGATTCTCCTGCCTCAGCCTCCTGAGTAGCTGAGATTACAGGCATGCGCCACCACGCCTGGCTAATTTTTGTATTTTTTAGTAGAGATGGGGTTTCACCATGTTGGTCAGGCTGGTCTGGAACTCCTGACCTTGTGATCCACCCGCCTCGGACTCCCAAAGTGCTGGGATTACAGGCAGGAGCCACTTCGCCCGGCCTTTTTTCCATTTTTAGAATAATTATTTATTTTTCATTTTATTAAAATACTTGTAATTCCTTTTTAGTACTTTTAGTTATCCTACAGAATATTTATTCTAGACTATTGTGGACTACCTTAAGTACCTTAGTTATCCTAGAGGATATAATATTTATTCTCAACTATTGTGGACTACTATTTCTGAAGTATGTTCGTACTTTTTCCACTTCTCCAACAATGTAAGGACCTTAGAGCAGTTGAACACTATTTAGCTACTCCCACTCTTTGTCATATATTTTATTCAACATTTAAACTTTGTAAAAGACAAGTTAATTATATTTATCCTTACTTCTCAGGTTTATTTTCATGGTGAATATTCTTTATAAATTACTTTTCTTTAATATCTTTCGGATTTTTGTGTCAATGATTACTGGCTTCCCACAAAAAAATTAAAGTGTTCTTTCTTTTGTATTATTTCCTGAAAATGCTTGTGTAAGACTAGTTCAATTAGTTCCTTAAGTTTTGGTAAGGATTCACCAGGTAATCCACATGTGGTTGGAATTGTGTGTGTGTGTGTGTGTGTGTGTGTAAAATGTGTTAATCATAAATATAGTTTCTATAATACATACAGAACTTACTCAGATCTTTAGAACTTCTTGTGCCAATATTTTAAGGCTTTTATTTCAGTTAATTTCATTGCTTCCTCTAATTGTATGCTTCTCTCTGGGATAATTTTTTCTTAGTCTGAAGAACTTTCCTTAGTATTTCTGTAGTTCAGTTCTCCTAGGCAAACATTCTCTCAACAATTACTTGTCTGAATATATTTTACTGCGCTTCACTTTTATGTGTTTTTTCACTGGTTATTAAATTTTAGACTGGCAAATTTGCCCCTCAGCATGTTAAAATGCCATTTCATTGTCTCCAGCTTCTATTGTTTTTGTTGGAATACTTATTTGTGCTCTTTTACTTACTTTTGAGAGTTTTGTTTTGGTTCAGCAGCTTATAATCTGGATAGGTAAAGTTTTATTTGTATTATATTCCTTAGGTTTTGTTAAGTTTCTTGCAAGTAGGTTGATATTCTTTATCAATTTTACAAAATTTTTGACCAACGGCTCTTCTGATATTGCTGCTTCTCCATTCTCTCTCATTTGTCTTTATGTCCAGTTTAGTTATAGTAGATGTTGTGACAGTGCCTTATGTCTTTTTTGTTCTGCTTTATTAAATCTCTTCAGTTGAGATTATTTCTATAGATCAATTTATATTATTTCTATGAATCTCTTTTCAGGTTAACTTGTTTTACTACATTTATTCTAAAGCAAACCTATTCAGTGACATAAGTTCAATTATTATGTTTCTGTTTTAGAATATCTGTGTGACTTTTTATAGATATTTAAATCTTCGCTGCACTCTCCATCATTTCATCCAGTTTGCCTACTTTTATTATATTAGCAACGGTCATTCTAAATTTGTCTGCTAAATTCTGAACTGTGAATCAGTGAGCTGTGCTTATTGTGCACATGTGTTTTGATTAATACAATTTTTGCCACTTCACATATCTAGACGTTTTTTGTATCATGCTGGACATTGTGTATAAAAGAATAATAAAGTATTCTGATAATAGTAGTTTTAGAATGTATTCCCACTTTTCTCTATTAAGCAGATAGTGTTGGGAGAAAGTCATTACCAATACAATCAGATATTGGAGCAGTCAGGATTCAGTTTTAGTTTCAGTAAGACTGGCATCTTTGGCTTATCTCTGTTTCTGAAGTTTGTTCCTTTTGAGCTTTTGATTGAGAGCTGGTTGGAACTACTTCTCATTAGTCTCAAAAAATGTTGTTGGAGATTAAATTTTAATTTCAGGGGTATTGGGCTTAGCTCTTTAGCATTTCACCCTATTCAGCTTCAAAATCTTAGAAATGTGTTGAACAAGGGAGTTGGCCATGCTTTTGGGGCAGGCTCTCTTCTTTGCAATGAGTTTGTCTCCCATTTGCTGTGATACTCTTGAAGATTTTATTCTGTCTCTTGAAATCTTCTGGAATAACTCCTCATTCTTGCATATATCACAATAATTCAGTCAATATGCCTCAGGGAAAATATCTTTTGTGTGCCACTGCTTATTTTACCCCTAATCCATATCTGGGCCAGGCCCAATCCTCAGCCTTCACCCATAATTATAAAAGACACTCAGAGAAACAGTCAGTTCACATTGGAAGGTTCATTAATCTATACATTTTTGTGGACCTATTTTGACCTATGCAACTTTCTTGTCATTCACTTTAAGTGCTTTATGCCTAATCAAATGGCCTTTCTTCAATATTTTTCCCAAAGCATCTCAATATTTATAAAATTATACATCTCATGAAGTTTTTAAAGGACTAAAGAGATCTTTCAAACGTACATATAGAATAAAAAGTCATGTTATCTTTGTTTGCATGCTCATCTTGGGAAGGAATGTACTACTCAAGATTTCTTTTTTTTTTTTTTTTTTTTTTTTTGAGATGGGGTCTCACTCTGTCACCAGGCTGGAGTGCAGTGGCGCGATCTCAGCTCACTGCAACCTCTGCCTCCTGGGTTCAAGAGATTCACCTGCCTCAGCCTCTTGAGTAGCTGGGATTACAGGCACATGCCACCACGCCCAACTATTTTTGTATTTTTAGTAGAGATGGGGTTTCACCATGTTGGCCAGGAAGGTCTGGATCTCCTGACCTCGTGATCTGCCTGCCTCGGCCTCCCAAAGTGATTGGATTACAGGCATGAGCCACGGCGCCAGGATTACTTAAATTAAAAGCATGCTGGAATTGGTTCAACAAGGATTTAAGATGGCTGTTCTAAACAGGTTTTGCTAATGATATTCCGAGTCCTCTGACACAGTAATGAAAGTAAAAAGTTCTTGTTAGTATAATAATCATTCTGAGCTATTAGTAATATATATTATTGAGAAGCTACCCTACGGGTATTTAGAAACCCTGGACAAGGGAGAGGCAGTAGATTTCAACCAACATATTCTGAGGAAGCAGCTTAAAATGTGACAGCATATCTTGTGTTTAGGTCAATTGGTCTAAGGTAACTCAAATGTATAAATCATAAAGCTTTAGAGATGTTCTTGGAGAGAAATGTGTAATAACATAGGTGTCAGGAAAACTACTATGGACCACTCTGTATAAAAGGTGCTGGGAGAGTAATTTACTTTGGCCCGTAAGGTTCAGGTTAACAGAGGGAGGAACAGCAAACAAATCCTGAGAACCATATAGGAGTGAATGACAGACAGGGATACCAGCATCTATTATCAAAGGACCCAGAGGAAACGGGGAAGAATAGAGAAGAGCTGAGTAAGTCAGTGTTCAGTAGGTTTTAAAAGAAGGTAACTATCAAAGGAGAGGAATATTGATCTCAGAAACATCCTTTCACCTGGAGAGTAAAGATGGCATCAGAAGGAGCACAGGCAAATGAAAACCTTGGTCCCTCCAGCATTGTCTTATTTCTTCACAAAGTAAAATTTTGTTGAAGACTCAAATTAGCCCAATAATTTCCTGGCCTGGTGTACATTGTGAAAGATAATATTTCACAGTGTTCTATGGGTGTATTTGTGCTTTTTTCTTTAAAAATACAAAAAAACAGTTTTTAATTTTCACATGAATAATTCATTATCATTATAAAATTTTAGCCAATATAGAAAACTTTGTGATTAAATAAAAACTTTATACATTTCAATGTTAAACATCCCTCATAGGGCTTTTATCCCTGTTTACTCACAATTTGTTCATGTCCCTGCACCAGGCATGTGCCCTTAGACAGTTGAAACCTACTTAGATGTATCTGCTATTCTAGACCTATATCTGGTGTTTGGATGCTTAGTTCGGCTCTTCTAATTCAAGGAATATTAATCTTTAATGCATTGAATCCTGAGTACCATTATGTATGTTTCTGCTTCTTGAACCCTGTTTAAGAGACCCCTATTTAGTTCTATCAGGAGAGAATTTAAACAACAAAAGGAACCTGGTGATGTTTTTAAATAATTGATTTTTTTAAACCCCATATAAGTTCAATTCATATTTTAAAAGTTAATATTCTAATTTATACATTAAGTACCAGTATCTTTTGATACATATATACAAGAGGCAGCATGAAAACCAGTGTTTACTTTTGGTGCAAACTGGCTTCCTTTTAGGGCTGCTCTCACCTGCTTTCACTCATGCTTTCATCCAAGTGTTCAGTATCATACTGTTTTTTAGCTGTTCCCTCCAGCTTTCCTAGAAGTATGCAATCACCCCCCCCTTCCATTATAATTCTTTCTCAATCAATACTACTTTTCCTTCTGAGTAACTTATCCTTTCTAACCATTAGGAAAAAATTATGGCCAGTTGATTAAACCACTTAAGAGTTGAGTGGAAAGACTTATTTCTCCAAAATTGCACTTAAATATTAACGGAGGAGACTGTCAATTCAGAGCCATCTAAGCACCACGATGGCCTCCTCTTCTATATTGTACCCTGCATTTAAACAGTTTTCATCACATACACACAAATGCACACAGATGCATACCCACATGCACACTCCAACTTTTCCTTTCCATTTCTATTGTTAGTATACTACTTGTTTAAGGCAGTAACACCCCATATGTTTTAATGAGTTTTTTTTCTTTCTCTCTACTCAAATCCATTTTATGATGTAGACCAGGGATTGAGAAGCGTTTCCTGTCCAGGGACAGATAGTAAATATTTTTGACTTTGCAGGTGGCACAGTCTCTGTCAAAGCCATAGACATTACGTAATGAATGAGGACGGCTATATTCCAATGAAACTTTGTTTACATGAATGAGCTGCAGACTAGATTTGGCCCATCGGCAGTAGTTTGTTGAGCCTGGATCTACATAAATCTTACTGATTGCAGATTTTCTCACATTACTTATTACTTAAAAATAAAATCAATCATCTCATTTCTTCAACAAACTTAAATAATTTGTCCTAAGTGCAAGACATCTATTTACTTGTCCTGTGATTTCACTACAGAATAAGATGTTAAATTTAGGCTGACATTGAGACACATTTTCCCGTTGTCTTTTTCATATGCTTGCAATCTAGTGAAAATAAACTATTGACTTCTTTATATGTCTAATGAAATATTTTGCTTCCTTTCTAATGCTAATCTCTGTATGTTACTATCCAAAGTCCAACTCACATATACCTTTCCTCAAATGCTAATTGGATGAATTTCTCCATTAGGAAAAATTTCACAACATTCTACTTTGCACTATACCATTTTGAGGGCGTCACCATTTTGAGGGTTCATCTCAGTGTCTAGTACAGATAACATAATGTCTTACACATCACAGTTGCTCGGAAAGTAATTGTTAATGCTTAAATAAAACAACTCTGCCAGTGGTTTTCCTACTGACTTGAACTAAAAATCTTGTTCATTTACCACTTCTCCCTCTCCTTTTCTCTCTTTCCCCCTCCCTTTCTCTCTCCCATCTCTCTATCCTCCTCTCACCCCTATTATTGGTAGGTCCTATAAAATCTTACCTTATAGAATCTCACATTCTTTTACATCATTCACACTGCTACCATCCAAATTCAGATCTTTCATACCTCTTCATTGGACTATTAAAATAGTCGAATTCCTTTCTGTCATTATCTCCATGCCAAACCATCTTTATTATTTATCTATTTATATGTAACATATCACCCCCAAACTTAGCATTTTAAAACACACATTATTTCAATTTTTGTTGGTGGGAATCCACATGTGGATTAGCTGTGGCCTCTGACTCTCACTCTTTTAAAAGTCTGCAGTCATCTTAAGGCTGGACAGGGAATGATTTATTTGCAGACTCACTCACATAGTTGTTGGCTTTAGTTTTGTGCCAGGTGTTGTGCTGTAAACTCCCTTGGTTCCTTGTCACGTGGGTCTCTCCACAAAGCATCACACAACATGGCAACTCTCTTTATCAAAGCAAGCAAGCGAGAGGGCAAGAGGAAATGCCAGCAAGAGTTGGGGGTGGCTAGCAAGGGGCAAGACATAGTTCCTTGTTAGCTAACCAAGGAAGTAACACCGCATTACTTTTGTTGAATTCTGTTTCTTAGCAGCAAGGCACCAGGTCCAGCTCATACTCAAGAAGGGGAGATAATACAAGATATCGGGAGGTGGAATCAGAAACATGGGAGCTGTGTCAGAAGCCACCCATCCCACCACTCCAGATAGTTATCACTTTCTTCTATTATGTTATTTTTTTCCCCTTAAAATACTTAAATGACCTAGAGTAGTGGTCTCTACAGTTTTTTTTTTATCCTGCTCTTCACTCCCAGAGTATATTAGTTGATGCAGCAGTTTGTCTCTCTTCATTATCACCAAACTCACACACAATTCATGCATGTGGTAGAGATGCTCTGTGTATGCATAAGTCTGACTCTTCAGAATCCCTGTTATTGACATGTGAGTGACTGTTGCTATCCATGAGCCATTGAATTTCTACTATCCTCATTCTCAGTGGTCAAAAGGGTTGATTGCTTTCTACTCTCTACTTCTCATTGTCACCTGGCTTCTGTAACAATGTTCCTGCCTATACTTTTTTCCTTTTTGCAATGTCATTTTCTGCTTTCTTGTGTAATTTCAAGTAAAAAGAACTTTTTTAAAACAGTTTCTACCGTGGGGTCCTCCTGAACAGTGTGACTTCTCTGCCCAAAACAGTTGTAACGTCCAGCTGTTTTCAGTAATTTTTCCTAGTTGGAGCTCAAAGAATAACACGAGAGAACTAATTTTTTTTTCATTCTGTCCAGACTAAGATGGGAGGGCTGATAATTCTGGAAAACTATTGCAGGGATTGCTAAGATTTTATTGCATGAATACGTCTGTCTTTCTTTGGATGCCTTTTTTTTTTAAAGCACAAAGTTAACTGTAATAAGGATGGTTATTTATATTGTTTATTTATATGTACCTTTGAGATTTCAATTTTTGTTAAATGAATATTTATTAAGTCATTATGCACTAGAAAACAGAGAAACAAAACTGAAAACAAAAACCTAAATTGCGAGGATTTTTCAGTACTACTGTAACTATATGCAAACTCAAAGCAGTTTTTTTGTGTTCGGTGGCGCTCTGAAATCCTCTTCTGGATATCTTGCCAAGTCCAGTATTGTGGAAGATGGCGTTATGGTCCAGATCACTGCAGAGAACATGGATTCCTTGAGGCAGGCACTGCTAGAGACGAGGGACTTCAGCATCACCTGTGGGAAGGCAGACGCGGAGGATCCCCAGGAGCGCATGCACATCCAGTGAGTGGATGATGACAAGAACGTTAGCAAGGGTGTCGTAAGTCCTATAGACGGGAAGTCCATGGAGACTATAACAAATGTGAAGATATTCCACGGATCAGAATACAAAGCAAATGGAAAAGTCATCATATGGACAGAGGCGTTTTTTCTAGAAAACGATTCCCAGGATTTCCTAGAAATCCTAGTGCTGGGATTACAAGGAAACGATGACCGGCACAATTGCCTCAGTGATCCTACAGATCACAGTAGATTGACTGAGCATGTTGCCAAGGCTTTTTGCCTTGCTCCTGAAGCTTCTGAAGGAGGATGGAATGACCAAACTGGGACTACGTGTAACACTTGACTCAGATCAGGCTGGCTATCAAGCAGGGAGCAGCGGCCAGCCCCTTCCTTCGCAGTCCATGAATGATTTGGACAGCGCCTTGGTGCCGGTGATCCATGGAGGGGCCTGCCAGCTCAGCCCTGTCGTCATGGAACTCATTTTTTATATTCTGGAAGCCGGGCGCGGTGGCTCACGCCTGTAATCCCAGCACTTTGGGAGGCCGAGGCGGGCGGATCACAAGGTCAGGAGATGGAGACCATCCTGGCTAACACGGTGAAACCCCGTCTGTACTAAAAAATACAAAAAATTAGTTGGGCGTCGTGGCGGGCGCCTGCAGTCTCAGCTACTTGGGAGGCTGAGGCAGGAGAATGGCGTGAACCCGGGAGGTGGAGCTTGCAGTGAGCTGAGATCGCGCCACTGCACTCCAGCCTGGGCGACTGAGCAAGACTCCGTCAAAAAAAAAAAAAAAAGTTAGATTAACCTTTTGTTAACACTATTAATTGGGCGGGGAATAGGGTTGGAGTGGGGGTTTGGGGGATGGGTGGGAAAGGGTGGTTGGGGGGACAGATGTTCCATAATTCTAAGTCTTTTTTCTATGCACTCTCACAACAGTTATGCTATCCTTACAGGTAATCCCCTTCTGTTACTGTTTAGACAATAATTCCGCTCCTCTCTCAAGATTTACTTACGGTCATGTGCCCCGAAATGCTCAGATGGGCACAACCATCACCAAGGGTGGGATGGGAGAGCAGAGGGGAAATAAAATATGAAGCATCAGTTAAAAATAATAATACTAATAATTTGAAAAATGTTTAATGAAGACATAACTTTGTAGAAAAAGGCACACCTAAAGAAGGTTATTCAAGACAAAATTAAGAATATATTTGCTAATATATGCTTTGAATTAATTTTTGATGTTTCTTATGTATATATTTAAAAAGCAAACGTATGAATTTTAATCATTTTTTATTCATAGGAAATGTATAGGGGTTCATAAATGTTGTCAGTATACTTCTCTGACCTTATATATTCAGTTTTGTCCCCTTGTTTACAATCTGACTGAGCTGTAAAGGTGTAACCATTAACCAATCAAAGTGAACATTAAAAGGTCAGTGCATTACATATTTTAGCTGCTTCCCAAAAAAATGGGTAAGACATTCAAATTTTGGCGTATTTTTGCAAGTCCAAACTTGTAAAATAAATCTGTGATTACATAAATGAGACTCTGGCTCCCTGTAAAATTTGTAAAAAACATGAGAAGGAAGTTCAATTCCCTGTCTTTCCCTTTTTATTATATTTTAAAGTCAGTCTCCAAAATTCCAGTAAGTTGATATAGGAAGTACTCCAGTTATCAATGTCATAACAACCTTATAAATATTTTCCAGGCTGCAAGTTTCAAAATAAGAACTTCCTTCCTATTTACAAATTAGCACATGGACATACTTTGGAATTGTTTGTGGGTATCAAATAACTTTTTATTTTTGCAAATATTTGTATCAATAACTTCTTTCCTGCCTCAGCCTCCCAAAGTAACTGGAATTACAGGTGCCCACCACCAAAACCAAAGAGTGTTTATTTATTTTTTATTTTTTTTTATGTAGAGACAGGGTTTCTACATGTTGACCAGGCTGGTCTCAAACTCCTGACCTCAGGTGATCCCACCTTTCTCGGTCTCCCAAAGTGCTAGGATTACAAGCATGAGCCACCCCACCCAGCCAGTGTCAATAACTTCTATCATGACAATTATCCATTTCTGCCATCAGTTATTTGTAAATAAGTGATAAGACATTTTGCCCTCATATCTGTTTGTGATCAAAGGAAAACCAGTACCAAAGAATATTTATTTTCTGCATGATCAATGTGATTGGAACATATATAGTGTCTATATTCTTTGTTATTACTGTGAAAAATAATAAGCAAATAATTTGTGTTTTAAATCATTTGTAAAAATTTTTTTTGTTGCCAATATATTTTAACCATTCTGAAGAGAAGGCTAAAAAAGATTTTTGCGTTTTTTTTTGAGATTGAGTCTCGCTCTGTCACCCAGGATGGAGTGCAGTGGCGCGATCTTGGATCACTGCAAGCTCTGCCTCCCGGGTTCACGCCATTCTCCTGCCTCAGCCTCCCGAGTAGCTGGGACTACAGGTGCCCGCTGCCACGCTAATTTTTTTATATTTTTAGTAGAGGCGGGGTTTCACTGTGTTAGCCAGGATGGTCTCGATCTCCTGACCTCATGATCCACCCTCCTTGGCCTCCCAAAGCGCTGGGCTTACAGGAATTAGCCACCGTGCCCGGCCAGGTTTTTGCCTTTATAAGAACGAATGTAAGGAATAAGATTAGATGGCTAAAAATGGGGGATTGGGGAGGGGAAGACTGGCCTATTGATTAGGAGAAGGCCAGGAGTAAAGTCTGCCAGTAACATTAAAGATATGAAACCATAACCTTTGTTATACAATTTTATCCATTGCATAACAGCAATGGATGCTGTTTCTGTGCTGAACGGAAGGTGAGGTCATAGCAAGAAAGCTGCCTACAAGGCCTCATTTACAGGGAAGTTTTGAGAAGCTGGAGAAAATCTGAGAAAAAGCATATATGATGGTTGGAATTAAACCATCTACAGAAAGTATGTTCTAATGTGTTAGGATAAGCACCTAATTAAGCACCAGCAGGCTGAAGCAAGCAGAGGCATCATTGGAGCTATGTGTTCACACCGTGCTGTGACTGAGAAGAAGTTGAAGGCGGTATCTCTTCAGAAGTTTCAGGCATCCGGGCATTTGAGAGGCCAAGAAGTCTGTGGCTGCTAAAAGCAAAAGGGCCAGCAGATTTAAATAAATAAATAAATAAATAAAAATAAAAAACGTTGATTTTTAAAATCTAGAAAATGTCACTGCGAGCGCAAGGTAAATTGTCACTGCAAAGATAAAAGGCACCCTCATTTCCTAAGCTTCCTGTTCTCCACATACAATTTATTTTTTAAGATTTCTGGGCAAAAGTAATTACTGCTTGATCTGCATTGAAAACTATTTTAATTGCTATATTTCAGTATAGCATGTGACATGTGGAACATTGCTGCTATCACTGGGCGAATGTCAGAGTCCGTAGATGTGTGATTTGTTGCAAGTTACTTCTAGCAAAGGCTGAACTGAAGTTTCTTTCTTCTCTGACCTTGATTATGATAATTGAATGAGGTAATTGGATGAAAATATCCTTACTTTCATTTCAACCTTAATTTTTTCCTTAAAAATTTTATAAGCAAATACATTTGCCACTTTCCTGACCTTTCAGCAATTTTTTCAGAAAATAACACACTTTCCATTTGGCCACTATCCTATTTAAAAGGAGCCATGAATATCTTGCGAATGAGAGAAAAGGAGGTCAGGCACGAATAAGATGTGATGACATTTGGAAGTCTGAAAGCGAATAGAATTGTCCTGACAGTCTAGCTAAGGAGAAGAGACACACCACTCTGAGTACTCACAATGCCAATGTAGTGGCAGTTTTTCCAAAAATCACTATGGATGATAAGAACTGGGAAGAGAAGCAGAATTCAAGAAGATTGAAAAGTTGCATATGGCAACAGCTATGTGGGTCAACCTTCCACATACTTCCCCTATCGCTTCCGTTGCCTATAGCCTTTGCACAAAGGATAAAGTCACATAAACATTCTTGAGAACAACACGATTTGTCCAGAAAAGGCTCAGTGAGACATAGCTGAATGATAGTTAGATTTGACGGGTTAATTTAGCAATTACTTGTGTGACTTCTCATCAAAGAGCAGATGTGAGTTACAGCATCATCATAAATGATGGTGAACAGATGCAGACCTGAACCAGAACTTCCACCCAACCCCCACAAACGTGTCTCCCCACTGTGTGACTAAGCCCATCGTCTCTGGAACAACTGGTAGGAAAGTGTGAGTGGGATCATCAAATCAACTACAAGAAAATCGAACAAAGGATTCTGAAGAGTAGAACTGAGGTTACAACAGAAATGTATTCAATAATACGGAAAATAATTATGTCTATCTTTTTAAAAAGAAGAAATACTAGTTTTACTTGGACATATGTGGTTGAAGGAGAGGGGCTGTGGGCATCTATCCTCCCCTTCAATGGCAAGGTATCAGTAACTGCTCAATAGAAGAACTAGTGGTCTTTTCAGAAACTTTACTGTTGGGATTAAAAAGTATGCTAGTGGACAGGAAATAATATTACCACAATGATTTCAAGATGAATTAAAAAGGCAAATGTTGAAAGCTAAATTTCAAATTCATTTGAATATGAATTGATATTTACATAATCTGGAGTGAGGCAGAGCCTGCATAGAGCTGGACACCATAAGGGAAAGGACTATAGATTAACTAGATAAAATTTCACATCGCAATTTTCCAAACAAAATTTTATCCTGTTTAGTAAACATCACTTAAACACAATTTTAACATTATAAATATATCTGCACATATACATGTACAAATGTGTTATTTATGTAGAAAGAGTTAAAACAGATCAACAGCAAAACATGCATTTTTGTACATAAGTGATTAACAAGGGAGGGTAATGTGCTTTTTTTTTCAAAAATAGTCACTAGCTTGGGCACAGTGGCTCACACCTATAATCCTAGCACTTTGGGCAGAAGTGCTTGAATCCAGAAGTTTGACATCAGCTTGGGCAACATAGCGAGACACCAACTCCACAAAATTTTTTTTTAAAAAAGCCAGGCATGGTGGCACACACCCGTAGTCCCAGCTACTCAGGAGGCTGAAGCAGGAGGATTATGTGAGCTGGAGGTCGAGGCTGCAGTGATCAATCAGGCCACTGAACTCCAGCCTGGGTGACAGAGACTTCATCTCCAAAAACAAAAAATAGTAATTAAAAAGAAAGGCCCTGCTGCAAAAGAAGAAAGGCAGTGGATTTGTCATACAGTCTAACTTTTATGAAGAGTTTACTTACTGCTACTTTTAAAGGGTATCTTACAGTCTGTAAATTGGCAGATGGAATAATGACTTGTACTTCCCTCTTATGAGTAATTAAAGCAACTTATTTTTGTTCAGTGCTTCAACACCTTCATTTACTGTCTGATTAGACAACTTTTCTAGAATCTGCTATCTGCAAACCCTCCTCTCATATGCAGATCTACAACATGTGAATATAACATTCCTGATTATATCATGACCACTCCCAGTGGGCTCTGCTGGTAGCTTGTTTTGTATAGGTATAGATCCAGTGCTTTTTCCTCTTTATTCTTTTTATTGAGCGCTCTTATACATATATGGTTATGCAGAGATAACACACTGTCAATACAAAGATTTTCAGAATTTATTGGACAAAATGACACAAAACTAAAAATATCATTTACACATGAAATTCAAAGAACGCATTATTTTTCCTTACAAAATTGTGGAAAAATTAATTCAGATAGTAACATAGAACTAGTTCTAAAACTAAAATGCTAGTGTGAATGTATACAGGAGATATGGTTTGACTGTGTTCCTACCCAAATCTCATCTTGATTTTTAGCTCCCACAATTCCCACATGTTGTGGCAGGGACACAGTGGGAGGTAACTGAATCACGGAGGTGAGTCTTTCTCATGCTGCTCCCATGAGAGTGCATAAGTCTCATGAGATTGGACGGTTTTATAAAGGGGAATTCCCCTGCACACATGCTCTCTCTCTTGCCTGCCACAAAGATGTGACTTTGCTCCTCATTCACCTTCTGCCATGATTGGGAGGCCTCCCCAGCCATGTGGAACTGTGAGTCAATTAAACCTCTTTACTTTATAAATTACCAGTCTTGGGTATGTCTTTATTAGCAGTGTGAGAACAGAGTAATAGAACAGGCAAAATGAAGGAGTTTATTTTAAACCTGCTTTAAAGTATTTCGTGGTTAAAGTATTTAAAACCTTTTCTTCTATTTTTAGGAAAACAATGAGAAAGCTAAACACAGGTCTAACTTGTTATTCAACTAAAAATTATTTTAAAAATATTTGAGTACAGACTTCTGGCACCAGCCAAGACAAAGCATGCTCACCAAGGCCTATTTCTCTTTCTGACTGAAATTAAAACTCTGGACATAAAAAGCAACTATCAAGGACTCTTAAAAGTAAACAATAACAGATGGATTGAAGGCAAAATCAAAATACCAATAGTGACCTGTAACAGGGGTGGGTTTAATGGCTATTTTTTTTTTCTAACCCAGGTGTGCAAAATTTCTACTGTTTTTAGCTAGAGAACCAAGAATGAAGCCTCTGCAAGATGGAGCATATGTAGAGTGTTGGGAGCAGGCCCCCCAAAATCTGGCCATAAACTGGCCATAAATAAAATCTCTGCAGCACTGTAACATGTTCATAATGGCCCTAACACCCATGCTGGAAGGTTGTGGGTTTACTGGAATGAGGGCAAGGAACACCTGGCCTGCCCGGGGTGGAAAACCGCTTAAAGGCATTCTTAAGCCACAAACAATAGCATGAGCGATCTGTGCCTTAAGGACATGCTCCTGCTGCAGTTAACTAGCCCAACCTATTCCTTTAATTCGGCCCCTCCCTTCGTTTCCCATAAGGGATACGTTTAGTTAATTTAATATCTATAGAAACAATGCTAATGACTGGCTTGCTGTTAATAAATACGTGGGTAAATCTCTGTTCGTGGCTGAGCTCTGAAGGCTGTGAGACCCCTGATTTCCCACTTCACACCTCTATATTTCTGTGTCTATGTCTTTAATTCCTCTAGCACCGCTAGGTTAGGGTCTCCCTGACCGAGCTGGTCTCGGCATAGAGAAATAATTCTTTTGTTTTTCTCTTTCTTCCCCACCCAGCCTTGCCTGGAAGCCAGCTCTGGTTCTGAAGCTGCTGTCATGATACTAGCTGTGTAGTGGCAGCAATGCACAGGCACTGAGAACTTCAAGACAGACAATCTCTCTCATTATTTCTCTTTAAAGAAAAAAAAAGGGGGGTACAGACACTTATGAGAAAACAAAAACACATGAAGACAAATATAAAAATACAATACTAAGATATCAAATCTGGCAATATTTAAAAACAATACTTTACAAACAAGTGATTTATACCATGAATGCAAGGCTGGTTCAACATTCAAAGCTCAACAGATATAAATTGCAACATTATTAGGTAGATGAAGAATAAACGTGTCATTTCAGCAGATGCAGCAAAAGCATTTGACAAAATTCGGCCGGGCGCGGTGGCTCACGCCTGTAATCCCAGCACTTTGGGAGGCCGAGGCGGGCGGATCACGAGGTCAGGAGATCGAGACCACGGTGAAACCCCATCTCTACTAAAAATACAAAAAATTAGCCGGGCGCAGTGGCGGGCGCCTGTAGTCCCAGCTACTCGGGAGGCTGAGGCAGGAGAATGGCGTGAACCCGGAAGGCGGAGCTTGCAGTGAGCGGAGATCGCGCCACAGCACTCCCGCCTGGGCGACAGAACGAGACTCCGTCTCAAAAAAAAAAAAAAAAAAAAAAAAAAAAAAAAGCATTTGACAAAATTCAATAGCTATTCTTTATAAAAACTCTCAACAAAATGAGAAAAGGGAACTTATCCTGATAGAGGGCATCTACAAAACAAACAAAAAAAAAAACAAACAAAACTACCACTAAATTACACTTAATGGTGACTCTCCAACTGATTTAAAAACTGGGTCCAAGGCAAGAAGTCAGCTCTTTTACCACTTATATTCAACTTTATACTGATAGTCCTAGCCAGATCAGTAATGTAGGGAAAAAAATCAGTGACATCCACATCAGAAAGGAAGAAATAAACCTGTTTCTATTTTCAGACAACAGTCTATGTAAAAGTATTCAAAATAACCTATTAAAATTCTCAATATGCGAGTTTAGTAATGTGGTTATATGCAAACTCAATAAACAAAATCAATCATATTTCTATATATTACCAAACAACGTTTGGAAATAGAAACATACAAAAAATTATTTAGAATGACATAAAAAATAAAGCGTTTATGTATAATTTTACAAAAATATGTGCACAATTGGTATTTTTCCTCCCAAGTAGCTGGGACTACAGGCATGCACCACCATGTCCAGCTAATTTTTGTATTTTTAGGAGAGCTGGGGTTTCACCATGTTGCCCAGCCTGGTCTCAAATTCATGGTCTCAAGCAATCCACCCGCCTCAGCCTCCCAAAGTGCTGGGATTATAGGCATGAGCCACTGTGCCGGACTCCCTATTTACATTATTTTAAAAAACCTATTTACCTTTAGATAAATGTTTGAGGTGATAGATACGCTAATTACCCTGATTTGATCATTCCATATTATACACCTCAAAATATCACACTATACCTCATAAATATGTACAATTATGTGTCAATTAAAAAAAACCAAAAAATTATTTTTTCAACCTTCATAGTAGCTTTTTTTTAATTAAAGGAATTTATCTCTAATAATAAAGTCAAATAGAACAAAAATTACAGACTGAGGATCATTTTGTGGAGGAAATACAAATGTAGGCCTGGAACAGAGGGCATAAAAAAATAACATCATCCTCTTAAGTATATACTTTAAAAGAAAAAAGAAAGTTGTAGATATCAAAAAAAAAAACAACACATTTTACTTTTAACTGGGCACTTTCACTACACTTATATCACAATGCTGCCTGGATAACATTTTAAAGAATTGTTTATTACAAATGAGAGGAAATGCCAGCTAAAGTCAAGGGAGTTGAACAGTTTTCAGTTTTCCCTGCCAATCTAAACCACCAGTGCCAGTAAGGACTACTCAGTGAAGAGTGCAGAGCAGGAACCCAAGCGTGTTGTGATGTCAAAAACAGCAGTTATTTTATATCATGGGTTTTGAATCACTGATATTCTATTTTTGTTGTTGCTTTTTATTGATATACCAGAAATAATGTTATTTTTTAAATGTTACATGTTCTGAATGACCTGTTCTTAATACTTTCCTCTTTAGAGCGGTCTTCATTTATTTCCCCAGAAGTGTAGATGAGGTGATTGTTTATAAAACTTACATCTTTAAATGTTCTCAACTGTTGGAGTGTTTGACGTTCTTGGTTGATCCATTCTTTTTTCTTTTGCTCCTTTTTATCTTGTCTCTTTTCTATATTTAAGCAGATGTATATTTGTAAATTGCTCAACATTACAAAAATGTCGTGGCATACAATAAAAATGTCTTGACAAAGAAAGAGGCTGTACCCCAACATTACCACCCCAAGACTGCAACCAGACTGCAGGCCTGGAGGTGAATTGGCTGACAGCTGCAGGTCCAGGGCAGCGCAACTCCAGTTTCCACAAGTCTAGGCCTGCATGTCACGCTACACAAACATAGAACATTTTCCTTCGGAGGACACTCACCATCTGAATACTGTGATGCTGACGAGAATATCTTATGCTTTCTTCAGCCTGTTGCAATCTGAGCCAATGATTTTCTTCGCACTGATCCTGGTGGAATAATACAAATCACCTACATGGTTTTTAGTGTTACCCTGGTATAGCATAAAAGGTTAAAAGAAGAAAGCACTGCATTTGGGCGTAGTGTAAGGCATTCATTAATATTAGTTCTGGTGCGGCCCAATGGTACTCTCCTCCACAGTCTATGATGAGAGTTGCCTGGCTGCTTATGGAAATAATTTATTCCCAGCAGAGTGCTTTAAGAGGTGAAAACAATCCGCCAACCATGAGAGGACACACAGGCAGCCCCCATTCTTAAATGGGATGTGTCCCAACAATGTTTTAATGTGATTGTTTTAAACACATTTCCCCATAACATTATAAATACTAATTACATTTCCAAGCATACCTACAAACGCAGAGCAACTGAAAAATTGTTATAACTGTGTTTCACCTGTGCTTAACCACTCACTATACCAATATATAATATGCTATATGTACATAAAATCCTTAATCTATGTAAAAAATAATACAGTAATACTCACAGATAATACTAACATTTATTGAGTAGGTTTTAGCTTCAATGATAAGTACTTTTCATGCCTTATGCTACTCTATCGTCACATGAAATTTGTATTATTACCACTATCTTTTTTTTTTGAGACTGAGTTTTGCTCTTGTTGCCCAGGCTGGAGGAGTGTAATGGCATGATCTCGGCTCACTGCAACTTCCGCCTCCTGGGTTCAAGCGATTCTCCTGCCTCAGCCTCCCAAGTAGCTGGGATTACGGGTGCCGTGCCTGATCTATCATCCTCTTTTAACAGAGGAGAAAACTGTGAGCCCAAAAGAGATTTAAGTAATTTGCCTAATGTCACATGACTACTACCTAAGTGGCCAGACTGCGATCTGAACCCAAGTTGAGAGCTCACCTCAACTACCATTCTATTAACCGAGTGCCTTCCAAATTCCAACATTTCCAGAATCAGTGGAAAGAGCTCCTCTAAATGGGGTAGGGGGAGTGATTATATCTTGAGAGTGAAGGTTAATGCTCCAAGTCTGGATAAGAGAAGGCACAGGAGCATTTTATATACATATACATATAACACTGCCAAGGAGGTGGAGGCATCTGTTCATCCACAGCACCATGGGAGTGCCAAAGGAGACTCCTCTTGGGGCTCATGGGTTTTCTGAAATGTGGAGCAAAGGGCAAATGCCTGTAGATCTTCAAATCCTCTGAATAACAGTTCCTAAATCCAGAAGTACAATTCTTAAACATGAACATGCAAAGAATATACTCTTCTAACAAATTTTTTTATTTTTAATTTTTATTAGAGACAGGGTTTTGTTCTATCACCCTAGCTGGAGTGCAGTGGTACAATCACAGCTCACTGAGGCCTCAACCTCCTGGCCTCAAGCAATCCTCCTGCCTCAGCCTCTTGAGTAGCTGGGACTATACATGCGCACCACAGACATGAGGTCTCCCTGTGTTGTCCCTGGTCTCGAACTTCTGGCCTTAAGTGATTCTCCCACCTCAACCTCCCAAAGTGCTGGGATTACAGGCATAAGCCACAGCACCTAGCCAAGTTTTTTTTAAGTATTTGTATTTACATGGAAGAGTAATTAACATTTTTGTAAGCTACGAAAGTCACAATTTTCATGTTTTCTTAATTCTAACAAGAAAAGTATAGTAGGCTCGGCACAGTGGCTCACGCCTGTAATCCCAGCACTTTGGGAGGCTGAGGCAGGTGGATTGCTCGAGGTCAGGAATTCAAGGCTAGTCTGACCAACATGGTGAAACCCCATCTCTACTAAAAATACAAAAATTAGCCAGGCTTGGTGGCAGGCACCTGTAATCCCAGCTACGCAGGAGGCTGAGGCAGCAGATTCACTTGAACCTGGGAGGTGGAGGTTGCAGTGAACCGAGATCACGCCACTGCACTCCAGCCTGGGAGACAGAGCAAGACTGCGCATCAAAAAAAAAAAGGGAGAAAAGTATAGTAAATATGAGTAAATACACATAAAAGTCTGTATAAAAATGATATATAGAAGCTTCCTTTTCTGTCAGAAAAAATTAAATTTCTTAGTGTTATCTTTTTATGTATTCATGGATTTTTAAAAATTAAGAAAAAAATCACCAAATACAAGGTCTGAGGTGAGCTGAATATTGTTATCTGTAATTGTTTTGTGTACTAAAATATATTTAGAATTATTATAGCTGGTTATTAGAAATAGAGTTTCTACCTATTGTGGTTTTTAAAGTACCTGTGGTCCGGGGGTGGTGGCTCACACCTGTAATCCCAGGACTTTGGGAGGCCAAGGTGGGCGGATCACTTGAGGTCAGGAGTTCAAGACGAGCCTAGCCGACATGGCGAAACCCCGTCTCTACAAAATATACAAAAATTAGCTGGGCGTGGTGGCACGTGCCTGTAAACCCAGCTACTTGGCAGGCTAAGGCACGAGAATTGCTTGAACCTAGGAGGCAGAAGTTGTAGTGAGCCAAGATCATGCCTCCGCACTCCAGCCTGGGTGACAGAGCAAGACTCTGTCTCAAAAAAAATAAAAATAAAGTGCCTGTGTATGCAGTGGGAACTCAACAAATAGTTGTTGAATGAATAAATTAAAACCTTGAGATTTGCTAAATGCTTAAAACCCAAAAGAAAAAAATAATATTTTTAAGAAAAATATTAAAAATCATTTTAACTATAGCCATGGATAAGTTCATAAGCACACAAAAAATTAATCACTGTGTTGGTAAAAACCTTATTTCAATACCTCTTTATCCTTCATACAAGAATAAATCTCTGGAAGAGAAAAGAAAAGAAAGCCGCTCTGAGCGTACCCACCTTTCTACTCTGGAGAGAAGCTCTTTTGACACAGATCCTGCCCCGTTTAATAGACTCCAGCTGCTGGCACTGCCTTCTGAGTTCTTTCACTTCCGAATTCTTATCGTCCTGCAGCCCCACCACAGTCAATGACTAAGTTCCTCTGGACTTTCACATGGATCGTAATAGACAACTTCATCCTGTTTTTCTAAAAAGGTATTAATGATTGTTTAAAACATATTTTATTATTTGTAAAAATACATTGAATTTTTTTAAATGTAAGGAAAATAAAGATCACTTGTAATCCCACCACTGAGAATCACTATTAACATATAAAAAATCTGTGTATAAATGTAATATACATATACACATGTGTATATATACATGACTATACACATGTATGTAAGTAGCATGTGTGTATATACATGTAAGTAGTATATGCATGTATATATACCTGTATAGACATATGTATATATACACATGCACACACACACACATACTACTTACATAGCTACACGTATCAATGGAGTTCTAAAAGAACACTTTCCATGGGATGGAAATAAATTTTTAGGCCAGGTGCGGTGGCTCACGCCTGTAATCCCAGCACTTTGGGAGGCCAAGGCAGGCTGCACACCTGAGGTCAGGAGTTCAAGACCAGCCTGGCCAACATGGCAAAACCCCATCTCTACTAAAAATACAAAACTAGTTGGGCACAGTGGCGTGTGCCTGTAATCCCAGCTACTCAGGAGGCTGAGGCAGGAGAACAGCATGAACCTGGGAGGCAGAAGTTGCAGTGAGCCGAGATCGTGCCACTGCACTCCAGCCTGGGCAACAGAGCAAGACTCCATCTCCAAAAACAAAAAAAAAATTAAAAAAGATAAATTTTAATGGCAGCATAGTATTCTCTAATTTAAGCAATCCATGTTGTTAGGCTGTTCCAATGTTCCATTATTATTCATTTCACTGTGATGAACATCTCTGTATAAATCTTTGTGTATGCTTTTTATCACTTCCTTAGCAGATAAGTGTTTAAGGATCTTGATACCCATTGCCACACTGCCCTCCAGAAAGGCAACTTATATTCTACCAGCAATATATTATTAAGATGCCTTAGTGATATTTAATCTTGATTACATATTGATTTTTTAAAAGTCATGCTTACTGTAACAAATTCAAACCCACCCGAAGTACATCAAATAAACAGTGAAATTCTATTGCTCCTTCCCCAAACCTTCTGAGTCATTCTCAGAGGAAAAACATTATGAACAATTTGGCATGCATCCTTCCAGATTAACTTCTTTTTTAATGTAATTTTTTTCCTAAATATGTAAAATGCTTATAACCTGAAACTACTGAAAAAAATTCTGAATACTCAGGATTAAACTAAAAGTTCAGGATCTATGTGAAGAAATTTATTAAACTTGGAGGAACTTTAGGAAAAAAGATTTAAATAAATGGAGAGAGACATACCATGTTCTTGGGTAGGAAGATTCAAAATTGCAAAGACCACTATTCTCCCCAAAGTAATCTCTAATTTTAAGCAAAATCACAATCAAAATTCCAAAGAGTTTTTTGTTTTGAACTTGATTCTAAATTTCATCTGAAAGAATAAAGGAGTGAAAATAGTCAGAAAACTTGTGAAGTAATGTGGGGGGTACTTGCCTTACCAGACCCTAAAATGTGCCTCCAAGACAGTTGTGGGAACAGTATGGAGCCAGTAGCAGAAGCCACTCACGAACCAATGGAGGAGAACAACTCAGAAACAGACCAAAGTCAATCTAATGTTTAACTGGAGAAATGTTAAACATTTAGGGAAAATGTTTTTAAAATCAGTGATTGGGACTGTTTAACAATTTGAGGGAAAGGTTCAATTCCTACCACAATCAAAATAAATTCCACCTGGACTAAAGAATTAAATGTTTTCAAAAATAACATCATAAACATACTGAAAGAAAACATAAGTATATATTGACATAATTTTGGGATAGGAGACTATTGCCAGACATAATACTAAAAGCAGAAGCCATAGGGGAAAAAAATCGATAAACACGACTTCATAAAACTTAAATATTTCTGAAAGGCAAGAAAACGCAAATGACAAGGAGAGATTATTTGCAACATATGACAGACAATAGAGGACATTATTCTTAATGTTGAAAGGAAATATTCCAAAGAAAAATGGACAAAGACTATGAATAGGCATTTCATAAAATAAGTACAAATGGCTTGTAAACATACAAAATTTTGTTCAATAATCACTCATAATTAAATAAATGAAAATTGGAAGACTGCCATTTTCTCTGTCAAGTAAGCAAAAATGCAAAAGAATGGCATGAGTCTGGGAAACATACACACTCATATTCTGCTGATGGGAGCGTCTTTTTTCTTTTCTTTTTTTTTTGAGACAGAGTCTTACTCTGTCGCCCAGGCTGGAGTGCAGTGGTGCCATCTCAGCTCACTGCAATCTCAACCTCCCAGGTTCAAGCGATTCTCCCGCCTCAGTCTCCCAGGTAGCTGGGATTGCAGGCACCCACCACCACGCCCGGCTAATTTTTGTATTTTTAGTAGAGACAGGGTTTCACCACGTTGGCCAAGCTGGTCTTGAACTCCTGACCTCAAGTGATCTGCCCCCACTCAGCCTCCCAAAGTGCTGAGATTACAGGCGTGAGCCACCACGCCCAGCCTGGGAGCGTCATTTTAAATGTACGACCTATCTAGAGGGCCACTACATAGTATGAAATTTAGAAATCAGAAAATAATACAGAGGTGAGGAAAAATGTATCTCAGATGACTGCTGTATTGTTACATAGCAAAATGTAAAATATACATTGCCCTTGACCCAATAATTCCATCCTTAGATATTTATTCCAAGGAGATAATCTGTCCTATACTCAAAGACATGTGTAAAGGAAAGTTCACTACACTACTGTTCAAAACAGCGGAAATTTGGAAATCACGGTATATCCATATAATGGAATACTATGCAGCCATTAAAATTTTGATACTTTTATTATTTCTGAAACAGAAAGACAATTATTATGTATTAAATGAAAAAGAGACTATTATGCATTGTATGCCTGTGTCAAAATATCTCATGTAACCCATAAATATATATATCTGCTATGCACCCCTAAACATTAAAAAATTTTAAAAAAGATGTTACTGAACTGGTTATGTAGTTTTGGTTAAAAATTTATATTTTTACATATCAGCATATTTTGAAATCTACAAAGTTATACAGCAAATTGTTACCACTAAGTATCTGTCTTTTTTTTTTTCTTTTTTAGATGGAGTCTCGCTCTGTCTTCTAGGCTGGAGTGCAGTGGCACGATCTTGGCTCACTGAAACTTCCACCTCATGGGTTCAAGCCATTCTCCTGCCTCAGCCTCCCAAGTAGCTGGGATTACAGGCACGTGCCACCACATTGGACTTTGTATTTTTAGTAGAAACAGGGTTTAGTATTTTTGTATTTTTAGTAGAGACGGGGTTTCACCATGTTGGTCAGACTGGTCTGGAACTCCTGACCTCAAGTGATCTGCCCGCCTCAGCCTCCCAAAGTGCTGGGATTATAGGCCTGAGCCACTGTGCCCAGCCAACCATTGAGCATCTCTAGATGATGGGATTGGGGTAATAATCATTTTTCTTTCTTTGTTTTGCTATGTGCTAACAATGAATATATTATTTGAATAATAAACCACTGAAGGAAAACTTTAGGAAATTTTCAGATGTTACAGTTTACAAAAAGTAATTGATAATATGGTCTGTATTTCCTTAAATTTATAAACATTGTAATCTATATACTTAAATAAAAACTTTACCTTTTATAAGTCTTTCAAGAGAGTCCAACTGTGTAGTAAGCAGTATTTCTTTGTTTTTTAATATCTCAAATTTAACTTCATATAGTTCTAACTGAATTTCATAAAATTGTATTGCTAATTCATCTACAACATTTATATTTTTTTCTTGTTCTGGAAGATCTTCCATCTTATTTTCATAGAAAAAAGAAAAATAAGTTAAAACAAATAGTATATTAAAAACAAACTTTAGAAGCATTCTAGCTATTTTCTATTCCTTGTTCCGTACTAAATATAAAAGAGCAAATAGGAAAGAAACACTTTTTCATTTCATCTAGTGATGCTAATACTTTATCCCATCCTTGAAACAGAGAAAAACATTTAGGTTTTGAGAAACATAAATGGCAATGAGGTATTATTATGTATTGCATATCGGTGTCCCCCCAAAATTCATATGTTGACACTGTAACTCCCAATGTGATGTTATTTGGAGGTGGGTCCTTTGGAAGTAATTAGGTTCAGATTATGTCAAAAGGATAGCACCCCCATCATGGGATTAGTGCCCTTATTAGAAGAGAAAGACAGGGATCACTTTCTTTCTCTCCAAACATACACACAGAAGAAAGGCTATGTGAGCACTCAGTTAAGAAGGCAGCTGTCTACTAGACAGGAAGAGGATCCGCACCAGACAGTGAATCTGCAGGCACCTTGATCTTGGACTTCCCAGCCTCCAGAACTGTGAGAAATACATGTCCATTGTTGAAGCCACCCAATCTGTGACATTTAATATTGTTACAGCAGCCTTAGCCAACTAAGACAGGTGTTTACAGTGTTTTCTGCTTTAAAGTCATAAGATTATAGGAAAAAACTTAAGTGTCTAAGATCCTTCAGGGAAGTATCTCTTTGATTATTTTAAAGCTGTACTGAAAACATTGCTGGATTGATTTTCAAGTACAGTACCCACTTCAATACTGGGCTTGGTGTTACTATAAAGTGAATCCTACAGTGTGGTATTTTGAAACATCTTAACCAAAGGAAAACTTTATGTCTAACCTTCCATAGGAGATGGTGTTGGAATAAGTGAAGAAAAGAAGCTCTTTAACAATGCCTGGAAAGAAAAGTGCTATCTAAAAATACAAGTGTGCTTTACCACATGGTCTCACTTATAAGTGGGAGCTAAGTAGTGTATACACAGACAGTGTGGAATAACAGACACTGGAGACTCAGAAGAGTAAGAGGGTGGGAGGGGGGATGAGAAATATTTAATGGGTACAATTACATTATGTAGGTGATGATTACGCTAAAAGCCCAAACTTCACCACTACACAATATATCCATGGAACAAAACTGCACTTGTATCCTTTATTTATACAAAATTTTTAAAAAATAAAAGTGGGGCGGGGCACGGTGGCTCACGCCTGTAATCCCAGCACTTTCGGAGGCCAAGGTGGGCGGATCACGAGGTCAGGAGATCGAGACCATCCTGGCTAACACGGTGAAACCCCGTCTCTACTAAAAATACAAAAAATTAGCTGGGCGCGGTGGCGGGCACCTGTAGCCCCAGCTACTCAGGAGGCTGAGGCAGGAGAATGGCATGAACCCAGGAGGCAGAGCTTGCAATGAGCCGAGATCGTGCCACTGCAGTCCGGCCTAGGCAAAAGAGCGAGACTCTGTCTCAAAAAAAATAAAATAAAATAAAAAATAAATACAAGTGTATTTTTAAAACAAAGTTATGTTTATCTTTGTCTTACCTTTCCCTGAATTTCAGCTCTTTTGTGATTTAAACATAACTCTTTCGCTCTCATGAGTTGCAGAGTCTCTTGAGCTAGCATTAGCTGAAGTTTTTCCAACCTGGGAATTGCTGTGGCCCAGGCAGCCTGGCCAAATCTCTTCACATCCTGTTCCATTTCTTTCTGCATTCCTGTTGGATTATAAAAATAAAATATAATTACACCTCATTAAAAAGGGAAACATTGATCATGAGCTAATTCTTTTTTTATTGCCTCCATACTACCTGCAGAACATCTTTTTTAAAAGAAATTTTGTTTTATTAATTTTTTATTATTATAAAAATAATACATGGTCATTAATATACAATTTTAGGTATTCAATTTTTAAAAGGACAATAATAAGTCATGATCTCACCTAGTTGAGGCAAGTGCTTCTTATATTTTGGCACACTTGCTTCCATATTGTTTCTATGACTAGCTAGTCAGACAGGCTCATATGGATAGTTTGACCAAAAAACCAGGATCATCATTCTGCTTTATATCTTGTTGATTCTGTGCAATATATCAGAAACTCCTGCCATTTATAAAAAAAAAATCAAGAATCATGCTTAATAGCTATGTAGTTTTCTCTTTTATGAATGTACCATAACTTAACAAACTGACAGACATTAAGTTGTTTCCTATTTGGTGTTTTTATCAACAATTATTTAAGACTGAAAAAAAGTCCTTCACCCAGCCCGCAAGCCCCTGCACGGTCTGATCCCTGCCTGTCTTGCCAGCATTCTCCCTCATACCACATTGTCCTGCACTCTCTGCGATCCAGCCCCGCAGGTTTTCTGTAAGCTCCTATTTGCCAACTTCCCTCAAGCCAGGGGACCTTCGCCAGTGCTATTCCTTCTGCCCAGAACACTCCTCACTTTTTCTATTCTCTCAATTTCCATTTACCCTTCAGATATTGGGGCAAGCGCCACTTCTCAGAGGCCTTCAGTGACCACCCTGATCAAGCCCAATTTCTCTCTCACAGACCCTCAGAGCCCCATGTCTCTCTTCTTTGTGCCATTTATTGTCACTGCCATTTTCTGTGTGCTTCAGTGAATAGATAATTAAGATTTCTCTCCCTTCACCAGACTGTACAATGTCTCTTAATGCTTGACACTGAATTCTCGCCACCTAGAAAACACAGTGCCTAGTGCGTAAGAGGGACTCAAATGGTATTTGAATAAAATGACAATCAATTACACGTATCTGCGTATAGCATTTTTTAGATTATCACCTGCTAATGCTTTTACTGTCTCCTTAAAATAATTCACTGTGATATCTTGAATAGAGACGACAGCTTCTCCAGCCCGTCTGGTCCATTCTTCAGCTTCTTTCTCCAGGGCAACTACCCTTCTAGGACCTAGGTCATCCTCATCCAAGGACTTCTACAGACAGAAGGGAAAATTATCTTAGTAAGAGCTAATAGTTATGTAGAACCATTAGGAAATTGAAAGGAAATTGGTCACATGGATTAATTTAACTACACTACTACTCAGTCAGTTAAATTTTCATTCATTCAGCAGTCCCTTACTGCATATGAATAAGGCTCTAAGCTGAGCACCACCTGGAAGACAAAAGGACCCTCTGGGGCATAAAGTGGGGGGAAAAAAAACTACTTTCACTTCACATGCCTAGAATAACTTTTTCTAGAGAGGAATGTTGTCAACTTATGCTTCTCTCTATTAATAATAATACACAATTGTTTAAATGAGTGATCTGTGTTGTCAAACACTCAGCACAGGGCCTGGAAAACAGCACTTAAGTGTTAGCTGTTGTTATCATTTCTTTTAGGGATATGTAATATTATCACCTAAAAGACAGTATCTGTATATTCATGCTTATAACATGTACTGGTATTGGACTGAATGTTTGGGTCCCCCCAAAATGCATATGTTGAAGCCTAAATCCCCAGTGTGATGGGATTTGAAGATGGGGCCTTTGGGAGGTAATTAGGTCATGAGGGTGGAGACCTCAAGAAAATTGGGATTAATGCCCTTATAAAAAGAAGAGGAGACACAGGATCTCTCTCTCTGCTCTTCACCATGTGAAGACACAGCAAGACAGTCATCTACAAATTAAGAAACTGGCCCTCACAAGACACTGGATCTGCCAGCACCTTGATCTTAGACTACCCAGCCTCCAGAACTGTGAGAAAAAAAGTTTTGTTGTTTATAAGCCACTAATCTACAGTACTTTGTTACAACAGCCTGAACTAAGACATGTACAGCTATGTCATCCAATATGCAATTTTTCTTCTACAAAGCATAAGAAATATGTACAAGTTAGCCGACAAGGAATTACAAATCAAAACCATAACGAGATACCACTTCACACCCACTAGGATGGCTGTAACCAAAGAGACACACAATTACAAGTGTTGGTGATAATGTGGACAAATTGGAACCCTCATTTACTTCTTCTGGGAATATAAATGATGCACCCACTTTGGAAAACCATCTGGCGTCTTTCAAAAGGTTAAACACTGGGTAATCACAGGACCCAGCAATCCTACTCCTCAGTACGTACACAAGAGCAATGAAAAGATATGTCTACACAAAAACTCACACACAAGCATTCATAGCAGAATTATTCATGATAGCCAAAAAGTGGAAACAACCCAAATGTCCATCAACTGATGAAAAAAATGCAATATATCCATACAATGAATATCACTGAGCAATAAAAAGAAATGAAATCCTGGTATTTGCTACAACATGGATTAGCCTTGCAAACATTGTGCTGAGTGAAAGGACCACATATTCAATAATGCTGTTGCTATGTCCAGAGTAGGGAAATCCACAGAGACAGAAAGTAGATTGGTGGTTGCCCAGGGCTGGCAGTGACTAATGGGTACAGGGTTTCTTTTGGGGGTGAAAATGTCCTGAAATTACATAGTAATGATCATTGTGCAACTTTCAATATACTAAAAATCACTGAATTGTACATCTTTTTATATATGTAGATATATTTTATATATATATATATGCATATATATACGTATATACATATATATATATGTATATATGTGTACATATACATATACACATATATACATATACATATATACGTATATATACACATATACACATATACATATATACATATATTATACAGATTATATATATGTATACATATATACGCATACATATATACATATATGTATGTACATATACATGCATACATACATACATATATATGTATACATATATATATACAGATTATATATATATATATATATATAGTCTGTGAATGGTATTTTAAAACAGCTGTTACTTAAAGAAAGGAAAATTATAGACTGGGTGCGGTGGCTCATGCCTGTAATCCCAGCACAATGGGAGCCTGAGGCAGGCAGATCACCTGAGGTCAGGAGTTCGAGACCAGCCTGACCAACATGAAGAAACCCCGTCTCTACTAAAAAAATACAAAATTAGCCGGGCTGGACATGGTGGCACATGCCTGTAATCCCAGCTACTCGGGAGGCTGAGGCAGAAGAATCGCTTGAATCCAGGAGGTGGAGGTTGCCGTGAGCCAAGATCACGCCATTGCACTCCAGCCTGGGCAACAAGAGCGAAACTCCATCTCAAAAAAAAAAAAAAAAAAAGAAGAAAGCAAAATATATGCAAGAAGTAGACTCTCCAAATAATAGACTTTCAAAATAATGAACAGAACAACTTTATCCACAGGTTAGAGTGGCATGAGTTTCATCTAAATGTGATACTATTTTTATAGTACAATCATCTGGCAGGGGCATGAGATTATATGTGGAAAGATGGCCCAGTGCAGGGGGCAGAAATCAAGAGATCTCTTAGGTGTCTTCTGATTCCCGTTGTTGAGACCCAAGGCAAGCTATTTAACAACTCTGGACTCTAGATTCATTTGTAACACTGGAATAAGAATGCCTTTCCTGAATGGTGTCACAAGGATGTTTGATGGCTCAATGAAGCAAGAGCGATAACTGTATTTACTAAAATTTAAGTTACTGAATTACAATCTAGGGTCCTGCTATTTAAATTTTCATCCTATTTTAAGAAATCTGCATGAGTCCTTAGAGGAAAACAACTGAAGCAAATAAACATCACATCAAAAACAATTCATCAGGCTGGGCGCAGTGGCTCACGCTTGTAATCCCAGCACTTTGGGAGGCTGAGACGGGTGGCTCACTTGAGGCCAGGAGTTCGAGACCAGTCTGGCCAACATGGTGAAACCCCGTCTCTACTAAAAATACAAAAAAAGTTAGCTGGGCATGGTAGTGCACACCTGTAATCCCAGCTACTCAGGAGGCTGAGGCAGAAGAGTCACTTGAACCTGGAGGAGGTTGCAGTGAGCCAAGATTGTGCCACTGCACTCTAGCCTAGCTGACAAAGAGAGACCCTATCTCAAAAAACAAAAAAAAAATTCATCGCCAGAAAAAACATTTAACTCTTTAAAATCTGTAGGAATCTTAAGCTATTAAGATGACCAACATAAATGTCTTCATTTTCTATCAATTTTAAATATAAATTCAATATTTAAACACGAGGGTGAACTAGGCATAGTGGCTTACGCCTGTAATGCTACGCTTTGGGAGGCCGAGGTGGGCAGACTGCTTGAGCTCAGGAGTTAGAAACGAGCTTGAGCAACATGGCAAAACCTCATCTCTATCAATAAATAAGTAAATAAACATAAGAGTAAACCCAAACAAACCCAAACAAAGTACAGAGATTGAAGATTAAGTGTAAATAAAGAAATAATATATGACAAATAGTAAATGTGATAAAATAAAAATTTTAAAAAAATACCAAAATATCAAGCTTACATAAAGTTGCAACTTCTCGCATAGCCCTAAATGGCTGCAGTAAGTACTGGAAGAACGTGGTTGCCACGGTAACTAATTCCTGGTAGGCTTCATCTTCCTCTTGGTAAACTTTCATTAATGCTACCATGGTGTTGGCTTTTCGGTGTCCTTGAATAACCTAGAGAGCAAATGTGAATAAAGCTCAAGTCAGGACAGTGTAATACATACCCAACAAACAAAGCTAAACAAAAGAAACCTTCATGTTCTCAACTTTCAATACATCAATTTAAAATATTGATTAAATACGAAAATGTTATCATCCTCCATCAAAAATGCCCAATAAAACAAGAATTGTTAAGAAAATTATGATATATCCATGGCAGAATATTATTAGTGTAGTCATTCAGCACTGTGCTTCTGAAGATTGTTTAATAATATGGAGACTTTTGGCCAGGCACGGTGGCTCATGCCGGTAATTCCAGCACTTTGGGAGGCCAAGGCGGGTGGATCACTTGAGGTCAGGACTTCGAGACCAGCCTGACCAACATAGAGAAACACTGTCTGTACTAAAAATACAAAATTAGTTGGGCGTGGTGGCGCACGCCTGTAATCCCAGCTACTGGGGAGGCTGAGGCAGGAGAATCGCTTGAACCCGGGAGGCGGAGGTTGCGGTGAGCCGAGACAGTGCCATTGCATTCCAGCCTGGGCAACAAGAATGAAACTCCGTTTCAAAAAAAAAAAGAGACTTTTATAATTAAATGGAGAGGCAGAGTATAAAATTTAATCTCAACTGTGCACTAAGTATGCAGCGAAAAGGACCCAAAAGAAGGTTTGAGGTTGTGGATATTTTTTCATTTGACTTTTCTGACTGTAAAGGTTTTGTGAGGCTGTATTCCTTTTTAAAAGCTCATAAGGGCCAGGCGTGGTGGCTCACGCCTGTAACCCCAGCACTTTGGGAGGCCACAGCAGGCGCATCACGAGGTCAGGAGAACGAGACCATCCTGGCTAACACGGTGAAACCTGTCTATACTAACAATACAAAAAATTAGCCGGGCGTGGTGGCGGGCGCCTGCACTCCCAGCTACTGGGGAGGCTGAGGCAGGAAAATGGCGTGAACCCGGGAGGCAGAGCTTGCAGTGAGCCAAGATGGCACCACTGCACTCCAGCCTGGGCGACAGTACAAGACTCTCTCAAAAAACAAAACAAAACTCAACTAAACAAAATCTCATAAAACATTACAGAGCTGTCTCCAAGTACTTTAGCATGTTGATTCTCTTAATGCCCCAGGTTAATATTCCCATGAAGTCCTTAGCAGTCAACTCATTTACAGAGCCTCAGCTGTGGTTCCGGTCTCTGCTGGTTATTGCTTGTGCTGCAGGGCAGAAAACAAACTGAACAGTGTATAATCTAGGTGGACTGATTTGGTTGGAAATTATTTTACTCCCACAAGAAGAGAAATAAAATCAAATAATATAGATTTTTTTCAACCAATACATTCTTAAAGTCTTCTATTTCCACCCTTCTGCTTAAGGCTAAAGTGATCTACTTTCAGCTGTATTTTTTATCCAGGTAATAATATTATCATTTTTTTTAAGTGAAAGCCTCACTGAACAAAATTAAAACACACAAGCAAAAGTCAAAAGGCAAGTGGTACATTTCAGCCTTCTTTCTTAGACTATTCAGAAAAATTCCAGAGTTAAAACATTCAGCTTCATTTTATATATCCTAGCAATGCTAGCAATTGGTCTAATTCTAGAATCAATTGCTTTTCTATTCTAAATATAAAGTAAATATTAAAATTATATATTTGGACATGTTGTGAATTTTAGCTTCCCCTCTCAACCCCTCATTTTTGAGTTCCAGATAAATATGTGAACTACACTAACGTGAACAGCTAGCTCAACAGAATGAACTACATTCATGCTATAGTACCCCAGAGTGAACTTAAATTTGGGAAAACTAACTTTTCTGATAGCAACTACAGTAAAATACACCATATAAATGTTCGATTTTAAGGAGAAACCACCTATCTCTGTGAGAAACCAAGTGTTTAAAAAACAAGTCTGATACAAAATGATACCATTTTTGAAACTCCCCTGTGGGTTCCTCATATCCTAAGGTGAAAGTTATAAAGTTGAAGATGAAAAGCTGACTGGCCTGAAACTCCCCTGTGGTTTCCTCATATTCTAAAGTGAAATCAACACGTTAAGTGGGTGTGTAGACATTTACACATAAAGCTCACAGTACAAAAATGACCCCACTAACAAGCTCCTTTTATAAAACCATTTTAATTTAGAAAGCTTATTCTATATTTAGCTTAGGCTGAATTCTTCTCTTCACCTCCCCTTCCTCAAAAGAATGCACAGAAAAATATCATTCAGGTTAATAAGAGCAGTGAGCCGAGACTCCAGCCTGGCTCTGCTTAGTAAACTGTAGGTGTGGATTTAGAAGGCATACTTTCTCCTAAACCCTTCTATGAACATGCACTTCCCCGTCCCCTTAAGTTCAGTAAGTTTACCACTCAAATAATTACTCTCTCAAACTACCTCTTTCAAGCTTAAAAGGGCACTAATGCGGTTATTCTAAACTGATGAATAAAGCTCACTTTCTACCGGCTTTCCATTTGACCAAGTCTGTATTACTTAAAACAAAACACCCTAACTCCTAAAAGCCATTTCTTCCTTTAAACCATTTTATCCCACTTGCGACGTCCCCGCAGACACAGACTTGGAATTGCTTACGTGTAGTCCGTGTTATTCTTTCCTACATGGATGGGTTGTTTTCAGTTTTGCTTGCAGTATTTCTGGCATTTCCCGTTACAACATCCTGCTCTGCCAGCATCTTCAGGGCAAAGGTTGGGGGCCTAGCCCAGCTCCCAGCGGCAAGTACACTAGGCTCTAACTTCGCTTGTCCTCTCTGCAGGCCCTGCCGAAGCTCCCCCTGGTTTCCCGCAGCGATCCCGCGCAGGTGAGGGTACTGGGGAGCCCGTGGCCTTCTCCGCCCGCCGGCTCCTCCCCATCAGCCGTCAGCCAGGGCTCTCGGCGCCGGGGAAGCCTCCCACCGGGTCCCAGGCCACCCAAGCGCGGTCAAACGCCGGCGGCCCGGCCTCGCTTACCTGACGCAGCCGCGCGTCCGCCTCGACCCATCAGGCGCGCAGGGCCCGCTCCCGAAACTCGCGCGGGCTCTCGCAGTCGGCCGCGCGGCCGTTAGCCGCGAAGAGAGCGTCGCGCACGGTGGCGCAGCCACAGCCGTGGGCCGCCGCGCCCAGGTAGCGCTCCAGCTGCCCGCAAAGCTCCTGCAGTGCCGCCTCGCCGGGGCCCACGCGCGCCGGCCACAGCAGCGCCCACCGCCCGAGCCCCAGACCTCAGGCCCCGCCGCCGCCCACGTCCAGCTCCGGCGGCAGCCGTGGGAAGCAGTGTTCCAGAGGCGGCCACAGCGCCGCTAGCTGCCGGCGCGCGCCGCGGAACCCCGCGGCCGAGAGCCGGCCGGCCCAGCTGGGCGGGGACACGGCGGCCTCGGGCTTGTGCTCCAGCCCCAGCCGGGCCCCTCGCGCCGCTGCGGCTGCTGCGCGGTGCGGTCGTGACAAGTCACAGCAAACTTGCCCTCCGCGCCGTTCCAAGCCACCAGGAAGCGTAACCGGTGCCCCTGGGGATCGGCGAAGAGGCCCTCCCGGAGCGGCGCCCAGCCCTCCAGGCTGTCGGGCTGCTCGTCCTCCATGGCCGTCGGCGGCAGCGGCCCTAGGGCTTGGCGGGCGCGGGCCTGACCTCGTCGCACCGCCTGTCAGGGGACAGTCCCAGGTGAAGCATTTTTCGCTCCACAATTGGTATTTTAACAATATGAATGAAAAAAAAAAACCTCAGCTGTTTTGATAGAAATAACAGACGTGCCTAGGAATCATCTTCCTTGAAGGGAGAGGAGGGTCTTATTGAACTTGAAAAAACTAAATAAGCAAAGTTGATACATAAGGACACCCTTCTCTTTACCCTTACCTATTCTTAACAACTTTAATTCATTTCTGACACTGTCACCAACTGAAAAACGGTCCAACTAAAAAAAAAAATCATAAAGGTGAGAAAAATTGTGACGTGTTCTATCCTAATCCAATATATCTAAACCAATTTTACTGATAGAGAAAATATATTAAGTGAATGATGTAAATACATTAATATAGGTAACAACTCTTTGAAAGTAAAGTTTGCACATAACATGAAATACATAGAGAATTACTGCCGTCTCGAAGGAGAGAACCCTTGATGGGGAGTGGTAGTCAAAAAGGTGTACGAGCAAGTCATCTGTTGCAAGGTGATGGGAGGAGATATTTTTGCAGGCATTCAATATCAGTCAGAGGTTTTAATGATTTTTGTTTTTTATCTTGAGAGTTGGAGACTAGAAGATCTAAAATAGGAAAATTTTGGCATATCCATAGATAGAATGGAAGCTCTTCGCCAAAAAATAACGTGCTCCAAGTCATGAAAAATAGCACACATGCACAATTAACTACAGAGTTACACAAGATGGTGTCTTTTCATTCGATTTTATTTGAACTCTTATTCTTCTCTATCTTTTACGCTTTGTATCCTTGTTAATTAACTCTTCCATTTTTTCCTCATCCTATGAGGCACTTTAAACATTTTATTCAATAACTCTTAAGGCAATTTTTACAATTCTATTCACATATAAAATTGTCATAAGCATGTTTTGTGAGTGAAAAATTCTAATTTGTAATGCATATCAAGTGAAAAGCCTCAGTTCAGCACTCGTCATATCCAAAATCTGTGTTATATAATAATGTAAAAGACATATTTTCACACATGTAGCTCAAATGAGATTCTTACTTAACATTTCTCTCTCTTTTTTTTTTTTTTTTTGAGATGGAGTCTCGCTCTGTCGCCCAGGCTGGAGTGCAGTGGCGCAATCTCAGCTCACTGCAAGCTCTGCCTCCTGGGTTCATGCCATTCTCCTGTTTCAGCCTCCCAAGTAGCTGGGACTACAGGTGCCCGCCACCACGCCCGGCTAATTTTTTGTATTTTTAGTAGAGACGGGGTTTCACAGTGTTAGCCAGGATGGTCTCGATCTCCTGACCTCGTGATCCGCTTGTCTCTGCCTCCCAAAGTGCTGGGATTACAGGCGTGAGCCACCACGCCCGGCCTACATTTTACAAAATTTAACTCAATCTTTTATTTTAAAAAATGTGCATATACTGCCTGTTCAAGTACTTAATCTTTTTATTTATTATTTGAAATTGGAGGTCCATCTTTTTAGATTGTTAGAAGGTCTTCACGTATTTGAATGAGTTATTAAGTTGATACAACCATTTTGGAAAAATAATTATCATTATCTACTACATTTAAACACATAATATATGACCAGCAGTTTCAACAGAAACACCTGGATATTCATCAGGATAGAACGGATTGGAAAGCTCCATATTCATTCAACAGGGTGCTACACAAAACAAAAAGGAATGAATCACTGGTCCTTAACATAAACAGATTTCACAAATGTAATTTTGAGTGAAATAAGCCAGAAAAAAATAAATACCGTATGCTTCCATTTATATGAAGACAAAGATAGGCAATATTAATCTATGGTAACATATGAGACTGACTTCTTTTTCTCAGCATCAGCTGAGAGCCTGAAAAATATTTTTCTGGGGTGCTAAAAAAGTGCCAGATCTTAAAAATATTTGTACAAAAGATAATAATTTTTTTATATAAATAGGTACAAAACACAAATATGTACAAAAATGTATTTATAAATATGTTAAACAAGATTACTATTTATACTTCAATATAATTTTTTTCACTTTTGTTGACATTAGTAAACCATCACACTTAATAAACAGCCATTTGGAATTGTTCTTGATTTAGGTATTTCCTTGATTAAATACCAAGTAGGAACATACCTTGATTCTAAAATATAAAGAATATTATTCCATGAAAGTTTCCATGAAAACTATCTTGCATTCTAAAATATTTTTAAAAGTACTTATTTTCAAAGTTCAGTTTCCTATTTTAAACAAAAGTTGAGCTAAATTACATATAAGCTAGTCCCCAGAATATTCAGTAAATATCAAATGAAGGTGTGAAAGTTAAAGATTTCAATTTTTTACTAGTTAATTTGCAGTGCTCTATTATTTTGCTTAATAAACAATTTTATGCTAGAAATAAGCAGATTTCCCTATTCACATTATCTTTACCAAGAGCACTTAAATAAATACCATTGATTACTTGCAAAATACAGATTGTAGATTCAGAGCTCAAAACTAACCCTCTGAGGATGTAATTCAATTAAAACAACCCATAGTTGTGAATTCACCTCACCAGTGTCCCTAAGACAAGAAGCTCTTTCTCACATCAAATGAATTATTTTAATTCACTTTGGATGTTAGGAATATCCTAACTCCTTTGTAATTAAAAAAAAAAAAACAAAACTTCTGATGCTTCTTTATATCTTAACAATCATGAGGTCTATAAAAATATGAACACAGAAGTTTGGGTCAGTTCAATGACTGAACTAAAACATTATTTCCCAACATGTCCATGTTGTACAAGATGATGGGGTTGTTATCTGTGATGCCATTGCAAAGATCTTGATGGTTCCAAAACACTAAGCATCACATAAGCCATGTTATAGCTGTCGCCCCAAATTTACCAAACCATTTGGATTAAAACTCTCAGTAAGGACCTCTGAGGCACAAAGATCTATGAGTAACTCCTTAACCCCTTTGCTCTTACTCTTCAGGTACAATTTCAAATTTTCACCTTTCCCTTTCTGCACTGACCTTGGGAAAGTCACTTTATCTCTGTGATCTAATTTTCCACATCAATAATGTATCTATACTTGGCATAGAGAGTTATGAGAATAAAATAATAACATATATGGGCAATTTCTGTGAATACCAATTGTACAGGTGGATTTTTAAATAATAGATTTAGGGCCGGGCGCAGTGACTCACACCTGTAATACCATCACTTTGGGAGGCCGAAGCGGGTGGATCACCTGAGGTCAGGAGTTTAAGACCAGCCTGACCAACAAGGTGAAATACCGTCTCTACTAAAAATACAAAAATTAGCCAGGTGTGGTGGCGGGCACCTGTAGTCCCAGCTACTCAGGAGGGTGAGACAGGAGAATTGCTTGAACCCACAAGGCGGAGGTTGCAGTAGGCCGAGATCACGCCACTGCACTCCAGCCTGGGCGATGAAGCGAGACACCATGTAAAAAACAAACAAACCAATAAATGAAATATATTTAGGAAAACTATTATAAGAAAAAAATTGAAAGCATTAAGAACTCTATTATGGACTGAACAAAAAAAGGAGAATTGGTACCATACCTTGGTAAGTTTATTTTAATAAGCCCAATTTCTATTAGTTCTTCAGTGTTTCCTCTTGCTCCGTGAATGTATGTTCCTTGCCTCTATCTTATCCCATTTTTTCTATTGTTAACAGAGAGTTGTCGCAAGTTCTATTCTCAATGCCTATTGCATTGGGCAATAGATGACTCTGGTTCCCAACTCAGAAAAACCTCATTTTTAAGAAACGTTTGAGCTTTGACTTTGATCTCATTCAGAATATTTTGGTTCAAAAGTTTTTTGTTTTTTTGTTTTTTTTGAGACGGAGTCTCGCTTTGTCGCCCAGGCTGGAGTGCAATGGCGCGATCTCGGCTCACTGCAAGCTCCGCCTCCCGGGTTCACGCCATTCTCCTGCATCAGCCTCCCTAGTAGCTGGGACTGCAGGCGTCTGCCACCACGCCCGGCTAATTTTTTTTTGTATTTTTAGTAGAGACAGGGTTCCACCATGTTAGCCAGGATGGTCTCAAATCTCCTGATCTTGTGATCCGCCCGTCTCGGCCTCCCACAGTGCTGGGGTTACAGGTGTGAGCCACCACGCCTGGCCCAAGAGTCTTAAGTTTGTGTAAATAAGCACCTTTGAAAACTACATCTACAAATGGGAATATGGAATAAAAAGGACAAGCCAAAGGTTATGGAACAAAATAAAACATGAAGAAAGAGAAATAGAAACACAATATTACTATATACAATATAGTAATATATTTTAAAATACAAAAAACGCTAGCAAAAAAAGCAATATGTAAACAAAAGAATTGGAGTAAAATAATAGAATTTGAAACAGCACAATCTGCTGAAAATATACAAAAGACAAATTAGGGTATTCCTGAGCTCACTGTTTATAATATTAGAACATGTATATAAAAAGGAAAAGTGACTTTAAAATGTCTGGGGGCCAAGGAATATATAGTTTGTTACATTTTATTTACAAACAGTTTCTTTGACTAGGGAATCAATTTAAATTTTCTGTTTTGGAAATAATATAAATATATCTTTATTTTAGACTTTTTGCTGTAAAGTTTCTTAAATATTTACAACTTTAGGATAATCAGTGTACATTTCAATATATAATGTCCTAAAAATCAAACAGCTACCAAACATTGAATTGAAGTTCTGACTTATATAAATCATTTGCATAAAAACTGATCATTAAAAACAGTATCTAATGAACATTTTGGCCCCAATATTAATTAAAACTGAAATGATAGCATTACAAGCTAAAGATTAATTTCAATGACATGTCATTCAACCATTTTGACATAATTGACTTATAATAATCTAAAATTGACTATTTTTATGACATATTTGACCTAAATGAAGAGAAAAAAGCTTTGACTCATTCTTAATTACTCTTTCTAACCAATTGATGGCCAATAACTGAAATTAATTTCAAACCATTTTTTGTTATTTTAATCTTTTAAACATGTTTTACTTTCAGTGATTCATTTTCTAACATTCATAGCCAAAGCCCAGGCTCTACCCATCTTTGTCTACCTTAATGACTTTGTCAATTGTTGGCATACACTGGGTCTTAAAAACTTGTGTTTCTTCCGAATTAATTAATGAAGTAGAATTGCTCTTATAGGGTTTCATATACCATTACCTCCAAAAGAGTACATCAGAAGTATTAGAAAATACTGATATTTATAAACAGATATTTATCTTATGATACAAAGAGCTAGAGCTGTTTTATTTTCTGTAAAACTAAGAATAACTTCTTGATAACGTAGCTTTACAAAAAGAAAACCCAACACATTTCCATAAATAATTCTCTGAAATAACTATGTGAGTTTGTGTCTTTTTATATACATGTAGATATACATATACTTACACATCTATACATATATATGTAACATAAAGGATATGAACATTAGGACTGTTTAATGTCTATTTGTCTTGGAAAGAAAAATATACTTAAAAATATTTCTTAATTGGGATTTGTAATCGTACCAACTTAATTGATAAACTTGGCAACTGCTTTTATGTTCTGTCTCCTTCCATAAATTTTTCAAAATACTAATTCAACAAAGAAAAAGCTCTAATTTTCATTGGAAATAATTTATATACTTGTTTAGAGCAGAGAAAAATTAAGAAAAACTTTGAAATGGTCTCAAAAAATTGCTAAATATTTTCAATGGAAAACTAAATGTTAGTTTAGCTGATTGTATGGGGTTTCTGAACCTTTCACTTTTTGTTTGTTTTACCTATTTCACAACTGTGTAAATTGCCAATAATTCCTGTCCATGAAAATGCAAATTATCCAGTGTAGATATATTTGACCATCACCCTATGGATATTGGCTAGTTTTGCCTTTATTAAGCAAATTCATTTCAGCCTGAATGTCTGCCTATATATTCTCTGCTCTTTGTATTCTCCTTTGAACCCGTTAAAACATCCTGTGGCACTCTTATTTATTAATCAGTTAAATAAAATCATGAACATATATTCATTTTACATTTGTATGAGAACCATTATTTTTCTTTTCTTTAAAAAAATTAATTATCCTTTGACATTGGGTTGACATTTTCTTAAGACATGCCATAAACAGAGGATATCAAGTTTCTCAATGTCAGTTCTAGAGGAAAAAAAATTCCTTATAAAAATTTAACCTCATGTGTAACAGTTTCCATTCCCATAGCAATGACATTTGATATACATTGTATATATTAATCTGGGAATGATGTAAGGTTCCAAGTATAATTTTATCAGTGAACTCAACTACTTGATTACTTTCACTTATTTAAATATCTAGTTCAATGTTGTCCAGTGGCATTGTGGATTTAGGTAATTTTACCAGGCAGCCGTTCAATTTCTGCACTTTCTATTTGCCCATGCAGAACATAACACATTTTATAAGTCAAGGTATAGGCATCTGGTGGCATAATTTTAATTTGTTATCAAATAAAAGCCTCATCAAATTTGTCTAGAAAATAACTCATTATTTACTTTATTTTAGGACTGTATCACTATGTAATGAGATACAAATATATGTAAATGTAAGTGCCTAAGAGGCATGCAGAGAGCCTAAGATGTATGCAGTATGCCTAACAGGAATGCAGAGAGCTTCATTTTCATTGTCAGCTGCTCAGTTGTTTCTCAGGAAAGAAATGTGGCCAACGGACACCATTTAAGAGATATATAGCAACAAGTTCAGAAAATTCTCATAAATGGGAGTGGCTAATGCATAGACAATAGCATTGACCTTTGATCCATATATATATATATATAAAATATACCTCAAATACATTTGGATCAATTTAATTGTGAGTGCTATAAACTACAAATGAAAGTAAAAAAGCAAACCTGTTGGTATTTTAGAAGAATGAAAGATTATTAACTCATGGCCTGTATGTGTTTGGAATGAGAAGGACGTACATAGCTTTCTTTGGACGGGGTGGAATTGAAATTGTGATTTACAGTGACTAAAACCTGACTGCTTTCACATTTTTTTTTCACTGTTGGGGGTGAAATTCTTGATTGATTTGTGCATTGGGAACTTTTTTTTTTTTTTTGGAGACAGAGTCTCGCTTTGTAGCCAAGGCTGGAGTGCAGTGGCGGGATCTCGGCTCACTGCAAACTCCACCTTCTGGGTTCACACCATCCTCCTGCCTCAGCCTCCCAAGTAGCTGGGACTACAAGCGGGCGCCACCACGCCTGGCAAATTTTTTGTATTTTTAGTAGAGACGGGGTTTCACCGTGTTAGCCAGGATGGCCAGGATGGTCTCAACCTCCTGACCCTGTGATCCACCTGCCTTGGCCTTCCAAAGTGCTGGGATTACAGGTGTGCGCCTGCCTGAGCCACTGTGCCTGGATAGAGAATGACTCCTTATGTGACATGCAGAAAATATTTTGTGTCATTCGTGGTACATTTATCATATTTTCTATAGGTTTGTACTATGTTGCTCCACTTCTTAGAATTCCAAGTAGTTCAAAGCCAGCAGGGACTGGTATATTATAGCATATTTAACCTAAGCAACTCTAAAAGCTAACGAAACCAAGTATCTACAAACTTTAGCCATAGCTACCATCAACATGAAGAATGTAATAGGCAAAATGTTTTACATGCTGAATATGCACTACTGAATTCTGTATATATTTTTTGCAGTTTCAATTTAAAAGTATACTAGTTAGATATTTCATCTATACCCTGGTATAGTAATAAAAATTCAGATACTGCTCAACGAGGAAGCACATTTTCAAAGCAACAGACCTGAAAACTAGTATTTTATTTGATATTTTAAATGCTTATTTCATTTTCTGGTTAAAGATGTTTGTGAAGGTAAAATTTAAAATAGATACTTTATGTTATTCTAGTATATAACATTGAAATTAAATTTTTAGTAAATGTAGAAAAGGAAAGTCTGAAGCATTGACTGAGAAAGATTTAGTAAATGGAGAATTTTGACTATTAAACATCCCATTTTAACAAAAATATGCATAAAATATTCTTAGGATGATTTAATTAACCTTTTAATAAATACGAAAGACATTATGAAAAAATTAAAGAATACATCACATTGCAGAATCAAAAGTAATAAAAATCACTCAAATTCTACTGCTCAGAAATGAAAATAATTGCTGAACATTAGGTGGCAGTATTTCAGACATTCCTATATAAATATACTTGAATGAGGCCCAGAGCAGTGGCTCACGCCTGTAATCCCAGCACTTTTGGAGGCCGAGGCGGGCGGATCAGGAGGTCAGGAGATCGAGATCATCCTGGCTAACACAGTGAAACCCCGTCTCTACTAAAAATACAAAAAAATTAGCCGGGCTTGGTGGCAGGCGCCTGTAGTCCCAGCTACTCGGGAGGCTGAGGCAGGATAATGGCATGAACCCCGGAGGCGGAGCCTGCAGTGAGTGGAGATCCCGCCACTGCACTCCATCCTGGGCGAAAGAGCAAGACTCCGTCTCAAAATAAAAATATAAATAAATAAATACACACATGCATTCTTCATTTATAAAATACATTTAATATTTTTAAATAAATAAAAGTCAAAATAAAACTGATAAAATGACTGTAGTTATTTGTATGAATATATGCATGTGTGTACAGATGCATTAAGAAATCTTAATCTTCAAAATGAACATTTTAGAAGAAATATTAAGAATAATGAGTTTGGGATCTGTATCATGCTCTCTTTTTCTGTTTTTTTGAGACGGAGTCTCGCTCTGTCGCCCAGGCTGGAGTGCAGTGGCACGATGTCAGCTCACTGCAAGCTCCGCCTGCCGGGTTCACGCCATTCTCCTGCCTCAGCCTCCCGGGTAGGTGGGAGGGACTACAGGCGCCCGCCACCACGCCCGGCTAATTTTTCGTATTTTTAGTAGAGACGGGGTTTCACCGTGTTAGCCAGGATGGTCTCAATGTCCTGACCTTGTGATCTGCCCGCCTCGGCTTCCCAGAGTGCTGGGATTACAGGCTGAGCCACCGCGCCCTGCCCTGGGATCTGTATCTTTCTAAGTAGGTGATTCAGTATCTAATGAGAAAATTATCACTTAAAAATTCAAAATGTTTTAGTTTGTTGTTATTATTATTATTATTTGTATTATTTTTAAAGATGGGGTCTTCTTATGGTGCCCAGGCTAATCTTGTTAATATTTTTATATTGTCATGGTGTCTTAGGCAGCTCAAGCTGCCGTAACAGAATACCAGAGACTGGTGTCTTAAGCAGACATTTATTTCTCACAGTTTTGGAGGCTGGGAAATCCTCCACAAGGTGCCGGCAGATTCAGTCCCTGGTGAAAGCCCCCTTCCTAGACTACAGGCTCCTGCCTTCTGACAATGTCTTCACATGGCACAAAATAGAGAAAGACAGAGAGCTGTGGTCTCAGTTTCTCTTCCTATAAGAACACTAATCCCATCATGGAGATGCACATGATCTTAACCAGATAAATTTTTTTTGGATATTTTGAACTGATCAAATAACTCACATTGATTCAAAATATCACAGTTATTAAAACTCAGGCACAAAATCAAGTTAGTTCATCAGTAATTGAGGCAGATAATTTTAAATCAAAATATAGCTACACAAAACATCATTTCCTAATTATCTTAGACTTTAAAAGTAGTTAGAGGAAGAGAAAGCTCATCTCTGTATTACAGTATAACGGGTTTCCCATCCTAGGTGTCTTAATCTATTTGAACAGCTATAACAAAATACCATAAATTGGTAGATTATAGGTAATAGAAATTTGTTGTTCACAGTTCTGGAGGGCGGGAAGTCCTAGATCAAAGTGCCGTAAGATTTGGTGAGGACCTGCTTCTTGATTCATGAATTGCCATCTCTTCCCTGCATCCTCACTTGGTGAAAGGGGCAGGAGTCTCTCGGGACTCTTTTATAAGTGCACTAATCCCATTCATGAGGGCTCTACCGTCATGATCTAATCCCCTCCCTCTAAGGCCCCACCTGCAAATATCATCATATGGGTGTTACTTTTCAACAGCTGAATTGTGGGGGGCACCATCATTCAGCGTACAGCACTGTGAAATCCCTAATATCGGGTTTTCTTTTTATTTTATTTTATTTTTGAGATGGAGTCTCGCTCTCTCACCCAGGCTGGAGTGCAGTTGTGTGATCTCGGCTCACTGCAAGCTCCGCCTCCCGGGTTCACGCCATTCTCCTGCCTCAGCCTCTGGAGTAGCTGGGACTACAGGCGCCCGCTACCACGCCCGGCTAATATTTTTTGTATTTTTAGTAGAGATCACCGCACCTGGCCCCTAGATGAATATTTGAATAAAAGTTGTATGTATGATGATAAAACAACAAGAAACTGAATTTTTGCAGAAAGTAAAAATAAAACTTGTCACTCTTTATATAGGCAAATCAGAGACTATACTTGAGGTTTTAGAAAAGACATCAGTATGTTCCATATAAAGCATGTACTGGGACCCCGTCAGTCTTTTTCACCATATAATATCAGTGTTTTTAATAGTACCTGGGATGGCTGGGCGTGGTGGCTTACGCCGTAATCCCAGCACTTTGGAAGGCCGAGGAGGGAGGATCACGAGGTCAGGAGATCGAAACCATCCTGCCTAATACGGTGAAACTCCGTCTCTACTAAAAATAACAAAAAAATTAGCCGGGCGTGGTGGCGGGCGCCTGTAGTCCCAGCTACTCCGGAGGCTGAGGCCGGAGAAAGGCGTGAACCCGGGAGGCGGAGCTTGCAGTGAGCGGACATCGTGCCACTGCACTCCAGCCAGGGCGACAGAGCAAGACTCCATCTCAAAAAAAAAAAAAAAAAAAAAAAAAAAAAAGTACCTGGGACATGATATGAACTCAATGACTATTTATTGAATGAATTACTTGAACAAGTTTATGCAAGAAATTGACATAAAATTAAACATTGTCTCCTTATACCATATAGTGTCTACAAAAACTAAGTTGATACAGAACCTGTATTCTAACATGATTAAATTTGAGCCAAGTACATTTCTCTCTTAAGAATTTATAAGTTTATAAAGAAATCAGGGCCTGGGAACTGAATCATTAATGAAAGATCTCAAAGGCAATATTCTTTTCATTGTAATTAATATTAAGTCGTTAAAGTAATAATAAATAACTAACATTTAGGTTCCTGAAAAAAATGGTTAAATTGAACATCAAATAGTTTGCATTTATATCACACTGTACAATTTATATTTTTTATGCTGCTTTACTGTAAGATTTCATTGAACAAATGCATCTTATGATTTCAAGGTAAGGTATTCAAATATGCCTTTTTAAAATGTAATGCTGTATTAGTGATTTTAAAATATGTAAAAAAAAATGTGTGGGAAATACTAGAAATGTTATTTGAAATTAACCAATTCTGGGTTTGCTTATTTTTTTTTTTATTTTATTTGCCAAACTGAGAACAACAGCCTTTACACATTTTCTATTTTTCTGGACTTGATTCTTAGGAACTTTAATTTTGCACTTTTGCATTCCTCTATAAATGTTAATGTCTTAGCCAATGACATTTTTCTAGATAAATTCAAAAGCTTAACCTAAGTAATGTAATGGTGGCATTTATGAAATTGACTCCTGGTTCTCTCTTTAAATTCTTTTTATTGTTTATTTCTATGGCACCATTACACTATGCTATCACATTGTTCTTGTTTTATTCCCCATGTTTAAAAAGCTGTATATTCTTTGCTGAATCTTAAAGGTCACTTTGAAACCTCAAGACCATGACTGAAATACAGTGAAGATTAAAGATAAAAAGGAGAAAAAAGGTTAAATTATAAAACCTCTAATATCATTACTCATATATATGATATACACAGAGATGCATCACCTAGGTCCTCCCTGAGAGCTGTGTCAGTAGACAGGACTCAGTTGTGAGCCCCTTCAGACGTCACCTCAGCTGCAGAGCTTCCCCCTGCCTAAGGTCCTGAGGTTCCCAGTTGTGGTGCATATGCAATGACTGATTGAGGTGAGGCAAGGAGGCAGGTGAAAGAGGTGGGGAGGGGACTTGGGGCCTATAAAGACTCAGTCATGTCATTGCAATGTGAAAGGATGCCAGTGGGCCATTTTATCTTCAAAGTCCCCTGTGAGATGAGCCAAAGCTGTGGTCCAGGACTTCTTTTCAGCCCAGCTTTTTCCCTTTCCCTCAATCCAGCTTCCTTCTTCTCCTTTTCACAGTGCCTTGGATTCAAGGGCACTCCCTAGTATATATCTCCATGTCCAAGTCTGCTTACTAGAGAACATTGTATCATGAATGATACCATTCTTCAAAAATATGGGGTACTTTGAGTGAAAGGAGTGGAACGGTATAGAAGAACAGCTTTGGTAGAGTAGTTAGAATAGAAGCTACTCTACATTGGGTTGATGCATGAATGGGATATTAGGAAGTAAAGTAGCAAATTGAAAACTCCTTTCGAAAGAAGAGAGTTAGAAAAGGGTCAGCAAGATAGTAATTGGGGCCTGGCTGTGATGGATCACGCCTGTAATCCCAGCACTTTGGGAGGCTAAGATGGGAGGATCACTTGAGGTCAGGATTTCAAGACCAGCCTGGTCAATGTAGCGAGACCCCATCTCTTTAAAAAAATGTAGTTGGAAGCTAGAGAATAGCATAACAAAAAAGAGGGTGATTTTAGAAGACAAAAGGGCCCACTGGAGCTCTCTCACATTGGAGTGAAATTCTGAAATTACCCTCTTTTTGGTTATGTCATTCTACCTCAATCATTTTGCCTCAATCATGTTTACAGGCAAAATAAGAGATAGAGAAGTGGAAAGGGCTGAAGGCAGAGATACGAGACACAATAACAAATGGGGAAAGATACAAGATACAATGAAAGGCATGAGCTAGATCAATTCTACAAGTGAAAAATTATACAAGTGAAAAAATTACAAGGTGAGAGGAAGGATGACTCATCACCCAATTATAGGTAAGTTTATAGGAGGGTGGGACTGGCTACATAAAGGTAGATGATACTTTATGTCCTTATTTTCATTAAAGAGAATATGTCATTTCCTGAAAATGAAAGATGTGGGTGTGAATAGAGAGTTGGCAAAATTTGGTATTTATTTGAAATCGGCATTTATTTGGGAAGATAATGTAGGGTAACTAATCCACTTAGATGATAAATACTTATTAACTATAAACTGTGTACCAGGTACTTTGCTATAATATAAAGGCAATGGAAAAACCAAGATTCAGTCTTGATTTGACATCCTTAACATTTACAGTGTCGTGGTGGAAACTATGTAAAGAATCCAGTGTGATAGAAGGTGGTAGATGTGGAAACAGGAGGTTTAGAAAAAGCTCCAGGACACATTGCTGACACATCTAACTCAGGATCAGGGCATTTAAGAAAGCATCACACTCTCCCTCAATCTCTCTATTCTGTCTTTCCATGGAATCCTTTTAACAAAGTATCAAGATGGCCCTCAGCACTAAGGAAGAAGTGTTATTTGAAAGCATGTTTTGGAATAGTTGCATTTATCTAAACAGAATTTTTCACTCCTGTGTGGATTTTGCTTGGAATTGGTATATTCTGGCATTCCATGTTGTAAAGCACTTGAGGTGCTTAAGAGATATTTGGTTGGCCGGGTGCAGTGGCCGAGGTGGTTGGATCACCTGAGGTCAGGAGTTCGAGACCAGCCTGGCCAACATGGTGAAACTCTGTCTCTACTTAAAATACAAAACTTAGCTGGGCATGTTGGCAGGTGCCTGTAATCCCAGCTACTTGGGAGGCTGAGGCGGGATAATTGTTTGAACCTGGGAGGCAGAGGTTGCAGTGAGCCAAGATTGCACCACTGCACTCCAGCCTAGGGAACAGAGCAAGACTCCGTCTCAAAAGAAAAAAAAAAAAGAAGGAGAGATATTTGGTAAATAACTGAGGCAAAGGTGGAAGAAAATAGTGTTCTACAGGAGGTGAAATAATGTGTGAAGAGAAAATAAAAATTTTAAAGAACTAAAAGAATCAGGTATTGAAGTCAAAGGTGAGAGGGCCACTGAAATTCAAAAATACAATGTGAATAACTACAGAAGATGTCATCATTCCTGATGAGGCAATGAATGTGGGTGCCTAAATTAGAGTAGAAATACATGTTATTGAAGATAAGGAGATCAAAAGTTGTAAGGCCAGGGTGTTGAATGTATTTTGCACAAATGCGCTAACGTTACCCAGAATGTTGGCAGGGGGAAAAACATCTGATGGCCTGTAGCCAGAGTTTTCCTTAAAAACGCAGACGTGTCCTCCTGGAAAACAGACATCTTTGAAAAAATGAAGGAAATTAGGGTCTCACAGCATGACTCTCATGGAGATGGTGAAGGACTGATTTGAGAGCAGCCACGCAGAGTTAGGACAATGCCAGCAACATCTGACCCATGTACATGAAGCTCCAGATAACTTAGGTGATTGCTTTAATGCAAAAGGCCACACAGTGTGAATTCGTGAGAGACTATCTTTTATATTCCAGAGGTTGGAATGGAATAATTCACTCATTTGAAAGGCTTGCTGGATATCCTCTATTTCAGGGCTCTCCAAACCCATACTAGTCCATGGCTGTTAGGAACTGGGCTCCACAGCAGGAGGTGAGTGGCGGCTGAGTGAGCGAAGCTTCATCTGTATTTACAGCTGCTCCTCATGGCTCATGTTACCCCCTGAGCTCCTCCTCCTGTCAGATCAGCAGCAGCGTTAGATTCTCACAGGAGCATGAACCCTATTGTGAACTAAGCATGCAAGGGATCTAGGTTGTGTGCTCCTTATGAGAATCTAATGACTGATGATCTGTCACTGTCTCCCATTGCCCCCAGCTGGGAACATCTAGTTGCAGGAAAACAAGCTCAGGGCTCCCAGGGATTCTACATTATGGTCAGTCGTATAACTATTTCATTATATGTTACAAAGTAATACTAATAGAAATAAAGTGCACAATAAATGTAATGGGCTTGAATCATTCTGAAACCATCCCCACCACCACCAGCTCTGTGAAAAAAATTGTCTTCCACAAAACCAGTCCTTGATGCCAAAAAGGTTGGGGACCACTGCTCTATTTCTCTTCACTGCTTAGAGAATCTGTTCTTCCACTCATGATCTACAAGGATTAAATGTTTCAAACAGTTCAAGTCTTCAAAATATGTTTTTTGTAAACTTGAGTTTTTAGAAATCATTCACAGTATCCATATTATATTTTATTTGCTGCAATGCCCTATACATTTCCCATATAATGCTCTTGAATATACTTTTACAACTTCAGTAACTTTACCCTTTACTGAATCTCAATCTGTCTCTCAATTTCTCTCTCTCAGCAAATCTAAACAAAAGAGAAACATATTGACTTGTGCTATGGTCTAAATGTTTGTGTCTCTAAAATTCATGTGTTGAAACTTAATCTCCAATGCAATAGTATTAAGAGATGAAGGCTTTGGAATGTGACTGGCAGAGCCCTCATGAATGGGATTGGTGCCTTCATAAAAGAGGCCTCCAAAATCTCCCTAGCCCCTTCCACCAAGTAAGGACGCACAGAAGTCACCATCTATGAAGTAGAGAGCAAGCTCTCGCCAGATACCAAATCTGCTGACACTTCAGTCTTAAACTCCCACCCTCCAGAACTGTGAGCAATAAATTTCTGTTTTATAGTTGTCTAAATTATCCTGTCTAAGGTGTTTTTTTATAGTAATGTGAATGGACTAAGACAACTTGAAAATGCAAGGTACCACACCAATAACAAGGAAAATACTCATGTTTTGTAACATTTATTTTATACCAAAGATATGCCAATTACTGTATACAAATATATGCCAAATGTTGGGTAAAATACTTTACATAAATTATATTAATCCTGAAAACAACCTGAAGGTAGATACTGTTGTCTGCATTTAAAGATGAGGACGTGGGGCTTGAATTAAGTAACTTACCTCACATCTCATCATGCTAAATGGCAAAGCTGGGATTCAAACCCTGCTCAGTCGGACTCCCATCAGGCTGCTCTTAGCCTGGTTATATTTTGAAGAAAAGAAGTTCAGAAACTTATCCATAGACATGGCCAGGTAGGGCCAGAGTCCAGACTCAACTGACTCTCAGCCAAGACCAGCCTCAACTCTTCCATTTTACCTCCAGCCTGAACAGCTTAAACATTTTTTCTCTTGCCATCTTATTAGAATACATAATGCCTATAATGATGGGATCCAAATGATATAGCATGACAACACTCTGGTTTAAAAAAGGTGAAATGTAATTTTTTTTTTTAATTTTAAGTTCTGGGATACATGTGCAGGACGTGCAGGTTTGTTACATAGGTAAACGTGTGTCATGGTGGTTTGCTACCCCTATCAACCTATCACCTAGGTTTTAAGGCCCCCATGCACTAGCTATTTATCCTGATGCTCTCCTTCCCCCCAGCCCCCCAGTAGGTCCCAGTGTGTTTTGTTCCCCTCCCTGTGTGCTTGTGTTCTCATTATTCAGCTTCCACTTAGAAGTGAGAACATGCGGTGTTTGGTTTTCTGTTCCTGTGTTAGTTTGCTAAGGACAATGGCTTCCAGCTCCATCTATGTCCCTGCAAAGGATATGATCTTGCTCCTTTCTATGACTGCATAGTATTCCATGGTGTATAGGTACCACATTTTCTTTTTCTAGTCTATCATTGATGGGCATTTGGGTTGATTCCATGTCTGTGCTATTGTGAATAGTGAAGCAAAAAACAGATGCAATAGGAATGCTTTTACACTGTTGGTGGGAATGTAAATTAGTTCAACCATTGTGGAAGACAGTGTGGCAATTCCTAAAAGACCTAGAACCAGAATTGCCATTTCACCCAGCAATCTCATTTCTGGGTATATACTCATAGGAATATAAATCATTCTATTATAATGAAACATAATGTAAAAATACCTCGAGTGTATTTGTATTTTGGTAATATCTGAATAAGACATAAAATATAATGCACACATCTTTATATCGTTTTATCCATATCTCTCTTTCTTTAAATCCTTCTGGTTAAAATTTGTCATTGCCTCCTGACTATGTATATATTTTTTCTTTTCTGGAAGAAAGCTCACCTAGGCCTTACTCAAATGCATGTTCTCAATCTTTACCTACCACCCCTCCTGCCTTTTTGTTCCAGTTTCCTCTTATCATTGTACTGATGTGGAGATACGAAAGAGAATATCACTGTCAGCCACCAGCAGTGCCTTTTCAGAGAAGAGCAATGGGGAAGAAATTGAGCAGACAAAGCCAGAATCCCCATTAGCAAACAGAAAGAGGGAGCTCAGGATAACCACATACATTAATAATTCTTGCCCCGCAAAGGGAAGCTCTGTAAAATAAGTTGTATTACATCTGTACATAGCAGTACTTTAAATATAACTCTAGCTTAAGTATTTTAAGCATCTCCGTGATATGAACCTAAGGGAATAAACTCAATAAATCAATATTTATAAGCTCTGTTCACTTATGTCTTGTGGTTTCAGCCACTGATTTCAGAATATGCATGAAAAATATATTTCTTCTGAATATTTGATTTCATGATCCCAAGTAGACACATCTCTGTATTGGGTTTCAACAAGTCCACAAAAGTTAAATACCTACTTTTAGCCAGCTTTGATTTTCAGAAGTTTAATTCTGACATTTAGTGATATACAATATGTAAAACAACCTGGCACTATATCTGTTATATCATAAGTACTTGGCAAATATTTCAGTTTACTCTTTCTCATAATTGAATAATGGCTCAATAGTAAAACTCTGTAGGGAAAAATTTAACCTCTTATTTATCAATTACAAATAGTTTAAGACAGATAATACCCCTTTCCTTGTTAGCTTTAATGCTGAATCATTAAAATTGTGAGCAATGTATTTATTTTGAGGAAACTATTTTTTACTAAGGATTTTGTTTTTTTTTTAGAATTTTATGAGTCTTCAAAATAACTAGAAAATCTTAAAGTGTTACCAAACAGAAGTGGACATTTAATAAACACCTCAACTTTAATACTTACAGAAAATCATTTGAAGGCTGTCACTCCTCTGGGTATTATAAATTTTAGCCTTGGTCAAATCAAATCACCAGGAGGCTACAAACTTGAACTACACTGCCTTAGTCTCCAACAGTTTCTTTCCTTGAATTAAGTTTTCGGGCCATGCTCTACTCCTTTTAATAAAAGAACAATACAACAAATAGTCATATGAAATCCATTTTGTTGCCTAATACAAAAATATTGTTGAAGAGTATCATAATTCAATGGCCCATATATATAAAATGTCTCAGCAAATGCACTTATGTCATAATTCAGTACTAGGAAATGATTTCCTTCAGGCAAGCTCCCCCTTAATTTTTTTTTTTTTTTTTTGAGACGGAGTCTTGCTCTATTGCCCAGGCTGGAGTGCAGTGGCACCATCCTGGCTCACTGCAAGCTCCACCACCTGGGTTCACGCCATTGTCCTGCCTCAGTCTCCTGAGTAGCTGGGACTACAGGCGCCCGCCACCACGCCCGGCTAATTTTTTGTATTTTTAGTAGAGACAGGGTTTCACCGTGTAAGCCAGGATGGTCTCGATCTCCTGACCTCGTGATCCGCCCGCCTTGGCCTCCCAGAGTGCTGGGATTACAGGCGTGAGCCACCGTGCCCGGCCCCTCCCCATTAATTAAGGTGAGAAATGCATAAATGATGATGGTAGTCATTGGTGCACCAGTTACGAAAGAGTGAGGCCGGGTAACTGGATGACACCTGCACAGGGCTCTGAGGTCTCAAGGAAAATGACAGGTGTTTGTGTATTCCAAAAATGTGGACATGATGGCATGAGGCCCAATGAAGAAGGGGTAGATTATGAATGGTGTTATCCTGAACATAAGGAGACTAAGATAGTGTAGTTTTAAAAATGGCAGCATGAAAAAAGGTGAATGCTAACCCCACCCCACCTTATGGTAAGTGTCTGAAGAATAATCTTTCTAGGGACTACTAGTGGGTATTCTTAAAGGACAGAGGCAGCTTTCTGTTTGAGTAGGAAGGTATTGGAAGCAGTATATGAAGGAATAAAAATATAAAAGAGAGAAATATTGGAGCAAGAGTGGGAAGTATGGTTAAAGATAAAGAAACGGCAGGGCACTTTAGGGAAATATGGTATGAGACGGAAAAGACGCATTTTTGAGTGATGAAAATACTAATCATGGCTAACACTTACATAGCATTTATCTTATGTCAAGCATTTACGTGTGTTAACTGTTATGATGCTCACATTAACCCCAGGAGGTCAGGCCTATCACTTTACAGGAAGTTTAAGCAACTTCTGAAATATTAACAATTCTTCTGAATTGCTTCTCTGGTGACAGGAATAAGAGTCGCAGTAGCATCAACTTGCTAAAAAGTTTAAAATGGTGCTCAGAATAAAGGTATTTTACTGCTTTTTGAGACTCATTGTAAAATGGCTTGAAATGTCTTTGCCCTGAATCTCTGCCAGTGGGAAATTGGATGAGTTGCTAAAGAATATGGAATTAATTATCCAAAAACACTTTAGATATTTCTCTTTGTATAGGGTATTGTAAATGGTCTTTAGCTAATTATAATTTAATATCTCATTTGTCTCTCTCATACATAGGTATATATGATATATACACGTGTATGTGTACAATTCAATACATCTATGTGTCTATGTAGCTACCTATGTATGCATGAATGTATGTATGTATCTGCCTATCTATTAATCTATCTCTATGTATCTACCTACCTATCTATATCTGTGTCTATCAACTTCAGGAATGCTTGGCATTCTTCTAACCTCTGCGGGGTATTTAGGGATTAGGCGATGATGATAGATTTCCAGCTTCATTTCTTTTTAAAATCTTTTATTCTTCTTGCTCATTTTCCTTTTCCTGTCCCTAAAGGACAGTTTCTCCTCAATTTAGGACTTCTTCCTTTTGCTCTCTTATCATTTGCACACTTTCTGTTCTCAGCCAGAACATCCCTTTTGTGCACTGTACAACCTGTTGACACTGTCACAGTTGCCACTTGATCATTGCAGATAAAGGAGGAAGTAGCAATTCTGGAATGGGTGGCTTATCTCTTGGCTTTATAACTGGATATCTTCATCTGCCATTCAGTCACTCTTTTTTATTATGGAGACATGTTTTCTGGGAAAATGCTACCATGAAGCAGGACCAATCTCCAGTTCAAGGCACCTCTTGATTTGCTCATTCCAAAGCATCCCCTCTTAGGAATTAGGGCTCAGATCATGGGGTCATCTATTCTGTAAGTAAAAGGCTGACAAAAAGTCTGTTACTTCACTGCTCTTTACATTATTAGGGTAATATTAACAATGGAAATCCAGTTTGTTCAATAAAACAAGTGTCGATGAAGAGTCAAACTCGGTAAAATATTTTAAGAGACTTATTCTGAGCCAAATATGAGTGACCATGGCACATGACACAGCCCTAAGGAGATCCTGAGAACACGTGCCCAAGGTGGTCAGGGTGCAGGTTAGTTTTATACATTTTAGGGAGACATGAGACATCAATCAAATACATTTAAGAAACACATTGGTTTGGTTCAGAAAGGCGGAACAATTTAAAGCAGGGGTTGGGGGGGGCTTTCAGGCTATAGGTAAATTTAAACATTTTCCAATTGACAATTGGTTTAGTTTGTCTAAAAACCTGGGATCAAAGGAAAGGATATGTTCAGGTTAAGCTAAAAGATTGTGGATACCAAGGTTCTTCTGAAGTCTTATAGTGGCTGCCCTTAGAGATAATAGATGACAAATATTTCCTATTCAGACCTTTAAAAGGTGCTTGACTTTTACTAATTTCTTCAGGATTGGGAGGGCTTGGAAGGAAAAGATCTAGTTATGTCAATAGAGATTCTTTACAGATGCATATGTCCCCCAACAAAGGGCAGCTTTGCAGGACCATTTCAAAATATGACAAAGAAACTTGCTTTTGGGATAAAATTTTTTTTACTTTCTTCTTTGTCACATAATGTTATGCCAGAGTCAGATTGCAAAGTAAGCCATGATATATAGGGTTAAATAAAATCCATCTGATGAGAATTTATGGTTAGTAGGGGATGACTCCCCAGACCCCTTAGATAGGAATTTGGGCAAAATAAAAAAATCAGAGCTTAGTCTTCACAAGTTATTGAAAAACAATGAGTTACCAATTTTATTTATTTATATTCTTTCAGTGGTCTTCAACAGGTGGCTCATGAATTCACATATTTGACAATTTTAATGTGAAATAAATTTAAGATATTTCAACAACAATCATATAGGAAAAGATAGATAAATAAGAAACTATAAAAATTATACTTTCAAACCTTTCCCTATCTAAGACACAGGGTTTATCTGATCTCACATAGATATTGGACATACGATTTAATTTTTAAAATTAATTTTTCTCACTTTAGAAAATTGGCATCTTGAGGCCGGGCGCAGTGGCTCACACCTGTAATCCCAGCACTATGGGAGGCCAAGGCAGGCGGATCACGAGATCAGGAGATCAAGACCATCCTGGCTAACGCGGTGAAACCCTATCTCTACTAAAAATACAAAAAATTAGCCAGGCGTGGTGGTGGGCGCCTGTAGTCCCAGCTACTAGGGAGGCTGAGGCAGGAGAATGGCGTGAACCCAGGAGGCGGAGCTTGCAGTGAGCGGAGATCGTGCTACTGCACTCCAGCCTGGGCAACAGAGCGAGATTCTGTCTCAAAAAAAAAAAAAAGAAGAAAAGAAAATTGGCATCTTGAAACAAAAGAAAGTGTCTGCTTTCCCCTTAAAGAATCATAAAGAAATATAATCAATTAGACTCAGATAGCCTAGAATTTAAAGCTTAATCAATTTTATTGATTGGCTTCAAGAATTTTATTGAAATGTCATATATTTATAAATTAAGACTAAGATGATACATATACTATCTACTGATTTTAAAATACAACAAATCATTTAACTAAATAAAATTAAAGATTGTAGTCTTTTAAACTTACCAACCAGAAATAATAAGCCAGTGAAATAAAAGATGTTCCAATAGAGAAATCCTTTGTCATTATATGACATACATTTTAATATGTTACACAGATAATCTGTGTATTTAAAATTGAATGATAAAAATTATTTGCAACATTTAACTGAAAAATTTTTATTCAGAATTTATCTTGAGACTTGACATGTATTAATATAATTAATGTACCTTATAAGTAAATATTGATTATATTAAATTTTTAGAATTGGGTCGAATGTGTATCTCCTCTCCTCTGATAACTTAGTTCATTCTATGAAATGGTGCTAGAGACTAAGAAATACAGAGGTTCTGTTATCAAGTGTCATGAACATCAAGTGCCTTTTTCTCCACTAATGTTAGAATGCCTCTCCAATTATCCTCTTTAGTAAACTGTGAGCTGAAAATAGTGAAGTCTGATATTGCAAGCAATGTCTCCAGTATAAAGTTTGCTTGAGATGAGAATCTTATCTAAGAACATTTTTCTTGTCACATAAAGTATGTCACACGGTGGCATATTCCCACTTAAAGTTAACGTGTACTAATATAAAGGCCTCAGCGGAATGTATTAAGTGGATTTCTTTTGGCATTGGGTAAAGGAATCTTTCAAGGATTCTGTGGATATACAAACAAGAAACAAATTTCAAAAGAGGCATATGCACAAAATTTTTATAACCTGTTAGAATCATGATCTGGACTAAACACAAATAAGTGAACCGAAGTACAACACAATACAAAGCAAAAATAAAAAATAAACAGGAAATTTAATTCTATACGATGCAGAAACTATGTGCCAATACTCAGTGTAAACATACACTATTAGGAGGAAGTTGCTGCCACACAAGCAGATGGCAGAGTTTAAGCAAAGCTGAAGAAGTTAGGTAGTGGCGTGCGGAGGGATCACTTTGATTATTGGCGTAGTTCCTACCCTCCTATTATTCTGGTTACCATACATTAGTGAGGTGTCTCCAATGGGTTTCGAGGGTTACAAATACCTTCCTGCATATTAGTCTACCTTCCTTAGAACTTCTTAAGATGGGCCATTGTCTCGTGATACTCAATAATTCAGGAAAATCAATAATTGGAATTAAAATAAACCAATTAATTACATACTTCTTTATCACAGTGTGACATAAACATACATTTTCAGACAAGTTTTCATTACTGGGCAACTATGATATCTACCCAATGTTGTGGCCAAAGTTGGAATATTCACAGTTCCCCCATACTTATGCCCTCCGTGTTTTGGTTTTCCAGATACATGCTGTTGCTTGTACTTCAAATACACTTTCCCTATATCTCTGTCAATTCACGTCTTTCTCAAAAAGAACAGAGAAGTCAAATGGCTCCTCTACTAAACCTCTAAACATATATGATTTCTCCTGTCTTGACATTTTTACCAATTCCTGTTCTCATTATAAGCTATGGTATCCGACTTTCACTTCTCTTCCTCTAACACCCCTGGCTTTCTTACCCCATTGTCTACATAGCTCAACTTCTTGCAAGTTGTCCATTCTTGCTCTCTCCTCTGTCTACAGCGATTTGCCTTCTGCTCCCACTGTTCACAAAACTTCTGTCCTCCATGTATTCATTTACAATGTTTTAGCCTTGGGCTGACCATACACCAGCTGTTCACAAAATTTATGTTGAACTGAATGACACTCGAATCAATAAATACAGGAAAAAAGGGGAACAGAAGGGGAAGCAAACAACATCCTTCTTCACATGATGGCAGAAGGAGAAATACAGAGCAAAGAGAGAAAAGACCCATATAAAACCATCAGATCTCACGAGAACTCACTATCACGAGAGCAGCAGCATGGGGGTAACAGCCCCCATGATTCAGTTACCTCCCACTGGGTCCCTCCCACGACACATGGGGATTACGGTAACTACAATTCAAGATGCGATTAGGGTGGGGACACAGCCAAACTAGATCAGTGCTGCAACTGACTTCACTGTAAATGAGTTTACAATGGGTAACTCCATATTATCTGAACCAAACAGCATAGAGAGACCTCAAGAAGAGTAAAGAAATCTTTGTCTCACGTACATGGTATACCATCAATAATGAAACTGAGGAAGATTCACGGAGGGAAGTCACCACCCTGCAGCAGGCAATTATATCTAAACCAGTGAGATATGAACAGTGCAAAGAAGAACTAGAACAAAGATACTGTCTGGCATAGAAAGTCCAGTATTAAAGACACAGAAGGCCCTACATTTGTCCAGTAAAGCCATGCTTGATTAATGCCTTGGAAACCCTGGAGACTGGATCAGAAATCTGTATATAAAATGGTTCTTCCTGGATAAAGTTGAGAGAAAAAGAAAGCTTATTGTGTTCAAGTAGAAACTGGGATAAGCTGTGGGCCATCTGGCTTTTCTGTTGCAAAAACCAGGGCTTAAATCTACATCTTTCTATAGTCATGAACGAGCAAACTGATGTTGAACAATCATCTAACAACGAAATATTTAGGATTCAAAAAGAATGTACTTATGAAAAGAATGTAACACAAGAAATCTGAAAATTAGAAAATTTCCCCTTTTTACACTAAAAAAGACAGAAGAGCCATGACTTTTTAAAAAACTGGAGCAGTAAGCTTGTAGTGGGAAAAGTGATGGTGAGAAATGCAGGCATAGAAAGGAAGCAGGTTTAAGTAAGAAGAGAAAACACAAGGAAATCCAAAATCCCAAATAAAATAATTTTGCCTTAAATTTTATTATGTTTAATAGTAGACTGCTGTTTTCTTTTGTCAATTGCTGTCAGATAAGTTTTGCTCTTTTGATTTATTTTAAAAGTAACATTAACTCTTGGTTGGGCATGGTGGTTCATGCCTGTAATCCCAGCACTTTGGGAGGCCGAGGTGGGCAGATCGCTTGAGGCCAGGAATTCAAGACCAGTCTGGCCAACATAGAGGAACCCTGTCTACTACAAAATAAAAAAAATTAGTCGGCTATGGTGGCACATGCCTGTAATCCCAACTACTCAGGAGGCTGAGGCACGAGAATCACTTAAGCGTGGGAGGTGGGGGTTGCAATGACATCACCACAGCCTGGGCAACAGGGGGAGACTGTCTCAAAAAAAAAAAAAATTAGTGGCCGAGCATGGTGGCTTATGCCTGTAATCTCAGCACTCTGGGAGGCTGAAATGGGTGGATCACAAGGTCAGGAGTTCAAGACCAGCCTGGCCAATATGGTGAAACCCCATCACTACTAAAAATACAAAAATTAGCTGGGCATGGTGGTGAATGCCTGTAGTCCCAGCTACTTGGGAAACTGAGGCAGAAGACTCGCTCGAACCCAGGAGACGGAGGTTGCAGTGAGCCGAGATCGCACCACTGCACTCCAGCCTGGGCACAGACAGAGAGTCCGTCACAAAAAAAATAATAATAATAAAAATAAAATTAGCAAAAAATTAGCCAAAAATTCTTTAAAAATAAATATAAATATATTTATATATACATTTTATTCATTCATTTTATATACATTTTATTCATTCATTAATAAAATCACTTTATTAATCATTCAATAAAATGAATTCATTATATATAATGAATGAATAAAACGTATTTTTCCATTAGGGATTTAAAAGGAGCATTGGATAAATTAAAAATTTTTTTTGTCTTTTCTTTTGAAAAAAATATAAATTTAATGATGTATTTTTGGACTTTGATTAAAAATAATTCAATTTTATCTGTAAGCATAAATATTAGAAATACTCAGAGAAATTTAGCAGAAGGATAAGCATCATTTTGTAATGACAATAATTAAGTAGGGCTGCATAAGTGGAAGAATGGACATATAAATGCCTTTTTTTTTTTTTTTTTGAGACGGAGTCTTCGCTCTGTCGCCCAGGCTGGAGTGCAGAGGTGCTATCTATGCTCACTGTAAGCTCCGCCTCCCGGGTTCACCTCATTCTTCTGCCTCAGCCTCCGGACAGGCTGGTACTACAGGTGCCCACCGGCTGATTTTTTGTATTTTTTTAGTAGAGATGGGATTTCACAGTGTTACCCAGGATGGTCTCAATCTCCTGACCTCGTGATCCGCCCGCGTCGGCCTCCAAAATTGCTGGGATTACAGGCGTGAGCCACCGCGCCTAGCCAGATTTTTTTTTTTTTTTCAGAGGCTCCCTCTGTAGCCCAAGCTGGAGTGTAGTGGCGCGATCTCGGCTCACTGCAGCCTCCGCCTCCCGGGTTCAAGCAATTCTCCTGCCTCGGCCTCCTAAGTAGCTGGGACTACAGGCACGCACCACTACGCCTGTCTAATTTTTGTATTTTTAATAGAGACAGGGTTTCACCATGTTGGCCTAGGATGGTCTTGATCTGACTTCGTCATCTGCCCGCCTCTGCCTCTCAAAGTGCTGGGATTACAGGCACGAGCCACCGCAGCCGGCCGACAGACTTTATTTCATCTGTAAAGTTCTATAATGTCATTCACAATAAAATAAAAAGATATTATGCAAACCAAACAAAATTTTGCAAGATATGTGATACACTATACATAGAAAATTCTTGCATATCAGTAAGAAAATAACTATAAATAGATAAAATCCATGAATAGTAACAAAAGTATAGGATATTAGAGAAAAAGTATTTGACAGAATGAAAGAAAAAAATGGTTGTTTTAGGATCAGTGGTCTGAGATGCATTCATGTGTTACTTCATTAGCTTGTATGTATTTAATATATTCTATATGTGTTCAACAATTGATGCAGATTCAAAAACAAAAAAAAGTTCCTTTAGTAAGGAGATACACAACAACAAAAATTTCCTATAAAAGTGGATTACAATAATGAAAGTATCTAGAAATCTAATTTTAAAAAGTGGTACTCATTATCTGGGATCATCTGGGAAGAACTCATTTAACAGACCATTTGCGTAGACACTTGAGGATGAAGATAAATTTTCAGGCAGATTAATAACAATGGGGAGAGTTTTCAAGGCAGAGGAGATGACTTTTATAAAACGAGGAAAGCATGAAGTTTATATAGCTTGAAAAGTGTGTTGTATTCAGGTAGTAATGCACTGACTCCATCACTCTTGCATTTTGTTTGTTTGTTTTGAGGCGGAGTCTCGCCCTGTCGCCCAGACTGGAGTGCAGTGGCGCGATCTCGGCTCACTGCAAGCTCCGCCTCCCGGGTTCACGCCATTCTCCTGCCTCAGCCTCCCGAGTAGCTGGGACTACAGGCGCCCGCCACCACGCCTGGCTAATTTTTTTGTATTTTTCTTAGTAGAGACGGGGTTTCACCGTGTTAGCCAGGATGGTCTTGATCTCCTGACTTCGTGATCTGCCCGCCTCGGCCTCCCAAAGTGCTGGGATTACAGGCGTGAGCCCCCGCGCCCGGCCACACTCTTGCATTTTTTATTGTAGGCTCTGAGGAAAGGTCTGCTTCCACGTGTGTTCAGATTGTTATACACACTTAGTTCCTTGAGTGGGTATTATTGCAGTCCCCATTTCCTTGCTGGCCGTCAGCTGGGACCAGCCTTTCCTCCTAGAGACTGTCCCTGTTCCTTCTTATGCTTTTTTCATGGGCCTTTCCAGCAGCACGAACATTTCAAATATCTCTGCCTTTCCCTCCTGCCCCGTCTCTCAGAAATCAACTGCACATGGTCTCAGCTTTTAAGGGCTCATAGTGATTAGATTGGACTCATATACGGTCCTCATTTTAATATTCATAATTCTAACTGCAAAGTCTCTTTTGTCAGGTAATACAGAATATTCAGGTCTCAAGGATTAAAGTGTGAGCATCTTTGGGGGTTTTTATTCTGCTTACAACATTTACCTAGAGTATAAATTCAAGACATAAGGCAGAATCTTATGAGAAAAAGAAAGTACTATTTTGAACATACCTGTGGCAATCCTAAATGGGAATTAGATTCAGATTTGGCAGTTCTTGATAAAAGTCAAGGCTGAAGAAATAATTTGGTAGTCATCATGTTATACATTTTGTAAATGAAGCCATTATTATATATGAGAGGGTTAGCATTCACCCAGGGAGACTTCAAGTCAGTTTACAAAGTTAATATTCTATGGCACGTTCAATAGTAGCACCACCTTTTATTCAATTGGATAGTAGCCTGGGGTGAAGATTAAAAAGAAAGAAATATAACTATCTCTATATGGAGATGCCATGAGGTATAAAGAATTTGTATATAGATATACATGGAAAAATATGTATGCATACAGGAAATCCTAAGGAATCCACACACGCACGCACACACGCACGCACACATGCACACATTAAGATGATAAAGCTGTGATATTTTTAGGCATAACTTTGTAGTAAGATGTTACATCAGGAACAGGAAACTACTATAGCAAAGCACCCAGAATGGTCTAAATAGTCTTGAAACAGAAAATTTTCTACCAAACTGTATTAATTCGGTGTTGCATTAGCATAAAGATAGACATATAAATTTAATGAAATAATATTGAGCATTAATCAATAAACCTTATATTTATGAGCAATTGATATTTAAAAGGATGCCAAGAAAATTCAAAGGGGAAATAGTAGTCTTGTCAACAAATAGTGTTGGGACAACTGTACATATGCATGCAAACAAACGAAGTTGGATTCTGACCTTACCTTACACACAAAGTTGATCAAAACCTAAATGTAAGACCTAGAAGTAAAAAACTCATAGAAGAAAACATAAGCAAAATCTTCATGACCTTAGATTAAACAATGGTTTCTTAGATATAGCACCAAATTACAAGCAACAAAAGAAAAAAAAGGGGGCTATATTATGCTTAATTAAAACTAAATTTTTTCTTCAAAAGAAAAAGCCAAGGAAGTGAAAAGACAACCTACAGAATGGGAGAACAATTTTGCAAATCATACATCTTCTAAAAGACTTGTATTCAGAATATGTATCTTACAACTCAATAATAAAAAAACATATAACCTATTTTTAAAATGGAGAAATGATTTGAGTAGAAAATTCTCCAAAAAAGATACACAATAGGCAAGAAGCACATGAAAAGATACTCAACATTATTGGTCATTTGAGAAATGCGAATCAAAACCACCAGGAGATACCATTTCATACTATGATCAAAAAGAAAATAACAAATATGTTTGAGAATGTGGAAACAATCCCACATAAATCGCTGGTGGGAACGCAAAACGATGCAGCCATGGTAGGAACAATTTTGCAGTTGCACTTTGGGAGGCCAAGGTGGGAGGATCACCTGAGGTCAAGAGTTTGAGTCCAGCCTGGCCAACACAGTGAAAACCCATCTCTACTAAAAACACAAAAATTACCCAGGCGTGGTGGCAGGCACCTGTAATTCCAGCTACTCATGAGGCTGAGGCAGGAGAATTGCTCGAACCTAGGAGGCGGAGGTTGCAGTGAGCTGAGACCACGCCACTGCACTCCAGCCTGGGCGACAGAGTGAGACTCTGTCTCAGAAAAAAAAAGAAAAAGAAAGAAAGAAAAGAAAAAAAAGTTAAACAGTGTTATCAAATGACTGGACAATTCTACTCCTTAGGAATATCTCCCAAAGAATGAAAAACATGTCTACAAAGAACCTGGACACAAATGTTTATAGCAACATTATTTGTAATGGCCATAAAGACAATGCAAATGTCCATCAATTGATGAATGGATAATCAAAAAGTGGTATATCCATACAATGGAATATAATTTAGCCATAAAAGGAATGAACTACTGATACATGATACAGGTATGAATCATGAAAACATTAAGTGAAAAATGCCAGACACAAAATGTCACATATTCTATAATCCTACTTATATGAAATGCCCAGAAAAAGCAAATCTATAGAGACAGAAGGTAGATCAGTGATTGCCAGGGGCTAGAGAGAAGAGCAAACAAGGACTGGCTAATAAGAGACACAGGATTTTTTTGTTGTTGTTCAGTGATGAAATTATTCTGGAATTTGCAATGATTATACCATAACCTTCTGAATATACTAATCACTGAGCTGCATCCTTGTTAAGGACAAATATTATGGTGTATGAATTATATCTTAATTTTAAAAAGTACAGTAAAGTAAAAACCAATTGTGTTTCAATAATAAAATATTATTTTAATATCACTATATTAACAATATGGAAGAAAATCTCATCTCAATGGATGCAGAATATATTTTTTAATATTGCAAACAATAGAATGGAATGTATTTAATCTGGTGAAAGATAATCATAAAATCTTACAAAAATATTATAATTAATAAGGAAATATGGAAAGCTTTCCTTATGGGATCAGAAAAAAAATTCCCTAGTCAGTTCAATAAGAAAAAAAAAGTAAGAATTAGCAAGAAAGAAATACACAGGTCATTATTTGCTAAGGACATTATTGTATATGTAGAATATCTAAAATAAAATATTAGAACGAATAACTAAATATAGCTATCAGGATCACTGGTTACAATATGAGCACATAAAAGTCTATTTTATTTCCTTACACTACCAATAACCAATTACAAAATAAAATTTTATAAATATATCATTTAGAATCAATATTTTGTTAACTTCATAAAATTAACTGGAAAGTTTTTCTTTTTAAATATATTTTCAAAAATTGAAGAATTCTTCAAGTCAGTTAAATGGTTTTAAATATTTCTGGCCTGCAACAACAAGGTTAAATCTGCATGTGATAATGGATCTCTCTACTGATATTAGAGCTATCCCATTATTGAAAACCATTTTTAGATATAAATGGCAGGCACCTAAGAATGACTTAATTTCCTGTGGTGTTCCTTTAAAACAATTTTCCAAAACAGGCAAATCTTGCTCTCTCCCTCTCTCTTTCTCTTTAAAAAGTAACACAGGCTTATTTTTAAAGTTGCAATCAAAACAGACAGGTAAAAAGTAGAAAATTAAAATGACCCATCAGGCTTGTCTTAAAATTAACTACTGATAATATTTTGGTATATGTCCTCATATGTTTTAGTGTATTTTTTCAGGTTTGTTCTATCAAAACCTAATTTAACAAAATCTGAGCAAATCATCCACTTCCTTTCCTAATATCCTTTTATACTGTGTGTTTATACATGTGGTTATGAATATATGTTCACAAGTGAGGGTATATATACACATACACACATACATGTGTGAGATAGAGACATAGGCAGAGGCAGACAGAAAGGCAGAGAATAGCTAGGAAAGTTGAGCTCAATTTAATATTGTAATTATAATATGCATGCTATTTTAAAATTGCTTTCATTTCTGAATTTAGACAGCATATAGAACTTGATAAATACAGTAATTAGAAATCCGAGAGTTATTTGCATACTTACACATCTGAAGTATCTTCCTATGTACAGATAAACATTAACCACAATTATCTACACATGTTGCTTAAATTTTTTCCTCCAGCTGTCATGTTAAAGCCATGATTGACACTTGTTTGCATACTATTTGAGAATTTAATATTTGGTTGAAATTCTCTGATCCTAAAACATACTGCTTGGAAATACACATTTTGTTTTCATACACATGAGATGTTGCATGCATACCGAAATTAAAGAATTACAATTAGTTGGTACCCAGCTTGCATCCTTAAGCAATCTTTGTAAATACTATTTTTCTTATTAACGCTGCTTTCTGTTCTCATTAAGTTTCAACAGAGTACTCTCAGTAATTTAAAACATATTGTTCCTTCAGTTAAATAGGCAATTTCCCTCTCAACAAATGCCTGGACCTTAAAGTAAGGTGTGGAAATGGACAAAATAGTCCCAAATATTTTAACCAGCAATATAAACTTTTGCAATGCTTTTATAGGATGTTTAAAATAACAAGAAAGACTTGGTTCTCGTGATTTTCACCAACGGTGGTTACAAACAGTCTTCTTCTTTACTATGTTTGAATGGCATATTTCACTTCACATATCCTTTACTTGCTGCTAGAGCCTTAATATTGCTAGGGGGAAAAGCTTACCTAGCTCCGTGTTTGTAAATGTCAGCTAGCCAAAAGATATTTGGAAACCTATAAATGTTCGCCTTTCTAACATTTGCTTAAAGCTATCTGGAATTAACGTTCTCCTCTTTCCTCTTCTCTCACCTCAAGAAAAAAAAATCTGTATACAGAAGTTGACACAAAATATATTAAATAAGGCTGGTATTCAGCCCTCTTGCATTCAAGCAAGAATTACCCATGTATGTAAAACAGAAGAAAATGTCTTGATAGTATTCTGTACCCGTGCTGTCAAACTACCCTTTGATATGTCTGCAATTTTCTCAGTAAAACACATTTTGTTTATTTTGGATTAGGAGCAAGCTCTTGCATGTCTACCAGGATTTATTAGCCTGGTAAAGAAGCAGCACTACACAGAAACAACGAATATAATGTGCTCTTTGCTATGGTTTTAAGGTCCCCTTCAAACTCATGTGAAATGTAATTGCCATTGAAACAATATTAAGAGATGGGGGCTTTAAGAAGTCATGCAGGCTGTTGTCGGTTTTTTTTCTTCCAGGTTTTTTCTATCAAAACCTAATTTAACAACATCTGAGCAAATCATCCCCTTCCTTTCCTAATATCCTCATTTTCACTACTCTCTCCTTCAGCCGCAATGATCCATTCCATCATCTAACATTAATTTAGTAAAGATTTACTAAATCCCTTCTCTGTACAAATCATTTTATAGGATCTGAGTAAAGATACAGTGATTAGCATATGGCAGCCCTTGTCCTTTAACATGGCAAGAACAACTTTTCCTATTTTCAAGAGCTCGAGTATTCTGTCACTAACAGATCTAAAACTATCCAAGTTTACCTGGCCAACTTTTTCCCTTAAACTTCTGCCTCCCTTTTACAAAACTTCAAAAAAAAAGAATTCCAAATTTAATCATGCTGTTAAAACAGATTTTCACATCATCCCGTAGTTACATAAAGGGCAGTCTCCTTAGCTCATACTTAAAATCATATCTTTTCAACCCTTGAGTATTGTTACCATTACCTCAAACAATCATACAGCTACTGTCTTTCAGGTTATTCACAATACAATAATTTGAATATGCAAAAACACCACAGAATTTAAATGAAAAGTAACTAACGCACCCTACTCCCCTCAAAAATCAATTAATAAAATTTGTAATTTCAACAAATATTTTTGAATATTTACAAATCAGAAACAAAAATGGCTAACTGGAAACACAAAACAGATAAAAGATTTGGTAAATTAACCCAACATGCAATTTTGAAAAATGTAAATTTAATTTTTACTTAATAAGTGATTTCTCAAAAAGTAACATTAATAAAGGGCATTGTCAGAAATTTTGAGTCTTTTAAGAGTGAAAACATCTGTTTGAACTAAAACTAGGAGACACAGAATGATAAGAACATATGAAGTTTTAGCTAAATATCCATGAATTACAAGGTTATTCTCTGTTGGTTTGGAGTACTCATTTACACACTAATACTCAGCTTTAGGAATTTAGGGCTCATTAACTTTGCTAAACATGGAATTTAGGGTTTTTTTAAAAACTACTTATTTCTTCACTATTTTTATATCCAAGTATACTCTTCTCATTACTCACAAAGGACAAATCTTCACCAAGCCCCTGCCCCTACAGTCAGGATAGTAATTTCATTCAAGCATCCCTTGAAAGCAATTATTTATGCTCGCTGCAGAAATTAGGGTAAATTTGTTGTGGTCCCATTTATTTTCTGGAGATTGGCGATTACATGTAAAATAATTTGAACGCTTGATAGATAGACTCATAAATATTTGGTTAATACAAGTAAAGCAGGGGGAGGCCAGGCGCGGTGGCTCACGCCTGTAATCCCAGCACTTTGGGAGGCCAAAGTGGGTGGATCACAAGGTCAGGAGACCGAGACCATCTTGGCTTACACGGTGAAACCCCGTTTCTACTAAAAATACAAAAAATATTAGCAGGGCGTGGTGGCGGGTGCCTGTAGTCCCAGCAACTTGGGAGGCTGAGGCAGGAGAATGGCTTGAACCAGGGAGGCGGAGCTTGCAGTGAGCTGAGATTGTGCCACTGCACTCCAGCCTGGGGAACAGAGCGGGACTCCGTCTCAAAAAAAAAAAAAAATGGAGCTGGGGGGGCCGGGCGCGGTGGCTCACGCCTGTAATCCCAGCACTTTGGGAGGCCGAAGCAGGCAGATCACGAGGTCAGGAAATCGAGACCATCCTGGCTAACATGGTAAAACCCCGTCTCTACTAAAAATACAAAAAATTAGCTGGGTGTGGTGGCGGGCGCCTGTAGTCCCAGTTACTGCGGGAGGCTGAGGCAGGAGAATGGCGTGAACCCAGGAGGCAGAGATTGCAGTGAGCTGAGATAGCCCCGCTGCACTCCAGCCTGGGCAACAAAGGGAGACTCTGTCTAAAAAAAAAAAAAAAGTAGTTATTTTCTTCTTCATCCCTTTCAGTGTGGCCACTATTTATAATGCAGTTTGGTTCATTAGTGTTTGTATTCCAAAAACACCCTCAGCCTTCCTATCCTAGTTTTAATGAATTATTAGTGTGAAACATAATAAGGGTCGGAGCTATACAGAAAGGTCTACTCAGAGGTGCTTTGTTCCCTCCTATTCTGTTCCCACCACTCCTACTTTCCACTACTTTTTCCACTGACCCTGTGAGCATCATATTTATTGTTAATGGCAGTTACATTTTTACCAAGTGCTTACTATCTGTAGGCACTTGGTGTGTATTGCTTCTTCTGGTGTTCACAGCAACCTCTTGAGGTAGGCACTATTATTATCCACCCCACCCCGCCCCGTTTTTTGAGACAGAGTCTCACTCTGTTGCCCAGGCTGGAGTGCAGTGGTGCGATCTCAGCTCACTGCAACCTCTGCCTCCCAGGTTCAAGCAATTCTCCTGCCTCCGCTTCCCAAGTAGCTGCAAGTACAGGTGCGAGCCACCACACCCATCTAATTTTGTATTTTTAGCAGGGGTGGGGTTTTGCCATGTTGGCCAGGCTGGTCTCAAACTCCTGACCTCAGGTGATCCCCATTTTTTAGATGAGAAAGCAGAGTCCCAGAGAGCATAAGGAGCTTGTCCAGAGTGGCATCTCTGATGCATAACCAGTACTCAAACCAGTATTTTTCTGACACCAAGGCCTGTGTGTAAACTGTAAAAGGGCTGTTTGGTACCTGCTTTCCTAAAGTTGTCTGATCCCTTCTCAGTCCAGGTCTTCCTGAAGCTTGGCACTTCTGAAGTCACCTTTCTGAAAACATTCTGGTAACTGTTAGATCCCTTGTTGTAGCTATTCATATGTTCTGTGTGGTTAAACAAGGTTCACAGTGGGCCACCTGGCCTTTGGAACTTGGCTGAAGAGGCTGCCTTCAGTTCATCCTCCCCACCCCCATTTTCAAAACATGGGTTTCCATGTGTTAGTTGTAAATTAGGAAACATAACCATGTTTTGAGGCTTCATAGAAAACAAACGTCTGGGGTCACACAGGTTAAAGGAGGAACCAAATTCAGCACTATCACTGTTCTATTCAGCAGGCAATTCTGGGGCCTTCCTGTGTCTCAGGTTCTGTACTAGTTGTTTCAGGACTTTGGGATAAACACAAACTATCCCTGCCCTCAGGGGGATTAAGGTCAGGTGTACAAATGACTCTAATGCGAGGCAAGGCTGGATTCAGTGCTGGAAGAGGAGGGCATACCTAATGCTATGGGAATTCAAAGAGGAAATGATCAGAATGAGGAGGGAGAGATGGGTCATTCCAGGAGAAGCTTCAGGGAAAAGCAACACTTGAAATGAGACTTTGGAGAGTGAGGGAGGTTTGGGCAGATGGATAGAGAGGATGCAAGGCCAGGGGAAAGGTTTGAGCCAGAAAGTCGGCTTGGGCAAGTGCATGGGTAAAAAAAGAAAATCCACTTTGGGAGGCCGAGGCAGGAGTTGGAGACTAGCCTGGCCCACATGGTGAAACCCTGTCTCTCATAAAAATACAAAAATTAGCTGGGCATGATGGTGGGCACCTGTAATTCCAGCTACTCGGGAGGCTGAGGCAGGAGAATCACTTGAACCCAGGAGGCAGAGATTGCAGTGAGCTGAGATCACACCACTGCACTCCAGCCTGGGCAACAAGAGTAAAACTTCATCAAAAAAAAAAAAAAGAAAGAAAGAAAATCACAAGGCAGTGTGGGGAATGGTGAGTAATCTAATTTGGTTGTTGCAGAGAGGATGTAGAAGGAAGTGACGAGAGAAAGCCAGACAGGTGGCTTGGGGTCATCTTAAGGGCCTTTGTGCCAGTTAGGATGTTCCAGACTTTAGTCAGGCTGCCCAGCTCAGACTGGCTCAGACAATGAGGGGGTTTATTGGTCATGTAATTGGGAAGTCCAGAGGTTCTAGGACTAAAGAAAATTATTATTTAGTATTAGTTTGACAGCAACACCTTCTGTTTTCTGGGAGCAGGAGATGCTTGTCAAGCTGTAGGTCACTGAGTTGAATATTAGCCTGCTTTATTAAATTGCCAAGGGCACGGTAATTGTTGAGAGGGGAGAAGTACACATGAAAGAAAACATGACCAGCTTAGAAACGTCAAATGATTATGACGTTGTTATAAAGTATTATAATTCTTTGAGCGTCTACTATAAGTAGAGAAACTTGAGTTCCAGGTTGTGGGCTTGGTTCCGCCAACAATCAGGAACGTGGTTTTGCATGAAGCCCTTCTTTCTTCTATAATCTTCAGTGTCCTCACCTGCAAAATGAGGCCTTTATATATATATATATATATATATATATATATATTTTTTTTTTTTTTTTTTTTTTTTTGAGACGGAGTCTCGCTCTGTCGCCCAGGCTGGAGTTCAGTGGTACAATCTCTGTTCACTGCAAACTCCCCCTCCTGGGTTCACACCATTCTCCTGCCTCAGCCTCCCGAGTAGCTGGGACCACAGGCACCTGCCACCACGCCCAGCTAATTTTTTGTGTTTTTAGTAGAGATGGGGTTTCACCGTGTTAGCCAGGATGGTCTCGATCTCCTGATCTCGTGATCTGCCCGCCTCAGCCTCCCAAAGTGCTAGGATTACAGGTGTGAGCCATCACGCCCGGCCAAGGCCTTTATTATATTACGGTTCCTACTGTTTTTTAAAATACTTTTATTAAGTCCAACATTTTTATTAAGATCATTGCTTTTATACATGCCTATTTATGAAAGGGGTTTTTGAGTGTTTACCACTTTTTATTAGAAATAGAGACAGTAAGAATGTTTGACTTAATTGACACAGGCATAATTGAATGGGTATAAATGGCATGCCATAGAAAGAGAAAATTAAGTTGAGCTACTCTGTTGGTTTCACTGATGAGGGGATACATCATTCAAACAGCCAGGAATTAAATCCGTCCAACTCACAAATGGGGAAACCAGCTGTGTCTGTACCCATGGCCAGCCAGATTGAACACAAATCAGGAAAGTCAGTAACTTTTCCTCAGTTCTGAGGGACTTCAGTGGCTGCGGTTCATTTTCCTTTTGCTTCTGAAACAGTGCAAGTTGATGCTCGCCTGGACAGAGCGGCAGTGAGTGGTGGCATCTGAAGGCCAGGTCTCTGTTGAGATGACTACACGTCGTCTCCCAGTGCCCAATGCATAGAAAAGATACACTACTAAGTGTGAGATCCTCAGTGAAAAATAAAATCTGGGGTTGAATCATCATGGGGGATACTGCATACTCTGTTTCCCCCCTGCAGATTTCCAATGCTCATTAGTTTATAGAGACTCTGAGAATTCCTACAGCAAAGGCACCTGCCGAGGTATTTACAAACTAGTTTAGCTAAACCAGACTTTCAACAATTGGTTACTAAAGACCACTCAAAGTCTGTCAACACTCTGTCATCTCTACGTAATGATAGAAACATAGAAATTCAGGGTAAATGTTTAGAAATTTCTATAGAAACTTGACATTCTCCCAGCATCTGTATGTGACATCAGGGGACTTGTCTCAATGAGCAGTTACAGACCAACTGAGGTTTTGTCAGACTCAATGGAAAGATGCAGAGGCTGTGAGCTGCAAACGAGTCACATGCACAAGGACCACATTGCAAGCTGCGTTCTTTAAGGTTAGTTTATCAACTATAGTATAATCTCACACATCTGAAAAATAGGAACATCTATTCTATAAAGTCTTATATTTGCAATAATTTTAATTTTAAATCAAGCCAATGTTAGCATTATTAGTGAAAACAAAAGAAAGTTGTATTATTTATTATTAAACCTAATTTGAGAGTGAAATAAATTGTATTAATTTTTTTAACCAATAAAAGATGCACCTTGTAAACCAAGAGATGATTATGAAAGTGATTCTGAGGACATGAAGACCAAAGGAGTTTGTCCTCGTTTTACTCAGAAGTACTATTTCTAATGGACAGATGATCCCTGACATACAATGGTTTGACTTATAATTTTTTGACTTTATGATGGTGTGAAAGTGATATGCATTCAGCAGAAACCATACTTCAGTATTCAATAAATTACATGAGATATTCAACACTTTAAAGTGGGTTTGTGAGAGATAATTTTTGCCCAATGGAAGGTGAATGTAAATTTTCTGAGAATGTTTAAGGTAAGCTAGGCTAAGCTATGATGTTAGTTTAGGTGTATTAAATGCATTTTAATTTAATTTAATTTAATTTTATGTTTTGAGACAGTGTGTTTTGTTCTTGTCACCCAGGCTGGAGTGCAATGGCATGATCTCGGCTCACTGCAACCTCTGCCTCTTGGGTTCAAGCGATTTTCTTGCCTCAGCCTTCCCAGTAGCTGGGATTACAGGTGCGCACCAACATGCCTGGCTAATTTTTGTATTTTTAGTAGAGACAGGGTTTCACCATGTTGGCCAGGCTGGTCTCGAACTCCCGACCTCAGGTGATCCACCCGCCTCAGCCTCCCAAAGAGTTGGGATTACAGGCTGAGCCACTGCATCCGGCCTTAAATGCATTTTTGGCTTGTATTTTCAACTGATGATGAGCTATAACTCCTTTGTGAGTTGAGGATCATCTGTCTTGAATTTGGTTTTACAGGCATAACTGAAGGTGAAAGGACAGAATCACCGTGTGTTACTGGCACAGGTGCATCGGCTAGTGAAGAAAGAAGACATTCAAACTGTAAGTTGCATTCACGTGGGAAGCACAAAGAATTAAATTCAAAACAATGAAACATTAGAGAAAAGCATGGAGTTAAAACACAACAGAATCAGATGTTTACTATTTCTCATTTTAACACTAGTGCTTTGCGGGCTTCTAATAAAGTTGTACTCCAGGAGGCTAAGACTGAAAAGTGACACTAGTGAAAAATAGCATTGAAATAGTTCCGTAGAAAAGTTGGGTGAATGTGGGGCAAAGATGCCACTAAACTTTAATTTTCCATCGACACACAAATTCAAAGTTTTCCAGAGCTGGCAAGTAAAATGGAAGATCCACTCACAGGACACATGCAGCGTGTGAGGGGAATGCTTTTCAGCACTTCTTGATGGATGCACAAATAATGCCAACGTGGTAAATGTCTTTGGTAAACGTGCAATGGAATGTAGTGGTTGTGTGAAGGAAGAATTTTGTTTTCAGCTTCATTTTTGATAAACACAAGCAGCTCTGGACTGTGTGAAACCATGGAGCACTGCACAGTTAACAGAGGTGGTTTGGAGTTTTTTAGCTTTGCATAAGAGGATGTTCTGATGCAGAATCTACAGTGACAGGAAACCGTTCTGGACAAGTTACAGAATTAAGGAGCTTGTGCCGGGATGGAAATAAATCAATGACTTCTGTCTTTGAGAAGGTTTTTCTCTGCTCCTCTGTGATGGTTAATTTTTTTTTTTTTTTTTTTTTTTTTGAGATGGAGTCTCGCTCTGTCCCCCAGGCTGGAGTGCAGTGGCGCCATCTCGGCTCACTGCAAGCTCTGCCTCCCGGGTTCATGCCATTCTCCTGCCTCAGCCTCCCAAGTAGCTGGGAGTACAGGTGCCTGCGGCTAATTTTGTGTATTTTTTAGCAGAGCCAGGTTTCACCATGTTGGCCAGGATGGTCTCGATCTCCTGACCTTGTGATCCACCCGCCTTGGCCTCCCAAAGTGCTGGGATTACAGGCATGAGCTACCATGCCCCACCTTTTTTTTTCCTTTTCTTTCTTTTTTCTTTCTTTCTTTCTTTTTTTTTTTTTTGTTAGTCCTTCCCTCCAGTGTCATGGAGATAATTGGAAAATGTTTTAGAGCAAAAAAGTTTATTTCTCCTTCTTGTTGTTAGCAAAGAAATTTATTTTTCCTTCTTGTTATTTATTGGCCTTGGAGACATACACCAAATAGCTCATTCTACTTCTGAAATTTTGTTTTGATTTCCCTGGCCCTCCCCACGAAGTATTTCAGATTAGCAGGGAGTCAAGTATTGTCTGTCTATCTGTGAATAAAATATTTCAGGCTGCTTTTGCATAATATACATGCTCTTGCCTTTACGAGTCACACTCACATCTTCTGGTTTTGTAAAACACCAGGTAAAGAAGAAAACAATGTTTCTGAATTCTGCTTTATCAGCCCAGTAGAGAACTCTTCCCTTCCCTGAACTGAGGGCTACATCTAAGGGGTTGAAACAGGGCCAGTTTACAGTGATTATAAATCAAATGCCTGAAGATGCTAAGCTTAGGACAGTGTTTGCTGTACAACTTTGATAACTGAACATTTTTAAAGCTGAAAATGTGACTGTGTATGTATATGTGGCATATTATCCTTAGATGATCCTTACTTCGATTATTAAGAATTTTTTCCCCTAGTAATCTTCAACTGTCTCAATATTCAGCAGGAACCCCTTGGAGACAAAGATCAGTACGAATTTGGAACACCTATTGACAAAATGAATGTAATTTAATTTAGGACAGTAGTAAAGTCAACCACTTTTAGGTGTTGATGCTGCTGAAAGTATATATAAGTGCAGAGATGACATCCAGAACTTGTCATGAATATTACAAAAAGGTCTCTAAGGGCTTTATGGAGGTCTGTAAATTGACTTCATGTGAAAGAGTGTAAGAAGTGAAAATGTGAAGCATGACTGGAGAGCCAGAGTGATAAAGCAAGGGTCCCTTTTTCCAGATCCTTTGTAACAGTGTCATGTGACCTCTTCTAGATCATTCTGAAAGACAATGCCAGCTCGGAACCTAGGAAAGCATCCAGTGGGTTTCTGCATGTTAGGTGGTTCAAATCCTCATTAGCACCTTTGTTTTCTCTGCCTCAGTTTGCTTACAGTGATGTTCTCAGTAGCTGTAATTGCTGTCTGTCTTTGAATATTTAAGCATTTTTTTTTTAGATCACAGGGTATATGTGCATTTTTATTTTACCAAGTGTTAGAATTTTTACCCTGCCTTTGTGGGCTCTGGGTTAGCTACTTGGTTGTTTCATCGTAAAATGATTAGCAGGAAAAACTGTGTGTGTGTGTGTGTGTGTGTGTGTGTGTGTGTGTGTGTATTTTAAGTTTCTTAATTGGGTTGGGACATGTAAACCATTTAGAACAGTGCCTGCTGCATACCACATCCCCATCAGTATTCACGTCTCTCATATTCTACCCTCACACTTGATTGATAGTTTGCTTGATTATGTATTTCTAGGTTGAGGATAATTTTACCTTAGAATTTCAAAGTCTGTACTGTTGTCTTCTAACCAGTCATGGTGGTGAAGCCTCATGCCATCCTGAGTTTCACTTGTTTATGCATGACTTTCTCCCTGGAAGCTTTAGGAGTTCGTCTTTTCCTTGGTGAGCTGAAATAGCACAACAGTGTACTTAGTGTGGGTCTTTTTTCATTCATTATGCTGGGTACACCAAATGAACAGGCCTATGGATAGGCTCTTTCAAAGTTGGAGTCTTGAATCTTGTCATATTTTTGTTGTTAACTTTCTCTTTTCCATTTTATTTGTTCATTTTGAAGTGTCTGTTAATTGGATTTTAGACCTCTTGTCTTGAGTCTTGTATCTCCTGTTATTTCTAAATTTTTTTAAAATTTTAAGTTCTGGAATATTTCCTTATCTTTCGACTTTCAGGAAATTTTATTTGGACTGTCATAACTTTAAGTTTTGTTTTGGTTATTTATTGTTGTTTAACCAATTATCCCAAAACTTAATGGCATAAAACTACACATCTGTCTATCTGTCACTACTGTATGGATTACCTGGGGCTAGCTGGACAGTTTTTCTGCTGGTCTCATTTTGCAGCTTTCACTGTGTGGTTAAACAGTGTCAGGGACTGGTCATCTGGATGCTCAGCTGCAGTGGAATGTCCGAGACGGCTTCTTCACCCACAGGTCTGCTGCCTTGGTAATTCTTGATGTGGCCTTTCTCTCTGCATAGCATCTCATCCTCTCGGATCTCTTCATGTGGCTTTTCTTTCTCCAAGAAGGTAGTCAATTCTTATTTTTGGCTTCCAGAAGCACAGAAATGGAGCTGCCAGGAGTTCTTAAGGCTTAGACCTGGAACAGGTCCAGTGTCATTTCTACCACATGCTATAGGTTAAAGTGAGTGTTGGGGCCAACCCAGATTGACTATGGGATGGGCCTGTCTAAGGACATGATGACAGGAGGTATGGCTCATTGGAGACCAACTCCCAAGATGAAGCATGAGTTCTAAGAACTTTTTCTTCTCTGATTATTTCTTATTCATATTGTTTTGTTTTATGCATGTAATATATTCACAAGTGTCTTTATGAAGTGATTTTGATACTCTTTGTCTTCTCCCTGGCATCTCCTTGTTCTTTAATAATTTTTTTCCTTGGTTTATTTTGGTCTTATTTTTCTTTTTAAAGCCTTTCCTTAAATATCTATTCTATGTTGCTTATCATTTGTTGTCTTTTTTTTTTTTTTTTTTTTTTTTGAGACCCAGTTTCGCTCTTGTTGCCTAGGCTGGAGTACAATGATGTGATCTCGGCTCACCACAGCGTCTGCCTCCAAGGTTCAAGCGGTTCTCCTGCCTCAGCCTCCCAAGTAGCTGGGATTACAGGCATGTGCTACCACGCCCAGCTAATTTGTGTATTTTTAGTAGAGATGGGATTTCTCCATGTTGGTCAGTCTGGTCTGGAACTCCCAACCTCAGGTGATCCACCCACCTTGGCCTCCCAAAGTGCTGGGATTACAGACATGAGCCACCACGCCTGACCTGTAATCTTTTTTCCATTCCTTTATTTGTTCATTCATATTTGAGAGAGGTACTAAAAGACTGGGAGCCGGGGTGTGGTGGCTCACACCTATAATCTCAGTGCTTTGGGAGACCAAAGTGGGAGGATCACTTGAGCCCAGGAGCTCAAGACTAGTTTGGGCAACATAGTGAGACCCCATCTTTAAAAAAAAAAATAGCTAGGTGTGGTGACACCCATCTGCAGTCCCAGCTACTCGGGAGGCTGAGGCAGGAGGATTGCTTGAGCCCAGGAGGTTGAGGCTGCAGTGAGCTCTGATCATGCCACTGCATTCCTGCATTCCAGCCTGGGCGAAAGAGCAAGACCCTGTCTCAAAAAAAATAAATAAATAAAAATAAAAATAAATAAAAATTGATTGGGAGTTCTTTGTGGCCAAGACTTGTCAACTGATAGCTTTAAGGGGAATGTATGCTGATTCCTAATTGTTATCCTCCATCCCTCTATCTTATCTCCTGGTGCAATCATAAATGATGGCTGGATGACTACTCCATTCCTCTGGATGTAAAATCTACATTCTCTTGCCTGAGGTGGATACGTTTGCTTGGGTTCTGTTTAAGGAGATGGGGCCAGCAGTGTGTTTCAGGGCCTGTGAAATGTGTTCTCTATCCGGGCTTTTGCTTAATCTCTGTTTTCAGTCTTGCCTATCAGTCCCACTGTCGGGGGTACCTCGTGTCTGAGTCTAGAACCTTTCCAGGTTGCTGTGGGACAGATTAGCCTCCTTGTTCTCAGTATCCCCCTGACCTCCACCTTTGTTGCTTTGCTCCATGAATTAACCATTTTCCATGTACTGTCATTGTGTAATGAAGATGAATTCTCTTCTGTTGGTAACCCCATTCCTTTTTTGTAATTGTGTGCTTATACAATGTTTATTCTTCACTGTATTTCTATTGGAGCCTCAGGACAAAGAGCAGATGGTGAGAATCTATGTTCAGTGTTAAGTTTTCCTTCTGTAAGACATCTGCAACTTGTGTTTTTCACTGAATAGATCATGGACTTAATGCATATAGAGCTACTTTGTTTTTCATGATTGTGCCTTCAATTATATGTAGAAATATAATTTGTGAATTGCCTGATGAAATTTTCATAATTTTGAATTGTCTTTGCATTCCTATAATAAACACTGTTAGAATGGCTACGGTAATGTTTTATTTTTGCATTCTTCTGTATTAAATAAGATTATAGTTTTGTTTGTTTCCTTTAAGGCTGTTATTTCATTTCAGTATCAAGGGTATGCAGGGCTGAGTTGGGAAGCTTTACATCTTTTTTCTAAGATCTAGGATGTAGATCTGGTTTACACAGTAATTTTCAACTGCAGGAGTATTTTGCCTCCTATGGGACGTTTGGAAATATCTGGAGACATTTTTGTGGTCACAACTGGTCATGGTCGGGAGGTCTTATTGGCATTCTGTGGGTAGAGGGAATGTTACTAAATGCCCGACAACACACCAGGAGAACCCTCCACAAAGAATTATCTGGCCCAATATATCAATATTGCTGAGGCTGACAAATTCTGGTTTAAATAAATATCCAATTTGGAGGATGAGTCTTTGTCTTTTTCCTTCTTCTGCATATTGGTCTCCAGATTTCCCACTTCTTCAGTTAGTTTTCGTAACTGTAGGTTCTTAAAAAAAAAATGAGCACTTTGGCCGGGTGCGACGGCTCATGCCTGTAATCCCAGCACTTTGGGAGGCCGAGGCGGGTGGATCACGAGGTCAGGAGATTGAGACCATCCTGGCTAACATGGTGAAACCCCGTCTCTACTAAGCCAAAATACAAAAAATTAGCCAGGCGTGGTGGCGGGCGCCTGTAGTCCCAGCTACTCAGGAGGTTGAGGCAGGAGAATGTTGTGAACCCGGGAGGTGGAGCTTGCAGTGAGCCAAGATCACGCCACTGCACTCCAGCGTGGGTGACAGAGCGAGACTCCGTCTCAAAAAAAAAAAAAAAAAAAAAATGAACATGTCATCCATACTTCTAAGGTGTTGTAAAGATGTGTAAAGTTTTCACTTTTTGCATCATATTCACATGTGGCTATATGCCCTTTTCTCTTCAAAGTTTTCTTTATCTTGATTACTTATCAGAGGTTTGACTGTTTTATTTTCCTCAGTCTTTTGAAAGAATCCTCCTTCAGTTTTATTTTTTAAATCTAGTGGTTTTTCTTTTTCCTTTTTCCTTATGTCTTAATTATTTCCCCCTTTTTGTTTGTTTTGCTTTTCCTAGTTTAGTGGATCAATGTAATTTAAATTGCTTTTTAAACAAACATGTAAGGGTATACATTTTCGTTGGGTGCTGTTTGACTTTGTTGCACAAGTTTTAAAATCTATTTTTTAATAGTTTGTATTTTCTAAATTATTTTATTGCATCTTTTGTTCACATTGCTCTTACTATTAATTTTTTATTTTTATTAATAAATAAATAAATTAATTAATTAATTGAGATGGAGTCTTGCTCTGTAGCCCAGGCTGGAGTGCAGCAGCATGATCTTGGCTCACTGCAAGCTCCACCTCGGGGGTTCATGTCATTCTCCTGCCTCAGCCTCCCAAGTAGCTGAGACTACAGCTGCCTGCCACCACATCCGGCCTTTTTTGTATTTTTAGTAGAGATGGGGTTTCACCGTGTTAGCCAGGATGGTCTCGATCTCCTGACGTCATGATCCACCCACCTTGGGCTCTCAAAGTCCTGGAATTACAGGCATGAGCCACTGCACCCGGCCCAAAAGCTTTGTGTTTTTACAGATATTAGACATGTTTCTTGTTTAAGAAAAAAAATCTTAACGAAAACGTAGGAGAGTAAGAGAAACATTTTTCCAAAAAAGAGAAATCATTGTGATTATTTTATCTTATTAGAATGTTGGATAATATAGTCTGCTTCATTAATCATCAAGCATGCTATGCATTTTCCATTTTTATAGGATCTGTATCTCAGTTAAGATAATACTGGTAATTTTTGTACTGTAATCAAAGATGAAAAATGTAGGCCAAAATCATAGACCTTGCATAGAAGCTGGATAATGAAGACAGCTATAGAGAAAAACACAGATACACACACACGGACACACACATATATATAAAGTATACACACATATATTTTTTAAAGTTTTAAAGCTGTTAAAGCAAAAGCTGGCCCCTCTTCTCTTCCAGAGTGGGAGGCCTCTCCCCTCTCTTAGAGTGGGTGCGGAGAGCGGTCGCATGGGCAGCTTTCCTTGTGAGCCACAGGGCCCTCTGGACACGCTGCTGTCTGGCCACGCCCCCTTTCCCTTTCATCTTTCTCATTGACCAATGGGCTTGGAGCATTAAGGCCACGCCCCTATTCCGCATTCTACTGGGGCCCTGGTTACGCCTCCTCTGGCTCAGTCACACAGCTGCCTGGAAGGTGACTGGAGGCCTTGATCGGTTCTCATTGCGATTTTGCTGCTGTGGCCCCAACCCTGCCTCCCTCCCCACCCTGCGATGGCAGAAGAAACTCAACACAACAAATTGGCTGCAGCCAAGAAAAAGGTAAAAACGCACTAGGTCATAGCCCCTCAACCCAGCCACAGATCCCCTCTGATGACAAGACCCCTGCCAGAGTCTATATGACTCCTGAGGCACACTGGACTGTTCCCCCCAACCCCGGTGCCTTGGGCTACCCCCATCAAAGTTTTGTCAGTCAGCCCCACCCCTTCAGAAAGCAGCCCAGTCCTTGCCCTCGCCAATCACCCCAGGGTGACTTTGGGTGGGTGACTCCTGGGACTTCCCGCTCCGTTACTGGGCCCTCATCTCCTGCCGCCCCAAGCTTGATCTCCCTGGGCTCTTTGGGCTCTCATCTCCAAGGAGCCAGGCCCCACCCTCGCCAATCATCCCTGGGTGACTTTGGGCTGGTGACTCCTGGGACTCCCTGCTGCAGACTCTGCCCTCCCCTCCTGCTGCCTCAAGGTCGACCTCCCTGGGTTCTTTGTGCTGGCGTCTCCAAGGAGCTGGGTCCCAACCCTGTGCTTCCCTCCCCCATCGTGGAGCGGCGACTTAGACATGGTGCTGACATGGTCCCTCCCCCTGACCAGGAGGATTGGAATGTTGTGATGTCACAGCCCACCTAGTAACTGCCGTTACTGCAAGACTGGCCTTTGATCTTATGACCCAGTCCCCTAAGCGTTCTCACCCCGTTTCTGGTTCCTCTGGTCACAGGACAAATTTCCAGCTGGAAGGGGAATGGAGACTATGGGACCTAGGAGCAAGAGGTTCCAGGCTGCCTCACTCCCTTACAGATGTTGACGTTGGGAAAAGCCTACACTTCCCCCATGAACTCAAAACATTGACAGTATCTCTGGGTGGCAATGAGAGAATGGGTTTGGTTTGGTTTTCTCCCAGGCTTCTACTTTCCAGAGAGATTTTAACATTTTTTTCTGAGTTCTCCACCTCATATTCTAATTCTCCATGGTTCTGGGACCAGACTCTCCTTCAGTCAGTGGTCTCTGAAGTGACATTTGCTCATCTTCTGTGGAATAGATCTTGGGAAACTGAACTTGACACCTTGAATCTTCCTCATATTATCTCAACCTTGGGTACTTTGAGTGCCACAGGATAAATGTGGGACATCTTTCTGAAGCATCAGTTTCCCTTGATTCTCTTGAGATCAAGAGAAAAAACATGAATATACTTAGGGATGACAGTCACATAGGTTTCTAAGAGTATACCAGCCCTCTCTCTGAAATGAGGCTTGGGTTGTCCTCTTTCTGATGAATTCTGATTTAAGAGAAAGGCTGCCTTCTGCCGTGAGGACACATTGATATAAAAGTTTGAGAGGTACTGGTGCACTTCTTCACACTAACAGACGTGTGAGGATGTATGACTCTAAACCACATGGCATACAGTTCCTGCCTACTTAATGTTTACTTTTCTACCTCTGCCTCTGGTTTTGGTCCCTGGCAGCTGCTGATTCTTGGCAAAACCTCAGAGCTTGGAGTCAGAAGACTGAGTTTCAAAGTGCCAGTATTGCCTTTTTCTTTTTTTTTTTTCTAGCCATGATATCAATCCTTCTCAGTCACTAAATGAGTGTGACAACACCTTGTACAGTTGTTGGTGTCATTAAATCAGATGGTGTGTAAGTGTATTTTGTAAAAACTGTAAAGGAGGATGTGGCTGTAGGGGCTGACGGTTCTCATGAGTATTACTGCTCTTCTTTCCAACAGTTAAAAGAATATTGGCAGAAAAACAGCCCTAGAGTTCCAGCAGGAGCAAACAGGAACAGGAAAACAAATGGCAGTATCCCTCAGACAGCCACTTCTGGTGGTTGCCAGCCACCTGGGGATGTGAGTCTTGGCTGACCAGGCTTCTGGGGACAGGGGGCCCAAGGGGCAATAGAGGGTAATTGTTAAGATTGTGGATGGACTGCTGGGTACGGGTTAAGAATTCTGGCTTTAGCCGGGTGTGGTGGCCCACGCCTGTAATCCTAGCACTTTGGGAGGCCAAGGCAGGCGGATCATGACGTCAGGAGATTGAGACCATCCTGGTTAACACGGTGAAACCCTGTCTCTACTAAAAATACAAAAACATTAGCCAAGCGTGGTGGCGTGTGCCTGTAGTCCCAGCTACTCAGAAGGCTGAGGCAAGAGAATGGTGTGAACCTGGGAGGTGGAGCTTGCAGTAGCCAAGATTATGCCACCGCACTCCAGCCTGGTGACAGAGCAAGACTCTGTCTCAAAGAAAAAAAAAAAAAAGGAATTCTGGGTTTGAATCCTGCCTCTCCATCTGCTCTGCTAGGGATATGATTTAGGGCAAGTTGCTAGACCTCATCGGGCCTCTCTTTTCACATCTGTATAATAGAGGTGTTATTGTTTCACTTCCATTTGTGAAATTTTCATGAGATTTGTTATTGTTGTTTTTATGTTAATCCCTAGTACATGGCCTGCTGTAAACACTCAGGACACCCAGGATATGGTCTTTGCTGTTTGATTTTCCTCATCCCCAGTCTCAAGGGGAAGCCAGGACAATGAGAACAGCCACTTGCCATCAGGAGTCACTGAAAGGGCCCCAGGATGGGATGGTGGGGAGATAAGAACCATGAGAGAAGTTGGCACAAAGGAGTTATGGGACAAAGGGTCCAAGATAGGCAGAAAAGAAAATGTTGCCAGTTGATGGGGAAGAAAGGAAGTCAGAGGGCTCAGACACTGTGGGGGACAGAACATCTCCATGTGCACTCTCATCTCTTGTAGTCAGCAACAGGTTTTCACAGGGAAGGCCCTACATCATCTGCTACCCTGAAAGATCTGGAGGTAAGAGGCTCTGGGCAGAGGTGCAGTGACCCTTCGGGTCAGCCCTCCAACCTCCTCCTCCAGGAGGGACTGGGTGCCCCTCTGCCAGCTGAGACAGCCCACACACCCCAGCCCTAATGATTGTTCTACCTCTCCCCCGACTCCTGCTCCACCTCCTCCTCTCTGCATGAACCTCAGAGCCCGTGCCAAGAACGAGCAGTAGTCCTGGATTCAAGGTCCGTAGAAATCAGTCAACTGAAGAACACCATCAAATCTTTGGTAAGAGTCCGGTGGGGTCCCCTGATTCCACGCTGCCAATCCTGGGCTCCAGTTTCCCCTTGGGGCCCTGAAGAAAGGGGCTGGGGGTCCCTGGTGCCCGGGACAAATAGGGAGCTTGGGTGCCCAGGCCTCACCTGGAGGGACCCCAGAGCATGCAGCATGGCTCTTCTTTTGCTGCCTTCTTTGCCGACTCTCTCCTCTCCAGACACCCCTGCTCGAGTCCTTGCTACACACGCCCTGGGGTTGTTGCCTCTTGGGGAAGTGCTAGCCTGACTGGTTGTCAAGGGCCCTGTATTTCTGCCATGACTCAGTCCCTAATTTGCTCTTTGATTCTGGACAAGCCACCTCTCCTTTTTGGGCTCGTGTTTCCAGAGGAGGTAGTGAGTATCAAAGGTCTCTGTTAGCTCTCGAGTCTGAGATTTAAAGGCCCCCGAGAATGGAAACCTCAGGGCTAAGGGCTCCTGTCTGTCCTTTTCTATCCTATATCTGCTGTGAAGAACCGTACCTGGCCCATACGTGCTCAGTAGGTGTTTATTGAATGAACCCACTTTTCTAAATCACAAGCTGCCAGAAGGAGGGGCCTTTCTGAAACTCCATCTCTAGAGGTTTATGTTGCTGTCCTCTCAAGAGATTCCAGATTCAGACTTTGAGTTCTGTGGCTGTGGGCAAAAGCCCACAAAGACCCAAATCCTCTGTCCTTGGGAGCTTGAGGAGAGTTTACCAGTTCGTGTTCCCATTATGTCTGAGAACTTTGCCTTTAAAATCCATTCCTGGCCCCTGCCTACCGCTTCCTGGTCTGGGGAATAGAGTTGAGGGGGCCACCCTCCATCACCTTATTTGACTCTCCCCACAGAAACAACAGAAGAAGCAAGTGGAACATCAGCTGGAAGAAGTAACGTGATTTCGTTTCCTTGCAACATGACTGCTGGAAGAAGGCTCACCCTTCAGATTCCACCCCATCCCCTCAGGGCCCCGATAACCTGGTCCCATGGGTGGGCCTGTCCTGGGGCATTGGTGGCATTCTGGGGGCATGTCTCTTGCTGTGCCATCTCTGCCTCCCCCTGGTAAGAGCTCTGTCTTCCTCTTCCTACAGGAAAAGAAAGCAAACAACAAGAAACAGAAAGCCAAAAGGGTGCTAGAGGTGAGTGGAGGGTGTGCAGTTTCCTCCTGTCCTCCGGAGAAGGTTTCTTTCCTTCTCTTTCAGCACTTGCTTGGCTTTTCTCCCAAAGGTTCAAATCCAGACATTGAACATACAGAAAGAGGAACTAAATACGGACCTGTACCACATGAAACGTTCTCTCAGATACTTTGAAGGTGGGAATCTGGGCACCCTGTCATCCTTCAACCTGGCACTTTGACAGGTCTTCAGGGGGAGTCCTTTGGGCCCCATCTCAACTCTCTCATTACAGAAAAGTCCAAGGATCTGGCTGTCTGCCTGCAACATTCATTGCAGCGTAAAGGAGAGTTAGAGAGTGTTCTCTCTGATGTCATGGCCACACAGAAGAAGAAGGCAAACCAGGTGAGTCCAACCACCTGCCCCATCCCCTGGGAGTCTGCCTTTGCAGATGGAGGAGTGAGCCTAAAGGTCCCTTCTGCAGGATGGCGTGTCCTGCCCAGAAGGCAGCATGGCCATTTCTTGCTACTTTTTTGTATGGTTTTTAGTGGCAGCCTGGGGCTGAGTCAGCTGCTGTGGGTGAGTTGGGGGTCACTGTGTGGAGTGAGCACTGGACGCAGAGCTTGGAGGCCAAGTGCCTGCCCCGCCCTTACCTGGCTGTGGTCTTGGGCAAGTCCTAGGTGGGGTATTGGGTACTTGTACTGTGAAGGTACAGAAGAGTACCTTTAGTATGTTACCATTTCTGTAGAAAGAGGAAACGTGTGCATGTGTGTGTGTGTGTGTGTGTGTGTGTGTGTGTGTGTGTACATACTATGATAATATACATAAAACATGTCTGCAAGGGTTCATAAAAAATTCAGGAGAGAGCAACAAGATGGCCGGGAGATACTTCCCTTCTGTACCTTCTGAGTTTTGGACTATGCAAATGTATCATCCTTTCAAAAAGTGAACAAAAGATTAATTTTCCCCTTCCTATCTGTGGTTGTGAGGATTAAATGGGATTGCTAGCATGGTATCTGGTGAAGCACTCCATAAAAGTTCAAACAGTGGTAATAATAACGGTAATAACAATAGCAATATTATCTGATCTCTCTGGGCCTCTGTTAGCCAGCTATAAATTCAATCTCATTCCCTGTCCGTTCCAACTTTACTGTGTTCTTTTAAAAACCAGACCATGGGCTTGGAAATGCCATGATCTTTACTGACCGAGTTGTATATTGGGCCTAGCCCTAGCCCTGTTAAGGGGCACTGTGTGGAAATGCCCAGGCTCTCCAGATTGAAACTTCTCACTCTTTGCCATCCAGTTGTCCAGCCCCAGTAAAGCAGGTACGGAGTGGAAGTTAGAGCAGTCCATGCGGGAGGAGGCACTACTGAAAGTGCAGCTGACACAGGTGAGGTTTTCTGAGGGAGTTATGTGGAAGGAAGATGACCCCAGGTGGCCAGGAGCAGGTGAGGACCAGTGACAGCCCTTCCTAACTTCTGTGCCCATTCTTGCAGTTGAAGGAGTCATTTCAACAACTCCAATTAGAAAGACATGAATATGCTGAACATCTAAAAGGAGAGAGGGCCCGGTGGCAGCAGAGGATGAGAAAAATGTCGCAGGAGGTGAGATCTGACCCTTCAGCCCCCCCACATTAGATAGGTCACTGGATCTTTCTGGGCACCTGTAAAATGGGAATAGTACAGCCAGAGGTGGTCATGGGTCTGGGCTTTGTGGAGGTGGGGGCAGAGAGGGAGAGGGCAGCCTGTCCAGCCTCCAGCCCCTCTCTCCAGGGCCCTTTCCCCTTGTGCTTTGGGCAGATTTGCACATTAAAGAAAGAGAAGCAGCAAGATATGCGTCGGGTAGAGAAGCTGGAGAGGAGCTTGTCCAAACTCAAACACCAGATGGGTAAGATGGGGCTGGCATGACCTGGCAGCAGGACTGGCATCAGAGGGCTGTGAGGGTGGCTTAGAGTGCCCCAGGGAGGTGGGTGGATGGAAGGGCTTTGAGGCAGAGGGAAAGAGGTCTGTGCCAGGAGACGGCAAGTCTTGTCATCTCAATGAGTCTCAGTGTCTCAGTGTCCCCATCAGCAAAGAGGGCCCGTTGCCAGCCACCCGCAGTGCTCTTTCTCTGAAAGTGCTTTGGAAGACTGGCTACCATCTGGGTGCGAGGAATCATTAGCAGTGAGGCCAAGTTTGAGGAGCCTGAGAGGAGCTGTGGACCAAGAGGAGGTTTTTTCTTTTCCGAGAATCCAGAGGCCCTTATTATCTGCTTCCTTTCTCAGCTGAACCCTTGCCCCCGGAGCCCCCAGCAGTGCCCTCTGAGGTGGAGCTGCAGCACCTGAGGAAGGAACTAGAGAGAGTGGCAGGAGCGCTCCAGGCCCAGGTCAAAAACAATCAGCGCATAAGTCTCCTGAACCGGGGACAAGAAGAGAGGATTCGGGAGCAGGAAGAGAGGCTTCGGAAGCAGGAGGAGAGGATTCAGGAGCAGCACAAGAGCCTTCAGCAGCTGGCCAAGCCACAGAGCGTCTTCGAGGAGCCAGTGCGTTGCCCAAACTGGGGAGCCTGCCCTCCTCCCTAGCCCTCCGGGCCTTTGTTTCCCCACCTCTAAAATGGGGCAGTGTAGCCCTCACATGAAATGTTACTTCTAAAGGCACCTGTGAGCCAGGTGGCTGTGGGAGAGAGGGGGTGATTTTTCTAACCTGTCTCCAGCCTTCCCAGTGCCATGGGAGGCAGACACCAAGTTCTGGGGTCTCCAGCTGCAGTGGGTGGCTGCTGATTGCTTCTCTCTGTCCAGAACAATGAGAACAAGAGCGCACTGCAGTTGGAGCAGCAAGTAAAGGAGCTACAGGAGAAGCTTGGTGAGGTGAAGGAGTCGGAAACCTCCACCCCATCCAAGAAGGGCTGGGAGGCGGGCAGCAGCCTCTGGGGAGGGGAGGTACCAGGCCAGAGGCAGCTTCCAGCCTGGGGGCTGGTGACCACAGCACCCCCCAGGGCAGTCCTGTTTCTTGCTTCCTGCCTCTGACTTTTAAAGGTGGGTAGCCCTGGGCTCCTCTCAGGTCTGGACATCATCATCCTAGCTAGAGGCATGGAGCCCCCAATCACAGGGGAAGAGACAGTGGTATAACAGGCTCCTTATGCCAGGTGCAGTGGCTCATGCCTATAATCCCAGCACTTTGGGAGGCTGAGGCAGGAGAATCACTTGAGGTCGGGAGTTTGAGATCAGCCTGGCCAATGTGGTAAAACCTCATCTCTACTAAAATTACAAAAAAAAAAAAAAAAAATTAGCAGGACATTGTGGCACATGACTGTAATTCCACCTACTCGGGAGGCTGAGGCACGAGAATTGCTTCAACCCAGGAGGTGGAGGTTGCAGTGAGCTGAGATTGCACCACTGCACTCCAGCCTGGGCCACAGAGTGACACTCTTGTCTGAAAACAAAACAAAAAGACTCCTTAGATTAAAACTGGATTCCAGCCTCGGTTCCACTGGTCACCATTCAAGTACTTTGCATCTCTAAGTCTCTGTTTCTTTAACTTCAAAGGGAAGTTAGCATTTTCCTTACAGAGGTGCTGAGGATTAAATGAGAAGAGGGTATGAGATTTGAGGCTGGGGAAGGAGGCATGGGGTTCTAGGAAAGGGAGGCAGTCACTTAGGCCTGGAGTAAGGGGACAGGGGCCTGGGCAGCTGACAGAGCCCCACAGTGCCCTCGCTACCCTATTAATGGGCCCAGAATCTGGAAACCAGCCACCATGTGCCCTCACACCCAGGGTCTTCCTGCAGGTGGAGCTGAAGAGCCAAGAGGCTCAGAGTCTGCAGCAGCAGCCAGACCATTACCTGGGTCACCTGCAGCAGTACGTGGCCACCTATCAGCAGCAGGTGGCCGCCTATCAGCAGCTGACCTGTGAGAAGGAGGCGCTGTACAGGCAGTGACTGCAACAGACCCAGCTAATGAACCAGCTGCAGCAGCAGGAAGCTTGGGGCAAAGCAGTGGCTGACATGGCCTGCCAAAAGTTGCAGGAGACCCAGGGGAGGGAGCTGCGGAGGATGGGGCTGTGAGGGGGACGACCTGGCAAACTCCATCCCTTCTCACTCTTTCCTGGCCCCTTAGGAGCACCTGGAAGCTGCCAGCCAGCAGAACCAGCAGCTAACAGCCCAGCTGAGCCTCATGGCTCTCCCTGGGGAAGGTACGGGAGACCGCTCAGAGGAAGAGGAGAGAGCCCCAGGAGGAAGGGGGGACTGCTAGCAGCATAGGATTGAGGAGTTGGAAGAGACCTTTAGAACAGCTGGTCATTATGCCGACCGGGTGCCTGCACTAAGTTGGGCATCAGTGTGGTGACCTCCTGTGAGCGGGGGGTCACCAAGTTGCCTAAGGATGGCTGAACTGGCCAAGGTCAGAAAGGGAGCAGGTCAGAACTCCCACATCGACCAGTAGTGGGAATGTGCCTGGGCGGAATAGCAAGATCTTGATTCTTAAAAGTAAAAATAAAGAACAACAGCTCATTCCTCTCTGGGGAGGGCCTGGCTCAGGATTACACAGTGAGGGTGGAGGCAGAGGTGGGCCCACAGTACCTCCCTTGTTGGGTTGTCTGAAGACCCCTCTGGCCACCCCCCACAGGACACGGAGGAGAACATCTGGACAGTGAGGGGGAGGAGGCACCTCAGCCCATGCCGAGTGTCCCAGAGGACCTGGAGAGCAGGGAGGCCATGGTGAGCCTGACTCCCCCTGCACCCATTTTGCCACCTTCCTCTGTGGTCCCTCCAAGACCCCTTTATGCTCTTCGTTTCCCTGCCTTCTGATTTCTCTGGACCCTCACCCCTTCCGAGAGCCAGTGGTCAGACACCATTTCACCTGTGGCCAACAGGTGCACTCTCTGAGGCCCCAAGGGAAGGGGCTGCGCTCCACCTCTCTGCCCCATTTCTTCTGTGTATGCCCCTAGAAGAATGCTCACATCTTGCCCTCAGGTGGCATTTTTCAAGTCCGCTGGAGCTAGTGCCCAGGAGAAGCAGGCACAGTTACAAGAGCAGGTGAAAGAGCAGAGGGTGTGCTGCCAGCGCCTGGCTCACCCGGTGGCCTCGGCCCAGAAGGAGCCAGAGGCAGCCAGAGGCCCTGGAGCCCCAGGGCCTGGGGGCGAGTCTGTGAGTGGGGAGACCCACCGGGCCCTGCAGGAAGTCACGGAGAAGCTGGCCCATGGCAGGACTCACCTCCACCTTCTCCATGACTTGAAAATGCCACCTGAGGGCAGGTCGCTGCCGAGATGTGACTGCAATATTTTGGCTCCAGAGCAGCTTTATGGACCACCTGGAGGAGAAGGCAGACCTGAGTGAGCTGGTGAAGAAAAAAGAACTCTGCTTCATCCACCACTGGCGAGAGAGATGCCATCAGTGAGTGGGAGGCCAGGGCACGGCAGGGGGAGCTACAGGGCCGTTGGAGGGGCCCCAGCGTCTGAGCCCTGTCCTCCCGCAGGAAAACCCATCACCTTTTATCAGAACCAGGGGGCCATTCCAAAGATGCAGCACTGGGAGGAGGACACCATCAGGCTGGAGCTCAGGGAGGAGATGAAGGTAGGTTGTGCAACATCTCTGTGGGGGTGGGGGTGGGGGTGGGTGTGAGGGTGGGCGCAGGCAGCGGCATGGCAGCTGAGCACCCCTCCCTCCAGGTGAAGCTGCTGGAGCTGCAGCAGATGGTATTGCGGCTTACAGCAACTACAACAATGGGCATAGAAAATTCCTGGCCGCTGCCCACAACCCTGCTGATGAGCCCGGTCCAGGAGCCCCAGCTCCCCAGGAGCTTGGGGCTGCAGACAAGCATGGTGGTGAGTAGAGCCCTCAGGTGGGGTGGGCAGGCAGGAAGAGGGGGCTCCCACTGTGCTCAGATCCCTGCCTCCCTCTCTCCAAAGATCTTTGTGAGGTGAGCCTCACCTCCTCTGCCCAAGGAGAGGCCAGGGAGGGTTCTCCCCACGACAAGCCTACTGCACAGCCGATCGTGCAGGACCACCAGGAGCACCCAGGCTTGGGCAGCAACTGCTGTGTGCCATTCTTTTGCTGGGCTTGGCTGCCAAGAAGAAGGAGATAAACATCACCATCATCAAACAGCTGCTCAAGAAATTTTTAAATAAGAAACCAAGTTATGGGGTTAATCTCCTACACAATTCATTTACTTCCTTTGAATGTTAGAGTCACTCATGATTATTTGTGTTTCTAATTTATAGTTTAAGTTTATTTATAAAAAGTTAAAAGAGAGTGGGTGTCTGTGGCTCTCACTGATGTTCACTCTGGCATCCTTTTAGCATTTTTCTTTTTTAATTTCATAATTGTAGGTCATTAGCATGCATATCGAGTTTGCCCTTACGTGGTGGGAGTTCAAACACACAAAGACCCACTCTTTGCCCAAAACTGTTCTCGCTGGTTTGGAATAGGCTGCCATGCTTTTTTAATGTTATTGCAGCATGTATATTCACTATAGAATTCAGACAAAATTTGCCTATGTTCTGCTGTTGTTTGATCTAATCTTAATCACAGTGAGCTCTTCGTTAGCTCAATATGTAGTTTGCCCCCAAGTGTGCACTGTTTATTACTTTGTAATATGCCACTATGAGTACTGACATTTAGAGTTGTTTAAAGGCCAAGAACTGGAAACAGCCTTTCCTCCATTTTCTGTGTATTGGTGATGGGAGTGATAACCTTTTGGGGGAGCTTTTTAAATCTCACAGAAGAGGAAAGTGGCCTCCTCTGGCAGGTATGTGCAGGATAGAGTGTGTTTCATCTGTTCCGGTGCCAGGAATTAGCAGTGTATTATGGTGGTTCCCTTAGGATTTCTATGTGCTCTGGGCTCATGAAGATATTGCATCATGAGCTGCAGCAGTTGCACTCTTTTTGGATGACCTAAAAAGGGCTTATTTCTGAGGAATGAAAGGTTCCCATCGTTGACTGTGGATGTGGAAAACCTTTCCTAGCTTAGAGCATTTGTATCTACAATACATTTTAAAGTCAGAGTTCATGTTACCTGTTTTAATCACATGACTACATGTCCCAGTACACAAAAGGGCACTGGTTGGCATTCTTCTTAATGTATTTAGTGAAGATCATAACAAATCCTTTATGAGTTCAAACGTCCCTGGAACAGGCATACAGGCTCTAGTCAAGAATGAATTAGAGTGAAGGAAAGCTGTGTGACACCTGGAATTCCTCTCTGTTCACGGATATTCTTTGAGGCTTGAAGATTGATTTTACCATCTAGACCTCTTTGGCTAATACCTATTCTTCAACCACCTTGGTTACTCTGACATAGGAATTTACTTCCTTTTCCTTGAATGGAAAACACTTTAAAAAATAATAGAAACATTATTATAAACTAATATATGTGAGATACTTAGTTGAAACAAAAAGGAGTTTTAGTAGACGGTATTATACTATCTTTGAAAATCAAGGAGAAGTTTATGAAACTTAAAATGTGTACAAACTGCAGTGCAATCTACTGTTCGTGAATGTCAATGTATTATCAGGAAACGTGTCTATACAATCACAGAGTTATATTTTCTCACAGACTTCTTTACAAAGTGAAATATGTTTTTGTACCTCTGGGTTTCTGTTCGGGACATATTTTGTGCAATATTTATGTGATTGTGCCTATGCATGATGAATGAATGCATTTCAGTTATATATTGCCTAAATCGTAACTTGATGATGCTTGGGAAAGACTCAACAGTTAAAACTTCATGAAGTTCTAATGTCTGTGTTCCAAAACACATCACATTGTTAGGATGCAGGGAGATAGGTGTGTGTGCTCCCTGCGGTGGGGATTTCTAGTTACTAGATCATCTCCATTTTTAGCATTTGGCATCCTCATGATACTTCTATAAATATGACATTAACAGGAGAGCAACAATACGATTTTACCGATGGAATAACAGATTTGCTGGCATTCACTGAAAGAGTGCAAATATTCGGTCCTTGTGACTTCAACTGACTCTTCCAAATTTTATGAATGTATCAATGTATTAGATAAACCCAGTTTCAGAATGATAAAGAAAAAATGTTAGACCAAATAATGCGGCTAATTAACAGTGGTACGATTTGTAGCCCGTGGGTTTAAAATGCACTTAAAGTCCTGTTCTCGCCTTTTATTTTCTGAACTTGCCGCTTTTGCATTCTTTGAGTTCAGTTTAAAGACGGTTACTTTAAGAGAATTTTAAACCCTCGGGCTAGAAATCGGACCACTGTTAATCAGCCACATTATTTGGTCTAACGTTTTTTCTTTTATCATTCTGAAACTGGGTTTATCTAATACATTGATAAATTATTTCAAAGGTACTTTTATCGTTGAAATCACTTCACTTTTACCCTGATAAATATCAGTGACTAGGAATGACCTTCGGATAGCGTTTAGCATCTGTAACCAATCTGACAATAATGTGTTCATGAGGTGCCTATGGATTAAATCACACACTGGCATATTTAAGCTGAAGGTCAGTCTGGAAAATAAATTTACTATATTGACTGAAATACCACTCTTTGTGTAGGTATTTGTCATATATTTAAGAAAAAGCTAAAAAGAATGGAAATTGTATGACAATAACTTAAGTCTTTCTCCAAAGTGCATGCAGTCTTTTGCGATACCTCATTCAGCCGAGTATTTGTGCTCTTCCTCATTTGGTATAAGGCAGCTTTCAGTTTGCTTAGAAGGCAACATTGGAATGTTAGAGTTCATCAGAAACACAGAATTTTAAACTGTGAGTTCCACTGAATACATTTTAATTTCTGTAGGAAGAATCAAAATACCTATTTAAAGATGGCAATATATAATAATCATTTTAAAAGTATTTGATTAAACCTGATAATTTTCCAGAAATGAAAAAAAAAATCAGCTCTAAAACCAAAGCTGATTTTAGAAAATTTGAAAATGTAAATCAGCCCTATCCATAATATAGTTTCTCTAAAACTTAATTTTAAAGAGTCGTTTTAAAATAATATAATTATTAAAATATGTAACTGCTATCTTAATGTTCTGAAATAATTTAAAACATTTTAAAATATGAATACTGTAGTATAAAAGAAAGAAACAGTGGGAACGAAAAGCAGAGAAAGAAATGCCAATTCCAGTCCAAAGTTTTATTTGCCAAGTTTTCTTAGAATGAATTTTACCAGTTTATGAATTATTGTAAACAGAATGTGTAATGGAAATACTGAAAGATTTTTCCCTAGAGTGGCCTTATTGACTGCTGGTGTGATGCCACTGTAATGTAATAAATTATTAAGTTGTTTGAATGTGTTGTTTTTGCCTTAAAATTTTATTTTGCGTTTCTTGAAAACTATAGTATTAAAGGTATTGATACTGTGCAAATGCTGGGCATGCTTGGCATGAGATAATGTGTTTCATTTTTACAAAGTTGTAATATAACTATGCAAGTGTTTATTAAAAACCAAAATAAAAAAGTTATGGGTTTATTAAAAAACTTTTATTAAAGTTTTATAAAAAGTTATTTTATTAAATAACTTTATTTAAAAAAGTTATGGGGTGAAAAAGTTATGGGATAAAAATGTAAAAAAGTTGTGGCAAAAAAACTTCTGGGAAAAAAGTAGAAAAAAGTTTTATGAAAAGTTACAAAAAAAGTTATGAAAAAGAAGTTATGGGATTTTTTTAAAAAGTCATGGAATAAAAATAAAAATTAAAAGCAGGCCCCTGTCAGCAAAGCCTGGAGAAGTGGGGCTGGAGTCTCCACCGCCACCATGTCCCTACCACCTCTTCCCAGGCACCCCTTTACAATTAGGGTAGCAGCACAAGACCTCTGTCTAATGGGGAAAGACAAACAGACCATTTGCCACCTTGAGCAGGGCTGAGTCCCTAAATTTCTGGATGATGATGATGATTGTTATTTAAGAGCCAGAGGCTGGTGGAGTTGGTTTGTTTGGAGGAGGCCTGATGGTCCCCTTACTCTCACCATGGCAACGTTTCCCTCAGGGGGGCTCCCATCTTCTTATTCAGAGAGGTAGCTGAGGCCGGAAAGCGGGGCTAACTGTGGACCAGCGAGGGCATGGGCTGCTGGGGTGGCCCACCTTCCCCGGTGTACATACTGTGTCTGTGTAACATTTTGTATATTCCAGAGGGTAGGGCTGCCCCTGTATCATACCTAGCAGAGGTTGGAGCTGGCACATGGGGAGGAGGTTCTAATAATTATTTGTGGCTGGGAAACTTATTTATTGCTAGCGTAGGACAGAGGAAGGAGGCGGGGATGGGGTCGTGGCTCTCTGGTGGTATGATCACAGCTTACTGCAACCTCCAACTCTTAGGCTCAAGTGATCCTCCCACCTCAGCCTCCCAGGTAGCTGGGAGTATAAGCATGCACTACTATGCCCGGCTAATTTTTAAATTTTTTTGTAGAGAAAAGGTCTTACTATGTTGCCAATGCTAGTCTTGAACTCCTGGCCTCAAGTAATTCTCCCATCTTGGCCTCCCAAAGCACTGGGATTACAGGCATGAGACATTGCTCCTGTCCATTAGGTTTTCTCTTTATTACTGTTTTGTTGTTGTGGTTGTTGTTTTGTTTTGTTTTGTTTTGTTTTTTGACAGAGTCTTGGTCTGTTGCCCAGGCTGGAGTGCCGTGGTGTGATCTCGGCTCACGGCAACCTCTGCCTCCTGGTTCAAGCAATTCTCATGCCTCAGTCTCTCGAGTGTCTGGGGTTACAGGCATGAGCCACTGCGCCCCTGGCTAATTTTTGAATTTTTAGTTGAGACAGAGTTTTGCCGTGTTGGCCAGATTGGTCTTGAACTCCTGCCTCAAACAATCCGCCCTCCTCAGCCTCCCAAAGTGCTGGGATTACAGGGGTGAGCCACTGCTCCTGGCTAAGATCCCATCTCTATTTAAATAAAAAAAGAAAATTCAGAGCATGTGGAATACAGAACACCAAAGTCCAAAGTTATTTACCTCTCTGAGGTAATCTGTGTAAACAATTTGAAATATATCTTTTCAAGTTCATGCTTGCTATGCATATACATACATATACACACATACGTTGACATAGTCCCCCTTCCCTGCTGTCATGCTATTAGAGTCTTCTTTTTTTTGTAGAAATTGGACCAACTCTATGTTCTTTGCTGGCCCATATTTCTCCTATTCAGTGATGTGTTACAAATGTGTGTTTAAGTCAATGTATGCAACTCTTCAATATCATTTTAAAAGGTTAAATATACGATCATATGAAGGCATTAGAATTTATTCCAACAGTTCCATTTTGCACATTTAATAATTTCCATTGGTTTGCCAGGGAGAACATTCTCGCGTCATGGCTAAATCCTTTTGTATGGCCATCCTTAATTATTCCCCTAAGATAAACTTTTAAATAAAGTTGCTAGATGAGTCTCATTTCTTAAAAAGTTCTTTTTTGGTAGTTTATATGTAACACTGTAGTTTTATATGTACTTGCAAATAGCTATAGTGCCAGTAAAAAATGTGATAAAATTAAACTCTTTCACGTATGCCAAATATATTTTGATTTAGTGCTTCATTAAGTGCATGATTACAGTCTCTATATCTTTTGATTTACCTTTCTATCTTTACAATTTTCAGCCCAGATACTTAGAGGTCACATAGTAAATTAAGGTTTTCTTTTTATAATAATCCCCATCTTTCTAAATTTGGTGAGTCACAGTAAGTTATTTTTTGGTTGTTGAAAGCTGTGGCTCTGTTCTAAATTTGAGCCCAGAAATCATGCCACTTACAAAATATGCTTTGTCTTCCAACATCAGAGTGTGTGGTAGAAGGTGACTGTTCTTGGAATTTAAAAAATCTAAACAGGACAAGACAAGAATATGGAAAATATTTCTGTTTCTGATAATATGGCTGAGTAGGTACTCTGCAAAGCCTCCGTCATAAAATAGACATTCTGGATGGTCCTTGCAAAGACATATTTGATCTTGCCAAAAAAAAAAAAAAAAAAATCCAGAATCTCTAAGAATGAAGATGAAGTGAAAATCAGAAGGGCTACTATGAGAATAATGGGGAAGCAGCCCCAGTTATCAAGGGATGTTTGCATGTGTTCAATAAAAAGTTTCAAACCTAAAAAAAGTTAAGAAAAATAATATAACTGCCCTACATACATACATCATCAACAATTTTTCATTCATGGCATGGCCAGTTTTTGTTTTGCTTTTTTTTTTAAAGGTGGGCTTTTGCTGTGGTTGCCCAGGCTGGAGTGCAGTGGCATGATCTTGACTTACTGAAACTTCTGCCTCCCAGGTTCAAGCAATTCTCCTGCCTCAGCCTCCTGAGTAGCTGGGATTACAGGCACCCGTCACAACATCCGGCTAATTTTTGTATTTTTAGTAGAGATGGGGTGTCACCACGTTGGCCAGGCTGGTCTTGAACTCCTGACATCAGGTGATTTGCCTGCCTCGGCCTCCCAAAGTGCTGGGATTACAGGCGTGAGCCACCGCACCTGGCCACATCCTGTTTTGTTCCATTTGTATTCCCACTTCATTTATATACATTCCTTCTTCCTCTGAATTATTTTTAAGTAAAACCTATATATCATATCATTTTTAAAATTACCTTATATGTATCTGTAGAAGACAAGGAATTTTTAAAAATAAATATACTCATAACACCATTAAATATCAAAAAATTAATACATTCTGAAAATAGCCACAAATCCAGAGTTCACATTTTCTTGACTTTCTCATATGTGATTTTTTCTAGGTTATCTATTTCAATCAGATACCTGTTTGCTCATATTTACATTCCTAACTGAACAATGTCTGAAGAGGTACTTAAACCTGACATAAAACGCAAATGAGCTTATGACCAAATGCTTAGTGCAAGAAAAAACTTCACACTGCAAGATGAGTCCCTCCAAATACAGAAAGGACCAGTATTTTAAGAGGTATGTTAACTACAATGTTGCAGTGTATGGAGCAGAGCAGGAAGAACCTTTAAGTCTGAAAAGTACAAGTAAATTTCATAGTTTCCCTGGTCCTTCCACAACAACCTCTGGCATCTGTTTTTTCTACAATGGAGGTAACAGTAGCTCTTTCAGAGCAGGAAAAGGCTTAGAGCAGTGCTAGAAGAGGGTGGTGGCTATATAAAGTGTAGCTATTTGTATATTGTAACAAACCAACTTTTTTTTTTTTTTTTTTTAAGTCAATAGTAGATTTCTTTTGGAAAAATAGCAGCCTCCTGTCTGGGGACACCTGCAGTTCCACTAAGTGAACATTGGTGTCTGCTCACCTTTGCCTCTATTTCTCTCAATAATATACTCTTAAGCTGTTCCCTGATTTAGCAATTTTATATACTTTCTTTTTCTTTATTTTTTTTTTCCTTTCCCTTTTCCTGAGACACTGTCCCGCTCTGTCGCCCAGTCTGGACTGCAGCAGTGCCAACATGGCTCACTGCCACCTCCACCCCCTGGCTCAAGCAATCCTCCTACATCAGCCTTCAGAGTAGCTGGGACTACCCGCCGGGCCCACCAGGCCAGGCTAATCTTTATGGTTTTTGTTTTGTTTTTCTGTTAAGAGACCTGGTGTCGGGTCAGGTGCAGTGACTCACGCCTGCAATCCCAGCACCCCAGAAGGTGGAGTCCGGCAGATCACCTGAGGTGAGGAGCTGGAGACCAGCCTGACCAACATGGAGAAACCCAGTCTCTACCAAAAAAATAAAAAAATTAAAAATTAACTTGGCATGGTGGCTCACGCCTGCAATCCCAGCCACTCAGGAGGCTAAGGCAGGAGGACCACCCAAACCCGGGAGGTGGAGGCCACGGGGAGCTGAGACCGGGCCACTGCACTCCAGCCTGGGCAACAAGAGCGAAACTCTGCCTCAAAAAAAAAAAAAAAAGACCGGTTTCACCACGTTGCCCAGGCCGGTCTGGATCTCCTAGGCTCAATCGATCCTCAGTGCTCGGCCGTCCAAAGTCCCAGCTGGGATCACCAGCGTGAGCCACCACGCCAGGCCAATCTGTTCCTTTCTGATTAATAAATTGGGCCGGTCACAGTGGCTTATGCCTGGAATCGCACCACCCCGAGAGGCCGAGGCGGGTGGATAACCTGCAGTCGGGAGTTTGAGACCAGCCTGACCAATGTGGAGAATACTCGTCTATACTAAAAAAAAAAAAACAAAAAATACAAAGTTAGCAGGTATGGTGGTTCACACCTGCAATCCCAGCCACTCGGGAGGCTGAGGCAGGAGAACCACCCAAACCCAGGAGGCGGAGGCCCAGTGAGCTGAGTCCACGCCACTGCACTCCAGCCTGGGCAACAAGAGCGTAACTCCACCTCAAAAAAAAAAAACAAAACAAAAACAAAAAACAAAGCGACCGGGTTTCACCGTGTTGCCCAGGCTGGTCTGGAACTCCTAGGCTCAAGCGATCTGCCGCTCTCGGCCGTCCAAATTCCTGGGATCACAAGCATGAGCCACCACTCCAGGCCAATCTATTCCTTTCTAATTAATAAATTGGGCCAGGAACGGTGACTCAAGCCTGCAATCCCAGCACCCAGGGAGGCCGAGGCGGGCGGATCACCTGAGGTCGGGAGTCTGAGATCAGCCTGACAAACATGAAGAAACCCCGTCTCTACCAAAAAAAAAAAAAAAAAAAAGCCGGGCATAGTGGCTCACACCTGCAATCCCAGCCACTTGGGAAGCTGAGGCAGGAGAACCAACCAAACCCGGAGAGGGAGGCCACAGGCAGCCGAGACCACGCCACTGCACTCCAGCCAGTCAGCAAGAGCGAAATTCTGTCTCAAAAAAAAAAAAAAAAAAAAAAAAAGAGACCAAGTTTCATCATGTTGCCCAGGCCAGTCTGGAACTCCTAGTCTCAAGTGATCCCCCGCGCTCAGCCATACAAAGTCCTGGGATCAATCGTGAGCCACCACGCCAGGCCGATCAGTTCCTTTATGATTAATAAATTGGGACTTGCGCAGTGGCTCACGCCTGAAATCCCAGCACCCCTAGAGGCCGAGGCGGGCAGATAACCTGAGGTCGGGAGTTTGAGACCAGCCTGACCAACATGGAGAAACCCCATCTCCACCAAAAAAATAAAAAAAAAAAAAAAAAAAAAAAAAAGAGCCGAGCATGATGGCTCACGCCTGCAATCCCAGCCACTAGGGAGGCTGTGGCAGGAGAACCACCCAAACCGGGGAGGCAGAGGCCCGGCGAGCTGAGTCCACACCACTGCACTCCAGCCTGGGCAACAAGAGCGGAACTCCGCCTCAAAAAAAAACAAAAACAAAAAACAAACAAAAAAAGTGACCCGGTTTCACCATGTTGCCCAGGCTGGTCTGGAACTCCTAGGCTCAAGGGATCCAACACGCTCGGCTGTCCAAATTCTTGGGATCACAAGCGTGAGCCACCACACCAGGCCGATCTATTCTTTTCTGATTAAGAAATTGGGCTGGGTGCGGTGGCTCACACCTGCAATCCCAGCACCCCGGTGGCTCATGCTTACAATCCTGAAGCAGGATTTTTAAGGAATTAGAGAGACTGATGGGGTTTAGGAGGTTATTAATTAATTATTTACGTGCATTGACCCAGTCGGATTAACATTTAAAGCACTGAGTTCTGAACAAGACTTACCTTTTAAGCATTTTATGGGGTGGGGGTAGATCTGTGCAGGGTGAAGCATATGATAGAAGTGAGAAACAAAGATAATTGTTCAATTGAATCATGCATTATATTATTTTTTCCTTTTTTAGGAAAAATATGTTTTGTAACTTGAGTTTGTTTAGTGACCTTGCAGTTGTACAGTTAGGGAATTAGGGTTTTTATAATGCCCGGGAAGGGAGGAGAGATAAGGCTCACTGCCATAGAAAAGCAGGAGGTAGTAGTTTTTTTTGAAGGACTCTAGCTCTTCTCTTTCTCAGGGGGAATTGGGTTTTTTTACATACAACTGAGTTTTTGTTTACACATTTTTAAATTTCTTTTAATTCCTGTTCCCATCCCAGCACCCTGAGAGGACGAGGCAGGCAGATAACCTGAGGTCGGGAGTTTGAGACCAGCCCCACGAACATGAAGCCCCATCTCCACCAAAAAAAAAAAATAAATAAATTAGCCGGGCATGGTGGCTCAGCCTGCAGTCCCAGCCACTCGGGAGGCTGAGGCAGGAATATTTTCTCCCTCCCTTAGATAAAAGATAGCATATACCATTGTGCACTTTGTTTTTTGACCTGGGGTGGGGTCTCACTCTGTCACTGAGGCTGGAGTACAGTGGTGTGATCTTGGCTCAATGAAACCTCTGCCTCCTAGACTCAAGCTGTCTTCCCACCCCAGCCTCCAGGGTAGCTGGAACCACAGGTGTGTGCCACCACACCCGGCTATTTTTTTTGTATTTTTGGTAGTGACTGGGTTTTTCCATGCTGCCCAGGCTGATATCGGGCTCAGGCGATCCACCTGCCTCAGCCTCCCAGAGTGTTTTCAAAGTGCTGGGAATTACAGGTGTGAGCCACTGCATCCGGCCCATTTTGCACCTTTTTAAACTTCTCTTAGAGATCACTTCATATCTGTTTATAGAAATGTTCTTCATCTTTTTTAAAATTAGTACTTTGTAGTGTGGATGTACCACTTTTTTATTCAGTTAGGTTTTTTTTGACATTTGAGTGTTAGGTCTTTTTTTCTGACATTACAAGACTAAAATATGAAAAGAAAAACTAGAAAAAATTTCAAAGAAAATTTACCTGTCTTTGTGATCTTGTTGTAGGGAAACTTTTTGTAATGGTTAGTATCCAGGATATGAAAAATAGCCTAATAATGAAAAGAAAAACTTAAGACAAAATGGGCATAGGATGTGAAGAGTTACTTTATAGAGGAAGAAACTGGAATGGTCAGTAAACATGGGAAAAGATACTTGAACTAGAAACTCATGGATAAATTGAAAGTTAAAATGACTATTCTGTCATCTTCAGATTGGCGAAAATGTAAGTCTGACAGAATTGCTGGCAGAGATATGGGCCAGTGGAAACTCAGCTAGGTAAAGTGGAGCGCAATTTTATAATCTCTAATGAAGTTGAAGATGCACATACCTGAGCAAAAAAACACATGTGTACAAAGAAATTTGGAAAACCTGTTTATCACGGTAGTATTTGCAGTAACATAAGATGATGCAGAATGTAAGTTAACCAACAAGAGATTGGATAAACTCATATCCATGTGGTGGAATATTATACAGCAATTAAACATGAACATACTAGATTGAAAAGAATTAACATGGGTAAATCTCATGAAGAAAACTTTGGGTGAAAAAGGCAAGCTGCAGAAGGATATGGGCAATATAATAACATATGTGAGTAGTTCATTTCCATATTTATGTTGTTTCAAAGGAGTTATCGGCCAGGCACGAAGGCTCACACCTGTAATCCTGGCACTTTGGGAGGCTGAGGTGTATCGGGCAAAATTCACCCCCGATATTTCACATAGTTTCTTTTCTATTTTCCCTAAGTGTTGGCCGGTCTGAGAAATAAAGGAACAGAGTACAAAAGAGAAATTTTAAAGCTGGGTGTCTCGGGGAGACGTCACATGTTGGCAGGTTCCGTGATGCCCCCTGAGCCGTAAAACCAGCAAGTTTTTATTAGCAATTTTCAAAAGGGGAGGGAGTGTACGAATAGGGTGTGGGTCACAGAGATCACATGCTTCACAAGGTAGTAAGATATCACAAGGCAAATGGAGGCAGGGCGAGATCACAGGACCACAGGACCGGGGCGAAATTAAAATTGCTAATCAAGTTTCAGACACGCATTGTCATTGATAACATCTTATCGGGAAACAGGGTTTGAGAGCAGACAACTGGTCTGACCAAAATTTATTAGGCAGGAATTTCCTCGTCCTAATAAGACTGGGAGCGCTATGGGAGACCGGGGCTTATTTCATCCCTCTGCTGTGACTGTAAAAGACAGCCGTCCCCAAAGCAGCCATTTCAGAGGCCTCCCCTCAGGGATACATTCTCTTTCTCAGGGATGTTCCTTGCTGAGAAAAAGAACTCAACGATATGTCTCCCATTTGCTTTTCAAAGAAGAGAAATATGGCTCTGTTCCGCCCGGCTCACCGACAGTCAGAGTTTAAGATTATCTCTCTTGTTCCCTGAACATTGCTGTTATCCTGTTGTTTTTTCAAGGTGCCCAGATTTCATATTGTTCAAACACACATGTTCTACAAACAATTTGTGCAGTTAACGCAATCATCACAGAGTCCTGAGGCGACATACATCCTCCTCAGCTTATGAAGATGACGGGATTAAGAGATTAAAGACAGGCATAGGAAATCACAAGGGTATTGATTGGGGAAGTGATAAGTGTCCATGAAATCTTCACAATTTATGTTCAGAGACTGCAGTAAAGACAGGCGTAAGAAATTATAAAAGTATTAATTTGGGGAACTAATAAATCTCCATGAAATCTTCACAATTTATGTTCTTCTGCCATGGCTTCAGCTGGTCCCTCCGTTTGGGGTCCCTGACTTCCTGCAACAGAGGTGGGTGGATCACCTGAGGTCAGGAGTTTGAGACCAGCCTGGCCAACATGGTGAAACCTCATTTTGGGGTGTGGTGGTGCATGCCTGTAATCCCAGCTACTCGGTAGGCTGAGGCAGGATAATCACTCGAACCGGGGAGGCGGAGGTTGCAGTGAGCCCAGATTGCAACACTATACTCCAGCCTGGGTGACAGAGCAAGACTCCATCACCAAAAAAAAAAAAAAAAAAAAAATCTCTTAGTTTCTGATGGTTTTCCTGACCATATATGTGATGCCGAAGTTGCTTTTTTGTTGTCACATCTATTGGCATCAAGTGCTGAACTTTTCATGGAGTGGCAATTTTTTGGTAATAAAGCAACTTTCAAAATGAGTCTAAGTTTATCTCTGGAAAAGTTTGAAAGAATCAGTGAAGGTTCTTTTAGACAGTACCCATGTTCTACAGATCAGCCATTCTCTGTCTCTCAAATTTTCAGTAAACCTTTCCACATAGGATGTCAGCACGATTTTAATACGTTAAATATATGTAAAATAAGGCAAATTAAGACACAACTCCATCAACTCTCATCTGCTCTGGGCTTATTTCTCTTCATAGTACATAACACCATCTACGTCATATGCTTATTGTCTGTTTCTATTAGAGCAGGGTATTTTTGTTAGTGCTGTTAGTGTGCTCAGCATATACAGCAACACTTGGCAGACAGTAGGTGCTGAATGAAAGAATGAAGAAGAACAGAACTCATTTTACTAAAGACATTTTGATATCACTTTTGGGATAGGATACTATACATTAAAGATGATACACTGTTTATTCCAGAATGGTCTTAGCTACAGTGTTCACAGCACAGTATTTGTAGACTTAATGCTGTTATCCATTCTACCTTCCTTTGAGGTTGGCATGAGAGTTGCCCGTCAGCGTATGTGTGCTCTTAGAAATCAGGGACAATACTATCATTTTAAGCTTCTTGGCAGTGACGTGTACTTAACTAGATGGTGAACTCATAGGTGGATGGGGAGTATCTAATGCTTTTGTATTCTGCTTTTCAGCAAATAAATATTACCGTACTGTGTGTGTAACATGAGCTATATAAGTGTGTGATGATTAAATTAGAAGATAGGGTTCTCTGCAATCCAGTTTTCCAAGATAAATTTTTGCCTTGTTTTTGTTAGGTAATAAAGGTACCATATTGACTGTTGATATATGCCTACTTAGTCATGCTTCTCTTGCAGTAATCTTATCAAATTACCAGCTTTTTACTTTTTTAGAGAGACAGTCCTAGAATTGAGAATCCTCCTTTGCCTACATTCAAAATGAGACTATATTATGTGGGTAGGAAATTTCTGGTGACCTACTTTTAATTTTTAAATTTAAAAAAATATTAGCATAGTTTTATATTTAGAAAACAGTTGCAAAGGTGGTATAGAGAGTTTCTGTGTACCACACAGGCACCCAGTTTCCCTTGTTGCTAACATCTTACATGATTATGGTATATTTGTCACAACTAACAAATCAGTATTGATATATTATAACTAAACTGCATACTTTTAGGGGTAGTGACCCAGTTTTAAAGCTTATTTCCCACAATTTGTTAAAAATGACAATCAGTATTGAGTGCCCATGGGTGGTGGCTTCCTGATTCTTCAAAGAAACTGAGTAATTTTGTAACCATTGGGACTTATCAGGAAATAAGGAACTCATAATAATGTGCGCTTAAATTTCCAGTGGAGGAATTGTACAGCTTAACATACGGTTTTGTAAGTTGGGTATTAATACATAAAGAGGCTGGGTGGGGTTTGATCACTATTAAAACTGATTTGTTTTGTTCCCTGGAAAATATGTTACTACCACATGGTCTACCCTTCATAGATAATCGAACCTAAGATCACTGGGCAGAAAAGGGTTGCCCTGTAGTAGGAAATGTGTCCTCCTGGGACTGAGTTGAGATTTAGTTTAGCACACAGAATAAGTAGCCAATGGCTGCTATGAGTCTGACTTCTATAATTCAAATTGGTATAAATTAAATCTAATTCTTTTCCCCAGGACTGCCCAATTTAAGATTAAGTTTTATACTGGCGCTTATTAGAGATATGGCCATTTTGCCATTTCAGTGGAACCTTTTAATCAGCTTTAATGCTGTCTTAGGTAAAGTAAAAACTTAATCTAAGGGCTTTTCTAGTTTGCCATCCTCAAAGCAGAAAAAGCAGCAATGAAGCAGCACTGCCTCATATAGACTCTGCTTTTATTAAATTTGCTTCAATAATCCTCTTCCAGTCATCTTTTGTGCTGCATATTTGAACCATAAAATAAGCAAAAACTGTACCCAAATGAAAATTTCAAGTTATTTTAATGAAGCTCTGGAAACATCCCAGAGCTCAGAAGATGTTTTTTCCTAGTTTATTTTTTAAATTCTGGAAAGTAGGTCAGTAGACATACCCTGCTTTAATTGGTTTAATTAGAAGTGAAAAATTATAGGACTAACTCAATTTGAAGTATAGATTTCAATAAGAAGAATTATACTGGGATGAATATTATTTAAGGTTTTGAATTTAAGATGCATTTAATCAATGCTTATAATTTCCTCTTGAAAAGATTTATATTGCAAAAAAGAAGACTAAGTGTTGGAATATGTCAATATATAGGGAAAAACTTTGCCATGAAATATAATATTTGATAAAATCATTTTAGAATTGTATCTCTAAATGGTATGCCTAAGAATATTGTTCTATAGGACCTTAATAGATATGCCTCGGGGGAAAAAAGTATTGTGTGCTCAAGTGAGTTTGAGATATACTGCATTAAATATAAGAAGTTGCCTGCAGGACTTCTCAGAGTCTTTAACACTTTCTGAATTTCTGAGACAAGATATATAGAGGGTACAGTACTTTGCAAACCTATTTATCCCTATACCACCTAGTAACATTTTTCAGGAAAATGTTTTGAGAACACGAATTTGACCTGTTTTAGGAATTTATACCTTTGACAATGTTGAGGACCTTGTTTTTTCCTATTATAATGATGATGTGATATTCACATATATTACTTTTTCCCAATTCTTTAAGATATTTTTCCAATGTATTATATTCAACCCTCTGCTCAGTGCCTTCCTTCTGCTAACTAAAGTGATGGTTTCCGTCTGTTGCTACACATCAGACATACTTGGCCCTGACCCTGGAGATTCTGTATGAACAGAAATGCCAGAATACCTGCTCAGGATTCTGTATTTATTACAAACACCCAGGTGATTCTGATGCAGCCAACACTGGTCCTCCAACTGATGCTTTGGAATTGTTGAACTAAAAGCATGCCTTTTTTTCTAGATGGATGAGTAGATTGGGGCATAGTTTGTGGTCCTAGAACACATGGGTTAACCATCCCTCCTAGTGAGAATGATAGCACAGGCCTCTGATGACCCCACGAGGTGCTGTGCTGGCTATAACCTAACATGAAACGATCATTATTCCTTAAGAAAAGCAGAATATGTCTAAATGGGCTTTTAGCCACCTTCCTAATAATGAAGTACCATATATATGACTACCATTTGTTTTAATTTCAAGTAATTCCCTTGTAGATGATGTTTTATTTATTCTTTTTTTTTTTTTTTTGAGACAGAGTCTCGCTCTTTCGCCCAGGCTGGAGTGCAGTGGCGCGATCTCGGCTCACTGCAAGCTCCACCTCCCGGGTTCACGCCGTTCTCCTGCCTCAGCCTCCTGAGTAGCTGGGACTACAGGCGCCCGCCACCGCGCCCAGCTAATTTTTTGTATTTTTAGTAGAGACGGGGTTTCACCGTGTTAGCCAGGATGGTCTCGATCTCCTGACCTCGTGATCCGCCCGCCTTGGCCTCCCAAAGTGCTGGGATTACAGGTGTGAGCCACCGTGCCCGGCCTATTCTTTAAAAAGAATATTAGATTATATTTTCTAAATGTGCCAAGTATCTAAGAATATATTCTTTCACCTCCTGCTGATAAGAGTTATACATTTAACCTTAAGCAAATCTGCCAAGATTCTATGTCATTTATGCTTTGATTTATGTGAGTATTAATGTAGTTTCTGTGACTATTATATGGTTATATATACCCTCCACCTAGTAAAACAGTTCCATATTCCTGGAAATGGTCTTTTACATCCTACAAGTGTAGCTGGAAAGGAATAATATAAATACTAATGGTTTGAGAGACAACTAGTCTTGACATGTCTTGGTTGAATAGTGTTCTATAAGCAACAATATATGAAATACTAGACATACCCATTAAAAGCAGAAAATACCCACTACTGTTTTAAAATTATTCTGCAAGATCTCATCGATGCAATGAGACATAAAACAGAAATAATGGGTGTAATTATTGAAAATTGGAGATAAAATTTTTATTACTTGTAAACAAAATTCTGTCAAAAACCTGACAAATTAAACAATACAATTAATATGTTTAATAGAACTAATTACATATGAGAGGCATCCAAAATCCATTTTTTCTATACAAACATGGTTTGATATACAGTCATTTTATCTGTGTATTAATTGGTTTATGAAATAACAAATAGAAAAATCAAGTATGCATTATCAAGTTAAAGAAGCAGGAGAGATGGAGCTATAAAAACAAAGAGAGAAGAATGTTGTAAGGAGGGCTTAACAACCAGGATAAATGTTGTAGAGAGATCAATTAAAGTGATGGCCTAGAGATCACGGGCTTCCTTTGGCAGAGCCATGTTGGTGAAGTGAAGGAAGTGGAAGCCAGACCACAATGGTTGAAGAATGAATGTAATGTAAGAGCCAAGACATTTATTTGAGTCTGATAGTAATGAAAAAGGACAAGAATTTTCTTCTTGCTGTTGTTTTTGTCATTTCATGTTCAAAACCCTTTATCTCCCATGTGGTACTGAAAACTCCAAGATGGGATCTCTGTTTCTGTGAGGCCTGTAGTGCTTAGTACATCCTTGAATGTGTGAGGCTCTCATTGGTATAAGTTTAATTCCTGACTGTGGATGAAATCTTTAAAACTTTGCGGGCAAAATACAGAATGAATTTCAGTGAGTTCCCATGTATTAAACAAGGTGGCACTGGCTGGAGACATGCTGTCCCTGTGCCCACAGGAGTAGCAGTGCTGTGCTCATCTTCCTGACACAGTCTTCACCGCCTTTCTTCAGGAGTCTCCCCTTTGGCTTTTCCACAGCTATGAAACCCACGTAGTCGGACACACTAATGCTTCTCCTGTAGGGTGTGTGATGAGGAGGTGAGCTTGGCTTTGGAGTGCTGGGAACCTGAGGAATTGCCAAGGACCCAGAGCCCAGCCCTGACCACCCAGAGAGCCCAAAACACAATGAACAAATTGAATTTCCACAACAACAGAGTCATGCAAGACCGCCGCAGCGTGTGCCTTTTCCTTCCCAATGAGAATCTCTGAACATCATCATAAATGTGAGTAGATCTCAATATAATTCTGATAGCTGGAGGATAGTGTATTTTCAGGTTTGCTGGAGGAAAAAAACTGGACTTTAAATAATTAAGACAAAATGATTGTATTAATTGACTTCTATTCTTAATCACTAATTTCATTTTTTATATTTCCCTTGACTTTTGGGGGAGAAATAGTCTTTGTCTCAAAAGTGGGCTTCAGTGACCTATGGGTTTGATAAAGCAACCAGAGATAAGGAGACAAGAATATTTAATGGCAACATGCCAGCAATTATTATTAGTTAATTGAAAGCGTTTATGATTTTGGCCTGGGGCCAATGCTTTCCCCCTCTGCTGGGCTAACATGTGGGTAAGGGAGAGGAAAAGCTTTGTTTCACTTTTTAAATAAAAGTATTACGTAACTTTGAAATTTGTATAAAATTAAAAGATAGTAAAAACAACTATTCTAACAGAATTCAAAACCTGTTATGCTTCAGTGGAGAGATTATTCAAGATAAGTCCGTGGGAAATTGGGAGTACATTTCTACTGGCAAAGTTAGTGATAACTATGCACTTCTGACAAAATGTGAAATGGGGGGTATGGGCGTGTCATATCATCATGGTGCAGATACGTGGATGTGTGCTTCCAAACAATGGCAACCTAACTGACTGCTGGAACCATACAAAATACCTGAAACTACTCAGAAAGAAGGTGAAAATTGCATGCAAAAATTATTTGAAAAATATTGAGCTAACACAACATGAATTTGGAATTATAAGTGAGGTATTGTAACTCACCTACAGATGTGTTTTTTGTAATCAATATTCATGGACTCAGACTACACAGTAAAAGCTTACATAGAAATCATTCTATCTAAACTTTCTGGATACGAAAGTAACCTAGTATGCGTTTTGCTACTATATCTTTATATGAATTTAAATCACATTTCCAAGTGGCTTACAGTAATCAAGGTTGTCACAAGGAAGATGCAAATTAAAACCACATTGCAATATCACTGCACACCCACTAGTACGGTTTAAAAGAAAAAAAAAAACAGAAAATATCAAGTATTGGTGACAATGTGGAGCAAACAGAACTCTTTTTCAATAATGGCAGGTATGTAAAGTGGCACAAACACTTTGGAAACCTGTTTGGCATTATACTGTACTAAACCTGAACACACGCATTGTTTATGACCCAGGAATGCCCCTCCTGGGAACCAACAACAACGCATATATGTGTTGCATATGTTCACCAAAAGACATTTACAAGAATGTTCATAGCAGCACTATTTGAAATCACCCCCAAGTAGAAAATGCACAAATATTTAACAGTAGTTGGATAAAGTGTGGTACGTTTATGCAATATAATACCATATAGAAATGAGAGTGAGGGATCTGCAAACTAATATGCAACTGTACAAATGAATCCCACAAATATAATGTTGGGTGGCAGAAGCCAGATGCAAATGAATACATGCTGTAGATTTCATTCTTTTACATTAAAAAAGCTAGTCACACAAAGTTATGCTGTTAGAAGAGAGTGATTTGGTCGGGCGCAGGGGTAGTTACAGGAAGGGAGTACACGGAGATTTCTGGTTGTTAGTTATGTTCAGTGTCAATCTATGTGCTAAACAGGTACAATAAAGATTTTAGAATTCATCAATTTGCACACTTATGATAGATGCACTTTCCTGTATGTATATTTCAATAAAATCTTTTAAAAAGTAAAATGACAAAAAGACACTATTAACAAAAATGACATATTATATTAACTGTTATACTAAGGAAAATATAAAAATGAGTTCTATAACAGGGGCTCTGCAGGTCATGTGGTCATGCCAAGGACCATATGTGCTCAAGATTCTCATGACATTTTGGAAGGAGGTTGGGCTTTCTTTATCTTTCCTTTCTTCTCTCCCTTCCCTTCCCTATTTTTAAACCTAGGTTTGGTATTTTCCTGGGGTGATGGTGACTTTGGAAAATTGGGCCGGGGCGGAAGTGAAGGCTGCAACATTCCCCAGAACATTGAGAGACTAAATGGACAGGGGGTGTGCCAGATTGAGTGTGGAGCTCAGTTCCTACTGGCGCTCACCAAGTCTGGAGTGGTGTGGACATGGTACGTAAACGTCCTCCCCGTCACAGTGAGCGTGCTTGTGCCGACGCGTGCAGGGAACTTGGGCCTCGCCCCAGGACCACCCCGGCGTGATTGTGACCTGTCATATTTTTACTTATGCATGCATCTTTGTCCTTTAAAGGATATTGAGTCGGGATTAGTGACAATAGTACAAGAAGAAATTTCCTATTGTAACTGGGTCATTTTGAAAATACTAGAAAAATTTTAGGCCACTTACCTTTCCTGTTTGGGCGAGATTTATAGGAAGTGTTTCTTCTGCTGAAGCCTAAGGATAAAATGAGAGCAAAATAGCCTTCTGAATCCTTTGATCCTGAGAAAGTTAACATGTATTTCTTGTAAAAGCTTATTATATTAATGTGCAAATGAGCAGGTGCCCAGACTGGCCTTGGATGCTGTGTCAGGCCTTGCTGCCTCTGGTCATAACATTGGCACTATTTATTTATTTATTTATTTATTTGAGATGGAGTCTCGCTCTGTCGCCCAGGCTGGAATGCAGTGGCACAATCTCAGCTCACTGCAAGCTCCGTCTCCCGGGTTCACGCCATTCTCCTGCCTCAGCCTCCCGAGTAGCTGGGACTACAGGCGTCTGCCACCATGCCCGGCTAATTTTTTTGTGTTTTTAGTAGAGATAGGGTTTCACCATGTTAGCCAGGATGGTCTCGATCTCCTGACCTTGTGATCCACCCGCCTCGGCCTCCCAAAGTGCTGGGATTACAGGCGTGAACCACTGCTACTGGCCGACATTGGCACTCTGAGAAAGATGTATACCAGATAGGACTTTGGATAGGTGTTTGCAGTAATGTGTCTTATTTTCAGTCTATATGAAAACCTACAACAGTAACTTAAATATTGTAGAACATGTATTAAGGTATTAAGGTTTTTCCCAGCTGACTTAATAAGTTAATTTGAATTAATGGTGTATGATTTTGAATACAAGTTCGAAGACCTTGGGTGCTGTGTGTGATGTCATTGAGCTGGCTGTGAAAGATGTGAGACAATGAGTGTCTTCTTGTATAGCATTGTCAGACCACAACTATATTGTAACACTCCACCACGGGCCTCCTTCTCAGGGGAAAGGGGGATTACTTCAGGTTGCGCCAGGGCTCTGACGTGCACGTGTGGAAACTGTAGGTGGTGGAAGGGCTGAGAGGGAAGAAGATCGTGCATGTGGCTGTCGGGGCCCTGCACTGCCTGGCGGTCACGGACTCGGGGCAGGTAAGGCTGCAGGTGGCCTGGGGGTGGCGTGCCATCCTGACTTGGGGGACGTGGGGGTCACGACATGGCCCTCGTCCTGTTGAAATCACAGCTGTTGATGAACTCAGCCGAGTCTTACTGCTTGAAGAACCATGAGGCCGGGACCCATCCGTTTTGCCCGCTGGTGTATCTGCCTACTCAGCAGCAGGGGTTGGGGGCGGGGTCCTCAGAAAAGAGGCGTTCCCACTCTGAAGTCCACGTGAAAAGTGTGTGGAAAGATTGTTATCCTTTTTTTTTTTTTTTTTTTTTTTTTTGAGACAGAGTCTCGCTCTGTCGCCCAGGCTGGAGTGCAGTGGCGCGATCTCGGCTCACTGCAAGTTCTGCCTCCTGGGTTCATGCCATTCTCCTGCCTCAGCCTCCCGAGTAGCTGGGACTACAGGCGCCCGCCACCACGCCCAGCTAATTTTTTGTATTTTTAGTAGAGACGGGGTTTCACCGTGGTCTCGATCTCCTGACCTCGTGATCCACCTGCCTCGGCCTCCCAAAGTGCTGGGATTACAGGCGTGAGCCACCGCACCCGGCCAAAAGATTGTTATTCTTGAAGATGCTCCTACTGCAAGGTATTAACAAGACTTTGCTTTAGGAAATTGCTAACTGGTGAGGAGGCACCCATGCCTCATTTTAGAGACAGAGCTAGTGCCTGACAAGTGTTACACTCTCTTCTGCTTGGAGAAGCATATGCTATGACCGGCTTGTGGATATTCAATTTAAAATTTTATTTATGAAAACAAAATTACCATTACTGTTTTTTAGTCAAAATGAATTATACTTTATAATTCTATAAGGCCAAGGAGCTACTTACTTGAAAAATGAGCATATTGTTTTTGGTCATTTTTCTTTGCAAAGTAAAAGGGAAAAAATTATTGCACTTAGTTGAAGAGAGGACCTTCTGTGTGACTTGCAACAAAGCAGAATTAATTTGATTAATATTAAGAAAATACTCCTTTTATGGTTATTGGCATTTTCATGGTTAGATTTTCTTCAGAATTATAGTACACCGATGCCATTTTGTAAGATTGTGAAATGGTTTGCTTTTACTTTTAAGAACTCAATTCTTTCAAATACCATGGCATACACGTTAAGCATTTTGAAGTAAAAATTACATTAAAGAAAATGTCCTGAAATGTTGAAAAATTATAAGCTTTTTTCTCCTCGTAAACAGGTGTATGCTTGGGGTGACAACGACCACGGCCAGCAGGGCAATGGCACGACCACGGTTAACAGGAAGCCCACACTCGTGCAAGGCTTAGAAGGCCAGAAGATCATGTGTGTGGCTTGCGGGTCGTCCCACAGTGTGGCGTGGACAACTGTGGATGTGGCCACGCCCTCTGTCCACGAGCCCGTCCTCTTCCAGACTGCAAGAGACCCTTTAGGTGCTTCCTATTTAGGTAACACAGATTTGTATCCTGAGATTTTTCTGTAGGTTACAGCAACTTTACATTTATTTAATTGTGCCAACACATTAGAGGTTGTAGTGCCGCGTTAACTACATTATGAATCTAAAGACACAGAAGAATTATGGTGTGCTCTCATGCGATTTATACTGCTGGAATGAAAGTTTTAGAAGAAAGTATGTTGCTGATTCTTGTGTTTATGATCAGGTAAACTCACAGCGCTGTACTTGTGTGTGAACAGGACTCCTAATAACTGCCTGAGAGATACAGGCACTGTACTGGGCTCTTTTGTATTTTTTAACAGCTTTATTCAGTTATAATTGACATATAATAAACTGCACCTATTTAAAGTATGCATTTTGATCGACTTTGGAATATGTATGATCCATGAAAGCATCAGCACAATCAAAGACAATGAACTCATACACTACCCCAGCGTTCCTCTCTGGCCCTCTGTACCCCTCCCTTTTGCTTTTACCTCCCTCCTTCCTGCCATATGCACCAATTCTGTCACTAGAGATCAGTTTGCATGTCTGCTTTTTGTTGTTGTTGTTTCGTGGGTGTTTTATTTGTTTGTTTTCTTTTTTTTGTAGACCGGGTCTCACTCTGTTGCCCAGGCTGGAGTGCAGTGGCACGATCTTGGCTCACTGCAGCTTCCACCTCCTGGGCTCAAGTGATCCTCCCACCTTAGCCTCCCAAATAGCTGGGACTACAGGCACATGTCACCATGCCTGGCTAATTTTTGTTTGTTTGGTGGAGACATGGTTTTGCCATGTTGCTCAGGTTGGTCTTGAACTCCTGAGCTCAAGTGATCCTCCCACCTCAGCCTCCCAAAGTGCTGGGATTATGGGCAGGAGCCACTGTGGCAGGCCAGTTTGCATGTTTTACAGCTTACTATAAGTAGAATCATACAGCATATACTCTTTTTAAAAATCTTACTTTTTCCACTCAGCATAATAATTTTGAGATTCACTTACGTTGCATGTATCAATAGTTTATTCTTTTAAATTGTTGAATAGTATCTTAAGATAAACAAATGCAATTTGTTCATCCATTTTTCTGTTGATGAATGTTTGGGCTGTTTCCAGTTTTTGACTATGCAAGTGAAATTGCTAATGGACATTTCCATACAAGTTTGTGTATGGACATCCACTTGAAATTCTCTTGGGTAAACTTCTAAGAGAGGAGTGGTTGGATCATATGGTACGTGTATGTCTAGCTTCTTAAGATCGCTACATACTGTTTTGCAAAGTGGATGTTCCAGAGGTCCACATCCTCCACATTTTTGTCAACCCTTGATACGTTCAGTCTTTAATTTTAGTTATACTGACAGATGTATAGTGGTATCTCGTTGTGGTTTTAATCTGCATTTCCCTAATAACTAATGATCTCAAGCATCTTGCTTATTTACAAATCACATACCTTTTTTGGTGAATGTCTGTTCAAGTCTTTTCCCATATTTAAATAGGTTGTTTTCTTACTGGTTTGAGAGTTCCTTATATATTCTGAGTTACAAGTCCTTTGCCTAATATAGAATTTGCTAGTATTTTCTGTCAGTGTGGCTTGTCATTTTATTCTCTTCACAGGTGAATCTTAAAGATTAGAAGTTTTTAATTTTGATGAAGCCTAGTTTATTCATTTTATTCTTTTGTAGAGTGTACTTTTGATGTTGTGACTACAAAACCTTTGCCTCAAGATTATGAAGTTTGTCTTTCTATGTTCTGTTATAGAAGTTTTATAGTTTTAGACAGGTATATCTATGACCAGTTGATTAAATTTTATATATAGTGGGAGGTTCAGATTGAAAGGCTTTTTTGGGCATGATTGTCCAGTTGTTTCAGTTGTATTTGTTGAAAAACTACGCTTTTCCTACTGAATTGCCTTTTGCCTTTGTCAGAAATCAGTTGTCTATGGATGTATGGATCTATTTCTGGACTCCCAGTACTGTTTCATTGATTTATTTGTGTATTTTGGTGGCAATGCCACATTGTCTTGATTACTACAGCTTTATAAAAGGCCTGAACTCAGGTTGCAACAGTTTTTTAGCTTTGTTCTTTTTCAAATATATTTTGGCTGTTGCAGGCCCTTTACATTTCCATATGACTTAAAATGAGCTTGTCAGTTTTTATAAAACCGCTTGCTTGGGATTTTGATGTGGATTGCATTAATTCTGTAAGTCAATGTGCAAGGATGGATTCACAGTATTCAGTCTTCTAACCCATGAACATAGTGTTTCTCTTTATTTGTTAGGTGTCCAGTACATAATGACACATGAAGAGGCAAAAAAAGCGACTAAAAATGACCAGAAATGATAGGAGAGAAACAGACCCACAAGGGCTCCATATATTGGAGTTAGAAGACACAGACTTTAGTATAATAAATATGCTTACTGTGTTCAAAAAGATAATATTTCAGCAGAGAACCAAAAACTACTGAAAATAAAATAGAAAGACTAGAACTGATAAATCCAATATTTAAAATTAAGAACTTAATGAGTAAGTTTAGAACACACTGAACTCAGCTGAAGAGAAAGTAAAAATATCTGGAATGAAGAACTGAGGAGCAAAAGTTTAGAAAACATAACAAGAAGGTAAAAGATCTGCAGGACAGAGGTTAGGCCTAACACAAGTGAAAGAAGAGTCCCCCCAAAAAGATAGAAAAGAGAATAGAGCAGAGGCAAAATGTGAAGAAATACTGAAAGACAGAATTTTCCAAAACAGACAACAGATATCATGCCCCAGAAGCCCTACCAACCCCAAGAAAGATAAACATCTCCATGCACATGTAAAACCTGTGCAAGATGAAAACAAAAAGACTCTCTGAAAAGCAGACGAAGGAAAAATAAAATGAACCACAATTAGACTTCCATCCAACTTCAGGAGAAATAATATAAACCAAATTGCAATGGAATACTATTTTTAAAGTGCTGAAAGAAAACACCTAGCAAAAAGACTTTTCAAAAATAAAGGAGAAATAAAGACATTTTCAGACATACAAAAATAGATAATTTGTAACCAACAAAGACACATTTTTAAAAATATTAAGGGGATTTTCAGGCAGGAGAAAAACAGTATAGATGGAAAATTAAAGAAGAAGAAAAAAGTGGAGAGAAATTACAAAGTATGCAGAAAAATCTAAATCAATATTGACTACATAAAATCGTCATATGCCCTGCATGTATTGTTTGATCCTTTGACTTGTTTTTTTGCTTTTTTTGTTTTTTGAGACGTAGTCTTGTTCTGTCGCCCAGGCTGGAGTGCAGTGGCACGATCTCGGCTCACTGCAAGCTCCGCCTCCTGGGTTCACGCCATTCTCCCGCCTCAGCCTCCCAAGTAGTTGGGACTACAGGTGCCCGCCAACACACCGGCTAATTTTTTGTACTTTTAGTAGAGACAGGGTTTCACCGCGTTAGCCAGGATGGTCTCGATCTCCTGAACTCCTGATTCACCCGCCTCGGCCTCCCAAAGTGCTGGGATTACAGGCATGGATCATGAGGTCAGGAGATCGAGACCATCTTGGCTAACACGGTGAAGCCCCATCTCTATTAAAAATACGAAAAATTAGCTTGGCATGGTGGCATGCGTCTGTAGTCCCAGCTACTCGGGAGGCTGAGGCGGGAGGAATGGCGAGAACCCAGGAGGCGGAGCTTGCAGTGAGCTGAGATCACGCGCCACTGCACTCCAGCCTGGGTGACAGAGCGAGACTCTGTCTCAAAAAACAAAAACAAAAACAAAAACAAAAACAAAAACAGGCATGAGTCACTGCGCCTGGCTGATCCTTTGACTTTTTTTGAAATTTTGTTTGAGCATATGACCCACTTAGCATATGACTGGATTTTATGAACATTTTCTATGTGCATAAAAGAATGTCTTCGATAGTTCTGTTAGATATATATTTGTATAAAATGTATAAAATTTTGGCTGGACGTGGTGGCTCATGCACATAACCCCAGCACTTTGGGAGACTGAGGTGGGTGGATCGCCTGAGGTCAGGAGTTCAAGAGCAGCCTGGCCAGCATGGTGAAATCTCACCTCCACTAAAAATACAAAAATTAGCCAGGCGTGGTGGCAGGAGCCTATAATCCCAGCTACTCAGGAGGCTGATGCAGGAGAATCGCTTGAGCCCGGGAGGTGTCAGTTGCAGTGAGCCAGGATCGCGCCACTGCACTCCAGCCGGGGCGACAGAGTGAGACTCCGTCTCAAAAAAAAAAAAAATTAAAAATTAAAATATGTTAAGAACATATAAATCAGAATGAAGATAAATGATGTTAAAGAGAACTAAGGTCTTTGCATTGTTTAGGAGGAGACTTTACTAAATAATAATAGATTTAAATCAGTCAAAAATAGATGTTATAATTAATATCTTCAGTAACTACTAAAACTAAAAATGTATATAACACATACACTCCTTATAGACAGAGTGAGACTCTGTCTCAAAAAAATAATAATTAAAAAAAAAAAGTAGAAAAGTTAGCTGAGCATGGTGGCACCGGCCTGTAATCCCAGCTGCTCAGCAGGCTGAGACAGGAGAACTGCTTGAACCCAGGAGGCGGAGGTTGCAGTGAGCCAAGATTGCGCCACTGCACTCCAGCCTGGGCAACAGAGTGAGACTCTATCTCACAAAGAAGAAAAGTGATATATGCATACAGTGGAATATTATTCAGCCATTAAAAAGGATGACGTTCTGACACATGCTACAATACGGATGAAGCTTGAAGACATTATGCTAAACACAAAAGGATAAATCTTACATGGTTCCATCTAGATGAGATGTCTGGAGTGGTCATATTCGTAGAGACCAAAGTTAGATTCAAGGTTACCAGGGTTGGGGTAAGGGGAAGTAGGGCAGTTAAATTGCTTAATGGGTACAGAGTTTCTGATCGGAGTGGTGAAAAGTTTTGGTAAGAGAAAGTTGTGATGGTTGTGCAACACTGTACTTAAGGTACTTAATACCCTGAATTATAAACTTAGAAAATGACTAAGTGGCTAATTTTAAGTTAAATATATTTTGCCACAATGAAAAATATAATAAAAGGTATACAAATTAAAACACTCACTCTCCATCTAACCAATTCCACATGCCACGCAACTAAACACTTACTAGTTTCTTGAGATTCTTTTAATGTTTCTTTATGGAAAAACAAGCAAACAAGCCTAGTTATTCTAATTCTTCCCCGATACCCCATCCTGATTTTTTTAAAAAGCCAGCCAGTCATCAGCGGGTAGGACCGTCACTTCCGTCTCACTGTACTCACTCTACAGAATTACCATATGCAAAGGAACCTTAAAATAACAAATTCCAGTACACTGTGGTCCACAATAAGTATTTCATTAATATTTGGTGGAAGAGAGAATATAAACATTCTGCCATACCTGGTTCATTTATTCTGCCAAATGTATGCCTGGTATTGTGTTTTTTGGTCTTGAAACACGTTTCACAAAAATCAAAGTCATCACAGTTTCTGCATTTGAATCTGGATCCATTGATAGGAAACATCTGACATCCATCACACCTATTTGTAAAATAGCAACTGAGTTAAGAAAGGTCATTTATTAAACTTAATTCAACAGAAAACCATTCGTCCCAAAGCAAATCTAGCAATCATAAAAATAACTCACGTAACCCCAGGATGAATACTGGGCACCAACTCCATTTCTGATAGCAACCCAGTCCAGTGAGACTGCTGGGGAAAGTCAACAATGATATCTTTTCCATTGGCACTGAAAGCCAGGACACAACAGAAATCACCTGATCCATCTTCCTCTTCACCAATAAAAACCTGAACTTAAAACTGCACCTAGCCATGTCATACTACATTGTAGTTATTTGTTTTTTACAAAGAGTCTATCTTTTAGAGATAGGTACTAAAATGCTTATGGATGAACTAATACATGATGTCAGCGCCTGGTTTCAAAATAATCACAAGAAGGGAGCATGAATAATTTTGGCCATGAGGCGACAATCGTTAAAGCCAGGTAATGAGCACATGGAGGTTCATTGTAAACTACATTCCTTACTTTTGCATTAGGTTTAAAATAGGACATTTTGGTTTCTAATTACACCAAGTCAACAATTCCATACAATACCTTTGGTATCTCAGGGAATAAAAACCACATTAATAACATGAAGACTTCTTTCATCCTTTGATAAGAGCAACGTGTCACTCAAAACAAAGAAACCAAATTCTTATTTTTAAAATTTGTCTTGTTTTGATTTGCAAATATTTTAACAATCTCTTAAGCAAAGAAAAATGTTTAAAGTAAAATATTAAATAATCCACTTGTTCTTATGTAACATGAGAAGCTCTAGGAACCTCTCACCACTGGGGAACCACCAACTGTGGCCATTTTCTAAGTGATCTGATGAAAAGAGAGGCTTCCACAAGGTTCAAACGAACAAACAAATAATCTCTTTATGCATCAAGAGTTTATAAAACTATACACATACTTATTTCTCATGCAACTGTTAAAACGGACATAGTGTGCCTTTCAAAGTGTGCCACGGATTTGATTTGGAATCTCAACAGTATCATATTAAATATAATCTGAGAATTGTTTCCAGTTCCTAATTTCCATCATTAGCACATTTCCATTTCTTAAATTCAGTCCTAAATTTTTATACAGCATGAAAAAGAGCCAGGCATGGTGGCTCACGCCTGTAATCCCAACACTTTGGGAGGCCGAGGTGGGCGGATCAATAGGTAAGGAGTTCGAGACCAGCCTGGCCAATATGGGGAAACGCCATCTCTATGAAAAATACAAAAATTAGCCAGGCACGGTGGTGGGCACCTGTAATCCCAGCTACTCTGGAGGCTGAGACTGGAGAACTGCTTAAACCCGGGGGCGGAGGTTGCAGTGAGCCAAGATGGCGCCACTGCACTCCAGCCTGGTCAGGGGAGGAGAAAGAAAAAGCAGTCCTGACAGTCAGGAGCTGGCCTGTTAATGTCAATGTTAGGCCATTTCACAGAACAAATGACAGGACAAGTTTACAGAACACGAACATCAGATAAGGCCACTCTGTGACTGATGAATCAAGGCACAACCAAAACCCCTCCTTAACCATGTGTGATTAAAGTTGAGTCTAATCCAAACCACAAACAACCACACAGTCCCCTATCCTGGTGATATGAATGACTGCTTCCTTACCAATCATGACGTTAGCATGGCTCCATTCTTTCTGCCTGCTAGGTAAATTTATTAAGACATCCTGTTTTAGGATTACCCCTGCTTTCTCGACCCCTCCCCCAAATACCCAACATAAACTTCATTAGTCCTCGCTCACTCCCTCTGATGGAGACACCCATTCCCCAAGGTGTGTGTTCTCCTGTACTGCAATGAGTTAATATTAATAAATCTGATTGTTTCACTGCAGGTGAGTTCCTTTGTGGCCTTTGGCAGAAGGCACTGACAAGCAAAGGAACACTCTATCTCTTTCTTCACACTTGTTTTCTGTTTTGTGTGCTTGAACAAAAAGAAATACTAAGTACATATGCATTAATGAAAAGTTAACATCAGGAATTTAATTACCCAGATGATATTACCTTTCACAACCCCCACACTCTGATGAGTCACAGATCCCCATTTGTATTTTGGTGTGGTGACAGAGGCTTTGACCCGCACTTTATCACCAATCTTGATGTGAGAAGAACTTCTTGGTGGAGGATAGCCTACAGATTTCAATAACAAATCATTATAATCAGTATTCATTTATGGGAATTCTGTCTCTAAGAAAAAGTAAAAGCACTAAACAAAGAATGTGCTCACCTATAAGTTCCACATGAATGTACCTAAACCAGTAGATGCCCCCTTTCTGCTGCCAGTCACACTGCACATTGAGATCATGCAATCCATCTCTGTCCAGCTTGATGACTTTGCCAACATCACATCACCTTCGCACACTTCTTCTTATGTTCGGCAGCATCTAACCATCATTCCCACCTAGAATTAAAATGAAATTGGAGATCCAGTCCATCATGTACACAGGTGAAATGAGCCATGATAAGTAGTATTACTCTACTCTTAATAAAGAATTTCAACTGGGCACGGTGGCTCACATCTGTAATCCTAGCACTTTGGGAGGCTGAGGTGGGAGGATCACTTGAGCTCAGGTGTTTGAGACAAACCTGGGCAACATGGCGAAACCCACCTCTACCAAAAATACAAAAATTAGCCAGATGTGATGGCACATGCCTGTGGTCCCAGCTACTTGGGAGACTTGAGTTGAGAGGATTGCTTGAGCCTGGAAGGTGGAGGTTACAATGAGCCAAGATCATACTACTGCACTCCAGCCTGAGTGACAAAGTGAGACCCTATCTCAAAAAAAAAAAAAAAAAAAAAAAGAATTTCATCTAGCACCCAGAGTGCATTCTAAGTATTATTTAATGATAAAGGGAAGAGAAACTCTTTAGAACACTGTCTGGCTTTGTGTCTCAGGCAGGAAATATACAGGAAGAGGCTGGATCAACTTGTATCATAAAGGAAGGGAGCTTTCAAAGATTACTCAAAAGGATTCCCTGATCATCAAAAATATAACAGTGGAGACATCACACCCTAAAAGCCAATGGATTGGTCATCATGACAATAAGGAAAACAAAGCTTCCTGGTCATCTTTATACATATCAGAACACCAATGCATCATTGTGAAAACTGATGAAGTCTCCCTGTATTATCAAGAGCAACCAAGATTAATAACAAAGCTTTTTTTCACAGAAGAGAATTCCAGCTAATGAACTCAGAGAAGATGAAGTTAGAAAATCACTATGGTGCAGCCCCTAATGATAGGTCTAGGTGATGACACTAATGCCTGCTGGAGCTATGAGATGGACAATTAATACAGAATGTCATCAAGGAAGGAGCAGGCTGACAAGACCTAACCCACCCAAACCTGCTTGCCTGTTGAGATGGGGCCGGAGGGAGTACATGCCTATGAAGCTTCCTGCCTGAGATTCAGCCTGGTCCAATCACCCTCCAACCCTAACTCCTACTGCATTGGAGAAACAGGGAGAGAGGAAGATGTTAGCCACAAGGAAGCCACCTCCAAATGCAGACTGTAAGACATTTGGAGGACATGGTTTCAGCCACAAATAAATAGCATGAAAGGAGAGGAAGGGAGAAGGAGGGTTACTATGAAATGAATGTTTGTATCCCCCCCGCAAAATTCATGAAGTCCCGACTCCTAATGTGGCAGTATTAGGAGATGGGGCCTCTAAGGAAGTCATTAAGGTAAAATCAGGTCATAAGAGTGGGGCTCTGACACAACAGGATTAGGGTCTTTATAAGAAGAGACTCCAGGATGGGCATGGTGGCTCACGCCTATAATCCCAGCACTTTGGGAGGCCAAGGCAGGTGGATCACCTGAGGTCAAGAGTTCGAGACCAGCCTGACCAACATGAATAAACCCTGTCTCTACTAAAAATATAAAATTAACCAGGCATGTGGTGCATGTCTGTAATCCCAGATACTTGGGAGGCTGAGACAGGAGAATCGCTTGAACCCGGGAGGCAGAGGTTGTGGTGAGCCAAGATCGTGCCACTGCGTTCCAGCCTAGGCAACAAGAGCGAAACACCGTCTCAAAAAAAAAAAAAAAAAAAAAGACACCAGTGCTCCCCTGCTAGCTCCAGCTCCCCCCATCCCCAGCCCCACGTCCACAGGAGGACACAGCAAGAAGGCAGCCACCTGGCCAGGCACGGTGGCTCATGCCTATAATTCCAACACTTTGGGAGGCCAAGGCGGGTAGATCACGAGGTTAGGAGATCGAGACCATCCTGGCTAACATGGTGAAACCCCGTCTCTACTAAAAATACAAAAAAATTAGCTGAGCATGGTGGCGGGCACCTGTAGTCCCAGCTACTCAGGAGGCTGAGGCAGGAGAATGGCAGGAACCCGGGAGGCGGAGCTTGTAGTGAGCTGAGATCACGCCACTGCACTCCAGCCTGGGTGACAGAGCGAGACTCTGTCTCAAAAAAAAAAAAAAAAAAAAAAAAGGTAGCCACCTACAAGCCAGGAAGAGGGCCATCACCAGAATCCAGCCAAGCTGGTACCTTGATCTTGGATTTCCAGCCTCCAGAACCATGAGAAATAAATGTCTGTTGTTGAAGCTGCCAGTCTATGGTACTGTGTTATAGCCAACTGAGCTAAGACAAGGGGGAACCACTCTAGCTTGGAATAGACTTCAAAGATCCATCAACCAAATGCAGATAAGGCATACAATCTTGGTTTATCCAAGTTCAAAAACTAACCATTAAAGCCATTTCTGAGAAAACTGGAAAACTACAAGCAAGCGTTAGATATGAGATGATATTAAGGAATTATTATTTATTTTGTTAGGTAATGCTGGTAAACAGAAATGTCATTATGTTAAGATTCTTTATTAGTGATATTCACTGACATATATACAGGTGAAATGAGATGATTTGGGGGATTTTCTCTAAAATATACTAAAACAAGAGAATTAGGACAAGAAATGATTTAAAGTAGATAAAGGACTATATAAAACATAATTAGATTTTTAAAGTTTGATGGCAATGAGAATTACATAAGAAAAACAAGGAAAGGTATGTAGGAAGTGTCACAAGTGGGGCTAGTAGAAAACAGCCATCCCTGCGCCATGTCCACCGTGGACAGGCCACTTGTGCTCTCCGGCTGCCCCTGAGCCCATCTGCCCCTCTGTCCTCTGGCTACACCGGGGCAGCCACAGCAGCCTCTGTCTGGGTGCCCATCCTGCTCAGCCACCCTTCAGCCACCCTTCACACCCTGTAGGCTTTGCACCCATCTCACCTTCTCATTGCAGATCCCGATCCCTGGACTGTGCCCTCACTCCCACCCCTTTACTGTAGTCTGCTCTCTCTCATTCCAGGGTACACAGCACCTTCTAGCGTACCATGAGCTCACTGGTCAGGTATGTCTTCCAGCACCAGAAGGCAGGCTCCCTGAGGGCAGGGGCCTCTGTCCACTGATGTTTGGCATATAGGACATACCCAAATATTTGCTGAGTGAAAAACGGATCGAGGCTCCAGCTTAAGACAATTACTCACCTGAATATTCTCTCTCACATATACAGCATAATCATCATTACCCAAGAAACCAGCTCGGTTTTTGTACGTCTGGCTCTCCGTCACAACAGCACCAGTAGACTACAAGAAATAAATACATTCAAAGAAAAAAAAAAAGGAGAACTCAATAAATCTACTCAAAAAGAAATGTCTGTGAAATCTATAATATTAAAAAGTAAAGGATGAAATCCTTTATTTTCTCTATAAAAATCTTCATTTAAAAAAGACTAATAGCAGTAGCATAGTAGGCAGAAATGAATCTCAAAAGCTACAAGTATACAAAATTTCCAAGGCACTTCCAAATTAATCCTATGAACAATTTACTCAGGTCAGAAACTGATGTGTCAAAACATGGTATTTTAATAAAATATCCTCTAATGGCTACCGAAGATCATGAGATGTTTGAACAAGGGTCTGTTCTGAAGCTAAAAGTAATTATGATATAGAAACCCAATCATCCCTTCAGTAGTGAAACACAGCTTTGTTCTGTGCCCGGCAACACCATAGGTTGGTTTTATGAAACAGTCCACAGTAGATATAGTTAATTCTTTCAAGGGACAGAGAAAGCCAAGGTGTAAGACTGTTAGAGCGCTAGACGGACAGCGGCCCAGGTGCGGGCGGTCACATGGGAGGCACTGACCATGGAGTAGGCGGCATCATCCATGTCCTCCACCACCTCCTCGTCAGAATACTCGTCGGACACCGTGTCTGCATCTGAGAGCTCCGTGACCTGTATGTCGGAGTGGTCCAGCAGCCACCCGACCAAGGCTTCCACACCTAAGAGAGGCACACACAGCACACCAGCCACTGTGAGTCAACAGCCCTGAAGCGGGAACCCACACACGTACAAGCAGAGGCCAGGAAAACGAAGTACCAGGCAAGCCGGACGCATTCCCGGAAGTACCAGTGAGAGACTTCAGGGCAAACTCGATGTTCCTTCTGGGAAATCCCATCTCCATGAGCTGCACCACGATCGGCAGAGCGGGAACGGGCGACTGCTTGCGCCTCTTCACTCTGGCAGGGCGGATGTGCTGCACGTTGACAGGCGTGGTGGCCTCACTGGAGCTGCAGTCTTCAAATCCTGGGCTCGAAGGGTGAGTGGACTCCACAACGGCCAGTGCAGCAGTCTGGACAGACAAGAGGGTCCTGGGAGGTTTGGGAAGTGCCCTCGGCTAGCTTACACAGTCTAGGAACATGGGGCATCATGCAAGTCTAGAAAGCCCACATTCACATGTGCGTTTTTCAATGAGTTCCTAAAACATGTTAGAAAATGACAAAGCCAAGTTTCGCAGTTTAATGCAGAGAAAATACTTGGTGGTAAAATAACTTGCCTGTTTCAGCAGACAGAGAGCCTACTAAATTAGCCAAGTATCAATGTCCATTAAGGAAAACTTCATTACAGCCCTAAGCGAGCAGTCACAGGGGCTTGAGGGAGCAGGGAGAAAGGCATTTCCCCTGCCTTAACCAGGCACTGTGGTGGCGGCCACAGGCACCTGTGTTTTAGACAGGCCAGAAATGACACAGGACTCTCATGTACCATTAAAACAACCCTCAACTATTCAAGGGTTAAATAACCACAGTGAGGTTAAACAAGGTATTAAAAAGTAAGAGAAATAAAAGAGTATTAGTTGGGAAACACACTGCAATGAATCAGTGAACATCTAAACTGCCAGTCTCTACAGCTGGGAACTCCCCACCTACAGCACAAATAGCACTTCCCTGATCTGTCTGCAACTCCCTGGTCCTCCTCCCCAGCTGCTCTCATAGCACTGACTTGCTATTTTGTTAAACGGAGCATGTGAGGAAGGAATCAGGAAGAAACCGAGGACACTGTGGAGCCCCCCGGTGCTCAGGAAGTATCAAAGCCTAGGGTTTTGCAGCGAAGTCTGGGTAACTTGGAAGTGACAGGTTTCATCCTAAAAGTTTAAAATTCAGAGCCAGATTGAGCCAAGAGTTCTGGTTCTGATAATGGGGAGTTAGGGTGCATTGGACTAACCCTTGGCTGATAATAATCATGAACTCTGGATAAAATATGTTTTAAAACTGCTTGAGGGCACTGGAGAACAGCTGACGCAATCAGCAATAAAACAAGCACAACCCCTGACCCCGAGAAGCCTGCAGGTAAGACGCGCATTTAACCACAGACGGCACACCTTCCTGCACTGCAGGGGCTGGGGTCCCGGCCTGCCAGAGCAACCAGAATGTGAGGGAAAGCCCGCCTGAGAAAGAAACCACAGAGGGAAAACCACGAAATATGCGGACGGACTACCCGCAAATCTACAGCTGAATCTAAACTGAAGCACCACTGAAGAGCCTGCGCTCGGCACAAAGGGACCGCTGGAAGGCTGCAGGGGCTCCCCAGCTGCCCAGGGCCAGGACAGCATCTGAGGCTCAAGCTCAACCAACTGGAGGTGGGGAGGAGAATGTCAAGGCTTCCAGTGACGCCCAGAAGAGATTCTAAATCCTTGAGAATTAAGGATCCACAACCAGGGCTAAGGGCAAATAAAAAATCATTAGAAAGCCTGGCACCAAGCCACCTCAGGATCAAGGAGGACTGCCAGGTACTGAACTGCCTGTGAGAAGAAAACTCCCCATTCTCCAGAGGAGGCAGAACCCAGAGCCAATACAATGTAACGTCCAAAGAATCCAGAATGAAATAAAAATTCTCATATGTGAAGGACAACAACCAATAACTGACTATAATCAAGGGAAAAAAACTGCAAAGAGCAGCAGACCAACAGGTGGGCAGATGTTAGAATTAGCAAACAAGAAATTCAACATAACTATCAGAAATATGTTTTAAAATGTACAGCAAAAGATAGATTTGGCCAGGCACGGTGGCTCACACCTGTAATCCCAGCACTTTGGGAGGCTGAGGCGGGCAGATCATGAGGTCAGGAGTTCGAGACCAGCCTGGCCAACATGGTAAAACCCCATCTCTACTAAATATACAAAAATTAGCCAGGCATGGTGGCAGGCACCTGTAGTCCTAGCTACTCGGGAGGCTGAGGCAGGAGAATCACCTGAACCCAGGAGTCAGAGGTTGCAGTGAGCTGAGATCACGCCACTGCACTCCAGCCTGGTGACAGAGCAAGACTCCATCAAAAAAAAAAAAAAAAAAAAAAAAAAGATAGACTTAAAGGATGAAGAAAGGAACTGTCAGAAGAGATATAAAACTATTAAATGAGAGCCAAATGGAAATAAGAGATGTGAGAAATATAAAATAAAGTATGTCTTGGATGGATATAACAACAGATTAGGCCCAACAAAGCAAAGCATCTTGACCTTTCAAACAGATCAAGACAAACTAACCAAGCTACTAACAAGGAGAAGACTTTCTATTAAAATCGTAAAAGGAAACTCACTAACAGTGTAACAGATGTATAATAGTATTTCCAGAAAAGAACAAAAAGAGCAAGGCGGGGGGAAAAAACAATAGTCAAAAGTTTCCAAATTTGGTAGGGGAACAAAAATCAAGCCAAAGATGCAAGCAGCTTCAGCAAATTTCAAGGAGGACGGTGGGGTGGGCGGGGTGTGCCACCATTGTATACATGAGCCCAGCTTAGGGAAACTGCAGAAAACCAAAGATAATAGAAAATACGAAAAGCAACCACAGAAAAAAGACATTTCATGAAAAAGAAGAGAACAACAACTCTCCATCAGAATCCATGGAGACAAAACAGCGGAAGGTCTTTTTTTGTACAACAGTCCTTCTCAGTTCCTGAAGGACAACTCTACACAGCCTTCCAGTTGTTCACACTCGGCATCTCCCAGCATGACTGCAGGGAGCACGTGCACCGCCCCACGTGCTCTCAAGTTGCTCAGCGTCTTCTTTTGATCTCTGCCAGGGAGACTGGAAACACAACCAGGCCCTTTAAAATGAACCTTCACCTCAGAGGTTCCCAGACCTGAGAAGAAGCTGGAGTTCAGAAGAGCTCATGGCCAACCTCCTCCCTTCCTGCCCACACCCGTTTCTTGCTTTCTCCCTTTGCACCCCCACCATCTTTCCAGCTCGTTCTAGGATTGGGGGAGGCCTCCCACCTGTCCAAGGCAGTGGCTGCCTCATCTGGACCCTTGCTCCCAGAAGGGCCCTGCTATCTGAGGGTTTCTGTTAGGGTAATTTCTGATTGCCAAACTGAGTACTGATAGTTTTATTTTTGTCTCTGATATTTTGTCCAGATTTTTAATGTATTACACAGCAAGAAAGATTTTGGAATGAACATCTCTAATCCTCTATGTTGCCAGCCATGAAAGCTCCCATCCCTCTTACACTCAATCACGTCGCCTCCTCTATGCGAACGTCCCGTAGCCCTGACCCTGTGCCTCGCTGCTGCCCTCACCTGCTCCACAGCATGGAGAGAGCGGAGAGGCTGGCGGCACCAGAGCACCCCCAAGAGGCTCCTGAGTGAATGAAACAGACAAACGGCTGCCAGAGTCCTGACGAGCCTCTTTGAATAATTCTACTTCCTGGAAAAAGATCCCTTCATGAAGATGTGAGCGTTTAACCCATGCTGCATCTAGTTAATATTTTTTCACAATTTACACAAACCCAAAATAAGGTTAAACTTCAACCCTCTCAGTCTTTAGTATTATAATGTTCTGCAGACTATGCACAAACATGGTTAAACCCCAATGAATCATTAGAATTATTTGCGTACTATCATTTAACATTCAGAATAGATCCTTAAGAAAATATACATCTAGAAAAAAAGTGTTCACAATTTAGTGCTGTGGATTAAAAACTGTCAAGGCTGCATGGCTGTACCTCAAGTTCCTGTTTATCAAATATGGCCTTCACAGGAGACGGCTGGGTGGCCGAGGCCAGCAGCTGCTGCAAGAGGATCATGGGGGGCTGCGGCCCTTCAGGAGACATGTCCCCAAGGTCAGGTGATACCACTGCTCCATCATCTGAATTTAAAAACAAAATATGTGTAAGATTCTATTTTCAACTGCGAACACCACTTTACTATTAAAGAAAATGCATTAAGCATGTTAAATCAGGTATGACTTCTGCCTCATTATGTGATAGAAAACCAAAATCTTCAAGGTTCAGACATCGAACAAAAACTAGACTCTAGGTTGGGTGCGGTGGCTCACGCGTGTAATCCCTGCACTTTGGGAGGCCAAGGCGGGTGGATCACGAGGTCAGGAGATCGAGACCATCCTGGCTAACACAGTGAAACCTCATCTTTATTAAAAACACAAAAAAATTAGCCGGGCATGGTGGTGGGCACCTGTAGTCCCAGCTACTTGGGAGGCTGACACAGAAGAATGGCATGAACCTGGGAGGCGTAGCTTGCAGTGAGCCGAGATCACGCCACTGCACTCCAGCCTGGGCGACAGACCAAGACTCGGTCTCAAAAAAAAAAAAAAAAAAAAAAATTAGCTGGGCATGGTGGTGCGTGCCTGTAATCCCAGCTACTCGCAAGGCTAAGGCAGGAGAATTGCTTGAACCAGGGAGTTGGAGGTTGCAGTGAGCCAAGATCACGCCACTGCACTCCAGCCTGGCAACAGAGCGAGACTCCATCTCAAAAAAAAAAAAAAAAAGGAACTAGACTCTAAACCACTTTCACTGCCTGCTTTTGGTCTCTGTCCTTCATTAGTGCATCTGTCTCTTAGAGCCAGCAAATGCTCCTTCCCAGATTTCTGCACTTGGTCTGATTCTTTCTCTTTTTCTTGAGATGGAGTCTCACTCTGTTGCCCAGGCTGGAGTGCAGTGGCACAATCTTGGCAAACTGCAACTTCTGCCTCCTGGCTCAAGTGATTCTCCTGCATCAGCCTTCCCTGTAGCTGGGACTACAGGCACATGCTACCACGCCTAGCTAATTTTTGTATTTTTAGTATAGATGGGGCCAGGCTGTTGATTAGATTTCACCATGTTGGCCAGGCTGGTCTCCAACTCCTGATCCACCCGCCTCGGCATCCCAAAGTGTTGGGATTACAGGCGTAAGCCACCATGCCTGACCTACACACTCTCTTTCATGTTCACTCACGGCTTCAGTAACCCCTGACACAGACACATCCCACGTGCATATTTCTAGCTGTAGCTTTTCCAGCTAAGCCTTGTTGAGATCATTAAGTGACCCCAATTCCAAATGTGTCATGTGCTCAGGGTGATGGCTTTTTGTCTGTTATGAGTAGCTTTAGGTGCAGCCTTTAGGACTCTGTTTGACACAGCCCCAGGGAGATCCACTGCGCTCAAGCCCACTTCACACATCTAGGTACTCATCCAGGTACTCACAGCATTTGCATGTGCTGGTTTTCTTCAGTGACAATTTCAACTAACTAGACCAGGAGCTGGAAATCTTTCTCTTAAAGGGCCAGAGAGTAAATAGTTTAGGCTGATGGGCTGTACAGTCTCTGTCCCAACTACTCAGCTCTGCCATTGCAGAGCAAAAGCATCCAGAGACGATGTGTAAACAAGTGGTGTGCCTGTGTTCCCATAAAAATTTACAAAAACAGGTGCACGGCAGTTTTGTCAATCTAGCTCTGTTCGGAGTCCCTGCTCGGCCCAAAGCACAGACTTGATCATCCTGATTCAGGTCTGCTGTAATTGCTCATCGGGCTGAGTGCAGAACAGAACAGCCAATCCAATTCCCAGGCTCCAATCTCCCAATCTCTACAACTGGGAAATCTTCATGTTCCCTACGACCTCTACTATTAATTGATTCTATACTTTCAATTGATTTCTTTCATCCTCAGCAGGTTTAAAATTAATTTCATAGCATCCTCTCCTCTTAAGAAGCAAACGCACACACTCCACATTCTACTGGACTTATTTGTTTCAAACACACTACTCAATATTCCTCCCTCAACTCAAGCTTGAAACAGCAGTCACCTTCCACTTTTTGCTGGTTCCCCATAAAGTTATCATCTACAAGACTACACCATCACAGTGGATGGCACCTTCCTTCCACCAGAACCTTCTTTCCCTTTTCATGCCTTCCCCCTCATCACCTGACGCAGGAGCAATTCTCCATCTCTGTCATCTCCTGTTTCAGATACTCCTATACCTTCCTAGCAGGTGTATCACCCGAAGGTCAATGCTTACCATGTGGCCCCTACCACAGCTTTCCAAGTGGGCCTCAAGTTTCACCCTGGTCTCCCAGGTACTCTGTAACAGGATGTCAGCTGCCCATCTAGCTTCAGCCCCACCACTCATCGAAAAACCCTGAGCTCCAAGAAGAGGAGAGCTGCTCAACGTGCTTCCAAAGACTCACCACGTTCACTCCTCTCCTCCTGCCTCCACCACCAGCAGAGTGCTTGTCTGCTGGCATCTGTCTGCCACAGCCTTCAAAGGCTGCCCGTCCAGTGCTCAGCTGCCACTGGCTCCAGACGCCTGTGGAACCACTCACATGCCTCACCGCCCCCTGGCCCCAGAGAACAAAGAGAGCCATCTGCATTCACTTCCTCTCCTCATCCAAACCCTAGAGAGCAATGATCATAGAAAAGGACTTCTCCGCAAAAGACTTAGCATAATGTCTTTCAATAGTTGGAGATCAAAAAATGTTTTTTTCTATTAAAAGTAACACAAGCTCATTCTAGAAAACTAAATATAGAGAAATATAAAGAAAATAAAGACAGCCAAAATTCCACCAAAGATTACTGGGTCACTGTTTTGCTAAACAGATAACTATGGCATATCTATAAACGGATATACATAGCAGTGTGCTTTTCTGTTCACTTACTGTTTTCATGTTTCCACAGCAATAAACATATACAGCTAGCCCTCCGTATCCATGGGTTCTGCATCCAAAGATTCAACAAACCACACATCAAAAATATTCAGAATAAAACAATTTTTTAAAATATAATTTTAAAAAGAATAGCAATAACAACTATTTACATATCATTTATTTTATTTTTATTTATTTATTTTTTTTTTTGAGACAGAGTCTCGCTCTGTCACCCAGGCTGGAGTGCAGTGGCACGATCTCGGCTCACTGCAAGCTCCGCCTCCTGGGTTCATGCCATTCTCCTGCCTCAGCCTCCCAAGTAGCTGGGACTACTGGCACCCGTCACCACGCCCAGCTAATTTTTTGTATTTTTAGTAGAGATGGAGTTTCACCGTGTTAGCCAGGATGGTCTCAATCTCCTGACCTCGTGATCTGCCCACCTCAGCCTCCCAAAGTGCTGGGATTACAGGCGTGAGCCACCGCACCCAGCCTATATATCATTTATATTTTTAAAGTATTTCGGAGGATGTGCATAGGTTATATGCAAATACTACACCATTTTATAGAAGGGCCTTAAGCATTAGTGAATTCTGGTATAACTGGGGGTCTTGGAACTCATCCCCATGGATATTGAGGGAAGACTATACATGTACCATCATTTTGAATGGCACCATGATATCACACTGTACGGATACACAACATAAGAATGGGTATTTTGGTGTCTACAGTTTTTCAATACAAAAACAATACCAAAAAGGAGGCCATAACGACACTGTTGAATACATTATTTTTATTTATTATTTTTTTTGAGACGAAGTCTCACTCTGTCACCCAGGCTGGAGTGCAGTGGCACAATCTGCACCCTGCAATCCGCACACACGGCAACCTCCGCACCCCCCGGTTCAAGTGATTCTCCTGCCTCAGCCTCCCAAGTAGCTGGCATTACATGCAGCCACCACTATGCCCCGCCAATTTTTTTTTTTTTTTTTTTTTGAGACAGAGTCTTGCTCTGTTGCCCAGGCTGGAGTGCAGTGGCGCCATCTCGGCTCACTGCAAGCTCCGCCTCACAGATTCATGCCATTCTCCTGCCTCACCCTCCCGAGTAGCTAGAACTGCAGGCGTCTGCCACCTTGCCCAGCTAATGTTTTGTATTTTTAGCAGAGATGGGGTTTCACCGTGTTAGCCAGGATGGTCTCTATCTCCTGACCTCGTGATCCGCCCGCCTCGGCCTCCCAAAGTGCTGGGATTACAGGCATGAGCCACTGTGCCCAGGTGGTGAATACATTATCTTTACATGCCTTTTCGTGTGATAAAGTCCCACAGAATGACTTGCTGGGCCAAAGTATATAAATACATACATACATCTATGCATTTCAAAGTCCAACTCATTTCCTCAGACGCCCATTAGATGGCTACACCAACTGAAATTCCCAGCAGCAGCGTGTTCATGGAGTGCGGCTTTACGCGCATTTGAAGAACCAGCTTAGGTTCATCTTGTTACAATACAGGCTCTATTTCTTTGGTCTGGGGTGCGGCCTGGGAGTCTGCATTTCTAACACATACCTGTGTGCCACCAATCTTGCTGACCCATGCAGCAAACTTTAAATGGGAAGGCATGAAAATACCTTTTTCCCTCCCCACCCACCAGATGCCCTCAGTCTTGTCTTATAAGATGACGATGACAATTTTATTCACAGTTGGTGGTTGCTGGGCAGGCCACGTGTCTGTTTTGTACATTTATAAGCCACCTATGTCCATTTTTATGAACTGATTATTCACTTCCTTTGTCTACTTTCTACTGCCCTTCTTATAAAGATTTAAGAACTTTTTAAAAAGACACCTGTGTGAACAGTTCCAGTCTCCTGAACAGCTGGCTGAGACAGGATCTGCCGCAGTTTATCCTGGTGGGAGAACAGCGCCCGACCTGCTTTCAGGATGTATAGCTTCAACTGCTGGCACCGCAGCAGGTCCAGGTCCACTTGTCCTGCGGAAGGAAAGACTCAGTGAGAAGGGCGTGCCCTGCTCAGACTCCCTCCTCGCCAGCAGCAAGCCTCCGCCACATGGCGACGAGTAACGCTCTGCCCTTCAGGAATCTGCCGACCGCACACACTGTCCGTGACGAAGGGCTTGCCTTTCCCAGAGTTACACTCGGTGCTTCTGGGTAAGCATCTTCTGCCTCCTGGGTCTTCCTTCCCTGCTCTCCAGGCACCTAACTTGATAGGACGCAGGATTCAATGGGTTTAACACGGTTAGAACCATGTTAGCTACTATTAATATGATCAAATGTTCCCCAAGTTGCTGAAGTTTCAGCCGCTTCCACTCTTCTTCTAAGACTCCTCTGAGAGAATCTGTCAGCCCCACTAGCTCTTTAACTGATGAAGATCGCAGCAATGCCCAAGGCTTATCTGATAGCAGAGGCCGCAGAAGCAGCACAGAGAGCATGGGGTGGGAAGGAAGGAGGGCCGCAGGTGCCGCTCGGACACTGGCTCAACTAACTGGCAGACAGTTTTATTCACCACGATGGGAAACGGCAGCTACTAGAGAAAGCCAGCCAGCTGAATTTCGGACATATGATGATTTGCATGCACTGCACCTCCAACCAGAGATGTGAATGGGAGATCCAGAGTTGAAAGTGCTTACATCATATATGCTGAAGCAGCAATCGTAGGTCTGTGGGAGCAAGAGGGGAGAAAACTCAAGAAGACTGGGCAGAATATGCCATAGTTATGGGTGAAGCCACACAGACTTCCAGGACATAAAGAATGAGCAGAGAGAAGAGCTCCCTAGAAACATGGAAACAAACTCAGGAGAGCCGCATTCTAGACCTGAAGGAAGGCAAAGCCAAGCCAGGCTACAGTCACAGTCTTAGCCATCCTGAATGTCACAGGCAAGCCAGGCGCTTCCGGGACAGAGGCCCCTGGATCCGGCAGAGAACAGGCTGTGAGCCATGGTCCAACAGGGTGACGGGGCCACAGGGCCCTGGGATGGAGGGGAGGAGGGAAGAGGTGAACAGACTTCTCTTCCGGGATAAAGGGTGACACGGAGAAGAGGGTGTGAGCCATGGGGTTCTTCAAGTGTGGCTCCGAACATGGCGACAAAGGCTGACTCGAAAATACTCATTACCACGAACACAGGGTTACATTCCCAACCGCAACTCAACAAATGGTGAGCCCACGTGAACCCCAGGACTTTAGTACGTCCGTGAATTCACTCATAAAAGAACACTGTACAAACGACACGAGTTTAAGACGGCAGCTATTTCATCAAGAAGCGCCATGTACTGACCTGCAAAGGCCTGTTTAGTCGATTTCTTTATTTTGTGCTTTTCTAACTTGCTTCCAGCGAGGTTCACCAACTGAGCCCAGACAGACAGCATGGGCTCTGTGAAGGGCAGGTTGTTCACATTAAAGGCCACGGCAGGGAGCTGGAGAGGACACAGAAGCTGTCAGAGTGTGGCCAATATGACTAACAAATGAAACGTTCTGAAAGTCATCAAAACCATGGGCTTAATCCTGAAATGCCACACATACCCGTAAGCCTTTTTATAGCTGAGAATAATCATTTTTTAAAATGACATTAAAGGCAGGATAGAGATTTACACATATAATAAGTATAATCTATATTAATTTTTCTTTACAAACCTGTCAACAATAATTACATCAGTGTGGTGGTTACTATCTTCTCAGATATTTTCTATATACTTCAAGTTTTCTACAACATGTATATATTCCTATAATAATAAAAAAGAGTACTTTATAGAAAATATAGTCAGGCCGGGCACGGTGGCTCACGCCTGTAATCCCAGCACTTTGGGAGGCCAAGGCGGGCGGATCACCTGAGGTCAGGAGTTTGAGACCAGCCCGGCCAACATAGTGAAACCCCATCTCTACTAAAAATACAAAATTAGCCAGGCGTGGTGGCACACACCGTAATCCCAGCCACTCAGGAGGCTGAGGCAGGAGAATCGCTTGAACCCGGGAGGCAAAGGTTGCAGAGGGCCGACAACATTGTGCCATTGCACTCCAGCCTGGGTGACAAGAGCAAGACTCCATCTCAAAATAAAAAAGAAAAAGAATATATAGTAAGATTGCACTTGGGCTACATGAAAATAATGTAAATGGCTCCTTCTCCCTGTGCATCCTTGATTCACAGATTAAGATGACAGTAGCTGCTACATTAAGTCACGTCACTCAAAACTACTAAGCATTTTCTACATGAAGAAAGGCTGTTTTTTTAAAGGTGTTTAAACATGTTTGTTTTTTTAAAACTTGAGTTGTTGAATAAAAAGTAAACTTCATAAATTCACATTTTAAAATAATTAGAACTACCTCATAGATGCACGGTACCTTCTAGGTTGCTAAAGCCCTCTTCGTGTCTCTGAGGCTGAAATACACACGAACCACTGCTTTAAGTGCCCTGTGAGACAGGCCCTGCTTACCACAGAAGCACAAGCTCACACAGCTTCCTGGAAGGCAAACTTCAAGTACCAGAATCAAGTTCTTTCAAGTGCTGATGTTGGTGCTCGGTTCTAGTGTAAAGTCAATTTCCCTTATCATGCAGTAACTAAGCACAAGTTCACCTACTGGTTTCAGCTGATTCAATGGGCAAACGTGACACGTCCGCATGTCAGAGAACTGCACGGTGATTTTGCCCTTCAGGGTGATGCGAGTCATGGTGACTTCTCCAAAGTCATCGTGCACAACTTGGCCGCCCAGGCACAGGCGACCATCGATGCCTCCAACCACAGCCAGGACCGCCATGAGGCCCCCCACTTCAGGGTTCTCGGAATCAGGGAAGTAGTCCTCTAACTGGGCCTAGTGCAGACCAAACAGCGAGCTCGACCGGGGACACTCACGGAGCTGCCCAATCCCTACAGGTTTACTGTTCAACTAAATTAATTCTGAGAACACAAACCCACCCCTTTGGAAGGCCTTCCCGCAAAGCTGTGGGTGATGGAGCGGAGCTGGGAGTTGATGTACTTGTTGATGAGCCCATTCCACTGAGTCAGGGAGTGCAGCGTGTGCAGCAGTGCCACCACCTCCTCCGCCAGTGTGCTGCTGTGGGTGGCAGTCAGCGAGGCCTGCGGGCACACCCTGCGCCGCCTCAGCGTGGACTCTGAGGAGGAAACCAGGGGAGAAGCTGCTGCACCACTCTTCACCAGGGCACAGGGAAGGGAGACGGCCACTCACCTCTGAGTGACGGCACTGCGCCGCTCTTCACCAGGACACAGGGAAGGGAGACGGCCACCCACCTCTGAGTGATGGCACTACACGGCTCTTCACCAGGACACAGGGAAGGCAGACGGCCACCCACCTCTGAGTGACGGCACTGCACCGCTCTTCACCAGGGTACAGGGAAGGGAGACGGCCACCCACCTCTGAGTGATGGCACTACATGGCTCTTCACCAGGACACAGGGAAGGGAGACGGCCACCCACCTCTGAGTGACGGCACTGCACCGCTCTTCACCAGGGTACAGGGAAGGGAGACGGCCACCCACCTCTGAGTAACGGCACGTCAGAGGAGCACATAGTGAGCAAGCTCCCCAAGAAGTCAAACAGCTTCTCCATGAGGCATTTCATGTCCCTCGCCCTTTCGGTCTTGTCCCATGACGGAAGGACTGCTTGCAACAAATGCACAGCTAAGATCTGATAAAAGAAAATTTAAAATGACAAGCATTAAAAAAAATCTGATGAGGAAACTACAGATTGTTATTTTCTTTTTTTTTTTTTTTTTGAGACAGAGTCTCGTACTGTCGCCCAGGCTGGAGTGCAGTGGCACGGTCTTGGCTCACTACAACCACCACCTCCCAGGTTCAAGCGATTCTCCTTGCTTCAGCTTCCTGAGTAGCTGGGATTATAGGCACTCACCACCAAGCCCGGCTCATTTTTTTTGGATTTTCAGTAGAGACAGGATTTCACTATGTTGGCCAGGCTGGTCTCAAACTCCTGACCTCATGATACACCTGCCTCTGCCTCCCAAAGTGCTGGGATTACAGGCATGAGCCACTGCGCCCAGCCTCTCTTTATTTTCTGTTCTCATAATGCAAGTAATCATGTGAAAATTTTGAGATTCATTATTTTACAGCCAGGTAATTACACTCAAGTTGATTAGTGATTAGGATTGTCAGGGACTTTAGAAAAAAGCAACATTACAGATGCATGTGTTTAATTAAAAAAGAATTATTTTTAGTTTAATTCTTAAGACAATTACACTACAAATTCTGTGAAGCAGATGAGTAAGTAGTTGCAGGATTTACCACTTAAGAGAAAAGCAGGTAAACTGAAGGTTAGCAACTTACCAATTATCAAGGACCTCTGCCCCTTGCCTCCAGAAAATCTACCCTGTCACTTCTAGACCCTTTCTGCACTCGTTACGGAATAAAGGCCCCTGACTCTGAGGGCAGGGAACTTCAGTACATGGAGGCCTCTCTCAGGGAACTGGTTTTGCCTGGCAGCACATTACCTGCCTCTGCAGCGAGGTGGCAGTGAAGGGTGCGTGCCCTTCCACGACCTTCATGAGCAGCGTGATCCACTGCAGGGAGCTGAGGGTGCCGCACACCTGCAGCGTGAGAGCGATGCTCTGCACAAACCCCAGCGTGCACCAGCTCCGGTGTTGCTCCCTGTACACCAGCCTGTTTGGAGAAGCGGCGGGAGGGAAAATAGACATGCTTGGTAACAAGTCCCTAAAGACAAATCCCTAAAGATATATCCTTATTTTTTTATCAACTTATTTTCTACAATAAGCTCCTTTAAAATATATTGCAGTTTGTAAATTAATTCAAACTAATTCAAAGTGAGAAGTGGAAGGCGGCTTTTAAGTTAGTTCAAGAAACATTTCCGAAGTTTTCTTTTTTTTTGTTTTTTTTAGAGATGGGCCCTCACTATGTTGCCCAGGCTGGTCTAAAACTCCTGGGCTCAAGTGATTCTCCTGCCTTGCCCTGCCGAATAGCTGGGACTACAGACATTTTTAAAACCTTCTAAATATGTGTCGTAAAAGTAGTTAGGGAATTTTAGCTATGTATTGTTTCTAGGCAATAGGAAAATGATCTATAATTCAAATAGTAATTTGCAACAGTGCATCTATTATATTTTTAATTTCGTGTTTTAAATATCTCCACAATCTTGGTTATATTTAATCTGCACCACTTAAATACTCTTTTTGTAATTTTAGTAGAGACAGTTTCCAATCCAAGTTTAATGCATCTGCATTAACAAAATGAGTTTTTCACTAGGTTTACACCACTGGATTCTGGCACCAGTGGGCCCACCTCTGCTCCGCCTGGCTCCAGGACTCCACTACTCCCTGAATGGAAGCTGAGGCTTGGAGGCTGGGCCCCCTGAGGGACCCCGCCCACAGCCCCACAGGACCTGCTCTCCCTCCCACCTCCCCCACCCTGCCCTCAGCTATCCAAGCTTATGAGGACACCTGCCTTCCTTCAGCACACTCACATGCGCTCACACACACACACACTCACTCTCACACCCTCATATGCATCCTCACACTCACACTGATACTAAGTTATTCAGACACACTCATGGGCACTCATACACCCACCCTCACACTTTCAGGTGCACTCACACCACTGTCGCAATCACTAACACACAATCCCAGTCACACGTATGCACAAACAGATGCAAGCTGACACACACTCCCATGCACTCTCACATACACTTACCCCTCCCAATGCATACAAAAACTCACATATGCACTCACACTCCTCAACACTAGTAATGACCGATTACTCACCCATTCACACCTTTACCCACACACTTTCTCACTTTACACTCACACCTATACTGTTATAACCTCCCATTCACTGACACAAGCAAAATGCTCACATTCACTCACACGCATTCACAATAACATCACTCGTGCTCACACTGACACAAGGCACTCATACATTTACACAAATGCTCACACTCAATCGCACACTTACACATGTGCCTGCCACCCACTCATACTTCCTCACACTCACCAACCCTCACTGACTTACACTGACTTACACTTACACTGGGTGTCTCATTCGCACACCCAGTAATCCCCTCACACTCACACTCATGCCTCCCTCGTGCTCACCCTCACACACACACATTGGCTCAATGCACCGACGCTTTCACTCCCACTTCACCTGAATGTAGTCACCTGCCCACTCACATGCTCTCATGGACATACACACACCCACACAACCACATGCTACAAACACACCATCACACTTGCAACACAAACGCTCAGCCACTTGCCCATCGACCGCTAACACACTCACTCTCATCAATATGTGCGGACGCTCCAGCACACCACTAATACACGCATGCTCTCACACACACTGGAGGACGCCCACATACCCACCCACACTCACATGTGCTCACTCTCAGTCACATGCACACTCACCCCACTCCCTCAGCTCACATTTCTCATACTTACTCTCCACACACACAAACACTTTATGGATTAAACTGTGCCTGTCCTCCAACTTCACATACATTCGGAACCTCAGAATATGATCTTATTTAATGAGGTCTCTGTAGACGTCATTAAGGTAAGAATTTAGGTGACATCATGTTGGATTAGAGTCAAAGAAACTCAATGAAAGAGTCCTTTCAGAGACAGAAAAGGACATGCAGAACACAGGGGCAGGGGCCATGTGAAGACGCAGGCAGAGACTGGCACAATGCGTCCCAACACCAAGGAAGCCTGGAGCTCCCAGAAGCTGGACAAAGTAAGGAAGGACCTTCCCCTAGAGCCTGTGGAAGAAGCATGGCCCTGCCCGCACCCGGATTTGGGACTTCTGGTCTCCAGAACTCTGAGAGAACAAATTTGTTGTTTGAAGCCAGTGTTACGGGTTGAATTCAGAATTGCAAAATTCGTATGTTGAAGCCCTAACCCCTACCGTACCTCGGCAGGTGACCTTGTTTGGAAATAGGGTCGCTGCAGATGTAATCAGTTTGATGAGGTTGAATGATGTCCTCATGAAAAGGGGAGATTTGGAGGCGACTCACACACAGGGAGAATGCCATGTGAAGATGACGGCAGAGATAGGGGTGACACCTCTACAAGCCGAGGAACGCTAAAGAGACCAGTAAACTCCAGAAGCTGGGGCAGAGCCCTGAAGCAGCTTCTCCCTCACAGCCCCAGAAGGAACTACCCTTGATCTCAGCCTTCCAGCCACCAGAACCGTGAGAATTTCTACTGTGTAAGTCCCTAAGTTTGTATACTTTGTTACAGCAGCCACAGGAAAGGAATCCACACACATCCACACCCACCCACATGCACACCCAGACACGACAAGCGTGCGGCCCCCAGCGCTGACTCCCTGGGCCCTCGATCTCTCATTCCATACATGTCTTGTCCGTCATTCCGCTTTCCACTAACATTTGCAGCAGTCCGCATAAAGTCTTGGTGGCTTCACTCTGCATGATCTCAGCATGAACTCCAGCAGACAGACAAAGAGTCTGCAGTAAGTTAATAGTGCTGGTAAACATCATTGCAGTGGGGTGAATGTTCCTTTCAGTTTGTTCGGCTTCTAAAAAAAATAATCAAAATTACAAATTATATTGGCAGCCCCAGCCTCTTGGATGGTCTTACCAAGCCCAACCATGTGAAGCTTCACGTGTTTTAGGAACAGCTAAGAAATGTCACGAAACCTCCTCCCACAACCTGGATCTCCACAGATAGGATCTAGCTTTCTTGGTCCACCCCTAAATTCTCACCTCTGCTTCCCTAGAAGCGATAAAGTGCTGACTAACTCCACATTACATGAAGAGTTCAGAGTCAGGGACCACAGAGGAAAGGTAAAAGCAGGTGGCAGGTGGGGTGTGCTTGGGCAGGGGCTCTCACTGGAGGAGGACGCGATGGACCGAGACCGCAGGGCAATTCCACCAGGCCTCGGCTCACTCGCTCAGATGCAGGCTCAGCACCAACCACATGAGACTCACTGGTGATGCAGCTGCCCCCACCTGGCCACCACATTCTCAAAGAGGGGCGGGTGCACACATGAGAGGAAAATGCAGAAAGTCAGTTCCAGCCAGATCGCCGGATCCCACAGTCACTCCACACACCTGCATCGGAGGTGCCTGGGAGCTTATTTAAATTACAGGTTCCGAGGACAGAGCGCCAGCTGCAGGTGTGTCCTGACATCCCATTCTAAGGCCCAGATGGCAGTGGCAGCACCCAGCAACTGGACAGTTTGTAGGCTGCCTTGGACTAAACACCTTCCTGAGTCACCCACCAGAGTCGTCCTCTGTGTCCGAATCCTCTGCTGAGGGCTGTGCAGGGGCTGGCAGCTCTGCCAGCTTGAGGTCGTAATTTCCTTCTTTCCCCATCCTGTAGGAGTTGGTGCTGCCTGTGTCCCACTGGACTCTTATCCACCCGTCCTCTCCCAGCTCACCAATCACTCGGCCTAGGCCTGGAGGAGGCCTATCCTGAGAAAGCCAAAGTAGAGATCAGTTAGGAGGGTGCGTAACCTGCCCTGGTCCTTCCATGGCTCCCAGCAGACCTCAGTTAGGACGGTGTGTGCCCTGCCCTGGTCCTTCCATGGCTCCCAGCAGACCTCAGTTAGGAGGGTGCATGCCCTGCCCTGGTCCTTCCATGGCTCCCAGCAGACCTCAGTTAGGAGGGTGTGTGCCCTGCCCTGGTCCTTCCATAGCTCCCACCAGACCTCAGTTAGGAGGGTGCCTGCCCTGACCTGGTCCTTCCATGGCTCCCAGCAGACCTCAGTTAGGAGGGTGCCTGCCCTGCCCTGGTCCTTCCATGGCTCCCACCAGACCTCAGTTAGGAGGGTGCGTGCCCTGCCCTGGTCCTTCCATGGCTCCCACCAGACCTGCCACACAGATGTCGCCATATGCCACCCTGTCTGTCAGGGGCTGTCCCCAGACACAGATTTCACCTCTCCTACAAAATGTGTGCTTGCATCATTTTAAATTAAATGGCATAAAATAACGTGCTCATGCTGCTTTACCAAGGAAGTCGGGGAAATCTCATCTCAATGAGGATCCTCTGAGTCAATGCAGAGACAGGGCTTTGCAGCAAGTCCTGTCCCCACAATCCCTCACGGGCCTTGCAAGAGCGGAAACCTGAAACAAGCACCAGCACCTCCACATTCCCTTTGCTTCAGTTTCCCCTGGGCCCCAGGGGGAAGCTCTGTCTCTCACTTCTGCAGGAGAAAGCTGTTTCTAGGATGGATGCTGTCTCCAGACACTGCTATTTCTAAGATGACTGTGACAAAGCCAGGGCTTACCAGCGTGGCTGAGAAAAGCCAGACAGACCATGGGAAGGTGAACACTGCCCTAACTTAGCTAGGGCTGTGGTAAGTGACTTCCACCTGGGGGCACCTGGCAGAGATTTAGAAGAGATCTGCGATGAGGGAAGATGGAAACGTGGCCACAGGCCCATGAAGTAGATCCCTAACTACTGGCTTCAGGGCACTTCGCAGCACATGGCCATCAGCCCACAGGGGCAGCATCTGGGCTTCCTGCCTCAGAGCCTTCACTACACCAACTTTCAGAATGAGATTTACTCTCTTGCTCACTCTCACACTCTTGTTCCAGTGACCCATCAAACTGAGCCTCATGCCAGTGAGTTTCCTGAAAAGAGCTGCCTCTCTTTCCAGACTTGATTCTGCTCAGATGCCCTACTTACGATTCCCTGTTTGTGTTCACTCCCTTCAGCTGCTCGGGAACCAACACCTGTGTCATCGATCAACTGACACATCCTGGATTATTCCAATTTCCACCCACCAATATCGTACAGAACTATGCAGAAGATAACTAATGTGTGGCTAATGTGTTCACATCAAATCTCTGAGTACCTGATCGCCCCATTTCCAGTCCACACCTCTCATGACCCTTGTTCCAATCTTCATCATGGCAGCCAGTTCTGGCCCTGAAACAGGGAGCTGCACAGGAGCCGTTTCCTTCCTTGTTTCTTCCAAAACTGTGGCAGAAGCACCTTGAGCAGAAGCATTCATATCTTCCTCAACGCTGTCACAACTGGGGCCTGACGGAGCGTCAAAAACAATAGCTGAGCCAACAAGTAGCTACAGTGTCCCCTTAATACACACAAAACATTCACAAAGTACTAATGAAGATCGTAATTTTGAACAATCCATACTATATGTTTTATCAATATAATATTATGAATATTTTACTGATATAGGATAAAAAGAAGATAAACGGAAGGATGAAATACATAAATATCCTAGGAAGATATAAAAGATATTAAAATGCTCAGTAAAGCTACTTTCTCTACTTCTAGGAATTACTCCCCTGAAAAAAGCAAAATAACTGAGTTAGAAAGATCCTCATCACATTTTTTATTAATAGAAAAACAAAGATAACTACCTAAATATCTAACAGTGGGAAACTAACAAACTTTAATCATGGTTCTGTGCAGAAGACAGCTAACAGCTGGCCCGAGATACAACCTCAGACAGGGTTGCTGCAGGCTGGCCCTCAGCTGGAGTCTGGATCTCAGGAGGGCTCCCCCATTCCCTAGGTGGTAGGTGTGGTTCCCTGTGCCTGAACTGTCTGTACAAACAATGTGGTCTGTGCTGAAACCTGCTTTCCTTAGTCTGGAACTTGGTACACGCCAGGCAGGGGGTGCCCGTGTGATCAGTCCTGATGGAAACCGTGGGCCTGGAGTCTCTACCCAGCTTCCCGGCAGACAGCACTTGACACGGCTCGGTGCCAGGGCAGTTAAGCTCGTCCTGTGTGGATCCTGTGGAAGCTTGTACCTGCTTTCCTCTGGACTTTACCCATGTCCTTTTTCATGATTTTGCTCTGTGTCCCTTCACTGTAATAAACTATAGCCCTGAGTACAACTACATGCTGAGTCTTGTGAGTCCTCCTGGCCAACCATCAAACCTGGGGGTGGTCTTGGAGACCCCTGACAATTGGTGCCCTGGGTGGCTACAGAGTCATCCATAGCACAAAACAGAAGCCGAGCTGCTGTCACCTGAGAGAAGTAAACTTCCCAATGGATCTGAAAATAGGAGCGCTAACCCTAGGAGAGTAGGCTAGATTTTTAACCCCCCTTTTCCCACTTGCTAAACTGAGAGGGGGTAGGAGTGTGGTTCTGGTAACTCCCTTGATTTTAGTTTTCTCCTCCAGGTGGGAGGGAAAAAGATCCAAACAGTCCCAAAGGTGGGCTGGGGTGGACCAAAAAATGTAAAAAGTTTGTGTTTCTCTCTCTTCCAAGAGAACAAAAAAGGATATTCAATTCCCAGGGCTGGAGCAAAACTTTAGATAAACTAGCAGGAGAAACAGCCTTTCCTTTAGCCTAGCCGCTACTTTAGGGCCCCCAGGAAGGGGCCCCAAGGAAGGGACAGGAGTTGCATTCCAGGTGGATCTCCCAGGATCCCCTGGGCAGCTATACTGTTAACTCTGTAAAGACTGAATTTATTGCTAAGGGCTTGAATAAATTTGCAACCAAAACCGGGGGGAATTTTTTTATTTTACATAGCTTTATGTTTTGTGGCTGTTACATGTGGATGTATACATTAAGCTGGTATAAAATATTATATGTTTATAATTTCTTAAATGATAAGAAGGATACCCTGATCAGGGCAAGCTGCAAATATAGACGGATATTCATGAGACACAACTTCCTTGCTTTTTGCAGCCAGTGGGCCAGATGAAATTTAAACACATGAATATTATCAACAGAACAAGTCCCCATACTTAATGATTTGTGCTGTGATTTTTACTTATTGGAACCTCTGGGGGAAAAGTAGACAACATAAAAAGGCCATTTCTCGATGGAGATATGCTTTTGTAATTTTTAAATGCAACTTTTGGTTGCTAATGAGGCCTCAGGAAATCAGATATAACCCTTACTAGATGATTCTTTTCAGCTGTAATACACATATTAAAATATATATTTAACATAATACAACATATAAACATAATATATAAATTAAAAAATAATTATATATATATATAGAGAGAGAGAGAGACAGACAGACAGACAGACAGATAGATAGAAAGATTCCACCCACCCCCAAGACAGGATTTCACTCTGTCACCCAGGCTGGAGCCCAGGCTGGAGTGCAGTGGCTTGATCTCCGCTCACTGCAACCTCTGCATCCCTGGCTCAAGCAATCCTCCCACCTCAGCCTCCCAGGTAGCTGGGACCACAGGCACACACCACTATGCCCAGCTAATTTTCGTATTTTTTGTAGAGAGAGGGTTTCGCTATGTTGCCCAAGTTGGTCTCAAACTCCTGAGCTCAAGCAATCCACCCGCCTGAGCCTCCCAAAGTGCTACGATTACAGCCTGGCCTGATACATATTTTTGAATGGATTAATGTGAACTCTAAAACTGATGTGATTATAAGAGCTTGGGAAAACCTTGCTTTTTCACTGTGACTTTGACAACTGGCCCTGCAGCATCTCAGTTTTAGCCAAAGAACACCACCATAAACCAATCAGATCTAATAGACATATACAGAACATTTCACCAAAAAGAGCAGAATACACGTTCTTCTCAAGTATACCACAGGACACTCTCTTAGACTGACCAGACCATATGTTAGGCCACAAAGTCTCAAATTTAAACAGACGAAAATCATACAAGTTACCTTCTCCAACCAAAAGGAAATGATGAGAAATTAATAACAAAAGGAAAAGTGGAAAATTCACAAGTATATGAAAATTAAACAACACATGGTAAACAATCAGTGGGTCAAAGAAGAAATCACAAGGGAAATTAGAAAATACTATGAGATGAATGAAAACACAACACACCAAAACTTCTGTGCTGGGCCAAAAGCAGGGCTAAAAGGGGCAATTATACTATAAAAGTCTGCATTTACAAAAGATGATCTCAAATCAATAACTCTACATCTGGAAGAACTAAAAAAATAAGAACACAATAAAAACCAAAGTTAGGCCAGGTGTCGTGCCTCACACCTGTAATCCCAGCACTTTGGGAGGCTGAGGCAGGTAGATAACTTGAGCCCAGGAGGTTGAGGCTGCAGTGAGCCATGAGTGCGCCACTGTACTTGGGCCTGAGGGACAAAGTAAGACCCTGTCTCAAAACAAAGACAAAAACAAAAACAAAAAAATACAAAGCAGAAAGAAGGAAACGATAGAGATTAGAGCAGCCATAAATTAAATAGAGAATAGAAAAATAATCTACAAAACCAAAAGTTCGGTTTCTGGCAAGAACAAAAAATCTGACAAACTTTTGGTAAATTAAGAAAAAAAGAGGCCAGTCAAGGTGGCTCACGCCTCTAATCCCAGCACTTTGGGAAGCTGAGGTGGGCGGATCACAAGGTCAAGAGATTTAGATCATCCTGGTCAACATGGTGAAACCCCATCTCCACTAAAAATACAAAAAAAATTAGCCAGGCCTGGCGGCAGGCGCCTGTAGTCCCAGCTTACTTGGGAGGCTGAGGCAGGAGAATCACTTGAATCCAGGAGGCGGAGGTTGCAGTGAGCCAAGACTGTGTCACTGCACTCTGGCCTGGCAACAGAGTGAGACTCCATCTCAAAAAAAAAAAAAAAAAAAAAGAAAAAAAAGAGAAAAGATGCAAATAACTAACATCAGAAATGTAAGTGGAGACAGTACTACCAACATAAAAATAAAAAAGATTATAAAAGAACACTGTGAACAACTGTATGCCAACAAATAAAATAGCCTAGATAAAATGGACACATTCCTAGAAAAATAAATTACCCAAACTGACTCAAGAAGAAATAGAAAATCTGAATAGAGCCATAACAAGTAAAGAGATTGAATCGGTAATTAAAAATCTTTCAGGCCAGGCGCCGTGGCTCACGCCTGTAATCCCAGCACTTTGGGAGGCCGAGGCGGGTGGATCACGAGGTCAGGAAATCGAGAGCATCCTGGCTAACACAGTGAAACCCCGTCTCTACTAAAAATACAAAAAATTAGCCGGGCGTGGTGGCTGGCGACTATAATCCCAGCTACTCAGGAGGCTAAGGAAGGAGAATGGCGTGAACCCGGGAGGCGGAGCTTGCAGTGGGCCGAGATCACGCCACTGCATTCCAGCCCGGGCAACAGTGTGAGACTCCATCTCAAAGAAAAAAAAAAAAAAATCTTTCAACAAAGAAAAGCTTAGGTGGTCAACTCTACCAAACATTTAAAGCTGAACTGACACCAATCCTCAAACTCTTCTAAAAACAGAATATATGGGAACACTACCTAGTTCATTCTATGAGGCCATTATTACCCTGATAACTGTAAAACAATAAAATATTGCTGAAAGAAATTAAAGAGGACAGAAATAAATGGAAAGACATTCCACATTCAGAGAATGGATGTTAACATTGTTAAAATGGCACTATTCCCCAAAACAATCTACAGATTCAATCCCTAGCAAAAATCCCAATGGTCTTTTTTTGCAGATATGGAAAAGCCAGCCTTGAAGTTCATGTGAAAATGCAAGGGACCCAAAGTAGCCAAAATCATCTTGAGAAAGAAAACACACTTCTCAATTTTAAAACAGTACAAAACTACAATGTTCAAAACAGGGCGGTACCTGCACAATTATCAACATATAGAATGTGATAATGTAATTGAGAGTCCAGAAATAAACCTAAATATCCACAGCCAACTGATTTTTGCCAAGGGTACCCAGAACTTCAGGGAAAGAACAGTCCTCAACAAGTGGTATTGAAACAATCAGATCAACAAAAGAAAAAGGCTGGACTCTTACCTCACACTGTGTAAAAGAAATTACCTAAAAATGGACCAAAGATCTAAATATAAGAGCTGAAACTATAAAACTTACAGAAGAAAACATGAGGATAATCTTCATCAACCTTGTGTTTGGAAATGGCTTTTTGGATATGATATCAAAAGCATAGACGACAAAAGAGAAACAGATAAATTGAACTTCATCAAAATAAAAAACTTCTCTATCTAAGGGAATACAATCCAGAGAACAGGAGAAAATACCCTCAAATGATATACCTGATAAAGGTCTACAGATCTGTGAAGGTCTAGTATACACGAACTTTTTAAAGAGTCTGAGGACTGGTGTTAATTCTTCTTTAAAGGTTTGATACACTTATATAGTGCATTTATTGGTACAACAAGATGACGACAAATAACCCTATTTAAAAAGGAGAAAGGGGCTGGGCGCAGTGGCTCACGCCTGTTATCCCAGCACTCTGGGAGGCCAAGGCAGGCAGATCACCTGAGGTCAGGAGTTCCAGACCAGCCTGGCCAACATGGCGAAATCCCATCTCTACTAAAAATACAAAAGTTAGCCAGGTGTGGTGGTGTGTGACTGTAATCCCAGCTACTTGGGAGGCTGAGGCACAAGAAGTGCTTGAACCCGGGAGGCGGAGGTTGCAGTGAGCCGAGATCGTGCCACTGCGCTCCAGCTTGGGCCACAGAGTGAGACTCCGTCTCAAAAAAATAAAATAAAAAATAAAGAGAAAGGGACTTGAATAGACACTTCTCCAAAGAAGATATACAAATGGCCAACAAGCACAAACATGTAAAGAAGCTCAATGTCATTCATCATTAGTGAAATGCAAACCAAAATCACAATGAGATACCACTTCACACCCGCTAGGATGGCCTTAATCCAAAAAAAAAAAGAAAACCACAAAAAATAGTGTTGGCAGGGAAGCAGAGAAACTGGAACCCTGGAATCCTGCCCACTGGTGATGGGAATGTAAAAATGATATGGCACTGTGGAAAACTTTGGTAGTTTCTCAGTAAGTTACACATAGTTGTACCATATGACCCTGTAATTCCAGTCCTAGGTGTATAATCAAAAGAACTAGAAACAAGTGTTCAAACAAGTACTTGTATATAAATGTTCCTAGCAACACTATTCACAAAAGTCAAAAGGCAAAACCAACCCAAATGTCCATCAACAGATAAATGAGTAAACAAAATGTTATATATTCATACAATGAAATCTTTTTCAGCCATAAAAATAAAGTACTGATATATACCAAATGAAATAACCCAGACACAAAGGCCACAAATGGTATGATTCCATTTATATGAAATATCCGGGATATGCAAATCCATAGACAGAGAAAGCAGATTTGTGACTACCAGGGGCTGGAGAGCAGGGGAGTCAGGACTGATGGCTAAATGGGGTGCATTTATAGTGATGAAAAAGTTCTACAACTAGACAGTGGTGATGACTCTAGAAAATTGTGAATGTATTTAATACCACTGAATTGCGACGTTAAAATGCTACACTTTCTGCTATTTGTGTCTTACCATAATTTACAAAAAGCTTTTTTAAAAAAAAAGAAAGAAAATAAATCAAAGCAAAATCTTGACGTTTTCCCAAAGGCTCTCAAGCCAGTGCAGACCTACCAATCAGGCGCAGTGCCGTCTGAGCGAGGGCCAGCGTGCCGGAATTGAGCAGGAGGTCAAGGTTGTTTGCGCTGTGCTGCAGGGTGAGCATGCTGAGCATCACCAGGAGGAAGTGGGCTCGCGGGATGGTCCCCAGGCTCGGTCCCGATGGGTTCTCATTGGTGATGGTTTGCAGGGGAACCGGCTGGATACCTAGTGAGCATTGGCACCCACTGACATTTCTTGTAATGGATATAAGAATAAATGTAATGCAGAAAGCACGGGCAATTACTCTAAACATCTGACTAATAAGCACTGACACCCACTGACATTTCTTGTGCGTGGATACAAGAATAAACGTAACGCAGAAAGCATGGGCAATTACTCTAATCATCTGACTATTTTGACACCCACTGACATTTCTCTCGCATGGATACAAGCATAAACGTAATGCAGAAGGCACGGGCGATTACTCTAAACATCTGACTATTTTTCAGTGGTTTCCACAGAGTGGGCAGCTCTGTCATGCTGCACGATGGGCCTACCCCCTGCATTCTATGCACAGGTCGTTCCATCTGTCTACAGGACTTAGTATGTTGCTCTCTGAATACACCGGTGCCCTATTCCATTCCTTCCATTTCAAATATAAAAGTTATGTCTCACTTTTCCTCCACAAAACCAATCCAATCAACTCTCTGTAGATGCTCAAACTATCCAGGAAATAAATATCAATATAGGACACAGACACTTTAGGATATGTGGTGATACACATAAAAATGTCAAAATGTAAAAATGTTATACTAGAGTACTTCAACATTGTGTCTCCTGCTAAATTTTAAAGTTTTGTTTAAAATCTGAGAAAGCTGACAGCAGCATAGATTATACAAGTACAAAGTACAAACTTATTAAAGTCTTCTCAAAAGCAAAAATTGGCATTTGCAAGTTTCCACAACATATAATTAAAGGCAAACTATAAAATAACATTGATACAATTATTGACTCACCAAGCTCTTTAAATTTGGCACTGGCATCCACCAAAACATTTCCAATGTTCTGAACAGCCCAAACGTACAGCTTGCCAAAGGTGACTTCCAGCAGCATCCGATTAAAAGGCGGGATCAAATCAACATCCTTTAAACAATCAGTAAGAGGTTGCCTTTCAAATAAAGATAAAGAATTTGACTCGGGACACTGCCAGACTTCTAACTGTTACAGAAAAACATTCTGTTGCCACAGCTTCCTTAATTAAGAAAAAAATATGCTAACGTTTTACCCTATATCGATTCCCTCAGGAATAAGTCTTTGCCATCCACAAAACATCGCATACGGCACAGATGGAAGTAAGAAATTCTTGCTCACCAGATACAATTTTAAAATTGTATCTATCCCTTCCAGGCGAACCTCTGCTCTCTCCAACTGCAAAATATCAATGCATACAGTTAAGTGTTATGTATATTACCCAATGCAGAGAAGCATTTCTCATCAAATGTTACCTGTTTTAGTAGGCACTTTCTCTTTTCCACATCCACTGGCTCTTCTTTAAGGGCAAATTCAGCAATTGTACTGAGGAGTGGAGACTGCGGATAAAGACCCTGCACATTCTGCTTCAACCACTTGTATTTGTGAACACCTGTAACAGTACTCAACAGCGGCTGCCATTTGTCCTAACAAAGGAAAACAATTTTCATCATTAGTCTACCCTATTTAATAATAAACTGTGCTCTAAAAGTTATTCAAGTAAAATATAAATAATGCTTATGGGTTTAAATTGGTTAAAATACGTTAAATTTAGTAATACATGTTTTTAAAACTATGCTATAAATATAAGTGAATTTATAATCTCTATATGTTGGAACAGGCTAGCTTGGCATACTAAGTTAAGTTATGGTTCATATTAACAGCCACAGGGCCCAGCACTGTTTCTGGAACAAAGAATATATTTAAGGAATGAATGGTGAATAATTAATGATACAATCTAATACCAAAAATAAAAGGAAACCCTTCTCCAGCTACAGCTCTGACCAGGACATCATAAGTCAAGTTCATGAAGCATCACTGGGGCCGTATTTCTAACAACCGCCCGTCCCTCCCTCCAGATGCTCAGGTACAGAGGTACAAGACTGTGGATTCCTGTGCTACATGCTACGATTCTATTCAGCCAACCTCAGAATCACAGAAAATACCGCACCTTGGGTGATTTAATTGCAATGGGTCTCTTGTCCACATTTATTGGACTATGAGGCAAAATGCAAGCTTCTTCTAAATCACTCTCTTCGTTTCCAATTTTTTCTTCATCATCCGTAGATTCTGGCTTCTTAGGAACTGTGTTTTAAAACATCATTCACTATAAAAATCATACACTTAAATATTAATTTTAAATTAAGACATATTTAGATTTACATGAAGGACAAATATTTCATTCAAATAAACATCTGAACAACATTATAAATTGCAATGCTCAACAACAAGAGTGAAATGATCACCCTGGCAGAACAAAAAGACAAAGTGAGAGTGCGACGAGGGGAGAAGCCCCGAAGCAGGGGAAGCCCGGCAGCCAGCAAGCTCTTCCTCAAGTGCCAGAGAGTGAACATTTGAGTCTTTCAGGCCATGCTGTCTGTCGCAAATACTCAACTCTGCTGCTGTAGCACAAAAAGTAACCACAGATAAAGCAACAGGTGTGGCTGTGCTCCTGTAAAACTTTATTTATGGTGCTACAATTTTAGCTTCATGTAATTTTCATGTGCCAAAATAATATACTTCTTTTAATTTTTAAATAACAATTTCAAACTGGAAAAAAAAAAAAAAGGTCTTAGTCCATGGGCAACCCAAAGCCAGCAAGAGGTAGAATTTGGCCCATAGTTCCTGGCTTGTCCACCCTGGTCCAGTTCAGTGGTTCTGTTACTGTGTAACTGAATCAACTGAATTCACTGTGATATGTGGAATTTCCTCCCTATACTTTATCTCTTTTAAAATTTTTGGTCTAAATCTCCTCAGCATATAATATAAAAAATAAACAACATGATAATACATCTGGGCAGTAAAGAGCTAACATAGCAGGCCGGGGTTGCTCAAACCCTGCAAATTCCCAAGGAAGGTCTGTCCCTTCAGGATTGGTCCTTCTTCTAGGAGCTGAGCTCTGAGCCCTTGGAACATCCTGCCTGAGAAGTTTTTTGGTATACCTGACACCCAGGACCTTGTGGCAGTGGTCTGGCCAGGTAGTTTATGCTAATGATGGGACTTGCGAGGGACCACTTGTTTTTGCACTGGGGCACTGGAGCCTGAGTGAGGTCAGTCACAGGGGCACTGCCTGCGTATGTGACTGGCCCCCAACAAAATCTCTAGACTCGAGGCTCAGGTGCGCTGGCCTGGTTAACAATTCTTCACACATGATGTGACACTATTGCTGGGAGAGCTAAGCACATCCACGTGACGCCACTGGGGAGAGACACCAAAGCGTGTGCCTAGTTTCCTCTGGACTTCCCTCCATGCACCCTTCCCTCTGCTAATTTTAATCTGTATCCTTTTTGCAGTAAAAACACAGCTGTGACTATAACAGCTCTTCTGAGTCCTTTTAGTGAATCATCAAGCCTGAGAGAAGGCTCGGGGATCCCTGACACAGCAACAGGAATATTAATCACTTAATCTTTTCAAGTTACTTAATTTCCAAAAAAAAAAGAAAACCAGCTTGAAACACCACACGATAAATCTATAAACCCACAAGAAACTCTAAAAGTGACAGTGTGGGCTCAGAACCCACGGATATGAGATGGCAAATGTGGAGTCTCTCTCCCTCATTCCGAGGCAGCCTGTCTCCTGGGCCCAGGCTGAGTTCCTGCATGCCTGGGTTAAAGGAATCGCAGCAGTGTGACTGCTGTGACTTCCTGATCCAGAGCACCCCTCGCATTCAGACAGGCTGTTATGGTGTAGGGTTTGTTCAGGAACAATCAAATTAGGATGGCTTCTAACACACTTTAGTCTTTCATAAGCTTATTGTTCAAAATGCCCATCAGAAAGTCAGTAATCAATACTGTTCAATAAGCAGTTTTGTGAGTAAATCAGTATAAGTCATAATATGATCAGAGGCCAGGCGCGGTGGCTCACGCCCGTAATCCCAGCACTTTGGGAGGCCGAGGCAGGCAGATCACGAGGTCAGGAGATCAAGACCATCTTGGCCAACATGGTGAAACTCCGTCTCTACTAAAATATAAAAATTAGCCAGGAGTGGTGGCGCGTGCCTGTAATCCCAGCTACTTGGAAGGCTGAGGCAGGGGAATCGTTTGAACCTGGGAGGCGGAGGTTGCAGTGAGCTGAGATCGCACCACTGCACTCCAGCCTGGCAACAGACCAAGACTCCATCTCAAAGAAAAAAAAAAAAGGATATAATCAGAAATTTCTGTAGTTTATTTATAATCACAAGTGACTAAATTCTAAACTATTTTATAATTTCTAAGCATTTTTATTCAAATTTGGATTTAATGCAAAAAGACTTTTCTGTACCCTTACACAGCTACTTCCAGGAAAATGTCAGTAACTCTTTTAGCTTCCCTTTATAGTTCTTCATGTATCAGAATACTCAATATTTCCAAACAAAAAACATTTCTTTAGAAGAATGGCAATAAGTTTAAATGTTCCCATTATATCTCATTACCAGGATAACTAATAAAAGTACTTCCTTGTTCCCATCAATTTAGCAAAGATTATTTACGTTTTCAACATCAATTTACTAGTAATCAAATCATACCACACTCAATTCCTAAACTGCCTCATTGTCTGATCATTTGGAAAAATAAGCGAGATGTCTGTATTTAATCCTAACTATAATAAAAATGATGGCAGCAGGTAGAAATGTTACATGGAATCAACAGTAGAGAAACTTCACTCTGAAATCACAGATCCAACGTGGCAGGGTGAAGCACAAGCTTTAATAGTATCTTCTGTCCTTTTACATTCTTACCTCTCTTTTTCCTTGGTTCTCGAATTATCTTCTGAGCTATCCTCCTCCAATGGGGCAAAGAACTTAACAATTTAAACTTAGACATTATAGAGAGGTCATTACAAACAGCAGGTCTCAATTCATTAAAGAGGAATCTCAAACGTTCGATGACAGGAGCGCAGACCTCCTTGTAAGAACGGCCCTGTTCTTGATGAGTCTGCAAAGTTAACCAGGAAAAGACAACTTTAACAACAAATATTTCAGCAACTGTCTGCAAAGCACAGAATAAAAAGAACTAAAATCTATCACCTTAATGAGCGAACATTTTGCTTGGTAGACAACTCTACAAACATCCACCACTGACTTAGGCAACGTTCTGTGCTTTACTTGCTCAATACCAAGTGCACCTGCATGAACTAAAGATAATGCCACATGACCTGTAAAAAGACATTTAAAAGAAGGGCAGTGAAGGAATGAATACGTACCACAGGTTAGTCGAGGAATCTGCAGTGTAGCTAAAGTACAAAGATATTGAGCTGCTTACGTAAATCTTCATGTTTTAAGAGGCAACATAACAGCAAGCGACCGACCTCTTCCACGGGATGCTCGGGGGGAAACATGATCGGTGTGGTCAAATGGCACTGCCTACAGTACCTTTCTATTTGACACAAAAAGTCCTGCAACAGGAACAGCTGGAAGTAACTTCAGGGAAACCCAGTGAGTCTTCACAAATCTTAAACATGCCACAGCTTCTGACGCACTTGCAATCACTAATGCTTCTGAAGCCTCGCTAGCATGTTAACACAATCAGGTTCTCACCTCAAAACCCTCCAAATAATACATGAAACAAAGTCTGTGCTGTGTTAACCAAAGAGCACATAAGTATTCCTATGTCAAAGTCCTCAGATAAACAGAGCACTGAGGTGGCAGTGGGGGCAGGCCTAGCTCACCTTCACGTTGTGATCCTGAATGTTGTTGTCTGCAATGGCTTGCAGAAATGCCTGGGAATGGTCCCCCAGGGCCCGTCTGTGGGAGCAGAGTCGAGATTTGCTGGCAGGTGTGCCCCCTGGGGAGCTGCAGTGGTCCTCATCTTTCTCCTCGTTGTAGCTGTAGTGGATCTGGCTGGTCTGCAGGCCTCCAGAGAAGATGGATGACTGAAGCCATTCTAGAAAATGCACACGCAAACATGAAAGAGAAACTCAAGTGCACAACTCAAAATAAATACTAAAAAAAAAAAAGATGCTCAACTGAACACTCAATTTAGAAGGTGAAATTCAGCATCATTCATATGAAAGAGCTCCACCTAACATGTTTACACAGGTTGACTTATAATTCCTCTATCTACGTGAACACACTTTCTGGTGATTCCACACGCCTCAGGCATGGCATCAGAACTCAGGATCGTAGTTCCAGTCCAACATTCTCTGGATACCTGTGCTCTGCCTGCAGCTGCCTGGTTCCACAGGTACCGTGTGAAGACTGAGGTGCACATTCTAACAGGGAAGGCAGCAAAGGGCACCGCTGACACAATTAATCACAGGATTTCAAGTCCGAAACTGTGCAACAGATGACTATGGGGGTACCAGGGAGACTGGAAGACAGACCACCGCTATTCTGAGGGTCAGTGAGGGACTTGTGGAAGCAACAACTGAGCTAAGATGAGGAATAAGACCCAGACGCTGAGTATCCAGGCAGGGAACAGCACATCTGAAGGGTTTCTACAAAGAATTACATCCTCAGGGTAGGCTATGTATTCCTAGAGCACTTATAAAGGAATGAAAAGGAGAAAATATTTAAGAAACACACAATCTGTAATGAAGGATAGATCCTTGGAGATGGGAGGGCCGATGGACTGGAAAGGAGACCTGTGCGTGGTGCAAGGCATGGGATCAACCAGTGCGAATGTTAATTACAACTGCTTATGGCAACTTGAGGGAGTGCACCACTACAGATCTCTATTAACGATCTGTGTTATCAAATACTGCTCCAAATCCAAGCAATCAAAGCGGGATGCACTTAGTGTTCTTTTACTGGACATTTAGATTTTAGAGCACTCAGGAGCATTCCCCAACACACCACATTCGTTCTTCTGAAACACTAATCCAATGCCGACTCTCTCTGGCCCCCTCTCTTTAAGCACAGGACAGCCCCTCCTTACTGCTCCAAGATAAGCCTCTGATCCTCCTGTGGATCGGACCCACCTGCCAGGGCCCATGGCACCCTCTGCCCTGGAGCTCGCCAGCCCTGCCCTCCTTGCCAATTTAAACAAAGCCCATCTTCTGGCAAGCAATGAGCCTTGAGGAGGAGGGAAGGAAGCAGACACCTCAGAGGGCACCACAGGCAGCCCAGCACCTAGCACTGCACAAAGGTCCGCCCAACGGGGGGCTGTATGGACACCAAGATCCTCCTTCCCTGCAAGCCTCTGCCACACCCACTCCTGCAAGCAGCAGGAAAGCCCTGCTCCTCTCAGCAGTGCCCTTGACACTCCTGTGTTTTCTGCCCAGAATGCTCTCTCACGCAATTTCAGGACTGCTGCCAATGTGAAGCCTTTCTTCTCCCAGAACCATGTATGAACATCTCCATTTCACCATTCACCACCTTGTAATGTGACCTGCTTAGAATGGTGGCTCATCAACAAGCAGCAGCTGAAAGCAGAGGCGTGTCCTACCCATCACTGCATCCTGAACACCTCGCATGGTAACGGCACCAGAAAGCAGAGGTGTGTCCTATCTATCACTGTATCCTGAACACCTCGTATGGTAACGGCACCAGGCAAATGCTCAACAGAAGCTGCTCACATGGATGGACAGACAGACAGATGGGAAATGCACAACTACATGAAGGAAAATGGAAACACATCTTAGGAGACAGAAAGAAGCTTATTATTTTAGGTGGTTACAAAGGCTGCCATCCTGAAATATAACTGACTTGAGCCTGGTCTGGTAAAAACGCAGTGCTCAAATAGTATGCTCTTCCCTGAGAGGACAGCTGATCCACATTCTGTGCAATTTCTGGGCATGCAGGGAGACAAAAGCCATGCTGGGCCCATCAGGCAGAGGCTGCAATACGTGAGACCACCAAGGGCAGACGGGTAGACATTCCTGCACACTTTTTAGCTTCCTCTGCAGCAACAGACCATGAGGGCAAATGACAACCACTCACAGCTGTTTCTACCTGATTGAGTCTCACTATCCTTATTATTTTTTTTTTTTGTCATCATCAACTGTGTTGAATCCTCCTCTCCTTTTTTTTTTTTGAGACCGAGTCTCGCTCTTGTCACCCAGGCTGGAGTGCAGTGGCGTGATCTCAGCTCACTGCAACCTCCGTCTCCTGGGTTCAAGCAATTCTCCTACCTCAGCCTCCCGAGTACCTAGGATTACAGGCACCCGTCACCACACCCAGCTAATTTTTGCATTTTTAGTAGACATGGGGTTTCACCACATTGGCCAGGCTGGTCTTGAACTCCTGACCTCAGGTGATCCACCCGCCTCAGCCTCCCAAAGTGCTGGGATTACAGGCATGAGCCACTGCCTGGCCATCTCCTGCTTTTTTAAAGAGAGAGTCTTGCTCTGTCACCCAGGCTGGAGTGCAGTGGTATGATCATGACTCACTGCAGCCTCAACCTCCCAGGCTCAAGCAATCCTCCTACCTCAGCCTCCTGAGTATCTGGGACTACAAATACGTGCCAACATGCCTGGCTAATTTTTGTGTTTTTTGTAGAGATGGGGTTTTGCCATGTTGCCCAGGCTGGTCTCAAAATCTTGATCTCAAGCAATCCACGTGCCACAACCTCCCAAAGTGCTGGGATTACAGGCATGAACCACTGTGCCTGGCCCTCTCCCACTCTTAATGGCACTTACAGTTCAAAAAAAAAAAAATCTGCTAATTAGCAAAAAGTAAAGATTTTCTTACTGGCACATTCAATCTCGACAGGAGACAGCGGTGTGCTCATTGCTAAATAGGAAGCGTGTAATCCGAGAAGCAGGCCCAGATTCCTCTCTGTGTCTATCAGAGGTGAGGAGAGACTCCCCAGATCTGGTATGGTGACGCCTTCTTGGTCAGGCTGGAAAAATAAATTTAATCATCAATCTGAGGAAACAGAATTAATTAAAAACATAAAACCAAAAGGACAGCTCTCTCCTGCAGCTGTACCGCACGTGAGCCCAGGGGTGCTCTGGGCGTTCTGCCCCTCCATCCTGTAATGAGTTGGTGCTGCTGTGCCCAAGTAACAGCAGATACCATATAAACCCACATGCCCTATAAAGCAGGCAGCAACCGCACAGCCCTACTGTAGAAAAACTAAACCACAGATACATGATTTGGCTAGAATATTCCTTAGGAATCAGTTTCCAAAGTGACTGTACACCATGCTTCAGAAAGTATAATGAATTGTTACATGCATAAAGAACCCACTGGGCAACAAAACTATGACAAGTATTCGATGACAAGTATTAGTGGACTGTGACCACACATGTAGAGGAAATGAAATTTATTCTAACAAAAATCAAACTCTGAAAAAAGCAAGAGTTCAACTTTTTCAGTCACAGAAGATATTTACAGCAAAGTTAATTCTCCCCTTCATAAACTGTTTTAAGCCCTGCCCTAATGGCATTTAATACATCTTATTACTTGTCGATACCTAGTAAGCTAATCCCAATATATAAATTCTATGTGTTCGTGAATACATAGGAAGGACATATTTCTATTGTAAAGAATTACACTTCTACATAGTTCTTCCCAAAAAATACATACCTCAAGATTATAAGCCATTCCAAATTTCTACATAAGACCAAAGTTTAACCTCTTTTCTTGTGGAACACTGCCTATATTTCTCACAAATTGATCATTTAAAAAACAATCTTTCAAGACCAGTACATCACAGATCTTAACATGAATAAATGTAAATTCATTTATGACAAAACTTCTAAAGGATCTTTATATTTATCCCTAATGCCCCGCAAAAGACCCAGATATCAGTACTTCTAGATCCAAATATTCCTATCACAAACACACAGAGGGTATCCCCTGCCATCCTCTGCATCACTCAAGGCATACAGCCTCACCTCCAAATACTGGCCAACACAAAATGCGTGCATGGATTCCCGGGTGTCTTCAAACTGCAAAGCAGCTTCCAAAGCTACCACTGGGTCTTCCCCTGCAAACTGAGCTGAAACAAAAAGGGAAAAAGCAACATGAGTTCAATTCAGCTTGCCTGAAGAGCTACAGGAGAAATAGTGAGTAGGAAATAAGTTAGGCTCTTAACTCAAAAGTGAGGGTTACCAGAATATAATGACCTCCCACTGTCTCCCAGGGTTGCCTGGGCCAACTCGGAACTTGAAATGAGTTCCAAGTATTAAAACAAAAGATACATAATGAAAGGAAATTCTTCGAATGTGCTGAATTTGTTGATAAGACAGACACCAAAGCCACAGATACATTAAAATATGCGGGGGCTGGCACAAAACTAAAGGAATCATTTATAAGCCAAATACTCTGCTTAAAATGATACAGGCTGTAACTTTTAACCAGGAAATAACAAGTGTAATCTTACCAAGAATACTATTTTCTGTTAACGACTGTGTCTGGAAGTCCTTTATATCATACACTTTCCTGTCAATCACAGTCCAGAAGCCTCCATCGTTATTATGGTTCTCCAAATCAGCTGTGCGTACAAGTGTCACTTTCTCATTATTTCTACAGTTCTGACCTGTAAAAAATGACTCTGTATATACAGAAACCAGAATCAGTCCATTGATCAATCAACAGGTAAAATGAAAAGAACAAACTGTGTGAAAGAACTACAAGCAGAAATAAACAAATCCACAATCACAATGGGAGAAATACATACCTAGCTCTGAAACTAATACCACACATACAAATTCTGTTAAATATAGAATGCTTTAAAAAAAAGTCTAGGCAGCATGAATACCAAATCGGGCCATGCCAGGCCATAGAGTAAATCTCAACAGATTTCAAAGAAATAAACTTACAGAGCATGTGTGCTGACTACAATGCAGTTAAATTACAAATAGGTTTTCAAAAATTCATTCAAAATAAAATAAAAATGACTCTGTATACACAGAAAATAAAAATATTCATCCACATATTTGAAAATTACAAGATACACTTATAAGTAACCCAAAATTCTAAGAAAAAATGACTATGAAAATTAGAAAATGTGTTCAGTTAATAATCAAAATACTGCAGATCGAAATTGGTGACATACAACTAAATGCATGCTTGAGGGCATTTATGCCTTTAAATGTATATATTTACACATTAAAGGGGGAAAAAGCTAAAAAAGAAAAGAAACACCAAATCAATAAAAGTCTGTTAGTTCATAAAAATACTCAAAAAAAAGAAAACCTGAGTGGTGGTCACCTATGCAAGTGCTAGGATACCAACTCAATATTATGAAAAATAGTTAAAAGGGAGGTGGCAGTTCAAGAAGTCAAGCTTAGATTATGTCCTTGCTGTACAAATTGTACCTCCTGCTAACCAGACAGCAGAGGGCAAGGTTGGTAGGGGATTTTATAGAGGATACGCAACACATGAATTCCCTGGTCTAGCTTCACAGAACTAAAGCGGGGAGCCACCGAGCATTACAGGCCTCCTGAGCCAACAGAAAGCATGCAGCATGACCCCAGACATAACACCGCCCCAACGAGACTGAATTCAAATCCAACCAAACCTCTAGATCTAACCAGCAGATTAATGTAACTAACAGAAGAACATGTTGGTCTAGAATAAGAGAATGCAATCAACCAAGTTCAGAAAATGTGAAGTTCTCCAAAATAACCAACCTGCTTCTTTGAAAAAGAAAACGGTATGATCAGAGACAGGGAGAAGAGGGCCTGGAGCCATGTTGTTTGGGGAAAGAGACTAGAAGCATATGTCAAGCAATGCCAATACGCAGAACATGCTCAGGTCTTAATTCAAAATTACCACCTAAAAAAGGCATTTTTGAGATAGTCCAGGAAAATGTAACATGGACTGCATGTTAGATTAAGGAATCACTGTTAATCTTATAGACAGGATAATGATATTGTAGGGTTTTTTTAAAATCCTTATCATTAAGAGGTAAAATACCTTAAAATGTTTTAAAGACAGAGTTATGCTTTAAAATAATCCAATCAGCCGGGCGCGGTGGCTCATGCCTATAATCCCAGCACTTTGGGAGGCCGAGGCGGGCAGATCATGAAGTCAGGAGATCGAGACCATCCTGGCTAACACAGTGAAACCCCATCTCGTACCATGCCATATTACTGCATTTAACAGGTATGATGAAGCAACTGAACAGGCTATTTTTCCATTTCCATTGCATTTCAACAGAGCCCATTAAAAAGTAGTATAAATGGCCCTTAAATACTAATATATTTTAAAATGCTCAAACTATATCGGGGTCACCACTTTGTGCTTTAGCAGGCAAAATCCCAAAAGCCCACACACAAGGCTGGGAGACCAGCATCCCTATTGGTGGTGAGAGAAATCAAGATGTACAGGAGCAATCTGGTGACAACCAGCCCACACGAGGTCCATCCCCACCTGTGCATGTGCACAGGCACACACGCGTGCACACATGGAGGACACGTGTTCCAGGCCAGGCCTTGCAGTACTATTTGTGTTTTCTGTTGTTGTTGTTTGAGATGGAGTTTCACTCTTGTTGCCCAGCCTGGAGTGCAGTGGCGCGATCTCGGCTCACTGCAACCTCTGCCTCCCAGGTTCAAGCGATTCTCCTGCCTCAGCCTCCCAAGTAGCTGGGATTACAGGCACCCGTCACCACGCCCCGCTAATTTTTGTATTTTTTAGTAGAGACGGGGTTTCTCCAAGTTGGCCAGGCTGATCTCAAACTCCCAACCTCAGGTGATCCACCCACCTCGACCTCCCAAAGTGCTGGGATTACAGGCGTGAGCCACTACACCCGACCCTCAGCACTATTTGTATAGCAACATTGTGGCAATAAGCCCAAGTGTCCACCAATAAGAGACTCACTAAAGAAAGATAGATAAAAGACACATCCACACACTGAAGACTAAGCTGATTTATAAAAACAAAGAGGGACACTCTGATAAGGTACTCCAGTATATATGGTTAGTTAAAAAAAAAAAACAAAAAACAAGCAACACAAGTAATGAAGCATGCTACCACGAACGTACTCATGCCAGAGAACAAGGAGGTTACAGAGGAGACTGGAAAGTCAGAGGGAGCAGGTGGGAAAATGGGTGGAAGGGGTGGGCAGGGGAAGCGACAGTGTGTCTCTGCCTAGGTTTGATTTTTGAACCATGTGACTGTATTTTTTTTTTTTAATGACTGTAAAACAAAATAAATACTCTTTATACTAGAAATAAAATGTTAGAAAAATCTGGATTCAAAACTAGGATTACTGTTCTGCACTGGCAAAGTTCACTACCATTCCCAAAGGCAGTTTTCTCATTGACATAATGAGATACAACAGCGTGCATGAGGTCCTCAGCGGGCCTGCACCCTACAGGTGCTCCACACATGCAAATCACTACCATTACTATTACATAAGAGATATAATACATAATTATACTGTCACTACTATAACCAGCATGACATACTAAGACAGCCTGCGTTCAGAGTATGAAGAAGGCTGTGGAACCCCCTGCAGAAGGTGGGAGGGCCTGGGGCTGTGGATAAAGGGGAGCTCTCTGGGGCTGTGCCACCTGAACCTGGAACCCGGGCCCCCAGGTTGGGTCGCCAGGCCTGTGCGCCTCAGCTTGCTCATCACTCACTCTCAACACGGATAACACCTTCAACTGCAAACACGTTTAAAAACCACAGGCCAGCTCCCCCTACCAATACCAGAAAAAACAAGTCTCCACACGGGCCCAGGATGAGAACCTACAAGTGGTACTAGCTACAAAACACATGGAGAACACGGTTCTTGCACACACCTTATGAGACGTCGGAGAGCTACACAGAGGAGGCATCTACAGGGTGTAGCCAGACGGTCTAAATGGGCCATGACAACAACCGCCGTTTGTTGCAGATCAATGGCAAGCCTGTTGTCTTGTGGAAGGGTGAGGTACCTCAGGAAACTCTCACTGGGGCTCAGAGGACCAGACAAAAGCTAGAAAGGAAAAGTAAACAAAAATTCAGAACTGGTGGGAAAAACTAAAGTAACACAGTTTTTTACCCACGCTTTATATTTTGGTATTGACTCACTTGACCCATCAAATGACAATGTTGATGATACAGTTATACTATACGTCTATATATTTATGCAGCATATAAACTGTATAAATCTCTAAATCTGCTGTATACATGTACACAACATTGACTGTGCATGTATACATTTATGATACCATAGGTAAGTTGAATCCACACAGATTACTAACATGACCAAACCACTCTACAAGCCTAGGACCCCTGGAGAAAGGCAGAACCACCTCTGTGGGAACCCAGCACAGCATCTCAAGCTGGCCTTGAAATCTAAAACCAAAACCTTTATTTTAATCTAAATGTTGCCCACTCTGGAGAACACCTACTTTCATTTGCAAATTAAATCACAGTTCTAATTCTTCTAAAGGCAGAAGACCCCTATTATCATTAGTTTAAAGACTGCCAAATAATAGGCTGGGCATGGTGGCTCACACCTGTAATCCCAGCACTTTGGGAGGCCGAGGCAGGCAGATCACAAGGTTAGGACTTTGAGACCACCCTGGCCAACATGGTGAAACCTCATCTCTATTAAAAATATAAAACTGAGCTGGGCATGGTGGCGGGTACCTATAATCCCAGCTACTCGAGAGGCTCAGACAGGAGAATCATTCGAACTAGGGAGGCGGCAGTTGCAGTGAGCCGAGAACGTGCACTGCACTCCAGCCTGGGAAACAGGCAGAGACTCCGAAGACGGGAAGGGACGGGATGGGACGGGATAGGACAGGACGGGATGGGATAGGACGGGACGGGAAGGGAGAAAGAAAGCAATGTACCCGCAAAACAAACAAACAAACAAAAAAACAGTCTCGGGGACCTATGGGACTATAACAACTCCGGTCACTGAACTCACGAAGGGACAGGAGAAAGAAGGTGGGGCTGAAACTGTACTCTATGAAGTGATGGCTTACAAGTTCCCAAATTTGGCAAGAGACATAAATCTACAGATCTAAGGTAAGCAAACCCTAAACAGGATGAACCCAAAGAAATCCAAACTAAGACATATAATAATCAAACTCCAAAAAACAAAAGGCAAAACATTTCAAAAGCCACTAAACAAAAACAGTGCCTTAACTATCGTGGATTAACAAGTCAAATGACAGCGAATTTCTCATCAGAAACCATGGAGCCCAGCTGAAAGTACAAAATATTTTTCAAGCGATGAAAAGAACCATTAACCCAGAATTCTTATATCCAGCAAAAATGTCCTTCAGGAATGAAAAGGAAAGCAAAACATTCTCAGAGGAAGTGAAACAGAATTTGTCACCAGAAGACCCACACCAAAAGAAAGGCTAATGGAAGTTCTCTAAGCAGAATGGCAACCATCAAAGAAGAAAACCCTGGAACTTCTGGAAGGAGGAGATGACAAGCACACCAACGCATAAATACAATAGACTTTTCCCTCACCTCTTGACTTTGCTAAATTATGTCTGAAGGTTCAACCAAAAATTATAACATTGTCATATGTGGTTATCAATGTAAGTAAATGAAATATTTAAGGCAAGTATATTATGAACAGAAGAACATAAAGGAACATCAAAGGAGGTAGTTTCTATATCCCTGAAGCTGGTAAATGACAACATCAGGTAAAATCTGATAAGTGTTCATACATACACAGGCTGAGTGTCCCTTATAAAATGCTCAGGAGCACAAGTGTTCCAAATTTCAGATTTTTATCAGATTTAGGAATATCTGCATATAAATAATGAGATATTTTGGGGATAGGACCCAAGTCTAAATACATTCATTTATGTTTTATATATAACTTACACACAGAGCCTGAAGGTAATTTTATATAGCATGCTTAGTAATTTTGTGCATGAAACAAAGTTCATGCTAAGTACTTATGAATGGAATTTTCAATTTGGGGGCGTCATGCTGGAGTGCCATAAAGTTTCGAATTTTGGGGCATTTCAGATTTTGGATTTTGGGTTTACAGATGCTCAATCTGTATGTAATATATTACCTAGAAAAGCCACTAAAAAAGCTATACAAAAAGATACACTCTAAAACACTACAGATGAAATAGAATGCTAAAAATGGTCAAGTAAACCACAGAGAGCCAGGAAGAACCAAACCGAAAAAATGAAAAACAGAAGAAATAGAAAATGCAAAACAAAATGGCAGTGTTAAGCCTCAATTTATCAATGACATTAAATTAAATGTAAACAATCTAAATACATCAATTAAAAGACACTAGGAGAGTAGACTAGAGAACATGATCCAACTATATGTTGTCCATAAGAAAGTGACTTCAAACAGGCAAACTGAAAATAGAAGTATAGAAAAAAAAAGATCATGCAAACATTACTGAAAGGACAGCAGGAGTTGGCTATATTTATATCAAATAAAGTAAACTTCAGAACAAAGATAATTACCAGGAGGGCCGGGCACAGTGGCTCACGCCTGTACTCCTAGCACTTTGGGAGGCCAAGGTGGGTGGATCTCAGGAGTTTGAGACCAGCCTGGCCAATATGGCAAAACCCCATCTCTACTAAAAATACAAAAATTAGCTGGGTGTGATGGCAGAAGCCTATAATCCCAGCTTCTCAGGAGGCTGAGGCAGGAGAATCACTTGAACCTGGTAGGGTCGGAAGTTGCAGTGAGCTGAGATCATGCCACTTCACTCCTGCCTGGGCAAAAGGAGCGAAACTCCGTCTCAAAAAAAAAAAAAAAGATAATTACCAGGAACCAACGGCAACATTACAAAATGAGAACTTGGTCAATCCACCATTAAGACACAGCAATTCGAAACGTGCAGACACCAAACAAACAAAAAAACAATGAATAGAACCGAAAGGAGAAAAAGACATTTATACTTTTATAGTTGGAGACCTCAAAATCTCTCTCTACAGCTGATAAAATTAGGAGACAGAAAAGCTGCCAGGATATAGAACGCAACATCACCATCCATCAACTAGAGCCAATCAAAATTTATAGAACACTCCAGCCAATAATAACAGAATACATAATCTTTTCAAGTATCCACAAAACAAATACTAAGTTAGAACATATTCTGAGGCATAAAACAAACCTAACAAATTTTTTGAAATTAAAATCACACAGCATATGTTCCCTCAAACAATGGGAACAAATCTGAAGTCAACAAGAGAACAATTACAGGAAAATTGCCTAACTCTCAGAAACTAAACAATAAACTTTTACATAACCCATGGATCAAAGAGAAAGTCTCAAGGGAAATTTTAAAATATATTGTGAACTGAGAGAAAATGCAAGTACAATACATCAAAATGTATGGGAAAGAGCTACAGTGGGTGACGAGAGACAAATTTACAGCACTAAATGAATGGTACATTAGAAACTTGGAAACAAATCAATAATATAAGTGCCCACGTTGACAACCTAAAAGAAAATTAAAAATAGCAAAATCAACCCAAAAGTAAGCAGAAAGGAAGAAATAATTAAGGTAAGAGTAGAAACAAAGTGAAAACAGAAAAACAATAAACAGTAAAGCAAAAAGCTGGTTCTTTGAAAAGATCAATAAAACTGACACACCTCTCTAAGCAAGACTGACAAAAAAAAAAAAAGACATAAATTACCCAACATTAGTGATGAAACAGGCTCTAAAGATATGAAAAAAGATAATTAGGAATTACTAGGAACAACTCTACACACATAACTTTGACAACTTGGGCAAAATAGACTTATTCCTCAAATAATGCAAATTACCACAACTCACCAAATATAAAATAGATCATTTGAATAGCTCTACCACTATCAAGAAAACTGAATTCATAATTCAAAGAATCCCAAAAAAAAAAAAAGAAATTACCAGATCCAAATGAACTCACTGGATAATTCCATCAAACATTAAAAAAGAATTAACACAGACTCAAAACAATCTCTTCTGGAAACTAGAAAAGGAAAAACTTCCCAATTCATATTAAGAAGCTAATATTAGAGCTAATATTAGCATTTTAAGAAGCTAATATTAGAGCTAATATTAGCATTTTAAGAAGCTAATATTAGAGCTAATATTAGCATTTTAAGAAGCTAATATTAGAGCTAATATTAGCATTTTAAGAAGCTAATATTAGAGCTAATATTAGCATTTTAAGAAGCTAATATTAGGTACCGTACCTAAAGACAGTACAAACTACAGAACAATATACCTTAATATATATATAGACACAAAAATATTCAGTGAATTATTAGCAAGTAGAAGTAAACAATATATAAAAAGAATTCCACATCATCGCCAAGTAGTTTCATTCCAGGAATGCAAAGCTGGTTCAACAGTCAAATATCAATGTAACCCACCCTATTAATAGACTAAAGAACAAAAATCACATAATTACATATCAATTGATTTAGAAAAAGCAAATGACAAAATTCAATACTCGTGAATGATAAAAATTCTCAGAAAATAGCAACAAATGGGAACTTCATCATCTTGATAAACAGCATTTACAACACCTTAAGCTAAAACCTATGCCAACAAGAATGTCAGAAAGGGTCCTCCCAGACCTATTTATACAGCAGAGAGAATCATTAAGAATGATTTAGATAGTTACTAAGAGTTTACTCTCCTAAGAGATTACAACACCCAATGGCCAGCAAGCCCTTTTCATTAGACAAAAAGAAAAGCTGTGATCTGTCAACACTCTCAGAAGGTTCACTGTGAAATGTGCACTTCTGAACTCCTGCTGAGGGCCTACACGCTGCAATGTTGAGAAGCAAGTGTCCAGAGGTCTCCTTGGAAACATTGCAAAAAAAATGTGAGGGACTGATGGATGAATAGAAGGATGAAAAGGTGGAGAGAACGGTGATAAAGCACGTGGGATGATGCCAGCGGCACAATCTTAGGTGGTGAATATGTGGGTGCGCGCTGTAAAATTCTTTCAACTTTTCTGTATATATTTTTTTCATAATAAAATGTTGGAAAAAATAAACCTGTGAAAAAGGAAGCTTTAGTCAAACATATCTAAGCAAAAGAAAAAACAAATTCTAAATTCCTATGGCTCAAATTAACGTGTTTTTCTTTTTAGGCTGAGATGGAAGAGTAAAAAAACAGAAAAAGAAATGAAAGGAATAGGAGCTATTCTAACAGCTACAAATTCCACCTGCAGTTTGATTAAAGATGGCGTGGCTCAAGAATATGCTTTGAATCCAAGCCCCTTCAAGGCTGCCAGGTACAGAGTCGGTTCTGCAAAAGCTCTGTACCTGTGAACAAGCAGAGCTTCCAAATAAACCGATTAAAGCTGCCCTGAGTCAATAAGCCGGGCTTTAATCTGAGCAAGAAAGGTACATTTTTAGTCTAGTTACCCACCCATAACTGTAGGTACTTTGATACCTAGGTGAGGGGAAACATGGAGAAAGGCAAAATAACAGATTTTTAAAATCACAACAAATCTTTATCAAACATTTGTGCCAGGCACTGACTTAAGAGCTTCAAATGCATTATTTCATGTCATTTGCACAGCAACTCTCTGAGTAAGTACTTTCACTTATTTTATATATAATTTTAATTATTTACATTATATTATACTTATTCCTTTTTTTTGTTTGTTTTTTTTGTTTTGAGATGGAGTCTCACCCTGTCACCCAGGCTAGAGTGGTGGTGCAATCTTGGCTCACTGCAAGCTCCGCCTCCTGGGTTCATGCCATTCTCCTGCCTGAGCTTCCCGAGTAGCTGGGACTACAGGTGCCCACCACCACGCCCAGCTGATTTTTTTGTATCTTTAGTAGAGACAGGGTTTCACCACGTTAGCCAGGATGGTCTCGATCTCCTGACCTCATGATCCGCCCGTCTCAGCCTCCCAAAGTGCTGGGATTACAGGCATGAGCCTCTGCACCCGGCCACTTATTCCTATTTTATACATGAGAGGCCCAAGGTGAGACAAAGTGATTTGTGTAGAGTCAGAGATAAAGCCAAAATTGATACCCAGACAGACTGAAAAACTTCTCTGTCAGAAAATCTAGAAATGGTAAAGGGAGATCTTCAAACTGAAGGAACATGATAACACAAGGTAGCTGGGACAGAAACAAAACCTTAAGGGCCCATAATGGTAAAATGAAAGTTAACATAAAAAACTTTTTTTTGGCCAGCCATGGTGGCTCTTTGGGAGGCCGAGGTGGGTGGATCACCTGAGGTCAGGAGTTCGAAACCAGCCTGACCAACATGACGAAACCATGTCTCTACTCAAAAATACAAAATTAGCCAGGTGTGGTGGCGTATGCCTGTAATCCCAGCTACTCGGGAGGCTGAGCCAGAATCGTTTGAACCCAGGAGGCAGAGGCTGCAGTGAGCCAAGATCATGCCATTGCACTCCATCCTGGCAGCCTGGGCAACAAGACCAAAACTCCGCCTCAAAAAAAAAAAAAAAAAGAGGCCAGGTGTGGTGGCTCACACCTATAATCCTATAATCCCAGCACTTAAGGGTGGCTGAGGCACGTGGATCACCTAAGGTCAGGAGTTCGAGGCGAGCCTGGCAAACATAGTGAAACCCTGTCTCTACTAAAAATACAAAAACGTTAGCCAGGCACGGTGGTGTGTGTCTGTAATCCCAGCTACTAGGGAGGCTGAGGCAGGAGACTCGCTTGAACCTGGGTGGCGGAGGTTGCAGTGAGCTGAGATTGTGCCATTACACTCCAGTCTGGGCAACAACAGCAAAACTCCGTCTCAAAAAAAAAAAGACTTTTTTTTCTCTTTTCAAATTTGAGGGGAAAAAATGTAATTGCCTATTTAAAGCAAAAACAAAAACATCATATTGTGGGGTTTATACCATGTTTCACTTGGACATGACACAGCAACACTACCAACCAAGAACATGTCAGAAGCAGGAAGCTACAGTCAGAGCACTGCCCCGCGGCTCAGGCAGTGTAATACCATTTGAGAGTGGGCAGTGACAAGTGAAAGATGTAACTGAAAACGCCAGAGATGATAGATTTAAACCCAAGTAGTCTAAAGATTCCAAATAAAAAACAGAGGTTGTCAGGGTGAATAAAGAAGCAAGACCTAATTAAATGATACCTGAAAGAAATCTACTTTACACATACACAAAGTTTGAAAGTGAAAAAAGCTAAACCTGGCAAACACACCACGCAAACACCAAATCAGAAGAAAGGAGAGTAGTCAGACCAAGGTGACTTCACAACAAAGAATGTCACCGGAGATTAAGGGGGTCAAATTTATGAATATGGCGTAAAAATCCTAAAAGTGCATGCACCTTATAACATTCTCAAATACATGAAGCAAAACCTGCAGAGCTGAAAGAAAATAATCCATAATTAGCATGAGAGATTTCAATTCTCCTCAGAAGAAAGAGGAACTAAGCAGTGAAATTGCTCTTCATGCCTCCCCAGCACAATGGAGATACTCCTGGGAAATAAAGCCAGTCACTGGGGCTGATCTCCCAGAACACTGAGACTGGCTTCTCTGTAAATAAATGACTGGTATTTGCTAGGAGAAGTGTCCTTATCTATGAAATGTTTTTAGCAAGATGTGGTTAGTTTAGGATTGTGTTTGGTAAACATACCTAAAATCCATGGACTTATGGGACATGGCTCCCTGGAAAAGGTTCCCTAAGGTGTATAAACTATCTGACTACAAAACGGGAACACTGCACATCCTTAATGCTCCTTGTGCAGTGAGATGACGACACACCTCAGTGAGAGGACCACACGCCTCAGTGAGAGGTCTCATCTCGCAGGCCGGGCTCAAAGAGGATGGACCTGCGGGGGTTGCACAGACTCTCCCACATCTCTCCCCACTTTGCCTGAGCACACAAGTGAGGATATTACTTGTATCTTTAAAGTTACTAAGTAATCAGCTACGGGTAACATCTCTGAGATTCATGTCAAACTAATGTGGTAAGCCAACCTTGTGTGTTAGTTCAACTCCTCTCCTAACAGTGACTAGAACAAGCAGGCAGAAAACTATTTCAAGTCAAGGATACCTGAACACTATCAACTTGATCTCACTAAGCTTTACAGAGCAGCAAAATACACTTTTTTTTTTTTTTTGAGATGTAGTCTTGCTTTGTCACCCAGACTAAAGTGCAGGGGTGCAATCGAGATTACAGGCACCCACCACCACACCCAGCTAATTTTTGTATGTTTCGTAGAGACAGGGTTTCACTATGTTGGCCAGGCTGGTCTCGAACTCCTGACCTCAAGTAATCCACCCACCTCAGCCTCCCAAAGTGTTGAGATTACAGGCAGGAGCCACTGCACCCAGCCACATTCTTATTACATGTGCATGAAACATTCCACAGAATGCACCATATTCTGGGGCTTCAGACAAGCCTCAGCATTGAAATCACAGAATATGTTCTCTGACTACAACTAATTTAGAAATTGTTAACAGGAGATATTTGAAAATCCCCAAATATTTGGAAATGAAATAACACATTTCCAAATAATAAGTGAGTAAAAGAAGAAATTAAAAGGGAAATTAGAAAATATTTTCAACTGAATGAAGATGAAAATGAATAAACATTTCCAAATTTGTGAAATGTGGCTAAACAATGCTTAGAGGGAAATTTATATTATAGTTTTGAACACTTGTTAGAAAAGACAAAAAATCTGAAGTCAATGATCTAAGCCTTTACCTTAAGAAACTAGAAGAGACAGAAGAACAAATGGAACCCAAAGCCAGCAGAAAAAAGGAAATAATAAAGAGTAAAGCAGAAATCAATGAAAAAGAAAACAAACAAAATCAATAAAACCAACAACTGGTTCTTTGAAAAAACTCAAACTGATGACTTCTAGGAAGACTGATCAAAATCGAAAGAGAGAAAATACAAGGCACATTTCAGCAAATTTCTGGATAACAGGTAGTATATGCTGGTACTTACTACATGCAAAATAATAGCATACGCACTTTGTCTGGCCTACTGTACTGATCCCATAATAACCTATGAGGTAGGTACTACTACTAACCCCAAATACGAATTTTTTTTTAAGAGACAGGGTCTCACCCTGTCACCCAGGCTGGAGTGTAGAGGCACAATCATAGATCACTGCAGCTTCAAACTGATGGCCTCAAGCAATTCTCTCACCTCAGCGTCCCAAAGTGCTGGGATTACAGGCGTGAGCTACCATGCATGGTGTCACTAATTATTTTTATATATGTACATTTACATATGTATGTCCATGCCAGGAAAGAAAAGCCTGAATATCCACTCTGAAGGGATAATAGTGGCTAACTCTTAGAGGAAAACTGAAATTGGGGTGGGCAGCCAGGTGAAATTTCTGCTTTTATAATCGATACATTTTTATAAGAAAACATTTATTTGATGTATATTTTTAATTGGAACGAAAATGCATCAGACATTTTAAAAAATTCAATTACACACAAAAAAGTAAGCAAAGAATAAATATATGGGTTTTACTGGGTTGGAGAAAGGGAAGAGATTATGAAAGTCCATCCATGATAAGGAACTCCTATAACCCAAAACAAAAAACTCAATTAAAAAATGGAATTAGCTGGGTGTGGTGGTGCCCGCCTGTAGTCCCAGCTACTCGGGAGGCTGAGGCAGGAGAATGGCGTGAACCCGGAAGGTGGAGGTTGCAGTAAGCCAAGATCATGCCACTGTACTCCAGCCTGGGTGACAGAACAAGACTCTGTCTCCAAAAAAAAAAAAAAAAAAAAAAGGGCAAAAGGGCCAGGCACAGTGGCTCATACCTGTAATACAGCACTTTAGGAGGCCAAGGTGGGTGGATCACCTGAAGTCAGGAGTTCAAGACCAGCCTGGCTAACATAGTGAAACTTCGTCTCTACTAAAAATACAAAAAATTAGCCAGGCACGGTGGCGGACACCTGTAATCCCAGCTACTCGGGAGGATGAGGCAGGAGAATCACTTGAACCTGGGAGGTGGAGGTTGCAATGAGCCAAGATTGCACCACTGCACTCCAGCCTGGGCAACAAGAGCCAAACTCCATCTCCCCAAAAAAAAAAAAAAACAAAAAACGGGCAAAGGATTTGAATAGACATTTCTCCAGTGAATGTATACAAATGGCCAATAAGCATGTAAAAAGATGCTCAGCATGACTAATCAACAGGGAAATACAAATCAAAACAATGAGATGCTGTACCTACTCACACAAATTAGGATGGCTATCATCAGAAAACAAAAAGTGTTGGTGAGGGTGTGGAGAAATTGGAACCTTAGTATACTGCTGCAAGAATGTAAAACAATGTAGCCACTGTGGAAAACAGTTTACTGCTTCCTCAAAAAGTTACACATAGTGCCAGGTGCGATGGCTCACATCTGAAATCTCAGCAACTCAGGAGTCTGAGGCAGGAAGATCCCGTGAAGCCAAGAGTATAAGACCGGCCTGGGCAACACAGTGAGATTCTGTCTCTAATTAGTCAAGCGTGATGGCTGGGCAACAATGTCAATATATTTAATGCCAATGAACTGTACACATAAAACTGGTTAAAACGGTAAGTTACATGGTATGTATATTTTACCACAATATTTAAAATTTTTAATTAGTTTTTAAAAAATTGTTACCAAAAAAATACTAAGAATCCATTCAAGTTATTTAGAAAGGGAGTGTCAGATCAACCTTTCCAAAGTGCCAAAATTCGCAAGATCACCTGGTTGCTTGCCCCATACCCAGCTGTCCAGAATTGACTTGGCCCTATATATAGGTGCAGGAGTTTCTTCTTCATCTTTTTTCTCTTTGTCATTCAGATCTTTCTTTGTCCCACTTGGTTCGACACTATCATCTGCAGAATTAAAAATTTTTTAATCTGTCACCGCTTTTCAGAATGTCATACCGTTAGCCTCTGCAAATGTCCCTCCCCGAAAAGTTACAACACACATGATTAACTGAATGCTTGACAACTTAAAAATAAAATACATCAATCATACCTGTAACAGATCCAGTATAATTTTCATAAAGAAACCAATATATTGGCCGGGCGTGGTGGCTCATGCCTGTAATCCCAGCACTTTGGGAAGCCATGGCGGGTGGATCAGGAGGTCAGGATATCGACACCATCCTGGCTAACACGGTGAAACCTCGTCTCTACTAAAAATACAAAAAATTAGCTGAGCATGATGGCAGGCGCCTGTATTCCCAGCTACTCGGGAGGCTGAGGCAGGAGAATGGTGTGAACCTGGGAGGCAGAGCTTGCAGTGTGCTGAGATCATGCCACTGCACTCCAGCCTGGGTGACAGAGCGAGACTCCATCTCAAAAAAAAAAAAAAAGAAACCAATACAACAAATTATTTAAAGGATGTCTTCCAAAATGATATTCCATCTACTTCCTAGTACATTTCTTAACTGAGAAACTTAAGTCTTTCATATTTACCTACTTCAATTTCACACCAATTGCTTTTATCCAGTGAGTCCCAGTGCTTGTGTATCCATGGGAAAAGGGAGGGTGTAGAACAAGAGTATGATTCAAAAATCTTTTAACTCTTTACAAGGCCCTACTCCACTGCCAACTGGGAAGCACTGCTATGCAGGGGCACTGTCACTGCTGGCATAATTCAAGAGCACTGGGACACAAAGGAAAAGCTGAGAAAAATCACTTTAGGCCACTGACAATGTCAAGTTTCAGTCAAAAACAACTGTCATAAAACTCCTTACACAGTAAGCGAAGAGAAGAGAGAACTAACCTTAACCTTGAAGTGTAAACACATTCCATCACAGAAGGCTGTGACTAAATGTCTAACAAGATAATTAGAAAAATGTATCTCAATCGGGGAAAGACATGATATCCCATCCAGATTACAAATAATGACTATCTAAAAATCTCGAAGGAAACAGTTCCTCTGTTTACAACACTTCTGACACCAAATGTATGGACTTTTGCACCAAGCAATTCTCCAGTTCTCTGCGACACCCAGCTTTGTGTCCCACAGTGCAATTCAATTCTGAAACTAACTACCTAGAATTAGCACAGACCCCACAGGTTAATAACAAGAGAGAAAAGGTGAATGCTGAAAAAAATATCCAAAGAAATAATGGCTGAAAACTTCCTAGGTTCAGCAAATGACATAAACCCAGGCAGACTGAAGAATCTGCACAAAGCCCACACAAGATAAATCCAAAGGAAGCCATGACGAGGCACATCATAATCAACTGCTAAACACTAAGGACAAAACCTTTTGAAAAGTGCCACGGAAAGTAGATACAGAAGAATTTCTCGTGTGGCCTGAAATTAAGACTAAATATTACGTGCTGCCTTGACATTGGTAAAATCAAGAAGGCCTCAAATAGCCTAACCACAAGGTCTCCCCTGAGCTCTGCTCTCACGGATAAGATCCCAAAGCCAAACAACCTCCTTATCGCGGAAACCCGACCCCAGCCTGCTCATCCCTGCCGGCCCAGAGTTATTCAAACAAGCCAGTCACATCTTCCCATGGAAGCAAGGTCATCTCACCCTCCTGTTACTACAAAATGTGCCTCCCACAGCCCCTCGTGGTTCGCTCTGTTCCCAAGTGCAGCCCCCGTGTGGCATGCGGTGTCCCCCACCCCAGGGCTGTGAGCATGCGTGACTAATAAACTGCTATTTCATCTGTCCAGTGTCGGTGTCCTACGTTCAGCCATCCCATATCCCTAGGGCAGGAATCTTCTAGGGTTATAAACAGAACTTTAATCAACCTCTCCTTGGTTATTTTACTGGTTCCATGATACAGCTTTTTCTGTGCAAAAGATCTGAACAGAAACTCACAGACGATACAAGAGTGGCAAAAAAGAACATGATATTCAGCATTGTTAGCCATTACAGAATTGCAAATTAAAACCACAATGAGATCCCACTAGACTTGTTAGAATGGCTCAACTAAAAATCACTGATAACACCAAGTGCTAACAAAGACACAGAGCAACAGAAACGTGACAGATTGTCAGCGGGAATGCAAACTAAAACAGCCTCCAGTTTACCAAGGTAGACACCTCGAGTCACAGAATACAGAGTAGAACCCAGCCAGGAACACGGCTCAGGTGAGAACACAGGTGCTGGCTCTGAATGCCAGACTCTGCCGTGTGTGTGTGTGTGTGTGTGTGGTCACTAACCACAGCCCACAGGACAAACCCAGCCCACAGCCTTTTTGTGTATGGTCTGAACACAGAGAAAGTATTTTAGTTTTGTTGTTCTTTTGAGATGGAGTCTTGGCTCACCACAACCTCTGCCTCCCAGGCTCAAGCGATTCTCCCAGGTTCAAGTGATTCTCATGCCTCAACCTCCGAGGAGCTGGGATTACAGGGGTGCATCACCATGCCCGGCTAATTTTTTGTTTTCAGTAGAGATGGGGTTTCACCATGTTGGCCAGGCTGGTCTCGAACTCCTGACCTCAGGTGATCCGCCTGCCTCAGCCTCCAAAAGTGCTGGGATTACAGGTGTGAGCCACCACGCCCAGCCACCATATTTTATAGTTTTTAATAATTGAAAAATAATCAAAAGAAAAACAGTATTTTGTGACTTGCAAACATTCTGTGGACTTCATCTTTTCGTGTCCATAAATAAAGTTTACAGAATGAACGTCCCCAGCCCGCTGACGTAGTATTGTCTGTGGCTACTCTGGCACTACAGCTGCAAGGTCCCATGGCTATGACAGAGACCATAGGGTCCACTGAGAGCTTAAAATATTTACTATCTGGCCCTTTACAGAAAGTAGGCCACCCCTACCCTACATCTGGCTATAAATTTTACAAATTTGACAAATTCTGAGACCCTGTCTCAGAAAATAAAATAAAATATTCATAGTCTTAATAATGGAAAACAAAAACATTTACTGAATGCCAAAACATCTCCCTAACAATCCCAATCAGTTGGGATCTACATAAAGAACAATTATGCTCTGCTTTCCAACCATGATTTTTAAAAGAACAAAAGACAAAAAAATTCATCAAATGTGGGCTGGGCATGGTGGCTCACACCTGTAAACCCAGCACTTTGGGAGGCCGAGGTGGGCAGATTATGAGGTCAGGAGTTCAAGACCAGCCTGACCAAGATGGTGAAACTCCGTCTTTACTAAAAATTCAACAATTAGCTGGGCATGGTGGAGGGCGCCTGTAATCCTAGCTGAGTACTCAGGAGGCTGAGGCAGAGAACTGCTTGAACCCGAGAGGAAGGGGTTGCAGTGAGCCAAAATCATGCCGCTGCACCCCAGCCTGAGCGACAGAACAAGACTCCCTCTCGAGAGGAAAAAACAAAAAAAATTCATCAAATGTAATGAATAAAACATATACTTTGGATTTTGCCATGTACTTAGCTTTTCTTAGAGCACCTTTTAGAACTATTGTTTCACAGAAAACACTTTGGGAAACGTTTTAATTTATAAACAAATACTGGAGGGCTAGGAAGAAGAGGTTAAAACTTTTTAAAATATACAGAATGAATTACTGATACAGAAAAACAAAAAAAGGTTGCTGATTCCTGTCTTGGAAGACACTGTCATATGGACACTCTTAGCCTCAGCATCCAGAGGTCCAGAAAGGGAAAATTTCAAGTCAGAGAGAATTCTATATATACCACTTACTTGGAACATTCAGCCCTCAAAATCCCAACATCATGACCTCAGTTTCAACACAATTGTCCTTAGTCCTTATGTCACTGCTTTTGGTGCTGCCTGCTGTCAAGGCAGTGGAAGCCAGTGATGCAACTGCTCTCTCGTTAAAAGGTGTGGTTCTCAGTATTACAGGTGTTTGTACTTGCTTGCGGGTATACGCACGAAAGATAAAAATGAACAGATGTGACTTTGAAGGGCCTAATGAATGAAACCTCACCCTGAAAACCTTTGTGCTACTGAAACTAAATGTAAGCTTTGGTGTCTGAAAGTTTCCAAGAATTAGTAAGTAGGAGAGTTTTACTTTCTGAGTTGATTCCATGAAATGGGAACAAATTGGTACATAAATGGATTTTGCCCAGAATCCTAGGAAATCGCCACTGTTCAGTCGTAATCACTGCCTCCTAAATCACTGAGTCTGTTCTCTGTATTTTTATTAGACTTTTGTCATCTCCCAAATTCAGATATCCAATAGTCAGCCAAAAAGGGAAACTTTTATCTCTGGAAAGAAAAAAAATCATTTAGAAAAATGTATTCAGTGTATCTAATACTGAAATGGAGAAAAGACTTAATGTTAAAGAAAAAAAAACACTATAGACATTGACATGGAAAAGAGATTTAATGTTAATAAAAACTTTATATTAACTGAGTAACACCTCCTGATGAGAAGTGCTATATTAAATATAAACCCATTATGTTGTTTAAAAAAAAAAAACATGAAAATCAAAAGCACTAAACAGAGTGAAAGAAGCCAAGACACAGAAGAACCCGACTACATGATTCCATGTATGGAGTTCTAGAACAGGCGCAATTTGTCAATGCTGGAGAAACATCAGGCCAGCTATTGCCTCTGGGAAGAAGGGGCAGGACACCAGAGAACTTTCTGAGCAAGAGTCATGATAAAGATGTGGGTTACACGGGTTACATTTGTCAAAACTTGTGAAATGGTAAACTCAAAATAGATACATTTCATTATATATAAATTTTACCTGAAAGTCAAAAACAAAGTTGAACTAGAATCAATTACATACATGAGTGTCTAAGGAGCTAGGTGAGACAAACGGTGGATGGACAGACAGCAGGATGTGGAGCCAAATACGGTGGCAGAACATGGAGGTGGGTCTGCAGCCACTCACTGTACACGTCTGTCAGTTATTGTGTGTGTGTGTGTGTGTGTGTGTGTGTGAATATTTTCAAACAAATATAAAAAATAAATTAAAATAAAAACACAGGTAACTCTGCTTGACACTGAAACTGAAGAGGGAGACTAATACTTTTTCCCATGGTTTGTTTTGTGTTTTTTGTTTTTTTTTTTTTGAGATGGAGTCTCACTCTGTCACCCAGGCTGGAGTGCAGTAGCACAATATCTGCTCACTGCAACCTCCACCTCCCGGCTCCAAGCAATTCTCCTGCCGTGCCCTCCCAAGTAGCTGGGATTACAGGCGCCCGCCACTATGCCTGGCTAATTTTTGTATTTTTTAGTAGAGACGGGGTTTCACCATGTTGGCCAGGCTGGTCTCAAACTCCCAACCTCAAATGATCTGCCCGCCTCAGCCTCCCAAAGTGCTGGAATTACAGGCACGATCCACCGCGCCCGGTCCCCAAGTATTTTCAAGTGGACACCATCCCAATTCATTCCACAAAAGAAGAATAAATACTTGCCAGGCACGGTGGCTCACGCCTATAATCCCAGCACTTTGGGAGGCTGAGGCGGGCGGATCACGAGGTCAGGAGATTGAGACCATCCTGGCTAACACGGTGAAACCCTGTCTCTACTAAAAAATACAAAAAATTAGCCGGGCGTGGTGGTGGACACCTGTAGTCCCAGCTACTTGGGAGGCTGAGGCAGGAGAATGGCATGAACCCAGGAGGTGGAGCTTGCAGTGAGCTGAGATCGCGCCACTGCACTCCAGCCTCAGCGACAGAGCAAGACTCCTTCCCCCCAAAAAAAAAAAGAAGAAGAAATACTTTCTTCAGACTAATGCTCTCCCAACTGAGCTATTTCAACTTAGAATAAATACTTTCTAAAGTGGTAGCTTTATCCACGTTGATGACTCTCAAGCAGGGGGACCAACGAACTTCAACAGTGGTTCTCAACCAAGGATCTTTTCAGATTCAACAAGTTTAGGGTGTATACAAGCATCCATTTTTTTAAACCTCAATGGGGACTCTGAAACACAGCCACTGTTATGAACAACCTAATGATAGTCCTATTGAGCATGCAAAACTACAACGCTAAATAAGATTGTTCAATGGCATTTCCTTGCAGGCCAAAGGCTTCCAATAAGTGTTTAATACACCCCCAAAGAACACCACAAATGCAGCAAGACGGTTTTGCAATAAAAATGCCTTCAATTCACGTAAAACAATAAAATCCGGGCAGCTTGTATTAACTACCATTTTAGACAACAATCTCCAAAGTAAAAAGCAAAACTTCAAAGAGTTAAGCTCAAAGCTCCTGTTCCTATAGCACATTACAAAATTTCTATAAAATGCATTTTATAATGGTCTTTACCAAATAAAAAACACTAGTTAAAGGCCCTTACCTTTTCCAGGAGGGAGCTATCCGTTCTGGGTTGATTCTGTTCCAGTGTATACAATTTCTCCATCTTTAACCATTTCATTCCACAGACCACAGAGCCCATCTCTTGTGAATGCAAGCTGGCAATGATAAACGAGATAAGCTCACACTCACACTGCAATTTTTAAAGAATGATATGGGAAAAAATCTCAATCCCCCTTATGTATTCGATCATTCGGTAATAAAATCAATGATTTACTGAATTAGTGACTTAATCATTTTACATTTCATGAAAGTCATCCAAGAAATATAAATGAAAAGGTGCATAATAGTATAAATACTATTCTACCTCTTATGTAACATACAAGAAAAATGACACGTGGTCGGGCGAGGTGGCTCATGCTTGTCATCCCAGCACTTTGGGAGGCCGAGCGGGGCACATCACGGGGGATCAGGAATTTGAGACCAGCCTGGCCAACACGGTGAAACGCCGTCCCAACTAAAAATACAAAAAATTAGCCAGGCGTGGTGGCGGGCGCCTATAATCCCAGCTACTCACGAAGCCGAGGCAAGAGAATTGCTTGAACCCAGGAGGCAGAGGTTGCAGTGAGCCAAGATCGCGCCACAGCACTCAGCCTGAGTTGATAAGAGCGAGACTCGGTGTTAAAAAAAAAAAAAAGAAAAAAAAAAAAAAGAAAAAAGAAAAAAAAGACACACACACAAACACACACACGTGCATATGCTCTGAAAAGATAAACTGAAAGCAAGTACCAATGACTACCTACGGGGAAATGGGGAGGGGACATGGACAAAGGCAGCAGGACCAGAAAAAGCAACAACATTGTGAGTATACTTTAGATGTCTTTACTTCTGAAACATACATGACTTTCATCCTCAAAAATTAAAATTAAATCATAAAAAAGCAAAACCTACAACTGGCAACAAGCAAATTAACCCATGCATATACAAAGAAAAGTATGTCAAGGGACTTTTGAACTACATATCATTAATAGAATATACTATAATGAAAAATAAAATATTTATCGGTATTGATAACACTCTCACAATTTTAGAACTACTTCATGTTGCACAATAAAGCAGTGTAAATACAATAAAACATGTTTATGATAAAGTATTAAATGTTCTTAGAAATTAAGGTTTTAGGCCGGCCATGGTGGCTCACACCCGTAATCCCAGCATTTGGCAGGCCAAGGCAGGTAAATCACTTGAGATCAGGAGTTCATGACCAGCCTGGCCAACATGGTGAAACCCCATCTCTACTAAAAATATGAAAAATTAGCCGGGTGTGCTGGTGCATGCCTGTAATCCCAGTCACTCGGGAGGCTGAAGCAGAAGACTAGCATGAACCCAGGAGGCAGAGGTTTCAGTGAGCCGAGATTATGTCACTGTGCTCCAGCCTGGGTAAACAGAACGAGACTCCATCTCAAAAAAAAAAAAAAAAAAAAAAAAAAAAAAATTAAGGTTTTCAGTGGAAAAGAGGAAAAAAAATCAAAGAAATTTTGAAAAAAAACTTAAATTGGAAATCTATGAACTTTATTTTTGAATATATTTGCTTACTCTGTTTTTTAAAGGACTAGAATCAAAGGCAATCTGACAGCGGCACCCAGATTTTGGTCTCTTAGAACCATTTCCCGATAAAAGACGCTAGGGCTCTTGGGAAAATAAGTAGATTCAAGGGCCAGGGCAGACAAAGATGAGCCTGTTTCCTCAAAGAAAAAGCTGTTTCCTCAAACATGGCCAGGTGCGGTGGCTCACGCCTATAATCCTAGCATTTTGGGAGGCTGAGGCGGGCAGATCACTTGAGGTCAGGAGTTCGAGACCAGCCTAGCCAACATGCCGAAACCCCATCTCTTCTAAAAATACAAAAATTAGCTGGGCATGGTGGCAGGCGCCCATAATCCCAGCTACTTGGGAGGCTGAGGCAGGAGAATAGCCTGAACCCAGGAGGTGGAGGTTACAGTGGGCCAAGACTGTGCCACTGCACTCCAGCCTGGGTGACAGAGCAAGACTTTATCTCAAAAAAAAAAAAAAAAAAAAAAAAAAAAGCAGCTGTTCAAAGACGATAGGGACTCCTGGCCAAATTTATAATAATTATAATAACTGTGAGCATCAAAATCAAAAACGCCTTTGCTTGTCAACATTTGTGAGTCAGAAAAGGCTTCCCAGAACAGGAAAAGGGAGCATTTCAGACACTGGGGGAAGGCATCCATTCTGAAAACTGCGTATGTGACAGAAGCTCCCTTGTCTGGCAAAACAAAAGCCATTTTTAATTAAAAGAGACAGATGTTTGCCCATCTTTTTTTTTTTTTTAACTTCTGTGGATACACACTAGTTGTATGTATATATATATGGGTTATATATTCTATCTAACTCTTTTTTTTTTTTGGAGACGGATCTCGTTCTGGCACTAAGCTGGAGTGCAGTTGTGCGATCTCAGCTCACTGCAACCTTTGCCTTCTGGGTTCAAGGGTTTCTCCTGCCTCAGCCTCCCGAGTAGCTGGGACTACAGGCTCACACCACCACACCCAGCTAATTTTTGTATTTTTGGTAGAGATGGGGTTTCACCGTGTTGGCCAGGATGGTCTGGGTCTCTTGACCTCATGATCCACCTGCCTTGGCCTCCCAAAGAGCTGGGATTACAGGCGTAAGCCACTGTGCCCAGCCCTATCTAACTCCATTTTTATACCCATTAACCATCCGCACTTCACCCCCACTTTATCCTTCCCAGTCTCTGATAACCATCATTCTACTCTATCTCCATGAGTTCAATTACTTTCATTTGCTTAGCACCTACAAATAAGTGAGAACATGCAAAGTTCGATTTTCTGGGTCTGGCTCATGACATTCTGTTCCTGACTTAACATAACGACCTCCAGTTCTATCCATGTTGTTGCAAACGGCAGTATCCCATTCTTTTTCATGGTTGAATAGTACTCCGTTGAGTATATATACCACATTTTCTTCATCCATTCATCTGCTGGGAACACTTAGGTTGCTTCCAAATCTTGGCTATTGAGAATAGTGCTGCAATAAACATGAGAGTGTACATATTTCTTCAACATACTGATATTCTTTCCTCTGGGTATATACCTACCAGTGGGATTGCTGAATCATATGATAGTCCTATTTTTAGTTTTTTGAGGAACCTCCAAGCTAATCTCCATAATGGCTGTGCTAATTTACATTCCCACCAACAGTGCACAAGGGTTCCCTTTTCTCTATATTCTTGCCAGCATTTGTTCTTGTCTTTTGGATATAAGCCATTTTAATTAGGGTGAGATAATATCTCATTATAGTTTTGATTTGCATGTCTCTGATGACCAACCATGTTGAGCACCTGTTCGTATTGCCTGTTTGTCATTTGTATATCTTCTTTTGAGAAATGTCTATTCAAATCTTTTGCCCATTCTTATTGGATTATTAGATTTTTTTCCTATAGAGTTGCTTAAGCTAATTATATATTCTGGTTATTAATCCTTTGTCAGATGGGTAGTTTGCAAATATTTTCTCCCATTCTGTGGGTTGTCTCTTCATTTTGTTGATTGTTTCCTTTGCTGTGCAGCTTTTTAACTCAATGTGATCCCACTTGTCCATTTTAGCTTTGGTTGCCTGTGTTTACGAAGTATTACTCAAGAAATCATTACCCAGTGCAATGTCCTGGAGAGTCTCCCCAATGTTTTCTTTCAGCACTTTCATAGTCTGAAGTCTTAGGTTTAAGTCTTTACTCCATTTTGATGTGATTTTCGTATATGGTGAGAGATAGTGGTCTAGTTTCATTTTTCTGCATATGGGTGCCCCATTTTCCCAGCACCATTTATCAATGAGGCTATCCTTTCCCTCATGTATCCTCCGGGCACCTCTGTCAAAGGTGAGTTCACTGTAGATGTATAGATCTGTTTCTGGGTTCTCTATTCTGTTCCATTGGTCTAGGTGTCTGTTTTTATACCAGTACCATGCTGTTTTGGTATACCTTTCTAGTAAACTTTGCACTTGATCTAAGCCAAAAAAGACCAGGAAGTGACTGTAGTATAATTTTAAGTCAGGTAATGCAATTTCTCCAGTTTTGTTTTTTGCTCAGGATGGCTTTGGCTATTCTGTCTCTTGTGATTCCATACAAATTTCAGGATTTTTTTTTCTATTTCTGTGAAGAATGTCATTGGTATTTTGATAGGGATTACATTGAACCTGTAGATTGCTTTGGGTAGTACAGACATTTTAACAATATTGATTCTTCCAATCCATGAACACAGAGTATCTTTTCCTTTTCTGTGTGTCTTCTTCAATTTTCTGCATCAATGTTTTACAGTTTTCGTGGTAGAGATCTTTTCACTTCTTGGGTTAGGTTTATTCCTACGTATTTTACTTTATTTGTAGCTATTATAAATGGAATTATTTTTCTTGATTTATTTTTCATATTGTTCACTGTTGACATATAGAAATGCTACTGATTTGGCTGGGCAAAGTGGCTCATACCTGTAATCCCAGCACTTTGGGAGGCCGAGGCAGGCGGATCACCTGAGGTCAGGAGTTCGAGACCAGCCTGGCCAATGTGGTGAAACCCTGTCTCTACTAAAAATACAAAAATTAGCCAGGCCTGGTGGCAGGCGCCTGTAATCCCAGCTACTCAGGTGGCTAACACAGGCGGATCGCTTGAACCCAGGAGGCAGAGGTTGCAGTGAGCCGAGATTGCGCCATTGCTTTCCAGCCTGGGCCACAGAGTGAGACTCCATCTCAAAAAAAAAAAAAAAAAAAAAAAGAGAGAGAGAGAAATGCTACTGATTTTTGTATGTTAATTTAGTATCCTGCAATTTTACTGAATTTATCAGTTCTAATCATTTTTTGGTGGAGTTTTTAGGTTTTTCCAAATATAACAATCATCTGCAAACAAGAGTAACTTGGCATCTTCATTTCCAATTTGGATGCCCTTTATTTCTTCTTCTTTTTTTTTTTTTTCTGAGATGGAGTCTTGCTCCATAGCCCAGGCTGGAATATAGCGGCACAATCTCAGCTCACTGCAATCTCCACCTCTGGGGTTCAAGTGATTTCCCTGCCTCAGCCTCCCGAGTAGCTGGGACAACAGACACCCGCCACCACGCCTAGCTAATTTTTATATTTTTAGTAGAGATAGGGTATCACCATGTTGGCCAGGCTTCAAACTCCTGACCTCAAGTGATCCACTCACCTCAGCCTCCCAAAGTGCTGGGATTACAGGTGTGAGCCACTGCACCCGGCCTTTCTCTCTCTTATCTGACTCCTCTAGCAAGGGCTTCCATTATTATATTGAATAACAGTGGTGACAGTGGGCATCCGTGTCTTGTTCCAGATCTTACAGGAAAGGCTTTCAGTTTTTCACCTTTCAGTATGATACTAGCTGTGTGTCAGTTGTATATGGCTTTTATTGCGTTGAGGTGTGTTCCTTCTATAACCAGTTTTTTGGGGTTTTTATCATGAAAGGATGTTGAATTTTATCAAATGCCTGTTCAGCATGAATTTAAATGATCATATGGTTTTTTATCCTTCATTCTATTGATATGATGTATCAAACTGATTGATTTGGATATGGTGAACCATCCTGGCATCCCTGGGATAAACCCCACTTTGGTCATGATGAACGACGTTTCTAATGTGTTGTTGAATTCGGTTTGCTGGTATTTTGTTGGGTATTTCTGCATCAATGTTCATCTGGGATACTGGCCTGTTTTGTTTTTTTGATTATGTCTGTCTGGTTTTGGTATCAGGGTAATATTGGCCTTCTACAATAAGTTTGGAAGTATTCCCTCCTCCTCTATTTTTCAGAATAGTTTCACTAGGATTGGTAATAGTTCTTCTTTAAATGTTTGGTAAAATTCAGCAGTGAAGTCACTGGGTCCTGGGGTTTTTCTTTGCTGGAAGACTTTTTATTATTACAGTTTCAATCTCATTACCTGTTATTGGTATGTTCAGGTTCTGGATTTCTTCATGGTTCAAACTTGGAAGGCTGTATGTGCCTGTGAAATTATCCATTTCTTTTTCCTTCTTTTTTTGAAGACACAGTCTCACTCTTTCACCCAGGGTGGAGTGCAGTAACATGATCTCAGCACACTGCAACCTCCCCCTCCCAGGGCTCAAGTGACTCTCGTGCCTCAGCCTTCCAAGTGGCTGGAATTACAGGCACGCAAAACCACACCTGGTTAATTTTTGTATTTTTAGTAGAGATGGAGTTTCACCATGTTGGCCAGACTGCTCTCAAACTCCTGACCTCAAGCGATCCACCCGCCTCAGCCTCCCAAGGTGCTGGGATTACAGGTATGAACCACCACGCCCAGCCTGCAAACTTATCTATTTCTTCCATGTTTCCCAATTTATTGACATATAGCTGTTCATAGTCTCTAATGACCCTTTGAATTTCTGCAATATCAGTTGTAATGCCTACTTTTTCACCTCTGATTTGGGTCTTCTTTTTCTCTTAGCCTGCCTGAAAGCTTGTCAATTTATCTTTTAGAAAAACCAACTTTTCATTTCATTGATCTTTTGTATTATTTTCTTCATTTCAACTCCATTTTATTTCTGCTCTAATTTTTATTATTTCTGTCCTTAAAATTATGGGTTTGGTTAGCTCCTTCATTTCTAGTTCTTTAAGATGTATCATTAGGTTATTTATTTGAAGTTTTTCTACTTTTTTGATTTTCCTCTTAGTATTGCTTTCACTATATCCCACAGGTTTCGTATGCTGTGCTGCCATTGCCATTTGCTTCAAGAAATTGTTTAATTTCATTCTTAATTTCTTCACTGACCTGTTGGTCATTCAGGAGCATATTGTTTAATTCCCATGTGTTGGTGGAGTTTCCAAAATTCCTCGTTATTGATTTTTAGTTATAGTCCATTGTGATCAGAGAAGATACTTAATTTTTTTAACTTTAATATGGCAAAAGAGGAATCTAGCTTCATTCTTCTGCATATGAATATCAAGTTTTCCCAACACCATTTATTGAAGAGATTGTCTTTTCCCCAGTGTTTGTTCTTGGTACCTTTGTCGAAAATGAGTTCACCGTAGATGTGCGGATTTGTTTCTGGATTCTCTATTCTGTTCCATTGGTCTGTGTCTGTTTTATGCTAGTACTATGCTGTTTTGGTTACTATAGCTCTGTAGTATAATTTGAAGTCAGGTAATCTGATTCCTCCAGTTTGTTTCTTTTTAATTACGAGAGCTTCGGCTATTCTGGGTCTTTTGTGGTTCAACATGAATTTTAGGATTTTTTTTTTTTCTGTTTCTGTGAAGAATGTCATTGGTATTTTGCTAGGGATTGCACTCAATCGGTAGATTGCTTTGGGTAGTATGGACATTTTAACAATATTGATTCTTCCGATCCATGAAGATGAAATATTTTTCCATCTTTTGTGTCCTCTTTAATGTCTTTCATCAGGGTTTTAGAGTTTTCATTACAGAGATCTTTGTAATTATCTTCTTTGGTTACTTCCCAGGTACTTAATTTCATGTGTGGCTACTATAAATGGGATTAGTTTTCTAATTTTTTTCATATTGTTTACTGTTGGCACACAGAAATGCTACTGATTTTTGTATGTTGATTTCGTATACTGCAACTGTACTGAATTTATCAGCTCTAATCATTTTCTTGTGGAGTCTTTAGGTTTTTCCACATATAAGATCATATCATCTGCAAACAAGGATAATTTGACTTCTTCCTTTCCAATGTGGAGGCCTTTTATTTCTTTCTCTTGTCTGATTGCTCTAGCAAGAACTTCCAGTACTATGTTGAATAACGGTGGCCACACTGAGCATCCTTGTCATGTTCCAGATCTTAGAGGAAAGACTTTCAGTTTTTCACCATTCAGTATGATACTAGCTGTGGGTCTGTCATATACGGCTTTTATTATGTTGAGGTATGTTTCTTCCATAATCAGTTTTAAGAGATTTTATCATGAAAGGATGTTGAATTTTATCAAATGCCTTTTCAGCATCGACTGAAATAATCACATGGTTTTTATCCTTCTGTTGACATGATGTGTCACATCGATTGATTTGCATATGTTGAACCATCCTTGTACCCCAGGGATAAACCCCACTTCATCACAATGAACGATCTTTCTAACGTATTGCTGAATTTGGTTTGCTAGTATTTTGTTGAGGATATTTGCATCAATATTCATCAGAGACATTGGCCTGTAGTATTCTTTCTTTGACGTGTCTTTGTCTGCTTTTAGTATCAAGGTTTCAATTTTTAATGACTTATTTTGTGGCCTAACATATGGTCTAACCTTGAGGACGATCCATGTGCTAAAGAGAACAATGTAAATTCTGCAGCCATCAGATGAAATGTTCTAGAAATATCTATTAAATCCATTTGGTCTACAGTGCAGATTAAGTTTGATGTTTCTTCATTAATTTTGTCTGGATGATCTGATCTGTCCAATGCTGAAGTGGAGTGTTGAAGCCTCCATCTATTAATGTATTAACGCCTCTCTCTCTCTTTAGCTGTAATATTTGTTTTATGTATCTGGGTGCTCTAGTGTTGAGTGCATATATACATATATTTATAATAGTTATAGCCTCTTGCTGAATTGGCCCCTTTATCATTACATAATGACTTTTTTGGTCTCCTTTTATAGTTTTGGTCTTGAAATCTATTTGGTCTGATATAACCGCTATGCTCTTTTGTGATTTCCATTTGCCTCTCCCTTTTTCCATCCCTCCGCACCGTCCTGAAGAGATGGTCTCCAATCTGAAGAAGCAAGCAGCCAATGAACTGCCCGTGGGGAGGGGCAGCCTCCAAGAGCCCAGGGTTTCAGTCCCACAACCACAATGGATTCAATTCTACCAATGAGGACCTGAGCTCCAGATGACAGCGTGCCCTAGCCAACACCTTGACTACAGCCTGTGACACCTGAAGTAGAGGATAGAACTAAGCTATGGCCAGACTCCTGACCCACAGAAACTGTGAGAGTGTAAATGCTTGTTGTTACAAGCTGCCAAATTTGTGTTTGGTAACTTGTTCTGTAGCGACAGAAACCAAGCCAGCATCCTTCAGTTTTTGTAGAAGGAACAGCTTTCTCTCAGCACTGTTATTTTTTCTGTTCACATCACTAACAGGATAACTGCCATAAACATACTTGGAACCAAAACATATGACTTTTGGTAAAAATATCAGCTGGTGGGGGAGAGGTAAACTCCTTCCTAAAAAGTGAGCCCTGGCCAGGTAGAGTGACTCACATCTCTAATCCCAGCACCTTGGAAGACTGAGGCAAGAGAATCACTTGTGCCCAGGAGTTCAAAACCAATCTAAGCAACATAGCAAGACCCTGTCTCTACAAAAAAATTGTAAAATTAGCCAGAAAGCTGGGCATGGTGGCTCACACCTGTAATCCCAGCACTTGGGAGGCCACAGCAGGTGAATTGTTTGAGCTCAGGAGTACAAGACCAGCCTGAACAACATGGCAAAACCGCATTTCTACCAAAAATACAAAAAATTAGCCAGAGGTGGTGGCGCGCCTGTACTCCCAGCTACTTGGGAGGCTGAGGTGGGAGAACTGCTTGAGACCAGGAGGTAGAGGCTGCAGTGAGTTGAGATCACTCCACTGTACTCCAGCCTGGGCAATAGAGCAAGACCCTGTCAAAAAAAATTTTTAATTTAAATTTAAAAAATTAAAATAATATAAAAAATAAAATTAAAAAGTGAGCCAAAAACATTCAGGGCCCCTGAAGTTTAACGAGTGAATGGAAAGCTTTGACTCTTCTAGTCTTCAGTCAGAGGAGAGCAGTGAATACGTGCACTGGGGTTCAGTCCAAACCCTACCACAATGCACATGATAAGAGGCTAACAGTGGTCAGAACTCACAGCTCCATGTGGGCCGTGCTCCAGGAGTTTCAGACTATCTTTAGGCACTCAAGGGAATATGACATTTGACCCGTGTCTTAAAGTGTTTCAGAAAACAGAAACAGAGAAGGTGAACTAAGAAGCTATTACTGGCCACGCACGGTGGCTGACGCCTGTAATCCCAGCACTTTGGGAGGCCGAAGCGGGTGGATCATGAAGTCAGGAGATAAAGACCATCCTGGCTAACACAGCGAAAACCCATCTCTACTAAAAATACAAAAAATTAGCCAGATGTGGTGGCACGCACCTATAGTCCCAGCTACTCGGGAGGCTGAGGCAAGGGAATTGCTTGAACCTGGGAGGTGGACGTTGCAGTGAGTGGAGATCGCACCACTGCACTCCAGCCTGGGTGACAGAGTGGGACTGCATCTCAAAAAAAAAAAAAAAAAAAAAGGCTATTACCAAGGGTCCAAAAAAGAAAGGATGACAGCAGAAGTCAACACAGGGAAGTACAGTCTTTAAGATTATTTCAGGCAGGGCACGGTGGCTCACATTTGTAATCCCAGCAGTCTGGGAGGCCGAGGTGGGCAGACTGCTTGAGCCCAGGAGTTCGAGACCAGCCAGAGCAACATGGTGAAACCCGGTCTCTACAAAAAATACAAAAATTAACCAGGCGTGGTGGTACGCACCTGTAGTCCCACTACTCAGGGGGCTGAGGTGGGAGGATCACCTGAGCCCGGGGAGGTTAAGGCTGCAGTGAGCCGTGACGGTGCCACTGCATTCCAGCCTGGGCAACAGAGTGAGACCCTGACTTAAAAAACAAAAAAAGAAACTATTTCAAATCACGTAAGTTAAATCAAATGTGAAAGGGAAAATAAGGGAGGGAACAGAAGAGGAATGAGAATTAGTTCCGTTTTAACCACTAAGATTTGCACTAACTACTGAACATAAACATGGAGCTCCTCCCCACTCCACCAACCCTCAGTAAATATAGATCCAGATCTTAGCAGAGTGTTCAGGGCTAGAGACTCAAATCTGGGAGTAGTCAACAAATGGACTGTAGGTGATGTCCTGGAGAAGATGCCAACACCCAAGCAGAGAGGGGAGACCCCTGCCCAGCCCTGAAAGCACTCTAAGATCGCCCCAGACTGGCTGGGCTCCACACATCAGTGTTCTGCGGTACAGCCTAGATTGAGAAACATTAGTGTTACAGAGGTACCATTTAAAAAAAAAAAGCCAAAAGATGGAACATTTAAAGACTAAGCCAAGGAGGAAGCCCAGTTTACATGGAAACAAGAATAATTACCACCACCTTTCGATTATTACCTGGGTAGCACTGGGAAGGAAGAGGATAGGCCAGACCTTGTCCTTCTGAGTAACAAGGAATTCTTTTTTGGAAGGTAGACACTGGACTCCTGGAAGGACATGCACTGTGGAAGCCTCCTAGGAACTGATGACCCAAATAAATGGTAAGCACCATTCAAAAAACTATTTGGGCACCTTAAAGGTGGAACATTACTAAGGCAATAAAGCAAGCCTCACTGGAGGAGGTCTCCAGAGAGTTAGACTGTGAACAAGCAAAAGTGAAGCCCAGGAGAAGAGCTCTCCAGATCACAGACAGTACAGGATCCTGACTGAGGAAGCAGCAGCCTGGGAACAACTGGAAGACAGCCGTGGCACTGAGAAGAATGGAGACTACAGGCAGGGCGTGGTGGCCCACGCCATAATCCCAGAGCTTTGGGAGGCCAAGACAGAAGAACTGCTTGAGGCCAAGAGTTCAAGATCAGCCTGGGCAACATGGTAAGACCGTGTCTCTACAGAAATGTAAAAATTACCCAAGTGCATGGCACGTGCCTGTAATCCCAGCTACTCAGGAGGCTACAGCAGGACGGTCACCTGCACCCAGGAGTTTGAGGTTACAGTAAGCTCTGATCACACCACAGCATTCCAACCTGGGTGACAGAGACCCTATTCATTTAAAAAAAAAAAAAAAGAAAGAAAAAGAAAAAAATGAATGGGACTTTCCATTTGCAAAGTGAGAGTATTTATTTCTACAACTGTCTCCAATTAGCTTTTTATTAGTAGCTGACTTACCTAAACGTGCCCAGTAGCTTTTCAACTTTTGACTTTTTTGGTTCAGATCCCAGAAGCTTCTAATTAGGTTATTTGGGCTAAGAACTCTTTTCCAATCTTTTCCAATCTCACATTCCTATCTTACACCTCTGAAATGACATGGCAAGTAAAGGCACTTTCATCGTCAAAAGACCCCAGCAAAAGAGGCAGTAACAGGCTCACTTTTTGTAAGTTACTAAACTGAAGCTCAGAAGGCCAATGACTTGACCAAAGGCCACACAACACTGAGGCTGTGAGAGGCGGGATTTGGGAAGAGGCCCAACTCCAAGGCTTATTCGCTTCCCACCAACACCATAACATGCACCCACACCTGCAGCACGGCAGCCAGGGCAAGCCTTCACGCTCCCATACATAGGCCACCAATATTTTAATACCAATCAGGACTAGGCAAGCAAACAGTTAAGGCATTTTTTTTTTTTTTTTTTTTTTTTGAGACAGAGTCTTGCTCTGTCGCCCAGGCTGGAGTGCAGTGGCGCCATCTTGGCTCCCCGGGTTCATGCCATTCTCCTGCCTCAGCCTCCCGAGTAGCTGGGACTACAGGCGCACGCCACCACGCCCGGCTAATTTTTTGTGTATTTTTAGTAGAGACAGGGTTTCACCGTGTTAGCCTGGATGGTCTCGATCTCCTGACCTTGTGATCCACCCGCCTCGGCCTGGGATTACAGGCGGGAGCCACCGCACCCAGCCCGTTAAGGCATTTATTAAAGTGACTTCAGAACTATAGAGTCAGGCAATAAAATCCAAAACTGAATAATATAACAAATGAATATCTGATTAATGTATAGGTTAGAAAATGTTTCTTTTTCATGTCCTTACAATTTGACAGAAAAGTAATCTTCAAATATTTGCAGATGAGTAAAGGTATATGGCTTTTTTTCTTAAACCTACAGAAAAATACTAAACACCTACTGAACGTAGGACAACATATGAAAAAATGTTAAGAACAGGTTCCTAGAACAATTAGAAAGGTCAGACAGGAACATTAAGTACGTCGATTTGAAGACATCCTAGAAGCAGCAAGGGAGTGAGGTCTTCCTAAAGTCTAAGACCCACGAGAGGAGGAAAGAGGCCCAGAGAACCTAAGCACGCAGGGATGAGACTGAGAAGCAAAACGGAGCTTCTGAGAGACTCCCAGGGCCCTCATACAGGAGAAAGAGGCCTGGCAGATCCCATGCTCTGAGCTGGAACCTCAAAGGGCCACACACCAGAAATACAGGTGAGTTAGAAGTAGACCAGCCTTCACGGAAAACCAGCCCAGTTTCGCATTCTCTCAATTTCCAAAGGGACTGCAGTGACCTGGGATTGCCTAGAACATCCTCTCTGGAGGAAGATATTGTTACCTAGAGCCTCGATTTATTGCTACAATATTGCATATACAATATCTGAAAGTCAAGCAAATATAATAATGACAAAGATACAAGACCACATCATTGAAAAATGAAAAAAAAAATAGAAGTCATTAGAACAGACCGAGTAGATCCTGAAAACAGAAACATAAAGACTTCTGTCATGAAAGAAGAGCCTGAGGAATGAACTGAAGTGTTGACACTCTGCTCAGCAGATGTCAGCTCGGGGCAATGGGGTGAGGGAAGTGGGAAAGCGAGACAAGGAGATCAATGAAGTAACGATATGCAGTATATGACTTCACAATCAGCTAAGTGTGATTTTAGCCTACTCTGCCTATGTAGGAGCCATTCTTATTTCCTTTAATTTCCTAAAAAAAGAAAAATATATATTAAAAAAGAGTGATTTTATATTTTTCAATGGTTGCCACATAATCAAAAGAATCATATGTCAGCCAAGCACGGTGGCTCACACCTGTCATCTCAGACTTTGGGAGGCCAAGGCGGGCGGATCACGAGGTAAGGAGTTCACGACCAGCCTGGCCAACATGATGAAACCCCATCTCTACTAAAAATACAAAAAAAAAAATTAGTGAGGCATGATGGTACACGCCTGTAATCCCAGCTACTCCAGAGACTGAGGCAGAACAATTGCTTAAACCCAGGAGGTGGAGGTTGCAGTGAGCCAAGATCGCGCCACTGCACTCCAGCCTGGGCAACAGAGCAAGACTCCCTCTCAGAAAAAAAAAAAAAAAAAAAAAATCATATGTCAACAAATGAAAATTATATGACATTCAAATTCTGGTATCCACAAAGTTTTCCTGGAATATAGCCATACACATGTTTGGCAGCTTCTCGCAGGACAATGGCCAAGGTGAGCTGTTCTAAAAGAGCACGTACGGCCCACATAAACATTTACTATCTGGTGCTTTACAGAAAAAATGTGCTGACCCCTATGTTAGTGCCACCTCTTCTCAATGAGCTGCAAATACAACCAACTGTTCAGCCAGCACATTCACTAGGCATATGTGGCTTTTCCAGAAGGTTTGCAAGAAGAAACTACACCATAAAATAGTCCAAAGAGGAAAGAAAAAAGGGAGGAATAAAAACACTGAGTTCCCTCATCTCTCCTTGTAAAGTGGTGAACGTTCATACCACAAGGAATTCACACCCACACACACTCGCCACACCTTCCAGGCTGTGTCACTGGCTCCTTGGTAGGCAGTCAGGAAGCCATACTCCAACTCTCTTGCGTGACATCACAGCGGAGACTGGAGCTGAAGGGCGGCTCACAGGCATGAGTCAGCCAAGAGGGACAGAGAGAGGCGGCTAAGGAATCTATGGGGTCGGACAAGGTTTATAAACACACTTTTAAAATAACTACCTTTAATAGAGTCAAGCAATTAAAAGATCCTATTAACAGCCGGGCACGGTTCATGCTTGTAATCCCAGCACTTTGGGAGGCCAAGGCAGGCGGATCACGAGGTCACGAGTTCAAGACCAGCCTGGCCAATCTGGTGAAACCCCGTCTCTATTAAAAATACAAAAATTAGCCAGGTGTGGTGGCGGGCACCTGCAGTCCCAGCTACTCGGGAGGCTGAGGCAGGAGAATCACTTGAACCCAGGAGATGGAGGTTGCAGTGAGCCGAGATTGTGCCACTGCACTACAGCCTGAGCGACAGAGCGAGACTCCTTGTCAAAAAAAAAAAAAAAAAAGATCACATTAACAATTTCAACACAGAAGTTGAAACTAGAAAAAAGTACCTAAAGTGGCAGTTAAAGAAACTGTCAAACATTTCAAACTAAACATTTTAAAGGGATGTGTTTAATATAATTATACCTCAATAAAGTTGATATGTTTAAAAAATGGAAATTCTGGAATAGAAAAACATAATAGTAAAATTTAAAACTCAATGGATTTGATTAAAAACAGATTGGGAAGGCCTGTGCTTCCTCCACCTATAAAGGATGAATTCTGTAGAAATCACTTCCTTGCTATAATCAACTAGAAAACCAGACAGAATATACCGAAAAGCTGTTACCAAAAACTGGACAACAGACAGCCCAGAGCTGGGATCCCTGAGAGAAGGGAAACACTGCCCAGAAGAAGCTTCCAGGCTGCAGCACAGGAAAGGGGAACCCAAATAGAGCCCAAAGAACTTGCTGAGCTCAGGAGACAGATCAGCTATACGTAGGCCAAATGACAAGAATACAGCAAGCTCCAGAGATGAGTGGAGGGGCCCCTTGAGTATCTGTCTGAGTACTACTCTGAGCATAGGTTAAGAAAACTATGGAATACTGGGGAAAGCAGCACTAGAAAGTAATAAGCAGCACTGCCATGATGCACAGTCTGGGAAAAGCCTGTGTTTCCACAAACAAGGACAGAAAGATCTTCTCATACACCAAGCATCAGGTGGAGTCCTGAGAACAGTATTGCCTTCGTTGTATGGATAAATGAGCCCAAGAGTAAAGCCTGTGTGGATCAGCCTAACAAACCTCAGAATCAAGCTTTGAAAAGATCAAACTGACCCCGTGTAACTTACATGTATGGCAGAAGAAAACTAAGGCTCTTTAAAAAAATAAAACAAAATCCTGCACAGAAGATAAAATTAATGCCTAGCATTCAATCAAAAATTAGCAGGCATACAACCATGCCCCCATAACTAGGGCAATCAATCAATAGAAATGACAGAATCAATCAACAGAGATGGATCTAGAAGTGATCAGAGATTACAGAATTCACAGACAAGGACATTAAAAGCTCTCTTACAGAAATGCTCCCTATACTAATAGAAGGAAAGCATGAATGTTATAAGGAGTGAAACAGAAGATATAAAAAGGACTCAAATGGAATCTCTAGAAATGAAAATACAAAATGGATGGATGAGATTAACAGAACTGCATAACAGTTACAACCATAATCTACAATGTCTAAGCACATGGCTATGCCATGCTCTCTCCCTTAACACTCATGCAGTCTAGGTTTAACAAATAACTGTTTCATGCCCATCATCAGTTGCAGGTTGATCTACAGTCATCCAGTTGTCTAAAGATCTTTCTCCACTCCATTCCTAAGGAAGGGCTCATGAGAACAATACTTCCTAAGTTACAGCTCACTGAGAAGTTTGTGTGTTTTTCATCTGAAAAGTCGGTTTTGCTGGAACAAAAAATGCTTTACTCACATTTTCTTTTCTTGAGTGCCTTAAACAGGATACTCAATTTCTTCTTCATAAAGAATTGTCATCTGCTGGGCTCAGTGGCTCACTGCTGTAATCCCACCACTCTGGGAGGCCAAGGCAGGTGGACTGCCTGAGCTCAGGAGTTCAAGACCAGCCTGGGCAACATGGTGAAACCCCATCTCTACTAAAAATATAAAAAATTATCTGGGTGTGGTGGTGCACACTTGTAATTCCAGCCACTTAGGAGGCTGAGGCACGAGAATGGCTTGAACCTGGGAGGTGGAGGTTGCAGTGAGCTGAGATAGTGCCACTGTACTCCAACCTGGGCAACAGAGTGAGACTCTGTCTCAAAAAAAAAAAAAAAAAAAAAAGGAATTGTCATCAAAGTCCTACGGCTAAACCCTTTTCCTTTTTTTTGTAACAAGTATTGCTAGTCTTTTCCAAGAACCAAAGTTAAAAGTTAGTTCTTTAAAACACCAGGCCAGGCACAGTGGCTCACACATCTAATCACAGCACTTTGGGAGGCCAAGGCAGGAGGATCACTTGAATGCAGAAGTTCTAGACCAGCCTGGACAACAAAGCAAGACCCTGCCTCTACAAAAAACTTTTTTTTTTGCTGCAAAATGCTCTTAATTAACCTGACAAAATGCCACATACAGGGTTACTGCATCTTTTTTATCATGGAATTTTGAAAACAAAAATTGTTCTCTTGAGGCAGCAGTATTTGGATATTAGAGGTAAAAACCACCCTTAGAATCCAGTCCTAAAAACATCAATGAATATTCCTATATTTACAAATTCTTCTATTTCTACATGTCATCTATCAACAGGATTATGAACCTGAAAGCCTGAGAATAGAATTTATCAAGATACTCATGTTTGTACTTTTTTTATCTACTGCCCTTTTTTATTTTTTTTGAGACAGATTCTCGCTCTCTCACCAGGCTGTAGTGCAGTGGCGCGATCTCAGCTCACTACAACCTCCGCCACCTGGGTTCAAGCGATTCTCCTGCCTCAGCCTCCTAAGTAGCTGGGACTACAGGCACGTGCCACCACACCCAGCTAATTTTTGTATTTTTAGTAGAGATGGGGTTTCACCATGTTGGCCAGGATGACCTCAATCTCCTGACCTCAGCCTCCCAAACTGTTAGGATTACAGGCTAAGCCACCACACCCGGCCATCTACTGATATTTCTAAGCATGAAGTGACATTTTTTTTTTTTGAGAAGGAGTCTTGCTGTGTTGGCCAGGCTGGAGTGCAATGGCATGATCTCGGCTCACTGCAACCTCCACCTTCTGGGTTCAAGCAGTTCTCCTGCCTCAACCTCCCAAGTAGCTGGGATTACAAGCGCACACCACCACACCTGGCTCATTTGTATTTTTAGTAGAGACAGGGTTTCACCATGGGGGCCAGGTTGGTTTTGAACTCCTGACCTCAAGTGATCCGCCCTCCTCGGCCTCCCAAAGTGCTGTGATTACAGGCGTGAGCCACCGCGCCCAGCCGAAGTGACAATATTTATATACAATAAGTTTAACTGTAAAAGCTTACATTTATGTGTGGTCATTTTTAATTGATGATTAGATGAAGAGACAAATAAATGGTCCCAGTTTAGCTACTGATATACTCAACAAACCTTGACGGACCTGAGGGCATTATGCTGAGTAAAGAAAATCATTTCCGAAGGTCACATATCACTTGGTAATCTCACAGTAACAAAATTATAGAGATGGAGAACAGATCAGTGGTTGGCAGGAGTTAGAGATGGTGGCAGAAGAGAGGTAGGAGAGAGATCTTTCTGGTGATGAAACAGTTCTGCATAGGAAATTGTAGTAGTAGTTATATTTACAGACACTTGATAGAATGGCACAGAACTACGCACACACATTGTACCAACTTCAATTTCTGGGTTTTTATACTCTATTATGGTTACATAAAATGTAACCACTGGGGCAGTATGCGCAAATATACAATGACCTCTCTAGTTTCTTTACAACTTCCTGAGAGTCTATTATTATTTCAAAATAAAAAGTTTTTTTAAAAATTGCTTCATGCATATCTAGTTTCATGTGCCACTTAAAAAAGAACCCAAAAATAGAAACTGTAGGAAATTCATCTGAGTGCAGCTTATGCAAGAAGGGGCAGGATAACTCCATTCTGGACCTATGCTCAAAGACATGCACCTTTACCTTACAACAAAACTGGCGAACAGGCATGTGTTTTAAGAATAAAAAGCTTTTAAGGTCTCATATATTGGTTTTTATGATTCCTTTGCTTAACTGACTTTTTGGTTTGCTAAAAAACTACCTATCACATCAGATTAGAAGTACTTTCACGGTAAAAATAAAAAGTGATGTGACTGACACCTCTTACCTCTGTAATGTATTACTCTTCACGAGAGCAGTGAAGGAAAACATGGTGATTCAATCACTCCACACATCAAGCAGAAAAGAGTGTTGAACAGGCCGGGCGCGGTGGCTCACGCCTGTAATCCCAGCACTTTGGGAGGCCGAGGCGGGTGGATCACTTGAGGTCAGGAGTTCAAAACCAGCCTGGCCCACATGGTGGAACCCTGTCTCTACTAAAAGTACACAAAATTAGCCAGGCGTGGTGGTGGACACCTGTAGTCCCAGCTACTCGGGAGGCTGAGGCAGGAGAATGGCATGAACCCAGGAGGCTTGCAGTGAGCCAAGATGGCACCACTGCACTCCAGCCTGGGAGACAGAGTGAGACTCCGTCTCAAAAAAAAAAAAAAAAGTGTTGAACAATTAAACTGTTTATATGTAATAACCAGATATATATGCCTGGCATAAAATGAGCCCTGCATTAGAGGTTGCTGGATGTAGGGTCCTAGGCCTGACGTATCCAAATAATGTCTATGATAAAGAAGTCAATAAGTGCTCTCTATAACACACAAGCATTATAAGTTTTCACACTCCAAAAACTCTTCCTTTCTAAAGTTACTAAAACTTTTAAGGGCATTTCAAACAAAAACAGCTGTGGAAAACAGATCGGTTAAATCCTATGGCTAAGAAACATCTTCCTATCCCATGTATTATTCATTACCCAGGTGTCAATTCTGTTTCCAATACAAAAGTCTCAAGCAGTGAAGCGCTTCCCACTCCAGCTGGGAGAGCCATCCTCAACAAGATAAGGGTAAAACCTGTGAGCACAAGGCTTCCATCTGCAATTCCTGTCTGCAGGGAAGCTCCCCAAAGAGGGAAACCATGTCTTATTCCTTACGGTAAAACACCACCATTCATTCCTTGTGTTTAACAACCAATGCTGGTGGAACATAAAACAAAACTTAGCAATCACTTTTTTCATGCTACTTAGACCTGTAACACATTTTTCCTCTGGTGCACACTATCCAAAACCTAGTCGTTTCCCTTACTCCTAGGAGGAATTTAGATGACTTTTTTTTTTGGCCAGGTGCAGTGGCTCACGCCTGTAATCCCAGCAATTTGGGAGGCCGAGGCAGGCAGATCGCTTTGAGGTCAGGAGACCAGCCAGGCCAACACAGTGAAACCCCATCTCTACTAAAAATACAAAAATTAGTCGGGCATGCATGGTGGCACACACTTGTAATCCCAGCTACTCGGAAGGCTGAGGTGGGAGAATCACTTGCATTCGGGAGGCGGAAGTTGCAGTGAGCCAAGATTGCGCCACTGCACGCCAGCCTGGGCGACAGAGCAAGACTGCGTCTCAAAAAAAAAAAAAAAAAAAAAAAGACTTTCTAATCATATTGGAAATGTGTAACAAGGACCAAGTACTGTGTATTAAACTTAATAAATCAAAACAACAGGCCCTCTAAGATATAAATGGTGCTTCACTGTATGTTTATCTGCCCAACCCATCATAGGAACTCAATTCAGCATTAAACTGGTTTTAGATCAAGACACTAGAACTCATGTTTAGCAGTTATTAAATTACAATTATTAAGAAAAAAACTTCATTACGTAAAGTCCTTTACTCCAAAAAGTTTCTCAAAATACATAAACACTAATATAAAAACAACTATTAAAACTTTGCCTGAATCTCAGGATTTCAGAAATATGAAAGTACTCATCTCTCACGTCTCCCATCCACTTAAAATGACAAAACAGATCATTATAGCTAAATCAAAGGAAATGTTTAAAGAGAAACAAACCCAAAGAGTAACTACACCAATTCTTGACCCAATTCTCTGTACTCTGTCTTATGTAACATTACACTATGAATAACAATCCCATCATCCACAACAGCTTTTTTTTTTTTTTTTTTGAAAAAAAAGCTCTCATTGTCCAGGCTGGAGTGCAACGGCACAATCTTGACCCACTGCAACCTCCACCTCCCGGGTTCAAGCGATTCTCCTGCCTCAGCCTCCCGAGTGGCTGGGATTACAGGCATACACCACCACGCCTGGCTCATTTTGTATTTTTAGTAGAGACGGGGTTTCACCATGTTGGTCAGGCTGGTCTCCAACTCCTGACCTCAGGGCATCCACCCGCCTCGGCCTCCCAAACTGCCGGGATTACAGGCGTGAGCCACTGCGCCCAGCCACACAACACAGCTCTAAACACTGGACTCTCATATCTACCAACACTCAATACCTGTTTAAAAAGAAAAAAAAAATTAGGAAGGGGCAATAACACTTCAGTGTAAGTATCCATGATCAACTACTGCTTAACAGCCTACACGACTTTTGATGAACAGTCAAGGCACATTACTTAATACTTAAAATGGTTAACCTTAGGGAGTAGGAAAATACAGACACACACAAAATATTTCAAACACTTCTTTTTGCTGCTGATAAGGAGTTCCAAAAGTAGTTTTTCCAAGCCATTTCCAAATAAAAGTAGATTGGGTGTAAAGAACTGTCTATCGAAATATTACCGTTATTATTTATTTAATAATGTCCTGACAAGCTTGCAATTATCTCATTAAATCAAAAAATTAGGATCTAAGGCCAACATTGTTTCCTCATATTCTTGATGTGAAAATCTGAGCACTCCTCTTAATAAGGAGTTACAAAGACAAAACAAACAGCTCAACTGAACTAACTCTTGTCTCTCCAGAAACACAAACACAAGACCTCATAAAATGAGTGAGTTTCTATAGGCCATAATTACTGCAACTTACTTCTCCAATTTTCCCCTCCACAGTTAACTCAACAGCTCAAAAACGATCAGTAACAAACAACAGTCACCATGATATGGTTAGGAGTGTGGCAGATTTCTTAACCAGTAATAATAAATAGGAAAAAAATTTTCTCTATTAATAGATCTCAAGTTTCGTGCACTTGCAAGAAACTAATTAAAAGGCAGCCGCGCACGATCTACAAAAACAGCCATAAGACTGTTACATTTTAAGTTACAGGAAATAAACCTGCTCCTCTAATTCAGCAAGATACAACTGACTTCCCCTTACATACCCTAAAAAAAAGCCTTACACGAGAAATTTAAACATGGAAGCAGAAACACACCAAGAAAAAGACATGTCAAACCCCACCTGTATATCTGTTTTCAACCATTTGGAGTCGAGGCGAGCCTGGGCAGCCAAACACAAAGATTCAGAGGGCATCTTTTCTCCAGCTTCCTCCCAGGTCTCAGGCCTGCAAGTAAACACATACGCTGAAGACCTAATGCTTTTTAATAGTTTACAAAGACACTCCCGAAAGGTTCAATGCAGAAAAGAAAAAAGAGAGCGAGAACAGAAAGGGGGGAGAGAAGAGCTGGTGGAGGGGAGAGAAGGGGAGAGAGGGAAAGAGGGAAGAGATGGAGAGAGAGGGAGGTGGGGAAGGGAAAGCCTCCTTCCAAGGTAGGCAGGGTGTGCCGAGTTTCTGCACCACGCTGACGAGACCTTGAGAATGGACGGTCACAGGAAGCCAAGTTACAATGTCATCCCCCTGCCCTCAAATCCAAGAAGTACACACACATAACAGGGAGCCCATCGTTTTAACGACAAATGACAGCAGCATGAATCTGCCGCTTTACCCCACAGCAGGGCGCGTGCGTGAAACAAATTACTCAAAAGGATCGCCTGCAGAAAAACCCACAGCTACCACCACTTAAGAGATGGAGAGAGGCCCGAGGCTGCCCCGCGGGTGGTCCGCGCAGGCCCCGGTGCGGCCGCCGCGCCCACGCCCGCCTCCCGGGCTCGGCCGCCCGCCAGCCCCGCGCCCGTACCGCCCCCGCCACCGGCCGCCCAGGTGCCCCAGGCCAGGACCTGACGCGCAGGGCCCGGCCGCCTCGCCCCGCCGGCGCGCGGACGCAGCCTCCCAAGAGCCGCTGGCTCAGCCGGCGCCCGCGATCCCGGCGCCTCTCGCGGCCCGAGGGGCGGGCCGACGCGGGACTGCCGCCCCCCGCGTACGGCCAATCGCAACGAGGCTGCTCCGTGGGCGCAGCCAATGGGGAAGAGGAGCCCTTCGCCGCTCCTCCCGACTCTCCCGCTTCCAGCAATCCCGCTTATCTTCCTACTTGGAGCGCCCTGGCTGCGGCCAAGGCCAACAGCGGGCGCCGGAAGGCGGGATTTCCGCCGCACGCACGCACTCCCGCACTCCCACGGGAGACTGCTTGGCCCGGAGCGCTCTTGATCACGCCGCGGCGGGTGGTGGCGCTCACACTAACTATAGCTATCCAGGGCGCCGGTCGAGTGGCGAGACCAGCTCCCCTGGGTATGAGAACGCATCTTTGTGCGGTCGGCTGGCTGGGGCCTGAAGAGCTTCCTCCTGTGTGTTCAACTGAACGCAGCAAAAGTCTTGGGCAGATTCCATGGAGCAGCTGTGGAAGCACTGTGCAGGGAATCGAAGAAGGAAACACCTCCAGCGACCACAAAACAAAATTGAAGAACTATAAAACAATATAGGCCGGGCGTGGTGGCTCACGTATGTAATTCTCAGCGCTTTGGGAGGCCGAAGCGGGAGGATCCCATGTTGCCAGACTGGGCAACATAGCAAGACCCCATCTCTAAAAAATAAAAATAAAAAAATTTAACAATTAGCCAGGTGTGGTGGCACACACCTGTGATCCCAGCTGCTCGGGAGGCTGAGACAGGAGAATCGCCTGAGCCTGGGAGATCAATGCTACAGTGAGCTTAGATCGTGCCACTGCACTCCAGCCTGGGCGACAGAGTGAGATCCTGCCTCTAAGAAAGAAAAATAACGGCCGGGCGTGGTGGCTCAGGCCTGTAATCCCAGCACTTTGGGAGGCCAGAGCAGGTGGATCATTTGAGGTCAGGAGTTCAAAACCAGCCTGGCCAACATGATGAGACCCCTTCTCTACTGAAAATACAAAGATTAGCCAGGTGTGGTGGCACGTGACTGTAATCCCAGCTACTCGGGAGGCCGAGGCAGGAGAATCGCTTGAACCCGGGAGGCGGAGGTTGCAGTGAGCCGACATTGCACCACTGCACTCCAGCCTGGGGGACAGAGGCTGCACCACTGCAGCCTTGACTTACCGGGTTCAGGTGGTTCTCCACCTCAGCCTTGCCACTAGCTGGGACTGCAGGCACATGGAACCACACCTGGCTAATTTTTGTAGTTTTTGTAGACGGGATTTTGCCATGTTGCCCAGGCTGGTCTCGAACTCCTGGGCTCAAGTGATCCGCCCGCCTCAGTCTCCCAAAGTGCTAGGATTACAGGTGTGAGTCACTGCACTCGGCTAATAGTAATGAACTTTGAACAGAAGGAAAGTTGTTATTATTTTCTTGGTTATGTTCTATCTATATTTTCTAATTTTTCTAAACATGTAAAGATAAAATTCTAAAAACTCAGACCTCAGAACAAAAAAATTAGAGTATAAATATTTATTTTAGTTAACTTGTACAAATTTGGTTTCTGGAAAAAGAATGGAATAGATTTTCTGAGAAAAAAAATCCACCACTTTGGCCGGGCGCAGTGGTTTACGCGTGTAATGCCTGCACTTTGGGAGGCTGAGGCGGTGGATCACCTGAGGTGAGGAGTTCAAGACCAGCCTGACCGACATGAAGAAACCCCTGTCTCTACTAAAAATACAAAAATTAGTCAGGCCTGGTGGCACGCACCTGTAATCCCAGCTACTCAGGAGGCTGAGGCTGGAGAATCGCTTGAACCCAGGAGGCAGAGGTTGCAGTGAGCTGAGATCGCACCATAGCGCTCCAGCCTGGGTGACAAAAGGAAAACTCTGTCTCAAAAAGAAAGAAAGAAAAGCAGACTGGCTGAAAGGATTGAAGAACAAAATATGATCCACCAATGTGCTATCTACAAGATAAACATTTTAAATACAGAAACAGATTGAAAGTAAAGGGATACAAAGATACAATTAAAATAGTAACCAAAAAAGAGCTGAAGGGGCTGTACTAATATCAAATGTAATACACTTTAAATTAAAGCAGGGCTGGGCATGGTAGCTCAGGCCTGCAATCCCAGCACTTTGGGAGGTGGAGGCAGAGAGACACTTGAGCCCAGAAGTTCGAGATCAGCCTGAGCAACATGGCATAATCCCATCTCTACAAAAAATACAAAAATTAGGCGGGCATGGTGGTACCCACCTGTGGTCCCAGCTATTTGGGAGGCTGAGGTGGGAGGATCATGTGAGCTGGGGAAGTTGAGGCCGCAGTGAGCTAAGATCGGGCCCCTGCACTCCACCCTGGGCAACAGAGCGAGACCCTGTCTGAAAATAAAAAAAAATAAAAAACGGGGTTGAGAGACAAAAAAGGACATCCTTTTTTTTATTATTGTATTTTGAAATGGAGTTTCGCTCGTTGCCCAGGCTGGAGTGCAATCGTGTGATCTTGGCTCACTGCAACCTCCGCCTCCCGGGTTCAAGTGATTGTCGTGCCTCAGGCTCCCGAGTAGCTGGCATTACATGTGCCTGCCATCACGCCCAGCTAATTTTTGTATTTTGATACAGACGGGGTTTCACCATGTTGGCCAGGGTGGTCTCCAACTACTGACCTCAGGTGATCCACCTGCCTTGGCCTCCCAAAATGCTGGGACTACAGACATGAGCCACCGCGCCAGCCGAAACCTTCATTTTAAAAAAGGCTGGGTCAGGCATCATGCCTCATGCCTGTAATCCCAGCACTTTGAGAGGGCAACGCAGGCAGATCACCTGACGTCAGGAGTTCGAGACCAGACTGACCAACATGGTGAAACCCCGTCTCTACCAAAAATATAAAAATTAGCCGGGTGTGGTGGCACACACCTGTAATCCCAGCTACTCAGGAGGCTGAGGCAGGAGAATTGCTTGAATCTGGGAGGTGGAGGATGCAGTGAGCCGAGATTGTGCTACCACACTGCAGCCAGGGTGACAGAGTGAGACGCCATCTCAAAAAATAAATAAAGGCTGGGTGCCAGATGTGGTGCATAGGCCTAGTTTGTTGACTCCTGTACTTAACATATAAAACTCTAAAGAACAGTGGGAAGGAGCTTCCCTCTAGAGGCACAGGAGCGGCCAAGTTGGTCCCTGAGCAGTGACTTTATAATAACATGTTACACTGTGTTTTTTGTTTTTGTTTTGTTTTTTGTTTGTTTGAGACGGAGTTTCGCTCTTGTTGCCCAGGCTGGAGTACAATGGCGTGATCTCAGCTCAAAACAACCTCTACCTCCCAGATTCAAGCGATTCTCCTGCCTCAGCCTCCAAAGTAGGTGGGATTTCAGTCATGCAACACCATGCCCGGCTAATTTTGTACTTTTAGTAGGGATGGGGTTTCTCCATGTTGGTCAGGCTGGTCTCGAACTCCTGACCTCAAGGGATCTGCCCGCCTCGGCCTCCCAAAGTGCTGGGATTACAGGCGTGAGCCACCACACCCAGCCTTTATTTTTTTTCTTTTTTTTTAGACACAGTCTGACTCCGTTGCCCAGGCTGGAGTGCAGTAGCACGATCTTGGTTCACTGTAACTTCTGCCTCCCAGGTTCAAGCGATTCTCCTGCCTCAGCCTCCCAAGTAGCTGGGATTACAGGCATGCACCACCACATCTGACTAATTTTTGTATTTTTAGTAGAGATGGGGTTTCACCATGTTGGCCAGGCTGGTCTCAAACTCCTCACCTCAAGTAATCCGCCCGCCTCGGCCTCCCAAAGTGCTGGGATTACAAGGCGTGACCCACCGGGCCTGGCCCTGTGTGTTGTTTTATGTATGTTTCTATATGTGTTATATTTCACAATAAACTAAATATTAAAACAAAGAATAACTGATAGCTATGCACAAAGGTATTTAAATTTCACCCTCACAAATAATTTTTTTTTTTTGAGACAGGATCTCACTCTGTTACCCAGGCTGGAGTGCAGTGGCACCACCTTGGTTCACTGCAGACTTGACCTCCCAGGCCCAAGCGATCCTTCTACCTCAGCCTCCTGAGTAGCTGGGACTACAGGCACACTCCACCACACCCACCTAATTTTTGTATTTTTGGTAAAGATGGGGTTTCACCATGTTGGCCAGGCTGGTCTCGAACTTCTGGGATCAAGGAATCCTCCAACCTTGGCTTTCCAAAGTGCTGGTATTACAGGCGTGAGCCACTGTACCCGGCCAAGAATAGTTTCTTCTCCTTACCTAGGTAGAGACCTCTGCAGAAATGCTGGGAGATCTTTGGAGAGGGGAGATTTTTTAAATAAAAAATTTAATACTTGGAGGGGCGTGGTGGCTTACCCCTGTAATCCCAGCACTTTGGGAGGCCAAGGCGGACAGATCAGGAAGTCAGGAGATTGAGACCACCCTGGCTAACACGGTGAAACCCCATCTCTACTAAAAAAAATACAAAAAATTAGCTGGGCATCGTGGCGGGCGCCTGTAGTCCCAGCTACTCGGGAGGCTGAGTCAGGAGACTGGCGTGAACCTGGGAGGCGGAGCTTGCAGTGAGCCGACATCGGGCCACTGCACTCCAGCCTGGGCGACACAGCAAGACTTCGTCTCAAAAAAAAAAAAAAAAAAAATTAATGCTTTGGGATGCCAAGGCAGGTGGATCACGAGGTCAGGAGTTCAAGAACTGCCTGGCCAAGATGGTGAAACCCCGTAAAAATACAAAAATTTGCCAGGCTTGGTGGCAGGTGCCTGTAATCCCAGCTATTCAGGAGGCTGAGGCAGGAGAATTGCTTGAACCTGGGTGGCAGAGGTTGCAGGGAGCCAAGATAGCACCACTGCACTCCAGCCTGGGCAATAAGAGTCAGACTCTGTCTAAAAAAAAAAAAAAAAAAAACTGATCTAGTTCAAAACCTCACTTTGAATCCACCCACATTGCTCTAAAATACTTTCATCTTTCCTGTGGCTAAAACCTTAAAGCCTTGCCAGTAACTCCCATTGCACTTAAGGAAATCCAATCTCCCTTGTTGTGGCCCCTGAACAGGCTGCTGCTGGCCCACCACGGTGCCTCTAGTTTGTGTAAAATGCATATGTTAATTTATAATATATGAGGCTTTTTTAGCTCTAAAAGGCTATTATTCACTAGTTGCTGTGTGAATCAGTATTTCTGGGTGCAGTTAGAAATTATTAGAGTTGATGCCCAAGACTCATCTCCATCAGCACGGGGGAGGCATCTGCTCGTTTTATGGTCAGTGACTCTGGGCCTCCTGCTGGGGTAAGTCCTGAGGTGGGTCTGACTCAGGTCAGAGCTGTGCACCCCGGCCCTCCTCCCCAACGTGCATGAGTGCTCTTTAGGATGGAGCTGAACACTGGCTTCTCAAAACCACTTGGCCCCATCACAGGCCCTGAGAACTGATTGGGTCACTCTGGTGGGCTCCCCAGCCCTAGCCAAGAAGGGTTTCTCTAGGGAGCCTGGCCCCCCACTTATGAGACCTGGAGCCCCAAAGATCCTGACCAGGGGCCTGCCTCCTCCAGGGAGGGGCCACTCGCCCCCACCAAGCTCCCTTCACAGAGACCCATCCAACAGAGCTGAGGAAAACCATGCCTCATAAATGAATAAATACATAAATAAGGATGCCGGGGACCTGTGGATTTTGTAATTCCTGAAAGAAGGCAGAGTGGCTGGCTCACAGCAAGCGCAGTAGGAGATACTGCTCCCCGGCCAGGCTGTTCTCTGTCTCTTTGGAGGGAGCCCTAGGGTACAAGAAAAGCCAGAGGAGACCAGCTGGCCCAGAAGGTGCCTCTCCACCCCTTCCCCAGAGTTTCTGGGAAACAAAGCCCACCCGAGGGACACATGCCTTCTTGGGAGTTGTACCAGGCCTCCTTCCTCATCCGGCCATGCAGTGGTTTTCAGTGCCCGAAACAGATGAATAAAATAGGCCCTTTACTGGATGTTCTTCAGGAACATGCACACTTCTTTGGATCTTACCATCGTTTTATCTCTATTTAAAGTTAAATGCTGTGTTATACAGAGTATTGGTAAAGATGTAGAGCTACAAGAACTGTCAAGCTGGCAGTAGCATAAAATTGTATAAGCACATTGGAAACCTGTTTGGCAGCTTCTACTAAAGCTATATCTATGCCTACGTTCAGAAATTCCATCCTAAGCATGTACACAAGAGAAACGAGTGCATATGTCCACAAAAAGACTTATATAAGAATGTTCACTGCCATTTTTATTCATAAGAGCCCCAAATGAAAACAACCTAAATGTCCATCAACAGGAGAGTGAATAAATGGTGATACAGTCACATCATGGAATACTACACAGCCAAAAAAGAAAAATGAAGTGGTAGGAACACTCAACGACATGGGTGAATAGAGGGAGCCAGGTATGAGAGACAGTGCACAGTATCAGCCCACCTAGATGAAGCGCAGGAAGGCAGAACTGACGATGATTGAAGTCAGAAGAGTAGTTTCCTTTGTGGGAAAGTGTAGGTCAGGAAGGAGCCTTCTGGGGTACTACAAATCTGCCGTATTTTGGCTGGGTGCAACAGCTCACACCAGCACTTCGGGAGGCATAGGCGAGAGGGTCACTTGAGCCCAGGAGTTAGAGACCAGCTTGGGCAACACAGCGAGATCCCATCTCTACAAAAAAATTAAAAATTAGCGTGGCATGCTGGTGTGCACCTGTAGTCTCAGCTACTCAGGAGGCTGAGGCAGGAGGATTGCTTGAGCTTAAGAGTTTGAGGTTGCAGTGAGCTCCCAAAGTGCTGGGATTACAGGTGTGAGACACTATACCAGCCTGATTTTTAAATACTGACCAAGCCTTGTGTTACTGGGATAGGCATCACTTGGCCACAATTTACTACTCTCTTTCTTTTTTTTTTTTTTTTTTTTGAGACAGAATCTCACTCTGTCACCCAGGCTGGAGTGCATTGGTGCAATCTCAGCTCTCTGCAACCTCTGCCTCCTGGGTTCAAGCAATTCTCCTGCCTCAGCTTCCTGAGTAGCTGGGATTAGAGGTGTGCACCACCACACCTGGCTAATTTTGTTTGTTTGTTGTTTGTTTTTAGTAGAGATGGGGTTTCACCATGTTGGCCAGCCTGGTCTCCAACTCCTGACCTCAAGTGATCCACCCTCCTTGGCATCCCAATATTCCTATGATTACAGGCGTGAGCCACTGCGCCCGGCCCTATTCTGTTTCTATATTGCTAAATTTGACTTGCTAACACGTTTTTGAGGATTTTTCTGTTGATGCTCATCAGGGATGTTGGTTTGCAGTTTTCTTTCTTTGTATTACACTATCTCGTCTGGCTTTCTGTCAGGGGAAAGCTGACCTTATACAAAGTATTGGCATGTGTTCCCTCCTTTTCCATTTTCTCTAAGGGATTGTGTAGAATTAGTGTTATTTCTTCTTTAAATGTTTTTGAATCCATCTGAACCTGGACATTTCTTTCTAAAAGATTTTACGCCGGGCACGGTGCCTCGTGCCTATAATCCCAGCACGTTGGGAGGCCGAGGCAGGTGGATCACCTGAGGTCAGGAGTTTGAGACCAGCCTGGCTAACATGGTGAAACCCCGTTTCTACTAAAAATACAAAAAATTAGTCGAGCTTGGTGGCGTGCGCCTGTAATCCCAGCTACTCAGGAGGCTAAGGCAGGAGAATCACTTGAACCTGGGAGGCAGAGATTGCAGAGAGCTGAGATTGCACCAATGCACTCCAGCCTGGGTGACAGAGTGAGACTCCGGCTCAAAAAAAAAAAAAAATTTTTACAAATTCAATTTATTTAACAGATACAGAACTATTCAGGTAACCTGTTTGTTTCTAGGAGGATTTTCCTGGTTTGTGGCACTCGGACATTGCTTTATTTCATCTAAGTTGTCTGATTTTTAAGTGTCAAGTTTTCCTTAGTGTTCTCTTGCTAACTGTCTGAAGTCTGTGGGGCCTGCAGTGATGTCCCTTCATTCATTCCTGATACTGATAATTTGTATCTTTTCTGTTTTTTTCTTTGTCAGTTTTCCTAGAGTTTTTCAATTTTGTTGATCTTTTCAAAGAATGATCTTTAAGTTTCATTAATTTTTCCCTTCTTTTTTTGCTTTCAATCTCATTAGTTTCTGCTTTTATCTTGGCATTTGTTCCTTTGGCTTGTTTTGCGTTCACTTTGCTCTTTTTCTGGTTTCTTAAGGTGGAAACTTAGATTGCTGATTTAGACCTATCTTTTTTGTAATATATAATGATTTGATGCTATAAATTTTCCTCTAAGCAGTGTTTTAATTAACCCCACAAATTTTGGTGCATTTTCATTTATGTTCAAAATATTTTCTAATTTCTTTTGAGAATTGTTCTTTGACCCATGGATGATGATGATGATGATGATTATTATTATTATTTTTCTTCAATACGGAGTTTCACTGTTGTTGCCCAGGCTGGAGTGCAATGACATGATCTCGGCTCACTGCAACCTCTGTCTCCTGGGTTCAAGCGATTCTCCTGCCTCAGCCTCCTGATTAGCTGGGACTACGGGCACCCGCCACCATGCCCGGCTAATTGTTTTGTATTTTCAGTAGAGATGGGGTTTCTCCATGTTGGCCAGGCTGATCTTCAACTCCTGGCCTCAGGTGATCCCCCCAACTTGGCCTCCCACAGTGTTGGGATTACACGCGTGAGCCAGTGCGCCCGGCCTGACCCATGGATTATTAAGTATGTTGTTTTATTTTGAAGTGTTTGCAGATTGTTTTGTTAATGATTTCTAGTTTAATACCATTGTGATTGGAGAACAAACTGCATATGATTTCATTTCTTTTAAATTTGTTAAGATTTATGTGTCAGGTTATGTTCTCAGTGAACATTCTGTATGTGCTTAAAAAGTATATGTATGGTCTGTATATGTATGGTCTGTATATACATATATGTATACATATATGTGTAAAAAGTATATGTATGGTCTGTATGTGCTTAAAAAGTATATGTATGGTCCAGCACTTTGGGAGGCCGAGGCAGGCAGATCACAAGGTCAGGAGATCGAGACCATCCTGGCTAACAGGGTGAAACTCCGTCTCTACTAAAAATACAAAAAAAATTACCCGGGCATGATGGCGGGCGCCTGTAGTCCCAGCTACTTGGGAGGCTGAGGCAGGAGACTGGCTTGAGCCTGGGAAGCAGAGCTTGCAGTGAACTGAGATCATGCGACTGCACTCCAGCCTGGGCGACAGAGCTAGACTCCATCTCAAAAAAAATAAAATTTAAAAAACGTATATGTAAAGTGTATGTATGGCCGGGCACGGTGGCTCACGCCTGTAATCCCAGCACTTTGGGAGGCCAAGGCAGGTGGATCACGAGGTCAGGAAATCAAGACCATCCTGGCTGACATGGTGAAACCCCATCTCTACTAAAAATAAAAATTAAAAAAATAATAATAATTAGCCAGGCGTGGTGGTGAGCACCTGTAGTCCCAGCTACTCAGGAGGCTGAGGTAGGAGAATGGCGTGAACCCAGGAGGCAGAGCTTGCAGTGGGCTGAGATCCCGCCACTGCACTCTAGCCTGGGCGACAGAGCGAGACTCTGTCTCAAAAAAAAAAAAAAGTATATGTATTTTGCTGTTGTTGGGTGAAGTGTTCTATAAATTAGATCCAGTTTATTGAAGGTGTTCTACAGTTCTCCTAGATTTTTGCCGATTACTTGTTCTCTCACTATGAAAGATATTGTGTGTGTTATATGTGTCTAACAATTCATTGTCTAGTTAGAGTTGCTATTATACCACTTCAAGTGGATGGAGAGCCTCACTGCCATCCATTAATGTGCATTAATCATTTTGAGAGTGAAAAGATTTTTTAAAATGTTTTTACTTTTTTAGGTATGGCCAAGTGAGATGGGGCTAGTGAAATGGGTGGGAGAATTGGAAGCTGATAGTGTGTGAGCTAGACACCCATGAATGCTTTTCCACTGGGCAGTTAGAGGGATGATAGGTAATAATATAAGGCAGCTCCATCACACAAGCTGGTGACTCCTGTGCGACAGACCAAGAGCTGCATTTGGAGATTCATTTCCGATTGTTGCGTTTCCTCTTAGAGCATTGCTTGGTCATCGTGTTCTGAGTGGTCCATTGGCCTCCATGTCCCTTTTGGGGTGGATATTTGCTCAGTGACTTTTGAGCAGCTGGATCTCCTGCTTCGGCAGGTGAGTGAGGGGATGGATGGCTCCACGGACTGGCCCCTGCCCCAGGAGAAAGAGTGCGTGGCCGTGGCAACGCTGAATCTTCCCCGACTTCAGGTATTCGTGATTTCCCTTCCTCTTGCTCCTTTTATAAGTGTCTTAGCGATTTGTAAGAAGGTTTATGTATTTTGAAGGACATAGGTTTTAGCCTGCTGGGGGAAGTATTTTAAAGTAAGATTGTAATGCACTAATAATGGACGCAAGGCTTAAAAAACTTGATCTGTTTATTTTATGTTTGTCCTGGAAGTCAGCCTCGGCATGCAGGAAGAGTGTATATGGATTGTGTTATTTTTGCTATAATCATTAGTTTGTTGGTATTCTTACTGTTTTACTGTTGTTGCGTGTGGAGAAATGACTGGGTGAGATCACAGGTGATGGAGAGAGACAGCGCTCAGCTGAGAGACCAGTGCTGGCCTGTCTCTCCTCTGTCCTGTGAAAACCCTGCTCCAGGAGGGTCCAGTCTTTTGGTTTCCCTGGGCCACACTGGAAGAAGAATTGTCTTGGGCTACACATAAAATACACTTATGATAGCTGATGAGCTTAAAAAAAGAATCCCAAAAATATCTCATGATGTTTTAAGAAATTTTACTTTGGGCCACATTCAAAGCTGCCCTGGGCCACATGCTGCCCTCGGGCCGTGGGTTGAACAAGCTTGATCTACTCAGTAAGCTCGGCTCCCAAAGCAATACCTTCCTTTCCTCACCATGAAGGCTGTGGTTAGGGTCAAAATAAAAGCTACAAAAGCCTTCCTCCCTAGCAAAACTAAAGCTGAAGTGTTTGATCATCATCTTTTGTCTTTGTAATAAAACCCTCTAACTTAATGACAAGAACCACGGTTTTCTCGACATAGTAATTTTTCCCTTTTATTACAGTGGTTTCTTGTAACAACCCGTCATGTCCCTCTTCCAGCCCCTCCCCTTTTTGCCCTGCTTCTAGAATGTACAGAACTGAGTGTAGTGTTTAGTTGCAGTAATGAACTGAGCAGAGGTCTGGAGCATGCTTCTCCTCTAGTCCTCTGTAGCACTCATTTATCACCATATCTGTGGCATCCTGGCGTTTGCGTGGTTGCGCCCCAGGTGTTTGCTGCCCCTCCTGGTTTGCGGTGATGTGTCTGTTCTGGTCAGTGCTGTGGGGCGTGGCCTTGCGTATGTCTTAGGCTGTCGAGGTGTCCCAGCGTATGGTTTTGCATTTGCCTCTCCGGGGTCCTGAGGGTTCTGTAGGTTTCACAGACTCCAGGTGAGTTTCGGTGGTCATTTCCTGACCTGTGATATCTATACCTAGATGAGTGGTGTGCTTTTGATTTCACTTCTACTCACAGGGCAAGGCCGGGTCTCTGATTTCTCATGGGGCCTCTTGCTACCCAGAGCCTGGGACGGGCAGTGTGTTGCCCCCTGGCTGCGGTTGGCTGGCAGGCAGGTGATCCTGAGTGGCTCCCAGCCTTCTGCAGGAAGCTCGGGTTCAGTGGGTCCTTGTGTGCATTCCCGTGTGGGAGGTTGTGCTGAAGCCTGGCGGCTTGGCTCTGCTTTCAGAGCCCGGAACCTCTTGACTCCTGCTGTGTGTGCCCACGTGAATTTTGGTTTTGCACTTGAGGAGTTTCCCTGTGTACTCTCAGCTCCGCAGTCTAATTTTTAGCAGCTCTTTTTTTTTTTTAGACAGGGTGTCACTTTGTCACCCAGGCTGGAATGCAGTGGTACAGTCTTGGCCTGCCAGGTTCAAGTGATTCTCCTGCCTCAGCCTCCCAAGTAGCTGGGACTACAGGTGTGTACCATCACACCCGGCTGATTTTTTTATAGAGATGGGGTTTCATCATGTTGGCCAGGCTGATCTTGAACTCCTGATCTCAAGTGAGCTTTCCACGTCGGCCTCCCAAAGTGCTGGGATGACAGGCATGAGCCACCGCCTGTGGCAGCTTTTGTGGTTACATTGTAGCCATTATTTCTGTGTTTGGTGCAGATTGTTGGGGCGGGGTGGAGGTTGCTGTTGCTAGTTGTTTAGCTCTTCTGCTCATCTTGAGCTTTTCCATATATGTGTTCATAGTGGGGTTAAAAAAAATTCCTCTAGAAAATACTTCAACTATTGTGGGTAAGATTTTTTTTAGTCCAGTTTTTAAAAATACGTAAACTGAGAAGTTATTTTGTCTATTTAGATAATACTTCAAATTGACTTTTATTCAGTGTTTAATAAGACTTTGAAATTCACTCATTTTTAGGGGTTCTAAGTGAAAATTGTTTTTCTCCTTTCAGTTGCATGCTGCCATTAGTCACCAGGTTGACCTGGAATTCCTTGGTTTAGGTCTGGGCAGCGTCTTCCTGAACAGCCTGAAGCAGAAGGTGGTGACCCTGGCAAGCAGCGCAGACGTGCTGAGCACCGTGCAGTCGGCCTCCCAGGCCATGCTGCAGAGCGGCTGGTCCATGCTGTTGCCCACCGCTGAGAAGCAGGCCCGGGCACTCTGCTCTCCTGTCCTGCGGAGGTGGGCTCGGGGAAGGAACAGGAGAGGGCATGGGTCAGGGTGCTGGGAGGGGATGGCGTTTCACTCAAATTGGCACACACTTTCTATTTCAGTTTCAGGCAATGAAGTGAGCATAAGTCCAGGTCATCGATTGGTGATTGATCTTCTGGTGGGCAGCTTGATGGCTGATGGAGGGTTGGAGTCAGCCTTACACGCAGCCATTACTGCAGAGATCCAGGTATGGCCTTGGAGGCACACGTGACCTGGTGGTGGGCTGAGATCGGAAATACCACACTCACACATGTGAAGAATAACTGAAAACAGTAAAACACTAAACTTATATCCAAGTATTTTTTTAAATTAAAATTCTTTTATGTGCTAATTTTAAAAATTATTGAGATGATTTGTGATAAAATACTGCATGTTGTCTGTTTCAGTGAAGTTAACAGGTAACCTGTTCCTCATGTAGACCATTCCCGTCACCCGGAAAGATCCCTGTGCTCCTTGGCACTTGCAGCCAGGATACTCCCCTGCCCTGAGATTAGATTCATTTTTCCTGCTCTGAGTGTCGCAGCAATATAACTGTATAGTATGCACTCTTTCCTGCTTTGCCTTGGAGAATGATTTTCAGATTCACTCACTGTTGTGTGTATTGCGACTTCGTTTTTATTATTGGGAAGTTTTCCATTTTATAGGTGTAGTACTGTTTGTTAGTTCATTCTCCTATTGAAGGACATGTAATTGTTTTTGGTTTTTGTTTTCTTTTTTTTTTTTTTTTGAGACAGGGTCTTGCTCTGTCACCCAGGCTGTATACAGTGACCTGATGTTGGCTCACTGCAGCCTTGTACTCCTAGGTTCAAATGATCCTCCCACCTCAGCCTCCTGTGTTGCAGGGACCACATACATGTCACCATGCCCGGCTAGTTTTTTGATTTTTTTGTAGAGACAAGGTTTCACTGTGTTGCAAGGCTGGTCTTCAACTCCTGGGCTCCAGTGATCCCCCCACCTTGGCCTCCCAAAGTGTTGGGATTACAAGCGTGAGCCACCGCGCCCAGGCTTTCTGGTTTTTGGCCGTGTAGAGCTGCCACAATTGTGCTGTGAACAAGTACTTTAGTGAACATATGTTCTCCCTTTGGATAAACACTTGGAGTGGAATTTGTTAGGTCCTGGGGTTAGTGTGTGTTCATAGTTTCCCAAAGTGGCTTTGCCATTTGCATTTGAACCAGGACTTTTGTGTGTGAGAATTCTAGCTCCTTCTTGTCCTTACAGAGCAGCTGGATGCTGTGTGTGTGGAGCCGATCACATTGGGTTTTGTGTGAGCCATTAGCAGGGTTAAGGATTTTAGGGACTTCACAGAAGGAGGCTGGAGAGCATCAGCAGAGGCAGCCTAGACCTTGGATCTGTAAAAAGAAGACACCGTTTGAAACTGCACAGATGAGTTGGGGTTTCCAACAGGGCAGGTGGGGGCCTGTGGGTGGATGGGTGTGGCAGCCACAGAGGCTGGGATAGCTTGGCACTGGGGTCAGGGCTCAGCCAGCCTGTGTGCCTTCACACCTGGTAATGAGATCACTTGTAAACAATTTCTGTTTATCAATTACAGGATACAAAAAAAGAAGCACGGAAGGAAAAAGAAATTTATGAACAGGAAGCAAATGCCTCAACATTTCATAGAAGGAGGACTCCATTGGATAAAGACCTTATTAATACGGGGATCTGTGAGTCTTCTGGCAAACAGTGTTTGCCTCTGGTTCAGCTCATACAACAGCTTCTTAGGTAAATCATATTAGCTGTATTGTATTGTGTTTTATTTATTTACTTTTTTGTTTTTTGAGACAGAGTTTCGCTCTTGTTGCCCAGGCCCGAGTGCAGTGGTGCGATCTTGACTCACTGCAACCTCCGCCTCCCAGGTTCAAGTAATTCCTCTGCCTCAGCCTCTCGAGCAGCTGGGATTACAGGCATGCGCCACCATGCCCCACTAATTTTGTAATTTTATTAGAGACAGGGTTTCTTCATGTTGGTCAGGCCGGTCTTGAACTCCCAACCTCAGGTGGTCCATCCACTTTGGCCTATCAAAATGTTGGGATTACAGGCATTAGCCACCACGCCTGGCCTATTTATTTACTTATTAATGGTGTTTTTTTTTGTTTTTTTTTTTTTGAGATGGAGTCTTGCTCTATCGTCCAGGCTGGAGTGCAGTGTCACGATCTTGGCTCACTGCAACCCCCGCCTCCTGGGTTCAAGCTATTCTCCTGCCTCAGCCTCCCGAGTAGCTGGGACTACAGGCGTCTGCAACCACACCTGGCTGATTTTTGTATTTTTAGTAGAGATGGGGTTTTACCATATTGGTCAGGCTGGTCTCAAATTCCTGACGTCAGGTGACCCACCTGCCTTGGCCTCTCAAAATGTTGGGATTACAGGTGTTAGCCACTGTGCCTGGCCTGTATTGTATTTTAATAGGTGATTATTGGTTTTCATATTAAGATAGTGAAATCTAGCGCAAGGATCTCAAAAATTTGTTTGATGATTGAAGGAATATTCTGAAAATTACCTAGTATAGATGTTAGGATAAAGAGCAGACCCTTTTCAATATAGGTGAGAGGAGAAGTTGGAGGGTGTGATGATACTCAAAAGTTTTTCACTGAAGAGAAATTGGGGCGTGCAGTAAACATGTAAAAAGATTCTTACTAATAAGCAGGTGGATGCAAATGAAAATCATCATGGAAGGTTATTTTTAAAACTGATTGTATCATTGCCTCACTTTATATATTACAGAGTTATACATACTACTTTGTAAGATAACTTTTCTTTTCAAAACTGAAGTCAATGTGATAGAATGGTGAGCATTATTTTGGAAGGCCAGACTAGGAGGAGGTGGGAGGAAGAAGTCAGACTCAGCCTGTGAACAGACGCTAACCTTGGCAGAAGCCAAAACAGTCAGACAGTGTTGTGTAAAAATGATCATTCAAGAAGAGCGAAACAGCAAGGTGATTTGTGAAAGAGATTTATTAGAAAATGAAACACATTTATACCTCTGTTCAATAAAAATCTGCTTTTCGTCAACTGATGCTCCTGGTTTTTGTTTCTACACATAGAGAAAGCAGAGCCCTGGCAGCTGGGGTCAGGCAGCCGAGTACAGACCAGGGAGCCCTGGGCAGTGGCTGCAGCTCTCAGCTGGCCTGTTCATGGGGCCATGGTGGGTCTGTGGCGTGGGGTGGGCCTGTGGCGTGGGGTGGGCCTGCGGCGTGGGGTGGGCCCGCGGCATGGGGTGGGCCTGCTGTCCACAGCCAGAAAAACTAACTTAGTGCACACACAGTGAAATTTTGAAACAGGAAGTTTTAGAGCTAGTTTCTGTCATAGATTTTAGTAAATGCTATTTTGCAAAACCTTTTTCTGATGTTTGTTTTGTTTTTCTAATCTGATAATGCATATTTCACACATTCTGGTCTTTAACAAATGGAAATAAAGAGAACTAAACAATATAGTTTGTGTCGATGGAAAGAGCTTGGGATTTGTTCTCAGAAAATTTCAGTTACAACAGTTTGTTCATATAGGTGGACTTCCAACACAGTAACTATAGGAGTAAGAATAAAAGCTGTGTTTACTTTCACAGAGTTAATTAAGAATACATGAGAAAATGGATGTTAAAAACCTTGTAATTAAAATGTACAGTTACATGCAAAGTTTTAAAGTGAGCATTTTCCAGAGGTGCTTTTCTAAGTTCTTGAATGCCTCTCCCTTTTCTGAAGTGGCTGCTTCGTGGGGCTGTTGGTCTTTGGCAGGGGGTGAGTGCAGGGTTCCTGTTGTGGGTCCTTTGTTCTCACGAGGGCAGTGCCCGTTTTCCCCGTCTCCTGCTTGCCCAGACTGTTCCCGTGCGCAGAGAGACTGGCCTGTTTGACCTGCAGCTGTGCTGTTTGAGCTGCAGCTGTGTAGCCTGCGCTGGCCCATCTGGCTACACTCAACACCGTTTGCTGATCAGCACTTGAAGTCTGTCCGTCATAGCTGAGACACTGAATATTTTATCTGTTTAATTTTTATTCATTAAAATGCAGGTTTGAAAATTTGATTCTGTTATTAGAAAGCACTTAAGTATGTTTAGAATCACTTGGCCTTGGGAGTCTACTTTGTCAACTGTGTATTTTATGAGTCTAAATGGAGATCAGATGTTTTCAATGCAAATTTCACGGTCCAAATTGAAATGTGTTACATATGTAAGCTACTCAGATGGTTTTTGAGGACTTAATATGAAATAACCTATGTAAAATATCTCAATAATTTTTCTTAGATTGATTTCATGTTGAAATGGTCATATTTTTGATCTGTTGGAATAACTATGATACATTATTAAAATTATTTTTATTTTTTAAGATGGAATCTTACTCTGTTGACCAGACCGGAGTGCAGTGGTGCAATCTTGGCTCACTGCAACCTCCGCCTCTTGTGTTCAAGTGATTCTCCTGCCTCAGCCTCCTGAGCAGCTGGGACTACAGGACTACAGACTCCCGAGCAGCTGGGACTACCACCACGCCTGGCTGATTTTTGTATTTTTGTAGAGACAGAGTTTCACCATGTTGGCCAGGCTGGTCTCGAACTCCTGACCTCAAGTAATCTGCCCGCTTTGGCTTCCCAGAGTGCTGGGATTACAGGCATGAGCCACTGCAACCAGCCATTATTACAATTAATTTTATGTGTTGTTGTTTTTCTTGTTGGTGTGTTTTTTTTTTTTTTTTTTTACTTTTGTTAATGTGACTAAGAACAATTTTTTTTCCCCACCCGGAGATGGATCCTCACTCTGTTGCCTGGACTGGAGTGCAGTAGCACGATCTCAGCTCACTGCAGCCTCTGCCTCCTGGGTTCAAATGATTCTCCTGCCTCAACCTCCTGAGTGGCTGGGACTAACAGAAGCATGCCACCATACCTGGCTGATTTTTGTATTTTTAGTAGAGATGGGGTTTCACCATGTTGGCCAGGATGGTCTTGAACTCCCAACCTCAGGTAATCTGCCCACCTCAGCCTCCCAAAGTGTTGGGATTACAGGCGTGAGCCACCGCACCTGGCCATGTTTATTAATACGACTAAGAACATTTTGAATTGCACCTGTGGCTCCATTGGTGTCCTGGGCAGGTGGCTCTGTGCTGTCCACACAGGTTGTCTCCTGTGTCTTCGTCTTCGCTGCGTGTGACTTTTTGGTTCCTGTGGCACGTGGGGTCCTGTATGGGACATTGGTTCTACAGCAGATTTATAGTAAGGATGTACCTACTAAAAAATACAAAATAAAAAGAATAGACACAAACATAGAAATAAGTATCACCTCACAAAACTTTTGGAAAGTAGAAAAAGAAAAATGCATTCGCAGCTTTCCAGTAGCCGATATCCAGGCTGTCTTCATCAGCATGGATCATGTGTCCCTCTCCTGCATGGGTAGACACTGTTTTCTCACCTTAAGTGTTTGTGAGTGAAGGATTCTTGATGTGTTGACTTGGCAGATGCAGTTGTTGAACAGTAGTTTATCTAAAGATCGTAAGAGACTTTTGGAGACATTTCATGTCCTTTTTTCCCTTGGAAAACGTGGGTTGGAGAAATCGCTGCTTGCCAAAAATAAGCCGTGAAATGTATTTCAGAGTAGATCGTTATTTACATGCTGGCGAGGAGCCACAGAATACCATTTACATTTGAAAATAGAGCGCTGCGAAGTTTTTATAAGTAGTGAATCCCATCAGAATTACACATTTTGATTATGGCTCTAAATTTTATATTAAATAAACTAAAAATTTCATTGTATTGTATTACCGTCTCTTGCTCCTTCAGGTGTAGCATACATGCTAGATTCTAGACCTGTTTCTTGTGTTACAGTGGTGTTATCCAGGCAGGGTATCATGTAGTGAAGGTGATGTCGAGTGGTGGTGGTGAGCCCAGTGAAGGCGCATCCTTGCCGTGTGTGATGAGGGCCTGTGGGTTGCTATGGGATTCCCCAACCCTGGCTCCTCTGTCTCCTGCTTCTGTCCTTACTCACACTGCTGGTAGTTTTCTGGTGTGAGACACGGGGGCAAGTGGGATTGACAAGCCTGCTGTCACATTAGGAACCTGAGTTAAAGTGGAGCTGAAAGCATGTCCTCGCTCTTGATGTTGTGCAGAGAGCCACCTGTGCTCCTGGCTCAACGGGGCGGGTGTGGTGGGTCTGGAACCAGGCCCTGGTTTGGCTCTCCTCCCCTCCATGTTCCCCTGTCCTGTCTGATTTGCTTCACACTGACATAAGAGTTACTTTCCCTCGGCCTCCCAAAGTGCTGGTATTACAGGCATTAGCCACCGCGCCCAGCTAGCATCCTTTCAAGTACTGGGGTACACCCAAGCTCCCAGCTTCTAGCTAGGAGTCATTTGGTCCCTCTTTATCCCAAAGGACTTGCCACCATCTTTGGTTCCCAAAGCCCAGGAGGGTCCAGGCTCTTCAGCCTCCAACCACTTTGCATTTCTTGTCTGCTTTTCGTTCATGGAGATAATTAACTTATTTTTCAGCCTAGGCATGTCTTTTTTATTTACTTTATTTTTTATTTTTATTTTTTGAGATGGAGTCTCACTCTGTCGCCCAGGCTGGAATGCAGTGGCGGGATCTCATTTCACTGCAGCCTCTGCCTCCCGGGTTCAAGTGATTCTCCTGCCTCAGCCTCCTGAGTAGCTGGGACTACAGGTGTGCACCACTATGCCCAGCTAATTTTTACATTTTTAGTAGAGACAGGGTGTCGCCATATTGGCCAGGCTGGTCTCGAACTCCTGGCTTCAAGTGATCCTCCTGCCTCAGCCTCCCAGAGTGCTGGGATTACAGGCACGACCACCGCACCCAGCCTTTATTTACTTTGTATATCTCATCTATTACTGCTGCAGTTTGCAGAAGAGAGGATGCCCTCAAACCTAACTTCTCCAAACCATCCCAAATGGGAAGTCTGCTCCACGTCAACAGCATTGTTGCTTTTAAAGACTATACGTCAACATGCCAGATTATAGCAAAAGGATGTCGAGGGAGCAATAGGAAAGCAAGCCTGAGAGTCCTGGAGAGAAGGTGGCAGAGCTGCCTTTTGAAGGTGGTTCCTTCCTCAGACCCTGCCCTTCCTGCCTTGTTCCTCCAGTTGCCAGATTTGCTGTTGGAGCTCCTCCACGGGCGAAGAGGTGAGGCTGGACTGAGAGGGAGATGGAGAAGCTGCCAGAGATTCTTTTGGATCTAGAATTGAGACAGCAGTTCCAGCCAGGTCCAGAGGTGGGGGCTGTCATCCAGCCCCCAGGGGAATGGTACTGATTGCAGAATGTGGCGAGAACTCCCTGGCTGGGAGAGGGAGGTGCTTGCTCCCTTGAATCACCTGAGCCCAGGCTGGAAGGCCCAAGGGGGAGGACGAGGCCAGCTCACTCCAGCTCCATCCCCTCCCTTTAACCCTAAGCTAGTTAACCCTCCCAGACTCCAGTCCTTTTTCCTAAGTGCCCTCCCTGCAAAGTCTGCACTGAGCAGCGCTCCCTCGCACCAGCTCACCCTGCACTGTCTTGTCTTTCAGCAACCCCATGGGTTTGAACTTGAGACGATTCATGTTCCTAAAAGCCTCTTTGGGCTGAGGGAAGGCATGGGTGGCTCTGCCAGTTTTGGAGTGGGGGCCGACTCTTCTCAGAGCCGCTGCAAGGGCCAGGGCCACCCTCCCAGGCGGGTGTCTCTGGGCTGGGCAGCAGCTTTGTAGGCAGCCTGGGTCATCCCCACTGGTCTGGGAAGCTGGGGGTGCACCGGCTCCTGCTCCTGATAGGGCCAAGGCACCTTCCTTACCTAAGAGCTGACTTTCTTGAAGAGTGGGCACAGAGGAGCCGGCAACCTGGGCTGTGTAGGCACCCAGGAGAAAATCTGCAGCTCAGTATCAGAAGTCTCCACCAGCACGGCTGTGGCAGAGATGGGGAAACTGGGCTGAGAGGGAAGGGGGCTTGCCCAAATCACCAGCCCTGGAATGTTTGGAGCTTTGGGGGTGGATCTCCCAGGAAACGTGTTTTTATGGCACCACCGCCTCTGGTCACCCACCCCGAGGTGTGGCGGGCCTGGACAGCCAGCTTGACTGAGGGCCAGGCTGGTGAAGTCAAAACTACCACTCAGGAAGAAGACCTAGCCCTTCTCCAGACAGAGTTCAAATGTGAGGACTGCCTTCTTTGGGCCTCAAATTCCCCACGTGAATTCCAAGGACCCCTCTAGCTCCTACACTCTGGGCCAAGGTTTCCTCTGAGCCGCAGTCAGCCTAGAGGACCTAGGATACATCTTCCTTGGACAGAGACCCACCATAGGGGCAGCAGGAGGTAGGGGTGGGGGTAGGCAAGATTCCTGTGGGGAGGTGGAGCTGTCATCAGAGATGGTGTCTGCAGGCAGTGGGTGTATCGTGGCTCTGCTACTACTTGCTGGGTGGCCCCATGACGTTTCTTTCCCCACTCTGACCTCAGTTTCCCTATCTGTTCTGTGGAGATAAGATGCCTGCCTACATATTTGTGGACTGGGATGTGTGTGGGCCAGTTGCAGTGTTTCTTGGTGTGGTCCTGGGGCAGGCTGCACCACCCCATAGAGATTTCTGGGCCCCACCCTAGGCTCACAGGACCAGAATCTCTGGGAATGAAGCCTGGGAATTTGCATTTCCACAGGCATCTGGCTGATTCTGACATGACTGAAAAGCACTAATAGTATATAGCAAGCTCTTTATAAAAGGTAAATTCATAGCTGCCTTTTACTAAACATAAATCTCACCTTCCCTTCCTCAGTTAAGGACACACACCGCAGTTGAAAATCACTGTGCCTTTCCAGATGCAGAATCTGACCTTTCCGATAAGATTCTGTTAACTGCTGCTTTCTGCAGTTTGTATTCCAAAACAAGGGGAATATGTTTCCATTTTTTCAATACAAATGTTTAAGTCGGATATGCTTTCTCAAACTGGACACACACTCACACAGCTTAGGGTTTCAGCTATGGCTTCCTCTCAAATTATTAGCCTCTTTCTGCCAGGGAGCAGTTTTTCCCAGACAAGACCCTGGACAGAGGTTGGTGGGGCCCTCCTCATCAGAATCACTAGATTATGACTGACCCCTAGAGGTGGCTTTTCTGCTTAAGTGTCAGCCCATGGGCTGGGTTGTGACCCCCAAAGCTGCGGCAGAAGCTTCCACCCATCCTGGGCCCCCCCTGCCATCTATGGGGAAAGGCCTGTCCCTTGTCTTCTGGGCCCAGCCGGCCTCACAGGCATTCAGCAGATTGGAAAGTCGAAGCATGTGCTGTGCTTGGCTGGGCTCTCCTGCGCCCCTTTTTGGGGTGAGGTGGAGTGCATCCAGCCCCCAGCATCCCTGCCGTTTATTCCCACCCCTCATCCCCACCCCCATACACACTCACAAGTACAAACACAAGCACAGTCACTGGCACACACCACTCTGGACAGCACCATTTCCAGCCTCAGCGGGGCAGTTTCCTTACAGGGAAGTTAATGAGGCACTAACGAAGGCTCAGGGGACAGGGGGAACCTCTATCGAGAAGAGGCTCCTAGACCTGGTTCTGCCTCTGAATTGCTGGGGGTCCTTGAGAAAGTTGCTATCCCTCTCTGGTCTCAGTTTCCTCAGGTGAGAAATGGGGGGCCGGCCAAATGGTCTAAGGTTCTGGGAACCTCTAAATCAGAGCCCGTAGCTGGTGGTCAAGATGAGGGAGAGGCCCTCAGGGTCAGCCGAATGCCTGAGAGGCCGGACAGGCCCAAAGGTGAGCAACGTGAGCACATCAGGTGGGCTCAGAGCTGGCGCATGAGCCCCACAGCCTGCAGAGCAGCCCTGTACTCGGGAGCCCGCTCGCACCAACCCAGTGGGACTTCAGAGATGTGGGGTCCAGCCTTTCCTACTATTGCTGGGCTGAGGGCTGGGAGCTGCAGATTCTGACCCCACAGCTGCCTTAGACATGCCAGATGGTCTGGGGCAAGACACACCCCTCTCTATGAAATGAGCAGCCAGTCCAAATAGGTACATTAGAGAAGGGCTGTGGGATGGACCCAGCTGTAGCCTGGGGCTACAGACTGGCTTCCGGGGTACTCAAGCAGCTGGCCTCTGGGGTAGCAGCCCCAGGTATGAGAGGCAGGACTCAGAATCTAGGCCAAGCCTCCATAGGAATCCCCTCTGGAGAGCCCGGGCACTCTGCAGGAGGGGCAGCAGGCAGCAGGTGCACCAGGAGCATGTTTCACAAGGTGCCCAATATCGCATCTGCTCAGATAGGCAGCGAGTTGGAAAGTGGATGCAATAGGCAGGGTGGTGGCTGCTCCCCACAGCCAGGAGTCCGGCCCAGCACCCACCTGAGTCCGCCTCAGTCCTGCTCAATTGGGTTATCCGTGCTCTTGGCCCTCTGGTCCCACCCACAGAGGGAGGTCTTTGGGGCGACCAGGTGAGCTGGCCCTTGTGGGAGGATGTAACTGACTCCTGAGCCTGGCGAGCCAGGCAGCCCCTCGCCAACGTCCCCACCCCTACCTCTCCAGCCCCCCCGCATTCCCTGATCCTCCCATCCGCTCCCCTGACCCAGCAGTTGCCTCTGCTCACTCTCTTTTCCTGCTCCCAGGCTCGCCTGGTCATGTGTCCTTCACTCTCCTCTGAGTCTCCCTCTTTCCAAGCCGCCTCCACTCTACTTGACACACTCTCCTTTAAGACACCAGAGTACACAAGCGCAAGTCTCTGCACCTCACCTTTACTCCCAGACATGGGAGGGAGATGACATGAAGACCCAAACGCCACTTAGCAGGAGATCTGGGGTATGCAGAGGGGCAGAACGGAGGCTGTGGAAGCTCCAGGGGCTCCCTGCAGGAGGCCACATGTAAGCTGGCTATTGAATGTGGCTCTGAGCTGAGACCTCTCCTTGAAGCTCCAGACCAGGAGCCAGCTGCTAGCTGGACCCCTCCATTTGGTGTCTCAGAGAAACTTTGCACTCTCTAGGTCTAACTTTGAACCCAGAAAATTCCCCCATGTCGGCCCTGTCTCTTCATAGGGAAAGCACCACCTCAGACCCAGTTCTGCACCAAACCCACATTTGAGTCACGAGGCTCCTGCCCTGCACTGTGAGCACTCTGGATAAGCCAGTGCTGAGGGGGAAAGAGCTCTGAATGCCAAGCCAAAACATGAGCTTCAACTCCACCTCCAGCTCTGAGAGCTGTGGGTAGGGAAGGGCCCTCGTCCAGTTTGCTGTAGAAAGATCAGTCTGCCACTGTATGGCACATGGATGGCAGGGGCAGAGTGCAGGTGGAGAGAACAGAAGGTGGGCAGGGCGGGGGAGGCAGGGACATGGCTGTAGCCGTGGAGATGGGAGGACAGACAGGACTTGGTGGCCACTTGGGTGAACCAAGGGAGGAGTCAGGAAGAGACACCCAGTTTTGTATCAGATGTGTAGAGCGTGGGATGCTGTTCATTGACGGAGGGAGGAGGAGGAGGAAGAGGTATGGCATGGGGAGGAGGTAGCTGAGCTCTGTCGTGAATGTCATTTGAAGTCCCCAGGGAAAGCCAGGCCGGCCAGCACCTTCACTGCTTCAGCCAGCTCTCAGGGTGTCTGTGCTCCCTGGCCCTCTCAGCTCCTGCTTCATAGCTGTCAGCTGCAGTGGGAGACAGCTGCACAAGGGCCCAGCATGTCTGTGTGTTTACCCAGGGGACTGCCGCATGCCCCATGCCGAGCAGAAACTGATGGACGACCTTCTGAACAAAACCTGTTACAACAACCTGATCCGCCCAGCCACCAGCTCCTCACAGCTCATCTCCATCCAGACGGCGCTCTCCCTGGCCCAGTGCATCAGCGTGGTAGGTGCAGAGGGTACCTGTGGCTCAGGCTCAGGTGAAGAGGCAGCTCATGCCCAAGCCCTAAGCAGTCAATGTCCAGAGGAATGAAATGACTAGAGTTGACTTAGACTCACCAGTACACGGTGGGGAGGCTGGAGGAGGGTCCATGAGGTTTATAGGTGTCCAATATTTAATGAGGTCATGGTTTTGTTAACAAAGAAGAAATGAGGGTGGGAGCGAGATCACCACTGGCTAGGCAGCCAATGGGCCTGCAGAGACTCTGCTCAGCTGAGTCTCCAGCACGACCATGAGCTTCTCATCCTGATCCTCCCATCCCCACCCTACTTTTCTCCCCCAGCTTGCTCAACAGGTGACCTTACAGGCTCCCTACTCTTTGCAGGGAATAAGAACCAGACTGGGGGAACTGACGGGTACAGAGGCCCAGGTGTAGGCGCAGGACCACAGGCAGTGAAGCGTCTACTGACCCAGGCGGGTGAGGGTCTGGAGAGTGGGCATGGCTGCTGCAGGCATGGAAAGCAGGCACAGATGGCGGCACTCCCAGGGCCCATTTTCAGGGTCTCCACATGTGGACGTGTGCAGAGGTGGGGGTGCTGAGGGAGGAGGGGCAGGGAATTTCTCATCTTCTCTCTACTGCCTCTGAGTTGGAGATGTCAGAGGGAGCCATGGCCCACTGTAAAGTAACACAATGTCCCCACCCACAGGATTAGAACCCCTCCCCTGGAAGCAGCTCTGAGGGGAACAGTCACATGTAGAGAGTGCAGGGCACTGTGTCCAGCCGGGGGAAGGAGGTCACCAAGGGGGTTGACCCCCCTCTGGTCAGGTGGCTGCCTTCTGACACACCAGCCTCTGTCTCTAGCACGGTGGCCCCCACACACCCAGCTTGTGAAACCTACAGCCCTCAAGAAGGCTTTGGCCAAATTAATGAGCGGCTCCCTCTCCCAGGAGGAAGCACAGGTGAAGGATGTGGAGGGCAGTAGAGTTGTGTGTGCTCCGCCCCCTTTCTCCGCAGTCGGATGGAAAGAAGGGGGCTTTCAGCCAGGCTCGCCCAGGCTGGGGTCTGAGTGTCACTGTCCAGCTATTGGCTTCTTGCTTAATGGGTGAGCCCAGCTGCTCCCGTGCAGCTGCCGCCCTAGTGAGGGTGAACCGGCAGGCGAGTTACATTTCTGAAAGCCTGGGAATACAGTAAATATTAGGCTGTGGGCTGCTGGGCCAGGAAGAGTTGTTTATTTTTCAGGGTTTGTTTATCTATTGACTTGATGAGGGAGGGTTATAGGTACAACCAGTTTAAAGATGGAAATTTTGAGAGAGCAGGCAGGGATTTAGTGCTGGGTAAGCCTGGTCAAAGCGGCTCTTTTGGGGCGGCCAGAATCCAGTACCAATGTCCTCAGCATGTTCATCAGCTGGCTGGGGGAGTGCGGGACAGCATGAAAGCACAGGAGAACTTTCTGGATGATAGAAATACTCTGTATCTTCAAAGGAGGTGGGTTCCATAGTAATGTTAAATGAGTTAAAACTCATCAAAATGTAAACCAGACCTGTGCATTTCACTAATAGAAATTATACCTCCAATTAAAAACATGTTTTAAAAGACAGATGGGCCGGATGCAGTGGCTCATACTTGTAATCCCAGCACTTTGGGAGGCTGAGGCAGGTAGATCACCTGAGTCAGGAGCTCGAGACCAGCCTGGAAAACATGGTGAAATCCTGCCTCTATTAAAGGTATAAAAAAAAATTAGCCAGGCATGGTGGCACACGCTACTCGGGAAGCTGAGGCAGGAGAATTGCTTGAACCCAGGAGGCAGAGGTTACAGTGAGCAGAGATCGTGCCATTGCACTAGAGCCTGGGCAACAGCGCAAGACTCCATCTCAACAACAACAAAAAAAGGACAGATGAAGGTTTTCAACTTTCAATAAAGGCAGAGGAGCTTGTTACAGATTCGCCTCCCCACAAGAGCAGTTAGAAAAACTGGATAAAAATGTGCCCCGCCCCCAATCAAAAACAATTGTTGGAAGGTAATTGGAGACCTCAGTCAGGACTTGAGTGACCAGGCCTAGGAGGTGATCCTGACAGTCTGTAGTGCTTTCCCACATTTGGTGATTGGTCAACAGTAGAGGGCTAAGAGGCTAAGAAACTGAGTATGAAGTGGTAGTTAAGAGGCTGGAGAGCCTAGCTGAATGTTTGGCACTCTCACAGGGCTGAAATGACCTAATGAGAATTTGGGTCCCAGGAAGGAGATGGGACCTTGGTGGGGACCCTGGAAGGGCCACCCCTGGGAGTCCAGATGAATAAAACATAGACCAGCCATCAGAAAACCTAAAACCTGCTTTGAACCAGCTTAGTCCCAAAGTAGATGAAGGCGATCTGCCCTTACTCCAATTGTGTGCCATAAACTCAAAGTCAATACTCTCTGGAGGCAGATAAAAGTTTACTATGAATGTCAAAAGACAACACAAGACTAAATGAGAAAGACCAAGAAGAAAACTAATAGAAACATACATGTAAGGAAGAAACTTTTTTTTTTGAGACGGAGTTTCGCTCTGTCACCCAGGCTTGAGTGCAGTGGCACGATCTCAGCTCACTGCAACCTCTGCCTCCCAGGTTCAAGCGATTCTCCTGCCTCAGCCTCCCAAGTAGCTGGGATTACAGGCATGCGCCACCATGCCCGGCTAATTTTTGTATTGGCCAGGCTGGTCTTGAACTCTTGACCTCAGGTCATCCATTTACCTCGGCCTCCCAAATTGCTAGGATTACAGGCGTGAGCTACCATGCCTGGCCAGTATTTTGCCACAATTTAAAATAAATAAAATTTTTTTTTCAGGTTTGTGCTCAGACTATATTCTAAACAGTCACATGGCGGCTTACTCTTCTCCAGGCCTTGCTGCCGGCTTTTACATGTTTATTGTCTTTGCCTTCTTGTCATGTGCTCATTAGATGGCAGCTTCCAGGTGCTCCTAAGGGGCCAGGAAAGAGAGTGAGAAGGCACGGAGGTTGCCAGATCATCCCCCTTGGGGCCCCGCCCTCATCAACTCCCTCAACCGGGTCTCCTGCAACTATTGGTGGGCCATCTCGGCCACCGCTTCGCCCTGAGCTTCCTGCTGCTGCAGCTGGGCAGTGCCTCCTTCTCAGAGGCCAGCTGCTGATAGGCGGCCACGTACTGCTGCAGGTGACCCAGGTAATGGTCTCGCTGCTGCTGCAGACTCAGCCTCTTGGCTCTTCAGCTCCACCTGCAGGATAGGCGTCAGGGTAGGTAGTGGCTGGCTTCCAGATTCTGGGCCCATAAACAGGGTAGTGAGGGCACTGCGGGGCTCTGTCGCCTACCCAGGCCCCTGGCCCTGGCCCCTTCCTCCAGGCCTAAATGACTGCCTCCCTTGCCTAGAGGCCCATGCCTCCCTCCCCAGCCTCAAATCTCACACCCTTCTTCCCACCATTTAAACTGTAGGCCACAGACTGGTGGAAAAGCAGAGGGAGCCAACCACCATCTGCTAAGTTGTGGTGAGGTCGTTCTGTATGATCTCCAGGGTTTGCACACACCTCCGCCTGCTCCCCCCAAGAGCTCGGCCTTCTGCCCCAGCTTCCCCAGCCTCTCCTCCAGCTCCTGCAGCCTCACCTAGTGTTCCTGCATCTTCTCCTCCTGCTGCCGCAGCCTCACTTCCTGCTCCCACATCTTCTCCTCCTGCCTCCGCATCTTCTCCTCCTGTTCTTGCATCTTCTCTTCCTGCTCACACATCTTCTCCTCCTGCTCCCACATCTTCTCTTCCTGTTCCTGCATCATCTCCTCCTGCTCTCGTATCTTCTCCTCCTGCTCCCATATCTTCTCCTCCTGCTCTCGTATCTTCTCCTTCTGCTCCCGTATCTTCTCCTCCTGCTCCCTTATCTTCTCCTCCTGCCTCCGCATCTTCTCCTGTTCTTGCATCTTCTCTTCCTGCTCCCCCATCTTCTCTTCCTGTTCCTGCATCATCTCCTCCTGCTCTCGTATCTTCTCCTCCTGCTCCCGTATCTTCTCCTCCTGCTCCCGTATCTTCTCCTCCTGCTCCCTTATCTTCTCCTCCTGCCTCCACATCTTCTCCTCCTGCTCCCGTATCTTCTCCTCCTGGTCGTGCATCTTCTCCTCCTGCCTCCACACCTTCTCCTCCTGCTTCCGTATCTTCTCCTGCTCGTGCATCTTCTCCTTTTGCCTCCATATCTCCTCCTGCTCCCTTATCTTCTCCTCCTGCCTCCACATCTCCTCCTGCTCCTGCCTCTTCTCCTCCTCCCGTATCTTCTCCTGCTCGTGAATCTTCTCCTCCTGCCTCCACATCTTTTTCTCCTGCTCCCGTATCTTCTCTTCCTGCTCCCGTATCTTCTCCTCCTGCCTCCACATCTTCGCCTCCTGCTCCTGCCTCTTCTCCTGCTCGCGTATCTTCTCCTCCTCCTGCCTCTTCTCTTCCTGCTCCCGTATCTTCTCCTGCTCGTGCATCTTCTCTTCCAGCTCCCGTATCTTCTCCTCCTTCTCCCACATCATCTCCTCCAGCCTCCGCATCTTCTCCTCCTTCTCCCACATCATCTCCTCCTGCCTCCGCATCTTCTCCTCCTTCTCCCACATCATCTCCTCCTGCCTCCGCATCTTCTCCTCCTGCTCCCGTATCTTCTCCTCCTGCTCCCGTATCTTCTCCTCCTGCTCCTGTATCTTCTCCTCCCACTCCTGTATCTTCTCCTCCTGCCTCCACATCTTCTCCTCCTGTTGCTGGTTCAGGCGGTTCCACAACTCGTTCTCTTCCACCTGGGCTTGGAGCTTTGCTGACACACTCTGCAGCTCCTTACCCAGGTGGTCAGCCTCCGCCTGCAGCTGCTGCTGGAATAGTGAAAGTGTTTTTTTGAACCTCAGAAGGAAGCAGAATCATGAGCTAGCCACATAAATGTAATCTATAGGCTGGGAGCGGTGGCTCACGCCTGTAATCCCAGCACTTTGGGAGGCCGAGGTGGGCGGATCACGAGGTCAGGAGATCGAGACCATCCTGGTTAACACAGTGAAACCCCGTCTCTACTAAAAATACAAAAAAATTAGCCGGGTGTGGTGGTGGGCACCTGTAGTCCCAGCTACTTGGGAGGCTGAGGCAGGAGAATGGCGTGAAGCCGGGGGGTGGAGCTTGCAGTGAGCCGAGATTGCGCCACTGCACTCTGGCCTGGGTGACAGAGTGAGACTACTTCTCAAATAAATAAATAAATAAATAAATAAATAAATAAATAAATGTAATCTATAAAATAATGGTTTTCATCCATGATCCTTTAAAAAAATATTTTTAAGCCCTAACTCTTGAGATTCTGATTCCCCAGGCAGGGCCCCAATTTGTACATTTTTAGTACACTCTAGAGGATTCTATGGCGGGACCAGAACAAGGACCCAAATTTTCCAGCTCTTGGCTGGAGCCTCCCCATACCCTGCATGATCCCTAGACCATGGTCCCAGCTGGATGGGTCTCCCACAACCCCCGGGGCTGCAGCTGCTCACCTGTGGCAGCAGGAGCTTGGCCCTCTCCAGTTTCCTTTTTAGCTCCTTTACGTTGAGCTGGATCTCAGACTTTTCAGATTCTACAAGTTGAAGTTTTTCTTGTAGTTTGGCATTTTTCTCCTTCAGCTCCTCATCAGTTATGCTATGGCCAGAGGCAGGAATGAATGAAGAACATAAAAGACCACTTTGGTGATTGACCCCCTACCCTCGCCCCACAACCACAGAACCGTGGCGCTGGAAGGGACCCCAGGAATTAAAAGTCCCAGGTGGCAGGCCAGAGAGAAGACATGAGTTGCCTGAGGCTACCCCATGAGTCAGTGGCACAGCCAGCACTAGAGCTTCCGTGTGCACACATGAAAACATGTATGAGCCACTCCCCACACTCACCTGGACCCCCCACCTCCCAGCACACCACCCATGCTAAGGGCCCCCAGACCTCCCATTCCACCTTCCCCCATCCTACGTGTTCCTGTACAGTTCCAGACTCAGGGCGTCCCTCTCCTTTGTTAACTCCTCAATGTACTGCAAATAGAGAAAGGTTAAGTCAGGATAGAGCAGGCACAGCAGTAGCTGGACGACCAGGAACAACTGCTACAGTGACTACTCCACAGTAACACTTCCTCACTCTCAATCACACCTGACGTGTTCTCAAGGCATTTCCAAGCCCATGGTCTCATTTGTTTTTCTTTCTTTCTTTCTTTCTTTTTTTTTTTTTTTTTGGCAGAGTTTCATTCTTGTTGCCCTCACTGGAGTGCAATGGCACAATCTCAGCTCACCACAACCTACACCTCCTGGGTTCAAGCAATTCTCCTGCCTCAGCTTCCCGAGTAGTTGGGATTACAGGCATGTGCCACCACACCGGGCTAATTTTGTATTTTTAGTAGAGACGGGGTTTCTTCGTGTTGGTCAGTCTAGTCTTGAACTCCTGACCGCAGGTGATCCGCCCACCTCAGCCTCCCAAAGTGCTGGCATTACAGGCGTGAGCGAGAGCACCTGGCCCTCATTTGTTTTTCAAAGAACTCAGTGGATGTGGAAGGGACAGGGAAAGAGATTGAATTTAGAGCTGGCTAACAGGGGCCCAGAGCGATCAGATAATATTGTTATTGTTATTACTGTTAGTACTACCATTGTTCGAACCTTTCTTGAGTGCTTCACCAGGCACTATGCTAACAATCCCATTTAATCCTCACAACCTCCATAGGAGACGGTTACCATTATTACCTCTATTGTGTAGATGAAAAACATGCGGTATTAAAGGTTAAGTGCTGCCTAAGATCACTTGGAGCTGGGATTTCAACACCCAGGTATATCTGATTCTCTAAGCCCATTCTTCCGCTGGAGGTAGGGGCACAGTTAAGAAGGAGGAAATTAATCCTTTGTTGAATTTTTGAAAGGATGATACGTTCGCATAGTCCAAAACTCAGAAAGTCCAGAAGGGAAATATCTCCCCCCAACACTGTGCCTCTATCCTGAGTTTTTTAATGAATCCTTACAAACGTGTTTTATGTATGTTACCATAATACGTACACACACACACATATACACCTGCCCCCTCTCTCCACACAAATAATAACATACTCAAGATACTCTTCTGTACCTTTATGGTACAAGTACCCTAACCGCCACTTAGGACTTGGCCAAGGCCACAGCCAAATATGGGCAGGGCGGGCACTTGGCCTCTGAGCTCTATGTCCAGTGCTCGCTCCTCACAGTGCTCCCCAACTCACCCACAACAGCCGACTCAGCCCCAGTCTGCCTCTAACAACCACACACAAAAGCAGCAAGAAATGGCCATGCTGCCTTCTGGGCAGGACACTCCATCCTACAGAAGGGACCTTTAGGCTCACTCCTCCATCTGCGAAGCTGGGCTCCCAAGGGACGGGGCCGTGTTTGGACTCACCCTATCCGCCTTCTTCTTCTGTGTAGCGACAGCAGAGAGAGCCTGCTCTAACTCTCCTGCAAACTTCCATGAATCATGCAGGCGGCTGATCAGATCCCTGGCCTCTCCTGGAATGAGAGACATTCAGATGTGGCCCAAAGGACTCCCCCTAAAGGCCTGTCAAAGTGCCAGGTTGAAGGATGATGGGGTGCCAGATTCCCACCTTCCAACTGCTTGACAGCATGCTGGCTGTAGTAGAGTGCCATCTGAAGCTCAGTTTTCTGACATGTAAGGATTCGTATGGTATGAACCTGGGCCTTTGGGAGAAAAGACAAGCAAATGCTGAAAGAGAAGCAAAGAAACATTCTCCAGAGGGCAGGAGGGAACTTCACACCCTCCACTCACCTCTAGCTCCCTCCTTAGGGCTTCCTGATGTTGGTGGCTTGCCTTCTGTTCCTATAGAAAGAGGAAAACAGAGCTCTTACTAGGGGGAGGCAGAGATCCACAGCAAGAGACATGCCCCCAGAATGGCACCACTGCCCCAGAACAGGCCCACCCATGGGACCAGTTTATCAGGGACCCTGTGGGGATGGGGTGGAATCTTGGGGGTGAGCCTTCTTCCCCAGGCTGGGAGTGGGTGAGATGAGCCTGGGGCCTCTACATCTGAGTGCCCCCAAACCCAGCGGTCATGTCGTGAGCAAAGAAATCACACTACTTCTTCCAGCTGAGCTCGGTTCTATTGTTTCTGTGGGGAGAGTCAAAGGAAGGTGACTGAGGGTGGCCCCCTTGACTCTATTCCCCAGGCCAGGAAGCGATAGGCAGGGGCCAGGAATGGATTTAAAAGGCACAGTTCTCAGACCCAATGGGAACATGAACTGGTCAACTCTCCTCAACTCCCAAAGAAGAAGGATTTGGGTCTTTTTGGTTTTTGCCCACAGCCACAGAACTCAAAGTCTGAAACTAGATTCTCTTGAAAAGACAGTAACAGAAACCTTCAGAGGTGGAGTGCGAGAAAAGCCCACCCTTCCGCCAGCTTGTGATTTAGAAAGGTGCATTCACTCAGCAAACGTTGAGCACATACGGGCCAGGGACGGTTCTTCACAGCGGGAATAGAGGTCAGAAAAGGCAGACAGGAGCCCTTGGCCCCGAGGTTTCCATTCTAGTGGGCCTTTAACTCTCGGGCTCTCAGAGCTAACAGAAACCTCTGATACTCTCTAACTCTACCTCAGGAAACGCAAGCCCAAGAAGGAGAGTTTACAGCAGGTCCTGGACGAGGGATTAACATAAAAACACAATGACAAATCTCATTTAAACTTCACAAACGTAAGGAAAACAATACCACTCGTATTTTACGGATGTGAAAAGAGAGGCCCAAAGAGCTCAAGCAATTTGCGCTAAATCATGTCCCTAGCAGATGGAGGGGTAGGATTCAAACCCAGAATTCTTAGCCAGTACCTGGCAGTTCTTCCACAATCTTAACAATTACCCTCCACCACCCCTTGGGCCCTCTGTCCCCAGGAGCCCGGCCAGCCAAGACTCACATCCTCAGGCGAGTGGCAACCACCAGAAGTGGTTGTCTCAGGGTTAGTGCCATTATTTATTTTCTTCTTTTTGGTGTCGCTTGCTGCTGTACCAACACTAGGGTTGGTCTGGGGATGATGGTCTGTCAACTGTGGAAAGGAAGAGCAGTGATACTCATGAGAACTACAAGCTCCTACAGTCACATCCTGCTTTACAGTTTATACTAAATACTCTTATAGACCATCTGATTTAATGCCACCAACTGTAGGAAATGTTGTCACAATCACTTAGTGACTGAGAGAGATTGATACCATGGCTGAAAAAAAAGGCAGTAATGGAACTTAAACTCAGTCTTCTGACTCTGAGCTCTGGGATTTTGCCCTAAATCAGCAGCTGCCAGGGACCAAAACCAGAGGCAGAGGTAGAAAAGCAAATATTAAGTAGGCAGGAACTGTGCACTATGTGGTTTAGGGTTATTCACCCTCACACGTCTGTTAGTGTTAAAAAGTACACCAGTACCTCTCAAACCTTTACATCAATGTCTCCTCATGGCAGAAGGCAGCCTTTCTGCTAAATCTGGGAATTTAACAGAAAGAGGACAACCCAAGCCTCATTTCAGAGAGAAGTCTTGTATACGCTTATAAATCTACGTGACTTTCATCCCTAAGTACATTAATGTTTTGCCTCTCAATAGAATCAAGGGAAACTGATGCTTCAGAAAGATGCCCCATATTTATCCTGTGGCACTCAAAGTACCCCAGGTTGAGATGAGATGAGGAAGACTCAAGCTAAGTTCAGTTTCCCAAGATCTGTTCCACAGAAGATAAGCAGATCTCACTCCAGAACCAGTGACTGAGGGGCACTCTGGTCCCAGAACAATGGAGAATTCAAATCTGAGGTGCAGAACTGAGAAAAAATGTTAAAATCTCTCTGGAGAGTAGAAGCCTGGGAGAAAACCAAACCAAACCCGTTCTCCCATTGCCACCCAGAGACACTGTCAACGTGTTGAGCTCATGGGGGAGGTGTAGGCTTTTCACACTGTCAAGGTCTGTGGTAAGGAAGTCAGGCAGCCTGAAACCTCTCTCTTCTAGGTCCCACAGTCCCCATTCCCCTTCCAGCTGGAAACCTGTGCTGCAACCAGAGGAAACAGAAGTGGGCAAGAACACTTAGGGGACTGGGTCCTAAGACCAAAGGCCGGTCTTGTGGTAGTAATGACAGTTTGTAGCGGGACTGTGACATCACTACATTCTACTCCTCGGTGGAGTTGTTGGGGGGGACACATGAGTGCAATGCCCAAGTTGCCGCTTTGAGACTGGGGAGGGGGTCACAAAATTGGGAGCCAGGTCCTTGGAGACGTGACCCCAAAGAGCCCCGGGAGGTCAGGCTTGGGGCGGCAGGAGGTGAGGGCCAATTAAGGAGCAAGGAGCTCCAGGAGTCACATCCCCAAAGTCACCCTGTGGCAACTGGTGAGGGCAGGTTCTGGGGCACCCAGGTCCTTGGAGATGTGAGCTCAAGGAGCCCAGGGAGGTCGGGTTTGGGGTAGCAGGAGGTAAGGGCGGAGTATGGAGTTGGAAGCCCCAGGAGTCACCTGCTCAAAGTCACCCTGGTGTGCCGGGCAGAGCAGGGGCAGGACTTATGAGGGGGTTGGGCTGGCTGACAAGATTTTGGTGTGGGGAGCCCAGAGGCACTGGGGTGGGGGGCCCAGCCTGGTGTCCCTCAGGAGTGGCACAGACTCTGGCAGCAGTTCGGCTGTCAGAGGGGGCCTCGGGTTGGGTTGGGGTGTTGGTGCGTTTACCTGTTCCTTGGCCTCGGCCAATTTGCTCTGTCTGGTTTCTTTGGACATCATAGGATGGGTAGGGAGGTGGGGATGGGTAGGGAGGTGGGGATGGGTAGGGAGGTGGGGATGGGTAGGGAGGTGGGGATGGGTAGGGAGGTGGGGTTGGGGCCACATCAGCATGATCCAGGTGAGGACAAGTATATACCTCCAGTCACCTCTACGTCGCTGTGTGACTGAGCCAGAGGAGGCGTAACCAGGGCTGCACTAGAATGCAGAATAGGGGTGTGGCCTTCATGCTTGAAGCCCATTGGTCAATGAGAAAGATGAAAGGAAAAGGAGGTGTGGCCAGACAGCAGCGTGTCATCAAGGACCTGTGTTGTCACAAGGAAAGCTGCCTATGCAACCGCTGTCCCCGCCCACTCCAGGAGAGGGGCGGGGCTGGCTTTCACTTTAAAAACTTTAAAACTTTATTACCTCAATTGAGGTACAAGTCCTATTAAAATGGAAATTTTATAGTGTGCTTGATGATTGATAAAGCAGACTTTATTATCCAACATTCCAATAAGATAATCACAATGTTTTCTCTTTTTTGGAAAAACTTTCTCTTATTCTCCTACATTAGCGTTTAGTTTTTTTAAAAAAAACAAACAAACAAGAAACATGTCTAATATCTTTAAAAATGCAAAGCTTTGAGCCAGGCGTGATGGCTCATGCCTGTAATCCCAGCACTTTGGGAGGCTGGGGCGGGTGGATCACCCGAATTCAGGAGTTCAAGACCAGCCTGGCCAACATGATGAAATCCTGTCTCTACTAAAAATACAAAAGTAGCTGGGCATGGTGGCAGGTGCCTGTAATCCTAGCTACTTGGGAGGCTGAGGCAGGAGAATCCCTTGAACCTGTGAGGCAGAGGTTGCAGTGAGCCAAAATCATGCCACTGCACTTCAGCCTGGGCTGCTACAGAATGTGACTCTGTCTCTAAATACACACACACACACACACACGCACAGACACACACACGCACAGACACACACACACACACACACACACACACACAAGGCTTTCCATTTAATAAGCACTCAAAGTTCTTTACAAGGTTAAAGCAAATACAGGACCCTTCTAAAGTAAGGCTAAATGCTAAGTGATGGGGGAGAGAAAAAGGACATAAATAACTCCTACTCTCATGAGTTAATCACTAAATCCGATTTTTCTAGAATCACCTGGCCTCTAAGCCCTGAAAATGAAACTGAATTTCTCACTCGATACTTGGCTATGACTTGCAATCATGAAAACCAAGAATTGTGTTATGTCACTGTGTATTGCTTGTTACCTGGAATCAAGGGTTGACTTTTTCATGATTTGCTCCATTACATGTGTGCTTCTTCTCCCAGTCCAAACTACGCTTTTTTCTAGAGTTCTACAATTTACAGTTAGTATGTAAGGGTGGCTCTCAAACATGTAGTCTCCGGACCAGGAGCACCTGGGAACTTCTTATAAATGTAAATTCTCAGGCCCCACCCTAGACATGAATGAATCAGAAACTCTGCAGTAGGGCCCAGCAATCCGTGCTGCAATAATCCCTCCAGGTGCTCAGGAACCTCTGCCATACAGCAGGTAGAAAAATGTGTTTCCTTCTGTAGGTCCAAAGCCAGGGATACTATATGTTCTGTCTCAATATGAAACAATGACATGCAATTAAAAGACATAAATCTCCTTCCTACTTCCACCCTCCAGCCAGTGTGTTTTATTTTTATGAGTTCAATAAGAAAACGTGTGGCAATCAGAGATTTCATCTAAAAAATATATCTACAGGTATCAGTTCTCATCCAGCCTGATCTCATCCAATATCATTTCTATCCTCTTACATCTAAAGTTTTAGAAAAGGATTTTCACAACGTAAGACTCAGGCGCACTAGGAGTTCTATGATAAAAGACCAAGTAGATCTGAATGTCCAAACTTACTAGAGAAGAAAAGTGGACTCATTGGCTATATTTTCAAATTGCATTCAACAGGAAATTAAAGTTTTGAATTTTTTCCACCTTCATCCTTCCAAGTTAATAGAATTAAACCAGAATACTCCATTCTTCCAAAGCCTGTAGCCAGGCAAACTTTTACTGTATTACTTCTTGCTTTTCAATGGATATAAAGCAGAGTCCTGGTAGGCACATTTTGTATACCTGCAAAGATGCAAAACTAAACAGTTCCCTCGGTTCAATATTAAAACAAAAGTCCTGTAAACCTCAGATGGTGAGTGTAATACTTCAGCACTAGCACGAAAGCCTCAAATATAAAAAGATACCAAGAACCTTGCTAGCAAGCCAAAGTAAGCTCTTGGCCGGGAGCAGTAGTTCACGCCCGTACTCCCAGCATATTGGCAAGCTAAGGTGGGGTAAGTCAGGAGTTAAAGACCAGCCTGGGCAGCATAGCGAATTCATATCTCTACAAAGAAAATTTAAAAATTAGCTGGGCTTGGCGGCACACACCTGTAGTCCTAGAGCTACTTGGGAGGCTGAGGTGGGAAAATCACTTGAGCCCAGAAGTTTGAGGCTGCAGTAGCTATGATCATGCCACTGCACTCCAGTTGGGGTGACAGAGCGAGATCTAATTATTACATTCTGTCCTGCTCCTGTTTCCACTAAAATCACTAACTTAAAATGTGTTCATTCAGCAGGATAAAAATTAAGTGAAATTTGACTTTGGTGCTTTGCTAGCAAAAAATAAATAAATAAAGTGAAATGACAAATTACTTACTGGGAGAAGATCTTTGTAACCTCAATGACAGATTAAAGGTTTGTATCCTTAGCCTATAAAGAAATCTTTAAAATTACTCAGAAAAAAAAATGAATGATTTGCAGCAGAAAATGGGCAATGGAGAAACCAGCACTTCCCACAAGAATAAAAATGGCCAATGAGCAAATGAAAAAGATTCAAAAGCACTAGAAATCAAAGAAAGGTAATGAAAACAATGAGATTTTCTGCTTAAAGACCAGCGAAGACGACAAATGGAAGGCGGAACCTGGAGCTCTGTCCCTGTTGGTGGGAGCGTAAACTCAACCAATTTTCCTATAGGATGATTTGAACATTTGTTTTAAAAATCCTAAAACTGTTTTATATTATTTTCTTCTAGAAATTCTACTTCTATGAATTCAGTGCAAAAATCCTCACTCGAGTCCATTAAAATATATATAGAAGGAAATCCACCTCTGGGGTGGCAATGATTCACTTAACATACATCCAGCTGTTGAAAGTGATGATGCCAGGATATATTTCTCCCATAGAAACATGCTTAAAATATAGTAAGTGACAAAAGACCATGTATTGTGATTCTACTTTTTAAAATGTTTACAGCATAAAAAGTGTGAAAAGCAACAAACCGGAATGTTTTGAGTGGCAAAATTAAAGATTTTTCTTTACATTTTGTCATCCAAATTATTACAAAAACAATGTGATTTCCTTTATAATCATGGAAAAGTGTTATTTTCATTTATTTATATTTACATTTCTTTTCTTTTTCTTCTTTTTTCTCCTGTATGTATCCCACATAGGCTACAGAGCTTAAATCCCTGCCTCTTGAGAGAAATCAGCCCATTTTCAGGACATGCAATACACAAAGCTGCCCCATCTTCCCTTTATTTTTATTTTTATCTTATTTATTTATTTATTTATTTATTTATTTATTTATTTATTTAGGTTGAGATGGAGTCTCACTCTGTTGCCCAGGCTGGAGTGCGGTGGCGCATCTCAGCTCACTGCAACCTCCATATCCCGAGATCAAGCGATTCCCCTGCCTCAGCCTCCCGAGTACCTGGGACTATAGGCATGCACCACCATGCCCAGCTAATTTTTGTATTTTTAGTAGAGAGGAAGTTTTACCATCTTGGACAGGCTGGTCTCGAACTCCTGACCTCAAGTGATCCGTCTGCCTTGGCCTCCCAAAGTGCTGGGATTACAGGCATGAGCCACTGTGCCTGGCCTGTCATATTATTTCTAAACATTTGAGTGACATTTCAATTAAGTGAAATTTAATTCTTACTGACCTGATCTCTTATCCTCTGTTTAATGATACCTTCCAGTTGAAAGGTGTTTCCTCTGTAATCACGGGTGCCAAAGGAAATACAACATGTATTCATTAGGTGGATATCCACTAAACCACGGATTCATGCATTGTAGTCCTTAGACCCTCAGCATCAGAAACACGTGGGAACTTGTTAGACATGCAAATTCCTGGGCCAGCCCCACACCTCCTGAATCAGAAAGTGGGGAAGGACAGCTATCTGTGCTTTAATAAGCCTTGAGATGCTCCCTGAAGTTTGAAAACTACAGAACTAGAATACATATGGTAGTAAGTGCTCATACTTTATCCAAGGTACTAGGGACTCTTCCCCTCTTTTCCATTCTCTTTTCTGTTGAAATAAAATGAGAGCTCCTTTTGACTTAATGGGTATAAGAAAGAAGGCAATGAGATGACCAGGGTTTCAAGTTAGAGTTCAAAATTTAATCAGTGGACAGTGACAGGATGCAAGCCTTCTAAACAGATTGCTGCAAGGAAGCTGATTATAATCTATACAGTAGGTATCATTAGTGTATTGATGTTAAATTTTGGGGGTGGATTAATGGTATTGTGATTATATAGGAGAAGTCCTGGTTCCTAGAAGATATCTGCGAAAGTACTTAACAGTGAAATGCTCTGATACTGCCAACTTACTTTGAAATGATTCAGAGGGAAAAAGGGCACATATACAATCTTCCATACGCAGAAGACAGAAAACAAGTGTGACAAAACATTAACTAGTGAATCCAGTTGAATAGCATACAGATGTTCACTGTATGATTTTATCAACTTTTCTGTGTTTGCAAGTTTTCAAAATAAAAGTTGAGGGAAAGAAACATCACCCCAAATCTGTCTATGAAATGGGACCACAGAAAAAGCAGAGAAGTGAACACTTTGCAGAAAAGAGCACTGCACCCATCCGGACAGCATGGTCAAAGTGCAGGCTCTCCTCCAGGAGGCTCTTCTCTGGTCTCTTCTGTGCTGTCACTTCCCCCACATGCAGCCAAGGCTTTTTTCTAACAACTCTTTTTCTAAAGATGTAATTTTTGTCATTCATCTAAGAAAGAGAAGAAAAGAATTAGTATACATTTAGAAAATAAAATTACACTTACATTTGTGAAAAAGCAAAAAATACTTTGAAAAGTGGGGAAGCAAGAAATGTACTGTTCTACAATTCTGTTCTGTTCTTACCATCTTTTTATTCTGCCAATGACTTCCTATTCCTGCTGTGTATGGTGGGGTGAGCTGCAAATGATTTCTTTTCCTCATTGATTTAAAATGTCATGTTTATAATGTACCAAACTCCCCCAGAAGCATTTGGGTTTATTTCTGGGCTCTATTCTATTCAAGTAATCTATCTGTTCACAAGCCACTATCAATTTTGATTATTGGAGCATCCTAAAGTTAAGTAATTGTTGTTTTTGTTTTTGAGATGCAGTCTCTCACTCTGCCGCCCAGCTGGACTGCAGTGGCGTGATCTAGGCTCACTGCAAGCTCCACCTCCCGGGTTCATGGCATTCTCCTGCCTCAGCCTCCCGAGTAGCTGGGACTACAGGCACCTGCCACCACGCCTGGCTAATTTTTTGTATGTTTAGTAGAGATGGGGTTTCACCTTGTTAGCCAGGATGGTCTCGATCTCCTGACCTCGTGATCCGCCTGCCTCGGCCTCCCAAAGTGCTGGGATTACAGGCGTGAGCCACCGCGCCTGGCCCTGAATTTGCTTGAGGTTTTAGCTCTCTCACCCATTTCAGGATTGTCACCACCCATATCTGACACGTCCTCCTCCTCCTCTAAATCTTCTAGGTCCTCCTGGCCATCAGCCTCTGTTTCTGAACCAGCCTCTTCATGCTCCTGTTCTTCACTCTCTGGGAGAAGACTGATATCTTCATCTTTCTTTCACTAACCGCATTCTGGAAGCACTGTAAAATTGCTTCATTTTGCAATTCCAGTTGTTGCAAAGTCTGCTCATCATCAAAACTTTCTATCACAAGTTTTTGTAAAGAGCTGCCATGGATTCTACCATTCTCTACTGTTTTATTAAAGTCATAAAGCACTTTCGTTAAAGAAGTGAACTTTGGTTCCAATCCATCTTGAAACCTATTGGGAGGAATTAAATGAGATTTAGAATTATAGATAATAATTTCACAGCCCTCTTAATTAAAAGAAAAATATAAACCTCAACTCTTCTGTAAAATCAAATTTGAATAAAGTGTAAGTATAGATTCTGGCCCCAACAATATATAAGCTGATGAGCCACAATGATATATAAAACCTGTCAACCAAGTATTTGTGAATCAGCTGTATAGATTGTTGGCAGGAAAAGCATTACAAATCTATTTGCTTGGAGATATATAGTGAATTAGCCTTAAATTATCTACTCTGCTACATTATATACCACTCCATTCATTCATTCCCTTATTCACTCAATGATCAACATTTGCTTTGGCTACAGTGGTCAAGGAAAACCTCTCCTAGATGTGACATCTGAGATGAAACTTACAGACAAGTATAGTCTTATAAAGATTGGGAAACATGTATTCCAGGCGGAAGAAACAGCAAGAACAAATTCTCTAAGATGCAGTTGAGCTTGGTAAGCCTGAGGAATAAAAAAGTGAGCATGGCTATAGCGTGAAGGAGGCAGAAGGTGAAGTTGGAGAGACTGATGGGAGCCAAATTCTGCAGGGCTCAAGGGTAAGAGTTTGCCGTTTTAAGTGTAATAAGAAAATGTGAGAAGATTTTAAGCAGAAGGATGAAATGATGATTTATACGAAGGAAGAAGAAAGGGAGGAAGGAGGAGGAGGAAAGTAGAGTGATTAGAAGGTTGATGCAGCATTCCAGGCAAAGGATGATGGTGATTTAAGCTGGAGTTAGAGCAGTGAATATGCTGAGTACAGTTTGGAGGTAGAACTGACAGGATTGCTAAGGAATTAGATACAGAATAGAGAAAAGTGAAGACATCAAAATAGCAGCCTAGTTTTATGTGCGAGCAACTGGAGAGACAGAACTGCCATTTACTGCGATAGGCAAGGCTTGAGTGGTGGAGCAAGGGGAAAGGACTTCAGCGGATGGCAGAGTGTAGGTGGGTAGAAACAACATTCTACTGTATTTTGGACACAGTGAATTTGTGATGCTGAGAGGACCAAAATTTAAAAAATTGTTAAAAGCCGTACGGTGCGGATATCCCAGTTGTGCGCTACTGAATTCCAACTAAGCTCAGTCTGGAGTTGCTTGTGAGCAAGGAACTCAAGGGAGAGGTTGGAGTTTGAAACATAAATGAGTCATAATTTTATAGGTCATATTTGAAGTTCTTCAACAAAATACACATAAAACGTTTGTGTTGGGAACAGACATGAAAGTTCTAATTCTCAAGAAGCTTAGTGGGGTAGACAGACAAGTGACAAGTTTGTGCTTTCAATAAAGTATGATGGCAGGTAAACACTGAGTGCTTTAGGAGCACAGGCGGAAGGAGAAACCAACACAGTTGTGTGTAGGGGGATGGGGGCCGTAATAAGCCTCAAGGGGAGCTTATAGGCGTGAATAACTGAGGTTAGGTTGATTTCAATAACATTCAACTGAGAGATCCATACTGTAAAAGTTTTAACAATTTTTAAAATTTTGATAGCCTAGGTCCTCTGAAATGTGGGGAAAAGTGATTTACATTTCCCCTTACCTTCCCCCAGCTCCACAATTTGCCAGGGGTCTGCAACCCGTGTCCACGTGCGACCGCAGTCGCACCCGAGCCCGGGATCTGTGCACTTACGTGAGGATGCACTCGGGCCAGCCAGTGGCTTTGCCCACCTCCCTCAGACACCGCTCCAGGGTCCGTCAGCGCCAGGCCCATGGGCCATGGCTGTGCAACTCCCGACACAAGCTGCAAGGCAAGAGAGCCGCTGGGAAACCGCACCGCAAGGATGCTGGCATTGGAACAGGAATTAAAAGAAATGAAAAAATGTGTAAGCAAAAACTCAGCTGTATGTAAAAAAAACCCAATTCCCCCTGAGAATGAGAAAGAGCCTTAGTCCTTTAAAAAAACTACCTGTTTTCCTATGGCTAGTGAGCCTTATCGCTCCCTTCCCAGGCATTATCAAAACCCTAATTCCCTAACTGTGCAACTGCAAGGTCACTAAACAAACAAATGCAAGTCACAAAACATATTTTTCCTAAAAACGTAAAAAAAAAAAAAAACATAATGCGTGCTTCAATTAAATAACTCTCTGTTTCTCGCTTCTGTAATATGCTTCCCCCTGCACAGATCTACCCGGGCTCCACAAAATGCTAAAAGATAACTCTTTATTCAGCTCAACGCTTTGATCTGCCTGGCGTGGTGGCTCACTCTTGTGATCCCAGGACTTTGGACGGCCAAGTAGGGTGGATCGCTTGTGCCTTGGAGTTCCAGACAGGCCTGGGCAACATGGTGAAACCTGGTCTTTTTGTTTTGTGTTGTTTTGAGACGGAGTTTCGCTCTTGTTGCCCAGGCTGGAATGCAGTGGCTGGGTCTCTGCTTGCCGCGACTTCCGCCTCCCGGGTTTCGGTCGTTGTCCTGCATCAGCCTCCAGAGTGGCTGGGATTGCAGGCATAAGCCACCAAGCCCGGCTAATTTTGTATTTTTTTTTTATTTTTATTTTGGTACAGATGGGGTTTCTCCCTGTTGGTCAGGCTGGTCTCAAACTCCCGACCTCAGGTGATCCACCTGCCTAGGCCTCCCGAGGTGCTAGGATTGCAGGCTTGAGCCACCGCTCCCGGCCCAACTTATTAATCAGAAAGGAATAGATCGTCCTGGTGTGGTGGCTCACGCTTGTGATCCCAGTACTTCGGATGGCCCAGCGCGGGGTATCCCTTGAGCCTAGGAGTTCCAGACCTGCCTGGGCAACATGGTGAAACCCGGTCTCTCTCTCTCTCTCTCTTTTTTTTTTGAGGCGGAGTTTCGCTCTTGTTGCCCAGGGTGGAGTGCAGTGGCTGGGTCTCCGCTCGCAGCGACTTCTGCCTCCAGGGTTTTAGTAGTTCTCCTGCCTCAGTCTCCGGAGTGGCTGGGATTGCAGGCCTGACCAACATTGCTCTGCTAATTTTTTTTTATTTGTTTTTGGTAGAGACGGGGTTTCTCCATGCTGGGCAAGCTGATCTCAAACTCCAGACCTCAGGTTATCCGCCCACCTCGGCCTCCGGGGATGCTGGAATTGCAGGCGTGAGCCAGCGCACACACCCAATTTATTTTTATTTCATTTTTTATTTTTATATATATATACTTTTGAGACGGAGTCTCACTTTGTCACCCAGGCTGGAGTGCAGTGGTGCGCTGTCTCGGCTCACTGCAACCTCTGCCTCCCAGGTTCAAGCGATTCTCCTGCCTCAGCCGCCTGAGTAGCTGAGATTACAGGCGCCCGCTAGCACACCCATCTAATTTTTTTTTTTTTTTTTTGTATTTTTAGTAGAGATGGGTTTTCATCATGTTGGCCAGGCTGGTCTCGAACTCTGGACCTCAGGTAAACCCACCTCGGCCTCCCAAAGTTCTGGGATGACAGGAAGGATCGGCCTGGCGTGGTGGCTCACGCTTTTGATCCCAGGAGTTTGGACGGGCCGAGCGTGGCGGATCCCTTGATCCTAGGAGTTCTAGACCAGCCTGGGCAACATGGTGAAAACCGGTCTCTCTCTCTCTCTCTCCTTTTTTTTTTTTGAGGCGTAGTTTCCCTCTTGTTGCAGGGCTGGAGTGCAGTGGTGCGGTGTCGGCTCCCCGCGGCCTCTGCCTCTGGGTTTGGGTGGTTCTCCTGCCTCAGCCTCCGAGTGACTGGGATTGCAGGCGGGAGCCACCATGCCCAGCTCTTTTTTTTTTTTTTTTTTTTTTCTGGTAGAGACAGGTCTCTCCATGTTGGTCAGGCTGGTCTCAAACTCCCGACCTCAGGTGATCCGCCCGCCACGGCCTCCCGGGGTGCTGGGACTGCAGGCGTGAGCCACCGCTCCCGGCCCAATTTATTAATCAGAAAGAAATAGATCGGCCTGGCGTGGTGGCTCACGCTTTTGATCCCAGGACTTTGGACAACCGAGCGTGGGGAATTGCTTGAGCCTAAGAGTTCCAGACCTGCCTGGGCAACATGGTGAAAATCTGTCTCTTATTATTATTTTTTTTTTTTGAGGCGGAGTTTCCCTCTTGTTGCCCAGGCTGGAGTGCAGTGGCTGGGTCTCCGCTCGCGGCAAATTCTGCATCCCGGGTTTTGGTGGTTCTCCTGCCTCAGCCTCCTGAGTAGCTGGGATTACAGGCGCCTGCCGCCACACCCGGCTAATTTTTTTTTTTGTATTTTTAGTAGAGACGGGTTTTCATCATGTTGGCCAGGCTGGTCTCAAATTCCTGACCTCCGGTGATCCACCCACCTCCGCCTCCCCAAGTGCTGGGATGACAGGCGTGATCGGCCTGGCGTGGTGGCTCACGCTTTTGATTCCAGGACTTTGGACTGGCCAAGCGTGGGGGATTGCTTGAGCCTAGGAGTTCCAGACCGGCCTGGGCAACATGGTTAAACCCAGTCTTTTTTTAAATTCCTTTATTATTATTATTATTATTATTTTTTGAGACGGAGTCTCTCTGTCGCCCAGGCTGGAGTGCAGTGGCGCTATCTCGGCTCACTGCAGCCTCTGCCTCCCAGGGTCAAGGGATTCTCCTGCCTCAGCCTCCTGAGTAGCTGGGATTACAGGCGCCCACCACCACACCCGGCTAATTTTTTTTTTATTTTTTAGTAGATCGTGGTAACTGCCTTAAAATGATGATTGTTCAGAAAGTCAGTTTAATTTAGATACTAAGGATATTGAGGTTATGTAACATTTGAGCAAGTTCTAAAAAAAAGAGAAATAGTATATTTAATTGCTAATAAAGTATTGTCAACTCACAAATATATTCACATAGCATACATTTCAAGAGCAGAATAACCATGAATATAAAAGGAATTAGCAAAAACGAAACAAAAAAGACATGAAGAAATAAAAACAGATGGAACAAATAGCACAAAATACGATGAAAGTTATAAAAGAAACTATGCCAACAATCACAATAAATGTAAATAGACTGAATAATTAAGAGAAAATGACTATAAAACAGAATTAGGGCACGCGTGGTGGCTCATGCCTGTAATCCCAGCACTTTGGGAGGATGAGGCAGGCGGAGGGATCACAAGGTCAGGAGTTCGAGAGCAGCCTGACCAACATGGTGAAACCCCATCTCTGCTAATACAAAAATTAGCCGGCGTGGTGGTGAACATCTGTAATCCCAGTTACTCAGGAGGCTGAGGCAGGAGAATCGCTTGAATCCAGGAGGCAGAGGTTGCAGTGCCGAGATCACACCATTACACTCCAGCCTGGGCAACAGAGCAAGACTCCGTATCAAAAAAAAAAAAACACACAAAAAAACACAAAAAACAGAAAATAAACAGTATGAAAAGACATCTAAAACATAAAGTCACAGAAAGACTGAGAGAGATTGAAAAAAGATACACCTGTCATATGTACCTAACCCAAAGAAGGGTTGGAAGCTATATTATTATCAGATAAAATAGGCTTTGGGCAAAAAGCAATATGGGAGATTTTTTAAGGCCACAATATAATGATAAAAATTCTAATAAACCAAGGGAGAAGGTAATCTAAAATGTTAATGTATCTAATAACTAGCACTCAAAATACATGAAAGCAAAATATGACAAAATTGCAACCCTCAGAGGGCAATTTAAATACATATCTCAGTATCTGATAAAAGAGACAAAAAACAATCAGCATAGACATAGAAGATTTACATCTCTCTAGAAAATTAACAAGCTTGACTTAATGTACAGAAAAAACATATCTCTCCAAAGTGACAGCATTCACCCCCCCAAGTACATATGTACTGAGCCATAAGGAAAATCTCAACAAATTCCAAAGAAGCGGAATCATGCACCCATCTTTCTCTCTAACCATAATCTCATTAAACTAAAAACAATAATAAAAAGATAAAGTAAAAAGCCAGAAAGGCAGATGCTAAATGAGAAAGTGACAGAAAAGTTACAGATTTTGTTAAGCATACAAAGCTTCTATGGGGTAAAGCAGTCAAAGGGATATGCAAATTTACACAGAAATCCAACCGATATAAATCCTTGAAAGATACTACATACAGATATTTCATCAGTTCTCACATGCCAAACCCAGCAAAGCCAAACTTTGGAGCCTCCCCTGCGAGCAGACCTGCCACAGGAGGAGAGGCAGCACAAACCTCCCTTTGCAGTGAAAATGCCACATTGTGTGTGCTTCTTACCCCATCACCTCTTTGGAAGTGGCCCCACTCAGCGCTAGCTGAGAATCGCTTCCCTCATACCACTCTCAGTAGTTCACCCCAAGACACACGGGACAACTCTGTACCTGGTAAGTCATTGTGAATCCAATTAATAATGGCATTCAGAAAGTTAGGAATCTTTGAATTATTAGATTCATAGTGATATTCAAAAGAAAGAAAACGACATCATTTCTGTTCCACGCATGTTGCCCACATTCACTGCGTAAAAGGCAAAGGGAACTGTGAGTACCCACAAAGAACCTGATATTGACGGCACATACATTTCTTCATTAGGAAGAATAAATTTAGACTGTAACAATTTAAAAAACCAGAAAATACAACTGTACATTTTAGTTCTTATTAAAATCCAAGAGGTTTAACTTATTTGCTCCTTGTTTAGGTAATTAGTGTCTAAAACATTTCAAAGATAACATATATAGTGGCTACGATTTCTAGTACTTTTTAAAAATTCAAGCCCAGTCTCTTCTAATTAAATGTATAAATGATTTATCTCTGTCTTTCTTAAAAAGAACCAAGAGCCCCAATTAAAAAGTAAAACTTAAATTTCCTCTTAAAAAATTGTTATGTCAAAATTATCTAATAAACCATAGTTCAGAAAATAATTTCTGAATTAAGAAAATATGAAGAATAAAACCAACAGTTTATGTGCTGAATTTCACATTTTTATTTTTTATTATTTTTAAAATTTTGTTTTAAGTTCTAGGGTACATGTGCAGGAGTGTTACGTAGGGAAACGTGTGCCATGGTGGTTTGGTCCACCTATCAACTCATCACCTCAGTGTTAAGCCCAGCACGCATTAGCTATTTTTCCTGATGCTCCTCCCCCACCCACCCTGACAGGCCCCAGTATGTGTTGTTTCCCTTCCTGTGTCCATGTGTTCTCACTGAACCTCACATTTTTAAATACAGCATATGCCAGGTGTCATTTCAGTACCCATAATTATACATAGTATATGTATATGTGTAAATATATGTATATGTGTACATATATGTATGTAATATGTGTATGTAAATATCATGTAAATATGTATGTATGTAAATATATATGTAAATATGTATGTGAATGTATGTAAATATATACACATGTAAATATGTATGTAAAAATATGTACGTAAATATATGTATGTAAATATATGTATATATAAATGTAAAATATGTAAATATTTGTAAATGTAAAATATGTAAATGTAAAATAAATGTAGAATGTCAAATGTAAATGTAAAATGTAAAATAAATGTAAAATGTAAAATAAATGTAAAATGTAAATGTAAAATATGTAAATATATGTATATGTGTAAATATATATGTGTAAATATATATGTATATGTGTAAATATATATGTGTAAATATATATGTATATGTGTAATATATATGTATATGTGTAAATATATATGTATATATAACACAGCATACAGCATATGCCAGGAGTCATTTCAGTACCCATAATTATACATAGTATAATTATACATAGTATAATTAGACTACTATGTTAGCTAAAAAATGTTGATTAGATACAAATGTATAAATTTATCTTCTCTAAACGTGGAAATTCTCTAGAGGCTATTTCCAGCTTCTGTGTGGATTGTAGAGCAGGCTGCTACCTGTACCCCAAAAATGAACACCTTAAAAAAAAGACAAGTTTCTCAGCCTCCCTATTGCACACACATATGAAAAATATGTTAAATTCAACGCCAAATATTCCTGAGATCAACACAGCAGTGATCCCAAAGAGAAAATTTCTCTTTGCTAATGGGCACAAACTTGAAGGGCAAAGCAGTGGAAGGGTAAGTCTGCAGACTCGGGTGGGGCTCAAGTCAGAATCACGTGGAAGATCATTGCCACATGTTTTTGTTTTTTTAAATAGCAACCACCACCAAGTGGAGCCCGCCGGGTTTAGTAGATATTAAACCTCTAAGGAGTGGCACATCCGAGACTGAAATTCCCATCTTTTGATTCCCAGCTCAAGGTCTCTGAAATGCCAGCACCAGCTGTGAAATTGTTCTTCTGCATTTTCATGGAGACCTTTTCTTCTATACTGCCATACTCTTTTTTTTGGAACAGTTATACCTGATCTTCCTATTTTTGTGTGTGTTCCACCGAAACTTTTTCACTCTAAATACTTCCCTCTTTCCAACTGAGCATTTACATCTGTAACAAGGACAAAAACATCTAACATCTCTCTCACCCTTGGTTTGTGTTTTGTTTTGTTTGTTTTTGAGACAGGGTCTTGCTCTGTCACCCAGGCTGGAGTGCAGTGGCGTGATCACCGTTCACTGCAGCCTCGAGCTCCTGAGCTGAAGCAATTTTCCCACCTCAACCTCTGAGTAGCTGAGACTATAGGTGTGTGCCACCACGCCTGGCTAATATGTGTATTTTTTGTAGAGATGAGTTTTTGCCATGTTGCCCAGGCTGGTATTGAACTCCTGGCTTAAGTGATCCTCCTGCCTAGGCTTCCCAAAGTGCTGGAAGGAATTACAGGTATGAGCCACCGTGCCTGGCCTCACCATTGTTAAAATTATGGAAATCGTGTTTGCAAAGCAGGTTGGCCTGTTTGGAAAAGGGTGTCATAATTTCTCAGGTAACTCCAAAAAGAGAAAGCTACGAAAATTACCTTAATACATTCATTACAGTCTCAGTATAAGATTATAGCTTCCTCTCCCAAAGCGTAACCACAACCTGACGCAGGATGAGTTGGTTTGAAAATACCGCATACAATATCCTCTTGAGTAGAATCATAATTTAGAACTCTAAAAATGACCGGAAACAAAACTGTCCAAGTTTGTTTAACGTAATGTGTTTCAACTTATTTGACTAGAAAACCCTTCATTCGTGCAACACTTATAAATATCCCATGGCAAATCTAGTTTTCTATGAATAATGAACGAAACATTTATAATTTAAAACTAAAATTGTCTTCTAAGCAGAGATCTACGTATCAATAAAATGAAGAAATAAAATTTCCATACTGTTTTCTTCCCAATACAAGGATTAGAAGGAAAGGGAAAAGAGTAACAGCGAGAATCAATAGCCCATGTCTGGCCAGGCTCCATGGCTCAATCACACCTGTAATCCCAGCAATTTCAGAAGCTGAGGCGGGAGGATCACTGGCCTTTAGTGATCCTTGAATGAAACTCCATCTCTAAAAAATTAAAAATATTAGCTTAGAGAATCATTTGGGCCCAGGAGTTTGAGGCTGTATTGAACTATGACTATGCTACTGCATTCCAGCCTGGGCAACAGGCTGCTTAAACCTGGAGGGGCAGAGCTTGCAGTGAGCCGAGATCGCGCCACTGCACTCCAGCCTGGGCAAAGGAGCCAGACTCCGTGGCAAAAAAAAAAAAAAAAAAAAAGAGATTCTATTCACAATAGCAACAAAACCCTGAGAATATATCTAGCAAAGTATACACAGGCCTTTCATGAAGAGTATTGCCATAGCCTGAATGTGTCTCCCAAAATTCATGTATTAAAACTTAATTCCCAAGATGATAGTACTAAGAAGTGGGGCCTTTAAGAAGTGATTAAGACATAAGGGTGAGCCCTCATGCATGAGATTAGTGCCTTCCTTATAAAAGGGCTTGTGGGTGGTGGTAAATCTGTCCCTTCTGCCTCATGAGAACATAGCATTTGCCTGCTCCAGAGGAAGCAGCATTCAACGTACCATCTTGGAAGCAGAGACCAGGCCCTCACTAGACACTGTGTCTGCTGGAGTCTTGATCTTGTTCTTCCCAACCTCCAGAACTGAGAAAATAAACTTCTGCTCTGTGTAAATTACCCAGTCTCAGGTGTTTTGTTATGGCACTATGAAGGGACTAAGACAAATATAAAAATTACCCAGGGACTTAAAGGAAGAACTGACTAAACTGAAATATATGCCATATATATTATGAATCGTAGGACTCAATGCTATAAACATACTACTTCTCAACAAATTAATCTATAAATTCAAGAAATTCCTACACAAATCCCAATAGAATTTTTTTGTGGAACTCGAGAGGCTGATCCTAAAATTCATACAGTCACTTGAGGGGCCAAGAATAGTGTAACAGGGCTGGCGGGGCTGGTGGCTCACACCTGTAGTCCCAGTACTTTGGGAAGTCAAGACTGGAGGATGGTTTGAACCCAGGAGTTCAAGACCAGCCTAGGCAACATAGCAAGATGTTGTCTCAAAATATTAAAAATAAATAAATAAATAAATAAATAAATAAAAAGAAGGTTAAGTATGCACATTTTGTTGTGAATTTCAATTTTATAGTGATTTTTTTTTTTTTTTTGAGACAGGGTCTTGCTCTGCCACCCAGGCTGGAGTGCAGTGGTGCCATCTTGGTTCACTGCAACCTCTGCGTGGGCTCAAGCAATCCTCCCGCCTCACTCTCTGGAGTAGCTGGGACCACAGTTATGTGCCACCACACCTGACTAATTTTTATATATTTTTTTTGTAGAGACGGGGTTTTTCCATGTTGCCCAGGTTGTTCTCAAACTCATCCACCTGCCTTGGCCTCCGCAAGTGAGATCACAGACATGGGCCACTGTGCCCGGTCTAGTGCGCTTTTTTTTTTTTTTTTTTAACCAAACAAACGATGAAGTCTCAGGAGTAAAAGTTGATACACAAGTAAATTTTATTGGTAATGTTTTTGTGTGGTCTTTAAGCAGAGGGAAAATTAGTCTGCATTATGGTGTATCCAGACTAAATAACTGATATTAAAATGAAATTATCCTTAGGATTTGCAATCTTAGAGAAAACTTTTTCATTTTTTTTGAGTTACAAATTATCTTCACTTACATTTGAGAACAGTGAGTCACAGAGGGATTAAGTATCTTACTCAAGATCTTGCAAGTGTTTGGTTTGAACCCAATCTTTTCACTCTGCAGAACTCAGAGTCACTCTTATTTGGAAACTTTTTAACTGATGTGGATCCTCTAATATGGGCTTCCTATTATTCATTCCGTATTAGTCAGAAGTTTTGCAAGCAGGCAGAATTCATTTTGCCAATTACGGGATTTTCCCTCAGTTGCAGTCAAGGTTCATAAAACTATAACTATAAATTTTGTTTTTGAGACAAAGTCTTGCTCTGTTGCTCAGACTGGGATCCAGTGGCACAGTAACAGCCCATTGCAGCTTTGAACTCCTGGGCTCAAGGGATCCTCCGCCTCAGCCTCCCAAGTATCTGGGACTACAAGTGCATGCCATCATCCCTGGCTAATTTTGTTTAAAAAAAAAAATTGTAGAGATAGGGTCTTGCTTCGTTGCCCAGGCTGGTCTCAAACTCCTGGCCTCAAGCAAGCCTTCAGCCTTGGTCTCCCAAAGTGCTGAGATTACAGGTGTCAGCCATTGCACCTGGCCAAAACTGTAACTATATATACACACACACATAACTACATATAGATGTGTGTGTGTATGTATGTGTGTGTGTATATATATTTTTATATATAAATAGATATATCTGAAAGGCATCAAAAGAAAAAAGCTGTAACTTTTAGTCTTGATCTTGATAGTGACTTGATTAGGCTATCTGTTTAACATCAAAGATGCAAATTAATGCTTTCTTTGGGTGAGCATATTAAAAATGCAGAAAATATTGGAGTAGTTTTTTATGTTAAATAAATTGTATTCTGTGTATTTAAGGTATACAACATGATTTTGTGGGATGCATATAGATGGTTAAAAAAATTACTACAGTGAAGCAAATTAACGTATCCTTCAACTCAGATAGTTACCCGTTTTCTTTTTGTTTGGTGGCAAGAGGAGCTTAAAATCTCATTTAGCGTGAATCCCAATACAGCACAATTTTATTACCTATATTTCTCGCGTTGTACATTATATTTCTAGGCTTGTTCATCCTACATATCTGCTACTGTGTAACCTCTGAGCTATGTCCACCCATTTTCTCTCTTGCCCCCCAAGTAATTTCCTAAAGTGTCTCATATAAAAAGGCAGTAGCTTTCAGCTTAAACTTTTTCTCTGTATATATTTAAGTCAATTTCTTTGAGGTATGTTTTTCTCTCCAGAATAGTTAGATGTAGGCATACCACTTTAATGTTGACACTAGTTCACCTAGAACTTATCTTCTGCAAATCTGTCTCTATGTCCATCTCTGTCTCCATCTTTGTCTCTATCTTTATCTCTGTCTATCTATCTATCCATCCATCCATCCATCCATCTATCTATCCATCTATCTGTCTATCTAACTAAAGCAAATTCATGCCCTTCTCCTATTTATGGAATCGAGACCATAAACAGAGGTGAGGGAAAGAATTTGGCAGGAATTGCGATGTGTATTACCTGTGGCATAAGGAAACTTTACAGAACTAGGGTCAAAAGTATACTTTCTAGTTCTTTCCCATGGCTTTTCACTTTGATGTAGTCCTTATCAGGCAACTGAGGTTTTATATAAGTCCCCTGATTCTTAGAACATGAAGGTGTAGTATTCAAGTTTGGTCCCTTGAAAGCACAATTTTTGTTAAAAAAAATTAAGAAAATTGTATGATTTCCTCAGCAAATACATATTGATCATCTGTTATACAGCCATGAGAAGTGGTTCTGTTGAACACGTTTATTTTATCAGATCCCAATTCTAAACCAGGCATAGAATGGAAACCATGAAGGTAGGATGAAATAACTTCTGAATGTTTGAAAATAGTGTACTTAAAAATAAATATCAGGTGTTTTTGTTTTGTTTTTTGTTTTTTGTTTTTGAGACAGGGTCTCACTCTGTCACCCAGGCTGGAGTGTGGTGGTGCCATCTCACCTCATTGCAGCCTTGACCTCCCAGGCTCGGGTGATCTCCCACCTCAGCCTCCCAAGTAGCTGGGACTACAGGCACATGCCACCATGCCCAGCTAATTTTTTGTATTTTTTGTAGAGACAGGGTTTCACCATGTTGCCCAGGCTGGTCTAGAACTCCTGGGCTTAAGCGATCTTCCCACCTCAGCCTCCCAAAGTGCCAGGATTACAGGCATGAGCCACCATTCCTGGCTGAAAATACCAGGTTTTTAAGTATCAGCACTGCCTCTTCAATCTTTTCTATTACTATGTTGTGCTCAGTGGTATTTTTTATTGAATTAGAGCAGTGCTGTTCAATGGAACCTTCTTTGAGGATGGAAATCTTTTATGTCTCTGCTGTGTGGGTATGGTATTAGCTGGGTATGGGGCACCTGCCTATAGTCCCAGCTACTCAAGAGGCTGAGGTGGGAGGATCACTTGAGCCCAGGAGGCCGAGTCTGCAGGTTCGTACCACTGCAATTCAGCCTGTGTGACAGAATGAGACTCAGTCTCAGAATAAAATGAAATAAGGAAATAAAAATGTAATTGTTGAAATAAGAAACTAGTGGATGGATTAGACACGAGAAGAAAGAATTAATTGTTTAGACGATTCTCTCCAAAAAGTAAGTCAGCATGTCACACAGAGAGACATGAGGATAGATGATAGGGCAGAAGTTGGTGGGCTTGGAGGGGAGAGGAAGATCAGAATGAGGTCCAAAATGTGTCTTAGTGAAATCCCAGGAGGAGATATTAAAATTATATTAGAAAGTGAAAGAAATAGAAGTTTTATTTATTTATTTATTTATTTATTTTGAGAAGGAGTCTCGCTCTGTAGCCCAGGCTCGAGTGCAGTGGCACGATCTGAGCTCACTGCAAGCTCCACCTCCTGGGTTCACGCCATTCTCCTGCCTCAGCTTCCCAAGTAGCTGGGACTACAGGCACCCACCACCACGCCTGGCTAATTTTTTGTATTTTTAGTAGAGATGTGGTTTCACCTTTTTAGTCAGGATGGTCTCAATCTCCTGACCTCATGATCCACCAGCCTCAGGCTCCTAAAGTGCTGGAATTATACGCATAAGCCACTGCACCCGGCTCAAAAGCTTTGTGTTTTTACAAATATTACACGTTTCTTGTTTAAGAAAAAAAGTCTTCACAATAACGTAGGAGAATAAGAGAAACATTTTTCCAAAAAAGAGAAGTCATTGTGATTATTTTATCTTATTGGAATGTTGGATAATATAGTCTGCTTCAGTAATCATCAAGCATGCTATGGATTTTCCATTTTCATAGGATCTGTATCTCGGTTAAGGTAATACTGGTAATTTTTGTACTCTATGAAAAATATAGGCCAAAATCATAGACCTTGCATAGAAGCTGGATCATGAAGACAGCTCTGGAGGAACACACAGGTACACACACACAGACACACATATATATAAAGTATACACATATATATTTTTTAAAAGCTTTTAAAGCAAAAGCCGGCCCTGCCCCTCTCCCAGAGTTGGCGGCCTCTCCCCTCTCTTAGGGTGGGTAGGGACAGTGGTTGCATGGGCAGCTTTCCTTGTGAGCCAAAGGTCCCTCTGGACACATGATGCCTGGCCACGCCCCCTTTCCCTTTCATCTTTCTCATTAACCAATGGGCTTGGAGCATTAAGGCCACGCCCCTATTCTGCCTTCTACTGCATCCCTGGTTACGCCTCCTCTGGCTCAGTCGCACAGCTACCTGGTAGGTGACTGGAGGTGTTGATCAGTGCTTGGTGGGATTTTGCTGATGTGGCCCCAAGCCCGCCTCCCTCCCCACCCTGCGATGGCAGAAGAAACTCGACAAAGTAAATTGGCAGCAGCCAAGAGAAAGGTAAAAACACACCAGGTCACGGACCCCCAACCCAGCCATAGATCCTCTCCAACGACAAGACTGCTGCCAGAGTCCATACCACTCCCGAGGTTCACCGGACTGGGACCCCCACACCGGTGCCTCTGGGCTACCCCCACCAAAGTTTTGCCAGTCAGCCCCACCCCTTCAGCAAGCAGCCCAGTCTCTGCCCTCACCAATCACCCCAGGGTGACTTTGGGCAGGTGAATCCTGGGGCTCCCCGCTCCTTTACTGGGCCCTCATCTCCTGCCACCCCAAGCTTGACCTCCCAGGGCTTTTTGGGCTCACATCTCCAAGGACCTGGGTCCCACAGCCCCAGACCCCACCCTCACCAGTCATCCCTGGCTGACTTTAGGCTGGTGAATCCTGGGGCTCCCTGCTGCTGACTCTTCCCTTCCCTCCTGCTGCCTCAAGGTGGACCTCCCTAGGCTGTGTGCACTGGTGTCTCCAAGGACCTGGGTCCCAGCTCTGTTTTTCCCTCCCCTATCATGGAGCAGTGACTCGGACATCATGCTGATGTGGTCCCTCCCCCTCACCAGGAAGAGTGGAATGTAGTGATGTCACGGTCCATCCAGTAACTGTCATTACTGCAAGACTGGCCTTTGATCTTATGACCCAGTCCCCTAAGCATTGCCACCCCATTTCTGGTTCCTCTTGTCACAGCACAAATTTCCAGCTGGAAGGGGAATGGAGATTGGGACCTAGGAGCAAGAGGTTTCAGGCTGCCTCACTCCCTTAACATAAACATTGACAGCGGGAAAAGCCTACACTTCCCCTGTGAGCTCAAAACATTGACAGTACCTCTGGATGGCAACTGGAGAATGGGTTTGACTTGGTTTGGTTTTCTCCCAGGCTTCTACTTTCCAGAGAGATTTTAACAAATTTTTTGTGAGTTCTCCACCTCACATTCTAATTCTCCATGGTTCTGGGACCAGACTGCCCTTCAGTCAGTGGTCTGTGAAGTGAGATTTGCTCATCTTCTGTGGAATAGATCTTGGGAAACTGAACTTGACAGCTTGAATCTTCCTCATATTATGTAAACCTGGGGTACTTTGAGTGCCACAGGATACATATGGGACATCTTTCTGAAGCATCAGTTTCCATTGATTCTCTTGAGATCAAGAGAAAAAACATTAATGTACTTAGGGATGACAGTCACATAGGTTTCTAAGAGTATACCAGACCTCTCTCTGAAATGAGGCTTGGGTTGTCCTCTTTCTGATAAATTCCCAGATTTAACAGAAAGGCTGCCTTCTGCCATGAGGATACATTGATATAAGAGTTTGAGAGGTACTGGTGCACTTCTTCACACTAACAGACGTGTGAGGATGTATGACTCTAAACCACACGGCATACAGTTCCTGCCTACTTAATGTTTACTTTTCTACCTCTGCCTCTGGTTTTGGTCCCTGGCAGCTGCTGATTCTTGGTAATACCCCAGAGTTTGGAGTCAGAAGACTGAGTTTCAAAGTTCGTCTGTCGCCTTTTTCTTTTCTTCTTTTTTTTTCTAGCCATGATATCAATCTCTTTGAGTCACTAAATGATTGTGACAACACCTTGTACAGTTGTTGGTATCATTAAATCAGATGGTGTATAAGAGTATTTTATAAAAACTGTAAAGGAGGATGTGGCTGCAGGGGCTGATAGTTCTCATGAGTATTACTGCTCTTGTTTCTGACAGTTAAAAGAATATTGGCAGAGAAACAGCCCTGGTGTTCCAGCAGGAGCCAAGAGGAACAGGAAAACAAACGGCAGCATCCATGAGACAGCCACTTCTGGTGGTTGCCACTCACCTGGAGATGTGAGTCTTGGCTGACTAGGTTCCTGGGGACAGGGGACCCAAGGGGCACTAGAGGGTAATTGTTAAGATTGTGGATGGACTGTTGGGTACCTGTGAAGAATTCTGGGTTTGAATCCTGCCTCTTTGTCTGCTAGGGATATGAATTAGGGCAAGTTGCTTGACCTCATCGGGCCTCTCTTTTCACATCTGTATAATAGAGGTGGTATTGTTTCACTTCCATTTGTGAAGTTTAAATGAGATTTGTTATTGTTGTTTTTATGTTAATCCCTAGTACATGGCCTGCTGTAAACACCCAGAACACCCAGGATATGGTCATTGCTGTTCGATTTTCCTCATCCCCAGTCTCAAGGGGAAGCCAGGACAATGAGAACAGTCACTTGGCACAGGAGTCACTGAAAGGGCCGCAGGGTGCTGTGGTGGGGAGATAAGAACCATGAGAGAAGTTGGCACAAAGGAGTTATGGGACAAAGGGTCCAAGATAGGCAGAAAAGAAAATTGTGCCAGTTGATGGGGAAGAAAAGAAGTCAGAGGGCTTAGATACTGAGTGGGACAGAACATCTTCATGTGCACTCTCATCTCTTGTAGTCAGCAACAGGTATCCACGGGGAGAGCCCTACATCATCTGCTACCCTGAAGGATCTGGAGGTAAGAGGCTCTGGGCAGAGGTGCAGTGACCCTGCAGGGCAGCCCTCCAACCTCCTCCTCCAGGTGGGACGGGGTGCCCCTCTGCCAGCTGAGACAGTCCACACACACCCCAGCCCTAATGATTGCTCTCTCTACCTCTCCCCCCACTCCTCCTCCACCTCCTCCTCTCTGCATGCGCCTCAGAGCCCGTGCCAAGAACTAGCAGTAGTCCCAGACTCGAGGTCCGTAAAAGTCAGTCAACTGAAGAACACCATCAAATCTTTGGTAAGAGTCCACTGGTGTCCCCTGATTCCACGCTGCCAATCCTGGGCTCTAGTTTCCCCTTGGGGCCCTGAAGAAAGGGGACAGGGGCCCCTGGTGCCAAGGGCGAATAGGGAGCTGGGGCGCCCAGGCCTCACCTGGAGGGACCCCGGAGCATGCAGCATGGCTCTTCTTTTGCTGCCCTGTTTGCTGACTCTCCCCTCTCCAGACGCCCCTGCTCGAGTCCTTGCTACACACGCCCTGGGATTGTTGCCTCTTGGGGAAGTGCTAGCCTGACTGGTTGTCAGGGGCCCTGTATTTCTGCCATGACTCAGTCCCTAATTTGCTCTTTGATTCTGGACAAGCCACCTCTCCTTTTTGGGCTCGTGTTTCCAGAGGAAGTAGTGAGTATCATAGGTCTCTGTTAGCTCTGAGAGTCTGAGATTTAAAGGCCTCCTAGAATGGAAACCTCAGGGCCAAAGTCTCCTGTCTGTCCTTTTCCGCCCTAAATCTGCTGTGAAGAACCGTACTTGGCCCGTACGTGCTCAGTAAATGTTTATTGAATGAATGCACTTTTCTAAATCACAAGCTGGCAGAAGGGGGGGCCTTTCTCAAACTCCATCTCTAGAGGTTTATGTTACTGTCCTGTCAAGAGATTCCAGATTCAGACCTTGAGTTCTGTGGCTGTGGACAAAAGCCAACAAAGACCCAAATCCTCTGTCCTTGGGAGCTTGAGGAGAGTTTACCAGTTCGTGTTCCCACTGGGTCTGAGAACTTTGCCTTTAAAATCCATTCCTGGTCCCTGCCTACCACTTCCTGCTCTGGGGAATAGAGTTGAGGGGGCCACCCTCCATCACCTTAATGTGACTCTCCCCACAGAAACAACAGAAGAAACAAGTGGAACATCAGCTGGAAGAAGTAACATGATTTCTTTGTTTGCTCGCGACATGACTGCTCGGTTTGGGGGACACTCAGATGTAGAGGCCCCGAGTCTCGTCTCACCCACTCCCAGCCTGGGGAAGAAGGCTCACCCCCCAGAGTCCACCCCATCCCCCACAGGGTCCCTGATAACCCGGTCCCATGGGTGGGCCTGTCCCGGGGCAGGGGCAGTGGTGGCATTCTGGGGACATGTCTCTTGCAGTACCATCTCTGCCTCTGCCTGGTTAGATCTCTGTCTTCCTCTTCCTACAGGAAAAGAAAGCAAACAACGAGAAACAGAAAGCTGAAAGGGGGCTAGAGGTGAGTGGACAGTGTGCAGTTTTCTCCTGTCCTCCGGAGAATGTTTCTTTCCTTCTCTTTCAGCACTTGCTTGGCTTTTCTCCCAAAGGTTCAAATCCAGAGATTGAACATACAGAAAGGGAAACTAAATACGGACCTGTACCACACGAAACGTTCTCTCAGATACTTTGAAGGTGGGAATCTGGGTACCCTGTCATCCTTCAACCTGGGACTTTGACAGGTCTTCAGGGGGAGTCCTTTGGGCCCCATCTCAACTCTCTCATTACAGAAGAGTCCAAGGATCTGGCCGTCCGTCTGCAACATTCATTGCAGCGTAAAGGAGAGTTAGAGCGGGCTCTCTCTGCTGTCACCGCCACACAGAAGAAGAAGGCGGAGAGGGTGAGTCCAACCACCTGCCGCGTCCCCTGGGAGCCTGGCTTCGCAGACAGAGGAGTGAGCCTAAAGGTCCCTTCTGCAGGATGGAGTGTCCTGCCCAGAAGGCAGCATGGCCATTTCTCACTGCTTTTTTGTATGGTTGTTAGCGGCAGCTTGGGACTGAGTCAGCTGCTGTGGGTGAGTTGGGGGGCACTCTGGGGACACAGCACAGGACGTAGAGCTTGGAGGCCAAGTGCCTGCCATGCCTTTACCTGGCTGTGGTCTTGGCCAAGTCCTCAGTGGGTATTGGGTACTTGTACTGTGAAGGTACAGAAGAGTACCTTTAGTATGTTACCATTTCTGTAGAGAGAGGAAACGTGTGTGTGTGTGTACATATTATGATAATATACATAAAATATGTTTGCAAGTGTTCATAAAAACTCAGGAGAGAGCAACAGGGTGGCTGGGAGATACTTCCCTTCTGTACCTTCTGAGTTTGGGACTATGTGAATGTATTATCCTTTCAAAAAGTGAACAAAAGATTAATTTTCCCCTTCCTAGCTGTGCCCCCACCCCCAGCAAGAAAAATGGGCTTAGAGAATTGGATAGATCTGGGTGTTTAAATCCCAGCTCTGCCTAAGTGATCTTAGGCAAGCACTTAACCTCAAATACTCCATGTTTTTTCATCTACACAATAGAGGTCATCATAGTAACTGTCTCCCATGGTGGTTGCGAGGATTAAATGGGATTGCTAGCATGGTATCTGGTGAAGCACTCCATAAAAGTTCAAACAGTGGTAATAATAACAGTAATAACAACAGCAATATTATCTGATCTCTCTGGGCCTCTGTTAGCCAGCTATAAATTCGATCTCTTTCCCTGTCCCTTCCAACTTTACTGAGTTCTTTAAAAACCAAACCACGGGCTTGGAAATGCCTTGATCTTTACTGACCGAGTTGTATATTGGGCCTAGCCCTGGCCCTTTTAAGGGGCACTGTGTGGAATGGCCCGGCCTCCCCAGATTGAAACTTCTCACTCTTCAGCAGTTCTCCAGCCGCAGTAAAGCACGTATGGAGTGGAAGTTAGAGCAGTCCATGCGGGAGCAGGCACTGCTGAAAGCGCAGCTGACACAGGTGAGGTGTTCAGAGGGAGGGATGTGGAAGGAAGATGACCCCAGGTAACCAGGAGCAGGTGAGGACCAGTGACAGCCCTTCCTAATTTCTGTGCCCATTCTTGCAGTTGAAGGAGTCACTTAAAGAAGTCCAGCTAGAGAGGGATGAATATGCTGAACATCTAAAAGGAGAGAGGGCCCGGTGGCAGCAGAGGATGAGAAAAATGTCGCAGGAGGTGAGATCTGACCCTTCAGCCCCCCCACATTAGATAGGTCACTGGATCTTTCTGGGCACCTGTAAAATGGGAATAGTAGAGCCAGAGGTGGTCCTGGGACTGGGCTTTGTGGAGGTGGGGGCAGAGAGGGAGATGGTAGCATGTCCAGCCTCCAGCCCCTCTCTCCAGGGCCCTTTCCCCCTGTGCTTTGGGCAGGTTTGCTCGTTGAAGAAGGAGAAGAAGCATGATAAATATCGGGTAGAGACGCTGGAGAGGAGCTTGTCCAAACTCAAACACCAGATGGGTAAGATGGGGCTGGCGTGACCTGACAGCAGGACTGGCATCAGAGGGCTGTGAGGGTGGCTTGGAGTGCCCCAGCGAGGTGGGTGGATGGGAAGGGCTTTGAGGCAGAGGGAAAGAGGTCTGTTCCAGGAGACGGCAAGTCTTGTCATCTCAATGAGCCTCAGTGTCCCCATCAGCAAAGAGGGCCCGTTGTCAGCCACCCGCAGTGCTCTTTCTCTGAAAGTGGTTTGGAAGACTGGCTACCATCTGGGTGCGAGGAATCATTAGCAGTGAGGCCAAGTTTGAGGAGCCTGAGAGGAGCTGTGCGCCAAGAGGAGGGTTTTTCTTTTCCGAGAATCCAGAGGCCCTTATTATCTGCTTCCTTTCTCAGCTGAACCCTTGCCCCCGGAGCCCCCAGCAGTGCCCTCTGAGGTGGAGCTGCAGCACCTGAGGAAGGAACTAGAGAGAGTGGCAGGAGCGCTCCAGGCCCAGGTGGAGTACAATCAGCGCATAAGTCTCCTGAATGAGGGGCAAAAGGAGAGACTTCGGGAGCAGGAGGAGAGGCTTCAGGAGCAGCAGGAGAGGCTTCGGGAGCAGGAGGAGAGGCTTCAGCAGCTGGCCGAGCCACAGAACAGCTTCAAGGAGCTGGTGCGTTGCCCCAGCTGGGGAGCCTGCCCTCCTCCCTAGCCCTCCAGGCCTTTGTTTCCCCACCTATAAAATGTGGCAGTGTAGCCCTCAAGTGAAATGTTACTCCTAAAGGCACCTGTGAGCCAGAGCCCTGCTCTGGTGGCTGTGGGAGACAGGGGATGATTTTTCTAACCTGCCTCCACCCTTCCCGGTGCCATGGGAGGCAGTCACCAAGTTCTGGGGTCTCCAGCTGCAGTGGGTGGCTGCTGATTGCTTCTCTCTGTCCAGAACAATGAGAACAAGAGCGTACTACAGTTGGAGCAGCAAGTAAAGGAGCTGCAGGAGAAGCTAGGCAAGGTGAAGGAGACGGTAACCTCCACCCCATCCAAGAAGGTCTGGGAGGTGGGCACCAGCCTCTGGGGAGGGGAGGTGCCAGGCCAGAGGCAGCTCCAGCCCGGGGGCAGGTGACCCCAGCACCCTCCAGGGCAGTCCTGTGGCTGTTTCTTGCTTCCTGCCCTCTGATTTTAGAGGTGGGTAGCCCTGGGCTCCTCCCAGGTCTGGACATCATCATTCCAGCTAGAGACATGGAGCACCGCCAATCACAGGGGAAGAGACAGAGTGGTATAACAGTCTTCTTATGCCAGACGCGGTGGCTTACGCCTATAGTGCCAACACTTTGGGAGGCTGAGGCAGGAGAATCACTTGAGGTTTGGAGTTTGAGATCAGCCTGGCCAACATGGTAAAACCTCATCTCTACTAAAATTACAAAAACAAAAAACAAAAAAAGGAAGAAAAATTAGTGGGGCATGGTGGTGGCGCATGCCTGTAATCCCACCTACTCAGGAGGCTGAGGCACGAGAATTGCTTGAGCCCAGGAGGTGGAGGTTGCAGTGAGCTGAGATTGCACCACTGCACTCCGGCCTGGGCCACAGAGTGACACTCTGTCTCAAAACAAAACAAAAAGACTCCTTAGATTAAAACTGGATTCCAGCCTCAGTTCCACTGGTCACCATTCAAGTACTTCACATCTCTAAGTCTCTGTTTCTTTAACTTCAAAAGGAAGTTAGCATTTTCCTTACAGAGGTGCTGAGGATTAAATGAGATAATACATGGGAAGCATTAGGCCTGTAGCACATTTAGCAGATGGTGGTTGGCTCCCACTACTTTTCTACCATTCTGTGGCCTACAGTTGAAATGGTGGGAAGAGGACATGAGATTTGAGGCTGGGGAAGGAGGCATGGGGTTCTAGGAAAGGGAGGCAGTCACTTAGGCCTGGAGTAAGGGGCCAGGGGCCTGGGCAGGCGACAGAGCCCCACAGTGCCCTCGCTACCCTATTAATGGGCCCAGAATCTGGAAACCAGCCACCACGTGCCCTCACACCCAGGGTCTTCCTGCAGGTGGAGCTGAAGAGCCAAGAGGCTCAGAGTCTGCAGCAGCAGCCAGACCATTACCTGGGTCACCTGCAGCAGTACGTGGCCACCTATCAGCAGCAGGTGGCCGCCTATCAGCAGCTGACCTGTGAGAAGGAGGCGCTGTACAGGCAGTGACTGCAGCAGACCCAGCTAATGAACCAGCTGCAGCAGCAGGAAGCTTGGGGCAAAGCGGTGGCCGAGATGGCCTGCCAAAAGTTGCAGGAGGCCCAGGGGAGGGAGCTGCCGAGGATGGGGCCGTGAGGGGGACGACCTGACAAACTCTGTGCCTTCTCACTCTTTCCTGGCCCCTTAGGAGCGCCTGGAAGCTGCCAGCCAGCAGAAACAGCAGCTAACGGCCCAGCTGAGCCTCATGGCTCTCCCTGGGGAAGGTACGGGAGACCGCTCAGAGGAAGAGGAGAGAGCCCCAGGAGGAAGGGGGGACTGCTAGCAGCATAGGATTGAGGAGTTGGAAGAGACCTTTAGAACAGCTGGTCATTATACTAACCGGGTGCCTGCACTAAGTTCAGCATCAATATGGTGACCTCCTGGGAGCGGGGGGCCACCAAGTTGCCTAAGGATGGCTGAACTGGCCGAGGTCAGAAAGGGAGCAGGTCAGAACTCCCACACCGACCAGTAGTGGGAATGTGCCTGGGCAGTATAGCAAGATCTTGGTTCTTCAAAGTAAAAATAAATAACAGCAGCTCATTCCTCTCTGGGGAGGGCCTGGCTCAGGGTTACACAATGAGGGTGGAGGCAGAGGTGGGCCCACAATACTTCCCTTGTTGAGTTGTCTGAAGACCCCTCTGGCCACCCCCAACAGGACACGGAGGAGAACATCTGGACAGTGAGGGGGAGGAGGCACCTCGGCCCATGCCGAGTGTCCCAGAGGACCTGGAGAGCAGGGAGGCCATGGTGAGCCTGACTCCCCCTGCACCCATTTTGCCACCTTTCTCTGTGGTCCCTCCAAGACCCCTTTATGCTCTTCGTTTCCCTGCCTTCTGGTTTCTCTGGACCCTCACCCCTTCCGAGAGCCAGTGGTCAGACACCATTTCACCTGTGGCCAACAGGTGCACTCTCTGAGGCCCCAAGGGAAGGGGCTGCGCTCCACCTCTCTGCCCCATTTCTTCTGTGTATGCCCCTAGAAGAATGCTCACATCTTGCCCTCAGGTGGCATTTTTCAAGTCCGCTGGAGCTAGTGCCCAGGAGAAGCAGGCACAGTTACAAGAGCAGGTGAAAGAGCAGAGGGTGTGCTGCCAGCGCCTGGCTCACCCGGTGGCCTCGGCCCAGAAGGAGCCAGAGGCAGCGGTCCCAGCCCCAGGGCCTGGGGGCGAGTCTGTGAGTGGGGAGACCCACCGGGCCCTGCAGGAAGTCATGGAGAAGCTGGCCCATGCCGGAACTCACCTCCGCCTTCTCCATGACTTGAAAATGCCACCTGAGGGCAGGTCGCTGCCGAGATGTGACCCCATTATTTTGGCTCCAGAGCGGCTTTATGGACCACCTGGAGGAGAAGGCAGACCTGAGTGAGCTGGTGGAGAAAGAAGAACTTGGATTCTTCCAGTACTACAGAGAGAGATGCCATCAGTGAGTGGGAGGCCAGGGCGTGGCAGGGGGAGCTGCAGGGCTGTTGGAGGGGCCCCAGCGTCTGAGCCCTGTCCTCCCGCAGGAAAGTTTATCACCCTATAACAAAGCCAGGGGGCAGTGCCAAAGATGCAGCACCGGGAGGAGGACACCATCAGGCTGGCCCTGGACAGGGAGGAGATGAAGGTAGAGTGTGCAACATCTCTGCGGGGGTGGGGGTGGCTGTGACGGTGAGCGCTGGCAGCAGCGTGACAGCTGAGCACCCCTCCCTCCAGGTGAAGCTGCTGGAGCTGCAGGAGATGGTGTTGCAGCTGGTGGCGACTACAAGGGACACAGCAAATTCTTGGTGACTGCCCAGAACCCTGCTCATGAGCCCAGTCCAGGAGCCCCAGCCCCCCAGGAGCTTGGGGCTGCCCACAAGCATGGTGGTGAGTAGAGCCCTCAGGCGGGGTGGGCAGGCAGGAGCAGGGGGGCTCTCACTGAGCTCAGATCCCCGCCTCCCTCTCTCCAAAGATCTTTGTGAGGTGAGCCTCACTGACAGCGTGGAGCCTGTGCAAGGAGAGGCCAGGGAGGGTTCTCCCCACGACAACCCTACTGCACAGCCGATCGTGCAGGACCACCAGGAGCACCCAGGCTTGGGCAGCAACTGCTGTGTGCCATTCTTTTGCTGGGCTTGGCTGCCAAGAAGAAGGAGATAAACATGACCATCGTCAAAGACCTGCTCAAGAAATTTTTAAAAAAGAAACAAAGTTATGGGGTTAATCTCCTACACAATTCATTTACTTCGTTTGAATGTTATAGCCACTTATGATTATTTGTGTTTCTAATTTATAGTTTAAGTTTATTTGTAAATAGTTAAAAGAGAGTGGGTCTCTGTGGCTTTCACTGATGTTCACTCTGGCATACTTTCGCAATTTTCTTTTTCAATTTCATGATTGTAGGTCATTAGCATGCATATTGAGTTTGCCCTTACGTGGTGGGAGTTCAAACACACAAAGACCCACTATTTGCACAAAACTATTCTTGCTGGTTTGGAATAGGCTGCCATGTGTTTTTAATGTTATTGAAGCATGTATATTCATTACAGAATTCAGATAAAATTTGCCTATGTTCTGCTATTGTTTGATCTAATCTTAATCACAGTGAGCTCTTCATTAGCACAATATGTGGTTTGCCCCAAGTGTGCACTATTTAATACTTTGTAATATGCCACCAAGAGTACTGACATTTAGAGTTGTTTAAAGGCCGAGAACTGGAAACAGCCTTTCCCTCATTTTCTGTGTATTGGTGATGGGAGTAATAACATTTTGGGGGAGCTTTTTAAATTTCACAGAAGAGGAAAGTTGCCTGCTCTGGCAGGTATGTGCAAGATAGAGTGTGTTTCATTTGTTCTGTTGCCAAGAATTAGTGCTGTACTATTGTAGTTCCTTTAGGATTTGTATGTGCTCTGGGCTCATGAAGATATTGCATCATGAGCTGCAGCAGTTGTACTCTTTTTTGATGACCTAAAAAGGGCTTATTTCTGAGGAATGAAAGGTTCCCATCATTGACTATGGATGTGGAAAACCTTTCCTAGCTTAGAGCATTTGTATCTATATTTTAAAGTCAGAGTTCATGTTACCTGTTTTAATCACATGACTGCATGTCCCAGTACACAAAAGGGCACTGGTTGGCATTCTTCTTAATGTATTTAGTAAAGATCAGAAGAAATCCTTTAAGAGTTTAAATGTCCCTGGAACACGCATACAGGCTCTAGTCAAGAATGAATTAGAGTGAAGGAAAGCTGTGTGACACCTGGCATTCCTCTGTTCATGGAGCTTCTTTGAGGCTTGAAGATTGATTTTACCATCTAGACCACTCTGCCTATTCTTCAACCACCTTGGTTACTTTGACATAGGAATTGACTTCTTTTCCTTGAATGGAAAACACTTTGAAATAATAATAAACATTGTTATAAACTAATATATGTGAGAGTGCTTAGTTGAAACAAAAAGGAGTTTTAGTAGACAGTATTATACTATCTTTGAAAATCAAGGAGAAGTTTATGCAACTTAAAATGTGTACAAACTGCAGTGCAATCTACTGTTGGTGAATGTCAGTGTATTATCAGGAAACATGTCTATACAATCACAGAGTTATATTTCCTCACAAACTTCTTTGTGAAGAGTGAAATGTGTTTCTGTACCTCTGGGTTTCACTTACGGGCATATTTTGTGCAGTATTTATGTGATTGTGCCTATGCATGATGAATGAATGAATTTCAGTTGTACATTGCCTAAATCATAACTTGATGATGCTTGGGAAAGACTCAACAGTTAAAACTTCATGAAGTTCTAATGTCTGTGTTCCAAAACACATCACATTATTAGGATGTAGGGAGATATGTATGTGTGCTCCCTGGGGTGGGGATTTCTAGTTACTAGACCATCTCCATTTTTAGCATTTGGCATCCTCATGATACTTTTATAAATACGACATTAACAGGAGAGCAGCAGTACGATTTTGCCGATGGAATAACAGATTTGCCGGCAATCACTGAAAGAGTGCAAATATCGGGTCCTTGTGACTTCAACGGACTCTTCCAAATTGTATGAATGTATCAATGTATTAGATAAACCCAGTTTCAGAATGATAAAGAAAAAATGTTAGACCAAATAATGCGGCTAGTTAACAGTGGTACGATTTCTAGCCCGTGGCTTTAAAATGCACTTAAAGTCCTGTCCTTGCCTTTTATTTTCTGAACTTGATGTTTTTGCATTCTTTGAGTTCAGTTTAAAGACAACTACGAGCATCTGTAACCAATCTGACAATAATGTGTTCATCAGGTGCCTATGGATTAAATCACATACTGGCATATTTAAGCTGAATGTCAATCTGGAAAATAAATTGACTGTATTAACAGAAATACCACTCTTTGTGTAGATATTTGTCATATATTTAAGAAAAAGCTAAAAAGAATGGAAATCGCATGACTATAACTTAAGTCTTTCTTCAAAGTGCATGCAGTCTTTTGCGATACCTCATTCAGCCAAGTATTGGTATTCTTCCTCATTCGGTATAAGGCAGCTTTCAATTTGCTTAGAAGGCAACATTGGAAGGTTAGAGTTCATCAGAAACAGAATTCTAAAATGTGAGTTCAATTCAATAAATTTGAATTTCTGTAGGAAGAATCAAATCACCGATTTAAAGAGTGCAATATATAATAATCATTTTTAAAGTATTGGATTAAATCTGATAGGTTTTCCAGAAATGAACAAAAATCAGCTCTAAAACCAAAGCTGATTTTTAGAAAATTTGAAAATGTAAATCAGCCCTATCCATACTATAGTTTCTCTAAAACTTTATCTGAAAGAGTCATTTTAAAATAACTATTAAACAATGTAACTGCTATCTTAATGTTCTGAAATAAGTTAAAACATTTTAAAATATGAATACTGTAAAGGAAATAAATGGTGGGAAGGAAAAGTAGAGAAAGAAATGCCAATTCCAGTCCAAAGCTTTATTTGCCAAGTTTTCTTAGAATGAATTTTACCAATTTATGAATTCTTGTAAGCGGAATGTAAAACGGAAATACTGAAAGACTTTTGCCTAAAGTGGCATTATTGACTGCTGGTGTGATGCTACTGTAATGTAATAAATTATTAAGTTGTTGCAAAGTGCTGTTTTTGCCTTAAAATTTTATTCTGTGTGTCTTGAAAAATATAGTATTAAAGGTATTGATACTGTGCAAATGCTGAGCATGCTTGGCATGAGATAATGTTTCATTTTTACAAAATTGTAATATAACTATGCAAGAGTTTATTAAAAGAACACAAAATAAAAAAGTTATGGGATTAACAAAAGTTATGGGGTGAAAAAGTTATGGGATAAAAAATGTAAAAAAGTTGTGGCAAAAAAATCTTGTGACCAAAAAGTAGAAAAAAGTTTTATGAAAAGTTACCAAAAATAGTTATGAAAAAGAAGTTATGGGATTTAAAAAAAAAGGCATGGGATAAAAATAAAAATTAAAATTAAAAGCAGGCCCCTGTCAGCAAAGCCTGGAGAAGTGGGGCTGGGGTCTCTCCACCACCACACTGTCCCTATCTCCCCTTCCCAGTCACCCCTTTACAATTAGGGTAGCAAGACAAGACCACTGTCTAACGAGGAAAGACAAACAGACCCTTTGCCACCTTGACCAGAGCTGAGTCCTTAAATTTCTGGATGATATTGTTATTTAAGAGCCAGAGGCTGGTGGAGTTGGTTTGTTTGGAGGAGGCCTCATGGCCTCCTTACTCTCACCATAGCAACTTTTCCCTCAGTGGGGGCTCCAATCTTCTTATTCAGAGAGGTAGCTGAGGCAGGACAGTGGGGCTAACTGTGGACCAGGCGAAGGCATGGGCTGCTGGGGTGGCCCCCCTTCCCCGGTGTATATATTGTGTCTGTGTAAGGTTTTGTATATTCCAGAGGGTAGGGCCACCCCTGTATCATACCTAGCGGTGGTTGGAGGTGGCACATGGGGAGGAGGTTCTAATAATTATTTGTGGCTGGGAAACTTACTTATTGCTAGCATAGGACAGAGGAAGAAGGCAGGGATGGGGTCATGGCTTCCCAGTGGTGTGATCACAGTTCACTGCAACCTCCAACTCTCATGCTCAAGTGATCCTCCCACCTCAGCCTCCCAGGTAGCTGGGAGTATAAGCATGCACTACTATGCCTGGCTAATTTTTAAATTTTTTGTAGAGAAAAGGTCTTGCTATGTTGCCCATGCTGGTCTTGAACTCCTGGGCTCAAGCGATTCTCCCATCTTGGCCTCCCAAAGCACTGGGGTTACAGGCATGAGACATTGCTCCTGTCCATAAGATTTTCTCTTTATTACTGTTTTGTTGTTGGTGGTGGTGTTTTGTTTTGTTTTTATTTTTTGACAGAGTCTCGGTCTGTTGCCTAAGCTGGAGTGCAGTGGTGCAATCTCTGCTCACTGCAACCTCTGCCTCCTGGTTCAAGCAATTCTTATGCCTCAGCCTCCCGAGTACCTGGGGTTATAGGCATAAGCCACTGCGCCTGGCTAATTTTTGGATTTTTAGTAGAGACAGAGTTTTGCCATGTTGGCCAGATTGGTCTTGAACTCCTGGCCTTAAGCAATCCGCCCTCCTCAGCCTCCCAAAGTGCTGGGATTACAGGTGTGAGCCACTGCTCCTGGCTAAGATCCCATCTCTATTTAAATAAAAAAAGAAAATTCAGAATCTATGGAACACAGAACACCAAAGGCCAGTTATTTACCTCTCTGAGGTAATCTGTGTAAACAATTTGATATATATCCTTTCAAGTTCATACTTGCTATGCATACATATATATACACACATACATTGACATATTCCCCCTTCCCTGCTGTCATGCTATTAGTCTTCTTTTTTTTGTAGAAATTGGACCAACTCTATGTTCTTTGCTGGCCCGTATTTCTCCTATTCAGTGATGTGTTATGAATATCTGTTTAAGTCAATGTATGCAACTCTTTAATATCATTTTAAAAGGTTACGACATACGATCATATGAAGGCATTAGAATTTATTCCAACAGTTCCCTTTTGCACATTTAATAATTTCCATTGATTTGCCAGGAAGAACATTCTCGTGTCATGGCTAAATCCTTTTGTATGGACATCCTTAATTATTCCCTTAAGATAAACTTTTAAATAAAGTTGCTAGATTAGTCTCGTTTCTTAAGTTCCTTTTTGGTAGTTTATATGTAACACTGTAGTTTTATATGTACTTACAAATACCTATAGTGCCAGTAGAAAATGGGATAAAATTAAACTCTTTCACATATGCCAAATATATTTTGATTTAGCGCTTTATTAAGTGCATGATTACAGTCTCTGTATCTTTTGATTTACCTTTCTATCTTTACAATTTTCAGCCGAGACACTTAGCGGTCACATAATAAATTAAGGTTTTCTTTTTTTAATAATCTCCATCTTTCTAAATATGGTGAGTCACAGTCAGCTATTTTTGGATTGTTGAAAGCTGTGACTGTTCTAAATCGGAGCCCAGAAATCATGCCACTTACCAAATATGCTTTGTCTTCCAACATCAGAGTGTCTGGTAGAAGGTGACTGTTCTTGGAATTTAAAAAATCTGAACAGGACAAGACAAGAATCTGGACACTTTTTCTGTTTCTGATAATATGATTGAGTAGGTAGACATGCTGGATAATCCTTGCAAAGACATACTTGAACTTCCCCAAAAAAAAAATAAAATCCAGAATCTCTAAGAATGAAGATGGAGTGAAAATCAGAAGGGCTGCTGAGAGAATAATGGGGAAGCAGCCCCAGTTATCAAGGGACATGTCCATGTGTTCAATAGAAAGTTTCAGATGTAAAAAAAAGTTGAGAAAAATAATATATATATTATATATAATAAATGATATAATTGCCCTACATATACACATCATCAACAATTTTTCATTCATGGTATGGACAGTTTTTTTTTTTTTGGTTGTTTTTTGTTTGTTTGTTTGTTTTTAAAGGTGGGATTTTGCTGTGGTTGCCCAGGCTGGAGTGCAGTGGCATGATCTTGGCTCACTGCAACTTCCACCTCCCAGGTTCAAGCGATTCTCCTGCCTCAGCTTCCCGAGTAGCTGGGATTACAGGCACCCGGCACCACATCCGGCTAATTGTTGTATTTTTAGTAGAGATGGTGTTTCACCACGTTGGCCAGGCTGGTCTTGAACTCCTGACCTCAGGTGATCCACCTGCCTCGGTCTCCCAAAGTGCTGAGACTACAGGCGTGAGCCACCACACCTGGCCACAGCCAGTTTTGTTTCATTTACATTCCCACTTCATTTATATACATTCCTTCTTCCTCTGAATTATTTTGAAGTAAAACCTATACATCCTATCATTTTTAATTACCTTATATGTATCTGTAGAAGACAAGGAATTCTTAAAAATAAATATATTCACAATGCCATTAAATATCAAAAAATTAATATTCTGAAAATAGCCACAAATCCAGAGTTGACATTTTGTTGACTTTCTCATAGGTGATTTTTTTTCTAGTTTATCTATTTCAATCAGATAACTGTTTGCTCATATTTACATTCCTTACTGAACAATGTCTAAACTTAAACTGACATAAAATGGAGATGATCTTCTAACCAGATGCTTAGTGTAAGAAAAAACTTCAAACTGCAAGAGGAGTCCCTCCAAATACAGAAAGGATCAGTATTTTAAGAGGTATGTTAACTAAAATGTGGCAATGTAAGGAGCAAAGCAGGAAGAACCTTTAAGTCCTCAACTTACAAGTCAATTTCATAGTCAGTTTCCCTGGTCCTTCCACAACAACCTCCCCCATCTGTTTTCTCTACAATGGAGGTAACAATAGTAGCTATTCCAGAGCAGGAAAAGGCTTAGAGCAGTGCTAGAAGAGGGTCGTGGCTATATAAAGTTTAGCTATTTGTATATTGTAACAAACCTACAACTTTTTTTTTTTTGTCAATAATACATTTCTTTTGGAAAAGTGGCACCCTCCTGTGGGGGACACCTGCAGTTCCACTAAGCGAACATCGGTGTCTGCTAACCTTTGCCTCTTTGTCTCTCAATAATATACTGTCAAGCTGTTCCTTGATTTAGCACTTTTGTATACTTTTTTTTTTCCTCTCCCGTTTCCTGAGACACAGTCCCTCTCTGTTGCTCTGTCTGGACTGCAGCAGCGCCATCATGGCTCACTGCCACCTCCACCCCCGGGCTCAAGCAATCCTCCTAGGTCAGCCTTGGGAGCAGCTGGGACTACCTGTGGGGCGGCTAATCTTTGTGGTTTTTGTTTTGTTTTTCCGTTATGGGACCGGGTTTCGGGCCAGGCTCAGTGACTCACGCCTGCAATCCCAGCACCCCGGGAGGCCGAGGCCGGCGGATTACCTGAGGGAGGAGCTCCAGACCACCCCGACCAACATGGAGAAACCCTGTCTCTACCAAAAAAAATAAAAACTAAACAACTAATGGGGTATGGTGGCACATGCCTGCAATCCCAGCCACTCAGGAGGCACCATTTATTAATCTTTTTGACATCAGATGCTCAGTGGCTCACACCTGTAATCCCAGCACTTTGGGAGGCCAAGGCAGGTGAATCGCTTGAGCCGAGGAGTTCAAGACCAGCCTGGCCAACGAGGTGAAACCACGTCTCTGTTGAAAATACAAAAATTAGCCGGGCATGGTGGCACACACCTGTAATCCCAGCTACTCAGGAGGCTGAGACAGGAGAATCGCTTGAACCCAGGAGGTGGAGGTTGCAGTGAGCCGAGATCACAGCATTCCACTCCAGCCTGGACAACAGAGTGAGACTCTGTCTCAAAATTAAAAAAAAAAAAAAAAAATTAACCAGCCATGGTACCACACACCTGTAGTCCCAGCTACTCTGGGGCTGGTGGGGGAGGACTATTTGAGCCCAGGAGGTCGAGGCTTTAGTGAGTTTGATCATGCCACTACACTCTAGCCTGGGCGGCAGAGTGAGTTCGTGTCTCAAAACAAAACAAAAATAGTTTCCAGCCAGGCGCGGTGGTTCACGCCTGAAATCTCAACACTTTGGGAGTCCAAGGTGGCGCATCATCTGAGGTCAGGAGTTCCAGACCAGCCTGGCCAACGTGGTGAAACCCCATCTCTACTAAAAATACAAAAATTAGCTGGGCATGGTGGCTCATGCCTGTAATCCCAGCTACTCAGGAGGCTGAGACAGGAGAACCGCTTGAACCCAGGAGGCGGAGGTTGCAGTGAGCCAAGATCGCACCATTGCATTGCAGCCTGGGGCAACACAGTGAGACTCTGTCTCAAAAAAGAAAAAAAAAAAGCTAGGCGTGAGAAGTGCCTTGATTTTGTATTTTCAATCTGCCAATACTTGCACAGGCTCTGGCTGCAAAACTTTTGCCGGTCAAACATTCGCATTTGAGAAACCACGTCCCTGCTGAGAGATAGATCTAGACACAGCCTTAACTACATCATCAGTAGACACATGACTGGTTTTCTTTGTTTGTTTGTTTGTTTGTTTGTTTTGAGACGGAGTCTCGCTCTGTCGCCCAGGCTGGAGTGCAGTGGCGTGATCTCAGCTCACTGCAACCTCCACCTCCTGGATTCACGCCATTCTCCTGCCTCAGCCTCCCGAGTAGCTGGGACTACAGGCGCCCGCCACCACGGCCGGCTAATTTTTTGTATTTTTTAGCAGAGACGGAGTTTCACCGTATTAGCCAGGATGGTCTGGATCTCCTGACCTCGTGATCCGCCTGCCTCGGCCTCCCAGAGTGCTGGGATTACAGGCGTGAGCCACCGCGCCCAGCGACATATGACTGTTTTTAACCAGAGGGAGGAAAATGGCTTTCAGATGGTTGTGTAGCTGGTTTTAACAGCCTTCAGCAGCGACACTGGCAGCCTCCGACCTCTCAGACCGAGTAAGCCAAGCGAAGCCTGTAGGCGCACGCTTGCAGCTCAGCGCCCGCGGGGACTCCGGAAGCCTCTCCCAAGTGGCGCGGTCCGCAAGGGGCGGCTACAGCTTGGGCGCAGGCGCCGCTGGCTCACCGGTTCTCTTGGGCTCCCCTGGGACGCCGTAGGATCGCAGGCGCGCAGCCCTCCCGGCCGCTCTGGCCGCCCTGCTCCTCCTTTGAAGAAAGATAGGGCCGCTGGCAGGGGCCCTCCGCAGCCACCGGGGATGGGGCTGAGGCCAGTTTTTGTTTTTAGTGCAGCCGCCGCCAGGCCGACCGCCGGGCTTGGCTGCAGCCACGGCGACACTGGCCCGAGTTCTGCGAGGCTGGGGGTGCTGGCGGGCTTGGAGGTTGCCTGGCAGCTGCTGCCTGCAAAAAGAAAAACAAACAAAAAAGCAGCTGCAGCTTGGGCGCCCAGGGCTAGCGGGGCATGGCCTGGGCAGTCTTGGGATTGCGAGCGCGCGCGGCCTGAGAGTCCGTACCCTTCGCCGTGCCTCCTGCCCTCCTCCTCTGCCGGACCTCAGAACTGCTGGCCAGGCCGTCCGAGGGAGTCCGGACCCCACTCCGCAGCCTACAGAGATGGGGTTGAGCGGCAGGTTCTCAGTTCTCGCCCCTCTGCAGCCGCCGCCGGGCAGACCGCCTGGCTTGGCCGCAGCCACGGTGACATTTGGCCCTGGTTCTGCGATGCTGGGAGCGCGAGCGAGCTTGGGAGTTGCCAGGCAGCTACTGCTTGCAGGCGGAGGGCGGCTACAGCTTGGGTGTCCAGGCAGTGGAACATGGCCTGGGCGGCCTCTGGATCGCGAGTACACCGAGCCTGAGAGCCCGCCAGGCCCTGCCCCCGCCTCTGCCAGAGCTCAGGACCGCTGGCCAGGGGCCCTCCGCAGCCACCGGGGATGGGATTAAGTGGCAGGTTCTCGCCCCTGTGTAGCCGCCATCGGGCAGACCATCTGGCTTGGCTCTAGCCACCGGGACATCTGTCCCCGGTTCTGAGATGTTACGAGTGCAGGCGGGCTTAGAGGTTCCCCAGAGGCTGCTGCCTGCACACAGAGGGTGGCTGCAGCTTGGGTGCCCAGGCGGGCTGGAGGGGCCTGGCCCGGGAGGCCTGCGGATCGCCAGGGCGCCCAGGCTGAGAAGCCCCAAGCCGCGCATCCCGCCCGGCTCTTCCACCACAGGGAGACAGGAGCTGCTGGCATGGGGACTCCGCAGTCACCTGTGATGGCTTTGAGCGGCAGGTTCTCAGTTCTCACTCCTGTGCAGCCGCCGGGACATCTGACCCCGGTTCTGCGACGCTGGCAGCGCGACCGGGCTCGGGAGTTGACAGGCGGCTGCTACCTGCACACACAGGGCAGAGGGCAGCTGCACCTTGGCCTGGGCAGCCTCCGAAATGCGTGCGCGCCAGGCCTGAGGGCCCCCCTGGTGGTGCCACCCGCCCCGCTCCTCCTCTGCAGGAGCCTGGAGCAGCTGGAATGGCCACTCTGCAGGGTTATGGTTAAGTATTCTTATCCCATGCATGCACACAAAAAAGGTAACTATTATGCGAGGTAATTAATATGTTAATTGACTTCATTTTGGTAATCATTTCAAAATGCGCATGTAGATAGAAACATCACATTGTAAACTTTGAATATGTACAATATTTATTTCTCAAATATACCTCAGTAAAGCTGAAAAAAAATGAACAGGATTGAAAGGATAAGCACACAGTTCTATAATAGTAGTTGGACACTTCAATACCTCATTTTAATTAATGGATAGAAAAACCAGACAGAAGCTTCATGAGAAATAGAAGACTTGAACAACAGTATAAGCCATTTAGAGCTAATACACATATACAGAACAGTCCACCCCAAAACAGCAGAATATACATTCCTTTTAAGTGGATATGGAACTTTCTCTAGGATAGGTCATATCTTCGTCCACAAAAATATGTCCTAATCATTTACAAAAGTTTTAAATCATACAAAATATAATTTACAACCACAATGGAGGAAACATAAATAAAAAATGAAACCTGAAAAATTCACAAATATGTAGAAATTAAACACTACACTCTTAAACTACCAGTGAAAGAATAAATCATAAGTGAAATTATAAAGTATCTTAAGACAAATAAAAACAAAACATACCAAAACTTAGTGACTGCAGTGAAAGTAGAGTTTGAAGGAAAATGTATGGACATAAACAACTACATTTAAAAAAAGCTCAAATCAGTAACCTCACTCTACACCTAAAAGGCAGTATAAAAACCAGAGAAAACTAAATCTGAAGCTAGCAGAAGTAAAGAAATAATAAAGATTAGAGCATAAATCAATAAAATAGAAGGTTGGAAAGCAGTAGAAGAAATAAACGTAGCTAAAAGTTGGTTCTTTGAAAAGAGTAATCTCACCTCAGTAGCCTAAGATTCTTCTTTAGGAACGTAGAGAAAGAACAACAACTTAAATCTAAGGAACTAAAGAAAGGAGCTAATAACAATTAGGGCAGAAATAAGTGAAATTCAAAACCAAAGAGAGAAAAAGGGAAAGAGAAGAGAGACTACAGATTACTAACAGCAGGACTGAAAGACAAGCTATCAATACACACTATACCATAAATAAGTAAAGCTAAAAATAATTTTATGCACACAAATCTAATAGATGAGATGAAAAAAATAAATTCCTCTAGAGACACAACACATACTACCAAGTCTCACTGAAGAAGAAACAGGTAACAAATAGTCCTGTATTAATTAAGAAATTGCATTTGTAAATAAAACCTACCAAAAAATCTAGTCACATGTTCTTTCACTACTGATTTCTATCAAATATTTGAAGGATAAATAATTTTGACTGTACACAATCTTTTAGAGAAAATAGATGAGATGGGAGCACTCCCAACTCATTTTATAAGGCCAGCATTACAATAACACCAAAACCAAAAAATGATATGGAGAGAAAAGAAGACTATAGACAAATATCAGTCATGGACATATATGAAAAAATATCAACAAAATATTGTGACATCAAATTGAACATCTCCCCATGTAGGATGATTCATTATGTCCAATAAAAACAAGGCTGATTCACTATTAAAATCCAATCCAAGTAATCTGCTATAGAATATTTTTAAAATATTCTTCTCAAGAGATGCAGGAAGAGCATTCGATGAAATCCAACATCTATTTCTGACCAAAACTCATAAAATTAGGAATAAAAGAACTTAGGATATATGTTTATATCTGTATACTATATGGTGATGACTGAATGATTTTTCCTTAAGACTGGGGACAGGTCCTATTCGATATTGTATTAGAAAATTTGCAAAGTGCAATAAGACAGGAATAAGAAATAAATAACATACATATTGCAAAGGAAGAAGTAAAACTGCCTCTATTTGCTGATAAAACTAATCTTTATATACACAGTCTACAGTATTTATGAAAAGCTTCTAAAATAAATACGTGAAATTAAGTGTTTTATTATCAAAGGTCAATATAGAATGTCAATAATTTTCCTATGTGTGAGTAATTAACAGTTGAAAAAATTAAATTACTATTTAAAATAGAAGCAAAAATTAAGTGCTTAGGTATTAATGTAACAATAGAAGTGCAGGATCTGTATGCTGAAAACTACAAAATATAAATGCAATAAATAGAAAATTTAAAAAGAGGGGAATGAAATATTTATGAATTCAGAGTCTCAATATAGTTAAGATGCCAGTCTTTTCCATTTCTGCTTGTAGAGTTCCTTCATTAACAATGAAAATTCCTGTAAGTTTTTTTTTTTTTGTAGATATCACCAAGGAGATTCTAAAATTTACATGGAAAACAAAATAACTAGAATTGTCAAAACACTTCTGAAAAAAAGTTAGAGGACATAAACTACTGATTACAAGGCTTACTATTATGCTACAGTTCTCAAAATATTGTGGTTTTGTTAAAATATTGTTAAAACACTAGATACGTAGACCAATGGAATGAATACAGACCCCAGAAATAGACCCACACAAATATATTCAACTGCATTTTGAAAAAGATGCAGAGGAAAAGGGGAAAGTATAATCTATTCTGTAAATGGGGATGTAATAATGGGATCTCCCCATGTAAAAAAAAAACGAAACTTAATGCGTATTTTACACCTTTTACAAAAGTGGACTGAAATAGACCATATAAAAGTGTAAAGTATACAGCAATAAAATACTATCATAAAACAGGGGAAATTAGGTATGACTTTGGGGTCATTGATGAGTTTTTAGATAAAACACCATACACATGATCCATAAAAGAAAAAATGAAAAAGCAGACTTTGTTATATCTAAAAATGCTCATTCTGTGAAAGAACCATTACAAGAGCAAAAAGCTAAAACAATCAGGGAAAAATATTAAGTCACTGTATTAGTCTGTTCTGCTGCTGCTATAAAGAACTGCTTGAGGCTGGGTAATTTACCAGGAAAGAGGTTTAATTGACTCACAGTTCCATGAGGCTGGCAAAGCCTCAGGAAACTTACAATCATGGCAGAAGGCAAACAAACATGTTGTTCTTCACATGGTGGCAGGAGAGAGAAGTGCTTAGCAAAGGAAGAAAAGCCCTATATAAAACCATCAGATTTTATGAGAACTCACTCACTATCTGAGAACAGCAGCATGGGGGTAACCTGCCTCCATGATTCTACTACCTTCTGCCAGGTCCCTCCCACAACACATAGGGATTATGAGAACTACAATTCAAAATGAGATTTGGGTGGGGACACAGTCAGACCATATCAGTCACGTATCTTATACAAGCTTTTATCCAAAATGAATAAAGAACCCTTAAAACTCAACAATACAAAACAAACAATCCAATTTAAAACAAGCAAAAATCTTGAGCACGTACATCTCAAAAGAAGACAGACATATGGCAAATAAGCATATGAAAACATGGTTATTGTTATTAATAAGGGAATGCAAAACATAACTACAATGGGATACTACTACATGCCATTAGAATAGAAATAAAAAATTAAAATATCAAGTGCTCCTGAAGATGTGTAGCAACAAAGATTCTCTTTCATTACTGTTGGGAATGTAAAATGACATGGTCACTTTAGGAGATAATTTGGCAGCTTTTTATAAAGTAAAACATATGTCCAGTGTGAGGTTCAGCCATTCCACTCCTATATATTTATCAATGTGTAATGAAAACAAATTCACATAAAAGCCCGTAGTCTAGGCAAATGTTTTAGCAGCTTTACTTATAATCTCCAAAACCTGGAAACAACCAAGACATCTTTCTTTTTTTTTTTTTCTTTTTTGAGACGGAGTCTCGCACTGTCACCCAGGCTGGAGTGCAATGTCACGATCTTGGCTCACTGCAACCTCCGCCTCCCAGGTTCAAGGAATTCTTCTGCCTCAGCTTCCCAAGTAGCTGGGAATACAGGCACCCACCACCATGCCTGGCTAATTTTTTGTATTTTTAATAGAGACAGGGTTTCACTATGTTGGCCAGGCTGGTCTCGAACTCCTGACCTCATGATCTGCCCGCCTTGGCCTCCCAAAGTGCTGGGATTATAGGCATGAGCCACCACACCCAGCCTAACCAACACATCTTACAACAGGTGAACAGATAGACTATTGCATCAATACCATCAACTGCTATTCAGCAATACAAAGGAACAGACTATTCACTTACACAACAGTACAGATGAACTTACATGTGTTTTGCTGTGTGAAAGAAGTCAGCCCCAAATGTCTACATATTGTATGATTTCATTCGTATAACATTCCGGAGAAGGCAAAATTATAGGTCAAGAAAACAGATCAGAGTTTGCCCACAATTGGGAGAAAGGGAAGGGTTGATCACAAAGGCATCACACACAGAATTTTAGGGTGATGCGGCTGTTCTGTGCAGTGCTGGAGGGTGGACACGTGTCTCTATGGTTTCTCAAACCCTACCAAATGCTACACTACAAAACCTCTTTCTTATTTTTTGCAAAATAAAAATAATAATAAAAAAATCCACCAGGAAGTCAGAGGATTCCAAGAGGAAAAAGAAACTGATCAAAGACACTTTGGAAAATGGTATTTTGATTGGATACTCTAAGGTTAAGACCAAACAAGCTGCATAGAAACACTCCACTTTGGTTGGTAATTTTGTTTATCACAGGGGCAAATGATAATTTTGACACCAGGCTAGAAAAAATAAGTAAGTAAGTTGCAGATAATGTGAGCTAGAGTTTTTACTGTTATGAAATGACTTTTTCTTGTAGTGTTGAGAATGTTTCTTTTTTTTTCCCAATCATGTGTTAATTCTCCCCAGGATTCTCACCAACCTATTCAAGTATATTTTAAAATACTTATGATTTTAAGACAAAAACACATGTGTTTTCAGCCCAGTTGGAGAAGCCTCATTACTATCACATCCTTTGTGTTCTAAATGAAAGTCTGCACGTAAAACAACAAAGGAGCATGGGAAGTGTTGGAAAAATATAATAAGGAAGACAGACTCCCTGGGGAATGACACAGTGGTATGTTCCTTGGGTCTCCTGTTCTTCTCATCTGCCCTGGAGAGAGTGCTGCAGAAGCCTCCAACCAGAAACCACACCCAACAAAACCAAACCTAATAAAACCCCAGCTGTCTCAGCCAAAGAACCTGGAAAATAATGGCCTAGCAAGGAATACCCACCTGAGTGTAGCCAAACATCAATGGAAACCCCCTCTGCGAACACCATAGTTCAGTGAAATCAAGTGTGGAGCTGATGATCCACTTCACTTACACAGAGTGGAAGGAATCAGCAGTGCTCTGATTCCCTTGCCGGATGGTGTCAGTGGGGCCAAGAAGGGAGATAAATCTTCTGTCTCCCACATTGCAAAAGAAGGTGGCATTCTGGTATTTCCATTTTTTTTTTTTTTTTTTTTTGAGACGGAGTCTCGCTCTGTCGCCCAGCCTGGAGTGCAGTGGCGCGATCTCAGCTCACTGCAAGTTCCACCTCCCGGGTTCACGCCATTCTCCTGCCTCAGTGTCCCGAGTATCTGGGACCACAGGCGCCCGCCACCACACCCGGCTAATGTTTTTGTATTTTTAGTAGAGACGGGGTTTCACCGTGTTAGCCAGGATGGTCTCGATCTCCTGACCTCGTGATCCACCTGCCTCAGCCTCCCAAAGTGCTGGGATTACAGGCCTGAGCCACTGCGCCCGGCCTACAGTTATCTTAAATATAAATTGTGTACATGTGTCAATTAAAACACAAGGAATATCAACCTGAACACGGAAACACGATACAAAAATACGTACGTTACTTATCTCAATTGATGCAGAAAGAGCATTTGCCAAAATATAGCACAGTTTTATGATAAAAACTTTCAGAAACCTAGAAATACAAGGAAACTTCCTGAACTTTATCAAGAGTATTTATCAAAAACAAACAGCTATGTCATGCTTAATGATGAAAGAATGAATGGTTTTCCCCTCAGGGTGGAAACAAGGCAGAGACACCTGCTCTCAACAATGCTATTTGACAGAGCACCGAAAGTTCTAGTCGGCACAATTGGGCAAGAAACAAGGCATACTGATTGAAAAAAAAGAGAAAGAAGGAAAGTGGCCTCTATTGCAGATTACATGATTGTCTTTGTAAAGTCTCAGAGAAACTAAAAAAAGTCTTGTAGAAATAATATTTAGCAAGTTCACAGGATAAATGATCCATCCTCCAAAATTCATCATATTTCTATGAACTAAAAATGAATGTGTGGAAACTGAATATACCTTTACAATTGCTCTAAAGAAAATACTTAGGCATAAATCTGACAAGACATGCAGAATCAAGATGGCAAAAATTACAAAATGTGCATGAATTGAGAGAAGAACTAAAATTCAAACATACCTTATTAATGGTTTGGAAGACTCACGATAGCAAATATGTCAACTCTCTTCAAATTGATGGGTAGACTTAATGACAGTCATATCAAAACACCAGCTACATATTTTTATGCATATAGATAAACCTATTTTAAGTTTATATGAAAAGGCACATGATACTGGTGGAGAGATGGACACATAGGTCAGCAGAACAGAATGAAGAACTCAGAAATTGACACAAGTAAATATGCCCAACTCATTTCTCATTTTTGACAATGGTACAAAAGTAATTGAAAGAGAAAGAATAGTCTTTTTAACAAATGTTACTGGAGAAAATAAACACAGGCTCAAAATCTCAGTGTAAACCTTGCACTTTATACACTAATTAACTAGAAATGGTTTGCAAACTTAAATATAAAAGGTTGTACTATAAACCTTTTAGGAAAAGAGTTCTAAAGAAGTTATTGGGATCTAGGGCTAGATAAAAGTCCTTTGTTCTTATTTACATGTATCTTTTAATTTTTTTTTATTTTCAGTAAAAGATCAATGTGTACGTGTACTTATTCTAAAAAAGAAAAAATGTTCAATGTGCTCTTCCAGGTTAATAGACAAATCAAATAGACTCACCTTTCTTTATGAACCCATAGTGTATCAGTGATCCAGCCATTATTGTTTTCCTGAGAGGAAAATTCTCTTTATGCTCATCACACTTTTGGAGCATTGAACCAGAGGGCCTAACGTGAGGTGAACACGCTGCCAGTGGAGGTGAGCAGGAAGGAAATTTCCAAACCCAAGAACTGACAGAAACTGCTGGAGAGAGAAAGTTACTTGGGCAAGTCTAGAGACCAATTGCGTTGTGCCCTTCTCTGTAGAATAATAAAAACGGAGTATTCAAGAAAAAAAATAGGACAAGTGATACTAACCAAATGATGTTACAACACACCCATGTCTGTATGTGTATACAGACCTATGCACATATACACACATAGATATGTGTAATATGTGTGTATTTATAACTGAGGTTAAACTGTTAGGCAATAAGAATGCAGTCCTATTTTTCTACCCTCTCTTTTCTAACATCTTTCAAACAGATGATGTTTTGTAAGATTTTCAATTATTTTCAATAATTAAAAAAATTTCAAACAGAACAAATATGCATGCTGAATTATTTCTCAATCCCCTGTTTTACATGTGGCTTTAAGTACGTGACCTGTTATATAGATATTTCAGCATCTTAGATGTTAAAGTAAACACATAGCTGCTCCTCATTTTTGGAAGGGTGTATTTACAATATATGTGTCTGATGCAAGTTGTATATTTAAATTACTTAAAAATACATCTTCTTTGGTAAGAGTTTTTAAAAATAAATTTGTGGCACATTAGAATGTTTTTAAGAAAAATTGCTTTTTAATTTGTATTATCTAAACTTCAGAATTTTACTCTGAAGTATTTCAAAACTTACAAGAATATTCATATTTGATCTATAAAATAAGTAACTTAGATGGAATAATTTGAATTTGGAAATTTCTTTATACCACTAAATTTGAAGTATCAATGCCACATTTATTTTTACAAATTTTCCTTGAAACATTATATTGGCTACTGGAAAGAGCTAATACCCTTTATGAAAATATGATTTTAGTGATGCAACTTATATATGAGGTAGATTAGGAAGCTTTACTTCCTGTGCCCATTAACTAAGAAGATTTTATGAAACAATTTTTAACAGGGGCCACAGTCAGTACCGGGAGTGTGGTCAGGTGGTGAGGCACGCCTCCCTCCTCATTGGGCCCACCAGAAGATTTCAGGGTTCTAGGAGAAACATACCCAGGCATGCAGAGATTGTCACAAGGGAGGAAGGGCCAGGGTGGGGAACCCAGCACAGGGGGCCTGCCCTCACAGGGGAGTCGGACAAGGTTTTCTGAGGAAGCTGTGTCCAAGCCGAGATCCTTCCCGCTCCATGTGCTCCAGCACAAGGCCTGCAGGAGGAGCCCTGTGAGCAAGGCCAACCTAGACCAGCCGGGTGGATTCCCTTGGCATTGAGGGGGAGCATGGCCTGAGGAGCTGAGCGCGGTCTCCGAAGGACGGCATCAGAGGAACTCTCACCGTTTCTATCATGAACACTTACAGTTTGACATCAGCATGGGAGTTGTGATTGGGTGATCTTGGGAAGGGTCTGTCAGCGGGTCGGGGGGTCGCTCTAAGTTGGACGCTGTCTGATAGAGGAGGCTTTTCTATTGTTCGGCATCTCATATCTCAAGGAATCTTATCTAGAAGAGGGCAGAGGGCCGCCAGGAGAAAGCCGCTGCTGGTAATGAGGAAGATGCTGCTCATTTTCACCAAGTGCAGTGCTAGGGATTTTAGCGGGTGGCAAAGTGACCTTGATATCTTTTCTCTGTGCAGGTCTCTGTTAGAGTCACTGTGAGTGTCTCTGTGGGGATCTCTGTGTTGGTTTTGAAGGGTCTCCGTGTGCGTCTCTGTCAGAGGTTTCTGTGGGGGGGTCCCTCTGGGGGGTCTTCATGGGGGGGGGTCTCAGTGTTGGGGTCTCTGGGGGTCACTGTGGGGAATCTCTGAAATCTCAATGAATGTGGGGTCTTTGTGGGAATCTTTGCGTGTTGGGGTCTACCGGGGGTCCCTGTGGGGTTCCTCTGCTGCAGGTCACAGGATCCTGGGTCCCATAGATGTTGGGCCCACACTGGAGCTGCCCAGGTCACCACCCCAGACAGGACTTGGCTCCAACAGTAGCCTGGACACCCAAAGTGACACCAGGGCGTGTTCGAAACAGGTCCCCGGTGTGGGTCCCGCCAGGCCTGGGTACAGACCTGACACCTTGTCCTCAGCCTCTGCAGCCCCTGCAGGTGCAGAGCTCTCCCTGGGCAGAAGGCCCCTGGGCAGAGCCCTCTGAGGAACTGGCTCCTGCCTGCCCTGCCCTTGCTCCTGCCTTCCCTGGGGATGGCCAGGAAGGACCCAGTACCAGGACGAAGGGAGTGCAGGACTGGGCCCTGTGGGGACTGTCCCTGCCAACCATGTGACCAGATTCTCTGAGCCCCAATGTGTCCCTTGCCAGCACCTGGGCCTGGAACCATAGATGTGCTTTGTAACCCAGGCCAGCCCTTGCCTTCTGGGTCCCCCTCCCCTGGCAGTGGCACTGACCACTTTTGCTTGTAATGGTCACCAGACTGCAAGGACCCTGGTTACAGCTGTGGGCAGCTTGTGGATCCTGCACTTGCAAACTTATGCTCGTCTTCCCTGATTCTTCTCCCACCTCTCACCCTGGGCCCCAAGGTCTCCTCCTGTGATTCCTGACCACAGAGTCCTGCCAGAGGGGCAGGCAGCAGCCCTAGGTGCCTCCTGAAACAGACACCCCACACTAGTGGGCTGGGAGACTGCCCTGGAGAGTGAGGCAGGGGACACCAGACATGAACCCAGGGGTGTTATCAAGCCTGAGCCAAGTGCTGGAGGGGCCCAGGTCCATCCCAGATCCGGAACTCAGCAGTCAGGAAAGGGTCTGGGGAGGGTGTCATCTCTTCCCCACCAGGAGATCCCAGAAAGAGCAGTCCCCCCTCTGACCCAGGGCCAGCACAAGACACCCCCTACATTCCCAGGCTACTGTGAGGCAGGGAGGCTGCTGGGATCCATCACTCCTCCAGCCTGAGGGGAGCCTACCACCCCCCAGTCCGTGACGCCCCTGTAGACCCATCCCCTACAGCAGCACAGAAGTCGCCTTAGAACAGGGAATGCAGTGAGCCAGAGCCCGGGTGGGATCTCCGTAAGTTTGCTGTCCTTACATATCCTGAAGGCTCTGGGTCATGATCCAGTTTGGAAACCAGACACAGTGTGGGGACAGGGAGAAAAGGGGGTCCTCCAGGTCCCTGTCAGCTTCCTCTAGGCCCAGCCATTCTGGAAGCCGCACTCAGGAGGAGCTGACACTGAGCCCTTGCCTGCAGCCTAGCATGGAACAGACAGAAGCCACCACCTCTGCAGGGAAAACAGGTATATTGGGAACTTCTCCGTGGAAGTCAGGAACACATGGGGACTGTTGTCACCCACGCAGGACAGGTTTGTTGTGTAGGCGTCCAGTGTTATTTGGATAGAACCCCCTGTCTCCTCCAGGAGAGGTGTGGGAAGCCTGGTCTGGTTCAGGAGGCAAGACACCTCTGTGTAGACCTCAGTTCCTGCAGCTGTGGATGGGGCTGCCCGAGGTGCTTGCCACTCATGGCCTGTGGTGGTGGGGACCAGCTGGGGACACAAGCTCCCTGGGAGGTGGGGGCCCAACTGCTGTCTCTGTCTCTGATGCCCTTGTTTTTGACAGGACATTTGTGGCCCTTGGGGGTGGCTTTGGGGCTGCAGACCAGCCCCATCTCTCTGCTATGTTCCTGGTAGTAGTGACTCCTGTGGCAGCAGGAAGGCACATTCTCCTGGGCGTGGAGGTCGCCTTTGTGGCGACTGACCTCTGAGGGACCACGTCCCTGCTGAATCCCCAGTTTGTCCACCAGGATTTGCCCCATAACTCTGATGATGGTCTGGGCTTCATCAGCCATGCTGTCCATAAACAACCTTGCTGGGCCAGACCCCCAGCTCTGGACAGCATCTGCCCAGGCTTGCCTTTCTGCAGGACGTCTTCCTGCCCTGAGCCCCTCTTCCTGGGATGTAGACCCTGTGGACGGTGACTGATCTTTCTCTGGAAGTTGCTTTCTGGTGGTGCCTGTCCCTTCTCTGGCTGAGGCTGATTGTATTTCCTTTCTTGTTTGTCTCCTATTTCCCTCGTGTGGGCAGGGTGGCTCCTCCCACTGGCTTGGGAGGTCCTGGGTCCTTTGGACCTGTGTCCCTGCTCCCCTGGTCTGGGCCTCCTGTGGGCCTTGCCCTTGTCCAAAGAGCCCAGCATCTTCTGACTCTTCTGTGGGGCCTTCACTTTTGGGCTCCCAGGTTCCTGCTGCCCCAGTCTGTCCCCTCCCTTCCATAGGAGGGCACATGGCCCCTGGGAAGCTGTCGTGTTCCTCCTACTGAGCACACTCTGGGAGGTGGACAGAGGGGCCTAAGTGGGTGGCCTGTATGTGGCTGGGAGCATGTCCACATGGCGGCCTGGAAGGCACAGGCCTGTGGCGCCCTCCTGGAGGAGGATGCTGGAAACACGGCCTGGCAGCTGCTCCTCTGAGTCCACCTGCACTATGAGCGCAATCTCACTGACAACCTGTGCTTTCAGGCACAGCTGCCCTGGATCCTGAGCAACACAGATTGTAGACACTGAGGGGTTACTAGTGGTCCCCAGAGTCCCTGTGCTCCTCAGATCCACCTGAACACTTCCTGATCTTGCCCTCACACTGGCTCCCAAGGTGACTTTCCAATCAGGGGGCTTTTCCTCCTTGGCCTCCAGTGCCTCCAGGGCATCTCTGGCCCTTGCCCACTGGGACCCCATGCTGAGCTCTTGCAGGGCTCTGCTATGACAGGGGTCTCCTGGGGACATGCTCTCAGTCTCAAGCCATGCCTCATTCCCAGCCATTTCTGAACCCACACTCCCCTCGAGTCTGGGTTTCCCGGACCCCAGGACAGTCCCTCTCTGCCAGGTTCTGCCTACAAGGTTGCATATGGGGGACTGAGAAGATGCCCTGCCCTCCTGTCCAGTCAGAGAGGCCTCTGATTGCTCATGGGTGTCAGCTGACTGGGACCCTCTTGGGACCCTCTGGACTTCCTCCTGCTCAGTTGGTGGGGCAGGGACAGGGCCACTCATGGTGGGGGCTGACTTGCTTGTTGTTCTATTGTCTCCTGGACCATTCTGGGGAGGTTTTCCCGACAAAATGGCAACCTTGGCTACAGATTCAGCCAGAGATTCCCAGGAGGCCCAGGGGAGAATGGTGGAGTGTGGGAGGGGTGGAGGCTGAGCCTCCCCTGACTAGACATTTATGGGCTCTAAGGACTGAAGTTCTGGACCCCACCTGTGCCTCACACAGAACTTGAAAAGATGTGCTTCCAGCATCTGCTGGGTGCAGGGATGGAGGAAGGACAGCTCCTGGGAGGTGTTCACGTGGGCTTTCCCACCCCTCCAGGATGTCACCTTTCTCGATTTCCTGTGGGTGTCAGACTTGGGAATGGCATGTTTGGCCATGAATTAGGAGCGATGCACAGACACAGGGATCCAGCCCTCCTTGATCTCCCCCACCTTCCTGTCCAGATGGACCTGTGGCTTGTTTTCCAGATGCTGCTTTTCTGGGTCCCTGGGTGCAGAACTTACTGATTGGTACTTCCAGGGCCTCCTGAAATCACCTTCTGCTTCCTCCTTGTCTTTCTCCAGAACCTTCACTGAAGTCCTTCCTGAGCCTTGATCCTGGTTCTGGCTCTAGTTTGGACCCTAAGCACCCCTTCCCAGAGAACCTTCCAGAGCTCCTGAGCCCTGCTTTCTGCACATCCTTCGTGCCCTTTCCTACAAATTCAGAATCCCGGGAGGGCAAGAGGGCCCCCTGCGTGGCTTCTGCCTGACTCTGGGGCCTCCCTGGGAATTCCCCCTTAGGCTGCAGCAGGTCTCCAGGTGCCTTGAATCTGCTGGGAGGCCACGGGACTGCTCCTGGTGGATGGCACTCCTTCCTTGCCACCGGTGCTCTGGGAGCTCAGGGCTGGTGGCAATCCCGGGAAGGATGGGGGCTGACTTAGGGTTCTGGGAGGCTGGCCTCTCCTGGGGAAGGTGGGAAGTGGGCTGGCTCAGGACAGCCTGAGACTTTTTGAGGAGAGAGGGCAAAACCCTCTTCCACTTTGGTCATTTCTGCAAGGGCCACTCAAGATACTTTTTTCCAGTGGGGATGACAGACTGTGCCCTCTTCTGGGATGTAGGGCAAGATGCTCCACAGACCCTAATCTGGGGTGGAGAAGAGGTTGGGACAGGGGTGGAGATTTGCCCCACTGTGTCTGGATCCCAGCTAGAGGCGGGGGCTGGGACTGGGGCCAGGTTGGAGTGAAAGGTTGGGGCTGGGCCACGTGGTGGGGCTGGGGCCGTGCCTGGGAAAGCTGTGAGGGTGTCTCAACCTCAGTTTCACCTGGAAGGGAAGTGGAGGCTTTATCCGATGGTACAGAGTGCTCATTCTGTGAGGAAATGTTCCTAGAAACCCAGGCCATGGTCACCAGGGACTCGCTATTGAAAGAGGGGAGATCCCAGAAGAGATGGCTGCATTTCTGCTCTAAGTGGTCCCACATGGCCATGGCGTCAGAGACCTGCTGAGGATGGGGCAGCTTCTGTGGTAGGTTTGCCACGTTCCAGAAGGGATTTAGAGTCGTGATGTCCCACTCCTTCCCCAGTGATGTCATCTGCGGGTAGTCTGCCCACCCCCATTCTTTCTCCTGCCACATCTTCATCACTGCTCTCTTGGAGATGAGTCTCCAGCAGCTTCTGCACGTTGGGATGGAAGAATGTGCGTCCACCTGCCTCCATCTGCCTGGGTGTGGGGTCTCCCCAGAAGGAAGCCTCTGGGGGGTGGTTGGGAAGATGCTGTTGCTGGGATTTGCCCTGTGAGCAGGTGGAGAGGCCCCAGGTGGTGGCAGCCTCCCTCCAGCGGGAGAGGTCCCGGATGGGACCGCTGGAGCACCCAAGGCCAGAGATCACCCTGGTTGGAGAAGGTGGCCCCTGGTTGTGTAGAGGGGAGCTCTGGGGGACAGGGCATATTGTGGAGCCACACTGAAGTCCAGCCAGGCTGTGTTCGGGTGGAGGTGGAGAGGAGGCCACGGGAACATGGGGCTGTGGTGAAGAAGGAAAAGCATATGTGGCCGGACTGCAGGGCATTTTAGGGGAAGCAAGGGCTCTGGAGGCCTGGAGGCACTCAGGGTTGAGCGTGGTCCAAAAGGCTCTGAGAAGGTCATTGTGTCTGGTGACAGGTTGGAGGCCAGAGGAACTGGGGGAGTCCTTGGGGACAAGCTGTCAGGAGATGGATCTTGCATGCATTTCCTATGCGGCTGGTGGGCCTTAGCAGGAGCTGGTTTGTACATATCACCCAGGGCTCTCCACCTAAGGGCAGATGGGAGCCACCCTCCCCAGTGAGCTTTCTCAGGTGGCTGCACAAGGCACAAGCTGCAGCCAGGGGCAGGTGGGGTTGGGAGGTCGGGAGGGCTGGGCACCTGGTGCCCACAGCTCCTCCACCTCCCCCACTGCTGGCTTCACAGAGCTCTGTCTGTGCCTGCCCAGGGCTTCAGTCCACTCCCGCCTCTTCCCAGGACCTCCCCTCCCAGGTCAACACTGGACCCTGGGGCTGCCTCAGAGGCCCTGGTAGAAAGGACGACATGGAGAGAAGGGGAATCTCATCTTTCCAGAAGGTTGGTCAGGTCCTGAGTCTCCTCCAGCTCCCTCAGGAGGATTCTGCAAGCTGGAAGTAAGGAGACAGAGTTATGGCGGGGAGGGCGGTGCCAGCGAACCTCATGGGAGGCTGAGTGGTGGATGTCTCTTTAGGGGACACCATGGGGAACTAGACCCTGAAGCCCATGCATCTGTGTCCAAGGCCACATGGCCCCAATGGTGACAGCAAGGTGTGCATTGTGCAGAACTTTGTCATTTGCAAAAAGTGCTTCCATGTACAACCCCTCATGGGTGTCACAACCATCTTGTGGGGAGAGTGGATGGGGTGGTCTCTAAGAAGAGTCAGCCATGGCCGAGGAGAACAGCTGTCCACATGGACCTGGGGTCTCCCTGACCTCCCCCCATATCCTGGCAGGCCTTGGTCCCTTCCCCACAGCACCCCCTTATGGGCAATACCGGTTCCCGGGCCCATGGCTTCATTCCCACAGGGAATATGAGGAGGCCCCGGGTTCTGATTTCCCTCCCAGGAGCTTCCCTCTCAGGCCTCTGCAAATGATTCCCTCAGGGACAGACGATGCTCAGTCACCTCTGGGGAGTCTCAGGGATTAGTAGGGCCTCACAATTCAGAGCTGGGATCTTCTTCCTGCTCCTGGGCCTCCCCTCTCTCTTCCTTTGATGCTGAGAGGCAAGCAAGGGTGAGGGGCTGGGACCAGTTCTCAGTCTCCTCTTCCCAGACCAGCTGCACACACGCAGTGCTCTTGAAGGACACGGCTTTCTGCCTGTAGCTCAGGGAGCTCTGCGTGCGTTTCTTTTACTCATGTTTACCATTGATGAAATGTTTTCTGTTTTCCTTCTTAGGGAAATGCAAGCAGGGGTTTTCTGTGTGACTCCACCCTGGATATCCCCAGTCCCTGCTCCTCCGCTGAAGGCATACCCAGGCTCAGGCCTACAGGCACCTCTGAGCTGCCAGTAGGATTCTGCTTCAGAGGAGGCCAGACGTGAATCCAGGCTCTAGCGGGAGGCTCTCAGGGGTTCAGCACAGCTCCCAGATCACCCCACACAGAGGAGCCTGGACCCCCAGGCACCTGCCTTGGAAAGGGGCTGATGAGCCAGAGCTGGGGCCTGTCCTCCCACAGAGACCTCACCCCTCTCCTGATCTGGTCCTCGCCACTGAGTCCAGTGTTGGGTTTTGCCCTGATGCCTCCCGCGCATGTCACAGATAGTCTGGGAGCTGAGGATGGAATCCTCTGCCCACTCCCACCCCTGCCTGCTCTGCCCTTCCCTAGAGGGATGATGAGATTTCCCATCGCAGGAGAGTCTCTCATTACTTAGGAAAAGTGGAAATGAGGGGAGGAAAAGAAGAGAGAATCTTTCTCTGTGGGGCTGGGCTGAGGGCTCCTTACCTTCCTGCTGCTCCTCTTCCTCCCATGCGGGGGTGAGGGTGGGACACTGGGGAGGTAGGGGGCTAATAGGAAGAGGAAGCCCAGGCTCCACACTGAGGTGAGGATGAAATCCACAATCCAGGGAGTGGAGCTGGGGCCCAGCCACGTGGCACTAGGGCTCTTCAGAGGAAAGAGCATTTTTTCCATCTGAAGTGCAATGTTGCCTTCAAGCAACTGAGCCCTGGGCATCGCTTTTGGGACTAGGGACTGGAGCCCAGGCCTGCATCACAGAGCTGGGGCCTCCTCCTCACCAAGGGCTCCTGGGGGCAGGGGAGGGGCAGTGGGAGGAGGAGGCTGAAGCGCAGCCCCTCCTTCAGGTCCCAGTTCCAGTCCCTCCACCCTCCTGGGTCCCCCAGATCTTTCCTTCCCACTCCAGTTGCTCACCCTGTCAGAGACAGCCCTGGGTCCATTTTCTATTCTGTTCCCTGGAACACAGATGTTACCTGGTTTTGTGGAGATCTCTGTGCCAGTCCCTCAATCTCCTGCATCTTTAAATCTAGACTTCTCCCTGGAGTTTCTGTTATTTCTCCAGTTTCTTGCTCTTAGGAACTCATTTGTTTGCAGTTCTAACTTTCCCCCTTAATATGTTCTTGCCCTGCATCAACTCAGACATAGAATTTACATTTTTTGTACTTATTGATCGTTGTGAATTTTGATTACAATTTTCATAGTTTTTTAAAAGTTTAATATTTATTTTTGTGGGCACACAGTAGGTGTATATGTTAATGGGGCACATGAGATACTTTCATACAGGCATGCAGTGTGTAATAATCACAGCATGGTAAATGGGGTGTCCATCACCTCAAGCCTTTTTCCTTTGTGTTACAAACCATCCAATTATACTCCTTATTTTTTAAATGAACAATTAAATTATTATTGACTATAGGCATTCTATTGCTGTCAAATACTACAAATACCCAGTTTTATTCATTCTTTCTAATTACCTTCTTTATCCATTAACCATCCCCGTCTCTCTCCCCCTGTGCCTTCCCAGCCTCTAGTAACCATCCTTCTACTCTGTATCTCCATGAGTTTGACTGTTTAATTTTTAGCTCTCACAAGAGAGAACATGTGATGTTTGTTAGTCTTTCTTTGCCTGATTTCACTTAATGACCTCCAGTTCTATCCATGCTATTGCAAATGATAGGCTCTCATTGTTTTTTTATGGCTGAAGAGCACTCCACTGCTTATATGTACCACCTTTTCTTTATCCTTTCATCTGTTGATGGACACTCACTAGGTTGATTCCTAATCTTGGCTATTGTGAACAGTGCTAGAAGGAACATGGGAGTGCAAGTATCCCTTCAATATACTGATTTCCTTTCTTCTGGGTGTGTACCCAGCAGTGGGATTGCTGGATCATGCGGTAGCTCTAGTTTTAGTTTTTGAGGAACCTCCTAACTGTTCTCCATAGAAGTTGTACTGACTCACATTTCCACCAACAGTGTATGAGGGTTCCCTTCACATCCTCGCCAGCATTTGCCATTGTCTGTCTTTTGGATGAAAGCCATTTTAACTGGGGCGAGATGAGATCTCCTTGTAGTTTTGATTACCTTTCTCTGATATCATTGATGTTGAGCACCTTTTCATATACCTGTTTGCCATTCATATGTCTTCTTTTGAGAAATGTCTGTTCACATCTTTTGTGTATTTTTTATTATTTTATTTTAACTTCCGGGGTACATGTGCAGGATGTGCAGGTTTGTTACATAGGTAAATGTGTGCCATGGTGGTTTGCTGTACCTATCAACCCATCACATAGGTATTAAGCCCCGTATGCATTAGTTATTTTTCCTGATGCTCTCTCCTGCTTCTGACAGGCCCCACAGTGTGTTGTTCCCCTACCTGTGTGCATGTGTTCCCTTTGGTCAGCTCCCACTTATAAGTGAGAACGTGTGGTGTTTGGTTTTCTGTTCCTGTGTTAGTTTGCTGAGGATAATGGCTTCCAGCTTCATTCATGTCCCTGCAAAGGACATAATCTCATTCTTTTTTATGGCTGCATAATATTCCATGTTGTCTATGCACCACATTTTCTTTATCCAGTCTATCACTGATGGGCATTTGGGTTGATTCCATGTCTTTGCTTCTGTGAATAGTGCTGCAATGAATATATAAGTGCATTCATCTTTATAACAGAATAATTTATATTCTTTGGGTACATACCCAGTAATGGGATTGCTGGGTCAAATAGTATTTCCCATTCTAAATCTTTGAGGAATCGCCACAATGTCTGCCACAATGGTTGAACTAATTTACATTCCTGCCAACAGTGTAAAATTGTTTCTATTTCTCCCCAACCTCACCAGCATCAGTTGTTTCTTGACTTTTTAATAATTGCCATTTTGACTGGCATGTGATGGTATCTCATTGTGGTTTTGATTTCCATTTGTCTAACAATCAGTGATGTTGAGCTTTTTTCCTTATGTTTGTTGGCTGCATCTATGTCTTCTTTTGAGAAGTGTTTGTTCATGTCCTTTGCCCACTTTTTAATGGGGTCTTTTGTTTTCTTCTTGTAAATTTCCTTAAATTCCCTGTAGATTCTGGATATTGGACCTTTGTCAGATGGATACATTGCAAAAATTTTCTCCCATTCTGTAGGTTGTCTGTTCACTCTGATGATAGTTTCTTTGCTGCGTGAAACTCTTTAGTTTAATTAGTTCCCATTTGTCAATTTTTGCTTTTATTACAATTGCTTTTGGCGATTTCAACATAAAATATATGCCCATGACTATGACCTGAATGGTATTGCCTACATTTTTTTCTAGGGTTTTTATAGTTTTGGCTTTTACATTTAAGACTTTACTTTATCTTGAGTTAGTTTTTGTACAGGGTGTAAGGAAAAGATCCAGTTTCAGTTTTCTGTGTATAGCTAGCCAGTTTTCACACCATTTATTAAATAGGAAATCCTTTCCCCATTGCTTGTTTTTGTCAGGTTTGTTGTCTTGCCTAGAGGTTACACACTGAATTACCATTTGGAGATCATCCATTCCCACCTGGTGTGGATCAAAGATAACAGGGGCCAACAGGAGAAAGTTTGAGCCTTGCCAGGTCAACACTGGTGCTGAACAAAGTGACTTGCGTCTGTTTTGCTACATGTATTTTGCTTTGGCTGGGATGGAAAATATTAATTTGATTCCCCATGCAGCCTGTTGAGCAGCATCTTGCAAAATTGGGAAGCTTATGCCTATGGTTCCATCAAACAGAAAAGCATAATTTTATTTTGTAATGGAACTTGGCTCCCATAGCTATGTTACACTGAGCAAGGTCATCAAAGCTGCTCTGTTCTTCTGAAAGCTGCAGAGAAAGGGAACCCAGAAACCTGGTATGCTGGCGAAAAAAGGGTAAGAAATTCTTACCAACCAAGTTTCTCATATTTCTCTCTCTCTCCCTGTCTCTCTCCCTCCCTCTCCCTCTGTGTGTTTGTGTGTGTGCGTGTGAATGCAAATGGTAAATATCACTGTTTGTCTTCTCTCCTCTGTTTTCTCTTTTCTACAAATAGAAAAAAGGATTTGTGAGACTAGTCTTAGGCTGTAGCAAATCTGGAGCACTTTGTGCTAAGAATTTATCTTTCTGCTTTGTTCTTTAATGGAGAGAGAGGTATCACAGGAGAGAAGGTGGGCTTAGGACCCCTATAAGCCTGCCTTTCAAGCCAGCCTGGCAGCTGGTCATTTACAAACTTTGCTGGGGGTCCCCAAGACCAGTGCCATATAAAGTTTCCATCTTTTCGTTTTATGCCCTTGAGAGCTTAACCTTGTGACCATGTGGGGATACTTTCTCTTGGTGTCTGCCATTCAGCGGACAGGAATTTGGGGATTCATGTCATAGCACTAAAAATTATCTTGAGCAGGTAGAAGCTTTTGCAAGGTCAAAATTGGCACCTCTAGGCTCCTTCTGGGAAGAGCAACAGAACCTGCTGAATGATGTAGCTCAATAACCAAGGCTTTTGTCTTTTGACAGTGGCTGCCCCAGGTTCAATTCTTGGCTTTGGGAATGATTCCCTTCTTGTTTGTTATTTGTGTAACTGCCATTTTTTGAGGGATTCCCCCCTTTCTATGGATAATTTCTGATTTCCTGTCTTGAATTTTCCTTTCTGTGAACTACCCTGGGGAAATTCTAACTCTTGTTTAAAAAAAACTACTTACCATCTCTTTGAAACACATCATGAGTTCATGGTTAAGTTATAACCTTAGTTAAAACTTATTAATTTCATGTGAGAGGTTACCTGGTATAGAATTCAAAAGCCAGAAATGTGGGGTGTCCTCACTAGAGCCTGGTAATAAGGGATTTTGAAAGTTTTTTTTTTTTTTTTTAAACAGCAGAGCTCTATGGTTAAAAGTGGCTTAATTAAAAATAGACATCCAGGGTTGGGTGGGGTAACCCTAGATATCTATTTTCATGCCTGTAATCCCAGTACTTCAGGAGGCCAAAGCAGGAGGATTGCTTCAGCAGGAGTTTGAGACAAGCCTGGAAAACATAGACCACATCTTAAAATTAAATAAATAAATAAATAAAAGTACCCAAACTATATCTATTTAAAAGGCCTTTATCTTTTCCTCTTCTAGATTCATGTCTTTCTGGAATAAGTTCTTTTCTTCTGAATTGATTTTCTCCATTTTTTCTTCTTGCCATGCTTAAAGCACACCTGAGAGAACCTAGATAAATTCTAACAGCCTGGGACTCATAGGGAAAAACAGAGGAGGCATCACAGACCCCATTCTGGGAAAAACCTCCATTTTCCTCATGAAACCCCAGGAGCTGAAAGTTGATAGATCTCCCTCAAAATCTAAGTCTCGGTTCAATTTTCAATTTTACATTATGTTACCTGACTTTTTTTGTTTTTTTTTTTTTACTTTTGGGTATATCAGAAATTGCTTCACATTATGGGAGAGCTTTTAGCCATGGTTTATAATAACCAGATAGGAAATACACTATAAGGGACTGCTAATGGCAATTAGGAGGAATACTTGGCTCCTTGCATGCTTGGATCAGAGAAGCACACTCTTGACCACCTAGAAGGTATGAAAACATCCCTATCCCCCACTGAGAGATGAGAATCCCATGGGGGATGGGCTGATTACAAAATGGGCTGATTGGCTTTGGATTGTCTTGCAATAAAATGCAGGGTAGAAGCACTGCACTAGCTTCTTCTGTAGTATTTCCCTCTTTTTGGGGGGAATCCAGGATCCCATATAAAATGGCAACCTTAATTTGGGGGATCTGTTTTTGCCTTCCAGCTGTGCCTGCTTATTAGGCCCTAGAAATTGCATGCTTTCCCAGCCCTATTTTTCAAAGGGCTCCAGCCTGAATCTAGTAATCCCACTAGGAAACTTAAGAACTGGCAAATGAAAAATCTTACAACTACTGGATCTTCTGTCTGTCTATGTATTTATATATGTTTTGTGTGTGATGTTTACATAAAAGCTCTAATTAATTGGTTTAAAGAAAAGTAGGCACTTAAGTCAAATATTTTGTCAGTAAAATTAAAACTAATGCCCTTTAGTTCACCTAACTTTAGTAATCTTTTGGTAATAAAGACAGATTAAAAATTATTGATAAAATAGGCTGGGCACAGTGGCTCACACCTGTAATCCCAGCACTTTGGGAGGCTGAGCTGGGCAGATCATGAGGTCAGGAGATCAAGGCCATCCTGGCTAACACGGTGAAACCCCATATCTACTAAAAATACAAAAAAATTAGCCAGGTGTGGTGGTGAGCACCTGTATTCCCAGCTACTCGGGAGGCTGAGGCAGGAGAATGACGTGAACCCTGGAGGCGGAGCTTGCAGTGAGCTGAGACTGCGCCACTGCACTTCAGCCCGGGTGACAGAGTGAGATTTCGTCTAAAAAAAAAAATTGGTAAAATAAAATGTCTTCAAAATTTAGACATTTGGTCTAAATTGGGTCTGATGTTAGGTTTGCTAAATGCTTTAAGATCATAAACTGCTTCTTTAACTTTTAAAAATTGTTCAATTTACCTAGCTTGGAGTCATTACTTTCTAGATAAGGCCCGGTGACATGTGAAATTAGCCCCCTAGCTGCTCAAAGAAGGTTAAAAAGAAAAGAGATTTTGTATAAGAAAGGATCTTGTATGGTAAATTTTTGTCCTAAAGTGAAATGACTGGTTGTTGAAATGACCGTTGTCCAAGCATGTAATAGATGGTCTAAGCCATGAAAGGATTCATGAAAGGGAATTTATGCAAGAAACGTTGTACAATTTAAAGGTTATTAGGCTGCCTAAATGCTTCACAAACGCCACTGTGACTCTTAACTATACACTTACCTGCGTTACTGCTAGGTAAGTGCTGGGCATATGTGGAGATAGCCACATCCCATAGCTATGCTGGAAAAAGTCAGACTTGATCTGCACTTCTGTCCTTTGTCTGTCCTAAGCTCCACACTTGGTACATAATTAAAATGTCCTACTAACCAGGTTTTTCACCAAAAATAGAAGTTGCACAGAGTTAACAGTGTAACATGTATTGAGGCTACTGAAGAAACATTTCCACATTCAAGGCATGTAAGAAAAGTAGAATGTACTTTTGGTAAAAGATTATAAGAAGACCTGGGAATATGGATTTCTTTCCCAAGTTTAGAGGGTTATTGTTTTAAGTGAGACAGGAAAAGTCTAAAGGTTTTTTTTTTGTTTGTTTGTTTTTTGTTTTTTGAGATGGAGTCTCGCTCTGTCGCCCAGGCTGGAGTGCAGTGGCGCAATCTCGGCTCACTGCAAGCTCCGCCTCCCAGGTTCACGCCATTCTCCTGCCTCAGCCTCCCAAGTAGCTGGGACTACAGGCGCCCGCCACTACGCCTGGCTAATTTTTTGTATTTTTAGTAGAGACGGGGTTTCACCATTTTAGCCGGGATGGTCTCGATCTCCTGACCTCGTGATCCGCCCGCCTCGGCCTCCCAAAGTGCTGGGATTACAGGCGTGAGCCACCGCGCCCGGCCTAAAGGTTTAAGCAAGTTGTGAAAAGTTTATAAAAAATTAATTGTAAAAGAGATTCTGTGTGTAAACATATTGGCTAAAGTTAAAGGGGTATTAGTCAATGTTTCCATAAGTTGAACATTGGAATAAAAGCATAACAGAGTTTTCTTAAAACATGGTTCTGCTCTGTAACAACAACAACTAAATTGTAAAGGGTTATAAAAGGTTTATAAGAACATTAACTTATGGTCAAACTAATTAAAACTGGATAGATTTATAAAATTTTAATAAAAACTAGCTTTAGCATTAAAGGTGCAATAATGCAAACATGAAATTTGGTTTTCTCTTTTGAAAAAGATTCTTGTGTAATATTGAGAAGCAATGAAAAAATTTTGTTTGCCTTTTAAGGGAGGGGAGAGAGAAGTGACCAATTCAGGGGACGGCTTCACTGGGTCTTGTAGTTTGAGAAGCTGAGTCTCTTTTCTATCAAACTAAAGGTTTTTTCCTTTTTAAAACTTTGTGAGTTATCATTTTGGCTAAATAACTGACTTATGGTGACCTGGCATTCTATTTTGTGACATCCAGTGTTTTAAACCATATTTGACAAACCTGACAAGATCAAATTAGAAGTTAAACAAAAATAGGTCCCCTACAGTCCAAAAAGATATAATCTGCTTATTTAATGTATTAAAATCATGCAGAAAACATGGCCAAATATAAAATGATGTTTAACTTTCTTTGGGTTATATTCATATAAATACGTTATTAGCATGTGTTTCAAAACTGTATAAGATTCTTATAAGTTTGATATGCCTTAGCATATGTTATCAGTAATAATTATAATTGATACATTAAATTATTGTGTGCCACAGAGGTTAAAAATTTTCTTGTTTTATAATCAGCTATGAAACTTGGATGGGTGCTCTTGAATGCAAGTTTCTGATAGCTTTGGAGATTGCAACATTAGAATAAAGGAAAAAACGTTCAGGACTCTCATGGAGAGCTGACTTGTTCAGGAACATTAAGCAGAACAAGAGTTTACTGAATGGAATGAACTAATAGAAAACTGAACTAATCTTTTCCTTTTTTTTTTTTGCTTAAAATGTGGCTGTTCCTTTTCATTTTTCAGAGAGCCAAGAAAACTTTTCTTTTGATTACAGCTTTTAACAACTGAGAAAAATATACTCCTGTGAACAAAATTTGGAGCATGTTTGTTTCTCTCTACCTGATTTCTCAAGAATCTGGAAGCTATTTGCAAGTATTCTTAATTTATGGCAACATAATTATTTGCATAAGTGCAATAAGAATGTTTTCTTTTGCAACAGGACACAATTGGAGAAACTGTTTATTTTACTAAGGTTTTGACTGGGATGGCATGCTTTTGTTTAAGGAATCAAACTTGATTTACAAAGCCAATAAAAACCCCTAGGGTAAACTGGCCTCATACCTTGTCTACGCAGTCCCTGTACAGGGTTCCTAACGTATGGTAAGTAAAGAATGTCACTTTCCAAAAGGCCCCGGAATCTTAAGTTATCTTGGGATCTCAAGAAGAGGGGAATGTACCCAACTCATAGGCATTTGAGGGTACAAACCCATGGCTGGGATGGGCTTTAAAAAAAGTCTATCTAAGACTCTTTATGCAGAGTTCCATCAAAGCCAACTTAAAAGGTCCATGTGAAAAATAATTATTCTTGCTGTGCTCTTTGCAAATAATCATGCCAAGTATAATAAAATTAAAGTTTATTTCACAAACAAAATCAGTCCTATCAGGATTTGTTTTTAATAAAAATAAGAACTGAAGAGAGAAAAAATTGTTTCAAAAACTACAGTACACCTGTTGTTAGTTGTTTTTGAGGATGTTTTTTTCTGCCATTTAGACTGAATCCTAAATTTTGGGAGGCTACAAGTGCTCAAACTAATGCTTTTAAGTCTTTACTTTTAAAACTGGGAATGGCACTCCTTGTTCCGGAACTCATTACTTACCTTATTGTACACTGTTTGTGTAAATGTCGTACTAAAACTGTAGATGAGAATACGAATGCCTTTGTCATGAAAGCCTTGGAAGCTCAGCCTGGCCTGCGTGAGTACACTCAAACAGCTCAGACAGCTGCAAAGCAGTTCCACTCCTCTCACCTTGGGGTCAACACCTACCCCACTATGCCCCCTGTCTGCAGGAAGAATCCAGAGTGATCGACGGCCTTTTCCCATCTTCATAGCCCACACCTTAAGAATAAGGTGCTATGAAACCCTAAGGGAGGGATTGAAACAGCCTTTGCAAAAATTATAACTGAGAAAATAATGACAGTGAAAGAGATCAGACCTAACCGACTCCATCTTGCTTCTAACCTTTAAGCTGTCCTTGTTCATTCCTGGGCATAGGCCGAACTAACCTCGGGAAGGAATTTGCAGACCCTGCACTCGATGGATCAGCTGACACCGCCTAGACTGGTAATCTGGCTCAATCAGTTCTGAGATCCTACCCAGGAACAGAAGATAGCAAGGAAACCTCACTTCGACCCCCTATGATTCCATCTCCAACTTGATCAATCAGCACTCCCCACTTCTCTAGCCCCTACCCGTCAAATTGTCTCTAAAAACTTAAGCTGAGCACGGTGGCTTACGCCTGTAATTCCAGCACTTTGGGAGGCCGAGGCGGGCGGATCACGAGGTGAGGATTTGGAGAGCAGCCTGGCCAACATAATGAAACACCGTCTCTACTAAAAATACAAAAAAACAGCTAAGCGTGGTGGCGGGCACCTGTAATCCCAGCTACTTGGAAGGCTGAGGCAGGAGAATCGCTTGAACCCTGGAGGCAGAAGTTGCAGTGAGCTGAGATCACACCATTGCACTCCAGCCCAGGCAATAGTGCGAGGCTCCATCTTAAAACAAAACAAAACAAATGCTCAAGAAGTCTGATTTGAATAATAATGAAACTCTGGTCTTCCGCAAAAATAAAGTAAAAATACAGGTAAGTTAATTCTAATAAGGTCTATTGTTACAAAGTCTTTTTGAGTTTCTATACAGCAGAACAATATTACAAGACAGAACCTTCAAAAACCACTTCATTGCAACTCTGAGTCCCTAAGGAAAAGAGAAAAAAATGTGGAAAAATCAAACGCTTTTTTAATGGCACAGAGGTCATTGTTTTCTTCTATAATTGCAACAGCAAAATCTAGATATCTGGGTATATATACATGTATATGTGTTTTTTACATTTTAGATAGCATGCCATTCTCCATTTTATGAAAATTTCATATAGAATACATATATTTGAAATATGAACTGAAAAACATTAAGCATTAATAAAGAAAATAATGAACATCTCCTACTGGAATAACTTACCATTATTGTTTTTATATTTATCAACAGCTCTAGAACTTTAACATGGACATATATAAAAGTGACCACTTCCTTAGAATTCCATTTTGAGTTCTCGTTTTGTTGTGTTTTATTTGGTTTTGTTTTGGTTTTGTTTTGGTTTGTTTTGAGACGGAGTCTCGCTCTGTCGCCCAGGCTGGAGTGCAGTGGCACAATCTCGGCTCACTGCAACCTTCGCCTCCCCAGTTCAAGCGATTCTCTTGCCTCAGCCTCCTGAGTAGCTGGGATTACAGGCGTCTGCCACCGCGCCCGGCTAATGTTTGTATTTTTTTTAGGTTTCACCATGTTGGCCAGGCTGGTGATTTCCCGTTTTGAAAAGTAAAGGTTTCAGCCGAACGGAGACCTACTTTCTGCTGTGTCACATCGCCCTCTGGTGGCTAAATGGCTTTCTTACACAGTAACCCCAAATAATAACTATCATATAAAAGAACTTTTTAAAAAATCGTGATAACATTAAAATGATTAGAAATATATAACTCATAAGCAAAGTCACAGCACTATGATATTTACATGTTTATCACACGTCAAATACATTTAAATATTTTGTGATGTGTGAATCTTCACATTCCTGAACCACCTATAAAGTTCCATTTCCCAAGGTTAAATTGAGGCAGGATTTTTAAAGACTTTTAACTAGCTAACAGAGAAAAGTGTACAATTTCCATTAACCTCCCCAGTGACAAGCTTTCTCAAGACCCAGCGAGGTTGTATGTGTGTTTGTGTTTTGTTTTTGTTTTTGTTTTTGTTTTGAGACGGAGTCTCGCTCTGTCGCCCAGGCTGGAGTGCAGTGGCGCCATCTCGGCTCACTGCAAGCTCTGCCTCCTGGGTTCACGCCATTCTCCTGCCTCAGCCTCTCGAGTAGCTGGGACTACAGGCGCCCGCCACCACACCCGGCTAACTTTTTTGTATTTTTTAGTAGAAACGGGGTTTTACCGTGTTAGCCAGGATGGTCTCGATCTCCTGACCTCCTGATCCACCCGCCTCGGCCTCCCAAAGTGCTGGGATTACAGGCATCAGCCACCACGCCCGGCCGTGTGTTTGTGTTTTAATATGGTTTTTCTGTGTATAAAAGCTATACGTGTTCATCTTAGAAAATTTAGAAATGACAGAATTTGATTTTGCTTATTCTAAATCCCTTGGGATTATTTCCAGTATAGATGGCAGTGAGGAAGGAATAATTTCAGGACACTGGCTTTCTTCTTCCACAAGACCCCAGCTGGGCAAAGGGAACTGGATGGCCTTGGGCCTGTGGCCCCAGTGCACCCTCCTCTGGGGCCTGTACCTGGCTCTGGATAGTAATCCCCACTGCAGAATGGAAGAGGCTGCTCCCACATAAGCCATTGAGTCCAGACTCCAGAAACCTGGGTCCGTGCAGTACTCAAAAAGGAAAGTACCGACCACCCAGACCAGAGCTGGCAAGAAGGCGAAATGGGATTGATTCATTCATTCAACAAATACTCGCTGAGCTCCAGCCGAATGCTAGGCACCATGTTCAGGATATAGATGACTGACGTAATCGCTGGCCTTGGCAGTTTGGGGTAAAGAGCTATCATCACTGCTGACTTCATAACAATCACATGCCTTCAGAGATAAAGTGAACACTCACTTCTAACAAAGCAAAAATAAGAAGAAAAAGAAATGCACACTCCCGATTTCTTTGTCCAAAGTGGTATGACTGGGTGATTTGTGACCTTCCCATTTGCATGCCCGATTGCCAAAAAGCATGGCAATTACCCCACACACCTTTACTCATCCCAAACTAACTATGCTGAAAACACTGCACAATGGAGATTTCCTTTATGCCTGCTCAGGCCTAACAGTTCCATATTCACTGGCCTGGCTGTCTTCTCCAAGCTGAAAGAGGCAGAGCCATTACCAGTATTTTTCTTGGAAGGGCAGGAAGTAAAAACACATCTGAGTAACACTCAAGAAAATATTGTTTATGTCCAAGATGATGAATTAATCTTTTTTTATTCTCTCTTTCTCTTTTTTTTTTTTTTGAGACAGTCTTTCTCTGGCACCCAGGTTGGAGTGCAGTGGCATGATCACAGCTCACTACATCCTTGACCTCCCAAGTTCAAGCCATCCTCCATCAGTCTCCAGAGTTGCTGGGACTACAGGTGCACCTTGCCTGGATAAATTTTTTATTCTTTGTAGAAATGGGGGCTCACTATATTGCCCAGGCTGCATCTTTATTCTTTCATCCCATCCTCAACTAAAGTCATGTTACTGTAATAGAAGTGAAATACCATAGCCCCGTGTGCCTCAGCAGGCAGGGGCTGTCAGCACTCTTCATATTGCTGAGCATTTCAAAGCTGTGTTGGCAGCTGTTCCACAGTCGACTTCAGGGTCCCTGAGATGATTGGCTCTTGGAGATGATCCAGCAGGGTTCTGGTAGCTGAGCTCATCCACCAAGTCCACACTGGCAGTGAAAATGGCTTCTGGGCTTGGGGCTTTCTGGGCCCAGCCCCAGGGCAGACTGAGTCAACACACGAAGGACAGCCTTCTGCACCCACAGCAGACAGGGGAGGGGCAAAGGGAGACACGCGGTCCCAGTGGGGCAGGGAGGCTAGAACACGGCCACACCCTTTGCGAGCCACAAACATTTTTGCTGAGCACAAAATTCTCTCCAGCTGGGCAGACAGAGGAAAAAAGCAAAATGAATGAGTAGAGCACGTGGCACATCATCAGGGAGTTCCATGGAGGAAAGTGGAGCAGGTGAAGGGCAGGACGAGGGACATGGAGTGCCAGCTAGGGGCTCGAGAAAGTGATGGCAAGAGCTATGTAAGGCTGACATTGGGATATGGTTCTGAAGGGAGTGAGGATGGTGACGTGGCTGTGTGTGGAAAGGGAATGTCAGGCGGGGGTGACAGCAGGGATAAATGCCTGGAGAGCATGGCTGTGTGTGGAAAGGGAATGTCAGGCCGGGGTGACAGCAGGGATAAATGCCTGGAGAGCAGAGTGGCCCGCTATTTCCCAGGAGGAAGGACCTGTGGCTCAAGTGTCAATGAAAGTGAGCGGAGAGGGCTGAAGTCGGGGTAACAGGGCCAGCCTGTGTGCAGCCCCCTGGATGTGGGCGAGGGAGTTGTCTCTGCCGTGTGAGAGGAACAGCCACAGGAGGGCTTTCAGGAGAGCGCATGGTGTGAGGTTTTTCAGACTCACTGTGGCTACTGTGGGAAGAGTGTTTTAGGTGCCTCCCCTTTACCCCACTGGGTCAGCAGGGTTTCTGCCCTAGGCCTAGGGGGATGGCTGCACACACACGCACGACACTTGACAGAGGAGATGAGCACTGGCTTATTAGCCACATAGACAGACTCATACCCCGAGGAGGAGAACCCCAGGCCATGCAGGGGGAATCCGCGGGACTGAACAGCCCTGAGCTCAGGAGAGGGTCTACATGCATTGCAATTAAAAAGGAAATGCAGCCGGGTGTGGTAGCTCATGCCTGTAATCCCAGCACTTTGGGAGGCCGAGGTGGACGGGTCACCTGAGGTCAGGAGTTTGAGACCAGCCTGGCCAACACGGAGAAACCCCGTCTCAACTAAAAACACAAAAAAATTAGCCATGTGTGATGGTGCATGCCTGTTATCCCAGGTATTCGGGAGGCTGAGGCATGAGAACCACTTCAACCTGGGGGGCAGAGATTGCAGTGAGCTGAGATCACACCACTGCACTCCAGCCTGGGTGACAGAGTGAGACTGTGTCTCGAAAAAAAAGAAAATGCATGCCGTCAAGTCCGCTCGTGCCGAGATGAGGTGTCTCCAGTTGTCCAGCATCACATCGCGGTACAGGGTCCTCTGAACAGGGCCCAAGCACTGCCAATCCTCCTGGCGGACCCCCAGCCACGTCCTTGAATGACACTGATACCTGTAATTGTGCATTTCTCAGCACTTTGGGGGTTCGGAAACAGGGACATGGAAAACACATTTGGGATGTGATTCCTACTATGTTTATTGTTGCAAATCTAAACAAGTTACTGTAAGGTATGCCTATTTTAGTTCTAGTTTTGCCTTACGCTTTTGGGGTAACTCAAGCAGTAAACATATTTTGAACATCGTAACTCATTTGTACATGAGCGTGCATTAGATACATATACTATCATGTACTAAGCTAACACTAGTATTGTTTTAAAAAATTCTTATTTAGGTGAAAATCAGTGTAATTAGAGTTTTCACAATTTCCTTTCCACACTTTAAAAGATCATCTTGGGCATTCCCTGGGCTGTACACACCCTCCTTGAAGATCCTGCTGTGGCTACTGGGGAGTCTGTAAAGTGATCCATGTAAGGCCTGAATGTGCTGTATCAGACTTATGTCAAAGAAGCAATGCTTCAGAAGAGTGGACGGTGGCTGAAGGGGAAGCCAGAACCAGAGACCTGAAAAAGAGATGACCGCCTTCACTAAAGCAACAGCAATGGGGAAAGGAATCGGGGACTAGTCCCATGGCAGAAGCTGCAACGGAATTTGTCATCCATTTCTTGAGTGGCTTCCCTGAATGAGTAGCTGGGTCAATGCTGGTGCCATCTATAGTATTAAGGGAAAGATGGCAAAGTCAGAGTCTATAAATGAGGATTCTACGGCAGTTCTGGACCTTGTGGAACTTTATGTCTAACTGGAAAGATCCAGAAATGGCAGTTTTCACTAATCTGCGAAGTGCAGAGGCAGGGGCAGCACGGGCTCTGAGGACTGAGATGAGGAAGGACAAGTGGAAAGAGAAGAGGATCGGTTTTGTGGATGAGGCCATCAGACTTGACTCATGACAAACCAGGAGGAATGGAGAAGCTGACGGGGCAGGGTTCAAGGTCCATGCAGCCCCAGTGAGAGCATGAGGTGAAGCTGTGTCAGAACAGCAGGATGTGTCCGGGATTTAGTCGCACCTGAGAATAAAGTTACATGGTGAACTTTTCTCATCACTTTCCCCAGTGGACAGTAAACCCCACTGTGGGAAACGGCATTTTCAGCTGTAACTGTGCAGATGCCACACCCCTGGGCAGTCCTCACTCTGCAGGCTCCGATTCTCACAGCGCCCAGTGATGCCAGCAAAACACTTTATCAGGAGTGTCCAATCTTTTGGCTTTCCTGGGCCACACTGGAAGAAGAACTGTCTTGGACTGCACATAAAATACATTAACACTAACAAAAGCTGATGAGCTAAAGAAAAAAAATGACAAAAAATACCTCATAATGTTTTAAGAAAGCTTACAAATGTTTGTTGGGCCTCATTCAAAGCTGTCCTGGGCTGCATGCAGCCCGGGGGCTGTTGGTTGGACATGAAGGGGATTCTTAGAGAGATTTCACTGCACTGAATGCTCACAGTTTATTTACATAACAGTTCAAACTCCAGTTATCACTGTGCCTTCAAAGTGCACACGTCGCTCCTAGCACCTCTGCCCACCAGCCTCTACATGAACACCAGGAGCACGTGGCGATCAGTGACCAACCACACCACTCCCTTCAGAATCTGCAGGGCCCTTCCCTCCGCATGCACAGCTCGGTTCCTGTACAGACAACACCACGTGTAGTCATCTTGCTTCTTAGATTCCTAGTAATAAAACCACTCGGAATGTTACAAAGATAAAAACTGGAAGAGTGGATTGGCCAACAAAGAGGAAAGTGCAGGAAAGAAAGGAAGAGTGACAGCCTCGGAAGTACCATTCAGACCTCCAGGAAAGGGCACTGTGGTGCTGCCTCTGTGGGTGCTGACATTGCACTGGTCAGGAGGTGCACCAAGCCAGGCTAGGGGCCACCAAGCCTGGCTTTTAATACATTTTTATAAAGAAATAAGCTTGAACTATCAGTGTGTCTAAAGATTTTAAATTACAATATATGAAATAAATATCAGTTTTCCTGAGTTTCGTTTTCATGTGTTCATATGAAGACAATATGCAATGGTAAGAGACATGTTAACGTGTGGATAAAAAAATTCAAAGGTTGCAGAACACTCATGATTTTCTCCACTGATTATTAAGATCACTTTATAGTTTTGGCTTGCATGGTCGTTCTTATAGTCACAGACTACTATGCGAAGTGAGGACTATGTCGATATAAGGAAATCTTTGTTGGATAGAAGAACACTAGGAGTTTCAAAAGGAGACATGGGAAGAAGTCATGTCCCCAAAGTCCTCTATTTGGTACTGAGAAGCTACTCACTTCGGTATAAGGAGGGGGTGACAGACTTTCCAGAGGGAGGAGGCATTATCTGAGTTCAGACGAAAGATGTGCTGAGCAGGGCAAGAGACAGGTGACCTGGTTCAGGAGAGAAAACAAAACTTTGAAATATATTTAAGAATATAAAAAACTGGCCGGGTGCGGTGGCTCATGCCTATAATCCCAGCACTTTGGGAGGCCAAGGCGGGTGGATCACGAGGTCAGCAGTTCCAGACCAGCCTGGCTGAGATGATGAAACCCCGTCTCTACTAAAAATACAAAAAATTAGCCGGACTCAGTGCAGGTGCCTGTAATCCCAGCTACTCGGGAGGCTGAGGCGGGAGAATTGCTTGAATTTGGATGGCAGAGGTTGCAGTGAGCCAAGATCATGCCACTGCACTCCAGCCTGGGTGACAGAGTAAGACTCCGTCTCAGAAAAAAAAAAAAAAAAGGATATAAAAAACTGATAGTTTTGACCTAAAAACAGCAAAACTAGAAAGACCCAATGCCCAACTGGATGTGGCAGGAGCTGAGAGGGCGGGAGGGTGGGTTAGGGTGACATTGTCCCCAGGGAGCAGGGGGATGGGTGTGATGTGGGAGCCACCCCAAGCCGTCCGGTGCCTGGCCCTGGGGTGACCAGGTGAGGGAATCAATATTCCTGCAGGATAAGAGCCACATAAAGAAGGTAGTGGAGGGGGGAGCCTATAGGAGCAGTTAATTTGCTTGTGAAAGGCGTGTTTATCACCTCTAAGAATTAGCTGGCCCTGGGAGGAGCAGTCTTTCCCCAGCCAGAGAGGCCCCAGATGCCAGAGCACCAAGAACACAGAAATAAATAAAAACATGGGTAACGTATTTGTCTGTAGTCAAGTCACTGGTGGGTGGAAGCCATAGGCAAATGGTTTCCATTTGTGATAATGGAATTTCCATGAGAGAAAATGCACCACCAAACAGGGATTTGGAACATGAATGATAAGCGTGGAAACATTTTGCAGAGAGCAGGATCGTAAGCTGTCAAGAGACTTGCAGATCACAAGTATTACTATCTTAATGGACATCCATTCTCCCTCCAGGTATTCCAGACTTTATCCCCGCCAGAGGCAAGAACATCATAAAGACATCGACCTCCACTTCTGGAAGCCAGTACTGAGCTCTGGCTTGCCACACTGCCTTCCTCTTCCATTGAAGAGCCAGCAGGGACAGCAGCCTGTGTGAGCTCAGGGTTGTCACTGCAAGGTGGTTGCTACATGACTTACACAAAGACATTTTTCAGATTTCACTTTTCTTTTTCTCTCACGAGGAATCAGTTAGCTTTATGCTTCTTATCAATGCACATATTTAAACACATAGTATCCCTCATGGCCTTGGCTATCATTATGCTCAGAAATAGCTTTGTACCAAGAGTAACTGTGTATGTCTACATGCCAACTTTGCCTTGCAATTGATCAGTTCTATGTTTTCTCTGGTTAATTGGACCATTGGACTACATTTAGACACACAGACCTTGAACCCCCCTACAGAAGCCATTGTAAAGCAAGGTGGTTGGTTCCTAAACAGATCACCTGAAACCTTCTCATTTTCTGTTGTTCTGGAAGGAGTGAGGAGGACAGGAAGGTGTCACAGAGCGGGGAGGAAGGAGAAGTGGAGTTGAGTGAGACCTGAATGGTCTTACCGCTCCTACATCGCATCCACATGCCTGAAACCCTGGACCCTGGGCCAGGTGAAGTCTTCCCTGGGGTGTACTCTTCCTTGGCCCTTGAGCCGAAGCAGGAGGGCCCCGTAGAGGCAGCACAGCCTGTCCACCCACAACGCTCATGAGTATGTGGACTCACATTTGTAGTTTTGCAGAGAGTTAATGTCAACTTTGTTGTCCATTGACTTATTAACAACTTATTTCTCCTTTGCACGGAAAAAATTCAGAGAATTGATAATATAGATTACAGTAGCCAAAGAATGAAACAACATGGTATAGAAAAAATAGCCTTATTGTTTGGCTGCATTCCCACTAGCGCTGTTGAGACTTGGGAGCACCAGGCAAGTCTCTGAAAAGGGGATGAGGAAGCCGAAAGCAAGCTGCATTTTGCTTGGCTGTAACTTCCTCTGGGTTTTCCCAGTGAATCTTTTGTTATGAAGTTTCTGGTCATTTACTGCGACAGAGAGAACAGCAGAGCCCTGAATTTTCCTCCTGGCCCTGTTGTCCACACATGGGCTATCTTAGATATATTATTCATTCTCAAGATGTCTTTCACCTTTCAAGCTCAGCACCTTTCTCCAGAAGCCTGCTCCTCTGTGCTGTGTTTCTGGCCTCAGTGAGTGAGGACAGTCACCCAGCCATCACGCGAGGAACTCAGCGGCCATCTGTGCCTTCATCTTCCTTGCAGTCAGAGGATCACTAAGTCTCACTGTTCTTCTTTAAAGCCCTCCCCATTTCTGCCCTGAATTACTGCAGCCGCCTCCCTGCTCTGCCATCCATCTGGGCATTACTGCCAGGGTAATCTTTCCGTATGTGAGTGCTGCTGATATTGGTTCTCCAAAAGGACTGCTGTGGCTCCTGTCTCCTTCGGGGTGAGATTCGAGCCATGGAGCAGCAGCTTCAGCATCCAGTCCATTTGTTGGGTCTCAGGTCCTCCAGTTTTCCTTGGATTCTCCTTCCTCACCAATCCACCGCACACTTCACTCCAACCACACAAAACACAGTTTTCAGAACAAGCCACACTGCTTCATGCCTCCCATCGGGGTCTCTCAATCTCCGTATTATTTATGCTCGGGGCTGGAGAGCTGTGTTGTAGGGGCCTGGCCTGTGTGCTGTAGGATGTTAGCAGCAAACCTGGCCTCTACCCACCACGTGCCAATAGCATACCCACCCCCCAGTTTTGATAACAAAACACCTTTGGACATTACCAAATGTGCCCTGAAAAATCATCCCCAGTTGAAAGCAGTTGCTCTTTGCTTTTACAAATGCTGGTCCTTTTACCTGGAATAACCTTCCCTTCATACTGAACTCCTACCCAGTCATCTCTTCGAAACTTCAACCCAGTCATCTTCAAAGCTTCAAAAGTCAACCCAGTCATCTCTTCTTCTCTGGTAACCTCCTTGCTCAGGCACAGCCAGAGCTAATCCTTATTTTCCTGGTGAAGCCAGCATTCTTTGTAATACCTCTAAAATCAAGCTCATCTCACTATACTGGAGTCTTTTGCTTGCAAGTGTCTTTCTTTGCACTGGCCTATGAGTGTCCAGGAGAAATGGCAGAGATCATGGCTTCTTTGTGCCCTCCTTGTCTGGGGTAGATCCTAGCAAGGCACACACCTGGGGAAAGTTTGTTCAAAGAAGGAACTGAATTCATCTTATTCTCTCATGTTAATGGCAATTAAAACATGTTCCTTTATGGTGATGTTGACACCAATATTTTGTGTTTACTAAGATAAACTCTAAACCAAAACTGGAGCCTAATTTTGCTTCTGAGGTTCTGATTTAGAATGCTAAAAGGAAACAGGTGTGAAAGCTAAGCACTTATTCTACAGGTGGGAATGTCAATGATGGGGAACAAAATCAAAATTCCTTATGGAGCCCAACCAAGCCGTTGTTTCTTCTCATCATAAAACTGATCTTAGCGGCATTTATTTAGGGTCTAATATATGTCATGCTATACTAAGATTTAATGAGATCACTATCTGATTTCCCAAATCTTTCTGAAACAAATAGATTAGCAAATTCTACCATAAACTTACACAAATTGGCATCAACTTTTGAAAAGCTGGCATTTGCACATAAATTACTATTTCATGATGACTCTATGTACAACAGATGTCTGATGTATTCTCCCAGCTCTAGAATAGTCAATAGAGGAATAAGAATATCAAAATTATTAAGCAAATCCAGAAAGTGAAATTTTTACCCAGGCAACTGGTCTTATCCCTTCAAAAATCGATGTAAATCACTAGACAAGGAAAACACGTTACCAAACACTAAAGAATTAATCCTGGAAAAGGTAAACATACAGGTAAATATAAAATACTTTTATCTTGCTTTTCATAATTTTTTATGAAATAATTTACAGTTTAAGCAAAAATAACAAAGCATGATGGTGTTTAGGACGTATGTAGAAACAAACTGTATGAAAGTATGGCTGTGGCATGTCATTGAAACATATACATATATGTTTTCATCCACAGTTCCTTGTTCATAACTCTCATAGCCCTTGTGACAGTAAACAGAATCTCTCTCTCACACCTTCTCCTGCCCTTCTTTCCCCCGCCCATGGCTGGATTCTGTGGGTCATGAGACCCTCATTCCAAAGAGGGTTTTGTCTCATAACCTGGAGGAAGGAAGGCTACACAGAGAGGCCAAGAAGAATCTGAACACACAGGCCTTGCTGGGTTTAGAACCCATTTTGTCCAATCACATTTCCACAGTCACCCATGCTTCAATCAGGCCTATCCAACAAATTCCCCATATAAAGACCCAAGAGGACAGGGTTTGGAAGCTTCTGGAGAGCTGAACACATGAAGGGTGACTAAAAGGTGAAGAACTCATTCACGTGCTGAGAGGGTGGTGCTCCCTGAATCCACATGGACACAAGCTCCTGCACCTGGGACCCTTCAAAATCTTCCAGACCTCATCCTGTGTGTATCTCTTCATATGGCTGTCCATCCGTATCCTTTAAAATGTCCTTCATAATAAACTGGTAAACAACATAAGCATTTCCCTGAGTTCTGTGAGCCACTCCAGCAAATTAATCAAACCCATAGAGGGGATTGTGGGAAGCCCAGCTTGAAGCCAGTTGATTAGAAATTCCAGAAGCCTGGACTTATGACTGGTGTCTGGGGGTGGGGAAGTGGCAGCCTTGCAGAACGGGCCCTCTCTTTGTGGGATCTGATGCCAGCTCTGGGTAGATAGAGTTGGAATTGAACTGGAGGACGTCCAGCTGGTGCCCACTGCAGAGGTGACTGCCTGCTTGCTGGTGAGGAGAAAGCCCCCACATACTCAGGGTCTCAGAAGTCTGCTGTGTAGATTGCTGTTGTGTTGGTGTGGACGCAGAGGAGAAACAGTTCGGGTTTTTCCTAAGAATGACAGTAGCACAAAAGATGGGAGGAGGAGATAGAAATATATTGTTGCAAGGTTTTTACAATATACGTGAATGGGTATCATATTATATGAAATTAAATGGTGATAAGTTTAAATTGCAAAATATAAATCCAGAGAATTCTTCTGGCCCTTATCCAAGACCATCAAGGCAGTACTTCTCTGAGTCTGCAAGAATCACAGTGTTACTGGGTTTGGGGTGCCCCCTAATACAGATATGGCTTAGACTGCAACACCCAAGTCCCTTGGAATACCTGGAAAGCTTTCCCAGAAAGGATGGGTACAAACAAGCCCAACTGCAAAGATGACACTGCCTAACTCTTCAATGCCCAGACACTACCAAACATCCACAAGCATCAAGACTCTCCAGGAAAATATGGCCTCGTCAAATAAATAAGTCACCAGGAGCCAATTCCAGAAAGACAGAGGTATGTGATCTTTCAGAGAATTCAAAATAGCTGTTTTGAGGAAACTCAATGAAATTCAATATAACACAGGGAAGCAATTTAGGATCCTAGCAAACACATTTAACAAAGAGATTGAAATAATTTTTAAAAATCAAGCAGAAATTCTGGAGTTAAAAAATGCAACTGACATACTAAAGAATGCATCTGAATCTCTTAATAGCAGAATTGATCATGAAGAAGAAGGAATTAGTGAGCTTGGGGCCAGGCCTGGTGACTCACGCATGTAATACCAGCATTTTGGGAGGCTGAGGCTAGCAGATCACCTGAGGTCAGGAGTTCAAGACTTCCCTGGCCAACATGGTGAAACCTCATCTCTACTACAAATACAAAAATTAGCCAGGTATGGTGATGGGCACCTGTAATCCCAGGTACTAGGGAGGCTGAAACACGAGAATCACTTGAACCCAGATGGCGGACGTTGCAGTGAGCTGAGATTGGGCCACTGTTCTCTAGCCTGGGTGACAGAGCAAGACTTTGTCTTTAGAAAAAAAAAAAAAAGATTTAGTGACCTTGAAGACAGGCTAATTGAAAATACCTCCTAGTCAAAGGAGACAAAAGGAAAAAAATGAAATAGAATGAAGCAGGCCTAGAAGATCTAGAAAATACCCTTCAAGTGGCAAATCCAAGAGTTATTGGCCTTACAAGGAGGTAGAGAGAGATAGGGGTCCAAAGTTTATACAAAGGGAAATTTCTTACAACTGCATGTGAAATGAATCTATAATTATACACACAATTTTAGTTGTAAAAAACTAGATAAAATAGTCTTTTTGAACAGACATTTCACAAAAGAAGATAAGAAAAGGCCAATAAGCACATGAAAGATTCTCAGCATAATTAGTTCTCTGGAAATGCAAATTAAAATCATAATGAGATACTACTACATACCCATTAACATAGCCAAAATTACCCAAATAACCACCCAGAAAAATACCAAATATTGGCAAGCATACATTTCTGTATGAGAGAAGCAAGGATGTCATATATTTAATGGAAACTATCACACATTCCTGGTGGAAATATAATGCAATGAGTTTTATTATCATTCTATTTATACATTTTTAAAAAAGGGAGCAACGGCAGGTCATTTACTTATAAAAGTCTCAAAATCATTCTACCGGTGACTTCCTTTCATAAATAACCACTCTCTATAAAACACTTGCCAAGAAACACATGGATCCTACAAGGGTCGGGTGTTACTCTTATCAATCATTATTGATAAACAATTATGATGAGGGGACCCAAAGAAGGCGATGTACCCGCTGTGGCACCGGTGGCCACAAGGTGGCGTGAATGTCGAGCGGCTGCCCCAGCCACCTAGAAAGAGATTGGAGCAGCCAGGCTTCCAGAAGCAGAGGAGGCCTCACAGAGGGCACCGAGACTAGACAGGAACCTCTCACCTTGTGAATTTCCCTAAAGAGGGGTCTTCCTAGATAAGCTTTGAAGGAAGACCCAGTACCTACACAGTAAGGCACAAGTTACTGTGAAGAAATCTACGTCAAACTAGATGAGGCCTATGTTACCTTAACTACGGCCTCATTTACCCTACCTAGGACCTGATGGGGCTTAAATTATCCTACACCCACATTATTCTAGATCAGGGTTTCTTAGCCCTCTCATTATTGACAGTTTGGGCTGGAGAATTCTTTGACTCCTCGGTTTGGGGAGCCTCTGCCCACCTGCCCAACTGTGGCAAACAAATTCATCTCCAGTCCTTGCCCATGACCCTTACTGGGCAAAATTGCTCACAGTTGAGAGCCACTGCCCCAAATAAGGCTTAAATTACTAGTAAGGCTGATATTACACCAAAACCAGTCTCCATTTTCTTAGATCAATGGTTCTTAAACTAGAGCCTGCAAAGAATCCCCGAAGGAGCTTGTGAAGCTGCCTACACCTGAGCCTTCCCCCGGAGTTCCTGGTTTCTGTGTCTAACCTATTTCTAGATGATGTAGATGCTGTCGATGCAAGGACCTCACTTTGAGAAGCACTGTCCCAGATGGTGACTACATTACCCATACGCACATTTCTCTAAAGCCTCCATTTCCCTAGGACCACCTTATCCTAATTGAGGCTTACAACAGACTTGAGGTGTTCATGTTACTATTTTTATTATTAAGGTAAAACCAGGAAATTTTCATAGAAAAGAATTCAAAAGCTTCTGAACAAGGTATTATATGCATAGAAATACCTCAACATAACATAGATGCTGGGAAACAAAGGCATTGTCAGCCTTGGGCATGAGGAAGGGCAGGGTGCAGGCAGGGCACAGGCAGGGCTGCTGGCTTCAGCCCTGGGTCTTCTTTGAAGATGGAAAAGGAAAACAATAGAAGACATCAGTTTAAACAAATACTTCAGTAATTTTCATGTTGAAATTAGAAGAGCTTCTGTTGCACTTTGGGAATTGCTACTTTATTTTGACTCTAGATATGAATAAGCAAATAGCATGCTACTGCAATCAACTTTGACAAAGACAAAATTGTACTGGTGACTTTTTCAAGGGCAGCTTATGGAAGACGTCCGATTACAAACTTGGTGAATGGTGAAGAATATTCATCCCTCACAGATTTTTTAAAATTATCTTGGTTTTTAGTAAAAATCACGTTGTCTTTAACAGCCACAGACACCAAAGAAGTTCTACCACATCATTTTTTCATATGATTACGGCTCATTTATAAGAATTTCTACTATTTCAAAGTGTATTTATTTGTAACTCAAAAGAAGATCAGTCTATTTTTCTGCCTACTCGGCTGTAGAATACCACCCTCTACTAATGGCTCATTGACTCAAGGTTACCTTAAAGGAAACCAGACCCAGGGTCAAGAAGGAATCAAGCCCTGTGCATACTCAGTGCTATTCATGTGTTCACAGAATGATTATGGGACAGACATTGCACGTGGGCATTTGTTTCATATTTGCATCACGTGGAGGTTTACATAGCAAATATTAACTATTCCAGGCCAAGCCTGATGGCTCACGCCTGTAATCCCAGCGCATTGGGATGCAGAGGCGGGTGGATCACCTGAGGTCAGGAGTTCGAAACCAGCCTGGCCAGCATGGTGAAACCCCATCTCTACTAAAAATACAAAGTGAGCCGGGTGTGACACCACACACTTGTAATCCCAGCTGGCTCACAGAGCATTTTTCTCCAAGCATCTCAAGCCCAGTATGAAGTGGATGTGTCCTGGCTCAGAATGTTCCCTCAGTGACAGCAATTGCTTCTCACACCACCTCTTACAATAGGAATAGGCCTTAGAAAACCCAGCAATCTATTGGGATACTTCAGCGCAGCAAGCAAGGAATCACTAAAGCCACCAGGGGGCCCCTCCCCTGGAGCTCCATATGCACTGATACCTCCAGACACATGGCAAGTGCAGGAACTGATGGGGACTTTGGGGCAGCCTCTTTTTTTTAGGATTCTGTGGTTGAAGATTGTATCAGATTAGAACTTTATGCACAGACCCTGTTTCTCAAAGCCCCTGCCCCCACACTCACAGTGGAATATTTGCACAGTAACAAACCTCAAATTTGCCCTCCTTCCTAGTGTCTTGCCAATGAAAAGTGCTTCCGACTCTGACCCTAGTCCTGCTTATGTTTGTTGTTTTGTTGTTTGTTTTTTCCAAGCAGAGCTAAAGCAAGCTCAGTACTACTGGAGATTTGGAAAGTGCCTTCACATTCTTTGCCAATTCTCACCTGAGAGCCCTGCAGACGCCCCACGAGAGGAAAATCTAAGGTCATTGAGGGAGGGGCCGTGATCTTGGTCCTGAAGCTGTTGCTTTCAGAGGCTTTAAATCACTTCACTGTACTTGACTTGTTCTCTCCCAGTGCCTTTGGTTTCCCTAAGTTCTAGTCCTTAGACAGAGCATGTGCCTTGCAAAACTTTTCTCTTTAATCCATCTTAATCCTAGTGAGCAGGTGATATGGTGGGCAGGGGAGCAGTATATGTTCAATGATTTCTTGCTGTGCTTTCTTTAGGCTGTACCCTTTACAAGGAGTCACCAGTCATACAGCTGATTTTCCTCCGTCCTCTACTCCACCTCCTGGCTGTAGCATACACAGATTATTGTCTTGAATCTGACCCCAGTTGTTTATTAATTATACCCCTTTTCATGACACGGGAAGGCTAAGATGAAGCTGTCTGGGATGGAAAAGAATCCCTTCCTCTCACATAGAATAAAGATCTTGAAAAGTATTTTTTCTTTGTAGGGTCTGTCTGGAGAAAGTTCTGGGCATATTTATCAGAAAATAGTTCTCCTGATGACAGAGCCATGAGGGCATCTGTTTGAATTCTCGTCTTGAGAACCCAGAAGCTTTTGGAGGGAAATTCCATAAAAGTGTGAGGTGTGTGGCCCCCAGTTCTTACCCTACCCTTTCCCTGCTTCTCCTCCAGGCATTTATGGAATTACCATGTAACTCTTCGCACCAGCTTGTGCTTTCAATGGAAGAATCACCCAATCTATCAATTTAGAAAGGAGATTTTATTTCTGAAAAAGGGTTGGAGCTGCAGGACGGCCATCTTAACAGGCTGGAAAGCAAAGCCTCCCACAGAGACTGTGAGCAGGCACTTCAAGAGAGGGAAAGACAAGAAATGAATTCATGCGAATGGATTGGCCAAGCGTACACACTCAGCAGGCTATAGAAGGACCTATTGATAGTCACATGACAGGCAGGCTCTCATGTGTAATAAGCAAACACAAACGTTACATGCATTTCATATTTGCTTTTGGGTGAGGACATGAGAACTAGACGAATTACAATCTGGCTCTGTACACGAAAACGGCTTTGTGCAGGGGCAGAAAGACACACAGTGCACAGCCTCCGGAAATTGGCCAGGACAAGTCCATGGTCAGTCTCAGCTCTTTTTCCTCAACTTCAGTTCTACCTGGTTCCACTTCAGCACTGTGCCTGGAAACTCCCTTAAGGAAGCATCTGAGCGTGCATTCATCAGAGGACTCCTTTTGTTTATTTCCCACCTCTCAGCAATTACTGTCCTTGTTACCTGTTGTCACACATCATAAAATTGAATTTAAGAAATTTCACTATGTTTTACAAGTATTTCTGGTGGAAAGATACATCTGGTCTCTGTTGTCAAACCTAGTTTGAAAGTGATCATCTTGCACAAAAAATATTAGAATTAATTTTATGATGTTCACCAAGATTTATCTTGGAATGTATACAAATATTCAACCTTAAATTTCAAGGTATCACAAAATTTTGTTACATATATATATATACTCTATATATAGTGTTTATTTTGTCTTACATATATATTAATTATACCAATAGAATTATATAGTGTTATTTTGTTTTATATATATATAAACATTATATATAGTGTTTGGTATATATATAGTGTTTATTATATATAATATATATAGTGTTTATTTTGTTATATATATAAACACTATATATAGTGTTTGGTATATATAGTGTTTATTTTATTATATATAATATATATATAGTGTTTATTTTGTTATATATATATAAACACTATATATAGTGTTTGGTAGAATATCATACCTAATTTTAAAATATTCAAAATATCTATATCTGTCACATAAGTAAAGCACAAGCTCTACATTGCCCTAATAGAAGAGCTTCCTATTTGTCTTTCTCCCACAATGTCAGGGGATGAAAGCAGGTGGTCCCCACTGAGAGTACTTCCTGGATTAGATCCTTGGAATGTCAGTTTCCTGCCTGATCATCTCATTTTCATTCCTCAAATCAGAACATGAATTCCATCTTGAGTTAACTTCTCCTCCAGAGTATGAAAGCATCATTCCTGCTGCTTCTCCTCTAGGCTGATTCAACAGGATGTGCTTCATCTTTTGCACTGTGAAGATATTCTTTGGGGTCAAAAGCCCCTTCCTGGCTATCTGGTTGTCTGGCGATGCGCTCATTATTGTCCCTAGAACCTTCCTGTATCCTGGTCCCTGGAGTATGCTCTTGGCCTGGGGGTTCAGTTCCTTCCTGAAACATGATGTTTTGCTCAGCTCCAGCATGAGGCTGTAGAACTGGCTCAGTTCCTAATCCTGGAAGCTGGGAGGAGTTTTTCAGGTGGTAGTGGCACAGAGGGCAGGTCTCCTGGACATACAGCCATTTCTTAAGACAGCCTGCATGGAAAAAATGAACGCAAGGCGTGATCACAGCAGATTTCATGTCCCAAACAGATTCTTATCGAAGGAGTTACCTGATAACAGATGGCACAAATATCATTGTGTTTCTCAAGCTGCTCTTTCGTAGCAATGGGTAATGATTTAATCTTATTCACAGCATCCCTGTGGAGAAGAAAGCTCTTCCACCCCAGCTGGGCCTGAAGCCACACGTTATAGTAGGAATGAATGGATGATCATTGAGCCCATCACTGTCCATTCTCCAAAGATGGTCTCTGAGACGCAATAGGCCACCATACAGACGGCCGCAAGAAACTCCAGCAGGTGGTAAGTGCCATTCACATAGTAGATGACATCATCCATGTTTTCCACCGGCTCTTTTCTGAATTCCTCAACCATAAATCAGACATAAATAAAAAGTGTTCCCAGAACCTGAAGAGAGGTAAGAATGCTGCTGGAAATAATGATAAGAAGCCAAAAATCCAGGTGGAAAAACTGGCAAATCATATAAGCCATATGAGCAGGGAATACCAATAAAAATAAACAAAGTCGCACAGCACGGAAGTGTTTCCACAAGCTCTTGTCTCTGGATGCTCCCAGTGCCAAAACAATAGGATCTGCAATTTCTAACATAGACTGTAGGATAGAAGCTGCAACAATGAAAAGGATAATACTGAGCAGGAATGCCCGATGAACAACCTGCAGTTCTATCAGCCCAGTCTGCACTGCCAGGATTAACAGCGTTACTCCTTCTGTCATGCTCCAATTCATGGCAGGATCATTCCTGAAAGCTCGATAACCCTGCAAGTAAAACTCGCAGAGTGTGAGAACACCCAAGGCAACAAAAGAAACCGTGAAGACCAAACCCAAAAGAGAGTAAGGAGTGCTGCAGCATTCTGCAATACTTGTCAGAAAAAGGAAAAGAAGCCTCTCACGTGATGCCGGTTGATCTCGAGTACTGAAATAGGAGTAAATCTGAAGAGCAAATAAGATGAGCCAGAAAACCATGAAAAGAACAGGGACTACCAGTTGATTCCACAAGGACATTCCCAAGGTGAGAAGGCCATATACCTCCACTACCTGAACCAATTCTCTGTATGCAGATTTAGCAAGGTTATAAGGTAGCAAAAGATTAGACCCAAGAAAATAGAGAACTTCCAATCCAGTAAAAATCATAGCAAATTTATTGATGATAACAATTGTCTCCAAAGGAACAAGGCAGAGTCGTGCTAGCAGAGGAAGCACGTGAGCTGAAAACAGCCAAATCTGCTTTGTTTTCATGACACAGGAGCATAAAGTACACACCACCAACTGACCTATTAAGGCTGTGGTAAACCGATTCATAGAGAGAGGTTCTAAATACATTGGTCCCTCATAGGCAAACTGCAGTTCGCTCCGAACGTAGTCCCTGGAAATTTGATGTCCAGCATAGAAGAGCAGAGCAGTCAAAAAATATAGATAAAGCTGAACCAGATGTTGCCTGGGCAATGTTAGCAGCACCACACTTAAGATATAACCTCAGGCTGTGGACTCCCTCCCTGGGGAGCGGTGCTGCCAGCGGCGGGCGGGCTCCGCAACTCCCCGGCTCTCTCGCCCGCCCTCCCGTTCTCCTCGGGCGGCGGCGGGGGCCGGGACTGCGCCGCTCACAGCGGCGGCTCTTCTGCGCCCGGCCTCGGAGGCAGTGGCGGTGGCGGCCATGGCCTCCTGCATTTGCCGATGTCAGCATTTCGAACTGAGGGTCATCTCATTGGGACTGGTTAGACAGTGGGTGCAGCCCACGGAGGGCGAGTTGAAGCAGGGTGGGGTGTCACCTCCCCCAGGAAGTCCAGTGGGTCAGGGAACTCCCTCCCCTAGCCAAGGGAGGCCGTGAGGGACTGTGCCCGGTGAGAGACTGTGCCCTGAGGAAAGGTGCACTCTGGCCCAGATACTACACTTTTCCCACGGTCTTCAAAACCCGCAGACCAGGAGATTCCCTCAGGTTCCTACACCACCAGGACCCTGGGTTTCAACCACAAAACCGGGCCATTTGGGCAGACACCAAGCTAGCTGCAAGAGTTGTTTTTTTTTTTTTTTATACTCCTGTGGCACCTGGAACGCCAGCGAGAGAGCACCTTTCACTCCCCTGGAAAGGGGGCTGAAGGCAGGGAGCCAAGTGGTCTAGCTCAATGGATCCCCCCCTACGGAGCCCAGCAAGCTAAAATCCACTGGCTTGAGATTCTTGCTGCCCGGACAGCAGTCTGAAGTTGACCTGGGATGCTCGAGCTTGGTGGGCGGATGGGCGTTTGCCATTACTGAGGCTTGAGAAGGCAGTTTTCCCCTCACAGTGTAAACAGAGTCACCTGGAAGTTCAAACTGGCCGGAGCCCACCACAGCTCAGCAAAGCTGCTGTAGCTAGACTGCCTTTCTAGATTCCTCCTCGCTATGCAGGGCATCTCGGAAAAAAAGGCAACTGTCCCAGTCAGGGGCTTATAGATAAAACCCCCATCTCCCTGGGACAGAGCACTTGGGGGAAGGGGTGGCTGTGGACACAGCTTCAGCAGACTTAAACATTCCTGCCTGCTGGCTCTGAAGAGATGAGCAGATCTCCCAACACAGCGCTCCACGCTGCTAAGGGACAGACCGCCTCTTCCAGTGGGTCCCTGGCCCCCATGCCTCCTGACTGGGAGACACCTCCCAACAGGGGTTGACAGACTCCTCATACAGGAGTGCTCCAGCAGGCATCTGGCAGGTGCCCCTCTAGGACGAATCAGAAGAAGAAGCAGGCAGCAATCTTTGCTGTTCTGCAGTCTCTGCTGGTGATACCCAGGCAAATAGGATCTAGAGTGGATCTCCAGCAAACTCAGCAGACCTGCAGCTGAGAGGCCTGACTTTTAGAAGGAAAACTAACAAACAGAAAGGAATAGTATCAACATCAACAAAAAGGACGTCCACACAGAAACCCCATCTGAAGGTCACCAACATCAAAGACCAAAGGTAGATAAATCCACAAAGATGAGGATAAACCAGTTCAAAAGGGCTTAAAATTCCCAAAACCAGAACACCTCTTCTCCTCTAAAGGATCACAACTCCTCATCAGCAAGGGGAACAAAACTGGACGGAAAATGAGTTTGACGAACTGACAGAAGGAGGCATCAGAAGGTGGGTAATAACAAACTCCTCTGAGGCAAAGGAGCGTGTTCTAACCCAATGCAGGGAAGCTAAGAACCTTGAAAAAAGGTTAGACGAATTGCTAACTAGAATAACCAGTTTAAAGAAGAACATAAATTACCTGATGGAGCTGTAAAACACAGCACAACAACTTCGTGACGCATACACAAATATCAATAGTTGAATTGAACAAGTGGAAGAAAGGATATCAGAGATTCAAGACCAATTTAATGAAATAAAGTGTGAACACAAGATTAGAGAAAAAAGAATGAAAGGAATGAACAAAGCCTCCAAGAAATATTGGAGTATGTGATAAGACCAAACCTTCGTTTGACTGGTGTACCTGAAAGTGATGGGGAGAATGGAACCAAGTTGGAAAACACTCTTCAGGATATTATCCAGGAGAACTTTCCCAACCTAGCAAGACAGGCCAACATTCAAATTCAGGAAATACAGAGATACTCCTCGGGAAGAGCAACTGCAAGACACATAATCTTCAGATTCACCAAGGTTGAAATGAATGAAAAAATGTTAAGGGCAGCCAGAGAGAAAGGTCGGTTTACCCGTAAAGGGAAGCCCATCAGACTATCAGCAGATCTCTCTGCAGAAACCCTACAAGCCAGAAGAGAGTGGGGGCCAATATTCAATATTCTTAAAGAAAAGAATTTTCAACCCAGAATTTCATATCCAGCCAAACTAAACTTCATAAGCAAAGGATAAATAAAAACCTTTACAGACAAGCAAATACTGAGATTTTTTGCACCACCAGGCCTGCCTTACAAGAGCTTCTGAGGGAAGCACTAAATATGGAAAGGAAAAACCAGTACCAGCCACTGCAAAAACATACCAAATTGTAAAGATCATCAACAGTATGAAGAAACTACATCAACTAATGGGCACAACAATCAGCTAACATCATAATGACAGGATCAAATTTATACATAACAATGTTAACCTTAAATGTAAACAGGCTAAATGCCCCAATTAAAACACAGAGACTGACAAATTAGATCAAGACTCAAGACCCATTGGTGTGCTGTAGTCAGGAGATGCATCTCATGTGCAAAGACTCACCAAGGTCTCAAAATAAAGGGATGCAGGAATATTTACCAATCAAATGGAAAGAAAAAAAAATAGTGGTTGCACCCCTAGTGTGTTATAAAACAGACTTTAAACCAACAAACATCAAAAAAGACAAAGAAGAGGATTACCTAATGGTAAAGGTATCAATGCAACGAGAAGAGCTAACTATCCTAAATATATATTCACCCAATACAGGAGCACCCAGATTCATAAAGCAAGTTCTTAGAGACCTACAAAGAGACTTAGACTCCCGCACAATAATAGCTGGAGACTTTAACACCTCACTGTCAATATTTGACAGATCAATGAGACAGAAAATTAACAAGGATATTCAGAACTTGAACTCAGCTCTGGACCAAGTGGATCTAATGGACATCTACATAAATCTCCACCCCAAATCAACAGAATATACATTCTTCTCAGCACCACATCACACTTATTCTAAAACTGACCATATTATTGGAAGTAAAACACTCTTCAGCAAATACAAAAGAATGGAAATCAGAACAAACAGTCTCCCAGACCACAGTGCAATCAAATTAGAACTCAGGATTAAGAAATTCTTCAAAACTGCTCAAGTACATGAAAACTGAACAAGCTGCTCCTGAATGACTACTGGGTAAATAATGAAATTAAGGCAGAAATAAATAAGTTCTTTGAAACCAATGAGAACAAAGATACAATGTACCAGAATCTCTGGGACCCAGCTAAAGCAGTGTTTAGAGGGAAATTTATAGCACTAAATGCCCACAAGAGGAAGCATGAAAGATCTAAAATCAACACACTAACATCACAATTAAAGAACTAGAGAAGCGAGAGCAAACTAATTCAAAAGCTAGCAGAAGACAAGAAATAACTAAGATCAGAGCAGAACTGAAAGAGATAGAGACACAAAAATCCCTTCAAAAAATCAGTGAATCCAGTAGGTGATTTTTTGAAAAGATTAACAAAATAGATAGACTGCTAGCCAGACTAATAAAGAAGAAAAGAGAGAAGAATCAAATAGACACAATAAAAAATGAGGAAAGGCATATCGTCACTCATCCCACAGAAATACAAACTACCATTAGAGAATACTATAAGCACCTCTATACAAATAAACTAGAAAATCAGAGGAAATGGATAACTTCCTGGACACATACACCCTCCCAAAACTAAACCAGGAAGAGGTCGAATCTCTGAAGAGACCAATAACAAGTTCTGAAATTGAGGCAGTAATTAATTGCCTACCAACCAAAAAAAGCCCAGGTCAAGACAGATTCACAGATGAATTCTTCCAGAGGTACAAAGAGGTGCTGGTACCATTCCTTCTGAAACTATTCCAAACAACAGAAAAAGAGGGACTCCACCCTAACTCATTTTATGAAGCCAGCATCATCCTGATACCAAAACCTGTCAGAGACACAACACCAAAAAAATTTCAAGCCTATATCCCTGATAAACATTGATGCAAAAATCCTCAATAAAATACTGGCCAACCAAATCCAGCAGCACATAAAGAAGCTGATCCACCATGATCAAGTCGGCTTCATCCCTGGGATGCAAGGCTGGTTCAACATACACAAATCAATAAACATAATCCATCACATAAACAGAACCAATGGAAAAAAACACACAATTATCTCAATAGAAGCAGAAAAGGCCGTCAATAAAATTCAACACCACTTCATGCTAAAAACTTTCAATAAACTAGGTATTGATGGAACATATTTCAAAATAATAAGAGCTATTCATGACAAATCCACGGCCAATATCATACTGAATGGGCATAAACTGGAAGCATTCTCTTTGAAAACCAGCAAAAGACAAAGATGCCCTCCCTCACCACTCCTCCTATTCAACATAGTATTGGAAGCTCTGGCCAGAGCAATCAGGCCAGAGAAAGAAATAAAGGTATTCAAATAGAAAGAGAGGAAGTCAAATTATCTCTGTTTGCAGATGACATGATTGTATATTTAGAAAACCTCCTCCTCTCAGCCCAAAATCTCCTTAAGCTGATAAGCGACTTCAGCAAAGTCTCAGGATACAAAATCAATGTGCAAAAATCACAACAATTCCTATACACCAATAATAGACAACCAGAGAACCAAATAATGAGTGAACTCCCATTCACAATTGCTACAAAGAGAATAAAATACCTAGGAATACAACTTACAAGGGATGTGAAGGATCTCTTCAAGGAGAACTACAAACCACTGCCCAAGGAAATAAGAGAGGACACAAACAAATGGAAAAATATTTCATGGACATGGAAAGGAAGAATCAATATTGTAAAAACGGCCATACTGCCCAAAGTAATTTATGGATTTAATGCTATCCCCATCAAGCTACCATTGACTTTCTTCTCAGAATTAGAAAAAAAACTACTTTACATTTCATATGGAACCAAAAAAGAGACTGTAAAGCGAAGACAATCCTAAGCAAAAACAAACAAACAAACAAAGCTGGAGGCATCATGCTACCTGATTTCAAACTATACTATAAGGCTACAGTAACCAAAACAGCATGATGCTGACACCAAAACAGATATATAGACTAATGGAACAGAACAGGGGCCTCAGAAATAATCCCACACATCTAGAACATCTGATCTCTGACAAACCTGACAAAAACAAGCAATGGGGAAAGGATTTCCTATTTAATAAATGGTGTATGGAAAACTGGCTAGACATATGCAGAAAACTAAAACTGGACCCCTTCCTTACACTTTACACAAAAATTAACTCAAGATGGATTAAAGACTTAAATGTAAGACCTAAAACCATAAAAACCCTAGAAGAAAACCTAGGCAATACCATTCAGGACATAGGCATGGGCAAGGACTTCATGACTAAAACACCAAAAGCAATGGCAACAAAAGCCAAAATTGACAAATGGGATCTAATTAAACTAAAGAGCTTCTGCACAGCAAAAGAAACTGTCATTGGAGTGAACAGGCAACCTACAGAATGGGAGAAAATTTTTGCAATCTATCCATCTGACAAAGAGCTAATATCCAGAATCTCTAAGGAACTTAGACAAATTTAAAAGAAAAAAAACAAACAACGCCATCAAAAAGTGGGTGAAGGATATGAGCAGACACTTCTCAAAAGAAAACATTTATGAGACCAACAAACATATGAAAAAAAGGTCATCATCGCTGGTCATTAGAGAAATGCAAATCAAAACCACAGTGAGATAGCATCTCATGCCAGTTAGAATGGCAATCATTAAAAAGTCAGGAAACAACAGATGCTGGAGAGGATGTAGAGAAATAGGAATGCTTTTACACTATTGGTGGGAGGGTAAATTAGTTCAACCATTGTGGAAGACACTGTGGCAATTCCTCAAGGATCTAGGCCTAGAGATACCATTTGTCCCAGCAATCCCATTACTGGGTATATACCCAAAGGATGAACAATTAATCCACTATAAAGACACATGCACGTGTATGTTTATTGCAGCACCGTTGACAATAGCAAAGACTTGGAACCAACCCGAATGCCCATCAGTGATAGACCGGATAAAGAAAATATGTCACATATACATTACGGAATACTATGCAGCCATAAAAAAGAATGAGTTCATGTTCTTTGCAAGGACATGGATGAATCTGGAAACCATCATCCTCAGCAAACTAACACAGGAACAGAAAACCAAACACTGCATGTTCTCCCTCATGAGGGAGAGTTGAACAATGAGAACACATGGACACAGGGAGGGGAACATCACACAACAGGGCCTGTTGGGGGGTGAGGGGCTAGGGGAGGAATAACATTAGGAGAAACACCTAATATAGATGACGGGTTGATGGGTGCAGCAAACCACCATGGCATATGTATAGCTATGTAACAAACCTGCACGTTCTGCACATGTATCCCATCACTTAAAGTATAATTAAAAAAAGGTAACTTTGCAAAATATTTAGAGAGATTTATTCTGAGCCAAATGTGAGGACCATGCCCTGTGACACACCTTAGAAGACCTTGAGAACATGTGCCCAAAGTGGTTTGATTGCTCTTATATCTAATGTCTTAGAGAGACATTTGACATCAATCAATACATGTGAGATATGTGTTGATTTGGTCTATAAAGACAAAACAGCAAGAAGTGAGGCAGTGTGGGGAGGGGATTACAGCTTACAGGTGGATTCAAAGTTTTTCTTATTGGCAATTGATTAAAAGACTTAAGGTTTTATCTAAAGACCTGAAATCAGTTGAAAAAGTTTCTAGATTTAGAGAGCGGGCTTTGGAGAACAATATTCTTATTATGCAGATGAAGTCTCTTATGTGGCCACCCTTAGAGGCAATAGATGGCAAGTGTTTTCTATTAAGACCTTTAAAAGATGCTAGACTCTCAGTTAATCTCCTCCATATAACAAAAACACCTGGAAAGGTAAAGCGATTCTCTACAGAATGTAAATTTCTCTCACAAAATATAACTGTGCAGGGCAATTTAAAATATGTCAAAAATATACTTTAGGGCAAAAGACTTTGATTCCTCTCAAGGCCTGCTGTCATGTGATGCTATTCTTGAGTCAGGTTAGAATTTGGTATCTTACTGCTACAAAGAATCTATTTTCTGAGCCTTAAGATCTGTTTGAATGAAAATGCTGGTTAGTTGTGCTTGAATTCCAAAGGCAGGAGTGCATAATGAGGCATTTCTGATCCTTTCTTGCTAACATGGCCTAAACTAGCTTTTCAAGTATCTCTGGAACTCCTTTTTGAAGAGGAAGGGTCCATTCAGCCAGTTGGGTTGCTTAGAATTCTGTTTTTAGTTTATAGGACATATATGAGACTTATCCTAATCAGGGGTATCAGAAAATATTCATTGAGGTAATCACTTTAAAGTTGAGACATGAAAGATGGTCCCAGATTCCTCCCTGCAAACCTTCTCTCCTGATACTAGAAGAAAAGTTACAAGAAACAAATGTTAACATTTCTTCTGTGTTCAAAATTGCCCCCCATTAGGAAAATAATTAAACTTGCAAGACTTATCTTTAGAAACAAGTAATCTAGTTGATTTCTAAAGTCCTTTTACAAACCCACAGATTCTGATTAGTTTACAGATTACATAGAGCATCCCATCTAATGGGAATCTGCAATTAGCTGGATTCCCCTGCATTTGATTTTTAAATGTTGAATTTATACAGATACATAACAGTTCAAAACCTTTATGTGGTACATGTGATATTTTGATAAAATAATATGTGCAGTGATCAAACCTGGATAACCGGGATATCCTTCATCTCAATCATTGATTATTTCTTTGTGTTAAGGACATTCTAAATTTTCTCTTCTAGCTATTTTCAAATATACAATAAATTATTAACTGTAGTTGTCTATGTACCATTTTAGCATTCCCAACAGCAGTAAGTGAAAGTTCCTGATTTTCAGCTTTCTCTTCACCATTTGGTATTGTCTATATTGTTTATTTTACCCATTTTAGCAGGTTAGCAGTATTTTTTGAATATTAAATGTACATTTACCTAATAAAAATCAAACTGATCACTTTTTATCTTTACTTTTAGATGTGGTTTCTCTTCAGGTCTTTGCCCATTTTAAAAATAAATTTTGTGGTTTTGTTGTTGTTCAATTATAAGTCAATTTATATATTTGTGATAAAAGCCCTTTTCCAAATATTGGATTTGCAAGCAAATTCTCCAAATCTATGGCTGATCTTTTCAGTCTCAGTTAAGGGTTTATTTTCAAATATCTAGGTTAGTTTGTCCATCTATGAAAAGAGGATAATCTTAATTCTAAATTCTTAGAATTATTAGAATAATAATGTAAGTTGAAATTATTCCAGTATCTGGCCCTTCACAAGTTTTAGTATAACACCAGTGAGAAAAATTTGCAGATTGTTCTGTGTAGACCAGAAATCAGAAGGTGATAAAGGGGCAATTAGATTTGAATAATCCGGAGATATGAAGTGTATTTGGTATTCACCTCCTTCTATTTCTCTATGAAGACAAAATGGATAGATGACCTCTCCATGTGAAATGGGACACATAAGTTTTTAAGATGATTCTGAAAGACAGTTCCTTATACAATCACTCAGGTGATGTTCCAAACACAGGGCTGTGGAGGGGATGGTGGCTGCCGGTGGTTGCTGTCAGCCACAGGGTTGGTTTGTTTCCCACAGGTTCCAGAAATAGTTTCTAATAACAAATGTCATATTTTGTTTAGAATTGATTTATTTTTTATAATTTATTTTCTCCCTGTAGGCAGCACTCAGAAGTATGTTCTCAGAATAATTCCTGATCCTCTGTGAGTTCCTGGTGCAGCTCCTGGAGGCAAAGCCTGCATGGGGGAGGGAGCCCTCCTCACATGCAGCCCTGAGGCTGCCACGTCACTTCACCCACCGTTGCCCTTCAGTCACTTCCTGAACACTTATGAGTTGATCTTCCTGAAACATGTGGTATTTGGCAGTGTCTTTCCCAGGTAAGATAATACTTCCATTCTGTTTATCCCTGCAGGCACCTGTCCCTTTCTGGAATATAAATTGGTTTCGATTGTGTGGTAGTGGATAAGTGGGGGGAGGAGGTTTGTGTGCATCTTGTCATCTTCCAGAGTGCACCCCTCATGGGGTTGACAGTGACAAGCATGCAGATGGGCTTGCTCAGCTGGAAGATGACAGGCATTTTGGTAACCTGTGACCCCAGTGAGGCTCTCTCGCTGCAAGATCAATCAGGCTCAGGCCTCTGGCTAAAGTGCAGCCAGCAAGGGGTCCAGTGCCCAACCCTGAGAGCTCCTTCCAGGTACCAAACCACTTTCTAAGGGAAGCTTTTTTCCTGCCTGGATCCCATGCATGTGTTTGTATTTTCTTCACAAAGGCCTTTATCCAGAAACACCCCCCAAGAGCTTATAGTGTTTTGAATTCAACTGAAGGGCATTATTCATGAAAGCCCTCATGGCCAAAGTCTTCACTTCTCATTAAAGGACATTGATTATGGGATTCACCAGAAGCTGCTGGCCTTTCACAGGCACAGACCTTCCTCTACACCAGTGGTCCCCAACATTTTTGGCACCAGGGAACGGTTTCGTGGCAGACAATTTTTCCATGGATGATGGCGGTGAGTGATTATGGGATGAACTTACTCCACCTGCATTCATCAAGCATTAGATTCTCATAGGGAGCACTCAAACTAGGTCCTTTCCATGCCCAGTTCACAATAGAATTTGGATCCTAGGAGAATCTAGTGCACAGCTGATCTGACAAGAGGCGGAGCTCAGGCAGTGATGCTCACCCGCCGCTCACCTGCTGTGCTGCCTGGTTTCTAACAGGCTGCTGACCAGTTCTGGTTCACTGCCTAGGGGTTGGGGACCTCTGCTGTAAATGCTTGGAGACCTTACCCTCTGGGAAGGGGCATAGAAAAACAAGTCAGATGAGCTCCAAATCAATGTACATTTTATGGATTCTTGAGGAAAGAGTGCAAAGAGGAACGTCCCCACCCACTTTCCCTCTACCTGGCATCATTCCCAGTAATCCGCTTGAGGAACCCGGGGTGTTTCAAGATAGTTTAGGCTTGTTATACTAGGGGACGCCAGAAAAGGAAACAATTAATGTGTCCATGCGGGTTTGTCAGTTGCAAGTTATTACTTCAGTGCAGGGTATTGATCATGGAGAAGTCTGTGCGTATCTTGGGCAGGAATACATGGGAACTCTGTTTCTTCTACTCAAATTTGCTGTGATCCTAAAAGTGTTTTAAAATAAACGTAATGTAAAAAAAGTGGCAAAGACATTTTGGAAGAAATGTTGGCCACTTCTTAGAAATTATGTTTAGTCTTACCACGTGATAAAGCAATCCTGCTCCAAATGATTTATCCATTCGATTTTAAAATGTTATGTCCCCACAAGGCTTCCATGGGAGTGTTTGCATCAGCCTGATTGATTGCTGCCTTTCCCACTCTGTGAATTTTACTTACAGGGTGAAAGTTGAAAAGACTATTTCCTATATAATTAGAGTGTATACATCTTTCTATTGCTTCTTTTCCTCAATTACTTAACCCATTTTCTAAACACGTTTAAACCTCATAAATCCTGTCATCTTCTCACCCCCAGCACAGCTGCCTCCTTCCTCAAGGTTTCTGACACTCTCAGGATGTGGGTTTTCACACTGCGTGTCTTGCACATTAATATACGGCTGTGTCCTCAGATCTCAGGCTGCTCAGCTCCATGTAGGCTGTGTCTGTAGACGTGTCCCAGGTCGTGGTGACTCTGCCCTGGAATTCTGTGCATATATTGTTTCACCATCTTCAGGATCAACACGTTCCATCCACTCAAGCCCTTTTCCAGGGGCCTGTCGCCCCCAGTGTATGTAGTGGAAGGTGAAGGTGTATCTGGGATCACCTTCACTGAGGACCCAGGTTTCCTCACCTCAGCCCCAGACTGCACCGATTGGACCTGGGAATGGGCACCTGTGGAGAGGACAGAGAAGTGGTTGAGACTCCACTTAACTGGACCCAGTCCCCTCATCAGCCCTGGAACTTAGGATTCTCTTCCCTGTGGCTGCTGCCACCAAGAGGAGGATCCTCCCGGTCCAGTCCATGGTGAGGTGCCGTGCTCTGGGGGCTTCTGTAGGGGAGGGATGTGGTTGTTGTGTGATGCTCTCTGGGCAAGGACAGATCTGTATGTACCTCGGTAGACAGCAGTGCATTTGCATATTCACGAGGCAGGTATTTCATAGCTCAAGGCACCTCAACCTGAGGAAGAAGATAGGTGACACACGGACCACGCCACAGTGGGATGCAGAGCTCCCTGCCCTGAACTTTGTTTAATGATATTTGCCCTCTGTTATGCTCAGAAGTCCATGAAGACAGAACTCGTTTTACAGAAAACCAGAATCTCCCAGGACATTGTCCTCAATGTCATTTCTTGTTCATATGGCACCCTGACAACCTGAACTTTTCCTGGGCCTTGACCTCTGCACATCTAAATTCTGGGATGAGTGTATCTTCCGACAGTAACACCCATTGAATTAATAAAACCACTCTTCAATTCCTAACTATAAATACATTTGAAAAGACTAGACATTTCTCCTTTTAAATGCTGTTTGCATTCAATTACTTGGTTAGGTATAGGCTACATATATAATAGAATACTTAAAGACACACCAGTACTTACTACATTCTTATTTAGATTTTAGGTTATTATTGCTTTGAAATAAAGAACATTCAATTCCTGAGAGAAAACCCCTCCCCAGCCTCCTGTGCACCTGCTCCAGGGCTGGATCCTGTGCTGGGTGCGCCCTGAGCGCCCCCTGCAGCTCAGCTCCTGCCCTGCAGGAAAGTTCCTGTCTGGGCTCATAGAGAATTCTCCTCCCAGCGTCTCAAGCACAGTATGAAGTGGCCTTGCCCTGACTCAGAATGCTCTTTCAATGGCAGCAATTGCTTCTCCCACCATCTCTTACAGTAGCAAATAGGCCTTAGAACACCCGACATAATCTACCGGGAGACCTCAGCACAGCAACAAGGAATCACTAAAGCCACCAGGGAGCCCCTTCCCTGGAGTTCTAGGTGCACTGATAGGGTCTGGACACATGGCAAGTCTAGGAACCGATGGGAACTTTGGGGCAGCCTCTATTTTTTTTTAGGATTCTGTGGTTGACGATCACATCAGATTGTAACTTTACACAAAGACCCTATGTCTCAAAGCACCCCCCCCCCACACACACACACATACACTCACAGTGGCACATTTGCACAGTAACGAGACTCAGATTTGCCCTCCTTCCAAGTGTCTTGTCAATGAAAAGTGCTTCCAACACTGGCCATAGTCCTGCTTGTGTTTGTTGTTGTTATTTTTTCCAGACAGAGCTAAAGCAAGCTCAGTATTACTGGAGATTTGGAAAGTGCCTTCATGTTCTCTTTGCCAGTTCTCACCTGGGAACCCTGCAGATGCCCCATGAGAAGTAAATCTAAGGCCATTGAGGGAGAGGCTGTGACCTTGGTCCTGAAGCTGTTGTTCTCAGAGGCTTTGAATCATTTCACTGTCCTTGAGTTGTTCTCTCCCACTGCCTTTGGTTTCCCTAAGTTGTAGTGTTTGGACAGAGTCTGTGCATTATCACACTTTTCTCTTTAATCCAGATTAATCCTATTGGTGAGGAGGGGAGGTGATGCAGTGGACAGGGGAGCAGTATATGTTCTGGAAATTGACTTCCAATGTTTTCTTGCTGTGTTTTCTCTAGGCTGCACCCTTTACAAGGAGTCTCCAGTGGTACAGCGGATTTTCCTCCATCCTCCACTCCCCCTCCTGGCTGCAGCATCCACAGATTATTTTCTTGAATCTGACCCCAGTTGTTTATTAATTATACCCCTTTTCATGACACGGGAAGGCTAAGATGAAGCTGTCTGGGATGGAAAAGAATCCCTTCCTCTCACATAGAATAAAGATCTTGAAAAGTATTTTGTCTCTGTAGCATCTGTTAGGAGAAAGTTCTGGGCATATTTATCACAGAATAGTTCTCCTGACGACAGAGCTACGAGTGATTCTGTTTGGACTCTCATCTTGAGAACCCAGAATTTTCTGGAGGGAAATTCCATGATAGTGTGGGGTGTGTGGCCCCCCAGGAGTTCTTACCCCATCCCTGTCCACACCTGTCCTCCAGACATTTATGGAATTACCATGTTTCCGCCAGCTTGTGCTGTCAACTGAAGAATCACCCAATTTATTGATTTAGAAAGGGGACTTTATTTCTGAGAAAGGATTGAAGCTGCAGGACGGCCATCTTAACAGGCTGGGAAGCAAAGCCTCCCACAGAGACATTGAGCAGGTACTTCAAGACAGGGAAAGACGAGAAATGAATTCATGTGAATGCGTTGGCCAAGTATACACACTCAGCAGTCTATAGGAGCTGTGGATATTCACACGGCAGGCATGCTCTCAGGTCTAATAATCAGACAGACACGCTACATGCACTTCATGTTTGCTTTGGGGTGAGGACTTAAGAACTAACTGAATTACAGTTGGGCCCTGCACATCAAAAGGGCTTTGTGCAGGGGCGGAAAAAAACACAGTGCACAGCCTCTGGAAATTGGTGAGGCCAAGTCTATGGTCAGTGGTCTCTTTTCAGGAGAAAGTTACTGAAATCCATCTCTTGTCCAATCAAAGCTCTATTTATGGCTTGTGAAACAAGGTCACAATTACTCCATGTCTGAAGTTCCATGAACTGCAAATGTTTTAGTATTGCTTATCTCAGGACCAGTGCTTGTTTAGCTGTTAGAGAAAAACAAAAAGCCCTGTGGCAGTTACAACATAGTCTATTTTTTAAGTGTAGGGGTGAGTGACTTAATCCCTGCCTGGCATGGCCTTAGGTCTTGTTTATAATTGGGTATCTTATTGCCACAGAAAGTTTGTCCCGTCAGTGTTATGATCTCTATTTTAATGTCTTTCTAGTTTTTGGGTCCTGGTTTTCCCTGCAATTTCATTTCTTCAATAGATCCAAGAAATCATTGATAATCAATTTTCCAGACTTTTATTATGGTAAGAATGTGGGTGATGATTGACATGCTCTTTACATATTGAAGCAGAAATCTGAAGTAGCTTCAGAGATCACGAGTGACATGAAACAAGTAGAAGGAATCTCATCTCATTAAGTGTAAGTGGCACCACACAGATATAGCTCAACATACAGTGACACAGAAGAATCACAGCACATGACACATATGTAAAGTTTTTATGATTCTGAGCCTTTGCCCAGGAAGCTGTAACTCAGATGGTACTACAGGGATGGACTCAGTTCTCTCTCAGGTGATACTGTTTTGGAAGCTTATTTCCACTCTTGCACTGGATTCAGTAGCTGCACCTGGGCCCATACCCCTAAAACAAACTCTCATTAATTAAACACAAGACCCATCAATAAGAAAGTTGTCCCAGGGAAGGTGCACAGCAGGGACCTCTGCTTTTGGGAACCTGTGGCTATGCAGGCAGGGTCAGGAGTGTGACCCATTTTCTTCTCCTCCCCCTGCCTGCTGCACAGACAACTGAAACCAGGAGCTTTCCATTGCTAAGTATATAAAATACGTGATAGTTCCAGGGAAATGTAATACACATATGAAGGAATGAGGAACCTACATAAAATTAAAATAAAATGAATATATTAAATATACAACACTGTAAGAGATAATCACGGAAAAGATAACAAATATAAAAAACCTGTGTGTATACGTGTGACATAGTGTTGTTGTAAATTAAATCGTAATTTGCTTATGAAGTCCTTCAAGTAGGTACAGAATATTTGCCTTTTGATTGCCACAAAGATGAAGAATCTGGCACCAAGACTCCAGGGCCATGCTAGTGACTTTCCCTCCTATCTCCTGAGGACACGGTGCTTCCAACTCTGAGGATCAGGATACTGAAATTGACTGTGTGAGAAGAGAAAGTGGGATTTTCTGTGGGAAAAGACTGTTTTGAGCATAATTTTCAAGTAATAAATATATTCTACCAGGAGACACACTGCCATCATGCTGACGGTGTATGTTGCTTTTGACATTAACATTATGATCATCAATATTATTGGGGTGTTCCCTAGAAAATGACCAATTATCACAGAATTAACGAGTCATTTTCATTTTAGTTTTTTTTCACACTGCCAGCTAAATCCACTGAGTTTACTGAGTTTGAGCATGGAAATTTCAGGGCATGGGTTACAAATGATGGAGTGGAAGTTTTCCTGGGAGTTAGATATAGTTTCGCTGAAGGAGAACCAAGGATTTTGCTAGAAGCTCCCCTCCTGGTCTATCCCAGCACCTGCTCCTCAGTGTGCCCCTTCCTGTCTGACTCCTAAGCATCTCTGTGGTCCTGGACAATGCATGTCTGGGGCATCTGTTTCCTAGATGTGCATCCACAGGGCAGGCTGCTGTCCCTAATTGTTGAGAGGGAGCTTGGCCTGGATCCACCCAGGTGGCCCCACCCTGAGCACTGAGCTTCCTCCCAGCAAGGAGACAGGGTCAGCTGAGCGCCTCCACTTCACAGAAATTCTAGGAGGCAAATTCAGTCAAATCTCAACATAGTTTTGGCATGCAATCCAGCACCCATGCTCCTAGGTATTTATCTATCTGACTTTCAGTGTATGACCACAAAGAAAACTACACATGAATAATCACAGTAAGTTCATTCATATTTGTCAAAACTAGGAACACTCAAGAAGTTCTGTAGGTGAGTAGATAAACAGTCGGCGGCAAATTCATAGAATAATATTCAGCAATTATAAACAAGAGCTATCAAACCATAAAAATACATAAATGAATTTTAAATGCATATTGTTAAGTGAAAGAAACAAGTCTGAAAAAGCTACATAATATGTTATTTATTTGATATTCTGGAGAAGTCCAAACACACAAAGTGATTCTGTATTTGTGAGAAATTTAAGGAGATGATGAAAATGGGTAAAAAATAGATTTAAAAGGGTGATGAAAGTATTATGTATAATATTATAATGGTAAATATGTGATATGAATTTGTTGAAATCAACAGAATATACAGCATAAAGGGTTAATTCCAATTCACAAAAATATAAATAAATAGGAGATTAGGAATTCCAGGATAGAATGCAGACAATATAGAAAATATCTAATGTCATTACAAATGTATGAAATCAGAAGAGGTGCCAAGTGACCTCAGAAATAGTGTAGTCAATAAAAGAAAGTGCACGTCAGAACTGTACCCCAGCTGATGATGTTCCACAAAAGAGCAAAACATACACAATCTGGTTCCACTCTACAGAAATCCTGGAACTGGACTACAAAGGGAATAGACAGGGTGTGGCAGGAGGGGGTTCCTCACGGTTGGAGTGCGAGGTTAGGGACAGGAATAGAAGGCAGGTAATAAACATTCATGTGGTATTAACAGGGCAGATGTGTCAATATATTTGCAAGTTTAGCATAATATAGGTATAAAAATTAAATAAAAATAGTTTAGATGTGTGTGTATATATGGGTTAATACACAACACATACCTCCTAGAGTCATTACCTGAGAGGTTCTACAAGAAAAGACAGCAAATTAACAAAAAATACACCCAGAATCAAGATTTGAGTTTTGGTTCCTTTCATAGCAGAATGGTATGCAACATTTCTTGGAAAAATGGCTAATCCTAGGGCTTGGAAAGAGAATATAGAAGTAAAGTCTACAATTTCTCATGGTACCCAGAAAATAAGAAAGGGTTCCAAAATGAAGAATCGCTCCTTTTGCAAACCTTATGGTAACAAATATAATATTTATAAAAAGTGAATTAGGTAATATGTTAATGGAGAAATAAACATCATTATGAAATGCTATCTTAAACAAAAAATAAGAGAAAATATTAGTTTAAAAATAGAACTTATAGTCGATTTAAAAAAGCAAGACCAAACTCTTAGCTATGCACAAGAAAGTTACTTTACACATTCACAAATATAAAAGGATGAGAAAACATGGATTATGAAAATATGAACCGAAATAAAGCTATAGTAGCTGTGCAAATTTCAGACAAAATAGACATCAGAAAAGACTTTTAGGACTTAACAGGGATATTACATAGGATAAAGTTACCACTTTTTTTTAAAGATGCCAAAAAAGACTTAACAAATATATAATAGAAGAAGAATACCCCATTCATTGTGATTTACAGAACGTGACAAAAGAAATAAAGATGTCAGTGACACCATGCACGGAAGGGTGTCCTGGGGACTGAGGCTTCTTTGTACTCATGGAGGGCACCACCAAGAACTTCCTCTTGAATTTCTCCCTGTAGCCGCCCACACCAGCCCTGGTCTTGGAGGCTGCTGAACCACGATTATGCTGCCATCAGTGAAGGAAGCTGAAATTGTGAAAGTGAAACACCATGGCTGGTCATGTGCCAGATGATGTTGTGTTCTGCAAAGTATCTCCAATCCTGGGTTGGATCCAGTAGGTGCACTTGGGCACCCAAACCGGAAACAGGGATTCTTGTTCCTTAAACACAAGACATTCCAATGAGAAAGCTGCTCTCAGATGAGTTGCAGATCAGGCAGGAGGAGATGGAGGTGTCCTTGGCTTCCCAGAATTGCTGAAACTTGAAGACCAAGGCCACCTCTGAGAGGCAGAGACCCACTTGAGTACATGGCATCAGCTCTGTCTTCAGGAATCTTTGGCTGTGTGGGAGGATAAAGGATGTGATTTCTTTCTTTCTCTCACCCAACGTGCTTCAGAGACAGTAAAATGGAAAATTAAATAAATATGTTTTCTTTCCATGTTAGGGGAGAGAACATGTATAATTCATGGCAATACAAGTGCTCACTTCAGAGCCTGCAGGAGCAGCAAGTTCACAATTGACGGTCGCAAGTACTCTACCCCAGGAAGCAGATGCCCTGAGATCATCCCGAGTCCTGCCCTCTGGATGCCATGCATCTGTGGGACATGGGCTTGTGCCTGGGATCTTGTAGCTAGTGTGGAGAGCTGAGCACAGCTCCACTCCTCCACACTGTGTGACCTAGGATGTGGTCTCTTCCTCAGAGCTTTATTCTAATAAGGTGTTAATGTAAAATAGCAGCAGTAACTTTACCTGTAACGTTTTAGGTAGGAGCCAGTGCTGTTCAGAATCGTTAACCACCGTTGCTGCCTCCACCCTTAGAAACCGGAAAAATACCTGTGTGACCTGTCATCTCAGGCCTCAGATGACCACATTGCAGAGAGCACACCTGCTTTGTTTCTGTCACTAACATTGTATTGGATACTGGAAAACATGTGTACCTGGTTATAGAATGTATCTTAATTAGGTTATATTGGATAAAATTAGAATTAGTAGGTGACACTTAAAACTTAGCTGAGGGGATTTCTAAGCAAAGTGTGGATGGTGTGTTTTGATTTCTCCTTGCTTAATATAATGAGAGGAGATAGATAAATCAAAGAGGAAACTATTGAACAATGTGGAATGAGGTATTTTATAAGGAAGGAAGGCTCTCACATCTTCTGGAAACCCCATAAACTTTTAAAAAATAAAGGAACTTTAAGACACATTTCTACATTCTAGATACATGACTAATATAAACTTGGATTTTAGTGCAAAAAGAGGTTAATTTTCACAGAAGATGAAAATTAATTAGATGAATATTCATACACAATCTACAATTTTGTCTTTACATATTTTTGAAATTTAAATAAATTGCATCAATATTATGTATCCTTCTGCAACTTGCTTTATGTTTGGTTTGTGGAAGGGGAGTTTACATCATTCATTTTCAGTTCCGAATATATCCAACTGTATGAATGTATCTTATTTATCTGTTCTCCTGTTCTGTGTTGTTTCCAACTTTTAATTAATATTAACAATGTTATATTGAACATTGTTCATACACATGAGAGTTTCTCTATGTCAAGGAGAGAGTTCCTTAGTCATAGAGTGTAAGTATCTTTATCCTTTTTAAAAATTGTAAATTATTCTTCAATCTGATTGTACCAGTATATAATTCCACCAGTGGTTGGAGAGAATTTCCACTGATGTACATTCTTTGTCAAACACCTGATACTGTCAAGTTTTAAAATTTACCATCCTGATGAGCATTAAATGCATGTTTTATTTGCACTTTCTTGATTACTACTGAAGTTGAGTATATTACCCATATGTTTACTGCTAACTCAAGTTTCCTCTTCAGTGAATCATCTGTTTATATTCTTCATGATCCTAACAGATATTCTTTTTCTAATTTATTTGCACGATTTTGCATATGTTTAGGATACAAATCCATTGTATCCTAGATAAACTGCAAATATCTTCTTTCACTTTGTGCCTTGTCTTTTCACTTTTTATGGTATCTTTTAAAGTACTTTTTATTCTAATGGTCAAATTTATCTTTTTCCTGTATGATTTATGTGTACTTATTGTTTTAGAAATCCTTCCTTAATCCAAGGTGATAATACTATTATCCTGCACTTTCGAAGAGTTTTAAATTTTGCTTTCACATTTTTACTAGCTTTACTGAGGTATACTACACATACCGCAAAATTCACACACTTTGTAAATGAACAATTGACTTTAAAGAATTACATAGAGTCATGCCACTATCATTACAATAGAGTTGTAGATCATTTTTATCATCCTAAAAAGTTCCCTGTGCCCACTGGCAGTTAATTCCCACTCCCATTGCTAGCCCCATTTAACCACTTATTTGCATTCTGGACATTTAATATAAACAGAAGCATACAGTATACAGTTTTTTTGCATCTGGCTTCTTTCACTTAGCATTAATAGTTTTAGGACTCATTATGCCATAGTATGCATCGGCAGTTTGTTTCCTTTTAATTGCACAATAGTATTCCATGTATGGCCATAAAACATTTGGTTTATCCATTCATCAGCTGATTGACTTTTGGATTGTTTCTAGTTTGGAGCTATTATTAATAATAGTACTGGCTGGGCACACTGGCTCATGCCTGTAATCCCAGCACTGTGGGAGGCTGAGGTGGGCGGATCATCTGAGGTCAGGAGTTCGAGACCAGCCTGACCAACATAGTGAAACCCCGTCTCTACTAAATACACAAAAAAATTAGCTGAGTGTGGTGGCGCACACCTGTAGTCCCAGCTACATGGGAGACTGAGGCAGGAGAATCACTTGAACATTGGAGGCGGAGGTTTCAGTGAGCGGAGATTGTACCACCATACTCCAGCCTGGGTAACAGAGTGAGACTCCATCTCAAAATAATAATAATAATAATAATAATAATAATAATAATAGTACTAAGAATATTCATGCAAAGTCTGGCTATGAACATGTTATCACTTCTTTTGGATACATTCCTAAGTATTGTAATACTTTTTAAGAAATTAGGAAATCCTTTTGGAACATGGCTGCAGGATTTTGCATTCCATCAGCAATACATAAGCATTCAATAAGTAGTCTGTGCTGTGGTTTTGTTTCCATTCAGTTCTAACTAACGTCTAATGTTCTTTATTTCTTTTTTGACTCAAGAATTAGTTATGTTCTTTACCTCCAAATACCTTGCAATTTCTCAAACCTCTTTCATTCAAATTTAATTGTGTGGTCAGGTAATATACTTTGATTTATTAGTTTTTAAATTTACTGAGACTTGTTTTATGTTTTATAGCCCAACTCAATACATTTTGGAGAAAGCTGCATGTGCACTTGAAAACAATTTTGCTAGCTTTAGGTGGAGTGTTTTATAAATGCCAAAATATTGCCCAATAGGATGTCGAACAGGGGTGGTGAAACCAGGCTTTCATTATTTGTTAGTTATTCAAAGGGGATGCTTCTAACATTTCATTACTAAACTGGACTGTGGAAAGTTTTCAGTAGATGTATGTTACCAGATTTAAGAAATTATTTTCTATTTGTGGTTTGCTAAAAATTTTTATGATGAATGATACTGAATTTTATAAAATTTTTTGCACACATCATAATTATATAGCCATTCTCCTGTTAATAAATAGATGAAATGTTGTCCTGATGTTAAACCACCTTTACATTCTATCACTACCCTCAACTTGGTTAAGCTGTATACTTTTAAAAAGTAACCGATAGACTCATGTTCATAGGGGAGATTGACCATAAATTTCCCTTATAATTCCCTTGTAATTGGATAATCCATATCCAATTTTGGTGAATAAAATTTCATCTAATTTTATTAGGTGAAACAGTGGCTGATTCCTTCTTTATCTAGCTAGGCATGGGAAATTATAAGTGAAAATACAGATTTTTGGCCTTGCCGTTACTCTGTTTAATAGTCTCGCTTTGTGTTTCATTCCCTTCTGCCCTTCATTATTTCTTTTGCCTTCTTAGGCTGACAATTAATGAGGTAAGCATAACTGAGAACCTAGAAAAATGAAAATCTAAGTACCTTTCTGCTTTCAATATAAATGTTTACAACTATGAATTTTCTCTAATATCATTTAGACCTAATCTCACAAGTGTAAATATACATATTTTTTAACGTTTTTACTGCATTTTATAATTTGCATAATGAATAACTTCTTGTTATAGTTATTTAGAAGACACATATTTCTATTTTCTAACTTCAATTTTTGTCATTGATTTCTTGTTTAATTGCACTGTTTGCAGAGAAAGTCATCTGCATGACAATTTATTTAAATTTATTAAGCCTCCTTTATGGCCTCATTTAAATAATTTCTATAGTTCTGTGTGCTTAAAAAGAATGTGTATGATACTCAAGCCAATGGATTTTTTTTTTTCAAATTATACTTTTGAGATTTTTTGTAACTGATCTTTTAAGGAGAAAAATATGTTAAAATGTGTAAAATACTCTTCCAAATTTAGTCAATAATAGATTTCTATAACTCACCTACACTAAGTGTATATGCATTTGAAACTGTTTTACGTTCCTAGTGAATTATACCTTTTTCATAATATGGTGCCCCCTTCATCCTCATTAATTTTTTTGCCTTAAAGTTTATTTTTATATATTTAAATAATGCAATACCAGCTTTTATCATTTAATTTTTAGAATAAGTAGTACATTTACTTAGTTAAAAATATATGATGACATAAAAAGATACACAGAGAGATTTTACAACTCATCCGTTACATTTACACATCACTCACAGCTCCCCCATACAAGTGAACACTTTATGATTTCTCATTTCCATACCACTTTCCCCTTCTCTTTTAAACGCACTTCATTTTTAGAGCAGTTTTAGGCTCACAGTAAAACTGAGCAGAAAGCAGGGAGTCCCATATGTCCCTACCCCTACATACACACAGGTTTCCCCACTGTCAACATCCCTCACCAGAGTAGTATATTTGTTATAACTGCCTATTGACTTTTTAAATGCAAATAAAAATACATCATTTGTTCCATTTCTTTAACAGACAGCATATTTTTTTAAGTGTATCATCACTCTATTCATCAGACATGGCACCTTTATTAGCACTAAAATCTGCTAAGTATTTGGGTCACTCTGTGGACTGCACTTTGCTCTGTTTATTCACAAATATGTACTATATTGTTTTTATTAAATATTATATTTCTTTTAATATTATACAGCTAACTTCCCTTTGTTGTTCCCCTTGACCTTGTGTTCTGGAGTTTCACTTTGTGATAAGATTCCATGCTAATTTTCCCTGATTGATTTTACTTCCAAAATCTGAGAAATCAGCTCTTTCATCAATTTTGTAAAACTTCAGTAATTTACTTTGAATATTGCCTCTTCTTCATTCTCTCTTCCTCTTTTCTGTAACTCCTATTATTCATATTTCCTTTCCTTCTTTCTCCATCTCTCTGAATTTCATGTTTGTAATCTTGTTTATTGGCATTGAATTCTAGGTAATTTCTTCAGTTCTATTTCTCAGTTCACCAATTCTTTCTGAAGCTTTGTTGAATCTGTTTACTGTTTCCATATAGGTGTTCATTGTAATTATTACCTTTTCATTTCCACAAGTTACTTACGATTTTTAAATTACATGGTTTATTTTAAAATTACCTTGTTTTTAAAATCTTGTTTCTTTTAATATGCTTGATTTTCATTTCTGGCATATGAAAATTTCCTTTACTTTTGTGTGCACACCTATATGTTTAATAGGATTTTTGACATATTTTTATCCAACATTTGTAAGTTTTTAGTAGTTCAAAGTGTTTCAGGATATCTAGTTTTTACACCCATCAGTTTTCTCTTCTAAGAACTCTTAATAGTCACATGTGAAGTCTCTTATTTTGTAAGGCTTTATCTTTTCTCTCACTCTCTATTTTTCACCCATGCTTTGAGATCTTCCAGTCCACTCATCAGGGTGAACTGGTTAAAAAATCATCAGCTAAAAGAGTAGATTATTATCTTTCGTGCTCTATTTGAATCTCAAAAGCTCTTTGTATAAATGAAATTTAAATGTTCCACAATAGCCTCTACCATAGTTCTACTTCATTGGGTACATAGTTTGATGATTCTCTCATCCTGCTTCTGGCTAGTAGGCCCCTTTAGATGAGTTGCTATTTTTCACTATCCACAGAGTCAAGGTCAAATCTCATGGCTGTGAATTTTAAATGATGAGATCCCCACAGGTGGTGTCAGGCAAAGCACCCTCTAAACTTACTGACTTGTAGTATAAAACTTAGCAAGCTGTAAGTCCTGCACCATGAGCCCCTGAAGCCAGCATCGTAGCACTCCAATCTTCCTACACACCGACCCACAAAAGTTTAAGGACAAGAAGATTTATCCCACCATTTCAGATACTTCTTGGCTTTTTGTGGACTGAAATAGGTCAATTAAAGTTTGTCTTAAAGTTTTAAACTTTAAGTGACTGTCCGTTTCTCCTGTAATTTCTATTTTATGAATGTTTCTATTTTATCATTATGAAGAATTCTTCTTTATCTAACGGTTATTGCTTTTTGGCTTGTATTCTAATTTGTCCAATATTAAGATCATGATTCCTACTTTTTGCTTTCTTTGTACTTACATAATAAATCTTTACTCATCCTTTTACTTTCAACCTTTCAAAACCACTTTCGTTTTTTTGTATGTTTCTTGCATATAGAACTGGGTTTTATTACTGTGATCAATTGTGATATTTTTCTTAACAGGTGATTTATAAAAGCTTCTACATTTATTTTTTATGACAGCATGACTGGTCTTAAGATATGTCATATTTTATGTTATGCTTACTGATCTTTACAGATTTTTTAAGGTTCCATTACATATATTGTTCTTAGTTTTATCCATACAGATCTTTAATATTTTGGAAGCTCTATAATTTTATAGAACTGCTTATCTTTTTAACTATGAAAGAATAAGTAATCTTCCATCGGCTTAAAAAGGGTATTTCCTTACTATGAGAAATGTAAATGTCAGCATATTTACTCTTAATTTTTTCCTTTCATCTACATCATCAAATTTTAGTCAACAGGCCTACATTTGTAATATTTCATCTTTCCGCTTACATGGAAATTCTGACTCTTTGCACTTGCTCTACTTTCCTTCTTTTCTCAATCCTCTCCCAATTCATTACAGTTGAGTCATTTCTACATTATTAGCATATATAAAAAGTAAATTCTGGTCTGTCACAGTAATATGAACGTGTATTTTATTCTTCGTCTTATGGTTAAATTTATTCAGTGCTCACCAGCTGTCCTTAGCAATAGTTTCTCCAGTCATTCGTAGTTGGTTGGACTTCATCCCCAGCAATTTCCTCAAGATTTAGTCACAGAAATAATTTGCTGTATGGCTAAAAAATATTTGATGGCATTTTTTTTACTTAAAGGATAGTTTGGCTCCCACTTTCTTCATTTAAGTATCTGATGATTGTGGTAGTTTTTTGTACTGAAGGTTATTTTAGAGTCTAAAGCCAGACTCATTTTTCTCCTTATTTTGTGCACTGTTATACAAAGTATTCTTATATTTAAGTCCAGTAATACACCTTGATGCTAGCCACTCTAGGTCAATTTTCCCTAGCACACAATATGTCCTCTAAATAAGAATGGCAAAATCTAACATCAAGACTTCATTAAATTATAGATTTAAATATTTGTCTAGTTCCATTGTTCTGCTTTTATTTGGGAACTCCATTTATGCCATTATTTATTTATTTATTTATTTATTTATTTATTTATTTAATTTTGAAACAGTCTCCCTCTGCTGCCCAGGCTCTGGAATGCAGTGGTGCAGTCTCAGCTCACTGCAACCTCCGCCTCCTGGGTTCAAGCAATTCTTTTGCCTCAGCCTCCTGAGTACCTGGGATGACAGGCGCTCGCCACCATGCCTGGCTAATTTTTGTATTTTTAAGAGACGGGGTTTCACCATGTTGGCCAGGCTGGTCTCAAACTGCTGACCTCGTGATGTGCCCGCCTCAGCCTCCCAAAGTGCTGGGATTACAGGTGTGAGCCACCTCACCCAGCCGATTTATGCCATTATTGTAATTTGTTTTTCTCTCATGTCACTCATTTTCTTTCTAATCCTAAACTCACATTTTCACCTATTCATATTATTTGCTTTTTTCAGTTTTATCTTCTGTGTATTTCACTATGATACTAGCCAGGGTTTTGCCTTTGAGCAATCTCCAATTTTATTTTTTTGTGTATAGTTCTTTTCCTCCAATACTTGTCCAATGTTTTATTAGCTCATAATTAAATACTTCCATGCTATCTGTTTTAGTCTGTTCTCACGCTGGTATGAAGAAATACCCAAGATTGGCTAATTTATAAAGGAAAGAGGTTTAATTGACTCACAGTCCTGCATTGCTGGGGAGGCCTCAGGAAACTTACAATCATGGTGGAAGGCAAGGAGAAGCAGCCACCTTCTTCACAGGGTGGCAAGACGGAATAAGGGAAAGGAGGGGAAATGCCAAATGCTTATAAAACCATCAGATCTCATGCGACTCACTGTTACAAGAACAGCAGAAAAGAAACTGCCCCCATGATCCAATTATGTTCCCCTGGTCCCTCCCTTCACACGTGGGGATTACAATTCAAGATGAGATTTTAGGTGGGGGAACACAACCAAACCATTTCACTATGTTAACATTTCTAACAACTTTTTTTTTTCAGATGGGGATGTTGCTACATTGTCCAGGCTGGATTCAAACTCCTGGGCTCAAGCAACCTTCCTGCATAAGCCTCCTGAGTAGTAGGATTACTTCTCCAAATTATGTTTAGTGGTTCTTTCTCAGAAGCTACTTATTTATTTTTAACTTATGACAGTAAATTTTTAAATCAAAATTCTATATATTCCATAGCAATATTTTTATGCTAAGTGCTATTCATGTACTGGTTACCTTAACTTTTTTTTTCCGTGTTTTTTATCTGATACATGCACTGATGATGTGCCAATTCTTTGATACAGTCTAATTTGCCTGGCCCATCAGTCTACAGGATGCTTCCATGCATATGTGTAAAAGAAGGGACAAGGGTAACCTTTTTGCTTTCATAATCCAAAAACTTTCTCTTTCTCTATAGCCACAGAGATAGACTGCTTGCCACAAATACAGCTCATCTGTGTAATTCTTTGTGATATCTTCTCCTTTTCTGAAACCAATCTGATTCAAAAAAACTCTGCTATCAGGCATGATATATGTGTATCTATTATTTCAAAGAAATGATCTATTTTTTTATTTATTATTATACTTTAAGTTTTAGGGTACATGTGCACAATGTGCAAGTTAGTTACATATGTATACATGTGCCATGCTGGTGCGCTGCCCCCACTAACTCGTCATCTAGCATTAGGTATATCTCCCAATGCTATCCCTCCCCCCTACCCCCACCCCACAACAGTCCCCAGAGTGTGATGTTCCCCTTCCTGTGTCCATGTGTTCTCATTGTTCAATTCCCACCTATGAGTGAGAATATGCGGTGTTTGGTTTTTTGTCCTTGCGATAGTTTACTGAGAATGATGATTTCCAATTTCATCCATGTCCCTACAAAGGATATGAACTCATCATTTTTTATGGCTGCATAGTATTCCATGGTGTATATGTGCCGCATTTTCTTAATCCAGTCTATCATTGTTGGACATTTGGGTTGGTTCCAAGTCTTTGCTATTGTGAATAGTGCTGCAATAAACATGTGTGCATGTGTCTTTATAGCAGCATGATTTATAGTCCTTTGGGTATATACCCAGTAATGGGATGGCTGGGTCAAATGGTATTTCTAGTTCTAGATCCCTGAGGAATCGCCACACTGACTTCCACAATGGTTGAACTAGTTTACAGTCCCACCAACTGTGTAAAAGTGTTCCTATTTCTCCACATCCTCTCCAGCACCTGTTGTTTCCTGACTTTTTAATGATCGCCATTCTAACTGGTGTGAGATGGTATCTCATTGTGGTTTTGATTTGCATTTCTCTGATGGCCAGTGATGGTGAGCATTTTTTCATGTGTTTTTTGGCTGCATAAATGTCTTCTTTTGAGAAGTGTCTGTTCATGTCCTTCGCCCACTTTTTGATGGGGTTATTTGTTTTAGAAATGATCTATTTTTGAAATTTAAGGTGGGCCTCTCATCTTCAGAAACTGTACTTTCACTGACAGTTCCTATTTGCTATAATTGAACTCTCTCACCATGCTCTTTGTATTTTCTCTTCTCTTTAGCCTTAACAGCTTTTACCCAACCTTAGCAACTTTAAGCAGCTGATACCCATATTCTGGAGTTCATACATTTGCATCTATCTTGATAAGAGAGTACAGTTTTTTACTTCTTGTTGTATCATTTATACATTCTACAGGAAAAGGGGAAAATAGGACATCTTAAACACCATGTTTACACAGGAAATTGCCTGCTTGTATTTTTAATTTTGTATTAACTGAGTTTTCATTTTTTTGTACATTTTTTAATGTGCTTTCTTGATATTTGAGGAGGTTGCATCTTGGGCTACAATCCTTTAACTTTCTCCAATCAATTTATTTTAATTAACTGAAGTTAAGTAAGTGATCTTTATCTCTTAAAATAAAAAGGGCATATGCTTCTTCACTCCCAGTACTCTATCACCAAGTGAACTTATATATATCTATATATATATATATGATCCATATATATATAGATAAATATATCCTTCTCTACAATCCTGGCTTTGTTTGAACTATTCCTTATATCCATAGTATATCTAGTCTCCCTTAATCATTGTTTGGTACCAAAATTTTAAAAATATTTAAACTTCTAGGCTATACAGCTTGTTAGACATGTCTTGTCTGAATTTTGTGCAGTTTTCATGATTATTACAAATAAGCGCGTTGCATATTTAAGCAAGCACCAAAAAAAAAGGGCAACACTGAGGTTTTCATAGGAACCCCATCTAGTAACATTTAAATTACAGTTGCACTACTTCCTTGGCTTCATTTGTAAGGAAATCTACTCTTAAAACTATATTCATACACTGGATAGTGTAGTACGAACTGCAATCACTAAGCCAGCAGTAGTTTCTTACGCAAAAACTGTTCTTAGAAAGTATTCAAATTCTGTATTTGGGGAAAGAAATGAAGTATTCTAGCATCTTGAAGTCACAAAATTAATTAATAAGCCCTACTGTTAGAAACTAATAACAAAATACTGACTCAGCATGTAAGCATAAGATCAACTCTCAGAAAGACCTCAACATATACATGATATTTCCTTGTCAAGGAAGCTTTCCTTGAAATCATAGTCATATGTGCATCATTATATCTTGACAAAATATTTTATTACATCTATAGATAATGCTTTCTTTTCAGGAAGCATATAGAAATAAAACCTTGTTACTTAAATTGTAATCTTGTTCCATAATCTACTATTAATAAATTTTATAAAACACTCTTACTACTTCTACCACATAAAGCTATTATTTTCCAGTGTTAGATTATTCAAGTCAAATTTCATGTTACATTACATATAAAACTCATAAAAACATAATCTCAATAGTTATTTCTAGAATGCATTACAACAAATATCAATTTACTTCTGACCTAAATGCTTCAGAAAGTATCCCAGAACCTTCAAAGCTTGAACCCAAATACTTTCACTTTTAGAAGCCAATAAATTGTAGATCACCCTAAAAAATATATAAATAATGTTTAAAAACTTACTAATATTAAAAACAAAAATACACTACATACTTTACAAATAAATTATACATATGTGAAATATAAAACTTCTCTGAAGATTTTATTCTCAGGATTATAATTCCTTGGAAAAATTAAAAACTGGCATGCTTTAATAATTTTTCTTTAAACATGTCCTTCAACCATATACTCAAAAGGGCAATGTGACTGGTATTCATAAGTACTGCCTCCCAACATACTAAACACGATTTTCAGTTTTAAGACACATGCTTGTTTAGGCCACATCTCTTCTAAGAATTGGCCCCAACATTTAAACTTGATAACCCTATTTTCTTTCTTTTTTTTAAATTTTTTGTTCTTAATTTTAATATAGAGGTGAGGTTTTGCCATATTGCCCAGGCTAGTCTGGAATTCCTGAGTTCAAACAATCCAACCACCTCGGACTCCCAAAGTGCTGGAATTACAGGCGTGCGCCACTGCACCCTAACCCTCTTGTCTTGGTATGACTGATTAGATAATAGGTAGGCACCTGCCTAGTTAGTGCTCTTTTTTGAGAATTTGGAATGAGGTCTAAGAAACAATATCTCCTCTTTGCTGGGCTCTTGGATTCGAAAATTGTTTAAAACAGAAACTAGAACAGCAATGTTTTGTTTCTGCTCAGAAAGGCTAGTCAACATACAGAAGGAAGGATTAAACAGCTTACAGAAAGCAGCAGAGAAAGCAAACTTGTTTCCTAATAGCCCTACAATTCCTGGTTCCTACTCTAAGATTTTTTAAACAAACATATTATTCAGTTTTTACTTTAAAAGCTTGAGAGGTTTTCTGTTACTTGGAGCAAAATAGCCTCCACTAATATACAACCTAACCTATACAATCACTTCAAGTACTACATAAAAGTAGGGCGATATTCATTATAATATTCGTAAGTGTTTAGAAATTTTATTCCATATTTTTTCTATTTAAAAAAATTATTTGTTTCCATAAAGTAGAAGGGACAATGACAACTATATACACTGGCAACTAATTCTAGAATATAAGGTTCTTTAGGGGCTATAAAATTATAGTTTGCTTTATTTTATTAAATATTGTTTCTTAAAAAATAAAATGCCATGGTATATTTTGAGGTAAAGTACTCAGCTGAAGAAGAGAATCTAGTAAAAGATGCAATATAATTTTCATAATTTCAGTGATACTTACAAGGGGGCACAAATAGCTTAAACATAATGTCATTATTTTTAGTTTTACCAACAGCTTATACTATTAAAAAAGAAAAGATGTTATTGGTACTGTTTCTTTTTCTCTTTTTTTCTTTTATGCTTTGCATTTCATCTATTAAAGAATAAACTACAAGAAAAGTGATTATTTCCTTTGGAAGATTTTTTTTTCAAATCCCACATTCATAAATATGTATGGGTTTACACTGAAATCCATTTTCAAAACTTTTAGGAACCAAGATCAGTAATGAAAAAAGACAAGTTTGAGAATAGCAAAGTCAGACATGTCAAAAAAATACATTCAAGAAATCATAAGAAGCAACATTAAACAGCAAAAATAGTCTTGAGAACCAAAGTAAAACTCACAGTCTGGGCCAGGCATGGTGGCTCACGCCCGTAATCCTAACACTTTAGGAGGCCAAGGTGGCAGACTGCCTGAGTGCAGAAGTTCAAGAGCAGCCTGGGCAACAGGGTGAAACCCCGTCGCTGCTAGACACAAAAAAAATTAGTCGGGTGTGGTGGCACATGGCTGTAGTGCCAGCTACTGGGGACGCTAAGGCATGAAAATTGCTTGAGCCCAGGAGGTGGAGGCTGCCGTGAGCCGAGATGGTGCCACTGCACTCCAGCCTAGACAACAGAGCAAGACTCTGTCTCAAAAAAAACAAAGCAAAGCAAAACAAAACAAAACACAACACTCACAGCCTAAAAATGTGGTTACACTCAAATATAGAATTGGAAGTTCTCACAGAGTTTCTACTGCCTAGGAATGACTTTGAGTAGGAGGAAAAAAGTTATTAGACTCCACCCTGGGTCAAGAGAAATTACGACTAATGTTGAAACATGAAAATGTCTAAGGCCATCATACATGTATATATGTAAAGATGTGATACAGTATGAATAAGAAATTTGTTAATGAATGTTTACTTGTAATATACATTGTTACTAATTAATAATAATCCTAATTCATCTGCTTAAGCTCACTATATTCAGCCAGCAAATGATCTAAGCTATATAAGACAGGTAGTTGTCTATTCTTTTCTTTAAACATTTCAAGATATAAAAATATCACATTTTTAGCTGCTTAGTTCAGTGTTATCACAAGGGCTTCCTTAAGCTGAATTAGCATACCATCAGAACTAAACTCAGTTCATTCTTTTTGTTCAGATGTTATACTGAATTCCATTGTATGAATTAGAACAGACCAGAATTTTCCTCCCAAAATACTTCATATACAACTGTTAGCCTTTAATGGCTATTTTCTAGAATAAAGACATATAAATGCTTTAGACACTTTCAATATTTTCTATCTAATAAGCCTTTTTTTTCACCTTTTATACTATTCTGAACCAGCTTTCTCCCCATTTTTGAAGTAGAAAAGCTGAAGTGTCAAGGAAAGGCCGTTTTTTAATCTTTGTGATTGTTTTTAACATAGTGGCAACAATCTGAAATGTTCTGCTCATGGTCAGCCATGAGCACAAAGCCTTTTAATCTGTTGTGCTTAATCAATTGTTTCATACCATACATTTAAAACACTATGTCAATCCTAAAGATCTTACCAAATAGCACTCTCATATGTAGGATCGTATTTCCAATGTGTCAAAACAATAGAATTATATTTCTGCATTTCATCATATTAGACAATCTAAGTTTAGTATCTTCCACAAGGGTAACGGGGATATCTTCAACTGGTTCACTAAATTTATCAGATAATATAATAAACAAAGCAAAATCTCAGGACAAGGACACTAATTATTGAATCTAAATATAAGTTCAGAAGAGTGAGTGTAATTGTACTACCTTATTAGATCAAACCATATGAAATTGCCATTATTTGGTAAAATCAGTTAAGTATCAACAGTTTCATATAGTTCAAACTCAAGAGTAAAAAATTATAACAGTTTTTAATCACTAAATGTATAATCTTTTTCAAATAGATTGGCAGGCCTTTGAATTATAAACTCAAAGGTAATAGTGATGTCACAAGGGAGATATGCATATAGAGATAGTGATCGCTTCTCTAATTTGAAAAGGAGTTCTTCAAGTCTAGAAAGTTGTTATCCATTGATATAAATGGCCAAGTAAAAAAAGCACTTAAAAAAGCCCTTGACAGTCACTGATATATTCTTTCCAAACTCTTTTTCACAATAAATCTGTAGAAATTCACTGAGTTATACACGGCATAACCTTGATATCCTGCTCATCCCACTAATTAAAACTCCAGAAAAATAAAAAGGAAGAATTCCTTAAGAAGCTAAATTATAGGGTTAAGTTCATAAAAATACTAACTAAGAAATTATATTTCACCTGTCTACCAAGTTACTTTTCAATTGCCACAACAAAAGTTGGTTTTGAATTTCTTTAGGCTTTGGCCTCTTAACTCCAGAACATCTTTCATCTCTATTATTTCCATTGCACTGCTACTGTCTCAGGTCATCATTTTTAATACTGATGAATAAAATAATCTCCCTACGGATATTGCTACATCAGTTTGTCCTTCAACTCATGTTTCACACTGGTGATTGTAAATCTAACAAAATAGCAATCTGAGCACATTTCCCCTATTTAAAATTCTTTAATTTTCATCACCAACTGAAAAAAAAACGAAACACTAAAGTTACTACCATCCTATGAACCTTCCAAAACTGGCTGTAATCTCTGTCTCAGGCCTAATATCATAAAATTTCATTGTATCCTCTTTTGGTAAAACATACCTTGCTTTTTCGTGTCTTCTTGAAAAAAAAATTGCTCTATTCACAATTTGTAATGTCCTTACTATAGCAAAAACAATTTACTCTTCTTGATTCCTGAGACTACTGTTTATACACTTCATCAGTTTCCTGAGTATTGGAGGATCAACAGCAGCATTCTCCATTTATACTCTCTTATGTGTAAGATGCTATATTTATTCAAATATTCATAGAATAGGAATTATTCTAGGAGGAACAACTGTGCTCCATTGACGTCTAATAGTAATACTAATATTATAATCATACCTTATTCCATTTCTTTGATTAAATACTGGTATCATTGAGGCTGGGTGTTCTGACATTAAAGCCACCAGTAACTGTAGCACATCATGAATATTTTCATCCTGCATAAATCACCAATATTGATTTAAATTTTACTCTAAAGATTGGCTTAAATAATTAAAATAAAAGGTCCATAACATGTCCTACCTCATGTATTGTAAGAAGGTAATTTAATATACTCTGAAGTTCATCTTCTTTGACCCTTTGATCTTAATTTTTAAAAAATATTTTATTATTTTACATCTAAAATTAAAATTTTAATTTAAAAGACACCAAAATAATCATTTTAAAAGAAAATAAGAGTAAGTTTAATGTAGTGATATTTGAATTAAAATCCCCACACATTTCACAATTTATAGACTATATTATTTCAAGTTAATTAAGTAAATATTTAGAAAATCATATCAATTTTTAAGTCATTAATATTTGATTGACATTCACTATAAAAAGTTAGCCTATTTTGACCATCGAAGTATTCTTATGACTATTTTCTAATCATTCTTTCTTGAATACAAGTGCAAGACTATACAGTATCAATTTTTGTGTATTACCTCAAAATTTATATTTATTTTCACTTTGTTTTCATCTTAACATTTAAAAAATCCTACTACAATAAAATACATTATGTAAGCCTTCTTAAACTGGCACACAGACCATTTTCTAGAATAATGGTCAATTACTATAAGAATAAGGGCTCAATTCTTATTCATATGTTCCTTGTCCATTTCTGTCACATCCCTTAATAGGGAAGATTTCAGAGAGCATTTAACCAGAAGTTAGTTAAGTTCAATAAAGTTAATATTAAGATGTGCAGAATTTTGGAAGCAATTCATTAATTAAAGGTAGCTATTACTAATTTAACAATAATAATTTTAAAACATGCCAGAAATTCCTTTCTACCTATATACTGTAATTCTAAATTATATAAAATTATTTTACTTTTAGTATGAGCTGTTTCAGAAAAAGTAGCATAAATGCCCTCAGTGATATAATTTCTTTTTGTGATGGCTGGGGACCATCAAGAACAAAACAGAAAAAAAAGTAAAAATAAAAAATACAAGATATTAAATAAGCTTAATGCAGTTATGTTGGGATACTATGGCATTCTTGAATAATTATATTTATTAAAATTACAATATTTACATTAATGCTATAAAATTTTAATAATATATGGGTATCCAAAAATTAACTTTCAAATTTTTGGCAATTTCAAATTATTTACTCAATGTCTGATTTTGTGGAAAAAAGAACTTTTAAAAAAGTTGTAATATATTAGTATCCATTTACAAATGTATAATCCCCAAGTATTTACATTAATACTTGAATACTTTTTTCTGTTTTTATTACATTAATAGGTTTCCCAATATGTCTTCCATTCTCAATTAAACTTGTCTTCATTTAAGGACTGTCTCCATTTTCACCCCACACATTATTTAATAAAGCTCAGAAAAAGTGACACTGTTTTATTTTAATTATTTGTTTTGCAGCCTATTTCTTCTATGGCACTTGTATAAAGAAAATACATATTATGGTGGGCATTTAATAAATGCTGTGTCAATAAGTGAAAATGAGCATAAAATATTCAAATGTACATATCAGTTCTATCATAATGTACAAATTTTAAAGTAATTTCAAAATATCTAATTACTAATAAAATGAAAATATAAAATAATATATAATATGCATAATATACAATAAAGTATACTTTTAAGAAATGTAGCTAGATTCATAAAAATCCTTTAACATTAAGCCTTTCTTGTAGCAACCAGTATTTATCTACTGCTTTACAAGTTTTAAAAGCATAATCCCTTCATGTATAATCTATACCATCTGCTTATTCACTTAATATTTACATGAAGATTATTACATCTGCAAGCAAGTTATTATCCAAAAAATCCATCCTGCCTATTATAATAAAAGAAATATTTTCCCTATTTCCCAGACTGCTCTCCACCTTTTATTGCCCCACTCCCACTAAGATGCACAGAGTACTCTTCCCCTCCTACTGACACTGGGTATTACTTAAAAAAAACTTTTCATTGTAAAATATTGCCTATGTACAGAAAACATACATGATCAACTTAATGAATTATCATAAAATGAACACCTGTATAAACAGTTCTTTGACCAAGAAATTGAACACTGACAGTAGCCTGACAGGGAAACCTGTCAACTATTGGTGTGCTGGTAAAGGAATTATCTGCAGAGTGGAGGGATGAGGTCCTGATTTTGAGCATTTACGTATTTCTGATTTCTATCATATTAATAATAATCTGATTTCAAGTTCAAGTTACCAATGGTTTAACAACCAGCTCATAAAATTCCTGAATATCTAACAACTGATTGTGTCCCCATCCTGCCCTGCATGCCAAAGCCCTCACCATGCTCCAGACCTCAGCTCTGTGCCACATTCCTGTTCCTGATCACATCCCCACTCCATCCAAGAAAAGACAGATTCTGTCTTAGTAATAATTTCCTTAATCTTACTATTTCTGCCACCACTTAATAAAATTGGACAAGTTTTATAACATCTCTGTACCTAAGATTTGTTTTCTTCTTTATTGTTAGGGTAAGAATAATAATACTGCTTGTCATAGGATGTCTTGTGAGGATTAAATGGATCAGCGTATGTAAAGAAATTAGACTAGTACCAGGCCCATTTTAATCATAATCACTCAAATGTTAGCAATAATTACTTTTATTGTATACTGCACAATATAAACAGCATGTTGCAAAGAAATATATATATTTGTGTGCTTTGTGTATGATATAAATCCATTTCTGCAAAATAAAATACAAACCGATTTATCTAACAAATATGAAACTCAATGAAAAAACAAATCCCAAAATAATACTATTTATGTAAATATAGAAGCTAAACAATAAATTAATAATACATACATAAATAGCAAAAGAGTAAAGCATAGTAAAAAATAATAAGCACCCAAGTAAAGAAAAGAAATAACGTAAAATTTGGGATGGAGTGATTTCTATGACGGGGAATAGAAAAGAGATGTGGCCACGCATGAGAATATTCAGGCTCATTGGTAATGTTCTGTGTCTTAGGCTTAGTGATGTTTAAATAGGGTTCATTTTACATTTATATTCATATTTATAACATGTTTATATATTACATTGATATATGTAATTATACCACTTTGTGTTCGTGATGTATTCAGAATAAAACTTTGAAACACCTATGTGTATGCATGAGTAAGTTCATGTTTGTATGAGCAGAGAAAAAGCAGCAGAAGGATATGCAAGACTGGTAACATTGGCTACCTAGGAGAGTAGTAACTTTTTATTCATAAACCTTTGTATTATTTCACTTGCTACCATGAATATGTATTACCTGTCCTATAATATTTTTAATATATCTCAATGTTTTTACAGTTAACTATATATAATAATACTTTAAGAGACAAAAGCGTTAAGTAAAAAAAAAATCCTACTTCTCAAGGTGAGTGCCTACACATGAATAGTTCTACGAAAACTAGTGTAGTGCACATTATCTTTAGAGTGTCCTTAAAAGAAAGCATTTGTTTAAAATGGTATTGAAAAATGCTGTCATTTAGAAAATGATACACTTCAAGTCAGAACCTTACATTCTACTATATAACAAAATTAATTTCAAAGTATTAAAATGTTAAAGTAATAATTTAAATGATAAAGAAAAATAAGTGCTCATTCCACTTTCCTGTCACTTTCACTTAAAATATATGTACTACTGGTTCTCTTCCTTTCCCTCTCTTTGATGTAGCTAGAGCCAGTGAGGCCTCAGGGACACGGGTTCTATGGAGGGAGCAGAGGCCCTGGTGATACCCAGGATCTTATAGAGCCAGAGGCAAGTGAGTCTGGAAGGACTTTCAGGGTGAGGGCCAAGGAGACAGTAGAGGTCAGGAGGACGGCCAGTGCCAAAGAAACAACTGGGGCTGAAGAGACAACAAGGACCATTCAGAGTCAAATCTGAGGGTATGATTAGAGATGACTAGCAATGTTAAAGCTGAGAAGGTTATGGCATGTGTATCAAAATATTGGTTTTGTAAAGTAGAATAAGAAAACATATAAATATATTAAAGACAATAGGAGCAAGACTTCTCACTATTGAAGAAGAAAGCTACACATTTAAGAAGTTTGAGGCTAGGTCGAGCCATGTGACTGGAATTGAAGGTACTGCTGTGAACTCATGGTTTTAATATACATAAATCAGTTGAGATGTACCTATATACATAGATTCAAACATCATTTCCTAGATCTGTCCACTAAGAGAATGTAGAAGCAATGACATTCAAAAACCAAGAAGCACACCTCACATCCAGATCTTGGTTTCTAAAAACCATATCCACCAAGCAAACCAGGGCTTCTTGGAAAAATGGCTAATTTCAGGGCTGGGATAAGGAAAGTGTAAGAAAAGTCAAAAACATCTTGTTTCAGAAAGTAAGAAAGTATTATAAACTTATGGGCATTTGTCCCATAATCCATGTGAAGGGTCCTACTGGCCAAATCTCGAGCATCAAAATAATGATACAACCCAGGAGACAGATAAACCACAGCCCTAGGACTAAACCAATCAGGCCACTTGTTTTTGTACGTTTCACTAGAACAAGCCACACCTATTCATTTACATACAGTCTGTGGTTATTTCTGCAATACAATGTCAGAGCTGACTATGTGCAACAGAGACCTTATGGCTCCGTAAGCCTAAAACACTACCTGGCCCTTTGCAAAGAAAGTATGCCAACTGTTGATATAACACATTGAATACATGAGTCCATACTGATATAAAAGATGATAGACAGATAGATCAATAAACAGACAGATCGATAGATAGATATAGACAGATAGATAGAGTGGAGTAGTAAAACAAGTTCTTCCTTACAGTAGATATGCCAACTTAATCAATGTCTTAGAAAACATCATTTGTCAGTCATCATAATAAAGATAATTTTTAGTAAGAATCATCAGCACACTAAAACAGGCAGGTGAAACTTTGTTGAGGAACAGGATATTTATATAGTTTCAATGTATTTCTCCATCAAATACTTCTTAACTACCAAAGAGAAAGAAGTGATTTTTATAATGAAGAAACCTGGAAGATAATACCTTAATCAAATGTTTAAAGTTGACATCACTTGTAAAAGCACAACTCAACATCATGTGTCTCCTTGACATGATACAAGGAGACAGACAATATGACTTCTGTGTTATTTCTTGTAAAAATGAAAAACCTGCATCATCATGAACAAATAGAAAATTCAAATTTAAGGGTATTCGAAAAAATAACTGGTCTGTATTCTTCAAAAATGTCAAGGTCCTGAAAGACAAGGAAATAGTAAAAAACTATTCTACATTGAAGAACATTAAAAGTAACAAGGCAACTAAGCACAACATATGGTCCTCAACAGACTTAGGACAAAAGAATTTTTTTCCTAGAAAGGATCTTATTACTGTAATTAGTGAAATTTGAGTGGGGGTCTTTGAATTAGATGATAGTATTGTATTAATGCTAACTTCCTGATATTAATGGGTATCCTCTGGTTATTTAACAAAGTGCCTTTACCTTTCAGGAAATACACAATAAAGTATTTAGAGGTGAGAGGGTATCATGTCTACAATTTATTATCAATTGATTCAGAAAAAAATATGGGCATGTGTCTGTAGGTGTGTTTATATATATATAAAAAGAGCATGAGAGAATAGTAAAGCCTAAAGTGGTAAGATGTAAAATATTGAGAATCTACTGAGGGACATATGAGAATTCTTTGTGCAATGTTTGCAACTTTGTAACTCTTCTGTAAATTAGAAATTAATATTTTAAGGCAGAAATTATGATGTGTGAATATATGATTTGTTTAGACTAGAGAAAACTCTATCATAGAGTAGCATTTAAGAATGAGATCTCTGAGTCAGATAGATATGATCCAAATTTTGGTGCTGGTTGGTTTGCACCAACTTTCAGTTTCCTAATCTTTAAAATGAGGATGATATCAAAAACAAAGTTACATATAGATGCAGTCTTATGTATGGATATCAAAAACAAAGTTACATATAGATGCAGTCTTATGTATGGATATGAATATGTCTATTTATCTATAATTATATTATGTTTTTTATATATATATATTACTAAACAAATTAACAGGTAGAGTGCTTGGCAGAAAAATCCAATACATTTTAGGCATTACCAACTTAAAAGCAATGGAAGAAGCCATAGAAGGACAAAATAACAGATCTGAATATAAATAACTTCTAAAGCCCCATTAATAAAATAAAAAGAGATAAAAGTAAGCTTGTATAAATATTAAAATAGTAAAATGGGAAGCCGAGTTGGGCAGATCACGAGGTCAGGAGATCGAGACCATCCTGGCTAATACGGTGAAACCCCTCTACTAAAAATACAAAAAATTAGCCAGGCGTGGTGGCGGGGGCCTGTAGTCCCAGCTACTCGGGAGGCTGAGGTAGCAGAATGGCATGAACCCGGGAGGCAGAGCTTGCAATGAGCCCAGATAGCACCACTGCACTCCAGCCTGGGTGACAGAGGGAGACTCCATTTCAAAAAAAAAAAAAAAATTGGAAAATGCTATTTTTCCTTATCAAAGGGATTATTATAAAACTATAATATTCAATGTTATTGTGAGCACGCTAAAGGAAGTACTCTAACATACTACTGGTAAAACTAAAATAATATGACATTCCTGAAAAAAATTTAAAATATTTGTCATTAGCCCCTTTTTCAGTAATTTTAAACAAATCAAGATGGAGGTAAACACATATATATATGAGAGAATCCTCTAATATGTATAAAATCAAAACTTTAGAAACAATGTAAATGGTACATCCCCTTACATTACTACATTGAGCTGAGAAAAGGACAAGATAGAAAAATTGAGAAAATCTCAATTTATAATTAAGAAGTTTAAATATTTTTATATATGTATGCAATGAGAAACACTGGAAGAAAACATGCCAAAATCGTATCAGTAATTATTCTTGGGGTTTGGGCCATAAATATATATTTTCTTCTGTATTATTTATTTTCTTTTTTTTGTATAATTAGAAAAACTGGCTATATTTTCAAAACAAAAAAGATATCACAGTGAAGAATTAAATTAGTTTCCACTACAGTCAGAACAAAGGATAAATCTGGAATAAAAATATGAAAACATGTAACAATCTGAAAATGTTGAAAGCAACTGATGTACTAGAACACACTAACCAATATCATTTAACTGTTTTTAATATTATAAATGTGTCTTCCTGAATGGAAAAAGGCATACAGGCTAAAATAAAGACTATTGTTGCTTTTTACCTGATTTTATTCCAAAATAATTTAATATTGAAAAGCCCTAAACTTCTTTACCACAAACAATTCTCAATATGCCAGTTTGCTACATAAGAAAGAAAACATTTCAGTGATTTCATAGTCATGTACACTGCTCACACTTTAACAGTACTCAGAATACAGAATATTCATAGGCAAATGTAAATACAGTGGAAGTGTTATACATACCTAATCCTTTAGGTGTAATGCCACTACTGTCAGCAGGATTAATAACCCAATAGTAATATTTTAAGGTGTGCATTATCTTTAATAACTGTTCCTATTCTGCGTATGGTGGTGTAGATGGTAGCAGTTCCAATAAATTCAGCAGACAAATATGTATATAGGGAAAGTTGAACCTAATACAGAATATTAACAGATCATTAAAATGAACTTAAAATGCCTCAAGTGCTTATATTATAAATATGCATTGTTTTAATTTAAACGGAAATTAGTAAAGGCCAAGAAATGATCATTTATTAAGAGGTTAAAGATAACTTTCTTCTTCAATATTATTTGTATTTTAAAAATATATAGCCAGGCGCGGTGGCTCAGGCCTGTAATCCCAGCACTTTGGGAGGCTGAGGCGGGTGCATCACCTGAGGTCGGGAGTTTGAAAGCAGCCTGACCAACATGGAGAAACTCCATCTCTACTAAAAATACAAAAAAATTAGCCAGGCACGGTGGCACATGCCTGTAATCCCAGCTACTCGGGAGGCTGACGGAGGAGAATGGGCTGAACCAGGGAGGCGGAGATTGCGGTGAGCCAAGATCGCGCCATTGCACTCCAGCCTGGGCAATGAGAGTGAAACTCCGTCTCAAACAAACAAAAAAAAAAAAAAAAAAAAAAAAAAGGCCGGGCGCGGTGGCTCACGCCTGTAATCCCAGCACTTTGGGAGGCCGAGGCGGGCGGATCACGAGGTCAGGAGATCGAGACCATCCTGGCTAACACGGTGAAACCCCGTCTCTACTAAAAATACAAAAAATTAGCCGGGCGAGGTGGCGGGCGCCTGTAGTCCCAGCTACTCGGGAGGCTGAGGCAGGAGAATGGCGTGAACCCCAGGGGGCGGAGCCTGCAGTGAGCCGAGATCGCGCCACTGCACTCCAGCCTGGGCGACAGCGAGACTCCGTCTCAAAAAAAAAAAAAATATATATATATATATATATAAAATCTGCAATTAACGTTTTCTAATAAACTTATTATAATAAGGTAGTCTAACAGCTGTGGCAATTAAATAATTTTAAAATGATTAATTTATTGAAATTAATCTGATAAAAAGATTAAAATATTTTAAAAGTCAACTAAAGCTCTTAAAGTATATTTCAGTAGCTTTCAGTGTATAAATTTCTTCATAGCAACAGAACATCAGTCAGCTAAAGCCTATCTAAAAACCTATATATTTTTGTCATATATCCTAAAAGTTCATGCAATTTCAAATTCTCCTCCCCTGTGGCCATAATATATATAGTTTGCTTTCACAATCTGACCATGTGAGCACAGAGATGGCATGTCGGACATCTTGCTTAAAAGAGTTCTCAAAATTAAGATTTGGGCTTAGGCAATAATTAATAACTCAGGGAGATATTATTAAACTGTAAAAGATAGCTCAAAATCAAAATATCCCTCATTATTGATTTCCACTAAGACTAAATTCTGGTATACAAAATAATAAGAATTTTCTGTTATTATCTGGAAAAATATTTATTTCATGTATATATTTATTTTTAAGTGAGTATTATTTACATGTAATGATATAAATTCTGCCTTCAAAATGAAAGCAATTTTCCAGCAAAATGATTACAGTCATAATACAATTAGTTATCTGTTCTCTTTCCTAGTCTTTCAAAAATTGGTATAGCAAATTCTCTTCATTGGAAAAGTATGTATCACATCTAAAGATGTTAGAATGCAGTGTTACACAAAGATTCTTTTTTACCTATAGTTTCATTTATTTTACTACTTATAAATATTTTGATCTCCTGATACTGCCTAACACAATTGCTGCAGATTAACTATAAAATAAGCTAAAATGTTCAAATGTTTTCCACTGGATACTTTAGATCCAGCAACTATAATGTATAACATTACACTAAAACAAACTGAATAAGTATAAAACTCATACCTTTGCAGGTGTATGTATCCAGATGGCTGGGTTAATAAACAAAATATGATCACAAAGCTGCTTCAGCAAAGGTGCTCCATGAGATAAACCATCAAGGTATTTTGCAAAAGATAAAAATTGCTCCAAGACAGGTCTAGTTATATGAACTCTTGATGACTAAGAAAGAAAACAGAAATTCTAGCTTGAAATATCCAGAATATTAAATTGTATAATTTCTGACTTAGCATAAGCACACATGAATTTTTCATATGCTATCACTAATAAATATGAAATACATTTATATTATTTGCTATTAAAATATAATTTTATTAAGAGATCTAAAATTTTAGCTATTTCTTTGAGTGATAGCTTGTTATTTGAAGCCTAATCTAAGACAATTACAGATACATAATTCAAGTTAAATAATGCTACTATTAGCTAAAGCTAAAGAAATGAAATGTTATAAGAATGGCTTCATTTCATTTTTTGTAGAAATTGACATATAAGAAGAAATCTTAGACATAAAAATAGAGATTGTTTAAAACATGTAAAAATATTGCTTAAAAATATGTAAAATATTGCTTAAAATATTATTTCCTTGGTCTGCTCTTCATAAATACCGTATCCCTGGATATATTATGCTTTCACAGCTTCATATAACACTATGTCTATGCTGAGTACTCACTTCAAGAATTTTCAACTGCTATCACCATATACCTATTACCAATGGTATTTAAACAACAGACTCTCCAAAATTGAAACCGAACCTTAAAGCTGCACCATCTCATACAGTAGCCAGAAGCCCTATGTGGCAACTGAGCTGCTGGAATGTTGCAATTGAAAGTGAGATGTGTTGTGAGTATGAAAACACTGGGTTTTTCCAGCTCAGAATATTTTTAAAAATCGTATTTTCTTATTGAATAGATGTTGAAATAATATTTTGCATATTATCAAAATAAAATACTAGACTAAAGACATTATTAAGATTAATATACCCTGTAATTTTTTACTGGAAAATATTAAATTGCACCTGAGGTTTGAATTGTATTTTAATTGGACAATGCTATCCTAGAATACAATTTCAGATAAAAATGCTATATTAAAAAATGCTCTTCACAAAAGCTGATAATTCAAACTCAAACTTCAAAAAATATATCTTCCGACACAAATCTTTTCTTCCTCATCTAGTGATACAGTTTTCTAGTATCACTATCCTTTCAGTCATAGGGTAAAGAATCATGTACCACTCAACCCTAAAGCACACATCACACAACACATCTTTCCTTCCTATTCTTCACTGACTGAAGTCTGAATGTCAGTTTAAGATTATCAAAATTTAAAAGGGATGAAACTGTCTTACCAATTTTACCTCCCATATGATTTAGCTACATTTCTCATGATCATAAGGACAACTCAATAAATTTGACTTAAGCACATCATGAATTTTCACACTTCTACATAAAAGGTCACAAACTAAAATGATTGCAAATAACAACAATGTGTAAACCAGTGTAGGAGACAAAAAAGAGTGGTGAGGAACAAAACTAAACCTTTTTGTTGAGTCCCACAGAATATTACCATGGGCCAGTTTCACCCACAGGACACATTTTCTTCCCCTGCTTTCTCTGTCTTGCTCCCCCAGTTTGTAACACCCTTGCATACATTTCCTTTACCTTAAAGGTAGAGCTCAAGACTTTTATTTTAGTCATTTAGAAAATATACATGCTGATTGCTCACTGTCAGTCAAATACACTCCCTGGCACTGTCAAAAAAGCAGCTAACAAAATTGAAGTAAAAACTCTGTCTCACAGAACATATTCTAAGAGATGATAAGGCAGGAACACAGAGTAAATAAAATAAAAAGGTACAATATGTAACATGTTAGAGGTTACTAAGTTCAATGAAAGAAACTATGGAGCAGATAAAACATTTGTAGAAGAATGGTGAACAGGTTTTACTAAGAAGGGGGCATTTAATTGGTTCAAACAATTTAGTATTAATATAATAGAATTCTTTGTCTGACAAAATTACCAATGGTGCTTACATAAGCAATAGCCTACAAAATTCAAAGCAAACCTTAGTACATAATTTTCACTGAAAATTTTATGAAAGATGGTGGAAATTAATCTAAATAAATAGCTGAGTTAATAAAGGAGGGGAACCAAAACAAACATTTGAGTTTAAAAAGTAAAGATTGAGTATTCATATTTAAAGGAGTATCAGTGAAAATAATATAGTACTTTAAATTAAAAATATTTTATTTGTAAAGGAATAAAATTAAAATAAGAGATCAATAGTTATTTAAAACTTCAGCCAGCTCCTTCACTAAATATAATTTCACATAGCTTATCTTATACATTCTATTTTTATTCAGTAGTAATGATTTCAAGAACATGATCTGATAACATTCTACTCTCACACTTAAAACTCTAAAATAAAATACAGTCAGATCCTGTTAATAAACATACTATGTGACCAGACTGTAGCTCATAAAAATTATTCATCATGTCCTTATAAAGAACATTAACCTGTATTATAAAATCAGGCTGACCATTATAAACATAGCCACTTGATGAATTCATAATATAGAAACAAGTTTGGAACTTGGACCATGATATTAAAAGGTATACTAAAAGCATCACAAGGCCTTCCACATTACTTAAAAAAAAATGGGGGGGCCTGCTGTTTTCACATAACAATTAATGCTGTTGGGTGGCAGATTTTCATTCTAAAATTATTGTTTAGAAAATATTTTATTGTCTTTTTATTGATCTCCTCAAAATCCTACTATTCTGGATTATAAATAGTGTATAAATGTATAAATGAATATTCTCTTCAACAGCATGTTACCTTTACCTCTTAGAAGTACTTATTCCTCCTTCCTTGTATTATTGTTAGTAAAAAAAAATCTCTCTTTCGTAATATAAGAAAGAATATTATCTTATTCATCTTTTGTCTTCCTGATCCCTACCCTAATTTCTCAGGGAACATTTAACTGAATTAATGTCAAATTCAAAAATGGAGTAAGAATAGAATAGGTAGGAAAAAACAAAGCCTGGGAAGAGAAGAAAGAAGATTCTAACTCTGCTTTTAAATGTATTTCATTTGATTAACAGTTTCAAAATATTTTTATATTTTGGTATTTGTTTTCATTTTCTCAAGTAAAACTACTTTAAAAACAGATCTATACTTGGATAATTTATAGTTATAAATCTGTAACCTTTAGATGGAACAATTTAAATCTCATAGAAAATGCAAGCCCTGGAATTTGATCTATATATTAATTTTATGTGGTGACAGAATACATAATTTTTAAGAAGTACTATAATGTGACATGGCTAACCATATTTGGAAATAATACCTGAGAAGTTATAAAAATAGTTGCATTGTAGCATCCAATCCAGAATTAACTAAACCAAATAGGAGCACTGGCAGTTACAAAGAGAAACTTCTGTTCAATAAAGAGAGATTGTTCCAACATTTAGATTAGCCTATAATGGAACAGGTTATCAGAAATGTTCATTTTTATTGTAGAAAGCATTATACATACACACACATATACCCATAACATGTATGATTATATATTCAATAAATTGTGTAAAACTATTTTAATTGTAGAGGTACACCATAGTCTATTATCCATTCTGCTCCTCCCAGGACTCCAAGGTTGTGCTCCAAATAGCCTAATCCAACCAGATTAATCATTTGTTGTTGTTTTGGTGGAGTGATGGGGAGGGTGGCAGGCAATGATTAGTTCAGAGACTCAGTATCAAAGTGTAGCATAGCAACAATTGATTCAAAAGAAGGCCAGCCAAGCTCTAAGCTAACCAATCAAATTGGAGAGAAGAATCTTGCTCAGTAATTGACAGAAAGGAGCTTGCTTTCTTCACCTGGATGTGAAGGTCTATAGCACTAATTCTCTCTGGCAGCCTTGTGACCTCAAACAGTATCAGCTTTAGCATAAAATCAACACTGTAGCTGGTACAGCAGAGATATAGATAAAACCTGGGTCTCTGATGACATTATTGAGACTCAGATAACCCAGCCCTGAAACACAACTTATGTTTGCTGCTTTTCCAACCTTTTGCTGCCTTTCCAACCTCCCTGTCCTGTTTTAATGCTTGGGATGCTCCCTTGCCTACTGGTTTCCAGCTGAGTTTGACTAATTGAAGACATTAGCAAGAAATTAAGGGACAGAAAGAAAATGAAGTTGGGTATACATTTTCCAGATTTTACCCCTTCAGTACACTTACACTATACTCCTTTCTTGAAGACCACAGTCCCATCAGGTACCCTTCTACAGCTACAATAACTTTCTCTTTGGGTTATGCTAAACACTTATTCCCCTCATCTCTTCAAATCTTCCCAAGCTCCCTGCTTTCAACTTTTTAAATACCCTTGCATTAAACTCTTCTCAAAAACCTAGGTTGAGTACGCCATCTGTTTCCTGCCAAGAATATAACTGATATGCTATCTAACACTAGACTTTGTTACATTAGTTAGTATATTTTCTTAATGTTTAAGATACTTTGAATCAAATTTTCTACTAACCACAATCAAAAATATCCTATTGAATATACTGGATAACCTCTAAGTTTTCCACAAGATCATATTTTGGCAAAACAAAACAAAAACACCTTAAAATTTTTTCATGGAACAGTAAAATTGTTATTAATAAAAGGCCTCGCATATACTATCTTCCTAAGATATCTTCTATGACAAGGAGATATAAAAGCTAAGTGGCATTAACCAGTAACCTGTTATTAAGTTAAGAAATTAAAAAATCAAACTTCTATTACCTATACTATTAATACTAACCTGGCCACTGATTATTTAAAAATAACACAATATGAGCATTCCTCTGAGAAAGGTAAAAAAGTTACTGTTTCTTAGGTAATCAGACAAGCATGCAAGGACATTTCATATACTCAATTCAACAACTATTTACTGAGCCCAGCACTGTGCTAGGTGCTGAAGATATAACAATAAGAGGAGACAAAAAAATATATATACATACATATATATATATACACATACATATATATATATTGCCCCTGCTTTCATGAAGCCTACATTCTAGCAGGAGGAGGCAGAAAATTGGTAAAAAATATAAAACACGCCAGAATGGTGCTGTAAAATTAGCAGAGTAGGTAAACACTGATGGTTATGGAAGGGATACTAATTTATTTAGAATGATCGGAGAATATTTCTGTGATAAGGCATCATACAAGCAAAATCCTGAATGAAGCATAGAATCAAATTCTGTGAGTATCTGAAGAAAAAGTGATGGAAACAATGGGGGAAGTAAATGCAAAAGTCCTTGGGTAAATTCTTATCATTTTAGTTCTTAAGGGAAAGGCAAAAAGACCTTTGCCTAAAACAGAGAAAGCAAGAGAGTGGGGAGAGATGATGTGAGGTGTAAGGCTTATGACTTCATTATGAGAAGGATGAAGACTTGAATAAGATTTGGCACATTTTAGGACAACTAGTCTAACTGCAAGTGAAAAACGGACTGTAGGTAACCAATGGTGAAGGACGATCATGATTTGAACTAAAATGGTATCAACGGACATAGTAAGGAGTTGAGAAATAAAGAGGAAGTAGTAATTGATTCTGGATATGTTTTGAGAGTAAAACAACATAATTTCCTGAGAGTTTGGATCTAGAGTGCAACAAAAGTAGAGTCAAAAACAATTAACTTTTTGGTTTCAACTACTTGTTGAATGGTAATGCCACTAAATAAGACAAACAACTCTGAAGGATGAAAAATTTGAGAGAAAAATCAGTTTGGATAATTTAGTCAAGAAGATTACTAGAAATCCAAGTGGAACTAAAAATAGGAGAAACAATTGAGGGTAATTAGTATTTACAGGGTCACGGGAGCTGTAGAAGTGGATAATCTCAATTAGAGTAAGGTACTGTGTAGATGGAAAAGTGAAATGCTTTCCAGGATTAATCACTGGGAAAGAAGAGTCATCAGAGTTTATAAAGATGAAGGAGAACTAATGAGAGAGAATAAGTAAGAGAAAAACAAAGCAAACCATGGCAAAACACAATGCAAGAAAGCATTTCAAGAAGGAAAGACTGTTCAACCGAAATATTCACAGGTCGAATAAGATAAGGACTGAGAAATAATCACAGGACAGACTGTGAAGGCCACTGGTGACAAAGACATGAGCCATCTGAAAGGACATGGAAGAACGAAAGACAGGTTGGAATAGGAATAGATTTAGGAGTAAGTGAGTGTCCAGGAATATAAGGAAGGTTTAAAATCTGAAAAATAATCAATGTAATTCACTAAGAAAAATGAGAAACATCATACTCATCTCAAATACTGCAGAAAAGATGTTTGATAAAATCCTGTTTATAATAAAGAAAACTCTTAGAAAAATAGAAATAGATAATTCCTTAATTTAACTAAAAAATCTACAAAAACTAATTATTAAAAAGATCATACTTAGTGTCTAATTATTAACAGCATTGCCCATGAGATCAGGAATAAGACAGGGATGGCCACTATCACAACTTTTATTCAACACTGTACTGGCAGTCTTTAGGTGGCATAACAAGGCAAGGAAAAAAATAAAAAAATAAATATTAGAAAGGAAAAAACAAAACTATCATTCTCCGATGTTATTATTGTCTACAAAATTTTTTTTGAAAAAAATCTACAAATGACTAGATTTAATAGAGGAATAGAAAGATTGGTATATAAAAGTTCAACATAAATATCAATTATAATACTATGTACCAGTAACAAATTAAAAATCAAAACTTTTAATTGCTTCTTGGCCTTTTGGGTAAGATCAAGTGCAAAGAATTAAAATTTTAAGGGCATCAAATAATATCAAATATCTGGAAATAAATCCATCAAAAAGACAGAAACTGTTCTATACAGAAAACTACAAAAGAAAATCTAAATTAATAAAAGAATATACCAAGTATATGACTTGAAAGATTCAATATAGGAAAGATGTCAATATAATACAATAAAAATCCTCATGTTTTTTGGTGGAAGTTGATAAGCTGACATATATGGAAATGCAAAGACTCAGAAATGGCCAAGGCAATCGTCAAGAACAACAGTAAAGCTAGATGACATACTCTTAAATATCAGGCTGCACTAAAAAGCTATACAAATTAAAATACTGTTGGAATATTACTTAGCAATAAAAAGGAATGAAAAAAATATGCTATAACATGGATGCACACTGAAAACATTATGCTAAGCAAAATGGACCAAATACAAAAAGACAAATATTGTATGATCCCACTTACATGAAATATTTAGAATAAGCAATTCATAAAGCCAAAAAGTGAATTATGGATTGACTAGGGGTGGGAATCATGAAGAGATATAGGGAAAATTGGTAAAGGAAATGAATAACAAAGAAGATAAAATATTCATTTTCCATAATTATATATGAAAATGTCTAATCTTATTCAAAATCTAGGAAAAGTGCAAATTAAAACCACAATGAAATAATATTTTGCATCCACTAAATTGACATTATAATATGAAATATTAACATACATTTTTATTTGAAGGCTTTTACAAATATTTCTAATTATAAGCTAAGTTTTAAGTAAAAGAATGTTTAATTTAGGATTTTCTGATACATTCTCAAGTAAACAAATGAAAGCACATTTAAAGGGGTAAGTCCTCACAGAAATCCTGTCACACACAGTAATCTTACAAAGGCATTTCATATGTTATCGAATTCATGTTAAATGTAGCTTATCATACATCTTCTAAACAATTCTTAATACTCTAGATACAGAAAAAGAGTATTCTCTTATTTTAAAAAATAAACCAAAGAGCCTTAAGTTCTTAATAATGTTATGGAAAAAATCATCTCAATAAAGAAATGCTACCAATGATCAATCTTAACAATCTACCACTCTTCAATGCTTAATCCTTAAGGAAAGGTCAGCACTAGTTTCAAAGACATATTTTTTATATATATAACATATATATGTATAAAGACATGTAATATATAAAATATAGCATATTTTAGAACTTGACTCTTTTTGTGACTAAATAATATTCAATTGCATGTATACACTACATTTTGTTTGTCCATTAATCAACTGATAACATTTCAAATGTAAAACAATTGGAGGTAAAATTAAAACTGCTTCAAAGTATGTTCTCAATTTTTTTCCAGAGGAAATGTATGTTTATCCCTTAGTTGAGATCTCACTTCTATTACTTTTCAAATAGTCTCATTTTCAGAGCAGCTGAATATTATAGAGTTAACTAACTGATAAGAGGTTTGAGAGTGCTAATAAAGGGCACAGGTATTTGTCATTAAAAAAAACAACAACATGCTGGCTGGACGCAGTGGCTCACGCCTGTAATCCCAGCACTTTGGGAGGCTGAGGCGGGCGGATCACGAGGTCCGGAGATCGAGACTATCCTGGCTAACAGGGTGAAACCCTGTTTCTACTAAAAACACAAAAAAATTAGCTGGGCGTGGTGGCAGGCGCCTGTAGTCCCAGCTACTCGGGAGGCTGAGGCAGGAGAATGGCGTGAACCCGGAAGGCGGAGGTTGCAGTGAGCCGAGATCGCGCCACTGCACTCCAGCCCAGGCGACAGCGAGACTCTGTCTCAAAAAAATAAATAAATACTAAAAAAATAAAAAATAAAAAAACGCTTATTCATGAAATCTCACTAATTTTTAAAGGAAATCACATGATACAACTAAACTCTTGTGAGATCATAATCAGAAATTCAGCACTCATAAAAGCACAGCTGTGACTAAAGCAAAAGAGGTCATAAAACAACATAAATGACACAAAATAGGAAAATGTAAACCCATCTAATTTTTATTGTTTATACTATGTATAGATGAGAAAAACTACTTTAAATAGTCATATATATTAAGAGTAGGGAAAAAGAGCACAAAATAATGTTTCTATTACTACAAAATAAAAATTTTGACCGCATAATTAAAAAATAACACAAAACCTAACAGGTAAATCCATGTATACTAAATATAAAGATTTTTATCTTAATAAAAAAGACTTTCAAGAAACAGTCTAAGGCCAGGCGCAGTGGTTCATGCTTGTAATCCCAGCACTTTGGGAGGCCGAGGTGGGCAGATCACTTGAGATCAGGAGTTCAAGACCAGCCTGGCCAACGTGGGGAAAACCCTGTTTCTACTAAAAATACAAAACTTTAGCTAGGCATGGTGGTACGCACCTGTGATCCCAGATACTAGGGAGGCTTAGGCAGGAGAATTGCTTGATTGAACTCGGGAGGTGGGGGTTGCAGTGAGCCAAGATCGCACCACTGCACTCTAGTGTGGGAGACAGAGTGAGACACTGTCTCAAAAAAAATAAAAAATAAAAAAAAAGTCTAAGTGAAAAGATAGCAAAGAAACAACTACAGTACTCACTTCTTATCCGGAGGCGATGCTTCCAAGACCCCTAGTGGATGATATATACGATTTTCAGTCTGAGAACTGAGATAGCTACTAAATGACTAATAGGAAGACAGTGTATACTGCATGAAAAAGCTGAGCAAAAGGAGGATTCATGTCCGGACTTGATGAAGAGGGACAGTACGAGATTTCATCACTCTACTCAGAACAGCACACAATTTAAAAGTTATAAATTGTTTATTCCATTTAATATTTTTGAACTGCAGTTGTCCATGGGTAAGTGACACCTTAGAAAGAGAGAGTAGAAATAAAGGGGTACTACTATAGAAAAACTTAAGAGAAATGATACTTATTGCTTGAATAGATATAGATGAAATTTTTTTCTTTAGTTTTTTAATTCAAAATTTAATTATGCTTCCAATACCCAGTTAATTCCATGTCTACACTTAAATCTAAGGTGTTTGTGAATTAGCAAATAGTATAATCTCTACACAGTCAATGGAAAGTGAAATTATAGAAAAAATATAATTAGTGATTGTCAGCTGTCCAACTGTGAGGCTACACAATAAAACCATCAACACATCACCTACCTTTTCAAGTAATTAGCCAATAACTAAAAAGCCTTTTCCACCCAGCACCTGTTCTTGCATGGCTACTGAACTTTTAAGTAGTTCAACCAGGAATGCCGAAAGAGTAGCACTGCATGTAAAGTACAGATATCATTATGTAATCATCACGTTTATTCTAAACACAGTGTTCCAATTTCAGTATTTTATTATGCCAAGAGATAACCATATTCAAATCTAATCTCTATTTTATTGACAATGACTATTATGCCTTATATTATGAAAGAATATATTTCCTGATAAGCATGAGAAAACTATTGTCCTTTACAAATTAAATATAATAAACTGAATCATAACTGTGTAGTTTTTTTACATTCCAAAGTAAAACATCAAAGTTTATCTCTACATATATTTATAGGTCTGGCTTCAAGTAAACCTAAGAAACATACACACATCATTTTCCATAATAAAGACTGTATCATACTATTATTTTGAATAACAAGCTATTGTAGAGAATTTTAAATATAGATGCAATATTGCTTTGTAAGAACAAGCCCTATTTTTAAATAAACTTTTCATTTAGAACTATTCTTCAAAAACACTTTGTTAAAAAAAATCCAGAGGAATATGTAACATGTCACTTATGTCCAGGTATGCCCTAAGAAAAGCTCATGAGAGCAAAGAAATGATTTATGTAATATTGAAATGAAAAGTGACAATTACACAGTATATAAACAAATACATAAAGGCAGACAGAGGCGTCAAAGATTTAGCACTTGGTATGTCTTTGGAATGAATGAAGAAACAAAATAGAAAATGACTGCATTGAATTAAGCTTTGATAATATATTACTTCATAGTTACATATAATGATTTTAACCAGCAACACTGATATATGAATATAGTATTCTGAATAATGGAAATACATATTCCTTCACTGTATATGCTTAATGTAGCTCATAATAAATTGTTATATACCAGATTTTATCAACAATTAAAAGAATATCAATTTACAATGTTTTATAATATACCCTAAATTACCTATTTATATTCATAAGAAAGGGTAAAACCACAAATTTCTAAACATATTTTAAATGCAGAAGTACTCATTCTTACAAGTAATTCAGACAATTTGGTAATAAGGAAAACTTGAAAATTATTAAAGCCCGAAAGGAATCTGAAGTTATTCTAATTTTTGAATTATTCTAGCTCTTCCAGTTTCAATAGGGATAATGTATTTTTCTCATAATGTGGCTACTTTTGTTCAAATCAGAAATGTTCTCATAACAAGAACCAACAGCAAAATTATCATTGTCATTATTATAAAAATTGATAGTTTAATGAATTACATATCAGCTAGACAAAATATAGTATCCAGAAATAAAGCACTTCATTATAGGAAATTAAAATTCAATTATATTAACTGACCCTATATCCTTAAACCACAAAAAATGTAAACTATCACATATCAATGATTTTTTTTACTTTGTCCTTAAGCCAAAGATAGACACTTACAAGAAAACTACAACTACCAATGAGTCTCTTGGGATTTTAAAAAACGTTTCTGTAAAGAAGCACAGCTATTAAGCAATCTAGTCCATTTTAAATGAATTGAATAGTCAAGGCCACTTCACAAATAATTGCTAAGTACTATATTACACATAACACATCTGCCTAGATGTGTAAAAAGAATAAAGAAAACCATGCATAGAGATTACACAATTTCCTAATCTGTTCATAGAATTCTTACATACACCAAAGTTAGTGATTGAGGGAAAATGGATTCCTAAACATGAGCACTGCCAAAAAGACAGACTAGAAATGCCTCACAGTGGTCCTTATGATCCATGAAAAAAGGCAAAAAAGTATTTTACAGTAAATCACCCTACTATATAGAACCATATACAATTGCAAGGATGACACAGATTTTCTCATTCTTTTATGTCAGAATAACTACTCATTCTCAAATATCTAATGAGTTAACTCAGACCTCTAAACACAGTGGAGCTCTATTATAAAAACTGAAATATTAATATTATTATTCCAAAATCTTAACAAGACTCTGCTATCCATGAAGTATTAATTTCACTTCAACATTAACTAGGACACCAATTGAAATGTCAAATGCATTCACTAACAAAGGTAGTTTCAATTTATACCTAAAACCCAATGCAATAGCAATACCACATCTTTGCAAAAAAAAAAAAAAAAAACTTTACAATAAGGTATAATTGACATGGTGGACGTAATAGTAAATAGATGGCCATCTTCGAAGAGGTACATTTTCAAACATAATTCAACAAACTTACCAGGAACTAAAATGCATCGGATTGTTGCAGGGCTCACAATAAACTTGCAAAATTCTGTGTACTGCCATACAAAATTTCTCTCCATTCTTGCCTATTTCCAACTTCCCTAGATACAAAGGCAAATATAAAAGATACTTCAGCCCATTCCTATATCTCCTACATACAACTTCCTGTCTAGAACGCATCAGTTCATCTGCAGAGGATCTAAATATATACTCTAGGATAAACCAAAAAGCAAGTACCGGTGTCAGCCAAAACTAATACAACATAGAACACTCTCTTGAAAACTATATCAATACCTAGGAAAAGATTTTCAGAGGAGTATTTTATTTTATAGACCAAAAGTATGCTGATTATTATGTCATGATATGTAATTGCTCAACTTTTCAACAGACAGTACTATAACACATGTTCTATAAGTAGCAATTCTACTTCAGGAATGGATGAGAGTTTGTAATCCTGTATCTCTTTAAGGAAAATGATGCTAATAATCTAGTGGGTGTTTTTTCTTAAAAATAATTACCATCTTGTAATTCTTAATAAGCTTAATTTAAGTTAGAAAATAATGTTTATTTCAAGTATCAGATCGTAAAGGGTTAGACCATGGGAAAAAAATGAAAGAAATAGCATAATAATACCTCTTGTAAATTAGCATATTTATTATTTCTCCAGAGCTTTTTGGCCTTTATTGATAAAGAATGCCACAACAGTCTTGGCCCACAAATACCTGAGAATATTTATTAACTATGTATAAAAACATAACTAACCTGTTTATAATATACATATATTTATATGCCATTAAAATTTAAATATAGATTTTGACTTATTTTACTATAACTTTATCCATTTCAATTTGTATTTAATTTTTTTAAATAACTAATGTAGATATAACTCATGTAATGTGATCCATGAAGTTTTATTATTTTTGAGGTACTTTTATTATTTAGAATTCAATATATCATAAAGATACACCTAATTCATAACTAAAATGATTAAGAGTGAATATATAAACCTAAGTTCTGTTCAAAGGTAGCTCTCTGAAGACATAAACTGGCTATTCAATTTGGTTTTTACTGAAAAAGCAAAGTACCACAGCTAGATTGGCTTTTTAAATAAAGATCTTTTTATTAAGAAGACTGGAAATAACTTACGTAAAAAGTAAAGATTCCCCCCCTAAAATCCAATACCTCCTCCACTTTTAAAAGAATGTTGCAAAGTAATCAAGTAGATTAAGTTTCAAATCGGATTTACGGTTATCAGTAAGGGGGAAAAATCTTTTGACATTTTCAAAACGTTTCATCTCTTAAGCCTAATTTAGGACTGAATTACAGTGAAATATTTTAAAAGATGATTAAAATTACGTAAAATATTTAATATCACAGTTTCTATAGTATTTCTCTCACTACAAAACTCTTCCTAAATAAGAGTGATCATAGCAGAAATTGACTTCACTGTACATTAATCAATTCAATTCCACACCCAAAACAATTTTGCATCCAAGATAATTTTCAGTGACACAAAAAAACTCACAGTAAGTTCTAAGAGTTAATTTCCTTCACAGTTCAACATTAGAAAGGGCTAAACCATATGCTACAATAGACCTCATGTGATATTTCCAACATGTGGGTTATCTTAGAGTTGGTCTATGATGATTTTCTCTTCCCTTGAGAATAAGTCACATTTTCCTGACCATTTTTAGAATAAGTACTTTTGGATTATATGCTAAATAGTGTGACTATTACTCTGTACAATACTGTAGAGAAACTTTCTGGCCAGAAAGTTTCCTATAAAAGCAAAAAATGGGGATATCAGTCCATGAAGACTGACTGTTCCATATTTTGACTACCCTCGCCTGCTTTTATTCAATCTTCACAATCCTCAGATAGATGTTATCTATATTATGTGCAGAGTTTACAAATGGTTATTTTTGAGAAGATCAGTTTGTTAGGAGCTCACCCCTCTATACAAGTATCAGAAATCCTCTGAAGTGATTTTTAATTTGAGGTTGTGTTATACTTTTTCTCTTATCAGTTAGAACTTCTTTATGATATAGCAAATTATAAAAACTATTATACTATCATATTCATAAATGAAGGAGAGAACTCAAAGCTAAATTTTCAAATATCTGGCCATGAAGACTAACTGCTTGCCACACGGGATTAACAGAACAATGAGAAAATGTCTAGTAATAATTATAAAATATAAAAACTTTGTTAAAATCTGATTTGCAAGCTTATGTCAAAGGGCCACCTCATACACAATCTTGAAGACATTAAATAACCCCAAATAGCCACTGTAAACTTATCTGGCAGTAAATTTTACTATACTAGACAAATCTACAGTGAGATTTTCTGTTATTTTAAATATTTTCTGTATTTCTGTATTTTCCAAAATGAACGGTTTATTTAGTTAATAAGTGATACCCTAACTTATTTACTGTTTCCAGAAAATAACCAAGTACAGAATATATACTGATAAGCTGCAATGCTCAAAACCAAATATCAACAGAAAAAAATTTACCTAGCACTACAGTGACCAACAAGTCAAAATCATTTGACAGGCTCCATTGAATATATAGTTTGATGGCATTATTTGAAGGTAGAATTAACTTATTTTATTAATTTTGAAGCCCATATGTTGACATGCTATCTACACTAAGCTCAGAATCATAAATATTGTCTGACCATTACACTGAAAGTTCCATATAACTGAAGGCAATAAATATAAATACTAAGTTATTATACAACACTAAGTAACTTAAACTCCACTTTGTGATTTATCCAAATGTCCATTAGTTAATTATATTCTCTACACCTTAAAAGTTCCGCTGTAGCCCTCTACCCCGCTTCACTCACAGAGAGTGACTTTAGCAAGATAATTTTGACTATGTGTGAACTACTCAGCTTTTCTTCTGTCAAAACACAATCTGATCATTTGCATTCCTCCTTCTCTATGTTCTCTGAATTTCTAAAAAAAAAAAAAGGTTTTTAATATAAAAAATTTTTGCTGATGCCTGTCATGGTGCAATTGTACTTATACTATTTACAAATTGAGGAAATGCATGTACCTGTGGCTTTATCAACCCCCACTAACAACAAGGGGTGCAGTAAGCTGAGAACTTTCAAAACTTAAAAAAATACTCTCTTATGTAATGCCCAAATTTACAGGTATATCTCTTAAAAGTTCTGACTTTAAGTACTCTACACTGTGTGTTAGGATATTAAGGATACACTACGTCACATGAGCTGTGCACGTATGATGACCGGGTTACTGCTCATTATCACTGTTGTTAAAAAGAATGACGAGAAAGACGTGTGAAAAGAATACTACAAACTACAGAGATTGCAAAGCTGTTCAGGACAAAGTTTGCTTCTCTGTGAATAGAAGAATTACAAAATTGCTTATATTCAGCCCTTTTCCTTGATGTTGCCAGGAAGCTCCCATCAATTCTGAAATTTCACATTAGCAATCATATTGGATTTGTATTTTCTTGATACTCTACCTTTTTATATTTCATTTGTTTGCTTGTCACTCTATTTAATATCATTCTATTAGAGCTTAAAAAGATACTGCAAGCATTTTATGAAACAACTCAAAGAAGTAGAAAAGAAAAGCAGGCAGCATATTAATAAAAAATGTGAATTACAAAAATGTTCCTATGCAAGATCAGCAATGGCAGAACCAGGATGCAAATTCGACAAAAAGACCCATGAAAGAAAAAGTAGCTGGACAAGCACAAATTCATTTCTAGAGCTAGTAGGACAAAAACAAAAATGATATGGAAAATATATGATAACAAGTATTGTTACCTTGACATAAAAATAATAGCATTATTATCCTTCAATATTATCATGGTTATTAAAGTCACTGAGAAAAAAAGATCTTTTAATATGGGTAAATTCAAACTTTCCTCCCTCGCTCTATATATATATATCCGTGTGTGTGTGTGTGTGTGTGTGTGTGTGTGTGTGTATATATGTGTATATATATATATGACAAAAATAAAAACAGAAATACCAATGCAAAAATACAGAGGCCAAAGAGGGAATTTTTTTATGTTTTTCCTTTCCATTACACAATCTTCACATTAATTAAATTGAGTTCAATAAAAAAACCACACTTCCGTACAAGACAAGTACTCCTTCAGAATTATAAACACTTTGACTATAATGTGTAATTCTCTTTCAGCTCTAAGTAGTTTGAGACTTCACAATTCCCAGTGTGATTTAAACAGAACCCTTATATGTTCCCCTAGCCAGGTGTACCGCACATTTAAAACTAACTCATATACGTGCATGCTGTATCTTACCTAGTCTTTGTTCTTAAAGTTTAAAAAACAGAAAGAATGATAAATTACATTAATTAGTTTTGCTAAATTAGTTTACTCACTACTGTACCTACTTCCTCACTGCAATTAAAGCAAAAATATAAACTAAAATTAAATAATTTCAGGCCCATGAAATATATTATCTTAGATTCCTTCTAAATCTTTAACTCTTCTTTCCAAGTTACCAGTAATATTAACAAGTTCTTTATTATGTTCATTATGTAATATATATTTCAAATTTTTGTATTTTAAATACTACATTAAGCAAAACAGTTTTATAAGATTATTTCAGAATTGTTAAAAGGCATGCTATCAATATTAGAAAATATTCTGAAGAATAAAAAAGTTTATAAAAAAAGTTGAGAAAAAAGCACCTTTGAACCGAAAAGAAACATATAATAAAAACTGACTACATTCCAAAAAATAGAAATGACTCTTAAACTGTATTAAAGAAAGATTTTCACTAAAAGTTATATTACATCACATTTTACATCTAAAACGCTCTCTAGAATTTATAAAATTACAGTTATTACTACCTTATATCTAGGTCCTAACTGATGAATTGCAAATATCTGTGCTGGGTTGAGTGCTTCACTGAATGGCAACAGGTTTAGCACAGAATACGCTATTTGCATCAGCAGTTTCTGATGAACCACGAAAGCACTTGTCATAGCTCTATTTTTAAAAGTCATTAAAAATGCATTATTTTTAATGATGAAAAGGTTTAAATCCTTAAATCGGCCTTTAGGAATATTTTAAAATATAACAATAATAATAGAAGAAAGCATCAATTAAGACTTTATTATTTAAATAATAAATGCCAGTCAAGTTTTTTGGGAAAAATGACCAATTACATGTTTTACACTTACATTTAAGCAAACAAAACAATAGCCACCTACTCAGTCTTCCGACTTACTTTTCAAATATTATAGTTAAAGGCAAAAGAGCTTATATTTATTTATTTACAAACGTTAAAATAATTTAAAACTGTCATGATGTATAATGATCCATATATAGAGAGATTGATCTGAATCAAGGGAATGACTATTCCAAAATGTAATCATGAAAACATAGGGTCTAATTTTTTAAATTCAACTTTATTTTTGAAATTATGAATCTATTCCTCTATTCCTCCATATTTAGTAAAACACACAAAGAAAATAAATCCCCGCTCGTGTGTGAGTAGGAACTACACAGAACGAAACACACAATAAGACTATAATCTGCTGCTTAAAGCAGATGGTACAGTGCTCTCCACATTGAGGAATTCAGCACTGAAGAAGCCAAAAGCTTAAGATCTTTCCAGCCTCTACATCTTACACCCCACCCACCCAAACCAGGGAAAGCAGTCATGGCTCAGTTCCCTTCCCCTATCCTCAAAGGCTATTTCACACCTTAGAATGAATAAGCAAGAATCATATATGTAACAAGTACTTTTGGTCCTTCAATAAAGTAACAAAAAGAATTGTGAATGCATACAAAGGCAAAAAGAACTGTCGTCATTAAATACCCAATCTTTAATTAGAAGTATAGGAACTTAAACTTTAACTGCATAAAGTATGTGTCATTATCTAGAATTCTCCACTTCTTAGGGCACTATTACAAATAACCAAAAAACGAAGTCTTTTCTTTCCAAGATACTGTCTTCTCATTGAATGAGTCAAGACGACCACTGGGATTTCTTCCACTCTATAATAAAAAGACTCTGCAGAGATCTCCTCTGGAGAGAAGATAAAAAGCAGAATTTCATCTGTCTATTCTAATTCTGAAAACAACATTCTATTAAATATTAATTGGTTGTGGCACAACCATGAGTTTCTACGGCAGGGAAAAGCAACTTTTTCTATAAAGGGACAGACAGAAAATATTTTAAACTTTGCTTGCCACACCTGGTTTCTGTCCCATTCTTCTTTGATTCTGTTTGTGTCTCAAGAAACAAACAAACAAAAAACCTTTAAAAATTAAAAGCCAAGATTCTTAGGCCCCAGCTTACACAAAACCAGAAACAGGGGGAGGGTCAGATTTGGCTCATAGGGTGTAGTCTGCCAAGCCCCGATCTAGGGGACAAACTGTGGACCATACACACAGTGCCAGTTAAACGAATACAAGACACGATAAGCAAATCCCTGCCCTTTGGGAAATTAAAGCCTAGAGAGAGATGCAAACAAAACTGAGAAATGAATTGTGTTTAAGAGGTAAGTTCTTATAAAACCAGGTATGCTTGAAGGGTTGTATATTATTGAGCTTGGAAGTACTTTCAGCATTAAAACAAACCTTTTACTTTGACTCTGACAGGCCAGAATGTAGACAATGGAAAGCCCCAAGTAGAGAAACCGTAAGGACCCTTGAGGTTTTAATTCAAGTTGTTCTCTACCTAGAATCCAACTGTGTCACTTCTTCCACTGCTAACATACTGGTAGAAACTCATATAATCTCTTTATTTTATTGCAATAAGCCATTTAAGTGATCTTCCTGCTTCTGTAATTTCCCTTCAAAATATTCTCAATACTGCAGGCAGACTGATGTTTTTAAAATATAAGCACACATCACTTGTCTGCTGAAAACCTTCCAAGGATTTTTAAGCTGAGTAAGATGCGAAAGCCCAGGCCTTACGTTTGCTTATGAAGGCCAAAATGATTTCTGCCTAACCTCATCTCTTATTATTCTGCCTCTACCTCCCTCTGCTCCAGACAAACTGCCTTTTCCTTGAACTCTCCTATTCCGCCTCAAAGCCTTTGCACTCACTGTTCCCACTGAATAGAAGAAGTTCCCCACATACCTCGCTTGCTCAACTCTTCCTACTAAAATCATCTCTGGACCATCCGGCTCCTCCCTTCCCTACAACTACACTTTCTGTATCCCCAATTTATTTTCTCCATAGCATTTATCACGATGTAATTAATAATAGTGACTATATGTTATCCTTCTGTTTAGGGTCTTCTTTCTGTATCTAAATAAGGGGTAAACCACATTTTTTAGTGCTTGATGCTGGAATAAATAGAATACAGGATTCACGGTTTTTTTAATCTAAAAAACTTAAAACTTTGGCCAAATGTTCCTGTTTTTGTATCACTAATCATGTCTTTTAACAATTTTCTTATACTAAATTTAACAATGAAAGATTCGTTTAATAAAAAAAAACTTTCAAAGTTTTAAGTTTCTACCAAACTATTTTATTATTCAATTCATATTGTAATGATAGCTCATACTCTCAAATTAAACCACAGACAGAAAAATAGACTTACATCATTTGTGTTAACATGCCAAGCCATATCACCATAAGATACCAGTTGTCCATTAACGTAACACTGAATTTCATTGTTCCTCCATCGATTGTAAATGTGGACAATGCTGATCATGTACCACTTACATAAAAAATTATATCAATATGTAATGTTTGGTTATTACGGTCTAAAATGCAATTATAACATTCATAAAACCCTAGAAGAATATGCTGACAGAACTATTAATGATCATCTAATACCACTTCCTCAAGCTCCCCCTCCCATCCCTCATTTCACAGATGGTAGAAGCGGCACATAAAGAATATTCATGGAGAAGACAAGAACTACAGCCCCTTGACCTCCAGAGTGATATTCTTTCCACTATACCAAGATTCAAAATTGTGGAAATACAATTTATTTATGTTCATTCATTTAAAATTTACATTGTGCCAGGCACTGCAGATACCCAAGGCTGACTAGTTCTCCTAGAAATTATGAGCTATAAAAGAAATACATATGACACAATTAAACAAGTGTAGAATTATAAATCATGGTGATTACAGTGAGGAGAAAGAAAACAAAAACAGGAGAAGAAACAAGAATACAAACATGAAATAGAAGCAGTAGCAAAAGAAAATGAAGAGGAACAAGAAAATGAGAAGAAAACACACAGCGGAAGAAAGGAAAAAGAACAGGTATGGGAATTAGAAGGCCTATAATACCTTTTATCCCCTTCTCGATTCATAAAATTTGAGTAACTCAAAGACTATCACAACAAAAAACAAGCAAAAGGATACACAAATAGTCATCCCCTAAATTTTGTTAAGAATGAGACAATGCTGCCACTCACGCCTAGCTCAGGCACCAGCAGGAGGGCACCCTCCAGAGATTGCAGGAGAAGGGGGAGAACTCTTCTTTGCCCTAGGTATATCACCACCACTGCCACCGAAGCCTGTGTTACAGCACCCACAGGTTCCTCCCCACCCCAGAGTGGGATGGGCCCTGCAGTGCTCCTATTCCCCCTTCCCGGCCCCCAGACTTCCTACTGCTACCACCACTAGCGCCAATGCCAATACAACCACTGTCGCCCTCAATGTACCAGCCCACCCTACCAGCTCCTACCACCTGGCCCCCGTGGGTGCCCTCCTCCCGCTCCGGTCGATCTGTGGTCTCCATCGCCACCACCAACCGCATGAGGCAAGCTGCAGAACCACGTCATCTGCAGGCTCGACCCTACCACAGGCGACTCCTCGCCTTCTCCTCCTTCAGCCTGGCTTGGAGTAGCTGGGCAGGCAAAGCCAGAAAAGCCCAAATCAGGATTCAGACAGTGGAACCGTTAGAGCCTCACCTTGTCACGCTGGTGACTGGGTGGCAGGCATCAGTTTCATTGAAGGCACTCACATCCACCTTCCAAAGTCCAGCCTCTCCTTCTGGCAAAAGCTGGCCAGGAACTGGGGTCTGGGGTGGGAGTGAATGCCTTCACTGAAACCGGCCCCTGGCCAACTCCAGCTGACCAGGAATTGCTGGGCCCACAAGGGCTGCCCTCCTCAGGGAGCCCGAGTAGGAGAAACTCAGAACCAGCCAGCCCTCCCCACCCAAGGGCTGGTTCCCATTCCTGACGCCTCCACCCACAGTGCCCTGTTCCCTGCTTCCCCCGTGGGTGCCTATTACTCCCTGCCCGGTAGTCCCAGGTGGTCTCCGCAACACAGAGCATGAGGGCGTGCCGGGAAACCACAGTGGGTGTGGGAGCCCTGCCGTGCAATCTAGCACGAGCAGGAGAAGATCGCCTTCTAGAGTCTGGAGTCCGGGAATAGAAGAACGATCCCTTACCTGGAGACCACCAGAAGGAAAGAGGCGGCCACTACTGTCGCTGCCGCTGCCGCCACCTCAGCTCGCCAACACCGCTGGCAGTGTAGCCCCCACAGCACCCCTAATCTGACCCCTGCCACTAGCAGTGTAGCCCCCGGATAGCACACCCAACACACCCTAGTTTCAGGCAATGTAACCCCAATACCTCCCCCAAAGCACTCCCCCCACACTGCAGGGAGTGTACCACCCAACAGTGCCCCAAATCTGACCCAGCCACGGGAGTTGCTGCACTAGATACCATCCCAAACCCACCTCCTCCCACCCCGCCACGGACAGTTCAGCTCTTGATGGCGCACCACCCCGAGTCAGCACCCAACAACGCCCCAGGCAGTGCAGCATCCAACAACGTCCCTAAACCACCCCCGACTGCCAGCATTGTAGCCCTGGATAACTCCACCCAACCCACCCCCTGCCGCTGGCAGTGCAGCAGAAGATAGCGCCCCTAATCCTTCCCCAGCCACCGGCAGTATACGCTAGTGTACACAATCTGCTTTCCCCGACCACCCCTGCCACCGCAGGCAGTATAGCCCCAGATAGCCAGCCAACCTGCCCCACCACCAGCAATGCCACCCCGGAGAGTGCCCCCAACCAGGCCACTGCCACAGGCAGGGTAGCCTCTAGCAGTGAGCCCCAGTAGGACACCCAACCCTTGCCCCCAGAGGCGTGCAGGGCAGCCCCGGGAAACTCACCTACCCCATCACATTTCTACCACTGTGGCCGAGCTGCAGTCTCCGACGTCACCACCAACCACAGCGAGGCGAACCAACCAGAGCCAGGCCAGCCACGGTGGCACAGGCTCCAGCCTCCAGCATGTGGCAGTGCCTCTTCCTTCTCCTAGTCCTCCAGCCCAGCAGGAGAAGCTCCCGCTGCCGGGCGCTCTCCTACTGCTCTGTCGCCACCACCAACCACAGCGAAACAGTGTCCCACGCTCCAGGGCTCCAGACTCCATCCATCCTCCAGCTTCAAGCAGGAGAAAGGTTGCGGCCTCTTCCAGTTCTCTAAGCCGGTCACGGGGTAGCTCTTCCTCTAGACACAGAAGAGCTTGAAATGACCTGATACGACCTCAGCATGCTTTATATACCGAGGTTATGCAAATGCGTTTCCTGGACTACATGTTCTGATTGGATGAGAGAAAAAACCTCTAGGCCTACTCTGATTGGACTTTGTTTTCATGCTGTGATTGGTTGTGTTAAGACTTACTCTCAACCAATCAGAACATGATAATAAAGTCCAATCAGAGTAAGCCTGGAGGTTTTTTCTCATCCAATCAAAACATGCAGTCCAGGAACCTCCGTGGGCATAACCGCAGTATATAAATGATGCTGAAGACAGGTCAGGTTTATTCAGGTTCCTGTATTTTCCTGTCGAGTTGCTAGCTGCCCGTCGTAGAGGACTAAAAAAAATTAATGAAAATTGCTAAATCAATGACGCTTTCAGAAGTTCCCTGTTTTTGACATCAGAGTCATATTATAATGCTCTATTTTCTGTTTCCTCACCTAAATAGAATTTTGCTTGAGGTAATTTTTTATCTGAACTTCTGTTTGTAGAAACCAGGGACATTTATTGAATTGTTTCTGGCTGGCTATTTGATCTTAACAAAGCATTTAAATGATACTGATGCCCTGGCTTGAGCAACGGAGCATCCCAGACTTTCAGTTAGTTGCACATAGCACACATACAACTCATTTGAGTTACAGCTAAATGCAATTACAGGCCTCAGAGCTAATATATAGATCACTTCTTATTTAAGGCAATTCACCTTTGAATTGGTTAACCTTTAATTGTTTATAAAATAATAAGATGGGAAACAAAGTTGCTACCCAATATGTTAGTTTCCCCAAATAAACACTTATTTAAAGGTTCATTTGTTAATCAAGTATCTGGAAGTTGAAATACATTTTTATGAAAGGAAATAAATTTTAGGTGATGATTAGGTTTTTATCAAGAGCTGAAGTTTTTAATAACGAACAGGGAGAGATACTATGGCAAAACAGTAATTGAATAAAACATAAATTCAATAAAATGATATGAAAAATCAATGACATTTATCCTGAGTCAAATATAAAGAGAATTAAATTGAGGATGATAAAATGTTTCTAATCATTGTTCCACCAGTATTTGACCTTGAGCAAACTGCCTGGGGGCCATATTTGGTAGACAGATGAGGATGTACACTTTCTTTTAAATACTTGAGAATTAGCTTAAGTGCTATCATTTGATAACTTGCTCGGTATTTCATAAATGCCAGGAAATTAACTCAAATCCTTTGATGAGCTGCATTTTCTGTATTCAATTTGTGTAAGTTCAACAAATATTTATTGAGGGTCTTCCATATGCTGGGTATGTGTCTTCGCAAAATAAAGTACATTATGAAAGATGTGATGCTCAATAGTATATCATCAGTGAATTGCAAATTAAAATCTAAATGAGATATCACTATATATCCACTGGATTGTCTAATATTTTAAAGTTGTCAGTATTAAATATTGGGAAAAATGTGGAGCAGCTGGAACACTCATACATTGCCAGTGGGAGATTAAAATGGTGCAGCACTTTGTAAAGCTAAACATATATTTACTATACTACCCAATAATACCACTAAGTATTTACCAAGAGAAAACAATTGTCTACACAAAGACTTGTACATGAATGTTCACCGTAGCTTTATTCATCATAGCTAAAAACTGGAAACAACTCAAAAACAGAAAAGTAAATTGATGAGCAAATTGTGGTATATCAATTTAATGGGATACCATCCAACAATGAAATAAATAATGAACGATAACACTGATTGACATCAATAATCTCAAAATCATTATCCTATGTTAATGAAGCCAGACACAAATAAGTATTTTGTATATTATTTTATTTGCATAAAAATTTATAACAGGAAAATCTAATCTATAATGGCAAAAAGTAGATTCATGGTTGTCTGAGCTAAGGGGTAGAGGAAGATTGATGGACTGCAAAATGCAAAAGGGAACTCCTTGAAGGTGATGAAATAGTCTATATCCTGATTAGCAAGGTGGTTACATGCATGTATACCTTTCTCAAAACTCATAGAACATACACTTAAAATGTGCAGTGCTGGCTGGGTGCAGTGATATGGCTCATACCAATAATGAACAGGGAGAGATACTATGGCAAAACAGTAATTGAATAAAACATAAATTCAATAAAATGATATGAAAAATCAATGTTTGACATTTATCCTGAGTCAAATATAAAGAGAATTAAATTGAGGATGATAAAATGTTTCTAATTATTGTTCCACCAGTATGTGACCTTGAGCAAACTGCCTGGGGGCCATATTTGGTAGACAGATGAGGATGTACACAGTGGTATGGCTCATACCACTGCACCCAGCCAGCACTGCACAATAAATGTCAAACATTGATTTTTCATATCATTTTATTGAATTTATGTTTTATTCAATTACTGTTTTGCCATAGTATCTCTCCCTGTTCGTTATTAAAAACTTCAGCTCTTGATAAAAACCTAATCATCACCTAAAATTTATTTCCTTTCATAAAAATGTATTTCAGCTTCCAGATACTTGATTAACAAATGAACCTTTAAATAAGTGTTTATTTGGGGAAACTAACATATTGGGTGGCAACTTTGTTTCCCATCTTATTATTTTATGAACAATTAAAGGTTAACCAATTCAAAGGTGAATTGCCTTAAATAAGAAGTGATCTATATATTAGCTCTGAGGCCTGTAATTGCATTTAGCTGTAACTCAAATGAGTTGTATGTGTGCTGTGTGCAACTAACTGAAAGTCTGGGATGCTCCGTTGCTCAAGCCAGGGCATCAGTATCATTTAAATGCTTTGTTACGATCAAATAGCCAGCCAGAAACAATTCAATAAATGTCCCTGGTTTCTACAAACAGAAGTTCAGATAAAAAATTGCCTGAAGCAAAATTCTGTTTAGGTGAGGAAACAGGAAATAGAGCATTATAATATGACTCTGATGTCAAAAACAGGGAACTTCTGAAAGCGTCATTGATTTAGCAATTTTCATTAATTCTTTTAACCAAAAAAACTGCTCTTTTGTAGTCCTTTTTAAAAGAGAAAAAAAGGGAAAAATGCCTTACTTAGCCCTTGGCACACATTTTATTATTCATTTCTAACATGGCATGTCACATTGACAACTCGTTTTAAGTTTGAATTTTTCTTACTAAGTAATCATTTTGTATATGCTATTTTTTCATTGAATTACAGTGTATGAGAAGCAGTGTCTCAAATCACCACATAGAATATGTGACAATCAGTTTAGTTTGTAGTCAATGTTCATTATTCCTCTATGTTTCTTTATTTTGGTAGTTTAGTCATAGTTCTTAACAACTGCCTTGAAATTTAGAGATAAAAGTAATGTCTAATTTTAGTATCTTTAGTCACAAAAATAGCTGTGGAACAAACTACAGACTAGGAAGACAGAAGGATGAGTCTTCAGATATCCTATTTCATATTAGTTGAAGAAGATTTCTTAAAACATTCCTGTTTCTCCCTATATTTATTCAGGAATTGGTTGAGGGAAAAGGAGAGTAGAGAGAAATTCAACAGATACTTAATTTCTGGTTGGTGCTTTGCCTATATATTACCGTGCTGTTGCATTACTGACACTTATCACAGTGTGGGTTGCTAGTTATTAAATGTAATGGAATAACCTGATTTATTGTTTATAACACGCATAATTTAGAAATGTTGAAGATAAAGCTCTTCAGTTTAAATTGATAAATTATCCAAGATTATATATTAATAATATGTGCTTGATTAAGTCGGTGAACTCAGATTTGGGCAATTCTGAGGTTCATGCTCTGTCCAATACCATAGTAAAAATTTACAAAATATTTCATGAAAGGAGACATGTGACAATTGGGAAAGCCACAAGAATTTATGAGTTAATACTTATGAAGACCTCTGAAAATCCATAAGTATAATAGATTTTTATTTAGTATGTGTTTTTCAGAAGAAATAATTTTCAGGTATTTGCTTAGTTTTTGAATAGTTAAAATTAGGCTCTTAAAATTTATTTGGAACCTGGACAACATAGTGAGATTTTGTCCTTACTTAAAAAAAAAAATTATCTGGGTGTGGTGGTGTGTATCTGTGATCTCAGCTGCCTGGGAGGCTGAGATGGGAGGAGAGTTTGAGCCCAGGAGGTCAATGCTGCAGTGAGCTGTGTTTGCACTACTGCTTACCACCTCTGATGACACAGACCTTGTCTCAATTTTTTTTTTTAAATTTGGCTTAAGTCAGTCACCTTTTATATTTAATTATAATGCAAAGTCAGTGATGTTTTGATATTTTAGATTACATATCATGGAAGATTAAAATCATCACATTATTTTGAATTTTTTTCTACTAGTTGGTGAAAAAGATATTTTTTTATGCATGCTCTAAATCTAAAATATGTATAATCAAGTCATAATCCTTAATTTACAGAAACTTGAGTATTTTATTTGGGGTATATACTATTATTTTAATATCTAGAATGGGAAACTCATTGTGGCAGAAACTCAAACAAGAGCTTCCTCTAAATTTGATCTTCCTCTTTCTCCGAACGTGTTACTATGCTTTCTAAGCATTATGAGGTTCCAGAGAAGAGATTTTCACTTTAGTTTGTATCAAATTCATGAGTGAATAAATTCTACAGTGTGCTTAAAACACTCTGAGAAGTAGGTTAGGGAAAAACTCTATAATCCTCTTATGGGTTTTTTTTAATGTGTTAATAAAATAATAATATGCCATCTACTTAAAATCCTTTTTGCAACAAGGTGCAGGGATAAATAAATAGTCCAAGTAACATGATATTTTCAATTTTAGGCAAAAGCTCTGACAAGACTTTGATCCTTCTTCAAGGCCTGGTAGGTCTGAAATAATCTTATCCGCACATGAAAAACATTCAAAGCATTTAAAGGACCTGGCTATAATTGCACAGTTCATGGTGGCAACTCATAGAATAAAGTTCAACTAATTCATTCCTTAGTCACATGTCATCCATTAGTTTAGCAATCTTGGATTCCTTAAGATTAAAGTATAATGAATAGTCTCTCTTCATTTGACTAACAAAGGGGACTAATGCCTTCCGCAAAACAGAACTTTTTCTTTCCCTTTCATGATACTGTATTTATGTGTTCTCATAACAAATCTTTCCTCTTTCAGTGGCTCAGAACAGATAAAGATAAATGAAGAATAATCTATCGATATTAGCATAATTCTGTGAAGAACTATAGCAATGTCTTGTTTACAAAAGCCAATTATACAAATGTTATGCATAATGCACTCAGGAATTCATTTAAACCAGGGGTTTTGAGTTACATGTTATAAGTACTAGACAACAGCTGTTTCCCTGGTGTATGATGGAGCCAACACCAGTCAGAGGTATATTATTACATCTGATTATCAGTCAGGATAAGGTAGGCAATTCTCTGGTAACAAACCATCCTCAAATCTCAGTGCTTATATAGGCACTATTTCTTGCTCCACTAGATGGTTCATACTTGCTCACACTACCCATCATGGGTCGTTAGGAGATCTCTGCTTATGGTCACTCAGGAATTCATCTGACAAAGGAGCCACCACCTTGAATATCATGGGTCACTGTGCTGGAAGCAAAAGAGAGAAATGTGGTGGGTTTACCATCAACATTTAAGTACTCTGGCCCAGAAGTGGATTGTCACTTCTACTCATCACTTACGGGTGACAAGTGCTAGAACTGGTCACCTAACCCCACCACAAGGGGACCAGCATGTACAATCTTACCATATGGATGTAAGGAGACAGAACAGGAAATATCTGTGAAACAGTGGTATTGTCAAAACCAATGTGTAAGATTAACTTCTGCTTAAACAAGTATATGTATTATTGCAGCAGTGCTGGTCAAAAATAACTGCTGGATGGAGTAGTAGGTTACAGAAATTATGTAGACTGGGTACAACTTGCTGCAAGTAAGAGATGAGCTGCATAGTGCTAAATAAAGATGGCATACTTTCTGGAACATATGAGAAATTTGTCCTTTTAAGTATAAAGAAATGAGGTCAAGACAATAATCATTTTCACTGAAGCAGTTAGTTACATGGAGCTGATGAGTTGTTATGGATGCTTTTCAGACACTCTGGGACAGAATTTTACGGTGGAAGTATGCACTGTAATGATTCAGGACTTGACTGGCGATATTTTGGGTATCTTAACCTCCTCCTTAAATAGGCTACCAAAAATTTGAAACCAAAAGGGCTGAGAATCACTGCTTTAAAAAGTGAGTTATGATTGGAGGGAATAGGGTCCATCCTCTAATAAACAGTAAAGAAATCAGAAGTCCTGGCTGGACGCAGCGGCTCACACCTATAATCCCAGCACTTTGTAAGGCCCAGGTGGATGGATGGCTTGAGCCCAGGAGTTCGAGACTAGATTCGGCAACCTGGCAAAACCCTGTCTCTACACAAAATACAAAAATTAACCAGGTTGGGTGGCGCACCTGTGGTCCCAGCTACTTGGAGGCCGAAATGAGAGGATCACTTGAGCTCCAGAGGTCAAGGCTGCAGTGAGCCAAGATGGCGCCAGTGCACTCCAGCATGGGCTGCAGAAAGAGACGCTGTCTCAAAATAATTAAATAAATAAATAAAATAAATAAATAAGTCCTGTTGTCAAGAAGTCAGTAGACAATTTTTCCTAACACAATGATCTTAAGGACTTTATTTTTCCCATTTTTATTTCATTTTATTTACACCAAATTTCTTACTGGGTTTTCAATGCAGCTTAATGCAATATGCAATGATTTTATGTTTTTATCCACTGAGATTTGTGGATGGTTTGTTACCAGAGTATTGCCTACCCTATCTCAAAAAAATAAATAAATAGCTATATAAGAGTTTATATAAGCAATTTACTTATTGCTTATATAAGAACACTTATAAAAGCATTGAGGCTGGAGTGCAGTGGCATGACCATGGCTCACTGCAGCCTCGACCTCTCAGGCTCAAGCGACCCTCCCACCTCAGCCTCCTGTGTAGCTGGGACTACAGCTTACCATGCCAAGCTAATTTTTAAATTTTCTGTAGCGACAGGTTTCACTATGTTATCAGGGCTGGTCTCAAATTCCTGGGGTCAAGTGATCCTCCTGTCTTGGCCTCCCAAAGTACTCGGATTACAGGCATGAACCACCGCACCTGGTTTGATCTTAAACACAACTTTTCTTGAAAAAAAGTTACCATGACAAGTGCTAATTTTTTTCTCCTACTATTTGTTTTGAAAAATTTTAAACTTACAGGTTAAAATAATAGTACAATAAATATCTATATATCTTTTTACTTAGAGTCACCATTTGTTTACATTTTTCCATATTTTCCTCTATTTTAATCTGTCTACAAACGTATACATAAACATACTAAATGTATATGTATACACGTATGTGTGTATATACATTCATATACTCACACATACACATCAATATTACTTTTCTTTTGTGAGGCTATTAGAGAATAAATTTAGACACAGCATTTTTGTCCTAAATACTTCAGTATGTATCTTATAAGTACATGGATATTCTTCCACATAAGCGTGACATAATTATCACACTCAAAATTTAACAACAATAAAATTAAATATGTAATGTACAGCTCATTTAAAAATTGTCCTTGTGGTCCAAGTAATAACCTTCATAGCCACCTGCCCTTCCCCCATCCTTAATCCAATCATGAATGAAGCCTTCTGTTTAGTTACAGCAGAGACTGCTGTGGGAACCTAGATCTGCTTCTTTCATAGGGAATAACCTCAGGCAGCCAGGACCTGCTCTGCCTGTGGGGCTCACAGATTGCATGAAGTGCAAGGATGAGCTGAAAGTGTGGCTCTGAAGCAGCAACTGATGGGACAACTCTGAGGTCATCTACTTACCCTCGAGGGACTGAGGCAGCTCTCTCTGTGAGATTGCTGATATGCAACTGGGCTTGGCCTCTTTATTCTTCTTGGACTGACTTGACTTCTCACTTTCCTGTTTCTCCTGGGAACACTCGTAAGGAATGGCTCAGTGAATTTCCTTCTCAAGGTCGGCTTTGGGGATATATATTTACATATATGTATACATGTAACAAAACAAAGACCATTCCTTTTACAGATTATTCTCAATTTGGATTTTTCTGATTGTTTCATCATGATTAGATTTAGACAAAATATTGTTGACAAGAATACTACATACTACATAAGTGATGTGTCTTCCTAATACAGGTTTTTGAAATTTTAAATTCTGATAACTGCTTTTCTTCCAAGAAATGCCATTATCTTTTGGCCAGCACTCAAATGAAATACAGACATTCTTTTAAAATCGAATGTATTCTATTTTATTATGTTTTGCATTTCCCCTCTTGAGTTTCTCCTAGTTTACTAACCTCTCTACAGAGTAATAAAATTATATTATATTTTTATTCATAAGAAAAAGAAAAAAAACCTCATGCAACTGAAATTGCCTTAAATTATTCATCTCTCACACTATTCTTACTTTGATGTTTAATATTATTATTTTATCTGCTTAATCCCATAACATATATTCTGACATAAATCTGCAAATTGTTGAAAACAATTTACTTAACATTTCAACTACTTAAAATTTTATTTTATTTCAGACACCTAGAAAAATAGTTCTAAATTCTACAAAACCAAAAAAAAAAAAAAAGGGGGGGATTTTTCTTGGACTCTGTTCGAAGTTTCAAGCCTACCATCAGATCTGTCCCAGACATAACTTCTCAGAAAGCTCTAATGGGATTTTGCCCTGTATAGTTTCACTGAAACAAAAAAGTGACAGCTGCTTCCCCTTCCTTCCCTTCCTCTTCCCTCTCCCCCACCCTCCTCCTCCTTCTCCTCTTCCTTCTTCTTCTTCCTTCTTGCACATGTCTGATCTCTTTTTCCTGGCCTCTAATTTAGCAGCCAGTGATTGGGTGACGAATGACTAATCTGAGGGTCGGAGCTTCTTTCCTGAAGCTTCCTGAAAAAAATCCCCCAGTAATTATAGGTTGCAAAAAACCTCTTCTACTTATTTAGCCATTTGCTCTTTTAGGTTCTTTTCATTTATTTCAAATTAAATGATACTTTCTTTTCTCCCAAAATTCAAACTGGAGTTTCTTTGACTTCCTTCAGGTGCTGCTACATTAATTCAATGCATGTTGCATTTTTAATGAATAATTTTAGGTAGTGAATTTCAAGTTCTGTATCAATTTCATTAATTCTACTTAAGTTGGGTTCCCACCATAATGAACTTTTAAACATGTGTATTATTGTTTGGCCAAAAGCACCAAATGGGTGTTCAGCTTACATTCTAATGACTTCCCTTCCTTCCTTCCTCGCTCCCTCTCTCCCTCTTTTCCTTCCTTCTTTCCTTCCTTCCTCCTTTCCAGCATCAGCTTTAGCAAGGAGCCCTAGCAGAAGACACCAGAAGGTTTCCAGCTGACTTGTCTCTTTTGTTCCTAAACCACTACTAACAGCAATATTAGTCATCACTTCCCCCACTGCCCACTGTGCTATTTAAATCTCCCTCTTTGGGTATATTTTTTCCTAAGTTTCCTTTTTCACTCCATAGTCGGGGATGTGGGGGAAACACTCCAGGCAACACCTCCCACACGCGGCCACATAAATATTTATTAGCTTTTTATTTGTATCAATCTGTTCTGTACAACCTGTACAGCTTTTCATTGCTGACATCCTTTTTATTATTTCAAATAATAGTTTAGTATGAGAGTTAAAAGAAACATATCTTTGTTCTTGTTCTGAATCATAGAAAATTTAAACCGTCACAGGCCAGTGAGAATGTATGATTCCCTTTTGAAACATTTAAGAGGCATAATTTTGACAGTCTTTGTTTAACAAAGACTTTGCTTTGTTTTGACAGTCTTTGCTCAGTAACTCTTATATGACTGGAAATTTTCTAAAGCTACCTTAGATCAGTTGATAGGCTATGTTTTCTCTTTCAATCTGTATGAATTCAATAAATGTTTTAATGAGAGTTTTCTAAGCACCAGATGCTGTATCAGGTACTAGGGATGACTATGAAATGACTCAGCTCCCAACAACTTTATAATAGGGCTTAAGCAGTGTCATAACTAATACAATCCTAATAAAAGCATGCTGTGTGTTCAGACCTAAAAGCTTGCTGTGTGTGTGCATTTAGGTAAACAGTTTCATCTCTCTGGACCCTAGCTCCTCTCTGTAAAATGAAGGAGTTGAATTCAATGATATATTCTATTATATAACACCATAAAAACACTTTACCATATGGTGTGCTGGTCCTGGACCTGTTTGCACTCAGATCCATCCTTCTGCTCTGCCTTGTTCTGGGGTGAAGAAGTTGATCCTCGGCAGGGTGACTTTTTCAGGCTCCAGAGAATTTCTGAAAGGACTGAGTCAACGGGCAGCAGGAATATATCAACCATGGAAAATTAGAGAGCAGGGTGAGGAGTGGTTTTTGGGGGAGGGAGCTATCAAGACACTCCCTCCTGTTTTCAGCCTAAGGTGGCCTCTCCAGTGGCTTTATCTTCTCTGTGACTCCAGCCCCCTTTGTATCGAGGCCACCAGAGATCCAGTCTCCCAGAGTGGTCCTCTTGGTGCCAGTAATTCCATGTTTTCCTTTTGTCTCTCCCGCCCAAGAATGATAAAGACTTCCTGCTATCGTCAATCTCCCAGGATTATTTTAGAGCCCTCTGTTTAATTCTCAGCCTCTCCACTCTTCATGGACCCACCACTGCTTTCCATTCCTTCTGCTGTGAACATTTGAGATGATTTCTGCTTTCTTGGTTAATCTATGGCTAACCACAGTGTTCACCTCTAATTTATTTTATAATTGAGGAAGGAAAATATGAGCATAGATACATTAAAGGAGCAGACCCAAACTAGCTCCTTGTATCCAAACAAAATGAAAGAAGGTTGTATCCAAACCTTCTTTTGATGCTGGTATCTATTTTTTGGTGCTTAGATACCAGCATCAAAGGAAGGTTTGTTTTATGCTTATTCTCATGGCCCAATAACGAGATGCAGATGAACTGGATAGAAGGGAGTTTATTTATATAACTAGGTACAGAGAGAAGGCTGGGAAATATTGCCAGACCAACTCAAAATTATAAAGTTTTCCAGAGCTTATACACCTTCTAAGCTATATGTCTATGTGTAAGTATGTAAGTGTGCATTCATCTAAAGACATAAGTAATAAACTTTTTTTTTTTTTCTTGAGACGGAGTTTTGCTCTTGTTGCCCAGGCTGGAGTGCAATGGCGCGATCTCGGCTCACTGCAACCTCTGCCTCCTGGGTTCAAGTGATTCTCTTGCCTCAGCCTTCCAAGTAGCTGGGATTACAGGTGTGCACCACCATGCCAGGCTAATTTTGTATTTTTAGTAGAGATGGGGTTTCTCCATGTTGGTCAGGCTGGTCTCAAACTCCCGACCTCAGGTGATCCACCTGCCTCGGCCTTCCAAAGTGTTGGGATTATAGGCGTGAGCCACCCCGTCCGGCCAAGTAATCAACTTCTAACCTATAACTAAAATCTGAGTACTGAAGACCTTCCTCTGGAGCCTTAGTAAATTTTCTTAATCTAAATGGGTCCAGGTGCCAGGGTGATTACCCTTATCTTGTCTCCTGCTAAATCATGGAGGTTCCTTTAGTCCCCAATAAAGCTTGTTTGTGGAGGTCTAGGGAGTTCCTTTAGACCCCCAATAAAACTTGTTTAATCCTAAATGGGTCCTGTTAGGAATTCCTTCGTTATCTTGTCATGCTTCAAGGCCCAGGGAAGACCTAGGCAAAACTCTTGGTGGGCTTTGTTACATTCCAGCCTTTGTATGAGGACATTGGCCCCATCAGTTTTTAATATTTATCTTAACCACTCAGTCAGTGCTGAAACAGTTGTCATGGAGGCCTGCCTATTCAGCTGTTAGTGAGACCTGGCCTGCCACACTTTCAGTCAACTATTGAAGGACACACAAGATTCTCTTTTATTATTATTATGATTATTATTATTATTATTAAAGCTGCCATGTTGAATCTCTTGAAAGTTAAGGCCCATGTAAATCGAGGTGGGGGAAACCTTTAGTGAACTACATCACTCTGTGTGCTTCCTGGTTCTTAGGACAGATGACTTTATTACAGCCTCTGAATCTATCAAATGTGTCCATTTTTCACCAGGAATGTTAATTAAAAATAAAATTATAGTGATAAATGTATTAGCAACCTAAAGTTTGGTAAGAGAAAGATACGTAAAAAACCTCTTTTTTAAAGACGAGTCTTAGGCATCCTGCTTCTTCTCCAACTCTTTTATCTCCATTTCCTTTAGGTTGGTAAGATACTTTCTTTATTTCTAGCAATTTCACCAGAGAGGTCAACAATCAAACTTACGGTGGTTTTACTTTAAAATGATAGGTAGGCAAACTTGTGGAGATACTCTTTTATTTAATTTATTCATTAAAAAAAGAGGTGGGATGAAAATCCACCCATTCCCACTACCCCTTACTTTGGGTATGGGTGCGAGAGAGGAGAAGTTCATGGTGATTGGGTGACAAGGAAAGTGATAGTACCATTGCTGATACAGGGAGAGTCCCAGAGAGAGAAACTAGCTGGAGGTTAGAGTATTACTTTCCTGTGGTAGGTGGCTTAAAACAGACATTTAGTGGATAAAACAACACACATTTATTTACTCAGTTCCAGAGGCCAGAGTCTGAAATCAACATCACTGGCTTAAAATCAAGGTGACAGCAGGGCTGTCTCCCCTCTGGAGGTTCCGGGGGAGAATCTGTTCCTGACCTCTTCCGGTGTCTGGTGGCTGCCAGCATTCCTTGCCTTGTGACCACATCGCTTCAATCTCTGCTTCTATGGTCACACTGATTTTTTCCTGTTCTTTGATGAAGTTTCCTTCTAAATCTCTCTTATAAAGAGACTTGAAATTGCATTTAGGGCCCACCTGGATAATCCCCAGGAAAATCTCCCTGTCTCAAGATTCTTAGTCACATCTGCATAGTCCCTTTTGCTATGTAAAGTAACATTCACAGGTTCCAGGGCTTAGAATGGGGACATCTTTGGAGGCCTTTATTCAGCCTACTACAGTCAGATAAAGCACACAGAAAAGCTGGTGTGGGTTTTATTTGTATGTTGTCTCTGAGTGTTTTCAAGGTTAAGATCTTTCAAGGACTAAAGAATATTGGTTAATTCCTAACATCCTGGGCTATACAATTAGTGTAGAAAGAATACGCCCTTTTGGGGTGGATGAGTCAAAATACTCACACTTTATTAAAACCATTATAGTGAATTTTACTGTTTGTTTTGTGGATGTTACAGAAAAAGGCATATTCTCTGTATAGTGTAAAGCTTAGTCATGCCTATTAAAGATATTTTGTCATTCCGGAAATTCTGTTTTATCTCCTAGATGTATGTTACAGTTATGTTAAAGTTTTATGTAAGGTTTCCTTTCCTTCCTAACAGTTTTTATTTTATGTATTTCCTCAGTGTATGGATTGTTTGTGATGCTTATGTTTGCACTGTGCATTGTAACTTTTACAGGTGTATAATAATCATTTTATCCATTTCATATTTTTTGCCATGATACATGATGCTGTGTCTGATTCTAATATTTCTACCTGTCTATTCCTCTAACTTTTCTATGTTCCTTTTGACCAGGGAAACTTTTGAATCCCTTTATTTTCAACATTTCTTTGTCAATTTGTTTATACATGTGCTTCTTATAATTAGTAAATTTAGATTTTTACCTTTTGATATAATCTGATTTTATTTGCCTTTTATTGTTATCTTTTAAGCCATTTATATTCACTATGCCAAGTCAGGTATAGTCTTATTTGGCATTTTATTTTATTCTTTGTGGTTTATACTTACTGTTTTCTTCTTCCCTATACATTATATGTCATTGTAGCTCCTCTTTCTTCCTATTAGTTATTTTTTCTACAAATTTTATTCTATATTCCCATTTGTAGAATGCACATTTTTGTTCTACAGTTATATATATATTCACATATGCACATTATATGTATATAAAAATATACATATACACAGAGATTAGCATATATATGTAATTTTCAACCAATTATAAGAATGGAAGACTATTACTGGTTCTCCTATATAAGAGACTTATCACACTTTTACTTTCCTCTTCTCTACTCCTGCTCAACATGTATTAATTAATTAGTTTTTTAGGTCAAATTCCTGGTATTAAAAATATTATTTTTTATTTTGTTTATTTTCTTTCCCAAGAAATATATTTGATACAAGAATTATGTAACATATTGATGTTAAAAACTAGTAATTATTTATTAATGTGAATTTTAATGGGTGCAGTACACATAATCAATTTTTAATATCATATTACCTCTTGAGATGTAACAGTTTTATTTATTCTTTTAGTCAGCTGTGGTATTTTCTCAAGTATCAAAGAATTATTTCCCCCATGAATGGTAAATGGATACTTGCATTTTCTGATGTCCTCTCACTTGACTAAAAGTTTGGTTGCCTGCAGAATTTTTTAATCTGAATTCGCTGATGGATACCTGGGTTGCTTCTACTTTTTAACTATTCTGAATAATGCTGCTGTGACAGTCATTTAAAAATATAAAAAAAATTAAGCATTTTTTTGGGGACTGAGATATGCTTAAGATAAATTAACCATCATAGGAGAACATAAAACATAAATATCTAAGGGTGAACTAGAACCCAAAGGCCTAGTCTGGGTCATAGGATATTATGGAATGAAAGAATAACCCATACTGATGAAAATGTCACTTACCAAGATGATGATCTTACAGTGTAGGAACAGCAATTGTTTAGCTACAAAATGTGTGGTAATCATGACTTGCAGAAATAAGACTGGTAAAGTCTCCCAGAAACTTTCAGGATTCCTAAAACCAGTCCTTTGTCCAAAAGTCATCTTCATAGTAGTGGCCATATCCTGAATGAAGTTACTCAGTTCTTAAGAGCATACTGTCTAGGTCTGAAGAAGAATACGGAGAGTGAAGGCAGATTCATGGACCAAGGAAGATATTCACAAATAGAACATACAATGGGGGATGAAATGATTTTAAGGAGAAATGACAATGATAATGACAGTGGTATGTAGTATGTAGGGGGACCATTGCTTTCAATCTTGGAAGATGAGTTCAAGTTTTGATTGCATCAAAATGGAGTCACACTGAAGTTCTCAGGTAGAATTAGCCATACATCCTTTGCTTCTGGGTTTCTGAGATATTGGTGACAAAACTGAAACTAAGAACAGATCTATTGTCAACTATGATTGTCTTGCCTCCTTTTTTTCTCTGATCTTGTTTACTGCCTGAGTTTCCCTTCACATTTTACCACCACAACTAAGGGACCTTATTTATTGAGTACATTCTTGCATATTTCTGCTTTAACATAGCATTAGTTCAGTATCGTATGAGTGAATTTGGGGGAGAAGTAACCAGTGTCTGTATCTGCTACAGACAATGAGAAGATTGTCTTACTGCAATATTTTAGGCATCTGCCTTGACTTCGAATGAACGTTCCTGTCCATACCCTAAAGGAGAAAAGAGTTGCACTCATATTATTAAATACCCTCTAGATTTTAGCGAATATATGGACTACTTTTTTTAAGCAAATCTGTAAGGGCAGTTGTCATTGTGGAGAACTGTGGGTTTAGTTAGTCTCCCTTAATAATACAAATGGAGAAAATTTAGTTGAGAACATTGTTGAATTTTTAGTGGTCCAGCGATATCTCTTTGTGGAGAGAGCATTTGCTTTATTAAATCTCCATTAGATAAACTCACATTTTTATAGGAGTGTTAAGAGAAAATCTCTCCAAGTGTTTAAGCCTGGGAAAATGAGAGAGAGGAAATACAGAACGAGGTCATGTGAACCGTCAATTGTGAATAAGAGGAAAAGTCAGAACCAAAGAAAAGCCCTTAGTGTGCAGAAGAGGTAGAGATTGAAAATGAGCTGTCAAAAAGAAATGCGGGGGATAAGCTAGAATAAAACACCTAAAGAATAAATTTCAAGGAAAAAGAGGAACATTAATAGGGCTAAATTTGATTAAACTTGACTGAGATAAAGGGAGAGAGAAAGGTGGTTTGATTTGGGGATTAGGTTATTAGTGACAATCTTCATAAGCAGGTTTCAAACGACTAGTAGTAGTAGAAACTGGGATGAAGGGAACTGTAGTAATTTAGGAAGGACAGGTAGAGTATCAGTATCTTTGAAAAGTTTGCAGGTGATGAGATCAATGAGGATAAATGATAACTTAATGGGGTGTCACAAAATCACCTTAAGTTGGCTGGTGAAGACTTGGGCAGTTTTTAGGAACAGATTATATTAATATTAAAAATAGGAAAAAAGAGCAAAGAAATATATTAGGACTTCTAGCTACATGGTAAACAATAAACTCTGGTTTTACTAAATATATTTGACACATATTATAGAATTTTCCTTGCAAATGTTGTTACAAATTATATGATATTTCCTCTTTTCCAATTTTCCTCTTACAAGGTAAATTCACCTAATCTTTATTATGATATATTTGTAAGGGGAATTGAATTATAAGCTTTCTCAGGTTAAAATAAGGACAAAACAAAAATTTTCTGATAAAATTTTCTTGCAGTATGCCACCATTTGCCAAAGGAAGTCAGCCATTGTAGCCTTTTCTGTAATCTTAAGTTTTTTGGACAGATATCTATTGTGCAAACTAAAATTTAGTTCTAATTCCATTCATATTAGATATATTTATTTAATACAGTATTCCGCTTAATACAGACTTTATAAATAGAATCACATTTTATTTTTAAATGTCATATCCTAGAGGAATGTTTGTACAAATCATTTAAAAATGAATAGTTTACAAATAACTTAGCTTTAGTCTTTAAGTATTTACATACATTTATTTATGATTTGTCACACATAAAAGGACATTCTTCTTCTTAATTATATCTTGCTGATACTTAATTTTAAAGTTTTTTTTTGTTTTAATTACACAACTGGTGGTGACAATATAACCCTAGATGGCTATGGTATATTTGTTCAGGTGCCTTGAGAAATACCAAAATTTTTGACAATGTTTTTTTTCCTTTGGGTCAGATCTTTTTTATTACAATGAAAGATAAATTTCAGTAAACTAAGAGACAGAGACTCTACACAGAGTTTCAGTTTCCCCTTAGCTCCTATAAAATGGAATGTCATGCTACTGAGATATCTCATGCACTGCTCTTGCCTTCTGTCTGAAGATGGGATTCATGAATTACCTGAATCATCTGGATCCCTAGAATTGGATTAGTGGCTCAGACAACTCCATCTTTTGGGACAGATGATAGAAGGTATCTATTTCCTACAGCTAGGTTTTTGCAGTAAGATTACATAACTCTTATTTGATCTTTCTCATTATTTTTTTCAGGACATAAATTGTGTTCCAATTCTGATATCCAATGATCTTACCTCATTTGGGGTAGGTTAAAGTAGATACTCATTAGGACTCTAAGGAGCATATTTTTCTACTTAGTGCAAACGTCAGAAAGTAAGTAATCATGTTTAAACTGACAAGAGCTTTAACCAGGAAGTTGCCTACATCACAAGATCTCCTTCCTGTGGTAGTGTGCATGGAGTCTTCCACAAAGAGACAGACAGATGCCTGCAATAACCGGCTTAAGAAAAGATAACCATCAATACCACTGGTTGATTTCATCTGCTCCTATGAGAAGGACAGATTGTACATGGTGCTGTCAGATGATCTCAGAACATAAAGAGATTTCCTGAGAGATCGTTATAATATTGGGATAAAACTTTACTGCAAAAATCTCATAGAGTGAATGAATGATAGAGGTAAACAAAAGTTTATTCTATTAAAACTTACATTTTGCAGCTTATTACAACATATGTTATGATTTGAATGTGTCCCCTCCAAAGTTCAATCATTGCCAATATGATGGTATTAAGAAGTGATTAAGATAGGTATTAAGATGGTCTTTAAGAGGTGATTAGGCCTTACAGTCTCTTCCTGGCTAATGGAGTTAAAAAGCCCTTACAAAAGAGGCGTCCCGCAATGCTTGGCTAGTTGCCCTTCCACCTTATGCCATGTGAGGATGCAGCAAGAAGGCCCTCACTAGATCAAATGCCTAGAGCCTTGACCTTGTATTTTCCAGCCACTGAAACTGTGAGAAAGTAATTTTTTTTTCTTTATAAAATAGTCTGTGGTATTTTGTTATAGGAGCACGAATGGACTAAGACAACATGCATGTAATTAACAAATGGGTCTTGGGTATAGGCATGAAGGAGATAGCTTTCCAGTTTGCTAAGAGATGTCTAAACTGGACATCCTTAACAGCTGCCCCTCCACCCATAACCATTGCACCGGTTTCTATATAAAAGGTCAGAACTCTGCCTTTTACTTCGAGAACTTCTTTTCTGGGAAGGTCTAACAGCTTACTATCCAACCCATTATAACTAGCTATAATATTCTGTCAAATTCCTTCAAATTGATTTCTCTGTCTCAGAACACCATAACCCATCACAATTCTGAAAGCTGAAATAGGATGAGCACCCTCTTCTCTACAGATAGCCCTATATGGAACCCTTGGCTTCTGCTGAGATAAGATTTGAGATAGGAGAAAGAGAAAAGCTAGTTTGCCAACCAGAGGGAGGATGATGTGTTCAGTTTGCAAATGGTAAGATTTAGATGTTCTGTAGACAACTAGAAGTATTGGAATCCAGGCTTGGATGAGAGGTTTGGTTTGGTACATCAATTGAGTAGTCATTAGTATAAAAATTACAACTGGGCCGGGCGCGGTGGCTCATGCTTGTAATCCTAGCACTTTGGGAGGCCAAGGCAGGTGGATCACCTGAGGTCAGGAGTTCGAGACCAGCCTGGCCAACATGATGAAACCCCATCTCTACTAAAAATACAAAAAATTAGCTGGGCTTGGTGGTGGGTGCCTGTAATCCCAGCTAATCGGGGGAATGATGCAGGAGAATTGCTTGAACCCGGGGGGTGGAGTTTGCAGTGAGCTGAGATTGCACCACTTCACTTCAGCCTGGGCAAAAGAGTGAAACACCATCTCAAAAAAAAAAAAAAAAAAAAAGACAACTGGAGCTAGAAGGCAGGATTTGTAGGCAAAGGGGAAGTAAGTGGAGAGAGATGGGGATTGAGGACCCAGTCTTGCAGCAAGAAGAGGAAGAGAGTTACTGAAGGAGATGTGAAAGCCAGGTAGAGAGGTAAGAGAAACCTATTACAACGGCCCCATCACAGGGGGCCTTCACAGTCACACAGGCTTCACATTTGGATCTCTAAATGAGATCATGTCTCTATATTTTGTGAATATGTATTAAACGTTTAATTTAGAAGCAATAAATATTTAAAACATACTGAAATGTTGGGACACTGTAAAAGAAATGGGCTGTGTGTAGTGGTCACACCTGTAATCCCAGTGCTTTGGGAGGCTGAGGTGGGAGGACTGATTGAGCCCAGGAGTTTGAGACCAGCCTAGGCAACATATTAAGACCCTGCCTTTACAAAAAAAAAAAAAAGTTGGGTATGGTGGCGCATACCCATAGTCCCAGCTACTTGGGAGGCTGAGATGGGAGGATTGCTGGAGCCCAGGGATTTGAGGCTGCAGTGAGTCATGATCACACCACTGCACTGCAGCCTGAGCAACAGAGCAAGACTCTGCCTCAAAAAATAAATAAATGAATGAAAGAAATGAAAGTTGCTTGGATTCTTACTAACTTGTGATTAGTCTTGGGAGGAAAATTAGAAGACTGTTCCAGGAACAGGCAATTGAGGTTGTCAGAAAAGTGAGATGTTGGCAAGATGTCAAAGAGAATAAGAACTGAGAGAAGACCATGATGTTCAGCAAGGGGGCCACTAGAACTCCATAAGAGAGAGGCCTGGGTATTGTGGTCAGAGGAAGTCAAGGAATTAGTAAATGCTAAAGAAAGTGGGACAGGTCTCAAGCATCCTTTAGAGAAGTTTGGCAATTAGAAGTGTGTGTGTGTGTGTGTGTGTGTGTGTGTGTGTGTGCGCGCGCGCGCGTGCGCGCACGCCAGTGTTCATTTTTACCTCTCATCTCCTATCTCGTCCAATACCTAATATTCTCTAGGGAAATGGAATCCTGGCTGAAAGGCAGGCTTGTCCTTCAGCTGTCACAGTGCCCAAGAAGTGCACAGCAGGGAGTCTTTTTTTTTTTTTTTAAATTTACGCTGTGGTGCTGGGAGCCAGAGACAGAGACAAAAAAAGCTGTCCTGGAGTCTGTTGCATTGTGACTGAATCAAGTTATCCATAAAAGTACTCAAAATAGGAGTCTGGTTCACAGCTTAAAGGAATGAGGCTAAACAGCAGAAAGGCTCAAGCAACCACTGGTGGAGGGGAACAAGTAAGAACTTGTCTGGAGAAGTCTGGAGCCAAGTATAAATACCCACTGCTGACATTCACACATTCCCAGCTTGCTTGTCCAAGGGCAAGCAGGAGTCATTTACAGCCTGAACCTAATAGGCATCTAATATTGTTATGTGTTGTCATATCTCAACCACCACCATCACCACCACTCCCAGCTAGCACTCACAGAGCACCTGACCTGGGATCAGTGCCTGAATCAGAAACAGAAACTTCTAGACTGATGTGGTTCAGTGGTGCTTACATAGGCTATTGTTTACTACATCTGCACCCACCTTTCAGGAAGCATTTGGCTTGTACATTTAGCTCTGTGGCCCACTGAAGAGAATTTCCTGTGGGCAGTGGGGTGAGGAACCCTGCCTTAATCTGTTTCTCAGGTATTCTTCTCCCCTGCTTTTATGTGTCAGAACCTGTATAATCCTTGTAGGGCCTATCCAGGAGTAGGCAGAGCCAGAGTGCCCATTCCTGATGTCCACAAAGTACAGCAATGCACCCAGGCTTGATTTGGAGCCACTCTTGCCTTCCTGACTGTTTTCAAAGATATGTCACATGGCCTCTGAGCCAGTGCAACAAGCCTTACAGGCATTGGTATTTGCACAACAAATAGTATTTTTTTTTTTTTTGCTTAAATAAGGGAAATAGGGAATATTTATCACAGCTATACATTTATTCATCATTTAATTCCCATTTATTTATTCATTAATTTATTCAAACACTTCTTAAGCATGCACCATGTGTCATGCCCATCTTAGAGGCCACAAAGGTTCTAAAACTATTACTTGTGGACAGAAAAAGAGACCCATATACATGTAGCATTATGTCTTACTGGAATTCAGAGCAGGAAGAGAACACATCTGGCTGGGGGCAGGATGAGGAAGGACCTGATAAATTTTCTATTGAACAATTACTCTAAATAAGTGTGCTTTCTTTAGATGGTAAGGATTAGACCAGGATTCAAGATTACTGGATTTTGAGTCAAAGTTTGAGCTCCCTGGGGGAAAATCTGCATATATGCAGAGTCATGGTGGTAATTACAGTATTAAGCCCCATTTTGGAACACTTTGATCTGATCTGGTTCAAAATTTTATTTCCTGAAAGGTTTACTCATGTCATATTAAGGTACTCTCGTCTTTTTATTTGCAAACTCATTTAAAATCTAAATACTGCTGCTCTCTGCTTTGGACTTGGCTGCTTTTCAATAACAGGAAGGAACAATACTGTTTTCATCAGTTTTGTACATGGGCCACGAGAGGGCAGCATTTTACTTCTTTTAAGATTTAATGCTGGTCTACAAAATGCTGAGCTGTGCCTGGAGGGCTTTGTGGTGTGGAAAATCTTCAGAAATGTTCAGTGAAACCCAGCCTCCTCTGATTCATCTTTAAAGAGGAGAAAAAATTATTCCATGCGACTCTATTACCAGTCTTTGGGCAGAGAACCAAATAATTCGGCCAGGCTCTCAGTCTTCATGGTTGAAAAGTTATCAGGAAATTTAAAATTTAAATTCATAGTTACAGAGCCACTAGTGAAAATTTGCTTTTTAATGAACTTTTTTTTTTTGGTCTACATTTTCACCCTCTGCGGTGGGGGCTCTTTTAAATGCCCCTGTTTAACCATACTGCATCCAGAAATGTATACATATCACAAACCTGTTGGTAATGACACCAAGGCAAGCTCCGTTTCCTTTCCCATCATCGGTGGACCACACCTACACCAGCGCTTCCTTCTGCGCATCCTATGGCACCCGTCTACTTTCTGCTTTGGGAATCCCCACAGAGGCTAGCACAGTGCTGAACTTGTAAAACGTACACAATAAACGTTCTATTTCTTGAACGACATTGGATGATAATGCAATCTCTCTCTTGTGAGAGAGAGGAGAAAGAGAGAGAGAAGTGAGAGGAGAGAGAGACAGAAGAGAAAGGCGAGGGGGGAGGGGAGAGAGACACAGAGACAGAGTCAGAGACAGAGAGAGACCAAAAGGGAACAGCTGGCAGCAGCAGGGAGGCAGGCTTGAGGAGTTGGTGTCTGATTTACGTGGGGGCCACAGATGGGTTTGATCAGGTGTGAAGTTTACAGGGCGCTGGGAAGGCTGGTTGCCCCACCCTAATCTTACGCAAATGGGCTTTCCACTTGCTCAGCGCCATCTCGTCTACTCTTTACTGTACACGTGGCTGGCAAAGAGAAGGGAAGATAGAGCTCTCGTTTTGAACATGTAGTTCCAGGTAGTATTTTCCTATTGGCACAACTTCACGCATTTGCCTGTGCAGGCTTCCACCTCGCTTGCCTACGTCTGCAACTTCATTTTACAGTCTGCTCTTTGTTAGGAAAATAAATGATTTGAGGGCTGCTTTTAATTAAAAGGTAAAACTTACCAAGGACTCCTGTACCCTCACTATCTGCCTAACTAATTTCTTCTTAACTCTTATATCAACAAAACCCCACGATAATTTTTTTCCTATGAGAAAATATTTTATTTGAAGAAATTAACGTAAGCTGTGTGTGGTGGCTCACACCTGTAATCCCAGTGCTTTGGGAGGCCAAGATGGGAGGACCCCTCGAGGCGAGAAGTTTGAGACCAGCCTGGGCAACATAGGAAGACCCTGTCTCTATAAAAAGTTAGAAAATTAGCCGGGCATGGTAGTGTGCACCTGTAGTCCCAACTCCTTGGGAGGCTGAGATGGGAGGATCATTTTTGGCCCCAGGAGTTTGAGGTTACAGTGAGCTGTGATTGTACCACTGCACTCCAGACTGGGTGACAAAACAAGACCCTGTCTCCAAAAAAAAAATTAATATAAAATGTGGAACTTTTCGCTAGTGGAGATGAATGAATATACTGTGCAGATTTATGGAAGTATGACATCTAAAAAGACCAGAATAATTCCTAAGTGAAAAGCGGAAGGATATGCCCTAGAAGAGGGCATAACTGAATGTGTGGGGAAGGTTTTCAAACTTTACTCCTTCTAATGCAAACCTCTGTGACCCCTTACAACCCCTTCCTCTGGATGGGTATCATTCCATATCATTACAGGCAGTACTGAGAGGGAGATTACAAATTGTAAACATTTTCAGAGGTGGGGGGAGAAAAGATGGAAACCATAAAGACACAGCTATATAAAAGGTTAATTGCATATATATGTGGTTATGGTAATTTCTGTATATATGCTTCATATCTTTTACAGTCAGTGTGTTAGTGGCAAATAAATACGTAGAACTTACTTCAAAATATTTTGTTGTTTCTTAAAGTGCCTAATTGTACCATAGTCCAACACGAAGCCCTTTTATAAGAGAGATGGAAGAGCATGCAGAATCTAATCATTAGATTCAATAAGTAAATATGTATTGAGTACTGATGAAGTACCAACTAAACATTATGATTCATTTTGATAAAACAAAGCCAGTCACATTAGTAAGAAACAGCTCACTCTGGCTGGAGAACTTGTTCCCTACTTTCACAAGGTTGACTTCTTAATCCGATCAAATGAAAATGTCATGTTCACCAGAAAGGCCATTTCTGACCATCTAATTTATAGACTGAACACCCCTCACCCTGTCATTCTACTTTATAGCACCTTGTTCTGTTCACAATTTAAAATTGTATTATCACCTGTTTACTTGATTAATGTCTGTCTCACTCATAGATCGTGAACTCCATGAAAGCAAGAATCAAATCTGTTTTGAAGCACTCCCAGCATTTAGGGAAATACCTGAAGTAGAAGGCATTCAGTAAATACTTGTGGAGTGAATGTATATATTCTTGCTCTATATGTGAAAACACCATTTATTCATACAGTTAAACTATGATGTCAGTATTATGTCAGATTATTATAATGTCATATTCATTAACAACGAGACCCATAGTAAAAACAAAAATGTATTTGACAAACTGTTCATTAGTAGGAAATTGAGTTTAGTATAGATGAAATTTTCAGGTAAGATATTCTTATCTTTTTGAAGATATGACAGCATATTTAAGCTTTGGGCAAGGCAGACTTTTTTTTTTTTTTTTTTTTTTTTTTGAGACAGATTTTCACTCGTTGCCCAGGCTGGAGGGCAACGGTACGATCTCGGCTTTCCGCAACCTCCGCCTCCCGGGATCAAGCAATTCTTCTGACTCAGCCTCCCGAGTAGCTGGGATTACAGGCATGCGGCACCACGCCCGGCTAATTTTGTATTTTTAGTAGAGATGGGGTTTCTCCATGTTGGTCAGGCTGGTCTCAGACTCCCAATCTCAGGTGATCTGCCCGCCTTGGACTTCCAAAGTACTGGGATGACAGGCGTGAGCCACTGCGCCCGGCCTGGGCTATTTTTGTTTCCCACAGATGTTTACACCAGAATGGCTGTTGCCCGGTTTGATTGCGCCAGTGTCTGACGGCTGTGTGGTGCCTGTATCATAACAGTTGTTAAATAATTTGAATATATAATGTTTAAATATGTAGCTTGTCTTTGATCTTTTGACAACAGAGATAGCTTCATTTACCTAAAGGGGTACTGATTTTAAAAATTAATTCATTTGAATTTAAACACAGCATATGCTAGACAAAACTCTTAGGGAAAGAATATGTATATACGTGCATGTAAACCACACAGACTGAAAGAGAAGCATTCAGTACATAAATTATTAGGCTCAAGTAGGAGGTTACTATAGAGTTAGCTGCTACTTATTTTCAGAATTTGATTTTATATTTTGAATTGGAAGAATGCCGATCTGGGAGTCAAAAACTCTTAATTTTGAGCCATGGATGCATAACCTTGGGTATTTTAATATTGGGCTTAGTTTACTGGTTTGCAAAAGAGATGAGTGGACCAGATATCTTTAAAGTCTATTCTAGGCATGAATTTTCATGATTCTGCAGTATATGTTCCTTTTAAGAAGTGAGACATTACCAGGATAAATATAGGAAAAACTAGTAGTATCCCCTTACCCCCTCACCCTCCTGAGTAACCAATTTAATATGCACAGAACATCCTTCTATCATCCTTTTTGGTACACACAAACATATATAAACAAAAATAAATGTATGTAAGCTTTCTTGCCTGAAAAAAGTAAAATAAAATATACATTATTCAGATGTGTTTCCCTGCTAATAGACATCTGAATGTCTTCAGTTTTTATTTTTGTCACTATAAATAATATTTCAGTAAACACCATTGTAGAAGTATCACTATATGCTGATGCTTTTGTTTTTTTTCTGTCAGATACATTTTTGAAAATAGGATTTTTGGGTCAAAGGTATATGCAGTTTTCATTTTAATAGATAATTGCTAATTTATTTCTAAAATATTTGTGGTGATTTAGAATGGTAACAGTGCCAATTGCCAGCACTGAGTTAATATTTTGTTTTCTATTGCTGCTCACCTGAAGGCTAAAAATGATGCCATTTTAGTTTAATTTGAATTATCTAGATTTTGTTGGAACAAGAAAAAAGAATTCTACTTGCATCTCTTCAAATGATGGGTCTGCATACCGTCTACTATGAATTGGCAATTCGTAGCCTTTGCATATGTCCATTTTAATATGATCAACTTTTAGATATTATATATACTGTAAATATTTTTTCCAGTCTTTAGTTTGTCTTTCTGCTATGGTTTACATAGCGAGATATACTTGTTTTTTATAAAATAGGTGGTTTGTTTTCTGTCGTTCTTAAGTGAGAAGATCTTCACCAAGGGCTTCCTTCTGGAATTTTTATAGGTTTATTTAAAAATATTGGCCGGGCGCAGTAGCTCACACCTGTAATCCCAACACTTTGGGAGGCCGAGGCGGGCGGATCACGAGGTCAGGAGATCGAGACCGTCCTGGCTAACACGGTGAAAACCCATCTCTACTAAAAATACAAAAAATTAGCCAGGCGTGGTGGCGGGCGCCTGTAGTCCTAGCTTCTCGAGAGGCTGAGGCAGGAGAATGGCGTGAACCCCAGAGATGGAGGTTGCAGTGAGCCGAGATCGTGCCACTGCACTCCAGCCTGGGCAACAGAGTGAGACTCTGTCTCAAAAAACAAAACAAAACAAAAATATTTAATTCACCTAAACTTTAAAAAATATATAAATAGTCTAAATTTGTATTTTTACATGCGGTTTTTAATGGAGATGTACTGAATTAAAAGCTCATTTTGTCATATATAAAGCTCTTATGTGTACTTGGATGTAATTCTAGATTCCGTGCTCTATTCTCTAGATTTGCTTATTCATGTGCCAGTGCTATACTATTCTATTTTTTTTAAAGGTTTAAAACATTTATCACTAAAGATACTAGAATGTTCTTTGAAAACCTATTAAGACATTTAACTATTCTTTTATGCTATTCTGATCAAAAGAAAGAATAAAAGTTTAGGAAAGGGAAAAATGCACATTTCTTAAAAAAGTTTATTTCTAGCCCTGAAAGAACAAAATTATTGAACAAAGTCATAAAATACAGCAGTTAATGTCAATGTATAACAATTAAATAATTGAATGGGATTAAATTAAAAATAAAAGACATTATAAAATTTGAAGACAACAGAAAAGACAAACTATAATTTTACTTAATTCCATTTCTATCACAACAAGAAAAAAAAGCCAATGCGTTCCAACCAAAGATGCTGAATTCCAAACATAATTGTTTCTCTTAATAAAGAATAGACGTGTGCTTGACAGAATTATCATCCATTTCTTTCTGCCTCTGTCTTGGCAGCATTCTAGAGAAGTGAATGGGAAAGACTTCCGTTCTTTCAAGGCCAGGCCAGTGCTTGCTTCTTCTTTCTAGCTCCAACCTCGTCTACCACAGCATCTTTGCCAGAGTGTTCAATCAGTGTGTTGACTGAGAAAAAAGAATGTGTGTATATATTTTTTCTTATATACACACACTATCAAAAAACTGATTTCACCAGTTTCAATACCTACTGTGGGAGCAGCGGAGACAGGAAGACAATCTGCTTCTTGTATTACTATGAAGTTCCACTATAAAAAACCCCAAATGAGTATTAATCTGGATTTTAGCTATAATCTATAATATTTTGACACTGACATTTCACTAGATGTGGATCTCAGTATATTTAAAAAGATTTAGACTCAAAAATGGATGCAAATTCTTTAAGCACCTATTTTGTTTTTTTCTAATTTTAGCTACTACCTGATCAGATCTAAAATTATTCTGGCTAGAATACAGTATATACAAACGTATTTAAGTGAGCCCTATAAAGAAATACTCATAGGTAGTTTAAAATTTCTTGTTAAAGGCACAGGCTCATTTACAGTTGGTGGTTACTAGACTCTAAGCAGCTTAACATTTATATGTTAAAGGGAAGAGAATTAGTACTATGTGCCAGGCACTCGACACATGAAGACAGAGTTGTATTAGCCTCGGTGTCTTACGCTTCACAATTACTCATTTACTATTCTAGGTAGGATAAAATGTTCCATGTTTCATAGTTTCCCAGTTTTAACTGTCCCTAAAAGCAGCAGAAGAAAAAAGAAAAAGTCTAAAATATAATAAATAAGTACTATAGTAACACTGTCCCAATAACACAAGAGGACTATTAAAGTAACTTTTAGATTTAAATGGGAATTTTCATTCTAAAGTGATGACAAAAAGGGTAAATATAAAAGGCAATTATTTAAAAAACATGAGGCCAGGTGTAGTGGCTCGTGCCTGTAATTGTAGCACTTTGGGAGGCCAAGGTGGGCAGATTGCCTGAGCTCAGGAGTTGGAGACAAGCCTGGGCAACATGGTGAGACTCTGTCTCTACTAAAAATACAAAAAATTAGCTGGGTGTGGTGGCACGCACCTGTGGTCTCAGCTACTCAGGAGGCTGAGGCATGAGAATTGCTTGAACCCAGGAAGCGGAGGTTGCAGTGAGCTGAGATCATGCCACTGTGCTCCAGCCTAAGTGACAGAGTGAGACTCTGTATCAAAAAAATAAAAATAAAAATAAAAAATAAAAAACATGAATCTTGATTCAGATATAATTTTTCTTTCAACAAGTTCTCAATGTTTTAATTTAAAATTAATAAATCACAATTCTGTATTGCTTTTAAGATTTTGTTTAAAAATGACACATCTCAAAATTAACCAAACTATATTTCTGCTAGAGGTTAGTTTATCCATGTAACTTAAGAATAAACCACAGTGTAGCTCCCTTAACCAAAGAGCCAGGTTTTAATGACTGAAGTCAGCTGCCAGCAATGGACATGCAGGTAACTATCGAAGAAGTTGTAGCTACAAATCCCAAACTGCTTCTATCAATGGAAAAGCCCTTTGTTGAGTCACAAGCCTGAAGTGAGGCCTTGGCACATAGTCAGTGAGAATGGTCTTTGACTTAGAAGGGAAGTGCCTCTGAGTGCATGAGGATCACAGTCTTCTCATCTCGTTGGTTTTCTATTTCATTGGTAGCATCTTCTTTATCATAATCCATCCGTTTACAAAGAATGTTAAAATTTGGAACTCAGGTGGCACTGCAGCTTTCTGACAGAAATAAACCAGTTTCTGTAATTCAGTAATAGCTGTAGAAGGCCAATATATTCCAGAGAAAAATGAAATCAAGAATTATATTGAAAACAGAGACCATTAAGTGCCCTAAATATGTTTCATTAATTATTTTACTCATTTTTCTGAAAATCTTGCCTTATCAATAAAAAACAGTCACTTCTCTCCTTATAATTGTATCTTATCATAGATATAGTGGGAATAAAATAATGGAAATAAAACCCTGCTAGTTTCCCCAATGTATACTACAACAGCAAAATTATTTTTTATTCATGATTTATACTACTGCAGGATGGCAAGCAGCGGGGAAGTTAATGGGGGAAGGGGATGGTGGGATCAAAATGCCAGAACCAAACCAAATACTTGAACAACCTACTCCAAAGCAAAACAATGAATAAAGGAGAAGGAGAGGAGATGAAAGAAGAGAAGAGAAAGGGAGGGGAGGGGAGAAGGGAGGGCACTCAAATAATTAATGCTACAGGTCTCAGATCTTTCAGAATCTTTAAAAGAAACAAATTATTGCTCTCAACACGCACATTTCATTTTCCTTTCTTGTTTTTTTAAATTAATAGTCTCTACCTATTTGAAAACAAAAGTAACTCAACATCTCAAATGATCTATAAATTCATCAAGAAATACTCTGTCGCTCAAGTTCTCATAGATAACACCACACTGATGATGACCTGGAGCGATGCCGCCACCTCCAAGTCTCTACAGTTGATTTCCTATCGGCTGCTTCTCTGTAACACTAACATTCTCTTTCATGAGTATAATCTCTTCTCACTATATCAGAGATCACCAAGGTTCACGTCTCTCACTCTGCGCCTGCTAGTCCCAAATATTTTTCTCCTTTAAGTGGAAAAAAGCTAATTTTAAATTCCCGAAAATTCACTGGTTATTATATTATTTGCCATGGGAGGGGGGTATCTGTGAGGTGAGAGAGGATTAATGAAAAACAAAAAGAACAAAAATAAACCTAAAATTGCAACATATACAGAAATTTATTTCCAAATTGAAGGGGGAAAGGAGGGAAGAAGGTAGTGGCACTAACCAAAGTCACAAAGCCCAGGTTGGAACAAGAACAAATCACTTTGGTTCCTAGAGCCAAGCCTGAAGGGGAAACAGGCAGAAGGGAAGACGAAATGGGAAGAAATATACGGTCAATGGGAATCTTTTTCTATCTCAATGATTTAGTTATAAATAGAGATTATTAGTCTTCTCTCTATACATGTAACAAATGCCAAACTTACTACCACAAAATTTCTAAAACTGACTTTTTCACATTTGTTAAAAAAGGTAAAAATCAAATACTTTTCTTCCCTTCCTTCAGGTCAAGTTCTGAACTAAAATATTACATGTAACAACAGCTGGTCCTAACTTTTATAAAAAGTGAAACTATATAGAGCTCCTTTGCCAACATAAGGAGCTACATAATTTCTATTACACTACCTAGGCATGAGAAACTCAAAAGCAACTCAAAAGGAGCAAGTCCAGGAAAAGGAAAGCTATGAAGGAGAGAAAGACTAGCAGATGAAACAAATACTCTGAAAAACTCCAATCTGCCATTCAAGTATTGGAAATACCCCAAAGGGGACAATGAATGGGATCTATTACAACAAAGTCAGCAAAGTAAAATGCAAATCTCACATATGATAAATGGCCCTGATAGGCGGTTTGCTGAAAGACCTAAGGCTAGTGATTCAGTCCACAATTCCTTTTGGACCCTAAAGAAGGGGTTCATATAAAAGTCATACTTTTCTTTTTGCAATTTTCTCTTGGTTGTCTTCAGAGAATAGTCATTTGCTTCTTTCATTCAGGTTATGCAGACCATTTCTTTAAACCCCCAAAAGAGTAATAATTTTCATATACTAAAAGGCTTCTTGTAGAAAATGGAAAAAAGAATATGAGGCCACAGCAGTGATGTTAACGGTTACTCTTCATTGCTTCTTTAGCTGCCATGATCAGTGGTGTCAAGCTAGATAACAGTTTGGCTAGTTTCAGGAAAAGATGCTGTAATAATTCTTTGGCTGAACCCCTTTTTTCCACATCTGTTTCCAAACATCGATTTAAGAAATCCCGAAATATTGGGGAAAGTGTCTCTGGATTCTGAAGTTCTGGGATTCCATTAGTTGCTATTAGGCACAAGGCCCTCAAGGGATTTTCATTGAGGTATGGAGGCTCTCCTTCTACCATCTCAGTAGCCATGATACCCAGAGACCATACATTGACTTTAGGGCCATAAGCCTTCCGTGTAACCACTTCTGGTGCCATCCAGTGTGGCGTTCTGACCACGGTACTGCGTTTGCTCTGCTCAGGGGTGATCTGGGCACAGAAACCAAAGTCAGTGAGCTTAACTGATCCTTCCATTCCCAAAAGTACACTGTCACTTTTGATGTCTCTGTGGATCACTTGATTAGCATGTAAAAACTCCAATGCCTGTAAACTCTCTCTGCATACAGCAGCAATCTGTGCTTCATCCATGCAGGTTTCTGTTACCACATCAGTGAGTGACCCCCTAGCAAGGTATTCCACGACCACAAACAATTCATCTCCTACCAGGTAACTGTCCAAGAAGTTAACTATGTTGGGATTTTTTAATTCTTTCATTACCAGAATCTCATTAATGATCAATTCCTTCTTTGGCTGTTTCTGTAAATTAATTTGTTTGATAGCAACCTTCTGTCCCAGTGCAACGTCGGTAGCAGTGAAAACTGTACCAGAAGCCCCTTGTCCAATTTTTTCATATCTTGTATATTTTTTTCTTAGGGTCACCTATGCTCACAATAGTTCTTAGTTTCTCCATAATCTCTTCATCTGTCATCTTAGTCTTCTTTTTCTGTTTGTCTAAAGACTTGGCACCACCATCAACATTTGAATCACCAACTGGTGCAGGAACAGGGTCAATTACAGACCGTGTGTAAATTGATTTCATATGATCCGGTGGTGGGGCAATAACGGGAGGGGCAGTCTCTTCATCATCGTCCTCCTCCTCTGTCACTACTGCAGGTGCTTCTGTTCCCTCGGCATTCAGTGCTGGTGTTCCAGAAGGGAAGCCATCTTTCTCAGGAGGAGTAAAACTCAGATACTTCTGCTTCACTGTGTTGGAGTCGTAGAACTTTAAGACATCCAGCACAGCCTGAGGATTCTTCTTTTGCTCTAGTTTGGTGATATTTGAGGTCTGTAGTAATCGAGCCCAGTGTTCTGGCATGCCAGTGAATTCTCCAGTAACAGCATCAAAGCCAACATGGATGGTGTGTTCAAAATCAGATGGAGGAGAAATTTCTGGCCGTTCCTTTTCTTTCTTTTTACTTCCTTTCTCTGTGCCTGAGAATATGGAGATGATTTTATGCCTGGGCTTTTTCTCCTCTGGAACAGAAGGCAAAGGTTTCAAACTGTGATTGGCTGACAAAGGGTCTTTGCCTCCAGTGCTAAAGATGGTCCTGCTCATTCGCACGGGAGGTGCTGGAGGCTTGTCTTCCAGTTCTCCGTTATCACACATGATTCAGAATTATGAAATGGCCCCAGGTGAGGCAAGGTCCCCACCCCAGTGAGGCGCCTTGGTCAGAGCTCCTGGGAGGTTGCGGAGGCGCCTGGTACCAAAACAGAGATATAGACCAATGGAACAGAACAGAGCCCTCAGAAATAATACCACACATCTACAACCATCTGATCTTTGACAAACCTGACAAAAACAAGAAATGAGGAAAGGATTCCCGATTTAATAAATGGTGCTGGGAAAACTGGCTAGCCATATGTAGAAAGCTGAAACTGGACCCCTTCCTTACACCTTATACAAAAATTAATTCAAGATGGATTAAAGACTTACATGTTAGACCTAAAACCATAAAAACCCTAGAAGAAAACCTAGGCAATACCATTCAGGACATAGGCATGGGCAAGGGCTGCATGTCTAAAACACCAAAAGCAATGGCAACAAAAGCCAAAATTGACAAATGGGATCTAATTAAACTAAAGAGCTTCTGCACAGCAAAAGAAACTAGCATCAGAGTGAACAGGCAACATACAGAATGAGAAAAATTTTTGCAATCTACTCATCTGACAAAGGGCTAATACCCAGAATCTATAATGAACTCAAACAAATTTACAAGAAAAAAACAACCCCATCAAAAAGTGGGTGAAGGACATGAACAGACACTTCTCAAAAGAAGACATTTATGCAGCCAAAAGACACATGAAAAAATGCTCATCATCACTGGCCATCAGAGAAATGCAAATCAAAACCGCAATGAGATACCATCTCACACCAGTTAGAATGGTGATCATTAAAAAGTCAGGAAACAACAAGTGCTAGAGAGGATGTGGAGAAATAGGAACACTTTTACACTGTTGGTGGGACTGTAAACTAGTTCAACCATTGTGGAAGTCAGTGTGGCGATTCCTCAGGGATCTAGAACTAGAAATACCATTTGACCCAGTCATCCCATTGCTGGGTATGTACACAAAGGACTATAAATCATGCTGCTATAAAGACACATGCACACATATGTTTATTGCGGCACTATTCACAGTAGCAAAGACTTGGAACTAACCCAAATGTCCAACAATGATAAACTGGATTAAGAAAATGTGGCACATATACACCATGGAATACTATGCAGCCATAAAAAATGATGAGTTCATGTCCCTTGCAGGGACATGGATGAAGCTGGAAACCATCATTCTCAGCAAACTATCGAAAGGACAAAAAAAACAAACACCGCATGTTCTCACTCATAGGTGGGAACTGAACAATGAGAACACATGGACACAGGAAGGGGAACATCACACACTGGGGCCTGTTGTGGGGTGGGGGGAGGGGGGAGGGATAGCATTAGGAGATATGCCTAATGTTAAATGATGAGTTAATGGGTGGAGCACACCAACATGGCACATGTATACACATGTAACAAACCTGCACGTTGTGCACATGTACCCTAAAACTTAAAGTATAATAAAAAATAAAAACATACAACCAAACAAAAAAAAGAATGCTGGAAAAGCACAAATGTAACGTTTTATGTGGTGGGACAGCCCTTTCAAAAGTGTTTTCCACTGCTTATACTGATGAAGGTAGAAAAAAATTTCACTTATTTTAACTCTTCCTTTAAAAACTTCTTTTTGGTGGCTCATGTCATGCATACTCCACAAGTCCTGGAAGTTAAATGCTCTTAAATATTTGATGGTCTGGTCTTAGCAAAACGGCAGGTTTTTACTTTTACATTTTTAGCTATGTTTTAAATTATTTGTAATCCAGACACTGAAGTTTTATTTTGTTGTGAATTGAATCTGGGCAGAGTGTACAAGGGATCTCTCTGTATTATTTTTACAACTACATGTGAATCTATAATTATCTCATCAAAAATTCACTGAAAAAGGTATCACGGAGCCCATGTTTGCTGTTACCGTCTTTGCTCCTCCCAGGTTACAATGCCCCGTGCCTCTCAGTGCACAGTGAAAATGCAGCAGACGTTTTTGATGTGAGCTCCATGGAATGGATCCAGACTGTCCCCTTCAACAAGGTAATTTGACTTTAAGATTATGCAACTAAGGAGTTAATGACTGAAACGCGGAAACAGAAATAATCCATTGTACATTTACTGTAATGGGTACTTGCTAGTTTGGAGGCTTAACAAAGAGTATAAAAAACAAAACCCTACAAAACATTATATTGATTAATTGCATTACTAGTACTAGAGCCATTTGTGACATCTAGTTCCATTATATAAAGTAGTATTGTTATAGATAAATATATTATTTATTTATACCATACAGCACAGCAGTTATTTCCCATATTCAGTTTAAAGTTACTTTGTTTATCAGTAATTACTTTATCAGTAATTTTTACTTACCAGTATAATTTGTTCCTTTTATACTTACCAGTATAAAAAGGAACACTTTACAGGGTAAAAGGAACATTTTTACAGGGTAAAAAAAGAAAAAAGCATATAACCAAGGCTGTGTTTCAGATTCTCAATAGGATTTCACAATGGTGATGTTTTGCAAAACAAGGACATTGACAGTAACTCCATCTACTTACCTTAGGCAGATTTTCCTAGTTTTACTTTCACTGTGTGTGTATTAATGTCTGTATAATTCTACCACCTGCGTGAGTTCATGTATCCACCACTAGTCAATATACTGAATGGCTCCAGCACCACAGTGGGTCCCTCAAGAGCCCTTTTATAATCACTCCCCCTCCCTCCCACCTCCTTCCGCTTTCCTAACCCCTGGCAATCAGTAACCTCCATTTCTAAAATTTTATCATTTCAAAACTGTCTAACAAATGGCGTTATATAGTATTCATGATTAATCTGCTAAGTCCAAATTTATTTTTCTAAAAAAAACAAACTTTGGATTAGAAACCCAGGAGAATCCCATTGCAATATTCTTATCATATAGCAGCTACATCAAAAAATTTTTGGAATATATACAGTTCAAATAAATAGACAAAAACAAGTGATGCCCATCAGTCAGATGATAGAGTAACTTCAATTCATATGGTCCAAGTCTGACAAAAATGCATTCTAACACCTGCATCTAACACCAGCTTTATTGAATAATTTCATCACGTTTCAAAATCTGTGTCTCCTAGACCAGTTGAGCTCACAACAAAAAGCAATTGTAGAGAGTTAGAAAAATATATGAAATTAGTGAACAAAACAGTGAAACCTTCCAACCAGGAATGTTTTTGGAACTTTCTTTGTTAGTAATAGTTCCTTATGGTTCCTAAATATTCAACCTCCCAGCATGAATGTGTCTCCCATCAAAAGAGCCACAGAATAAACACAACCTCTTTTTTCAACATCCCTCTTCCTATGCTCACGTCTCCCATCTTTTTCCCTTGTCTTACAGCCAAATTCCTGAAATTGTTATTGATATTCCTTGCCCTCCACTTCCCACCCCTATTCACACCTCCATCCAGGGCAATCTGACTTACACCTTAATCACTCCATTAAAGCTGCTCTCATACAAGTTATCAGCCATCAGTTGTGAAAACCATCTGACCTGTTTGTCTCTTCTTGGCTGCCCAGCGACACCTGACCCTTCTTTCTTCAGCCCCCACGCTGCTGCTCCCTCGATTTTCCCCACTTCCCTGAATTCTCCTTCCCTGTTTTCTCTGCTCCTCTTCCTCTGGTCGAAGCCCTCTTCCTTTCTCGCTCTGCTTACTCAGCATGTCCAAAGAGTCAGGCTGACACTACCAGAAGCGAGTCATCGATTTTAGCGTGACAAGTGGGATGGCTAGAGATTGTGTGCCATGCACAGTACTGTTCATGAAGTGTTCCTACAACCAGGCTTCAGAGCTCCTTCCCCATTATAGGAAATTCAGGGCATAGAAGTGAAGCAGTATCATGAGGGAGAACAAAGACAGGTGCAGATTGTGGGACATTATGAAGGACAACAAATCAGTGGCAGGGAGGACTGCTCAGGATGAGAGGACCTTTGTGAGAAAGTGGTGTGCAGGGTGGACCTTGTCAGGATTCTGATTCCAATAGACAGACTGCAAAAAGAGAAATACTTGTGATAATCAAGTATGTATGACTGTGGACTATGTATGGGATGATAATCAGAATCATTGAGCACATCTTCAGGAGCGATCACAGCAATGTGATTATGGGAGAAAGTGTCCCTACTTTTAGTGATACATGTTGAAGTGTGTAGAGATGGAACAACATGATGTCAGGGATTTGACTTGAAATATTCCAACAACACAACAACAAAGAAAATACTTCAATGGTCACATCTCTTCCTCCATACCCGCCTAGATCTGCTCCACCTTGTGTTTTATGACCTCAGAGTCTATCAGTGGCCTCCGCCCCTTTGCTCAAGTTGGAAACCTGAGAATCATTGCTGATTCTCTTACACGTCAGCTTCCACTTCCAACCAAGTGTGAAGCTTTTGCAATTTTATCTCCTCAATATTCCTCATATCCTCTCCTCTCCATCCCCACCGCTACTATCATACATAATTTTAATTCACAATTTCTCCCGTAACCCCCTAACTGGTCTCTTAGCCTCCAGTAAGTAGTAATTGAATTCCCTTAATTACTAGTGGTGTGGAGCATTCATTTGTGCGCTTATTTGCCACATGTATCTTCTTTGTTGAGGAACCTGTTCAAATACTCTGCCCATTTAAAAAATTTGGGTTGAGTTGGGGAGCGGTGGCTCACACCTGTTATTTCACCACTTGGGAGGCCAAGGTGGGTGGATCACCTGAGGTCAGTTCAAGACCAGCCTGGCCAACATGGTGAAACCTCGTCTCTACAAAAATACAAAAATTAGCCAGGCATGATGGCGGGTGCCTGTAATCCCAGCTACTCGCAGGGGTGGGGGTGGGGGATTGGGAGGCTGAGGGGGGAGAATCGCTTGAATCTGGGAAGCTGAGGTCACAGTGAGCCGAGATTGTGCCGTTGCACACCAGCCTAGGCAGCAGAGCAAGACTCCATCTGAAAAAAATAAAATTTGGGTTATTTATTTTCTTATTATTGAGTTTTTAAAATTCTTCATACATTCTGGATACAAGGTTTTTTTTGTCATATCTGATTTGCAAATATTTTCTCCAAATCTGTGGCTTGTTTACTTCTCTTAGCAGTAAATTTCAAAGAACAGAAATTTTTAATTTTATCAATTTTTTATTTTTATTTTTATTTTGAGACAGAGTCTCACTCTGTCGCCAGGCTGGAGTGCAGTGGTGCGATCTCGGCTCACTGAAACCTCCGCCTCCCAGGTTCGAGCAATTCTCCTGCCTCAGCCTCCCGAGTAGCTGGGACTACAGGTCCCAGCTCGTATAGCCAGCACGCCCAGCTAATTTTAGTATTTTTAGTAGAGAAGGGGTTTCACCATGTTGGTCAGGATGGTCTCAATCTCTTGACCTTGTGATCCACCTGCTTCTGCCTTCCAAAGTGCGGGGATTACAGGCATGAATCAACGTGGCTGGCCCCAAACTTTTATCACATTTTAAAAAGTTTTATACATTGTGCTTTGATGTTGTATCAAAGAATTGTTTGCCTTATCCAAAATCAGAAAGATTTTCTTCATTGTTTACTTTTAGGCACTTCCTAGTTTTAGGTTTACATTTAGTTACATGACCTATTTTGAATTAACTCTCATATATGCTAAGAAATATAGACAAAAGTTGATTTTTTTGCATATGGTTATCTGAGGTTCTAGCACAATTTGTTGACAGCTTTTGCAGCTTGTTGGAAATACTGCATATATTAAAGCAACAGAATAGAGGATCCTGCAATATATATCAGCAAATGTATAAACAGATACATAGATATAGAGATGGATATACACAAAATATTTTTGTATCTGTATATACAGTTCTGAATTTCATATCATATATATTATAGTTTTATTGTTGAAATCAGGTAAAGTTAATTTATCAAATTTGTTCTTTTTTCAGTTATTTTGGCTCTTCTAGATCGTTTGCATTTTCTTATGAATTTCAGAATCAGCTTGTCAATATCTACCAAAAAATATTAAAATCCTGCTAGAATTTTGACTAGGATTGTGTTGAAACTATCTATCAATTTGGGGAACATTTATGTTCTAAATATTGGTTTCCAGGGCATGAAGACAGTGTATCTCTCCATGTATTTGGGTTATCTTTAATGTTTCTCAGTATTCCACAGTTTTCAGTGTACAGGTCATGCACATCTTTTGTCAGATTTATTCCTAAGAGTTTAATATATTTTGATGCTACTTTAAATGGCATTGCTTTTAAAATTCCAATTTCTGGTTATTTGTTGCTAGTATAAAATGCAATTGGTTTTTGTATATTGTTCATGTATCCTGCAACCTTGCTAAACTCATTTATTAGTTCTAATAGCTTTTTTTGTATTTTATATTGAATTTTCTACATAGATGTTCATTTTGTCTGTGTGCAGTTTTGCTTCTTTCTTTCTATCCTGGACGTATTCTATCTCAGCTTCTTGTCTGGCTAGGATTTCCACAACAATGTTAAATGTAAGCGTGGTGAGAGCAAACATCCCATCTTGTTCCTGATAAGACAAACAAGAAAGCATTGAGTGTTTCGTTACTAACAATGATGTTAGCTGTAGGATTTTTCACAGATGCCTTTTATCAGGATGAGGAAGCTCCCTTCTAAATGTTCCAAATGTAAATATATGACTTCATCAAATGTGTTTACTGCATCTATTGACATGATCATTTATTAATATGGTGCAATACATTGATTGATTTGAGGATGTTCAACCAACCAACCTTTCTGAGATACATTATATTTGTCCACGGTACAATATAATTTTTATGTATTGTTGGAACTGATTTGCTAACATTTTGTAAAGAACTTTTATATCTAAATTCAAAAAGAATATTTGTTTATAGTTTTTTTGTAATATCTTAGTCTAGCTTTGGTATCAAGGTGATACTAGCCTTATAAAATAAGTTGGTAACTAGTTCCTACTCTTCAATTTTCTGAAAGAGTTTAAGTATAATTGGTAATATTTCTTCCTTAGAGGTTTGAACAAAAAACTTCAGAGAAGCAATCTGGGGTTAGAGTTTCCTTTGTAGGATGAGCATTTAATTAAAATTCAATTACTTCAATAAATATAGAGTTATTCAATTATCTGATTCTTCTTGAGTGAGCTATAGCAATTTGTATCTTTCAAAAAAATTCTCATTTCATCTCAGTTACAAAATTTATTAGGTAATGCTGTACACAGTATTCCCTTACTCCATTTTTAATTTTTACAAAATCTGTGCTGATATAGTTTCTTTCATACCTGATATTAGGAATTTGTCTCTTTTTTGTTTTGATGATCAGCCTGCTAGAAGTTTATAAATATTTGGTTTCATAGATTTTTCTCTATTTTTTTTTTTTGTTTTATTGATGTTCACTCTGATCTCTAGTATTTCCAAAATTGTTTTTTGTGTTTAATTTGCTCTTGTTTTTCCAATTATTAAGGCAGAAGCTGGGGTAGTTAATTAATCTAAAATCTATTCTCTTTTCTACTATAGTGTTTAATCCCATAATTTTACACACAAATATTGCCTTATCAGCATTCCACACATTTTGAAATATTGTTTTCACTCTCACTTAGCTGAAAATGCATTGGTTTCTCTTTTGAAATCTTCTTTAGCCCTTGCAATATGTAGACATGTGTAATTCATCATCCTAATACTTGACGTTTTTCCAGAAAAGTTATTATTATTAACTTCTAATTTATTTCCAATGTGGTCCAAGAACATACTTCATATGACTTAAATCACTCCAAATATTCTGAGACTTGCTTTCTGGCACAGAATGTACTCTATCTTGATAAATATTCTGTGTTTGCTTGAGAAGAGTTTATATTATGTGACTGTCAGGTGGACTGATTTATAAATATCAATAAAATCAAGTTATTTGATAGTTTTATTTTTTTAAGTCTGCTGTATCTTCACTGATTTTTTTTCTACTTGTTCTACTAATTATTGATAGTGAGTAATGTAATCCCCAACTATAATTGTGGAATTGTCTATTTCTCTTTTGAGTTCTATTGGTGTTTGTTTCATTTGTGTTGAAGCTCTGTGATGACATACGTAGTGCTTGTTATTCTTAGAATTATCACGTCCTCCTGAGAAGCGGACCCTGTTCTCCTTATAAAACGACATTCTTCATCCCTGATAATATTCTCTTATCTGATGTCTACTTTATCTGATATGAATATAGCCACTCCAGCTTTCATTTGATTCATGGTAACTCTTTTTCAATCTTTTACTTTTAATATGTTTGTATCTTTACATTTAAAATGTCTTTCTCACAGGCAGCATGTACTTGGGTCTTCATTTTTTTCATCAAAGCTGACAACCTCTACCTTTTAATTGGGATGCTTAGAACATTTAACAAGATTTTTGAAATGGTTATGTTACACCTGTGATCTTGTTATTCATCTTTTACTCAATCCATCTGTTCTTTGCTCCCCTTTCCTGTTTAGTGCCCTGTTTTGGATTTTGTTGTTGTTGTTGTTATTCCATCTCATCTTCTTTGTTGGCTTATATGATAACAAAACTTTTTGTTTTGTTATTTCAGTGGTTGCTTTACAACTCTAAGTTACTGCAGCCTACTTTCACATGTTATCTTACTTCATGTGTGGTGTAAGAACCTTCCAGTAACATGCTTTCATTTTTCCTTTCCTGGCCTTTCGCTATTGTTGTCCTGCATTTCACTTACACATAAATTACAAACTACACAAAACACTGTTGTTATTTCTGTATAAAATTCAATTATTATTTCAAGATTTTTTAATGGAGGGGTCTTATACATCTTCCTACACAGTTACTTTCCAGAGCTCTTCATCCTTTATTACAGATCAATATTTCCATCTGATATCATCTTTCTTCTGCCTGAGGAGTTCCTATTTTATTTCCTGTGCAGCAGGTCTGCTGGTGATACATTCTTACAGTTTTTTTCTGCCTGGATATATCTTTATTTCCCCTTCATTTTGGAAAGTTATTTACACTGGTTACAGAATTCAGAGTTAACAGTATGTCCTCTTTTAGAATTTAAAATATTTTTTCTATATCCTCCCAGATTCTGGTATCTGTGATGAGAACTCTGGCAGCATCCTTTGTTAATCTTTATGTATGGTGTGTCCCATCCCTCTATGTCTGTATCACTAGGGTTCAATACTTTGATTACTATGAACCTTTGTGGAGTTCTTCATATTTCTTATAGGTGGGCTTTACTGAGTTTCTTGGATAAGAGATTTATAGTTTATATCAAATTTGAAAACATTTTGGCCATTTTTTTGTATTATTTTTTCTGTCCCTCCTCTTTTCAGTCCTTCTAGGACTCAAATTACATGTATTATTGGCTGCTTGAAGGTGTTCCACAGTTTAGTTTCTTAAAATCCTTTTACTCTATTTCCTTTTGGATAGTTTTTATTGCTATGTCTTGTATTTGGCAATGTTTAATCTGCTATTAATCATGTTCTGTGTATTTTTCATCTCAAATTTATAAGTAAGAGTTTTTGGGTGGGCATGGTGGCTCACACCTGTAATCCCAGCCTTTTGGGAGACTGAAGTGGGCTGATCATTTGAGCTCAGGAGTTTGAGACCAGCCTGGGCAACAAGACAAAACCCCATGTTTACAAAAATTAGCCAGGTGTGGTGGCACATGCCTGTAGTCCCACCTACTCAGGAGGCTGAAGTTGAGGATAGCTTAAGCCCAGAAGGCAGAGGTTACAGTGAGCCGAGATCACGCCACTGCACTCCAGCCTGGATGACATAGCCAGACCCTGTCAAAAAAAAAAAACAAAAACTTTCATAACCAATTATATAACCATTCTACTACTTAGAGGAACAAAAAAGTCAATAATTCACGATTTAAAAGCTACTAAAAACATAAAATATAAAACTATGCACTAAGGAGTTTTATATATAAATTTACCCATTAAATAAATATGTGTATGTACTTCTTTAATTTAAAAAATTCTAATGACTTACAGTTTATACCACAAGATTATTTATACAAACAGATTATTCTCATTCCAGAGTGGGCTTTTTGGGGGATGAAGTTTACTAAGCAATTTACAATGTTCTGTGAAAATCATCAGCTTTTTCAGGTTCTGTAGTAAAGTTATAAAAGTTCTAGGCACCATATCTTTTTAAACCATAAGAAAATACGAGGGCACATGTGTGTATGTATGTATGCATGAATGCTTTTATGGCAGTTTTATTCGTAATTACCAAAAACTGGAAACAACCCAAATGAACTGGGGAATGAATACAGAACCTGTTGTACATCCATACAACGCAATGCTACTAAGCAACAGAAAGTAATTACTGATACATAAAAACATGGATGAATCTCAAAATACATTAGGTTAAATAAAAGACGTCCGTCTCAAGAAGCCACATACTGAGTCAAGCAGGGGGATCCCTTGAGACCAGGAGCTTGAGGCCAGCATAGGCAATATAACAAGGCCTCCCATTTCTATTAAACAAACAAAAATTAAAACAAAAAGGCTAAATACTGCGTGATTTTGTTTACACGGAATTCTGAAAAGAAAAAAAAAAAAAAGACAAGACAGAGAAAAAAACAGATCAGTGGTGGCCAGAGACTAGAGGTAAGGAAATGGGCTGACTATGGAAAGGGTCATGAGGAAATTTTTTGAGAAACTAACTCTATATCTTGATCATCATGGTGGTTGCACAACTAGATGTGTTTCCCAGTCTTACAGAACCATATTCAAATACACCTTAATAAAGATAATTTTCAACCATACATATGATAGAATCATAATTATTACTCTTATACTAAGACCAAATAGATGCTGCTTAAACCACTGAGGCAAGAACACTAAACCTTGGTCTGATCTGCCTCCAAGTTTGAAAACTCCCTTCCATTAACATTTTGCCTAAAAATTAAACAATATTTGTAAATTAGTCACAAAATCCTTTAAGATTAAAATATACATATATTCTTAAAGAAAACTACCTAGTGCTTGCAACCAAGTCATTTTAGGAGAAAATTAGCTTTGTTAAGAAGGGAATAAAGCCCAAGTAATAAATATTAACATCCATCTTTTCCAGAATCATGATGGTCAAAACAATGAGACTCTTCTCCTAATTTTGGTTCAAAATACCAAAATTTTTACTTCAAAAACTCTCTAACAGATTATTATAAAATCTTAACATTTGCCTAAAAGTCTTTAAGTATTTTCACATAACTAGGCAGTATAACAAAAAAAGAGCACAGGCTTAGGCTGGATGCAGTGGCTCACACCTGTAATCCTAGCATTTTGGGAGGCCAAGGCAGATCGCTTGAGTCCAGCAGTTTGAGACCAGTCTGGGAAATGTGGCAAAACCCCGTCTCTATAAAATACATTAAAACGTGGCCCATACCTGTAGTCCCAGCTACTTCAGGGGATGAGGCAGGAGCATGGCTTGAGCCTTAGAGACAGAGGCTGCAGTGAGCCAAGATCACGCCACTCACTCCACTCTGGGTGATAGAGTGGGACCCTTTCTCAAAAAAAAATTTTTTTTAAAGCACAGGCTCAAGAACTCAACCCACCTAGGCAAGTTATTTAACATAATTTTCCATCGATTGTATCATCAGTAAAATTGGGATAATTTTACCTACCTCTAGGAATAATCCTAGACTATTACATGAGTTAATACATGTATTATAATAAATCACAGGGTAATGCCTGGCATAGTTAACTAAGTCTCAATACCAACCTAACATAAATGAATGACACCAATAATCACCAGCTGTGTAGTCTTTGCATACCACAATTCTGCCCTGTAAGGTAAGTGGCCTAAATTCAATGGCCTAAATAAAGACCTATCTAGTAATACTACTCTATATTCCTATTATTTTACCTGAATTGCACCTACCTAATTCAGTTTGCAAAAGAAAGGTTAAGTATTATACCTCTTATATATAAAAAAGTGAACTATAAATAAGTTAAATGACTTACCCAAAGAAACAGTAACTTGAAGGCAGAGCCAAGATGAGGATTTGGTATTGAGACTCCTTAAAACTTTGTCCTCTCCAAAATTTTTAGCCCTCCATGAATTCCTTCCCTCCTAACAAAGATACGGGTATAATGCACCCCCAAAAACCTCCAATTTAATAATTTAAAAATTTCATTAAGCTATACATTTGATTTGTGCACTCTTCTGTATGTTTTATATCATAATAGAAAGGTTAAGTGGCTTATTACCTAATACACTAGTATTCACTTGTATTCACATATGAAGAGAAGTAGTGGAAAAGTTACATTAAAAGCTAAAAGGTGACAAACTAAGCAGATTATGTTCTTTAAAATTTTGTGAGAGGCAAAAGTTTTTAACTGAGGTATATAATACATGTACAAAGAAGTGCACACTTCCTAAGTCTACTATTCAATGATTCTCATAAACTGAACACAACCATGAAATCATGACCCAGATCAAGACAGAGAACATTACCAGCACACCTACAATCTCCCTTGTCCTCATCACCAAAGATAACCATTATTCTGATTCCATTCCCATCTGTTAGTTTTGTCTGTTTTTTAAGCTTTACAGAAATGGAGTGCTCGCTTCGGCAGCAAATATACTAAAATTGGAACAATACAGAGAACATTAGCGTGGTCCCTGCACAAGGATGACATGCAAATTGGTGAGGCTTTCCATCTTTTTATTATTACAGTAGTCTGTATTATTTCATATCCAAAAAAATGATCAATATGAAGAATGGGATGAACTAATTAATACTGTGATTGAAGACAATAGCATTATTTGCCTGGGAAACTAAAGACAAAACAACTGGAAAACTACTAAAACTGTTAAAGGAGTCAATTTGCTACTTATGGAATAAACATATACTGTATTCACAGTAACATATATTATGGAATTAAAATCACATTTCTGGCTGGGCACAGTGGCTCACATCTATAACCCCAGCACTCTGGGAGGCCAAGGTGGGAGGATCACTGGAGCTCAGGAGTTCAAGACCAGTGTGGGCAACATAGTGAAACTTCCAAAGAATAGGACTAACTCCACGTGTAGCATCTACATGTGGACAAGCAGGAGTGTTTCCTGATTAAATAACCTAAGTGTCATCTCCATGAATGCATGTATACAACTTTGTTGGATTGAAGGCTCCTCATCTCAACCCCACTGGAGGTAAATGCTATAAAAGTAAGTAATTCAAGAAAGTTTCATCCAAATTAACTCATGTAAAACAAAAACAAAACAAGAAAAATTTGCCACATCAAGGTAATGTTATAAAATGTGTAATGTAACTACTGTCTTTATTTGTGTCTCACTTACAAAGTAGATCTGAACTATGGATTACTACTACTTACTTTGATTAAAAAAACACTGATGTGAGATATTTTTGTAAATTTTCTTTACCCAAAGGTTCACTGCAGCCATAAAAAAGAACAAAATCATATCCTTTGCAGCAACATGATGCAGCTGGAGATCATCATCCTAAGCTAAACATTGGGTAAACATGGACATAAACATGGGAACAATAGATACAGGGAACTAACAGAGAGGAGAGGATGGGAAGGGGCGAAAGCTCAAAACTGCCTACTGGCGGCTGGGTACAGTAGCTCACGCCTATAATCCCAGCACTTTGGGAGGCCAAGGTGGGTGGATTGCTTGAGTCCAGGAGTTCAAGACCAGCCTGGGTAACAGGGCGAAACCCAGTCTCTACAAAAAAATACAAAAAAATAGCAGGGTATGGTGGCCCACCACTGTAGTCCCAGCTACCCCGGAGGCTGAGCTGGGAGGATCGGCTGAGCCCAAGAGGTCAAAACTGCAGTGACCAGTGATTGCAATATTGCAATCCAGCCTGGGGGACAGAGACCTACCTTGTCTCAAAAAACTTAAACAAAACTACATGCTGGGTGCTATGCTTACTACCTGGGTGATGGGATCAATTGTACCCCAAACCTCATGCAATATACCCATGTAACAAACCTGCACACTATTATTATTGCGAGAAACAGAGCTAATTTAGAACAATATATATAGCTTGACCCAATTTGAGGAAAAATTTTACATTTGTATATTTGTTGAAAACAACTATCAATAAAGAACTAAAATTGCATACTATTCATTCATATGACTGAATACTACACAGCTATTAAAATTAATGAAGTAAGGCAGGTGCAGTGGCTCACACTTGTAATCCCAGCTACTCGGGAGGCTGAGGCTCGAGAATCACTTGAAACTGGGAGATGGAGGTTGCCGTGAGCCAAGATTGTGCCACTGCTCTACAACCTGGGTGACAGAGTAAGACTCTGTTTCAAAATAATCATAATAATAATACTACTAATAATACACATATATCAGCATAAATAAATGTAACTTTCCAATTACAGAATGTATGTACCAAAATATCACATAAATTTGAAACACAATAGTACTACATGTTAAATATATGTAGATATTTGTAGGGAGAATATAAGTGCATGAGCTAAAAAGATAAATAACTTCTGCATAAGAAAATAGGATCTAAGAGGATGACAAAAGGGACTCCAACCGTATGCATATTTTATTTTTAAAAACAAATATAGGCCAGGCACAGTGGCTCACCCCTGTAATCCCAGTATTTTAGGGGGCCAAGACGGGCAGATCACTTGAGGTCGGTTGGAGACCAGCCTGGACAACATAGTGAAACCCCGTCTCTACTACAAATACAAAAATTAGCCGGGAGTAGTGACAAGCTCCTATAATCCCAGCTACTCAAAAGGCCAAGGCACGAGAATTGCTTGAACTTGGGAGGTGGCGGTTGCAGTGAGCAGGGATTTTACCACTATACACCAGGCTGGGCAACAGAGTGAGACCCCATCTCAAAAATAATAAATAAAAACATATATAAATACACTTTTGAAGCAAATCTGATAAGATGTCAGCATCTATGAAATCTACTGAATGGGCTGGGTGCGGTGGCTCACGCCTGTAATACCAACACTTTGGGAGGCCAAGGTGGGCAGATCACGAAGTGAAGAGATAAGAGACCATCCTGGCCAACATGGTGAAACCCAGTCTCTACTAAAAATACAAAAATTAGCTGGGTGTGGTGGCGTGTGCCTGTAATCCCAGCTACTCAGGAGGCTGAGACAGGAGAATCACTTGAACCCAGGAGGCAGAGGTTGCAGTGAGCTGAAATTGCACCAGTGCACTCCAGCCTGAGCGACAGAGCGAGACTCCATCTCAAAAAAAAAAAAAAAAAAAAAAAGGAAAGGAAAAAAGAAAAAAAATCTACTGAATTAGTACCTGGTGTTTGTTAAATTATTCTCCATATTTTTCTAAATTTTTGAAATATTTAAACTTTGCTCTAAAAAAGTCGAGATTTTGGAATTCAGAGACAGGCTTTGTAGATTCAGTACAGGATGTGTGTGTGTGTGTGTGTGTGTGTGTGTGTGTCAGATAAGCCTGTTATTCTGTACTATAAAATTTCTAACTAAAAAAAAATTATATTAGGTTGGTGCAAATGTAGTTGCAGTTTTCGTATTGTTGAAACTTGCTATTTGATACTGGAATACATTCTTAAATATATGTGGTTATTTATATACCATTTTAATGCACATTTCTCACCTTTTTTGCTAATAACATATTATTTGCTGTTTTATTCTTTTAGACAGTGGAAATTATATTATAAAAAAAAGCAAATTCAAGCGATTTTCTTGAGTTCAAAATGGGTCGCAAAGCAGTGGAGACAACTTGCAACATCAACTACACACTTGGCCCAGGAACTGTGCAATGGTGGTTCAAGAAGTGTTGCAAAGGAGACGAGAGCCTTGAAGATGAGGAGTGTAGTAGCCGGCCAGAAGAAGTTGGCACTGACCAATTGAGAGCAATCATCGAAGCTGATCCTCTTACAACTACACGAGAAATTGCCGAAGAACTCAATGTCAACCATTCTACGCTTGTTTGGCAATTTAAGCAAGTTGGAAAGGTGCAAAAGCTTCTTTTTTTTTTTTTTTTTTTTTTTTGAGATGGAGTCTCACTCTATCACCTAGGCTGGAATGCAGTGGCACCATCTGGGCTCACTGTAACCTCTACTTCCCGGGTTAAAGTGATTCTCGTGCCTCAGCCTCCCTAGTTGCTGGGATTACAGGCACCCACCACCACACCCGATTACTTTTTGTATTTTTAGTAGAGCTGGGGTTTCACCATGTTGGCCAGGCTGGTCGTGAACTCCTGGCCTCAAGTGATCTGCCCGCCTCAGCCTCCGAAAGTACTGGGATTACAGGCGTGAGCCACCACGCCCTGCCAAAAGGTGAAAAAGCTTGATAAGTGGGTGCCTCATGAGCTGACCAAAAATTTTAAAAATCGTCGTTTTGAAGTGTTGTCTTCTCTTATTCTACATAACGACGACGAACCATTTCTTAGTTGGATTGTGACGTTTGACAAAAAGTGTATTTTATACAACAACAGTGATGACCAGCTCAGTGGTTGGACCGAGAAGATGCTCCAAAGCACTTCCTGAAGCCAAACTTTCATCAAAAAGAGGTCAGGGTCACTGTTTGGTGGTCTGCTCCTGGTCTGATCCGCTACAGCTTTCTGAATCATAGTAAAACCAATACATCTGAGAAGTATGCTCAGCAAATCGATGAGATGCACCGAAAACTGCGAGGCCTGCAGCTGGCACTGGTCCACAGAAAGGGTCCAGTTCTTCTCCACGACAACACCCGACAACATGTTGCACAACCAACATTTCAAAAGTTGAATGAATTGGGCTACAAAGTTTTGCCTCATCCACCATATTGAACTGACCTCTCACCAACCGACTACCACTTTTCCAAGCATCTAGAAAATTTTTTGCAGGGAAAATGCTTCCACAACCATCAGGATGCAGAAAATGCTTTCCAAGAGTTCATCGAATCCCGAAGCATGGATTTTTATGCTACAGGAATAAACAAACTTATTTCTCATTGGCAAAAAATGTGTTGATTGTAACGTTTCCTATTTTGATAAAGATGTGTTTGGGCCTAGTTATAATAATTTAAAATTCGTAATCCAAAACCACCATTAATTTTGTACCAACCTAACAGTACCTACATTTATTACCTCAACTGCTCTTCAACTTTCTTTTTTTGAGACAGAGTATCCCTCTGTCACCCAGGCTGGAGGGCAGTGGCACAAATCTCAGCTCACTGCAACCTCCACCTCCAGGGGTCAAGTGATTCTCCTGCCTCAGCCTCCTGAGTAGCTGGGATTACAGACGTCCACCACCACGCCCGGCTAATTTTTGTATTTTTAATAGAGACGGGGTTTTGCCATGTTGGCCACGCTGGTCTCAAACTCCTGATCTCATCTGTCCACCTTGGCCTCCCAAAGTGCTGGGATTATAGACATGAGCCACGGCGTTCAGCCTAATCTTACTCTTTAAAAGAATAAAGTAAGGGCAGACAATAACGAATGTCTTAACCCAGAAATCTCACCTTTTTGAATGATGTTCTCCATTCACAGAAGCATTTAAAACACTACAAGTGTGCAGTAAACAGCAAAAGCCAACAAGCTCTAATCACTTAAACTCTAGAGAATATATGACACAGCTCTTCCTAAAATATCACCAGATGGGTATATAAACGTAGAACGGCTTAACTCCCAGCTGTATATTAACACCAAATCTCCAATAAGCCTATACTGTCATAATAAAAATCATTTGCCTAAATCTCTTCCAATTCATATTAGATGTATTAATATAAACCATATCCTACCTGAGTTGCTACAACTCCACTTGATATTTAAAACACACCACAACACACAAGCACACAAACACACATACACGGATACAGAACTTGGGAGTTCAGGCTGAGTTCTGCATTTACAGAGTTCATAGAAACCAATTTTTCTTAAGGTATCTTTCATAATTCTCAATCAGCTTATTAAAAAGAGAAAAACTAGATGGCTCAGTCCTCTTGTGTTTAACTGTGATCAAATCCCACAATGTCTTCAGTCATAGTAGAGTTCACAATGATAAAGTTCAAATAAGCTTACCTGCCCCATTCCTCCCATACTACTTCCTACAGCTGCCACTCGTCTTAGGAACTGGAGCCAGTTAACCACCCACTTTCTCAATGGTGACTGTGACCTAAACCTTCACAAGACATCCAGTGAAAAATAAAGACTTTAAAATAGCAGTTTTTGGCTGAGCGTGGTGGCTCAGACCTGTAATCCCAGCACTTTGGAAGGCCATGGGCGGATCACCTGAGGTCAGGAGTTCAAGACCAGCCTGGCCAACATGGTGAAATCCCATCTCTACTAAAAAATACAAAAATTAGCTGGCTGTGGCCAGCTTGTGCCTGTAGTCTCATCTGCTTGGGAGGTCGAGACATGAGAATCGCTTGAACTTGGGAGGCAGAGGTTATAGTGAGCTGAGATCGCACCATTTCACTCCAGCCTGGGTGACAGAGTGAGACTCTGTCTTAAAAAATAAAAATAAAATAGCAATTTTTCCTACTTATAAAAGTAATACATGCTCATTGTAGAAAAATGGGAAACTATAGAAGAATAAGAAGCAAAAAAGCCACATTATCCCACCGAGACAGAAATTAATCACTACTAATATTTCCATTCATGGCAATCCAGGGTCTCTTCTGTATATCAAAGTGTATTAGTTCATTTACCAAACAGGATTTTAAGTACTGCAGAACAAGGGGGAAGTAGCATACTAATTCTTTGGAAGACTAATTTTCTTCAGTGTAAAGAAGTTACACTTACTGCTGAGTAAGTCAACCATATGTACAGGAAACTGGAGAGAATGACAAAGGTGAGGGAAATCATGCCTGCGTTTTCTTCATTCACTCACAGCAAACCATGGAGTCCATGTTTTGGGAACCATTATGTATGCAAAGACCAACTAATGAGTATGTTTCCTTTATAAATAGCAGCCTACTAAATAAACAAATACATACATACATATATACGAATATACAGTCTTGCCACAGGAGTTACACACACAGTGAAAGGAATGACATTAAGAGTATTTTTAAAATTATTATACTTTAAGTTTTAGGGTACATGTACACAACGTGCAGGTTAGTTACATATGTATACATGTGCCATGTTGGTGTGCTGCACCCATTAACTCGTCATTTAACATTAGGTATATCTCCTAATACTATCCCTCCCTGCTCCCCCCACCCCACAACAGGCCCTGGTGTGTGTGATGTTCTCCTTCCTGTGTCCATGTGTTCTCTTTGTTCAATTCCCACCTATGAGTGAGAACATGCGGTGTTTGTTTTTGTCCTTGCGATAGTTTGCTGAGAATGATGGTTTCCGGCCTCATCCATGTCCGTACAAAGGACATGAACTCATCATTTTTTATGGCTGCATAGTATTCCATGGTGTATATGTGCCACATTTTCTTAATCCAGTCTATCATTGTTGGACATTTGGATTGGTTCCAAGTCTTTGCTATTGTGAATAGTGCCGCAATAAACATACGTGTGCATGTGTCTTTATAGCAGCATGATTTATAATCCTTTGGGTATATACCCAGTAATGGGATTGCTGGGTCAAATAAATGGGATCTAATTAAACTAAAGAGCTTCTGCACAGCAAAAGAAACTACCATCAGAGTGAACAGGCAACATACAGAATGGGAGAAAATTTTTGCAATCTACTCATCTGACAAAGGGCTAATATCCAGAATCTACAATGAACTCAAACAGATTTACAAGAAAAAGACAAACAACCCCATCAAAAAGTGGGCGAAGGATATGGACAGACACTTCTCAGAAGAAGACATTTATGCAGCCAAAAGACACATGAGAAAATGCTCATCATCACTGGCCATCAGAGAAATGCAAATCAAAACCGCAATAAGATACCATCTCACACCAGTTAGAATGGCGATCATTAAAAAGTCAGGAAACAACAGGTGCTGGAGAGGATGTGGAGAAACAGGAACACTTTTACACTGGTGGTGGGACTGTAAACTAGTTCAACCATTGTGGAAGTCAGTGTGGTAATTCCTCAGGGATCTAGAACAAGAGTATGTTTTTTGTCACCATGAAAGTATCTTAAGAGACAGTAAAGGGATATGTGAAAGGTTGATCTAAAATTCATGACCTCTTCCACAAAAATAGTTTCTGTGCACATAAGATGAAGGAACAATCTAACTACGGAAAACGTAACTGTTGATTTTATAATGCTATAACTTATTTACACGTATAAATAAATATGCAGGAGTTTAAACAGTTAGTCCACAAATATTGATAGCTTACTCTGTACCAGGCAATGTATTAACTGCTAGGGAGTAAGGGAGAGAACAGCCACCAGTCCCTATTTCTGCAGAACTTTCAATCTGTCTCTTGAAGTATGATGTCAAACACTAGGCATGTGGCCTCAAGCAAGTCACAACAGTCCTGATTAAATGATGATCTCAAATCCTTGTGATGATCTAAGAAGATATATGTGAAAGTAGCTTATAAATCATGTTACCTAAAGTAAAAAGAGATATGTAGCCATTTGTGCAAAGCACTGTTTATAGCAATCATCTTCAATAGAAATTATCTTTATTTATTTATTTATTTTTTGAGATGGAGACTTGCTCTGTCACCCAGGCTGGAGTGCAGTGGCGTGATCTCGGCTCACTGCCACCTCTGCCTCTGGGGTTTAGGCCATTCTCCTGCCTCAGCCTCCTAAGTAGCTGGGACTACAGGCACCCACCACCACGACTGGCTAATTTTTTGTATTTTTAGTAGAGATGGGGTTTCAACTGTGTTAGCCAGGATGGTCTCCATCTCCTGACCTTGTGATCCGCCCACCTTGGCCTCCCAAAGTGCTGGGATGGCAGGTGTGAGCCACCGCGCCCGGCCTCTCATTTCTTTTAACTGGCAAAAAATAATCACTCAAGTTGCTTAATATAATCTCTTTTGACAGTCTCTAAGATTTTGATATTATCTTTCTCTGCCAATGACCCATATGAAGTAACTGAAATTAATTTTCCCATGATGGGGGAGAAAAGATTCACTTTTTTCTAATACAAAAAGCTTTATTTCCTGATTTCATAATTTATAGGGGTTAGGGGGCAGGCAGCCACAGATCAAAAGCAACTTATTCAAACTCAAGAAAAAAATTATCTTTTAATCTAAGAATCACCATGGAAAGTTTGTTATAGGCTCAGGCTAATCCAAATAGTTAGTGACAGGTTAATTGTGGTACTTTGAAAGCAAAGGAGAGCAAGTAGCAATTATTCTTCCCTTCACTCAGTCTCTAACACCTAACCTCTTAAAAAACAGGGAGATATATATTATAGCCAAATTGCTTTCCAAAAAACATAATTTTTAAAAATATGCTCTACACAGTATCAACTGTTTGTATCTAAAAGAAATAGACTATTTACATTGCTTTTTATCCTACGATTTATCCTTTTCAAATTCAGCCACCTCAACGATGCAAAAAAGTATCAAACTGATGCTTTAAATTTATTTTTGCCCTTATTGCAGATACGACTCTAAAGAGCATGGGGAGTTTTTTTTTTTTTTTTTTTTTTGAGATGGAGTCTCGCTCTGTCACAGACGTTGGAGTGCCGTGGTGCAATCTCGGCTCACTGCAACCTCCACCTCCTGGGTTCAAGAGATTATCCTGCCTCAGCCTCCCGCGTAGCTGGAACTACAGGCGTGTGCCACCACGCCCAGCTAGCTTTTTGTAGTTTTGTAGAGATGGGGTTTCACCGTGTTAGCCAGGATGGTCTCAATCTCCTGACTTCATGATCCACCCGCCTCGGTCTCCCAAAGTGCTGGGATTACTGGCGTGAGCCACCATGCCCGGCCTAGCATGGGACATTTTAAAGGCATTCATAATCCAACTAAACAGGACCACCTGCAAAACTAGTGAAATGCCCAAAAACAAACATCTATAAATGCCCAATATTAAACCTCAAGGGTCTAAAGCAGTAGTATCCAAAGCAAGTATAACATACCTCCAGGAGATCGGGCATGGTGGCTCACACCTGGAATCCCAGCACTTTGGGAGGCTGAGGCTGGCGGATCACTTGAGCCCAGGAGTTCAAGACCAGCCTGACCAACATGGTGAAAACCCATCTCTACCAGAGAATACAAAAATTAACCAGGCATGGTGGCAGACACCTGTAATCCCAACTGCTCAAGTGGCTGAGGCACAAGAATCACTTGAACCCAGGAGGCGGAGGTTGTAGTGAGCCAAGATTACACCACTGCACACCAGTCTGGGTAACAGAGCAAGACTCTTGTCTCAAAAATATGTATATAGATCATATATTATTATATATACATATATATTATACATATACACACACACATACATATACACATGCGTGCACACACACACACCTCCAGGAGTACCCAAGAAGCCCCAGGGTAAAAAAGGAAAATATTTGAACTTTATTTTTAATTATCATCCTTGTTAATTTTTTGTTTGTATTTTAAAGTCCACAATAATCAGTTACTATATGTTTATTACTTGTAAATTAAATATCTAAGGATTAAGAACTGATGCTCAATATTTTTCTTTTTCTCTTTTTTCAAAGCAACAACATGAAGTTGTATCAATTTTTTTTTCTGACTTCATTCTTCCCATCCCATCAGTTTTTTGTTTTTTTTTTAAAGAGACAGGGTCTCACTATGTTGCCCAGGCTGGAGTACAGTGGCTGTATTCATAAGCACAATCACAGTGAACTTTAGCCTTGAACTCCTGACCTCAAATATCCTCCTGCCTAAGCCAACTACGTAGCTGGGACCACAGGACCAGGTACCACACCTGCTTAATGCTCAAAAGTTTTTGGTGATGGGGTAAGCAACCAAAGTTTGGAGACCACTGGTCTACACGACTCATTGTCACTGAACTTTCATTTTTATCAGCTCCCTCCCAAGAGTTAATCTATGGAAGTAAGTCCTGATGCTGAAAAAGAAACAGAAGAAAAACTGTTTCAAACTATTTTGAACTCCCAACAAGCTAAAGATGACAAATCACTAGCAAGAATATATGGAATTGAATACTAATATGCTGTTGACGGGAATTTCAAATAGACATCCTATCTAAAGGGCATCTTGAGTATATCCACATTTAAAACACACATACCTTTTGACCTAATAAGCCCTTTTTTTTTTTTTTTTTTTTTTTTTTTTTTAGAATGAGTCTCACTCTGTCGCCCAGGCTGGAGTGCAGTAGCTTAATCTCGGCTCACTGCAGCCTCCGCCTCCCGGGTTCAAGTGATTCTCTGTGCGTCAGCCTTCCAAGTAGCTGGAATTATAGACCCTCGCCACCACACCAGACTAATTTTTGTATTTTAGTAGAGATGGGGTTTCACCATTTTGGCCAGGCTGGTCTTGAACTGCTGACCTCAGGTGATCCACCCACCCGCCTTGGCCTCCCAAAGTGCTGGGATTACAGGCATGAGCCACCATGCCTGGCTAATAAATCCGCTTTTAAGAATTTATCCTGGGCCAGGCGCGGTGGCTCAGGCCTGTAATTCTAGCACTTTGGGAGGCCAAGACGGCCGGATCACGAGGTCAGGAGATCGAGACCAGCCTGGCCAACATGGTAAAACCCCATCTCTACTGAAAATGCAAAAAATTAGCTGGGCGTGGCGGTGCACGGCTGTACTCCCAGCTACTCAGGAGGCTGAGGCAGGAGAATCACTTGAACCTGGGAGGCAGAGGCTGCAGTGAGCCAAGATCATACCACTGCACTCCAGCCTGGGTGACAGAGTGACTCTGTCTCAAAAAAAAAAAAATTATCCTAAGGAAATAATAGGACAATTCAATGCCCAAACAAGTTCATCACAGTACTACTTTAAGAGAAAAATTGGCAATATCCATTAACAACACAGAACTGCTATAAACTATGATGCATCCATATTATAGAACACTAAATACTCATTTACTCATTAAGGGGATATCAATTTTACATGGAAAGTTGTTCTTTTTTAAGGTATTTCAATAGGTATGCATAAGAAAAAAAATGAAAACACCAAACATCACATCCAGATGGGATTACAGGTTATCTCTACTTTTTTTAAAAAAGAAAAACATTAAAACTGTTCTGGGCCAGATGCATTGGCTCACGCCTGTAATCCTAGCACTTTAGGAGGCCAAGGCAGGTGAATCACCTGAGGTCAGGAGTTAGAAACCAGCCTGGCCAACATGGTGAAACCCTGTCTCTACTAAAAATACAAAAATTAGCCAGGTATGGTGGCGGGTACCTGTAATCCCAGCTACTCGGGAGGCTGAGGCAGCAGAATTGCTGGAACCCAGGAGGCAGAGGTTGCAGTGAGCTGAGAAAACGCCACTGCACTCCAGCCTGGGTGACACAATGAGACTCCATCTAAAAAAAAGTTCTGTAGCTTTCATAATCAGAAATAATTTCACTTTGAAATTTAAAATGAGATTAAGTTAAAACTCCAAATTATTGTCCTGTATCACTTCTAAAACTCTTTGTAAACACTCTGTCTTCCCATGTCATTTGTGGATCAGTCCAAATACTTAATCTAATATTTGGTTTATCTCATGGAAAAATGATAGGCATATAATAAACAACAACCCTGTTTCAAGTTAACCATCTTGTCTTTATACCAATTCTTGCCAGTTATGTCATGATTTATCAATATACTTATAACTTCCTTATATTCTGCCAGATTATAAATCTATGAATAATTCTGAAAATTATTCAGAAATTTCTATCTCTCTTCTGCAACTAAGTTACAAAAGTATTAACTACTTCGGGAGGCTGAGGCAGGGAGAATCACTTGAACCTGGGAGGCGGAGGTTGCAGTGAGGTGAGATCATGCCATTGCACTCCAGTCTGGGTGACAGAGCAAGACTCTGTCTCAAAAAATATATATATATGTATTAACTACTAAAGAAATTAGATTTAGACCCCAGATAAGTGAAATCAGAAAAGCTTGCTACCATCTGTCACAACAGAATCATTCTGAATATCTATAGTTATCAGATCAAGACAATACCTGTGTGGTTAACAAGTACTCCACACTCCATCTTAAGGGAAAAGAGTACTTAAGAAGATTATTATAGCATAAGTTTATGTGCTTTGTTCATTAATTCAACAATTTAGAACAAAGCTATGAGGTATTTCACCGCTAACAGAATAGCTTTAAGGTAACCCATCTTCACAATTTTCTCTTTGTTTTCATTTGTTTCATGCCTTACTATTTTATAGACAGTCATTCTATCGGCATTGCACAAGTACTATGTCCCTAAACAACTACGACCAAGTTTTATCACGACCCAAAAGAAAAAATAACTTTCTAGGCCAGGTGCAGTGGCTCATGTCTATAATCCCAGCACTTTGGGAGACCAAGGCAGGACTACTCAAGCCCAGGAGTTCAAGACCAGCCTGGGCAATGTAGCAAAACCCTGTCTCTACAAAAAATGAAAATAATAATTTTTAAAAAGAAAAAATACATTTTACACGGCAACCAAGTATACATACATAAACATATCTTTTAAAAAGAAAGAAAAGTTTCCCAAATCAATATTTACTTTTACTTTACACAATGTACTGATATATTCTTTTTTAAAATGCTTTTTAAAATAAGTACATTGATTTCATTACCCTATGACACTGCCACCTGCTACTTAAAAATGTAGCCTTAAAACTTTATGCAGAGTGTGCTAAACTCCTTGCTCCTACCACCTTCTCCCACGACTCCAACATAAGAAAATGGGTAAAATCTAGCAAGTCTATTCTAAGTACAGACCTTGGCATAAATGTGAGACACCCCAGGTTCCTCTGAAGTCCCTGCAACATTGTGATTATTCCAACTGGCAGACAGGATACATTTGCTGAAAGGTTTCTCCAGCCAGACTACAGAAGCAGAAACCTTTTCTGTTGCCTTATCAGTGATATTGCTAAATTCTGCACTTGACAATGTGGACCAGGTTTACTACTGCTCCACAAGCCAATTCTTCCAAGAAATAAAACAGGATTCCAATATAATAGGATTCTAATACCAGACCCTTACATTTTTTGAATACTTTTCATACACATTATTCCGTTGCATTCTCCCCCTGGCAGTCTGTTAGAAAAGTAGAGAAGCTGCTCTTCTTCCTTTCACTAATGAAGGAATTGGAGCTCAGAGGGGTTACGTGGCTTGCCAGAAACAACACGGCTAATGAAGAATACAACGCAGGCTTGAACCCAAGATTTACTCATCTATCCACTTTTATGCTACAATTTTCATTTTTAATATCTGATACAAGTATGAACTTAAAAAGTATATTGTTTCTAGATACAAAAGCAAAGGTGAAAGCATGATATCAATATTGATGATACCAAAAAATTAAGATTAAAAATAGCAATGACATGTTAATAATTTTGGAGGCCTCTAAAGTTACTGGCAGTCCTAGTTCAATCCAATATGAATCTGATATCATCTTATATCTTCAATCAATGTTACATGATTATAAATTTATGTATATATTCACCATAGAAAATTACAGAATTGGGTGGTAAGAAACAACTAGCTATATAAATTGCACATACTCCCCCAAATCATTCTCAAGTCTTGTGGCTTCACACTAAATTATGAAGTTCCCAATGTAAAACCTGATTTGATTTCAACACTAAGCGAATTACAACAGCATAAGCATGTTCTTACTACATAATACTTGCAACATACATTCAATTTCCGAAGCACTTTTGGACAATGTCTAAAATCCATAAGCTAAAAGCAGAACCCAACACAGAATCTTGTTTCTTTTAAATGGCAAAGGTTAGTCTACCTATATGAGATGAATACCAAATAACATAATTAGAACTTATTAAAAATTTACAGAATCAGGCTAGAGAAACTACTTGAGGTCAAAGACTATAGGCCCTTAATTGTATAGATGAGAAAATTGATGCCCAGAGAAGTTAAGTGACATTCCCAACAGCAATTAATGACACAGATGGAATCAGAATATATGTCTATCTGTCAATCCAGAACTTCCCATTATTCTATATTACCTCTGCATTTAATGTGCTCTTAAAAAAGTCACTAACATCTAAAACACTTAAGACACATTAAGACTCAAAAACCAGGGGACACAACAATGTTCACGACAGTCTTCAGAAAACAATTTCTTAAAGGAATCTCAAAAATTCCAAACAACAAGCACTGAAAGCTGGCTCTTTATTTTTTTTATTTTCTTTCCTATCCAGAGCCCTACTTGATCAAAAACTGGCTCTTTAATCCATTGCAAATTATCAAGTAGCTTTTAATAACTAACACGGCTATAAACCACCATAACTGTTCTTTTTTCCATATCAATACTATTCACTTACTAAAAAAAAAATCTGAGGGTATAGAATATGCTGATAACTGTGCTGGGTATTGGCGACACCAGGGAACAAAACAGACGAGGCCTCTGGCTCTTCTAATGGACAGCTGGGTGCAACTCTCTAAAAATACTACTTCATGATTTGACAGGATATTTGCCAAAGTCCTTCACTACTCTACACAACTATAACAACATTTTCTTCCACCTCTTCCAAACTTATAATAACCTTCACCACACCCCCTCTAAAACGTGAATACGTCCTTTGGTAACTCAGCATTCTACTTCACTAAAGAAGGTGTGAACGTGTTAACTAGAACTACAGCAGATTTTTAAACTGACTTTACCACTCCTCACGGCCTGCGGCAAATTTCAAGAACTTTTCACAATCTGTAGTAACCCTTCCTGGTTCACAACCCTGATCTCAAATGACTGCTAACACACCCATCCTACCCTCCACTAGAAATCTGAGTCAGATGGTTTAGGAGCAACCATGTTAGGGAGCATCTTCAGTGGACCCCTTTATGAGCCAGAAGCTGACTTACTTCCTCTCCTTCTCTGTTTATTTCCTCTGGATTCTTGTGTATCTCTGGATACAATGTATCTCCAATTAATCAGCATCTAATTTTATCAAGTGTGTTCCTGATAACTTGTGCACAAATTAACTTTTGGCAACAAATCTGTTTCACCTACACAAATCCATTATATTTTAAGAGATGCTCAATTTGCATCCTTTAAGTTTCTCATGCTTCCCCTTCTCCACTTCTTAAATTCTTAAAAAGCTATAAACTGCATAAGTTCGAGGAACTTAGGTCGTCCATAATATTGCTAATGACCAGCCTTAAACTAGACAACCACTGAAGAACCTGGCCTATGAGCTGAGAAACTTGGGTTCTTTTATGGCTGGCCATTAACGACAAGTGGGGCTGTACCACTGTGCTGGTCACTTGAAGTTCTCTGAGTCACCTGAAAATGAGGGAGTAATTGGAGCCAAAAGAGGTCTGTCGTCATAGGCAGCCAATCTAGAATTCTAGAATCCTCCAAATTTAGTTTAATATCACATACTATACTGGGTTACTCAAAACAGTGTCATTCTGGCTGGGGGTGGTGGCTCACGCCTGTAATCCCAACACTTTGGAAGGCCGAGGCAGGTGGATCACTTGAGGTCAGGAGTTCCAGACCAGCCTAGCCAACACGGAGAAATCCCTGTCTCTACTGAAAATACAAAAATTAGCCAGCCGTGGTGGCGCACACTTGTAATCCCAACTACTTGGGAGGCTAAGGTGGGAGTATTGCTAGAATCCGAGAGGCGGAGGTTGCAGTGAGCAGACATCACACTACTGCACTCCGGCCTGGGCGGCAGAGCGAGATAACGTCTCAAAAAAAAAAAAAAAAAAGTGTCATTCTGTAAGCTCTTCTAGCCTGCCCAAGTCATAGGCCCTATAAAGGGAAGACTTTCTGCATGCCATCAATGTCTCCTGTCCTACTGAACAGCCCTGAATTTGAAAGGGGATGGTCCCCCACCACCTCTCCATGGACAAATCATAAACATTTAACATTTAAAAAAAATCATCTCCTGTAATTCAACCCAGGCCTCTCATGGCATTACCATTCACATAAGAGAAAGTTGAACCTCAACTGGAAAAGTATATGGTTTGGGGATGTTGTTTTGTTTGTTTGGGTTGTGGAAAAACAGATGTCAGAAAACAAAGTGGATATCAAGATACTAGAACAGTAAGAATTTAGGCCTCGGTCTGCAAACGACATTTGAACATCAATATGTAATAGTAGTTCATGTCCAAAACTCACAAGTGAGATTATCAAACTCCAGGGGAGTCTATTAATGTGGCCATAAAATCTACCCCATAATTTTGACATAACTTTTCCAGCCCAAAATACGACTGACATCATCTTATGGGTCCGGAAATACCATACATCAAGGAAAATTTCTACCGGAGAAATAACACTGTAATCGTTTGGGGAGCAGTCTGACCAGTGTTCCCTGAGTTACGCCAACCGCCCCCAACCATCCTTCCCACCTAATTATTACCAGGTCAGGAGGACGTCCTGCTGCACGCTCAGGCGGTCGCTCCTCCTTTCCACAAGACCCAGGCCCGCACCGTTCGCCCCGGGGCTCCCATGGCCCCCGACCTCCAGTCTCCAGCAACGATGGATCCCCACAGACCAGGCAGGGGGCGAAGGGCGCACACCCACCTCCCGGGAGTCAGTGGGAATAACCCCGGGCGCTCCCAGGATACGTCCCACACCCGGAGCCGCACGGGCCCATCCCCGCCAGGTCTGGGCAGGCAGCCGGAGCCCGGGACCCCGCCTCCCCCGCACCTAGGGTCCCGGCCGAGCTCGACCGCTGAGGTCCCGTTCCCACTCCCACTCCCAGCGCCTCCCCCTGGCGGCGGCGGCCGCCCGGGACGCCCCTCCCCTGGCGCTGCCTCCTCAGAGGGTGACAGCCGCCTGGCCGGGGCCGTACAGAGGCCGGCCCCTCCTCCAGCTCCTCCTCACCCCGGGAGGAGACAGGGGACGGGGATGGGGTTCTTACCAGGCAGCAGGACATGGCAAGGCCCGCCACGGCACAGCCTCCTCCTCCACCATCTCACCAGGCTCCCTGCCAGGCCCGGCGCAGGGCAGCGACTGAGCTACTAGGGCGTCTGGTCCGGCTGCTACTCCGCCGCCGCCGCCGCCTTCTCACAACCACAACAACACTGCAGCAGCGGCCACACAGAGTGCACTCCCGACGCCGAGCCGGGCGACGAGCGGAGACGCGCGCGCACGCTCGGGCGCTGAACCGGGTGTCCGGGAAAGGGGGCGGGTCTCCGGGAAAGGGGGCGGGTCTCCGCCTGGTGGACGGGGGCGGGGCCTGGACAGGTGGTCACGCCCCAGGAGATAGGCGGGGCTGCAGCCCAGACGAATACCAGCGGCTGGGGAGAGGCTCGCGAAAAAGACCAGCGGAGGCAGAAGGGCTAGACAGATGGGAATTGGGCGCAGGAAAAGCGATGACAAAAAAAAATCTGGAAGATAACCAAAGGTGGTCCTACAAATTTTTAGGAGGCGTCTTTCCCTGGGCAAGACATGGCTCACTCTACTTACCAGAAAAATAGAACAACAGTGGTTATCTTTCACCTGCAATTGTGGTCAGGATAAAACCAGTTTAATATAGTGCAAGTAAATGTAGTGTTTTAGAAGATGTATTCAGGATACAATTTCTTTTTTTCATTTCTTTTTTTTTTTCTGTCGCCCAGGCTGGAATGCAGTGACATCTCAGCTCACTGCAAACTCCGCCTCCCGGGCTCAAGTGATCCTCCCACCTCAGCCTCCTGAGTAGCTGGGACTACAGGCGCAGAACATCATGCCCCGCCAATTTTTGTATTTTTTGTAGACACGGAGTTTCTGCCATTTTGTCCAGGCTGGTCTCGAACTCCTGGGCTCAAGCAATCCACCCACCTCGGCCTCCCAAAGCGCTGGGATTAAAGGCATGGACCGCCGCACCCGGTCCAGAATACAATTTCAAGCTGATTCAACTTCAGCTCCTAATCAAAAGTTTAGCGGGAAGAAGTGAATTTTCAAACAAAATAAACCCCTCCCCCCAAAATTGTAACCTACCCACATTAGCCTGCAGAATTCCACAAACCAGGATTGCATTACCGCAGGCCCTAACAGATTCACCTCCTCTGAGTTGCCTTTTAACATTCTATCCTTGACTTTTCTGGAAACTGTCTGGGAGAGCTAGTCAAATGAAATCTATTCCTGCGTCTGTTGTAAAGTTTTTCCACAGCACTTTCTGAAATTTATTTTCAATGTTTATTGTTTTTTCACTCCACTTAGAAGGTAAAAGCTACTTGAAGATAAGGATCTTGTTTGTCTTGTTCATCACTATTTCCCCAGCACCTAGAACTGTGCAGGCTAAGTAGTAGGCAGTCGAATTTCTTGATAGCTGGCTGGGCGCGGTGGCTCACGGCTGTAATCCCAGCACTTTGAGAGGCTGAGGCGGGTGGAACACCTGAGGTCAGGTGTTCGAGACCAGCCTGGCCAGCATGGTGAAAACGCGGATCTACTAAAAATGCAAAAATTAGCCGTGCATGGTGGCGGGTGCCTGTAATCGCAGCTAATTGGGAGGCTGAGGCAGGAGAATAGCTTGAACCTGGGAGGCAGAGGTTGCCATGAGCCAAGATTGCGTCACTGCACTCCAGCCTGGGTGACAGAGCGAGACTCCATCTCAAAAAAAAAAAAAAAAAAAAAAAAATGGCTAACATTTATTCATACAACTAATCTAATTGAATCTTCACAACTTTAATAGGTAGACGCCGTTATCTCCATGTTACACATGAAGAAAGTGAAGCACAGAATAAATTGCATGTATTAAAACAAAATTCAAACCCAAACCCAGCAGACAACAAACAAACAAACACACAAACACACAAAAAACCACTGTACTCTCACCCACCAGGCTGTACTGCCCAGTGCATGACACAGTAGCCTGAAATAAAATCTCAAGTAAGAAATTACTTTAGGCCGGGCACAGTGTCTCATGCCGGAAATCCCAGCACTTTAGGAGGCCAAGGCAGGTGGATTGCTTGAGCTCAGGAGTTCCAGACCAGCCTAGGCAACATGGTGAAATCCCACCTTTACAAAAAATACCAAAAAACTGGCCAGGCATGGTGGTGCGTGCCTGTAGTCCCAGCTATTTGAGAGGCTGAGGTGGGAGGATGGCTTGAGCCTGGGAGGCAGACGTTGTAGTGAGCCCTGATTGTGCCACTGCACTCCAACTGGGTGTCAGAGCGAGAAAAAAGAAAGAATGAAAGAAATTACTTTAGAGGTAAATTCTTGGAAAGCCCTTGCTTTACTACCAGAAAAACCAGTGCGCTTCCTGCTTTTTGATAACTCTTATGCAGCTGGTTGTGTCTCTCTTTTCACTCTGGCTTCCAGAAAGCCCAGGGCTAAATGTGAAGCTCAGCAATGACCCTTGCTTGGCCCCTAAGGTCCACTCTTGCCTCGACTTTGCACCTTTATTTATATGTGGCTGTCCTGATTTTCCCTTTGTGTTATATGACTGTAGGCTTTATGGAATGGGAGAAGAAATAGTAAACACATAAAATTGATGAATGACTTAAAGACTTTTATTTTATTTTTGAGACAGAGTTTCGCTCTTGTTGCCCAGGCTGGAGTGCAATGGCAGGAACTTGGCTCACTGCAACGCCTGCCTCCTGGGTTCAAGTGACTCTCCTGCCTCAGCCTCCTGAGTAGCTGGGATTACAGGCATGAGCCACAACAGCCGGTTAATTTTTTGTATTTTTAGTAGAGACAGCGTTTCTCCATGTTGGTCAGGCTAGTCTCGAACTCCCGACCACATGTGATCCGCCCGTCTCGGTTTCCCAAAGTGCTGGGATTACAGCTGTGAGCCGCCATTCCCGGCTTATTTTTATTTTTATATTTTATTTTATTTTCACACAAGGTCTCACTCTTGCCCAGGCTGGAGTGGAGTGGCTCACAGCCACCAGGTGATTTGGGCCCACAAGTCACCCTTGCTAAGAGGCAGAGTCCAGAGCAGAAACTGGGTAGATGCCAAAGGCAGCACTCCCTACTCCACACATGGGTTTCTGTCAAGTAAATCACCAGCCAGGTGAGGTGCATACAGCATCTAGGGAGATGGGACACCGTGTTGTCCCCTCCTTCAGCCAGGAGGCCCCACACTGAGCGCCACTGCCTCCACTGTCCGATGCTACAGGAGAAACGTTTCCTGCTGGTTAAGGAAGTAGAAACTGCAGATCACTTTTCATCTTATTGGAAATCACTCTTTGACACTCTTGCCTCATCTTCACTCAGTACACATTGACTCTACCAGCAATAGCGTACAAATAAACACAGCTTAAGGAAATAGGAATCCTTTATTCCTGGGACTTAAAAGCTTGACTTTCTCCAGTAAGTCAATTACCAGTGCCCACGGCAGGAAGAGCTCTGATGCCAGGGTTGACAGCATGCTGGAAAACCGGAGGAGTGTTTGCATTTCTGGGGCCTCAAGTAATGAGAAGTTCTTCCAAGAACACTGACAGGGGTATTATTGCCCTATTTTAGAATTATTACTCTGAAGATCAGGGAATTTCAGGTGGTTGAACTCATGCCACAGCACCTGTGCTTTTCTGGTAGGGGAGGGATGGAGTCCAGCTCAGGAGTCCCCCGTCATGGGGGAAAGCACTGTGATGGGATGTCTGTGGGGGAATTAGAACCCTATAGCAGATGGGATAGGGTGGGGAGTCTACATATTTTTATTTGGATGTTTTGATGGAGTAAAGTTCCAAACCAAGCAAGTATCAGGCAGGGGGCAGTCCAGGCTGTGGTGCTGTGCTGTGAGGCTGGGAGTCCAGGCAGGTCCTGTGTTCACTGGTCACTTCCACAGCCTGAAGCCCCTCGAAAGGACATCTGCACAGAGGCCCGCTAGTGACTTCAGGATGCTGATGATGCCCTCAAGGTGAGAGCCAGAGAAAATCCCGTCAACTCTGTCAACCAAGGGCATCAATGGCCACGTGTGTGGTTTTCTCCTGCAAAGAACAAGCCAGTTTGCAAACCATGCTTTTGAGGCTAGAAAAATGGCTGTATTCCTTCAGTGTCTCCTGAAGGCTGGGTCCCCTGAGAGTTGATTCAAATACTGTATTCTCGTAAAATATGGTAACATTTAGACCTGAAAAATGGCCTGGGGGATAATCTTATCAAACCTCTGATGTGGTTATTTTGTAACTGAGTATATTGAAGGCTGGGGAACAAAGCCATCTGGTGCCAGCATCCTAGCTGCTCTCTCTCCCCCAGGGGCTTGCCTTGGTTGGGGGCCTTTCCAGCAATATTAGGCTGAAGAAATGAGATTTTAGTTAAACAAGGCCCACTGTTGCTTTAAGACAAAGTGTCAAAGTTTTAAAAAATGTATTAACTTGTTCTTTTGGCCAAGAAATCAATAGATGCACTTCCTTTCCACTGTGCAGGCACTGAGCTGACAGAGGAGTAAGAGCTTGAACCATCTACGTGGTCTGAGTGACCACATCCTTCACTTGGAGCCCTGTTCTACAGCAGATAATTCTGAGTCACCCCAGCTAATGGCTGTGCACAGCATCCTGATGCTCTGATTAGGCTGAGGGGCTTGTGGCGTGGTGGCTAGGCTGTCTCAGAGAGCACCTCGGGCTGGGTGGACCAGGCTGACCCAGAAGAGGGCAATGGGCCTTTGACAGGGACTAGCTGGCTACTATCTGCCTCTTCTGCAGTTTGGGACACTTAGGGTCATGGGTGAAAGTGTTTTTCCACATATAGTGGCCCGAAAGGAAAGGAAACTCATGCCAGTGTTCAGAAAGCGTGCGGGTTTCTCAGGTAACGTTACTGCAGCCACTGATGTCTAATACAAAGAGCTCTGAATGCTTGCCATAGAGATTTGTAGTTTTAATACTGAAGCCCCGAATATTCTGATTTCCTCATTAAGACCGACCTAACACGAGCTATGCAGTCAGCTAAGGTATCAACGGGAGGAAATTGCCAGTGTTTCCCTCTTATTTTCCTCTGAGGTCATCTGAAAACAACCGCAGTGAGGACGGAGTTCGTGCGGCCCTGATGGCTGTGTGTTCCCAGCTCCAAGCATGCACTAAATATTTAATTCATTTGAATATAAATAAGTTAATGAATATGAATACATTAATAAATTAATTGGCATCGTTTTAGTCCTGTTGCAGTTTCAAACTCACCGATTTATCCAACTTCTTTGCACTGAGTTCTTATTCAAGTGAAGTATTCCGGTCTTGTGACTTGTACTTCTGACATAGTAATAGAACAAGTAATATTTATTTAGAACTTTAGTTTACCAAGCACTCTACATTTTATTTTATTATTTATTTGTTTATTTTTTTTAGTAGAGACAGGGTTTCACCGAGTTAGCCAGGATGGTCTCGATCTCCTGACCTCGTGATCCACGCTCCTCGGCCTCCTAAAGTGCTGGGATTACAGGCTTGAGCCACCGCGCCCAGCCTACATTTTATTTTTACATTTTGTCTTTACAAACCCCCACGGGGCAGGCATTCTCCTTACACGCAGTGTTAATTGGTGACACAGAGGCTCAGGGGTTTAAATGGTTTCACTGTAAACAATGTAATCTAGTAGGATGTTGCTTTCCTATTTTTCCTAATACTACCATGTTTAGATGTGGGTGGCTGAGTGGGAGTATATGATTTCCTGTGTATGTATAGACGTAACCCACACTCATAGGCGGAAAGTTCTGCAGGCTGAGAAGCGAAGCCCTCTGCTGAACAACCACCACCAACATTCTAGGACCCCCACACCCTTGGTTCTGCAGGCTACACCCCTCCCATCTGCTTAGAAGCAGAAAGAAAACTCTGCGGTTACTTTTCCCTTTGACAATAAGCCGCGGTTCTCTTCAACGTTCTCCTGGGGACTTGGGTCAATGTTCTCACATGCAAATGTTAGCCAGGCCCAGGGTTATTGTTTCCCCTACCCCTGCGGATTGATCATGGCATGCAACTGCCCCATATTGTATTTTGGTCACCCCCATCGGCATCCCATCTGCTGCTAGTGCCTCTGGCCAGCTTCTCGCATGGTCCTGACACGGTGCTGTCACTCTCACATTATTTGCACACATTGTTTACCTATAGCTGGACACATTGTTCATAGGAGCCCAGCTGGTAAAGTAAAAATATTCCAAGACTGTGCTGATAAGCTACTTCTTCCCTGCATCCTGGGCTGGTGAGAAGCTAAAGAGGAATGAATGCTCTGCCTGTGAAGAGGCCGCACTGCAGAGAAGAGGAGGCAGAGATGCAGTCGTCACGGCCCTAAGACCCTGCCTGGACCCGGTTTTGCAAGTCGAGGGAAGAGTTTTGCACAAATTCTCACTGGGAGCATTGTCAGGGCTGCAGCCACATCACTTTTTTTTGATCTGAGTCCTTTTAACATTAGCTATGATGTCAAAAAAGATGAAATTGAAGTTGTCAACATCTGGTGGAAGGCAAAAACCAGTGAATTTCTACCCAGGGAGAGTTCCTCTGCAGGGTCCCCGCTTCTGGTGGCCTGGAGTTGGGGAGGCCTCTGGAGCAAGTCAGGGGATTAAATTCTGGGTTTTCTTCCATTTTATTATTTTCCTATTTTGACATCTTTGAAAAATGGCTCAGCCTCATAGTGTATGGGTCTTCTGATTGCTTTTGTCTTGATTTTATTCTGACTGAGGGGCAATGGCCACTGTGGGCTCCTCATCCAGGATGAAGAGGGCCCCTCTGTGGCATGGGTGCATCCATGCTCTTCACGGTGGCCTCATGGATCGTCATACAAAGGATGATCTCAGTGATGAGCTTGAGCCTACCCAAAATTAAATTATATGGGTTTATAAGATTCCTCCTCAGGATCAGTATCATCAGGCCTGTCCCTGCTGGTAGCAAGGCCATCTTTATAATGTGCTGTCATGGTGGTAAAGGCATCACTCACTTGATGGAGATCCCGAAGACCAGCTCTACTCGAGAGAGATTTAAGCTAAGTTGCCTGGGAGTCCTTGGTGCTTTTTCGAGGTTCTACTGAAGACAATGCCATCATCCAAGTATCTCTGAATGCCAACGTAGCTCTTGCCTCAGGAGCTCTGAGACCCATGTTATCTATTTTTGAACTGGCCAAGGCCCCCCACAGCAAGGAAAGGGATGCTCTTCCCATCCTTGTCAGCCCTCGTGTCTTGTATTCCACCCCACAGCCTCCTAGCAAGCATCTCAGTGTCTGCAGGTGAGCATGGCTGAGTTCAGTCTTGCTTACTGCAACTGTAGACATGAGGTCTGTGGAAGTAAGAATCCTCTCATTTGCTGACTGGCATTTTGTTTAAGTCCCATGTCACTAATCTCTGGTGAGACAATCCTCTTTGTGTTTCCTGGTGATGGACTTGAGTGATTTCAATGTAAACAGTGGCTCCACCTGGGAGTGTATCCCCTTCCCACGGGGAGGGGGTGCATAGCCCCTGCCAGGTTTCTGCTGTCCTCTCATCCTCCCACTGGGCTTTTCCCCTGCAGATGGCCTGGTGCCCACACTGCCTGCAAATGGTCACTCTTGCTTGTCCCAACACCACCTCCACTGCAGCTTCCAAGAGCCCTAGAAGGGCCGGGCCCTGGCTGAGCACTATTCCTAGGCCCTGGATGGCGGGTGTGGAACTATGTTCTCATCAAGGTCATTTCCTCTTCTATTTTCATCATGTTAAGTAAATCCCTCTCTCATCATGAAATGCCCTGGAGAGAACAGATGCATAGCTGTGGAGTCTTGTTCTGGGATATGTCAGGTACCGGCTCAGGTGTGTGGAGGCTACAGGGGGTGGACATGAGTGGTCTTTCTCTCGCTGTGAATCACATGTTTTGTGCCAGCCCAAGGGTTCTATGAAGGAGAATCAGCCGTTTACCTGGCTGAGTCTAACCCTGGGATGGCGACAGCCGAAACCCCAGCTCCATTCCCTGACCTTCCCTAGGCTGCCGCATGGGTTCCCTGGCACTGTCACTGGGCTAATGCCTTCTGTCTCCTCCTGGGGTGAGGCCAGCCTTTACTCATAGTTTCTGCCCATTCCACATCATTCTGCCTCCCACCCTTGGCTTTTTCAAAAATCTGAGCCAAGCGTGTGCAAGGGGTTAGAAACATGCTGTCCACAGGGAACTAAAATACACTGAGATGAGAAACCAGCAGCACCTGCTTTGGAGCTGTCACACCTGGGAACTGAGAAGCAAACTCTCAGAGATGCCTGGAAACCTTGGGAGCACATGAGTTCTCTGCATATATTTCAGTTGCAGATGAGTTTCTAGTCAAAGTAAAAAACACATGAAGGGCATTCATGTTTCCAGGAACAGAAGCATCCTGTCTGATTTTTCAGAGGTGAAGGGAGCAGTCTGAAGGGGCCGTGGCATAAGTATGTCTACAATCAAAGCTCACAGCCAAGGCCCTGGGGGAGGTTCAGGTGTACCCCAGGGGGTGCGCCCCATCCAGCACTCCACTGACAGGGGCCTCGTCTTTATTAAATTCTAGGCCTTTTCCTGGGCACTAGTTACAAAAGGTGGGTTCAATGAACCCTAGGTTCTGTGGCTGCCACCCATCTCAGGGTCGCACAGGTAATGATTGCCACCCCCTCCACCTTCTGCTGAGGGTCCTGGTGACCCCCTGGTGGTGTAACCCAGGCCCTCACCCCTAAGGGGTCCTGAGCCTTGCTCACCACAGAGTCCTTGGTCTAGGGCTCCCGCACTTGTCCACATGCCATCAAATGCTGTGTACCGGGAGGTACTTGCGTGGAGCCCCTCCTTCCCCAGGCAGCACAGCCCTGCTTCTGCTAACACCACGGTCCAGGTGGTACCCATTTTTCTGCCTGCAGGTCCCATGGAGGAGTAGCCTGAGGACAAAGCAGCACCCGGAGCTTGTTTTTTCAGAGAACCTGGCCCAGCCCTGGCTAGAAGCCCCACAACTGTGGAAACCAGGGCCTCCTGCTTTTCAGAGCCTAGATATGCAGGATATAGATGCCCCTCAGAGGTCCTGGCTGTGAGGTGGAAGGTTGGGGGACACTGGGCTTCCTACTGCTGTGCTCCCATTGCCACATCTTCTACCTGGTGGGACAAGGCAGCTAGCAAAGGTGACAGATTCACCCAGACACTGTGTCCTCCCACATCCTGACCTGGCACCTGAGCCACCACTGCTGGGTCTGAAGCTCCCAGGAGTGTGTGTGTGCTGTGACCAGCAGACCTATGGCATGTGCCCTCTTCCTCCCTCTGTGGTGTGAAATCAGTTCCTCTGATGGTGTCATGTGAGGTCTTGTCCTGATGGGTAGAACTTTCTATAAACCATCCCATGGCCCCGGGGAAAGGCAAGCTCATCCCTTCAGGTTTAGCTGTTTCTGTTAAATGCAACCCTGTCCTTCCCAGGGCATCAGGGCCCCGTGCAGTTGTCCCAGCCTGGCAGGAAGTCCCCTTGAGGATTGTGTGGAGGGCGCAGCCTGGGTCTGACTCGTGACCCTGGCAAAGAGCAGGTGAGCCCTGGGGCTGACCACCTGCACTTTCTGTTTGGTGGTGGGAGATGTGGGGCAATATTTCTTGCGTTTCCTTTAGAGAGCATCTCCCAGCCTGCCCAGACAACCAGACCCCTAAACATGTGACTTGTAGGCAGGGCCTGGCTCTCTGTGGTGCTTTTCTGTCTCCTCCAAGCACCTGTGACTCCCAGGCTTCCAGCCCTGCCAGCTTCCCCCATCTGAGCTCCTGATGCAGGGTGAGGACTGTATTGTGGCAGACAGCATGCCGGTTTACACAGTTCTGGGACGAAACTGTAGGTATACATTATTTTATGTCCCGAGTAAATGAATCCCATTTATGGATACTTTTTTTGACACAGAGGGAAGAAAGGCATTGGTGAGATCCACGGGCCAGAGCTCAGCCTGTGCTCAGGCTCTGGCAGCAGCTGTGCAGCTCTGGAGCTGTTGTGGAGTGGGGAGGTGCTGTGTCTTTGCTCCCTGTGTTAAAGGCTTCATTTGTGTCTTTGTTCAGTTTGTTTTCTTTGACCCCTGTTCAGCAATACTGAAAATCAAGCATTCCTAAGAGGTGGAGACTTTGCTTTGGAGCAGGGGCGGGGGCATTGGGTGGAAATGGGGAATAGGTTGATAGTGGGAATTTCATTTTCTGGAGCTCACGTGCAGCCTCTTGATGGCCTCGTCACAAGTTCACCTGATGACCTGAGTGGCCACTGTCCTTCTCCTGAGTGAGTTACGTGCTTGCCAGGCACATGAGCAGTGCATGCTCACATTTTTCAAATGAAGGAACTGAGAAGGGTTTGTCAGCAGATTGTAAGCCTGAAGCTGCCAGTGTTTGGTCCACAGTAAACCACATGTGGAGAGCTTAAAAAAATTGCCCTCAAATCTGGCAAGAAAATGACAGTAATAAATTAAATTATTACTGTGATACACATGTTTCTTTCATTACAATTAGATATATTACACATATCACAATTTTGCAGAAGTTGCTCATCTATCAGTATTTATTTATTTATTTTTTGCATAAGTTTCCAAGGAATCCTAATGATGGGGACTGTCTCTTTTAAAATTGAATTGTGTAAATAACTCCCAGAGCCATGCTGGTAAGAAACAAAACAAAACAAAAAGAACTAGAAACATGAACAAACATTGGATTTCTGCTGTAAAGAGGATGCAAAGCAGGCCTGCCTGCTGCACCTCCCCAGAGCTAATCCTTGAGCCAAAAGAGCTTCCTGGTGAAGCCTCGCACTCTCTGTAACAGGGCGTGGGGGGACCAAGACATGCGGGCTCCAGATTAGACCATCTTTACCTAGTTATGGGATTTCAGTCACGTCTTTTAAATTCTTTGAGCTGCAGTTTTCACATATGTAAAGTGAAAGTATTTTTAAAATTTTAATTTGTGTTATGACCTTGTATAAAGTTAAAATAGTACATTTGAAAGCATTGTAGCTGAAGTCAAACGTTCACGTGTGTGCATGCAATGGCTTCTTAATTATTTTAGGGCTTAACCTGGTTTTACTGGTACTGTTACTAGCACTGCTACTTCTCCATGTCTCTGAAGACTATGAAATACTTAGAACTTAAGCAACAAGAAGCACCTGTCAAAGCGTTCTATGGCCGATGACAGATTTGACACAGCTGGATATAGTAATATGTTCGATGGTGCCCAGATCATTGCTAAGCAGAGACTTCATGCTATTCTAAGTCGAAAGTGTCCCTAGAATTCTGAACCTGCTGAAGCAGCCTTCAGAACTGAAGTTGAGAAAAGTACATTTTCTTTTTTTTTTTATTATTATTATACTTTAAGTTTTAGGGTACATGTGCACAATGTGCAGGTTAGTTACATATGTATACATGTGCCATGCTGGTGCGCTGCACCCACTAACCCGTCATCTAGCATTAGGTATATCTCCCAATGCTAACCCTCCACCCTCCCCCCACCCCACAACAGTCCCCAGAGTGTGATGTTCCCCTTCCTGTGTCCATGTGTTCTCATTGTTCAATTCCCACCTATGAGTGAGAATATGCGGTGTTTGATTTTTTGTTCTTGCGATAGTTTGCTGAGAATGATGATTTCCAATTTCATCCATGTCCCTACAAAGGACATGAACTCATCATTTTTTATGGCTGCATAGCATTCCATGGTGTATATGTGCCACATTTTCTTAATTCAGTCTATCATTGTTGGACATTGTTGGTTCCAAGTCTTTGCTATCGTGAATAGTGCCGCAATAAACATACGTGTGCATGTGTCTTTATAGCAGCATGATTTATAGTCCTTTGGGTATATACCCAGTATTTTCAGTTAAAGAAAGTCTGAGAGACCGTGTTGCCATCACACCCAAACCCCAATAAATAAACTTGTTCAGGATGAAGAAAAATAACAGTTGGAAATTCTACTTCACAGAAAAGATGAAAGTGTGCCAAAAATAGTAAATATGTGGAGGGGAAATTACTGTTTTAATGACATCCTCCAGGAATTACAACATGTACAAAAGAAAAATCTATGACAACATGGCACAAAAGATGAGAGGATGGTAAGGTAAGGTTTTTATATTTTATATACAGTGTTATGATATTTAATATACATTAAGTATTTATATTTTAATTTCTGAACAACTCACCAAAAATAAATAAATGAAACAAAGAGTCATAGTTAAAAAAAAAACAAGGTACAAAATCCATACTAAAAAAAAACAAAAAGAAAACCCCATAAAACAAACAAACAAACCAAAACTACCATAATCCAGAAGAAGATGAGGAAGGCGGAACAGAGACTGTCAAAATAAGTAAAAAGGAAACCTCAATAACCACTTTTAAAACGAAATACACTTATGAGATAAAGATATAAATAGATTTGAACTGAAAAGATGGACAAATATACACTATGCAAATCTTTGTTATCAAAAACTGCAGCCAGTGTATTAATGGCAGATAAGACAGACTACAAGAAAGACAAGCTTCACCAGGGATAAAGAAGGATGTTTTATACTAATAAGTCCATTTGCTTAGAAAACCTAATAAGCATAAGCATGCATACACCTAAGAAAAATAACAAAATACATGAAGCAAAAGTTATTGAATTAAAATGATAAATGCATAAATCCACAATTTGACAATTCTAATTCTTATATCTCAGAAATTAATAGAAAAAAAACTACAACAATAAGACTACAAGGTATTAATAGGAGAGATTATAACCAGAGCACTGGGAGAAAAACAGCAATATCCAATATGCTTACAACTATTGGTTGACAACTCAAAAGTTCCCAAAAGAATTTTTGACACCAAATAAAGGTAAATAGCCTGGAAAACCTACAAGCCAGCATAGGAAGGAAGTGGAAAATGAAACATTGATTGAAAATAAATCTGGAAGTCCGGGCGCAGTGGCTCATGCCTGTAATCCCAGCACTTTGGGAGGCCAAGATGGGTGGATCACCTGAGGTTGGGAGTTCGAGACCAGCCTGACCAACATGGAGAAACTCTGTCTGTACTAAAAATACAAAATTAGCTGGGTATGGTGGTGCATGCCTGTAACCCCAGCTACTTGGAGGCTGTCGTAGAAGAATTGCTTGAACCCGAGAGGCAGAGGTTGTCGTGAGCCAAGATCTCCCCATTGCACTCCAGCCTTGGCAACAGGAGCGAAACTCTGTCCCCCAAAAAAAAGAAGAAAAGAAAAGAAATCTGAAAAAAGGAAAAGAGAATTGAGGATAAAGCTTTGCAAATACAAAATCCAAAAATCAAATGATAGAAATAAGTTCAAATATATCACTTTTTCCTACCAAACATAGAGGGATTAACCTCATATATTAAAATACAAAATTATCAATAACTAAGCAGCACTTTCAAATTAAAGAAATTAAAAATTAAATAGTTTATAAAAATTTTAAGTAAATATTCACAGAAAGCAAGCTGCTATCACAAAATTAATTTTAGTTTAAATAAAATTTAAGGAAGAAATAATAAACAACAAGATTGACACTGCACATGGAGGGACCATAGAACCGGGTAGGTGAACCAACGTCAAGTCCAATGCTGGCCTCACCTCCAGGACATACAAAGAAACTAACAGGATAGAGCAGGTCTAGAGAGGGACACTGGAACTCATACTTCTGAATTTAAATGGGAAATAGACAAAGATGTTATGTGTTTATAAAAGGTTTTAAATCACAACAAATGCTGAATGTACATCACTTTCTAGTATATGTAATACTTACCAAATGGGACCCATATTAGGTTGCAAAAGAAATTACAAAAACCCGGAGATAGGGACCAAAGGACTAAAAGAAGTCAGAACAAAAAACACGCCCCATATATTTTAGGGAAAAACAGCACAGTGATTTAATGGTAAATCACTATAAACATGAAGGCATTCACCTAGAATAGAGATGAGATGCCAGAGTTCAAGACGACAACATGTGTCAGCCTGACTTTCTGAATGACTGCACAGGCAAGGCTGCCATCCATGGAAGCGCAGAAAAGGACACCCCTTAGGTCCTGGATGGAGGAGGATGACCCCCAATACTGGATAGAGAAAGATGCCCTCCAATTCTGGGATGGAGAAGGATGCCCCCCAGTCCTGGATGGAAAAGGATGCCCCCTAGTCCTTGATGGAGAAGGATGCCCCCTAGTTACTAGATGGAGAATGATGTCCCCTGAGTCCTGGATGGAGAAGGATGGTCCCCCAAGTCCTCGATAGAGAAAGATGGTCGTCCAAGTCCTGGATGGAGAAGGATGCCCCCCTCAGTCCTGGATGGAGAAGGATGCCCCCTAGTTACTGGATGGAAAAAGATGTCCCCCAAGTCCTGGATGGAGAAGGATGCTCCCCAATTCCTGAATGGAGAAGGATGCCCCCTAGTTCTACATGGAGAAGGACAAACCCAGTCCTGAATGGAGAAGGATAACCCCCCAGTCCTGGATGAAGAAGGATGCCCCCCAAGTCCTATATGGAGAAGGACAAACCCCAGTCCTGGATGGAGAAGGATGCCCCCCAAGTCCTATATGGAGAAGGACAAACCCCAGTCCTGGATAGAGAAGGATGCCCCCCAAGTCCTAAATGGAGAAGGATGCCTCCAAAGTCCAGATGAAGAAGAATTTCCCCCACTCCTGAATGGAATAGGATCCCCTTCAAGTCCTGGGTGGATAAGACACCTCCCAAGTCCTGGGTGGAGAAGGACACCCCTCAGGTCCTGGATGGAGAAAAGATGCCCCCTAGGTCCTGGATGGAGAAGGATGTTCCCCAAGTTCTGCTTGGAGAAGGTGGCTCTGGGGACCTCATGGGGAAGGATGCCCCTTTTCCAGCCTCCCCATCCATACTTATCCTGACTTGTTAGTGTAGAACAAAGAGATTTGGAGGAAGAAACACAGGACTAAACTTTAGTCAGAATGTTTTCCTTTTAATCAACATTTTATAAATTCTAATTTTTATTTGATAAAAATAAGTGAAATGTATGACATAAACACAGTGTAACAACCGATTAGACCTATTTTTCCGATCTGAGTCCTGGCTACCGGCTCTATTAGTCATTCTACTTTTCTGTATTTGCAAAGCTTCTCAAAATTAAAGATAAAAGAGTTTATTGCTAGTAACATGTATAAATAGACATTGAATAAAATGTGGCTCTTTAAAAATTAGTTTATTCTATGGGCTTCTTTTGAAAGGTTATGGTGTACTAAAATTACTGGTGGATCTTTATTACAAGCTCACTGGTAAAAATAGTCAATATGGGAATATTCTAATTTGTTAGAAATTAGTGTTGAGTGAGTATTAATCAAAACTTTAAAACCAAAATACATGGACATAAGAATAAATTATTCGACTTAATTATCCACTGACTTTAAATTCTAATTGCTAAATTTACTTTTTGCCCATTTCACCTCCTTCAAATCTCCAAGTAACTCTTCATTTTTCTCTCCTGTCAATATTTTATTCTCCCTTATTTTTTTTTCTATTTCCTGATTTTTTGAACAACTCCAAGGGAGTTGTGTTTTGCTTGTGTTGAATGACGTCATTACACCAACCCGTTAGGCAACTAGAACGTCACCAAGGTGAGCACTAGGAGACTTCAGACCACGGAGCCTCTCCTGATTTTTGACTCAGGTTACCTGGCAACTGTGTTTAAATTATGAGTTGTTTAATTTTTTTAGATCCCCTATAGATAAAGAAGGATTTTAATAACCATCAATTTAAAATGCACTGGGACACTTCATGACTGACATTTCTTGCAGTTTCTGTGCTGTGGCCTCATGAGTAACTGTCTGTAAGGAACATCATGTTCCTCATTCTGCCCTTGCTCCTTGGGCTCCAAAGGGAAAGACCAGAAATTCTGTGGATATAAAACATGGAAACATTCATTCTTTAAAGGAAAAGGCGGTAAAGCAGAGATGAGGAAAGGATGGTATTGAATACATGCAAATGGATAAAATATGAATGATCATGTTCTCATGTTCAACTCAATTTTTAAAAGTGGATGTATGAGCAGTGCGAGCATTTAGTCAGGGCATGGTGGGCCTGTGGGCTAGAACAAGAGGCCACACTCAAGGAGAGATGGCACTCACGACGGGGGGGCCTCTGCTCCTTTATGACTCCCCTTCCTCAGTGACCCAGAGCACCCTCCTATCACAGCCTGTAGGGGAGAGGAAGGTGTTAGGGCACTTTGAATCACAGCGGAGTGTGTGTCTACATGCTCTCCTCACATGCCACAAATCTGCATCGCTTTACAATATTTCAATAGATTATGAGTAAGGAAGATCGCTGCAGAACCAGTAAAAGCTGCCCTCCCAGACAATGCGCTAAATTGGGTTTTACAAAGTATTGTGAGAGATCTCGGGAGAGGGGGAGCAACCTGCTCATAGATTTTGCCAAAATCAACATTTAAACACCTCCGTTAGGCAGAAGAGCAGTGCTACTGGAATTAGTTAGCAGTTCTTTCCTGCTGGACATCTCTCAGCCTCCAGACCCTACAGAGAAGAGGCCATGACCTAAAAGCAGTTTAAAAGCTTGAAAAAATAGAAGCTAAGGATTAAGCAAATATCGAAATTTAGAAAAGGAGAGAAGACTTTATTTCTTGTAGAGGGTTACAGCCTGCAAGGTGGCCACCCCACAGGCTGGGAAGAACAGCCTCCTGCCGAGACCAGAGATGGGCACTTCCAGGAGGAGGGGTTGGGGCAGGAGCTTTGGGGTGAAAAGGTTGGCTAAAGATACACAGTCATCAGGAGACAGGCATAACAACATAAAACCAGTTGTAGGTAACACAGAATGATTCTGATATTGATGTTCAATTCCACACACTAACAGACGTGAGAACCTCATTCACCGCACGTGGAGAAGGCACTGTATCTGCTCCGTGGTGGTCCCGATGACTTGTGTTTATCGTTGCCTGGGTCTGCATTTTCTCTTCTCTAGATTTTGCTTATCCTGCAAAGTTTGTGCTGGGACATCATTTCTAGGATTGAGTTTAAGCTGAGCCTCAGAGTTTTTATTGCAGCTACGGTGGATATGGCTTGGTTCCCTGCAGTACTCTCTGGAAAGTACCTTCCTCCATTTGAAATCCCTGACGTGGTACCTCCTACAGCCTGCACAGCTCTGGCCTCTGCCATGGGTCTCATGGCCTCTTCTGCTAAAACTAGAGAGGAGGTTCATCCCCTGCCTCTTTATAGAGAAGAGCCACTTGCTGACTGAGCTGAAAAGGGACTCCCCACTGAGCAGGCTCACCAGTGTCCCGACAGCCGGGCAGATCATGGGGACGGGGAATTCTGAGCAGACCCTCTTCAGAAGTTGAGTCTCAAGGGGCCTTGGGGAACTTGGTCAGCAGATGGCAAGACTTCATCTGTCAGTGGGCGGGTCAGCTCAGCGGGACTCCTGTCTTTGGAACTGAGACTCAAGTCTCTACTCTGTACCAAGACAGAGATGGAGGCCAGGAAACAAGACACACAACCATTTTCCATCATCGAGGGGCAAGGCAGGGCTTGGCATGAGGCAGAACCGGGCTCCATCAATGCCACATGTCAGGAGGAACCCCTTTTCTGTTTCAATCCCTCCTGCCCATTTGTGGGAGGCATTAGAGAGGCCTGACATAGTTTTTTTTCTCCACGGCCTGAGGACGTGATAGGATTTCATTCCCGCCCCACCTTGTGGTTGGATGGAATCATGTGCCCAATTCTGGTCAAGATCAAGAAACTGAGGTATCATTTTTGTTTGTGTGGGACCAGGAAAATGGCTCTAATTTGGCTTTGTGTTTGTGCATGTGTGTGAGAACGGACAGGTAAATGTGTGTAATGGAGAGTGGGTAGGTGAGTGTGTACGTGTGTGAGAGTGTGTATGTGAGTTGTGTGAATGTTTGTGAAGAAATGTGTGATAGTGGTGTTTGAACTTGGCAGTATGAGTGTGTATGTGGAATATAACTGTGTGCGGATGTGTAAATATGAGTGCATATGTGTGTTAATGTGTGTAAGTGTGTGAATAAGCCATGTGAGTGTGGTGTGTGAGCTTGGGTCCATGAGTGTGTGTGCGTGTCTGTGTGAGCATGACAGAGTGTGTGAGTTTGGGGTGTGTGCAGGCCACAGCCAGTCCCTCCTGGGGTACTAGATCTTTCCAACCCAAGCACCTCAAGTCGTTCTCCTTCCTCACTCCATCCTGAGCTTCCCAGCCAACTGCCTCTCATCCAAACTCCCACAGGGAAACAGTCCCTGGGACTAGGGGCTCTGAGCATGGCACAGTGCCAAGTCTCCTCCCTGGCCACCTCCTGAGAACCTGGGTGTAGCACAAAACAGTCAAATATGTTCCTCTTCTGTCATCACTAACTAGAGCTCCACAGCTTCCCAGATTGCCCTGTTAGCTCTTCACCATAATTAGCTATTTTCTGATATCATACTAACATTCCTTAATTATTCCCTCAGAAACAAAGCAAATCCGTGGGATGCAGAGGGTACGCTGATGACTTCTGCTGGGGAGAGAAGCCCAAACACACGTCCTGGGCAGAGCCCAGAGACCTGGAGTGTGGCTGCCAGTGGGCACCCGGCTGAGGGACAAGCAGGTGGGCCTCAGTGGTGGCTGCCAGGTCCCTGGACGCCGGGGGCCACCGGCTTTGCCTCTCCTCTGCCTCGGAAGCACCGGAGGCTTTGGGGATCTGGTGGTCCTCCGGCCCTGAACGTGGACCTGGTGTGACAAAGGGAAGTTTGCCATCTCCATCCTCCTCAAGCTGCCTGTGCACCCCAGTAGCACTCACCCTCTCTGTGCTCCCGTCTGCACCGCATGTCCTGGGGTCCTTCTTTGTGCTGCACCCAGTGACAGGAACCAGTGTCCCGACTGTGACTTACTTCCCCCCTCAGGGACACACAAGGACTTTCACATCGAGGCTACTTTTCACCCCTTCTGCCTCCTGCAGGGACGCTGCATGCAGAGGCAGGAGGACAGAGGGGCTGGTCTCAGGTGTGGCTTCTCTCATACCTGGCGCAGGTGGCCACTCCCCTTCCCCCCCCCACTCCCCCACCCCACCTCAGCTCCCGGGTGTGAATGAGAAAGGGGAACCAAGAGATCATCATTACATGGGACATGCCACAAACCCCAAAAAGACCCATTTGGTGAAAAGAAGTAAAACAACCACAAGGCTATTTTGGCCTGAGGTGGTCTCATGGCTGAAGCAGCCGCTGGTCTCTTGCCTGGGCTACTCAAATAGTAACCCGGTGTGTCCTCCCATGTGCATTTTCCTTCGGGTTGAGCAAAAACACTTTGTCATCCTCCCACTCCTCAATAGAGCAGAAGGGAATGAAAGGCAACTACAGGGCCTTACAGAGCTGCTCCGGGGGCCGCGGGAAACTTATCAGCATCCTAGAAAAGACAAAACCAGTGGGTTGCATGTGGCCTCTGACACCTGCCACCCTGACTGCAGGGAGTGGCCTCCCCCACCTTTCACCTTCCCATCATTAGTAAGCAAAGTGACCCCCTACGCCTGGACAAAGCGCTCAAAAGCCCAGGCCCGCGGGTTAGCTCCAGCCGCTCGGCTTGACAGGGGCCAGGGAGGCGGGCCAGCCCCACAGCCAAGTCACAGCTCCAGGGCCTGGTCGCACCTGAGCAGCGCGGCCTCGGGCTGCTGCTGGCGCTGCAGGATCCGCGCCTGACCCTCCAGCCTGCGCAGCGGGCACTCGGCCGGGAAGCACCTCTCCAGCAGGCGGCTCAGCACCACGTTCACGCGCCCGCGCCTGTGGCCGCGCGGGCCCCAGCTCCACTTAGCGCTCACAGACCGTGAGCCCGCAGGGCAGCGTCACAGGCTTGTGCAGCAGCCGTGGGCAGCCAAGCAGGTCGCGGGGCGCGCCGGGCGCCAGGGCCGGCCCTCCCTAGCCCTGAGCTCGCCGCCAGGCTTCCCCGCCAACAGTGGCCGTTCGCGCAGGCCGGGACACACCAGGCCGCCCGCCAGCTCCCCCAGCTCCTCCGGACTCAGCGCCTCCAACCTCCCGGCTACATGGAACGCGCCCAGGGCCACCGGGAGGCGGCCGGCGCGGGCCAGCGCGTCCCCCAGCCTCAGGCACCGGCCGCGGTCGGGCTGCGCCAGCAGGGCCAGCATGGAGCGGAAGAGCCCGGCGCTTTCTGGTACTTGCTCGCGCGGAAGGCCTCGTCGCCCTCCTCCAGGCGGTGGGCGATTGGCTTCCCGCAGCAGCAGCCCGACACTGGGGCGGCGGCGGCGGGACCGGCTCAGTGCTGATTCTCGCGGGGCTGCGACCGTGCGGGCCTGGAGCGAAGGCGCGGAGCAGGGGCGATGAGCTGCTGCTGGGAACTGGCCGGCGGGAGCGCGGCCACAGCCTTCGCCTGCAGAACCAAAAAAACGGTTTTAAAAATCTTTTTAACATCCGCAGAACGTGAAGAATTACATTGGAAATTGGTTAGAGATTGTATTGGACCTATAGATTGATTTGAGTATGATGGTCATTTTAACAGTATTAACACTTCTAATTCAAAAAATGGGATAACCTTGTCTTTACTTGTATCTTTTCAATTGATTTTTATCAATGTTTTATAGTTTTCATTTTAGACGTCTTTATTTTGCCAGGCATTTTTTTTATAGCTATTTTCAATGGGGATTCCTTTTTCAGATAGTATGCTGTTGGGTATAGAAATGCATCTGATTTTTCTATGCTGATTTTGTATTCTAAAACTTTACTGTATTCATTTACTGTTTCTGTTTTTCAGTATAGGGTCTTTTATACATATGACATGATCTATGTCATCTGCAAACAGGGACAATTTGACTTTCTTTTTGTTTTTCAATTTGGATGTCTTTTCTTTCTCTTTTCTAATTGCTCTAGCTAGGACTTCCAGTGCTATGTTGAAGAGAAGTTATTAAAGTGAACATCCTTGTCTTGTTCTTGATCTTAGAGACACAGTTTTCAATTTTTCCTTATTCAGTATCATGTTGGCTGTGGGTTATCACATATGGCCTTTATTTTATTGAGTTATACTCTTTTTATAACTGATTTGTTAAGAGATCTTATGTTTACAAAAAACATTGAATTTTGTCAAATGCTTTTTCTGTATCTATTTAAATGATTATATGATTTTTATCTTACCTTATCGAATGTGGTGTATCACATTTATTGATTTATATATCATAAGCCCTCCTTGCCTCCCTGGAACAAATACAGCCTGATTATGGTGAATCATCTTTTTAATGTGCTTTCAAATTATGATTGCTAGCATTGCTGGTTTTGAATTTTTGCATTTATGTTCATCACTGATATTGGCCTGTAGTTTAGTTTTTCACTGTTCTTGTCGCATTTTGGAATAAGGTAATTCTGTCTTCATAGAATGAGTTTGGAAGAGTTTCCTCCTTTTCACTTTTTTTGGAACAGTTTGTAAATAATTAGTATATGTTCCTCTTTAAATGTTTTGAAGAATTCAGCAGTATAAGCATTGGATCCTCGATTTTTATTTTCTTCTCCTTCCCTCCCTTCCTTCCTTCCTCCCTCCCTCCCTCCCTCTGTCTCTCTTTTCCTCTTTCTTTCTTTCTTTCTTTCTTTCTTTCTTTCTTTTTCTTCTTCTTCTTAAATATTTTTGGTTTAGAGACATGGTCTTTCTTTGTCACTCAGGCTGGAGTACAGTGGTGCAATCATAGCTCACTGCAGCCTCAAATTCCTGGTCTTAAGTGATCCTCCTGCCTCAGCCTCCCAAGTTGTTAGGACTGCAAGTGCACACCACTAAACCTGGATAATTTTTATTTTTATTTTTGTAAAGACTGGGTCTCACTATGTTCCCCAGGCTAATCTGGAAATTCTGGCTTCAAGTAATCCTCCTGCCTTGGCCTCCAAAGTGTGAGATGACATGTGTGAGACACTGTGCCAGCCCTCCAGATTTTCTTGTATTGAGAGACAATGCTTCAATCTCTTTATTTGTTATTGGTCTGTTCGCATTTTGTATTTCTTAATTCTTCAATTTTGATAGGTTATATGTGTTCAGAAACGTATTTATTTCTTCTAGGTTTTCTAATTTATTGGCATATAATTTTAGTACTTTCTCATGATTCTTTGTATTTCTGTAGTAACCATTTTAATGTCTTTTTTCATCTCTCATTTTATTTATGTGAATCTTCTCTCTTTTTTCTTAATCTGACTAAAGATATATCAATTGCGTTTATCTTTTCAAAAAATAACTTTTTATTTCATTGATCTTTCATATTTTTGTCTCCATTTTGTTTATTTGTGCTCTGGTCTTCATTATCTATATTCTTTTACCAATTTGGGGCTAAGTTTGTTCACGTTTCTATAATTCCTTGAAATGCATTCTTAAATTATTAATGAGAGTTTTCTTTCTTTCATATAGAAATTTATTTCTACAAACTTCCCTCTGAGGACTTTTTCTGCTGTATTTCGTAAGTTTTTATATGTTCTGATTTCATTTTCATTTGTCTTAAGAATTTTTAAAATGAAACAATTTATTTTTTAACCCATTGTTTGTTTAGGGGCACGTTGTTTAATTTGTATGTATTTGCACAATTTCTGAAGTTCTTGTTGTTTATTTCTAGTTTTATTCTATATTGTCAGAAAAGATGTGATATAATTTTGATTTTTTTTTGAATTTGCTAAGGCTCATTTTGTGCCTAGTATATGATCTATCATGGAAAATGTTCCATGCGCAGTAGAGAAGACTGTGAATTATGCAATTGTTGGATAACATGTTCTGTAAATGACTGCTAAGTTATTTGGTCTAGAGTTCACTTTAAATATGATGTTTCTTTGTTGATTTTATGTCTTGATAATCTGTTTATTGCTGAAAGTAGAATGTTACTATTATTTTATTGCTTGCTGTTTCTCCTGTTAGATCTATTAACGTTTGTTTTATATATTTAGGTCCTTCAATATAGAGGGCATATATATTTACAATTATATTATCTTGTGATATTGATCCCTTTATCATTATATAATGGCTGTATTTGTCTGTTTTTATAGGATTTTGTTTGAAGTATATGTTATCTGATATAAATATATCTATACTGGCTTTCTTTCAGTTTCCATATTTATAAAATATATTTTTCCATCTGATCACTTTCAATTTATGTGTGTATTTACAGATGAAGTGAATTTCCTGTAGAAAGTTTATAGTTAGGTCTTGTTTTTAATCAGTGTAGCCATTATATGTCTTAAATGGGATAATCCATTTACATACAAGATAATTATTGATAGGCAAGGACTTGGTTCTGCCATATTATTACTTGTTTTCATGTTTTTTTTAATTTGTACTTTGATTGATTGATTTCTCTATCTTCCTTTGTGATTAAGTGCTTTACTCTATCAGTGTGTTTCGGTTTTTTTTTTTTTAATTTTTAGAGTATCTTTTAAAAGTTTTTGCTTTGTGGTTACCACAAGGCATGCAAAGAACATTTTATGGTTACAATAAGTTATTTTAAAGAGATAGCAACTTAATTTTGATTCAAAAAGAGGGGAAAAGAAACCACTCTACTCTTTAACTCCATCACTCCCTCACATTTTGCATTTTTGATGTCTTAATTTACATCTTTGTATATTGCTAGTCCTTAACAAATTATTGTAATTATTATTATTTTATTTGTATTGTTTTTTAACCTTCCTACTAAGGATATATAAGTGCTTTACATCCAATTATTACCATATTAGAGCATTCCAAATTTGTCTGAACCCTCACTTCTACCTGTGGGTTTATACCTTCAGATTTTTTGTGTTACATATTGCTGCCATTTTCTTTCAGTTTGGAGAACAATATTTAGCGTTTCTTGTAAGGCTGGTTTGATTACAATGAATTCCTTTGCTTTTTGTTTGTCTGAGAATGTTTCAATCTCTCCTTTATTTCTAAATGATAGCTATGCTGGATACTTTATTCATGGTTGACAGTTTTTTTAATTCAGCACTTGAATCTATTATCCTACTCTCTCCTGGCCTGTAGTGCTTCTGCTGAGAAGTCTGCTGCCAGGCATATTGGAATTCTCTTATGTGTTGTTTCCCTTTTCTTAGTCCTTTCAGGGTCTTCTCTTTGTGTTTGACATTTGAGAGTTTAATTATAAAATGTCTTTGGTTGTCTTATTCAGATTAAATATGATTGGGCACTTTGACCATCCTAAACATTTTAATCTTTCTCCAGGTTTAAAAAGTTTTCTGTTATTTCTTCGAATAAACTATCTCCTTTTCATTCTTAGTTCCCCTTTAACACCAATGATATGTAGATTTGCTCTTTTGTTGGTGTCCCACAAATCTCATAAACTTTCTTTGTTTCTTTTCATTCTTTTTTTCATTCTACTCTGACCATGTATTTTCAAAGAGCCTGTCTTTGAGCTCACTGTTTCTTTCTTCTGCTTGATCAGTTCTTCGGTTGATGCCTTCCGTTGGATTTTCAATGTGTTAATTGAACTTTCCTGCTTCAGGATTTACATGTGATTTTTCCCATTATTTTGATTTCTTTGTTGAATTTCTCTGGTAAATTTCTGAATTATGTCTCTGCTTTCTCAGTGTTCAGGCTCTTCTTAAAACAGCCATTTTGAATTCTTTGCCTGCCAGATCATTCATCTGTATGTCTTTAAGTTCAGTTGCTGACACCTTGTTTTGTCCATTTGGAGAGGCAACTTTTCCTAAGCTATCATTATTATATGTAGATATACATCTCTGTCTACACATTGATGAATTAGATATTTATTTGTGTCTTCTCAGTCTGGGTTTGTTTGTGACTACTTTTAAGTGGGCTTATTAGGAAATGTTGAGCGGACTTACCATCGTATTCCATTTTAGCATTAGAGAGAGTCCAAATCCCACGTTAGACATAAGTCTTCCAATGGCTCCACCACTGCTGCAACATTTGCTGGATGGGCCCATGGGTGATCCACAGGGAGCCCCTGGCTATGGGGGAGAACAAGTCAGGCCGTCAAGCGTGTAGTCTGTGTATTATGTTTCACATGGTGGCTGTTGCTGGCCCCACCTCCTCTTACGTCCTTAACATGCCTCAGGTGGTTCATCCCTTTTGGCACTCATGGTGCCACTTGTGGGCTGATACAGGAGTGAGTCTACTGTGAAGGCACTCAGTATAGTGGAAAAAACAAATATCAACCTCCTGCTGACTTTTTTCAGTGTAAAAACTATAAGCCCTATGGGAGTTTCTGCAGATGGTACCATAATGGCCTGAGGGAGGAGTATCACAGTCACAGAGTATTGGTTCTCTCACTCTGTAAGCCATGGTTTTACCCATCTTCACAGGCCAAAGGTGCTTCATAACCTTGTTCATGTATTGAGGTTCTGTTGGCTCTTGTAATGGTAATTTCACATGTGGACAGTTGTTCATATTGATGTTTCTATAGGGGTATGATAGCTGGAGAGGTCTGCACCACTGTCTTGCTCTGCCTCGATCATTATTTTTTTCTAACAAGAATTTGTCTCCTCCTAGTTTTTCTTTTTCTCTTAACCGACCTAGGTATAGCCTTTTAATCCTTCTCCCTCCTCTGCTTCTAATGTCATTGCTTCTTTGTATGCCTATCATATCTACATGCTACATGACCTTCAGCTGGTTATGTATAATATATAAGACTTAATATCCTATAAAATAGAGGTAATAATAGCATCTACTTGATAGGAAAGTTAAGAATATTAAATGACACCATTGATGTTAAATGGAGGTAACTTTCTGAAATGTATTAATGAGACGTGATTCTTTGTTCTAGTCCACTTCATAGACTAGACTACTTTGTTTGAGTTTTCTCTTTTCAGTCAGAGAAAGCAATAAAATTGTAATGGTAAAAATTAAATAAAATTTAACTTAAAATTGTGTTCTGGTCTTCTCATTGTTCAGCCGTGGAAAGCAATAAAATTGTGATAGCAGAAATTAAAAGTGAGCAGAGACTTATTTAAAAATTGGTATTCTCCTTTTCAATGCCAAAATAAGAACTAGAAACTTTTAATAAGGCAACAGTCTGAAGAAACAATTTATTGAAGAGAATATGGGTTTCTAAATCCTAACAAGTTTTTTTACGTATGTGAGTCAAGTTTGGCTGCCTTGAATCCTATTATGACTTTAATGGAAGTTCTAGTTAGGGTGGAAAGTGTCAAAGAAAACAGTTGCACCAGACAAAGTTAAACACATAAAAAAGCTGTTATTGAAGACTATTGCAAAAGGGCAAAGAGGCCAGAACTTAGTCTGAACTCAGCTCCGCTGAAACAAACAGCAGTAGAGATTTTAAGAGCCAGGATGAGGGGGAGATCATAGACCACTTGTCTTTGATAGTTGTCTTTTTCCAAAGGAATATTAAACTATCTTTTATCTTTATGACAGAAGGTGATTTTACAAATTAGAGGAATATGCCCACCAAAATTTGGCTCTTACTCTCTCATGGAGTCTGGGAGATAATGGTGTTATCTTTTTTGAGAATTACATTTCAAAGGGATGGCTCTGAGGTCCTTGAAATGGACATTTCTGAAGTGTAAAACTGGCACGTGGGCTCTTAGAAAGATTTATCAAAGAGGCAGAGAAAGAATTTACAATGATAACATTTCTAAAATATGCTAAAGAAAAAAAGAGGTGAGGAGCCAAGAATCAGAAATAATCCTGTCTAAAATTTTATCAAACTGAGGGGATGGCTTTAGTCAAAGGTTTAGTGTAAGGGGAATTTCTATGAAGAAGAGGAAGAGAAGAGCTTTTAACTACACAGGAAGAAGAAAGTTCCCAGGAGATGTGACTATGGCTCTGCCTGTGTCTCTGATCAGGTATTCAGCCCCAACATCCTCCTGGGACTCGCTCAAACAGATGGATAGGAAAAAATAGACAGTTAAAGAAAGATGAGAAAATATGCAGGCTGGTGTCTTACTTCTCTAGTGCACATAGGGTGTCCCAGGAATGACAGAGTGGCAGGACAGGGGGAAGTGCCTGAGAGATCAGTTCCCTTACTCTCAGCCTGTGAGTGCTGTCTGAAAAGCCAGTCTCTCCAAGCTTGGTGGAAGGGGGACTCACACCTGGTTTGACAGGACCAGTGGAGGCCCCTGGTGGGACATGCTGGCCTCAGAATGTGAGGTCTTGGAGGCTAGAGGAAAATGGCAGTGGGTGACCAGAAACTTCATCACTGAGTGCCAATACATGCAAAATCAAAGAGAAGATGAGCCATGTCAGCAGATATCAGTGAAGCATGCCCAGAGAAGACTCCACTGACCATACACAGCACAGACCAGCCTGTTCCAGAGGACAGTGCAAATGGCACGCCACAGCAACAGAGGCGACTTCGACCCCGCCCACGCCATCAGCAGCTCGGACCCTAGGGTCAGATACCACCACAGAGGCTAATTCCAGTGGTCGCCCCGCATCTCAGGAAGACGGGAACCTGCACTCAGCACCATCCCCGTGGCTGCACAGGGCCCAGGACTCGTAACCCGGCGCTCTGGTTGCGGGCCAAGAAAGAGCGTAACCTAGGGTGGCATGTCGGTGAACTCGGCGACCCTCTGACAACCTGGGAGCAGCCCCAACAGCCTCAGTTGTGGGCTCAGCTGCAACTGCCACCTGCCGATGGTGCACGGGAGCAGCAGCGGCAACCCTCGACCCTGTCCCCGCCACCAGCAGCACGGACAGCAGGGCCAGATAGCGCCGCGGCGCCTAAGACCTTAGGCCACGCAGCTGCAGGAGGACGTGAAACGGGCGCTGACCGCCCCCCAGAAGCTATGCAATCCCCAGCGCAGGCGAGTCCTCACTCTGGGCGCGGGCCAAAGATCAGACACTACGATGAAAGGACGGTGAACTTGGTGACCCTGAGGCTCGCAATGGGTTTAGCAGCAGCTGCCAACTGCAACCAACCCTGACCCTGCCCGCGTCACCAGCAGCAGTAACCCAGGGCCAGATGCCGCCTCAGCGGCTAATTCAGGTAATCGTCCTCCAGCTGCAGCAGGGCGGAAATCCGCTGCTCAGCCCCACCTCGGCGGCTGCACAGAGCCCAGCGCCCGCACAACCCGCTCTTGGTAAGGGCAAAGGAAGAGCGGACCTAGGGTGGGAGGACCCTGCACTCCCTGACCCTCAGGCCGTCTGGGGCCAGCCCTGCCAGCCTCTGTCTAAAGCTACGCTGCAACTGCTACCTGCTCATGGCGCGCAGCGGTGGCAAACCCGGACTCCGCCCGCCGACACCAGCGGCCTCGAAACCCTAGAGACAGACTCCACCTAGTGGCCAAAATCAGGCAGTCGGCCCACAGCTGTAGGAGAGCGGGAACCTGCCCTTCAGCGGATTCCTGGAGGCTGCACAGTGCCCAGCGCCAGCCACCCGGATCTGGGCGCGGGCAAATGACCCTCAGGCCGTCTGAGACCGGACCAGCCCTGCAGCCTCAGCGGTGGGCTCAGGGGCGACTGCCACGTGCACATGGTGAACTATAGCAGCTGTGGCAGCCCCCGACCCTGTGCAAGCCACCGGCAGTGCGGACCCCATGACCAAAAGCCGCCGCGGCGCATAACTCAGGCGGTCGGCCCCCCAGCAGCCAGAGGGCGGAAACTTGCAGCTTAGCCCATCCCAGCGCCTGCACTGTGCTCAGCGCCTGCAATCCCACTCTCTGGGAGCGGGCAAGGAAGACTGGACCTTAGGGTGGGAGGGCGGTGCATTCGGGGACCCTCAAGGCTTCTGGAATAAGCCCTTCCAGCCTCCGCTGCGGGTTCAGCTGCAGCTGCCAGCTGCACACTCCTGGAAGCAGCAGCGGTGGCAGCTCTGGTCTCTGCCAGCTCCAGCAGCAGCGCGGACCGCCGAGCCAGAGGTCACTGCGGCGCCTGTTAGGAGGTTGGCCTCTCAGCTGCAGGAGGGCGGGAATCTGCACCCAACCAGATCCTCATGGCTGCACAGTGTCCAACGCCCACGACCCTGCAATTTGGGCGCCGGCCTAGGAATAACGGACCCTGGGGTGGAAGGGCGGTGCACTCAGCCACCCTTAGGCAACCTCATACCAGCCCTGACAGCATCTGCCTGGGACTCAGCTGCAGCTGGCACCTGCGCATGGCGCACGGCAGTAGTAGTGGCAGCCCTGACCCTGCCCTCAGACACCAGCAGCAAAGACCCTAGGGCCGGATGCCTCCAAGGCATCTAAGTCAGGTGGTCGGTCCCATAGCGCTGGGGATTGCAGCGGTCGCCCGCTGCAGCGGGGCGGAAATCGGCTGCTCAGCCCCATAGCAGCTGTGGCAGCCCTCATCTCTGTCCATGCCACCAGTAGCACGTACCCCAGGGTCAGATACTGCGGTGGCGCCTAATTCAGACTGTAGCTGCAGCAGGGCAGGACTCCGCCGCTCAGCCCCATCCTGGAGGCTGCTCAGAGTCTAGCGCTCGTACACCGCGTCCTGGGAGCAGGCTAAGGAAGAGCAGACCCTAGGGTGGTAGGGCGATGCACCCAGAGACCCTCAGGGTGTCTGGGACCAGCCCTGCCGGTCTCTGCCACGCGCTCAGCTGCAGCTACCACCGCCAGGTGGCTCCCGGCAGCAGCGGTGGAAACCCCGCTGACCTTGCCAGCCAACAGCAGTGAGGATACCACGGCTGGATCCCTTGCCAGGGCGGGAACCTGCCGCTCAGCATATTCTGGGCAGCTGCACAGGGCCCAGCGCCTGAAACCCCGGGCTCTGGGCTCGGGCCAAGGAAGAGTGGACCCTAGGCTGGGAGGGCGGTGCACTCGGCGATCCTCACGCTTTCTAGGACCAACCCTGCCGGCGTCTACTGAGAACTCAGCTACAGCTGCCACCTGTACAAGGGCGCCGCAGCAGCAGAGCAACCGGGCACTTTGCCTGCACCACTAAGAGCCAGGACACCGGGGACAACGCCGCCTCAGCGCCTAATTCAGGCACTCAGCCCAGCAGCTGCAGCAGGGCAGCAACCTTTGCCCTCGGCCGAAGCACCTTGGCTGCACAGTTCCCGGTGCCCGCGACCCGGAACTCTGGGCGCAGGCAAAAGAAGAGCGTACACTAGGCTGGGACAGTGGTCCACTCCATGACCCTGAGGCTGTCTGGGAAACTCCTTGTCAGGTGATGGGCCCAGCTGCAGCAGCCAGCTGCACATGGCGCGCGCAGCAGCCTTGGAGGCAACCCCAGACCAGGCTCCTACACCAGCCAGGCGGATCCCAGGGCCAGACGCCGCCCACCGGCTAATTCAGCTGGTCAGACCCCAGCTGCAGGAGGGCGGGAGCCGGCCGCTCAGCCATTTCCTGGCTGCTGCCCTGTACCCAGCGCTTGCACACCCCGCTGTGGGCTCCGGCAAGAAAGAGCTGACTCTAGGGTGAAAGGGCCCTGCACTCAGAGACCCCCAGGCTGTCTGGGACCAGCCCTGCCTGCCTCTGATGTAGGTTCAGCTGCAGTGGTAACCTGCACAAGGCGCGCAGCAGCAGCTGTGGCAAACTCCGACCCTGCCAGTGCCACCAGCAGTGCGGACCCTTGGGCCAGAAGCCTCCACAGCGCCTAAGTCAGGGTGTTGGTCCCCAGCTGCAGGAGGGCAGGAACTGGCACTCAGCCCCACCTCAGAGGCTGCATGATGCCCAGAGCCAGGGCCCAGCTCTTCTAGCGCAGGTTGTGGAGGGGCCAGGGGCCACCCAGACTGGAGGGCAGTGTCATGATCACAGCTCACTGAAGCCTCAACCTCCCAGTTTCAAGCTATCGTCTCACCTCAGCCTCCTGAGTAGCTGGTAGCTGGGACTGCAGGCGGGTGCCATCATGTCTGGCTATTATATTTTATATACATTTTGGAGAGACAGTGTCTCACCATGTTGCCCAGCAGGTCTTGAACGCCTGGAGTTCAAGCGATTCTCCCAACTTGACCTTCCTCAGTGGTGGTGGTGGGATTATATGTGTGAGCCACTGTGCCCTACCTGCCGCTTTCTTATAAGGATACTTGTCATTGGATTTAGGGCCCATCCTAATCCAAGATGAGATGCCCTCATCTCGAGGTGCTGGATTTAATTACATCTGCAGATTGTTTTCCAAATAAAGGTACATTCACATGTTCCAGGTAGACATATCTTTTGATAGACCACCATGCAATCCACTCTAGGAGTATTAAAGTGCCAGTGTGGACCGAGGCACCAAAGAATCACATTATTATGTCATATAACTTGCCTTATTTGTAGTGACCCGTGGGCTTGGAAACAGAACCATTTGCAGCTGTCAGGGAAGTGCACAGTGCCTGACCTTTCCTGCAGCCTCCTCCCCACTGGGCTTCCATGAGAGGATCACCCCTTGGAGTGTCCAGAGATTCCTGTTAAATGCTAAAGACCACAGGAGAGTTTGAGCGGGGGAAGATGTTTGGGGAGCAACTTAGTTGTCCTGAGGTGCCCATCACCCTTCACCGTTTCAGCAATATGGATCTTCCAAGGATCTGGGAATGGGAACCAGGCATAAGACAGATACATGTGAGTGAGAAGAGGCCAGAGTCTTTCTCTGTGTAGGCACCATCCAGCCCAAGATGAGCATTGTTCCAGAAACACATGCACTCATGATGCTAAACCCAATCTATTGAGGACTTAATACAAACTGTGATTTTTTTAAGCATTTAATTCTTACCACAGTCCTTTGTCATCTTATTATCTCCATTTTACAGATAAAGAAACAGGCACAGAGGGTTTAAGTAACATGTACAAGGTCACACAATCACAACTAGTAAAGCCAGGATTAAAGTCCAGTCAGTCTGCATTCAAAGCCTGTGCTCCTGCCCCAAAATGACAAGTAATGACTTAAAGGCAAGAAAAACACACTCTCCTCTACCCACCATCCTCATACAGACTTCCAGCCCAGGATCTAAACCATTCATTCATTTGCTCTCATATTCATTCATTCATTCATTCATTCAGTTCTTCATCACACATTTAGTGAAGCTCTGTCATGGAATGTCCAAACAGAAGGTACAAAAATGAGGCAGGTATATTTTCTCCCATCTAAAGGGGGATGACCACGTGAAGAGAACTGATGGGCTGTGTGTCCCATGGCCTTACAGGGCAGTGGTGGAGGGTGGCCCAGGTCATCCACTCTCTGGGGAGGCAGAACCAGAAGCACCAGTTGGACAACTGCTAAAGAGATGTTTGTGCAGCCTCATATGTTAAGTCCTATATTTTGAAAGCTTTTTAAATTTTTTCTTTAAGATTTTAGATGCTTACCACTGAGTACCAGAGGGATGTAGCCTGATGCCCTTATCAACAAAGTCAGGGATGGTGGCACACAAGGTTTGACTACTGCATACACGGTCACAGTGCTACCCCCAGATAGCCTGATTTCCCCTGCCTTCTCTGGTGGGGAGAAGGGCTGGCAGAGCCATTAGCATGGGCTTCAGCCAATCCTGGCCACTTTGATGCTCCTGGTGCTGACCCAGGGTCCTGGAGGATGGGCTGAGGCGGCGGGGTAGAGATGTTCAGGGCAGTGGCCCCTTTCCATCCACACTGGAACTATTTCAGTATTTTACCACCAATTCGGCTATTCCCTTATCGGCTGGCTGAACATCGGCCCTGCTCCAGGTCTCAGTTTCCCCTTTGTAAAGGGAAAGCCCTGGATTCAGGGGTGACTAGGTCATCATGGTCTTGAGATTCCAGGCCTGTAGGCAGGGGGAGAGAGGTTCACTAGGAGTGCAGAAGACCAAGGTTGGGGAGAGGCAGAGGAGAGAGTGGCCTCCCTTTGGCCCAGGTGGGAGATTCACAGAGACAACCTTCCTTCTTCTCCAAGGCAGGACTTGTTAACAGTGAGCTTCAGGCAGTCTGGCACTTGGGACTAACTAGGATGTCACCCTCCCTGCAGCCTCCACTCCATAGACAACATGAGAGGAGTGTGTAAGTATAACTAGGAACAGGCTAGTGTCCTGATATTCTCTGTGATAGAGGGGACAGCCCTCCTCAGAGACCCGGGGGAGCCCAGAACCATGGACAGCCTGAACACACTTTACTTTCTCAGCAGTGGCAACCAGAACCCTAGCCTACTAAAGCCGAAATTAAAAGGAGAAAAACCTAAATTCCTGCCTGTACCAGGCTGACTCACATCAAGGCCCTGCTAGGACTAAGCTAACTTTATATACAAGGCCAAGCAGAGCCCAGAAGGAATGGACTCCAGGAACAGGGATGAGAAGAACAAGTTCTTCTTATCAGCTTCCCCCTTTGAGATTCTTTCCTAGGCCAGTATCTCTTTGCTCTGCTCTCATAACTATTTTTGTAACTATTTCTGTAAGTTTGTAAGGATTTTGTAAGTTCCTGTTTTCCATCTGTGCAACACTGAGAAGGTCACAAGACATGTCTGAGCAAGCCTAAAATAGTAACCATCTGCTGAGGGCCTGCTGGACGGCCCAGCAGAGGTCACCAGGCATGTTTGAGTCATACACCTGTCACTGTTTGATTAACTGCCTTTGTTCTGCTTCTGTAAGCTTGCTAAGCCCACCCTGTGAGTTTCACGCAGCTGCATGCTTAAAAACCAGGCCCCATCTTTGTTCCAGGCTCAGCCTTTTGGATGCGAATCTACTAGGCCAGTGGCCACTTTAATAAAATCCTCCTGTCTCATCCATTGGTCTCTCCAGTCTCTTGAATCCCGCAACACTACAATGGCTCCAAGACAGCATGTGGGATCTAAGTAATAACTTTTTATTTTTTTTATTTTTTTTATTTTTGTACAAGACTGGGTCTGGCTTTTTCACCCAGGCTGGAGTGCAGTGGTGCAATCACAGCTCACTGCAGCCACCTCCTGGTCTCAAGCCACCCTCCCACCTTAGCCTCCTAAGTAACTTAGGACTACAGTTGTATACCACTATGGTTGGCTAATTTTTGTATTTTTTGCAGAGACAAGGTCTCACTGTATTGCTCAGGCTGGTTTCAAATTCTTGAGCTCAAGAGATTTACTAGTCTCAGCCTTCCAAAGTGCTAGGATTACAGGCACGAGACACCGTTCCTGGCCAGTAATTTTGTTTTATTATATTAAGGTGAGGTTTATACCACATTCTTCTGGTTACAGAAGTAATACGTGCTCATTGTATACACTGAAAAATGTAAGCAGTATAAAGAAGAAAATAAAAAAGGATATGAAAATCACTAGTGGTCCCATTGCCTACCGTAACATTATGTGCTGCTTCTTAATCTTTACTTCCTCTCCCTCCGTGTGTGTCTTTGTGTGTGTGTGTCTGTCTGTGTGGTTTTTTGTTTGTTTTTTTGGCACATAGTACAATAGCTGACATTTATATCTTCCCGACCAGTGTTGAGCATGGTGTTAAGCAATTGACAAAGTGTATTGTATTTAACTCCTACAGAAAACCTAAAAAGGGGAAGGGCAGTATAATTAATAGAATTTTCCAGATGAAAAGACTGGGGCCTGAGTTGAGGTTACATTTTATATATGGCATTATATTGTACTTCAGACATGTAACATAGTAAGTGTCCTGGAGAATCTTGGTCTGTTAGTCTGTATAATAACATAAGCATCTTTTGTGGGATTAATAGTTTTTCCAAAGCATGCCTGGGATGTTTGCATAATATTCTAGTGTTTAAATATGTTGCTTATTGCCAGGTGTGGTGGCTCATGCCTGTAATCCCAGCATTTTGGGAGTTCGAGACAGATGGATTGCCTGAGCTCAGGAGTTTGAGTCCAGCCTAGGCAACACGGTGAAACCCCATCTCTACTAAAATACAAAAAAATAGTGAGGCGTGGTTGGTGTGCCTGTATTCCCAGCTACTTGGGAGGCTGAAACAGGAGCATTGCTTGAACCTGGGAGAAGGATTTTGCAGTGAGCTGAGATCGTGGCACTGCACCCCAGTCTGAGCAACAGAGTGAGACCCCATCTAAAAAAAATGTTGTTTATCAAACCATTTTCATCTTTGAAACATTTCAGGTCTCTTCTTTGGCTTTTTCGCATTATTAATAATACTGTGATAAACATCCTTCAGCAGAAACCTTCATAGGCTAGCTTCCTAGAAGTAGAGGTATTAGGTCCAAGGTTTTGAATTGTTTTAAAGCTATTGATTTATCTGGATAAAATTGCTTCCAGAGATATTGTCCCATTTTGCTTTCCAATCAGTGGATCTCACCTTCAGTATTTTGTGCAATTAAAAAAAATAATGTTTCTCCTTTTAAAGATTATATTTAAAATAGCTTTTAAATATGAAAAATTTGTATCTACAAATAAGAGATAGTGACAAAAAATAAATAATAAAATAAACACAAGAGCAGAAAGTAGATTGAAACATTAAAATTCAAATCACAGGCCTCTGTTATGGAGAAGACAGCTGCAATAGCTTTTCTGTTCTTTTATCTACATTGGTAGGTTCTTCTTTTAATTAATTTTTACCCCAACTTAAGTGCTGGCTGGTTTGGCAATTTGTTGCTGGGATGGAAAGAAGAAATGTGCACCTTGTCTTTTGCAGGTTATGAGAGCCTTGTCTGTCCTTGTGGTTGTGTGGGTGTCTGTTAGATTATTGTGAATACTGAGCTTTGAAAATAACCTAACAGTCAATCAATTGCTGAGCTTCTATTACCAGTAGTGGGACATAATGTACATCATGTAGATAGGCAGGCTTGTCACTGACAAGGGGGCTGACCCCTGGAAAACCAGCACAGAGCCAGCTCTTCTGTGTGAATCCACTCTCTCCAGAATATACCATAAGTCATGGAAAGAAATAAGAGTCTCAGGAAATGAGACTCTTACCGCGATGAGAGGTGAACCTTGAAATCTATTTTAGCAATTAGGAAGAGAAGTCCCATTTCGCATCCCAAATCAAGTAGAGGCCTGCTAGTCCAAACATAGTTTCTGAATAACCTGAGTCACCTGGGCCCTGAGGAATCCTGGCCTCTTAGTCCACATTTGCAGAAATATCAGGAGGTCAATCAGGAAGCTGGTTAGGCAGCTCAACACAGGGTCAGAAAGCTCCTAGGTATGCAAATAAATGTGCACACTGGAAATTGAGTTCTGTAATTTTTCCATGACCTAGAAAATTATGATGATGAAAATGTTCTACATTCATGCTGCCTAGTTCAGTAGCCACTAGCCACATGTGGCTATTGAGTAATTGAGATGTGGCTAGTACAACTGACCAGCTAATGTTAAATTTTGTTTTATTTGAATTAATTTTAATTTTAATAGTCACCTGTGGCTATTGGCTACTGCACTGGATAGCACAGAGATGAGAAATAATAGAAACCTTTTTTGTTGTTGTTTCAATGGCTAACATTGTCAAAAGCTGAATTCCTGTTTTATGTAAAATTTTGGTTTATATTTTCTCAAAGAAGGGAAGTACAAAAAACAAAACAAAACAAAACAAAACAAAAGGATGATCAAGCAGAACTTTGGTAAGGAAGGGTGAAGCAGAGACACTTAACTCAGAGTGGGGAAAACAGCAATGACCTTGTTTGAAATGCAGCTCCTGTCTATGTGGCTCTCTGTGCTCTGTTGGGGTGTCAGTTCTTTACTTCTTAGTTAAAGCAGTTATTTCGGCGGTGCAATGCTTTTTTGTTCAATAAGCATGACTTTTTACACAGCTGGTTTATCTCCAGTATGGAAACTCTCTGCTTAATCATCTTGATTTCTCTGGGCTTGTTCCTACTCTGCAGATTTAAGCATGACACTTGTATCTCTCTCTCCAGGCTCTGATCTAGGATGACAGCTTCTATGATGTGCCCATCTACAGAAATATGCAAATTGCAACTTTAGGAAGATTAAAAGAGGGCCCTGCAAAAGGCATCTACAGGCCCCATGTGCTGTTCACCTTTCTTATTTATTGGTGAAGTGAGTCCTCATCCATTTATTGGGCAGTTGCAAGCAAAGGAATTAACTATGACAATTCACCTTGATGTACAACAATTTAGTCTGTTTGGAGTTTCCACTGTTGGAAAAAACCTAGTTATCTTAATTAAGAACAGTTACAGATAGTATAGTGATAGCTTTTTTTTTTTTTTTTTTGAGACAGGGTCTTGCTCTGTCACTCAGATTGGAGTGGAGTAGCATGATCATGGCTCACTGCAGCCTCAACCTCCCTGGGCTCAGTGATTCTCCCACCTCAGTCTCCTGAGTAACTGGGAATACAAGCACATGCCACCATGCCTGAATATTTTTTCTATTTTGTTTTGTTTTATTTGTTTTGTTTCGTTTTGTAGAGATGGGGTTTTGCCATGTCACCTAGGCTGGTATTGAACTTCTGGACTCAGGTGATCCTGTCTCCTCAGCCTCCCAAAGTACTGGGATTACAGGTGTGAACCAGCATGCCATGCCTATAGTGATACCTTTAAGTAACCCTCTCTTTTCTTCTTTTGGGCAATTTTTCAAAGCAACAGGCACTTTATTAAATAAGAAAGTTGATGTGCTTTCCTAATGCCTGCTAATAAAGTAAAGAACCAAGGAACCTCTGTGATTTCAATGAAATCCCTCCAGATGTTATAGGCTACTTGTTACAGACAGGTATGATAGGAAGTGTGGTCAAGCTGTGATAGGCAAATAGATCTTGCTGAAGAGGAAGAATGATTGGCTAAGATAATGTCCCAGGACAGCTGGCATACCTTTAGACACAGCTAAATTGAATGCTTTCTGAGGATGAGTGTATTAGTCTGTCTCACATGCTATAAAGACATACCTGAGAATGGGTAATTGAAAAAGAAAAGAGATTGAATTGGCTCACAGTTCTGTGGGCTGTACAGACTTATGCTTATAGGGAAGCCTCAGGAAACTTACAATCATGGCAGAAGGTGAAAAGGAAGCAAGCACATATTCACATGGCTGAAACGAGTCAGGGGAGGTGCTTTTTAACTTTTTAAACAAGCAGATCTTAGGATAACTTTATCATCAGACAGCACTAGGGGGATGAGGCTAAACCATTAGAAACCACCTCCATGATGCAAACACCTTCTACTAAGCCTCTCCTCCAACACTGGCAATTACAATTCCACATCAGATTGGGGATGCAGGGGTGCACAAATCCAAACCATATCAAGAAGCATGTTAAAAATTGAGGGAAGTTCTAATCAAATGGCAAGTCAGGACATGGCATTCCATCAACATAACACTCCTCTCAATACATTCCAAAATGGGAGAAAGGAAAAAGTGCAAGGATGAAGAAGGGACACAGCAAAATGACAAGATGACTAACAAGATGACCCCTGTGGAAAGCATTTACTGATTCAACAACCAAATAATGAAGAAAATAAGAGCAAATTTGCTGAGTTTCTATGCTCTTTATGTTTATTAGGGAAGGGCAAAAGCCAGTCCCTCGACATTGTTACTGTTAATTAACATCATCACTGCCTGCTCTTAAGTGTCTAGATACTTTCAAGAATCTAGTATTATCCTCACTTAAATGTTTTTTGGATGTGCCCTGTCATGCATGTGATATTGCAAAAAGATTCTACATTAACCACAGCAAGATGGCTATGTAATAATTGGGATCACTTTAGGGGAGCATATTTCTACCACATTTTGAGATGGAAAATGAAGTAAAGATATCCATTTGTCAATTTCTTCTACATTATGCCAAACATTCAAAGAGATTATTTTATTTATTTCAAAGATGTACACATGTTGAAATTAAAATTTAAATTAAGAAAATTTATAAACTGAGTCAAAAGAAAAGTAAGCGAGGCAGTTCTGCACGCCCTGAAGTGTCAGGCATATATGACTAAAGTATTCGGCATTTGGCCAGGTGTGGTAGCTCATGCTGTCATTCCAGGATGTTGAGAGGCTGAGGCAGGTGGATTGCTTGAGCTCAGAACTTTGAGACCAAGCAAGGCAACATGGTGGAACCCTATCTCTACGAAAAATATGAAAATTAGCCAAGCATGGTGGTGCTCGCCTTTTTATACCACCTACTGGAAAAGCTAAGGTGAGAGGATCATTTGAACCCAGGAGGTCAAGGCTGCAGTAAGCTCTGGTTGCACCACTGCACTCCAACCTGGGTGCAAGAGGGGGACCCTCTGCCCAGGACTCTTGGGATATGACTATACCCATAGGGACTGCCCGCAGTAACCTCACATTTGAGTGGAAGTGGAGATCATATGTACCTGTACCAATATGTAGTGAAAAAGGAAAACATAAGAAATCATGGCAGAAATGGCACAAAGTATAAAAGAGGCTTGGTGTAATTGACAGAGGCATTCTGGTGATAAAATTTGAACTGATTTCTGGAGAATGGGTTGAATTCCAATAGAGGGAGATGGACCAAAGTTAATTCTGATGAGGGAAATGTCTTGAGCAAAATCTAGAAAAGGGAAACATGCCCATTTTAAGTGTTAATGAGGGTCCAGTTGGGGTACAGTGCAGGAAGAGAGTTCTAGTGAAAAGGTAGTTGGTCTGATAGGACAGGGTCTTGCAGGCAGAGGCAGATACTATCATTATTCCATTGTTCAGATTGGAAAACAGACACAGAGAGCCCAAGGTCACAAAGCCAGAAAGTGAATCTGGGCAGTCTAGCGGTAGCACCCTCTTCTTAAATGATCTATTAAAGGGCCTCTTCTCCAGGCACTCTAAAACTCTTCTCCATCTTTAGCTCCCCCAGAGTACAGTGAGGCCCCCTGTCTACCTCACATGATGGGGTCTCAGAAAAGCAACAGATCCCAACTCATACTAGCTTTTAAATAAAAAAAAAAAAAACCTTGCAAAACAAGAAGTGCAGAGGTTGGGAGAGAGCCAGCACTGGTTAATTCAGCAGCTCAACAATAAATCCAAGACCTGGGTATTGGTTCACCTCTCCACACCACCATCCTCATGGGCCAGCTTCTACCTCCTCCTGAATGCTGTGTCTTTGCCTAGTTTTCTCCCTGATTTTAGCTCAAGTGCTGCTTCCTGGGGGCAACCTTTCCTGCCTCCCTCTTGGGGTCAGTCCACCTTCCCAGGCTCTTGCAGCACCCCTGGGTCTGCTGAACTTTCCCTTGTTACATAATTCTGTGACTAACATCACCTCTTTCTGTTAGACTCTCAGCTCCACTAGAGAAGAAATTCTGTGCATTTTTGCTCACTATTGAACCCTGGAGTCTACTACTCAAATATTTGTCAAATGAGTAAATGGTAGCTCTGTGCAGGGCCGAGGAACACAAGAACCACAAGAAACATGCAATCTGCCAAAATACTCATTACAGCTCACTCTCCTCTGGTGACATTTCCCTGAGGCACATTCCTGTTGGTTTCTTCCCCTCAAGAAGCATTCTTCTTTCTCCTTCCTATAAAAGCCAGGATTTTCTCAGATAGCCACACCATGCCCCATGCAAAGAGATTTGGATTATTCTATCATCTTGAGGCATTTCTGTGGAAACTGCTGTCAGTCCAGGTGGCCCATGACCTAAGCTGACCCAAGCCGACTGAAGGGAGGACGTATTCTATGCACTCTATGCAGTTCCACAGGGTGCTGGTTGTCCCGGCTGCTGCTGGTGGTCTTCATGTAGCCAAGGTATCACTAGTGCATATGGAGAAAACAGAGCAACTGGAGAGAAACCGAGTAGGTAAAAGTGGGCAGGGCTTGGTGATGTTTGGGGATATGATATGAGCGATAAGACAGAGGATGGTCTTAGGAAAATCTCCTGTATTTTCCTTTTGGACAATGGTATAAATGAATAAAAGTTCCAATCACTGGGATAGAAAACACTTGGAAAATATGAGATTCATTCAGGCAAGCCTTTCATACACTATTCCATAATCAGTTTCATAAGTGAAAGGGAGTCAGAACTCATTTCTACCTTGTTTGCTTCTATCATACTGTGTTGTACCCTGTTGGATCTACTTATCACATTCCTCCTGCTAGTGGACTTACCTGCTAATGTTTGCACTTCTGCCTTGCCAGCATGGAACCTCTGAGACAGCAGGAGCAGTGTGTGTGCATGCATGTGTGTGTGCACTTTTGTGTGTGTGTGTGTGTGTGTGTGTGTGTGTAATTGGATTCCCCACAGCACATTATTGTTTTATCCATAGTAAATGGTGGATGAATATTTGCAGGATTTAGCTGGACTGCAGCATTGTGGAGGTCAGATAACCACATTTTGACAGACAAGTTGCATTCTAACCTTGAAGCAGACAAAATGCCCATCTTATCAGCCTCGCTCACATCAGCTGTGCCTTTCCTTTGTGGTTGTATGTTTATGAAGCTCATCCAACAAGCTTCTTAAAAAGGGGATTGGACCTTCGCCAGCCTCAGGCTGCATGGCAGGGTGACTGTGTCTTTGAATATCCCAGATGGAGGCTGGTCACCCTTTTGTCTTTGGGTGAATAGACTACTCAGGAAGGCAGGGATGCAGGCACCCCCATTTCTTGGTAATGAGTTTGCAATTTATTTTGGCAGATCTAAAATAATAATTCAAAGGCAGTGTAGAAGAAGATGGGGACATTACTTTTAATTGTTTAATATTGTTATGACATGACATGTGCTTACAGAAAGAGAGGCAAGCCACCATCTTCAAGGGAGGGCATAGTCATCGACTGTGATCCTGGTGTCCATGTTGGAATATCATGGCAACTGTCTCCCAGCACTGAACTCGATGACTTCTGCTGCATTCCCAGTGTTAGCTGAGTTGCTTAATTTACTTTCTTCAACGCCATGTGTGAAAGGGAAGCTAGAAAACTGCACTATGTATGGCTTCGTGCACTGAAAATTTGACATTATCAAAGGAGGCATGAGCTTGTTTCTCTCTATCCCTCTCCAAATGTTTTCTATAATTATATTCAGAGGCTCATGGGTCTTACCATGGGTGATCAAGGAAGGGCTGGTAACTCTTTCAACCACAGGTAAAATATTACAAACATCTGAAATATGCATTTTTACAGGTGAGAGAAATGAGGCCAGAAAAGTTAAGTGCATCATGTTGAGTACAATTTTATTTGGTGATCAGGCAGCCCTGGGTTCAAATCCTGGCTCTATTGCTACCAATTAAGCCACTTAACTCCATCTGAGCCTCAGGTTGCCCATCTGCATAATAAGCAGTAATAGCAGCTGTCCTGCAGGACTACTGTGAGAATTACAACTCAGGCAATGATCATGATATTTCTTGGCACAGAGGTGTTCACTACCTAGGTAGTGTTATTATTATTAGGCCTAAAGTCACAAAGGGAGTTTTTGAGAACGCTGGAATGAAAACTTGTTCCTCTCAGCTCTGAGCTTATTAGAGCCCACCGTTTTGCATGAATAAAGCAGCCCTGGAGTCTCTCAGGGGAGGGTGTTTGTAACATCTGTTCAGGCACGGTTTCATTTGCTATATACCCAGAGACTAGCACGGTACAAGTTGTGGGGAGATACTCATGTGAGTTGGCGGACTTTGGGTCAAATATTTTCCCTAAACCCAGGTCTCTATGGCATTCTACAGTACACTCTGCATCCTTCTAAGGGACACTGGAAGAGCAAATGGATTGTACAGTGAGTTACAAATAAAATGGCCAATCTCAGCATGAAAGGCTGGGGGTGTTACCTGAATGAGGATGCAGACCACTCCATCTACATACAAGCAAACCTAAGTGACCATGAGCCTGCCGGAAAGAAATCACATGCTATGTAAAGGCTTAGTAACAGTGATGAATATTTGAACTTGAACTCCAGCTCCAGAGCAGTTCAGTGGCCTCTCTTCCAGGAACAGAAGCCAAAGCAGCTCAGGATTCTTGAAGGCTCTGAAAGGTCAGTGACAATCCTGGTATATGTCAAGACTTTCCCACCAAAGAAGGGCTCCATGTGTAGAGACTTAGAAAGGATTCCCAACTTCCGCCCCTTCAAAACCAGAAACAAAGGTGGGGGACAGCCCAATTAAGTGGCCCTAGAGATTTGCCCAGGAGCTGGAGCCCTCCGGAGAAGTCCAGTTTTCCTATGCAGGGAGAGGACTGGGAGTTCTCTGGTCACAAGCGTTCTGCCTTTGTTTTCATGAAGCTATGTCTCTTACCTGGTAAGAAAAATGGAACTTCATGCAGCTGCTGAAAACTTTAACCAAAACCCAAAGATGCTGGCACAAAGAAAGGAGGCCTGAAGAAAACAAGTGACCATGGAAACACATTTAGCTCTTAATCTGACCAATTTCTCATGGGCCAGGCCTGGTGCCAGGAATGCTGTGATGAATAAGGCCTGAGCTGAGATTGTGAGGATGAGACGGAGTCCACCCTGTGGGGATCTGGGATGATAGAAGGGCTCCGCAGATAGAGGACCCGGTGGCCAGAAGTTCTGCTGAGTGGAAAAGGGCTCGGAGTAACTGAGGTCAGCTGGATTCCTTAAACATTGCCCAGAGCCCTTGAAGCCATCTAAGGGCACACTTCTCAGGCCTGCTCCGAACCACACTCAACTGGGAATCTTTTAAGGACAGCTGCTCTGTTAGGCTTGCCTGAGATGGTGCAGTTTTCCCCCGCGGCGGCAGAGGCACAGACAGTTAAGAATGCAGGAGCGGGGCCTCACAATGCCTTGGACTAGGGCAAAGGAGGACCCCCGCCTCTCCCCTCCCGGGGCTAAGACATGGGAGGACCCCGACCGGTGGATCCATTGACTCTGGCACCAGAGGATCCCCGCTCTCCAGCGCCCTAGACTGAGGCAACAGAAGACCTCAGAACTGCTCCATCCTGAACTAGAGCACAGTGGGACCCGCGACCTGCCGTGGTCTCAGGCACTGGAGGACACCTGCAACGCCGTGCGCTAGACTATGCTACTGAAGGACCTCTACCGCGGCTCAGCCCTGGACTAAGGCACCGGAGGATCCCCGCCCTGCCCCGCCCCGCGGTGTCCTGGACTGTGCACTGCAGAACCCCCACCCTTCCACACCCTGGACTCTGGCTCCCGAGGACCTTGGCCCCGGCTCGCCCTGAACTACTCCTGCCCCTCAGCGCCCTGGACTGTGGTTCCAGAGGACCTGGTCCTGGGGCAACTTGTGCTACCGCGTGGACTCCAGGACCCCAGTCCTTCCACGCCCTAGACCAAGACACGGGAGAACCTCTGACTCGCCGCCCCCGAACTAGGGCACCAGAGGACCCACACCTTGCCGTGCCCCGGACTACAGCACGGAAGGACCCCCGATCCGCCGGGCACTGGGCTCCTGCACAGAGGGACCCCCGCCATGGAGGTCTGGACTACCCCTGCCCCACCGCACCCTGGACTACTGCACGCCAAGACCCTCGCCTGAACACGCCCTACACTCTGGCATGGGGGAACCCGGCCCCGCAGAGCCCTGGACTCTGGCATTGGAGGACTCCTCGGCTAGGTTCTGGACTCCTGCACCAGAGGACTCCTGCCCTGCCACACCCTGGACACCTGCACTAGAGAACCCTGCCCCGTCGCCCCCTAGACTATGGCACGGGAGGACCCCTGCCACCGACTTCGGCACGGTAAGACCCCTGACCCGCCTTGCACTGGATTCCAGCACTGGAGGACCCCCTGCCACGGCGCTCTCTGGACTACCCCTGCGCCACCGCGTCCTGCACTACAGCACAGCAGGACCGCCGTCCCACCGCGCACTGGACTGAGGCACAGCAGCACCCGGGCCTCGTGGTTGGTGGACCGCAGGACGAGGTGACCCCCCGCCCCGCTGCGCGTTGGACTATGGCACAGGAGGACCACCATTCCCGCATGCCCTGGACCACTGCAGGACAGGTCCCCCACTCCGCAGCGGCCTGGAATATGGCACTGCAGGACCCCCGCCCTGCTGCTCCACGGACTCCACCACTGAAGACCCTCGCCCCCCTGCACCCTGGACAAAGGCACGGGAGGACCCGGCTTCACCGCCCAGTGGGCTATCGCATAGGAAAACCCCCAGCCCACCCCCATCGCGCCAGAGACTCTGACAAGAGAGAACCCCTGCCCCCTGCTCCCCGGACTACAGCAAGGCAGGAACCACCCTCCTCCAGGATCCTCACTATGGCAACTGTGGAACCCCGCCCTGGTACGCCCTGGACTAAGTCACCGAAGGACCCCGACCCCACCACACCGTGAACTCCAGCACTGGAGGACCATTGCCTTACTGCGGACTCAAGCACTGGACTATCGCAGGGCTGGATCCCTGTCCCGCCATGCCCTACACTATGGCACGGGAGGACCCAGCCTCACTGAGCTCTGGACTCCAGCACCGGAGGACACCTACACGGAGGACTCCTGCTCCGCCACGTCCTGGACTCCTGCACAAGAGAACCCCCGCCCCGCGGCACCCTGGATATAGCAAGGCAGGAATCCCGCCCTGCAGTGTTCTGGACTGCGGCACCTGAGAATCCATGCCCCATCGCGCCCTGGACTGCTGCTCCACAGGACTCCTGTTCCACTGCACCCTGGACTATGGCACCAGAGGACCCAGCCCCCTGGCGTCTTGGACTAAGGCACAGTAGGACCCCGCAGCATCGTGTACTCCTGCACAGGAGGACCCTCGCAGGGCTGCGTCCTGGACTGAGCTACTGAAGGAGCCTCACCCCTGCCTCACCCTGGTCTAAGGCACTGGAGAACTCTTGCTCCGCAGAGCTGCGGACTCTTGCACGAGAGAACCTGCGCCCAGCCGTGCCCTGGACTGTGGCACAGTAGGGCCCACACCGGGCCATGGACTCCTGTACTGGAGGAAGAGTGGTGATAAATGTCCAGGTTTACAAGTTGAAAAGTAGCAGTCAATGTGCTACAATGGATGGATTTGATGTAAAATTACAAATGCTGAAAACATTATGTGTAATTGCCTAGCCAGATCAATTACACAAGACAAAGAAATAAAAGAAATCCATATAGGGAAGGAAGAGGTAAGATTGTTTCTGTTTTCTGAAAATATAATCTTAAGATACAGAAAATCTTTTTTTATTATTAATGTTCTATTTACTTATTTTTATAATATTTTATAAATAAACTTTATTCATATAAAACAGGCCAAACATCTGACATTCAAAAATGGCTACTGTTATAAAATCAGAAACATAGTCAGAGTGTTGGGAATATTGAAATTTCTAAATCTTTATGAATAACACAATCACTTAAGTTATATCCACAAAGAACAGAAAAGAGGCAAGCTTGAAAATATGAGGATAGAAAGATGTCACAGTGATGTGTTTTTAGAAACAGTACCTTCACCTCTAAGCAACTTTCAGGTAGGTGATAGCTAGCTCATAGGCACCAGAAATTCATAACAGAAATTAAATTACCCAAAAGGCACAGAAGAAAATGTTAACACAAGTATAAAAGTAATTTTATGTAAGGTTAAAACCTATTTTTAAAATGCTTCCAAATATGTAAAACTATACACAAGTCCATTACACATTCAGCTTAAGTTTACCATTAAAAAGTGTACACACAATACTGTAACTGTAAATACATGCCACCGTTTATAATGTAGCATTTACCACCACAGCACCCAAAGATATTAACAGAAACCAACTCCCCACTAAAATCTAGGGAAAGGTTTTAGAGCTAGTGAAATAATTTATTGCAGACCGTATTTATTATAAAGAAACTATTGGCTCATTCTACTGTATCCACACTCCCTCACAATCTTAAGGGAGATACAATAAGTCCACTCTCTTCTCCTAAAATGATATTTAGCACATTTGACAAGGAGGAGTGGTTGCTTTATTCCTTTTTCTTATCTTTTTTTCTTTTTCTTTTTTTCTTTCTTTCTTTTTTTTTTTTTTTAAGAATAAATCACTTTCACAAAACTGAGACTCAAACTTTTTTGAAGCTCACCTTGATTTGCTGGAACTACACAGAGACATGTTTGATCACACAACAGCAACTGTACATCCTCCCAAGTCTGGAATACGGAACTGATGGAGGACACTTACTTGCTTAAAATGTATTTGATTATTCTGCATTTATGATAAAAATATCATCCAGGGATCATATTCAAGAGGGTAAATTTAGGATTACATGTTTCTAGAACATATAATATGTAATGCCATCCAAAACCAACAACAAACAACATAGAGCACTGAAACCGAAGAGCCACTTAAAATTTAGAATTAGGAAATTTCAATCTATAATTGTCAAACAATAAGTGAGTTATAATAGTTTTCTAATTAGAAAAATATCACCTAAAGTGGAAAGCCAGCATTTAGTTGGGGACTATGAGATACTACATCCTTGGTCTGGCTGGCCACCATTTTAAAGACCACCACAGATCTCAAGGCATGAGACCTCTCACCAACAAAATCTATCCCTGCTATTGCACCTAGTGCCATCTCAATATGTGGCAGACAGCAAATGTTCTAACTTAATCTGATAGATGCTCCTTTAGCATATAAAAGAGCTTGCTAAGTCCCTATTACCTGTAGCAGTCTATCAACTAAATATTTAAGAAGTCATTTCATAGGCAAGGTTTATGAATGACTTAGAAGTAAAATTAGTAATTTCTAAACCACTGTAGTGTTTTCTATGTTTTTAGAGATATTCCTAACACAGAGTTTTCCGAGGAGCTGTGAAAACAAGTACAAACGTACATAAGTAATTTTGTCAGGGATGTTTCTGTACTAATTTGGGGGAGACTTGTGGGCCATAAATAAATGAGATACACATCCTAAAAATAATGGTAAAAATTATCAAGTACCACTTTCAGATGGTTACTCAAGTATCAACTTGGTATGCAAGTAAGTTCACCGATTTCTTCACCTATGATTTCATACTCAAAGTGCTACATCTTACTTAGGTACTGATAACATTTAGAAACCTTTATAATCAGCCTCTTAAAGAAAATCCAGCCTTTTCAGATGGTAAACTTGTCTTTACTAACTTTAATGCCCGTAACTATTTCGATATAACCAAACAAAAATTTTTAAAAATATATTCCTTACAGCTCCTGATTAACTTATTTTTTGATACATTCTGAGGCTAGTAACAAAATTTAGACCAGAATAGGTTTTCATATATCAAAAAAAGGAAAGGAACACGGAGAGCACAGATGAGACGTATGGAGGCTCTATACTATAGACCCATCCTTGCTCTGTGCGGGAATCATCACAGGAATCGCGCCCATTCGACTTAGATTAGGGGCAGCTACCTTAGCAGGTGGGAGAGTCGGACTCTGAGGAGTGCGTTCAAAGTCTTCACTTGGTACTTGTTTATACTGAGTCTTGGAATATCCTTCCATGTTGGAAGGAGATATGGATCCCAGGGATGAATGATTACTGCCTATGTAGCTTCTGGCAGTGGACGTGCGGCTCTTTGGAGGCGGCACATCTTCCTTGATATCGTGATGAACTTCCTTTTCATATTTTTCTTCTCTGCGCTTTTTACGACAGCAAAAGATGATAAGACCAATGAGCACTAGAGCAAGCAAAGTTCCTATAATGGCTCCTGCAATTAGTCCAGCTTTATTTGAAGGAGGGACAACGTTTACACGCAACAGGCACTGATCAGAGCCCACTCTGTTTCTGATGTACAGCTGTATGTCCCAGAGTACTCAGAAGAAGCATTTTTACAGATATAACAGATGAAGTCATTTCTGCTAACCATGAAGTGGGCATTTTCTGTGAGTCAGACAATTTTTGCCACTCATACTGTAATGGAAGTGAACCTTCTTTTGGTTCACATTTTAATTTAAAGTCACTTCCAATTTCTTCTGATCCATCAACGTAACATCTTGTACCTGAAGGCTTACCAAGAACTACCAGCTGAATCTTCCTATTTGCAACACCAGGAGCTCTTTTCACTTTGCACTGATCTGTGCCAATATCTGACAGCTGAAAATTCGTTACATTTATTGATGCATCACCAGATTTGAGATCATTACTCTTAAAATGTACTCGGCCTTTCAGATCTGGATAGTAGTCATCATAAATTTTGTCTCCAGAATATAAAATAATCACTTGATCCACCTTCTGATTATCAGCTGGTGATATCAGCCACTCGATGTCCAGTGGTCCCTGGTCTTCAGGACTAAGCGTAAATTTGCATGGCAGATAGGCAGTTTCCCCTTTGGCTTTTTCAATCATCTGCTCAGGAGTAGTGATACTCCAACCTCTGATGAAATCCGCGGCTCTGCACAGGAGCACGAAGCGCAGCAGGAGCGCCATGGTGGCTGCCGTGCCGTGGGCGGCGGCTGCAGGTAGGCGGCTCTCGCTCCAGGTCCTAGGCTCCCCGCGCCTGGCGCACTCAAGGTAGAGAAAATCTTAAAGACTCCACCACAATAAACGGTTAAAGCTGATAAAGAAATTCAATAAAGTTAATAGTTACAAAATCATACAGATAGCATTATTGTTTCTATACATTAATGACAAACTATTACCTGAAAAATAAATTAATAAGGCAATTCAATTTATAATAGAATCAAAACAGATATAAAAATATGTAAAAGACTTAGGAGTAAATTTAATCAAGAATGTGAAAGATTTGCACACTGAAAACTATAGCACATTGATGAAAAAAGTTAAAATGGCATAAATAAATGGAGAAACATCCTTTATTGATTGATTCAAAAATTAGTATTGTAAAAGTGTCAATGCTACCCAAAGCAATCTACAGATTAAATGCAACCACTATCAAATTCCCAGAAATAGAAAAATTACTGCTAAAATTTGTATGAAACCACAAAAGACCCTGACTAACCAAAGCAATCTTGAACAAAAAGAATAAAGCTGGAGGCATCAGACTACCCGATTCCAAACTATATTACAAAGCTATAGTAATTAAAACAACATAGCAGTGGCATAAAAACAGACATGTAGAACAGTGCAAAGGGATATAGAACCCGTAAATAAATCCGTATGTCTGTGGTCAATTGACTTTTTGATAAAATAACTAAAAATACACAATGAAGAAAGAAAATTATTTTCAATAAATGGTGTAGAAAAAACTGACTATCCACATACAGAAGAATAAAATTTGACTTTTCTTTTGCTCTTTATACAAGCATGAAATCAAAATTAAAGACTTAAATGTAAAACTACTACAAGGAAATATAGAAGAAGACTGTATGACATTGGCCTGAGCTATGATTTTCTGTAGATTATTCCAAAAGCACAGGCAACAAAAGCAAAAACACATGAATGAGATTGCATAAAACTAAAAAGCTTTTCCACAGGAAAAGAAGTGATAATAGAATGAAGAGAACCCACAAATGGGATAACATTTTTAAACCATACATCAGATAAGGGGCTCATATAATAATATATAAGTAACTCAACCTACTCAAACATAAGAATAAAACTATGCTTATTAAAAAAAATAAGCAAAGAACCAGAATAGACATTTCGTAAGGCATACAAAAGGCCAACAGGTACATGAAAAAATCATAAACATTTCTAATTATCAGAGAAATGCAAATCAAAGCCACAATGAGATATCACCTCACACATTTTACTAGGGCTATTATAAAAAAAGATGGAAGATAAGTGTTGATGAGGATGTGGAGAAAAAGAAACCCTGTGCACTGTTGGTAAGAATGGAAATTAGCACAGCCATCTTGGAAAACAGTATGAAGCTTCCTCAAGAAATTATAAATATATTTACCCTATGATCCATCAATCCCACTTCTGGATACGTGTCCAAAGGAATTTTAATCAGTATGTCAAAAACAGACATCTGCAATTTCATGTTCATTGCAGCATTATTCATAATACCCATGAATTAGAAACAACCTAAGTGCTTATCAACTGAAGACTAGATAAAAATATGTGGAAAAATTGGAACCCTTCTACACCACTGGTGAGACTTTAAAATGTAAAGCAGTCTCGCAGTTCTTCAAATGGTTAAACATAGAGTTATCACGTGACCCAGCAATTCCACTCCTATGTGTTTACCAAAAAGAAAATAAAACAAATGCTACACAAACAGTAGTACACAAATGTTTATAGCAACACAAAGTAGAAAACAACAGAAATGTTCATCAGCTGAGGAGTGGATAAATAAAATGTGGTGTGTCCATAAAATAGAATCTTATTTAGCAAGAAAAGGTAAAAAACTGTTAATGCATGCTCCAAAATGGATGAACATTAAAAATATGTTAGGTGAAAGATGTGAGTAAAAAGTGACTATGTGTTATTATAATTCCATTTATGTGAAATGTCCAGAATAGGCAAATTCATAGTCAGAAAGTAGACGAGTGGTTGCCTAGACTAGGAGGGGTTTAAAAAAGACTGGAGAAAATGGGGAAAGATTGCTAATGGGCGCAAGTCTCTTTTAAGGAAAATAAAATGTTCTAAAATTATATTATGATGATTATTTGTCCATCCAGTTAATATACTAAAAGAATTTGAAGTTTGTACTTTAAATGAGTGAATTACACAATGTATAAATTATATCTCAATAAAGCTGTGGAAAGTTAAAAGTATATGTAGGATGCATACAAAAATACTACTTATCTTTATAAATGAATGAAAATCTGTCATTTGCAAAAACATGGATGAATTTAGAGGACATTATGCTAAGTAAAATAAGCCAGACACAGAAAGACAAATATCTCATAGTATCACTTATATGTGAAATCCAAAACTGTGCACTCATAGAAGTTAAGAATAGAATGGTGGTTTATCAGAGGCTGAGCAGGGTGGGGGGCAGGGGTGGAAAAAGGGGAAATATTGAATGGGATAATGCTTCAGTTAGGAGAAAGACATTCTGGTGATATGGTGCACAGCAAAGTGACTGCAGTTACTCATAATGTAGTGCATATCTTAAAAGTGCTAAAATAGTACATTTTAAATGTTTCACCATAATGTAATACATATCTGAGGTGAAGGATACGTTATTTAGCCTAATTAGTCCATTTCACAATATCTACATGTATCGTACCACATTGTACCCTATATATATTTATTTATCAATAAAATCAACATTTTAAAAAGTGAGGAACACAGATGTGCTAGATCTTCATCTAAAGACATTTCTGAGAAAAGTGTATCTGTTTTCCTTCAGAAGAAATTTACACTTAATAGATATTATGGTAACTAAAGTAAGGCAGATAATTTTGGCCATCAGCTTTTATTGTGGGATAATCTCTTTTTGCTGACCTTGTAAAAGCTGTGGCATATTAACAAGTAGGAACATTTTTTTTATCATGATCAGGTAAAGATTCTGCAAGTTTCTATTTTGAATATTTCCCCAGGAATCACAAAGTGTGAATGCCTTTTATTTCAGAGGTCTAGCCCTAAATGGTTTAGTCAATTACATCATGCATTCTGAAATAAGTACTGGTGCATTTGGGAAGGTACTATATATAATTGTGTTTTAAATTTAACTATCATATAAATCTACTTTTCTAGTTAACAGTTTATATTTTATAGAGGCCCTCCATATACATAAGAGCTTTTCTGATAGTATATCCATTAGATTTCAAAGATAAGTAAAGGAACAATTTTGCTTTTATTTATTATTATTATTATTTTTTAAGGCTAGTCAAGTGAAGCAGTGGGAGTGGAGAAGGAACTGCTTTAATTTTTATATGTTGGTGTTACAGGCTATATGTGACAGGCTGTATATTTTTCTGCTGAATTTTAGAAACAAAATGAAATATTTATTTCCTATTTCATTAGATTTAGGGATGATGATTACATTGAGGGGTTGGGACTAGACTGAAGGCACCACATCATCAATCACTTGGAAACAATATTTTGCCTATGTGTTATGTTATATTGACAAAAACTTTTATTGTGGCAGGCAATATAGCTCCCTATTGAAATATGTGAAAAATGTAGAGAAAAAAGGACAATATTAGTTATCAAGGGATATTTAGGCCTGAGATGCATGATGCTAATATTCAAAACATACACTTTTTAAAAATTAGATTTAAAATGTAAATTGAAGCAGAACATTTAGAAAAAGACATAATATCTACTATAAAAGTCCTGGGTTAGAAAAGTTAAAATGCTAAATGAAAAAATAATGCTTCTTGGGTGGCTTAAAATCGAATATGAGACAAAAGATTACTCAGAAATTTTTCTAAGATTAAAAACGTGTATACAGTTTCTTTGATATAAAATGAAATAAATGTCTGGATATAACTTTAACAGAATAGAATAGGGAGACAAGGGCAACGAGCAGGTGTATGTAGAATAAAGTGAACATATTATTGTAATAATGAGAGGGACAGAGTTGAATGATTGCTCTTGGAGACAAGGGATTTTGATGTCTAAGTTAATGACAAATCTTTTGTTTGCAAGTTTAAAAATGTAACTTAAACCTGGTGAAGGAATAAAGGGTGGTTGGAGGGATGATTCTTTGTACACTAAACTTATTTTAATGACTAATGAATTAATCATAAGTTCAAATGATTTTATGGAGGCCCTTTCTTTATTTGATATTTCTGGACTCCTTTTTTCTTTGTGTGTGCTCCATTTTTACCTACTTGAACAATTTTTACCCCCAAAGTTTAGGAAACACTGTAACCAAATGTTCCAACATGATATAATCCCTGAAGGCATTTGCAGCTGGGGGAGTAGGGGAAAAGGGGTTTCTCTTTCAACAAATGCATGTTAACCTCGGTGAAAACTCAGAAGTTTAAACATGGTCCCCCTTGGGTCATGTGGCTACCCCAGGACCAATCATTGCACCAGACATAGGAGATAATCTCAAAAGCCAGGTTGGAGTCAAGGTTCTCCAGTGGAATTTCCACTTTAGAAATCAGTTTTGTCAGGCTTTGTGTTTGCATATTACAGACATGATAGCCATATAGCTATCTATTCCAGTAGAGATGAAAACCTAAGAGCATATGCCCATTCAAAGGATTTTACATGAATCTTCATAGCAGCTTTACTTGCAACAGCCAAAACCTGAAAATAGTCCAAATATCCATGGACAGGTGAATTTGTGACTTATAAACTTACTATGGTATCTGTATATAATGAAATAATACTCCCTAGTAAGAACAGAACAATTGATAGATGTAGCAACATGAATAAATCTCAAAAATAGTGATGCTGAGTGATCAGAAAGTATACATACCCTATGATTTTATGTATTTGGAAATAAAAACTCACGGATAGTGACTAGAAGTGGATCAGTGGTTGCCTGTGGATGGAATGGGGATAGGCAGGAAAAAGTGAGTAGAAAAAGCACAAGGAAACTTTGGTGGTAAAGGTAATGGATATGTTTGCTATTTTCATATGTTGTTGGTTTTGTAGAGCTACAAATGCCAAGAATTATCAAAATGTACAATTGAAGTATGTGCAGTTTATTGCATGTAAATAAACCTTTTAAAAATTAACCGATACAAATTGACTTACATGACCAGAAAGCTCTTGAAAAACTCTCCTGTTTTCTCCCCTATTTTTATTCTTGCATGCCCTTATAGCCTGTGTTAACACATTTCTCATCTTACCGTTATTTTGTGTCTACATTTCACCAAGTCAATATAACTATCACCATAATTTCTTGGTTTCTCTTTAGTTCATTAGTAATTATGAGTAATGTATTGAAATGTTAAAGATATGTTCATGCATTCAGAATGCTCTGCTCTCTGATCCACATAATAGTGAATTATGCTCTCAATAATTACACAGTATAGTAATTTTTTTTTTTTTTTTTTTTTTTTTTTGAGACGGAGTCACACTTGGTTACCCAGGCTGAAGTGCAATGGTGCATTCTGGGCTCACTGCAACCTCCACCTCACGGGTTCAAGTGATTTTCCTGCCTCAGCCTCCTGAGTAGCTGGGATTACAGGCATCTGCCTTCATCCCCGGCTAATTTTTGTATTTTTATTGGAGACAGGGTTTCACCATGTTGGCCAGGCTGGTCTTGAACCTCTGACCTCAGGTGACCTGCCTGTCTTGGCCTCCCAAAGTGCTGGGATTATAGGCATGAGCCACCACCCCTGGCCAGAATATTGCTACTTTTGCAAATAGCTACAATTGACCCTGATCTGGACTTTGAGTTGATCACAGCTTTGTAAAAGAGGATAGCATTGTAAAACTGCAAAATTAGACTAATAATAACATAGAATGCTTTCAGTATAAGAAATAATACTATCCTAAGCAAAAATAAATAAATAAATAAAACTGGAGGAATTATATTATCTAACTTCATATTATACTACAGAATTACAGTAACCAAAAGAGTAGGGTACTGACATAAAAAGAGGCCCATAGATCAATGAAACACAATAGAGAACCCAGTAACAAATCTACATACCTACAGTGAACTCATTTTTGACAAAGGTGCCAAGAACATACACTGGTGGGAAATGGTGTTGAAAAAACTGGATATCCATATGCAGAAGAATGAAAACAGACTAGTATCTATCACTGAATACAAAAGTAAAATCAAAGTTGATTAAAGATGTAAAGCTAAGACCTCAAACTATAAAACTAGTACAAAAAAACTTTGGGGGAAATCTCCAGGATATTGGTCTGGGCAAAAATATCTTGAGCAATACCCCACAAGCACAGGCAACCAAAGCAAAAATGGACAAATGGATCACATTAAGTTAAAAGCTTCTGCACGGAAAATGATACAAGCAACAAAGTTAAGAGATAATCCACAGAATGAGAGAAAATATTTGCAAACTACTCATCCAACAAAGGATTAATAATCAGAATATATAAAAAGCTCAAACAACTCTTTAAGAAACAATCTAATAACCTGGTTAAAAAAAGGGGGCAAAAGATTCGAATAGATATTTCTCAAAAGAAGACCTACAAATGGCAAACAGGTATAAGAAAAGGTGCTCAATATCACTGATCATCAGAGAAATGCAAATCAAAACTACAATGAGATATCATCTCACCACAGTTTATAAGACTTGTATGCAAAAGACAGGCAGTAACAAATGCTAGCAGGGAAGCAGAGAAAACGGAACACTTGTACATTGCTCCTGGGAATGTAAATTAATAAAACCACCAAGGTGAACAGTTTGGATGTTTCTCAATAAACTAAAAGTTGAGCTAGCATATGATCTAGCAATCCTACTGCTGGGTCTATACCAAAAATAAAGGAAATCAGTATGTCAAATACATATCTGCACTCCCATATTTGTTGCAGCACTGTTTACAAAACTAAGATTTGGAAGAAACCTTAGTGTCCATCAACAGATGAATGGATAAAGAAAATGTGGTACATATACACAATGGAGGACTATTCAGCTGTAACAAAGAACAAGATCCAGTCATTGTCAGTAACACTGATGGAACATTATGGATCATTATATTAAGTGAAATAAGCCAGGCGCAGAAAGACAAATGTTACATGTTCTTACTTATTTGTGGGATCTAAAATCAAAACAAACTCATGGACATAGAGAGTATAAGGATGGTTATCAGAGGCTGGGAAAGGTAGTTGGGGGGGGATTTTGTGGGAAGGTGGGGATGGTTAATGGGTATAAAAATAGAGAGTTAATAAGACCTACTATTTTATAGCACAATAGGGTGACTATATCCAATAATAATTTCGTTGTACATTTTGAAATAACTAAGACTGTAATTGAATTTTTTATAACTTGAAGGATAAATGCTTGAGGGGAGGGATACCCCATTCCCCAAGATGTGCTTATTTCACCTTGCATGCCTGTATCAAAACATCTCAGGGACCCCACAGATACATACACATACTATGTACCCACAACATTTTTAAACAATCTAATACAATTTTTTAAATGGCTCTTATTTTTTGTTAACTTCAATTATTGTAAAATATATTCTATTATTTATGATTTGCCTTGTTTGAAAACAAATTTTAAAAACACTATTTAAGACCAGATAAATGGACTAGGAGTAACTTGCATAAAAATGACAGAAATTGCTGCTACTTCTTCTAATTATTGAGATGGTATTTCTATATTTGTGAAATTATCTGATAGAAAATTGAATTGTTTCCAACATTATTTTTCATAATTAAACATGTTATATTGCTACTTCTTTAAAAGTAGCCTTTAAAATATTACCAATCTATTTTAAAGTCTACTTGCCAAAACATTAAACTATTCTTAAAAAAAGTAATTTATTTAATTACCTAACATCCTCAAGCAATGTCCTAATTTTCTCAAGCAATTATCTGATTTTCTCAAGCAATTGATATTAGCAAGTTGTGCTAGCTAACTGCTGAGAATCATTGTCTACATATGAGATAAATCATCTATCAATCCTTTAAAGAAGACTTTATGAGCCATAGAGATTGTAGTCCAATCTGTATCACTGACTTTAAACATTGGATAATTGACACTCCGTGTTGTCTGTAAGCCTATTTCACAGCAGCTGAGTGATGTTAATAGGTACCTCTTGGAGTGCCATTTTCCTTGTAACCCTTAGATTAATTCAGATTGACTGAGTTCTGTGTCAGTGGAAATTGCCAGAATTATATCATGCTGCTTTGCATCTAGTTTCACTTTTCCAAAAGCCTACACAGATTTCAGATGTTTAGAAAATAGCTCTTGTTTTCCTTCTGGGTAATCTTTTTCATGTCACCACTCTTGTCAGCATCTGCATTGGGCAAATTTCCTAGGACCTCCCTTCTGCGTCTTTTAAAATATGAAAACAAAATCAATGTAGCGCAGCAAGCCAGGGAAAGTCTGCTTTGATTGACTTACGGCCATAGTCACCCAGCAGTTCCTTCAGATGTGGCTTCCCAGGTCAGCCACTGAGCCCACCGCTGTCCTCCTGCCTGCAGAAGTGGCTCTGTGAGCCGTTTGAGGAGAAAATGGGGGACTTTGGGCTTCAGCCCGAGGAGAACACGGTGGAGATGGAGGAGCCCCTGGGCGTCCGCAGGTTAACTGAAAACATGAGAGGACACAAGCACGGGACCAAGTCTGTCACTAACCTGTAAAGTACTCTCACCAAGCCGACCGGGCACTTTGTCTGAGCGCCTGCCTTTGCCACCACTGTGTGCAGGAATGCCTGGGGCATGACTGGGCCATCCCAGTGTTCTTATTTCTATACATTCCGAGGTTACCCCTCAGCAAAACGCCAGAGGCTGGCAGACACAGCGGAGCATCCTGCAGTAGGGATCCGAAGCCGTGGAATCTCCAAAGGACCACTTGACCGCGTCCCAGAAGCTCCAGCTCAGGCTGGACATTGCCCAGAAAGCCCACATCGTCTTTGGCAAGACCTCCCGGATTGTGGTTTTGATTTGCATTTCTCTGATGGCCAGTGATGATGAACATTTTTTCATGTGTCTGTTGGCTGCATAAATGTCTTCTTTTGAGAAGTGTCTGTTCATATCCTTCGCCCACTTTTTGATGGGATTGTTTGATTTTTTCTGGTACATTTGTTTAAGTTCTTTGTAGATTCTGGATATTAGCCCTTTGTCAGATGGGTAGATTGCAAAATTTTTCTGCCATTCTGTAAGTTGCCTGTTCACTCTGATGGTAGTTTCTTTTGCTGTGCAGAAGGTCTTTAGTTTAGTTAGATCCCATTTGTCAATTTTGGCTTTTGTTGCCATTGTTTTTGGTGATTTAGACATGAAGTCCTTGCCCATGCCTATGTCCTGAATGGTATTGCCTAGGTTTTCTTCTAGGGTTTTTATGGTTTTAGGTCTAACATTTAAGTCTTTAATCCATCTTGAAAAGTTAATAATAATAAAAATAATAATATGGAAGAAATTTAAAAAAAACCTCCCAGAGACCAGGAACTTGGGGCGCGCGGCCTGAGATCACCCCAAGCTCTGGGTGCCTTCCTGTCCTTCTGCTTCTTCCTTGGCCGCTTTAGGGGGCGCGCCTTGCCATGCGTCTCCCTGCGGGCGGCGCGGTGGTGCTCCTGGATGTCACCTCCAGGCGCTTTTGAGACTGCGACCGGCACCGGGCACCAGGCACCTGCGGATTGGCCTCCCCACGCCGGGTTCAGGGACCTCCAGCGCTCCGCGGTGCAGGCTGCAGGCGACCTCAACGTGGAGCTGCTGCCAGCGCCACAGGCCCCAGGGGAGGCCCAGGATGCTGCTTCCCCGCCCCAAGAAGGGCAGTTTGGAGGAAAGTCTTTGGCCTGATGGAAGGCGGCGCCCATCGGGGGCGGGGCTGAGAACTAGGCCGGCGCCGCTGCCTGGTAAGCGGGGACCAAGAGGCCCACGGCCTCCATCAGGAACCAGGTGCTTCTCCAAATCCCGGACGTCCAGGAGGAACAACGGCGTCAAGCTGGCTGACACCAGGAACACCCAGAAGTCCCCGCTCCTGTCTGTCCTTCCGCACTCAGGAGCGGGGATGGCCACAGGGACACCATCTGCCCACAAACCGCTGGCGTTTGCTGCCATGGTGCGCGGAGATGCGGTCCCCGAGGAGGCCACTTTCGGCCAGGACGCCGGGATCGTATCAGCGGCAGCATCCCGCGCTGACACTCAGTATTGACTTTCCCCGGACATTGATGGATTTTTTCCTTTTTAAAACAATTTTGCAGTGGGAGAACAAAAAAGGGCATCCTCAGAGCTTTTACAAAATTCTCCTGGACCTGTTGTTCTATGGTGTTCACCTCTGCGTTTTACGCACCACTAATGGGCCAGAGCTCCTAAGGCCTATAAAGGCCCCACCCAGCGCTTTAGACACCCCTGAGGGACACTGGCGGCTCAGGAGGATAAATGTTCTCAGGGGCCTGCTGTGAGGAGGACATGCAGCCCCTCAGCCACCACATCTTCCTCCATTCCAGCCTGGAAAGAGAGACCTTGCCCTCCACCTTACAGGCCTTCCTGACCTTGGGACCCACTCTAGAGGCCACGCGCATTTCCACTGCCAAAGCAATGACACAGGAGATGGAAAGAAATTCTTGGCCAGGCGCGGTGGCTCACGCCTGTAGTCCCAGCACTTTGGGAGGCCAAGGCGGGCAGATCACGAGGTCAGGAGATCGAGACCATCCTGGCTAGCAAGGTGAAACCCCGTCTGTATTAAAAACACCCAAAAGGTGGCCGGGCTTGGTGGCGGGCTCCTGTAGTCCCAGCTACTCGGGAGGCTGAGGCGGGAGAGTGGCGTGAACCCGGGAGGCGGAGCTTACAGTGAGCCGAGATTGCACCACTGCAGTCCAGCCTGGGGGACAGAGCGAGACTACGCCTCAGGAAAAAAAAAATTATTTTGCCTTCACTATATGCCTAAGTAATTTCTCTATTAGAGCCCAGAGTCGTGGGGCCCACACCGCCAGCTGACACATGAAAGTGTGGCAACGATGTGGTGGTGTCTCTGTGTGGCAGCGTGGTGGTGTGTCTGTGTGGTGGTGTGTCCGCATTTCTGTGTGGTGGTGTGTCCGTGTGGCAGAGTGTCTGTGTGGTGCTATGTCCATGTGGTGGTGTGTTCATGTATCTGCATGGTGATGTCTCCGTGTGACAGTGTGTTTGTGTATCCGTGTGACAGTGTCTGTGTGTCCTTGTTTCCACATGGCAGTGTCTGTGTGGTGGTGTCTGACAGTGTGGAGGTGTGTCCATGTGACAGTGAGGCGGTGTGTGTGTGTGTGGCAGTGTCCATGTGGCAGTGTGTTTTTGTGTTCGTGTGAGTGTGATGGTGTGTCCATGTGACAGTGTAGTGATGTCTCTTGTGTGTGTCCCTGTGATAGTGTGGTGGTGTGTCCATGTGGTGACGTCTCCGTGTGTCTGTGTGTCCCTGTGATAGTGTGGTGGTGTGTCCGTGTGGATTTCTCCGTATGTCTGTGTGTCCGTCCATGTGAATGTGCCAGTGTGTCCATGTGACGGTGTCTCCGTGTGGTAATGTCTCCGTGTGTCTGTACATGTGACAGTGTGGTGGTGTGTGCGTGTAACAATGTGGCGGTGTTCCCTTCCCGGCTTGCGGAGCTGGCGTCTTTCCCTCTCAGCCCAGGACGCCCCAGGAGACCCCCAGCTTGGAGGGCAGGAGGTGGCTTCTGTGGAGGGAGGCGCAGGGAGCCCCAACAGCCGAGTTTTGGGGTCCCCTGCATTGGGTGGGAGTGAGGAGAAAGGTGCCCGGGCAGCCAGGACAAGCCTGGGCCTGCCCTAAGGAGGTGACCCACTCCGGGCCTGCATTTTGGGGCGAGCACTCCAGCTCGGTCATCTTGTCCTAAGTCCTTTGTGTGCCGTGGAGATTGCTGAGTTTTGAAGAAGGGAAGGTCATCTTTGTCGCGGAAAGCCTGATGTGTTTCTCTATTGCTGTCACTTTTCAGCCTCATGGCTGGCGAAACATCAAACATTGGGCACCTTCTGCCAAGAAAACTCCCGGAAGAAAATGTGGGGACTGGCAGTATCCAACCAGAGGAGTCACACACAGATTTCTGTTTGGTTGGAGATCGGCCGTTTTTCCCTGTGGGTGGGGGAAGCGCAGCAGCTCTGCAGCGGGAAGGAAGGGGGGTTCTGTGTGGCCAGGAAGGTCCTGGCCCGGGGCGGAGGGGCCAGAGGTGATGTGCGGCGAAAGGCTGTGCAGGGCAGCGGGCAGTGTGCATCGCCCCTACTGCCGGGCGCCCAGGAGGAGGACAGGTCCCGGCCTGGCAGGAGCAGAGGCGACGGGGCTGGAGTCCCCGCACCAGGCTTGAGGGCCGGCGGAGCCGCAGGCTGTGGCGGAGGGGGACTCCCGGGCACCTGGTGGGTGTCCCCATGACCAGGATGCACACCGGGCTCCGGAGGCCAGGCGGACCAAGCTAGGGGTGCCAGGGGAGGCTCGAGGTTCCCTCGGTGGGAGGTGGGTCCCTGGACCCTGGTCTCCTGCTGCTGTCCCCCCTTCGCTCAGGGGCGCCCTGCCAGGGTCGCCTATCTGGGACCTCAGCGCAGCTCCTAGTGGGCGGGAGGCTGAGGCAGAGGCCTCCGGGCCCAGCTGGGTCTGCAGTTTCCACCACTCGTGATGCAGGGCGAGCTCAAGCTGTGCCACCCAGGCAGGAAACCCTCCGACCTTGCCAGCTTTGGCGCCAGCCTTGGTGACTCTCTCCAGCTCAGCTTCAACACCTTTCAACAGTTCTGTGTTCTCTATTATCACAAGAATTCTTTCTGTATTTTCTATCCTTTATCAAATAGGAATTTAAATATGCATATGGAGTGATTATCACAGTTGAAACATTAAACAATATACAATTTCATGTGTCTTTTTTGTTTAATGTATAATTTTCTAAGAAGTAAAATTATGACTCTACTGCAAATATAAGATAAACACATATCAACAATGTTTTTCAACTCAATAAGCGATGAGGGTTCCAGTAACAGGTTCAAATCATTGCAAGGAACATTAAAGGAGCTTTACAGCCAATGTTAACGTCAGATCGCTGGGTACTTACAGTACTGGTTAGTATCCAACATAGCCAGAAGCTGTCATCTTTGTGAGTTCTCTCTTCCATGGCACAGAAATGATGCGTTTTTCTACTGTACAAAATATTTATCTTTTCTACTACTTCTGCACATAAAAATATTGCTAGTCAGAAAAGACCAGAATTGCACTGAAAGAAAATCTCAGTAATATCTCTCACCTGTATTCTTACTTTTTCTTCCTTTATGAAATATCTTTCAACTGCATTTTCTATCTGAAAGTTTATAGAGAGATGAAAATGAATAAAAGCATAGTAAGTGAATATTTTGATAACATTTTGCAGCTTTATTCATGTCTAACGAACATAAAACACACTTCCAATATTTAAAGTGTAAATGAGATGAATTTGATATGTACATGTGCCCATTAATCACCATGAAGGGGACAATGAGCATATCCAATACTCTCAAAGCTTCCCAGTTCTCTTTTGTAATGCACACTCATACCTCTCAGGTGTGAAGTATTGAGCTTCACACACACACACACACACAAATATATACTGGGATATCTAATTGTTTCAGAAGCATTTGTTGAAAATGTTATGTCCATGAATGGTCTAAGAACTTTATCAAAAATTAGCTGATAGATGATATACATGTGTATATCTATATTTGTACTACATTGTCTTAAGTATTACTGTAATGTTATAAGTCTTGAATCCAGGTGCTGTTAATTCTCCAGCAGCACCTGGTTTCAAAGTAACTGTTTCCTTTCAAAGTAATTTGCCATTATAGGTCCTCTACCCATCGATGTACAGTTCAGAATTTTAGTTTCTCAATTTCTAAAATAAGAAATCCAGCTGTGATTTGATTGGAATTGTTATAGATCAATGTGGAAAGAGTAGACATCTTAACAATATTGAGATTTATGACTCATAAATTCCATTTATTTAGGTCTCGTTTATTTTAGCAATATTTTGTAGTTTTGTAGTTTTCAAATGTTTCTCTTTTTTGCTGGTTTATCTCTAAGTACTACATATTTTGATATTTACAATAATATCAAAATTATGGTAATATTAATGCAAATGTTGTTTTATTTTTTCCTCCATTAATTGTCAGGTAGTTTTAAATCATAATTTAATTGTATGATAAAACTGAATTTTGCGAGAAATGTATACATATTGTATATATACTTTTTTTCAGTTTGGCAGATTGACTGCATTATCATATCATAATTTAAAATTGCACTAATTACCACTCAGCCTCCTCTCAAGGACAATATATCAAAATATATAGCATGTTTCAGTTTACTTAGCATCATGAAACTCTCATATTGCACTTACTTTTGGAAACCTGGAATAATAAAATAATGTAAATGTCAGTTCACAGGCGACATATGAGTACATGCGACAATTTTCTAAATATCGACCTATCGCTCTTTAATTCTATGTTAATATTGTCAATTTTTTCCTCCTCTTGCAACTCTCTTATGCAGCTTATTGACTTTTGGTTCAATTCCTTCCCTGTTTTCCCCCCAATCTACTTTCTAATATTTTACTGATGTTGTGCTCCTTTTTATTTGGACACTTTTAAAAAGCTGTGTAATTTCTCCTTTGTATTAAAATGCAAATCCATATCCAAAATAAATGAGCGGAGGGACCAAAAAGATGTTTGTGCAGCGTGTCCGTTAGCAATATTATTCACAATAATCAAAGGGAGGGAGCAGCCCATGTGAATATTGATGGATGAGTGGTTAAACAAAATGTGGTATATACGGCAACATAATAATATTCAGCCTTAAAATATATTCTCACACATGCTACAAAATAGATGAAACTTGAAGACATGCTAAGTGAAATAAGCCAGTCAGAAAAATTCAAACATTCTATCATGCCACTTCTATGAGTTACTTAGTGAAATTTGTAGAGACAGAAAGTAGAATGGTGATTGCTAGGGGGAAGGAGAGGGAGAGGAATGGGAAGTTGGTGTTCAATGAGTAAAGCATTTTAGTTGGAGAAGAAGACAAGTTTTGGAGGTCTATGGTGGTGACTGTTGCACAATAGTGCAAATATACTTAATGCCACAAAACTGTGCACTTAAAGTGATTAAAAAGGTAAATTTTATGTTGTGTATATCTTTCCAGAATTATAAACCTGCCATCACAGTATAGAAATAGAATATATTATATAGCGTTAGGTGATGATATTTTACACATTTGCACATAATTAGAATTTCAAAGCCTTAATTTCAGATACGGTAGTCTAAGACATAACAATATTGATGTAAGAAAGCCGTAAGAAATGTTTATTTTCAATCAGATTTACTAAAAAAATTTATTGAACTGGTCAATTTTCTTTGCCAATATTACTGTATTCTTATTTCTAGTAATAGAGGTGTGAGAAAGCATCAAGGAAACTAAAATTGCATTCTCATACTGACTGCATACAATAATTCTGAAAACAGCAGAAGTTATGTATATCCCCCATAAGTAAAACATGAGTAACACAACAGAACAAAAATTAATAGGAGACAATTCAAATAATGGTGACCTGTTATTCTTATCTAGTTAAGTACTATTCTTTTCTAACAGGAATTTGCTATTTCAAATATATTATCTGAGATGTCTATATTTATATTTTGAGATGCCATACAAACTTGAGTCAATGACATAGAATTTTACAAATCAAGAAGCTTATTCTGGGGTCATTTCTTTTGACATTAAACTACTAAAGAGGCATTAATGATCCATAAATTATATTATCTACATTTACAGCATTTAAAATGTGTTCAGCATGAAATATTAGTTACAGGATAAGTGAAATAAATTAAACATGGAATAAAGATTTATCCTTAAATATAAATTACAAGAAGACTTGGTATTAGTTTTTCACAAGTGAAGCATTCTTATAAAATGTCATAACCTTTTTGGGGAAACTCTGGGAAAAATGGAGAAACTCTGAAGGGTTTTAAGTATCTTTCCTGAAGCTACAGACTCCATAATCTCTCTTTACAGGGAGCTCCTGCAGCTCCAACAGAAATGAGTGGCTGAGATTCCTGGTTGCAGAGCAGAGCTTCTCATCCAAACCCTTTCCCTTTTTAGTGTCTGTGTATCAGTATAAAAGTTCTATAAACTGTAGTTACTTATTTTAATCCCAAAGCACAGTAACAATATATTTCATCCAAGGGTTGGCAGTTTCTGTGAGTGTTTTGTCTAATTCTCCAAAACTCTATCTACAGGATTCCAAACAGCCTAAAAAGTAAAATATTTTAAAAAGGGGAAAGGGAGAAAGGGAAAGAAAATAAAATTAATAGCCCATTCTGTCACTGTTATTAAACACCAGAATACCTTTCTGTTAATCTAATTAAAATTAGTGACATCATTTAACATTTATGTCTTCAACAAAAGTTTGGAATCCTGAAAAAGACATTTAATTTCCTAATAAATATATTTGAATTGAATTGAAATCCTTACATATTACTTTAAATAAAGAACACAAGATGATTTATGATGTAGAAAATTCTATCCCTCATTGTCCAAAATCTAATAGTTAAATTGAACTTGTTAAATAATATTTTTGGCCAGGCATGTGGCTTACATCTGGAATCCCAATACTTTGGGAGGCAAAGGCAGGTGGATTGCTTGAGCTGAGTAGTTGCAGACCAGGCTCGGCAACATGGTGAAACCCAATCTTTACCAAAAAAAAAAAAAAATTTTAGCCAGGCGTAGTGGCTTGCCTGCCTGTAGTCCCAGCTACTCAGGAGGATGAGGTGGGAGGATCACCGGAGCCTGGGGAAGCTGGGGCTGCAGTGAGCCATGATTGTGCCACTGCACTCCAGCTTGGGCAACAGACTGAGACCCTGTCTCAAAGAAAGACAGAAAGAAAGACAAGAAAGACAAGAAAGACAAGAAAGACAAGAAAGAAAAGAAAGAAAGAAAGAAAGAAAGAAAAGAAAGAAAGAAAGAAAGATAAAGAGAGAAAGGAAGGAAGGAAAATTAATAGTTTTGGTGGCAATAATCTTTATGGAATTTTGCTTTAATGAAATAGATTTAACTAAGTAGTGACATGATCTGCTTAAGTGTATTGACCCTAGCAATCAGAGGCCTCCGTATCCCCACAATGACTTAACAGTTACATTTGACAAGCCTTGATTCTCCTATCCTACGCACAGCATAGTCAGAATTTCAGAATTCCAACTTTCCCCATGCTATTTGGGCACGTTGCTTAACATCTCTAAGACTCGATATTTATACTCTTAAGATACTACTAATAATAGTACCTAGTTTTTATGATATAATGTGCATCAAAAGCATTATACTTTCAGGCAGATGGCAATTCCTCAATAAATATTTGCTAATGTTTTAGTACAAACAGGAAAATTGGATTATGATATTTATGACACTGTTGATTCTCCTTCTAGAAACATTTGTTTCTAAAACTTGTTTTCAAATTAGAGCACTATTTTGTATTCAGATTGAAAATACTATATGTTCAGATTTTTTAAAAAACAGTATTGCATGAATGTTTTAATTAAAATATTCCTAAATGAGCTTGAGCAAGGAGGACAGGGGAGATAAGTAAAATAAGGCTTTGTGGCATAGGAGACATTTGGTGGAAATCTTTCAGCTCAACTAAGATTTGAAAAAAAAAGAGAATTTTTATAAAAAATGTAAAGGCAGGATTTACACTGATGAGCTTGTGGAGAAAATACAGAGTCTAACATAATTCAAAAGAGACTAATCAGTCAAAGTGGTTTTGAAGGAATATCTTGAAGAGAGAGAACATAAAATGAAGATCAGGTATGTAGTTATTTTAATAATCTATCCATGAGATAAAAAGCATTGGGTTTTATTTGTCAAAATGGGACAATAGTTCCAAGAACCATTATTTGCTCAGCCTAAAGAGGTTTTTACATTTTGAACCAGCGACATATTGTGCTAAGTAGGATAATATCCAAATTTGTGTCTATATCAATAATTTTGTTCTCAATTAAAAACACTTTATTCACACAACTGATGATTATCTGCATTTGATTTAGTGCTGAACTGTCAAAGGGGGACTAACAAAAACAAAATATTAGAGTTGCAAGCAGTGTAAGTGGAAAATAATGATCATATTGAACTCATCATTACTGAAATAAGAAAACAAAGCAAAAAATAAATAAGAAAAAAATTGACTACGTGAACATTTGCTTCTCTCCTAAGAATCAAAACCCTTAATTTGCTGTGGCAAAAAAGCATCTGGGTCCATGAACCCATGCAAAAGTCTACTGTTTCTGGGAGATAAGAAGAAGCAAAACACATCAGCTTCCAGAGAAGGTTAAGAAACCTCTCATACCCTACCCTACCCCACCTGACACCAGGCAAAGGATCACTGCTTCTGGGAGAGGGATGCAAGAAAAATACTCCTCCATCAGGAGAGGAACAAGGATTGTTTTGGGGCCCAGGATTTTGCACTAATGCAGAGTCGTGCTACTGTGGTAAAGGTTTGGAAAGTCTCCATCCAGTGACCACAGACAAAGGTACATTGTTCCTATGGAAGGAGAAATAAAAGAGTTTGCCCTTATTGTGGGGTTGAAAACTTGCAATGATATAAATCAGGGGTTTTCTACTACTGAGGTGGGAGGAGGGTAAGGTATTATTTCTTCTGCAAAAAACAACACAGGTAAGTGACAGTTTGACTCCCACTAGAAAAAGAGTCAAGAAGTGTTAAAAATACCCCATCTCTGAGTGTCCAATGATGAAACTGGCTCAAAAACAACACAAAACATCCCTCTGTCCCCAACCTGAATTTTTTGCCTAGTCACACACACACACACAAAATGATGTTCTACAGTTAGAGAAGAACAAGAAAGTGGAGAGAGACCCTCTCTATAACATAGGTTGTAAGGACTACCGAAAGCTAACTGTGGAACAGGATCATTGGCATATGCTCTCCAGAGTCTAAGGCCCCACACAAGGCACATCATATAGCAGTCTACTGCTGGAGAAATCTGAGTTACATTGTTCACTGAATGTTTCAGACACCGCAGCAAAAAGCAACCTTTGTTCCTGCCCACACTAATAGCATGACACAAACAAAAATGAAACAGAAATATAAAACAATCTCGACATAAATAATTATCTCATGATCTACTGTTTTTCTACATCAGATGATTTGCATTTTTTAGAAATTGGGAGACACATAAAAGCAAGTTAGAAATTTGAGTTATGAGTTATAATATTTTCAAAGGATAAAAAGTCAACAGAATCAAATTCAGAGATAATTCAGATGTTGGAACTAAATGAAAGTAATTTAAAATAATAATGATCAAAATGTTAAAGGATCTAGTTAAAAAAAGACAACATGTATGGAAAAATGAGGAATTTCAGCAAAGATGGGAACAGTAAAAGGCAAAATCTAGAAATAAGTGAAAGCATGAGAACAGAGATGAAGTATTACATCAGCAAGCTGATTAGCAGACTGGTCATCAGAGTTAAAGAAAGAAGCAGTAAATTTTATACTAGGTCAATACAAATCATTTGAATGGTAGCACAAAGGGAGGAAAGAGAAAAACCAAATAAACCAATGAACCAAGCAAATAAAATACTCCAGTGAATCAAAGAATTTTCTGGTAATATGAAATTAACCAAAATACAATTAATTGGAATTACAGAAGGAGAGTAAAAACAGAATGTGAGAGAAGAAAAATTTGAAAAAGATGACTGAGGAGACCAAATAACCTCAAAATATACAAGAAAGATTAATACAAAATTTAAAGAACGCTAGAATAATCACACTAGTGAAACTGCTGAAAACCAACGATTAGCATAAATCTTGAATTCAGTCACAGAAAAAATAAGAACACTGTGTAGAGAGATAAACAGAAACAAACATTGTAATGAACTGCTTGTCAGTAACTCTACAAGTCAGAAACCAATGATACAAAATTCTTAAATAACTGAAGAAAAGTCAACCCCCAATCTTATATCCATTAACTGTAATACAGCAAAAATAACAATTAAATGACATTTGCAGATTAACACTGGAAGAGTCCCTTGCTAACAGGTATGCACTAAAATAAATGTCAAAATCATTTCTTGAGGCAAAAGGAATATGGAAGCAGGTGAAAGTTGAAACTACACAAAGAAATAAATAATGCCAGAGAAGATATAAAGATATATAACCCAATTATTTTACATTGCTCTAAAGATAATTGATTGTCTAATTTTTTAAAAAAAGAGTAACTTTATATTATGGAATTCATAATATTTGAGACTATAATGCATGACATAAATAGTATAAAGGAGAGAGGAAACAGAAATATACATTTTAAGGTTTTTATACCATAGTTGGTATAGTACAAATTATAGGTTACTGTAATAAGCTAGAATAGGTATTGAAATCTCTAGAGAAACCATGAACATTTTTAAAAAATGGTATGTGCATTAATGTTTTCATAGAACTTCCAGCTTTTATTTATTTGTTTGTATTCATTTAATTTTATTTATTTTTTTTGAGATGGAGTCTCGCCCTGTTGCCCAGGCTGCAGTGCAATGGTGTGATCTCAGCTCACTGCAACCACCTCCGCCTCCCAGGTTCCAATGATTCTCCTGCCTCAGCCTCCTGAGTAGCTGGGATTACAGGTGCCCACCACCATGCCCAGCTAATTTTTGTATTTTTAGTAGAGACGGGGTTTCACCATGTTGGCCAGGCTTGTCTCAAACTCCTGGCCTCATGATCGGCCCACCTCAGCTTCCCAAAGTGCTGGGATTACAGACTTGAGACACCGTGCCAGGCCCCAGCTTTTAGTTTTTAAGGTAGTTGTTGTGTTATTACATGTGAAGTAAGGTTATTCTTAAATATCCATGTTTTGAGAATTAATGATAATGACAAGTTAATTTATCTCAATCTAAATGACATTTTAATATTAAATATTTAAATATTTTTATTACTTTTCCTTTTTAACAGAAGTCATTCTAACTGGTGTGAGATGGTATTTCACTGATGTTTTGTTTTGCATTTCTCTGATGATTAGTGATGGTATGCATGTGTTAATATGTTTGTTGGCCACATATGTGTTCTTCTGAAAACTGTTCACGTTCTTTGCCCATTTTTTAATGGGGTTATTTATTTTTTGCTCGTTGATTTGCCTAAGTCTCTTATGGCTTCTGGATAATAGGCCTTTGCTGTATGCATAGTGTGTGAATATTTTCTTCCACTCGGTAGGCTGTCTGTTCAATCCCTTGAGAGTTTCTCATGCTGTGCAGAAGAAGCTCTTTAGTTTAATTAAATCATACTTGTCAATTTTTATTTTTCTGGCAATTGCTTTTGAGGACTTACCCATAAATTCATTGCCAAGTGCAATGTCCAGGTGAATATTTCCTAGGTTTTCTTCCAGGATTTTTATAGGCAGAGGATGTAATCTCATGTCAATGGGTCTTAATAATCAAATGACTCCACACTGAGAATCATTACTGTGAAAAATCGATTTTGTTATAATGATAGAAATTTAAACATATAAAAGTAAAAACAGATGCCACCTCTTTGCTAGAACTCTACAAGGCAAATTACTATAAGAGAGCCATTGCAGTGAAATAAGTGAAAGCACATTATAAATAAACTTACCTGATTTTACAAACTAACCTGTAAAGGGATTTGTACTAATTTTTCCATTGCCTGCATTGCCCTTTCTTCTAGATCCAATTTATATTTTTGTACTTCACCAATGTGTCTTCACCAATGTGTACTTTCCATACGTTTTTTAAGATTTAATATTACTTTTTCCAACATCTTTTTAGCCTCCTCAAGATTTTTACATTCCTGTTGTATTTTTTCATACATAATAACTCCTGTTGAATACCTTGATTGTTTTGAGTCAAACAGACATATTTTGAAGATACAGCTTCCAGCTCTGCTGTAAGATCATCAAACTACATTAATAAAATAATATAACTTGAAAATGAAGTAGGCTGAGAATAATCTCATACAAAACCAGTAACAAATTTTGAAATACATTTACTTGCAATAAAATGTTATCTATAATGTAGATTCTTTAAATGTTAACCCTTAAATTACTCAGAAATTCAAGAACAAAGTAAAAGCCACCATAAGTCACATATATTCTTTACTATCATCTTTGCCACAGAACTTTTGCACTTGATCTTTCTTTTACTTTTCTGATAATTTGTGTTTTTTCCTCCTTAAATGGCTCTATGTTAACTCTTATTAGAAAGTTTCAAACCCCTTTCTCTCATCATCGTGCCCCAAAATTTGTCAAAAAAAGTTTCAGAGATATAATATTGAGTTATTTAGGCCAAAGTCAATAAATGGCTCTTAGAATAAGACTTTGAAAATAATGTAATACTCTATGCTAGGCATGGTGGCTCATGCCTGTAATCCCAGCACTATAGGAGGCTGTGGCAGAAAGATTACTTGAGGCCAGGAATTTGAAACCAGCCAGAGCAACATAGTGATAACATAATCTCGACAAAAAATTTTATTTAAAATTAACCAGGCATGGTGACTTATGCTTGTAGATCCAACTAGTTGGGAGACTAAGGCACAAGGATGGCTTGGACTCAGAGTTCATGGCTGCAGTGAATTATGACCAAGCCACTCCACTTCTGCCTGGATGACAGACAGAGACCATATCTCAAAAAAACACAAAATAATCCTATAAATAAGGATTCTAATGCCATAAGCCTTTCCCTAGGCTGTAAATGTTTTATGCTAATTTGAATTGCATTTTTAAAAGTAATGACTCTTGGGGTAGAGGCCATAGAATACAGCACCCAGATATAAATCCACATATTTGCCTTACAAGAAATAAATCCACATTCTTGCCTTACAAGAGCTCCTGAAGGAAGCACTAAACATGGAAAGGGACAAACAGTATGAGCCACTGGGAAAACATACCAAATTGTAACGACCATCGACACTATAAAGAAACTGCATTAACTAATGGGAAAAATAAACAGCTAACAACATCATGACAGGATAAATTTCACATGTAACAATATTAACCTTAAATGTAACTGGGCTAAATGCCCCAGTAAAAAGACACAGACTGGCAAGTTGGAAAAAGACTCAAGACCCATTGGTGTGCTGTATTCAGGAGACCCATCTCACATGCAAAGACACACACAGGCTCAAAATAAAGGGACGGAGGAATATTTACCAAGCAAATGAAAAGCAAAAAAAAAAAAAAAAAAAAAAAAAAAAAAAAGCAGGGGTTGCAATCCTAGTCTCCGATAAAACAGACTTTAAATGGAAAAGATCAAAAGAGACAAAGGGCATTACAAAGCAGTGCCATCTGCTTTTCCTCAGGACTCTGCTCCATCAGCCATCAGGTGGCAGCCATTCAGGCTGTTGGAACCTGGCCATCCATGCTTCTTTGAGTGGGTGAGATTAAAGGCTGGTCCAACTGCACCAGGAGCATGCTTGCAGAGGTGGCTGCTTGCTCTTTGAGCCAGCTTGGCCTTGCCTGGCATGCACAGGCCCCAGCTACTGACACGCTGCTCTGAGTGAGCTTGTCCTGCCTGGGGCCAAATTCTAAGTCTGGCCAGGGCCACAGAAGGGCAAGTCCCCTGGGTGGTAATCCTGACTTTTTTCTGCACTTGAACATAAAGTCCTCCTCAAGACGGCCTGTGGTCTGCCTCTTGGCAACCAAGAAGCCTGCAGTGCCATATAAGCTCGGAGGCATGGACTAGAGCCCCAAAGGCAGTGAACACCCTGCTCCTGAGCCTGCTGCTCATTTCCTCTGTGTGGCTCCATTTGTAGCACAGTTGTTGTACTGAGGCTTGTGCATGCTGGGCAAGGACAAGCTGGCTCAAAGAGGAACCAGCCACTTCTGCAAGGGTGTGCCAGGAGCAGGTAGACCAGCCACCAACCTCACTCACTGCCTGCCAGACATGGCACATCAGTTCTTCTACCCTAGAGGTAGGGCCCCAGTGCCATCTGCTTTTTCTGAGGCCTCTGCTCCATCAGCCATCAGGTGGCAGCCACACAGGCTGTGGGAACCTGCCTATCCTTGCTTCCTTGAGTAGCAGAGGTTGGTGGCTGCTCTACCTGCTCCCGGTGCACCCCTGCAAAGGTGGCTGGTTGCTCTTTGAGCCAGCTTGGCCTTGCCTGACATGCAGAGGCCCCAGCTACTGACATGCTCCTCTGAGTGAGCTTGTCCTGCCTTGGCCCAAATTCTAAGTCTGGTCAGGTCCACAGAAGGCAGAGTCCCCTGGGTGGTAATGCTGGCTGCTTTCTGCATTTGAACACAAAGTCCTCCTCCAGACGACCTGTGGTCTGCCCCTTGGCAATGAAGAAGCCCGCAGTGCCATATGAGCCCTGAGGCATGGACTGGAGCCCCAAAGGCAGTGCACACCGTGCTCCTGAGCCTGCTGCTCATTTCCTCTCTGTGGCTCCATTTGTAGCACAGTTGTTGCACTGAGGCTTGTGCATGCCGAGCGAAGCCAAGCTGGCTCAAAGAGGAACCAGCCACCTCTGCAAGGGTGTGCCAGGAGCCGGTGGAGCAGACACTAAACTCACTCGCTGCCGGTTGGGGCACATCAGTTCTTCTCCCATAGAGGTCGGGCCCCAGTGCCATCTGCTTTTCCTCAGGCCTCTGCTCCATCAGTCTCCAGGTGGCAGCCACTCAGACTGTTGGAACCTGGCCATCCATGCTTCCTTGTGTGGGTCAGTTTGATGGCTGCTACATCTGCTCCAGGCACACCCTTGCAGAGGTGGCTGGTTGCTCTTTGAGACAGCTTGGCCTTGCCTGGCATGCACAGGCTCCAGCTACCGATACGCTGCTCTGAGTGAGCTTGTCCTGCATTAGGCAAAATTCTAAGTCCGGTCAGGGCCACAGAAGGCAGAGTCCCCTGGGTGGTAATCCTGGCTGCTTTCTGCACTTGAACATAAAGTCCTCCTCAAGATGGCCTGTGGTCTGCCTCTTTGCAACCAAGAAGCCCACAGAGCCATACTAGCCCGGAGGCATTGACTGGAGCCCCAAATGCAGCACACACCCTGCTCCTGAGCCTGCTGCTCTGTTTTCTCTGTGTGGCCCCATTTGTAGCACAGTTGTTGTACTGAGGCTTGTGCATGCTGGGCAAGGCCAAGCTGGCGCAAAGAGAAACCAGCCACCTCTGCAAGGGTGTGCCAGGAGCAGGTGGACCAGCCACCAACCTCGCTCACAGCCGGTCGGTGTACATCACTTCTTCTACCCAAGAGGTAGAGCCCCAGTGCCATCTGCTTTTCCTCAGGCCTCTGCTCCATCAGCCATCAGGACGCAGACATGCAGGCTGTGGGAACCTGGCCATCCCTACTTCCTTGAGTGGGTGAGGTTGGTGGCTGCTCCACCTGCTCCAGGTGCACCCTTGCAGAGGTGGCTGGTTGCTCTTCGAGCCACCTTGGCCTTGCCTGGCATGCACAGGCCCCAGCTACTGATACACTGCTCTGAGTGAGCTTGCCCTGCCTGGGGCCAAATTCTAAGTCTGGCCAGGGCCACAGAAGGCAGAGCCCCTGGGTGGTAATACTGGCTGCTTTCTGCATTTGAACATAAAGTCCTCCTCAAGATGGCCTGTGGTCTGCATCTTGGCAACGAAGAAGCCCACAGTGCCACACGAGCCCTGAGGCATGGACTGGAGCCCCAAAGGCAGCACACACCCTGCTCCTGAGCCTGCTGCTCGTTTCCTCTATGTGGCTCCATATGTAGCACAGTTGTCGCACTGAGGCTTGTGCATGCCAGGCAAGGCCAAGCTGGCTCGAAGAGTAACCAGCCACCTCTGCAAGGGTATGCCAGGAGCAGATGGACCAGCCACCAACCTCACTCACTGCCGGTCAGGGTACATCACTTCTTCTACCCTAGATGTAGGGTCCCAGTGCCATCTGCTTTTCCTCAGGCCTCTGCTCCATCAGCCATCAGGAGGCAGCCACTCAGGTTGTTGGAATCTGGCCATCCCTGCTTCCTTGAGTGGGTGATGTTGGTGGCTGCTCCACCTGCTCCTGGAGCACCCTTGCAGAGGTGGCTTGTTGCTCTTTGAGACAGCTTGGCCATGCCTTTCATGCACAGGCTCCAGCTACTGACACGCTGCTCTGAGTGTGCTTGTCCTGAGTTAGGCCAAATTCTAAGTCCGGTCAGGGCCACAGAAGGCAGAGTCCCCTGGGTGGTAATCCTGGCTGCTTTCTGCACTTGAACATAAAGTCCTCCTCAAGATGGCCTGTGGTCTGCCTCTTTGCAACCAAGAAGCCCACAGAGCCATACTAGCCCGGAGGCATTGACTGGAGCCCCAAATGCAGCACACACCCTGCTCCTGAGCCTGCTGCTCTGTTTTCTCTGTGTGGTTCCATTTGTAGCACAGCTGTTGCACTGAGGCTTGTGCATGCTGGGCAAGGCCAAGCTGGCGCAAAGAGAAACCAGCCACCTCTGCAAGGGTGTGCCAGGAGCAGGTGGACCAGCCACCAACCTCACTCACAGCTGGTCGGTGTACATCACTTCTTCTACCCAAGAGGTAGAGCCCCAATGCCATCTGCTTTTCCTCAGGCCTCTGCTCCATCAGCCATCAGGATGCAGCCATGCAGGCTGTGGGAACCTGGCCATCCCTACTTCCTTGAGTGGGTGAGGTTGGTGGCTGCTCCACCTGCTCCAGGTGCACCCTTGCAGAGGTGGCTGGTTGCTCTTTGAGCCAGCTTGGCCTTGCCTGGCATACACAGGCCCCAGCTACCGACATGCTGCTCTGAGTGAGCTTGTTCTGCTTTGGCCCAAATTTTATCTCTGTCCAGGGCAGAGTCCCCTGGGTGGTAATCCTGCCTACTTTCTGCACTTGAATATCAAGTCCTCCTCAGGATGGCCTGTGGTCTGCCTCTTTGCAACGAAGAAGCCCGCAGTGCCACACGAGCCCTGAGGCATGGACTGGAGCCCCAAAGGCAGCGCACACCCTGCTCCTGAGCCTGCTGCTCATTTCCTCTCTGTGACTCCATACCTAGCACAGATGTTGCACTGAGGCTTGTGTATGCCAGGCAAGGCCAAGCTGGCTCAAAGAGCAACCAGCCACCTCTGCAAGCGTGTGCCAGGAGCCGGTGGAGCAGCCACCAAACTCACTTGTTGCAGGTCAGGGCACATCAGTTCTTCTACCCTAGAGGTAGGGCCCCAGTGCCATCCGCTTTTCCTCAGGCCTTTGCTCCATCAGCCATCAGGAGGCAGCCATTCAGGCTGTGGGAACTTGGCCATCCCTACTTCCTTGAGTAGCTGAGGTTGGTGGCTGCTCCACATGTCCCAGGTGCACCCTTGCAGAGGTGACTGGTTCCTATTTGAGTCAGCTTGGCCTTGCCTGGCATGCATAGTCTCCAGCTACTGACATGCTGCTGTGAGTGAGCTTGTCCTGCCTTGGCCCAAATTCTAAGTCTGGTCAGGGCCACAGAACGCCAAGTCCCCTGGGTGGTAATCCTGCTGCTTTCTATACTCGAACATAAAGTCCTCCTCAAGACAGCCTGTGGTCTGCCTCTTGGCAACCAAGAAGCCCGCAGTGACATATGAGCCCTGAGCCATGGACTGGAGCACCAAAGGCAGTGTACACCCTGCTCCTGAGCCTGCCTCTAATGTCCTCTGTGTGGTTCCATTTGTAGAACAGTTGTTGCACTGAGACTTGTGCATGCTGGGCAAGGCCAAGCTGGCTCAAAGAGCAACCAGCCACCTCTGCAAGGGTGTGCCAGGAGCAGGTGGACCAGCCACCAACATCACTTGCTGCCAGACATGGTACCTCAGTTCTTCTACCCTAAAGGTAGGGCCCCAGTGCCATCTGCTTTTCCTCAGGCCTCTGCTCCATCAGCCATCAGGTGGCAGCCACTCAGGCTGTGGGAACCTGGCCATCCCGGCTTTGTTGAGGGGGTGAGATTGGTGGCTGGTCCAACTGCTCTAGGCACACCCTTGCAGAGGTGGCTGGTTGCTCTTTGAGCCAGCTTGGCTTTGCCTGGCATGCACAGGCCCCAGGTACTGACACGCTACTCTGAGTGAGCGTGTCATGCCTGGGGCCAAATTCTAAGTCTGGCCAGGGTCACAAAAGGCTGAGTCCCCTAGGTTGTAATCCTGGCTGCTTTCTGCACTTGAACATAAAGTCCTCCACAAGATGGCCTGTGATCTGCCTCTTGGCAACCAAGAAGCCCACGGTGCCATATGAGCCCTGAGGCATGGACTGGAGCCCCAAAGGCAGTGTACACCCTGCTCCTGAGCCTGCTGGTCATTTTCTGTGTGGCTCCATTTGTAGCACAGTTGTTGCACTGAGGCTTGTGAATGCCAGGCAAGGCCAAGCTGGCTCAAAGAGCAACCAGCCACCTCTGCAAGGATCCACCTGGAGCAGGTGGACCAGCCACCAACCTCACCCACTTAAGGAAGCAGGGAATGTGTGTTTGTACCATGCATTGCACTACAAGTACATTTCTCCTGAGTTTGGTGGCCTAGGTTTTCTTCTAGGTTTTTTATGGTTTTAGGTCTTAAGTTTAACTCTTCAATCCATCGTAAGTTAATTTTTGTATAAAGTGTAAGGAAGTGGCCCAGTTTCAGTTTTCTGCATATGGCTAGCCAGTTTTCCTAACACCATTTATTGAATAAGGAATCCTTTCCCCATTGCTTGTTTTTGTCAGGTTTGTCAAAGATCAGATGGTTTTAGATGTGTTGTGTCATTTCTGAGGCCTCTGTTCTGTTCCATTTGTCTATATATCTGGTTTGGTACCAGTACCATGCTGTTTTGGTTACTGTAGCCTTGTAGAATAGTTTGAAGTCAGGTACCATGATGCCTCCAGCTTTGTTGTTTTTGCTTAGATTGTCTTGGCTACACGAGCTCTTTTTTGGCTCCATATGAAATTTAAAGTAGTGTTTCTAATTGTGGGAAGAAAGTCAATGGTAGCTTCATGGAGATGGCACTGATTCTATAAATTACTTTGGGAGATATGGCATTCAGGCACAGAAATGTCCTTGTGTTAGGCAATACCATTCAGGACATAGGCATAGGCGAAGACTTCATCACTAGAACACCAAAAGCGATGGCAACAAAAGCCAAAATTGACAAATGGGATCTAATTAAACTAAAGAGTGTCTGCACAGCAAAAGAAACTATCATCAGAGTGAACAGGCAACCCTCAGAAAGGGAGAAAATTGTTGCAATCTATCCATCTGACAAAGGGCTAATATGCAGAATCTATAAAAACTTAAACAAATTTACAAGAAAAAAACAAACAACCCCATCAAAAAGTGGGCAAAGGATATGAACAGACACTTCCCAAAGGAGACATTTACGCAGCCAATGAACATGTGAAGCAAAGCACTGGTCATTAGAGAAATGGAATTCAAAACCATAATGAGATACAATCTTACGCCACTTGGAATGGCCATCATTAAAAAATCAAGAAACAACAGAAGCTGGAGAGGATGTGGAGAAATAGGAATGCTTTTACACTGTTGGTGGGAGTATAAATCAGTTCAACCATCGTGGAAGACAGTGTGATGATTCCTCAAGGATCTACAACTAGAAATACCATTTGACCCAGCAATCCCATTACAGTGTATATACTCAAAAAAATATAAATCATTCCAATATAAAGACACATGCACACGTATGCTTATTGCGGCAGTGTTCACAACAGGAAAGACTTGGAACCAACCCAAATGCCCACCAATGATAGACTGGATAAAGAAAATGTGGCATATATACACCATGGAATACTATGCAGTCATAAAAAAGGATGAGTTCATATCCTTTGCAGGGACATGGATGAAGCTGGAAACTGTCATTCTCAGCAAACTAACACAAGAACAGAAAACCAAACACCACATGATCTCACTCATAAGTAGGACCTGAACAATGAGAACACATGGACACAGGAAGGGAAACATCACACACAAGGGCCTGTCAGGGTGGGGGGCTAGAAAAGGGATGGCATTAGATCATGGGTTGGTGCATGCAGCAAGCCACCATAGCATGTGTATACGTATGTAACAAACCTGCATGTTCTGCACATGTACCCCAGAACTTAAAGTATAATTAAAAAAAAATAAATTTGCTTTTAATTAAGCTTTTCAACATAGAACTTGTAAAGAAAATACTTCTGAATCTTTTACTACCACATCATAGCTGGGACAAACTGCTGATATTTTAAAAGTAACACAAATATCAAACAGAAAGAACTAGACTTAGGAACCAAACTCAGGTTTCTGTAGTGAACAGGGCAGAATCTTAACTTTGGGTCGCCACCACTACTCCCTCAGTTTGGCCTTGGCTAGCAAAAGATGCAACCACTTATGTAAAAAATAAAAATAAAAAAGTTAAAAAAATCATTTCTGCTAACTGGAATTTTTTTTTTTTTGCAGCCACATGAGTTTTAGCCAATTCAGAAGCCTTGTTCCCCACAATTTGGAGCATTCTTTGGATTTGACCAAGTCAGGAAGAGATGGGAGAAAAGTGAAACAACAACAACAAAACCCCAAACATAAACAAACAAAAAGAGTTAAGCAAAACAAACAAATGCACAATTCATATGATTACTGAGTGTTCTAATGGTAACGAGAAATTAAAAGCAGCTGGTGAGTAATCTTAAATTTTAGTCATTAAGGAAAAATTTTAAGACAAAACTCTAATTCAGCTACTTACCTGGAAATAAGTCTCAGGCTGGTGATTGTTCTCTGCCATCTTAGAAGCTGGAAAAAACTTACACTCACCTTCCCTGTCAGAAGCAAGCTGAAACTCAAGAAAGGAGGTGCCTGCTCTCCATCATCACGGAAGCAGGAAAACTTGCCTTGTTGGAAATAAGTAAAACTTCAGAAAAGGAGTTGTATAGCAAAATCAACCTTAGATCTCAACCAAATTTTGGGAGATCAGGGATTCTCTGCAGGGGAGAAGCTCCCTAACCTCAGCACATTATCCTATTGGTTTGGGCAATAAAGATAGCCCAGGTTGGTATCAAGCAATAATGAGATTTATCAAAGGTCAGGACCACCTTTGTAATCTCCTTCTCTCTTTTTTTTTTTTTTTTTTTTTTTTTTTTGAGACGGAGTCTCACTGTCTCGCCTGGGCTGCAGTGCAGTGGCACGATCTTGGCTCACTGCAAGCTCCACTTCCCAGGTTCACACCATTCTCCTGCCTCAGCCTCCCAAGTAGCTGGGACTACAGGCACCCGCCACCATGCCCAGCTAATTTTTTGTATTTTTCGTAGAGACGGGGTTTCACCGTGTTAGCCAGGATGGTCTCGATCTCCTGACCTTGTGATCCATCTGTCTCAGCCTCCGAAAGTGCTGGGATTACAGGCGTGAACCACCGCGCCCAGCCCTCTGTCTTTTTTTTTTTCTTTTTAATCTTTATTGGTATAGTCTGCTTTGTCAGAAACTAGGAGTGCAACACCTGCTTTTTTCTATTTTCCATTTCCTTGAAATATTTTTCTCCATTCCTTTATTTTGAGCCTATGTAGGGCACTGCATGTGAGATGGGTTTCTTGAAGACGGCATACTCCAATGGGTCTTGGTTCTTTATCCAGCTTGCCCCCTGTGTCTTTCAATTGGAGCATTTAGCCCATTTCCATTTAAGGTTAGTAATGGTATGTGTGGATTTGATCCTCTCGTCATGCTGTCAGCTGGCTTTTTTGCAGACTTATGTATGTGGTTGGTTTTTAGCATCACTTGTCTGTGTACTTCAGTGTGTTTTTGTAGTGGCTGGTGGTGGTCTTTTCTTTCCATATTTAGTGCTTCCTTCAGGAGCTCTTGTAAGGTAGGTCTGGTGATAATGAATTCCCTCAGCATTTGCTTGTCTGAAAAGGATCTTGTTTCTCCTTCACTTATGATGCTTAATTTTGCTGGACATGAAATTCTGGGTTGAAATTTCTTTTCTTTAAGATGTTGAATATCTTTTCTGGCTTGTACAGTTTCAGTTGAGAGGTCTGCTAAGTCTGATGGAATTTCCTTTGCAGGTGATGTTGCCTTTCTCCCTAGCTGCCTTTAACACTTTTTCTTTCATTTTGACCGCAGAGAATCTGATGATTATGTGTCTTGGGGATGATCTTCTCATGGCATATCTTACTGAGGTTCTCTGGATTTCCTGAAGTTGAGTGTTGGCCTGTCTGGCTAGGTTGGGGACATTCTCATGAATGATATTCTGAAATGTGTTTTCCAAGTTGGTTCCATTCTCCTCATCTCTTTCAGGTACATTAATCAGTCATAGATTTAGTCGTTTATATAATCCCATATTTCTCGGATGTTTTGTTCATTCCCTTTCATTCTTTTTCCCCCCATTCTTGTTTGCCTGTTTTATTTCAGAAAGCCAGTTTCCAGGTTCTGGGATTCTTTCCTCTTCTTGGTCTATTCTGTTGGATGGTCTTGCACATGAGATGGAGCTGGTCTGACCTCAGCCCTCCCTAGTCTGCTTGCCTCTCCCAGGACCCCAGCCTGGCCACATCTGCTTACAGGGCACTCTCAGGTGCCCACACATACAATAATTTTCATAATGCAATCACACACAATCACCGTGTGACTGCATTATGAAAATTCTTCTAGTGTGATTTACAGCTCTGTCAGGTCAGTTATTTTCTTCTTTATACTTGCTATTTTGTCTGTTAGTTCCTGCAAAGTTTTACAATGATTTTTAGCTTCCTTGTATTGGATTACAACATACCTCTTTCACTCAGGGAACTTTGTTCCTACCCATATCCTGAACTCTGCTTGTATCATTTCAGACATCTCAGCCTCAGCCCAGTTCTGAACACTTGCTGGAGAGTTGATGCAGTCATTTGGAGAAAAGAAAGCATGCTGAATTTTTGAGTTTTCAGTGTTCTTGCACAGAGTCTTTTTCTCATCTTTATGGGCTTATCCACCTTCAATCTTTGAGGCTGCTGACCTTTGGACAGGGTATTTTTCCTTTATTATATCTGATGACCTTGAGGATTTGATTGTGGTGTAAGGTGGATTCAGCCAACAGGTTTTGTCTTTGGAGGATTTTAAGGGGCCAACATGCAGCTCCCAATTCTTGGACTGTGTGCTTTAACTCTGGGGAACTTGTATTGGGCCACAACTTTGTTCTCTGGCTCCTCGAGGTTTGGAGTCCACCGCACTGAGGGGACCAAAGTGCGGCAGCTGTGGCAGAATGCTAGCAGATGCAAAAGTCCCTGCCTCCCTGTGGGCATTCACCTAGTGGTGGAGGCAAAACAGCTGGGGTGTGGGCCAGGGGGCCCCTGCTGACTGTGTGTGCTGTTGCACTGGAGGTAGTTCTGGTTTGGGGTGGGTGGCTGGCCAGTGAAGGTGCCTTCTCTGATCCCCCCCAAGCAACAGTGGTCACTCAGGGTATAAGAAGGTCCCTTTTCCTCTGCACAGCATTACCTCAAGGGTGAGATGCTAGCAGGGGTGGGGTTTTTGGTTCTGTGCCCACCATGGCTTCATCTTCAGTGGCAGTTGGTGTGGGTTGGGGTGTGTGCTGCATTCCCATATGCTGTTAGGGCAAGTACAACAAAACCCACCTGTGTAAACACACACAGCTAAGTGATGTAGAAAGTTTCCATATAAAGGGCTGCAGTATGGAGAGGTAATGTGCAGGCTGGTACGTGGCTGTAGAGGTCACCTTGCTGCAGCTCTCCACTGATCAGCCACGGTCCGCTTGTACAGAAGCTATGGTGTGGGCACCCAGAAGTGCCCTCTAAGCAGGTGTGGCCTGGCTGGGGTCCTGGGAGAGGCAAGCAGACTAAGGGGTGCTGAGGTCAGACCAGCCCCATCTCATGTGCAAGACTGCCCAGCAGAGATCAGGTCTCAGAGGAGAACTCTCTCAAAAGTGAATCCTCAGCACAGCACAACTGCTCTACACAAACGCGGCCAGACTTCTTTTTTAAGCAAGTCCCCCTTTTTAGGAAGAGAACTCTTAGACCTGATCTGTGCTGGGCAATCTTGCACGTGAGATGGGGCTGGTCTGACCTCAGCACTCCTTAAGTGCTGGGATAAAGTGTCTCATAAGAGCAAGTGGAGCCTAGAGACATAGATGTCCCTGCCCTCCGGGCTCCACATCAGCTGACTTGCTGCTCCACCACTTTCCTTGTCTCCTGGGGGCTCCACCCCAGAGAGGTGTAAGTTAGGAGTTACTTAATGTAATCACCCCAGGATGGAGGGTCTGTGCTGTGGGCCCAAGCCAGGGTTCCTTGTCTGGTGATGAGCAGTAAGGGGTGTGTTGTACCCGTGGAAGATGGACTGACTTGTTCCTTGTGTCAACTGCAGCTTGTTGGAGGTGTCAATATGGCACTTAGGGTCTTTGCTCCCTTGATATTCTGAGGGTAGCAAGGGCAGTTCCACTGCAGAGGCAGTGGCAGAGAGGATTTCTGTTGCTCCTGGAAGCTCTGTCCAGGGAGTTGCTGAGTTGCTACTGGCTTGAAGGCTCAAGTGGGGGGCTGGCTGGAGACCCAGGCCAGGAAGACCTGCCCATCATGGCCCACCCCTCTCTCTGGGAACTCTGTCCCAGGAAGGTTTCAAATCTCCATTGGCCAGGGAACACTGGTGGGTGTAGCTGGAGGCCTCAGGTGGGAGATCCTGTCCAGTGACGAGGAACAGGATCAGGGGCCTGCTTACAGAAGCATTCTGGCCATGATTTGGTAAAGCAGCTGTGCTATGCCACAGGATCTCTTCTGTCCCTGGTGAGTTTGTACTCTCCAAAGCCCGCACGCTGGAATGACTAAGTTGCCCAAACAGGAAAGATGGTGGCCTGCCTCATCTTTTCTCTCAGAATTTATCCTGTGTGATGGAGCTTAATTTTTAGGTTGTTAATTTTACTGTCAGCGTTAGAGTTGTTCAGAAAGAATCTCACTGTTATCTTTTAGGTGAGATATATAAGAATTCATTTTCTCCTGTAAATAAACCTGTTGATGTTTGTTCTCTGGAAAGAAGTCCCTTTCAGCTATCTGACTTTGATCACAATCATGTAGAGCAGTAGTCAGTCTACAATGACATGATTGAATTTCCATTTCCAGTGTTTCCTAGTTGTGTCTTACATTCTCCAGTTCAGAACTGAGCATTCTCAGTTGTCAAAATCCTAAGCTGTCCACTGTACTTAAATACTGGTTTTCGTTAATGCTTCTTCATTCAGTTGTATAGTCTTTAGAAGTTTTTCTTTTACACTTTCAATTTCCTCCAAAATTTTATTTTCCCTTAGCTGGTTCTGATGTTTTGTTTCATCTAGTTCCAGTCTTAGCTTGGCAATTTCTTCCCGCAACATGCTGTTTTCACGCAAGAGATCTTCTTCTTTCTTATGACTAAGAGAAAGCTAAGTAAACAAAGGGAACTTTTAGTTAGCACTCAATAGAATGACATATCATGATTTCTTCTAAAATCAAAGAATGACATTTATATTTGTATAATGAAATAATTCCCATAGTGGATATTTAACTGGAAAAAAGTTGGACAAAACTTCAAATCTAGAAGAGTGTAAATTCCAAAAAGTTGAAATATTTATCTAAAGACCATGAAAAATAAATCACTAGAGGATTTTTAAGAATTTCAGAATTGGAAAAGCCTTTCTCTGAATTACAAAAAACCCAGAGGCATAAAATAGAAGATTAATACATTTGGCTACATTTTTTAAATTGGGTTTACACTCTGATATCTAACCTACAAACCACACCATCATAAGAGCCTCAGCTATGCATATATTAGGACAGAAGCAATTCCTCAAAGTTCTTTAAGTTCCTTTTTCTGAGGAATGTTTTATCAATATACTGCTTTTCTAATATTTTTACAGTCAGTTATAAGAATTACATTTATTCATAACTGTTAAATCTAAGCATTGTACCCTTCTACAATGTACACACCGGCATCTAAGCATTGCACTTCTACATACAACACTCAACTCATTTAAGATCACGATTCTTAAAAGGAGAGGTCAAAAAATATATGCAGCCAGGACCAGTGGCTCACACCTGTAATCCCAGCACTTCAGGAGGCTGAGGCAGGAGAATCATGTGAACCTGGGAGGCAGAGGTTGCAGTGAACTGAGTTTGTGCCATTGCACTCCAGCGTGGGTGACAGTGCAAGACTCCATCTAGAATACAACACACACACACACACACACACACACACATATATATATGCAACGTGCAAGATTTTTGCCAGGTCTTCTGATGCTACTGTTAGTGATCCTCCACAAAATCAGTTGCTTCTGTGGTGTAAATATATAAATACAAAAGAAGCCTTTTATTTCAAAATACAAATGGTAAATAAGATATAACTTACAAGGCTTTTCTTAGAAATCATGAGATTATTTGCCATTGCAATAACTTTTCTTTCCTCTTCATAATGTTTGAAACATTATAGTAGTAAGTGTGAAATACGGGAAACGTACTGAACTATTCATCTGGGAACAAAATACTTATCAATAAATTATCACTAAATGTGTATCATGGCATGTCATTGTTTTCAAAGCTCTTTGCATTGAATTGAGAAACTACTCGGAGCAAACTGTTCCTCTCCTCAAAAGCAAGGATAATGACATCCACAATGTGGCCTCTGACCCAGCTGTACATTTCCTACTTTCCTATTAGTGAAAATAACAAACTGACTTCTCTATTAATATTTTAAAAAGAACTAATGTCCCAAAACTAGCAAATCTGTTGTTAGTAGCAAAACTTATTTTTGATATTGGAAAGATAATCAATTCTTATGAAAAATATCAAATGCTTTTCCTTTGGATTGAGGCCATTGTGAAGGTCACTACTCGACTGTTGCAGGCAAATGCAGTTGAATTAAGAACATGGCTTTATCCTATGTGTACATATATAGATATATGACCAAGGATATACAGGGTGTGTGTATATATATGATTTAAAAATCCTTTATACCTTCCAAAATAAAGCTTTTTAAAAATATACACACATATGAAAACATTTGATAATGACTAAAGAAAATACCTCAGAATTCATTTCCTTTTCAGCCACTTCTATCTGCTTTTGTTTATTAGTCAGAATCTCATCTTGTGATATTCCAGTGTTCTGTTCTTCAGAAAGTTGTTTCTGGGTATCATTTTGTTCGTCACTAGAAGAAATTTTAATTTTCATGAAATACTGGAGGTGTCCCTAAAATGATCTACAGGGCAAGATGGCACCATCAGATGTCATTCACACAATGTATATCTGCACATTAATCCAAGACAAGGCAAAGGGGCCTCACATCTGTTAACCCTGCTCTCCCAGTCATGTTGGCACCAGGGACTAGTTTTGTGGAAGATAATTTTTCCATGGACCTGAGGTGGGGGATGGTTCCAGGATGATTCAAGCACATTACATACATTGTGCACTTCATTTCTATTATTACTAATATATAATGAAATAATTATATAACTCACCATCATGTAGAATCAGTGGGAGCCCTCAGCTTATTTTCCTGCAACTAGATGGTCTCATCTAGGGGTGACAGGAGATGGTGACAGATCATAAAGCATTAGATTCTCATCAGGAGTGAACAACCTAGATCCCATGCATGAGCAGCTTGCAATAGGGTTCAAGTCACACTCTTATGAGAATCTAATGTCACCGCTGATCTGACAGGAGGAGCAGCTCAGGTGGTAATGTGACAGAGAGTGGCTGTAAACAGATGAAGCTTCACTTGCTCATCTACCACTAACTTCTTGCTGTGTGGCCCAGGTCCTAACAGGCCAGGGACTGGTACTGGTCTGTGGCCTGGGGATTGGAAACCCCTGTGTTAACTCAAACTTTTTATGTTTATTTTTTGGAAACAGTTTCCACTTATATTCTTTATTCCTCTGTAATTTATAGACAAATTAGAAATTCCCTTTGGAACAAGACAGGGTCTAATATTGTGTTTTTAACATAGAACTTTGAATTAATTTTATCTGTGTATGAGAGAGAGATGTGAAATAAACTGATCATTAATCGCTTTCAATTTCACTTTTATTTCATGCATATTAAGAAGAAAACTGGGAAGCCCTAGGCAGAGCAATTGGGCAAGAGAAATAAAGGGCATCCAAATTGGAAAAGAGAAAGTCAAACTCTCTCTTCACCAATGATATGATCTTATGCCTAGAAAACCCTACAGACTCCTACAAAACACTCCTAGATTTGATAAATGAATTTAGTAAAGTCTCAGAGGTTACAAAATATACAAATACCAATGAATAGTACCACTATACACCAACTACAACCAAGCTGAGAGTCATATCAAGAATCCAATCCTTTTTACAATGGCTGCAAAATAGTAAAATACCTAGGAATATACTTAATGAAGGAGGTGAGTGATCTATCAAAGGATAACTGGAAAACGCCACTGAAGAAAATCATAGATCATACAAATAAATGAACATACATTCTATGTTCCTGGACTGAAAGCATTGATATTGTGAAAATGCCATAGTGCCCAAAGTAGTCTACAGAGTCAATACAGTTTCTACCAAAGTACCAATGTCATTCTTCACAGAGTTATTTTAAAAAGCTGTCATTCATGTAGAACCACAAAAGAGCCTGAATAGCAACAGACATACCAAGAAAAAGGAACAAACATGTTGGCATCAAATTACCTGACTTCAACTCTAAGGCCACAGTAACAAACATCATGGTACTGGTATAAAAGTAGATACACAGATCAATGGAACAGAATAGACAACTCAGAAAAAAGGCCACTTACAACCAAATGATCTCTGAGAAAGGATACAAAAACATACACTGGAGAAAGTACACGTTATTCAACAAATGGTGCTGGGAAAAAAAGATAGTCACATATAGAAGAATAAAATTGGATCTCTATCTCTCACCATGTAAAAAATTAATTCAAGATGGATTAATGGCCTAAACCTAAGACCAGAAGACATTAGCCTAGGCAAATAATTTATGATGAGGACCCTGAAAGCAAAAGCAACAAAAATAAAAATAAATAAATAAATAAATAAATAAATAAATAAATAAAGACCTAATTAAACTAAAAAGCTTCAGCACAGCAAAAGAAATAATCATCAAAGTGAGCCAACCACTTATACAATGGGGAAAATATGGGCAAATTATGAATCTAACAAAGGATTAATGTCCATAACCTACCAGAAGCTCAAACAAATCAGCAGGAAAAATACAAACAAATCCATTAAAAAGTGGGCACATGACATGAATAGACATTTTTCAAAAGAAGATGTACAAATGGTGAACAAGAATATAAAAACATGCTAAATATTACTAATCATCAGGGAAATGTACAATAAAACAACAGTGAGATATCACCTCACTTCAGCCAGAATGGTCACTACTAAAATAAAAAAAACAGCAGATGTTGGTGTGGATGTGGTGAAAAAAGAAGATTTATACACTGCTGGTGGGGATACAAATTAGTACAAATCTATGGAAAACATTATGGAGAGTTCTGTTAAAGTAGATCTTACCATTCTATCCAGCATTCTCATTTCTGGATACCTACCCAAAATAAAAGAAATCATACTCTCAAAAAGACACCTATATACATATGTTTACTGCAGCACAATTCACATATGCAAAGATATGTTATCAGCCAGTGTCCATCAACTGATGAGTGGAATAAAGAAAATTATATATATATATATATATATGTATGTATGTATACCTGAGACTGGGTAATTCATAAAGGAAAGAGGCTTAATTGATTCACAGTTACACATGGCTGGGAAGGCCTCAGGAAACTTACAATCATGGCAGAAGGTAAAGGGGAAGCAGGCAACTTCTTCAAAAGGTGGCAGGAGAGAGAGAAGTGAAAGGGAAAGAGCCCATTATAGAATTATCTGCTCTTGTGAGAACTCACTATCAAGAGAACAGCATGGAGGAAACCGACCCCATGATCCAATACCTCCCAGCTGGTCTTTCTCTCAACACCTGGGAATTACAATTTGACATGAGATTTGGGTGGAAACACAAAGCGAAACTATTGGGGGGGGTGTATCCTTACTTTTAAAATATCAAAATGTCATTATTTATATTTCAAAAATAGCAATTTTTATTAGTAATGATTTTGTTTGAAAATAAAATGACCTGGTAAATTTTCTTCAATTTTAGCCTAGTATTTAGTCAAAATATAAAAAGCTGAATTTGCCAGCAGAAAACTGTAATTACTTTTAAATGAGGTAAAGATGTATAAGAATATCACTGTTATTGTACTGAGAAGAAAGTGAATGAGAAAAGGAATTTAAAAAGAGAGTATCACTACCATATACATACATGAACTGACAAAGAGACTAAAATCTCCTACTGGAGATTATGTTAGGACTTGAGCAAAAGCTTCTAAAAATACCAAAAACAGAAAGAAAATAATTAATTTTAAGGAATAAATTATACAGAGAAATATGTATTTTAAAAAAGGAAAACAGATCTTCCTGAGAGCTATTATTAACCAATTCATCTTGACCAAAATTTTAAAATGAAGTCTACAATTCTGGAATATAAAGTACTTTCATTTTGAACATAGTTAATTGAAGGCAACTTTTATACAGAAAATTTTTGGTTAAAGTTGACTCTAACTTAGGAAAGAAATGACTTGTACCAATGGTAACAACAAGCCACCCAAAAGCCAGTTTGAAATCTAGTCAATCAATCAATGACCACTGCTCTTGCTCACCAACCAATATCAATGTGAGCAGCTTGCTTCTGAAATACAGCCACGCAGCAGCACCTGCTCCACCAGAATAGACAGTGCCTGACCAGTATTCCTCTTACTATAGGAAGCAAAAAATTCCAACTCTGTATCTTTATTTCAAATACCAAAGGTTCATAATCCCTTGAAAAGAATTTGTAAGTCCATTAAATGTGCCACCCTAATTTTTTTTTAAATAAAATACTAGTGGCCAGGCACAGTGGCTCATGCCTGTAATCCCAGCACTTTGAAAGGCCGAAGTGGGTGGATCACCTGAGGTACAGAGTTTGAGACCAGCCTGACCAACAGGGTGAAACCCCATCTCTATTAAAAATACAAATATTAGCCAGGCGTGGTGGCATGCCCCCGTAATCCCAGCTCCTTGGGCGGCTGAGGGAGGAGAAATGCATGAACCAGAAGGCGGAGGTTGCAGTGAACTGAGATCATACCACTGAACTCCAGCCTGGGGGATACAGCAAGACTCCATCTCAAAATAAAATAAAATACCAGTAAAGTTTACAATTCCTCTGACTCAGTTTACCATAATTACAATTATGTTTACTAGTAAAAGAATAAATAGTGAATAACCACAATATTGGGCTTTTCTCTCTAAATAAAAAAATAATATAAAGGATGTAGCTTATTATAAAGAGCCAAAACAATTTTTAAAATGCATGTAATTACCGGGCAAAACTGTTAGAATGAACCATGTCAAACATTTTTAAAGTGAGAATTAATCAAACAATATATCCAGGATAAACTCCATTCACTCATTTAATAAGTATTTATTAGGTAGCTTCATCCAATATGCTAGGCCTTTTTCTAGGCAGTGAGGATATGGTAGTGAAAAATAAAAACCCCATTCATGAGAGTGAGAAAAACACACAATAACAACAGACAGATAAGGCAAAATATACAGTATGTTAGAGGAGAAAAACTAAAGCAGGAAAATGAAATGTTTATGTGTTTCATGGGGAGGGTGGTGGGAAAGTTGGGGTGGTCAGAAAAGTCCCTGCTGAGAAAGGGGATTTTTTTTTCTAATACAAAAAACCTTTTATTTGTATATCAAAGACTCTAAGAAATGACGACATAAGGTTAACGGCATTGATGTCAAGATACAAATGGGTTTGAAGTTAGAGATGTTAAATCACTTTGTTTCACTGAACCTTCCCTTCATTACGTTAGAGAGCATCCCTGGTAGGCACCCAATTGAACCTCAAGCATGACGTGTCTAGGTAGCACGCTGTTCTTCCTCAGAAAGTGGTTGTTCCTTAATGTCTTTCTTTTTACCCTTTTTCCTCTTCTTCTTAGAAAGGGGGTTTTAAATAAAGAACTGAAGGAATGGAAAGAGAAAGCTAGGAGGATAACTGGGGAAAAAGCATTCCAGACACAGGGAACTGCGAATCACAGAGGTGTGCCTGGCATCTTTAAGCACTAGGGGTAGATAAGGGACGGCAAGAATTCAGTTTGGCTGAAGCAGAGCAAGGGAGATAATTAGGAGGAACTTTGACACATACTCCGAGTGAAATGGGAGATAATCAGAAGGGCTGGGGCAGAGGAATGACACAATTTGACTTATGTTTTAAATACATCCACTGAGTTAAGAATTGATGAAAAGGGAAGTTTTTAAAAACCAGGACTATCAATTCCCAGTCTATGACACTCATCTAGACTGCAGATGAGGGTGGCTCAGATGTACAAGATATGACTGACTTCTGGACATATTCTTCAGGTAGACCTGACAAGATTTACTGAGAGATTAGATGTGAGGTGTCAGAGAGAGAGAGAGATGAGTCAAGAATGACACCGAGATATTTGGCAGAGCAACTGGAAGAGTTGCCCTTAACCAAAAATAGGAAAGACTACATGAGGTGCAGATTTCAGGAAGGACATCAGTAGCCCAATTTTGGATCTGACAAGTGTGTGATACCCAATAACTAACCAAATAGAGACGTCAAGTAGGCAGGCTGATATAGAAATCTGGAATTAAGGAGAAAGATCTGAGCTGGAGACATACATTCAGAAATCACTAGCATATACACAGTAGAAAAAGTCACGAGGGGCCAGGTGCAGTGGCTTACACCTGTAATCCCAACAGTTTGTGAGACCAAGGCAGACAGATCCCCTGAGGTCAGGAGTTTGAGACCAGGGTGGCCAACATGGGGAAATGCTGTGTCTACTAAAAATACAAAAATCAGCTGGGCACGGTGGCATGCACCTGTAATGCCAGCTACTCAGGAGGCCGAAGCAGGAGAATTGCTTGAACCCAGGAGGCAGAGGTTGTAGTGAGCCGAGATCACACCACTGAACTCCAGCCTGGGAGACAGAGTGAAACTCTGTCTCCAAAAAAGAAAAAGAAAAAGTCACAAGAAAGAAGACTGAGGAGTGAGCCCTGGGAAACAACAATGTCCAAAAGGAGAAAGATGAGGAGGAGCAAGCAAAACAGACCATGATGAATGGACTAGAAAGGCAGGAGGAAAAGCCTGAGGGAGTGAGGTCCTGAAAGCCAAGTGAAGATGCCGTTAGGGAGGAGATGCCCTCCATTAGCTCAAATATTGCTGACAGATTAAATAAAATGAGGTGGAAGAAAAGTGCCTAGGTTTATTACAGAAAAAAATTAGTGATAATCTTGAGGAAAAACAATGCTGGAGGACTGCTGAAATTGAAGACTTACTGGCATGAGATCAAGAGTGAATGAAAAGAAAATTTGAGTTCGTGAGTGTAGACAGTTCTTTTAAGGACATCATACTTAGGAGTCATGGCTGAGAATGTTGTAATTTTCTTCCACAGTCATGGAAAAGTAATAGACAAATAGTTTCAAATTTTACATAAAAGGTGTAGTTTTCAAATTTTATATAACAATTATATATTTTAAAGCTTATAAAAATTATACACATGTGGCATTAAAAATGCCAGACCAAGGTGTTAAATCTTAAAACTATAGAACTAAAAGTTGCCTTGACCATTTCTAGATTACATAAGCTAATTATCATTTTGTTCATGCTTATACATAAAGACCAAGAAAAACTAAAAGTTTCAAGGAGAGTATTTCTTGCTTGATAAAAATCAGCCAATTCTAGGACAGTTGATGCTCATCGAATATACAAAGTAATTGGTCACCATAAAATACTGAATTCTATTAACAGGAATAAAGTGGCAGAAATGCAGAAAATAATCTTATTTTACAAATGAAATTTTTAAAAATATATGAAGTCACTGTGGAAAAATATGGTGAGGTGAATACCAAAATATATCTTTTTCTCAAAGGAAAGATACTGTCACACATGCTGGGCACTTTTATAAATAAGTGTTACTGCATTAGCAGCACCTTCCTTTTAGCACAAGGGTCAGCAAATTAGCACCTGTGGGCCAAATCCAGGCCACTGACTGTTTTTGTAAGTAAAGAATCTTGGAACACAGCCATGCTTATTCACTTTACAGTCCATAGAGTCAATTAGCTGGGTGTGATGTTGCACACTTGGGGTCCCAGCTAATAGAGAGGCTGAGGTGGGAGGAGGATCACTAGAGCCCAGAAAGTCAAGGCTGCAGTGAGCTGTGATCACACAATTGCACTCCAGCCTGGGCAACAGAGACCCTGTCTCAAAAAAAATAAATATATATAGTCCACAAAGCCTAAAATATTTACTAAATGGCTCTTTGCAGAAAAAGCTGGCCAGCTCCTGGTTTAGCAGATGAAAGATACTTTGATATATTTTAATAAAAGTTTTACCCAATATACTCAAATGTTTATATTAAATATAGGTCCCCATGTACAATCCCTTGGCAATATTCAGATTGAAGGTCCAATATTTTGGCACTCAGGCACTGACAACAAAAATTTAATAACTACCAATCTCGTTGCTAACAAGGTACAGTGTCAATGTAGCGTGTAGCTTCCATTTGCAACACAGCAGATATTACAAGAATTCTAACAAAATTATCTTAAGATGTGTTACCAAACTAAATGCTTTAAATACATTTTAATTGTGAAATAATCAGTATACTCTAGATCTAACCTCATTTGTAAAAAATGTTTGCATACCGTATTATTTTCTGGGTATGAAAATTGAGCCATTTCCTATTGGTAAGGATTTACTTTTGATAATGATAAATTCCTATTGATAAGGATCCATCTTTTTGATATAATAACGCTGTAAGAAATGTCCTTATACATAAGTATATATGTGACAAATCTATACAAATATCCTTAACATACATATATATACTTACTATGTTATATATGTGTGTGTGCAAATATGCTAATAAATTAATGTTCAAAATATATTTACCAACAGTGTATGAATTGTCTTTTTCAATGAGACCGTTTCCTTTGCAGCAACACACATGGAGCTGGAGGCCATTATCCTAAGCAAACTAATGCAGGAACAGAAAATCAAATGCCACATATTCTTACTCATTTGTGGGAACTAAACAATGAAAACTCATGGACACAAAGAGGAGAATAACAGACACCAGGGTCTACTTGAGGGTGGAGTGTGGCAGGAGGGAGATGACCAAAAAACTACCTCTCGAGTATTTTGCTTATTATGTGGCTGATGAAATAATCTGTAGTCCAAACCTCCATGACACAGTTTACCTATATAATAAACCTACACATGAACTTCTGAAGCTAAAATAAAAGTTCATTAAAAAGAAAAGGAAATGCCTTTTCCCTCACATTTGCCAATGCCGGTTATTTTTCAAATAAATTAATGACTGGAAAAAACGGTAACTCATTGTTTACTGATTTTCATTTTTCTGATTAACAGGCAAGGCTGAATATTCTAGTAAAAGTATAAAATTTGTTCATCATGAAAGCCCAAATTAGGATTAGTTTGACAGCATATAGTTATCTCCTATTAAATGTTGCCATAGGCTTACCTGTGATACTCTTCATTCTCAGTGTCAGGAAATTGCTGATTTTCAGGTTTTCTGCTCTTCCTTTGTGGAATTAATCCATCATCACCATTGCCAGCACTGGCACCATTAGTCAGGTTTTCTGGTAATCCCACAGGATTACTTCCATGCTTCTTTATTTCTTCTTCAACCTTGAGTGGAAGTTTGATATTAAGGATGGTTATCACTTTATTGAATAAAAATAACCTTTTTAATTGATTTTATCAATTGACTCAGTTTGCCATTATTTTAGTCATTAAAAATATTTCACACTTAAATTTGATCATATATACAGAACTATAACCGTATAATTTTAAGATGTAATTATCATGTCATTAGTATATCACTGAAATTTTTGTAAAGTTTGCTTGATTCCAGCTGTTTGACTGAATAAAACAGAATTTTCCAAAATTCAAAAAGGGCCCTCCTTCATTTTGTGCTTTTATTCCCAAAAACTCTTCAGAATCTTATATATGAATTTACCCCATTTGACTCGTGGGAACACAAAAATAAAACGACATAGACACAAAATGTGTCTTCTGTCTTTACCACCTAGATTTTACATTAAACACTCAGATGTAGAGGATGAGACACTGGGGGGCTTCAGGAATAGAAAGGAAGATGGCCCTTTTCTGCACTAAGATATTCTCCTCCCCCACTGCCTTTGATCGTTCTTTTTTCATTTGGTTCCTGGATATCAAAAACATGATGGTGCTCACTGAAACATGAAAACCAAAGTTTGCCACAACACAAGGAGCAGAGTGAAACTGCTGAGGTGCAAGCATGGAATTCCAGAAAATTAGATGCTCCCCAAATTTCACATTCAATAGCTATACAATTTTCCAGCTGGAAATTACAAAGAATAAGTAATTATCTTCTTTAGCCACATTATCTAGTGATAATCAGACTAAAACCAAGAAAGATAAAAGGATTGGTCCAAATCTCCTAAAGTGGCATTACCTAGCATTTTATGGCACCATTCAGGATTGTTCCATAATAATGAAAGAATCTCTCTAGGGTTTGTATCTCTTGAAAACTCAATGTACAGAATTCTTTCTGAGTTAAATATTAAATTTTTCACTGGTGATTTATGCTACTTACATGATAGGATCATGTATGCGTACACTTACTACACTTTGTTAAACAGCATAACATAAAAATCTAATTCCACAGAAACATTTGAACATAAAGGTATACCTCTCTATCACAGTCCTTATTTATTTCTGGTTCTTGAGACATTTTCTGCAGATGCAAAAATAGAAGGTTAATTTGCTTGTTGTATTTCCGTGTATGTCTCCTCTTTTGGAATGCATGTTAAAATAATTTTATTCTTAAGTAATCAAGTATGGACATGAAAAATTAGAAAATAAAATAAAATTTAACTGTTAAAATAATTAAATAAATAAATAATTAAAATTAAGAATTAACTTTTTAATCTATGTTTAGCTACTGCCACATCATTGGCTTCTGACTAACATGGGAAAATAATTCACCTTAGACAAAGGGAGAATAAAAACATGAACCAGCAAACTTAACTTTGTCACCATTTGTTTGGACTAAACTTAATTTGTTATGTGTTAAATCTACCAAAAATGAATTAGCAGATGATTTGTAGTGTTCCAAGGGCTTCCTCACTTGAAAAGAGTATATCTCATGAAACCCTAACTAGTGAGCCCCTATAGTGCACTGAAGTGCTTTTTAAAAAGATTCCTAATTGGATTGTAGGCACGCTTTAAATTATTAGGAGCTGAAATCAACACCAAACAGGAAGAAATGCAAATTCTTAAATTTTAATTGAAATTATATGCTGTAATATGATAGTGTTATGTATCTAGATGATCTGCTTAAGTCCAGTTCTAATATATTCTAAGGTGTACTAATTACAGTGGATAAAAATTTTTTAATAATCTGTACTGATTTTCTGCAACTAAAATAAGGTAGAAGGTTATTGTGTTTGTGCACTAACACCAAATGTCCCATTCTGCAAGATATGATTCTTGTAATAGGCAGTTGGGTTGCTTTTATGACCTGGTTCCCTCCCTGAACAGAAATGCTGAGGTCAGTGAGAGACCACAAGGCAGAATATGTCTTTAACCTTGGTATCAGTGACTGACAATATAAAACTGCAGATTTTCAATCACTGGCCGTGATTATTCTTTAACCATGAATCCAGCTCAGGGACCTTCAGTGTTACATTGTTCACAGTTCTATTGCTTAATAATATAATCCAATAATTGATGGTACTTTATCATGTTAGGGTGTTGTAAAAATAAAAGAACAAACAAAGGTCTGGAATATGTTTTTGCCTCTATTCCAAAAGGAAAGATTAGCTATAAGCTAATCAAAAAGGCAGATAAGAATATTTTAAATAAGAATACCATAAAATAAGAGTATTTTAAATTTTATAGTGGTTACGTTTTTAAGCTAAATATCAAATGTCAAGTTAGAATTTATTAATTCTTCTGTTAATGAGATTGCTGAATTTATTAAAATAAATTTTAAGAATCTATTAAAAAATTCTTAAAAAAAGAATCTATTGATTCTTAAAACCTAGTCTGAAAGGTAATTTCATTTGGACTATCTAATATTATTCAAGCAAAGAAAACAACATTAAATCAAAAATTTAAACTTAAAATTTTCCATGCCTCTGGCTGGCTATTTTCACTGACTTTAAGCCTTTGTGACTCTTCCTCTGATGTCAGCTTTAAGTCTTGTTCTGTTGAGAAATCCATATATTCAGTTAAAATGAACCACTTAGAACAGTTAAAAACTATTGCCTTTATAAAAATAGATTGAAGACAACATTTTATTTTATTTCATAAACTGAGTGTTTAGTCTTTCATGAAATAGTTACTTAGGAAATAATTCTCCAAAACTTCAACAAACCACTTGGGGAGACACCTGATGTGATTCACTCACAAATTCATCCACCCAACATAAATGAACAAAACCACCAGAAACACAACTTTAAAATACAGTAGAAACATATAAGGTAACTCAGTATGTTGTTCACTTCCTAATAGTGAAGCAGTAAATGTAAAGAAAAGGAAATTTAGTTTTAAAGAGAAACAAGTTTTCCTGCACTTAGCTAGTCTGACTCTAAGGATAGTAACAAGCAGGCCCAGGAAAGGTCATGGTGACCCTGTCTGAGAAGCCAGAGCCCACAGGTATGGGCTCCAGACATCCCAGAGCAAGGTTAAGAAAACAAATTCCTTTACCATCTCCCCTCCCCCTCAGCATTTATTCATAGCTATTTTTACAAATGCATATATTTTGCAAATTCTTGTTTTCCCTCAATGCAGCTGCAAGGTCGCAAGCTATGCAGTGGTTGCAAAACTGTCACTATATGATTAACTGCCTTTGTTCTGCTTCTATAAGTTTGCCTATATAAGCCAAGCCCTGTCTTTGTTCAGGGCTCAGCTTTTTGATGCAAATCCGCTGAGCTGGTGTGCACCTAAACAAAATCCTCTTGTTTGACCCACTGGGTCTCTCCTGCCTCCTGTTTTCTGCAAAAATAGTACCTTACAAACGATTTCCAAAATTACTACTGACACCTTTATTAGTGTACAATGTCTTCTTAACATCTAAAATGTTTCCATCCACTATTATGACAAATTTATTTTCATTTTTCTTTTTTTTTTGTTTTAGCTGGGGTCTTGCTCTGTCACCAGGCTGGAGTGCAGTGGCACAATCTCAGCTCACTGCAACCTCTGACTCCCTGGTTCAAATGATTCTCCTGTCTCAGTCTCCTGAGAAGCTGTGATTACAGGCACACACCATCATGCCCAGCTAATTTTTGTATTTTTAGTAGAGATGGGGTTTCACCATTGGCCAGGATGGTCTTGATCTTTTGACCTTGTGATCCACCTGCTCCAGCCTCCCAAAATGCTGCAATTACAGGTGTGAGCCACCACACCCAGCCTTGTTTTCATCTTTTAAAACAATGCTATGGGAAGTCTTCCTTGATTCTGCAGATCTTTCCCCAGATAAACAGGTAACTCCTTCCTTGAGGTTGCCTTAGGACCTCACTGATTTTTCTACTGCACCTTTACCACCTGAACTGTACACTATTCCTCCACATGTCTGTCCCCTCTGCTCCAAGACTGCAGAGGACAGTCTTGCACATCATCTTTGTAAAAACAGTCTTTATTTTACTCAGAAATTTCTTATTGAGTCCTGCTACATACATGCTAGGTGTTAGGGTTTAAAAAGAATGAAAATAAAGCCTGTCAGGGATGGCTTTTCTAGAACACCTGCCCAAGCAGAGACTTAAATATTGAGGCTAGCTAGATTAAAAGTGGTAGAGGGCAAGAAAGGGTGACAGCATGCCACACAGCAGCAAGAGCAGGAGCGAGGCCTGAAAGAGTGAAAGTATTTGCCTGCAATAGAAGGAGGAGTGAGTAGGGCATTAAGAGCCACTCAGTAATGCCAGAGAAAGGGCACACAGGGAAAAGGGCTAAAGATGTAGAATAGGGCAGAAGTCAGATTATGAAAGCCTTATGTGTACCTTTAAGATGCTTAGACATTAACGTTCAAGAGTGGTCCCTGGTCCTATCTGTATTAAGATGTAGATCATTTTAATGCCAAAACCAATATTCCTAGTGAGCCATTATTCATTAAGACAAGGTGACAGCTAGCTCATGTGGACACAGCTGAGATGATACTATGTAGCAAATTCCCAATAATTCTCATGAACACTTGGAAAGTCAATTCTATAATAAGTCATAGAAATTATAATAAATCACTTAATATTTGTTTGGGAAGGTGCTTTATAAAGTTATAGTGTATATGAATATAACTAATAGTTGTGAATTCAGAGCTGTGAGAATAAAGCAAAAAAATCACACTGTGTTTGAGTCAGCAATCTTTAGATTTCTATCTAGTCTTCCTACCCAGTCCATAAATTCTAAGTATAATCCTAGTACTCGCTCTCAAGTTTAAGTTAAATGCTAGCCTATACAAAAAATACTCTTTCTCTTACTTCTTTTTTGTTATTTATATGTTGCTTTGTTTAAAGGAAGAACACAAAAATGCCCTGCTAAAGGGATTCTGTTTGGCTGCAGGCTGCAAGAGGGGAAAAACACAAAGCACATTTTACAGAAAATGATTTTTTAGAAGTCAGAACTATGACATGAAGTCAAGCAGGGCACTCTAGGACTGACTTTGCTGTGCTTCCTTAATATGCTCCTTGCTCTCTTTCTTTTCTGGAAGCTGTGACTCACACAGGTCATGGAGAAAATTTCGTACTCCTTCCTCATGCCCAGCTTAAATACTAGTGTACAACGTGGAAACCTGTAAATTATCTGACATTTCTCTCTGTCCTCCAAACCTTTCTCATTCAATTATCACTAAATCATATTGACTATACCTCTCTTCTGCCTCTGCTTTATATTACCACTTCCACTGAGAACATAAACATTTACAAAATGGCTTTTATTACAAAAAAGCCTTCCAACTATTAATGTTATTTCTTACATGAAAAAAATTAAGCAAAACAAATGAAAAAAGCATAACACCAAAAAAAGGCCAACACATTAAAATGAGTAATGGGGATTCCAAACTTTATTTCACCATGGGCAGGTGAAAACCTTAGAATACACTGATACTAGTCCAAGGATGTGTGACATGGAAACTATAGCTGACTACTGCAAAAGCTTCCTTTGTCTCCTGGTTTCTTTACATGGTTATCTTCCATCAATCCCAGCAAACTATAGGCCACAGGACAAATCCAATCTGCCTTTTGGCTTTGTAAATAAAGTTTTATAGGAGCTCAGTCATGCCTGTTTGCTTACATATAATCATGGTGGCTTTCACACTACAACAACAGACAACAGCCTGGTTAAGTAGATATGACAGAGACCACATAGTCTAAAATATTTCCCACCTGGTCCTTTACAGAAAAAGCTTGCTAACCCATTTTACACCATAAGCAGAATATGCCTTAATATTCAAATTTAATCTTGTAACTCCCCTGCTCAAATTTCTCCAATGAGTCCCTGCAGCACACATTGTTGGCTCCTATCAATAGCCATTCCTTATTCTTTCTTGCAGAAGAAACACAAGTCTATTGGGATATTTATTATCCCAATCCCCCTCCTCAGCCTCAGAAAGAGAAATGTTTATTCTAAGCTAATCATGTATTTGCCATCCCATTGCCTGGTTTGGGAATGAGCATGTGGTGTGACCCAGCCAATGAAATGTTACAGGAAGCCCCTTGCATGTTTCTAAGTTTTCTCCCTGTTTAAAAGACACATGTGAAGAAAAGCAGCCCTTGAAATGTTGTGTTGTGAGAACAAGATGTTTGGAGCTGCTGCGGATTAGCCAACCATGAAAGGAAACATGAAGAAAACACTGCCAACAGCACAGCTGAAAGAGGGACAAATGGGATCCTAGGATATCACTGAACAACCAAAACAACTCTGGTTCCTACTGTTTTAGCCACTGCTCATCTAGTATTTACAGTCCAAAGCATTCTACCTGGTAAATTTCCCATGGCCCACAGGGTAAGACCTACTCATTTCTATAGTATTAAAAAAGTCTATCATAAACTTGCCTTAGCTAAGTATTCACCTCATTCCCAAACTCTGGTGTCTCACACTTTTGGTACTAGCAAAAGTGAACTGCTCAGAAACCCTGCAAAGTTCACTCGGCATCTTGTCTTTTGCAGTTGTTGCTCTTCCTGCCAAACAGGCAATCTCATCAGATGTTCTTCTGGCAAACACACAAACTTGTTGCATGTTCCTTCTGCCAAAAATTATTCTTCTGCTTCTTTACCTAGAAAAATTCTTCTCACTCTGCATGCTTACTTTGAATCATACCTACTTTTTTTCAAAACTTTCATTCCTCATCACGTATGTCTGGCACATAATTAATACATAATAAATCATAATTATAAGCTTCCAGTTGGCATCTAGCACACAGTAAGCACTGAATAAAGTAGTAAAATAATAAAAATGACAATGATAATAACAAGCTCCTGTCTGTATTTTTAATTGTGTGCGTTCTGTAGCATTAGAAAAATGATTAGTATCTAAAAGACATTTGATAGTTATTTGTTAAGTGGACAAGTGAAAACATAGAAATGTTTTCTTTGTAAATTCTGTTGAAAAAGCACAGAAATGAAATAGAGACACCTCTATTATGAGCACCTTAAAGATCAAAACTACATCTATTCCATCTTTGTCTTCTGCAACTTATAAAACCTAACTTACAGAAGCTTTTTGATAAATAGATGGCTAAATTAAAGGTGTCCTCATCCAGTTTGGATTATACAATGTATTAGGTGTCCACAACCAGGTGGCATACTAGTATTTTTGTTAATGTGAAGCATTTTTCTACTTTTATTATAATCTGCTGAGCCTAGAGTTGGGCAATTTGTATATTTATTATGACAATCTTTTGGTAAATGGTAGCAGAGCATCTTGTTCTAACAAAATTACTGTTATCAAGACAATTGACCAGCAGGTAGAGAACACATCTTGTTCCAACAAAGTAAATGTATCTCTTTCCAACTTCAAATGAGGAGGAATGAAGTCAGTAAGAGTGAGACCTTGTTGGGACAAGGATATGTAACATGACTTGTGCTTTGGCGTTCTTTTGTGATCAAAAATTCCTTACTTTTATTTTTTATCTACGGTAGGACCACCCAGAGCAGGGGTCCACAACTCCCAGGTCACAGACTGGTACCAGTCCATGGACTATTATGAACCACACCACACAGGAGGAGGTGAGCAGCAGGCAAACCAGGGAAGCTTCACCTGTACTTACAGCCACACCCCATGGCTCATATTACCGCCTGAACTCTGCCTCCAGTCAGATCAGTGATAGCACTAGATACTCATTGGAGCATGAACCCTATTGTGAACTGCTCATCTGAGGGATCTAGGTTGTGTGCTTCATATGAGAAACTAATGCCTGATGATCTGTCACTGTCTCACTTTGCCCCCAGATGAGACCATCTAGTTGCAGAAAAATAAGCTCAGAGTTTCCACGGATTCTACATTATGGTAAGTTGTATAATTATTTCATTATATATTACAATGTAATAATAATATAAAGTAGCACAATAAATGAAACATGGCTGAATAATCCTGAAACCATCCCCACCTTCCCCCAGCCCATGGAAAGACTGTCTTCCACAAAACCGGTCCCTGATGCCAAAAACATTGTGGACAACTGACCTAAAGTAATTCATTATCACAAGTCTTACCTGGATTGCTGTTTTCAGAAGAGATTTTTAGCATCTGTTTTTCTTTATAGTCAGAAAGTAATTCACAAATTCTATGTATAAAAATGTAATAAACCAAATTACTATTTTAATACTGATATAAAAAATACTTACCAAATGTAAAATTCTTAGAGTATTTCAAACAATATCATAATATCAGAATTTAACAGTATTATCCCATACACTTATGAGTACATTCTACAAACTTTTCTTTAAGCTTCTAATTAAAGAAGAAAAAAAATTAGGTGAAATGCTCATAAATCAAGGGCACTGTGACCCAGTAAATCAGCAGGCATTAGCATGACATAATAGAAAGTGTCCCAACTCTGCATAAGTCCTAGCTCCATAATGAACAGCTATTTGTTCTTGGACAACTTTCTTCTCTTAGGCTCAATGTCTTCTTCTACAAAGTGAGGACTTTGCTGCCTTATTTCACTAGGTTGTTATAAAGATTTAACAAGGTAACATTTTTTAAATGCTCAGAGAAATAGTAAAGCAATGGAATAATCTGTTCCTAAACTTTATGACTAAAATTATCTTGGAATCCCAAATAAAACCCCATGTGTGTTTTGTTCATAGGTTCTAATATGCAAATGCTGTAGTTTTCAGAAAATGTTATTAAGTCCTAATTTTGCTTCTTAGTTGTCCTACTCCTTATGGCTTATCATTCAGGGCATCTCAACTGTGTCATAGTTTGTAACTAAATTTTTTCATAAATCTCTCATTAAAGTAGATAATGTGATTGTCCACTATTACGGAGTTGACCAATTTGTTGTGCTAAGGGCAGAAAAACCAATGGATGTTAAGACCTGGCTTGGAGCAATGATCCTTCTCTACAGACTCAAACTCTGAGCCAGCAGATGTTTGTTAGGATAATGCTTTATATTGATGTTCAATTCCAGCTGACATGGGAGACCAAAACTCTACTTTTATTTTTTTTCAGTTTTCATGAAGAAGCTGCAAATTGACATTCTCTAATTTTTGACGTACATACTTATAATATATTTTGCACTGAACACATTATTCAGCTCTAAATCATCTCACAGACCATCTTCCATGACTATTTTTGCAGCACAAATCACATTTCGATATTTTGGTGGCACCCATTTTGCTTTGATTCACACTGTTTCCTTAGAGCTAGTCAGCAAATAGTGAAATGATCTTCCAGTGACTGCACAAAATATGGAATGCTTCAAAGAGTTGTGCTGCCTCCTTATGCAGAAGCCGTGCTAACTTTCTCTGTATTGTTCCAATTTTAGGATATGTGCCGCCAAAGCAGGCACAAAGCCCTACTTTTATACATGATTTGTGATGAGTCATGGGCAAGGCTTGGCTCTTGTCCATGACTCATCACTACTTACTTAACCCACGTGAGATTCTGAGAATTCTCTTCAATGGCTTCCTGTGAGGTACAATTTGAAAATATTTTAAAATCTTGAGCTAGAGATGGAAGTAGCTTGGATGATTTTCATTATCATGTAAATCAGATCACTCAAGGGGCCAACCACAGCTGGGAGCCACTGCTTGGGGAAGGCTCATATGGGACTTTCTACTGCCTAAGGTTCTACACAGGATATAAAGGTGCCTCACTGTGTAGATCTGGTAGCAAAGAAGAAGAAGCAAACACTGATCTCTTTCTGCCACATTATTTGAACCCCTCTGACCCTTTATAACAAGCCCACCTCATATCTGCTAGAGAAAAGACCAACAACGGCCTGAAAGGATCTCTTACCATGAAGGTCTCAGCTAATTCTTAGCTAAGATGTGGGTTCCACATTAGGTTCTGAATACAGGAGGAAGGGTCAATTTGCTCACTTTGTGTGCGGATAAAGTCAGGATGCCCAGCGGCCAGAGCAGGGTGCTGGTGCTTTGGGAACAATGGCTGAGCATATAAGCATAGGTAAGGGAACTAAAAAATGTTGTAACTTCAAAGTCACTGTGTGAATCCCCATGAAGACTTGAGGGATCTGAATCAGTAAGGGCACCTTGGTGTCAAAGGTCAACAATTACCAGGCAGCAGAAGCAGTTTGAGTGGCAACAATGCAGCAACAGAAACAATGGAAACAACAGAATGATTGGAATGTCCTTTTTTCTCTCCTCCTTCTGACTTGATAAAAGGGACTGTCTTCCTTGGATTTAGTGAACCCCTTTGGTTCTTGAAAAATTCAAGGAGTATGTAGGAGACAGTCCCCAGAAGACAGTACAAGGCTTTCTGCTAAACTGGACATTTCAAGACCCAAATAACTAATCAGAAAAATCAAAGATGTGATACTCTTTTTTATGCCATGCATAGGTGTTATACTTGGATGAAATGAACAATATTGGGATCTCTAAGGATAAAGGTCTTAAAAGTCCTGAGGTAAAGAATCCTGCACCCATTGGTACTTCTAACTTGTCTTGCTTTTTGTCTGATTTCTGGCTGATGCAGGGGACTAACTCACTGCCACTCTAAAACTACCTGAACCAAACTATGACATCTCACCTGATATGTAAGATGCAATTGTTATAATTATTTTAAACCTCAATTTAGCATTAACTAGCCTTTTCATGTAAACACTTACACATGATGATGACTAGAAACAGCATACTCTCTGGCCGTCTGTCCAGATAGATCTTGAGAAGATACATCAACATTTTGCTCAAGTAGAAGATTGACTATACTTGCTGATCCACAACATACAGCAAGTATGAGGGCAGTTCTAAAATTACAGAGATAATTTCTCCTTTAGGAACTGTAATAAAGTTATTTTAAAAGCTAATTTGATATACTTTACCAATTTGACATCTTGCCTGTCCATGCAGAATCAAACATTTACATGCGCTAAAAGACATAAACATCTTGGGTGCTCAAGAGTTCATCTTTGTAAAATACCACCAAGGTTAAAAGGAAGGGACAAAAAGGAAACCTCTTATCTCAGTGGGGTATTGCATAGCAGAAGCTACTAATTTAAAGTCCTTTGATGGGCAAGAAACAATGCTAGGGCCACTTATCTGAAGTGGACAAAGATTTAAGTGAAGATTTTGTCACAGCTTCCCTAGACTGATATGCTGTAATAGAAAATTAGCTAGGGGCTAAGATAAATAAGAGCTCTCTGCATGCTGAAAGCAGTAATATTAATAATAATGGTAAGAATAGTAGTCACAGGAGTTTCAGTTAATGATGCCAATAAGCATGTGCTACGCACTGAATTAAATGCCACATGTATCTTTCTTGCTTATGCACAGCCAACTTTGAAGGATACATTCTCCTACTTTTCACATATGACAACATATTGGGTGGTAAATCACGTTCCCAATGTCACACACGTAGCAAGTAAGAAAGTTAGGAATTAAACCCAGTCTTGTGTGAATCCAAAGCATAGCTCTTTTCTCTTTATCACCCACCTACAGCTTGCCTTCATTAAAGGAATAGTGTATCCACTTAAAACTATCTTCACTCCCTCTCTCCATACCAACTAAAAATAAAAACATCAAAATACACTGGAAATAAAAAAGGAAAAAAGCTGTTGAACCCACAGTATGTGGGAATAGCAATTAATTGTCATGTAGGGATAAGCTAACATTAATATTCTTCAAAGAAAGCAACTTAAAGCAGAGTCATTGAAAAGACAAAAGGATTTTCAACTCCTATTTATGTTTAATACAGCATATTTAGTGGAAAAGCATATAAGATACAGAGGTTAAAACCTACTAGAAAGGGTTAAAAAGTTCAATACTGAGTCATAAAGTAAACTGAAAGTTAAAGTTCAAACTTCATAAAATTAATATGAAATCCCTTTAGCTAACATAAGATCATGTAACCAAAAACATCATACAACAAATAACATCAGTCAATATAATAAGAGAAGATGAATCCTACTAAAACAGTTCTTTATGTTGCCCAGTCCAAATAATTGCTTTTCTACTTAACTGATTTGTGTTGATACTGATCACTATGTCCCAATAAGTATAATTTGATCTTATTAATTTATTATTTATGACTTGAGTGACTGCTATCAATCTAGAACAACACACAGATTAAACGAAATAACCATACCTTCCATATCTATCAAGTGCATTTAAATTAGCTTTTTTCTTGATTAAAAATTTCACCACTTGCTGTTTTTGTTCATGTACGCCAAGCAAAAGTGGTGTGAGCCCACACTGTAAAACAATATAAAACAAAAACAATATGTAATTCAAAAAATTATGTATCTCTCAACTGAACTGGAAGCTTATGGACTTACACTCACAGAAAGTAAATAAAATTTGGTCGCTTCCTTCTCACTCTTCTGTACTTTCCCACATGCCACTCCTTCCCTTGGAAACATCCCTTCTCTGCCTCACCACATTAAATCTGATCATCTCAAAAACTCACTTTAAACATTTACTGTTTCCAAGACTCTTTGTTTCTAAATGAGCATTTGGCATGGCACTTTTGGATGATTTTTTTTTTCATTTAAACAAAAAGCTTCTTGAGGGCAGGGGCTGTATCTTTTATCTCTATTATTATCCAATCCTAAGACAAAATTGTTGTGTATAAAGCAAGAATTTGAATGTAAAATATTTCTTTAGTTTCACATGTTTTACCAAAGTTCAAGCTCCAACATGCAATAAATATTGCTATTAATACTCACACTGCCCATTTCAAGAATTTTTTCCAACATTTATTCATTTAAAATCTATTTGTATTTAATTTTTCCAGATTGTTAACTAGATAGATAATCAGTTCATAGGATTACTGAAACTAAGAGATTTCCTATCTGTATTCTTAATAACTCCATGGTTTTGAGTGTTTAAACCTGCCATCCTGATTAAGCCAAAGCTCTACAAACTTAAGAGACATACTGGATAGCCCACAATATAGCTTCAATTGACAAAAAAGGTTTAGAATTTGCTACAATTCTGAGAAAACTCTGCTCTTAAAAACGACTTACTGACCTAAGCACTTGAATGATTGAACAAAGGGACACAAAGTCCTGAGAGAGCCATCCTCTATTTATTGGAAGACTACTCACTGCAAATTTCTAAAGACCTTCTGAATGGCAGTGAATAACTGATGGTAGAAAGGAAAAGGTATTATTCTGTAAGCTGATAGATAGTGCCAATAATATTTATTTTAATGTCCCAACGACAGAGATAAGTCAGACTAGGCCAGGAATGGTGGCTCACACCTGTAATCTTAGCATTTTGGGAGCCTGAGGTGGGTGATTCACTTGAGCCCAGGAGTTCAAGATCAGCCTGAGAAACATGGCAAAAACCTCATCTCTACTAAAAAAAAAAAAAATACAAAAACAGATTGGAGGACCACCAGAGCTTAGGGACGTCAAGGCTGTGGTGATCTGTGACCGCACCACTGCACTCCAGCCTGGGGAACAGAGTGAGACCCCATCTCAAAAACAAACAAACAAAAATTTAGATTAATGTTATTGGAAAGGAAAGATTTAAAGGAATTAGCACATATCCAACTCCAACTCTTCTAGAAATATCTGAAGTTTCTGAGATATAAGAATTTACATATTACACTTCTGTATTCAGTGGTTAAGCAGGAGTGTATCCGGATTTTGAGAAATTTGTTGTTGTTGTTGTTAGAGACAGGGTCTCATTATGTTGACCAGGCTAGAGTAGAACTCCTAAGCTCAGGCAATCCTCCCACCTCAGCCTCCCTAGCAGCTGGGACTACAGCCATGCACCACCATGCCTGGCTTCAAGGAAACATTTTTAAACATACATATCCAGGCTTTATTAGACTTACTCTATCAAAATCTTCAGGGGAAAACCTAGACCTGAAGATTATTTAAAAATTTTCCTGAGGTAACTGGAATGCACAACTCTAGCTGGAAGCTAGTGCAATAGACAATTATTTCAGTCTCATCTCTCATCACATAAACAATTCCCTTTATCATTTGAGGATTTGGCCAAAAAGAGGAAAGAGTAGGAGAGAGACTCATTTGCTGAAAACACCACAAAATTTTCCCCGGTAAGAGTAGAACAAGGTCTAGTAAACTCAAAATCCAACCTGATCTTTTTACTTATAAGCCCCTTATCTCCCACCTTCCCATCAAGACATTCTAGAATTGAAAGCAGAGTTGAGACTCTAATTGGCCATTTCTACCAGAATAGGATACTAAGTTGGTTAATTACTTGTTATTCCTTCTACTCAAGGGTTTCCCACTACATTACCACATATTCACTGCCAATCCGGTTCCTCAGAGGCCTCCTAAAATTGATCTCTAGGCAGTTTACAACCCACTAACTCCCTCTCCCAAACTGAAAACTGTCATTCTCTAAAATGGAAAAGAACCCTGTCTCACCATATAAAGGAAACAAATGAATGAACAACAATAACAACACACACACACACACACACACACACACACACAAAAAAAAAAAAACAAAAACAAAAACAAAAAAAAACCTCTTCATGGTCTTTTCCCCCATTACCTAATTTCCAAGTTGGCCTTGGTATTTCTGATTGCTGCATTTTTCCCTTTCCAATTCTGCCTCATGAGCAATCAGAAATATCTTAAGCCTTGCCACTGAGAGATACATCACCTCATATCTATTAGTGTTTTTTTAGGAATTTGCCAAAGTAGCAGGATTACTATTCACTGAAACATGTTTAAGTTTTCTTGGAGTTTTAATGTAAAACCTATTTCCAGGGCAAATTTTGTCATTTTACATTTGTTAGGGAAAAAAAAACTTGGCAGGGAAAAATTGAAAAAAAAAAAGTATTACCTTTTACAAATTCAGTGTTTTTTTTTTTAAAAAGCATTAACCACAAGTGCACTGAAAAAAACTGTACCCTCTAATGCTTCTTTAAAAGTAACAATATTTAAAATAAAGTCTTAGATAATTAAGTCATTTCAAAATATTTTCATTCAGGTTATGCTTGAGCTTCCAAATACGGAAAACTGGCCCTTACACAGGTCAATGTTAACACGAATGCATTTCAGTATTTTGAAGATAAAATTGGTAGATCTATACCTTGTTTTTTGATTCAATATCAGCACCATATAAGAGCAGTGCTTTGGCCATTAATTTATCTCCATTGTAGATAGCATAGTGTAGAGCGGTATTTCCATACTCATCTTGAATATTTCCATCAGCGCCATGTTCCAGCAACATTAACACACATTCATCTTCCTGGCATTGTACGGCCTGTCAGTATTAGACCAAAAACAAATTATAAGTCCTAGGAATTCAAAATAACATTCCACAGCTTTCACCAACTAGTTATATTTAAATGAGAAAACTCATTTTTATGCTATCTATTGAAATCAAACCCATCTCACGCTGATATAGTTGACTACTGCATACCTTTATCAGAGCTGTCCTTTTTTTGTTGTCAAGGACGTTAAGTTGACATCGTCTGTCCAGCAGGAGTTGTACTACTTCTGAATTTCCATTGGCAGAGGCCAAATGTAGAGCAGTCCTATGAGAGTGAGAAGACTTCAGGAAATTGTAGTGCACTAGCTAATGCCACATTAATGATTCATGTAGTTGCAAACACTGAATAGCCTATTACTCTGCCTTCAAAACAAACTCAATTTTCCTTTGAAGAAAGCACACTACTTATTACCTCTCATTAGTCACTGTATTAATGAAAGAGCAGCCTATTTGAATAGAAAGAGCATAGCTCTTGGATGACATTCAACTTGGGCTGGAATCCTACTTGAAGCTCTGTCGCTTCCTAGCTGTTGCTTAGCCTTTTTGTGTCTCAATTTCCTCATCAATAAAATGGGAATGAAAATAGTCAGTTTCTCAGAGGAAACCACTGTAATGCTTAAATAAGACTCTACACAAAATATAGAATAGTTCCTAACACAAATAACAGCTCAAAACTTGTAAGATATTATAATTTTTACTAATACCACTAAAGACAACATTTGAATTAAGTGAAACGATACAATTATACCTACACTTTCAGGTACATTTTAAAGATTACAGGTAGCGTTGTACTGTATTTTATTGAGTCTAAGATGATCATTGTCTCCATGTTTTAACATTTCTTACACTGAAATACCACTTATTAATTCATGATTTACTATAATTATAATTGGCAGCATTTAAATAATTTTCTTAGTGAGACATAAAATAATGGGGCATCATACAATCCCTGGTGCCTTACATTAAGTAGAATATGTTATAATATAACAGGTCTGGGGCAGTTCCAGTCAGATGACTAGCATTTAGATAAATTTTAGTTCTTAAAAGAACTATGGAATAAGAGGGCTGAGGTGAAAACAAAAACAATTTTCTAAAATAATCTATTTCTTACTTTGGTTTTCAAAAACTTTAAGCCAAAGAAATCTTGAAATTCAAATGAATAGCATGGGCTCATTTTTTTCAATACTTAGATTTATACAACGTATGTACATCAGATATTTCCAATCATTCATATTAGGATTTAAGACTGTTATAAATTTTCTCTTTTTAAAATGGATTTATGAAACTATTTGTGGAGCTTTTTTCAACTTTTACATTCGGGGATACAGGTGCAGGATGTGCAGGTTGGTTAACATAGGTAAACGTGTTCCAAGAGGGTTGGCTGTACAGATTATTTCATTACTCAGGTGTTAAGCCTAGTACCCGTTAGTTCTATTTCCTGCTTCTTTCCTTCCTCCCACCCTCCACCCTCTGATAGGCCCCAGTGTGTGTTGCTTCCCTCTAGGTGTCTGTGTGTTCTCCTCATTTAGCTCCCACCTATAAGTGAGACCATGCAGTATTTGGTTTTCTCTTCCTATGTTAGTTTGCTAAGGATAATGGCCTTCAACACCATCCATGTCCCTGCAAAGGACAGGCTCTTGTTCTTTCTTTTATGGCTACATAGTATTCCATGCTGTTTATCTACCACATTTAAGTTCTTAAAACAGCTAAAACAGTGTTTACCCAAGTCTTATACATTTTCAAAAGGGCAGTTAAGGGTTATCTTTTACTATTTTCCACCTTCAGAAGTGCTTTTGTTTGAAAGGAGGGAGGAAAAGCTTCAATTGAGATTAAGTCCTAATGCCCCAATTTTGATTCTCTCAGCTTGCTCAGGTGCAGCAGGTAAACATGAAGTTTTCAAAGGTGGAAGGATCCTGAGAGATAGCAGAATATGCCTGCCATATAATAGGTGTCTGGCTTATGTTTGATGACTAAACGGATTGAAAGAATGGATAAACATAGGTTGGAAGTTCAATATTTTTTAAAGAAAACTCCTGTTGAGTAGAGCAATACATTTGCGATAGTAACGATCATTTATATTTGCTATTTTAGTTTTCATAAATATATAACTAAACTAAAATAATTAATCCATACTATTTACACATCAATCTATATATAATAAGATGTATACACAATAAAATCTACCAGAAGAGGTAAACAGAAGCCCTCTACTTCTGAAGAGGGTAAAAGTTCACAGAAGATAGCCATCCACAGGTATAAAAATAAATAATAGAATGTAAGAAATTATTTGTATCTATGCAAGTAGCATATTCCTTCTCTTCCCAAGGATTATTTCATTACTAATGAAACTTAACTAAAACTTTGCAGATGTTCATTGCAGAAATCACAGATAAGAGAAAGGGAAAAACTTCACTTACAAATCCCCAGAAATAAGTTTGATTATATTTTCCACATATTTCCAGCTAACACAAGAGCAGATTCTATTTGTGTATATGTATAACAAACTGATTTTTTCTCACTTGATACAGCAAAGTACATCTCTGCATGCCGACATATCTCTGTATCTACTGACACCCTCAATGGTTACATATTATTCCATCCTATGGATGCACTGAAATTTGTTCATAAAATCTTTATATGAGTTCTTCTAAATACATGGCTATTTTAAGCAATACTAAGAAAAACAGCTGTGTCTGTTTCATATAGATATTTCAGTATAATGGAACAGATGGGTAAAAGGCATACACATTTTAAAAATGTGGTTCTTACCATCAAAGTGTCTATTTGAAAAGCCGCAGCAACTTAAACTTTCAGCAGGTATATAAGTACCACTGTTCTTCACCCTCACAAACTTTGTGGACACAAAACAGTATTTCATTCCTTTATATTTATTTATTTATTTTTTTGAGATGGAGTCTCACTCCATCACCCAGGCTGGAGTGTAGTGGTGCAATCTCAGCTCACTGCAACCTCCGTCTCCCTGGTTCAAGCAATTCTCCTGCCTCAGCCTCCTGAGTAGCTAGGATTACAGGTGCATGCCACCATGCCCAGCTAATTCTTTGTATTTTTAGTAGAAATGGGTTTCACCGTGCTGGCCAGGCTAGTATCAAACTCCTGACCTCGTGATCCACCTGCCTTGGCCTCCCAAAGTGCTGGGATTACAGGCATGAGCCACCATGGCTGGCCTTTCATTCCTCTTCTAACTTAAACAGAAAATAGTCTTTCATTCCTCTTCTAACTTAAATTCCTTCTCTTAGCAGGAATGCTATGTTTTCCTATGTACACAGGTCACTGGTAGACATGCAAAAAAGTACCTTGCCCAATTTTAAATTGAGCTTATTTTATTATATCTGCATATATATGCCGGTTTCAGTGGCTCATGACTGTAATCTCAGCACTTTGGGAGGCTGAGGTGGGTGGATCACAAGGACAGGAGTTCAAGACCAGCCTGGCAAAGATGGTGAAATCCCGTCTTGATTAAGAACACAAAAAATTAGCCAGGCATGGTGGTGGGTGCCTGTAATCCCAGCTACTTGGTAGGCTGAGGCAAAGAATTACTTGAACCAGGAACCAGAGGTTGTAGTGAGCTGATATTGCACCACTGCACTCCAGCCTGGGCTATGGAGTGAGAGTCTGTCTCAGAAAAATAAATAAATATTTGCACATATAAATAGGCATTTGTGTTTTCTTCTGGTACTTTTCTCCTTTTGTATCTTTAAAATTTTTAATCTATACTCCAGGAACTTATTTTTGTGACATAAAAATCTAGGTAGTTTTCTCCAAACAGCATGCATTTAATTTATGAATAATTCACCTTGTTTTACCAATATGAAACATCACCATTATCAAGTGCTAAATTCTTACATATATTTGGGTATTTCTGGATTTCCTATTCTGTTCTGTTCACTTATGTCTTTTCAGCTGTTAGTAAACAATTTGTGGAAATAACACACGCACATTTTGATATCTGGAAAAGCAAGTCTTTTTCCATTCTGTTACAAAAAATCAATTTATCACAATGATAAAATACATCATGTGCAATTTAAAGACACTAAGACTTTGCTATTTTTATTTGGCTTATGTAAAAGTGATAAACACAGAAAAAGCTCACATCTTAAGAAAAACGAACCTTCCTATTCAAAGATATGAACCATACTTCCCATTTCAGTTTCCTTTTAAGGTTACTCAGTAAAGAACGTGTTTACATAGGGTACACATCGATATAAAATCCATATTGGATTTTATTTGAAAAATATTTAGCCCAGAAGTTGATATATTATGGGACTTAGTTCTCAATATACACCTTTCTATAGTGTATAGAACATTGTTTTAAAATGTGTACATTAAAAATAATCTGCTGCATCGACTTAATTTTGCGAGTTAAATCACTTTAAAACCGTCTATTAGTGTTCTATAAGGGAAATTATAATTGGATTGGAAATCAGCTAAAGTTTTGTTTTTGTGTTGCTGTTTATAAAGGGACCTGGGCCCTGACATCTCTGAGGTTTCCACACCCAGGGTGGTGTGGGGCCTGCGGAGGAAGAGAAAGCCTGGCTCCTCCCTCCCTGCGCCAGGAGGGTATGTCCCCATCATCCCCCCATGTCCCGCCTCCTCCCATCCCAGGTCCGGTTACCTCTTTTGCTTGTCCCTCTTGTTCATGTCAGTGTCCCTGAGCATGACGATGAGATCCTTTCTGGGGACTTTACCCCACCAGGCAGCTCTGTGGAGCTTGTCCAGATCTTCTCGACGGACGTGGTACCTCGGCTCCATGAAGGCGCTGTCGTCGTAGTCTCCCCAAGTGCCCACGTTGCTCTTGCCGCTCCCCCTGCAGCAGGGGAAGCAGTGACAGCACCACTTGCCCATCTTGCTCCTGAGTGTCTTCATAAAGGAGTCGTCGTGGTCTCCAGAAGTGCCCACGTTGCTCTTGCCGCTCCCCCTGCAGCAGGGGAAGCGGTGGTGGCACCACTTGCCCATCTTGCTCCTGAGATCAAATGGCTTCTTCACAGCAGAGGCAGCGGGCATTGAACAAACCTCAGCCACCATCTGCTTTTAACAGCCAGGGGAGGCCGGTAGTAGCGAACAGATCGCGTCTACCAACCAGTTTCACCAACTAGCAGGAAACCCTGGGTTTCCAATCTGTTTGAAGAGAAAGGTCAATCCCAGCCAAAACTTGCCAAGCCCAGCAAGGGAGCCCAGCCCACCCCACCCAGGGAAAACCCACACCCACCCGGGGAAAGCCCACGCCCACCAGGGGGACCCCACGCCCACCCCAGGAAAGGCCAAGCCCCCCCTCCCAAGGAAACACCCAGCCCAGTCAAGGGAATGCCAAACCCAGCAGAGAAAAGGTCAAGTCCAGCAAAGGAATGCGAGGGAGGAAACGCCAATCCAAGCAAGAAACACCAGGCAAAGCTACTAACAGCCAAGCCAAGCTAGGAACGCAAGGCCAAGCGAGGAACGCGAAGCGAAGCGTACCCGTTACAGGTAAGCCAAGCCGTTATGCGCGTGCGGGGCGCGCGCCTCAGACGTTATGCGGCGTGTGCGTGAGGCGTGCGCGTGTCATTGCACGTGGTCCAGGAAGTGGCCGATGTGTGCAATCCGCGTGCGCAAGTCTTGGCGCCACAAATGTCAGTGACAGCCTTGCGTTACTGGCAAAGTTCATGGGAGTTGGCCCAGCTTTCTGGCCACTGAGGAGAGAAGCCTGTGGTGGGAAAAAGCCTCTTGAAGCAGGACTGGGGCTAGAGCGCCTGGAACTCGAGGATGCTGACAGCCTCCTCTGAAGAAAGCCCCCAAGACACTAGTGGTGGCGCTGTTGCGGGTGGCCGCCGCTGCAGCTTAGAGCTCTGGTTGGCGGAGCTGGATGCAAATGGCCTCAAAATCTCCGAGCACAAGACGCCCACGGAGCCCAGGGCCTGCCTGAGGCGCCTTCCACACCTGCTCCTCCTTGGTCCGCACCCAGAACACAGGGCCATCAGCAACGGGGCGCTCGGGGCCACAGAATCGGGGCTGGGCTGCTAGCTCCTGCTGTGGTGCCCCCTGCCTGGTGTCCAAACCAGGGCCAACAGCTGTGGGGCTTCTGGCCCGGGGTGCTTCGCTTCACTGGCATGCAGTAGGGTTGAGGTGCAGGCCGCTGTCTCCAGGCCTGCAAGAGGGGGCTGGGAGGAGCACCTACCACTGATGGGGAGATGCAGGAAGGCACCCCCACGTGCAGATCCTGGGAACAGGACACTGCCAGCACCAGGGAGCCAGATCGGAGCCTCCCTGGCAGCCTGTGAGCTGGACCCAGGCAGTGGCACCTCTACCCTCCTGCTGGGACCCTCCTGCTGTGCAGGCTTATGCAGCCAGGCTCCAGGCTGCTTCACCCATACTGCAGGTGCTTTGGTGTGGGAGGAAAAATGCATTCTGGCCGGGCACTGTGGCTCACGCGTGTAATCCCAGCACTTTGGGAGGCTGAGGCGGGCGGATCATAAGGTCAGGAGATAAAGACCATCCTGGCTAACACAGTGAAACCTCATCTCTACTAAAAATACAAAATACTAGCGGGCATGGTGGTGGGCGCCTGTAGTCCCAGCTACTCGGGAGGCAGGAGAATGGCGTGAACCTGGGAGGCGGAGCTTGCAGTGAGCCCGAGATCGCATCACTGCAACCTGGGTGACAAAGCAAGACTCTGTCAAAAAAAGAGAGAGAGAGAGAGACAGAGACAAAGACAGAGACGGAGACAGAGAGACAGACGGAGAGAGAGAAAAATGGATTCTAAGCCTGGGACACCGACCTGCTCTTGCCAACAAAAGCAGAGGGGAAGCCAATTGCAAATGCAAAAAAAAAGTTTTTATTTCAGTGGGATGAATGTCTAGGTGTGCAGTCACTGGAGTAAACGTCACTGGGACATGCTGTGTAATTCTTTGTGTACATTGCTGAGTTCTACTGCTAATGTTAGCCCATTTCATTCATGAAATTGGTAATTTATGACATCCCTTTTTTCTTTATCATTATTAGTTAAGGTTTGTCAATTTTATAGATATTTTCAAAGATCCAGCTTTATTTCTTTGCTTTTCTTTGCTGTTTTCTTTTGGCTGTTTCATTTATTTCTGCTCTTATCCTTATTATATTCTTTCTTATATTTGTTTTGATTTTATTTTGCTACTATTTTCTACTTTCTTGATGTGATAGCTTGAATTTTTATTTGAGAGATTTCTACTTTTCTATTATATATATTTAGTGAAATACATTTTCCTCTCAGCACTGACGTCAACTGTGTTAAATCAAGTTTGATATGTTGTATTTTAATTTTTATTCAGTTTAATATATTTAATTGTTTCCCTTGAGACGTTCTCCTTAGAAGTGTGCTTGCTGTTTAGCACTATTCACAATAGCAAAGACATGGAATCAACCTAAATGCCCATTGGTAATAGACTGGATGAAGAAAATGCAGTACCCATACAACATGGAATACTATGCACCCATAAAAATGAAGGAGATCATGTCCATTGCAGGGACATGGATGGAACAGGAAGCCATTATCCTCAGGAAACTAATGCAGAAACAGAAAGCCAAACATCTAATGTTCTCACTTATAAGTAGGAGCTGAACAATGAGAACACATGGACACAGGGAAGTAAGCAACACACACTGGGGCCTGTGGATGGGGGAGGGAGAGGGAGAGCATTGGGAAAAATCTCTAATGCATGCTGGGCTTAAACCGAGGTGATGGGTTGATAGGTAGGGAAAACCACCATGGCACAAATTTACCTATGTAACAAACCTGCACATCCTTCACACCTACCCCAGAACTTAAAATAAATAAAAATGTAAAAAAAAAGAACTAAAAAAGTATGCTGTTTATTTTTCAAGTATTTAAGATTCTGCTGTTACTTTACTTTTTTATTTTTAATTTGATGCCATTTTGGCTGGAGGATACATTCTACAGGATTTCAGTTTTTAAAAAATTCTTAATGTTTGTTAAAATCCAGGATACAGTCCATTTTGGTTTATGTTCTGTGGGTACCTAAATGTTCTGCTGTATTCTGCTGCTAGGGGTTGGAGCCTGTTTTTTTCTTCTTTTTTTTATCTCCAGGTACAATTTGCCCTATGAGACACCTGATATAGTAAGTAGCCCATCAGGTATCCAGCAGTAAAAACTAAATTAGTGGAAGGAAGTCCTGTCCCAACTGGTTTGACATATTGTGGCTGAATTTTTAGGTTTTAGTGAAAATAATAATGATGGCTTGATCTTCAAAGTTGTTTTTTTTTTTTTTTTTTTACCATTTCCCAAATAGCTGGGGATTATTGTGGTGTAACCACTTAAAACTCTGATGAAATGTGGAAAGAATTTCTTTTTCTAATTGATACTTTGTGAGTGCAACTACTTTGCATTGTGCAGAGAGAAAAAAATATATTCCAGGCATTCACCAAATCAAAAGTGCATGAACAAGTCCCTAAATTTCTTCCTGTCCTCAGATTTCCACCATAAAGTTTCAGACCAAATAAAAAATTGTTTTTTCACTAATTTTCTTTGAGGAAATGTAAGAGAAAAAAAAGAAAGAAACAAGTGTTTTGAAGGGTAGAATTTTGGCAATTATATGAGATTGTAAAATCCGAATGTGGATTAGCTTCAACTCATCAAAGATTCAAGAACAGCTACAGTTCTAAGAATGAGCCAAAAAAAAAATGGGTATGCATTGAGGGGAGGGAATTAGGAAGGGAATTTATAGCCATTCAGACATTTCCCAACATTAAGCCTTCATGAATTTTGCATTGGAAAGAAATATTTATAAATTAAGAAACTCAGTATCCAGTCCACCCTGTGATAAATACTGCAATGTGCCCAAGCATTCCAATTTGAGTATGGCTTTGTGCTTTGCCAATCATAACAATGGGAGATAGAAGTAATAAGAGCCTGCATGAAGCACTGTGCTAATGATAATTTTCCCAGTAAGAACAAAAGAGAGGCCATTACTTTTAAACATCATTGAATATAATCAAACACTGGGTGGGCTTGTCTGTATTTAGATTTTATAACTCTACGGTTATAGCTATAAAGTAAAAAAGACATATTATAAAATTTCTGTCATTAAGAAAAGTATTTATTATTACAAATGTGAATTTCTCTAGACGGTAAATTCTTTGGAATTAGTTGACTTCATGTAAGTTGATTTGTTCAGTAACACAGAGTAGACTTCTTGTAAATAGGAACAAGTGTGCATCTGATCAAGATCCACTATTTTCTTATATGTATATCCCTTTTCTGCCTTCCCTCAGAATACTATCTTTCACAAAACAACACACATCTCTTCCACCAACTTCTCCCCAGAATATTGCATATTCGATCAGTGTCCACAAATGTTAGATACAGAATGTTAAATTACTATTAGGTTCACGCAAATGTAGTTGTGATTAATGGCAAAAATCGCAATTATTTTTGCACCAACCTAATAGTAACATTGAAACACAATATTAGTTATTCAACATCAGAAAGATCTTCCAGAACAGTCATCACCACAGATGGGCCAAACTATTATTTGTAGGGCACTGCAGTAAGTTAGAATTTTATCAAATTCATAAATTAATGGATATTTTGTTAAGGGATATGAACAGCCTGTAGTATAAATTTGAGCTATACATTGTTGGGAGAACAAAATAATAAAACGATATAATAGTAGCAATCAAGTGGTGACCTTTCTGTCACACTTACAATTTTCAATGCACTTGTCTACTTATATTATTTCATGTGTGGATGGGTTAGCTGAGTGGCGGGGCCATCAGATGTCATATATACAGATGATTCCCTTCTATACACCATTCTGCCATTAGTTGATGTATATTTTACTTTTGCTTTTCCCTTCCCATTTCACTACTAGATAAAAATCCTAATCTTGAGTTCTAAATCACACCTAGTTTTACTCATGTGTAGTTGTACCTGACAAAGAATTACACTACATAAATTCCATCCATTAGAGGTGTGGCCGAATGGACAGAAAACCATTAACATTGATTACTTCAGTGCATGTGGGATTGCAAATGCAGATGAGAAGGAGAAGATTTTTATTTTTTCTTTATATAAGTTTACCTTATGTATTCTAATGCAAGGCTCAAGTATCATTTATAGTGAAACATTAAAATGTTCTTAAAAGTTCATGTCCTTAATGTTCTGTAAAGGAAGCATAAACTCATTTATTGCAACAAATGCAACAATTTATTTCATTCCTCAGATTATTGATCCTGATATAAATAAAACTGTTCAGAACTTGCACAGAGATATTTAAACGAACAAAGAAACAAAAAATCTAGGGAAGAAGTGAAGAAAAGAATGCTTTTTAAATTACTTAATCGTTGTTGATGGACTGACAACATCCAACTTACATCTCCTGAATTAAACCTGATATTTTCTTGGAGAGTAGTGAGGAGTAGTTGAGGGTAGATAGGAAAGAGAGTGTATTTTGAGAAATGTAAAATTTAGAGAAGCTTAATTTAAACACTCCCTGTGTGTCAAAGAGCTATTAAATAGAATTTTCATGATTTTAATATAAGTGAATCTGAACTAGCATATGGTCTAAGTTTCTTTTAAGTTGCATATGGATTTAAAATATAGGGGAAAAAGATCACTTGGCAAATATGTTTTTGGTTTTGAAAAACTTCCAAATGTTTAAAAAGTACTTTTCAAATCAACCATACCCATATGCATCCAGGTTTTCTCATCCTCACCAGTGAAGGATAAAAAGAAATAGAATTAAGGCAAAATGGATGGAGAGGTGATACATATGCTGTAAAACTATGTCAGAAATATCAGTTGATTCTTTAGGGAATTGGTTAAAAAAATAAATTTAGTCCTTATGGCAATTTAACCCAAAGAATCTAACACTTATTCTTAGTGGCTTAGGATCATGGATGATATTAATCTGTCACAAGATGATTCTATGACTATTTCCAGAAGTGGAAAAGTGCAGAAATAGAAAATGCATATGATATTGCTATTTTATTTTGTTCCAAGTCTTGTTACTATTGGTGGAAAACAGTTTTCCAAAGGAATGAACATTTAGATAAATTATGGCATGAAGAATCATTTTCAATCCTTTATGCATAGATGCATTGATAATAACTGAACATCTTTGGCATCTGGCTTCCAGATACAGTGACGATTCCTTCAAGACATCTAGAAATTAAATAGATGTGCGTGAACACTTTAAAAAATGTAAATACATTAAATGTCAGTTATTTTGAAATAAGTTATTTTTTTAAACAGGAAGCATTTTTAATTAAAAATTAGAAAATAGCTATATTTGGACAATTAGTTACTCAATGTTTTTTCCAAATAACAGATGAAATATACTTTGATGTTTTTTGTTTTAAATAAATGCAAATATATGGATGCAAAACAAATCAAACATTGCTACAAATGAAATATATGTGCTGTCAGTAATTCTCAAACATTGAATAATATTCAGTGAACTTCAACACATACCTTTGGTGGCCCGTTAAAATTCATTATAATGAATTTTGAATTAGATTCCAAAATGAACACACTATTTTCTTAGCTTTTAGCGTCTGTCGTTTTTTTCTATATTCATTTTTCTTTTTTTTTTTGACTGAGGTGGCGTCTCACTCTGTCACCCAGGCTGGAGTGCAGTAGCGCAATCTCGGCTTACTGCAAGCACCGCCTCCCAGGTTCAAGAGATTCTCTTACCTGAGCTTCTCAAGTAGCTGGTTACAGGTGCGTGCCACCACGCCCAGCTAATTTTTGTATTGTTGGTAGAGATGAGGTTTCACCATGTTGGCCAGGCTGGTCTCGAACTCCCGACCTCAGGCGATCCACCCACCTTGGCCTCCCAGAGTGCTGGGATTACAGGCGTGAGCCACTGCACCTGGTTGGTTTTTTTTTTCTATTTTCATTACTAAGACTAAACAATAGTTATGTGACTGAATACAGCTGATCATTTTACCAACTCCTTTCAGCAAATTCATTTTGTCATTTTAATTAAGTTCAAATTTAAGAAGTGAATAAATATAGATACTATAGCACATATATTTCCCAAAACATAATATAATATGTGTGTGTGTGTGTGTGTGTGTGTGTGTGTGTGTGTGTGCATTTGGGAAATAAAAGAGTATTATATTTTACTCAAACAACATCAAACATGCAGTCAAGTAAGTTTGATGAAGAAGATAATATTTTAGCCTAAGAATGAGAATTCTGTAAGACAATGTGTTACTTTATAGTATCAGTTATGTGACCCTTCCACACGGATATTTTGGGTGCAATTGCACCCTCTTTGCCATATACTCTTGGGAGAATAGAAGGTTCTTCACATTTTTCCATTCATTGTAACTTCTCCTGTAGGACAGCCCACAGATACATTTCCTAGACTATATTAAGGAAACAAAAGCAAACAAATATGAGAAAATAATAAAGGTAAGTGTCTGGGAGGGTGAGAAATCAAATTCAGTGGGGTTTAAACTATATCTCATACAAGTGTCCCAAAGTTGTGCTTTTGGAGAAATTCACCTTGGATAGAGACATGGTCAAGTGACCATGTCTCTTTACCTTTACCTTTTTTAAAAAACAATACATAGCTGTATCCTTGGAAGAGAGGCAAGGAGTGCTGTAGAGTGACTATCTTTGATTTCTGTTGTGGTTCAGAGGAAGTGTAACTTTCTTAAAAGATACCTTGACTTTTGTCACATTTAGCTATTCGTTCCTTTTTATTTAGGAAAAAAAGGCTGAGCCTGCTGTGGCTTGGGCTCTTATTATCTTTTCTTGGGCTTCTTGGATCTCATAAATGATAACTCTACTTTTATTGTTGCCTTCTCCAAAGGAACCTGAATACCAGCATCACCTTCATTTACCCTAAAGCATGATTCTCTGCCTAAGAAAACCCCTATGGTTGACATTTACATTTACTTTATACCTCTCTTAATCTTTTGAGGAATGCCTCTCTACCTATTCTGCATGGTAAAGTTCTAATTAATTACAACTATGAAACAGATATTTCCTTCTTTTCTTATGTTTCAGATATTGAATTACTTTATTATTGCCAAGCACAATCTGCTTTGCTAAATTATTCAGTATAAGCTTGCTTCTTCCATTAGACTTTGGAATTCCTGAGATAAGAAATTACGCTTTATTCTGAAAGTGTGCTTAAATCAATGGAAAGTTGGTTTGTCCAAACTGGATATAGAGGAATAGAGTTATTCTGTACACAGCCACTTTTAGTTGCAAGAGCAGCTAGAAATAGGAGTTATGCTACCTTTTCAAAGACATGTCCTCAGCCAGGTGCAGTGGCTAGTGCCTGTAATCCCAGCAATTTGGGAGGCTGAGGCGGGCGGATCATGAGGTCAGGAGATCGAGACTGTCCTGGCTAACACGGTGAAACCCAACTCTACTAAAAATAAAAATAAAAATAAAAATAAAAATAAAATAAAATAAAATAAAATAAATTAGCTGGGCATGGTGGTGAGTGCCTGTAGTCCCAGCTACTGGGGAGGCTGAGGGGGAGAATGGCTTGAACTCAGCAGGCGGAGCTTGCAGTGAGCCGAGATCGCACCACTGCACTCCAGCCTGGGTGACAGAGCAAGACTCTTTCTCAAAAATAAATAAATAAATAAATAAACAAAATAAAGGTAGGCTATACTAAGTTAAAGATGCTGGCTGTAACCCTAGAGCCATCACAAAATAAAATAAGGTAAAATACAGATACAGTAAATAAGCCACTAGTGAAGACAAAATAGATACAATGAAATTAGAAAAAAATTAAAATCCTTTAAAAAGCCCCATTTGCCTCGATTTTCCTAATTACACAAAGGAGGAAAGTGTGAAAAAGGATAGATCACGTTCCTCTAAGGACCCATGTCAGGTATCTGTGGAATGCAGGCGGTGCAGGAGGGTGGGAATGGGTGGGTGCCCAGCGTTGCTAAAGCTATGGAGTGTCTTCCCGTTTTTAAAGAAATCCAGAAGTGCAGATCTATTCATTCAACCATTCATTGATGTAAAATCTGGTTTCTAAGGTGTTCAGTTTGATGACTAATATATGTATACTTTGCCATCAAAATCAAACTCATTCACATTCCCATCACCTCGCAGAGCTGCCCTCTTTCATGTGTGTGGTGAGAACAATAAGATCTACCTCCTCAGCAAATGTCAAGTATACATCGCAGTGTTGTTAGCTATATTCACAATGTTGAACAGTAGATCTCCAGAACTTATTCATCTTGCATAACTGAAATTTTATACCCTTTGACCAACATCTGCCCATCTCTCCTTCCCCCAGCCCCTGGCAACCACTCTATACCCAGCAATCCCATTTCTTTGGGGATATAGCCAAAGGAAATAAAATCAATATCTGGAAAAGATACCTGCACTGTTATGTCCATTTGGGCATTTTTAACAATAGCCAAGTAATAGAAACAACCTAAATGTCTGTCAATGGATAAATGGATAAAGAAATGAAAAAAAATACACACACACACACACACACACACACACACACACACACACACACAGTGGGATATTATTTAGCATTAATGAATAAAAAAATCCTGCCATTTTTGACAGCATGGATGGACTTGGAGAACATGCTTGGTGAAATAAGCCAAGCACAGAAAGACGAATAACACATTGTCTCACTTATAGGATGACACTGCATTCACGTTTCAGCCACCTCTGCCACACCCACCCATGCAAACACACCCACCCATCTCAGTTCCTGCCCCTGACTGGGGGACAGGGTGGGCGCTCTCTGGCACATGTTCCACTCATGCTTCTCCACCTCCAGCTATTTTAGGCTCTGACACTGAAAATGAAATTCTTACCAAGACGATATGTGTTGTGTTGACATAAAACTGATAGAAAGTGTACCAAAAAACATGGAAGTTTTAAACATAATCCACCAAAAGAACATACTCACAGTCGACGTTTCTTTCATTATTAAGAATGAATGTCCATAACCCTCACTAAGACAAAAGTCATCCCATTTGTCTACATTTTTTTTCTTTGCAAACACACACTGAATGACTTTGTGTGACAAGCTGTGAAGTTTTACCAATTCTTCAAACTCTTTGATTTGCATTATGCTGTTTAATCCTGAGAGGCGAGCAGCTGTCGCTGGTAATTCTAAGCCTAGAATTCCACCACCTAATAGGTGAAAATTATAGTAGGCTGATCATAAAACCATGTTGTTAACTTTTTAAAATTTAATGACTACCAAGGAATTTCACCTTAGTGATACATCTTTTGAGAGATTAGAAAATGAAGAAATGCACGTGTTCAATGATCCATTTTAGAATTTAAAAAGTCTTTCAAATGAGCATCTTATTCATATATTGTGAAGAACCACTGGAAACAGTTATTTAATAATGTGGCTAAACGCGTATTCAGAGTAATGCTTCCTGTATATTTGCACATTTATACACTTATGTCCCGCTCCTGGAATAGACTTACCAGTTTCCTTTTCAGAAAATTTCAGAATTTCTGGAATGTGCCGAAGTACTAGTGGGTAACTTAGATTTGGAATACACTGTATTAGGTGTAACTGGAAAACTGAGAGGCTTCCTACACTGGAAGGTCAAAGATCTTTCCTGGAGGAGAGTTAAGAATTTGCCTTTTCTTACCATGACTCTGTTAAAAGAGAATATAAACAATGCAGTTTCACAAAAGGAAGGGGACAGTGGTGTAAATAAACCTCCCCATCATGTTCTGGTGGCTTTCCTGTAAGTCTTGAACGTTTTCCACTGGGTGTTACAGTCGAGAGGCCCCCACCTCCTGAGGAAGCAAGACCCCGAAACCCCGAGACGATGGGCTGTGCTGCTTTGGCCCCATCTTGCTTGTGTTGTTTGAAGGGGCCCTGCTGCCACCCAGCTGTCATTAACGCCACCCTCACCTCCCAGGAACTGCATCACTCGGACGGACAAGACACCTATGTAATGACCATAGTAAGACCCCATGTGCGTGGCTAATGAGGCAGTGCCCAACGTGGCGTGGAAGCCCTGCTAGGGAAATCCCGCCCCGCCACCCCAGATGCGCCACCCCAGACCTGCTCTCGGACCTGCGGCCCCTGGCCCCTGGCCCTTTCCCGTTGTCACCGAGGCTTCTTGCTAAGAAATGGAACTTCAGAAAACCCCCAAATATATACTGCATTAGGTAAGGGTTTCATTCTAATGGAGTCCCATGTGACCCTGGCTTTCCGTCCGGCAGCAATGCACTCCTGTCTATGAATGAGATGAAAAGAGTGCCCACAACAAGCCAATTTCTTTCAGGAGCGACTAAGACATGCGCATGTCCGGGGGTGCCTCAGAGCACCCGGGAGGGACCCAGGCCTGGGCAGGGAGGGGGGGCCGGCCCTAGGGGAGCAAAGCTCTTGAAACTGGCCTCTGTTGCCGGGCTCCTGACCCTGCCCTCCCATCCCTGCACTACAAGAGGACAGCGGCGACTACAGGAGGCGCCGAAGACGCTGCTGAAGGCCCTAAAGAAACTTCAGCAGAACCGGAACTCCCCTTGCAGGTCCAGCCGCGGGCCCTGCGCCCTCCCGCTCAGCCGAGCGGGGCCGAGGGCGCGTTTGCTGAGTGTCTGGTGGCCTCTACCCAAGCGCCTCTTCAGAGGGCTGTTCCTGCGGCCCAGAGACTGCTTGAGGCGCTCGGGGAAGGAAAAGCAGGCGCTGGTGCGCCGGGGGCTCTGCGGGGGACGGCGCGGAGCTGACTGAAGGGCCGCTGCGGTAGCGCAGGGCGCAGGAGCTGCTCCGCCCCGGAGCGCCGGGAAGGTTGGCGCTGGCAGCCTCCAGCCCCTGCCAGCCGGGCGAGAGCAGGCGGAGAAGGAGGATGCACCGTCACCTATGGCTCGCCTCCACCGGCCGGCACGCAAGGTGAGCTCTGCGTGCGCCCGGCGGGACAGTGAGGTAAAAGGGCGGGAGCGCGGGAGAGGACTCGTGGCCCCGGCTCAGCCCGCACCCCTCTCCTCTGGGATCCCGAATCGCGGGCTGCGTGGTGGGCCAGGAGAGGTGCAGAGCAGGCGGGGCGCCGCGGCCAGTCCGGAGCGCAAACTTTCCCTGGCGACTGCAGCGCTGAATCTGGGCGCAGGAGAGCGCGGGGTCCGGGCTGCTCAGCCCTGCCCGGCGGGGTACCTGGGCGCAGCGCACATGGGTCAGCCGGTAGGAATTGCGGGATGGGGTACACCCAGCGCCACCGTCGGGAGCCGTAGGAGCGAGATGGACCACCTGGAAGGCCCGGGTCAGCCCTTGGGCTCTGAGGCACGCGGCGTCCCGGCGCTGGTGGCAGGGTGGACTCGGATCCCGCGAGGGTGTCGCGCTAGTCGCGGGGGCTGCTTGAGGCCGGGGGACTTCGAGCCGCCGCTGCACCACTCGCTCCCAGCCCAGGAGGAAGGCGCCGGCTGGCGTTGCGCTCTGCTCGGACTCAGGGCAGGAGCGGGGGAGGTCTGCGAAAGCCGGGAGCGAGCCGGGGAGGGCCCGCGAACTGGAGAGGCTCGGCGCGCTGCTGCGGACGCGGCGGATGGCCGACCACGGGTGCCAGGGGAGGCCCAGGCTGCGGCGCCGCAGGGCACCCCCCGCGCCCACCTGCCCCTGCGCGCCGGCCCTGGCGAGCCTCTGTGGAGGTCAGGGGACCGTAGCCTCTCCTGGGGTTCCTGCCTAGCGACTGAGGGGCGGCAGGAGGCGCAGCTCCGGTTTTCCGCATGCAGCGCCGCGTGCTCGCCGCCTGGTTTTGTCCGGGTCAGGCAGACCAGCCCCAGGACGCGCCCAGCCGACCCACGCATGGCAACCTGCCCTTCTTGGCAGGAGTCGCAGAGGGCTTTGGCTTCTGAGGTGGAAGTACCTGTTATGTCTCCTAATTCCGGAGTTTGAGGGGGTTTGGGCTGGCGGGGGGCTCATTGGGAAAATGCTTTTCAAAGCATTCTGTTTGGCTGCCGTGAGCACCTATTTGCCTTATGTGCATATTGAGAAATGTGTGCTTCTACTAAGGTTAGTCGCTGAGCCCAGGGACAGTGTAGGCCTGGATTTCAAATGCATTAATTAGGGTCCAGCACCCAGCCTAGAGACTTCCACAAATGCAGTAGTTATTTAGTCACGGGGACTGAATGCGGAGAAAGTAGCCACACCGTTATAGGCAATTGTTATACCCTTGTGATCCTGCAGAAAACCTGTTTCTTAAATGTGCTTCCCCCTTCTTTCTTTCTATGTACTTTCAGTGCCTTGCAGAACTAGGAGTAGCGTGCTGACTTTGAACACGTGGTAGATATTTCAGAAAGGTAAAATTGTTAGGCTTGTGGATTTGACAGATACAAAATACAGTTGCTCAGACAACTAAAGCATTTATTTTAATAATTGGACTAATGTTTCATTTGATAACATACTAAAAAATAAAACAGAGGTTGGGCGCAGTGCTCACGCCTGTAATCCCAGCACTTTGGGAGGCCAAGGCGGCGGATTACGAGATCAAGAGATCGAGACCATCCTGGCCAACATGTTGAAACCCCATCTCTACTAAAAATGCCAAAATTAGCTGGACGTGCTGGCGTGCGCCTGTAGTCCCAGCTACTCGGGAGGCTGAGGCAGAATTGCTTGAACCCGGGAGGCGGAGGCTGCAGTGAGCTGAGATTGCACCATTGCACTCCAGCCTGGCAACAGAACGAGACTCCATCTCAAAAATAAAATAAAATAAAATAAAATAAAATAAAGCAGAGTATTTGAGACATAGAAAACAATAAATTACGATGACTCTGCACTCTGAGTAGAAGTAAAAATAAGCCAACTTGTTAATCTTTTTATGTTTCAACTTACTGCCCGGTGAGCGTGGTGGAAAATTCCTTGCGTGCAGCTGTGCCAGGGAAGGACAGCCAGCTTCCTTTCTCTAGGTTACAGCAGGGAAGGACAGCCGGCTCCTTTCTCCAGGTCACAGGATCTGCTCTGCTTGGATTTGATACGGTGGTTAGTGCAGCCCATAGTCCAGTTGCTGCAGCAAAAGTTGCTTGAGTCTTTGATAGGAGAGGACACTTGAAAGCAGGAAATGAGAAACACATTTTGATCTTTATGTAGGAGCTCATTGTTCCTGACTCTCTCCTGGGATAAAGGACAGGGAAGAGTGGACTTTTTTGCACTTCTAGTTCCTTCTCCCTGTAGCTGTAGTCGTAGCAAGTAAAGGGGTTGTACTGATGCTTTTTAAGGCATATTATCAACATACAGCCATGACTTGTCCAGAGAATCTCACCTGACAAAAACTCAGAGAAGAAAGAGAAAGAAGATGAAATGGCTGGTTTTCAGGTAAATGTGTCCCAGTTCAAGGGCTGTGACATGGATAGACTGCATGGTGGTGAAGTCAGGGCTTTTAGGGTATCCATCATCAGAATAACATACATGTCTCTGAATTTTGATATTAGCCATCCTAACAAGTGTGAAATGATATGTCATCATTGTTTCTATTTGTATTTGCCTCATGATTGAAGATGTTGAGCAGCTTTTCAAATACTCTTAGTTTACGTCTTCACTAAAAAAATATTTCTTTACCTGTCTTTTAATCATGTTATCATTACTGTCATTATTATTGTTGTTTTGGTTTTTTATTTGTATGAGTTCCTTACATATTTTGGATATTAACCACTTAACAGTGGTTTGCAAATATTTTCTCCCAACCTGTAAGTTTTCTTATTGTTTTCTGTTTATAAGTTTTTTAGTTTGATGTAGTCCAACTTTTTTATATTTGCCTTTGTGGCGCACTTTTTGTGTCAGATCCAAAAAAATACTGTCAAGACCAATATAAAGGAGGTTGACCACATTTTGTTTTCTTTTAGGATTTTTAAGAATTCATGTGTTTTATTTGTCCTTATTTTGAGTTAATTTTGGGATATGATGTAAGAAAAATCATCTAATTTTATTCTTTTGCTTGTGGATACCCAATTTTCTTAGCTCCAAATAATAAAGGGATTTCACTTACTGCATTGTGCATTTTCAATATCCTTGTTCAAGATTAATTGATTTTATAGGCATAGGTTTTTTTTTTCTAGGATCTCTACTTTGTTCTGTAGGTTTTCGTGTTCATTTTTATGCACATGCTGTCTTGTTTTTATTACTATAGTATTGAATATAATTTAAAATCAGAAACTATAGGGGCGGGTGCGGTGGCTCACACACCTGTAATCCCAGTACTTTGGGAGGCCGAGGTGGGTGGATCATGAGGTCAGGAGTTCGAGACCAGCCTGACCAACATGGTGAAATCTCGTCTCTACTAAAAATATAAAAATTAGCCGGGCATGGTGGCGAGCACCTGTAATCCCAGCTACTCAGGAGACTGATGTAGGAGAATCACTTGAACCTGGGAGGCAGAGGTTGCAGTGAGCTGAGATCGTACCATTGCACTCCAACCTGGGTGACAGAGTGAGACTCCATCTCAAAAAAAAAAAAAAAAATATCAGAAACTATAATATCCTTAGCTTTCTTCTTCCTCAAGATTGCTTTAGCTATTCAAAGTCTGTTGTAATTTCACATAAATTTTAAGCTTGTATTTTCTATTACTGTGAAACAAGTTATTGGAATTTTTATAGGGAGTTTATTAAATCTATAGATCATTTTGGATAATGTAGAATTTTAACAATATTTACTCCTCCAATCTATGATAGCTTTATATTTTTTGTCTTCTCCAGTTTCCTTTATCAATATTTTATTTTTCAGCATAAAGATCTTTCACCTTAGTTGTTAAATTTGTTCCTAAGAAATTTATTGTTTTTTATTTTATTTTAAATGAAATCATTTTCTTCCTTTTAATTGGATAGTTTGTTGTTAGGGTATAAAAACACAATTGAGATTTGTATGCTGTTTTTATATTCTGAAAATTCATTGAGTGCATTTATTAGTTTAAATAGGTTTTTGGTGTACTATTTATGGTTTTTGTATATAAGATCATGTCATCTACAAAAAGTGACATTTTTTCAATTTAGATGGCTTTAAAATATTTTTCCCCAAATTGTTCTACTTAGGACTACTAGTATGTTAAAATAGAAGCATTAAAATTGGGCACAAGATGGCTTCATTGTGACTCCTCTTATTTTGAGCAGACTCAACTGCTTTCAGAACTTTGATCTGTAGGGCAGATGCCAGGGCCAGGGTTCTGAAGCTGGGTTTGCATATGGCGGCCCTGATAGTAGGTGTGTGGATGAAGTGTGACTTCTGCTGAGTACCTGAGAGGGTTTTCTCTCCCTTTGTGGGTCTCTAGGTGGGCAGAACTGTCTATAAACTATGGTGAAGAGGGCTGAAACTGAGTCACAGACCTGCTTCAGAGGCCACAGTAAAGGTGAAAGGTTAAATTCTGTAGGTCTGCCTCCATTATCATGAATGTCTCTCCCCAGTTCTCTGTATGGGAAGGACTAATTCCAGACCATAACTGGGAGGCATTGGAGATGGTTACAGAGTCACTTCAGGATTCTCAGTGTGACTGAGTAGGATGGGTCAATTCCTAGTCTGTAGACAAGATCAGGGGTTCTCAGATTTGCCCCCTGAATGAGGGCCTGCCTTCCCAAAACAGCCCTCCTCAGTCTTTGTTTTTCACAGGGTATCATAATGCCCTCTCTAATCCCAAAGCTCCCATAAAGGCACTTTTGTCCATGGATGGCTGCAAAAGTATTGTAGCTGTGGGAAGATAAACAAGAGTGATCCCCTTATTCCAACATCCTTGCTGATGTCACTCTCCTTATATGGTTTCACTTTGTATTTTGCTGTATTACAAATTTGTCTGTTATTTTAGATTCATTCAGAACAATATGCTATAATTTCCACACCATGTAAGAAGTAAATCAGACAGGCACTCCCTATTTATTAAAATGTTCATTTGTACATTACAGTTAACTGAAATCATGTAGGAATCATTAACATTTTTGTTTTCTCAACCTACATCTAAATGATAAATTACAAAAAATTATTTCAAAATATTTGCATTGTATATAACTCATATTTTACAACATACATGGTTTTACTTTATTTCAAAGTCTAATGCTTTTCTTTGCTTCTAAAGAGTGAATTGCAGCCTTTTTATTTTCTGTGAAAATAGCATCAATATATTAATAGTAACACATTATCTTTACTGTCTTTACATAATCATTAAAAAAATTTTACTAGAGCATTTTCTTAATGTCTGTAGTGCATTTTCTGTAAAATTTTACTGCCATACAGTAGACATCAATGATTCCAAGTATGTGCGCTCCATAGGTGCACAATCACAGGTGAACTCGGTAGTTACCTAGAAAAAGGTGTTATAATGATATATCAATGTTGCATACAGAATTTTATAGGTAAATGTTTATCTTGTCTTGCAATTCCTAATTACTGTGTTTTTAGTAAGGATACATTTATAGGCAGTTTATTGTGTTTCTGTTTTACCTATGTATTATAATTTTGAATGACAATTTGCAACTCTGTATATACACTTTAAATCAAGGTGGGGTTTAATTCAAAGATGAATTAACCAGCTGTCTATCACTGTTAAATTATACATATGTATGTGCATGGTTGTCTCTATAAATATAACACCAACTTTGTTTATGGTTCATCTTGTGTATTTCTCCTCTTGGCTGATTTTTTTTTTTTTTTTTTCGACGGAGTCTGGCTCTGTTGTCAGGCTGGAGTGCAGTGGTATGATCTCGGCTCACTGCAACCTCTGCCTCCCAGGTTCAAGCGATTCTCCTGCCATAGCCTCCCAAGTAGCTGGGATTTCAGGCGTGCACCACCATGCCCAGCTAATTTTTAAATTTTTAGTAGACAGGGTTTCACCATGTTGGCCAGGCCTGGGTCTTGAACTCCTGACCTCAGGTGATTGGCCTGCCTCAGCCTCCCAAAGTGCTGGGATTACAGGCGTGAGCCACCGCGCCCAGCCCGTCAAATATAGTATTATTTTTTGTTTCTAGATATCCCATATAAGTGTATTCAGACAACCTGTCTTGTTGTGACTGCCTTTATTTAGCATGTTAAGATTTTGATTTTATATGTTACATATGCTGATTTTGCAAAGCTGAGCAATATTCTATTTTTATATTCCAAATTTTATTTATTCATTTAAGAAAGTTTAAGCTGCTTTAGCCTATCAGCTTTTGTCAATAATGCTGCATGGGTGTGCAAACAACTCATTTGACCACACATGTGTAGCTGTATTTCTAAGTTTTCTATTGTTTTATTGTTCTTGTTGTGTGCATTTATGCCAGCACCAAATTCCTTTAGCTACTGTAGCTTCACAATGTATTCCAAAATCAGGAGGTGTGACACCCCCGATATTGTTCTTGATATTTCAAGATTGTTGAGTCTTCTTGGTCTCTTTGTAGTCTGTATAATTCTGGGGTTGCTTTTTTATTTCTGCAAAAATAAACTGAGAATTTGGAAAGGACTGTATTGAATCTGTAGACCACTTTATGTAGTCTGGACATCTTCATAATATTAAGTATTCCCACCCTTGAAGAAAAGCATGTTCGAGGGTGTATTGTTTAACTCCCATATATTTGTGAATGTTTCATTTTCTATTTTATTCAATTTTGGTTATAAAGAATAAGCAGTAATATTTCAATTTAAAAAAAGGTGTTAAGACTTGTTTCATGGCCTAACGTCTTCTATCAAGAATATTTTCTGAAATATTGAAAACATTGTGTATTTTGTTGGATGAGGTGTTCTCTACGCATGTTGAATTTGATTTTTATAGTGTATTCAAGTCTTCTGTTCACTGTGTATTTCTTGCTTCAATGTCATCAATGTTTGCTTTATAAACTGGAAACCCTGATGTATGATATAAATGTATAATTGGAAACCCTGATGTGTGATGTAGATGTAGATACAGGTATAAGCACACACACAGGAATCCACACACAAACAACATATACAATTTTTATAGGTTTCCAATGAATGAACCTTTGTATTATTTAATGTCTTTTTTATCCTGTAGTTTTGAATTAAATTTTATAAAATATGATAATGATTGACTTAAAGTCTTTTGTCACAGTGACTACTTCTGCTCTCATTTGGCTAACATTTGCATGGAATATCTTTTTCCATCCTGCTTTTAGTCTATCTTTGTGATTGGATCCAGTGATTCTCTTGTACACAGAATATAGTTGATGCTGTTAATACAATTTTTAGAATCTCTTCATGAAATATGTCTTTTGATTGGGAAAGTTAGTCCATTAATATTTTTAAAGTATTCTGAAATGGAACTTACTATTATTATATTAATCATTGTTTTATTATTGTAGCCATTTTGTTCCTTTTTCATCTTTCTTGCTGTCTCACTGATTTCCCTGGTGATATGGTCTGATTTCTTTCTCAATTTCTATGTTGTATTTCTCTAATATTTGTGGTTATCATGAAGATTACAAAAATCTTCTTAAAATTACAATATATTTTGAATTGGTAAGATATTCAGATGCATAGTTTTTTTCAGTATGTCTGCTCTCAACTTTGTAAGTCACAAATTATATTGTCATATTGTGTTTATAACTACTTTCATGTTTTTGTCTAACAAATTTTGAAAATAGAATTGTTTTCTGTATTATAATTTCAATACAATTTCCTGTTATGTGCATGTCTTTATTAGAGAGTTATGTGTTTTTTATATAATGTAGGTTTTTTCTAGAATTTTATTTTCAGTGGAAGAGACACCCCTAAGCATTTTCAGTAAGGCAGATATACTAGTGATGTACTTTTACTGCATTTTGTTACTTTGGAATTTTTTTTGAAGAATTTTCCTAGTTATAGTATTCTTGCTTTGAAAGTTTTTGTTTCAGCACTTTGACTGTATCACTTAACTTTTTTTCTGGCCTGCAAGGACTGTGTTGATAAATCCACTGCAAATCTCAATGAAGCATGCTATAGATGACACAACAGGTTTATCTTACTGCTTGCTTCCAAGATTCCTTTTGCCTACGACTTTTAAAATTTTGCTTATAATCTGTCTTGTTACGAGTAACTTTGTGTTTATCTTAGCCAAAGTAATTTAAGCTTCTTGATATTTTACAAGTATTTTGTTTGAGAATTTCTGTCTTTATGACTTACTGTAGTCTTCAGCTCCATAATTTTTGAAGGTTTTTATAATTTTTTGTGATATTCTCATTTTGCTGCTTTCATTTAGTTGTCTATGTTCCCATTTCATACACTGAGCATCATTTAGATGGTTATTTTGAATATTTTCAAGTAATTTGTATATCTCAATTTTTTAGGGTTCATATCTGGAAATTTATTGTGTTTTTTTGGCCATGTTACTCTGGTACTCTGTTGTCATCTTTCATTGTGATTTGAGCATTAACAGAAAGCTGTCACAGTCTTTATAAAGTGGTTTGGAGTCTGACACCAATTGACCAGGCTAGAGATTCTGGAGGTTTCTAAAGCCTGTTCTCAGGCTGTGTCTACTCTGGGATTGTGTGTTTATTTTCTTTCTTCAGAAAGAAGTCAGAAGTTTACTTCTATAAGCATCATGCTGCATTGGAGAGGAAGAAGGGCTGTGGTGGGTAAATGCAACAAATTTTCCTTCCTCTACTATTTGGCTTTTGGCATTCTGCTTGCCTGGGGTGCTGCAAACTCTTGATTTTTAAACTTATCACAATGGAATTTTGTTCAGGATATTTTTGTTAAGTGTATATGTATATGAAGAAATTAGGGCCTATGATTTTTATTGTGCCATTTTGCTAATGTGCTTGACATAACTTTATACATTAGGTTTCTAACACGTACTCACCTGAATCTAATAAGTGAGGTAATTTATTTTCCCTTTTCCCAGATGTGTATTCTCATTTTATGGAAGACATGTTGCCAGAGTAAAGCACAATATATTCATCTTGAAATGTAATACTGAGAAGATATGGAAGTTATGGAAGTTGTGGCCTTCAGAATTGACACTTACGGAGAGACTAGAACAGCGTGGGTGAGTTGTGAGGGGCAGGAAGCATGTCTTAATGGACTTAACCAATTTTCGTCAACTATTCACAGTAAAATCTTTCAATGTACAAAATTTAGTAATCTGATAAACAATAAACAAAATATTTGAATAGGCATTTTTCATAAGACGTACAAAGGGCAGACAGGCATACGAAAAGGTGCTCAACATTTTTGATCATCAGACAAATGCAAATCAAAACTACAATGAGATATTATGTGACTCAGTTAAATGGCTTATATCCAAAAGGTAGGCAGTAACAAATGCTGGAGAGAAGTGGAGAAAGGGAGCCCTTGTATGCTGTTGACAGGAATGTAACATTTTGAAAATTCTTCAAAACAACTAAAAATAAAGCTACCATATAATTCAGGAATGCCACTCCTGAGGATTCACTTACTAGAAAGGAAATCCATACATTGAAGAGATATCTACCCTCCCATGTTTGTTACAGCAGTGTGCTCCAGCCAATATTTGGAAGTAACCTGATGTCCATCAAGAAATGACTGGATAAAGAAAACATGGCACATATACACAATGGAATACTATTTAGCCATAAAAAATAAGATCCTATTATTTGCAACAACATTGATGGAACCATAGATTAAGTGAAATAAGCCAGGCACAGAAAAACAAACTTTCCATGTTCTCACTTATTTGTCGGAGCTAAAAATCAAAACAATATAACTCATGTAGGTAGAGGTAGTTGCCAGAGGCTGGGAAGGGCAGTGGGGAATGTAGGGGACGGTAGGGATGGTTAATGAGTACAAAAAAAAAGAAAGAATTAGTAAGACCTAGTGTTTGATAGTACATCTGGGTGACTATAGTCAATAATAATTTTAATTGTACATTTTATAATAACGAAAAAAGTAAAATTAGATTGGTTGTAACACAAAGAATAAATGCCTGAGGGGATGATGGATACCCCATTTTCCATGATGTGATTATTGCTTTCTATGCCTGTATTAAAGTATCTCATATATCACATCAATATATCTCCAACTAAGTACCCACAAAAATAAAAAATTTAAACCAATTCAAAATGCCAGAATTTCTATACATTAACTATAAACTACCTGAAAAAGTCAAGTAAACAATTTTATTTATAATAACTACAAAAAGTTTACTCATAAATGTAACCAAAATGGTGAAAGATTTCTATATTAAAATTAAAAAACACTGAGTAGAAAAACTTTCTAAATCACAAATTAATGGAAAGATATTTCTGGTTCATTGATTGGCAGAATTAATACTGTTAAAATGTCTACACTGAGCAAAACAATCTACAGATTCAAAGCAGTCTCTTATCTGTATACAAATGAAATTATTTAGAATATTTCAAAAATTCTAAAGTTCATATGGCATCACAAAAACACTAAACAGCAACAGAAATTAAGCACAAATAATACAGCTGGAAGCATTACACTACCTTTGAAATACACTACAAAGCTTTAGGAATTGATACAGTATGATAACTGGTTTAAAAAGAGAAACATAGGTGAATAAAGCAGAATGCAGAGCCCAGAAACAAATTCATAAAATTTCAGGATCTTACACAAAGGTGACAAGAACACACAGTGGGGAAAGGACAGTTACTTCAAAAGTGGTGTTATGAAAACTGAGTATCTCCAGGCAGAACAATGAAATGAGACCCTCCACCAACATAAATCAAAGACTCAAAACTCTGGAACTGCTACAAAAAACAGAGTGAAAGCTCCATGACATTGGTGGGGACAATAATTTTTTCTTATTTATTTCACCTCAAAATCCCAGCAAACAAAAGTGGAAGTAGACAAATGAGATTACTTGAAAACTGAAAAGCTTCTACACAGCACTAGGTACAACCAACAGAAGAAAAATAACGTATAAATAAGAGAAAATATTTATGAGTTATATATCTGACAAAGGGTTACTATCCAAAATAGACAGGAAACTCAAACAACTATAGAACAATAAACAAGTAACTATTAAAATGGGTGAAAGATGTAAATAAACATTTCTTAAAGGAAGACATACAAATGGTAAAAAATATATGAAAAAAATGCGAGGTAAATTATCATAAGGCTAATCTAAGGTTAAGGCTAATCTAAGGTTAGGACTAATCTAAACCTCTATTAGATAACAACTCACTACTGTTAGAATGACTATTAATAAAAAGCCAAAAAAATAATTATTGGCAAAGATGTGGAGCAAAGGGAATGCTTGCGCACTGAATGTAAATCAGCGTAGCCATTATACAAAACAGTATGGAGATTTCTCAAACGTTAAAAGCTGAACTATCATATGATACAGCAATATCATTATTGGGCACATATCAAAAAAATCAAGTATGTGAAAGAGACATCTGTGCTGTTATGTTTATTGCAGCACTATTCACAATAGCCAAGATATAAAATCAAACTCAGGGTTTATTATCAAATAAAATGATAAAGAACATGTGGCATACATCCATTCTGTACGAATGGATTATTATTCAGCCTTAAAATAGAAAATACTGTCATTTTCAATTACATGGATGAACATGAAGGAGATTATGTTAATTGAAATAATCCAGACACAGAAAGACAAATACCTCATGATTTTGCTCATATGTGGAATTTTAAAAAATTGATCGCATTGAAGTAGAGACTAAAATAGTGGAGCGAGAGGCTAAGATATTTTGGAAGGGGATTGGGTAGATGTCTTTCAAAGAATATATAGTTAGGAATATATTTAAAAAATCTGTTGTAAAGCCTGGTGACTATAGTTAATGATGACATACTGTTATGTTTTAAAAATACTGATATAGTCAATGTTAAGTGTTCTCCATCACAAAAATGATAACTATATGAGGTAAAGCACTTGTTAATTAGCCAGAATTTAATATTACACAATGTATGCATGCTTTAAACCACATTTTACATGACAATACATATAATTTTATCTGTCAATTTAAAAAATTTAGAAACATGAAAAGGTAGTGTTTCAAATAATCAGTCTGTGTCTTATTCATAAGCTTAGCAGAGTAGTATCAAAATATATAGTTTTTGTGATGTTTTTGTCATTTCATTTGTCAGTCATAAGCATAGAAACTCAGATATTTACCAGCATGTGCAAGAACCAGCACAGTGCCTGGGAGAATCCTATGTACTTTAGAGCTTTTACTTTGAGCTCCAGGTACCTGGAATTCCTGGTATAGAAGACACTAAAAAGGCAGGTGCTGCTAATGGTTTCACCTCTGGCCCTTCTGTAAACACTGAAAACAAGTTTGCATCCAAAATCACTGAGAAAATGTTTTAATCCAAAAGCCTGCCATTGTCTTTGAGATTTCTCTAAAGAGAATGACCTAGAATTTGGCTGTAATTAGGTGTCTGAGAATAAAAACTGTGGACTGTAACTGTGCCCATTCAAATAAAAGAAGTTATAATAATATGAGTGAGAAATTTCCCAAGATGGCAATACGAATCCACAAAAATGATTATTCCAAATTTTAAACCCACAAAGGTTATTTTATTTTTGTCCAAAACTTATTATACCCACTCAACAACAGAAGATTCTGCATGGAAACATAAGCGGTGGGATAAATATTTCATAGAAATTTGAATTTAAAATATTTTACTTACCACTAACTCTCCTTAATACAATTTTATTTCTAAGACATGTCTCTAATGAGATATCCAAATTTTGATTTGTTTTCTTATGTAGCACTAATAATACATGGCCCACTGGTATTAATACTTCACTTAGTCTAATTTGATATTTACCATTCTTTGTGTTATAATAATGTTTAACAATGCTATCTGTCCAATGATCTAATCCATGGATACTGCGTTATCTTATCTAAATTAAGTGACAAGAATGTTGCATTTGTAATCTATAAATGACCTCAAATTCTCCAGCTACAAAGAATTTTTAGGCACATTAAAAATAATTCTAACTTGTCCTCAGAACCTGCAGAGTACTGTGTGAAATAACATGGGGTGGGGAGAACAGTGAGCAAGCTGTTGCCATAAGACAGGCAAAGAAAGAGAAGGGCTGTAATGCACATGTATTTGGGGGTGAAGATAAAAAGACAGTGAAAGAAAAACTGAAGATAATTAGAAAATAAAAGAAGCAGAATTTATCTGTCTAAATTTAGAGTTAGTTGTGCAGCCTGACTACAGATTTCCTCTCTCACCATGCAAAACCAATGCCACTTCTTCACTCTGGGTGTTTTTAATCTCTTATATGAAGATACAAACTCACTCGAGCAGAAATATTTCCTGATAATTGTAAAGCATTTGTTACACACCTAGCACCGTCTTGTGTTTGTTTACTTCATACAAATGGCAAGAAAATCCCATGGCTTATGAAGCCTCCCGAGTTTTTACCTTAAAAGCATGGCTCAATAAATTCAATAATTATATCAAATATGTCTACTATAAAACATGAAAGAAACAGTAATAAAAACATTTTGCTTAAATAGAATTGTCTAATTGAAAAGATTAAATATACTAATTAAATAATAAAATTTAATAATATACTCACTGCAAAATTACTCAGATCTTCAAATTATTTAGTTAGCACCATTACATTTTACCGAAAGAGCTATAATCATTAGGCAGGTCACGTAAAGAATACTTCATGAACTTTGAAAGAAGAAAATTGTATATTAGGTCTAGCATGAATAGAAGGCAAGCTAGAACAAAGGGTTTGGATGGGGAGATTCTGAACCACAAGATTTTAGAGATGAATGGAAAGCAGAGGAAATAAATTTGCTTTCAGAATCTGTGAGGTTTTAGTTTGCTAGTATATCATAAACACTCATGAAATCATCTGCTTTGTTCTGATATATTTTCCTACTCAGAATAGGTCCACACTCACATAAAAACAATTACTTCTCCAATTCTTTTATATCTAAAGTTTATCTTTAGAGTAATATATTTAGAAATTTTACACCATGTAAATTAAAACTAAAATTTTGTGTTTGTAGAACCAGAGATAACATGTTCAAAAAAATGTAGGCTGAATTTTCTAAATAGTTATTCAGAATTCAGAAATGTAGGGCTTTTGATTATACTCCTATATAATCTTCAGTATAACCATCACAATAACTTCACAGTTACAAAATAAATAAAAATGTAATACGTGGGAACAATATTCTCTAAATTATTTGAAGTATAAGGCCACTGGGAAAAAGAATCACTACAGATGTTATTCCACCATATTACTTAATGGTATAGTCTTACCATGTTTTACCTACAAGCCTGAGTAAGGTAGAATAAGTTAATGTTGACAGCAGGATGACACTTCAATCAATGCACAAGACCCTTAACATATTAAAAATATTTTTTATTTGTTAAAACAAATAAAGTTTACAAATAATCTGAGACATATCAAAATCCACTCTATTTTATTAGTTTTATGTGCATTTGGTGAAACAATTTTCTTCTAAATTTTACAGTGTTTATTAATAAAATGCAGAGGATATGCACTGAACACCTACCTCATGCATCGCTTACAACACTGTTATCACTTAACCACAAACAGCCTCTCCACTTAGATTTTCTTCATGTATCTTACATTTCCAGGTCCTTAATCTTTTATGGAGAAGTATATAAATGATGACCACCTAATACAGAAGGACCGCTCAGAGCTGTAATGCATCAAACATTGACCACATGCTTCCATATAAACATTAGGAATAAAGGCAAAGCACTAAGTTATTCGAAAGTTTAATTATATCAATACTTGCTATTCAAAACATTTAAAATTATTTTAATGCAAATAATTACACTCAATATAATTTTAAATCTTCAAGAAGCAATCTCCTACTACTTTTATCCTACATACAAATAAATTATCCAATTATTTTAACTTTGGATTATTCTCTATAATGAACACTCTGAATAATTTAACTCATGACAGGATTCATACAATTAACCTTTTAAACATTTGTCTTATAGTTTACATCACATTGATTACCCTTTTATCAGATCTCAGTAGCACCAAAAACCTGACAATGGTATAGACACTGCCCACTAGCCTCTAGACACCACGGTCATATGCCCATGGCAACGTTGAGGAGGTTGAGATGATGAAGTCCATCTTGTACATGCCCACCGAGAAACTCACCGGCAGCAGGATGTGCTGATGGCTCTTGCCTCTGCAAAGATCCTTAGGTAGAGGCTGGGGCTGTGAAGGTACCAGGATCTCCTGTAGTTCCTGAATGAGAGTCATCATGTAGACACTTGAGAACAGCATTATTTGTTTAAGAAAAACATCTCTGAATAATGACAGAGTGAAAAACAGTCCTCTGATTATGGAGTTTATTGGGAAAAGTGAACAGTATTTACTGACATGCAAATTGATCTGGGTCACATTGGAAGAAGCCACAGTGTAAAAGATCAGGCTACTACTAACAGGAAAACTGAGAGACCATGAGAACAAATGGAAGGTAAAAATTGTGGATTTCCATTTAAACCTCACCAACCAGGAAATGCTGGGGCTGATGTTGACGACCTGCAGCATGCCCAGGAGGCAGGTGGTACAAATGGAGAGGACCCTGATCACCCTCCTCAGGTAGAAAGATGCCTCATATTTGAAGTCATTCTGAAAATTCAGTGATTCAAAGAGCTGTGGAGACAAGAACACCATGGTGAGAAGGACCACCATGTGGATGAGGGCCACATGACAGACTGGTAGGTAAGTGCGCTCTGGCCTGAGATCCAGAAAAAGCAGAAAAGGAGAAGATGCAGAAAAGAAGGAGAAAAGTGTTGGCTGAGATGCCAATACCAGCTTAGAAATGAAAGGCATTTTTCATGGGAACACAAGTGCAAAGTAATCATCTGAATTACAAAGACAAACATACTTTGTACATCAAAATATGAAGTATAAAAAACATTTTGTACTTCACATCATCTGTATTATATATTCTATGGCCAAAATTATCATAAACATTATTTGTATTCCACTAATTTTTTTCTTAATTAATCCTATCATATAAATCCTTGATATATATAGTGTATGTGTGCATGTATGTATATATAATTTGATGTATAATGTTGAGAATGTATTTTGAAGAATGTATATGAAAAACTGGCTCACTTTTTACAAAGCATTTCTTAATGAAGAGTGATGGTTACATAACAATAACTCACATGTTTGTATAGTTGAGCTAAAGTAAATTTTATGTTAAGGGAAAATAATCACCTAAAGAAAAAGTTGAAAAAAAAGTTTAACTGACTCACATCACAGCACTCAGTTTCTCTTATTATTTCTTTCACTTTTAAGAATGCTTATAATTACATTAGGCCCAAATCTGTAATTCAAGTTAATGTTTTTGTTTTAGAGTCAGCTGGTTATCAACCTTGATTTCATCTGCAGCCTGAATTCCCATTTCTCATATACCATAATACATGCCTAGAACCTGGTGGTTAGACATGGGGACCTTTGCATGGCATTATTCCACTTACCACAAGTCCTATTAAACGAATCCCTTAAAATAATTCTGGCTCTGTTCAAGTTTTGTTTTTATCCCAGAGAAATCTCATGAAAGCTTTATTTCATCTCAGGAGGAAATTGCTAAAATCCAGTTTTCAATGCTACAAGTACATGGACTACCTTTTTCTACTTTATGGGATCCATGAATTTGCATTAAGTGATAATTTTCTTGATGCTTCACTTTATACAGAGATACCCTTCCATGGAAAGATGCCTTTCCAAGCCTTGGAAAAACACCAAGGTCACTAATAGTAAAGATAATTCTCCATCTCTTAATCATGATATCTCTGTATGAGAACCCTTCATAAAATTTTATTGAATAATTCTGCAATTACTTTCTTCTTTGCCCTGAATACAGTCATCACTATTGTATCCAACTAATTCAGCCCGCAGCTTAGAATAATAGAGCTCTGGCTCATGCCTATAATTCCACCGCTTTGAGAGGCTGAGGCAGGGACATTGCTTCAGATAAACAGTTTGAAATTAGCTTGAGCAACACAGTGACACCCTGTGTCTATCAAAAATAAAGAAATTAGCTAGGCATGGTGGCACGTACCTGTGGTCCCAGTTACATGGGAAGCTGACATGGAAGGATCACTTGAGCATAGGATCTTGAGGCTATAGTGAGCCAGTGAGTTGTGATGGTACTAATGCACAAACCACAAATATAAATGTGCAAGGCAATGAAGATGATTTGACAGTATTTTTTACCTCATACTCAGAAATTAACATCTGAGTTAGAAAACTGCTAACCAATTTTAAACCACCTGATATGGATGAGTTTACAAAAAGGAAATTGCATAGTTTATATATCAGTTTTTATTTTTTTCTCCTAACACATAATCTAGTATAAGTACACATTTATCTCAATGTCCAGAACCAAACAATGGATAGTTGCCACCAAAATATACTGATGCCATCAACATGATATGGTTCTTTTGTCATGTTAAACCTAAAAGAAGCTCCAGGATAGTATCAGATTAAAGCCATAATAATCTCCATATATTAAATACTGCAGTCTAGTTCCAGAAAATAAACATGGACAATTAATATACAAATAACTACTTACTACTTATGTAGAAATCACTTTTACTAAATATACTGTGTGTATTAAAAGTTATATCACAGAAAGAGGTAATACAATTAGATAAAACAACATACGTAAGAATTCTATTTTTTTCTCCCCATAAGGTATCCAGATCACACACTTTAATTCAGGCCACACCCTCTCTAATGACTACTACATACCGCAAAAGAATGTATCTGCTAATTATCAAACTTTATTTTTCTCTAATGAAGGTTTTCAGGTCATTAATGCTGAGTCTGGAGAAAAGAACAGTGGCTCCCATGAACAAGGGTTGACAAATGTAACACACTTGGTTATATTTGAATTTCAGGTAAATGATGAATTGTTATTTGTATATACTCCAGTAATTGCTTACACATATTATACACAGATATAAAAACATTGCATAGCTATACTAAAAAGTTATTTGTTGTTTACCCCAAATTTAAATGTAACTTATGTTTTCTCTATTTTATGTCACAAATGTGCCACAACTACCATAGAACTATTGTATAATTTGGGACAACATGTTACAAACATGGGAAAACAGAATAAAAGAAAAAATATCAAAGGTTTTATAAAGGCTGAGTGCTGTGACTTATGCCTGTAATTTAAGCATTTTAGGAGGCAGCAGTGGGAGGACTGAGCCCAAGAGTTTGAGACCTGCCTGGGCAACATAATGAGAACCCATCTTCACAAAAAAATTTCAAAAATTAGCCAGGCATTGTACCACCTGCCTGTAGCTCTGGCTACTTGTGAGGCTGAGGCAGCAAGTTCACTTGAGCCTACACGGTCAAGGCTTCTGAGACCCCTGATCAAACCACTGCACTCATTCCTGGGTGTCAGAGTGTGAACTTGTCTCAAAAAAACATCAAAACATGAGATGCAGCAAACTACTGAGAGAAATTCACAGCAGTAAACACCTACATTAAAAATAAACAATTCTAAATTAATAACCTAATGTTTGGCAAAAATAGTTAAGGGCTAATTAACTACTCATCACACCTTGGAGAAAGAATATCAGTGCGGCAAGCAAAAGTCATGTAGAATATCTAAGAGAAAAAACTGAGGAGTGAGGTGCCTGGGGGATTCGGGCTTTGAAAATTATCCACATATTCCTGAGAATCCAGAAGCCCATAAGCATGTTCAGGGTCAATCAAGGGACAGGCAAATGCTCACAAAGACCTACGAAGCTGTTATCTCTCATGTCTGCTTTACCTCCAAGCACTGCACAAGCAGGAAGAAAAGAAAACAGCAAAGTTGTAATCTTTCTGGCTAAGTAAACCCAACTGCAAGAACTAGTAGATTTATATTTGATGTGAGCAGGCATTTGAGAAAATCTCTGTCAAATAGCTAGCTCACATGAAGCTAATAAAGCAGAGATTTTTATTGCTAAACACGACAAAAGGATGATATTTTAAAAATAATTTTGAAAACTCACCAAACAAACAAGTAAAATTTACAATAAGCAACAAAAAAACCCAACGGGATGAGAGAGAATATTATTTCAGGGTTGTTGTAATAGAAAAAGTCTAGTTTTCAGCAACAGCAATGAAATACAAAGCGTGCAAATAAATTAATGAAAAAATAATGGCCCACTAATAAGATAACAGATATTAACAGAAACAGTCCTAGAGGAATCGTAGGCATTGAAAAATCTAGAAAAAGTCTTTAAATTACCTGTCTTAAATGTGCTGCAAAGATAAATAACATCAAAAGGAAAAACATTTCAGAAGAATATTGTCTCATCAAATAGAAAATATTAATAGAGATAGAGATTATAAACTGAAGCCAAACTCTAAAGTTGAAAATTAAGATAACTAAAATAAAAAATTCACCACAAAGGTTCAACAAAAGATTTAAGTAGACGAAAGACACAACCAGCAAGCTTGAGGTCACTTCAATTCGTATTATCCCAACTAGCAGAAATAAAAAATAATGAATAAAGATGAACAGAGCCTAAGATAACAATGGGATACTATAAAATGTGCCATTACAAGCATTATGAAAACTCCCGAAAGAAGGGAGAAAGATAAAATGGGGCAGAAAGAACATCTGAAGAAATAATGGCTAAAAAGTTCCCAAGCATGATGAAATACGTGAATCTACACATTCCAAAATCTCATTGAATTCATAGTATAAACTCAAAGAACTCTACACCAAGACAAATTACAATAAAACTTTCAAAAGCTAAAGAGACAACTTTGAAGAAAGTTATGGAGAAAAGACTACTATTTGCAATGCATCTACACTGACATTAACAACTCACTAAAAACTAGAGTCCAGAATATAATTTCTCACTAAAAACTACGGAGTCCAGAATATGATAGGACAATATATTTAAAGTGTAGAAAGAAAAAAAAAAGCCAACAAAGAACTCTATTTTCAGCAAAACTGCTCTTCAAAGATGAAGGACATCCTTGAAGACCTTTGAAGACACTAAGAGCTATATAGATTAAAACAAATTTAACAGCTTGTCACTAGTAGACCTGGTATGCATTAAATGACAAAGGTTATCTTTTGGGTTGAAATGAAATGACAAACTAGGTAATAATGCAAGGCCATATGAAAAAATAAAGAATGCCAGTAAAAATGAGTACATGGCAAAATATAAATGCCACTATTAAAGAATATTTTGTAACTTTTATCTATTGTTCTTTTTTACATGTAATTTAAAATACTAATGCATAAAATAATTATAAATTTTTGTTAATGTCATACAATGCATAAAGATGTAATATGTGACAAAACAACATAACATTGGAGGAGCAGATCTCTATTGAAACAGCTTTTAAAATAAAACTGAATTACGAGCGGTATTAATTTAAAGTACAGTTACACAGTGATGAGATTAATTGTCATCCTTAAGGTAGCCACTAAAAATACAACTAAAGAAAGAAGTGAAAGAGGAAATGAGAAGAGAATCAAAACTGTTTTGGAAAAATACTAGAACATTAAAGATGTCAGTAATATAAGAGTTAATTAACAAAAATATACAAGACTTTAGAAAACAACTAGAAAAATGGCAGAAGTGTGCCCTTCCTTATAAATAGTTTAAATAGAAATTAACATCTACAATTACAATGCAAAGATTGGCAGATGGTTTAAAAATAAACAAAAACATGAACTAACTTTATGTTATCTACAGGAGAATCTCTTTAGTCCTAAGCTCACAAATAGGTTGAAAGTGAAAGGATGGGTAAAAAGATTCCACACAAATAGTAAGCAAAATAAGCTGGGGTGGTTACCCTTAGACAAGATAGGCATTAAGACAACATTGCTATAATTAATTGACACAGGAAATTTTATGTTAAAAAATTATAAATCTATCAAGAAGATAAAATAGTTTTAAATATGCATGTACCTAACAAAGACCCCAATATATGAAGCACAAATGGCAGAATGGTAGAAGTAGAAAATTCTCAATGTGAACTGCTGACTTTAATATACCAACTAGACCTAACGGACAAATTCAGAAACACCTAATCAAAAACCTTGAAATGAGCAAAAATTGATTGCATTTTCAGATTGTTTTCAAGCAAGCAATTTAACCACCTTGCTATTTTATGGCATGCTTATTTTTTTAAAAAAAGTTATGATGAAATATGCATAACATCATACTCAATACAAAGTTTCTGGTATATTTATAATTATGCAACTATAGCCATGGTATAACTTTAAAATATTTCCACTATCAGGACTAGACAATCATTACTGATTTCCCTTTTATGGACATTCCATTTTATCACCTTTATTGTTTGGTTTGGTTTCGTTTTTGAGATGGAGTCTCTGTCATGCAGGCTTGAGTGCAGTGGTGCGATCTCAGCTCACTGCAACCTCTGCCTGCCTCGCGGGTTCAATAGATTCTCCTGACTCAGCTTCCTGAGTACCTGGGATTACAGGCGCCCACCACTGCACCTGGCTAATTTTGTTTTTAGTAGAGACATGGTTTCACCATGTTGGCCAGGCTGCTCTCGAACTCCTAACCTCAGGCAATCCACCTGCCTCAGCCTCCCAAAGTGCTAGAATTAAACGTGTGAGCCACCATGCCTGGTCCATTTTTATTACCTCTTTATTATTGTGGTATGATTACTATTTTGTATAAATGGAATGATACACTGTATTATGTTTTGTGTCTGGTTTATTTCACTTAATGCATGTGAGGTCAGTTATGTCATTTTTTTTTTTACTAATTTTTTGTATATTTTAGAAAATGCATTTAGAAGAGAATAAAAAACTTTTAAAATAACTTCCATATTTCTCAATGTTGTGCATTTTTTTCAAAAAATAAGCAAATATTTTATTTTTTTTGGTTTCTTTGAGACAGATCTTATTCTATCACCATGGCTGGAGTGAAGTAACATGATCATGGCTTACTGCAGATTCTACCTCCTAGGCTCAAGTAGTCTTCCCACCTCAGGCTACCAAGTATCTGGGACCACAGCTGCACACCACCATGCCCAACTAATTTTTAAATTTTGTGTATAGATGGGGTCTCATTATGTTGCATGGGCTTGTCTCAAACTCCTGCGCTCATGAGATTCTCCTGCCTAGGCCTCCCAAAGGGCTGGGATTACAGGTGTGAGCCACCACACCCAGCCTATTTTTTTCTAAAGACAGGGTCTCATTCTGTCCTCAGCTCAAGTGCTGTGGCGTAATCATAGCTGAAGGCAGCCTCAATGTACTGAGCTCAAGTGATCCTCCCTCACTGACCCAAAGTGCTGGGATTACAGGCATCAGCCACCATGTCCAGCCTGAAATAATATTTTAATTAAACATTAAGAAAAATAGAAGAAATAAGATCTAGTGTTTCGTAACACAATAGGACAACTATAGTTAACCGTAATTTATTGTATAAAAGATAGAATTGTTGAGTATGGTGTGAGCACCAGTTTAGGGTTTTGGCACATTCTTTACACTTGAAGAGTTTCTATCTGGTATGAATTATTTGATGTTGAGTATGGGTTGAGTGTCTGTTAAAAGCTTTGCCACATTCTTCACATTTGAAAGGTTTCTTTCCAGTATGAATTCTCTGATATTGAGAAAGGTGTGAGCTCCTGGTAAAAGCTTTGCCACATTCTTTACATTTGAAGAATTTCTCTCCAGTGTAGATTCTCTGATGTTGAGTAAGGTGTGAGCCCTAGATAAAAGCTTTGCTGCATTCTTTACATTTGAAAGACTTCTCTCCAGTGTGGATTCTCTGATGTCGAGTAAGGTGTGAGCCCCTGTTAAAGGCTTTGCCACATTCTTTATGTGTGAAGTGTTTCTCTCCAGTATGTATTCTCTGATGTTGAGTAAGGTGTGAAGCTCTGTTAAAAGCTTTGCCACATTTTTTGACACTTGAAAGGTTTCCCTCCAGTGTGAATTCTCTGATGCTGAGTAATGTATGAGCTTCTATTAAAGGCTTTGCCACATTCTTTACATTTGAAGGCTTTCTCTCCAGTATGGATTCTCTGATGTTAAGTAAGGTATGAGCCTCTGTTAAAAGCTTTGCCACATTCCTTACACTTGATAGGTTTCTTTCCAGTATGGATTCTCTGATGTTGAGCAAGGTGTGAGCTCTTCTTAAAGGCTTTGTCACATTTTTCACATTTGTAAGGTTTCTCTCCAGTATGAATTTTCTGATGTCCAAGTTGTAAGCCCCTGGTAAAAGCTTTGCCACGTTCTTTACATTTTACTGATTTCTCTCCAGTGTTAATTATCTTATGTCTCTTCAGATGTGACTGACTAAAGACTATTATACATTTTTTATTACATCTTTGTGAGCTCTCTCCAATATAAGTTCTTCGATGTTGAGTAAGTTTTGAGGATGGGTTAGAAGTTTCACCACATTCATTAGGGTTGTAAGGCTTTTCTTGAATATGGATACTTTGAGGATTGATAAAACACTTTCTCACATTCATTACATTTGTAATAGTTTTCTAGAAAATGAGTATTCTGATGTTTACTAATATTTGAGTCATGGCTAAAATTTATCTGATTTTTATTACAAAAGACAGATTCCAAAAATTGATGTTGATATTTACTCACAGGAATACATGGTTCTGTAGGAGTAGCTGGCAGAAACTGAGGCTTCTTCAGAAATATTCTATGTTCTTCATCTCCTTTCACAGTTAAATTTTTGTTATGAGAAGTTGTCAAATATTGGCTACATAAATTATAACATTCTTTTTGTCCTTCACCTATACTTTCCCAGTTTTTCCATAAGCATAAATTTTCAAGGCCACAGCTCCCATATCTTCCCAGTGTTGCTTTTCCTAGTGTTGCTTTTTTGAATGACTCTTCTATGCCTTGCTCTGGTAAAATGCCTTGGTTGTAATAAGAATATATAGCTCAAAGTAGTAAAAATAACTAATTATTCTACATACTGAATTTAGCTGAATATACTTTACAAATCTAATATGAAATTTTACCAAGCTGAGAACATGAGCACAATGCCATAGTAGAAAACCAACAGAGGACAGAGCAAGATGGCTAGATAGAAGGCTCCAGTGATCATTTCCCCTGGAAGGACACCAATATAACAACTATCTATTAAAAAACAAACAAAAACCTTCATAAGAATAAAGGCGAGCACTCACACTACCTGGTTTTAACCCTGCAGTACACAAAGAGGCACTAAAACAGGGTAGGAAAGACAGTCTTGAATCACTAATGCCACTCCTCACTCATGCCCTGGCAGTAGTCACATGCTATGTAGACAGAATCTGTACACTTGGGAGAGGGAGAGCACTGGGATTGTGAGCATTGAACTCAGTGCTGCCCTATCATAGCAGAAAGCAAAACTGGAATGAACTCAGCTGATGCCTGCCCACAGAGGGTGCGTTTCAACTGGCCCTGGACAGAGGGGAATCACCCTCCCAGTGATTGGAACTTGAGTTCTGGCAAGCTTCACCACCATAGTCTAAAATGCTCTGGGGCCCTAAAGAAACTTAAAACAGTCTAGGTCACAAGGACAGCAACTCCCAGGTGTCATGCTGAACTGGGCTTAGAGCCAGTGGACTTGGGGGCCACATTACCTACTAAGATACAAGCTGGGGCAGCTAAGAGAGTTCTTATACCACCCCTCCTCCAAACTGAGGCTGCACAGCTCACAGATTCAAGAGACCACTTCCATCTACTTAAGAAGACAGAAAGAGTAAACAGGACTTTGTCTTGTATTTTGGATATCAGCAAGGCCACCAGTCAGAGTTATAAAACACCCTTCTCAGCCACTAGCTCCTAATTAAAATTTCTAGGTACATACTGGACTATAAGGAAATCTGCTGCCTTGAATGAAGAAATCCGGTACTAACAAGACCCATCAACTGCTAAGTAAAGGGCCCTTGGCCTGGAATAACCTGCAGTGATAACCAGGTAGTTTGCTGTGAGCTTTCATTGAGACTCTGAGGCTTGCTAGAATCAGGTGAGACTCGGCACATTCACAACTGTGGTGGCTACAGGGAGACACTGAAAAAGGTAGAGGAAAAACTAGAGAACTTCATCTTGCAACTTAGGTCCCAGCATGGCCAAAGAGAGGAAGAGCACCAGTGGGCTCTTGGGGTCCCTTATTCCAGGTCTTGGCACTTGGATGGCACTTCTGGACCTGTACTGGGACAGAAGGGACACCACTGACCAAAAGGATGAGTAGCAGGCCAAGCATCATTCACTATAAGTGAACTAAAGAGCCTTGAACCTTAAGAGAACATTGGTGGAAGCCTGGCAGTATTCCCGATGGGCCTGTGGTGATGGCAGCAATAGGATGAGGCCCCTCTGCCTGTTGAGTAAGGAGGGAAAAATGGGAAGAACCGAATTTCATGGTTTAATTGCTAGCTCTACCACAGTACAATAGAACACAAAGTAGACTCCTAAGGTTATTGACTCCAGCCCCTGGCTCCTGGATGGCACCACTGGGCTTGCCCAGAACCTGAGGGAACTCACTACTCTGAAGGAAAGGATACAAACCTGGCTGGCTTACCACCTACAGATTATAAAGCCCCAAGACCTTGAGCAATTACTGGTGGTACCAGGTAGGGTTACAGCTCACCATGGGTGTGATCAAGTGCTGTGCTGGTTTCAGGTCTGACCCACTGCAGTCCTACTGATAGCAACAGAAGACAAACTCCTAGGCAGACAGGGATGGGTGCACTGGTGAAACTCGACCTTCAAGGAAACAACAGTCTAAAAAGCCTGAAAACTGAGCTACCAGTTCCAGAAAGAATTCATGGACTAGAGTGAGAACTTCCATCCCTGTCTAACCTGCTCTCTATTGGTTCTTTGAGAATGATGCCTTTTAACCAATTGAATGGTGTCTTTTCCAAGCCCACCCATGAACCAATCAGCATGCATTCTCCTGTTTTAAACCCATAAAAATCCCAGATTCAGCCTCACAGATGGCTACCTACTTTCAGGTTCCCTCTTGCTGCTGATAGCAAGACCAGAAAACAAAGAACAAAATGGCAAGAGTAAGTCTTTATATAATCAATAACAACACTGAATGTAAATGGACTAAATTCTCCAATCAAAAGACACAGATGGCTAAATGGATACAAAAATTAAGACCCAGCGATTTGTTGCCTACAAGAAACACACTTCACCTATAAACACATAGATTAAAAAGATTTAAAAAAATTCCATGTCAAAGAAAACAAACAAAAATAGCAGTAGTTGCTACACTTATGTCAGACAAAATAGATTTCAAGACAAAACTATAAGAAGACACAAAGATGGTCACTCTATAATAATAATGAGTTTAATTCAGCATGAGGATGTAAGAATGTTACATACATATGCATCCAACACTGAAGTACTCAGATATATTAAGCCAGTATTATTAGAGCTAAAGAGAGAGACAGGCTCCAATATAATAATACCTGGAGAATGCAACATCACACTTTCAGCATTGGATAAATCTTCCAGACAGAAAACCAACAAAGAAATCTCAGGCCTAATCTGCACTATAAACCAAATGGACACAATGGATATTTACAGAACATTTTATCCAATGGCTTCAGAATACACATTTTGCTCTGCAGTGCATGAATCATTCTCATGGATAGACCATATGTTAGGTCACAAAACAAGTCTTAACACATTTTAAAAATTAAAATAATATCAAGCATCTTTTGTGACTACAATAAAAAAACCTAGAAATCAATAACAAGACAAATTTTTGAAACTATACAAACACATAGAATTTAAACAATATGCTCCTGAAAGGCCAGTGGGTCAATGGGGATATTAATAAATAAATTGAAATATTTCTGTAATATGTCACAATGGAAATACTTAGGATTTACAGTAAAAGCAGTACTAAAAGTTTATAACTAAAAGTGTCTACATAAAAAAATTCAAATGAACAACTTCATGACAGATTTAATGCAATTTCCATGAAAATACCACCAGTATTCTTCACAGAACTAGAAAAAAACCCCTAAAATTAATATGGATCAAAAAAGTGCCTACATAGCCAAAGTAATACTAACCAAACAAATAAATAAAAAATATGGGGTCATCACATTACCCTACTTCAAATTATACTACAAGGCTATAGTTATCAAAACAACATGGTATTGGTATTAAAATTTACACACAGACCAATGAAGCAAAATACAGAATCCAGAAATTAAGCCAAACACAGGCAACTAAACTAATCATCAACAAGGCATATAAAGACACAAATTGGGGAAAGAACACCCTATTCAATAAATGGTGCTAGGAAATACTGGCAAGCCACACGCAGAGGAATAAAACTGGATCCCCATCTCTGACCTTATACAAAAATCAATTCAAGATGGATCAAATATTTCAATCTAAGGCCTGAAAGCATACGAATTCTAAATGATAACATAAGAAAAAAAACTCTTCTCGACATTGATTTAGGCAAAGAATTCATGATTAAGACCCCAAAAGCAAATGCAACAAAAACAAACATAAATAAATGGGACCTAATTTAACTAAAAAGCTTCTGCACTGCAAAGGAAATAAGCAGCAGAGTACACAGACAACCCACAGAGTAGCAGAATATATTTGCAAACTACACATCTGACAAAAAGCTAGTATCCAGAATCTATAAGGAACTCAAATAAATTAGCAAAATAATAATTCCATCAAAAAGTAGGCAAAGAAAATGAATATATATTTTTTCAAAAGAAGATATACAAACAGCTAATAACAACCTAAAAATGCTCAACATCAATAATCAAGGAAATACAAATGAAAACCACAGTTAGATATCAAATAACTCCTACAAAAATGGCCATTTTTTGTAGGCCAAAAAAAGTCAAGAAAACAACAGATGTTGGCATTGGATGTGGTGAAATGGGAACACTTAACAAAATAATGTCATTTGCAGCAACTTGGATGGAGCCGAAGGTCATTATTCTAAGTGAAATAACTCAGAAATGGAAAACTAGATATCGTATGTTCTTACATATAAGTGGGAGCTAATCTATGAGGATGCAAAGGCATAAGAATAATGTAAAAGACTTTGGGGACTCGAGGGGGAAGGCTGGGAGGCGGGTGAGGGATAAAAAACTACATATTAAGTGCAGTGTGCACTGCTCAGGTGACAAGTGCACTGAAATCTCAGAAAACACACTAAAGAACTTATCCATGTCATGAAAAACCACCTGTATTTCCAAAACAATTGACACTTTAAAAAAAAAAAACCTAATGACGTATCTTAGAGAGCTAGAAAAACAAGAGCAAACCAAACCAAAATTAGAAGAAAAGAAATAATAAAGATCAAAGCAGAAATAAATGAATTTGAAATAAAATACAAAAGGTCAATAAAATGCAAAGTTGTTTTCTGGAAAAAAAAAAAAAGAAACCTGACAGACCTTTACTCAGACTAAGAAAAAAAAAAAAAAAAACTCAGCAGGCAGTGGCTCATGCCTGTAATCCCAGGACTTTAGGAGGCTGAGGCGGGCGGCTGGATCACCTGAGGTCAGGAGTTCAAGATCAGCCTGGCCAACATGGCAAAACCCCGTCTCTATTAAAAAACACAAAAATTAGCCAGGCGTGGTGGTGGGCGCCTGTAATCTCACCTACTCAGGAGGCTGAGGCAGGTAGAATTGCTTGAACTCGGGAGGCGGAGGTTGCAGTAAGCTGAGATCGAGCCACTGCACTCCAGCCTGGGCAACAGAGCAAGTCTCCATCTCAAAAATAAAAAAATAAATAAAAGAATAAAAGGAAAAGACTCAAATAATATCAAAGATGAAAAAGGAGACATTTCAACTCTACAACTTATACTGCAGGAATTCAAAAGATCATTAGTGAGTACTATGAGCAGATAGATGCCATAAATTGGAAAATCTAGAACAAATGGATAAATTTCTAGACACATAGAACCTAAGAAGATTGAATTATTAAGAAATCCACAACCTGAATACACAAACAAGACGTGATGAGATCCATAATACAAAGCCTCCCATCAAAGAAAAGCCTGAAATCTGATGGTTTCACTGAATTTGACAAAACATGTATAAAACTAATAGCAATCCCACTTAAACTATTTCAAAACAGAGGAGGAGGAAATACTTTCAACCTCGTTCTGTAAGGCAAGCATTACTCTCATACTAAAATCAGACAAATGCATATCAAAAAAATCTATAGGCCAATATCAGCAATAGATGCAAAATTTCTCATAAAAATACTGGCAAGTAAAATTCAGCAACAGATTAAAAGTTTATTATTCCTCATCATCAAGTAGGATTTATCTCATGGATGCAAAGATACTTCAACATATGCAAATCAATTAATGTAATATACCATATCAACAAAAGAAAGAACAAAAACCACATGATCATTTTAATTGATCCTGAAAATCATTTGACAAAATTTAATATCTCCTCATGAAAGAAACCCTCAAAACTATAGAAGAAACATACATGCAGCCAAAAAACACATGAAAAAATGCTCACCATCACTGGCCATCAGAGAAATGCAAATCAAAACCACAATGAGATACCATCTCACACCAGTTAGAATGGCAATCATTAAAAAGTCAGGAAACAACAGGTGCTGGAGAGGATGTGGAGAAATAGGAACACTTTTATACTGTTGGTGGGACTGTAAACTAGTTCAACCTTTGTGGAAGTCAGTGTGGCGATTCCTCAGGGATCTAGAACTAGAAATACCATTTGACCCAGCCATCCCATTACTGGGTATATACCCAAAGGACTATAAATCATGCTGCTATAAAGACACATGCACATGTATGTTTATTGCAGCACTATTCACAATAGCAAAGACTTGGAACCAACCCAAATGTCCAACAATGATAGACTGGATTAAGAAAATGTGGCACATATACACCACGGAATACTATGCAGCCATAAAAAATGATGAGTTCATGTCCTTTGTAGGGACATGGATGAAATTGGAAATCATCATTCTCAGTAAACTATCGCAAGAACAAAAAACCAAACACCACATATTCTCACTCATAGGTGGGAGTTGAACAATGAGAACACATGGACCCAGGAAGGGGAACATCACACTCTGGGGACTGTTGTGGGGTGGGGGGAGGGGGGAGGGATAGCTTTAGGAGATATACCTAATGCTAAATGACGAGTTAATGGGTGCAGCACACCAGCATACCACATGTATACATATGTAACTAACCTGCACATTGTGCACATGTACCCTAAAACTTAAAGTATAATAAAAAAAGAAACATACCTCAGCATATAAAAGTTATATATAGATATATAGATATCACATATAGTATGATACTAAATGGGGAAAAATGAAAAGCTTTTCCTCTAAGATTGACAACATGACAGAGATGCACACTTTCACTACTGTTATTCAACACATGGCAGCTAGAGCAATTAGCAAGAGAAAAAATAAAGGGCAAGCAAATTGGAAAGGAAGAAGTCAAATTATGTTTGTTTGCAGATGATGTGGTCTTATATTTGGAAAATCCTAATTCACTAAAACACTATTAGAACTCACAATTTTAGTCAAGATATAGGATTAAAAAGTTAGCAGCATTTTTATATGCCAACAGTGAACAATGTGAAAAAGAAATCAAGAGAGTGGTCCCATTTACGATAGCCTCAAATTAAAATTAAATACCTAGGAATTAACCAAAGACGTTAAAGATCTCTACAATGAATACTATAAAACATTGATGCAAGAAATTTAAAAAGACAAAAATATGTATTTTATGTTCATGAATAAGAATCAGTATTTTTAGTGTCTATATTAACCAATGCAATCTACAGACTTAATGCAACCCTATCAAAACATCGATACTCTTCACAGAAACAGGAAAAACAATCCTATAATGCAGACAGAACCACGAAAGACTCAGAATAGCCAAAGTTCTTGTAAGAAAAAATTTTGCCTTTATGTGCCTGGCTTATTTGTCTTACCATATGATCTCCAGTTCCATCCATGTTGTTGCAAATAACAGGATCTTATTCTTTATAAGTGAAAAGTACTCCTGGGGGTGTGTATGTACATTTGCTTTATCCATTCATCTGTTGACATGTTGCTTCTAAATCTTGGCTAATGTAAACAATGCTGTGTGAAAGGAAAACAAATCTTTGGACCCCAAAATCACTAAGCTAAAGGGAAAAGTCAAGTTGGGAACTGCTTAGGGCAAATCTGCTTCTCATTCTATTCAGTCATCCCTCTGCTCACTGCAAGTCCTATCAGTACACAGGAGAAAATTTAAAAATGAATAAAAGCAAAATAATTCAATGAAAACAAAAAAGCAACTGTCATTACCTCCATAAGAGGTGACTGTGTAGGTAGAAAATCCAAATGTAACTGACTAGCTGTTAGCTTAACTGTACAAAACACTATTAATATTCCTAAATTCTATCCATACTTAGAAAATAAAATACAATAGCAAACTTCACCTGCTCCATCCTATATTACTCCCTATGTTGATAACATTTGAGATGTCTCATGTAGCTGATTTATTTAAATATTTGCACCAATTCAGATTTAATCAAATTTTACTATTATTTTTACTTCTTTGTTTTTGCCGACTATTGATTATTATTATTATTTTTTTAAGACAGTCTCACTCTGTGGCCCAGGCTTGAGTGCAGTGGCACAATCTCAGCTCACTATAACCTCTGCCTCCTCGGTTCAAGTGATTCTCCTGCCTCAGTCTCCCGAGTAGCTGGGATTGCAGGTGCACACCACCACACCTGGCTAATTTTTGTATTTTTAGTATAGACGGAGTTTCACCATGTTGGCCACGCTGGTCTCAAACTCCTGACCTCAGGTGATCCACCCACCTCGGCCTCCCAAAGTGCTGGGATTACAGGTGTGAGCCACCACACCCAGCCTGATTAGTATTTTTAATGCATTTCTTTGAATTCATTTTCTCTTCTTTATGGAGTGCATCCTCCAGTTTTGTTTTTTTGGTTTTTTTTCCCCTCACAGAGTTTACAGGTAGTCAGTAGTATATACTTCTGAATAAATTCTGTCTTAGGTTGGTTTCAGTGATAGTTTGGCTGACTGTAAATTTCTATTTCCAATGTTCTTTTCTGTGAGAACTCACTATTGATTTCTGCACTTCTTTTTGCTTCTGATGTCACCACCCTGATCAAATCAAAGTCTCTCTCATTCCTTTGAAGCAAATCAGTTTATATCATTCTGGTGATATAAAATGTGACCTTCATGTTTCTGGGTATGCTTTTTGTTTTTGTTGTTTTCCATTTATCCATTTCAACATAACATGAACTTTTATAACAAAAGCACATTATCCTTTTCCAGTTTCTGGAAGTTTTTCTCAATTATTTTTGTTACTAATTCTTTGAAATTTATTAAAACTGGCTTTATGCCAAGTAAAGTGGTAACTATTACATATGCAATTTAAATGGCTGCATAATATTCTCTAATCACGATATATGTCCATTAAAATCAAAGTGGGAAATAATCTATTCGAATCTTCTATATCCTTATCCTTTCACTTTATTTTATGTGTTCTACTTGTCCATTTTATCTAGTTTTTTTCCCTCTCTCTTCCTGCTTTTCTTTTGAATTTATTTATTTATTTATTGAGACTGAGTCTCACTCTGTTCCCCAGGCTGGAGTGCAGCGGCATGATTTCGGCTTACTGCAACCTCTGCCTCCCGGATTCAAGTGATTCTCGTGCCTCTGCCTCCTGAGTAGCTGGGACAACAGGTGTAAGCCACCACGCCCAGCTAATTTTTTTCTTTGTATTTTTAGAATAGAAGGAGTTTCACCATGTTGGCCAGGCTGGTCTTGAACTCCTGACCCCAGGTGATCCACCTGCCTTGGCCTCCCAAATTGCTGGGAATACAGGTGTGAACCACTCTCTCCAGTCTCTTTTGAATAATTTAAATCCTTCTACCCTCACCCACCAATTCCATCTTTTTTCCTTTGATTGGTTTGGAAATTAAACCTCTATTGGTTTGGAATCTTTACTATTCTTTTAGTTGTTTTCCTTGAAATTTTACACTGCATTTTGCATTACAATTTAACAAAGGCTAAAATTAAGCTAATTTTAACTCCCTCCACAAAATAATGCAAACACTGTAGAATGCCTTCACTCTGATCACCTCATTTTTGTATTTATTTTCAGTTGTTCGCTTATTCTGTCTTGTTTCCTTTAATTCCACCAACCACAAACAGAAGTTGTTTTACATACAGCTTTCTTATTGTTGCAAATACGTGATTAGAGTTTCAGATGTGTCATCTGCTTACTAGCTACTAGATTCTAACTATTCATAACTGCACTCCTTAATCTTTTCCTTTCCTGCTAACCTTCTCTATTAACATTTCTTTATTGAAACTTTGTTGGTCTTAAATGCTCTTAAGTCTTAAAGATTATATTTTTCTGTAAATGACTACCTCAATTTTATTTATTTATTTATTTTTGAGACAGAGTCTCACTCTGTCGCCAGGCTGGACTGCAGTGGCGTGACCTCGGCTCACTGCAACCTCTGCCTCCCAGGCTCAAGTGATTCTCCTGCCTCTGCCTCTCAAGTAGCTGGGATTAGAGGCACCTGCCACCACGCCCGGCTAATTTTTGTATTTTTAGTAGACACAGGGTTTCACCATGTTGGCCAGGCTGGTCTCAAACTCCTGACCTCAGGTGATCTGCCTGCCTTGGCCTCTCAAAGTGCTAGGATTACAGGCATGAGCCACCACACCCGGCTCTCACCTTCATTCTTGAAATACGACTCTACAGTTCTTCATTGGTAATGATTATTGCCACTGACTCTCCTTCATGGTGGTTTGTTTCCTCTGTCTACAATTTTCCCTGGAACCTCTGCTGCTCCTGGTATGCACCACTCCAAACTCACTGAGGCCAGACTCTGAGGACACGCCCATCTTTTGTAGTCACTCTCGTGATTGTCGTTATTTGATGAATTTATTTTTTAAATTAATTAATGTATTTTTTTGAGACAGAGTCTTGCTCTGTTGCCCAAGATGGAGTGCAGTGGCGTGATCTCAGCTCACTGCAACCTCCGCCTCCCAAGCTCAAGCGATTCTTCTGCCTCAGCCTCCCGAGCAGCTGGGATTACAGGCACCCACCACCAAGCCCAGATAACTTTTGTATTTTTAGTAGAGATGGGGTTTCACCACGTTGGCCAGGCTGGTCTCGAACTCCTGACCTCGTGATCTGTCCACCTCAGCCTCCGAAAGTGCTGGGACCACAGGCGTGAGACACCCCACTGGCCATGAATTTATTTTATGGAAGAAGATAAACATACTAAAGATTTCATAATTATTTTTCACTAATGTTATACTAACAAGAAGTTACATTATTAAATAATTGCACTAATACTGGTACTCAATATTAGATAGTGGTACAGTTACTTTTTTGTTCCTCCCATATAAATTTCTCAGCTATGAATTTGTCTTGCCACAAAAGAGGCCTAAAGGATAAATCTATTCAGGCAGATTTGAGAAGAGTAGTTGACTCCCCCAAAATACACATTTTCCTATTTCAACATCATTGTTAATGAAATGAAGTGGCAGTGCTCACCTGGAAGAAAACACTTGCAAAACATACATCCAACAAAAGATCTGTAACCAAAATATACAAGAGCTCTTACTGTTCAATAGTAAGACAATAAATCACCCTAATAAAAAATAGGCAATGGTTTAAACAGATGCTTCACCAAAGAAGACATACAGACAGAAGCAAGCACAAGAAAAGATGCTCTAGATTGGGCGCCGTGGCTCACGCCTATAATCCCAGCACTTTGGGAGGCCAAGGCGGGTGGATCACCTGAGCTCAGGAGTTCGAGACCAGCCTGGCCAACATGGTGAAACCCTGTGTCTACTAAAAATACAAAAAATTATCTGAGCATGGTGGCAGGTGCCTGTACTCCCAGCTACTTGGGAGGCTGAGGCAGGAGAATCGCTTGAACCTGGGAGGTGGAGCTTGCAGTGAACGAAGATCGCGCCACAGCACTCCAGCCTGGGCGACAGAGCAAGACTCAGTCTCAAAAAAGGATATACATAATGATATAGCACTGCATATGTATCAGAATGGCTAATATTAAAGATGGACCATACCAAAGCTGGTCAAGATATAGAGCCACTGAAACTCTCATACACTACTGCTGAAAATGGAAAATGGTTCAACTGCTTTGGGAAACAACTTGGCAGTGTATTAAAAAGTTGAGCATGCACTTACCATATGCACTAGGCATTCTACTACCAGGTATTTACCCAAGAGAAACAAAGGAATATGCCTACAGAAAGGCTAGTTCACTACTGATCGTAGTCACATTGCTTGATACTTGAGGTCCACAGGAGCAGTAATAGTGACTAAAATTCACTGAGATTTACTAAGTTCCAGGTATTACTTTCATATATTAATTTGTTTAATCTTCATTAACATTTCCATGAGGAAGCAGTGAGGGAGGAAGGACATCTCTCTGGCCAGCCAAATTCCTGGCCAGCCAAATTCTCTTAAGTCAACCATCAATCACTTACCATCGAGGTCGAGTTCATCCTCCTCCAAGGGAAGGCTGAAGATACTGATGGCGGCTCAGTTATGGTATCTCTCAGGGAAGGGAAAAAACTGGCTTCTTCCCTAGAGAGTGGGGCCGTGATCAATGTGGCCATGATTAATGACACACATGTCTTTTTCATGATGAGTTTCATGGTGCATCGCATGCTAGCCTACAGACTGTACCTTTCCACTCTTCCTGTTTCACTTTGCAATGATATTCACTAGAAAAAGGATCTTTTTCTGGGCTAACAGGCAGCCAATCTTCCAGCAAATGAACTGGGTCACTTAATGAAGAACCATAAGTTGTCATCAATAGTGATGCAGACTTCTCAATGATCAGGTTTGCAGGTTTACAAAGACAGATCAGTAGTTCTTCGTGACAAAGAACAGTAAATGATTATGATCAAAATTGTATTCTTATAATCTAAAACACCAATATTGTCTTTCTTTTTCTTTTTTTTTTTTTTTTTGAGACGGCGTCTTTCTCTGTCACCCAGGCTGGAGTCCACTGGCGTGATCTCAGCTCACTTCAATCCCCGTTTCCTGGGTTCAAGCAATTCTCCTGCCTCAACCTTTCAAGTAGCTGGGAGTACAGGTGTGTGCCACCATGCCCAGCTAATTTTCTGTATTTTTAGTCCAGACGGGGTTTCACCATGTTTGCCAGGCTGGTCTCAAACTCCTGACCTCAGGTGACCCACCCACCTTGGACTCCCAAAGTGCTGAGATTACAGGCATGAGCCACTGCACCTGGCTAATGCCTTGCAGTACACATCTAAAGAGAGCATTTGACTTTATCTAACCAGTGCTTGACTCTGAAATCTGTTAACTGTATGTCTTCTATGTCTGAAAGTATAAGTATTTTTTTTCCAATTCCTATGCTAAGTGCTCTATTTACTTCCTTATCTCATGTGAACCTTACAAACCATACGAACGTATTTTTTAGAAATTTTCCTTGAAACTTTAAGAAAGCAAATGGCAATGTGGTGTGTGCTTTCTTAAACTTCCTTAAAACTTTATTCAGTGTATCCTCTTCCCAGCCTCACTTTTTGTGACTCTTGGCAATGACTGCATCTTTCACACCATAGAAAATAACCTGCTCTGAAACATCAACGCTCACAAGCTGGTCTTACCAGAACCTCCATGAACCAAATGCTGCAAAGAAGCCTCAGAATCACAGATGCATAACATCTAGCTAGCCTGATAACATTACACAGCTGTTTATTTTTTATTTTTATGTCTATTACTTTTAGTGTAGCAGTTTTCTTATACTCAAATGTCTAAACATTGAAAACTCAGCCAATGCAAAGCTATACAACAAACCCTTTGACAGCCTTCGCACATTTGAACAGTATTATTTTTCTTAAATGAGCCAATTCTGAGACACAAATTTCATAATTCTTGAAAGATTTTCTTCCACAATAGAAATTTTGGTTAAAATGATTTATTTGACCCGAATCAAATTATGGAATTATGTTCTAAAACTAACTGTATTACATTTATTACATCTATTGGCCCTCAAGCCAAAATTCTGCCAGCCATTTCTCGTCTTCGTGCTGTGCTCACAAGGACCAGCAGCATGTGCTAATACTGACTGTCTGCCCAGTAACATGCTAGAGTATGAGGAAGGCACCTCAGGCACATGGAGGCAATAGCTGCAACTGGGTCAAGGCACATGCCCTATTTCTTCATCACTCACACACTCAGAAATCCACAATGGGGAATATGCATTTTGCATGGAAGAAGAAAAAAATGACTCAATCCTAGCTAGGGGGATTCCCACCTCACTCCCTCACAGCACTCTCTACCCAACCACCTTCCCTCGCCACACTCAGACATGCTCACACCTACACACAAGGATGATCTGGCCACTTCTCCCATTAATTCACCACTCCTAGAAAAACTGTATTTGGCTTAACTTTATCAAGCTGTCTGGCTGCCTGAAGATTTATAGATGTCAAAATAAAAAACTAATTACAACTCGGAATACCGCAGTAGCACCTGATTTAATGTCTAAGGCAGCAGGCCAGTGAACATACTGAGAAAGGAGAACCCTCACACACTCTCCATAAAGGAGCCATGATGGGGATCAGCATGGAGGATCCTCAGAAAACTAAAACTAGAGTTACTATATGCCCACAATCCCACTGATGGGTATACATCCAAAAGAAACAAAAAACAATATATCAAAAAGATATCTGCACTCCCATGTTTATCTCAGCCCTATTCACAACAGCCAATATATGGAGTCAACCTAAGTGCCCATAACAGATGAATGCATAAAGAAATGTGGTATGTATACACAATGGAATACTATTCAGCCATAAAAAAGAATGGGATCCTGTCATTTGCAGCTACAAGGCATAACTGGGGATCATTGTGTTAAGTGAAATAATCCAGGCACAGAAAGAAAAATATTACATGTTCTTAGTCATATGTGAGAGCTGAAAAAGTGGATCTTATGAAGACAGAGAATAAACTGATGATTACCAGAAGCTGGGAAGGATTTGGCAGGGGAGGGCTCAGGAGGCTGAGGCAGGAGAATTGCTGGAACCCGGGAGGTGGAGGTTGCAGTGAGCCAAGATCGTGCCATTGCACTCCAGGCTGGGGGACAAGAGCGAGACTTCATCTCAAAAATAAAATCATAAAATAAAATAAAATTGAAAAAAGTTCCCGGTTATCATGTTGTTGAGTACTACTTAATCAGAATATACTTGAAAACAAAAGATTCTTTGTGGTTTTTTAACTCTTGGTAATTAATCCATTTTAGGCAGTCTTAAAAAAATGATGTAGGACAGGGAAACCAATATGAAATGGGTAGTCTGAAAAGCAGTTATTAGATATTGACCATCATTTTAGGAAAGGCAGGCTATTTACCCCACTATATGCTCCCAGGTAAACTTGTCTTCAATTCCTGTTAAGTCAAACGGGAAAAACCAAACTTGCCATCTCTCTATATTTACTATCATTTAAAAAATTCTGTTAAGAGACACCAAAACATAGTATTTCGTACCTCCTTGCAACATAAAAAATTGGCTTCCCAGCTTTGGAATTCCCAGCTTGGTAAAAAATACTTAATGTTTTCAAAGCCTTGATCTCTTCTTTTTCACATACCTGATGCCTAAAAGAAAAAGAACAGGGTAACTGTGAGGCTTTGTGTTGTCTACTGAGTATGTAAAACAGTCCATAATTGGATAAACAATAAAATGCTAAAATGAAAAATTATTTTAAAAGCAACAGGCATTCTAAAGGGTAATTTGACAACATGCACAAAAAATCTCAAGATATTACTCTTTGAACCACAAAAGCACTTTTAGGACTATTCTAAGAGAACTACTGGATGAGGATATTAACCATAGGATTGTTTTTACTCATGACTTCTTTGTGTCAGACAGAAGTTTATGATTTTTTAACGAATTCATTTTATTAATCTTTTCCTTTCTAGTTTATGGATTTTGAATGGATGAAAAAGGCCTTGCTTTGCTCATGTTTTTTTTTTCTTTCTGATTTATGGGAGTCTATCCTCATAAATGGTATGAAAATATTTTTTCAGATCATTACTCAGTTTTATCAACACCATTTATTGAAAGTCCATCCTAATCTTGATTTCAAATACCACTTTTATCATATATTATGTTCCCATATGTATTAAAGCCTGGTTTACTTTATATATAGTCTGCTCAAGACTCAGTGTGCTTCTTTAACTTCAAGATTAATGTCATTCATCAACTCTAGAAAACATTCATCCTTTACCCTTTCAAATATTACTTCTTCCCATTCTCACTGAGCTCAATTTCTAGGGAACACCTACTAGACATATTTTGGAACTTCTCATTCTATCTTCTGCATCTCTTAATCTCTTTCATATTTTCCATTTCTTTGTCTGTAATGACTGTATGCTAGGTAATTTGCTTAGAAACTACCTTCAGCTATAAACTTAATTAATTAATTAATTAACAGATGGAGTTTTGCTCTTGTCGCCCAGGCTGGAGTGCAGTGGCACGATCTCAGCTCACTGCAACCTCTGCCTCCCAGGTTCAAATGATTCTCCTGCCTCAGCCTCCCAAGTAGCTGGGATTACAAGCACCCGTCACATGCCTGGCTAATTTTTATTTTTATTTTTTTTTTAGTAGAGATGGGGTTTCGCCATGTTGGCCAGGCTTCTCTCAAACTCCAAACCTCATGTGATCCACCTGCCTCAGCCTCCCAAAGTGCTGGGATTATAGGCGTAAGCTACTGCACTCTTCCTAATTTTTTTTAAGTATACATGTTTTCTTTTACACTTAGTGTATCTATGAGTATTGTGATTTGGGAAGGAGACTGTATTAACTCAGCCCATCATGCTGCTGGTACCAGGTCAGCATTTTAAAAATATTAATGGAAACAACCTAGATATCATTTGATAGGAGAAAAACATATACATGTGCATAGATAAATGACTGGGAGACTATACACCATACGTTAACTGAATTATTTCTGAGCAGGAGGATAAACAATTTTTAATTTTTTTTTACTTTCTTTAGATTTCTATATTGAGTAATCCAATAATTTTTTTTAAATAACAGAATATTGGCTGGGCATGGTGGCTCATGCCTGTAATCCCAGCACTTTGGGAGGCTGAGGTCGGTGGATCACCTGAGGTCAGGAGATCGAGGCCATCCTGGCTAAAACGGTGAAACCCTGTCTCTACAAAAAATACAAAAAATTAGCCAGGCGTGCTGGCGAGCGCCTGTAGTCCCAGCTACTTGGGAGGCTGAGGCAGGAGAATGGCGTGAACCCAGGAGGCAGAGCTTGCAGTGAGCCGAGATCATGCCACTGCACTCCAGTCTGGGCAGCAGAGCGAGATTCTGTCTCAAAAAAAAAAAAAAAAAAAAACTGAGGCTATTATAAAGCTACCTTCATTTTTTTAAAACAGAAAATGGGTCTCCAAAAGCATCAGTGGGAATTTAGAACAAAAATAAGATCTAACATTTATTAAACACTTTACAAGTACCAGATACTGTCCTAAGTATACTATATATATTAGATTACATAATCTTCAAAAGCACAAAAGACTGCTTTGTAAGGAAAGGTAGGATCTTAGAAAAAAAGGAGTAATAAAAACATTTTCCTAGAAAAATAGAAAAATGGCCAGGATGCCCTCAGTGATGTTAAATTTAAAAATTGTTTGTTTTGATGTACTCATCTTTATATGTATTTCTATTTACTTATTTTTTTACTTCTTTTAATTTATATTTTTACTTATTTCTTTATTTATAGACAAGTCTCATTCTGTAGCCTAGGCTGGAATGCAGTGGTGCATTCACAGTTCACTTCAGCCTTGAGCAAACCTCCCACCTCAGCCTCCCAGGTAGCTGGGACCACAGGTACGCACCACCACACCTGGTTAATATCTTATTATTTGTAGAGATGGAGTCTTGCTATGTTGCCCAGGCTGGTCTCAAACTCCTGGCTCAAGCAATCCTCCTGCCTTGGCATCCCAAAATTCTGGGATTACAGACATGAGCCACAGTGCCCAACCTATTTATTTATTTATTTAAGACAAGGTCTCACCATGTTGCCCAGGCTGGTCTTGAACTCCTGGTCTCAAGTGATTCTCCAACCTTGGCCTCTCAAAATGTTGGGATTACAGGTATGACCCACCATGCCTGGCCTAAAAATAGTATTATATTTTTGTATTATATAATTTTCAATTAGGTAATATGAATATTCTGTACAGAAAATATGCCCTTAATTACATAGGAATAAACGTTTGCTACACTAAGAAAAATCTAACAAAGCTAAAAATAAAAATTAATTTGGAAAGTACATTATATACCCATACATTCTTATGTTTATACATTCTTTCATATATTCATATATTCTTTTAACAGTATCAATGGTTTGGAGTTATGTGTACAAAACCATGACCTATATGTAATACAACTAACAACAGGCACTTACAATTCAAGGCATATGATATACAAAGCTTTAACTTCTCATCATCAGATTTTGTTTTTTTCTTTCTGTTTTGGCAGATACTGTGAACACAACATTCAACTCACAGACACTATGGAGACCTTACTAAGCATAAGGTACTGTGAAATGTACTTTAAAAGATTCAGCAAACTACTCTCACTATATCATCATAGAGTCAGTGTCTAACCATGAAGATCTTTTTGTTCACAAGCTAAATGCCATGAAATGGGATTCAAAACAAATGTCCACAGAAATTTTATAGCAATACTGAAGTAGACTATATTTTCTGAGCCTTAATCTAAAAGAAGTTAAAACCATTCATCTTTATGAGGGTTCTGAAAAGTGTTATAGTGTAGTAGAAAAGTTCTGCACTTAAAACAAAAAGACCTATGAATCAGGTGTGGGATCTCACACAAGCCAGTTATTCACACTGAGTTGCATTTTCCTTAACTATCATCTGAAAATAATGTTTTCTTCATTCCCTGGTAGGTATTAAATGTGAAAACTTATGAAAGCGAGATGATAAAATATGATTTGTTACTACTATTATGGCAATCAACATATAAAACATATTCTATATATATATATATATATATATATAAATAATATATAGAATAGGAGAAAAGTTGGGTCCCCAAACATGGCAATGTGATTATTAGATGCATCTTTCCTCATAGTCTTCTATCATATCTAACAAGTGGCCTAGTGGTAAACTCTGCTTCTCAACCAAAAAGAAAGCAATCTACATTTCAAGGTTGTACTTTACCTCATCATAAATTCCTCAAACTTTTAACTGGTAAGGTTAAGGCTGGACCGGTATGTATCTGCCACAGGTTTGTGCTCTGGAGGACCGAGGTATACAAGAAGTGTTGCCATTTATCAAAAGGTCATCTTCCAACAGCTTTATGATCCCTAGATATAGCAAACTACTTAGAAAAAAGTAGCAGTTCACATTTAGCAGTACACATTTCTTTAACTTGTAACTGTTGCTTTTCCTTTAACTGTCAGCTGGTGGTCCCTGTTGATTTGTAAACAGCACCCAAAAGACCTCAGGCCCATGTCTACTTCAATCCATTAATAATGCATAAAAGATTAAAATGCTCTGTGGTTTAAACTCCCATCTCCCAATTGCTTACCCTTAGCTTCATAGTCCACTACTTTTCCTGTGAATGTGCTAACCACTTTTATTGGCATTTAAAAATAATTTGGACTCATTTTTCCTTTGTAAGGAACTCCTCATACTTAGGAATTTTGTCCCTTTACAAGTTTATATAACTAGATGGGACAGCAAGTAATTTATGTTAACACAAGAGACTAATAAGAGCTAATGAAACAATGCCCAAATTAATAATTTCAATTTTTAAGTATTTTTTCTTTTTTTTTTTTTTCCCCTGAGATGGAGTTTTGCTCTTATGGCCCAGGCTGGAGTGCAATGGCACAACCTCGGCTCACTGCAACCTCCGCCTCCCAGGTTCAAGTAATTCTCCTGCCTCAGCCTCCCAAGTAGCCGGGATTACAGGCGCCTGACACCATGCACAGCTAATTTTTGAATTTTTAGTAGAGATGGGGTTTCACCATGTTGGCTAGGCTGATCTCGAACTCCTGACCTCAGGTGATCCACCCACCTCGGCCACCCAAAGTGCTGAGATTACAGGCATCAGCCACAGTGCCAGGCCAGTATTTTCTATATAAAGCTTTATTTGCATATACTTAGAGTATCACAAATGAGTTTATCATAGAATTGAAACACTGACAATATTTTAATTACTGAATTCCTATGAATTAGCTGTTCTTCAGATTCAAATGCCAACACTAATTTGAACTTCTTTGGGTCTATGACAGTTTGCAAGCCATACAAACCCAAAGAGCTAATCTGTGATTTCTTAACTTGAGAAAATAATAATAATAACCACCACTGGAACCTACATAGGTTTGTTGATTATTTAACATGACTTAACCTTTTGTTTGTATTTTTTTGAAAAAAAAAAAAAAAAAAAAAAAAAAAAGACTTTCTCTTTCTAAACCATAATTCTTAGTCCAAGAAGATGCAAAGTTTTTAAAAAGCACTATTCATGACCAATAATTTTATTGATCTAAATTAAAATGGAGAATGTTCACTATCCTCATGACTGGGAAATCTTACCTGTTGCTAGAAAGACACTGGCCAATTTTCTCCTGATTGTTCCGGAGTAGATGATGTAAAGCGAGCACATTGCCGTCACTGCTGAAGGAAAGGCTATGATTTACTGCATCACTTGTAGGACAATCAGATGCCATATCAAGAAAAAACATTAGAAAATGCAAAGTCACTAGAATTTTCAACACCAGAGACACACCATACTTATGTTTGAATTAAATTTATACGAAGTAACTTTGTGAAGCAACTGAGATGACAATTACAAATATGGAGGGCTTGTTCCCACAACGTGATTTGTCATTAGACAAAGTAAAAAGGACAAGGAGAAAGTTGGCTTTCCATTTCTGATACCTGGCTTCAGCTTCTGTAGTTAAAGAACAGCAAAATTGAGATGGATGAAACTTTGGAAAGAGGCTGGTATTTTACAGATAAGGAAATGAAGGTCCAGACAAAAGACCTCCCCAAAGATATATAGCCTGTTAGGTCAAAGCCAGTATTAAAACTTTGTTCCTTTTAACTTTCTTTGGGCCCTCAGTCTGCCAGAATATGAATCCTGTGCTGACATTCACTCTCTTTCCAACATGGCTTGTCATTCAGCAATATACCTTTTAAACTCCAATTTTCCTAAAAGAATAAAAGTCAGTAACAATTACAATGATGATAAACTGGAAGAGAGAGTTGTACAAGGCTAGCTTAGATGATAAGGATCAATTAGATTCACACTGCATGAAAAGCAGAATTCCAGACATAAATTTACAAAGCACTTTCTTATGAATTATCTCATTTTTTCTCTCTAAAAACAACTCAGGCAAAGAGTTTATCCCCACTTTACAGATAAACCAATAACTCAGAGAAATAAAGTGAAATAACTGGTTATGGAAATCCAGCAGAAAAGTTTTCTAAAATCATAAAGTTCAGTTACTCATGAACAAAATCTTACGTGTTTGCATTACTTGGTTTAAAGAATAACATTTTAGTTTAGATACACTTCCAAATTTAAGTATCACAAATATTCTGATACTAATAAAAACCTTATTAAACATTCTTATGCATTATCAATACCAATTTGGTTTTAGTTTTAAATAAAAGGAATCCTATTTCTTCCTTATCCCCATATTGTACCATCCTCAAATCCTTTATTTAACTAGACATGTCCAAAATGCCTCTTGGTTTTCAAATATGAAAATCACTACCAAATTATAAAAAATATTAATTTATTTCAAGACTGTCTTTTATAGTAAAATAAAATAAGGCAAGCTATGTCTTGACCTAGAGCAGGAAGAGAAAAAAACCTACACGGAACTTCATGTAAAACAGGTACATGGATTTATGTGAAACTGAAAATATTTGATTCAAACAGAGCAAGTGAATAAGTGGCAAGTAGCTTACCTTCAAGCTGCATCAAAGCTGCTTTTCACAAAATCATTGAAAGGCCGCATATGCTCTTCTTTTGTGAAGAGAACATGATTGGCAATACTCTGAAGTATTTACACAATAAAACAGGGTTATAAATAATCAGATTATTTATTGTATGAAGTTTATACATTAATATATTCTTTAAAAATATGAATTTTCTTGATATAATTTCTGCTAGTAGTTAAAATCAATCATTTCTCATTCTATATTTTAGGTAGTGTTTCTATTCTTCCTAATTATAATTATATTTACATGTACAAATACATATTAAAAATGTTTAATGTCTTAAAATAAAAAATCCTACAGCCTTCACCGTAGTCTGTTTCAGAATGTCTAGAATGATTACGCAAAAAATGATCCTCATGACACAAGACATCTGCTATAATAAAACGTATTCTCATGAAAATAAGGTCCATCAGGTACCTAACTAATGAATTCCTTTGTAATATAAACAAAATAAAAACACATAACTGAAAACCGTAGGGTATTTCCAATATAAATGTAAGAGGAAGTACTGTAAGAAAAGCTGAAAATTTAGTTGAAAGGGGAATTTAAGATAGCTAGATTATCAAAATAATTCACCTTTGACATTAACTTCAAGCCCCTTCCGATTCTAGGTGGTGGCTTTTTATCTAAAATCCCTGCTTCATACAGTGAGACAATGTCAGGATTCATAAATCTGAGGAACATGGCACTTCCTGCTGCACTGATACTGTTCTGAGGGAAACGTTGGCTAACCCCCTAAAAACAAGTTGAGACTTGAGTATAAGGTTTGAATTAAAATAGGGGCATGGGAACAAAGAGTTCAAAGGTCAAAATTTGCACAACAACTCTGAGTCAATCAGTCCTCATGAATGACACATTTCTATTTTTTCTTCTCCCAAAACATGAGAAAATAAAGTTTCCTCTCAATTCTAGTCTTGTATCATATTAAAGTACAATTTAGGTATCTCAGAGGAAAGAAAAACCTCATGGATGAGATGGGTAGAAGAAACCTGAAAACAGATCTTCACTGTATCATCACCTATACTGCAAGTTTGAGGAGTCATGAAAACAGACCAAATTTTCACACAAAGATGATCATAATTTTTTAAGATTAACAGACATGAAAGTGTGGTCAACATTATAAGGTGAAACTAAATTTTCAACAACACACCCCCAAAACATCCTATACCTGATAGTACATATTTATGTTTTGTTGTGTACCAGTTACAACTGAATTGAAGAAAAAAATGCTTGCTATAAAAAAACAAAATCTTAGATTCCTATTGAGGAAAAAAAACTTACTTACAAGTAATGTTATTGCCTGTTGCCAGCTTCCTTTATAACAACCTACCTATTATTTGAACCATGGAGGGATGGGAATTCTTGGGCACCTAAAAGAAAAAAGGATCTCAGCAGAACAGCGAACCCCTATGTCTACCTCAATGTATAATTCTGTCAAATAAAAATAATTTAAGAATTCAAGAAATGGTTGTCCAGCCTGAAAAGTAATGTGAACCCAATATTTAAAGTGGATTGATTTTCTCTTTATAAAACATTCTACATTAAGATAAAGTAAAAGGTACCTTAGACTGGGAAGAGTGCCATAAAATGGGTTCAGCCCCCATCCCTTCCCAGTGTCCCCTGCTTTAAATCATGTTATAGATGAAAATTATATTATTTTGGAATTTACATTTTTATATATACCATATATATTCATTTTTAAAGAACACTTAATGTAACATTTTAATCTCTACAGCTATTCTTGCTTAGTGTGGCTAACTGCTGTTTAAAGTAGCAGTGATTACAAAACTGTAGCATTCCACTCAATGTTTTGTGATTCCGAGGATAAACCTTCCTTTCAAAGGATATTGGTGTGGGGGACCCAGATTTACATGCAGAATATCACTTAACTATTTTTTGCACAATGCCTCAATAAATTAATATTTCCTGTCCTAAATTCACATGGCTGACTCCAGATTAACTCTGGAATCGGGATTATTTCACTTCATCCTGTTCAACGCAGTGCTTCATGAAGTCCACATTTTAAATGCATTCTTATCACTGCTTATAATCTCAAAATAGCTTTCTGTAATCTCTAATAGGAAGTTAGTAAAAATTAGATTTTAGAGAATAAAGTATTTGTAAGCGGTGAGGTGTAACAATATAGTCCCACCTTCAGTTACACTACACACAGTTCAGGAAGCTTTCTTTATGTTACAGTGTTTATTGCATGAAGAACAACCTTAACCCTTCAATAAGGGGAAACTGGTGAAGGTGGCTAAATATAGCTGCTTTATTAGAATGGCTTTAAAACCTAAATACCATTTATTTTTAGCTGAAATATATAAATTTAGAATTAGATATAGAAGTTTTAGCTAAAACTATAAAAAGATAAAGAATTAAGAAAAAATTTGAGTGCTTTGACTATTCCAGTATAGTGTTCAACCTTCTGGGGATGAGGAACCTCTTTGAAATCTGATAAAGGTTAGAAAAATGGATGTATGCTTTCACACAAATTTCTTCACATAATTTTAGAATATTCATAGACCATCACTGCTACTGAGTGGTTCTCTTAAAACTCCCAAATTTTAATCTCAAAACAGACAATTCTCTGGTTGGGCATGGTGGCTCACGCCTGTAATCCCAGCATTCTGGGAGACTGAGGCTGGTGGATCAATTGAGGTTAGGAGTTCCAGACCAGCCTGGCAAACATGGTGAAACTCCATCTCTACTAAAAATAGAAAAATTAGCTGGACGTGGTGGTGCACGCCTGTAATCTCAGCTACTTGGGAGGCTGAGGCACGAGAATCGCTTGAACCCAGGAGGTGGAGGTTGCGGTGAGCCATCGTGCCACTGCACTCCAGTCTGGGTGACAGAGCATGCAAGTGACTGTGTAAAGTGATATGTAAAGTCATGGAAAAAGGAAAGAGCCTTAACTAGTAACGGTCTGTGGAGGTAGAAGTCAAAGACATCCTTCTCCTGTCTGTCCCCGGATCTAAGGCAGATAAAAAGAAGGATAACTTAAAAAAAATTACAGATATCATTAAAGAAAAGCATATTTGTATATAACTTTTATAATTAAAAACAAATTTTAATGATCAAGAGGAGAAGTTATGAGGGCCTTGCTTCATGCAGTGTTAGCAAAAAAAAAAAAAGAGCACTTTTATGTGAAAAGATGATAAAACTGGTAGGATCCACTTCAAAGCTAACATGTTGCCCATCAGAGGATGTGATCTCAATTTGTAATAAAGCATCCAGGAGTTTTTATAGATAGGTAGCACCATATACCTATAGAAATGCATGAGTAGGACTTCATTATGCCTGCTCCATACATTTTACCTTAAAAGAAGACAATCAGCTCTGCACATTCTGTACATAATCATTACTTGACATACCTCAGCACACACACACACAAAATGAATGATACAAACCTTGAAACAGAGTGTCATTATTTTACTGGCCAAACTGTTGCCTCAGAGGAGAGTCTGAATGGAGTCAGTCTGCCAATTCTACTTCTTTACAAAACATGTTCCAGAGCAGTTGGTAGAGTAAATGCCAAGAACCAAATAGAGTAACCAGAACTCAAGCCAGTTCATCCTGAGAACAAAACAAAATCAGGTTAGTGCATTTTTGTTCTCAGGTAGATAGCTGAAGAGTGGCAAAAACATAAACCCAAAGTTGACAACTACTTGCTAAATTAAGGCAAAGGTGACTGATTAATATTTCTCCTGAGATTTATCTGCGTATATTGTTTATGATAGATGACTATATACGATGTCTACGATAGCTGTTAATTCCAAGGATTAACCGGTGAAAGCTATTAAGAGAGGCCTAGGCTTTACCAGGAGACAAAATCTCCAAGATTCAGTTCAAATTACATCACAAAATGAAAGAGAACAGAAACAGAAGATGACAGCAAATACTTTAGTTTGATTTGTACAAGCATTTGCACAGAGCAGAAATAAGACTGATGATCAGAAGAGTTCTACTCTCTTCTCATACAGTCAGGGGAACTCAGTGAATGCTGAACATAGACTAGGTAGAGACATGACAAAAACAGAAAGACTATAGGATTTTTGAGAAATCAGGAAGAAAAGGAACTGGGCGTTCAGAACCCAGAGATCAGCCAGATTTACATACAAAGCAAGGGGGACAGGGATGAGGGCTGAAATTCCAATTACCTAAATGACATCCTTGTAACTCCCTGTAGTAAAGCAGTTTGGGGTACACTCAAGAAAAATGATCTACTGGTAAATCACTGTTTAATCACAAGAAGAAATTTATAGAGAATAGGGGTAGCCATAAAAAGATGCCTCAATCCTCAAGCAGTAACAACAATGGCCAGGATCATGGCCCATAGCTCTCTAATTCTTGCCTGGTCCCAGGATTACAATAATGTGATAGGTGAGATCTGGCCTAATAGAAAATTCCTTCTCAAAGTCATTTAATATAAAACTCAACAACAAATTAAAGCTACTTGAATTTAACTGATTCTTTATTTAAAAAATTACTGAGTATTTTCAGTGCTAATCATAGGTAGATCCTAATAAGATAATTCACAATAGTCATTTTCAAAACATTTGAACGTTTGTGAAGTAATTTTAGGCTTTAGGAAGATTTCAATGATTTGGGGCTGTTGCTAATCAATCAGTATAAAATTTCAGTTATACAAGGTAAGTTCTAGAGATCTGTGGTGCAGCATTCTGCCTACAGATAGCAATACTGTATTCTACACTTAAAAATATGTTAGAGGGTAGATCTCATGCTAGGCGTTCTCACCAAAATAAAATACCAGAGGAGAAGCATTTCAGGTGGTAGCAGCAGCAAGGGTGCTTAAGGCAGAAACAAGTCTAACAAGGAGGGACAGAAAGGTAGCTGGTGTGGCTTTGGTGAACAAGAAGGAAAATGGCATAAGATGATGTTAGAGATGAGGCAGGGCCCAAATCAGGTGGAGCCTTGTAGGACAGGATAAGGAGTTTGAATTTTACTTTAAGTACAGGTGTAACAAATATCCTACAGCTTTAAGCAGAAACAAATCTACAATGACAGATTACCTTATTAGTTATACTTTACTATAAGTGAAACCATTTTTGGTACACTAAAAAGGAAATAGCCTTTTAACACTGGAAAGGAACCACCACCCTTCTCAACGTTTTCACATGTATTAGGAATGATGTGATTTGAGGAAAATTTTTCATTAAATTAAGAGAGAGACCTAATAGCCATATGATGTTTTCAGTGTTTAAAACAAACAATATCATAATATCAAATGCAAATACAGTGCTTACATTTTTAAAAATTGTGTAAGATATTATGGGGAAAAGAACAGCAAACTGGAGGTAGTAAACAGGCACAAATCGTGGATTCCAATTCCAGCGTTGCAACAACTGACTGAAATTAGGTTTAACTTAATTACCTTCTCAAATATATGAAGACAGCGGAGTAGATCAGTGATTTTTAATCAGTGTTTAAATGGAATTTTTCAGTGGGATGAAATGATATAGGACACTATTCAGGTCTAGCAGTGCCAACCACTTCCCTACAGCTGAAAAGTCACCTAACTAAACATCTAAGATTTCTTCTGGCTCTAAAATTTTATCAATTCATTCAACAAACATTTATTGAACAAATATGTTCTGAAGGATTTGCTATGTGCCAGGCACTTTTCTTCCCCACTTACTCTATGCACTTACCCACTGAGAACAAGGAACCACACTGGCCAGAGCCATCGCTATAGGGAGCTCTCCTTGATCACCCATCACTGTGACCAGTTCCACCAATTGCTCAAACCCATCAGCCAATACCGTTTCTGAAGTGTGTCAAATTCTGTGCCTTGTTGAGGGATTTTCATCAGAACTTCCATAAATGTAGCTGTCTGGAGATCCTTGTAGTACCCTAAACCTGATGTGGACAAATGGATGCAAATTTACTAACATGGCCTTACTGAAGTAATTTTTGCTTATCTTACAAGCCAGTTCTCTAGGCTGTGTATTTCTATATGAAACTTTCATTTGATCTCACCTATGGAGTGCATGAGACCACCGTCTATGCTGGCACTGAGTAAGTTTGACATTGCAAGGACTGCACAGTGCCTCCGTGATGCCAACCTCCGAGACATGCCACGTTTCCTGCCACCTGTTTGTGCACTTTCATCTTCAGCTTCACTGCAGTCACTCAAAAGGTTCATAAATAGTGTGAAGTATCTGAGAAATAAAAAGACTGACCTTTACATAGCAAAGGCCGTATCAACTAGAAAGCTAACCAGACATTCCAAAACTATCACATGTGCACGGTGTGACTGGCCCTGGATTAACTGCTTCTCTCCTCTCTCAGGATAATCAGCCAGGGTGACTCATTATGAAGCATGCTGTGTTGGGCATGATTATACCTGATATAGCCTAGCATACCTTTCATAACATAAGCATCAAATAGATGCAATGTTTCCTGGTAAATGTGTCATTTTTAATGTTTAGTATATAAAATTAGTGGTCCAAACAGCTTACACAATGTCACTTTTGTAAATGACTTAGTGAAGCAATCTGGGTTTTATTATAAGCAAAATTTCAGGGATCATATTATTTTCTTTAAAAATCATAAAACACAGTTATTTTCCTAATCCTAGTCCTGCATGGGGAACATTTCTTTGTTTTCTTTTTTGTTTTTTTGTTTTTGTTTTGTTTTGTCTTTGAGTGTGTGTGTGTGTGTGTGTGTGTGTGTGTGTGGCGGCGGGGGGCTTTATTTGCTTTTGCTTTGTGTTTTTTGGTGACTGAAATTTACTTAAGAAATAACTGTGTCCCCTTTGGCTTCCATCAATTCCACACCATCTCCTTCCTCAGGCTGCACAGGGAGACCAGCTAGAAGTGAAACTACTGCTTCCATGCTTGCCTGGTCCAAATCTCTGAAAAAAAAAAATTAGAGACCATAAATCTTTCAGGTTATTTCACTTCCTCTCAAATAAACCTCTTATTAACAGATATAAACTTTAGGAACTACCTGTTTCATTAAACAAATTATTAGCACAACCCAAATAATTTGAATTAATATGCAGATCCTAGAATACAAAATCATCTCAAATGAGGAGAAGACAATAGTAACTTTCTACAAAGTAATCTTGGCAAAATGACTATCTTCAATCAGAAGCATGTACAATTGGCCCTCTGTCTCAGCGAGTTCTGTATCCACGGATTCAACCAACCATGGATTGAAACTATTTGGGGGAAAAAAAAGTAGGGTTTCATCTGTACTCAACATGTAAAGATTTTTCTTTGTTGTTATTCCCTAAACAATATGGTATAACAACTTGTGTTTATATAAGATTTATATTTATTAGATATTATAAGTAATCTAATGATAATTTAAAATATATGGGAGGATGTGCATAGTTTATATGCAAATACTATGACATTTTGTATCAGGGACTTCAGTCTGTGGATTTTAGTGTTCATGGAAGTGAGATGTGGGCAGGAGTTTGGGGGGTGGTTCCTGGAACCAATTCCTGACAGATACTGAGAGACGACCATATTATAAAGCTAGGCTTGGTCAAAGAAACATATGTAAAGGCTTATTATACAGTCCATAGTGTTTAATCACTTTCTGATATGTGTCAATAAGCATTTATCATTAAAGCAGACTTAATTACACTTAATTACTTCCTTTTTTTTCTGTCTCTGGTGCCTGAATCAGGAAATCAATTATTTTTTAGAAAGACCAACACAATGAGTTCCTCAAATAATACCTTTTTCTATCTAATCATAACATAAATGCAATCTGAGGCTTTATGTACCTTATTTCCCAATAACGGTAGACTATTCTTCATAAACTGACAACACTAACTTCCCAAACATACCGCTCTCGCACATTTATTTTTACAGAAAGTCTATCAGTCAAAAAAAAGTAGTAATAAAGATTAGTATCTTTACATATTTCAACCACAAAAGTTTGACATCTAAAAAATTTAAATACACATAAAATACAAGTATAAAGCTGTAATGAAGTAATTATAATTCTTACAGGAAAACCCACTAATACTTGAAGGTCATTCTCTTTTTTACCTTGTAATACATTTTACATCATCATCTGCTGCTTGGTTTGATGTTCCCATAACCCAGACTGTCAGGTATTCTACAATCTTATTCCTAAAGAATGGCGGAGAAAAGAGAAACAGCCAACAATTTTTTTGAAGCCACACACACACACACCTTTAATTGTGTAAGATTTCTTACAGTGCAAATAATTTGGCAGATAACCCAGGTGACATGACGACTTTATAAAAGAGATACTGATGTCACAGACGTAAAAGCCAGAAGGGAACAAGCAACGTGGATATTTAACCTCCAACATGGCCCTTATTTATGGTATCAAATTGGAAACAGAATCAAATTCTTAGCTCAAGTACAGCACAGTTTTAGAAAAAGGGAGGCTTGCCACAGGCACAAAGCTTACGGAAATTTGAGGAGAGACGTAGAGAAACACAAACGTGTAAATTGCTCTCTTTTTATGTCTTCCTTCCTACCAATAACCAGATATCTACTCTATTTCTGTACTTCATTCAACAAATTAAGATTTACAAGACCCTACATTGCTCTTTTGAGAACTCACCTAAATTTCATCTCTTGGCAAAATAAGAGGTCATCTCTCCTTGCCATCGTTACTTCAACCAACTGACACAGTTTCGTTTTTATTTGAATTGCATGGACCATATTCCCAAGCACACGAACATACCTATACAGACACAGAGACGATAAAAAAATTATCAGATATAGACAAAAGAGAAAGCATTCAAAGTACTTTAGTCATCAAATAAAATGAACTACATGTAAGTCTGAAAACAATATTTATTTTTATGAGAACATACACACCTTCTGGTTACCTGACTGTCACACCCTAGTTTGTGTGCAGTAAAGAATGGCAAATTATTTTATCAATTACTACCAATATCAATGTGTAAGAGGTTTTTCTGATCTCTTAAAGTATGTTTCTGCTACATTTCAGTAGAACGCTTACCTGACCAGATATAACATCATTGGTTCAATGCTAGCTTGCCCTAGATGTTCAGAGCTGCCTTCAGTATGATTATCTAGCAAGTTCTTCATTATAGCTATGGTTTGCTCTACAAATTGAGTGTTGGTATCCGTCAATAAAACCTATAGAAAGAACAAATATATTAATCATTTGCCATCAATGCCCAGAAGACAGACCTCTAGAGAGATGCAACCGACTGATCTAAACACACAAACACAGAAGTGCACCCACAGGCACACAGCCAAACAAGCATACAGATACATGCAGACACTCATACCCATACACAAGGCAGGTATACCCTCAGGCACACATACACACCAGAGTTCCTAAGAAGCAAGCTGACCCCTACATTGAGATGACTCTTCTTTCTGCAATTTTTTGGCAATTTTTAAAAACTGTGAGCACCTAATTTAAATAATTGGAAAGAAAAAGCCTTCCTTATTTCAAACAAGGTGAAAAATAAAAAAGAGCACACTTTACCTGTCCTTGGGAGTCAAAAAACTTGCTGATGGCATTCTTCAGTTTGTTAAATAGCATCAGATAAAGAGCAGGACTCAATTCTAGACCCACCAGTTCCTTAACATTGGCCCGTATTTGAAGTCCCACTTTCTCATGGTTACACACCATTAAGGACAACAGCTGATCCATACATTTGCTGACAGGTGTACCTGCGTTTCCCTCTGAGGACATCACTGAAATCATGGAACCCTGACATTCACTGACTGGACCCATGGGTGGGCTATAGGTTGCCAGGCCAGAATTACTTCTCTGCTGGAGGCACACTCCCCCAAGGGCACAAAGGAAGCCAGTCATGTTGATCCATTCCTGTAGGGAGTCTGTGTCAGACAAATCTGCGCATCCTCCTCCACTCAGATGGGACATTCGACTCCTAACAATGGTCATGTGAAACTTTCAGCAGCCTAAACACAAAATTTTTGGGCAAAGCATGAATTAAACCTAAATTAGTTGAGACTTGACAAATTACTCTTTATCCAACATTTCTTCCATGACAAAAGTACAAAAAATGTAAAAAACACATTAAAATCAACCCCAAAAATTACCATATACATTTTTAAAGAGCCACTGATTTATTTTTGTCATACACTAATATAATCGCCCAAGTATCAAATTTCTTTTAAAAAGCTTTGATTTCACATGGATGAACCTTGGAAACGTTATGCTAAGTGAAAGAAGCTAATCACAAAAGCCCACATATTCTAAAATTCCATTTACAGAAAAGATCCAGCAGAGACAAATCTGCAGAGACAGAAAGTAGATTCAAGGTTGCCTAGGGCTGGAGAAGCCGGGGGAAGAGAGACAAGAAAGTGGCGGGGAGGTGGGGTAGGGTGTTAGAGGCAGAAATAGCTAAAGGATACAGGGGTTTTTTTCCTCAATTGATGAAATTGTTCTAAAACGGACTGTGGTAATGGTTGCACAACTCTGGGAATATACTAAAAACAGCCACTGAATTGGACACTTTAAATGGGTGAATTGTATGGTATATTAAACTGTTATCCCCCCAAAAGCTTTCATTCTAAAGCTACATGTCCCCTCCAAATAAAGCTATTAGGTACACAATTTTGCTTCATAAAAACATAACATTTTTCTTATTGTAATTAAGTATGACAGAAAAAAACATGGGGGAATAACCAGTTTATATAAATTGCCTAATAATGGGAGGAATATGAACATTACAAATCAATTACACACAAACACCAACTCATCAATTTCCAGAGTAACAGATAATATAGTCAATAGTAATAGTTGAATGAACTGTCCACATTTTAAAATCTCATTTAATCTATGGGTTCAATCTTTTGCCCAAGACATTCCTTAATTAGAATACTTAACAAAATAGCAAAATGAATTGTTTCCATGTTTTTTTTCTCTACCTCTGTTGCTCCTTTTCTGAAAATTCTGTGAAACACCCTGATGAAGGGATAAAGAGCAAGAAAAGATAAATGGTCTCTGCAACAGTCTCTAGCAGTGCTGCCCAGTATTTCTGTGATGATGGAAACATTTTCTCTCTCTGCTGTCCAGACTGTCATATGTGGCTACTGGGTACTTGCAATGTGGCTACTATATGATTGAGGAACTAAATTGTATTTAATTTTCATTATGTTAAAATTTAAATAGTCACACGTAGCTAGTGGCTACCATATTACGAAGTACAGGTCTAGATAAACCACAACTAAATATCAGTCTTCAGACAACTATATGCTTACTTTACTGAGTGACTCGTGAGAGATTACCAAAGAGAAGGACATATATTTAGCAGATCAGTTAATAGACAAAAGTCAACTTTACAGACTTACCTGGCTGTCATCCATTTTGGCTTTTGGATAGTTAAAGATTAGTTTTGTTGCTTGTTCCCATTTTGCATGTGTATCTTCCCAAGCCTAAAATGAAGGCAATTATCACTTGAAAGCAACTTTAAGTCTAGAGCTAAACGTCAATCAGCAATGGCCAAGTTTCAAACTTGATGTATAATAAGTACTCAGATATTACACTTCTAACACGCACATATCTTGGATTTACTTCAAAAGCTATTCCTGATTACACATATGTAACAATAGGTTTCCAAAATTGAGGGTGGGCGCCTAGGAGGGGTGTTTCTCTTGCTAAGAGCACACCTCAGTGTTTCCTGCAGTGGGATGCTAAGTGCGCCTCCGCAGTGCCATCACTCTTTCTGAAGTGCTGCTGTTCCTAAGCAAATACAACAGCCAATCAAGTCACTGCACTTAGAGCCCTGCCTGCCCATGGAGAACCTCATAAGCCCTACCCAAAAGGCAGAGTAGGAGGAGCAGAGCAAATGCCTCAAATGATAAAGCCAAAAACTTCCTTTCACTAACCTCACAGGAAAGGTACTTATCTTAAACTCTACAATGTCCACAGCACAAAATAGCTATTCCCACCTATAATTTACTCAAAACATATGCCAATGTGCGTAAAACTTCACTATCTACAACTTAGGTGGGGTAAATTATATGATCACAACTGATAGTAACATATACTGCCAGTTATTTTTAAAACATATAGCATATTAAAAACTCACTGGGAGACTATTTCAAATGCTTTTTCTTTTCATCTTTGTTTCATTTCTTTGTTCAGAAAAGGATTTCAAGTAAGCTACTTGAATCTCCCCTGTAAACTTACAAAGTAGTAACCTTAAATACATTCTCACAATTAGATGCCACGTGCTTCAGGCAGGTTGAGTAAAAAAACCACTATTCACATTTACCTGTTGACATCACATTGCTGACAGAGGCAAACTCCATGAATGTGCTACAGTTGGGCAAGAGGTGATGCACTGACACTTCATCCACCCCACACCAGGTATCTGCTTCCTCACAGAGGTGGCGGAAACAGGACATGGCAACCAGAACAGCTTCACTGTCAGGGTTCCACAGAAACATGTACAGCGCCACACTTCTAGTTTGGTCTGCCCTTGTTGGCAAATCGGGGAAGGGGGGGCGGGGGCGGTTGCGCTTCATCCTGCTGCACTATCCTGAGAGTCAAAGTTGTAAGACATATATTTGCAACTTGGGTAATTTTATGTATAAAACCCAACAATGCAATAAACTGCGTGTGTGTGTGTGTGTGTGTGTGTCTCAGCATACAATAACTCACAAGAGTTTTCTCCTTTAATCATCACAGGAATTTTTCAAACCCTCAAATATCTTGTCCAAATGAGAAATGAGATTATCTGGACCAACATAAAGCTACTCTCTGTCCAATTTCAAATCAAATAGGTATTATCCTATTCCAGATTCCAGAAACATAAACTGATTCTAACATAAACAGGTAAAACACTGTAACATAAATCTGCTGCAGTAATGATATAATGTACTTACCAGTCAATTAGAAATGACAAAAAAAGAAGTAAGCCGGGCATGGTGGCTCATGCCTGTAATCCTAGCACTTTGGGAGGCCGAGGTGGGCGGATCACGAGGTTGGGAGATCGAGACCATCCTGGGCTAACATGGTGAAACCCCGTCTCTACTAAAAACATAAAAAAACAATTAGCCGGCCGTGGTGGCGGGCACCTGTAGTCCCAGTTACTCAGGAGAGGCTGAGTCAGGAGAATGGTGTGAACCTGGGAGGCGGAACTTGCAGTGAGCGGAGATCGCGCCACTGCACTCCAGCCTGGGCGACAGAGTAAGACTCTGTCTCAAAAAAAAAAAAAAAAAAAAAAAAAGAAAGCCTAGGTTTTAAAGACCAATAAAATAGTAAACATGAACGAGGAAAAAAAGAAATGAGGAAACAGTTACAAACATAGATACTGAAGGTAATTATATGATAATATAGAAATAAAATACAGCCTTTAATTGTACAAGTAAAATATATAAATATTATATACAACTCTGCACTGATAAAATTGAAAAACATGTTTTGTAGGAAAGAACAAACCATGAAAAGTGACTTTAAAAATAATAGAAATTCTTCAAAAAATTAAAAATAGAATAACCATATGATCCAGCAATTCCGCTTCTGGATGTATATTCGGAAGAATGAAAGCAGGGCCTTGAAGTTACTGGCACACCCATGTTCATAGTAGCATTATTTATAATAGTCAAAAGGTGGAAACAACCGAAAAATCCATTGGCAGATACATTTAGATCAACAAAATGTTGGTATATACATACGATATCATTCAGCTTTCAAGAGGAAGGAAATCCTGACATGCTACAACAAGATGAACACTATTTCAGCCATAAAGAATGAAATCCTGCCTTTCAAGGCAACATGAATGGAACTGGAGGACATTATGCTAAGTAAAATAAGCCCATGTCAAAAAGACAAATACTGTATGATTCCACTTATGTGACATAGTGAAATTCAGAGAGACAGAAAGTAGAAGGATGGTTGCAGGAGTTGCAGGTAGGAAAGAATGGAGAGCAGTTGAATAGACACAGAATTTGTTTTGCACGATGAAAAGGTTTTGGAGATTGGTTGCACAACAATGTGAAAGATAGTGCTACTAAACTGTGTACTTAAAAATGGCTAAGATGGTAAATTTTATGTTATGTGTATTCTACCGCATAAAAAATTTTAAAGACAGAAAAACTACATAGATCCATAAGGCAGCTCAAATAAAAGGATTAAAGAGTTATTTTAAGTAGACAATAGATAAGCTAGTTCTAGAAACAGCATAAGAAACCAGTAGCAGTACTTGACTTAGGAAGAAAAGTATAAACTGAAGGTCAAGAGGGAGTAGGAAGCTTACTTTTCCACTGAATTCCCTTCCTGATGTATAGTGAAAATTTCCATTATGTCAATTTATTTTTTTCTTTAAAACTAATAAGCAAAAGTCAAAGGAAATCTTAAGAGCTTCTAAACTTGATGATTTTACAATGAATTTCTATCTAATCAGATAATTTCTATTACTTAAATTATTCCAGACCATAGAAAAGAGTAATAGTTCCCAAATTCATATTCTAATTTAGCACAAATAAGTGTTAGAATAACTACTTTCAAAAGTGATAATGCATATTATGTTAAATATACACATGTTCTAAGAATCAGAAAGCTGAAACACTGGAAGGAAATGTTTCATTAAGTAGCTACCCAGTACATTTGCCAATAGCCAACCAAATTTACCTCACGCACACACACAAATCAACATACTAAAAGTAAGGATTTCCAAACATATTTCCACTCCAAATTTAAAGTGAAAGTTTAAATAACATATAAACCATCTGACTGGATACAATTCAGCCCTAAAGCTAGAGTTCAGGGCCCCTTATCTTTTGTTCATTATTAATTTTAAAATTTTTGATGTATTTATTAGTATTTATGAATAACATAGTAACATTCCCATAGATTTGCAGAGATCAAATCGAGGTAATTAGCATATCCATAATCTCATTTATCATTTCTTTGTGCTGGGAACATTCAACATCCTCCTCCTAACTCTTTGAAACTGTGTAACATATTGTTGTTAATTACAGTCATCTTACAGTGCTATACAACACTAGAACTTGCTCTTCCTATCTAGCTGTAATTTTGAAACCTTTAACAAATTGCTTTCTACCATCCCTGCACCCTATGCTTCCCAGCCTGTAGTATTCTGTTCTACTTTTTACCTCTATGAGATCAACGTTTTTTTAGCTTCCACAAATGAATGAGAACACACAGTACTTAATGTTCTGTCCCTGGCTTACTTCACTTAATATGATGTCCTCCAGTTCAATCCATGTGCCTCAAACTACAGGATTTCATTCTTGCTTATGGCTAAATAGTATTCCATTGTGTATGTATACCATATTTTCTTTATGCATTCATCTGTTGTTAGATACTTAGGATGATTCCATATCTTGGCTATTGTGAATAGTGCTGCAATAAACACGGGGGTGCCGATGTCTCGTCAATATACTGATTTCCTTTTCTTTGGATAAATGTCCAATAATATATTGTTGGACCATATAATAGTTCTATTTGCAGTTTTTTGAGGAACCTCCACACTGTTCTCCATGGTGGCTGTACTAGTTTACATTTCCACTAGCCCCATTTAAGTGTTCACTTTTCTCCACATCTTTGCCAGCATTTGCTATTTTTTGTCTTTTTGATAGTAGCCATTCTAAGTGGGGTGAGATGACACCTCATTGTGGTTTTGATTTGCATTTCCCTGATGACTAGTGATGTTGAGCTTTTTAGGAAAACATATTTGTTGGTCATGTGTCTGTCATCTTTTAAGAAATATCTATTCAGGTCATTTGCCCATTTTTCAGTTGGATTCTTTTTTTTTTTTTTTTTGCTATTGAGATGTCAAGAGTTCCTTGTATATTCTGGATATTAATCCTCTGCTGGATACATACTTTGCAAATATTTTCTCTCATTCTGTAGGTTGTCTTTTCACTCTGCTAATTTCTTCCTTTGAATTAATATTAATTTTTTAAAGAAAAGTAACTTAAATGCTTGACAATATGGAATTAAAAATACAGTATCTTCAAGCTGGGTGCGGTGGTGCATGCTTATAGCTGCAGCTATCTGAAGGCTGAGGCAGAAGAGGATCGCGTAAGTCCAGAAGTTTGAGACCAGCCTGGGCAACATAACAGCAAGACTCAGTCTCTTTTTAAAAAATGGTATATTCAATTTGGGGAACATGCTACAAATCCTCAAAAAACGGGTACAGAAGAAACATACTGCAACACAATAAAAACCACATGAGAGACCCCCACAGCTAGAATCATATGGAATGGGGAAAAATGGAAAGCTTTTCCTCTAAGATCTGGAACATGATAAGGATGCCCACTGTCACCACTGTTATTTAACATAGTACTGGAAACCCTAGCTAAAGCAATCAGTGCAGCCCCTGATATGGCCCCCAACCCACCCTGCCCCCTGCCACCAGCAGTGTAGCCCCCCCGCAATAGCACACCCAACACACCCAAACCGCCCCGCCTCCCCGAACCACGGGCATTGCAGCACCCCATAGCACCCTCAACCTGAAACCACCACCCCCCCGCAACAGCCGTGCAGTGCAGCCCTGGATAGGACACTTAGCCCACCTCACTGTTGCCAGCAATACAGTCTGGGATAGTTTCCCCAACAGGCTCCCCGCCGAGGGCAGTGCAGCCCCGGTTAGGGCCCCCAAACCACCCCCGGGTGCAGGCAGCACAGCCCCAGATAGCACACCTAACCAGCCACCCAAGGTGGGCAGTGACGCCTGAGATAGGGCCCCCAACCCGTCCCAGGCCAAGGGCAGTGCAGCCCTGGATAGCGCACTTACCCCGACGCTTTTCTACACTCTGGCCGGTTACAGTGTCCATCGCTGCCACCAACCGCAGCGGGCAAGGCAAGCCAGCGAGGCAAGGCGAGGCAAGGCGAGGCAAGCCGGCGAGGTGGTGAGCCAGGGAGGCCAGCCACAGCCCGGTAGGCTGCAGCCTCCAGCATGCAGTGGCTGGCACCTCCTACTCCAAGCTGGCAATGGAGCAGCTATGAAGTCAGATGCCGACGAGGCTGGACTAGTGCAACTCTATCTCTTAACATGCTTTATATACCGAGATTATAAACTACATGTTCTGATTGGATGAGAGGAAAACACTAGGCCTACTCTGATTGGACTTTATTGTCACGTTCTGATTGGTTAGCCTAAGACTTGTTCTGATCCAATCAGAACATGAAAATAACGTCCAATCAGAGTAGGCGTAGATGTTTCTCTCATCCAATCAGAACGTGAAGTCCGAGAACCAGGCCTGCACAACCCCCCAGTATATAAGGTATGCTAAGGGGGCGTCGCGCTGTTGCAGGCTATCGTGTGTTAACCTGTACTTCTGCCGCAGAGTTTGGAGAAAGCGGCAGCAGATTGTGCTGCCGCAGGCTGGAGCCTGGAACCTGGAGCCCTGGAGCCTTGAATGGTGTGTGGTGGCAATGGAGAGAGGCAGCTGGCAGTGACAGCTGCTCCGTGCTTGGCTACAGGAAGGAAAGAAGGAGAAAGCACCTACCATAGGCTGGAGGCTAGAGCCTGCAGGACTGCGGCTGGCCTCGCTGGCTCGCCTCCCTGGCTCGCCTCCCTGGCTGGCCTCGCTGTGGTTGGTGGCAGCGACAGATACTGCAGCTGGCCAGAGTGTAGAAAGGCAATGGGGTAGGTAAGCTATCCAGGGCTGCCCGCGGCGGGGGCTGGTTGGGGTATTATTCCAGGTGTCACTACTTTGGGTGTACTAGAGTGTTATTTTGGGCGTCACTGCTTTTAGGTGTGCTATCCGGGGCTGCACTGCCCTCAGCAGCGGGTGGGGGGGGGGGTTGGTGGGGGGCGGGTTGGGGTCACTATCTTGGGCTGTATTGATGGCAGCAGTAGGGCTGGTTGGGGGTGCTATTGGGTGCTGCACTGCCCGCGACAGGGGCCGGGTTGGGGCTGCTATTGTGGTTGCACTGCCGGCGGCATGGTGGTGGGAGGGCTGGTTAGGGTGCGGACTGGTGGGGGTGCTTACTGGTCGGGCTTCATTGCCGACAGCGGGGTGGGGATGCTATCTGGGGCTGCACTGCCCATGGTGGGGGCTTGTTGGGGGCGCTATGTGGGGTTGCAATGTCCATGGCAGGGGAGAGGTTAGAGGCAGTATCAGGTGCTACACTGCTGGTGGTGGGGCGGGGCAGCGGTGGGTGCGGGTAGGTGCTTGGAGGGTGCGGTTTCGGGGTCTATCGGGCCAGACTGCCCATGATAGAGGGCAGGTTTGGGTGCGCTACTAGGGGATACACTCCTCACAGCAAGGGGCGGTTTGGGGGTGATACCCGGCCGGTGGCAGGCGGGGTGGTGGGGTGGGTTGTGGGCACCGTTCGGGGGCTGCACTGTGGTCAGTGGCGGTGGGGCGAGTTAGGTGCTCTATCAGCTGCTGCACTGTTTGTGGTGGGGGCTGGGTTTGGTGTGCTATCGGGGACCATATTTTTGGCAGCGGTATACAGGTTAGGGGTGCTGTCGGAGGCTGCACTGCCCATGGCGGGGTGCGGGTGGGGTGCACTATCCAGGGCATCATTCCCCCTGGGTGGGGGACAGTTGGGGGTGCTATCTGCTATGTAGGGCTGCACTGCTCGTCGTGGGGAGGGGGTTGGGGACCTTAAGGATCCATGGCTGCACTATTGACGGCATGGAGCAGGTGGCCGTGCTCTCCGGGGCATCACTGCCCGCAGCCGGGGGTTAGTTGGAGGTCCTATCCGTGGCTGCATGGCCGACGGCAGACGGTAGGATGGGGGAGTTATCTGGTGCTGCGACGTCCGAGGCAGGGATGGGTTGGGGGCGCTATTGGGTTTTACATTGCAGTGGCGAGGGGCGGTGTTGGGGGCGCTATCCCAGAGCCAACATCAGGCAGCGGATTAGGGGCGCCATCAGGGGCTGCCTTGCTGGTGGCGGCAGAGCTTGCAGCAACAGGGTCTCCAAGGAAGGAGCCTTCTTCCTCTTTCTGGATTTCAGACTCTAAAAGGCGATCTCCTCCTGCTCCTGCTAGAGCGCAGCGAGCGCACGGCGTTTCCGCAGTAATCCTGAGCACGGCAAGGACCCCTTACCCGCCGGGGTTCCCGGGGCCATGCCCTTTTCGCTCTGTGTTGCGGAGACCACCTGGCACCCCTAGGCACGCTGGACACGGAGTGGCGGGGACACCACGGGGAGACAGGGCTCTGTGGGTGGAGGCATCGGGATGGGGAACCGGCATTTGGGTGGGAGGGCTGGCTGTGTCTGAGTTCCTGCTGATTTTGTTCCCCAAGGAGCGCAGTCCTGGTGGGCCCAGCGGTTCCTGTGGATTGGAGCCAGGCAGTGTGATGTTACCAGTCACCACTCCAGGTCCCAGTTCCTGGCCCGCTTGGGCCAAAAGGAGAGGCTGGACTTTGGAGGGTGGATATGAGTGCCTTCACTGAGACTGGCCCCTGCCACCCAGTGGCCAGGATGACAAGGTGAGGCTCTAACGCTATCAGTCTTTGCATTCTCCTCTAGGCTTTTTTGGCTGTGTGTGTCCAGCTGTTCCATGCCAGGAGGAGGAGGAGTTACATGCTGGAAGCTTGCAGATAGCCTTGGGCTGCTGCTCGCCTTGCTGCGGTTGGTGGCAGCTACCGAGACTACCTCGCACCAGAGCGGTAGGAGGACGGCCAGCTGTGGCCATGGCAGGGGCAGGGCTGCGGCGGTGGCCAGGTAGTAGGAGCTTTGTAGGGTGGGCCAGTGCATTGAGGGCAACAGCAGCGATGGTTATAGTGACATCTGCGCTAGTTGTGGCAGCAGCCGCAAGTCCAGGGGCCGGGAAGAGGGAGTAGGAGCGCTGCGGGGCCTGCCCGGCCAGGCCTAGGGTGGGTAGGAAGCTTCGGGTGCTGTACCACAGGCTCGGTGGAAGTGGTGGAGGAACAGCCAGGGCAAGGAGGAGTTCTCCCCCTTCTCCTGCAGTCTCTGGAGGGCGACCTCCTCCTACTGGCGCATGAGCCCGGTGTGAGTGTCAGCATATTATCTCACTCTTTCTTCCAATATAATACAGTCATGCACTGCATAACAAGGTTTCACCAGTGATGGCCTGCATGTATCAGGGTAGTTCTATAAAATTATAATGAAACTGAAAAATCCTCATTGTCTACTGACAGCATAGCCGTCTTAACCTTGTAATACAACGCAATACTCACGTGTTTGTAGTGATGATGGCGTAAACAAACCTACTGAGCTCCTGGTTCTATGAAAGTATAGCGCATATAGGCCAGGCGTGGTGATTCACACCTGTAATCCCAGCACTTCGGGGGGCCAAGGCGGGCAGATCACGAGGTCAGGAGATCGACACCATCCTGGCTAACACGGTGAAACCCCGTTTCTACTAAAAAGAGAAAAAATTAGCTAGGGGTGGTGGCAGGCCCCTGTAGTCCCAGCTACTCGGGAGGCTGAGGCAGGAGAATGGGGTGAACCCGGAAGGTGGAGCTTGCAGTGAGCCGAGATCGCGCCACTGCACTCGAGACTTGGCGACAGAGCGAGAGTCTGTCTCAAAAAAAAAAAAAAGTATAGCACATTTAAGTATACATAGTACATAAAAGTTGATAAAGAACAACTATGTTACTGGTTTATGTGTTTAGTATACTATGATTTTTGACATTATTTTAGAATGCATTCCTTCTACTTACAAACCAAAAAGTTAACTAAAATAGCCTGAGGCAGGTCCTTCAGGAGCTATTTCAGAAGAAGGCATTGTTACCATGGGAGATGACAGCTCCATGTGTGGTATTGCTTCGGAAGACCTTCCAGTGGGACGAGATGTGGAGATGGAAGACTGATGTTGATGATCCTGACCCAGTGTAGGCCTAGGCTAGTGTGTGTGTATTTGTGTGTTAGCTTTTACCAAAACGAAGTTTAAGAAATCTGTATGCTTATTTTTTGTTCTGAATACTTACCAAGATACAACTTACAGAGAGGAAGCATCGAGGCACCTGAGTGTATCTTTTTAACGCTGACATTATCATTGAGAAAAAAATTAAAACACAGAAAAAGCTATTTTTCTTAAGAAAAAGTTTGAGTGTTTTTAACAAATCTATGAATTGATTTGCAATTTCATGGTATCTTTATTGGTAATGTACCTTCAACAATGCAATCATGTGCACATACTTTACTGAGGAGGCACTTAACACAGGCTGAATCACCTATAGATATATTCAACTGATTACCTGTGCCTGTGAGAATACACGAGGTAAACTCTAATGATGTATCAATAAGTAGAAAGCTATGAAGCAAATTGAGACAATTATCTAAATCATCCTGTCAGAAATTCCCTTTTTATCTGGACTACTAGGCCAATAAAATATCATTAATTTCTGGAACCTGTGAAGTTTGCCTCTGTTCAGTTAATTAGGGAAATGAGTCTCTAAACAAATAAATAATGTAAACCAGCAGATTGTGGTCTCCACAAGAGTCAAAGGCAAATAACTGCTCTCAACCATTTGTAAATCCAGTCAAGGAAAAATAGTTTTGTCATAACGAAGAATATTTTATTATAAAATTTGTTATATGATATTGATTATATAAAATATTTTAACATCACGTTAAATTAATATGTTAAGGGAAATTAGATTTTGAAATGTTTTATTCTCATTGCTCTATCTTAACTGTATCTATTTGAATGTTCTAGTAGCATGTAGAATCTAATAAAATATCAACTATATAGGGACCTGAAAATACATTGTAGCTATTACTTATCTTTGCGTTTTCAATGTCAGAAAGTTCATTGTCATAGGTAATCTAGTAAGCAAAAGTTAATAATTTTTCTGAATTTAATTAATTTAAATAATTGTATCATGTGCATTAACCAGTTCATGTAATCCAAGTTAAATTTTACATGCCCTATGGCAAGAAGTTCTAAATCCCTAATGTACATCTCTAAAAGACCTGATTTCTTTCCCCAGACTTATCTCATCTTTTTATCTATCCATCTCTTTCTTCCACTAACAAAAAATTCTATCTCAATAGTTGTAAATCAGTTGTATCACTAGTCCCATTCCATCTATGAGAAAACTCCAGTTCAGGGATGTTAAGTGACTTCATTAATGCCCCACAGCTAATCAGTAGGAAATAACCAGGAGTGGAGGCTAGAAACCACTCCAGATCTATAGTCTTAACATTGCGCTATGTTTGCTGTGTACTCTCTGACATACAAGTCATAAAAGTATTTCTCAATTCTCTGGGAAATTTCTACACTCCACTCTTGCTCAGCCTGTTCATATACCCAGAGCCCATCACTTATGTCAGCCTTTTGAGTTTTACAAATTTTGTTAAAATAAGATACCATTCCTGGTGCTTTTTCCAATTCTAAATAGAGTGATTTTTATTTTTGTGCAATTCTTAACCATTGGATCTATTCCCTTATTATGCCATTTGTCATTATTTACCAGCATTGTTTTTACATTTTTATAGGTATTCTCTTCTCTACTAATTTAGGGGCTCTTTGAAGATAATAATTACCTTGCTGTACTTTAAATACACCAAAATTTGTTATGATTGCTGAAGAAGTAAAAACAAAGTGAAAGCTACCAGTTTTATTCAGTTCAAATAGTGGTATACCTCAGATATCGTGGATTCAGTTCCAGGCCACTGCAATAAAGCAAGTCAGACGGAAGTGTTTGGTTTCCCAGTGCATCTAAAGTTTATGTTTATACTACACTGTAGTCTAGTAGGGGTGCAATAGTATTATGTCCATCGTACCATTTCTGTCTATTCAATATATTGGCTATGGGTTTGTCATAAATAGCTCTTATTATTTTGCGGTGTTTCACCAATACCTAGTTTGAGAGTTTTTAACATAAAGGGATGTTGAATTTTATCAAAGGCCTTTTCTGCATCTATTGAGATAATCATGTGGTTTTTGTCTTTGGTTTTGGTTATGTGATGTATTGTGTTTATTGATTTGCAAATGTTGAACCAGCCTTGCGTCCTAGAATCCACCTGGTCTTGGGCTTTTTTTGATCAGTAGGCTATTAATTACTGCCTCAATTTCAGAACTTGTTATTGGTCGATTCTGGAATTCAACTTCTTCTTGAATTAGTCTTGGGAAGGTGTGTGTGTCCAGGAATTTGTTCATTTCTTCTAGATTTTCTAGTTTATGTGCATAGAGGTGTTTATAGTATTCTCTGATGGTAGTTTGTATTTCGGTGGAGTTAATCATTTTTTTGTGTGTCTATTTGATTCTTCCCTCATTTCTTCTTTATTAGTCTAGCTAGTGGTCTATTGATTGTGTATTTTTTTCAAAACACGAGCTCCTGGATTCATTGATTTTTTGGAGAGTTTTTATTTCTGCATCTCCTTCAGTTCTGCTCTGATCTTAGTTCTTTTTTTCTGTTAGCTTTTGAATTTGTTTGTTCTTGCCTTTCCAGCTCTTTTAATTGTGATGTTAGAATGTCAATTTTAGATCTTTCCCACTTTCTGATGTGGGCATTTAGTGCTATAAATTTCGCTCTTAACACTGCTGTAGTTGTGTCCCAGAGATTCTGGTACATTGTCTCTTTGTTCTCATTGGTTTCAAAGAATTTCTTGACTTCTGCCTTAATTTCGTTATTTTTCTAGGAGTCATTCAGGAGCAGGTTGTTCAATTTCCATTTGATGGTGTGGCTTTGAGTGAATTTCTCAATCTTGAGTTCTAATTTGGTTGTGCTGCCGTCTAAGAGACTGTTTGTTATGATTTTAATTCTTTTGCATTTGCTGAGGAGTGTTTTACTTCTGATTACATGATCAATTTTAAGGTGCCACGTGGTGATGAAAAGAATGTATACTCTGTTGTTTTGAGCTGGAGAGCTCTGTAGGTATCTATCAGGTCTGCTTGATCCAGAGCTGAGTTCAGGTCCTGAATATCTTTGTTAGTATTCTGTCTCAATGATCTGTCTAATATTGTCAGTGAGGTATTAAAGTCTTCCACTATTATTGTGTGGGAGTCTAAGTCTCTTTGTGACTCTTTGCTTTATGAATCTGGGTGCTCCTATGTTGGGTGCATATGTAGATTAATAGAGTTAGCTCTTTTTGCTTAATTGAACCCTTCACCATTATGTAATGCCCTTGTCTTTTCTGATCTTTTTGGTTTAAAGTCTGTTTTGTCAGAAACTAGGATTGCAACCCCTTCTTTGATTTCTATTTGCTTGGTAAATTTTCCTCCTTCCCTTTATTTTGAGCCTATGTGTGTATTTGCACGTCAGATGGCTCTTTTCAAGACAGCATAGTGATGGGTCTTGGCCTTTTATCCAGCTTGCCTTTCTGTGTCTTTTAATTGAGGCATTAAGCCCATTTACATTTAAAGTTAGTATTGTTATGTGTGAATTTGATCCTGTCATCATGATGCTAGCTGGTCATTTTGCAGAATTGTGCATGTGGTTGCTTCATAGTGTCCCTGGTCTGTGTATTTCAGTGTGTTTTTGTAGTGGCTGGTAACAATTTTTTCTTTCAATTTTCAGTGCTTCTTTCAGGAGCTCTTACAAGGCAGGCCTGAGGGTGACAAATTCCCTCAGGATTTGCTTGTTTGTAAAGGATCTTATTTCTCTTTAGCTTAGGAAGCTTAGTTTGACCAGATATGAAGCTCTAGGCTGGAAATTATTTTCTTCAAGAATGTTGAATATTGGCCCCCAATCTCTTCTGGCTTGGAGGGTTTCCACTGAGAGGTCCACTGTTACTCTTATGGCTTTCCCTTTGTAGGTGACCTGGACTTTCTCTCTGGCTGCCCTTAACATTCTTTCTTTCATTTCAACCTTGGAGAATCTGATCATTATGTGTCCTGGGATTGATCTTCTCATGGAGTGTCCTACTGGAGTTCTCTGAATTTCTTGAATTTAAATGTTGGCCTGTCTTGCTAGGTTGGGGAAGTTCTCCTGGATGATATCCTAAAGTATGTTTTCCAACTCGATTCCATTCTCCCCATCTCTTTGAGGTACCCCAATCAGTCGTAGGTTCTGTCTCTTTACATAATCCCATATTTCTTGGAGATTTTGTTTAGTCTTTTTTATTCTTTTATCTCTATTGTTTCCTGCCTGTTTTATTTCAGAAAGATAGTCTTCAAGCTCTGAGATTCTCTCCCCTACTTGTCTCCATTTTTCTCGGGAGGTATTTTAACAAAATTTAAAGAAATTACCACACCGTTTACAATTACTGTGTATGTTTGTGTTTATGTGTGCACGTGTGTGTATGATGAACCCAAGGAAAGAATATTCTAAAATGAGGACCAGTAATGTTATTTTCTATAGTTTTTTCTTAGTACTGAACCCAAAAAAGGAATATCGAGAATGTTTCAGACAGTAGAGTAAGATAGAGATAAATCCTACAATTGCCACTTATAATCTGGGTAACTTTGGGAAAATTACCTTTCTTTTGAACTTATTTTATTAACTTTTAGAATGAGAATAATAAAAATACCCTCCTCATAGGACTGTGGTGAAGATTAAGAGAACTAATTAATATAAAACACAGCATGGGGCCAAGCATATGGTAAGACCTTAAGGAATTTTATTTCGTTAATTATAAAACACACATTTCTCCCTACATTTTAACATCTCAGTAGAGAAAATGTCTTAGAATTTATGTTCTTATAGTTGATGAAGCAAGGATTCTTACCTAAATACATGATTTATAATTGAAACATAGTTTTTTGTTTAAAAATGTTAGAAATCAACACTATGAAATCAGATACCAATTCTGTCAGTGGGGATAGTTTGCAGTGAGGGAAATAAAATGGAGAATTTTGCAAATTAGGACAAAATTAATATATGTTCTCTTTATTTTGAGTTTATTCATATTTATTCCACAAACATTTGAATGGATAACCATGTGCCAAATTCTGTGTAGGACAAATTTCATAAGATGAATAACATATATTTGTCTTCAAAGATCTAACACATGTTCATGGAAGACAACAGAACCATATAAGTACAGCATCAGTTATAAATATCTAAGCTAATTGTTTACATAGAAGCAAGACTTAATTCATAGGAGAGGAGAGGGTAGGGAAAGACAAAATGAAAGATGTGATTTCTGAACTAAGTCTCAACAGACTGGTAACATGAGTCAGGTGAAAGGTGAGAGGAAGTACGCTTTAAAAGGAGGAAATAAAAAAGGACTTGGGAGAAGAAGAGAGAAGAATCTCTCTTAGGAAACTACATGATATTTAATTTGGATGAAATATTTGCAGAAGGAGTAAAAATTCTAAGCTAGAAGTTTAAGAAGGGTCAGCTTACGGAGGACCTTGCCTGGTTATGCTGATGGGCTTAAACTGTGGCAGGAGTTAAATGAAAATACTCTGGAACAGTTTAAAATGGAGGGGTGATACACTCACAATTTTATTTCCAAACTGTTGTTCAGAATGAATTAAAGTGGATAGGATTGAAGACAAAGAGGATGGTTAGGAGCTTATTGTGATCATCATTAACAGTGGTATTGCACATGTAGTAAAATGGGCAGATTTGAAAGATTATGAAGGTGATAGAATCTATAGTACTTGATGATTAATGGAATGTGAAATAGAGATAGAAGTTAAGTTGTAATAACCACATCTCAGTTCAAATGATAAACAAATGCCATGCAGATCTAGAGCAGGGGCCATGTTCCCAAACAATTTGCCTGAGCCATTGTGCCTAACACAGTGCTGAGTCCACAATAAACCAATGCCAAACAGTTGTGCATTGATATATCATCCATTCTTCTGGAAATTCTTTGAGGATTTCACATACAGATGTCCATATTGAATTAATACATAATTATCAAGAGAAAAATAGCCCTGAGTCAACATTCTAGAAATGTTCAATTGTCTAGAGTGGATTTTCTCATTGTCCTTTTCCATAACAACATAGTGACTTGGAATATAACGTGGCACTAAAAAATAGAAGAATAAAAAGGGTCTTTGAAGCAATTCCTTTTTATCTTGCTTTATTCTTAACAGCAGTTCTCTGGTCTTAATTCTTTTATGGTTCCAGGAGAATTACATTTCAAATTCCGTAATTGCACAGGAGAATTGGAGTCTTGTAAAAATTTAGAATACTTCGTTCAAAGGCAACTTTTATTATGAACTGAACCTATGCTGTGATGCAGCCAAAGAAATTGTTTAGAGCATCATTAAAATAACCTTTTTAATAAGACCACTTTCTCTTGAAAAAGTGTAGTACCCTCTTATTTAATATTACCATATTACAATTGACTGTATGTTTGCTGAAAGTCTTATAGTATGGTATTTAGTTTATTGAACTAGCACAAAATATACATGAACTTTATCAGTTTTCATTTTCCCTTTAACAAACGAAGAACAATATTAAATGACATTTTATGACATTTGATAGGTATTTAAAATTTGTTATTGCGGCTCTTCAGTGAACCATAAAATAACAAGTGTCACAATATGGCTGTGCTTTCATTATGAGAAATGCAAGCAGGAAACATTTAAATCAGCATCATTTTCCATCAGTGTTTTGCTCCTGATTCTCTGCCAAGTTCATTATCTCCTCTGTGCCTAAATTTGTCCATATGAAAAATTAGGAGAAAAAAGAATAAATTAATACTTGCCTCTAAAATGATCTGAAACCCAGGTATGGAAAATCTTACACAAGTTTAAAAGACTGGTTTATTCACTACTGTCCTCATTCGTTTGAACAGACCGCAATGTTCTGTGGGAGAGTAGCTGAGAGACTGATGCAATAATAGTCCTTTTCACACCTTCCATCCAGAAAGACAATTTTTTTATTTGCAGCTGAAGCTATTATATCCAGAGCCTATGGCTGTTTGCCTCTTTTAACGTTGGAAATTTTGAAAGAGAAACAGCAAGTAAAATGTGAAAATGTCCTCTGGGATATTATTTTATTACTACATGTCCCTTATTTAGCAAACTATATGCAATATAAAAAATTAAGTCTGGTGCCTGGTTGGCAAAAAATCAAATAACAGGTACTAAAGAAATAATGATGAGCTAACCTAAGCTCTGTGTGTGTGTGTGTGTGTGTGTGTGTATGTGTGTGAGTGCGCGCACGCCATAAAGCCAAGGTGGAGAGGTGAATGAAAAAGTCATTAGAGGAGAGGGAAAAGCCATATCACTTGAAAAAAGCACCATGGTATCATGGTAGAAGAATGGGCTTTAGACGCTGGCAAGCTTGGGTTTCAATTATGGCATTTTGTAGTGCGCTATTTATTTCTGAGCATTAATTTCTACAATGAAAAAATACATAATACCATAGGGTTTGAAGGATCAAGTGAGATGATTGAAATAAAGTATGAATCAAGATGTCTGTCATTAATTCTTTTAATCATGGGAGCTATTGACAATGCAAAAGTGTACCCAGTATAGCAGTAGAATGATAGTGTATCTCTTGAGATAACGTGTCAGGTTGTTCGCTAATGCCTTTTTCATAGAAATATTGTTGAGCTGCCTTCACATAGATAGAACATCTGGGTTACAACCACTTTGCAGAAAAGCTACCAGGTACAGCTTTTTGAAATTGCCTGCCTGGGTTTAAATTACAGTCTTGTAGTAACTCTTTGGTGCATTTTAGTAACTGCTGAACCGTGTGATGTTGAGTCAATCACATTGATTGGAAAGGAAATTTAACGCATCAGACAAGGGAAAGTTACTAAGGTTAGTTGACATAGAATGCTCTTAAGTTAGTTCATGGTAAGTTATGCAAGTAGAGGAGATCATAGATAACTAAATAGCAGGCAAACTGCAAAAAGACTAGCAGAAGTTGGCCAGGCATAGTGGCTCACGCCTGTAATCCCAGCACTTTGGGAGGCCAAGGCAGGTGGATCATGAGGTCAGGAGTTCAAGACCAGCCTGTCCAACTTGATGAAACCCTGTCTCTACAAAAATATAAATTAACCAGGCATGGTGGCTGGCACCTGTAATCCCAGCTACTCAGGAGGCTGAGGCAGGAGAATTGCTTGAACCCAGGAGGCAGAGGTTGCAGTGAGCTGAGATCGTGCCACTGCACTCCAGCCTAGGCAACAGAGTGAGACTCTGTCTCAAAAAAAAAAAAAAAAAAAAAAAGACTAGCAGAAGCACATCAGTTGTTACTATTCTGTAGCAAGTTCAACCAGAATGTATCTCTTTGCTGTTCTCACAGCAAAAATTATAAATGTTTGAGGTGATGGATATGCTAATTACCTTCATTTGATCATTACACAATGTATACATGTATTGAAGCATCATATTTTATCCCATAAATATGTATAATTAGTATGTCAATTAAAATTAAAAAATAACGATAGCAACAACTATTACTCCCTTATATTACACTACTACAAGCGCTTTGTTTATAGCTTATATCCTTGGGAACCTTTTTTCTATTGCATATAGAATGTATGATACAGTCTGTGCTAAATGTCATAGAGCTTTTACAAGCCAGATAAAATTTGAGTGTACAGTTAAGAGGTCAAAAAGCCATCTGCCACAATGTAGAGCCCATCTCAGGAAATTAGGATATAAAAATTTTCCAGCAAATGATTTGTAAGAAGTCATGAGTTTTATGGGGAATAACTGGTTAGCCTGGTAACAGATCTAGTGAGTTCTGAAGAATCATATATCCCATCTATGCCCATATTGAAATAGTGGCAGTGCTAGGTTTGTTCTATAATGCATTGTGGGTAGCTGTTGCAGCCTTCTCCTACTCCATATCTTTATTTCATGTGGTCACTGACCTTATATTATTAAGTGTGTACAATATAGATTTAAAGGGTAGACATTGGGTCACCTTTGATGAAAGAGTCTTACTTCAAGAATATGTACCGTATTCTCTCAACTGACAGTAATTAATGTCACTGATGTGGACAGTATTCATATCACCATAATGAAGCCATAAAACATTGTGGCTAAAATAATTTGTGAAGCTCATTTTGAAGATCTTGTGAAAAGCTAGGCCTTGGTGCCAAGGATAGAGAGAAAAGCAACAGTAATGAGGAAAGCACTGACACCTCTTTGGAGGAAAATGTGGCCATATTGACCAAAATTTAAAGTGTGCACACTTAGGCCAGGTGTGGTGGCTCACGCCTATAATCCCTGCACTTTGGGAGGCCGAGGTGGGTGGATCACTTCAGGTCAGGAGTTTGAGGCCCGCCTGGCCAACATGGTGAAATCCCATCTCTACTAAAAATACAAAAATGAGCCGGGTGTGATGGCAGGTGCCTGTAGTCCCAGCTATTCAGGAGGCTGAGGCAGGAGAATCGCTTGAACCCGGGAGGTGGAGGTTGCAGTGAGCTGAAATCATGCCACTGTATTCCAGCCTGGGTGGCAGAGAGAGACTCTGTCTCAAAAAAAAAAAAAAAAGTGCACAGTTTATGACTCAGCATTTTCACTTTCAGAATATTTCTTTCAGATATTGTGTATTTTGCAAATTTCTACATAAATTAATAAGCTTTCAGCATTATTTGTCATAGCTGAATCTTGGAAACAAATACGTCTATTAATAGGTGACTGAATCAATAAATCATGTTACATTTAGAGAATGAAAAACTACACAGCCATTAAGAATTAAGATAGATGTATACATTTTGATAAGAAGCAATATGTCCAAGAAGTAGTTCTAAGTGAAATAAAGTACAGAAATGTGTGATTAGTACGCTATAATTTATTTAAAAACGTGCTTACAAAGTAATGATAAATGATTGAGGTGACAGATATCCCAATTACCTTGATTTGGTCACTACATACTATATACCTGTATCAAAATAACACGTGTACCTTGTAAATATGTAAAACTATTACCTGTTAATATTATGCATTATGTAAATTAAAAATTAAATGCCCAAAGCCATGTGTTTATACACATATTTGTAAATGCACTGATTATCTATATGTGACTTAGGAATAGCAGTTTTCTTTTAGAAGAACTGAGGGTCTTGGGTGGGAGAGCTATCTTACTGTCTAAAAATACTATTCAATAGTTATTTTTTTCTATGTGGCTGGATTACTTAAGTAAAAGAAAGCTTTGAAGGCAAAGCTAGTGTACTGTGTGTTTCACTTAGGACATCACTTAAGACAAACCAATAGTTTGACACAGGAAGATTGTTATTGATGATTGGAACATACTAAAGTAAAAAAATCTGTTCTCACATTCTTTTCATTTCTTCCTATAAACAATAAAAGAGATTCTTACCCTTTTGTTCAAATTGAAATCTCCCCCTTCACATTCTGTATTCCATCCTCTACCACAGTTACAGGGAGCGAGTACCTTTGCTTACCACCTTTCTCTCCTTTCCCTGCTCAACCTTACCTTACAAAAACAAAAACATAATTCTTCCTTGATCTAACATCCCCCTTCAGTTTTCATCTCTCTCCTCTTCTTTAGCCAAGCCCCATGTCTATACCGGTTCTCTGTATCTCTCATTGTCACTTCACTCCTCAGCCTACAGCAATCTGGTTTCCTTCTCCACAATGTCTCTGAAATTTTGCCAAAGTCACCAGTGATTTCTATGTACCTAAATCAAATGGTTACTTGTAAGTTCGTGAATTGTTTGACTTTTTAGCAGTGTTTGACCAGACTGACAACTCTCTAAATGAAAATTCAAAGAAAATCCCATTTTCTTTGCTTATTTTCTTCTGTTTTTTTTTTTTCCCTCTTTATTTACTTTTCCTGTTTCTTTTTTGGTATTTTGCTTCTCCACCTATCCACTATATATTTATTTGTGCTTATTATGGCATTGCTGGTGGCTTGACGTTAGACTCTCTGCTCTTTTCTCATACATATTTCTTAGGCAGTATTTCTTAGGAAGTATATACCCACTTCAGGTCCAAATGCCCTTTCTGTGTTAACAGCTTCTAATATCTAATATATCTATTACCCTCTCCTGAGCTTGAGACTTTTCTGTCCAATCGCTGACTGGTTGTCTTTACTTGGATATCTCAGTGACACATAGTTGACCATGTGTACAAGTGAACTCATTGTGTTACCTCAAATTTTCCCTTCTGGGGTTTGCTATGTCACAAATTAATTACTTTTTGGAGGCAGATTTCCTTACTGTGATATCAAGAGTGAGTGAAAAAAGTGTCTGGTGAATAGTAGTTATTTCACAAATATTTATTGACTCAAGGATTGAATCAATTAATGATACCATGTATGATAAATATCATCAAATGTATAGTACAGAACATTTTGAAACATTTAAAATATTGAAAGACAAGATACCGAAAGTGCAGATTATCCTAATGTGGTAAAATTATGCTACCTCTCTAAGGATGACTATGAATAACAAGGAAAAAGAGTTAATCAAGCATTAATTCCCTGTTAAATTTCTTTCTGCTTAAAATATTTGGAGTTGTTTTTCTATCTTGTACTGAACTCTGATATGTATAGCAATGTATGTGTGAAATCCTGTGATTCAAGGGTAGAAACTAAATTAAAAAAAGGGAAGAATCAAAATTTAACAAAGTAGCTAATCTTTCTGAGGGCAAGTTGTCAAAATTTTGGCAATGGTGTTGAGTGTATGCAGTGTATGCATGACCAATATCCAGAAAGGGGTATCCTGGAAGAGGTTGTATATAGTACTCATCTTCACTCAGTGAATTTTTGACTGAAGGAAAATTTTTAAAAAATTTATTAGATACAAAGTAAGAACCCATGGTCCTGTGGGCTTTCTAAGGTAAAAAGACAAAAGGCAAGAAAAGATCTTTGCATCAAAGAGCTTAAAGTATTATAGTTAATTTAAACATATAGTTGTTTTACATTCTTTTAATAAAGGTTTAATCATATGCTTACATGAAGAACAAAGGAAGCTTAAATGTTGTAGTTGTTACTCTGTTCACCAGTATTTTGTTTTTCCTCCTGAGTGCATGATAGAATTGTACCTCCCTGACACTTGGAAATTAGGTGTGACCAAAAGACTACCCTGATTTGCCTATCGATTTCTGAATAGATGTAATGGCATGCAATTTTCAGATGGAAGTTGTAAGAGCTAGTGTGTGATTTGCCTAAGAAGGATGGTGACATTTTACTGCAGAGATAGAAAGTGAGGGCATATGGGCAGAAAGACCAGCATTAGCAAACCCATGGAAGACAGGGATTGAATTTATAGACATAGAGATACCTGAAACAGGGCAGCAAAATAATATTTTCAAGAACATGTTTTCTATCAATATTTCTAATTTAATTTTATAGCATCTAAGAAAGTGATATACCACTCACATAAAGTCTTAAACGCTCTACATTTTAATTAAACTTTAATTATATCTTTTAATTTCCATGGCTGGCTTTAAATTAAATTTAATTCTACTTACCAGGATTTTAAGAGCTTCTGAATTTGTCCTATCCTCAACTTTCTGCAACTGGGTTTACAGCTGTATTTTCTCACTACTGTTAATTGAATGCTGATGGTAGGGATAGTTCTTACTATTTTTTCCCCCTGTAACTATGTTCACTTAATTCAAGGTCCTCAGGTCTCTGTAAACCTTTGCATTCAAAAAACTAAAAAACTCCACACTGCTTCCTACTGCTAAAGGTTTTTCTTATTTCTGCCCCACAGGTTTTGGCTCAAGCTAAAGGAAGGATTGTGCTTGCCGTGAATGTAGATAGGCACAAGATCATATATTTCAAAGGAAATCATACTCAAATTCAAATACAACCTAATGGTGATCTTGTGGTAAATGTATCCACTAACACTCACTTTCTATTCCTTCCTAGTAATTGTTCAGTCTCCAGAAATTATTTCCGTAATTTATTCCTGTTGTTTCAGAATTGAGTCTTTGAAGGGAATAAGCCCACTGAATTATATGTTGATACAGCCATTCACAAATTGCTTTTTTAATACATTCTTCAAAATGTAAAAATGTTGGTTTCAATTGGTCACTTTCTTCTCCAAACAATTTTTTTAAAGTGGATCAAACATGAAATAAGTTTATTTCTTTCTTTATTTTTTTGAGACGGAGTCTCGCTGTCACCCAGGTTGGAGTGCAGTGGCGCAATCTTGGCTCATTGCAACCTCTGCCTCCTGGGTTCGAGCAAGTCTCCTGCCTCAGCCTCCCGAGTAGCTGGGATTACAGGTGTGTGCCACCACACCCAGCTAATTTTTGTATTTTTTAGTAGAGACAGGGTTTTGCTATGTTGGCCAGGCTGGTCTCAAACTCCTGACCTTAAATGATCCACACACCTCGGCCTCCCAGAGTGCTGAGATTACAGGCATGAGCCAGCATGCTGGGCCAAAAGAAGTTTATTGCTCACTTAAAATCTGAATGGGTGCTCCTGATTGGCAGGTTCTTCAAGTGCTGATTCTGGAATTCAGGACTTCTCTTTGACTTCATCATCTTCATAAATGTCTTTCAATGTCATTGTGCTCAATGGTATCAAAAATCATCAAGGCCCTTGTATGGGTAGGGCCTGAAGTGTTGCACAGCAGTTTTCATTGTTTTCTCTGAACTAGAACTCGGTCACATGACCACACCTAACTCCAAAGGGGACCCAGAAATGTGATCTACACTTGAAAAAGAGGAAATGGATTTGTCTTTTTCACACAATTGATATCTTAACTTCTGAGTTGACTAACATCTACCTTGTTTGATCTATATGTGGAGAAAAAGAGTTTATAAGAAATAAAGATGGGTAGCTCTGTGGATTTCTGGGCATAAGATCCTTCTGGATTTAGTGGGCAAGATCTTCAAACTGCCAATTGGGCAACATGGATGAAAAATTTTGGGTCTTGTGAATAATTTAAAAAGCAAAGAAAAAGAAACTTGACATTTTGGAGACAAACCTGTGTGAGTGTTTTATTGGTACAAACGTATTTAACACTAGGGGTTTTGTACAATTTTTTGCCTTTTCTACTAGAAAACAATGTAAAGTGATTTCACAATGTGAAGAGAAAAAAAAATTGCCGCTGTGACCAAACGCACAGTCTGTTGTGCAGCAACAATGGGCTTCGATCAACTCAGTCGTGATTCAGCTGTAGAAATGCTTTTCCTTCACCTTGTTTGAGCTTTTCCTTTCTTTCCTGTTTTGATTTGCAAAAGAAAATGTCTTTTTTGTGTGAACTTGTGTTGTACTCTGTAGAAAATTACGGGTTTTACTTTAATGGTTTAAGAAAAAAAGCAAGAAGAGCCCTCGTCGCTTTTCTTACCTCATCACAGAGTTTGTGTAGTGAATTTAAAAAGAGAAAAAAAATTGTTACATATTTGGAGCAAGGGAGTATGTTTTTCAAAAGAACCTCCTTCCTTTTTTTGTGTGTTTTTCCTTTTGTCCCAATGGGGAATCTAAATCTGTTTTAATTGCACAGACACATAGACAAAAAGTCATTTTTTATCTGCCAAGTGTGGTACCTTTGTTTATTTGTTATTAAACTGTTTAGACCCAGAATTTTTTTTTTCTTCTCAGTTTCTGAGATTAACAAAATTTGAAGGTAATGGTGCCTCTCATGGCAGAAAAAGTTTGTTAGTGCAAAGATAATTTATTAAGATTAGGAGAGGAAACTCTGGAAGGAATACTGCTATGTTAACAGCCTGATCTGTGTGTGTGTAAGTGTGTGTGTGACTGCACATGAGCGTGTATGCATATTATGTAGTTTTTGTCTCCAATATGATTATCTCTGAAGATGAAACATACTCAAGCCTGCATAATGCACGTTAATTGCCCCCACTGGTCCCAGGATTGAGATCTCCAGAGACAGAGCCTCAGACTCTGGAAGGGATAAGTAATGAGGAATGGGGAGATTTGTGGCATGTTCTACATCTGAGTAAAGCCTGAAAGGGGCCTTTGTAAAGAAAAGAATCAAAAGGTGCCTTACTTAGAGGCTATTTGACTCCCGGGCAACATTTAGGATATGGAATTATGGGCAGGTGGAGCAGTAACTTTTCTGTATCTCGAAGTCCACTTTGTTTCAGATGTTGGTATAAAAAGGAGCATAAATTTTCATGACTATTTTCCTTCACAAACAGCTTTATTATTAGGCTTATTAGACACAGAATTAAGAATTTTTTTGTCAAATAGTAATTTTGTCCTTGCAGATTATCTTCAAAAGGATTATATTCTTAGAAGACAGGAAAATGGGAGTCATTGCTGCCTGTCTAACTAGTTCAGGCTTAATTTGCTAGTCAATGAAAAACAAGATGTACTAGAAGAATGAAATGTTCAAAGCTTTATGGAAACAGCATTTTGCAAGACCATTTGGTGCAGGTTTGGGCAATAATTTGGACTAGCTCTCTTGTTTATTCTCTTTCACACAGATACAGCGTAGCACATATTCACTCATTGTGTGTGATTTGGAGAGAAAACTTTGTAGGTGGTAGCTAATTTATTTCATGAAATTTAACATTCTGATTCAAAAGAGTCAAAAGAAAAAAGGACTGGGGAATCTAAGAGATATCCAACATGACCCTTCAGTAGGCTAATCTTTTGGTACAGAAAGGTCCTCAATGCACAATTACTGTGCTGAAAGTGGATCTCGCCTGTGAGATACCCCATGCAGAGGACTATCTGTGGCAAATGGAAAGTGAAACCTTGCTTTTTTTTTTTTTTTTTTTTTTTTCCTTGTTCTCGTCCTCTGCCTCTTGGGCAGAATTTAATTACCTCTGTCCCTTCCCTGGTATTTGTTTGTATGTAATTGCCCCAGGTCAAGCTTTTTACACTTTTTCCTTGGGCTATTGAAATAATTTCCAAATTTTTCTGCTAATTTTATTAACCTGCACCAAATGGTCTTGAAAAATGCTGTTTTCATAAAGCTTCAATTATTTCATTCTTCTACTTAATACATCTTGTTTTTCCTTGACTAGCAAATTAAGCTTGAACTAGTTAGACTGGCTGGCAGCAAGTCCTCTGCCATGTGATTACCGTATATTTATACCTTATGTCTCACAACTTTTTGCAAGTACACTTGTACTATTTTATACTCTTCTCTGGGTATAATTTTTTGTATCCAAATCTTTCTACATTTTTATTATATGCAAATAATATTTTCCCGCCATCGTTATGGAAAATTCTATATTTTGTCAACGTTCATTTTCTTCTCAAAAGCCTTTTGTTATTATTTCCAAATGAATATTATGTGTGTCTCAGACAACCACAGAAAGTTTTGTTTTTGTCACATTCTACTGCTACTGTGTCAATGGCAGCATTTTGATATAGGTGGAGGGATGCTCACATCAACCCCATAATTTGTGTCAGCTTCTCCTGAAGTTATCAGAAGCATACAATTTAAGTAAAAACAGTATCTTCGCTATCCAAATGATGTTCCAAGGTAAATCTCCTCAGATCCCTTCCAGTACATGTATGCTCCAAGGCCTGCTCTATGTAGAACTTTTGGAGCCATCAACGTACTGCTTGAGGTTGCTTTGAACAAAAGGTATTTGACATAAGCTCTATAAGATCAGGGACTCTTTTTTATTTTATTCATTGTTCTTTATCTTCTAGAGCAATAATTTGCAAAATGACTATTTATTGAATAAACTAGGACGGAGGTGAAAAGGAAAGAACAGCTCATCCTTCCAAGGGGAAGAGAGCAGTATCCCAAATCCAAATTGAAGAAAATAAACATATATCTATTCACCAGAAGAGATAGAAGGGAGACAGGGCAGAATTTCTGTGGTTCTTACTATCTCTGTCACCTCTACAGGCCAAACCAGTGAGGACCTTGGAGACTACTAATATCACTGGATTTGTGAATGAGTTCATCCTCTTGGGCTTCCCCTGCCGCTGGGAGATCCAGATCCTCCTTTTTGTGGTCTTCTCTCTCATCTACCTTCTGACCCTCCTAGGTAACACATCCATCATCTGTGCTGTGTGGTCAAGCCAGAAACTCCACACACCTATGTACATCCTACTGGCCAATTTCTCCTTCCTGGAGATCTGCTGTGTCAGTTCTGACGTGCCCATAATGGCAGCCAATCTCATCTCCCAGACACAGAGCATCTCCTGTGCTGGCTGCCTGCTCCGGTTCTACTTCTTCTCCATGTGTGCTGCAGAGTGCTTATTTCTGTCAGTGATGTCTTTTGATAGGTTTCCTGCCATTTGTAGACCTTTGCACTATCCCACCTTAATGACCCATCACGTTTGTGCTCATTTTTGTGATCTTCTGCTGGGTGGGTGGCTGTCTCTGGTTATTGACCCCTTTGACACTAATATCTCAGGTGCTCTTTTGTGGTCCAAACACTATCGACCATTTTTTCTGTGATCTGGCACCTTTGCTGGCACTGTCTTGTGCTCCAATACCTGGAATTACTCTGACTTGTGGTATCATTAGTGCTCTCATCATCTTTCTTACCTTCTTGTATATCCTTGGGACTTATTTCTGTGTTCTAAGCACAGTGCTACAGGTGCCTTCAGGCTTAGGAAGGCATAAGGCTTTCTCAACTTGTGGCTGTCACCTTGCTGTAGTGTCTCTCTTCTATGGTTCTCTTATGGTGATGTATGTTAGCCCAGGTTCTGGGGACTATCATGGGATAAAGAAATTTGCGACCTTGTTCTATACTTTGTCAACTCCATTCTTTAATCCTCTGATCTACAGTTTCCGGAACAAGGATATGAAAGAGGCACTAAAGAAATTTCTGAGGAATCGCCACACTGTCGATTGAACCAGTGTGGCGATTCCTCAGGGATCTAGAACTAGAAATACCATTTGACCCAGCCATCCCATTACTGGGTATATACCCAAAGGACTATAAATCATGCTGCTATAAAGACACATGCACACATATGTTTATCGCAGCACTATTCACAATAGCAAAGACTTGGAACCAACCCAAATGTCCAACAACGATAGACTGGATTAAGAAAATGTGGCACATATACACCATGGAATAGTATGCAGCCATAAAAAATGATGAGTTCATATCCTTTGTAGGGACATGGATGAAGCTGGAAACCATCATTCTCAGCAAACTATCGCAAGGACAAAAACCAAACATCGCATGTTCTCACTCATAGGTGGGAATTGAATAATGAGAACACTTGGACACAGGAAGGGGGACTTCACACACTCGGGCCTGTTGTGGGTTTGGGGGGGGAGGGATAGCAAAAAAAATTTATGTATGTGTTATAGTAGGAAATTTCTAAAGGATCCAAGAGGCAAATTTAATATAATTCATCATTAATGTTTAGAAGGATGAAAGATGATGAGACCAATGAGATCATGCTTTTTTCCATTTTATTCTACTTTTATATATTGGGAAGATAATTTGAAAGAATTAATTGGACCCATGGTTTCAGTCTTAGGAAGTTATTACTATTATGGTCCAGATATGTTTGTACCTTAAATAGATTTTTTTATTTTTGCAATTCTACTTAATATTTTCATCTATTTCTCTAAAACTGAGCTTCTGCTTACTCTTTTGGTTTTCAGTACATACTGTTTGGTATGTTTCAACATCCTCAGATTCTGCCTTCATTGAAGCAAGTTGTTTCATTTTTTTTGAGAGCATAGCAATGGTTGAATGTATTGCAACTATACAAATAGTTTTCCACTGATCCTTCAAATTACCAGATTAAAACACACACACACATACACACCCCCAAAACTCTCAACAATTCAGGGACAATTTTAAGCTCTGCCTTTTTATTCTTTATAATTTGAAGTATAACTTCTGGGGCTAACAAGGGCCTTCAATAATATTATGTTGACTTGATTGACACCTCACATTTTGCCAATGCTAACACTTTGGCATATGTAGACACAAGAAGGTCAGGTGATGCCCAGTGCAAACCAAAGAGCCATAGAATCTGTGAGATCGCTGACAATCTAGGCCTACTAAGCACTTTTGTGTGTGTGTAGTTCTTCATTAAACTCTGGAAAAGTGTTCCTCGGGTAAGTTCTACCCTCTAATTTATTTTTTTGAGTAGCAATTTATTAATTTGCAGTACTGCACTCCATGAGGAAATCTTGTGCTAAATCTTGATTCTGGGGTAACTCCAGCACTGACTTTACTACCAAAGTGTAGTTAAATATTTGCAGCATTCTGCTGGATATTTTTACATGACGATCTATTTCAAATTCAAATGTCTAATCCTAAATTTGTTAATCTCCTTTTAAATTAGCTCTAGCCATCCTTATTTTCTCATGGATCTGTTGATTTATAGCATGAACTTGAAATCTTGACAGTAGAATTCCTTACCATCTCATTCCCACTTCTAATCTGTCATTAAACAGATTAGGCATCTTCCCTGGGATCATTTGTCATCTTTACGCTCGTCTTTTCTGTGCAGGTTCCTAGCACTCCATATCTGTGATGGCATAATCACTTCATAAATGGTCTGTCTCTGTTATTTCCCATGTCAAATTCCAGAATTATGTTCTTGAACCTCCATCACTTATTTTCTCTCTACCTAAACACAGGAAAAAATCCCAAATTCTTTAGCTTGTAAATGTTTTTAGGTTCTGAATTTCTTCTTAAACTTTATTTTTACCTTAATATATGTCTCATCACTCCCATTTGACTCACTCTCTCTAATTCACAGAGTATAATCTTAGTTTTACAACCTGAGCTTAAAATTGTTCTATTCATACCTTGCCCATGTTTAGATGCCTCATACGAAACTTTCCTTGCCCACTACAGTATATCATAATGTTATTTTCTAAGTTCATTGTCTTTTGAGTTTTGCCAAATATTTACTCAAAATTGGTCTGCCTTTTGGGTATCTATTACAGCATTGTTTGTGCTATTTTTTACTTTCCTACCAGTTAGAATATAAGTTTCTTTAGGGCAGGAAATATGATCTTTTTACTGCTCCTGAATGGCTTCTGCAATAGTAATAGCTCAATTATTGAGTTAACAAGGTTATTCGACAAACATTTATTGAGCTCCTATTATGTATTAGGCATTATCTGAGCACTGAAGCTATAGCAGTGATACCTATTCCCATGCAGTTTATATTACAGTATGGGAAGACAGGGATCAAGAAATAGAGAAATAAATATGTAGGATACAATATTTCCTGTGGTGATACATTCTTTGAAGAAGGGCAAAGCAGATGATGGGAATAGATACTAGTGAGAGTGGGGATGCTCTTTTAAATAGAATAGTCTGGGAAGGTTTCATTTAAGCTAAATTTTGAGGAGACCTATAGGAAGTGAGGGAGTTCTGTCCTTCCTATTTCAAGTTTACGGTGAGCAGGAAAGCAAGGCAATCATCAAAATGAGTGTGGAAATGCTCTAACAAGTACACTTAGAGATCCAAATCCAAATGGTGGCTATTAAGAAAGGCAAGAAGTTTGGTTTAAAAATGTGCCTGAAGATGCACCATTGAAAAATAGCAGCAGTGCGCAGGGACAATGCCACCTAACCCGCGTTCAGAGCGAAGCCACCTGGTCGGCCACCGGCAGCTTGGGGAAGAAGGGCATGTGGCGCGCCCACTCCACCTTGCTGAAGAGCAGCCGTGAAATTTTTAATAATATTTTTATTTAACCCAACTCACCCAAAATAGTATTTCAACATGGAATTAGTATAAACACTATTAATGAGATGTTTACATTCTTTCATCCCACCAAGTGTTCAAAACTGGTATTTGATTTTATACTTGGAGCACATCTTAATTAGGACTAGTCACTTTGCAGGTGCTCAGTAACCACATGTGGGTCGTGGCTATTGTATTGGACAGTACAGGTTAAAGAGAGGTCTAAGGACTAAATACAGACCTCAAATAATATTGAGGTTAAACAAATACTAAATTGACTTTATTTTTCAGAATGAAGTTTCTTTGCCTGGAGAGAACAAGCATGCTCTTATTTCACGTATTTTCCTAATTGAAATCCTGATTTTGGCAGGGGAAAGAACCCACTGAGTGTGCTACATGTTGGAACTAGTGACCTTACACATCCATGCTCCATCTCCTGGGAAAGTCTTTCCTGAAGAATTGTATCTTCAGTCTGTTTGTCCTGATTTGTCCCAAACTGACAGAAGTACCTGCAGAGCTGGCTAAAATTTCCCTTTCAGACATTGCTGTTTAGGTGAGAGTACAGAGTGGTTGGGAGGGTCAATCAGTTGTAGAACAATACTTAGGTATAATCCAATTTATATACCCACTCAAAACCCAGAGATTTTGCTTCTATATGTACAGAAAGAGGACTTAGAAATACATCCACCAAACTAAACACGTTGCTGAGGAGGCATGTGTGTGTGTAGAGGTGTGGAGATGTGAAAATTTTCACTATTTTATAGTTTTTTTCTTTACAACGACTATTCACTATAAAATATATGATTTATTTGTATAATTAAAAAGTAGACAAAATGGAATACAATTCATTTCAGTGTAGCTAAGCAAGCCCCAGTTAGTAAAACTTTTATGTTTTTATGTACACATTTAGACTAAAAACATACTTTAAAATATTTCAATTTTATATATGAACATCTTTTTAAAGCACAATGAGAGCTTAGATACAAGTGAGGATTTTAGTTATTCAGTTAATTATGGTTCGTTGGCCCCCTCCCCCAAGTCTAAGAATTTTTGGCTTAAAGAGAAAGAGTAAGTGAAGAATCCTCTATATCCATTCTTCACTAGTTCTAAGAAGGATGAAAGGCAAGTGCACAACACTAAATCTCACTGCAGCTTACAGAGATTTTCCAGATGATAATTTATTTACCTTTAGTTTAACTTTTTCTCTCAGAACTCCAGATAATGCAGTAGTAACTTATAAGCAGCACAGTATCTTCTAACAGCATTCATCATGAGATAGACAAGTCCTCAACTACCCGAGACAGTGTTTTACCCCTTACTCATCCTGCTCCCCTTTCACTGCTGTTGCATAGGTGGATAATTTGATTTCCACCCTGTGTAATCTCTAGAGGAAACATAGCTCAGAGATATGGAATAGTCAAAATGAATGGGTTGTTTGAGTTATTTCTCTCTCTCTCTCGCTCTCTCTGTGTGTGTGTGTGTGTGTGTGTGTGTGTTTGCTGTCCAGTATCTCCATCCCTTTTTATGTTTGAGGTAATCCCAATATTATCAGGCTTGGAGCTTCTATTTATGTAATTGTTGTTTATATTGCCAGATATTAGCTCTCCTAGCTTCCCTTGCACTTAAAGTTGTAGGAATGTACTCTTGCCTTTACCAGATACAGCTATACCAGGCTTTGAATCAAGAAGCAGAAGTAGGAAGAGCAACAATGTTGAAATATTGGCATAAGAAATGACAATGAACAGGCTGGGCGCAGTGGCTTGCGCCTGTAATCCCAGCACTTTGGGAGGCCAAGGTGGGCGGATCACGAAGTCAAGAGACCAAGACCATCCTGGCTAACACGGCGAAACCCCGTCTCTAGTAAAAATACAAAAAAATTAGCCGGGCGTGGTGGCTGGCACCCGTAGTCCCAGCTACTCAGGAGGCTGAGGCAGGAGAAAGGTGTGAACTGGGAGGCGGAGCTTGCAGTGAGGCGAGATCGCACTGCTGCACTCCAGCCTGAGACGGAGCAAGACTCCGTCTCAATTAAAAAAAAAAAAAAAAAAAAAAAAGACAAGAAGGTAGCACACTTGTTGCAGAAAAGACAAGTTCCTAGAACAGAATGACAGTGGTGCTCATGTAGCATCTTGGTGGCCTATAGCACAGCCATGACTGCAGTCATGATTTTTCATCATCAGTTCTGCATGGTGGTTTGCATATGTATCTTTGAATTTGAGCCTCAACTCTGGCTCTTCAGCTTTCATTGGTTCTGTGAGATTCCTGCTACTCCATCAATAAATCCTTTTTCATTTACATAATCAGCTAGAGTCAGCTTTTATTGGATGTAAGTGAGAACACTGGCAGAATTATACTCTAATAGAGTTATCTCAGGTGGGTATAGTCTCTACAATCTGCAGAGGGCAAGAAGAACTAACGCTTTGGCATTGCAGGTTGCTCTGAATTCTCCCTTAGCTCCACAGTGGTCTATGAAGCTTTATCCCTTAACATATTTTATTGAAGAAAATATTCCAAAAGTCAAAATAACTTGGAAGAGGGTTTTAAGATGTCTGTGTGTGTCTGGATTTTTTTCACTTAGCATAATGTTCTACAGGTTCATCCACATCGTCACTAATGGAAGAATTTCTCTATTTTTTAAGGGCCAAATAGTATTCCACTGTGTGTATATATCACATTTTGTGTATCTACTCATCTGATGACAAATACCTAGGTTGCTTCCGTGTCTTGGTTATTGTGAATAATGCTGCAATGAATTTGGAAGTACAGATATCTCTTTGACATATTGATTTCAATTTCTTTGGATATATGCCCAGAAGGGAAATTGCTTAATCATATGGTAATTCTATTTTAAGTGTTTTGTGGAACTTCTATACTGTTTTCCACGGTTATATTAATTTACATTTCCACCAACAGTGCACAAATGTTTACTTTTCTCTGCACCCTCAGCAATACTTATCTTTCATCTTTTTGGTGATAGCCATTCTAACAGATATGAGGTGATACTTCATTCAGTTGAACTCTTAAAAGTAGAGAGTAGAATGGTGGTTAACTAAGGCTGGAGGGAAGAGGCAGCTGAGGGGAGGAGAGATGTTGATCAAAGGATACAACAATTCAGTTTGATGGAAGGAATAAGATTTAGTGATCTGTTTCATAGAATGGTGACTATAATAAATAATAATGCACCACATATTTAGAAACTACTAAAAGAGTGGATTTCAAATGTTTTAACCACAAAAAATAAGTATAGGAGATGATGAATTTATTAATTAGCTTGATTTAATCATTTCACAATGTAAATGATTATCAAAACATCACATTGTATCCCATAAATATATAATTATCATGTGTTCATTAGAAATAAAATTTAACAAATAATAAAAGAGGTATATGTTCACAGAAAAAACTTGAATATGAAGTCTAATGTAGACTGGATATTTTTAGTCAAATCATTAACTTTCTCTTCAACATATTGGAGACAACATCACAAACACCTCTCTTTCCTATCCCCCTAATTTTTGTGCCTTAGTTAAAAATATGAAAATTTCAGAGTGTTGGCAGGTGATCAGGTTAAGTAAAGAAGTTTATGTTAAGTGGTGACTTTTTTAAATTTTTTATTTATTTATTTTTTATTTATATGTATTTTTTATTATACTTTAAGTTCTAGGGTACATGTGCACAATGTGCAGGTTTGTTACATATGTATGCATGTGCCATGTTGGTGTGCTGCACCCATTAACTCGTCATTTACATTAGGTATATCTCCTAAAGCTATCCCTCCCTCCTCTCCCCACCCCACAACAGGCCCCGGTGTGTGATGTTCCCCTTCCTGTGTCCAAGTGTTCTCATTGTTCAATTCCCACCTACGAGTGAGAACATGCGGTGTTTGTTTTTTTGTCCTTGAGATAGTTTGCTGAGAATGATGGTTTACAGCTTCATCCATGTCCCTACATGATGACATGAACTCAAACATTTTTTATGGCTGCATAGTATTCCATGGTGTATATGCACCACATTTTCTTAATCCAGGTGGTGACTGCTTTAAGGTAGCTTATATTTTGGTTGATAGAGTTGATTCCCTGGTATCCTATGTTTATTTTCTGTAACGGTAGATGTTTCTTCACTATAAGCTCAGAAAGTATAGAAGCCCAGGTTTGAGTAAGAAATATTTAATTATTTGGCATATTTGAATGTATGCATGCCCTTCTATGCATTCTCTTCAGAGCTGGAACAGGAATTTCCCTTAAGAATCTATACCATTTCTAGTTTTTATTTGCTGCGCACCATGAACACCTTACCAAGACTTAGTAATAAGGAAAATACAAATTAAAAAACATTCTTGTTTCAGTGACGGATTCTCGTTCTTTGATATTATAGATAAAGCAATTTAATTTTTGTGAGTACAGTGAGTAGATGCTGTTTTTCATTATAGAAAAACCTATAGTTGGCAAGGAAAAAACAGTTGATAAATTTAAAACACATTTAAGATACATAAAGTTGCATTAGGATAAAGCCAAAATACAAATTAGAAACATGGGTCTTAGCTTTGTACATACCAACTGAATTACATATAGTTTTAGGACTTAAAAAATCTCCAAAATGGAAAAATGATACATAGATGAATAAAAATTGTACAGATCTTACCTACGATGAAACTTAGGACTTTGTATACTTTTTGCTTTGAGATAGGATCAGGGCTCTTTGTGTGTAATGAGTCACGCTTTTATGAGTAAGAAGCCAAGTGCTCAGACATCACCAGAAAATAGTTTTTTTTAAAATGAGAGAAATTTTGCATTTCTTATGGAATAATTGTAGAAGAATGTATATCATTTCAGTGTGTTCCAAGATATTTCTTTTGATGGCACTCCCAGCACTTTTTTAAGGGCATCTGTCATATCTTTGTTCCAGAGACTGTAGGTCAGGGGATTAAAGAATGGGTTTGCTGTGCAGTAAAACAATGTCACAAATTTCTGTGTCCCAGGGCGGCTCCTGGAGCCTGGACTCACATACATCACCATGACTGAGCCATAGAAGAAAGAAACAACCAAGAAATGGGAAGCACATGTAGAGAAAGCTTTGTTCCTGCCTGAGCCAGCTGGGACCCACAGAACAGCTCGCAAAACTAAGATATGGGACCCAAGAATGTAGAGGAAGGTGATGAAGATGATGAGAGAGCTTACTGTAGCACAAGTCAGAGTAGTTTTGGGAACTGGGGCACAGGACAGTGCCAGCAATGGTCCCAGGTTACAGAAAAAATGGTCAGTGATGTTAGGGCCACAGAAAGGCACTCGGGACATAAGCACTGCAGGCATCAGTATGGATAGAAAACCACCTGCCCTGCAGAAGGCCACTAATCGGACACACAGGTGGTGAGTCATGACTGTGGGATAATGCAAAGGTCGACAGATGGTAAGGAACCGATCAAAGGACATCACAGACAGAAAGTAGCCTTCTGCAGCACACATGGAGAAGTAGAAGAACTGGAGCAGGCAGCCAGCATAGGAGATGCTCTTGATATGGGAGATGAGATTGGCCAACATTTTGGGACATCAGAACTAATGCAGCAGATCTCCAGGAAAGAGAAATTAGCCAAGAGGATGTACATAGGTGTGTGGAGTTTCTGGCTTGACCACACAGCGCAGATGATGGATGTGTTACCCATGAGGGTCAGAAGGTAGATGAGGGAGAAGACCACAAAGAGGAGGATCTTGGTCTCCCTGCAGCAGGCAGGGGAAGCCCAGGAGGATAAATTCACTCACAGGCCCAGAAATGTTATTGGCTTCTATGACACTCATTCTTCTAATCTATGAAGGAAATGAACGATAGGGACCACTACAATAGCCATTTTCTCTCTCTTAAAGTGTTATATTTATTTCTTTTGACTCCAAGACAATCTTTTAATGCACTTTTGTGAAAAGTTCCATATAGTTCTCAATTCAATAACTCACCTCCCATCTTTGTCTTAGTTCAATGAAATCAGGGTTATGGGAGAATGTGGCTCAACATGTTACTACGTGATCCCACAGCCTCCACTATATCATATCTCTGTTTTTCAGAGTGTAAGTTTCATTGACATCACATAACATAGGGTCCAAACGACTTTCTCTATTTGCATTTAAATTAATTCTGCTTTGATGTAATGTTTTGTAATACACATATTCAAATATTTATACATATAATTTCTCCCTATTAGAAAATTTTGTATTGTATTTTGAAAAATTCTAAGAAAAATCAGTTTAAACATAATCTAAAATTGAATTAGGTCAGTACAAAAAGAGAACCTCATTATGTTGTCAATAAATTATGTTTTTAGGAGATCTGTCCTGGATAGTTCTGTTGACTGAAGTAGGGTACTGAGGATGCTGCCACAGATTTCATGCTAGCACGTGTTTGTTTGCTCCGTATAGTGGCATTTAACTTCTATTTGCTGAGCAACAGCTAATTTGACACAGAAAAGTTGCCTTCAACCCTTTACTAGGAAGATCTTGCTCTATGATAGAAAAACAGCAAGAGGCAGATGGAAAAACATCTATTTCCTTAGCTCAGATGCCTTCTCATCTTGTTACTATACTGGTGATGAATTATCTTATATTAAAAAATAAACCATAAATTTAACTTTAAAAATGTGAGAGGAATACACCAGTGTAGAATGTTAGTGTCAGAAAGGACCTCTAGTCTTATTAAGCTCAATTTCCTCGTATCACAGAAACTGAGACCAGAGAGGTTAGAATGATCCAAAGTTATGTTGGCTGTTAGAAGAAAGAGGCCTAAAACTTAGGTGTTCATATATTCAGTTCAGACTTTTTCTCATAAGCCTCTGCTATTGTGGGACCCTGCTTTTTTTGTCAGCTCAGATGGTTGCAAAAGTATATTGTGTATGTATTATACTGTTCCTTCCTTTGAATTAGATCCCTATTTATAATAAAGGAGGACATTAACCAGGTTACTAACCAAAGCTGACAATTGCTACATCATATCCCCTATTCACCTTTGACCTGCCCTTTGCCCTAATTCTTGGCATCATTTATGGCATAAATCTACTTTTGGACACTTTCTTTAAAGAACATTTGACTTCTAAGATAGTAAGCATAACAACAACCACTGTCATGTATTAAATGTTTATTGTGACAGTTACATAATGTTCATTATCTCATTAAATCCTCCTCCCCTCTCCTTTCCAGTTTTAGAGTAGAAAAACACTCTCACATGTTTAAATGTACCATTTGAATTCTATTGTGCTTCTAAATACATTGAATCTAAAATTCAAGTTTTTATTCTGTCCAGCTTTCAGCTATGTATATAATGTGCTAGCTGTTTTCTCTCATTGCATCTGATTCCATTTGTTCACATGTAACTTGCTTCTATCTAATTTTTGCTTGTGAATTTGAAAGATTTGCCTCTGGACATCTGTGTTAGGAACTGAGGTTATATATCATAGGAAAATATTATTTACATATTTCTTATAGATTATGTAGTTTACATTAGATACATCACCTGAGGCCAGGTTTGTGTCCTTCCCTTCCATGCAGCGAGTCCTCCAGGCCCCAGGTAGGTCTAGAGGTGTTGTCTGGTACCCAGGGACTGGAGTCAAAAACCTTAGACGTCTACCTGGTATTCTATTATACTGCAACTGAGCTGGCCCTCAAGCCACAAGACACAGCCCTTCCCACTCTTCCCTCTTCTTTCCACAGGCAGAGGAGAATGACCCTGTGGCCACCACCATCACAGGCCTATGGTGAGTAACTGCCACACTCCCACCTGTGTGTACTTAAGGCCCACAGGCTCTTCAGTCAGCTTGTGGTGAATGCTGCTATGCCTGGGAATCACCTTTCATGGACATGGGCTCCCCTCTGGCCCAGAGAAGCTCCAGAAATGCCATAAAAGAGCCATGGGCTAGAATAGGGAACCTCAAGAGCCCCCTTGATGCACTATGCCCATTTGACTGTGCTGGTACTTAAGGTACAAGACAAAGTCCCCTTGACCTTTCTCTTTGCTTCTCTCAAGCAGAAGGAGTCTGTCACTGTAGTCACCACAGCTGGGAATGTGCTAGGTCTCACCTGAAGCTAGTATGTCTCGAGTCTCACCCAAGGCATATGGCATACTATTTGGGTGTTGCTTCTCATTATTCAGGGCCCAAGGGCTCTTTAGTCAATAGGTGATGGGTCTTGCCAGGACTGGTTCTTTCCTTCAAGGCAGCAGGTTCCCTTCTAGCCCAGGGTGTGTCTAGAAATGTCATCTCGGAGCTAGGGCCTGGAATGGTGCCTCATGACGGACCAATATTCTTTCTTACTGTAATGAGCTGGGATCTAAGATGCAAGACAAACATCATCTTTACTCTTCGCTTTCTTTTATTCAAGCAGAAGTAAAGGATCTCTTTTGGAGCCACGAGCTGTGCTGCTGGGGTTAGGGGAGGTGTGGGCAAGGACTCTCTTAGCTGCCCCAGCTGTTGTTTCAGTAAGTCATGTGTTCCCAAGTCCATTGGCTCCAAGCCCAGCTCAGCACCAGGACTTGCTGTCCTTGTGGCCTAGACTGCCTGTCAAATTTATTTAGGACCCTAGAGTACTCCAGCTCATGGCGGCAAGGCTTGCCAGAACTCAAGCTCCATCTGCTGGAGTGGGCAAATTGCCCTCTGGCTGGACCTTGTCTAAAGGCTCCCTCTGTGGGTCTGTGTCAGCTGAGTTCAGCACAGTTTTGCTTTCCACTGTGATAGGGCAGCACTGAGTTCAATGCAAAGTCTCATGATTGCTGCACTTTCCCTCTCCCAAACACACATTTCTCTGTGCCATGTGGCTGCTGTAGTGGGGATGAGGGAGAGTTGGCATCAACAATTCACGGCTCTCTTTCTGACTCTCTTTAGTGCCTCTTTCAATGATACGGAGATAAAACCAGGTATTGTGAGTGCTCATATTATTTTTGGTTCTTATGAAGGTGCTGTGTTTGTGTAGACAGTTGGTACATTTGGTGTTCCTGTGGGAGGACAATTGATGGAGCCTTCTATTCCACCATTTTGTTCCAGCCACTTCCAAATGCTTTTTCTTTTTCTTATTTATTTATTTTTGAGATGGAGTCTCACTCTGTCACGAGGCTGGAGTGCAGTGGTGCAATCTCCGCTCACTGCATCCTCCACCTCCCAGGTTCAAGCAATTCTCTTGCCTTAGCCTCCTGAGTAGCTGGGGTTACAGGTGCACACCACCACACCCAGCCAATTTTTGTATTTTTATTAGACATGGCGTTTCACCATGTTGGCCAGGATGGTCTCGATCTCTTGACATCGTGATCTGCCCACTTTGGCCTCCCAAAGTGCTGAGATTACAGGCGTGAACCACTGCACCCGGCCCCAAATGCTTTTTCTGAATCTATGGAGATTATATGTTTTTAGTATTTTTGTTAATGTGGTGTACTACATTTATTGATTTGCATATGTTGAATCATCCCTGCATCTCAAGGATAAATCTCTCTTGATCATGAGGTGTGATACTTTTAATGTGCTGTTGAATTCTGTTTGTGAGTATTTAAGTTTGTTGAGAATTTTTGCATCTTTATTCATCAAGAATATTGACCTGTAATTTTCTTATCTTATAAAGTCTTTGGCTTTGATATCACAGAAATACTAGCCTCATTTAATGAGTTTGGAAATGTGGTTTTTCTTCAATAATTTGGAAGAGTATATAAAGAACTGGTATTTTTAAAAAATGTTTGGTGGCATTTATTAACAAAGCCATCTCTTCCTGAGCTTCTTTGCTGAGAGGTTTTTAATCAGTTTTTTATTGGTGATTCAATCTTCTTATTCACTATTGGTCTGTTTAAATTTTCGGTTTCTTCATGATTCAGTCATAGGAGGGTGTACATTTCCAGAAATTTATCATTTCTTCTTGGCCTTCCAATTTATTGTCAAATAATTGTTTATAGTAATCCCTTATGATCATTTGTATTTTTATGGCATGAGTTGTATTGTTTCTTCTTTCATTTCTGATTTTATTTATTTGAGTCTTCTCTATTTTTTCTTGGTTAGTCTAGCTAAGATTTGCCAACATTATTTTATATTTCATCGATTATTTCTATTGTTTTCCTATTCTGTATTTGATTTATTTAATTTCTGTTCTAATCTCTGTTATTTAATTCCTTTGGTAAATTTGGGCTTAATTTGTTCCTTTTTACTTCCTTGAAGTTTAAAGTAAGGTGGGTTTGTTTTTGGACATTTTTCTTATGTTTAGAGTAGATGTTTATTGCTATACTGCCTCAATACCACTTTAGCTGCATCCATAAGTTTTGTTATTTTGCGTTTTTGGTCTTTTTTTATAGGTAGATACATTCTAATTTCCCTCGATATCTTTTTGACATAATGGTTTTTCAAGAGTGTATTGATTTCCACATATTTGTGAATTTTCTAGTTTTGCTTGTTATTGATCTTAGTTTTATATCATTATAGATAGAAAAGATACTTTTCCTACTTACATAATTTCTATATTCTTAAATTTACTTGTGCTTGTTATGTGGCCTAACAGATGACCTATCCTGAAAAATGTTATATAGTCACTTGAGAAGAATGTGTATTCTGCTGTCACTGGATAGTTCTGTACATGTCTATGAGGTCCTTTTGTTTTATAGGATGTTTAAGATTGCTATTTCCCTACTGGTTTTCTGCTAGAGATTCATTCCCATTATTGAAAGTGGCGTAATGTTGTGTCTCATTGTTATTTTATTGCTGTCTATTTCTCCCTTCAAATCTGTCAATGTTTGCCTTATATATAGTTAGGTACTCTGATCTTGGGTGCCTATACATTTATAGTTGTTCTAACATCCTGATAATTGACCTTTTTATCATTATATAATGACCTTTTTTATTTCATGTGACAGTTTTTAACCTAAAGTCTATTTGGCCTGGTATAAATTTAGCCACTCCTGCTGTCTTTTCGTTATGATTTGCATGGAATATTTTTTTCCCTCCCTTCACTTTCAGCCTTTGGGCATCCTTGAATCTATAGTCTCTTGTTGACAGCCTATAGTTTGATTTTATTTTTTAATGCATTTGGACGTTCTTTGTCTTTTGACTGGGGAATTTTTAATCCATTTACAGTCAGCTGGATGTAGGTTCCACATCCACAGAGTCAACCAACCATGCATAAAAAAAATCACACACCCCCATAAAAATAACAATGATAAAAAATGGAATAATAAAAGTAATGCAAACTAGATGGTGTAACAGGTATTTATATACTGTTTACATTCTATTAGATATGATAAGTAATCTAGAGATGGTTTAAAGTATAGGGGATGGTGTGCATGGGTTATATGCAAATACTATATCACTTAATATAAAGGACTTTAGCATCCATAAATTTTGGAATCCACAGGCGATCTTGAAACCCATCTTTCATGGATACTGTGGGACAACTGTATTTACAAAGTTGTATTAATAAGTAAGGACTTGCTATGGCACTTCATTTTATTTTTTCTGTGTTATAATTCTTCTTTCTTTTTTCTCTTGCTGTTTTCTTTTGTGTTCATTGATATTTTTGTATTGATATGTATTTATTTCCTTTTCTTTTTCTTTTGTATATTTTCTGTAGTATTTTATTTTTTTGGTTACCTTGGGGCTTATGTAAAACATCATATATATGGAGGCAAAGTTTATTCTAAGCTAATAACAACTCAACTTTAATCACATAAAAAATTATGCACTTCTCCCACTTTGTTATTGATGTCACAATTACATCTTTTATATGTGTATATCTACTATTATACTTCTGTAGTTATAGTAATTTCTACTTTGTTGTCTTTTGACTTTCATATTAGAAAAAGGTGCACCACCATTACAATGTTGCACAATTTTGTATTTGTTTAAATAATTAGCTTTTCCAGTAAGTTTTATATTTTAATATGCTTAGTTATGCTTAGTTTTGCTATTTAGTATTATTTTGTTTGAGTTAAAGGGCTCACCTGTCATTTATTTTATGACAAATCTAGTGGTGATGAAGTTGTCTCTCTCAGCTTTTGCTTGAGAAAGTCTTTATCTATTCTTCATTTTTGAAGAAAATTTTTTTCCAGAAATTGCATTCTTGGTTGAGAATTTCTCTCTTTCAGCATTGTCTTGCTTCTTCAAAATTCACTCTTTTTGACTTTTGACATATAATTATAATATGTCTTTGTGTGGACTTCCCTTGAATTTGTTTTATTTCAGTTCCATTTGGCCTCATGTATCTGTATGTCCTTTTTCTTCTACAGATTTGGCAAGTTTTTAGCCAGCACTGTACTTTCCTTCTTATTTTTCTCTTCTCCATCTGGAACTTTTGTGATCAGTATATTATTTCACTTTATGATGTCCCTTAAGTCCGTAGGTTCATTTGCTCTTTTTTATTCTTTTTTCTTTTGCTCCTTTGTCTATATAATTTGAAATGACTGGTGTCTGGATTAGCTGATTCCTTCTTCTGTTTGATCAAGTCTACTTGTGAACACCCCCTAGTGATTTTTTTTATTTCCGTCATAGAATTCTTAGCTCCAGAATTTCTAATTGTTTCTTGTAAAATTTCTATATCTTTACTTCAATATTTTTATCTTGCTCATCTATCATTGTTGTGATTTCATTTGTGTCTCAGTGTTCTCTTGTGGCATGCTGAATTATCATGGAGCCCCAGAGCTCTCCTTTCCTCATGTGTGCTGCTTCTTTCATATGTGATAACTATAATGAACTTTAACAAATCTCAAATTCGAGTACATTCCCAATCACCTTCTAAAAGTAACCTCCTAACCTCCACTGATTCCTCAGATGTGGTAGTTTGAAAGTTGTTCCCATAGATTTCAACTACAGGCCAACCAGAGGGGACCCATGGCCACTAGAATGGTCCAGTGACCTTTATACTTCAGTGTGTGTAAGAATCACCTGGGATCCTATTTAACATTCAAGTTTCTGAGCCTTCCCCTAGCCAGTAGATTTTATATACAAAATGTGAGGGAACCATTACCCTTTTCAAGTGATTAAAAAAAAATCAGAGGTGAAGCAATTAGATTTGGCTACATTTAATTTGATGTTTTATCTTTCAAGAGATTGGGATGGTTCTAGTGAAAATTATAGCTAATCTGAATATGGCTTCTAACTGTTACTGGGTGTTTATGTCATTTCTTTACTCTGATCAACAATATTGGGCAGGTGTAGTGGCTCACGCCCATAATCTCAGCACTTTGAGAAGCCAAGGCGGGAGGTTCACTTGAGCCCAGGAGTTTGAGACCAGCCTGGACAACCTGGGGAGACCTCCATCTCTGCAAAATAAAACAAACAAACAGACAGACATAAAAACACCTAGCTGGGCGTGTTGGTATACACCTTTGGTCCCAGCTACTTGGGAAGCTGAGGTAGGAGGATTGCTTGAGCCACAAGGTCAATGCTCCAGTGAGCCGTGATTGTGTCACTGCACTCTAGCCTGGAAAACAGAGCAAGACCCTGTCTCAAAAAACAAACAGCATACGTCTTATTGTTTTGTTCGCTTATTTCTGAAATAATCTCGTTAGTAAAGCACTATACTTGATAAACAGTCTGATTTAATGAATAAGGATTTAAACTTTAGATTTTGGAGAGCCAAGATTAACTAACCGTTGATCACAAGGAGCACACTGTGCAACAAGCTACTCTGATAGGACAAAAGTCCTAGGAGGGCTATATAAGCAAAATCTCACTCAAGGACTGAACTTTAAGCCCTATTCACTTTTAGCTAATCAAGTGATGGGCAAGTTGACATCTATAGGGAAGAGAGAAGAGGATGTGTTTCTGAGCTTTCCTTCTTCAGTCAGGCAACTCTGTGATTCATTAATTTCCTCCCTTCCTCCTCCACACCCTGGCATGTTGGCCCATAGCCACAAGGTGGCAGGATAACCAGTAACATTTTATTCAAGCCAACTGAAGCCCTGCGGGGGCTTTGAAGTTCACACACACTGTCCACCTTCCACATACTGATGCTGGGAGCAATTTAGAGCAAACATCATCCAGAGTCATATTACTAGATGACTGGATTGCTTCTTTTGTCCCTCAATCCTGCTCTCCTTTCAGTGCTAACTCAAGGAAACACTAAGTTTACACTTTGCAGGAGCCCCTGGAATAGTTAAAGCTTTAAACCATTTCACATCCAACTCAATGATCTGTTACAAAAAATACCTGTTGATTTTCTGTCATTTTAATGGATACCTAGCTTCCTTTTATAAATTGGCATTACAATAGTCTGGTATTAGTATTGATCTGGAATCTATGTGCTTCCAGATCAGTCCCATTCCTTTTACTTTTAGAATAAGACAAAATGTAGCTCAGACACCATTCTTCCATGAAACCACATCTCTCTAAGAAGATGCTGGAAAGTCAGTCTTTCTCAAAAAGTAGTTTTCCCCTCAAGTTTCAACACATTACTCCACTGTAAGTTTAGACAGTATAAATATGTATAAAATATATATATATAATATATATATATTTTAGTATAATATTATGCTTCAGCTTTTCCTGCATGTTTTTCTTTCTTTTCTCTTACACCCTTCTCTGTGATCTCATCTGACAATCACTACCATGGCAACCAAGCCTCTGTGACGTTCCAGCAAGCTCATTGTCTTCTCTTCACTAAACTTTAGTTAGTAGTTGGTCCCAGTCAGTAACACTCTGGGAGGGCTCAGGCCACATCACGAAATGTGACAGGATAGCCTTGAACTCATCAATTGCTGGGTAAGAAAGAATTTTAATGCAATGGCAAACAACCAATCAAACAAGCAAACAAAAACAATAAACCCTTCCTTGAGGACCAAGAAGACATTGATTAGCTAACCTAAGAGCTCCAGGTGGAGACCTAGGTCCTGATTGGGTTTCTGAATTTGACCACTAGGCAGAAAACTAGCACCCAAAACCAGTTGGAATAAAATTACCCACCTACAGTGGAGCCAAGGCCCCCAGATCCTTTTTGTCAGGTAAGAATAGGTTGAAATAACCTGGCTGGTTGTGGGACAGGCCCCCTCTGTGAGTGGTGCAGTTAAGGACACCCAGACTGCCCTTTCACTCTGCTTTCCCTGGGGTAATGTGTATGGCTCCTAGTCTTTCACGTTCTCTTCTGTAATTCGGGAGGAGGAAGAGAAGATACTCACTGCACATATTGTGTCAGTTAATACTAATCTGAGAGCAATAATTTATGATCTTTTGAGGTGAGGTTTGATTTTTACCACTGTGCTGTTCCTGTCTCCTAATATGTTGTATCAGATTGTAACTAAGTTGAGGTGAGAATTAATTGAGGACTATATATTTGAGCCTCCTTAGAATCTCACCCACCTTTGAGATAACTTCATGTTTTAGGTTTTCTCAAGTCAGAGTGTTGAGTCCTTAAATCAGTATATGCTGGGCAGTGAAAAAACACTGGTACACTTTGATTGCCTAAGCTTAGTGAACAGCAGGGGCGGTGGGAGGCAGGCCTTTTTAACACCTGTCTTTGCTGAGTTTCATGCTGAAAAAGCCTTGAGGCTCAGACTCAGCCCACAGGTCTCTGCAATCCCTCCATCTCCCTTCTGCCCTTTCCATGCATAGCCTTCACAGCAGTTTTTTGTGAATTATTTGTTTTTTTGAGCTCTCTCTTAAGGTTAATTTTTCTTAAGAAATATTTACTCTCAATATTATAAAGGTGTAGAAGTTTATTGTAGAGAAATGTGGGAAAACATATTGGCAAAAAGAATATAAGGATAAAACCATTTAAGGTTTCCCCTTCCATCTATACTTATATTTATAGTTGGGCTCTAATGGCATTTAAATGCAAAATGTAATATACATGTTTATTTATATTTTTAAAATATTAATAATTGATTAGTTAATTCAACAATAATAATTGTTAACATTCCAGACACTACTATAAATACTCATGAATACAGCAGTGAACAAAATGGATAAAAATTCCTGACTTGTGGAAGTTATATTGTAATGGGGGAAGACGGGGTAAATAAACTATGTGGCATGCTTGGGGGGCGATGAGTAAAGATGGAGAAAAATTAGAAGGTTCAGGTCAATAGGAAGTGTGTGTTGGAGGTGACAGGTGGCAGGTGTACATTTTTCCCTCAGCTTAATTAAGGTTTAATTTGAAAACATTGTACATATTTATGGTATACAAGGTGATATTTTGATATATGTGTACATTGCAAAATGATTAAATCAAACTGATTAACATATCTGTCACCTCACATGCTTGCCATTTTATTGTTGTGAGAACATTTAAGATCAACTCTCTTAGCAATTTTCAAGTATTCTTTTGGCCCTTAGTATCTGTGGTTCTGCATCTGCAGATTCAATCAATCACAGATGGAAAATATTTAGAAAAAAATAAAAATAACAATATGACAAAAAATAATTCAAATATATAGTATAACAACTATTTACGTAGCATTTACATTGTCTTAGCTACTATAAGAAATGTAGACATTATTTAAACTACATGGAAGGATGTGTGTAAGTTATATGCAAATACTGCACCATTTTATATGAGGCGGTTGAGCATCTGCTGATTTTGTTGTCTCCAGGGTGAGCTGGAACTAGTCTCCCCTAGATATAAAGAGACAACTGAACAATATGTTATTAATTACAGTCACCATGCTATACAGTACATCTCCAGATCTTATTGATCTTGTTTAGCTGAGACTTTGAACTCTTTAACCAATATCTCCCCATCCCCACTGGGTGTAATTTTCAATAGCTAGTCAGGGAAGGCCTCACTGAGAAGGTGATATTTGAGAAAAGACTTGAAGGAAGTGTTGGGGCAAGAAATATAAATATCTAGCAAAAGAGCATTACAGGCAGAGGAGATGGTATGTATAGGCGCCACAAGGCAGGGGGATGGCTGGCATGCTTAACACACAGCAAGAAAGCCTCATCTCTTCTTCATGCCTGCCTCACATTCAATATATTTAAATATGGTTCCTTCCCCATCATAACCCTGCAATGGCCATTGCAGAAATCACCAATAACATTCATGTGTCTAAGTCTTATGGACATTTTTTTTTCAAGACGTATCTCTTCTCAGCAGAATTCAGCACTGCTGTTCCAACACATTTTTTCCTTTGGCTTCAGTGTCAACTCTATTCTACTTTGCCTCCTGATTGCCCAGAAAACTCCCACATTTCTGGCTACAACTCCTCTATTTGATTTGTGGGCTTCTTTTCCTTTATTTGGCCATTAAATTCTGAAGCTCTGTGAGGCTGAGTTCCAGGCCTTCACATCTTTCAATGCTATACTATTGTCTAGGTCATTTTCTTCTCCAAAGCTTTGGTTATTACTTATTTGCCAATGAGTATATCAAATTGTTAATACAAATTGCATCCTCAGAGTTCCAGATGACAACTGCTACATGGTATTAATATTTGACTGCTGGATGATAGTTTTACTTGAATGTTTCAGGGGCACCTCAAACTCAACTCCAAAATTGATCTAATGAACTTTCCCAAACCACATTCCCTTCTTGCATTTCTGAGAGAATGGATTCCCATTCATCTGACTACAGTGCTACCCTGAAAGCAGATCCAGAGACTAAGATTCACCTGCAGGTGATTCATTTGGTAGGTATCAGAATCTCTGGTAGGAGAACTGGGAAGTGGGGCAAAGACCCTTATAAAGAGTGAACTATGAAGCAGTTACCAGAATGGATAACTGTGGATTAAACTTGGAATAACTCTGAGATCCAGTGTAGATAACTCATCTCAGAAACATGCTGAGAGATAAAGGGTATTCGTACAACAGTTTCTGATAGTCATTAGTTATGGACTGTCTCCTAGCGGCATTGATTCCTCAGCATGCCCAACCTGCAGCAGGGACAGCAAAAGCGGCTTCTGTGATCAGAGAAAGCCCTCAGGTAAGGAAATGCAGGGGTGAATGCTGGAAGTCAGGCTGGCATGCACTGAAGTATTAGGGTGAGGCGCCATGGCAAGGTATCTGACCATCTTTCTAACCGTTCACCTCCATTTCCAATCTTTAAATACATTTTACTTCCCAAATATGTAATAATATGCATTTCCTTCAATTTCTACCACCACCTCTACTGACTGCCTCCATCTTTTTCAAATATACTTGCCTCATTCAGCACATTCACATTGTGCAACCACCACCTCTTTTGAGCTCCAAAACACTGCCATCACCCCATAGAAAACCCCAGTCCTCTTCCCCTCCATCCATGGCCGCCACCTGGAGTGTGTTTGGCCCATGGAGGACACTGCACATTGTTGGTGGGCATGATTAAATAGTTGCTGCTTTTCTGCAGTTATCACTGTATTTTGAGTGAAAGTTTCATAATTTTCAGTGTTTTATCTGGGTTGATAGGATCCAATTTTAGTTCTTGAGTTTCTTTTTTGAGCAACTATAACAATTTTAAGGATTAACATGTCATGACATTTATTCTTTACTAGAGGTCTTCCAAAGAACAAAGATAAATTTACTTATTTTAAAAACAGAATAAAATTCATCCTGTCTTGCAAAAATACACAAAAATACAAAAACAAATATACTTGCCTCATAATTAGTTTCACATTTACCCTTGTCCTTCTCTAAACTCTTCACTACCGTGGCCACAGTTACTGTTTCAAAAAGGGAGATGAAATCATGTCATATTCTATTCTCTGTGCCTGAAATCCACTTTTCACCCTCATCTCCCTTTATTTAAAGTATGTTATTCATTTTTCTAGGGTCTCAACTCAAGCATTCCTTTCTCAAGAAGCCTTTTATGGTATGAAGAGTGAGACAGAGTTCCCTGCGCCACCTCCATTGAATCATGTTAGGCCTTAATGTACCTTTCCTTTATAACACTTACTGAATGATTAATTTGGCATTTATTTACCTGGCTATTTTATTCAGTGTTTAGGATTTATACTAGATTGTAAGCTCCTCAAGAGTGTTCCAGGTCTAGTTTAAGTCACCATGTATCCCTGATTAGTACCACACATCCCAGTGCAGCATGGTTCTCAACAAATAACATGTTATATAAATCAATAAATGACAGGAACAAAGATGTTTTTCAATTTGTATTACAATGTTTTCTACTATCTGGCAGAATCTTAGTAGGATTTAATAGAAATCAGGCAATGTCTACTCCTTAACCTGACTTTGAGAGAGAAACACTGATTTTTAAGAATCACTCCCAATTCTGACTTTTTCTCATCATTATGTGGGTGAGGTAGAGATATTTCTGAGGCTTTTTTGTTCAGGAACTTGTCTCCTTGGACATTTTAACTAGGTCATCACTAGATCATTGCTACATGAGGTATGGTCTATTGACCAGCAACATCAGTGTCAGCTGGAGACTTTTAGAAATGCAGAATCTCCATTCTGACTGGTGTGAGATGATAGCTCATTGTGGTTTTGATTTGCATTTCTCTAATGACCAGTGACGACGAGCTTTTTTTTCATGTTTGTTGGCTGCATAAATGTCTTCTTTGAGAAGTGTCCATTCGCATCCTTTGCCCATTTTTTGATGGGGTTGTTTGTTTTTTTCTTGTAAATCTGTTTAAGTTTTTTGTAGATTCTGGATATTAGTCCTTTGTCAGATGGATAGATTGCAAAAATTTTCTCCCATTCTGTAGGTTGCCTGTTCACTCTGATGATAGTTTCTTTTGCTGTGCAGAAGCTCTTTAGTTTAATAAGATCCCATTTGTCTATTTTGACTTCTGTTGCCATTGCTTTTGGTGTTTTAGTCATGAAGTCTTTGCCCATGCCAATGTCCTGAATGGCATCGCCTAGGTTTTCTTTTAGGGTTTGTATGGGCTTAGGTCTTACACTTAAGTTTTTAATCTATCTTGAGTTAATTTTTGTGTAAGATGTAAGGAAGGGATCCAGTTTCAGCTTTCTGCATATGTGATCACTAAAAAGTCAGAAAACAACAGATGCTGGAGAGGATGTGGAGAAATAGGAATGCTTTTACACTGTTGGTGGGAGTGTAAATTAGTTCCACCATTGTGGAAGACAGTGTGGTGATTCCTCAAGGATCTAGAACTAGAAATACCATTTGACCCAGTGATCCCATTACTGGGTATACACCCAAAGGATTATACATCATTCTACTATAAAGACACATGCACAAGTATGTTTATTGCAGCACTGTTCAAAATAGCAAAGACTTGGAACTAAACCAAATGCCCATCAATGATAGACTGAATACAGAAAATGTGGCACATATACACCATGGAATACTATGCAGCCATAAAAAAGGATGAGTTCATGTCCTTTTCAGGGACATAGATGAGGCTGGAAACCATCATTCTCAGCAAACTAACACAAGAACAAAAAACCAAACACCGCATGTTGGCTCACTCATCAGTGGGAGTTGAACAATGAGAACACATGGACACATGGAGGGCAACATTGCACACTGGGGGCTTTTCAGGGGTGGGGGGCTAGGGGAGGGATAGCATTGGGAGAAATACCTAATGTAGATGATTGGTTGATGGGTGCAGCAAATCACCATGGCACGTGTATACCTATGTAACAAACCTGCACGTTCTGCACATGTATCCCAGAACCTAAAGTATATATATCTATAAAAAGAAATGCAGAATCTCATGCCCCTCTGACTCAATAAGCATTTTTAAAAGTCTATCAGTATTTTGCATCACTTTGTTCCTCCAAGCCTTGGCCCAACACCTAGCACATAAGATGAAGTTTTGGGTGATGAATGAATATGCTAAAAAATAAGAGTGAAGGAATATATGAAAGGAGGGAAAGAACACCATGGGAAAGTGAAAATATATCATACTATGATATTTGAGTATTAGATCCTGACAATTTAGTTTCAACACTTTTGGTTTTGTATGATATGAGGAAATAGTGTTCACTTTGTCGGTATTAAGCTCATAGGTGTTAAAGCAAACTAAATATGGCCTGAGAAGGACTTGTACTTCCATATTTGAATCCTTGTGGATGAACTGTAACCTAGCTTAATAGGCAGACAAAATTGAAAACCTAACTTACGAGTATGCACCTGCAACAAATAGCTAAGTCTTAGCCAATCTCAGTGGCCATACTTCAATCATTAATACACTGATGAGGCAAATGCCAATCTGTAACCAATGCAGCTGTTCCTGTAACTCACTGCTGATTTCTGTATGTCATTTCCCTTTTGTTTGTCTATAAATTTACCACCACATGGCTGTGCTGGAGCCTCTGTGAATCTGCTGTGATTCTGGGGGCTGCCTGATTTGTGAATCATTCATTGCTCAATTCAACTCCTTTAAATTTAATTCAGCTGAAGTTTTTTCTTTTATCATATGTCTGGAAAAATCCTATAAGAGTAATGTAAACAGCATTTGCTTTCCAGGGTGGGATGCAGTTCCAGGAGAAAGGATACCATTCATTTCTTCTGAACGCCTTCAAGAGACATGTGAATGATAAATATGCCTGATAACATCTCAGGCACGTTTGTGTTATGAGAGGAAAGTAAGGAAAATCTGAAAGTTTCTTGGGTGTATAAATAGAGATGGCTGGAAGAAGATGGGGGAAAGTGAAAGCCATAACTGTTGAGAAAATTAAGCTTGTTGAAATATGCAAATTGGGTCTCGGCTCCATACACGGTGCTGATAGTTAGGACACTGAGACTGTCTCAAGAAGACAACCTTAAAGGCCTGAGAATCCAGTCTGTTTCCCTCTTCTAGGGCACCTCCTTCCCAGAAATGACACCATTAACACTTTTTAGCACTTATGTAAAGGTCTGGATCATTTGAAGTTACATGCCACTGTAGGACATTTTCTCTCTGAGTTGTTGGTAGATATTTATACTGTAGAGAAAATTTTGCACAATTTAAGTAACTATTTAGAAAATGAAACAAAAAATGGACAAATATGAAAAATATAGAAAAATTATTAATGGCACAGTTCATTTACATCAAATTGTTACTAATACTTTGCTGCATTACTCCTATTTTTTCTACTTCGAATCATATTATGACTAATTTTGAATTCTACTTTTTATTCTATTTTTATCACTTTAATAGCCTATCTTAAGTCTTTACCCATATTTTGGGATAATCTTTAAAAATATTTACTTTAATACGGGGAAGCATTCTATCATGTACACATACTACAGTTCTTAACAATAATCTACTGGTGGATGTTTCATTTATTTACATATTCCATTCATTCTCCAGGGCTTATTTTTCAATGAGGAAGCTTGAAGAATTGAGATAGATAAGAAGAAATGTAAATGTACAAAGTAGAGTATGTCTGAGGGAGGAGTACGAAACCAAGAAGCTGAAACTCTTGTCACACTTTATTTATGTGATGATTTTAGAGCATTGGTCCTATTGGAAGGACACTGGCAGGGTCCCTAAAACAGCACATGCTGCACTGAAGAGAACCTTGTTTCTTAAATGAGCTCTAGGCAACAAGTACATTTCCTTAGAACATTTATAGAAAATATGAGATACAACGAATGTCTTCGTGTACCTATGTATTGTTTTTATCTTTAACGATTAGGTATGCCTATCACGCAATGTTTTTTACAGATTTTGCTGTCAAAGGCTCCTCAGTGGCTGCTTCAGCCAGCAGCTAGGACTTCAGGTCAAAGTCCTGTTATGCTGATGCAGCTTCATTTCCTGAAGCAAGATCCCTCCCACTTCACTCTGATGGGAGAGTCTACTTTCTTTACAACTATTAAGCTAAGATTTTTGAGTTAACATTTTAAAAATATATTTTTCCTTTTATTTTTAGTTGACATGTAATAATTATATTTATGAGATATAGAGTACTAGTCCAATACACATAGACAATACGGGATGATCAAATCAAGGTAATTAGCACATCGCCTCATGCATTTAGCACTTCTTTGTCTTGTGAACATTCAAAATCCTCTCTTCTAGCTTTGTAAAAATGCACAATAAATTATAGTTAACTATATTCACCTTACAGTACTACAGAAACATTTAAAACATTATTTCTTGAGATCTTGGTTCTTTAGGTGACTGTTGTGGTGGTGATTAATCAGTATCATGAAAATACTTATGTTGTCTATCATGGTATTTCAGAAGACTACAGTTATAGAGCTGGGTGCATACAATTACCAACCACAATGATATGCATTTACATATTTCACCTTTTGACCTATTTCTTCATGAATATAGTTCATCTGTTTATAACTCTTATACTTGTGTGACTGTTGATAGAAGGCCTGAATGTTTATGCTTGCAAAAATGTGTGTTATCGCTTATTTTATTGTGTAAGGTGATCTTTGAAGTGTTCTGCTGTGTTTTTATTTTTGTGTTTTTATATGTTACTCAAATAAATACCTTTTAAAAATGTAAATAAATATATCTTAAAGAATTTTTAAAACTATTATTTCCAGAATTAAATTTTCAGGATTTCAGTCTTTTGGGATGGCGATTTTTGGAATTTTAGACTTTAAGGATTTTGTTCTTTTGATTTTCAACATTCGATTATGGTGTTTGGAACTGTGTCTTTCAAGATTGTGATTGATTCCAAATGCAACACAGGGTTAAAGGAAAGTGGAAAAGACATGAAAAAATTCTGAGCTGTGCCTTACCTGAAGCTGTTGTGTGAGAATTATAGAAACATGTAGAGAGTAGACATCTAAAGTTAGGTTTCTGTCTGCTGGAATACATGAGTCAACCTCATCCTCCTTGGTCTCCCATTTGAGAAAGTGTTCAGCAAAGAGGAACACAGTGGCGCTCACATCCAAAATTTCTTAGAAGGCCTTTAAAAGGGTCAGTGTTGGAAGGTAACATTATCAAGTACAGCAGTTATTTGGAGCCCACCCAATAACCATATTGTGGTTACAAGCAGATGTAAAGGGCACTGCAGTCTTTCCTGATTTAGGAAGCACCGATTACACCTGACTCTTTAGGAGAGTATGTAGCAGACACATTTTGAGCCATGGCTATCATACCCTGGACAGCTCCTCTTGGAGGAGTGGTGACTAAGAGCACGCTGTGTGTACACTCAGTCTTCACTGCTGACCTCCAGTCTCCACCTGCTTCATTTTTAAATAAATGTGCCAAGGTTTATTTTTGACCCTTCTGGATCATCCAACATTTCCAAGTGGACTCATCTAGGGATAACAGTGAGAAAGTTTTGGGAAGATCTCAAAAAGTGTTTCTTTAACTGAGATCTTAATTGGTTCAGCCTTTAGGGAAAAAGGGAAAGATGATGAGGCCTGGGTCTAATCTGAATAATCAGTTGACCTTAAGCCTGAATCAGAATATCAAATATAATTGGAAGCCTTGATATATGTTTTTATACTAACATAGCTATGTTTTCCCACAAAATAGATGATACTGGATTTAGGACTGAAAATGTAAGAGCAAGGGGTTCTATGAAGTCCAAGGATATAAAGACAGAAGTCAGTTATGGCAAAGAATTTACAAAACGCTTCAAAGGCTTATCTATCTCTTCCCTTCTTTCTACAATTCTGCACATGTGCCAGCCCCAAGGATTCTGTACTTATGTTGAGATTTTTGGATCAATATCTGTTTTAGTGGCACTTAACTTTAAACTATTTGCCCACTTGTTTCATGAATTTGTCATTTTAGTTTCACTTAAGAAGTACATTGTCAAACTATAGTGAATTTGGCGAAGAACAACTAGAGGGGACTTAGAAGTACGGAAAATGAGTAACAGTAGAAGGAATTGGGATATTTAAATTGGAGAACAAAAAGTTTTCTTGAAACAAATGAAGGGTAATTAATAAAGCAATTGAATTTGTCCCATTTAATCTCTAAAGTACAGAATTACTATAATTCTATAGGGTGACACATTTTAATTCATCATGGAGACTTACTTTTTAACAGAGAAATATATGCAATGATGGAACGAGCTGAAGAACAATACTTTCTATCAGTTGCTTTTGTCAGATATAGGTTGGGAAAGTGGGAGAGGGTATCTAAGCATCAGATGCAAATTTCTTTCAATCTTGAAATTCCATGATACGATCTAAGATATTTCAAGAAAAAAACCATTCAGGTTGATTTCAACAACATAAAAAACTGTAATGGAAAATATTAAGGCTAATTAGAACGTGAAGTTTTATTAACATTGATAACAATAATAATATTTTCTAAGGAACACTAGTTGACAGCAGACAAAGGGAGGGGGGATGAAATACTGGAATTGTGGTCAGCAAAGCCCCAGGGTTATGCCACAGGACTACAAGTACTCCAACTCTATTAAGGAAGAAATTGCTAATTTTTTTTTTTTCCCTGAAGCAATGTGTGTGGAAGTCTTTCACTTTCTGAGCCAAAACTTGAGGAGCTGACCCTGAGGTGGCAGTTTTCCTGGGGGAGCTGCTTAGATAGCTTTTCATGCAGGGATAGTCCCTCAATGCATTACCTTTCAGAGGCTATGGCATCAGGCCTCTATCCAGAAGGGGAGGAGGACTAGAGAGCGCTCAGGGGAGAGGGCGATAAGAGAGAGATTTGCTTGTCTAGGTGATGTTGCTGAGTAGCCCAGTGTGGACTCTGTGTCAGAGAGCTCCAAAGTACAGCAGCAACTTGGGGTCTTTACAGCCCCAGAATTTATCTTATCTATGGCATTTGAGTTAACAGGATTCAGCTTACTGTAAAGAAGTAAACACCCTAGGGGGCTATATAAAGAAGCCCTCTTTGGCCCATTTGTCTAACAGATGGTCTCTGAAATTGTTTGCAGTGACTTTTTACCTTTTTTTTTTTTGCTGTGTTTTTCCAGATTTAGACATTTATACTTTCTCTCAAGCTCATGTCATGCCAACAAAAAGTAGAGAATTAAACTAATTAGTCTACACTAAGGTTTCCAATTACAAAAGAGAATTTATTTTAATATTATGAAAACAACATGTGCTTATTTTAGAAAAAAATAATAACACAGGAAAGTATAGGAAGTTTAAATCATCCACAATACCATTTCTAAGACCATTTCTAGCCTCCTCTGTTTCTCTGTATTTCGTATATTAGATATCTATGTAATTATTTTCAAAATTGGAATCGTAGTGCATGCAGTTTTGTTAATACTTTTGTTTAATATATCATGTGTCTTTCCCCATAGCATTACGTGTTCTTTGAAACATGATTCTTAATGAGGACATTATAGTCCATTTTTATCAATGTACTTTATCCTTCTGTCTGGGGGCACTTATAATTTTATGCAAAATCTCTGTAAATTTGTGAAAATATTCTCAGAAATAGATAACGTGTGTGTATTTTTAAGATGTTTACCTCGTTTTTGCCCATTTAACTCCATAGCAAGGTAAGCTGTCATCAGTTGGAGGTAAGCGGAAGACAGTAGAGAGTACAGAGCCCTGGACTGTGACTCAGAGGATGAGCACCAGATCCAGTTTGCTGTGCCACAGTGGTAAGTCACCTAACCTTTATGTGCTTGGATTCCTCATATGTAATACAGGATCACAACTATTGTTCTCACTCATGCAATACTACTATTGTGAGAACCTCATGAATTAGAGAAACTCTGAATTTGCAATTTAGCTTTAGAACACTGACAAGTAGCTCATTGATTCTTGCCTCATTCCTCTGGAATAAAGTAGCTTTTTATCAAACAAGTGAACACATTGCTTTCAGTGGAGGCAGAAGGAATTCATTTTGAAAAATGCACATAGCATTCTCCAACCCATTTTTGCATATTCTTTTTTAAGGGAATGCCTTGTGTGAGAGGACTAGCAGGGTATCAGAACTGTTTTTTGAAAGAACTTTGTTTGCAGGTGCTTTCAAATATGTTGTCTTCAACTATCATTTTCAGTGTAAAAAGCGGGCTTGGAGTAAGCACTGCCTGCAGACCACTTTTGTGAGCCCTCCTTTCAGTGATGTGATGGCAATCCAGGCCCCTGCTGGGAGAGATTTCTGCCTGGTTAAACCTCTCACAGCTTCTAATCCTCTCTTTCTCATCTGGCTTTCCTTAGCCTTCTCCAAAGTCACTCACAGAAGGCATCCCACTCAACCTCACCTTGGGGTAAATCAAAATAGTCCTCCTTCTGAAGCTACCGGGTAAAACGGTGGTAGCTGTGCAGCTGCTGCTGATCAACAGGCTCCAGAAACAGCAGCAGGAGGTGAGCAGTCCCTGCGTTGGCCACCAAGTGGTAGGTGGCCAGCCCTACCTCCAAGTTGCACTGTTTACTTATTCATCTTTCATGGTAAAGCCTCCAGTTGCCTATTATGAAATCAGCAATAATCATGTGTCCCCTGTCTGGGTCCCTGAAAAGATGGAAAGAGGCAGATCAGGCTGGTGCTCTGAGAATGACAGACATCAAACAAGAATGAAAAGTGTCACCCTCCTTGGACTTATTCAGTAACTCATGCCCTTGAGCAAAGGAGGATTTTCTATCAAAGGACATGGATTTCTGTGTCTTTCTCTTGAGATAACATTGCTGGGTGACCACAGAAAGCTGGCTCTGGAAGCACAGAAGCTGCCTTTCCTTGAGTAATAATGTCTCTTCAAAGGGAGCTGGAGCATGAGTAGTGTACATGCCTCAGATTTCAGTGAAAAGTTCAGAGGAGGCCTGAGAAGAAGGTCCTGGGAATGAATCATCTAGATGACTCAACCTTGCAAAGCCATCCACCTCATTGTGGATATCATTCAATACATTTGGTGCTCCATCATCCTATTTCCATGGCTATTTCCTCACATTTTTCAAAGTCTGTTTCTTGAGCCCTGACTGTGTCAAATAGCATGCCCTGTTATTCTTGGGCTTCCCTCTCTGTTCTAGTATTCAGGGAGATTTCAGAGGCTGGGGTAAATCTCAGACCAAGAAGACGCAATGGTTTTGAGGTAGAGATCCTAGGAATATAGAATTCTGAGCTATGCAGTGGTCCTTTGCTTTCAGGAAATCAAGTTTGATAGTATCACCTGAAGCATACTTACATTATCCACAAATGACAGCTCCTTACTTGAGCAGTTAAATTGTGGCAAGTCTTAACACACAGATTCCTCTTAAATGCCACCTAATGCCTGCCTGGCTTCAAGCCTCTGGCTTCCCTTGGAGAGGGGCAGAGTCTCTCTGTGTGAGAGATTCTTCATTTCTGCTTTCTGCCCTGTCAGTTTCTACTTACTTGCTCTTCCACCTTGTCCACAAGGCTTATCTAGCGGCTGTTTACCTCTGAGCAGAGAAAATGGAAGTCAGCAGAGACAAGGTTGAAATTTCTCAGGAAGGATTTTTTTTTTCCACTTTATCGTGCAGCAAGAGTAAAGCCTTTTTTTCGGTGATTCTTTCCTCCACAATGGCCATTGGCTGCCCTCTGTCACACACAGGTGTGACTCCCTTGTTATTAACTGTCAGGTGGGAATTTCTAGGGAAGAAGGAGAGTGCTTTGTTAACCTCTTAACATCTCCCCAAATTGCATCATATTCTCTCCCTTTCCCCTCCCAGTTACCTTTTCTATTTTTGATTTCCCCTTTTTCAGTCTGATTTGGGGATTTCAGTTCCCACTAACTTTGTATAATATCCTCCTATCTCTGAAAGAACAAGTTCCATCTCCATTTTCCAGGAGAGTTTTTTTCCTTGCAGTAAGAGCACCCCATCATCTCTCCATTTCTACCTCCCCATCCCAGTGCTCCCTTTATGGCAGTACAATTGAAGAGGGACCCACAGTCTTGCTGAAGGAACATGACCTTCCTACTGAAGTTGGGATTACGGAATAGAGGGAGAAGAGGAAAGATGGATGTTTATCTGAATGGTCGGATCTTGTTTTCCAGAGGACACAGGCCAATGGGAAACTTTTGGGAAGGAAGTCAAAAAATCAAAGCCAGAACAGGGTTTTGGTAATTTAATCTCCCAAAGAGAGAAAAGTCCCCATACTCTAATTCATATTTTGTTTGACTTGACTGAAGCCCTTTTGAATATTTTTTCTGCTTCTGTTCTGTTCTTGCAATAACAATGACATAAGTTTGCCTTTGGAGACATTAAAATAGTTTTCTCATCTCTTGTTCCAAGCATTTATTTTATTTTATTTTTTTGGCGTATTTATTTATTTATTTATTTATTATTACTGTACTTTAAGTTTTAGGGTACATGTGCACAATGTGCAGGTTAGTTACATATGTATACATGTGCCATGCTGGTGCGCTGCACCCACTAACTCGTCATCTAGCATTAGGTATATCTCCCAATGCTATCCCTCCCCGCTCCCCCAACCCACAACAGTCCCCCGAGTGTGATGTTCCCCTTCCTGTGTCCATTTGTTCTCATTGTTCTCACCTATGAGTGAAAATATGTGGTGTTTGGTTTTTTGTTCTTGCGATAGTTTACTGAGAATGATGATTTCCAATTTCATCCATGTCCCTACAAAGGACATGAACTCATCATTTTTTATGGCTGCATAGTATTCCATGGTGTATATGTGCCACATTTTCTTAATCCAGTCTATCATTGTTGGACATTTGGGTTGGTTCCAAGTCTTTGCTATTGTGAATAATGCCGCAATAAACATACGTGTGTGTGTGTCTTTATAGCAGCATGATTTATAGTCCTTTGGGTATATACCCGGTAATGGGATGGCTGGGTCAAATGGTATTTCTAGTTCTAGATCCCTGAGGAATCGCCACACTGACTTCCACAATGGTTGAATTAGTTTACAGTCCCACCAACAGTGTAAAAATGTTCCTATTTCTCCATATCCTCTCCAGCACCTGTTGTTTCCTGACTTTTTAATGATTGCCATTCTAACTGGTATGAGATGGTATCTCATTGTGGTTTTGATTTGCATTTCTCTGATGGCCAGTGATGGTGAGCATTTTTTCATGTGTTTTTTGGCTGCATAAATGTCTTCTTTTGAGAAGTGTCTATTCATGTCCTTCACCCACTTTTTGATGGGGTTGTTAGTTTTTTTCTTGTAAATTTGTTTGAGTTCATTGTAGATTCTGGATATTAGCCCTTTGTCAGATGAGTAGATTGTGAAAATTTTCTCCCATTTTGTATGTTGCCTGTTCACTCTGATGGTAGTTTCTTTTGCTGAGCAGAAGCTCTTTAGTTTAATTAGATCCCATTTGTCAATTTTGTCTTTTGTTGCCATTGCTTTTGGTGTTTTAGACATGAAGTCCTTGCCCATGCCTATGTCCTGAATGGTAATGCCTAGGTTTTCTTCTAGGGTTTTTATGGTTTTAGGTCTAACGTTTAAGTCTTTAATCCATCTTGAATTGATTTTTGTATAAGGTGTAAGGAAGGGATCCAGTTTCAGCTTTCTACATATGGCTAGCCAGTTTTCCCAGCACCATTCCAAGCATTTATTTTTCAAGCACCGTATGTGGGCCTTTTGTTCTGTGGAGAATAGGGGAAATAAATTTAAATTTATTTTTTTCCATACACATTTGCAAGAGTTTTTGTAGTGTCTTTTTTTTTTTTTTTGGCTTATCAACATTTTTGTTTTTTAAAAACTTTTCTATCCACCAACTCTGTCTCTTTTGCAGTTCATTTGGGTATAAAGTTTTGCTTAAGAGGTGTATCAACCTCCTAGAGTGAGGCTTTTGAGAAGAGGGGCTACTTCTAAACTTCTATCACTTATGTCCATTTTCTTAATTTTATACCCAATACATGTGTGGCAAAGTTTGTTAGCTACATATTTAACACCCAATTTTATTATCTTCCTAACTAATACAACCTCAATTTTATTCAATTTGAGAATGTGCCCAGTTTAAAAAATTAGATGTTGCAGTCTCTTCTGTTTATGATGATTATCATTTGACATGCTTATGTTCCGATATATAAACGGAATATAGTTTTGCCGCTGTCTGACACTTCAGCAGCCATCTTCAGGTAATAAGGTGAACTTAAGGAAAGAAACACATACTACAAAAGATTTGTCAAAAAGGCAGGGAAGCCTAGGTCCCTGATGATATCTTGGCACTGCCCACCTCTGGACTGCAGTGGACTGATTATCTTTAGAAGCACGCATGAGAGAAGAAAACTAAACCTTTATGTTGCATAAATTACTGTAGCTTGAGTTTCTATTATATGCAGCTGAATCTAAGTCTACTATGTGCAGCAAATTTGAGTCCCTGGATAGATCTTGAGTTTCCAACACTTAAGTAAAATGTGGAGTAATTGAACTACTTAATAAAAAGTAATAATTATTTATTCCAACCATAGATACTTTGCTTCTTTGGCCATAGTTGAATTATTATCTTTTAAAAATGGTTCTGTTTTTATTAAGATGACTAGTAGTATATACTTTTGATAGATAAATGGCTTATGTTCTTTAAAAGAGATGAGTGCCCAGTTTGCTCATAATAAAAACTCGGAAGAGATAAACGTTTAAAATATGTTCTTATAATAAACACAGATAAATAAAACGTAGGTATCCATGGTGTACATGTGCCACATTTTCTTAATCCAGTCTATAATTATTGGCCATTTGGGTTGGTTCCAAGTCTTTGCTATTGTGAATAGTGCTGCAGTAAACATACATGTGCATGTGTCTTTATAGCAGCATGATTTATAATCCTTTGAGTATATAACCAGTAATGCGATGGCTGGGTCAAATGGTAATTCTAGTTCTAGATCCCTGAGGAATCGCCACACTGACTTCCACAATGATTCAACTAGTTTACAGTCCCACCAACAGTGTAAAAGTGTTCCCATTTCTCCACATCCTCTCCAGCACCTGTTGTTTCCTGACTTTTTAATGATCGCCATTCTAACTGGTGTGAGATGGTATCTCATTGTGGCTTTGATTTGCATTTCTCTGATGGCCAGTGATGATGAGCATGTTTTCATGTTTCTTTTGGCTGCATAAATGTCTTCTTTTGAGAAGTGTCTGTTCATATCCTTTGCCCACTTTTTGATGGGGTTGTTAGTTTTTTTCTTGTAAATTTGTTTGAGTTCATGTGGCACATATACACCATGGAATACTATGCAGCCATAAAAAATGATGAGTTCATGTCCTTTGTAGAGACATGGATGAAGCTGGAAACCATCATTCTCAGCAAACTATCGCAAGGACAAAAAACCAAACACCGCATGTTCTCACTCATAGGTGGGAATTGAACAATGAGAACACATGGACACAGGAAGGGGAACATCACACACCGGGGCCTGTTGTGGGGTGGGGGGAGTGGGGAGGGATAGCATTAGGAGATATACCTAATGCTAAATGACAAGTTAATGGGTGCAGCACACCAACATGGCACATGTATACATATGGAACACACCTGCAGGTTGTGCACATGTACCCTAAAACAAAGTATAATAAAAAAAAGGTAGGTATCAAAAACATAACAATTCAAACCCTCTTTTAATTAAAGTTGGTTCTTGTATTAGTAGTAAGCAGGGAGCTTGGGGGGAGAGATGTGTACAAGTGTAGATGGGAGGTTCCCAGGTAAAGTTCTTGATTGGGAAGGTTCATTTGATTGTATGACATGTTCCTCCATTCTCTCTGTCTCTGTCTTTTGTTTTTGTTGTTGTTGTTGTTCGAAGCATCTAGAATGAAAACCACAAGGCCAGGGTTTGCTATCAAGGACCACTCTTTCCTTTGCAGAAAAAGCTGGTTCTGAGTGAAATAGAAGGACTAGGGTGCCAAATTAACTCCTCTCCACAAAGTGACCCCACATGGAAAAGTACTTGAGAAGCTCTGTAAAGACATGGTAAAAGCTTACCAAAGACAGTAGCATTATCCTTTCCCTTACACACAAAGTGGAGGGGAAGTGTGGGTAAGTGGTGTGTCTAAAAGCATTGCTTTAAATTATGCATCCATTTGTAAACACTAATTTTTTGTTAACTCCATGTTGTTTGTAAATTGAACAAAAAATGCATATTTGTCATGGAAAAATTAGGAAATAAATATTAGCATAAAAGAGGAAACAACGAATCTTAATTACCCATAATCCCATGACTTCATGTTTGTGTAAGATTATATAATACTATTGTTTCATGATCTGCCATTTTCACTCAGTGACATATTTTGCACGTGAAATACGTTTTACATAAATATTTGTATAATTTGACTAGTTATTACCTTAAAACTACTGGAAAGAAATCCCTTAGTTCTTCTACTTCACTCATTTCTTCTCTACAGTATTCATTTCTGGGGTAAATCCAGCTCTTTGGCTTGCATGGCCATGTAGTTCTGAAGTTAGCTACACAGGACTTAGCCACATTTCCCAGAATAGGATGTATGGTACAGCAGAATTCTTACTGAACTTGAAGTCAGAAGAACTGGTTCCTTCACTTACTATGGGTGACCTTGGACAGTATACTTGATTTCTTTGAATCTCATCAGTGAAATGAGTATGGGAATGTCTACCTTAACTGTGTGATGACAGAATTTGTGAGGATGAACTGAACAACTATAGAAAAGTGTTTGGGAAATGCTGAAGAGCCCTACAAATGAAAGACATTAATAATATTAACTGAAATAGATTCCATAAATACTATGTGTAAGATCCTACCTTGATTTACCGCATTTAATCATCAAATCCACTGTCTGACAAAAGTATTATCATTAGTTCTATTTTATAGTCTAAACAAATCTAGGCAGAAAGGTCAAATAATTTGCATAAGCTCACACAATCAGTGACTTAGATTTGATCCAATCTATTTCATTCGATAGTGTTGGTCTTTTCCCCTAATAGTAGTAAAAACTGTGGGCTCCATTGTTAGCCTGCCTGAGATCAGATGCCATCTCCAACTAGGCAAGTTACCTTTTCTGCCTGTTTCACTCTTCAAAAATTAGAGATACAATAATACCAACCCAATTTCTTTGGGTTTCATAAGTAGGAAATAAAATAATACATAGAAAAGACTTGGAACATTGCCTGACACAAAATAGGTGTCTTAAAACGTTAATTATTATTATTTTCAATGTTGCCAAGACAGCGAACCCTGTGGTGGTGAATTTGCATGTGAAAACCTGTTAAACTGATACACACTCTTTCTTTTCTCCTAATATTGTCGCACTTGCACCTTATGTCCTAAGTTTTCTAGTAATCTTGAATGTACATAATGTTTAGTTGTGAAATAAATTTTGCTTTGTGAGGGAATTAGTTGTAATTGAGGGTAGAATCAAAGTTTGTTCAGCGAATTCCATCTATTCAGTTGTAAAGGCAGCGAATAAACACCATGACTTGTATTTGAAAGTAGAAAATACCGACTTTCAATTGTCATTTCCCCCGAGGAAACCATTAACCAGCACAATTGTTTTTAAATATCAACCTGAAATAACACTGTATTTTTACTGCTATTCTTTCTCTCTCCTTCTCTCTCTTTGGGATACAGTTTGGATTTGAAAAAATATGGTATATATGCGGTGTTTGGTCAAATAATTTAGCACTATGGAAAAGGTTGTGAACCAGTCATAGTATTTGAGGTTGTAAGAAGAAACCTTTGAAAAGGTAGTGGCTGCACAAATGTATTAACTTAGTACCACAAAGTAGGGAGTTCTGAAACTGTGGTGGAAATATTGCCTGCCTTGACTACCTGTTCTTCCTGAGTCCATTTGCTGATCAGAACTCAGGTAACTTAAAAGTCATATACCCTGGAAAGGAGTATGGAAACAGGAAAGATCCTCAGCGGCTATACAAGTGAGAGATATGGCAGAGTTCTAATAAGATTGACTAAAAGCTTGATACTGTCTTACATCAAAGGAGCAAATAATTGTTCTACCTGGAATGTCCAGGCCCCAATTCACAAATGCATTCCTACCTTTTGAACTGAATAATGATCTCTTTCCCAATAAACTGTTATAAGACAAAAAATCTGAAAGGAAAATTGTTGCACATACATCATATTCTTATATTCTGTATTTTCTGGGACAGTCTGTTTCAGATTAGATGATGAGTCCTAATTCAGGTTTGCAAAATATTATCAAGGCAAATCTTTATGGAGATTTTATTGAGATATTATTTTATAACAAAAAATGGGATAACTGTAATGTTCATCAAAAAAATTGGTGGTAGAAGGAAGGAAGGTGTTGGAGTGTTCAGTAACCTTACCCCAGAATGCCACAGTACAAATTCTGTGAGAAGTCATTCTTGTGTAGTAGAGGCATTCATTTTTCTCCTAATATCCCTTCTGAAAATTCCCTTTTGCTAGTCAGCTCTTAGCTTCTTGGAAAGAAGGCCCTTCGTCTAGGACAATGTTCATCTCCCCACATAAAAATTCACAATTCATGGCATGTTAGTTCAATAAAATATTATGCTTTCTAAGAATGATAATTATGAAAACTTGCTATAAATGGGAGCAAGTTCAACATTAAATCACATGAAACAGACATATTAACAAAAATAGATACATTAGAGCAATTGAACTATAAATGCTTTTTTCCTTTAAAAATTTTCCTTCATGTTATTTTCACATTCTTTTAGCAACAAATGACAATGAACTGCCATTGATTTTATTTTTTGAACTTAAGCAGTGTATCCACAAGTACACCATTGCCCTGTCCAATTTTTAGGGGGAGATATTCTATTATCTAAAACTCAATAAATTGACCCATCACGTTTTTGGTGATACCTTATTTAGGTAAAAATATTAGGCATTTAGAAGAATGCATTTGTGAATATTTTGACTGATATTACTATAGATGGAATTAGAATCTGCCCTTTAGGGGCTCAGAAGGAAGTAATGTTTGGATGTCATTAGGCTAAAATATTTTATTTATTTTATTTATCAGGGTAGAAAATTGCTCTTGAACCACTTTGGAAGGAATTTTACCAGGTACTTTTAACCACAACACAGCAGTGAAATTGCAGAAAGTCAATAGTTGGGTTCATATTTATAAACTGTAACCTAAAAATAAATCCCTAAAACCCACCACTGATTAAATAGTCCATCTCTTGGCCTAAGGAACCCCCTAAAAATCTAAAAACTTTTTCCAACCATGACTAAACAAGAGATCAGACACGCCTCGTTATACCTACTCCCCTTTGTGGTTTAGTCACAGCAGTGACCAACACTCATGTTAAAATAGAGATCTTAAGACTGACAGAAGAGTGGCAGTAAGATGTCAAATTATAAACAAGACCTAAGGCCTTGCCAGGCAAGGATTTTGCCACTCACTTCTACACTTAAAAGATAAACTATGTTTTAACTGCCAATAGGTTATTCCTTTTCTCTAGTGGCTCAGTAAGCACTGGCACTGAGACAAGCACTATGAAGACAATTGCAGCCCATCCCCTGATGAACTGACCCCCTGTTCCACAAGCCATAACCCCAGCTTTGATTGAACATTTGCTATCAGGATCTTTTTCCTGATCAGAGGCCACTGACCATGGCCTGGCTCTGGCCGTTTACAGAATGTGCACCCTGAGTGCCTTTGTGTCTCTGCTTCTGCTATTTGCACATAGGGCCTGACTGTAATGGATTTAAATGCTAAGTCACCACTGGTGAGTGAACAGGGCTCATAAGCTTCATGTGTGTTTGTTCAGTATGCGTGTGTCAGGACAACCTCCATGAACATCCATAGCCCCTCCTGTAACCTGTTGATTAAGTCTGTTTAACCAAACAGTTCAGCATAAAGCTTCTGCCCAACCCCTTCTTCTTGGGAGTGCCTGTCTCTCATTTTTACCAAATCTATGCTTTCCAGTGTATAGGATGGCTGTAACCCTTGATAAAAATATAGTCTCAGTTTCCTAATTTGTAGATTGTGGTATTTTTAAATATTTAATACAACTGAATATTAAATTCAGAACTTCATCTAATTATTAGACTACTTTAGTAAAGTATGACAAACTGTGGATATCCTATAATAATTTTTATATACCCTATAAGGGCCTGTGATATTTTGAAGCAGGAAGCTGACCTGAGACCTTCAGAATAAACTGATCACTGTGGATAATGAAAAGGCCCCACCCAGGACATTGATTGAGCACCCCTGCCTGTCTCATTCCTTCTTCTCTTTCTTTTTATTATGTGCTTACCATAATAAAAATTTTTATTGTCTTTAGATCTGTTTGCTTTTCACACATAGTGGACTCTTATCTCTCTTTTTCACTCATTTTCTTAAACTGCTAGGGAGAATAAAGTGTCAGGTCCTATTTTGGTGCTCACTGCTGATGAATTAAGGTTTATTCTTCTTCTTCCTTGTCCCCCACATATGGGAAATCTAGTAAGAAATCGTAGAAGCTCCCTTATCTGATGCCAGTGTGAGGTTTAAATCACACAAGCTCCTTCTCCTGAGTAGAAACGTGCCCCTACCCCCAACCCCACCACCAAATCATTATAAAGCCCTGAGCCAGCCTCCTTTCCTGTTCCATTGAAGAAATTCCAGTTTGGAATTTCTTGAGAGGCCTGTGCTGCTCTCAGCAGACAATAATAGAGTTGGTAAATCTTTTCATAACCACCTGAGGTGTGAGTGTGGCACTATCAGACCTGACATCCACACTAACAATTGGCGGGCTCTCTCTTCTTTTGCATGGGGTCACCTACAATTGGAACTATGGGTTTGGAGTCCTGACAGTGACCACCACGGGGCCTTTCTTGTTTTGCACTGGATGCTAACTCCCTCTGCCCCAGTGCCCAGCATGCACTTTATCCTGCCTGCTGCTCACTGACCCTTGGAGTTCTGTTGAGCTGGGCTGCAGTGTTGAGTTAAACACCACACCTTTTATAGATTTAGCTGATTGAATTCAGAAGCATTGATAATTTATTCACATTGAGAAACAGGAGTGATTGTAGGTGACTCTGCCTTTGGTGCATGTGAGAAAATTTTTCTCTTGTCACCACAAATGTTTCTTCTTCAGGAAGAACAGGATAAGGAATCCAGAGAAGTGCCCCAGAGGAAACTGTTTCATGGAGAGGAAGCCACAGGGCTGACAGGAAACCAGACCTTAGCCTCCCTCTGCACCTGCCCTGAGGCTGGCTTTTGTGCTCAGTGGGTCCTGAGTGCCCCCAGCTGGTCCTGTTCCCTCTTCAGGGAGGCTTGTTTCTGGGCTCATACTGACATTTTTTCTAATTGTGTTCCCCAAAATGGAGACAGAGTAAACCGTGAATCCATGCATCTCAGAGAACAGAGAACAGCAGAATTACACCCACTGATCCCCCCCACACACATTTAGGTAAATCTTATTAAAACTGCTGAAAAGGAAAGACAAATAGAAATATACGCAGGCAAGTGGAGGTGAGCAGAGGGGGCATTCCTTCCAAAAGAACAGAAAAGATGATGACAGCATTCTTCTGGTTAAAACCTTACAAGCAAGAGGAAAGTTGATGGTATCTGTAAAGTGTTGGATGAAAAGTCAACCCATTATTTTATAACGCATGGGTGTTCTCTAAAAAGTGAAAAAAAATTCTATTTCTCTTTGACAGCATGAGGGTTTCAGTGAATCCAGGCCCTCATGAGACCAGTGAAAATTATTTTGAAAAATTACAGGGTTTGGAAAGGCTCTAACAACATAAAGCAAGTGAAGAAATATTTATTCAAGAAAATCTAGAAAACTCGGTAAGGCCAGTCATCATACTTGATCTAAGATGCTCTTCCTTCCTTCCACATCCCAGCTCAGCATGATGTAAACTCCACTGCGGACAGATGCAGCCAAGAAGACAGGTCACCTTCTACCAACTCCCACCAGAGGAAACTCTTCCCCAGGACCCAGTACGTTGGCCCTCTGACCCTGCACACAGCACATGATGCTGAGGTTCAGTGCTGAACAAGAGCTACTGAGAGCCAGAGACTCACTTCTTCCATGGAGCCCCACTCATGGATGGAGGCTCTGTCCCGGGTCCAGTGCCACTGGGAACACTGGGTCTCTGGTTTCTAGCTCTGTCCTATGGCAGAGGTTCCACCCCACAATAACCGAAGTGCTGAGAAGGTGGGAAGCTCCTGCCCGACCCTCCACTGAGAGCTCAGCTCCTAGGCTGAGGAATAAAACAGCTCAACTTTTTCTACACCTGCAGAACCTTGTTTAGGAGCTCTGTCCCAGGAGAGAGGGGGCAATGGAATTCAGTCATAAAATATGATCCTTAATTAGTCCTAAAAATCCTAACTTCAGTAACAGCAGAATGTGGACAAATTGAAAGCCTGCCAGTGCTCTCAAAAACAGTGGATGGTGTGGTGGAAAGCCCTTGGAAGGAGACGGGTGGATGCATGGGAGATGCAGGCTACACTGCAGGGCTGCTGGCTTGCAGGAGAGAACCGAGGACGAGGGAGAGCTGGGGAAAGTTCTCTTGTGGTTGAAACAAATGCCAGACACTCTTCAATGGAGCCCATGTTTGTTTGGTTCAGTCTGTGAAGTAATTCAAACCTCAGTGCATGATTGAAAATAGTACAATTTTCCATCTGCAAGTGGCAGAGCTCAACATCTGGGTCTGGTCAGGAGAGAGACAGAGAGAGCCCAGCCCAAACCACTGACACCTGGGGTTGACAGTGCTGCTTACAGATGTGTTCCTTTGATCTTTGAGACTGGTTTCTCTCACTTAGCATAATGCCTGGAGTTCAACTGTAATGGTTTGTGAATCGATCATTTGATATTTTTTATTGCTGATGGATTCAATTTATAGATGCTTCCTAGTTTTTTCACCTACTCAAATTTTGAGACATTTATGTTATTTTTCATTTCTAACACACACACATGTAATATCTTGAATATTTGAATAGAGGTTTTGTGTGAAAATAAGATTGTATTTCTCTGGAGCAAAATTCAAGAGTGGGATATTTAGGTCATGTGTTAAGGGCATGTTTGATTGCAGAAAAAACTAAAAATTATTTTCCCGAGTAGCTGTTTCATTTTGCATTCCCATTAACAATGTCGTAGACACTAGGAACTTGGTATGCTCATCAGCATTGGTATTACCTGTATTTCTTCTTAATTTCAGCCATTCTAAAAAGTGTATAGTGGTGTCTCATTGTGGGCTTGATTTGAATTCCTTTAATGGAAAATCCTGTTAACAGCCTGTTTATATGTTTATGTGTCATCTGCACATCTCATTTGATGAAATGTCTGCACAAACCTTTGCCTATTTTATCCATGGGTTGTTTCTTTCTTATTTCTTTTTCACAGTTGAGTCCTGAGAGTTCTTATTCTAATTAAATTGGTGGTTATGTGATTTGAAAATAGTTTCCCATCTGAAACTTGACATTCATGTTCTTATAGTTACTTGAGTAGAAAACGTCTTTAAATTTAATGAGTTTCAACTGATAGTAATTTCATTTATTGATCATTTTTTACATATTATATTATATTATATTATTTTATTTTATTTTATTTGAGATGGCGTCTTGCTGTGTCACCCAGACTAGAGTGCAGTGGCACGATCTTGGCTCATTGCAAACTCTGCCTCCTGGGTTCAAGCAATTCTCCTGCCTCAGCCTCCCGAGTAGCTGGGATTACAGGTGCCTGCCACCACATCTGGTTAATTTTTGTATTTTTAGTAGATGGGGTTTCACCATGTTGGCCAGGCTGGTCTCAAACTCCTGACCTCATGATCCACCTGCTTCGACCTCCCAAAGTGCTGGGATTACAAGCGTGAGACACTATGCCCGGTCTAAATTTTAATTTTAAGATCATTGGTCAACTGTTAATTATTTTATATTTTTAACTTTTTTGTGTGTACATTTATTTGATAAATTTAAGGGCTATGAGTGCAACTTTTGCACATGGATATATTCCATAGTGGTCTTGGCTTTTAGTGTAATATCACCCAAATAATGTACATTGTACCCACTAGGTAATGTCTCCTCATGCTCCCACCTTCCACCTCCCATCCTTCTAAGTCTCCGGTGTCCATCATTTCTCTCTCCATATCCTTGTGGACACATTGTTACCTCCCACTTACAAATAATAATGTGTGGCATATGACTTTCTGTTTGTGAGTTAGTTCACTAATTATATTGTCCCCAGTTCTAGGCATCTTGCTGCAAAAGACACAGTTTCATTTCTTATTGTGGTTGACTAGTATTGAATTGTGCATATGTGCTGTGTTCTTTTATAAAATCATCTGTTGGTGGACACTCAGGTTGACATGTGTGTTATTAAGAATAGTTTTGTGGTAAACATAGAAGCATGGATATCTTTTTGAAGTAATGATTTATTTTCCTTTGGGTAGTTACCCCGTAGTCGGATTGCTGGATCAAATGGCAGTTCTATTTCCAGTGTTTTGGGAAGACTCCATACCATTTTCCATAGAGGTTGTCCTAGTCCACATCCTCATCTACAGTGTCGATGAGTTCCTGTTACTTTCCATCCTCACCAACATCTGATACTTTTGAGTTTTTAATAATAGTCACTGTGGCTTTTGTAAGATAATATCTTACTGTAGTTTTAATTTGCATTTCCCTGATGGTTAGTGATGTTGAGCATTGTTTATATATTTATTATCCATTTGTATGTGTTCTTTGGAAATGTCTACTCACGTCCTTTGCTCATTTTAATAGGGTTATTTGGTTCTTCTTCCTGTTGTTGTATAGTTTAATTCCTTGTAAATTTTTCATGTTAGTTCCTTGTCACAGGCAAGGTGTGCGAAAATTTTCTGTCATTCTGCAACTTGCCTGTTCAGTCTGTTGCTGTGAAATACCTCTATAGTTTAATTCTCACTTGTCTATTTTTTTCTTGGGTGTGTTTTGTGGTGTTAGTCATAAATTCTTCACCTCGCCCAGTGCCCAGAAGAGTTGTCCTCATATTTTATTTGAGTACATTTATAGTTTGAGGTCTCATATCTAAGTCTTTAATTCATTTTGTGTTGAGTATGTATGTGTTGAGGGTAGGGGTCTAGTTTTGTTCTTCTGCATGTTCATTTCCAATTTCCCCAGCACCATTTATTGAATGGGGTGTCCTTTTTCTGGTGTATGTTTTTGTTAAGTTTGTCAAAGATCATTTGGCTATAGATTGTGTGGCTCAATTCTGGGTTCTGTAAAATGTACCCTAGAGCCTTGATTCTCCTGAGGCCTCAGTAGTGACCTGCTCACAGTTAGAACTCTGTTGACTCAGTGGTGTTTCTATGAGTGTAGTGATTCGTGGTCATGGGGTGGTTTTCCTAAAATTGTGGACAATTCTGTTTTGATGTTCAAGCATGTGCTAAAAATTTCACAATAAATGTGTCTGTGAATTTTCCATTTCATTTCCACATTACTCCTTGGACTTACTGAGATGTGTTTGTGATGTCAAGATGAGGTGTTTTTCTTTCCAGGTGTTGGATTTTTTACCTATCTGGGTATTTATGGGCTCCCTGGGTGGAAATAAGCCGCATCCATCACACCTACCTTATGGAATTTTTAGAAATTTATTTGTGCACTGCCACTGTGAGACACTCCATGATGATGACACATTTCATTTATGTTATTGTTTCATAAAATTACTAGTGTACCTTCCACTCTAGAAGAGAAGATGCTGTCTGGATTTTCATAATTCCTCCTGCTCTCTTATCTCCACATTCTTCTTTGACACCATATCTGCAGCTTAAGAATGACATACGCTACTGACATTTGTATTTGGTCCCTTAAAGTGATATGAACCTAAGGAACTGGTGGCCGCATATCAGTGATGCATCTGGCTCAGGTAATAGGAACCTTTCGTGCTGAATCTTGTCAAACTGGATACAGTCTCGGCTGTGTCCTGTTGAGTTAGGCATAGAATAGACAGCTTCATTGCCAAAGAAAAAAAGTAGGGGGTAAAATGGGTGGTATGTCTCCAGCAAATACAATGCATAGGAAAACAAATTGTCATATGCTTTAAGGCTCCCCTGCAATCATCTCTGAAACAATCTTTTTCCTTCTCAGCTTATTTGGGTGGCAGAGTCAGCTCCAAGGCTGCAGGCAGAGGCACCGCTCCTGAAGCACTGCTAGGCCCAGCTCCCATGTCAAAGGCCTCATGCAGCCCTACACACAGGGCTGGCTGGTTGCTCCCAAGCCCAAGCCTCTGTTGGGTGGTTTCTTCCTCAAGATTTTAGAAACAGGCTTTCTGGTCTGTTGAAATAAAGGCAGTGGTCTGATAGTTTCTAAATAAATTTAAAGCTTATTTTTTCTCCCTTCCAGAAGAATCATGTACATTTGCTGCCAAGTAGCTCTATTATTCCAGGCCATTAAATCTGAAAAATCTAACAGTTTTCATCAGATTTGTCTCAGGTCAATTCTCATTCTTTAAAACCTGAAATATTTCTTTTCATAGAGTATCTTAGGCTTCTTACTGAGTGATATTTCAGTCATATACTCAGTGTTCTTTGTAGAATACAGTTTCTGATTTTGGCAATATGGATAGGTTGAGAATTTTCTAAGTGCTCAGGTTTTTTATTCTTTTTCGTTTATATTTTTTTCTGATTTTAATTTATCTACCTCACTTGTTATAAGCACTCAGGAGGAACCAAGCAAAATATCTTCAACACTTTACTTAGAACTATTCTCAGCTACTCACAAGTTCTCACTACTCGCAACTTCTCTTTCACTAAATATTGTATCACTGTCCAGCCAAGATTTTTTTAAAAACTTTATGATAAGGATGACTATTGCTCCATTTTCCAAAACCACTCTACTCATTTCTGTCTATCAGCATGACCCTCAACATACAAATTTCTTCATATATGTCAAAGGTACCCATCCTTTTACACATAACCCAATTCCAAGCTACTTTCACAATTTTCAAATAATTGTAACATCAGATTTCCACTTCCTAACCCCAAATTTTCTTTTGTCAGTTTAAGATGCCATTACAAACTATCATATTTGGTGACTCATGCAACATTAATTTTATTTCATTTATCAGTGCTGTGAACTCCAAGATCAAGATGCTGACAAGATAGGTTTTATTTTGAGGCTTCCACTTTTGGCTCAGAGCAGCCATCATATTGTTACTTTTTCATATGATCATTTCATTGTAGGGCATGTGTGTGTGTGTGCATGTGTGTGAGAGAGAGAGAGAGAGAGAGAAATAGAGAGAGAGAGAGGCTGTCTGGTGTCTTTACTTATGAGGTCAGTAATTTCATTCTGATGTTTCACCCTCATCATCTCCTTTAAAATTCAGTACTTTCTTTCTTATAGAAAGCAGCCCGACAGAAATTTGCAAACTTCCTTTGTGATTTTTATTATTATTATTTTTTAGCTCATCAGCTATTTTTAGTGTTAGTGTATTTTATGTGTGGCCCAAGTCAATTGTTCTTTCAATGTAGCCCAGGGAAGCCAAAAGATTGGACACCCTGCTCTACAGCTACAGTAGTTTAATATTAATATAAAGATATAGGCAGAACAACTGAACAGAATAAAGACTAGAAAAATATCTAAACATATTACTAATTATCTAAACATATTACTGATTTTCAGTAATGAAAATCAATTAACCACTGACATGTATTACCTATATGAATCTCACAAACAATGTTGAATGAAAGACTCAAGGCAGAGGTTGTACATTCCATTTCAAAATTTCAAAAACAGCAATCAAGACCAGTGTCAAAAGTTAGCATAGTGATTACTTCTGAATACTGTTAGAAGATAAACTCAGATAACTAGGAGATTAATGAGAAAAACAACCAAAAATGGCAGTAAGCATTGAATCTAATTACCTATAGGAGGCCAAGACTAATATAGGGATTTTGATTTGAAAATTAAATGTTGGAGTTGTAAACCTTGATAATAGAATAGATACATAACTATCTATATGTAGAGAGGCGGAGGTATGAGAATCACTTGAACCTGGGAGGCAGAGGCTGTGGTGAGCCGAAATTGTGCCGCTGCACTCCAGCCAGGGTGACAGAGCAAGAGTCTGTCTCAAAAAAAAAAGTTATGAATAACTGTGCACCAGGTAACAGAGCATCAGCATTCACAGAGAAGAGCTATAGGGGAAACAAGAAAAAATATAGAAAACACAGCATCTTAATTATTTAATTCATGTGTTTTAGTTCATTAAACATCAAGAGGACCAAAATTAAGCAAGACTAAAAAATACCTAAATATCGTAATTGATAAGGTAGAAATATGTGTGTGTATGTCTGAACATAACAACTCATTCTTTTTTAAGTGGCAATGAAACATTCATAAAATAAAAAAAAAAGAAATTCCTTAATTGCTATAAAAGTATTCCTGGGGATGAGTAATTTATAAAAAATCTAATTTGGCTGACGGTTTTGAAGGCTGTACAGGAAGTGTGGTTCTGCTATCTGCTTCTGGTGAGGGCTTCAAAAACCTTATATTTATGGTAAAAGGCACAGGGGAAGAAGGAGTGTCACATGGTGAGCAGGGGGAAGAAGGAAAGGGGGAGATCCAAGTCTCTCTTAAAAAATCAGATCCTGAGTGATCTAACTATGTGAGAACTCACTCATTACCAAGTGGATGGCACTAAGCCATTCGTGAGGAATCTGGATTCTGGATTCCCATGGGGTGATGAGAGGAGAGCAGAGGGGAGGAGGGGCAGGGTTGGGTCCTGGGTAAGGCGGTGCTCGGGCTGGGGTCCCTGGAGAGAAGTTCTGGGTTCCTGGGGGCCAATCAGGCAGGCGTCTTTTCTGTCCACACCCCGAGGGTCCCAGCCGGAGCCAGGTGGGGAACCATAAGGAGAGGGCTTGTGTCCTGTCCTCCCCAGTCCTCTAGACAGGGTGGGGGCTGAGGGGTCCACCCCAGGGCAGGGCCAGGCAGTGACTCTGATGTGGGGCCTGGTTTTCGTGGACTGGCCTGGGGGGTGCGGGGTGCAGAGCAGGAGGGGGCAGATTCTGTTGGGGGATGGTGCAGTCATCCCTGTGTTCAGGCCATTTCCTGCCCTGGTCACCTGCAGTGAACCCTGGCAAGGAGGGGGTGGCCTCCCAGACAGCAGCCTGCCTGGGATCTGCTCTGGCCCTGGAACTGGGGATGGAGCCATTCTGGAGGTCAGCAGCTGCCTAGGACAGCAGGGGACCAGGCCAGCCCCTAGCAGGGGAGGCAGTGGGGATTTTGGCAAGGACCGAATTGTTTGGGAGCCAGTGCCCCACTAGGCACAGTGACAGACACCCCAGCAGTATGTCCTGTCCCCACCAGACTGCCCACCCTATCTTAGGTGTGGCATGTGAGGGTGCCGTGCCCCTGGCAGGCCCAGCCCTTGACCTTCCATGCAGTCATGAGGCCCTGGGAAGCTGAGAACAGACCTCCCACTGAGGGAACCCTCCCCACAGAGGGCAGAGTGCAGACAACAGTGACCTTGAAAGCCCCAAGAGAAGCAGGTGAGCTGGAGGCCTGGGGCTGCATGGCAGTGGCTCATCTACTTGGCCTGGTTGCTGCTATGGGTGGCACCACTGTGGTAATCGTAGACACTATATCCACCACAGTCTGACACCCCCTGACAATAACCACACCTGGAACTGGAGGCGGGGCTGTCAGGAGGAGCTTCCCAGGGAGCAAGGAGGGTCCAGACAGCTGTGCCAGGGGCCCCCAGGACTGGGGACGTGGGGGGCTGCTCAGGGACCAGACATGCACAGTGTCCCCCTGGAGAGGCCTCTGCAGCCTCCTGGGCTCTGGGACGGGCCTCCAGTCAGCAGGAGGCTGGGTGCTCCCTGACATGTGCTCTCCTGCCCTCACTGGTGAGCTCCTATGTGGCCCAGTGTGGGCCCAGCTCCAGCGTCCGCTCCTGTCAGCCTGGCCGAGGGTCCGGGCAGAACTGGGCATGGCTCCTTCTTAGATCCCTCGGGGACTGTCTCTACAGCTGTACCTGGGGCTGGGGGTTCCATGAGTGGTCTTTGCCATATGGGGACGTCCAAGGCAGGTGTTTCTCTAGTGGCAGGTGAGGGAGACTGTCCAGGGCCTGGCCCTACGAAACACAGTGGCCTCTCAGAGGAGGGTGTGTGGGAGTCCTGCCTATTGGGAGCCTGGTGGATGCTACCCTCTTGATTCCAGCCAGGATGGGAATCCAGGCAATTGGCAGGAGGTGCTGGAACAAGGCTGGTGTCTACAGCAATTCCCGGCCCTAGGAATTGGCTGTTGGAACTGTGGCAGCTGTTGGGACAGGGTTCGGTGCAGCTGGCAGGCACCTGTGGTCATGAGTGAGGTCACCTCAGAGCCCTCTGAAGCCCTTGTTTGAAGGCAGACGAAGTGTGGGGCACCAGCCCATGGGCTTTCATGGCCAAGATGTCCCTAGAGGCCGAGGGTCTGGGCAGAAATCCTTGGGCCTGGCTCTTCTTATCCTGGAGAACTCTGAGCCGAGAAGTGTGCATAAACCCTGGGAGTCCAGTCAGTTTTTGCTGCTGGGTTCATCACTGTGGTAGTTAGCACCATAGTCACATAGCAGGAGGGCCTTTCACAAAAAGCCCCTCAGTGAGCCCAGAGGCATTTCCCACGCAGGTGCTGGTCCAGGCGTCTGGGGCCCCCATTGACAGTGGTGCTGCATCCTGGGGATCTCAGACCGGTCTGAATCTTCCCCGCCTGCCGTCGAGGGCAGGAGGGTCTGACTCACCCTCCAGGGCTCCTGTCCCCTCCAGGAGGGGCCAAGGTGACATCCGGTCAGAGCATGTGCAGGAGTCAGGCCTCCTGGATTTTTAGTCCTGGGGTAGGTGCAGGGGGTGGGACAACTTTTAGGGGTCTGGGAAGGGCTGGGCTGTGGGGCTGTCCCCATGGGCCATCTTGTGTTCTGGGTGCCGTCCTGATCCAGATGTGGGTTCCCGATGTGATATCACTGAGGACTGTCCTGGAAGAGGGTGCCCACTGGGGAGAGAGGCAGGGATTTCTGGAAGGTTCTTTGTCTCTGACTGTGAGAGGTGAGTCCTCTGTTGGCTTCCCGGGTGAGGTTTGGAAAGGAGCAGGACTCAGGACGGCCAGGCAGGATGAGCGACTCCCAGCTCCGGCTGTCCCGGGAATGCCTTCTGTCTTGGAAATGACCCAGGAGAGGCTCAGGTGTCAGAGCCAGGCAGGCCAGGGACCACAGGGGCAGGGACAGCGCACAGGACCAGCCCCGCCCTCCTGCCCCTACTCGGACCTGGGGGGTTCTCAGGGTCCACACATGTGGCTCAGCCTTGAGGGAGGGGCTTCCGGGACTGCTGGGTGCCTGTCCCCATCTGGACTGGCACTGGAGGGCAGCAGTGATGCAGACCTGTTGGACTCAGGTCTGGCTGACCTATGGGATAATCCTGGCCATCTGTTTCATGGTCTCCGGGGCTGGCGGGCAGGAGCTCAGGGTGGTCACTCTTGGGCTTGTCCATTGTGCCTGCTGCCCTGTGTGTTTGGGACACAGGTTGCACTGCTGTGGTAGCCACTACACCCATGGTGCTGTGGCCTCGATCAAAATCCTAACGCGGCATGTGGTGGTCCACCGTGGGGAGGGCTATGGCAGAAGGCTCCCAGGGATGGGTTTTTGATGGACTCTGTGACACTGTGGGTATAATAACCAGTCCAAAAATCATAATACCACAGTGACACAGACCTCACCCCAAACCTACTGCCAGGTCCGGGGAAACTCGGGATGTCCAGGGCTGACCTGAGGAGGTAGCAGGGCACCGAGGGGAGGCTGTGGGCCCAGCGCTCTCAGGCCTGCTGCGGGGACACTCGGGTCTGCCCCTCGCTTAGGTGGACAGTGTCTGTGCCCACCTGTGTCCTGAGGCTCCATTTCAGGCTGATATCTGTCTGTACTGTCCCTACCCATTCCATAGCCATGTCCTTTTGGGTTTATAAATTGCCCCCAAATCACGCAGGCATCACTCAGGCTTTTTATATTCCCTGGGCCACCAGGTGCCTCCACCCAGAAAGGTGAGATGTGGGAGAGTTCCAGAGTCATTCTGCAACCCTGGATGAGCCCTTGCAGCCTCAGTGCTACTGAGGTTCCAGCAACACCTGGAGCAGGTGCAGGTGAGGCCCGAGGCCAGGTGAAACCCAGGCCAGGTGAGATCCAGGCCAGTGATGCCCAGGTCAGATGAGGCCCAGGTCAGGTGAAGCCCAGGTCAGGTGAAACCCAGGTCAGGTGAGGCCCAGATCATGTGAGCTCGGGACAGGCAAGGTCCAAGTCAGGTGAGGCCGAGGTCAGGTGAAGCCCAGAGGTGAGGTCCAGGCCAGGTGAGGCTTAGGCCAGGTGAGGTCCAGGTCAGGTGTGGCCCAGGTCAGGCAAGGCTGAGGTAGATGTATGAGACTTCTGTAATTTTCAGTCGGTGCCAACCCTGCCTGGTGTCCCTGCCCCTCCTCCCAGCCTACGCTCTGTGCCTGCCAGATGGCGGCCCCTGCACAGGTGGTGCTGGCTGTGGAGGAGCTGGGCTCTGCTTCCCTGTGCATGGGCGTCCCTCTCGGGCTCTGGTCTGGGAGTGTGGCTCAGTTGCTTCTCTCTGGAATGTGCCGACTGTGCCATCCTTGGGGGTATATGTCCTCGGGGGGATACGGCTCTGTGCCTGCTCCACATCTGGCCCCAGGAGCTGCCAGCAGGTACCGGCCTGCCCTGCCACACAGTGAGCCTGCATCCTGTCCGGGGATGCCCAGGGAGGTGAGTGCTACCACACATCAGGCCTTTTCTCTTTAAAGTCATTTCTTTGGGGATACATCATCGATGTCTCATATACTGAATGTATGTCTGTATCACTGTGCAATTGCCTGTGTCATCGTTTATTTATCCAACCTGGGTTAATGTCTTTGCTATTATGAACAGTGCCGGAGTGAGAATTTTCTAAACACAGCTGTGTACATTTTCCTCTTCTTGCGATTTAGAAGTTTAACTGCTGTTTTCAAGGTACTGTAATGTATTTGTTCTGTTCTTGTTAGGAGACTTGCCAAACCTGTGTGTCTCTGTTCACACCCTCTTCCTTCCCCCGTAGAAGTAACCACAACTGTGTTTATGTGATCATCGTTTTCTTGATTTTCCTTATAGTTTTTCTAGTGGAAAGTTTATCCCTTAAGAAGATAGTTCATTTTGCCGGGTGTAAATTTTATTTAGAAGAAATCATATTGAAAGTATTTTTTGGAGTTTCCTTTGTTACTCCAATTACTCAGCATTGTCATGAACTCAACCGCAGAGTTGCCCGTAACCCTGTACTGTTGTCCTCGTGGCTGTCTGGGTTTGCATTTCATGAACCTGCCATCGTTTATTTGCCTGTTTTCCTTCAGATGGATGTTTGTTTCATTCTCAGTTTGGGGCTATGACAAACATATGTTCTGCACATCTTTGCCCATGAGGTTCTCAGGGAGGGCTCTGGGGCTGGCATTGCCTGCAGGGCTCTGCTTTGTTGCAGGGAGTTCCTGCCAGGGCTTTTCAGAGTGTCTGTGCCCAGCAGCAATGCCTGAAGGTACACACTGTACTTTGCCCTTGCATCAGGCACTTTCTCTTTGCTTGCTTCTGTGTGGCTCCACATTCTGGAGAATTTATTCAGATCTGTGCTGCAAATCCTTCTCACTGATTCTCTCTTTAGCTGTGTCTACATCAGCTGTTAAGCATCCCATGAAGCAGCAGTGTGGGCACAGGGCAAACTTTCGAAAGATGACAGTGTAGGATAGAGGCTGCTCCTCCTTCCCTGTGCCCTTCCCACACTGTCCTCCTGGGCTCACTCCCAGCCATTTATCTCAAACACCAGTTTATGGAATTCTCTGCCCAGGAAAGCAGAAACAGTAAAAGGCCCTGCTCAGGCTCTGCCTGCATCCTCTCTTGCACACCCACCAAAGCTCTTTCCTTGGGGCCTGTGCCAACTTCCCCAGCTTGCTTCTCATTTTCTGTTTACTCTGCTCGCTGGCTGGTGGGGGTGATGTCTGGGGGGAAGTCTGGTGTGCTTTGGCATTGGTGGACACCCCTAGGCCCTACTTCCCAGACGCTCCCCCTCAGCTCCAGAAGTGGAAGCATTTACAGCAGGGCTTTGGGACTGGGGCTGTGTCACTGTGGGCATAGAAAGTAGTACTATTACAATATTCTCACAGTGACACGAGCCCCCACAAAATCCTCCTGTCCCCACGGGTGTCACAGAGTCCCCCCTTGCTGTCTCTGGCCAGTTCTCCTGCTGATACTGTGATTTCCAGGGGGTTTTTGTCTGAAACTCAGGGTGTCTTGGAGAGGACTCTGAGCCCAGTGCTGTACAGGGGGCTCCTCCTTTGTCCTGGGGGAGTTGCATCGACCCTGTGTTTGGTTAAGGGAAGCATTTGCTGGTGAGGGAGACCTCCCCTCCTCTCTTTCTCAGGAGCCTCCTCTGATGATTTTGCCTGGTGTTTCTTGGGGCTGGTGCTCGGGGCTCAGCAGTCTCCGCCCTGGTCCAGCTGGGAATGTGGGTCCGTCCTGTTTCCATGAGTTTTCTGGGGCCACCAGTGAGGGGCTTGGGATGTCAGCAGCTGGTCTCGGTCCCTATGGTCTGGGCTCCGGCTCACTGCTCCCCTGCCCTCCAGGTCGGTCACTGACTCAGTTACTATACAGCGGGCTCCATGGCTGTTTGGTGGTGGCTGCAGGTCTCTTCCCAGGAGAGGCCTGCAAGAGGGTTGGGATGTCTGGGAGCCCTGCATTCTCCCGTGATGTTGCTGCCTGGATCCCTCATCTTTAAAGGGAGTGCCGAGCCTCCCTGCAGGTGTGGGCAGTGAGAGACACAGGCGGATGTGCATCAGGGCGCTGGAGGCTGATTTCTTTCATTGCCTTCTGCCTGTGGAAGAGCTGAGCTCCCTGCTTCTGTGCACAGGAGATTTCCCTGTAAATGGGGAGTGAGGGCAAGGGTCTGTGTGGGGAAGACTTGGGTGAGCCTTCGTCCTGGAAATACCAGGGCCGTGTCCAAGAGGGGAGTGGGGCCAAAGTGTCCAGGAGGAAGGTGAGGGCAGTGTGTGTGTGGGAGTGCATGGTCAGTGCCATGGCTCAGAGGCCCCAGGAGAGGAAGAGCTCAAGTTGTGGGCAGGAGGAGGCAGTGGGTAGGCACAGGGGGGAGAAACTGAGGCTCTGGCAGCAGAAGAGGGGAGGGCCTGCATGTGCAGTGTTGGCCTGGGAGGGGTGTCTGGAGGGAGAGACAGGGGTCTGGGTGGAGACCAGGGTGGTGACTGCAGGGACAGGACCCCAGGATTGTCTGGGTGGGCGGCAAGAGCAGCAGGGCAGAAAGGGCCCAAGGCAGGGTCCAGTCTTCTCAGGGTGTGGGCTGCAGGGATGGGACCCCAGGGTTGTCTGGATGGGCAGGAAGAGCAGCGGGGTAGAAAGGGCTGGAGGCAGGGTTGGGCCTCCCCAGGGTGTGGGGTGCAAGGAGGGGCTGCACAGGCTGTCCCCCTGAAGGAGGGAGGAGGGAAGGAGCACAGAGGTGCTGGGAGCAAATGGAGCGGGAAGTGGCAGCGACCCGCATGCCAGGCGGTCCCGGTTTGGGGTTGATCTGTGTGGAATAGCTCCCTGGCCCATGTGTAAGCGGTCAGGGGAGACATGGAGGTCTGGAGCTACAAGCGGTGGCAGGAAGGCAGGTCCTGGTCTTGGGGGTCTGGAGCTTATCTTCTTCCTGTGAACTGAGTGTGGGCGGCACCTATGGGCGGTGCCCTGGACCTGTGGTCTGGTGGAGTCCAGGCCTCCCAGGGATAGCAGGGCAGCCAGGGCTAGAGGAGCCTGAGGGGCCAGGTCAGGGTAGCCCTGGGGACACTGCCTCCACCTTTGACCAGCGCTGCTGCGGGGATCTGGTCATGAGACCCCTTCACCCAGGAGGGGAGGCACGTGAGTGTGACCCTAAGTCCGTACCCTATGGGGGGCTCTGACCCTCCTGCATAGGGCCTGGACAGGGGTGGGTGGCTGTGTGCAGGTGGGGAGTGGGGAGCCCAGACTCTCCCAGACACAGCCTGCTCTGCTCCAGAATGTGGGCTTGGGGACTGCAGGCTGGCTGGGTCTGGGCTGCCTGGTGTGCCTGTGGTGGCTGCATTCCCATATCTGGGACTGAGGCCTAGTGAGTACCAGGAGGAGCCTGAAGGGAGCTCCATGGAGGACCTGCCTCGGATGACGCCCCTATTTTAAGAAGGACATGGTGTGTTCCAGCTGGGAGGAAGGGAAGTGGGCCACCTCCTGGGGGTCTTCCACCCCCACCACCTCAGCCTGGGGCTTCTGTGCTTCCTCCCTGCGCAGACCCCAAAGTCTGTGCCGCCACAGGGCAGGAAGGAAGGGCCTGTGTCCTGGTCGAGGTTGGGGCCACAGTGGTGTTCCCTAAGCCCCAGTCTGCTCTCAGGGCCCGCCCCGCAGCAGGTCCTGAGTGAGGGACAGAGACGGGGAGGGGTTTCTGATCCTGGTGGACTCTGGGGTGGATTCCAGTGGGGAGTCATCAGGGTCGGTGTCCCCCAGGGTATTGGGGTGAATGTGCTCCTGGAGTCTGCTCTGGATGTGGGGTTTATGCCTGTGCTGCCTGGGGTTGATGTTGGGAGGTGCCAGTGACCCGTTTCCCTGAGGGACTCTTGTCGGTGGTAGGGTCAGTTCTGGCCAGGGGCACGGGGCCATAGCAGTAGGATGGGGTCCAGCCCCTTCCATGACCCCCTGGAGCCCTGGTCCCCATCCTCACCATTCAGTGGGGACTCCGTTGTGCTCTGGCTGCTGGGGGTCATGTGAGCTGAGTAGGACCTAGGTTCGGGGCGGCTGTTCCCCTCTCTGGCATGGCCTCCGGCAGTGGCCAGGAGACGGTTTTGGACAAAGCTTTTCTCACAGTGGTTGTTCCAGTTATACCCACTGTGACTCGGGGCTGTTCAGAATCTGCCCAGGTGCCCTGAGCTCTGGGGCCTCCTGGGTGGGGGCTGGGCTTGTGGGCAGGATCTCCTTTGGGGGCTCTGGAGGCTGTGGCTCACTTTAGTTGTGGGGTGAGCACTGGAAGCCCCAGCTAGCAGAACACCCACAGAGACTGGGGCCTGCACACATTCCGCCCCAGTGTGTGGGGTGGGCCCAGGCCCCTCTGTGCAGGTCAGCTTCAATGGGGAGGGTGCTCAGGTCCTGCTTGTTTTCCTCTGGTTAATGGGATTCATCTCCTGGCCCCAGATCCTCACAGGCTGCCCCTGTCCCTCCAGCAATGCAGGACATGGCAGGTCACCCTGGAGGGAGGCATGTTCTGGTCTGGGTGTCAGGTGTGGCACCTCAGATTTTCCATGCATGCTGTGGGCTGAGCAGGACAGCAGACGACCCCGGGCCCCCACCCTGTCTATGGACATTTTTTGCTGCGGCAACTGTGGGAGCTGACAGTGTTCACAGCCACGCCACGGTCATCATCGTAGTCAAGTCTTTCTAAGAGTTTCATTGTGACGAAGCCTCCTATTAAACGGCTCCTCGGCCCTGCTTCCTGAGGGTTACTGCTGAGTCCCGGATTTCCCACAGAGGCGAAGAGAGGAGAGCAAAGGGAGGAAGGGGCAGATGAGCTGGGCCCTGCAGAAGGGGGTGCTTGGGTTGGGGTCTGTGGAGCAAAGATCTGGGTTCCTAGGGGCCACGCAGACAACCATCCTCCCTGTTCACACCTTGAAGATCCCAACAGGAGCCAGGTGGGGAGACTGTGAGGAGAGGGCCTGTGTCTTGTCTTCCTTGGGCCATGGGACAGGGTGGAGGTTGAGGGCGTCTTTCCCAGGGGATCACAGAACAGCACCTCTGCTGTGGGGGGCATCTAGCATGGGGGGCTGGGCTGTGGGGTGCAGGGCAGGAGGGGGCATGCATGGGAGGGGTGTGGCCCAGTCATTCCTGTATTCACAATCTTTCTTGTCCTGGGCACCTGCACTAGACCCCGGCCTGGAGGGGCAGCTTCCTAGCCTGCAGCATCCCTGGAGTCTGCTCTGACTCTGGACCTGGGGACAGGAGCCAGGCAGGAGGTCAGCAGCCTCCTAGGACAGCAGGAGGGCCCAGGCCAGTGCCTAGCAGACTTCCACGGGAGAGGGGTCCCAGGCGCGGGGAGATAATGATTTCTAGAAGGGTCTGTGTCTCTGAGTGTGCAAGTTTGTCCAAACTGTCCACCAGCTGTGATCAGGTAAACACAGGCAGACCTGAGTTCAGGCAGAGGAAACAGTTTTGTCATTAACTCTCTACCGACTCTAGGGGAATGAGCCAAGCTCCATTGTCATCTGTGCAGAGGCCACAGCCTTGAAAAGGGAGGGGGTAGAGGGAGCAGGGAGGGTGCTCGGGGCTCAGTCGTCGGGGAAGGGAAAATTTGCCCAGTGCTGGTCAGCGTCCCTGGGATGGGGCCCGCTGTGTCCGTGCTGGCCACTGTTGAGGTCAGGATTCTGTCCTCCCAGAGCCCGGAGACACAGGCCCCATCCTTCCCAATGGGGACACTTCAGGGAGTGGCTCTCAGGTCCCGAGAAAGACCTTCCTGGCCACAGGAGACACACAGACATCAGGAAGAGACAGAGGAAGGATGTGCAGTTGCAGCCTTTTCAGCAGATGCTCTGAGAATGGGAGGTCGAGAGTTGGAGCAAACGGTCAGTTCTGGTGCATTGAGCTTTCTCAGGCAGGTGTTGATGGGGCTGGGGTCAGCCTAGGGGTGTGACCTGAAGCCACTGGAAGCCTTGCTGGGGTCTGGCTCTCTCTTGGTGCAGGGGGGTGGAGGGAGCCCTGACAATAGAGCACTGGGGGGCCTCCAGGAGACCATCCCTGCAGCAGCCGGGCCATGCTCTGAGGATGTGGGAAGAGGACCCCCACTGTCTCTGAGTATAGGGTGGTGACTTCTTTGCACAGACTGGCCAGGGGTCCCACAGGGGCACAGTACAGGTGTCCCTGGGCTGCAGGGCTGGGGGACATCAGAGCTGCTCTCTGGGCTTGGCAGCCACCTCAGGTGGGATCAGAAGGGGGGGCAGTGCCTGGTGCTTCCCCTCCAGGCCTCTCTCCATGGTGTCCAGGGTAGCTTCTGGGGCTTTGGTGCCAATTTCTGAGGCCAGGGTCCTACCCTTCATGATGCCGTGATGCTTGGTGGCTCTGGAGGAAGCCCCAGCTTTGGCCACTCCTGCACTGCCTGGGGCTCCAGTCCTGCTGCGCCTTGAGGGGAACCCAGGGCCCCAGGCTTGGCCCTGTAAGGTCAGATGGGGGCTGGGCTCCAGCATCCTGCCGCTAGGTTTAGTTCCTAAATGACAGGGAGGCAGACTCTGGCTGAGCTCAAGACCTGTTCCCAGGCTCTGTGCCAGAGCAGGGTCCCCCAGCAGAGGCTGTGTGGAGCTGGGCAGGGTTCGCACTTTGTGGGGAGTTCCCTGGACCTGGAGACTCAACCCTCAGCCTCCTTGATGATGAATGATTCATCCTGTGACTGTCTTGGCCCAGACAATCAGGTGGCCTCCTCACCTACCCCTCTTCAGACAGGGCCTCAGACCTAAGGCAGGAGCACCCCCTACACCAGACCTCCTGGGTCACAGGAAATGCACAGACATCGGGAAGGGACGGAGGATGGACGGAGGAAGGACGTGCAGTTGCAGCTCTTTCTGCAGATGCCCTGAGAGAGGAGGTAGGAGCACGCTTGCTGTGGTTTGAATGCTTCTCTCCTCCAAAACTCATGTTGAAATTTCATTGCCATTGTAACAGTATGAAGAGTGATTAGGTCATAAGGTCCCCACCTCATGGGTGGGATTGGCACTGTTATAAAAGGGTGAGTTCGGCCCCCTCTTGCTCTCTTTCTTGCCTTCTGCCATATGATGACACAGCAAGAAGGTCCTCGCCAGATGCTCCTGGACTTGCTTTGGACTTTCCCTTGCTCTTGGACTTGCTCTGGCACCTTGCTCTTGGACTTCACAGCCTCTAGAACTGTGAGAAATAAATTTCCGTTCAGTATAAACTTCCCAGTCTTGGGTGTTCTATTACAACATCACAAAACAGTCTAAGACAACCCCGTATTCAGACCTAAGGTGAGATAACCCCTACCCATATCTAAGGATCCCCTGCTCCAGATCTTAGTGGTGAGGTCAATACAGGACTCCCTCTGAGGGAAGCCCTGACAGCAGTGCCTGGGAAGGCATCTGTAGGGCCCAGTGGGCCGGGGAGGCCCAGGACACACCTACATCATCTCTCATAATCCCTCCATTCTGTTATAACAGGAGCATATGCTTATAGCATACTTTAAAAATCAGCCCAAAACTGAAGGTAAGCATCAGTTAATTGATGGACTCCTTTTCACGGTTTGGTCTTTGTATTTACACCACAGTCATCTCACAGTGTGTGTTGAGCTTTGCACCCTTTTATCAAATGAGGTCACCCCATGAATGCTGGCTGTCACGTTATCACAGATATGTGACAAGTATAATTGGGAATGTTTGCAGAATAGTCCCATTAATGTATGCACCATAATTTCTTCAGGCACTATCTTGCTTTCAACTATTTTATAATTATAAATAATGCTCTGAAGAATGTCTGTTCACAAAGTGTTTTCCTCATGTGTGCTAGCCACTTGTTTTCTTTTGGAAATTGTGTTATATCCTTTGCTGATTTCTTAAGGGATTTGTTCTTTTTCTTATTAGCTTATGTATGTTGTTTGCCTAATAATGGTACAAGACCTTTACATATTAGATTAATATTATTTGAGTTTATTATTTACTGTTAAGTTTTGATGATTTTTAAATGTAAAGAATCTGTAAAGGTGTTACCTAGCTTCATGATTTGGGTATGCGGTGAAGCCTGCCCAACTTTGGGCAGCTGTCTGGGCCTGTGTTTCCAGAGCTTGAAGGAGTCTCTGCTTCCCTCTGGAGGGCTGGTGTGATAGTGTTCTCTCTCCAGGCCTGGGTGCCCTCCTGGGTCTGGGCTTGGGCTGGGCTCTTAGATGTCTCAGAGGAATTGAGACTCTATTAATCAAGTGAGTCTTTCCATTTCTGGTGAGATGATCATGGGTCATCATTGGCCTGAGTGGTGGGATGAGCTATAAATAGTTCTTAATTCCCGGTGTAAGTCCTTGTTCAATGAGATGGACAGAATTTGGCCTTCTAGGATGTCATTTATAACATTTGGCTCTTTGCCAAAATGCAAGTAACCCATGTTTTACTCTGGGGACTGTGGAGTGTGATCCCGTTCATAGACTTTTCCATGTTTCTCCAAATCCTGGAGCAGTTCTTATGGGAACTGATTAGTTTTGTGAAAGTCTAAACTTCACCCATAAAGCCATCTTGGCCTGAAGTCATCTGTGAGGGCAATTATTTAATAATCTTAATGCTTTCTTGAGGATTATTGTTCCAACTACGATTTCCATTTCTTCTTGAGTCAGTTTTAAGTTTTATTGCTAGAAAAGAAAAATGCCAACTTGCCGTCATCTCTGCCGTCACTATTTTGTGTTCAACAATTGCCTTCTGTATCTGCTGTGTCTTCCCCAGCACAGAAGCTGTAATGTTATTAAACAAAGCAATGTATCCAGATCACTCAGAATCTATGCCTGTCACGGGGAGCAGGAGATGAGGGTGAATGAAGAGCCAGAGCATGGCAGGGGAGCCACTGCAAGGATGCTGAAACTCATGTGAACAGAGTTGCTGTAGGCAGGCCACCATGGAACCTTGCGGGGGAAGCACTGCCTCTTAGGAATGGCAGTGAAAATGGGAGAAGAGGGTGGTATTGCCTCCAGATAGAAGATGCAGTGCTTTGCCTTGCTCCTTGGTGCATGGAGAGGGAAAGGGATGCTGCTATAAAGTTCCTGGCTGGACTTTGGCTTGATAAGGCATGGGTACCTTTGGGAGTATGAGGGCGGGTGGGTTTGTGCACATCTTCCACGAGGAGCTGTTAGTATTGGGGCAGACGTTTCAAGTATGGCAAACAAAGGATGTTCTGCATGGGGAAATGTGGTGACATCCATTTCACAAGGACAGCTCACATAGATTGAGTGCTCAGGAAGGACCAGCATCATACCCAGTGCCTGATGTGTATCATCTCAATTAGTCCTTGCCTCAAATGCAAAAGGAAGCCATTGCCATCTTCATCACCACCATCATCATCATCCTCCTGTGCAGATGGAAAAGCTGAGGCATAGAGAGGTGACGGAGTCTGCCCAAGACTGCAAGCCTGCTGGTGGCAGAGCCAGATTCCAATGGAATGAAGGTTGTCATCCTCAGATGGCAGGGTAGGCAGGTGGCTAGAGCTCACTTGGGAGAAGGGGAAAGGACACTGACATTGGCTAGGGATGGAGCAGGGCTTGGGCTGGCTTTCCATGCACGGGCAGCGGGCCTGGCTCATGGCTGTGCTCCAGCCCCGGGTGTGGACATTGAATCTTCCAGGTCTACCCTAGGCTATGGGTTTGGACAGCACTGTGATGGAAAGAAGACGCTCTATGTCCTGCAGTCTGTGACCAATGATGTGACTGTGGGAATGGCGCTGGCATCTGGCTGCCACTCTGGGACGGGTGGCCAGCTGCCATCAGGCCCTGGGATGGGACCACCATACGACTTCTTCCCTCGCTCCTCCAGGTCATGTCCACAGCCCAGGAGGACCAGCAAAGCCTCTCAAGCCGATGGCAGCTCACGTTCTGCCTTGTCAGCTACTCCTCTCCTGGGCAACATTGGCTGCTTGCTGTGGCTCTCCCTGGGGTACGTGACTGCCTCTGTGCTGGGCGCCTGGCCTGGGCTTTCCTTCTGGGCCTGGGCAGCTGGGCTCAGCTTGGACCCAGGCAGCAGCCACAGAGGGGCCCATGGAGGTGACAGAGTTGCTTCTATGATGGTGAACGGGCAGCTGTGACACGGGGGAGGCGACCACTCCTTAGTTTCCAAGTGCTGCGGTCAGGGCCAGGGCCAGCAAAGTCCCTCCCATATTCAAAGAGCGGGTTTGGGTTTGTCCCAGGAGGACATAGTCAGGAGCCCATGCTGGGACATGCCTCCTCCAAAGTTCAGCCTGGACCCCAGCCTCTGCCAACGGCCCCGCTCCTTAGCTAACCCAGCTTACTCCTGGGTTCCACGGCAGAGTCAGATGTTTCTGGGTACTTTCACCTTTGTGCCTTAAAGCATGTTGAGGACTTTAAGGAATTGTGGAGAAATAGGGCTGTGCCAAAGGCAAGTGACAACCGGGAACAATGATCCCACAGAGGCTGCTGAGGCCTGGGCCCCAGGGGCGTGAGTTCATCCTTCTGCCTGGGCTTTGGTGAGAGGGGCAGACTCTGTGGTCTGAGACACAAAAAAACCCCAAAACATACTTGTGTACAGACACACAGCAGAGGCACACACACACTTGGGCCCATGCACACACTCACAGGAGGCCCGTGGACTCCGCACAGTGAAGAAACTCCTCCGGTCGACAGTGGAAGGTGCTGCAGCAGGGACCCACCCCCAAGCCCTGCCTGCCTCCCATTGCCCACCTGGCCCTGGCTTGATGGGCTCATCTCATGCTGTGGCTGGGGCCTCTTGCTTCCTGCAACCCCTTGCTGGCCTGGGGCCTGGGCCTCTCCTGGGCTGTGCCTAGGGTTTGTAACCCAGGGCCTGTGCTGGCGTGCACAGAGCATCTCTCCCTGGGAGGCTCAGGGCTGCCTCCTCGAGTTCTGTGGGCCTGCACCGGCTGGTGAGCCTGTGGTGTGCATTTTTAGGCTGTATCCTTCTACTTCCTGAGTCCAGGGGTCCCAGGTACCCTGCAGCTGTCTCCTCAGCCACCCTGTGGGGCCCCGAGACCTTGCACTCACTTCAGTGCCCGGGTGCTCCAGCTCTGCCCAGGTGCCAGGCGAAGGTGTGAGCATGAGCCTATCGGACACACCTGGCAACGTATACCGGGTGTCCCACCCCTGCCACCACGGGGCCTCCCAATACGGCAACCGCCACGGACCTGTGGGGACCAATGAGGAAAGAGAGACGCAGGTCTGGGCCAGGCTCACAGGGACTCCGCCATAGCAGACCCTGCCCCAGCAGGCCCCCTTGTCCTTCCTGGGCCCTGGTCCTTCATGAGGAACTAGCCCATCCCTGGTGGGGCTCCCACCCCACTTCTAGTGGGCTCCATGCTTGTCTTGTCAGAGTCACCCCTCAGGCAGTGGCAGGATCCTCTCCTTTAGACCCACTGCGCCTTCCGGGCCTCCTGGGCTTCTGCTGGGGACAGAAGAAATGCCTCCCCAGGTCTGTCTCTGGAGGCTCTGAGGGAGATGGGCTTGGGGGCTCTAGGAGGAGGCAGGGATTCCAGGGTGTTAGGAAGGCAGGGGTGCAAGGTCCCACCCAGTGAATTAACAAGCCGTGGGTGGTGACAGTGACCCAGCGCCCTCGCTGCCCAGCCCTGCCTGTCCCCAGCCAGCACTGCAGGGAACCCAGTGAAGTAACAAACCGTGGGTGGTGACAGTGACCCAGTGCCCTCACTGCCCAACCCTGCCTGTCCTCAGCCAGTGCTGCAGGGATCCCAGGCCCAGACTCTGCAGGCCTTCACTGATCCTGGCCACCCAGAAAGGCTGCAGCCTGCGGGCACCAGCCGGGCCACATGCCCAGTGCCAGCTAGGGCCCACCGCCCATCCTTCACACAGGACTGCTGGGTAGGTGCCCCTCACACCCCCAGGATGTCAGTGCTCACCTCGAGCAAAGTGCCCCAGCTTGGCCTTGGGAGGCGGTCATGTCCCGGGGCATGATGGAGAGCTGTCCAACTGAGAGAGAGGGAGGGAGGGAAGGAGGGAGGGAAAGAGACAGAGAGAGAGAGAGAGAGAGAGGAGGTGTGGGCTCTAAGGCTGCCTTAGTGGAGTTGTGCGTGGCCTGCACCTCACCAAGCCTAGCCACTCTCACCGCTCTGAGTGGCTCACAGGCTTGTGAGGGCCCCATCGCTGCCTGCTGGGTCCCCACCAGGGCTCCCTCTAGGAATGCGCCATGGCTGCTATGACAATTTGCACAGCCCAGTGGCTTAAACACCACACATTTATACCACAGGTCCAGATGAATCCTACAGGGCCAAGGTCTAGGTGTGCTGGAGGCCATGCTCCCTCCAGGCTTGCGGGGAGAACTTCCCTGCCTCTTCTAGTCTCTGCATCCCTGAGCTCTCGGCTCCTCCTCCGTCTTCAGGGCCAGGGCATAGCATCTGCTCTCTCAGCCTCTGCCTCTGCTTCCGACCTCATCTGGCTTCTGTCTATGTCAGTCTCCCTCTGCCATCCTCCTAGAAGGACACCTGTGATTATATTAGGGCTCACCTCTTTAATCCAGGAGCACCTCTCCACTTCATGATTTTCAGCTAACTTCCTTCTGCAAAGACCCCCTTTCCCTATAAGGGCACACATTCACTGGTCCCGGGGCTAAGGACCTTGCTCCAAGTCCCTCCACCCATGATGTTGTGCCTTCCAGAAACCTGTCCTCTGCAGTTCGGTCTTGACCCCAAGCCTGCTGGTGACCTGAACATCACAGGGTTATCCCCTTGGGCCGTGTGCAGCATGATGCAATTTCTTGGCCTGAATGTCATGCTCCCTGGGGCAGGACCTTGAGCCTGCAGCACACACTAGGCCACCTGCAGCCTCACAGGCCATGCCCTGGGTAGACAGGGATGTGCTCAACCCCAGCTCGGGTCCTCTAGTCTGCCTGGCTACCATGCTTCTCATTCTCCTGCATCTGCAGACCCTGGGTTGCCATGTGAGGCAGGGGTGGGGTGGGGCTGAGGGCGTGGCTTTGGTCCCTGGCTGTCCGGATGAAGCACCAGAGTGATGCCACAGCCCATCCCGGTGACATGCTCACCCCCAACCCCCATGTCCGGGACCCCGGTCTTGTGTGGTCCCTGATGTGGAGTCCTCAGTCCTTAAGATACATCCAGAAAGTCCTGGCCATGAATTGGGGGTGCAGAGTCCTGCAGAGCCGCTGGGCTGGGCTGGTGCCCCCAGGAGATGGAGGGTCTGGTGGATGCCCTCCTCCCTCAGAGCTGGGGCAGCTGCCTCCCAGGGGTGGGACCGTGGGCTCAGAGAGAGGCCCTTGAGCTGCAGCTCAGGGGAGTGTGAGGCTTCATGGAGTGTGTCCTGGTCCATGTGGTCCACGTGTCTCCATCTCCAAGGAGAGGCTCCTCAGTGTGCATCCCCATATCCGTCCTCTCTGCCGGCCCCCGGCGTCTGAGCAGTCATTCCCTGTCAGCACCTCTGCAGCCTGCTGGGCCTCAGGTTCGCTGTGAGGGACCTCCCCGGCCTTCCGCGGAGGTGGAGTAAGCTCCGTCAAGGCAGGTGGCTTCGTCCCTTCCTGTGAGTGACACCAGTGATGAAATGGACCCCTCCACACAGGCATCCTCAGGGCACAGGGCCCTGGGGGCACCTTCCTCCTTTCTTATTTGTTGAGAAAAAAAAGTGGCATTGGGCTCACACCAGGATGCTGGTGCAGAGCTGACATGCTCGGGAAAGGTCAGAGGTCACTGGGGGTGGGAAGGTCATCCAGTCCAGACTCAGCACCTCGTGGGCTGGTAAACTGAGGCTCAAAGTGCTGGTGCCAGGCCTAAGGCCTCGTGGTGACTGCTGTCTCTGGTTCCCAGCACCTGCCTGAGACCTGCCCCAGGCACCCATAACCTGGAATTCCGTTTCCTTGTCCAGGGCCTGAGGAAATGGCTCCCCAGGTCTGTCTCTGGAGGCTCTGAGGGAGACGGGCTTGGAGGCTCTAGGAGGAGGCAGGGATTCCAGGGTGTCAGGAAGGCAGGGGTGCCAGGTCCCACCCAGTGAAATAACAAACCGTGGGTGGCATTTCGGCCTCCCTGCCTTCCCCACTGGGTGTGCTGGTGCTGGTGCTGCTGGGTCAGGGCTGCCCGTGACCCCAGACACCACTGTCCGTCCTGTGAGGCTCCTGTCTGGGCATGTCCTGGGTGGATTCCTCCTTTCTGTTAAGTAGCTACATGAGGCAGGGGCTCCTGGATCCAAAAAAAATGACAGGAATTCCAGAGCCAGGTGCATCCACTCAGGACAGCCAGTGTTCGTGGAGCTGCCTCTCCACAAGTGAAAGTCAGCCCTCCCCTCTCATGAGAAAAGAACCTGTGGATACCTCTCAGCCTCCAGCGTTGCAAGTGCAAGGCCAGTGGAGTTAATCTGCAACGTGCATGAGGGCATGTGTCAGTGGCTGTGTGCAGGAGCGTGAGTGAGCAAGAGTGAGAGCGCATGGCTCCTGCTGTACCTCAAAGTGTGGGCTCCTGGTGGCTGCTCAGCGTTCCCAGGGGTGAGAGGCCTCATGCATCCTAGGCTGTCTATATATAGACACAGATTTTCTTCTCTGTGGTCTGGAGCGCCGCCTGGTGGTCTTGTGCTTCCCTGCAGGGAGGTTTGTGTCTGGGCTCACACTGAGGTACCCATTCTGTCTCCCACGGGAATGTGTGGCCCTGCCCTTGGCCATCACGGAGCTCAGCTGCAGGGATAACTGGGCCTTGGATGTGTCTCTGCAGATGGACAGTTGGCCCAGAAGGGTGGGCTGAAGTGTGTGCTGCCCCTGGAGCTGAGGTGCCCCAGTGCCTTCCCAGAGTGCTGCTGGGTCCAGGCCCAGAGGTCTGTGAGGACCTCACCAGCCCTGGGCATGACTCTAGTAGCTGCACTTGATGCAGGACACTCAGGGCCAAGAAGCAAAGACATGAGTCGCAAACGGACACCACAGCCCACAGCCCCAGTTCTGAAATCTCTGAGACACTCACATGGAAGTATAGCCATCAGGCAGAGGACGACGCAGAGAGATCTCATATTTTCCTCAACAAGGGGCACGACTTTCCCAGTGGCCTCTCCAGGACAGAACAAGAAAAAATAACTGGCTCTCTCTAGCCTGAGGTTGCATTTCGCCGAGTCTCTGGGATGGAAATGTGTCTTGTGTCTTCAGGAGTCTGCAGGGCAGCCGCTGCTGTGACTCAGGTAGAAACTTCTCTCCCCTGATGTCCTGGCCCCTTGTTATCCCTGCCACGGTGGAATCAGACTGGGCACCGCTTTAGGGAGAAACGGAGGACATGGAGTGAGGGCTGGTTAGTGGAGACTATTGAAAGGAGTCAAAACTCTCCAGGGGAAGAGACGCCTCCAGGAACCCTTGGCATTGTTTTCTTCACTTCGCAGGAGTAGGAAGGAGCTGAGAGTCTAGAGAGAGCCTCAGATGCACAACCCTAATTTGGCATATCAGGGAGCAATCTCATCAGCCCAGGAGAAGGCCCAGGAGAAGGGTCAGCTCTTTGTGCCTCTGCAGAGAAGCGGCAGGGACTGGGAGGGCTTTTTCCCTGCCCAGCAGGTGGTGCTGCCTCCTTGTTCCCTGCTTGGCACAGCCTCGGGGTGCAGCTGCTGGCTTTCCCAGGGCCTGTGGAGAGCGTCTTCTTGGTACTTCCTTAACGTCAAATAAAGTGAACGCCTTCTCAATGCACATCTTAATTCATCATTGGAAAGGCCAAAACACACACACACACACACACCCCTATATTTTTTTCTGACAAGAGCTAGAGACAATTGATAAGTATGTTATCTGACTATAGCTCACCTTAAGGAGGAAAAAACTATTAAGAAATTTCTTAAGTGTAAATTGTGCCTAATCATGTGTAAATTAGTAACAGAAGCAAAAAATAATAACTGCAGTCAACTTATACACTTTAAAAGAATACTCTGTGAAACAATGACATGTTATCAAAAAAGGGATACTTAATTTGTTATGTGTGGTGACGGTCAATGAGCAGACTTGTGTTCTTGCTGGAGAAGTCACAGCATCCCCACAGGTGGACTTCCTGCAGCAATCTTGCATGCCTCACACTTCTGTCCAAAGCACGTAAGGGAGGAGCTCAGTGCGCACAGGAACCTGACGCCTGCCACCCAAGGGATGCGTGAGCTTCCGTATAAGCAGAAGAAGATGGAAACTTCAGCACCTGCAACAGAAGAGGCTTTCTGCTTTGGGGACCCAAACAGTTCCATCTATGGTGGAGGTGTAGGCTCATTCCTACATCAACGTCAACAAGCCATTGAACACAACAACATTTAGGAGTAGTCGAGCCCACCTTCTCCAATGTGGCCTGCACAGCCCAGGCTGCAGGGTGGGAGAGGTTGATTCTGGAGAAAAGTCATTCCTGCTCCCCTGGTACACTCTCCTCCCCCACTGCTTCATACAGAGACCAATGTGATGATGCCATCATGATGTTGAAGCACACACTGAACCCTGTAATCAATTAAAGGGTTTTCCCATCCACCCATCCACACACACATCCACCCATCCACTCACCCATCCATCCATCCATCACTTATCCATGCATCCATCCACCCACCCAGCCATGCATTCATCCAGCCATCCCACAATCCACCCACCCACCCACACATCCAAACATCCATCCACTAATTCATGCATCTGTCCACCCATCCAGCCATCTGTTAGCAGGAGCGAATCCATACAGGTCTGCAGCAACTTGATTCTCGCCTCCTTGGAGGAAAGAATTTGGCCAAGGGGCATGCAGAAGAGTGAGAGACCCAAGCAAGTTTTAGAGCAGGAGTAAATGTTTATTAAAGTTTTAGAGTGGGAACGAAAGGAAGTAAAGTACACTTGGAAGATGGCTAAGTGGGTGACTTGAGAGATCTAAGTGCTCTGCCTGGCCCTTGACTTGGGGTTTTATACATTGGCATGGTTCTGGGATTTGTATTTCTTCTCCCTTGATTTTTCCTTTGGGGTGGGATGTCCACATGTACAGTGGCCTGCCAGTGCTTCGGAGGGGCCGCGTACACAATGGGTTTAATGAAATGTGCACATGCTCATTTGAGGTGTTTTTCTCTTACTTTTAGAGTGTTCCTAGAGGAAGATTATGTGCCAGTTAAACTCTGCCACTTTGCCTCTTAGTGCATATGCTTGAGCCCACTCATCCAACTCCTGAGATCTTATCGGGAAGCTGCTGATGACCAGTTTCGGGTGTTTTCTATCTATTGGGAGACTGCCTTTTCTTGGTGCCCGCTGAGATCAATTATTATTATTTATTATTATTATTATTATTTGAGACAGGGCTTTGCTCTACCACCAGGCTGGAGTGTGGTGGCGCAATCTCAGCTCACTGCAGCCTCTGCCTCCCAGGTTCAAGCAATTCTCCTGCCTCAGCCTCCCGAGTAGCTGGAACTATAGATGCACGCCACCACGCCCAGCTAATTTTTGTATTTTTAGTAAAGACAGGGTTTCGCCATGTTGGCCAGGATGGTTTCGATCTCTTGACCTTGTGATCCACCCGCCTCAGCCTCCCAAAGTGTTGGTATTACAGGCGTGAGCCACCATGTCCAGCCGAGACCAATTATTATTTTAGAGAGGCAGTTTAACAATCACTTGACTATCAGCTCATGCCTGCCTAACTACCCACTCTAATACATCCATCCCTTCACATACCCATTCATCCATCCATCCATCCATCCAACCATCCACTCACTTATCTATCCAAGTACTCATCCATGCATGTAGCCACCCACCTACCCACTCATTCATCCACCCACCCATGCATCCATCAACCTACCCATCCACCCATACATGCATCCATCTATCTTTCCACTCTTCCATCCACACACCTACTCAGCCATTCATCCATCCATCCATCCATCCATCCATCCATCCATCCATCCACTAATCCATGGTTGGGTCCATCTGTCTGTGCGGCAAACATGCAAGGATAAGTTCCATGTGACAAGTCTGAACTCAGTGTTGGAATCATGGGAGGGGCAAGGTGGAACAGGCTGGCTTCCTCACCACTATTAACACTGTGGGGAGAAGGCCGATGGCAAACTCACTTCCATGTTAAGTTTCCTGAAAGAGGAAGGGGAGTGTAATGCTAGAGAGTAATGGAAGCTCCCACTGTTGACACAGAGGTAATAAATGCCTGTCTGATGAGCTAAGACCTGCAGGAACAGAAACAGCCACATGAAAACAAGGCAGGAAAGAGGCCTATGGCAGAAGAGCAGCTGCTGAAAGTTCCCTTAGGTTGGGCAAAACTGCTATGTTTTGAGGAACTTAGAACAGTCCAAGGGCAAGCTACCGCCCTGTGTTTCTCCTCTTCCCCCGTGTCTGTCTGTGTTCCACAGTGATTGTGCAAACTCTAAATACATTGATGACTCACCATTGCCTTTATGTTAGAATAAACAAAACAGAAAACAAATCCCTGATGACCCCACAGGTTGCCCTCTTTCACTTTGTATCTCTCATTTCTGCCTCTCTCTCTCTCTCTCTGTCTCCCTTCATCTGGCCCATCTCTCTGTATATCTTTTTGTCTTATTATTTCAACAAAGTCTCTTAGGGTCCATCTACTGTGCTGGAAACTTTCTTCTCACCAACCATTGTAAGTTGGAGAATGTTTTCTCCACCTTATTACAAAATGTTATAGCTAATTCTCTTACTGCAGAATAATCTTTAATATGGGTGCCCTGTTTTTAGAATTTAAAATTAGTATCAATTGCCATTTTTTCACAATTACAATTAGTATTTTACAAATGAGTTTTGTAACAGGGCAGGGCATTAATGAATTAAATTACTCTGTAATAGGAATGAGAAATTTTATTTTAATATTTTTGAGACAGAGTCTTACTTTGTCTCTCAGGCTGGAGTGCGGTGATGTGATCTTAGCTCACTGCAACCTACACCTCTTGGGTTCAAACGATTATCCTGCCTCAGCCCCCCAAGTAGCTCGGACTACAGGTGCACGCCACCACGCCCAGCTAATTTTTGTATTTTTGGTAGAGACAGGGTTTCACCATGTTGGCCAGGCTGGTTTTGAACTTCTGACCTCAGGTGATCCACCTGCCTCAGCCTTCCAAAGTGCCGGGATACAGGCATGAGCCATCATGCCCAGCCAAGAAATTTTATTTTTAATGGACCCTCTTAGATAGTTATTAATAATGGCAGTATCAAAATACATGCAATTATGCATATGGAAGTAGCTTTTTTCCTGCAAACTCAAGAATATTTCAAATCATCTTCTCTTTATTCTTTTGAATTACATGTGTGAGAAACAGATTATAAGTATTTCATGTCATTTTCCCAGACATCACTATAAGCATCAAGTAACTATTCACATGTGTGCCAGCGATTTATCATCATACTCATGAGGGTTTTCTATTTCTAGAAGTTGCCCATTTTTTGATCTCTTCTTTGCTTTTTCCTTCTTGTAAATGTTGGACTTCTTAATTCTTTTCTAATGCTGCAGATCCTCCTAGGGAAGGATTCTCTACAGTACTACATGTGTTAGAATGTTGGGTGAAAAATTATACATGGTTTAAATAATGAATGAGCCCCAAAAAAAGAGCTGGATGTTGCCAGGTGCTAGGAATAGACAAAATTAAAAAGGGCATTTGAATTGAGAATGAAACCTGAATGCCCCTTGCATTTCTGAGGTAGGTTTAACATACACAGGACAGGAGCAGCCTTGTGTGTCTTCTGGGACTGGAGCTGAGGTTTCTGCTTTAGTAGAGAGGTTTTTTTTTTAATAATTAGTTTCTCTTTTGATTGACACATAAAAATGACCTATATTTATTCTGTACAGCATAATGTTTTGTAACATGTCTACATAGGGGAGTGGCTCCACTGAGCTAATTAACATCTGTATCACTCACATACTCCCCATACGGCTAGAGAGGTTCTAAGTTGGCTTCAGCCATGACGTCAGGTGAGAAACATTCCCCATGAAGAGCAGCCCTGGACATGGTAGAAAAGCAAACCCCAAGCCCTCGCTGTTCACAAAGTGGTCCTAGTGTCTCACCCACCATCTGGAGCTGCAACACTGAGCTAGGAAATCACCGCCGTGGAGTGCCACTGGCAGCGCACAGGTCCCAGCAGCCCGGAATAAGGCGCCATCCACAGATGCCTGCTCCCGGCGGACCACAGCTCCTGTGGTGAGGTCTCATACATAGAAACCATGTGATGAGCATGGGAAAAGCCTGTTATGGCATTCTGAAGACCACAAAGAGGGAGGTAAACCTCTAGAGATGACAGATACTTCAAGTTACTTTCTGATTTTTCTAAAATTATAAAATAGATCAACAAAAAGCTAGAGAAGAATGAATAATTCAAGAACAGATTTTAAGAAAGAAGAACTTTCTGATGTGTGAAAGTACCCAATATGCATTATCATAATTGTAGGCATTGAGCTCTCAATGAAAGAATGACCTCACACTTGACACTCAGAAGGGGATAAATAATGTTGGACAGATTGCCAAAGTGCTCTAGGAAGAAAATAATCCATCTTTAATTTTACAATACCACTCTTTCTACAATGATAGCAAAAAAAAATCCAGATACAAATGGCAGGAAAGTGGAGCATACAGTTTCTTGCTGAAGCTGCTGTTGATGAATGTGCTTCACTTGCACGATCTCAGCTGTGCATAGTGTGTGGCCAGTGGGGAGCAGTGCTTGTGGGTGGCTGAATAATGCATCCCCCAAATGTTTACATTCAAACTCCCAGAACATGTGGATTTGTGACCTCATATGGCACGAGGAACTTTGTAGATGTGATTAAATTAATCTCGAGAGGGGAGAATATGACCCTGCATTTTCTGGGTGGGTATGACATAATCACAAGGGTGCTTATAAGTGGAAGCAGGAGAGCCAGAGTCAGGGGAAGGGTGATGTGATGATGGACACAGAAATGAGAGGATGGCCTTTGAAGATGGAAGAAGGGGACACAGAGCAAGGAATATGGGTTCTAGAATCTGGAAAAGGCATGAAAACAGAATCTCCCTCCCAGGGTTCAGAAGGAACCAGCTCTGCCAACACTTTGCCTATAGACTAATAAAACCGCAGGACAACCAAGAAACTGCTCTTTCTTACATAGAACACAGTCAGTATGCTCACATGACATGGGTGGGTTTGAGAGTTAAAGGAGACTGCAAGGCCTCTGGGTGAAACAGGGCAGGAATCAGGTGGAGCAAGAGGGTGGGTGGGCAGGACCTGATTTTCAGGAGTGTAAATGTGAGGCACTGATGAGATTTCCAGGTGGAGACAGAGGGAGGAGTTATGTGTTCAGGTCTAGAGTGGAGCTGGTAGCTTGGTCTGAGCCTGAGAAAGGAGGGCATCCTCTAGGGATTGAGAGTAGGAAAAAGGAAGAGTGGATTAGTGCTAAGAACTAAGTGGGAGATTTCTGGAGGTTTCAGCTCACAGAGCCAGCAATGGCTTATGGTTGGGGTTTGTAACCCCAGTCACTGAAAGTGTCCTCCCAGCCTTTCTTTGCATATGCCCCTGGGACTGAGTTCCTGCGTTGGGTGGTCACTTACCATTCCCTAAGAGGCCCTAAGCACCTCCTGCAGCCCAGCAACTCCTGGACCCTCTGGAGAGGAAGTTTGTGTTTGTGTTTGCTTACGGAGCCCGGCTGCAGAGAAAACAAGTTTTGTTTTTTATTTTTTCGAAAGGATCTCACTCTGCCTGCCACCCACACTGAAGTGAGGTGGTGCCATCATAGCTCAGTGCAACCTCAACCTCCTGGCCTCAAGCCACCCTCCCACCTTGGCCTCCCAAAGTGTTGCATTTACAGGTGTGTGCCAAGGTGCCCAGTCAAAAACGGGTTCTTGGCTGGGCACTGTGGCTCAAGCCTGTAATCCCAGCACCTTGGGGGTCAAGGTGGGTGGATCACTTGAGCCCAGGATTTGAGACCAGTCTGAGCAACAGACTGTGACATGACCATTTAGCCTATGCAAATGTGGGGCTGGTTAAATGGTCTATGTGGGGCTGTCGCCTTGTCTTTGCATCTGTCACTGAGGCCAGAAGTCAGCAGGGCATACATTTCGGAAGGAAAGACAGTGGGCAAGCTGAGGTGGACAGAGGCATCCACAGGGATGGGTTGGGACACATGAAGGCAGGTGAAACCATGTTGTCTCTCACACCCTTTCAAGGGTCTCAGAGACTTGATTTAGAATTTTGATTTTTGAGAACATTTGTTATAGATGCTAAAAGGCTCAAAATATTTGATCAAAACAGAATCACAGGCCATTGTAAAATGATAGTTACTAATTTAACCAAAGTGGTAATTAAAAAGACTTTGGAGGTGAGTCAAGATGGCTGACTAGATGCAGCCAGGAGGAACATCTGCCATGGAGGGAGTGAGACATCAGGAAGACTGGTGCTTTCCAAGCAGATCTTTAAAGGGAAGGCATTGAGAGTGGACTGAGAGATGCCGGGCTGAAGGTGGAGGAAGATGGGAACCCTGCATGGGGATGCCGAGCACCAGGACTCATTCCTGGCTCCCAGCAACTCCTGGGGAAAGGTTGAGTTGAACAGGTGAGGAGTGGCCTGCTGTTGCCATGGGCCTCCAGAATCCTAGCAGCAGGAGACCCCATGACCCCCATGGACACTTGTGCTGGCAGGGACAGCTGCTTAGAGGGATACCAAGGGTAGGACTCCAGTCTGTGTAAAGCCCAGAGTGTTTGACATGAGAATGGCTGTAGTGGAGCACAGCCAGGTGACACCCATCCCCCAAGGCTCACCAACCTCCTCTAGGAGATTTTAACCTTAGAGTGACTATTGGAGCTGAATATAGCAGGGTGGTCTTGTCCATGGGACAGGGCCCATCTGAAATGAGCATTTCCTTGCCTTCTGGCCTCTCCTGGGGCCCCAGGCTGGCTGTGCCTGCTTGCAGTACAGCCTTGGAAGCCCAACCAGGGTGTTTCCTGGGGGCCCTCATCATAGCTCCTTTGCCAGCAGACCATGCCTAACCATTGGGGACCTCCAGCAAGCCAGCCTCTGCTGATGTGCACCAGTCCACCCATAGCACCTCCCAACTGCTTTGCTGGCATGAGTGCACAGCGGATCACAACTCCCTCTACCACCAGCAAGCATGTGCATGTGCACCCCGCCACCCTGTCCCTGCCAACACACAGGCACCTCACTGTCCTGTGACTGCCAGCAGGAACCTATGTAGGGATGCTGCCACCCTGCTCCTGCCAGTACCCCCACCCCAGCAGAGGCATGTGCACCCTGCCATGACACCACAACTGCTGGCACCTATGAGTGAGAATGGATCCCACTGCCACCACTCTAATGAAGTGCTTTGGCCGGCACCACCTACTATAGTGTTGTGGCCAGTGGACTGGGAAAAACTCAGCCCCTCCAATGCAGCAAGTTTCTAAACTCAAGGGGCCAGAGAATAAAGCCAGGGGCCCAGTCCCAGAGCAGAGAACACACCACAAGAGTGCTGAGGTCAGCCTGGACCCCCTAAGATTTTCAAGAAACACAGCTAACTGAACCCACTTTATACCACAATCAAACCTGCAAGAGTATCAAAGAAGATAAGAGCAAAAAACAAACAAATGAACAAACAAACAAAAACACACACCAAAAAACAACAAAAAAGAAAAAAACATCCAAAGGACAGCCACTTCAAAGATTAAAGAAACAGCCCACAAAGATGAGAAAGAATTAATGCAAGAAACTCTGCAACTCTAAAATCCAGAGTGTCTTCTTACCTCCAAACGACCACACTGGTTTCCCAGCAATGGTTCTTAACCTGACTGAAATGGCTGAAATGACAGACATAGAATTCAGAATATGGATAGGAAAGAAGATAACTGAGATTCAGGAGAATGTTGAAACCCAATCCAAGGGAGCTAAGAAATAAAGTAAAATGATACAGAAGCTGAAAGATGAAGTGGCCATTTTAAGAAAGAATCAAAATGATTTGATAGAGCTAAAAAACTCACTTCAAGAATTTCAGAATACAACTACAAGTATTAACCGCAGAATAGACCAAGCTGAGGAAAGAATCACAGAGCTTAAAAACTGATTCTCTGAATTAACTCAGTCAGACAAAAATAAAGGAAAAGAGAACAAAAAAGAAGGCATAAAACCTCAGAGAAATGGGTGATTATGTAAAAAGATCAGATCTATGACACATTGGTATCCCTTAAAAAGAGAAAGAGAAACAAAGCAACTTGAAAAACATTTCAGGCTATCCTCCATGAAAATTTCTCCAACCTCACCAGAGAGGCCAACATTCAAATTCAAGAAATGCAAAGAACCTCTGCAAGATATTATACATGACAACCATCCCTAAGACATATAGCCATCAGACTCTTAAAGGTTGAAAGGAAAAAAAATGTTAGAGGCAGCTAGAAAGAAGGTTCAGGTCGCATACAAAGGGAACCCAATGAGGCTAACAGTGGATGTTTCACCAGAAACTGTACAATCCAGAAGAGATTAGGGGCCTATATTCAGCATTCTTAAAGAAAAGAAATTCCAAGCAAGAATTTCATATCTAGCCAAACTAAGCTTCACAAGTGAAGGAGAAATAAGATCCTTTTCAGACAAGCAAATGCTAAGGGTATTCATCACCACTATATTTCCCTTACAAGAGGTCCTTAAGGGATTGCTAAATATGATAATGGAAGAATGTTACTGACCACCACAAAAACACACTTAAGTACATAACGATTGCCACTATAAATCAACTATACAATCAAATCTGCATATTGAGCAGCTAACAACATGATAACAGGATGAAATATGCACATATCAATATTAATCTTGAATGTAAATGGACTAAATGCCCCAATTAAAGGGCACAGAATTGCCAAGTTGGATAAAGAAGCAAGACCCAAATGTATGCTGTCTTCAAGAGACCCATCTCACATGCAGTGACATCCACAGGCTCAAAGTAAAAAAATGGAGAAAAATCAACAAAGCAAATGGAAAACAGGAAAAAGCAGGTGTTTCTTTTTTTTTAATTTTTTTATTATACTTTAAGTTTTAGGGTACATGTGCACAACGTGCAGGTTTGTTACATATGTATATATGTGCCATGTTTGTGTGCTACACCCATTAACTCATCATTTAACATTAGGTATATCTCCTAATGCTATCCCTCCCCCCTCCCCCCACCCCACAACAGGCCCCGGTGTATGATGTTCCCCTTCCTGTGTCCAAGTGTTCTCATTGTTCAATTCCCACCAATGAGTGAGAACATGTGGTGTTTGCTTTTTGTCCTTGCGATAGTTCGGTGAGAATGATGGTTTCCAGCTTCATCCATGTCCCTACAAAGGACATGAACTCATCCTTTTTTATGGCTGTGTAGTATTCCATGGTGTATATGTGCCACAGTTTCTTAATCCAGTCTATCATTGTTGGACATATGGGTTGGTTCCAAGTCTTTGCTATTGTGAATAGTGCCGCAATAAACATATGTGTGCATGTGTCTTTATAGCAGCATGATTTATAATCCTTTGGGTATATACCCAGTAATGGGATGGCTGGGTCAAATGGTATTTCTAGTTCTAGATCCCTGAGGAATCGCCACACTGACTTCCACAATGGTTGAACTAGTTTACAGTCCCACCAACAGTGTAAAAGTGTTCCTATTTCTACACATCTTCTCCAGCACCTGTTGTTTCCTGACTTTTTAATGATTGCCATTCTAACTGGTGTGAGATGGTATCTCATTGCGGTTTTGATTTGCATTTCTCTGATGGCTAGTGATGATGAGCATTTTTTCATGTGTCTTTTGGCTGCATAAATGTCTTCTTTTGAGAAGTGTCTATTCATATCCTTTGCCCACTTTTAATGGGGTTGTTTGTTTTTCTTGTAAATTTGTTTGAGTTCATTGTAGATTCTGGATATTAGCCCTTTGTCAGATGAGTAGATTGCAAAAATTTTCTCCCATTCTGTAGGTTGCCTGTTTACTCTGATGGTAGTTTCTTTTGCTGTGCAGAAGCTCTTTAGTTTAATTAGATCCCATTTGTCAATTTTGGCTTTGGTTGTCATTGCTTTTGGTGTTTTAGACATGAAGTCCTTGCCCATGCCTATGTCCTGAATGATAATGCCTAGGTTTTCTTCTAGGGTTTTCATGGTTTTAGGCCTAACATTTAAGTCTTTAATCCATCGTGAATTAATTTTTGTATAAGGTGTAAGGAAGGGATCCAGTTTCAGCTTTCTACATATGGCTAGCCTGTTTTCCCAGCACCATTTATTAAATAGCTAATCATTTCCCCATTTCTTATTTTTGTCAGGTTTGTCAAAAATCAGATAGTTGTAGATATGCGGCATTATTTCTGAGGGCTCTGTTCTGTTCCATTGGTCTATATCTCTGTTTTGGTACCAGTACCATGCTGTTTTGGTTACTGTAGCTTTGTAGTATAGTTTGAAGTCAGGTAGCTTGATGCCTCCAGCTTTGTTCTTTTGGCTTAGGATTGACTTGGCAATGTGGGCTCTTTTTGGGTTCCATATGAACTTTAAAATAATTTTTTCCAATTCTGTGAAGAAAGTCATTGGTAGCTTGATGGGGATGGCAATGAATCTATAAATTACATTGGGCAGTATGGCCATTTTCAGGATATTGATCCTTCCTACCCATAATCATGGAATGTTTTTCCATTTGTTTGTATCCTCTTATTTCATTGAGCAGTGGTTTGTAGTTCTCCTTGAAGAGGTCCTTCACGTCCCTTGTAAGTTGGATTCCAAGGTATTTTATTCTCTTTGAAGCAATTGTGAATGGGAGTTCACTCCTGATTTGGCTTTCTGTTTTTCTGTTATTGGGTTATAGAAATGCTTGTGATTTTTGCACATTGATTTTGTATCCTGAGACTTTGCTGAAGTTGCTTATCAGCTTAAGGAGATTTTGGGCTGAGACGATGGGGTTTTCTAGATATACAATCATGTTATCTGCAAACAGCGACAATTTGACTTCCTCTTTTCCGAATTGAATACCCTTTATTTCCTTCTCCTGTTTGATTGCCCTGGCCAGAACTTCCAACACTATGTTGAATAGGAGTGGTGAGAGAGGGTGTCGCTGTGTTGTGCCAGCTTTCAAAGGGAATGCTTGTAGTTTTTGCCCATTCAGTATGATATTGGCTGTGGGTTTGTCATAGATAGCTGTTATTATTTTGAGATACATCCCATCAATACCTAATTTATTGAGAGTTTTTAGCATGAAGCGTTGTTGAATTTTGTCAAAGGCCTTTTCTGCATCTATTGAGATATCATGTGTTTTTTGTTGTTGGTTCTGTTTATACGCTGGATTACGTTTATTGATTTGTGTATGTTGAACCAGCCTTGCATCCCAGGTATGAAGCCCACTTGATCATGGTGGATAAGCTTTTTGATGTGCTGCTGGATTCAGTTTGCCAGTATTTTATTGAGGATTTTTGCATCTATGTTCATCAGGGTTATTCGTCTAAAATTCTCTTTTTTTTGTTGTGTCTCTGCCAGGCTTTGGTATCAGGATGATGCTGGCCTCATAAAATGAGTTAGGGAGGATTCCCTCTTTTTCTATTGATTGGAATAGTTTCAGAAGGAGTGGTACCAGCTCCTCCTTGTACCTCTGGTAGAATTCGGCTGTGAATCCATCTGGTCCTGGACTTTTTTTGGTTGGTAAGCTATTAATTACTGCCTCAATTTCAGAGCCTGTTATTGGTCTATTCAGAGATTCAACTTCTTCCTGGTTTAGTCTTGGGATGGTGAATGTGTCGAGGAATTTATCCATTTCTTCCATATTTTCTAGTTTATTTGCATAGAGGTGTTTATAGTATTCTCTGATGGTAGTTTGTATTTCTGTGGGATCAGTGGTGATATCCCCTTTATCATTTTTTATTGCATCTATTTGATTCTTCTCTCTTTTCTTCTTTATTAGTCTTGCTAGCGGTCTATCAATTTTGTTGATCTTTTAAAAAAAACCAACTCCTGGATTCATTGATTTTTTGAAGGGTGTTTTGTGTCTCTGTTTCTTTCAGTTCTGCTCTGATCTTAGTTATTTCTTGCCTTCTGCGGGCTTTTGAATGTGTTTGCTCTTGCTTCTGTAGCTCTTTTAATTGTGATGTTAGGGTGTCAATTTTAGATCTTTCCTGCTTTCTCTTGTGGGCATTTAGTGCTATAAATTTCCCTCTACACACTGCTTTGAATGTGTCTCAGATATTCTAGTATGTTGTGTCTTTGTTCTCATTGGTTTCAAAGAACATCTTTATTTCTGCCTTCATTTCGTTGTGTACCCAGTAGTCATTCAGGAGCAGGTTGTTCAGTTTCCATGTAGTTGAGCCGTTTTGAGTGAGTTTCTTAATCCTGAGTTCTAGTTTGATTGCACTGTGGTCTGAGAGACAGTTTGTTATAATTTCTATTCTTTTACATTTGCTGAGGAGTGCTTTACTTCCAACTATGTGGTCAATTTTGGAATAGGTGTGGTGTGGTGCTGAAAAGAATGTATATTCTGTTGATTTGGCGTGGAGAGTTCTGTAGATGTCTATTAGGTCTGCTTGGTGCAGAGCCGAGTTCAGTTCCTGGATATCCTTGTTAACTTTCTGTCTCGTTGATCTGTCTAATGTTGACAGTGGGGTGTTAAAGTCTCCTATGATTATTGTGTGGGAGTCTAAGTCTCTTTGTAGATCTCTAAGGACTTGCTTTATGAATCTGGGCGCTCCTGTATTGGGTGCATATATATTTAGGATAGTTAGCTCTTCTTGTTGAATTTATCCCTTTACCATTATGTAATGGTCTTCCTTGTCTCTTTTGATCTTTGTTGGTTTGAAGTCTGTTTTATCAGAGACTAGGATTGCATCTCCTGCCTATTTTTGTTTTCCATTTGCTTGGTAGATCTTCCTCCATCCCTTTATTTTGAGCCTATGTGTGTCTCTGCATGTGAGATCGGTCTCCTGAAAACAGCACGCTGATGGGTCTTGACTCTTTATCCAATTTGCCAGTCTGTGTCTTTTAATTGGAGCATTTAGCCCATTTACATTTAACGTTAATATTGTTATGTGTGAATTTGATCCTGTCATTATGATGTTAGTTGGTCATTTGGCTCATTAGTTGATGCAGTTTCTTCCTAGCCTTGGTGGTCTTTACAATTTGGCATGTTTTTGCAGTGGCTGGTACAAGTTGTTCCTTTCCACTTTTAGTGCTTCCTTCAGGAGCTCCTGTAGGGCAGGCCTGGTGATGACAAAGTGTATCAGCATTTGTTTGTCTGTAAAGGATTTTATTTCTCCTTCACTTATGAAGCTTAGTTTGGCTGGATATGAAATTCTGGGTTGAAATTTCTTTTCTTTAAGAATGTTGGATATTGGCCCCCATTCTCTTCTGGCTTGTAGAGTTTCTGCTGAGAGATCAGCTATTAGTCTGATGGGCCTCCCTTTGTGGGTAACCCAACCTTTCTCTCTGGCTGCCCTTAATATTTTTTTTTCATTTCAACTTTGGTGAATCTGACAATTATGTGTCTTGGAGTTGCTCTTCTCGAGGAGTATCTTTGTGACATTCTCTGTATTTCCTGAATTTGAATGTTGGCCTGTCTTGCTAGGTTGGGGAAGTTCTCCTGGATAATATCCTGCAGAGTGTTTTCCAAATTGGTTCCATTCTCCCTGTCACTTTCAGGTACACCAATCAGACATAGATTTGGTCTTTTCACATAGTCTGATATTTCTTGGAGGGTTTGTTTCTTTCTTTTTACTCTTTTTTCTCTAAACTTCTCTTCTCCCTTCATTTCTTTCATTTGATCTTCAATCACTGATACCCTTTCTCCCAGTTGATCGAATCAGCTACTGAAGCTTGTGCATTCATCACGTAGTTCTTGTGCCATGGTTTTCAGCTCCATCAGGTCATTTAAGGACTTCTCTACACTGGTTATTCTAGTTAGCTATTCATCTGATCTTTTTTCAAGGTTTTTAGCTTCTTTGCAATGGGTTCCAACTTCCTCCTTTAGCTCGGAGTAGTTTGATCATCTGAAGCCTTCTTCTCTCAACTCGTCAAAGTCTTTCTCCATCCAGCTTTGTTCCATTGCGGGCGAGGAGCTGCGTTCCTTTGGAGGGGGAAAGGCACTTTGATTTTTAGAATTTTCAGCTTTTCTGCTCTGTTTTTCCCCCATCTTTGTGGTTTTATCTACCTTTGGTCTTTGATGATGGTGACGTACAGATGGGGTTTTCATGTGGATGTCCTTTCTGTTTGTTAGTTTTCCTTCTAACAGTCAGGACCCTCAGCTGCAGGTCTGTTGGAGTTTGCTGGAGCTCTACTGCAGACCCTATTTTGCTGGGTATCAGCAGCAGAGGCTGCAGAACAGCGAGTATTGCTGAACAGCAAATGTTGCTGCCTGATAATTCCTCTGGAAGCTTCATCTCAGAGAGGCACCCGGCCGTGTGAGGTGTCAGTCTGCCCCTACTGGAGGGTGCCTCCCAGTTAGGCTACTTGGGTGTCAGGGACCCACTTGAGACAGTCTGTCCATTCTCAGATCTCAAAGTCCATGTGGGAGAACCACTACTCTCTTCAAAGCTGTCAGACAGGGACCTTTAAGTCTGCAGAGGTTTCTGCTGCCTTTTGTTCAGCTATGCCCTGCCCCCAGAGGTGGAGTCTACAGAGGCAGACAGGCCTCCTTGAGCTGCAGTGGACTCCACCCAGTTTGAGCTTCTGGGCCACTTTGTTTACCTACTCAAGCCTCAGCAATGATGGGCACCCCTCCCCCAGCCTCGCTGCCACCTTGCAGTTTGATCTCAGACTGCTGTGCTAGCAATGAGCGAGGCTCTGTGGGTGTGGGACCCTCCAAGACAGGCATGGGATATAATCTCCTGGTGTGCCGTTTGCTAAGACCATTGGAAAAGTGCAGTATTAGGGTGGGAGTGACTGGATTTTCCAGGTGCCGTCCATCACCACTTCCCTTGGCTAGGAATGGGAATTCCCTGACCCCTTGCACTTCCTGGGTTAGGCAATGCCTCACCCTGCTTCAGCTCACTCTTGGTGGTCTGCACACACTGTCCTGCCCCCACTGTCCAACAAGCCCCCATGAGATGAACCCAGAACCTCAGTTGGAAATGCAGAAATCACCCGTCTTCTGCATAGCTCATGCTGGGAGCTGCAGACTGGAGCTGTTCCTATTCAGCCATCTTGGAACTGCCCCCTCATAGATTCTTGATATTAGACCTTTGTCACATGCTGATGTGGTTTTGCTCTGTGTCATTAAACAAATCTCATCTCAAATAGTAATCCTCGGCCGGGCGCGGTGGCTCACGCCTGTAATCCCGGCACTTTGGGAGGCTGAGGCGGGCGGATCACGAGGTCAGGAGATCGAGACCATCCCGGCTAAAACGGTGAAACCCCGTCTCTACTAAAAATACAAAAAATTAGCCGGGCGTACTGGCGGGCGCCTGTAGTCCCAGCTACTTGGGAGGCTGAGGCAGGAGAATGGCGTGAACCCGGGAGGCGGAGCTTGCAGTGAGCCGAGATCCCGCCACTGCACTCCAGCCTGGGCGTCAGAGCGAGACTCCATCTCAAAAAAAAAAAAAAAATAGTAATCCTCATGTGTCAAGGGATGGACCTGGTGGGAGGTGACTTGGTCATGGGGGTGATTTCCCCCATGCTGTCCTCATGGTCTCCTGATAGTGAGTGAGTGCTCATGTGATCTGATGGTTTTATCAATGTATGGTGGTTCCTCCTTCATTCCCTCTCTCTCTCTTTCTCTCTCTCTCTCTGTCTCTCACCTGCTGCCATGTGTCACATGCCTGCTTCCACTTCCACCATGATTGCAAGTTTCCTGAGCCCCCGACCCTAACCACACAGAACTGTGAGTCAATTAAACCTCTTTTCTTTACAAATTATCCACTTTTGGGCAGTTCTTTATAGCACTGTGAAAACAGACTAATATAGTAAATTGGTACCAGGAGTGGGGAACTGTTATAAAGATAACTGAAAATCTGGAAGCAACTTTGGAACCGGGTACCTCCTGACAGAGGTTGGAACAGTTTGGAGAACTTGAAAGAAGAGGGGAAGATGTGGGAAAGTTTGGAACTTCCTAGAGACTTATTGAGTGGTTTTGACTAAAATGCTGATAGTGACATGAACAGCGAAGTCCAAGCTGAGCTGGTCTTAGATGGTGAGGACTAAACTCTGATTTTTTTTTTATCTTGCCCAAATTCCTATCTAAAGAGTCTGGGGAGGCATGCTCTACAAATCATAAATTCTCATCAGATAGGTTTTATTTAAACCTATATATCATGATTTACTTTCCAAACTGACTCTGGCATAACATTATGAGACAAATAAGAAAATCAAAATATTTTACCCCAAAACATGTTTCTTTGCCATACTCTGAGATGGCCCTGCAGGCCGGGCATGGTGGCTCATGCCTGTAATCCCAGCACTTTGAGAGGCTGAGGTGGGCGGATCACCTGAGGTTGGGAGTTCGAGACCAGCCTCACCAACATGGAGAAACCCTGTGTCTACTGAAAATACAGAATTAGCCGGGTGTGGTGGTGCATGCCTGTAATCGTAGCTACTCAGGAGACTGAGGCAGGAGAATTGCTTGAACCCAGGCAGTGGAGGTTGTGGTGAGACAAGATCGTGCCATTGTACTCCAGCCTGGGCAACAAGAGCAAAACTCCCTCTAAAAAGAAAGAAAGAAAGAGAGAGAGAGAGAGAGAGAAGGAAGGAAGGAAGGAAGGAAGGAAGGAAGGAAGGAAGGAAGGAAGGAAGGAAGGAAGGAAGGAAAGAGAAAGAAAAGAAAGAAAGAAAGAAAGAAAGAAAGAAAGAAAGAAAGAAAGAAAGAAAGAAAGGGCCCTGCAAAGCTGTTCTTTGTGGGGGAAAATTTGCATCTGTAAAGAATCTCTATTAACATGGCTAGATCTTTTTCTTCTAGAACCTCCCAATCCTAAAGAGTTGAACTAAGATCTGAATAGGAAACATTTGTCACCTATTATCTCTAAGGGCAGCCACTATAAGACTTCAAAAGAACTTTGGACTCTAGAATCTTTATCTTAACCTGAACATTACCTTTCTATCTATCCCAGGTCTTTAGACAAACTCAACCAATTGTCAACCAGAAAATGTTTAAATTCACCAATAGCCTGGAAGCCCTCGCTTTGAGTTGTTCCACCTTTCTGGACCAAACCAATGTATCTCTTAAATGTATTTGATTGATGTCTCATGCCTGTATAAAACCAAGCTTGATGGAATTTTTCCCTGCCCTAGAAATCTGTGGAACTTTGCCCTTGAGAGAGATGATCTGAAATAGGAACTTATGTTTAAAAGGGAAACAGAGCATAAAAGTTTGGAAAGTTTGCAGCCTGGCCATGTGGTAGTAAAGAAAAACACATTTGCTAGGGAGAAATTCAAGTTGGCTGCAGAAATTTGCATAAATAATGAAGAGATGAATATTAATAACCAAGACAATGGGGAAAATGTTTCCAGGCCATGTCAGAGATCTTTGCAGCAGCCCTTCCAATCACAGGCCTGGAGGCCTATCAGGGAAAAATGGTTTCATGGGCTGGGTCCAGGGCCCAGCTGCTCTTTGGAGCCTTGGGACTTGGTGCCCTGTGTCCCAGCTGCTCCAGGTCTAGCTGTGGCTAAAAAAGTCCAATGTACAGCTCAGGCCATTGCTTCAGAAAGCCCCAATCATTGGTGGCTTCTACATGATGTTGGGCCTATGGGTGTGCAGAAGAGAAGAGTTCAGCTTTGTGATCCTCTGCCTAGATCTCAGAGGATTTATAGAAATGACTGGATGTCCAGCCAGAAGTCTGTGCCAGGGGCAAAGCCCTCATGGAGAGCCTCTGCTAGGGCAGTGCAGAAGGGAAATGTGGGGTTGGAACCCCCACACAGAGTCCCCACCGGAGACAGTGACTAATGGGGTTGTGAGAAGAGGGCCACCATCCTTCAGACCCCAGAATGGTAGATCTATTAACAGCTTGCACTGTGCACCTGGAAAAGCTGCAGGCACTCAATGAGAGCAGCCAGGAGGGCTGAACTCTGCAAAGCCCATGAGAGCAGCCATGGGATCAGAGCTGCAAAGCCACAGGGTGAGAGCTTCCCAAGGTTGTGGGAGCCCCCACTTTGCATAAGCATGCCCTGAATGTGAGGAATGGAGTCAAAGGAGATTATTTTGAAGCTTTAAGATTTCATGACTGCCCCACTGGAGTTTGGGCTTGCATGTGACCTGTAGCCCCTTTATTCTGGCCCATTTCTCCCAACTGAAATGGGAGCATGTATCTAATGCCTGTACCCCCATTTTGTCTTGGAAGTAACTGACTTGTTTTTCATTTTACAGGTTCATAGATGAAAGGGACTTGCCTTGTCTCCAATGTGACTTTGGATTTGGACTTTTGAGTTAATGCTGAAATGAGTTAAGATGTTGGGGGACTGTTGGGAAGGCACGATTGGTTTTGAAATGCAAAGAGGACATGAGATTTGGGAGGGGTTGGGGTGGCGTGATCTGGTTTGGCTGTGGGTCTCTACCCAAATGACACCATTCCTCAGGGTGATCAGCGAGCTACCTGATGGCAGGTTGGATTATATTGGACCTCTTCCATCCTGGAAAGGGCAGAGGTTTGTCCTCACTGAAATAGACACTTACTGCAGATATGCATGCAATGCTTCTGCCAAGACTACCATCTGTGGAGTCATGGAATGCCTTATCCACTGTCACAGTATTCCATATAGCATTGCCTCTGACCAAGGCACTCCCTTTACGGCTAAAGAAGTGTGGCAGTGGGCTCATGCTCATGGGATTCACTTGTCTTACCATGTTCCCCATCATCCTGAAGCAGCTGGATTGATAGAAGAATGGAATGGCCTTTCAAAATCACAATTACAATGCCAACTAGGCTCCAATACTTTGCAGAGCTGGGGCAAAGCTATCCAAAAGGCCATGTATGCTCCAAATTAGCATCCAACATATGGTACTGTTTCTCCCATAGCCATAATTCATGGATCCAGGAATCAAGGGGTGGGAGTGGAAATGGCACCATTCACCATCACCCCTAGTGATCCCCTAGCAAAATTTTTGCTTCCTGGTCCCATGACATTACATTCTGTTGGCCTAGAGGTCTTAATTCCAGTGGGAATAATGCTGCCATCAGGAGAAACAACAACAATTCCATTAAACTGGAAGTTAAGATTTCCACCTGGCCACTTTGGGCCGCTCCTACCTTCAAGTCCACAGGCTAAGAAGGGAGTTACAGTGTTGACTGGGCTGATTGACCTGAACTATCAAGATGCAATCAGTCTATTACTCCACAATGGAGGTAAGGAAGAATATGTATGGAATACAGGAGATCCATTAGGGCATCTCTTAACATTACCCTGCCCTGTCATTAAGGTCAACGGGAAACTACAACAGCCCAATCCAGGCAGGACTACAAATGGCCCAGACCCTTCAGGAATGAAGGTTTGCATCACTCCACTAGGAGAAAAAACTCTACCTGCTGTGATGCTTGCTGAAGGCAAAGGGAATACAGAATCGGTAGTAGAAGAAGTAGTCATCAATACCAGCTACAACCACGTGATCTGTTGCAGAAATGAGGACTGTAATTGTCATCAGTATTTCCTTCTTCTTTTGTTAAAAACATGTTTGTGCATGTACACACTTGTACTAAGAAAATTCCTTCATTTTATTTCTTTTTTCCTTTATCATGTGACATAAAATTTATTGACTTCATATCAGCATTTAAGTGTTCTTAACTTTACATAATAGCACTTGGGTTGGGGATTGGTGCATTTCTGGTTGTACAAAAGATAGTTGTATTACATTAGGTGTAATTATGACCTTATTATTGTCTTTATTTGAAGATTATGTATGATCTCAGGAGATTCGTATGGGTTCAAGTTGACAAGGGTTGGACTTGTGATGGTTAATACTGAGTGTCAACTTGATTGGATTGAAGCATGCAAAGTATTGATCCTGGGTGTGTCTGTGAGGGTGTTGCCAAAGGAGATTAACATTTGAGCCAGTGAGCTGGGAAAGGCAGACCTACCCTTAATCTTGGTGGGCACCATCTAATCAGCTGCCAGTGTGGCCAGGGTATAAAGCAGGCAGAAAACATGAAAAGACTAGACTGGCTTAGCCTCCCAGCCTACATCTTTCTCCTGTGCTGGATGCTTCCTGCCCTCGAACATCAGACTTCAAATTCTTCAGCTTTGGGATTCGGACTGGCTTCCTTGCTCCTCAGCTTGCAGGTGGCCTACTGTGGGACCTTGCAGTTGTGTGAGTTTAATACTCCTCAATAAACTCCTACATATATATAATATATAATACATATTATATATTATATATATACATACTAGGGTTCTCTAGAGGGACAGCACTAGATATATATATATATAGTTTCCATAGTCTGTGGTGTAAACTATGTGAAATGGTCTTTACAACCTCCTGAAGGGTAACACCCAGACTGTCACCTGAACTCCCTGAAATCCTGTGCCCTGGGGATTGGAGAAACCTTAAAACCAAAGCCAGTGTTAAGTTAGCTCAGTCTTTGATTAAACATGGCAATCTCCCTATACTTGGCTTCCAGGGGTGGGTGAGGGAGAATTCCTGCCTGGAACAAGGTCGCATTACAAAGAATCTTCACAATGCTCATGAGACATCTTGGACCTTCCATCAGAAGCATTCAGGATGGCAGGAGACTGGCCATGATGAGCAAACATGGGGAGAGGAGGAAGGAAACAGAGAATGGAAGGAGGTGACAGCTGACAAGGCCTTGTGTTCCCAGATGCTGAGTGTGAAATGAAGCGTTTATGATGAAGGAAACAGAACAGATGTACGGTACAATATTAAATATAAAACAGTAAATTACAGCAGGTGGCTTCACAGCAGCTTAGACACAGCAGAAGAGAAGAGGATGGAATTGGAAGATCGATGCTCAGGACGGATGCAGAGTGAAGCCGAGGACCCGGCAAAGAGGATTTGGGAGTTGCAGGCTCTGGCAGAGGACCCACCCCAGAAAGAGAGAAGGAGGGGGTGGGAGGAAGAAGGAATGTTTGAAAGTGCTCCATAGAGAACCAGGACAGCCCCTTGGGCCAAGCAACCCACGACCCTTGCAGCTTCAGAAGTCCAGACTCCAGCCTGGCCTCACATGCTGGTTGGTCTTATCCCTGCCAGGCCAGAACCCTCTTCAGAACCCAGAGCCCCCACAGCTCTCCCTCACCCTATTCCCAGGACATGTCTCCTGTGTACTCTTCCCTGGCCCACAGGTGGGAGTTTACACCTGCTTGGGTAGCCTCGGCATCCACACCAACAACCCGGTAGCAGTTGTCCTGCTCCCTCCACCTGGCACAGCTCGAATCTCCCACAGTGCAGGCCCCGTGTATAGGAGTGATTAGGACACACAGGAGGGCAGGTCAGGACAACAGGTGCTGAGGCAGGCAGATTTCGAGGATTTAAGTGCTGATGCTCTTGGAAGACCATTTCCATGGGGTTAATTGTGGTTTTTCTTGGTGAACTGTTGGCTTGTTTTTGATATTGTTGTTGCTCTAAATAGTGTTTACCTGGCTTCAATACAAACTCTATTGGTCATGTTCTTTGTTAAAATATGTATCATTCTAAAAGTTCACATGGCATTAGATTTTTTGCTCAAACTACCTATAATATTTCTCCAACAGAGTGCACATTTGCCTTCCTTCTGCACATACCACCGCCCCCTGCGCTGAGCAGTGTCCCAGTGGGTCCATCTGTTTAGGGGGTGAGGAAGGGGACACAGGCCCTGACACAATGTGGGGCTGTGCCAAGCTTGGTGGTCTTGCACGGGCACTGAGTGGGTGGGCCCTGGAGAGAGGGGAGGTCATTCCCCCAGGGAACCCCCCAGGCCACAGGGAAGAGGTCAGCTGGGTGCATGAGGTGGAGGGTGGAGATGCATAAAGGGTGGGACGGGGCCTGCTGTTCTATCAGCAAAACCCCTCACACCCGAAGGACACACAGGGCGAGGGCATTGTATTCACTGACCTCACACTTCACTGTCCATTAGCGTTCACCCACAAAATAATAGAACACCCTGAGAGAGGCACAGGAATGCATTACTCGCATTTTTATGACAGCTGAATGGAGGAAATTTCTAAGCAGGTTCAGAGAAAGGATATCAAGCTGTGTTTGGAGAAAGGGGTGGGAATTCTAAACAATATCTGTGGAAGCAGGACATCTAGAACCACAGATGTATTCAGAAAAATGCTAGATCTCAGTACTACTCTAGAATACCAGCAGTTTTCTGTTGATGGTATGGGAAGGGTGATATCTTCCGTTGGTGGGCTTTGCCTTTGACATTCTCTGTGACATATCTACACTGCATTTTAAACGTCAATATTATTGTGAATTGTAAGTTAAAATAAAATGTTATCTCATTCAGTTATTTATACATTTAACTTCCATTTTCCTTTACAACAACTTAGCGACACACCTAGCCCTGTTTTCCACCCAGACCAGCCTGTGCTGCTACAAGCCTGGTTTCTCTTCCTCATCATGACTTACTCAGCTTCCCTTCCTGTTTCAGTTCAAGAAAATGTGGGGGCAAGAAGAAAGGGGGCAGCTGCCACTCACAGAGCTCACACTAAATGACAGACAGCTTGCCCTCACGTCTACCTATTTTTCTAGTTGAATTTCATTGCTTGCAGCAATCAACCTGAGGGATTCATTTTCCCACATACGGGAAGCTCGGCCCCAGGTAGGGGGATTTGCTTGGTGGGGGATTTGAACCCAAGTCCCTCTCACTGCAAAGCCCACAGCACCCCTGTAAGGAACAGACAGGGAACAGGGAGTAGCCCTGGATCACCCTAAACTGACTTCGGGTTTAGAGAAGGACTGATTACCTGGGGAATGAGGAAGCTTATTGCTCTGGAGCTCTCTTCTGGAGAAATGTCATGAACGTGCCCTGTAAGGAGCTGGTGGCAACTTCCGTTAATTCCGGGACCAGCGACCTCAGGTCAAGAGCCAGATGCTCATTCATGTCTCTCCAGGCCAGAGGTTCTGGCCAAGTTTGGGCTCCCAGAGGAGTCTAAGAAAATGTGGAAGGCACCAATGTGTGTTTTTGAAGATTTATTTCAGAGTGAACATCAGCGACCTACAAGAACCTGGGATAGAAGCCAATGCCTCCCCTTTCCCTGTGACGTGAGACAGGACCATGTGCCTCCTGTGGACTTCAAGAAATGTGGACTTGAGCTTTGCCATCCCTTCGCCTGATCCTATTTCATAGATTTTGCTGTTATATTCTCTGTATCTTTACAGGGATCGGGAGGCTGAATTAGTCTTATTCAGGGTTAGTAACTGTCTCTTCCTAACCGGTGGTGGTCCTGATAAGTTTGCACATTTGTGGCTGTCCCAAAGAGCAGTGCAATTATGAAGGCGTAAATACGACCAAAGACCACTCTCAGATACATCTCTGATTGTTGGCTTTGTCTGAGAGAACATGTTCTTTTTGGAGGTGGCCCGCTGTCGACACTCCCACCAGCACCTCTTCTTAGGCACAGTGGAGGATCCCAGCCTATATGGCAATGGCAGTTCCTTCTGTTGTTGCAGACCCCTCTATGACTGCACTTCTCAAGGCGACAGTCGTAGCCCAGTGAAGTGATAGTTGCATTGCACCGGGTGTTATTACAGAAGTTTCCATGAACACAAGGAGTGCCATCTATCACACGCCCAACATCAGTCATGTCTGTTGCATGGTGTTCATCCAGTCTAAAACACTGAAACCCTCCTCTCACTGAGTGATGGAATGAAACATGTTCCTGCAGCTGGGGAAGATGGGTCACATTGGTACACTGCAGTCCTCCACAAAACTTATCTATTCCTGTACAAGCCTGGTAGCTGAGATATGTTTGTTGTCTAATACAATGTCCAAATCGGTAGCTTTCAAGATTTATGTCATAGCAGACCTTAGGAGCATCCTCAGCACTGACACCAAACATCGCCTTGCAGAGCACATTGCGGTCAGTGCAGTTCCCATGATAACAGTAGCCTTCTTCCATGCACAGGGTTCCATCTTGCATATAAAAGTTTGCTGGGCATGTCACGGTGGTCCCGTGACAGTACTCTGGAAGGTCACATATATTTTGGATAGGTCTGCAGAGAGTCCCTGGTGGGGAGAAGCTGAAGTTTGTACAGCACTCTCCTATATGACAGGTGCTCCCCGGTGTTAAGTGACAGTCACTTTGGCAGCAATAACTGGCATAACACTGCTTGAAGGAGCCACAGTCACATTCCTCCCTCCCCTCCACTATGAGGTTTCCACAGCGAACCGTTGTCATGGTTTCATTATACACAGGAGAAAGTGTTTTGAAAACACACCGGCCTGGACGTATAAAACAATTTCGTGCATGTCCATAAGAACAGTTACTGAATGCATCTGTCATCCCAGGAAATCTCTGCATAATGCAGGAGGCCCTTCTCTAACATGTGCAGTAGTTATCATCATACTCCAGACCAATACTTCTCATCTGTGTCTGGGTTATTATGATGGCTACCAATAAATAATGTCTGCCTAGAGTACCAATGTGTAATAGGCCTAAATGTGTACAGAAGCTATACCTTTCAGGTTCATAGTTGGATTCATGTGGTGCGTCTTTAATAAGTAGTGTGGATGAATGAACATGAAAAGTATCAAAAAAGGTTGTTTTAAAATAGGTAAACATTGCACTCTGAATTCGATATTGATTCACAGGGGCTGGGTCACGATTATTATATATGGTCAAAAGATAAATATAGTACCACAGATCAATATTTTGAACAATGCTGTCAATGAGACTGAACATCTGGACCACCTCTTTGGAACAGGTGGTAATATTGCCATATATATGATAATATGAATTGGAACATTGAACGTGGCCCTTTATATTGCCTCTATGAGAACTATACAGCGAATTAGATATCCTGGGATTCATGCTGTTATTTGCTTCAGAGAACAGGGGGTCTGTCTCCTCATTGTCACCATCTCTAAATGTGGGCACCGTTGCATTGGGCTCAGCCACTATCTGAGAAACAACATGTTCAAACCTGCGGGAATCCTGGAGGGGTTTGATTTCGTAGGCAAGGTCGTCCAGCTTCATGATGCCTCTGAGGCCCCCATAGCACGTGTCGATGGTGACCATGGACTGAGGCACCTCCTCCAGGTAGCCGAGGTAGTAGCAGTCTGGTGGAATGTAGGGGCCATCCATCGGCAAGGCTCCTTGGTCATCCTGAGTTGTCACCAGCAGATGTCTGGGCCAAAGAAGGTGTTTCCTCCGCATGTGAATGACGTGTCTTTGACCCCCAAAACGCAGGCTGTGGGACAGCCAGCCGGGAAACTGAAGGCCTTTGCCGTGGTGCGTCTCCTTCCTGGGAATCACCACCTCGGAGGAGGCGTAGTGCCACAAGGGACGGCCTTGAGAACACCGGACTGGAGCCAGGAGCGCCCAGAGCCCCAGCAGGAAGAGGGGGGCCCTAAGGGTGACCCGCACCTCTGCCTGCCTCATGTCCCAGCCCAGCAATAATTACCCAACGACAATGGGAAAGGAAAGGACTGTCCTCGGTGAAGCCAGGCCCCAACCAGCTGCGGTGGCTGCGTCCCTCCCAGGGAGACCCTGACAGAGAACAAAGGGCCTCCCCAGGCTCCCGCACCACACCGCGGGGCACCTGGACTCTGGGAGGGAATGAGGTAACAGTCCCAGGGAGGGGCAGGAGGTGGGTCTGGACAGGACGGCAGCTGCTGCACTGCGGGATGAGGCTGAGGGTCACGGCTGTGAGGGCTCATTGGGAAGGGAAAAGGGAGAGGGAAGCAGGGCTGTCTCTTTTACCACCGTCAATCTTTTCTGTTGCTTTCTGAATCTACAAAATGCAATGATGTGTGTTCAATGCCCTCGCATCACCCGTGTTATTCTCGGTCACTCTGTGGGTTAATATGCTCCTTTCTGTGGCTTACACTGCTTACTCCTTTGTCATGTGGAGGTGGGCACTGCCAATATTTTCCTTGGGGACTGAATGTTTTTCTACTCTTAATAAGTACCCATGTCTTATTCTTTTTGTTGTTGTATTGTTTTGTTGTGGCTTTGAAGTTTTGTTTGAAGTTACCAGATTGTGAAAGGAAAATATCTTGGGCCCCATCAAGCTGAGAACCACTCAGGGCAAATCTGCCTCCCAGTCTATTTAAAGTTGTCCCTCTGCTCACAGAGACAGATGAATATTCTCATGACCTCCTTTGCAAACACTTATCAGAAACTCAAAAGAATGCAACCATCTGTCTCTCACCTACCTGTGACCTGGAAGCCCTAAGTGGGGAGGACTTGCTTTGAGTTGTCTCAGCCTTTCTGGATGGAACTAGTGTCCTTCTTACTTATATTGATTGATGTCTCATGTGTCCCTGAAATGCCTAAATCAAGATGTGCCCGACCACCTTGAATCCAGAGTTCCTGGATTCACAAGATCAACAGTTGATATAGGGTAACTTTTTCTTCTGTGCTATGTAAAACCCTTGTGAATTATGATACTTTTTACTTAGTCCATCTATTGGGAGCAGACACTATTCCTGACCCCATGAGAGCCCCAGGTGCTGTCCCTCCGATGCTTCTGTGTGGTTCTCTCCTGGTCTTTGGTCATTTCTTCAGATGCAGGAGCTGATCAGCTCTCAGGGAAGGACAGAGGGGGCCCTCTCCGGGTGTCTCATGTCTGAGAACTAATGTTTCACATATTTCTGCTGATTCTGTCATTGCTTATGAGGGGAGGGAAAATCCAATGCCAGATCATAATCAGAAACACAAATTACTGTTTCCTCAAAAGTGTAAATATTTCCCTTTCCTGGCGAATGTGGTCACTCCATTTAAACTTAACATGACCATAGTGTGTTTCGAAGGCTGCGTTGTGTGGCACTTTGTGTTCCAATGCCCCGTACTCCCATCTTCCACCGCTTCAAATCCTGCCTTTTTACCACAAATGTACGATTACTAATGAAGCTGGTTTCCCCTCTACGAGCGTGCAGGTTGGACGCCCTTTCCCTACCCCTTTAGGGTTTTCACAGGGAGCGAAGGAAAATATTTGACATCCCTGAAGGAGGCTGCTAGGGTAGACTGTGTCCCTCCTAAATTTTTGTGCTGAAGTCCCAACCCTTGGTCCTTCAGAATGAAATCATACTTGGATCAGTGTCTTTTAAAGAGGTGAATAAGTTAAAGTGAGATTCCTGGAGTGGGGCCCTAATGCAATCTGACTGTTGTTATAAGAAGGGGAAGCAGGAGGGAGGGTGCACACGCCCTGAGGGACGGCCATGTTACCACAGAACAGCGAGAAGGCGCCATCTGCACACCAGGGAGTGAGACTTCAGAGGAAACCCACCCAGCTGGCAGCTTGATCTTAGGCTTTCATCCTCCATAAGTGTGAGGAAATTGGTTTTGTATTGTAAGCCATCCAATCTGTGGTATTTCATTATAAAAGCCCTATAAAATGAATACAGTAGGTAATAGGAGATCTTCTAAAAATTGAAAAAGTCGGATGGCCAGACAAACCTAGACACTCCTGTTCAGACCTGAGCAGGGTGATGGACCTGCTATGGGACAGGAGAGGGGAAGAGATGAACCCAGCACCCAGACCCAGCTGAGCCCATTCCTCAGCAGGCTGTCCCTGGGCCGGAGCTTGCACTGGTGTGAAAGAGTGTGTCTTGGTCTTCGGGGGCTCATGGAGTTGGACAGAGAATGGTGTAAACTCTTGCTTACACAAAAGAACAAGTCATCGGTGTGCCCGTGTTTATGTGAATGGGATGTGTTTCTAGGGTGTGCTCATCCCCAAAGAAAAATTAATCAGGTCTCTTGGGCTAGAAAGAGGTTGTGGCATTTGTGTGTATTAATAACTGCGGTCGGACAGTAAATTATGTTAAAATGCTTATGGGAAGGCACAATGGAAAGAAACAGTTTGTTACAGAAGGAAAAAAATGGTGATTATTTAAATGAGATGCCTTTGAAAGTCACCATGCCAAGAAAGCTGATCACATGATAGTGTTGGGTTTCATGTTCAGGAGATCAGGAGGGTCCATTTGCTGGCTTTTACGATACCTAGACAGAGCTGAGAGTATAATGTGTGAATGGAGGGGACGTGGAGAAAGGGGAGGCCAAATGTTTGATGGGAATGGAGGGTCACTATTGGAGCCATTAGGAAATACACAAGCATGATTTGTGCTGAAGCACAGAACAGTGTTCCTGGGGAATATTGTGTTGCTTTGGCAGCTGCTGAACATACAGAAGTTTCACTGTTCTTAGTTCTCAAATTCTCTAGACTCTCTTGGCAGCCCAGTTTTAAATATTGGGAATATAGGTAAGACACATTCGTTATTAAAAATTATTAAGAGAAGATGTAGGAAGAAGTTTAAAGTAATCCATTTAGGTTATGAAAATTTAGTTGCGGCGAACTGTGATGTCCATTTCTTACTTGGAATAATGGAATGTAAGTCATTAGTCATCTCAATGGTTCATTTTTCCATAACCATCAATTACAAAACTGCTGCGTAATTTCCTGAATTGCCCGCCATAGAAGCTGACCTCACATTTTCTCAGTGAGAAACTGCCAGTCCCGTTGATCCAGCCTCGTTCTTCCCATAGGGGATTTTGTATCTCTGTGGACATGTGGTACAATGCTGCATATCCATCGGCATATGGCCTCGGGAAAGGTTCCAGCCTATCCATGCACGATGAAGCTTACTTAAGGGATGAAGCCGGAATGCTGGGTGTGCCAGTGCCGACAGCCGAAAGAATCAACTGCCTGGTGTATGATGCTTTTATGAAAACAAGCCCAGGGCCTCTTGCTTTCTTCTGTATTAGATTCTCTGGTGAATATTTTTATTCATCTCTGCCAGAAATTGCCACATATAATTACCTAGAAGCATTACAATAAACTGATTTGGAAGTTAACTGACTTCCTGGTGAGGTTAAAATGAGTGTCAGGTGCATAGTGAGACAGACCGGAGACATGGGTGCATAGCAAACTTGTGCTCACCATGGTTTCTATCTTAGTTAGGGAAACTTCTGTACCTTCCTTAGATGTTCAGGCACTCCATTGAGGACCCTGACATAACATTATTTATTGACAGACCATAGCCCAAAGTATAGAACTGGATATTACCAAGGAGGATATACTATTACTATTTTATCTTTATCTTAAAATACACTCTTCCAACTGAGGTGAAAATTAATCCAGATGGTAGAACTTATTGCAGTTACTACAGCATTTTAGGAAATCAAAAGCTGCAGAACAAACATATGGACAGATGGCAGGTATGTTTTTGGAATCATAAACAACTTCGTGGTGATTGTAAAACCAAGGGGTGTCTCACAAGGGCTGGAAACCTCTCAAAATGAAACAACACACTGAGGATCTTTGAGAAGTACTCTGACCTCCAAGTGAGCTGGCTGATATGGAGGCTGAGCTACATGTAGAAAGCCAAAGGAATTTCTGCAGGACATCATCATGCCAAGCACAGCCGTAACCTGGGTTCCAGCCCTTTTCACACGCTCAACGGTTGGATCTTGGGAGGGAATCAAAGAAGCCATTGTAAAATATCAAAATTTAAACCCTGATTTTGAATTTAAAAAGTGTTAAAATATGGTTGTGGCCTACACTCAGAAAATCTGTGTCCTTCAGATGGTTTCTCGGTGGCACCAGATGGTTTCAAGTGGCTATTCATTAGGTTTCTCAGTGAAATTACCAGATATAGAATAAATAAATTGTCACTGTCTTAAATCAACCCATGGGAAAGGAAAACTGTATAAAGACAGCAGAGAGGAAACATTGTCCACACCAAGGAAAAAACAATCTCCAGAAACTGTTGTTGAAGAAACAGAGGCATCACACTTACTAGAAAAATATATTGTATTTCATATATTATGGGCATACAACGTGATGTTTTGATATATGCGTGCATTGTGAAATTATTAAATCAAGTAAATAAACATGTCTGTCACCTCACATACTGCTTTTTTTATGGTGTAAATGTGTAAAATCTACTCTCTTATCAGTTTTCAAGTATATATAGTACATTAGTATCACTGAGGTCTGACCATGGTGTGCAATAGATCTTCAAACGAATTCCTTCTGTCTAACCAAAACTCTGTACCCTTTCACCAGGGCCTCAGCTTTTACATCCTCCTAACGCCAGCTCCTGGTAGGCAACATTCTACTCTCTACTTCTCTGAGTTCAACATTTTTAGATTGCATGTGTAAGTGAGATCATGGAGTAATTTTTATACCAGGCTTATTTCACTCAACATAAAGACATTTAAACGCTCAACATCACTCACTAATCATCAGGGAAATGCAAATTAAAACTGGGATGAGATATCACCTCACACATCTTACAATGGCTTAGTCTGAGTCTGTTTTTGTGTTGCTATAACAGAATACCAGAGACTGGGCATTTCTTTTTTTTGAGACAGAGCCTCGCTCTGTTTCCCAGGCTGAAGGTCAGTGGCATGATCTCCGTTCACTGCCAGCTCCGTCTCCCGGGTTCACCCCATTCTCCTGCCTCAGCCTCCCGAGTAGCTGGGACTACAGGCACCCACAACATGGAGACTGGGCAATTTTTAAAGAAAAGGAATTTATACTTAACGGTACTTGAGTCAGAGAAGCCCAATATCAAGGGGCTGGCATCTGAAAAAGGCCTTCTCACTGCATCATCTAACAGCAGAGGAGGATGAGCAAGAGACCACTTGTCTGTGAGAAAAAAAGAGGCCATCTTTTATTAGAAACTCGCTCCTGTAATAACTAGCCCACTCCCATGATAGTGACAGTAATCCATTCATGAGGACAGAGACTTCATGACCTGATCACATAATAAAGTCCCACCTCTCAACACTGTTGCATTAAAGATTTTTTCCAAATCATAAACTTTGGGTGACACATTTAAACCATAGCATTCCATTCCTAATACTAAAATGTATGTCCCAATTACAATGTAAACTACATACATTCCATCCCAACTGTCTTCAAAGTCTTAACTCATCCAGCATCAATGCAAAAGTATGAAGTCCAAAGTCTCATCTAAATCAGATATGAGTGACACTGAAGGCACAATTTAGTCTGATATAAATTGTTTCCATCTGTGAGCCTATAAAATCAAAATAAGTTATCTACTTTCAAATACAGTGAATGATGAGGCAGGTATGGGATAGAAATTCCCATTTCAAAGCTCAGAGAGAGGCAAGGAGAAGGGGTGCATAGTCCAAAACCCAACATGGGAAACAACATTAAGCCTTAAAGCTGGAAAAAATCCTCCTTGACTGCATCCTGTGCACACTGGGGAGGGGGATGGGCCCCCAAGGCCTCCGGCAGTCTTGCCTCTATGGATTTTCTGGGTTCAGTCCACTCAGCCTCTCTCACAGGTGGGACTGTCAAGCCTCTAGCTCTCCTAGGTGGACTGGATACCCTTTGTGGTGCCTCCAAACCCATATTTCTGCTTGGCATTGTGCTGAGGGCTCAGTGTGGTGACTCTGTCTCTGCAACAACTCACTGCCCGAGACCTTAGGCTGTCCACAGCATTCTTTGAAATCTACGTGGAGAAAGCCATGCCCTCGTGGTTCTTCTATTCTGCACACCTGCAGAATTAACAACACATGGATGCCATGGAAGTTGATGACTTGTACCATTGAAGTGATGGCTTGAGCCACACCTAGGTCCTCCTGAGCCACAGCATGGGCAGCCAAGGAGTGCTGTGCCTGGACACAGGGAACAGAGTCCTAAAGTGCCTGCTAGAAGTGAGGCCATAGATTTGCTTCAAATTTCTTCCATCATATATCCTCGTTTATGGCTCTGAACTTCCACTTTACAGAAAGACCTAGGGATGAGCACAATTCAGCCACATTCTTTGCCACTTTATGGCAAGGATGGCCTTTGCTCCATTTTCTGATGAGCTATTCTTCTTTTTCTCCTGAGACGTCATCAGAACGGCCTTTATTGTCCATGGTTCTACCAACATTCTAATGGTCATCACTTGAATAATCTCTAAGAAGTTTCAGAATTTCCTCGCAACTCTCTTCTTCTGAGTCCTCAAAAGAATCACCTCTAGTGTTCTATTCAGGGCAATCTAGACTTTTTATAGTCTGATCCTCCAAATTATTCCAGACTTTGTGCATTACTACATCCACTTCTACATTTTGGAGTATTTGTAATCACAAAAGCCCCACCTCTTGATACTGATTTTTTTGTCTTAGTCCACTTTGTGGTGCAATGAGGCAATACGACAGACTGACTAAGTATAAGTAAAAGAAATTTGTGTTCTCACAGTTCTAGAGCCTGGGAAGTCCAATATCAAGGTGCTAGCATCTTGCAGGGGCCTTCTTGCTGTGACACCTATGTGGGAGGCAGGAAAGCATGTGCGAAGGAGAGAAATGGGGCTAAATTCATCTTTTAATGAGGACCCCAGGCCTGTAGTAACTAATCTACTCCCTCTATGAGTAACCCACTCTGCCAATAATGGCATTAATTGCTTCATGAGGGCAGAGCCCTCACGACCTAATCATTCCTGAAAGTTCTTACCTCTGGACACTATGGAATTTGGGATTAAGTTTCCAATATACATTCTTTCTAAATAGCCAGAGCTTTTTATAGGTTTACCACCCAAGGCTACATGAGGCTCTGAAGCAGTGGCCTGAGGGTGGCTGTCCTTTGTGAGAATGGAGAGGAGTGAACTGACTCATGGAGACACAAGTAGATGAAGTAAAGGGACTCATTGCTTCATTACATGGATAGTGAGGGTGACTGAAGGCATTAACGGATTAATCGTGGTGGCAAAACCATCTGAGGTGGACACCACGGGGAGCCAACCAGAAAAAGAGGACACATCCCATTAAATGGTGCTTCATCTCCTTGCAAAACCAATGAAAGAAAGTGAAACACAACGCCATAGTGTATACCAGACAGTGGATTGAGGGAAGAGTTTCCTAAGTCGTAATCGACAAAGTGGAGAAAACATACAAATCTTTGCATGGTGCTAACATTTGGACTGTGGCTTCATTGTTTCTTATTAACATTTTAGTGAAATATTGCTAGAAGGAGACTGAAAATGAAGTATGAAAAGTTAAATGGGATTTCTGTTCCAAGTTAGTCCTTTTCAGATGAGAGGAACTAAGAAGTTACAGGGAAGAAACAATAATATCTGCTGAGCAAGATTTTTGCAGGGCAGGCCAAGGAATTACCAAGGAGAAAAAGGAAATGTCAGCTTCACCTTGCATCTGCTCCCGAGCCAGGTCCTGAGCACCCCCTGCTGGCGCTGATCGTCCCCTGGTGTCTGATCTCCTCTGGTTCCCTCAGCTTCCCTGGTGGTGTCTGAGCCGCTCTACTGGTGTCTGAGCCCCTCTGCCTGCCCTCAGCTCCCCCTCGTGGTCTGAGCCACCCTGGTGGTGTCTGAACCCCGCTTGTGATGTCCTGAGCCCCTCTATTAGTGTCTGAGCCCTACTGGTGGGTCCTGAGCCCCTTTGGTGGTGTCTGAGCCCCCTGGTTTTGAGCCCCCCCTTCTGCATCCTGAGCCCTCCTGGTAGTGTCTGAGTGTTATTTTCACCATACACTCAAATAAGATTGAGCAGTGATTCTTTCATCTGTGGTGGTCATTCCAAGTGATCTGTCCAGGGCACATGGGGACTCTATCCCTAGGACCACTTGTCCCCACAGAAGGAGAAACCACAGTAGCAGCACCAAGGGTAGGTCACAGCATTGTCACCAGGAGTCCCCATATTCTTCTCCCAGACGCAGTGAACCTTGTCACCCTCTTCCCACACTCCACAGGGGGTGTACAAAGAGGCATCTTGCAGTGACCTGACCCTGGGATGTTATGGAAAAGGAGACAGCCTGAGCTCATGACTCCTGGAATTACATGCTCCAGTCTTGGCTATATACAGACCTACAATTCTTTTCCTTTTACTCAGGCACTTTGCCTTCTGGTTGAGGACAGTGTTCTACAGCCCTCCACAGTGTGCTAGAGCTGACTAGAGTCGAATAGCCACTTTCTTTGTGCAAGTTTCCTTTCTGTGACTTTACTGGATTTCATTGGTAGTAAGCGTTCATCCAGACAGATTCCAAGACAGTGTCCACATGAAAGGAAAACAAAGGCTGATGGGCAGAGACGCCCTGAGCATCCAGTCCCAGGGTACCTTTGCCAGCTGCCCTTCCTAACATCCAGAGGCAGGGAAGGGAGGAGCCCCGCTGAGCAGTGCACACATGTCCGCAGAGAGAATGTCACAGAAATGCAGCTCTGCTCCCTCTCATGAGAAGCAGCTCATCCGCTGTCCTGCAGGCCCTGGTGAGGAGCCAGCCCATGTTTGGGTCCCTCCTCAGCATCCCCACCATGGAGCCTGTGCCTGCTCATCACTGTTGAGGGAGCATCCCTCCTGCAGCAGGCTCACTTGTGGCTGCCCCACACAGGGCTGCTCTCAGTGTGTTTTCTCTGTGCTTCCAGGACTCCCTTGTGAACTTCAGCTGGGGGAGGTCGAGGACACATGAGGCTGCCCTGGGCATTCTCTGAGCCTTCTGCAAAGACTCTGGTTTCACCTTCGCTAACAATAGCTTGAGCTGTGTCCAGCAGACTGGAGTGGGTGGCACAAGTGTGTAATCCAGCTGGAAAAAATCAGTACTATTCTCCATCAGACAAGGAAGAACTCAAAAGAATTCTTGCTGTTTAACAGGGAGCTGAGCAAGAGTAAGGTGTAGAAAGCTTACTTAAAGAAATAATAACAGATAAATTTCCAAAACTTGAGAAAGATATAAATATCCAGGTACAGGAAGGCATGACAACACCAAACAGAATCAACAAAAATAAGACTACTACAAGACATATACTAATCACACTTTCAAAGACAAGGACAAAAAATGGATCCTAAAACCAGCAAGAGGAAAGAAACAAATAACATATGAAGGCATTCCAATTCCTCTGGCAACAGGCTTCTCAATGCAGATTACACAGGCCAGGAGGGAATGGATTGACATTTTTTAAGTGCTCAAAAGAAAAAAAACCTGCCATCCAAGAATATATTCTTCAGCAAATTACCCCTCCAATTGAAAGGAGAGATAAAGACTTTCCTAAACAGAAAAAAGATGAGAGGATTCACCACCCTCGGGCCCATCTTACAAGAAATGCTAAAGGGAGTTCTTAAATCTCAAAGAAAAAAATGCTAAAGAATAAAACAAAACTTTTATAAATATAAAACCCACTGGTAAAATTAGGTACATGGAGAAACCCAGCGGATGGAGTCAAAATGTAGAATTTTTCTGTGTCTTTTTTGCCTTTGCTTGTTTCTGTTCTTTCATTTGAGTTGTCGTCTCCTTTAAATAACTTCTCATATCTATAAGGTGTTTCTTTTAAGACTCATGATGACCACAGCACAAAAACCTATAACTGATTCACTAAAAATCAGAAGCAACAAATTCTACTGAAGAAAATCACTGAACCACAAAAACAAGAAAAAGAAAGAAAGAAGGAAGGAAGGAAGGAAGGAAGGAAGGAAGGAAGAAAGAAAGAAAGAAAGAGAAAGAAAGAAAGAAAGAAAGAGGGAGGGAGGGAGGGAAGAAGGAAGGAAGGAAGGAAGGAAGGAAGGAAGGAAGGAAGGAAGGAAGAAAGGAAGGAAGGGAGACAGGAGTCTCAAAACTGCCAGAAAATGGGCAACAAAATGGCAGTGGTTGCTCCTTCCTTCTCTTTTCCCCCAACTAGACGGCATCGCTCCTCACACTATGCTACCTGGCGTTGGGACAGGAGTGACACAGGTCATGCTGAACTGTTGTTCTTATTCTCTTCAGTGTGTCGTTTCTTACTTTTAGGCTGTAACCAGGTATGGGGATCTCTCACTTGGCTTCCTTAGCTCTTGTGAAGGATTTTTGGACGTGGATAGTTGTTCAGATTAATGTTCCGGCAGGGAACCATCACTGGAGAGTCCTATTCCGCCATCTTGCTCCTGGATGATCACTCAAGACTGTCAGACTAAAGGACACACATACACTGAAACTGAAAAGAAGGAATGAAAGAAGACATTTCATGTAAATGTTAACCAAAAGAGAGTGAGGTGGGAGTATCTACATATATATCAGAAAAAAATAGATTTTAAGTAAAAAGCTCTCACAAAAGACAAAGATCTTTGTCTTATATAATTATTATATGTGATACAAAGTTTCACTTATCAGAAAGATACAGTTATGCACACACACACATGCATCCAACATCGAAGTACCTAGACATATAAAACTATCATTTACAGATCAGAGAGGAGACACAGAAAGCAATACAATACAATTAGGAGATTTCAACACCCCACGTTCATCAATAGATAGAACATACAGACAGAAAATCAGTAGGGAAACAGCAGACCTGAATAGCACTAGAGACCAAATTGACCTAACAGATAGATACAGAACATTCAATTCAAGTCCAGCAGAGCATGCATTCTCCCCAAATGCACAGGGAACATTCTTCAGGATAGATCACGTGCTAGGTACTACACATGACCTTAGCCAAAAGGCTGAGGAATGATTACCTCACATGTTAGGTCACAAAGAAGACTCAACAAAATTAAGAAGACTGAATCGCATCAAGTATCATTTCTGACAATGGATTGAAACTAGAAATCACTAATAGGGAAAAAGTTGAAAATTTACAAAGAAGTATAAGCTAAGCAAACTTAAAAGATAAGGTAGAAAATATTTTGAAATAAATGACAGTGAAAACGCACTACATTGAAACATGGGATACTGCAAAAGCAGTACTAAGAGGGAAATTCATAATGATGCCCACCTACATTAAAAGAGAAGAAAGGGGCTGGACATGGTGGCTCTCACCTGTAATCCTAGCACTTTGAGAGGCTGAGGTTGGTGGATAATTTGAGGTCAGGAGCTCAAGACCAGCCTGGCCAACATGGTGAAGCCCTGTCTCTACTAAAAATACAAAAATACAAAAATTACCTGGGTGTGGTGACTCATGCCTATAATCCAAACTACTCAGGAGGTGGAGGTTGTGGTGAGCCGACATTGCACCACTGCACTCGATGTTTATTGCGGCACTATTCACAACAGCAAAGACTTGGAACCAACCCAAATGTCCAGCAATGATAGACTGGCTTAAGAAAATGTGGCACATATACACCATGGAATACTATGCAGCCATAGAAAAGGATGAGTTCATGTCCTTTGTAGGGACATGGATGAAGCTGGAAACCATCATTCTCAGCAAACTATCACAAGGATAAAAAACCAAAAACCGCATGTTCTCACTCATGGGTGGGAATTGAACAATGAGAACACTTGGACATAGGGTGGGGAACATCACACACCAGGGCCTGTCATGGGGTGGGGGGAGGGGGGAGGGATAGCCTTAGGAGATATACCTAATGTAAATGATGAGTTAATGGGTGCAGCACACCAACATGGTGCATGTATACATTTGTAACAAACCTGCACGTTGTGCACATGTACCCTAGAACTTAAAGTATAAAAAAAAGAGTTTGAAAAAAATAATAGAAAAATAAAAAAAAGAAGAGAAAGAACCTAAATTAATCTTATTAATCTTTTTTTTTTGTCATTAAGAGTTTATCTCCCATTTCAAACATAAAGAGTATCTACAAATCAGTTTCAAAAGTCTAATAACACATTATGCAATTGACAAAAATATATAAGCACTTAATTTACATTAGAGAAATAAATATGTCTCTTAAATGAATGAAACAATGTCCACGTTCACTCATAATAATACAAAGACAAGGATACCAAGATAACTATTATTCATTACTAGACTGGTAAAGATCCAAAGTTTTTTTGTTTTTTTTTTTTTTTATACTCTAAGTTTTAGGGTACATGTGCACATTGTGCAGGTTAGTTACATATGTATACATGTGCCATGCTGGTGCGCTGCACCCACTAATGTGTCATCTAGCATTAAATAGAAAAATAAAAAAAAAGAAGAGAAAGAACCTAAATTAATCTTATTAATCTTACACCTCCGGATTTAGAGAAAGAATAAGTAAGTCCTAAGTTAGAATGAAATAATAAAGATTAGAGTAGAAATTAATGAAATACAAAACAGAAAAATAATAGGAAAAATCAACAAACTAAGGGCTTTTGAAAAAAAAGACAAAATTGACAAAACTTTAGCTAGACTACAAAAAAAGAATACTCAAATAAATAGCATCAGAACTGATCAAGGAGACATTACAACTGATGCTACAGAAATAAAAATGATCATGATGTGATATGATCTGGATCTGTGTCCCCAACCAAATGTCATGTTCAGTTGTAATCCTCAGTGTTGGAGGTTGGGGCTCAGCGGGAGGTGATTGGATCATGGGAGAAGGTTGGTTTCTCATGGTTTAACACCATGCCCCTTGGTGCTGTCGTCCAATAGTGAGTTCTCCTGAGATCTGGTTGTTTAAAAGCATGTAGCGTGGCCGGATGCGGTGGTTCACGCCTGTAATCCCAGCACTCTGGGAGGCCGTGGTGGGCGGATCGCGAGGTCAGGAGGAGACCATCCTGGCTAACACGGTGAAACCCTGTCTCCACGAAGAAATACAAAAAATTAGCCAGGCGTGGTGGGGAGTGCCTGTAGTCCCAGCTAGTCAGGAGGCTGAGGCAGGAGAATGGCGTGAAGCCGGTAGGCAGAGTTTGCAGTGAGCTGAAATCGTGCCACTGCACTCCAGCCTGGGCCACAGAGTGAGACTGTGTCTAAAAAATAAATAAATAAATAATAGAAAAAAATAAAATAAATAAATAAATAATAGAAAAAATAAATAATTAATTAAATAATAGAAAAAATAAATAAATAAATAAAGCATGCAGCACCTCCGGTTCTCTCTCTTGCTCCTGCTTCAGCCATGGAAGAGGTTCTCCTTTACCTTCCACCGTGACTGAGTTTCCTGAGGCCTCCCCAGATGCAGATCTTGCCATGCTTTCTGTACAGCCTGCAGAACTTCTTTTTTTTTTTTCATAAATTACCCTGACTCAGGTATTAATAGTAGGGCAAAAACAGACTCATACATGGAGACGACTATAAATCATTATTGAATAAACACCAACACACTGGATAACCTAGAAGAAATGGGTAAATTCCTCAAAACATACATTCTACCAAGACTGAATCATAAAGAAATAGAAAACCTGAAGAGACCAAAAATGAACAAGGAGATTGAAACAGCAATCAAAAATCTCCCAATCAAGAAGATTTGAAAATCAAGTTCAAGTGGTTTCTCCAGTGAATTCTACCAAATGTTTAAAGAAGAACTAAAACTAATAACTCTAAACTCTCCTAGAAAGTTAAAGGAACACTTTCAAAATATTTTTATGTGAGCACTCTCAGTCTGATACCAAAGACAGGCAAAGGCCATTTAAGAAAAGAGAACTACAGTTCATATCCCTAATTTGTATAGGTACAAAATTCAACAAAACCCAGCAAATCAAATTCAACAGCACAATAAAAGGAACCTATCCCACCACCAGAAATGCATGATAAAGTGGGATACATCTCTGAGATGTTCCTGTTTGAAACACAAAATCAAACATCTTTGTAGTAACTCTAAGAGCTGTAGCCTGGCCTGGCACGGTGGCTCAAACCTGTAATCCCAGCACTTTGGGAGGCCAGCGTGGGCGGATCACCTGAAGTCGGGAGTTCGAGACCAGCCTGACCAACATGGAGAAACCCTGTCTCTACTAAAAATACAACATTGGCAGAGTGTGGTGGCGCATGCCTGTAATCACAGCTACTTGGAGGGCTAAGGCAGGAGAACAGCTTGAACCAGGGAGGCTGAGGTTGCAGTGAGCAGAGATCTTGCCATTGCACTCCAGCCTGGGCAACTCCATCTCAAAAACAAACAAACAAACAAACAAACAAACAAACAAACAAACAAACACCTGTAGCCTTTTGGCAAGGAGATGCTTCAAGCCATTCTGAATGTAGTCACACCATAAATAACACATACCCAAACTCCAAGTGGATAATTCTTGGGTTAAATCATTTTAACTGTGTTCAAAGTATTTTTGAGCTTTGGTTTCTCCCCAGGGTTACCATCACTCTTTTACCAGCACGATGTTGTTGACTGGTCACAACTGATGCAACGACAACCACAGCTGTGACTTTAGATTTTACCATCAGATGTTGATTGGAGACAATAACCAATTACCATACACCTCAAGATTCGTGGAGAAATCATGGTTTCATGGAGAAATCAAGATAACATCTACTTGAGCTCATCTGGTCCCACCAAGCATGTATCTTGAGAGCTTCATAAATTACCAGAGTTAGCAAACAAATTTACAAGAAAAAAACAACGCCATCAAAAAGTGGGCGAAGGATATGAATAGACACTTCTCAAAAGAAGACATTTATGCAGCCAAAAGACACATGAAAAAATGCTCCTCATCACTAGCCATCAGAGAAATGCAGATCAAAACCACAATGAGATACCATCTCACACCAGTTAGAATGGCGATCATTAAAAAGTCAGGAAACAACAGGTGTTGGAGAGGATGTGGAGAAATAGGAACACTTTTACACTGCTGGTGGGACTGTAAACTAGTTCAACCATTGTGGAAGTCAGTGTGGCGATTCCTTAGGGATCTAGGACTAGAAATACCATTTGGCCCAGCCATCCCATTACTGGGTATATACCCAAAGGACTATAAATCACGCTGCTATAAAGACACATGCACACGTATGTTTATTGTGGCACTGTTCACAATAGCAAAGACTTGGAACCAACCTAAATGTCCAGCAATGATAGACTGGATTAAGAAAATGTGGCACATATACACCATGGAATACTATGCAGCCATAAAAAAGGATGAGTTCATGTCCTTTGTAGGGACATGGATGAGACTGGAAACCAACATTCTCAGCAAACTATCGCAAGGACAAAAAATCAAACACCACGTGTTCTCGCTCAGAGGTGGGAATTGAACAAAGAGACCACTTGGACACAGGAAGGGGAACGTCACACACTGGGGCCTGTAGTGGTGTGGGGGGAGGGGGGGGGATAGCACTAGGAGATATACCTAATGTAAATGACGAGTTAATGGGTGCAGCACACCAATGTGGCACATGTATACATATGTAACAAACCTGCACATTGTGCACGTATACCCTAGAACTTAAAGTATAATAAAAATAAAAGAAAAAAGAAAAACAAAGAAATTATCAGAGTTAGTTACACAACCAGATTTTTCTATTATTTTAAATTTAAAATCAGGAGTTAAACATTCATATTCTGTAATGGCTTTCTGAATGCCTCCAGAGCTTGATCACTTGAATGTTTAAATAGGATTATAACCTAGGTTACAGCGACTAGTTTTGAATAATAATCTGCTGGAGTATGCTCTTTCACTTCCTTACTACCTAATTTGTGTGGGTGCCAATCTTCACATCAGCCAGCACAGGGAAAGGAGGTGTGTATTTAAAGGTTCCTTAACATTGTCCATCTTTTTTGGTGATGATTATGTTCTACTTGTTTTCAATGTTTTCTGCTGTGTACATTAAGAGTGTACAACATGGTGTTTAGATATACACATGCATAGTAAAAAGGTTACCACAACCTAGCAGCAAATTAACCAATCAATTTCCTTTTATGGTTACCGTTTTGTAGCAGGAGAAACTAAATTCTACTCTTTTAGCAAATGTTCAGTATACAATAAAATATAACTACAGCCTACCTGCTGCACACAAGAGCTCTTGATTTTATAACTGCAAGCTCTTTCTTGTGTAGCGTCTGCATAACTGCAAACTCTAACTTCTGTAGCTTCTGCGTGACTGCAAATGTGTTAACTTTCACCTATTTCTCCCCATTTCCTACCTCTCCACACCCCTGGTAGCCATCATTTCACTCTCTGTTTCTATGGATTTGATATTTTTAAAGATTTTACATGTAAGTGAGAACTTGCTGTATTTTTATCTTGTGTCTGGCTCATTTCACTTAGCACTACGTCCTCTGGATCTATCCATGTTGTTGTAAATGACAGTCGATCTCCTTCCTTCTTGTCCAGTATTGGGGTATGTTTCATCAAGTCTTCTTTTTCCCTGAAAACATCCCCAAATCATGCACTATTTCAACACTTACCTTCTAGATATCAGTCTCTTTGTCTATTTTTGAGATTTGGCTAGCTTACACATTCTAGTCACTGGCTTAAATTCTACTATTCAGCGTGGGTTTACTTCAGCTGATGGTGATGGTACCTCCTTCTCCATAACATGCAGTTTCAGTTTTGAGATGTGATCCATCAGCACATATTGTGAGGCTCACATTACCAATGGGAGTCTGTAATACACCTAAGCAATATGCAGGCAGTTTCCTCACTAAGATGAGACGGGGTGAGCACAGCTTGATATTCTGCCACGCCTCCTGCCTGTCTCACTACTCACTACACACTAAATTTGAACTCACATGAAGTTCAGGTTAATGTTTCAATCTGTTTGGTTTAATTTAATTTTTACTTCAAGATTATTTCCATTATTATATGTGGCTATTTCAGTACAAATTGAAGGAAAGGCAACTTTTATTGCCTTTATTTATGAGGCTTTATTTATGGGCATGATGACAGCAGTTTTAAAAGTCACATTCCGACATAGTGATGGGCTGGATGAAGAGAGGGCATTCCCTCTGAAATGCTCTTCGGAAGGATCAGAAATGCCTCAATCGACCAACTCTCCTGTCCTCATGACTAGAGCTGTGTCACATCTTCAGAGAGACACACATCCGTGGTAGGAAGGATAAGATTACATGGATGAATCTGGCTGTTTTCTAATGTTTTGCCTGAGATGAATCCAAATATATGGGGAATGGTTATTTTTATTATTTTGGGATTTGTAAGCAATGGCTGAAAACAAGAATACTTTTTAAGATGACATATTATTTTTGTGACATTCTGTTATTTCATTGTAGAGATTGACAATTACATTTTCTTTTTCAAAAAATAAATTGTATTATGTATATCTAAGACATACAACATGATATGGAATAAATATATACAGTAAAATGATGACTATAGTGAAATAAATTAATGCAGCCCTCAACTTACAGATTTACCCACCTCCCCCATTTGGCAAGAACAGCTATAACCTCAGTTAGCAAAGTCCTGGATGCAATGCACCCTTATTAACTTCCTCATGTTGCACGTTGGATCTGTGGCAGCTTCCAGATGGGAAAGCCTCAAAGAGTCAGACGTGACGATATGGGGGTGCTGCATCTGAGCACACAGCTCCCTGCAATCCTCTCTGTTCCCAGGTGTCCTGTCCCAGGTGCAGCCGTAGGAGGGGCAAAGCCCTCGCAGGCAATCTCCGTGTCCCATGCTGCTTCCCGCTGCTCTGTTACCAGGGGTTACTCAGCGGGGGTGGATCCCCCGACCTGCAGGGAAAGGTTGGAATGCAATGGATTGCTCACCTCTGTTATGGAGGGAGCATATAGTTTATCCCTACCATCAAAGTTGAGTATCCATCTCCAGAGATGCATTCAGGATACATCCGGTTCTCCTTGCAGCTGAGTTTTGTGACTACTGAGGACACAGCCCTGTATGACTGTGTAAGAGACACAGAGAGGAGATCCCAGTGTGGGCCCAGACACAAACCTCACTGCAGGGGTGCCTGGGACCTGGATGGCAGGGGCCCCCAGGGCCCAGCCTCAGGGCATATGCAACCAAGGAGGGCATATGGGGAGGGAATCATCACCCAGGGTTTCCTTTCCTTAATGAACAGCATCTGAGCCATGGAACCTCTGCTTTATATCTGGGCTACGGAGTGGCCTGAGGCACCTGAGATGCAAGCACAATGGAGATGTTTAAGATTCTGTATGAGCATATGTGACATCACAGTTCTTTTTCCTCATCTCTCGGATTTCACTGAAACTGTGAAGAGAACTGTCATCCTACTGGCACTGTGTGCTGTGCAGGAAATTTCTAAAATATGGTAACCATCATGAGGGATGCATTCGTGGCTGCACTGTGCTGGGAAGAGTCACACCAGGGAGAAATCCTGTGAGGAACCCTGGACTCCACTGGCTGTGCCCAGCACAGCTGTGAAAGACCCAGTTGATGTCCAAGAAATGAGAATGCAAACATCTGCCTCCAGCACATAGGAAATTACAGCAAACGATTCCATGTCCCGTGGTCCCTCTATCCCCAAATTCTTTCCCTTTTCCCAAAATCAAGGAGGAGAACTGGAGTTTCCAGTCCATAGCCTGAGCCAGCCACCACGTGTGTGTCCCCAGCCTTTCCCAGAGCTGCCTGAGGGGCTGGACAAGACCTGCTCCCTTCCCTCCTGCTCACACAGCTGCACAGGGGAGCTCCTGCAGGCTGTTAGCATCCCAGTTTCCAAACAGCTTTCATATCCACAGGATTCATTTCTTGCTGTTACTATTGTTATTTTGCCTGAGCATTCTCATGACTGCATCACTTGTCAGAGACACGTGCCCTGCACTGAAACCCCACTCTCTGCTTTCCACAAAGATGGAGTTCCTTAGACCTTCATCTGCTAGAAGGATCTGATGTCTTGTCCTTACACTGGCCAAGCATTGTCTGATATGCCCCAGTTGGCACACAGACATTATGGATTATTTGCACCTGTGTGGGAATGGTCTATAATTGGGACACGTGTCTAGACTCAAAGATGCCTGGATGGTCTATAATTGGGACATGTGTCTAGACTCAAAGATGGCTGGATGGTCTATAATTGGGACACGTGTCTAGACTCAAAGATGCCTGGATGGTCTATAATTTGGGACATGTGTCTAGACTCAAAGATGCCTGGATGGCCTATAATTGGGAACCGTGTCTAGACTCAAAGATGCCTGAATGGTCTATAATTGGGACACGTGTCTAGACTCAACGATGCCTGGATGGAAAAGGTGCAGGCTGCTCCACTGATGTCACCTGTTTCATCATAGTTTTATGATTTAATAAAAGTCATATTTTTTTCATTTTTGCACATCAAATTTTTTTCTGTGTTCCATATTCCTAAGCCCATCTTTGAGCTCACAGCCCTTTCCCAAGAAATCAACTTCTAGACCTCCCTCTTCTCGGGGCTCCGAGGTGATTTCTGAGTGGCATCCTCTCCACCTCCCTGCTGGGAACAGAGCCAGTCGCAGGGCTCATGGGCAGCTTTAGAATGCCTGCTACTCCGGGGTGTCCCCCTGCTTCTCACTGGAGAAGAGGCCTCTGGGGTGGTCACAGCCTCTTTCTCCACATGAATCCTGAGAGTTCTTCCTGAGCTACACAGCTGGGGGAAGACGGCCCTAAAAGACGTGAAAAGAGAGACATGGGAAGTGAGGTGTCTCAGCTCTTGTCTCCCCTGGTTGGTGTGGCCTGACCTCACCAGAGCCCCAGCCTAACCCACCTGACCTGTCCCCAGGAGCTGTACTGAGCGATGGCTGCACCTGCTCAGTTACCTGTGGGGCCCAGTGCCTCTGAGAGAGGTGCCCAGTGAGGGCTCTGCAGGGCTCCCCCCGAGCAGGAGCTGGGCTGAGGTAAATCAGCAGGAAGGAGGGGCTGCCCAGGCCCCGGGGAGGCAGGCAGCGTGGAGAGGAGACAGAGGCGCACTGGGAGGGAGCAAGCCAGTCAGGACCACCCTCTCACCTCTGAGAAATGAGCTATGCTCACGGAATGCTCACACTGACCACTGAAAGACTTGACTATGATGATGACTCTCCCTGTGTTAGCAGGTGGGTGTAAGCACCTGCTTCCCAGGTTCAAGCCATTCTCCTGCCTCAGCCTCCTGAGTACCTGGAATTACAGGCACCTGCCACCACGCCTGGCTAATTTTTTTGTATTTTTAGTAGAGATGGGGTTTCACCGTTCACCATGGTGGTCAGGCTGGTCTCGAACTCCTGACCTCAGGTGATCCACCTGTCTCAGCCTCCCAAAGTGCTGGGATTGTAGGTGCTAGCCACTGCACCAGCCTCAACACAACTCTTTTAGGGTCAATATCTTGAGACCCACAAGGAATTTCCTTTGAGCAAATTCTGTGGGAGGTATGTAGCCTTTTATCTTTATAGTTATGTATTTAGGAAAAAAAAAAAAATGAGAGACAGGTTTGTGTGACACAGTTCCCAGCTAGCCTTTTCCCTGTAGCGTAGTGAGTCTGAGATCCCAAGATTTTATTTTTCTTTTATAATATAAACATGAAATAATAAGAAATGTATATTTGTAAGATCTGAGAGCTACAGTGTAAAAGAAAATAACACAGAAAAAGAATACACACACTCGCACACACACACATACACACAAACACACATATATGGTCTCTGTCCCTGTCTCCTGGTGCACAGCTCCTGAAACCCTTGGAATCTCCCAAGTGATGTGTCTTTATGGATGCTAATGAGACGACTGATTTCTGGGGACTCCCAAAGGACTGGTGGCCAGGGGAACCAACCTCGTGATTACGGGGTTAAACTTTTCAGCCCCCTATCCCCTGATTTCCAGGGATGGGGAGGAGCTGAAGGTTGAGTTGATCACCAGTGGTCAATGATTTAATCAGTCGTGCTTATGTGGCCATCGTGGGTGGCTCATGTCTGAAATCCCAGCATTTTGGGAGGCCAAGGCGGGAAGATCACTTGAGGCCAGGAGTTTGAGACCAGCCTGGGCAACATACTGAGAATTCATCTCTACAAATAAAAAAAAAATAGCCAGGCATGGTAGTGCATGCCTGTGGTCCAGCTACTCAGGAGGCAGAGGTGGGATGATCAATTGAGTCCAGGAGATCAAGGCTGCAGCCAGCTATGATTGCAGCACTGCATGCCAGCTTGGGTGACAGAGCTAGACCCCGTCTCAAAAACAAAACAAAATGAAACGAAACAAAAAACAAACTAAAAACCAAATCATGCCTATGTCATGAAGTCATGAAACTCAGGACAGCGGCCGGGCATAGTGGCTCATGCCTGTAATCCCTGCACTTTGGGAGGCCAAGGCAGGCAGATCACTTGAGGTCAGGAGTTTGAGACCAGCTTAGGCAACATAGTGAGATTCTGTCTCTATTTTTTTTTAATTAAAAAAAAAGATAAAGTAAACATGGGGCAGAGGAAGCAGTCAGATATGCATTTGTCCCAGGTGAGCAGAGGGATGACCTTGAGTTCTGTCCTTTGTCCTGCAAGGATAAGCTATCAATTTACATTGTCAGGGAAATTCAACAGAACTGTTCTAAGGTCAAAATCTTGAGGCCCACGAGGAATTTCTTCATGGGCAAATTGTGAGGGAAGTATGTAGCTTTTTAAAAAAATCTTTGTAGGTATCTATTTAGGAACAAAATGGGGGAGGCAGGTTTGCATGATCCAGTTTCCAGCTTGACTTTTGCTTTTGGCTTAGTGAGTTGGTGGTCCTGAGATTTCTTTGCCTTTAGCAGTCATTATTCAGGGAAGAGGGTATGGTCTTGATACTCAAAATTTCTTAGGCGAGAAATCTACCAGGGTTTGGATGAGACCATACATTGCTCATTCAGTATCTCAAACCCAGAAAGATGAGTTACTGACATTGAATGTGTGAAAGGAAAACAAACAGCTCTGTTGAATTTTTTGAATTTCATCTAAAACAGTTCTGGGTTTTGTTTTGTTTAGTTTTTGAGACAGAGTCTTGCTCTATTGCCCAGGCTAGAGTGCAATGGTGTGATCTTGGCTCACTGCAACCTCTGCCTCCTGGTTCAAGCAATTCTCCTGCCTCAGCCTCCTCAGTAGCTAGTATTACAGGCATGCACCACCATACTCGGGTAATTTTTGTATTTGTAGTAGAGACAGGGTTTCACCATATTGGCCAGGCTGGTCTCCAACTCCTAGCCTCATGCAATTCACCTACCTCAGCCTCCTAAAGAACTGGGATTACAGGCATGAGCCACCATACCCAGCCAAAACAGTTATGTTGAATCTCACCCTGACAACATAAATGAAAAACTTGTCTTCACAGGTAAGGGACAAAGGACAGATTTAAAAGTCATCCATCTGCACACTGGAGACAAAAGCATATCTGACTGTTTCCTGTAGTCTATGTGTATTTTTCTTCTGTAAAAATGCAGATTCACTGAGTGCAAGATGAATACATAATTGACTATTCCTCCACCCTTTTCTTTCCGCATGTAAAATGTGGGTTCCATGAATGCTGATCAAAGACTAAAAGGAACACAAATGCTTGGCTTTTCAATATGCTCTCTCTTCCCGCTTGTTTTTCCTTTTGCCTTCCCCTACTGGCCACTCTTTTTCCATTTACTTATTCATTCATTCATTTATTCATTTATTTATTTATTTATTTGGAGATGGAGTCTCACTCTATTGCCCAGGCTGGAGGCAATGGCATGATCTCAGCTCACTGCAACCTCCGTCTCCCAGGTTCAAGCAATTCTCCTGCCTCAGCCTCCTGAGTAGCTGAGACTACAGGCACCCGCCACCACACCTGGCTAGTTTTTGTATTTTAGTAGAGACAGGGTTTCACCAAGTTGGCCAGGCTGGTCTTGAACTCCTGACATCGTGATCTGCCCACCTCAGCCTCCCAAAGTGCTGGGATTACAGGCATGAGCCACTGCACCTGACCTATTTTTTTAAGACAGAATCTTGCTCTGTTGCTCAGGTTGGAGTGCAGTGGTGCAATCTCGGCTCACTGCAACCTCTGCCACTTGGGTTCAATCAATTCTCCTGCCTCAGTCTCCTCAGTAGCTGGGATTACAGGCATGTGCCACCACACCCAGCTAATTTTTGTATTTTTGGTAGAGACAGGGTTTCACCATATTGGCCAGGCTGGTCTCGAACTCCTGACCTCAGCTGAGGAGACTGAGACAATCCTGGTCAACATAGTAAAACCCCATCTCTACTAAAAATACAAAAATTAACTGTGCGTGGTGGCACATGCCTGTAATCCCAGCTACTTGCCAGGCTGATGCAGGAGAATCACTTGAACCAGGGAGTCAGAGGTTTCAGTGAGCCGAGGTCACACCACTGCACTCCAGCCTGATGACAGAGCAAGACTCCGTGTCAAAAAAAAAAAAAAAAAAAAAAAAAAAAAAGGGCTGGGCGCGGTGGCTCACGCCTGTAATCCCAGCACTTTGGGAGGCTGAGGTGGGCAGATCACGAGGTCAGGAGATCGAGACTGTCCTGGCTAACATGGTGAAAACCTGTCTCTACTAAAACTACAAAAAAAAATTAGCCGGGTGTGGTGGCGGGCACCTGTAGTCCCAGCTACTCGGGAGGCTGAGGCAGGAGAATGTGGCATGAACCCAGGAGGCGGAGCTTTCAGTGAGCCGAGATCATGCCACTGCACTCCAGCCTGGGTGACAGAGCGAAACTCGGTCTCAAAAAAAAAAGAGAGAGAGAGAACTTAGTGATTTTAAAGGTTTTTTTCCTTTCTTTTGATATCTAATGTTGGATTTACAACTTTGAAATGCAAAACTACATGTACAAATCTGTGAAACACAGGGCAGATGCTAGACAAAATATGCCAGAATTTCCCAGTGATTACCTCGATTGGAAAATTTCATCTCCAGACTTTTCCATACATTATGCATTTTCTACAGCAAACAAGCATTGCTTTTGTGATCATAAAATACAAGCAGACACAATCAAGACTGGGGGAGGTTTCCTGGGGGAGAGCAGCCAGGCCCAGGATGCAGGGCTCTCCTTCCTGGGACATCAGCCAGGTCAGGGCCCTTGAGGCACAGGTCTGGGCAGCTCTACCAGTGGGCATGGGCAGAGAAGGACCCAGCTGGTTGAGCCCCTGATGCAATTGAGGGCAGGCCCCTTGCCGGAGAGGGAGACAGAACAGCTGCCAAAACACAGCCTTGAGGCCAGGCTCTGTCTGGGGGTCTCGCTGCTGCTCCCCAGCCCACAGGGCTTCCAGCCGCACCAGGACAAGCTTCACTGCAAAGGCGGGAGAGGAGGGGAGGGGATGTGCCTTACCTTGGGGCGTGTGCAGTGTGGACTGTGTGTGCGTGTGCATATGCACATACATTTGTACGTTTGTGGGATACTGGTGGGTGCACAAGCTTTGTATGTGTGGACGTACATGTGTCTGTGTGTGGGGTGTGTATGCACGTGTGTTTACACATATGGGGTTTGGGTGTGCACGTGTTCATACATATGATGTGCGCATGTGTGGGCATATACATGTGTCCATTTATGGGGTATGGGATGCAGATATGTGCATGTATTCATGCACATTCATGTAGCGCATGTGTGTGTTACAGCATATGGTGAGTGCATGGGTGTTCGTATCTGTGGGGTACAGGTATCATGCACGTGTGTTCATCTGTGTGGGGTGTGGGTATACGTGGACCGTGGCCTGAGGCTCCCCCACAGGACACTGCTCCCTGCCGCCTCCCCAGGGGCTAACAGGACCCTGCTCCTCTTGCTAAAGCCAGTTTGGGAGCAGCCCCACCCAGGCAGCCCCAAGCCAACCAGGCTCGCCTCTGACCAGATGGCTGAAGGAGCAGGTAGAGCAGGAAGTGTGAGCCAGTGACCCAGGTTCCCCTGGTGGCCAGGCTTGGTGGCCCATGTCCATGGAGTCCCCCACCTGCCAATGACCTCCAGCCATGTCTCCTGGGTACCAGGCCACCCATGGGTGGGGGTGGGGGTAACTCCCTGCTGACTCACTGCTCAGCTGGCACCAATGAGGTCTCCACCTCAGCCCTGGGCTGAGTGTCCAGTGCTGAGTCCTTCCTACAGGCAGGTGAGCTTGGGAGGCAGGGACCCTGTGGACTTGGGGAGCGGGCTCAGGGTCTGGAGGCCAGAGGCCTTGTCCCCAGGCCCGGCATCCCATCAGCAAGAGCCCAGGAGGCTCTCAGGGCAGCACTCCTCTAGCAATCTCAGGGGCAGCGTCCTCCCAGGAGTCACATCCAGATCACCATACGTACCTGCTGGCCCCTAGCATGTCCCATAAGTGGAGAGGGGTTGGCCTGTGGAGGCAGGGGTGGCCAGAATATGTGCCGGAACCCCATCTACAGGCTGACACCTAAACCCAAATGGCACAGGGGAGCCTGAGCATGAAGTGGCTGGCCTCTCCCTCGCGGGGGCCCAGCAACTGCTGACTCCATGTGCCAAGCCCCGCCTGCCCGCTGGAAAGCCTCAACAGACTGCTCCCTGTGGTGACACCACCACTCGGGTCGGCTTGGCTGAGGCCAGCGGAGCATCTCCCCTCTAGGTCCATTCACATCCATCTTCCCTGGACAAATGAACACTCCCCAAACACTCACTTGCCACTTTGACCCCAGACCAAACACACAGCCACTCCTGGAGTGCCGGTGACTGAGGGTGGCTGGGCCCTTCTGTGCCCACAAAGCAGGGCCTGGGCTATACCTGTGGGGCTGCACGACTGTGCCAGGACAGCCTTACCTTTGCTGGGGGCTTCGTGCCCTCCCAGCTGCGTGTGTCCATGGACGAGGGGACCTGGTAGATGTCATGCCCCATCCCGGCAGAAGGTGGCACCTGGTAAATATCCTGGGCAGGGCCTCCAGGCCCTGGGGACACCTGGTACAGGTCTGTGGCCGGGCTGGGAAACGGGTGATGGGGCGTCTGCTTCGAGAAGGTGGATGTCTGCTTGGCTGGGGGCGACTGGAACTGAGGGCTGGGACCCGGGACTTGGTAGAGGCCTTGCTGAGCCTTGCTGGGAGTGGGCACCAGGTAGACGCTGTCGGGCTGGGGCTGGTAGGTGTTGGGGAGCATGGGCGTGTACTGGGAGGCCGGAGGCACTGGGGCATGGAGGCCAGGCTGAGGCTGGGCCGGGGTGGCGGGAGGGCCGGGGCCAGGCCCTGCTGGCTTCTTATCATACATACCCACCAAGATCTTGAGGTGGTTCCCAGGCATGATGCCCTGGCGCCCGTGCAGCGAGCAGAGCCACCAGCCATCCAGGCCCTGCGTGTCCTGCTCCAGCACCGTCATGATGTCGCCCTTGCGGAAGGAGAGCTCATCCGGGGACTCGGCCACATTGTCATAGAGGGCTTTGGCCAGCACATTCAGGTGGTTCATGGTGTCCGGCGGGCCTGGGGCCCCGGCTCCCGTGGGGGCACACACCGAGCTGCCCGGGCCGCGTGCCCTCGGGGCTCCGAGCGCGCCGCAGCCGCCCCGGTGCCGCCGCGCAGCTGCCGCCTCGGCCATCCACAGCCGGTCCCTTAAGTTTTTTTTTCTTATTGTGACAAAAAGCATATAAGATTAACTGTCTTAACCATTTGTAAATGTACTATTCAGTAGAATTATGTATATTGACATTGCTGTGAAACATCTCCGGGACCTTTTCATCTTGTGAAACGGAATCCCTGTACCCATTAAACAGCGATTCCCCAGTTCCCCTTCTCCCAGCCACTGGTAACTATCATTCCACTTTCTGTTTCTATGAATTTGACTACTTTAGATACCTTATATAGTGGAATCATGCAGTATTTATTGTTTGTGACTGGCTTATTTCCCTTAACATAATGTCGTCAAGGCTTACGTATGTTACAGCACGTGACAAGATTTTCTTCCTTTTTAAGGCTGAATACTACTCCATTGTATGTATAAATCACATTTTGTGTATCCATTCATCCATTCATGGCCTTTGGGTTGCTTCTATCTCTTGTGATTGTGAACAATGGTGCTGTGAACGTGGATGTGCAAACAATCTCTTTGAGACCCTGCTTTTAATTCTTTGATTATATATCCAGAAGTGGGATTGCTAGATCATATGGTAGTTCTATGTTTCATTTTTTGAGGACCCTCCGTACTGTTTCCCATAACCATAATAGCTGCATCATTTTACAATCCCACTAACGGCACACAAAGCTTCTGGTTTCTCTACATCCTCAAAAATGCTTGTTTGTGTTTTTTTCTTTTTCTTTTTTTTTTTTTTGAGACAGAGGCTTATCCTGATGCCCAGGCTGGAGCACAGTGACATGATCATAGTTTATTGCAGCCTGGAGCTCCTGGGCTCAAGGGATCCACCTGCTTCAGCCTCCTGAGTAGCTGGACTACAGGCATGCACCACCACACCCAGCTAATTTTTGTATTTTTGGTAGCAACAGGGTTTTGCCATGTTGCCCAGGTTGGTCTCCAACTCTTGGCCTCAGATGATCCACCTGCCTCAGCCTCCCAATGTGCTGGGATTACAGGCGTGAACCACCATGACGAGCCAAATGAGGCTAATTTTAAATTCTTTTGTAGAGACAGTATTTCATTATGTTGCCCAGGCTGGCCCCAAACACGTAGCTTCAAGTGATCCTCTTGCCTGGGCTGCTCAAAGTGCTGGGATTGGCCGGGTGTGGTGGCTCATACCTGTAATCCCAGCACTTTGGGAGGCTGAGTCGGGCAGATCCCGAAGTCAGGAGTTTGAGACCAGCCTGGACAATATGTTGAAGCCCCGTCTCTACTAAAAATACAAAAATTAGCCAGGCATGGTAGAGCGTGCCTGTAATCCCAGCTACTTGGGAGGGTGAGGCAGGAGAATTACTTGAACCTGGGAGGCAGAGGTTGCAGAGAGCTGAGATTGCACCATTGCACTCCAGCCTGGGTGACATAGCAAGACTCTGTCTCACGGGTGGGGAAAGCGGGGAGGGCTGGGATTACAGGTGTGAGTCACTATGCCTGGTCCACTTATTGTTTTTGATGGTAGCCAACCTAATGGGTATGAGGTGATAGCTCACTGTGGTTTATTTCTCTGATTAGTGATGGTGACCATCTTTTCATATGCTTTTTTGGCCATTTGTATGGCATATTCACCCAGAATAGGTAATTTTTTTAAAACATAAAAATTTAAAAATTATTTTTTAAAAGAAATAATTTGTGTGTGTGTGTGTGTGTGTGTGTGTGTGTGTGAGAGAGAGAGAGATGGAGTCTTGCTCTGTTGCCCAGGTTGGAGTGCAATAGCACCATCTTGGCTCACTACAACCTCCGCCTCCCGGGTTCAAGCAATTCTCCTGCCTCAGCCTCCCAAGGAGCTGGGACTACAGGCGGGTGCCACCACGCCTGGTTAATTTAGGTATTTTTGGTAGAGACAGGGTTTTGGCATGTTGACTGGGCTTGTCTTGAACTCCTGGCCTCAAGTGATCCTGTGCTGGGATTACAGGCGTGAGCCACTGCACCGGGTCTCTGTTCTTGTCAAAAATCAATTAATCGTAGATATTTTGATTTATATCCGGACTCTCATTTCTGTTACACTGGACTGTACCTCTACCTATAGGCCAGTACCAGAGCCTTTTTTTTCCTTTCTTCTTACTGGTAAACTGAAGTCACATCACAGTCTTGATTATTGTAGCTTAGTAGGTTTTAAGATTGGAAAGTATAAATTCTCCAACTTTGTTCTCCTCTTTCAAGATTGTTTTGTCTAATCTGGGTTCTTTGCATTGCTATATGAATTTTAGGATCAGCTTCTCCATTTCTGCCAGAAAGGCAGCTGGGATTTTGATAGAGGTTGCATTGAATCTGTAGATTAGTTTGGGGATTATTGTTGTCATAACCATGTTTAGTCTTCCAATCCATGAATATGAGATGTCTTGATTTAGGTCTTCTTTAATTTTTTTTTTTGTTGGTGGTGGTGAGATGAGGTCTCCCTCTGTTACCCAGGCTGAAGTGCATGATCTCAGCTCACTGCAACCTCTGCCTCCTGGGCTCAAGCCATCCTCCTACCTCAGCCTCCTTAGTAGCTGGGACTACAGTCATGCACCACCCCACCTGGCTAATTTTTGTATTTTTTGTAGGGATGAGGTTTTACCATGTTGCCCAGGATGGTCTTGAGCTCCTGATCTCAAAGCAATCCACCCGCCTCAGCCTCCCAAAGTGCTGAGCTTAAAAGCATGAGCCACTGGGCCTGGTCAGGTGTTCTTTAATTTTTTTCAACAATGTTTCAGAGTTTTCAGTATATGAGTCTCAGACCTCTTTTTTTGAATTATTTCCTATGTGTTTTATTCTTTCAGATGTTATTACAAATGGAATTTCTTAATTTCATTTTTGGATAGTTCATTACTAGTGTATGAAATATAATTGATCTTTGTGTATGGATCTTGTGCCTTTGACCTTGCTGAACTTGTTTATTAGCATGTGTTTTCTCTTTCTCTCTCTGTCTCTAGTGTGTGTGTGGGTGGGGGAAACTTTCTTAGGCTTTCTATATACAAGATCACATCTGCCGGGCACAGTGGCTCACGCCTGTAATCTCAGCACTTTGGGAGGCCGAGGTGGATGGGTCACCTGAAGTCAGGAGTTCGAGACCAGCCTGGCCAACATGATGAAACCCTGTCTCTACTAAAAAAAATACAATTGGCTGGGCATAATGGTGGGTGCCTGTATCCCAGCTACTCAGGAAGCTGAGGCAGGAGAATCACTTGAATCCAGGAGGCAGAGGTTGCAGTGAGGCAAGATCGCGCCACCACACTCCGGCCTGGGCAACAAGAGCAAAACTCCGTCTCAAAAGTAAATAAACAAATAAAAAGATCACATCGTCTGGAAATATAGTTTTACTTTTTCATTTCTAATATAGATGCCATTTATTTTATTTTTTTTTGTGTGCCTAATTGTCCTGGCTGGAACTTCCTCTTTTTTTTTGAGACCGAGTTTTTCTCTTGTTGCCCAGGCTCTGAGGTGCAGTGGCATGATCTTGGCTCACTGCAACGTCCACCTCCCAAGTTCAAGTGACTCTCCTGCCTCAGCCTCCCGAGTAGCTGGGATTATAGGCATGCACCATCACATCTGGCTAATTTTTGTATTTTTAGTAGAGACTGGGTTTCACCATGTTAGTCAGGCAGGTCTCGAACCACTGACCTCAGGTGATCCACCCACCTTGGCCTCCCAAAGTGCTGGGATTATAGGCATGAGCCACCGTGCCCGGACTGGAACTTTCAATATAATGTAGATTATAAGTGACAAGAGTAGATGTACTTGCCTAGTTCCTGATCTTAGGGGGAAAGCTTTGTTTTCCCCATTTAATACATTGTTAGCTGTGGGTTTTTCATAGATGCCTTTAGCAAGTAAAGAAAGTTTCTTTCTATTCCTAGCTTGTGGACTGTTTCTATCATGAAAGGGTGTTGGATTTTGTCAGAAAATTTTTGTGTTTATTGAGAAGATCATGTGGTTTTTGCTTTTTATTCTACTTTTATGGTGCATTATATCAGTTGATTTTTGGGTGTTACTCCAAGCAGGCATGAATCCTACTTGGTCATGTTATAGAATCTTTTTATGTATTACTGGACTTGGCTTGCTAGTATTTTGTTGCAGTTTTTTTTTTTTTTGGTCTTTATGAGAAATATTGGTTATTATTTTTCTTTTCTCATGATGCCTTTGGTTTTGGTACCAGGAAAATATTGGCCTCAATGAATGAGTTTGAAAGTGTCAGCCGGGCACAGTGGGTCACACCCATAATCCCAGCACTTTGGGGGACTGAGGTGGGTGGATAATAAGGTCAGGTGTTCCGAGACCAGCCTGGCCAACATGGTGAAACCCCGTCTCTATTAAAAATACAAAAAAAATTAGCCAGACTTGGTTGTGCGCACCTGTATTCCCAGATACTTGGGAGGCTGAGGCAGGAAAATCGCCTGATTCCGGGAGAGGTTGCAGTGAGCCAAGATTGAGCCATTGCACTGCAGCCTGGGTGACAGAGGGAGACTCTGTAGTATAAGAGGAAGGAATGCATGTTTGTAGTATAAGAGGAAGGAAGGCATTAGAAGGAGGCCTGAAGATTCATTTGGGGGATTTGGGGTGATAGGTAAGGTCAGGGCTTGGAGAGGACAGGAAACTTTTCTTTTTTTTAGACAGTGTCTCACTCTGCCTCCCAGGCTGGAGTGCAGTGGCGCAATCTCTGCTCACTGCAACCTCCGCCTCCTAGTTCAAGTGATTCTCCTGCCTCAGCCTCCCAAGCATCTGGGACTACAGCCACACACCACCATGCACAGCTAATTTTTGTTTCTTTCTTTTTTTTTTTTTTTTTTTTTTTTTTTTTGAGACAGAGTCTCACTCCCTCACCCAGCCTGGAGTGCAGTGGCACGATCTCAGTTCACTGTGACCTCCACCTCCTGGTTCAAGTGATTCTCCTGCTTCAGCCCCCCGAGTAGCTATGATTACAGGCATGTACCACAAGCCTGGCTAGTTTTTGTATATTTTATTTTATTTTATTTTACATTATTTTATTTTATTTTTGAGATGGAGTTTTGCTCTTTCGCCCAGGCTGGAGTGCAGTGACGCAATTTCGGCTCACCACAAGCTCCGCTTCCCAGGTTCATGCCATTCTTTTACCTCAGCCTCCCGAGTAGCTGGGACTACAGGCACCCGCCACCACACCTGGCTAGTTTTTGTATTTTAGTAGAGATGGGGTTTCACCAAGTTGGCCAGGCTGGTCTCGAACTCCTGACATTGTGATCTGCCCACCTCAGCCTCCCAAAGTGCTGGGATTACAGGCATGAGCCACTGCACCTGACCTATTTTTTTAAGACGGAGTCTTGCTCTGTTGCTCAGGTTGGAGTGCAGTGGTGCAATCTTGGCTCACTGCAACCTCTGCCAGTTGGGTTCAATAAATTCTCCTGCCTCAGTCTCCTCAGTAGCTGGGATTACAGGCATGCGCCACCACACCCAGCTAATTTTTGTATTTTTGGTAGAGACAGGGTTTCACCATATTGGCCAGGCTGGTCTCGAACTCCTGACCTCAGCTGAGGAGACTGAGACAATCCTGGTCAACATAGTAAAACCCCATCTCTACTAAAAATACAAAAATTAACTGTGCGTGGTGGCACATGCCTGTAATCCCAGCTACTTGCCAGGCTGATGCAGGAGAATCACTTGAACCAGGGAGTCAGAGGTTTCAGTGAGCCGAGGTCACACCACTGCACTCCAGCCTGATGACAGAGCAAGACGCCATGTCAAAAAAAAAAAAAAAAAAAGGCTGGGCGCAGTGGCTCACGCCTGTAATCCCAGCACTTTGGGAGGCCCAGGTGGGCAGATCACGAGGTCAGGAGATCGAGACTGTCCTGGCTAACATGGTGAAAACCTGTCTCTACTAAAACTACAAAAAAAAATTAGCCGGGTGTGGTGGCGGGCACCTGTAGTCCCAGCTACTCGGGAGGCTGAGGCAGGAGAATGTGGCGTGAACCCAGGAAGCGGAGCTTTCAGTGAGCCGAGATCGTGCCACTGCACTCCAGCCTGGGTGACAGAGCAAAACTCGGTCTCAAAAAAAAAGAGAGAGAGAGAGAACTTAGTAATTTTAAAGTTTTTTTTTCTTATTGTGACAAAAAGCATGAGGTTCTCAAGGTTCACGCCATGATGGTGCCACTGCACTCCAGCCCCTTCCCTCTACTTTGCTGCCACTCGGATGGGGGAAGCTCTGGAAGACTTCTTAGGGAAGTGGCATATAAACTGTGTGTCATACTTGTTGTTGTTTTTTTTTTTTTTTTTTGGAGACAGGGTCTTGCTGTGTCCCACAGGCTGGAGTGCAGTCGCATGATCACAGCTTACCATGGCCTCAAACTCCTGGCTCAAGCAATCCTCCCATCTCAGCCTCCCAAGAGGCTAGGACTACAGGCAAACACCACCACGCCCAACTAATTTTTAAAATTCATCCCACGTAGAAGAGGGGGAAAGGCATGAAAGGGCATTTGTGGCAGAGGAACAGTGTGAGCAAAGACCAATAGTCTGGGAAAAGGAGGAGGATAGGCTGTGGGTGGAGCAGGAAATGTGGGTGCTTCTCTTGGCAAAGGATTCTGAATGCCAGGTGAGCAGGACGAATGTATCTTGTGGGCGCCAGAGAGGCCTGGGCCTCAGCCTGCCCCTGTAAAATGAGGTGATTAGACTGGTCTGCTTCAGGCCTTCCTAGGGCAAGGGGCTGTCACAGAAAGGGTCTACTCTAGGTTCTTCCAGGTTCAACCCCAGAAAGGCAGAATGGGAAGTGGCTGGAGCAGCTCAGAGGCTAGGGGTAATATTTTGCTCCAGAGCCCAAGTCTGAGAATGACTATTTTACCAAGCTGTCTGCATTGCATCCCTAAGTCACCCTGGCTAACCCTCCACCCAGTCAGGGTCCTGCAGGGAAAACCCAGGCCTTGGGTCAGGAGGCAAGAAGGGTGATGGGTGTCTTACCCCTGGCTCCACCCTAGGTAAGGGTTGGCCCTCTTGGAGCCTCAACTTGCTCATATGCACAATGGAGGAGCTGTGCCTTGGGCTCTCTAAGCCTCTCTCCCCAGGACAGCACTGTCATTCTGGAGATGGGAACAGCATTAGCAAAGGAACGGAAGTAGGATTGTGAGGACCTTGTTGGGCAACAGACAGGCAGGTGAGGCTGGAGAATGGAGTCCCTAGAAGTGGATGGTTCTTGTTGGGGTTGGCTGGATCCAAGGGGTATGACCTTCCTCCTTATGTGCAGAACTGGGTGAGCCCTAGGTCATGGCCAGCAGCCCTCGGAGTGGGACTGAGGACCTGTTGGGAAACCAGTTTGGCAAGGCCATCATCTCCATGATGTCATCCAGCCACTGTGTTCTCTGGGCAATAGTGCCAGGCAAACTTCTGGCCCTGCAGGAGGAGAAAGGGCCTCAGATGCCCACTGGGCAGCAATGAATTCCAGGAGACCCAGCCTCACAGACAAAGGAGAGGCAAGGGGCTGGAACAGGAAGGAGAGAGTTCTGGATGTGCCAGCCTGGACCTCTTTAGACTTCTGGGAGTCCCTGATGCCTGGGCGCAGGGAGTGGGGGTCTAGGCTCATGGTGGGACACTATGTAATTGCTACCTGATGGGTTGGACACTGGCTCCTGATCATGCTTATACTACATGTGTGGCAATTTTGTTACCACTATGACCTTCACAGCTTGAGTCCTGTGAGGTAGGACCACCATTATACAGATAAGGAGACAGACTCAGAACCCTCGTTCTTTTGTTGTTTTTTTTTGTTTTGTTTTGTCTTTGAGACAGAGTCTCACTCTGTCGCCCAGGCTGGAGAGTGGAGTGGCACAACCATGGCTTACTGCAGCCTTGACCTCCCAGGCTCACAGTGGGACTACAGACACATGCCACCATGCCCGGCTAATTTTTTTTATTTTTTGTAGAGACAAGGGTCTCCCTGTGTTGCCAGGGCTAGTCTTGAACTCCTGGGTTCAAGCAATCCTCCTGCCTTGACCTTCTGAAGTGCTAAGATTACAGGCGTGAGCCACTGCGCCTGGCCAGAACATTTGTTCTTAATCACCATATTCTACCATCCACCATTTGGAAGCTCCGCTTGGATGAAGCCTGAGCACTGGGGAGACCTGGGCCTCAGTCTGCCCATCTGTAAAATGAGGGGGTTTGACTGGCTTCCTTCAGGCCCTCCTAGGGCAAAAAACTGTAACAAGAAGGGTCTAGATTCTTCCAGGTTCAGCCCTGGACTGGCAGAGTAGGGAGTATCTGGAGCAGCTCAGGGGCCGAGGGTATTTTGGCTCCAGAGTCCAGTCCGAGAATGAATATTTTACCAACCTGTCAGTGTGGGATCCCAGCAAACCCTTCTCTCTACTTCTGAACATAGCACCTGAATCTTGGCATCACAGAGTCCTGGATACCCACCTTATGGTTCAAATAGGTAACTGAGTCCCAGAGAGGACAAGGGACAGGCTTCAGGTAGTGTAGCAAATCAGGAGCAGAGCCATTCTGCATCCCAGATTCTCAACCTCCCAAAACTTTGTTTCCTCCTCAGGTCCTGGCACACTTAAGCATGAAATAACTGACACATATTGAGTGCCTATGGCATACCATGCACTCATGTAACCATCACCACAGCCCTATAAAGCAGATGCTAATAGTCTGTCCCTTTTATGGGCAAAGAAACTGAGGCTCAGAGAGGGGAAGTCATTTGTCCAAGTTGACACTGCATGTTGGTGGTAGGGAAGGGATTTGAACCCAGGTATATAGGCCCTTCCCCCTCAGCAGATCCAGTAAGCCTCACTGGAGGCATGAAGACCTGTAGACAGCAGGGTGGATGGCTCCTTTGCTGGTTCTGAAGGCGCGCAGTGTCCAATTCAGAGTTTCCACGCAGGCCTGGCCTCTCTGGGGCAGGCAGAAAAGTGCTGAGGCTGCAGAAGGGCTCTGAATCTTCCCAGAGGAGGCGGCCATGGTGGGAGGCAGTGCTCTGCACCAACCTCAGAGCCAAGTGTAGACATGGTGGCTGGACCAGCTGCAAACAAGGGAAGGCAGGCAGGGTGGGGCCCAAACCCTAACCCAGCCTCCAAGCCGTGTTCCCAGCCTTCCGCCAGCCAGGCCCTGCCCTACCACCCTTCTCGCTCCCCACCTGGATTTGAGATGAGGACGCCGGGCCTAATAATAGCCAAACGGCAGCAGAGGCAGTGCCTGGAGCCACTGCCAGTTGGAGCCTGGGGTCCCCCATGGTCTCATGTTGGCCTCCAACAGGGTTCAGAACTTTAAAAGTACTGCACTCCAGCCTGGGCGACAGAGTGAGGTCTTGTCTCAAAAACAAAAACAAAACAAAACAAAAACCCTTTAAAATAGCAACTGCTTATGAAGTTTATAATATGTGCTGGGCACTGTGCTAAAGCATAGCCCACAGTAACTTACTTATTCCTCACCCTACCCCCACTGGCTAAGACTATTTCTTTTTTTTTTTTTTTTAAGACAGAGTCTCACTCTGTCACCCAGGCTAGAGTGCAGTGGCGCAATCTCGGCTCACTGAAACCCCTGCCTCCTGGCTTCAAGTGATTCTCCTGCCTCAGCCTCCCAATTAGCTGGGATTACAGGGGCCCGTCACCACGCCTGGCTAATTTTTGTATTTTCAGTAGAGACGGGGTTTCGACATGTTGGCCAGGCTGGTCTTGAACTCCTGAACTGAGGTGATCCATCTGCCTCGGCCTCCCAAAATGCTGGGATTACAGGCATGAGCCACTGTGCCTGGCCAGGCTAAGACTATTCTTAGCCCTTTTGATGGATGGAACACTGCCCCTGATGATAACAGGAACTTGGCAGCCTTCAATTGCTGAGCATGCATACTGTCCCTCCTTGGCACTCTGCTAAGCACTTTCTTTGTATTTTCCCATTGATTCCCCATGGCATTATGAGACAGATGCTAATTTCTTTAGACGAAGAAAAAAATGAGGCCCAGAGAGAAAAGTGACTTGCCCAAGGTCACACAGCTATAATGGACAGAGTCGAGACTCAAACCTAGGACTTTCTAACTGTAGCGAGGCTAAGACCTTAGATTCTGGAAACAGACAAACTTAAGTACGGTGGGTTCATCACTGCTCCTTAGCTATGCAGCCTTGGCAAGTCACATCACCTGCCTGAGCCTCTGTTTTCTCCTCTGTAAATTGAGGGTTTGGGGGAGATAATACTAACACTCCCTGACAGCTATTAAGCCCACGTTGGGTGTAATAAAATAGGTAATTTACAGCACACATTTCCATGGTGCATTCCCTCAGTCAATTCTCACAATAGCCCCCAATGTTAGGACTCCTCTCTTCCAGCACCTGTGTTTTTTGGTTGTTGTGTTTTTTTGTTTGTTTTTTTTTTTAGACAGTTTCACTCTTGTTGCCCAGGCTGGAGTGCAATGGCACAATCTCAGCTCACTGCAACCTCCGCTTCCTGGGTTCAAGCGATTCTCCTGCCTCAGCCTCCTGAGTAGTGAGTAGCTAGGATTACTGGCGTGCGCCACCACGCCTGGCTAAGTTTTATATTTTTAGTAGAGACGGGATTTCACCATGTTGTCCAGGCTAGTCTTGAACTCCTGAACTCAGGTGATTCGCCTGCCTTGGCCTCCCAAAGTGCTGGGATTACAGGTGAGAGCCACCATGCCCGGCCCCAGCACCTGTTTTATAGAAGGGAAATGTGAGTCTCAGAGAGGAGCGGCACTTGCCCAAAATCAATAGCAAGTGAGTCAGGACTTAAGCCCAGGGCTGTGGTTCTAGAGGCTGAGCTCTTTTTTATTTTTTAAGACAGGATCTCTGTCACCCAAGCTGGAGTGCAGTGGTGTGATCATGGCACACTACAGCCTTGACCTGTCTGGGCTCAGGTGATCCTCTCACCTCAGCCTCCCGAGTAGCTGGGACTACAGGCACTCACCACCACACCTGACAAATTTTTATAGAGATGGAGTTTCCCCATGTTGTCCAGGCTGGTCTCAAACTCCTAGTTTCAAGTAATCCGTCCACCTCAGCCTCCCAAAGTGCTGGAATTACACAGGTGTGAGCCACCATTCCCAGCCAGGCATGTGACTATTTTTGGCCAATAGAATATATGGAAGTGGCATTGCCAGTTCGAAGCCTGGGTGTTAAGAGATTGGGCCTTAAGAGATTCCACTCATTCTCTTGGAACTCTCGCAGCTGTTATGTGAACAAGCCTGGGCTATCCTGCCTAAGAGACCACTGGAACAGGGACTAGTTATCCTAGCTGAAGCTGTCCTAGTCAGTCACCATCTAATCCAATAGCTGACCACAGATACATGAGTAAGCCCAACTGAGACCAGAAAAATCTTTAGCTGAGCCCAGGCTAAAGTGCCAGTCCATGAAATCTTGAGCTAAAAAAATGGTTGCTGTTTTAAGGCACTAAGTTTTGGGGTGGTTTGTTATGTAGCATTGTTGTGGCAATTGATAACTGATACACAGTTTTATTCAGTGTAATTAATGCTGGCTGCTGTAACAAACAAAATATCTCAGTGGTTTAACCCAATCAGAGTTTATTTCTCACTCCTGCAAAGTCTGATATAGGTTGGGGCTCTCCCAGGGAGCTCTTTTCCAAGCAGTGACCTTGCCCCCCAATCCTGCCTCCACCCCAGGCTCTCCATGGAATCTATTCCTGAATCCTCTGCATGTGGAAAGGGAATCAGAAAATCAAAGGAGGCACATCCACACTTAACTGCCTTTGCGCAGGGGTCACGTATAATTTCATTGGCCTTTATGTAGTCACATGACTCTACTAACTGCAGGAAAAATGAGAACATGACCTTCCTGTGTGTCCAGGAAAAGGAAACAGGTTACAGAACACAAAGCATTGCTTCTGTTACATTCCTCCTGTTGTGGGGCTGGTGTGCGTGCATGCATGCGTGTGTGTGTGTGTGTGTGTGTGTGTGTCTGTGTCTGTATGTGTGGTGGGAGTTGGAGGGGCGTGTGTGTTAAGTAGAGAATTAACATCTATAAAGAATCAACAGTGGTGCATGCCTGTAATCCCACTACTCTGGGGAGCTGAGGCAGGAGGATTGCTTGAGCTCAGGAGGTTGAGGCTGCACTGAACTGAGATCATGCCATTGCACTCCAGCCTGGGTGACAGAGCAAGACCGTGTCTCAAGAAAAAAAAAAAAAAGAGAGAGAGAGAGAGAGAATCAACTTCAGCACCTACCATGTGTTAGCTTAAATAAGGGACAAGTTATAGGTAAAGAATTTGAGGCTCAGCTTAACTGGGCCTGGTGCCGCATGCCTGTAGTCCCAGCTACTTGGGAGGCTGAAGTGGGAGGATCACTTGACCCTAGGAGGTTGAGGCTGCAGTAAGCAGAGATTGCCCACTGCATTCCAGCCTGGGTGGCAGAATAAGACCTTGTCTTAAAAAAAAGAAAGAGGCTGGGCACAGTGGCTCATGCCTGTAATCCCAGCACTCTGGGGGGCTGAGGCGGGCAGATCACCAGAGGTCAGGAGTTCGAGACAAGCCTGGCCAAGATGGTGAAACCCGGTCTGTACTAAAAATACAAAAATTAGCCAGGCGTGGTGGTGGGCACCTGTAATCCCAGCTACTTGGGAGGCTGAGGCAGGAAAATGGTTTGAACCTGGAAGGCGGAGGTTGCAGTGAACTGAGATCATGCCATTGCGCTCCAGCCTGGGTGAAAAGAGGGAAATTCCATCTCAAAAAAAGAAAAAGAAAAAAAGAATCTGAGACTCAGAAAGGTTGAGGAACTTGCCCCAAATCATACAGCAAGCCAGTTGAGTAGCTATTTTGCGGTAGTGAAGGGCTCAGGGAGATCTGGAGTTGGACAGATCTAGGTACAAATCCCAACTCTGTCAATTCTTCACTGTGTGACATTTGGCAAGTTACTTAATTTCTCTAGGCCTCAGTTTCCTCATCCACAAAGTGGGGAGCTAATACTTCCAACCTTATAAGGTTGGGAGTGATCATTCACAGAGCTTGCATGGGATGGGGATCCTGGTACATGGGCCTTACATAATGAATGTCAGCCACATAGGCAGAAATGATGCTATCTCTGATCTTACCCTGCCAGGGTCCATGAATTTGGCCAAGGGGATTTATTATGTTTTCGATAAATCCTATCCCTTCCCTCTGTCTCTTGTGGTGTAAATGGTTTTATTTACTTCATTAAGAGATGGCAATTTGGCTAAGTGTGGTGGCTCATGCCTGTAATCCCAGCACTTTGGGGGGCTGAGGTGGGAGGATCGCTTGAGTCCAGGAGTTCAAGACCAGCCTGGGCAACATGGCAAAACCCCATCTCTACAAAAAGTACAAAAATGAGCTGGGTGTGGTGGCACCCACCTATAGTCCCAGCCACTTGGGAGGCTGAGGTGGGAGAATCCCTTGAGCCTGGAAGGTGGAGGTTGCAGTGAGCTGAGATCATGCCACTGCACTCCAGATTGGGTATCGGAGTGAAACTCTGCCTCCAAAAAAAAAAAAAGAGAGAGAGAGAAAGAGAGAGCTAGAACTATTTCCCCAGTTGAATTTTTTTTAATTAATTAAGTTTTTAATTTTTTGAGACAGGGTCTCACTCTGTCTCTCAGGCTGGAGTGCAATGGTGTGATCACAGCTCACTGCAGCCTCGACCTCCTGGGCTCAAGCGATACTCCCACCTCAGCCGGTGCATGCCACTATGCCCAGCTAATTTTATGTATTTTGTTTTTGGTAGAGATCAGGTCTCACTTTGTTGCCCAGCTGGTCTCAAACTCCTGGGCTCAAGCAATCCTCCTGCCTCAGCCTCCCAAAGTGCTAGGATTACAGGTGTGAGCCATGATGCCCGCTCCAGCTGAATATTTGTTACTGAATAAACCTTTATAAGCACAAAGCCCCTGAACACCTATGGCTGCTGACAGATGTCTGAAATGCCTCCATTACTGCATTTTTTTTTGAGACAGGGTCTAGCTCTGTTGCACAGGTAGGAGTGCAGTGGCGCAATCATGGCTCACTGAAGCCTTGAACTCCTGGGTGCAAGCAATCCTCCTGCCTCAGCCACCGAAGTAGCTGGGACTACAGGCACACACCACCATGTCTGGCTAATTTTCTTATTTTTTGTACAGATGAGATCTTGCTGTGTTGCCCAGACTGGTCTGGAACTCCTGGCCTCAGCAATACTCCTGCCTTGCCTCCCAAAGTATTGGGATTACAGGAGTGACCCACTGCACTCAGGCTTAAATCTTTTTTTCTTTTTTTTTTTTTTTTGAGACAGAGTTTTACTCTGTCGCCCAGGCTGGAGTGCAGTGGCGTGATCTCAGCTCCCTGCAACCTCTGCTTCCCGGGTTCAAGCAATCCTCCTGCCTCAGCCTCCCAAGTAGCTGGGACTACAGGTGCATTCCACCACACCCGGTTAATTTTTGTATTTTTAGTAGAGACGGGGTTTCATGATGTTGGCCAGGCTGGTCTTGAACCCCTGACCTCAAGTGATCCGCCCACCTGGGCCTCCCAAAGTGCTGGGATTACAGGCATGAGCCATCGTGCCTGGCTGGCTTAAATAATTTTTAAAGTTTTGTTTTGAACAGGTAGTTCTGGGAGGCCAGAGGAGTTATCTCTCAGGAGATAATTATGCTCAAGTCTGGAAGATAAGAAATTGTTGAACAAAAAACTAAGTTGGTCTCGACGTGGGGGTGGGGGTGTTCCAGGCAAGGGGAACAGACTACGCAAATGTCCCAAGGCAGGAACAATCTCCAGAAACTGATGGAAGACCAACGTGAGTGAAGTATGAAGGGTAAGGGAGAAGTGGGGTTTGGATGGGGAGAGGGGAAAAGGCCCAGACTGAAAGGCCCCTGTGGGAACCTTCATAATTTGCAGGACCTGGTGCAAAATGAGAAAAAGGAGCTCCTTGTTCAAAAATTATTAAGTATTTCAAGATAGTGACAGCAGAGCATTACACTGACCCTTCATTGCATGAAGCTGGCCCTGCTCATGGACCATAGTAAGAGGAAAGGACTTTCATGTGAGGGCTGCAGGGACCCATGGAAGGTTTTTGAGCTAGAGGTGATGAGATCTGATTTGCATACGCTTTAGTTGCTGTCGTCACTACCCCACACCTGGATGATGTGTGTCTCTGCACAGGTGGCCTGCTTCACTTTCCTCTTAAACATGTCACTCCCCTGCTCAAGAACCTGGGGTGGTTCCTACTTCCTATTAGACCCAGCCCAGATTCCCTATCCAGACACCCAGAGGCCCTTCAAAATCTTCCCTTACTGGATTTAGTTAATCTAATGTCAACAAAGGCTGTGTGCTGAATCCCAGAGAGATGATGACTCAACCCAAGTTCACACAGCAATTATAGGAGAGCAAGTCAAGGCTGGAACCCAGGTTTCCTGAGGTTGGCCCATCCAGCCCTGAGCGAAGGTGCAGTCCTCTGAAGTGTTTTGTATCCCCCATCCTAGCACAGAGCCATGCACACAGTAGATGCTCAATCTGTGCCTGTGGCCGTGAGTTCGTTCCTCTTAGGGCACATCTCTGCCAGGGCATGGGTGTCCCAGAGTCCAGGATGCAGTTAGCATCCTTCCTGACTCCTTCTCTCCCTCATCCCTACCTCTAGGCATTCACCAAGCCCCACCGCACCCAGGCCAGCTGGCCAGGTCCTGCCCATAGACATGTTGTTTGGCCTGTGCAGTGTTTTAAAGCTTTTCCAATTCATCGTTCTAACATTTTAAAAAATCCGGAAACTTCACATGGCAACCCGCATCTTGTGTCTCTTTGCAAAGTCTCAAGCCTGGGTCTGGGTTCCTTCGGGGAGGCAGTTCTCTCCAACCTCTGAGCTTGCGGTGGGTGGGGTGGGGAGCGGTCACTGTAGTCCCCAGTGGGGCGCCTGAATTTGGGACTTTGAAGCGACAGTGCCCTAATTACCTCCAAGGACCAATAAGGATGCTGGAAGCTGATTCAATCAGACGTATAATAACCCCTCCTTCTGGAGCGGGGCCAGGTGGGGGCAAACGCCGCCTCTGGTCTCTAACAACAGGGAGTAGGAGGGGTGTTTTGCCCTAAACCTTACAACTAGCCCCAACCTGATGTTTGACTTCAGAATCCCTTAGGGCTTCATAGATGAAATGAATGCCCCTGAGAGAGGCCATGCTGCTTCCTCTCACCTGGCCTCTGCCTTTGCTTTCTTCTCCCCCGGGACTGTGCTCTTCGACCTCATCTTCACTCTGGCTGGCTCCGGATTACCATTCAGATCTTAACTCACACGTCACCTCCTTAGAAAAGTCTTCCCAGAGCACGTATCTGAAGCTCCCCAAAATTACTCTGTACTGTAATTACTCCCCATCACAGCACTGACGATCGGAAATGATTAATTTTTTTGTTGTCTCCTGCTAGACTGTGAGCTCTGAGAAGCCAGGGACTTGGGTTTGTCTCGCTCAACAGGGTCCCCAGGACCTAGAAAGGATCTGGCATCAACGAAGGGGCTCAACACACATGTGTGGAACAACTGAACCACTGGATTCACAAAACAGCTTTCCCTGAAGGATGCATGTGACCCCTGGGTCAGCCAGCCAGCATGGGTGGGAGCCAGTAAGGAGGCAGCCAATTTGCAATTAGGGAGCAATTAATAACTACCCAATTGGTACAAAAGACAGCTGAGGGGCTGGGAGGAGAACAAGGGAATGAAGCTCAGAAAGGAGCCTCAGGTCTTTCTTGGAAAATACTGGGAGCGGGCAATGAGGAATCCCCGGGGTAACATTTGAAAACCTCTTCTGTTATTGGAGATTTAAATGATCAGAAGCTCCCCTAAAAGGACTTGGTCCCTTTAAAACATTTTTTTTTTTGAGATGGAGTTTCACTTTTGTCACCCAGGCTAGAGTGCAATGGCACGGTCTTGGCTCACTGCAACCTCCACCTCCCAGGTTCAAGTGATTCTCCTGCCTCAGCCTCCCGAGTAGCTGGGATTACAGGCGTCCACCACCACACCCAGCTAAATTTTGTATTTTTAATAGAGATGGGGTTTCACCATATTGGCCTATTGGTCTCAAACTCCTGACCTCAGGTGATCCACATGCCTCGGCCTCCCAAAGTGCTGGGATTACAAATGTGAGCCACCATGCCTGGCCAAAACATTTTTTAATGGTTTGTAGAGATGAGATTTCACTATGCCCAGGCTGGTCTTAAACTCTTGGACTCAAGAGATCTGCCCACCTCGGCCTCCCAAAGTGCTGGGATTATAGGCATGAGCCACTGAGCCCAGCCAGGACTTGGTCCTTTAAGAAGCAGGTGTGGGCCGGGTGCGGTGGTTCACGCCTGTAATCCCAGCACTTTGGGAGGCTGAGGCAGGCGGATCACAAGGTCAGGAGATCGAAACCATTCTGGCTAACACGGTGAAACCCTGTCTCTACTAAAAATACAAAAAAAAATTCACCGGGCATGGTGGCCGGCGCCTGTAGTCCCAGCTACTCAGGAGGCTGAGGCAGGAGGATGGCATGAACCCAGGAGGCAGAGCTTGCAGTGAGCCAAGATCGTGCCACTGCACTCCAGCCTGGGCAACAGAGCAAGACTTGTCTCAAAAAAAAAAAAAAAGAAGAAGCAGGTGTGCCGGGCTTGGTGTCTCATGCCTGTAATCCCAGCACTTTGGGAGGCCTAAGGGGGAGGATCACGAGGTCAAGAGATCAAGATCATCCTGGCCGACATGGTGAAACCCCATCTCCACTAAAAATACAAAAATTAGCTCGGTGTGGTGGCACTCACCTGTAGTCCCAGCTACTCAGGAGGCTGAGGCAGGAGAATTGCTTGAACCTGGGAGGTGGAGATTGCAGCGAGCTAAGATCATGCCACTGCACTCCAGCCTGATGACAGAGCAAGACTCCATGTCAAAAAAAAAAAACAACCTTTCTGGGCATGGTGGTGTGTGCCTGTAGTCCCAGCTACTCAAGAGGCTGAAGTAGGAAGATTGTTTGAGTCCAGGAGTTTAAGCTTGCACTGAGTCATGATCACACCACTGCACTCCAGCCTGGGCAACAGAGACAGACTCTGTCTCTAAATAAATCAGTAAATCCTGCCTTAGATAAAAATTGCAGACCAGGTGTGGTGGCTCACACCTGTAATCCCAGCACTTTGGCAGGACGAGGTCGGTGGATTGCTTGAGCTTAGGAGTTCAAGAGCGGCCTCGGCAACATGGCAAAACTCTGTCTTTACAAAAAAATACAAAAATTAGCCAGGCATGGTGGCATACACCTGTAGTCCCAGCTACTCAGGAAACTGAGCTGGGAGGATCACTTCAGCCTAAGAGGTTGAGGCTGCAGTGAGCTGTGATTGTGCCACTGCACTCCAGCCTGGGCAACAGAGCAAGACCCTGTCTCAAAAAATAAAATAAAACAAAATAAAATAAAATTGCTGTTGGATTAATTAGGAGGTTTGATATGGAGCAAGTCATCCTTTCATGTTTTGAAGTAACTTTAAAGTTTGTCCACTCAGTAAGACACAAGTATCCATTTGGGCTTCTTCAATATTCTATGGGGTTTGGCCGGGCATGGTGGCTCATACCTGTAATCCCAGCACTTTGGGAGGCCAAGGAGGGCGGATCACTTGAAGCCAGGAGTTCGACACCAGCATGGTAACACGGTGAAACCCCATCTCTACTAAAAATACAAAAATTAGCCAGGCGTGGTGGTGCATCACTGTAGTCCCAGCTGCTTGGGAGGCTGAGGCATGAGAATTGCTTGAATCTGGGAGGTAGAGATTGTGTGAACCAAGATCGTGCAACTGTACTCCAGTCTGGGTGACAGAGTGAGACTCTGTCTCAAAAAAATAAAATAAAATATTCTATGGGGTTCAAGAGTTTCGTTTTTAGGGCCAAAGCATTATTATTGGAGGAAGGCAATCCCTACTTCTCCCACTTATTTCTGCCATGGGAGGAGGGTTCTCCTGCCCAACACCCACAGGCCCAGGCACCTGGAGGCAACTCTAAAAACAGCAGGAGACTACTGAAGGAAATTGTCCATCTCTACGAGGCACTCCTTGTGTCTCCAGAATTTATTAAATGACATCACAGTAAGGCTTGGCAAGTAGGATAAGGGAGTTAGACCAGGGAGGACAGACAGAAGTCTGCAGGCCTGAACACAGGCAGGAAGGAAACGGAAAATGCAAACAGGAGAGGTGAGGCCAGAGCTGAGCACTGCAGAAGGAAAATGAACAACCCTAGTTTGTATTACAGAACACTTTCACAAGTACGGTCTGCCTTTATCCTCAGCAGTTCTTACTGGTAAGATATAATGATATCCATTTTATAGATAAGGATCCTAAAGCCCAGCAAGGTCATGGATCTACACATAACTGAGCCACACATCTTAGATCAGTGCTTTTTCTGCTTGGCACACCCCACAGGGACTGGCACATAATGGGTAAAGAGTTGACATTTATTGAAGAAAAGTAGAAGGTATGCATTTGACAGCACTTAAAAAAAAATGTAGGCCAGGCGCGGTGGCTCACGTCTGTAATCCCAGCACTTTGGGAGGCTGAGGTGGGTGAATCACCTGAGGTCAGGAGTTTGAGACCAGCCTGGCCAACATGGTGAAACCACATCTCTACTAAAAATACAAAAATTAGCCCAGTGTCATTGCATGTGCCTGTAATTCCAGCTACTCAGGAGGCTGAGGCAGAAGAATCGCTTGAACGTGGGAGGTGGAGGTTGCAGTGAGCCAAGATCGCACCACTGCACTCCAGCCTGAGCAACAGAGCAAGACTCCATCACAAAAAATAAAAATAAAATAGAAGCTGATAGGGTATATTTGAGGGGGAAAAGATTCAATAACAGAAATTGAAATGTAGGTAAGCATGAGGAAGTTGTAAGCACTTCCTAGCTCTGTCTTTTTTTTTTTTTTTGAGACGGAGTTTCACTCTTGTTGCCCAGGGTAAAGTGCAATGGCGTGATCTCGGCTCACGGCAACCTCCACCTCCCGGGTTCAAGCGATTCTCCTGCCTCAGCCTCCTGACTAGCTGGGATCCACCTCCCGGGTTCAAGCGATTCTCCTGCCTCGGCCTCCCGAGTAGCTGGGATTACAGGCATGCGCCACCATGCCCAGCTAATTTTGTATTTTTAGTAGAGACGGGGTTTCTCCATGTTGATCAGGCTGGTCTCAAACTCCCGACCTCAGGTGATCCACCCGCCTCAGCCTCCCAAAGTGCTGTGATTACAGGTGTGAGCCACTGCACCCAGCCTCTAGCTCTGTCTCTTACTTGAATGTGATCTCACCCTGTGTGCCTCAGCTTCCTCATTTGGAAATCCAGGTCTCAGAGTCAGGAAGTAACTTTTTGGTTACCTTACACTGAACACTGAAGGTTGCATAAGAGTTGGTTACATGCTGGGCGCAGTGGCTCATGCCTGTAATCCTAGCACTTTGGGAGGCCGAGGTAGGTGGCTCATCTGAAGACAGGAGTTTGAGACCAGCCTGGCCAACATGGTGAAACCCCGACTCTATTAAAAATACAAAAATTAGCCAGGTGTGGTGGCACTTGCCTGTAATCCCAGCTACTCGGGAGGCTGAGGCAGGAGAATCTCTGGAACCCGGGAGGCAGAGGCTGCAGTGAGCAAAGATTGTGCCACTGCACTCCAGCTGGAGACAGAGCAAGACTCCGTCTCCAAAAAAAAAAAAGAGAGATACACTCCAGGTAGATGGGACTGCATGAGCAACGGCTTGGGTTAGAAATTATGGCAGCATGGATGAGAGACACTGTTCTCATGTATTTTGTTTCACGAGGACAATAATAAAACTTGTTTACTGTGATGACAATTAAATAAGATAATGCAGGTAAGGTGCTTAGCAGAGGCTTGTACATAATGAACTCAGTAATGGTGCTTGTTTTTACTGCTATTTTTGTTGTTTTTACAGATTAAAAAAACAAAGGCTCTGATAGGTGATATGTAGGCCAGGCACACAGCTATTGGTTGTTGAGCAGGATTTGAACCCACAGCTTTTATTTATTTATTTATTTATTTATTTATTTATTTACTTATTTACTTACATTTTTAAATTTAATTTTTTTTTTTTTTTGAGATAGGTTCTCACTCATTGCCCAGGCTGCAGTGCAGTGATGTGATCTCGGCTCACTGCAACCTCTGCCTCCCAGGTTCAAGTGATTCTCCTGCCTTAGCCTCCTGAGTAGCTGGGACCACAGGCACATGAAATCATGACCAGCTAATTTTTATATTTTTAGTAAAGACAGGGTTTCGCCATATTGGCCAGGCTGGTCTTGAACTCCTGACCTCAAGTGATCCGCCCACCTTGGCCTCCTAAAGTGCTGGGATTACAGGCGTGAGCCCACTGCACCCAGCCTATTTATTTGCTTTTAGAGACGGAGTCTCACTATGTTGTCTAGGGTGGAATGCAGTGGCTATTCACAGTCACAATCCCTCCACTGATCAGCACAGTTTTGACCTGCTCCATTTTCATCCTGGGCCTGTTCACCCCTCCTTAGACACCCTTGCTTACAGGAGGTCACATATTGAAGCTGAACTTAGCACAGACACTCGATCAATATAGCACACTACAGCCTAGAACTCTTGGGCTCAAGAATCCCTAGGCTTATCCTCCTGCCTCAGCCTTCTGAGGAGCAGGAACCACAGGGACACACCACTGTTCCCGGCACCATATCTTCTTGACACTAAGAGACCAGGCTCTGAACCACTGTGTTCAAGTTACCCCGTTGTGGGGCCTCTGTTCCTGCCCTAGGGGCCTCCCTGACTCAGCAACTGTGGGTGGCTTTGCTTCTGTGCCTGGACAGCAGAGGAGGTGAGAAGCCTTCCAGTTCCTTGAAAACCAAATACGGCCAGACCAGGCCTCTGAGGCCCAACCCTCAGGCTTGGCCTGCTCCTGCCTGCTCATATGGGCTGTGGGGCGCAACTCCCTACTCAACCTCCTGGCTCTGCTCCAGGGGGCTCTGGCAGAACCTCCATCCAGATCCTCCTTCTCAGGATCTTGTTGGGAAAAATACTGAAAGAGAACATAAAATGAGTGCCTCTCATCCATGCTGCAATAATTCCTAATTCTAAGACTTTGCTCATGTAATTTGGTCCACGGAGTACCTCTCAAATCAGTGTTTAATGTGTCTTTGGTGGCCAGTGTGAGCTATCAGGAAGAGTTACTTTATAACTGTGAGACCTGCAGTAAGTCACTCATCTCATCCATCCACCCATCCATCCATCCATCCATCTACCCACCCATTGGGCACCTACCTGTGCCAAACACATTACATACAGACTCTTCTTCCAGACCGGAAACTCCATGAGAATTGCAGACCAGGTGTCAAAAGATAATTATTCAGGGCAGGCATGGTGGCTCATGCCTGTAATCCCAGCACTTTGGGAGGCCGAGGTGGGTGGATCACTTGAAGTCAGGAGTTTGAGACCAGCCTGGCCAACATGGTGAAACCCTGCCTCTACTAATAATGCAAAAATCAGCCAGGCGTGGTGGCATGCATCTGTAATACCAGACACTTGGGAGGCTGAGACAGAAGAATCACTTGAATCCAGGAGGTAGAGGTTGCAGTGAGCCAAGATCGTGCCATTGCACTCCAGTCTAGGCAACAGAGTAAGACTCTGTCTCAAAAAATAATAAAAAAATTAAAAAAAAGATAATTATTCAACCAATATCCATGTGTCTCAATGTGTCTCCTCCAATTTATATATTGAAACATAATCTGCAATGTGGTAGTATTAAGAGGTGGGACTTTTGGGGGCGATCACTTCATGAAGCTCCATCCTTATAAATGGGATTAGTGCCCTTATAAAAGAAGCCTGAGGGAGTTTGTTCACCCCTTCTACCATGTAAGGACACATAGAAGACGTCCTCTATGAGGAACAGGCCCTCATTGACACCCAATCTACTGACGCCTTGTTCGTGGATTTCTCGGCCTCTAGAACTATGAGCAACATATTTCTGTTGTTTATATATTACTGAGTCTGAGGTATTTTGTTATAACAACAGGAGCAGACTAAGACAATGAACCGATGGGCCAAGGCTTGTCCTTACTACAGTCCTGGTAAGGCTGTTATCATTATCACCCCCATTTCACAGTTGAGAAGCCCGACACTCAGAGAGGGGAAGTACAAAGAACATACAGCCAGAGATGAGTGGAGCTGAGACTTGGCCAAGTTCTTAACCCTCCTAACAGGGAGGAACCATGCTAAGGGGCAGGCCCTGGAGGAGGACACGGACCATTTCTCCTTCAGCTCTTGGCTTCCTTGGCAGGAAGTGGATTAATTCTTTCTCTTGTCTCCTTCCTAACCAAGCCTTTGAGGGTGCCCAGCTCAGAGTCTACAAAGTCCTTTTCAAGGTTTCTAGAGCCCTCCTCTCAGCCCTGTAGGGGATTCAGGGCGGGGGGACCTTCCTCATGGTTCAGATGGGAGAATTGAGGCCTCTACTGCCCACAGTTATGTGCCATATTAGGGGCCTGGAATCTCATGCTTCAAGAAACTGAGCATGGAACTGGCTGCTAGATATTTCCTGTAGGTGTGGTATGAAGCTCTTAGAGTCTGACAGGTCCTAGCTCTGCCACTTACAAGTTATGCAGTCTTAGAGGAATCACTTCACCCCTCTGAACTGCAGACTTCTCCCCTGAATAGTGAGGACAGTGCTAGTACCTATTTGAGAGATGTTGGGAGGATGAAATGAAACAATGCTTGTGAAGCACTTAGCGTAGTACCTGGAACATAGTCAGTGCTCCAACAATGAGGCTATTATGGTACTAAGTACCTAAAACAGAACATCAGACTGGTAGGAATATCCATGCTGAGGGTAATGTTAGCTAATGTTTCCCTTTTTTTGAGACAGAATCTCGCTCTGTCGCCCAGGCTGGAGTGCCATGGCCCAATCTCAGCTCACTTCAACCTCCACTTCCCAGATTCAAGCAATTCTCCTGCCTCAGCCTCCCATGTAGCTGGGATTACAGGCACAAGCCACTTCGCCAGCTAATTTTTGTATTTTTAGTAGAGACAGTGTTTCACTGTGTTGGCCAGGCTGGTCTCCTACTCCTGGCCTCAAGTGATCCACCCTCCTTGGCCTCCCAAATTGTTAGGATAACAGGCGTGAGCCACCATGCCTGGCCAGCTAACGTCTTTTTTATTGCTACTATGTACCAGACACATTCATCTGGACAATATCCCTGTAACTTAGTGCCATTTTACAGATGTGATAACTAAAATTAGCCCAGCTAATTTTCTTGTATATTTAGTAGAGACGGGTTTTCACCATGTTTGCCAACCTGGTCTTTTTTTTTTTTTTCTCAGATGGAATCTTGCTCTGTTGCCCAGGCTGGAGTGCAGTGGTGCAATCTTCGTTCGCTGCAACCTCCAACTCCCGGGTTCAAGCAATTCTCCTCCCTGGGCCTCCCGAGTAGCTGGGGTTACAGGCGTGTGCCAGCACGCCCAGCTAATTTTCTTGTATATTTAGTAGAGACGGGGTTTCACCATGTTGACCTGGCTGGTCTTTTTTTTGTTTGTTTGTTTGTTTTGTTTTTCTGAGATGGAATCTTGCTCTGTTGCCCAGGCTGGAGTGCAGAGGTGCAATCTTGGTTCGCTGAAACCTCCACCTCCCGGGTTCAAGCGATCCTCCTGCCTGGGCCTCCTGAGTACCTGGGGTTACAGGCGTGTGCCAGCACGCCCAGCTAATTTTGTTGTATATTTAGTAGAGACGGGGTTTCACCATGTTGGCCAGGCTGGTCTTTTTTTCTTTTTTCTTTTTTTTCTGAGATGGAGTCTGGCTCTGTTGTCCAGGCTGGAGTGCAGTTGTGCAATCTTGGTGCACTGCAACCTCCACCTCCAGGGTTCAAGCGATCCTCCTGCTTGGGCCTCCTGAGTAGCTGGGATTACAGGCATGTGCCACCACGCCCAGCTAATTTTTTTGTATATTTATTAGAGACAGGGTTCCGCTATGTTGGCCAGGCTGGTGTTTCTCTTATTTTTTTGAGATGGAGTCTTGCTCTATTGCCGAGGCTGGAGTGCTTCTTTTTTTCAGATGGAGTCTCACTCTGTTGCCCAGGCTGGAGTGCTTCTTTTTTTTGAAATGGAGTCTCACTCTGTTGCCCAGGCTGGAGTACAGTGGCGCAATCTTGGCTCGCTGCAGCCTCCACCTCCTGGGTTCAAGTGATCCTCCTGCCTGGGCCTCCCGAGTAGCTGGGATTACAGGCCTGTGCCACCACGCCCAGCTAATTTTTTTGTATATTTAGTAGAGACGGGGTTTCACCATGTTGGCCAGGCTGGTGTGTTTTTTTTTTTTTTTTTTTTGGTTTTTTTTTTTTTTTGGAGATGGAATCTCGCTTTACTGCCCAGGCTGGATGGAGTGCTTCTTTTTTTTCAGATGGAGTCTCACTCTGTTGCCGAGGCTGGAGTACAGTTGTGCAATCTTGGCTTGCTGCAGCCTCCACTTCCCGGGTTCAAGCGATCCTCCTGCCTGGGCCTCCTGAGTAGCTGGGATTACAGGTGTGTGCCACCACGCCCAGCTAATTTCTTTGTATATTTAGTAGAGACGAGGTTTCACCAAGTTGGCCAGGCTGGTCTTTTTTTTTTTTTTTTTTTTTTTTTTTTTCTGAGAGGGAGTCTCGCCCTGTTGCCCAGGCTGGAGTGCAGTGGTGCAATCTTGGTTCGCTGCGACCTCCACCTCCCGGGTTCAACAGATCTTCCTGCCTGGGCCTCCCAAGTAGCTGGGATTACAGGCGTGTGCCACCACGCCCAGCTGATTTTTTTGTATATTTATTAGAGACGGGGTTCCACTATATTGGCCAGGCTGGTGTTTTGTTTTGTTTTTTTTTTTTTGGAGATGGACTCTCGCTCTACTGCCCAGGCTGGATGGAGTGCTTCTTTTTTTCAGATGGAGTGTGGCTGGGTGGCTTGGGTGGCTGGGCTGGCTGGCTGGCTTGGCTGGGTGGCTTGGCTGGCTGGCTTCGCGGGCTTGGCTGGCTGGGTGGCTTGGCTGGCTTGGCTTGCTTGGCTGCCTGTGCTGGCTTGGCTGGGTTGGCTGGCTGGCTGTCTTGGCCGGCTTGGCTTGCTTGGCTGCCTGTGCTGGCTGGCTGGCTGGGCTGTCTGGCTGGTTGGCTGGCTTGGCTGTCTTGGCTGGCTTGACTGACCGGCTTGGCTGGCTTTGCTCTCTTGGCTGGCTTGGCTGGGTGGCTGGCTTTGCTGGGTGGCTGGCTGGCTTGGCTGGTGGTCTGGTTTGGCTGGCTGACTGGCTGGGCTGGCTGGGCTCGCTGGCTGGCTTGCCCGGCTTGGCTGGCTGGGCTGGCTGGGCTCGCTGGCTGGCTTGCCCGGCTTTGCCGGCTGGCTGGCTGGGCTGGCTTGGCTGGCTTGGCTGGCTGGGTGGCTTGGCTGGCTGGCTGGTTTGCCTAGCTTGGCTGGCTGGCTTGGCTGGCTGGGTGGGTTGGCTGCCTTGGCTGGCTGGCTGTCTTGGCTTTCTAGCTGGCATGGCTGGCTTGGCTGACTGGGTGCCTGGCTGGCTTGGCTGGCTGGGTGGCTTGGCTGGCTTGGCTGGCTTGGGTGGCTGGGTGGCTTGGCTGGCTGGCTTGGCTGGCTTGGCTGGCTGGCTGGCTTGGCTGGCTGACTGGCATGGTTGGCTTCGCTGGCTTGACTGTTTGGGTGGCTTGGCCAGCTTGGCTGGCTGAGTGGCTTGGCTGGCTTTGCTGGCTGGGTGGCTTGGCTGGCTTGGCTGGCTGGGCGGCCCACTGGCTTGGCTGCCTGACTGGCTGGCTGGCTGGCTGGCTGGCTGGCTTGGCTGGCTGGGTGGCTTGGTTGGCTTGGCTGGCTGGCTGTCTTGGCTGGCTGGCTGGCATGGCTGGCTTGGCTGACTGGGTGGCTGGCGGGCTTGGCTGGCTGGGTGGCTTGGCTGGCTTGGCTGGCTTGGGTGGCTGGGTGGCTTGGCTGGATTGGCTGGCCGGCTGGGCTGGCTTACACGGCTGGCTGGCTTGGCTGGCTTGGCTGGCTGGCTGTCTTGTGTGGCTGGCTGGCATGGCTGGCTTGGCTGACTGGGTGGCTGGCGGGCTTGGCTGTCTGGGTGGTTTGGCTGGCTTGGCTGGCTTGGCTGGCTGGCTTGGCTGGCTTGGCTGGCTTGGCTGGCTTGGCTGGCTTGGCCGGCTGGCAGGCTTGCCTGGCTTTTCTGGCTTACTGGCTTGGCTGGCTTGGTCGGCTTGGCTGGCTGGCTTGGGTGGCTTGGCTGGCTTGGCTGGCTGGCAGGCTTGGCTGGCTTGGCTGGGTTGGCTGGCTGGCTGTCTTGGCCGGCTTGGCTGGCTTTGCTCTCTTGGCTGGCTTGGCTGGGTGGCTGGCTTTGCTGGGTGGCTGGCTGGCTTGGCTGGTGGTCTGGTTTGGCTGGCTGACTGGCTGGGCTGGCTGGGCTGGCTGGGCTCGCTGGCTGGCTTGCCCGGCTTGGCTGGCTGGGCTGGCTGGGCTCGCTGGCTGGCTTGCCCGGCTTGGCTGGCTGGCTGGCTGGGCTGGCTTGGCTGCCTTGGCTGGCTTGGCTTGCTTGGCTGTCTGGGTGGCTTGGCTGGCTGGCTGGCTTGGTTGGCTTCGCTGGCTGACTGGCTTGGCTGGCTTCGCTGGCTTGACTGTTTGGGTGGCTTGGCCGGCTTGGATGGCTGGGTGGCTTGGCCGGCTTGGTTGGCTGGCTGGCTTGGCTGCCTCGGTGGCTGGCTGGCTTGGCTGGCTGGGTGGCTGGCTGGCTTGGCTGGCTGGGTGGCTTGGCTGGCTTTGCTGGCTGGTTTTCCTGTCTTGGCTGGCTGGCTGGGCTTTCTTGGCTGGTTGGGCTGGTTGGCTGGCTGGGGCGGCTGGGCCTGCTGGCTGGCTTGGCTGGCTGGCTGGCTTTGCTGGCTTGGCTGGCTGGCAGGCTTGGCTGGCTGGTTGGCTTGGCTGGCTTGGCTGGCTGGAAGCTTGGCTGGGTTGGCTGGCTTGGCTGGCTTTCCTGGCTGGCTGGCTTGGCTGGTTTTTCTGGCTGGCTGGCTGGCTTGGCTGGCTTGGCTGGCTGGCTAGCTTGCTAACTTGGCTGGCTTGGCTGGGTGGGTGGCTTGGATGGCTTGGCTGACTGGCTTGGCTTGCTTGGCTGGCTTGGACATTAAATATAATATATTTGGTACATTAAATATAAACATTGTATACATTAAATATAAACATCTTTTATACATCAAACATAAACATTTTATACATTAAATGTAAACATATACATTAAATATAAACATCTTGTATACATTAAATATAAGAATACATTTGGTACATTTAATGTATACAATACATTAAATATAGACATTTTAGACATTAAATATAAGCATATATTCAGCACATTAAATGTAAACATATTTTATACATTAAATATAAATACTGTATATGTTAAATATAAATATGTATTTTCTATATTAAATATAAATATGTATTCTGTACATTAAATATAAACATTTTCTATATTAAATATAAACATGTATTTTGGATAGTAAATATAACTATACATTGTCTATATTAAATATTAACATGTATTTTGTATATTAAACATAAACATATATTTCCCATATTAAATATAAACATATATTTTTATGTCAAATATAAATATATATTTTATATATTAAATATAAATATGTATTTCCTGTATTAAATATACACATATATATTAAATATAAATATATTTTTCCATATGAAATGTAAACATATTTTAAACATTAAATATATTCATCTTAGATATGGCCCGTGTTGGAATGTGTAATAGATTGAGTATATAATGTCTACTCAATATAAAATTTATATTTATATATGCAGTAATGATTCAGGTTGATTGTAGTTAAGAAAAACAAGCTCCAAATTCGAAAGAAATATGTAAGAAGAGAGACAGGGAGAAAAAATAATGAGGCAGGTAAATGCAACAGACAATTCGAGACCCACAAGTGCAGAGCAGGCTTCCCAGACCCGGGTAATGTCTCCTGGGCTGATAGGAAGCCCTCAACCCCCCAAGTCCTTGTCAGCCATAAACCACCTGAGCACAGAGCCAGAGGGACCATGTTGGGGCTGGGCCTCCCGACTTCAGTTCCTCTCATTCTGTGCAAAGGAAAAACAATTCAGAATCTACAGAGGTTTAGACGTGTGTAGATGTGGACAGAGAAGTCCGGGCACAGTGGTTTACTGCCCAAGAAGACAGTGAGTCCCCGGAGGAATAGAATAATATACATCATGCTAATATATGTCATCCCAGTACTTTGGGAGGCCGAGGTGGGTGGATCACTTGAGGTCAAGAGTTCGAGACCAGCCTGGCCAACATGGTGAAACACCGTCTCTACTAAAAATACAGAAATTAGTTGGCTGCAGGGGTGGATACCTATGATCCCAGAAACTCGGGAGACAGAGGCAGGACGAACTGCTTGAACCTGGGAGGAGGAGGTTGCAGTGAGCTGAGATCATGCCATTGCACTCCAGCCTGGGGGACAGAGCAAGATCCCGTCTCAAAGAAAAAAGAAAAAAAGAAGTTGTGAGTGCTAAGTTCTCTCTGGATTTTCAGGAGGCCAGTTCTCCAGTCCACGGTGTCCTGGGAGGACAGGGGTTCCTGAGGGTGAACAGAGCCTGTGCCCGGTCAGGTAGGATCACATGTCCCTGAAGTTCAGAACCCAGGAGAATGGGGAGGGTCCTGGGGGTTCCTGCTGCATGGAGGGAAGACCCTCTTTCCACAGGGGCCCCAGAGAGCGAGAGGAAGGAGGAGGGCAGGTCAGTGAGTGTGATGGTCACAGTGGAGAGGGAAGCAGAAAGAAGTGTTCCCACAACAAGACACACACAGTGTCCACGCTGAAGCTACAGAGAGGACCTCTCCACCTGTGTCTGCCGCAAAGCAGTAGGGCGTCTTCTGGCAGCCCAGAGTCACCTCCAGATCCCACCTGCACCATGCTTCCTGCGGGGACTGCCTGTCTTCCTAATACACTGTCTTCTGACCAGTCTTCCAGACAAATCACCGGTTGCTATATATATATATATTTTTTTTAATAGCTAATATCTTACACTGATATATTTATATTATATATAAATATTTTTGTACTTTATGTTTATGCTATATATACAGATGTAGTTAGCTATTTATGTTATATATAATATAAACATGATGTATATTCTTATATTTCTCTGGGGACTCACTGTCTTAATAAACTGTCTTCTGACCAAATTCTTCCAGACAAATCAGCTGTTGCTATATATATATATATATATATATATATATATATATATATGCTATATATTTTACTGCATAGAATATATAATATATTATATAGCATAGAATATATTATATATTATATATTAATTATATAATATACATTACATATTATATATAATATATTATATTATTATGCTATATCATATATTATATATGTTATATATGTATATATATATTATATATACACATATACACATACATACACACATGTATATTTTAATAGCTAATATCTTACACTGGTATATTTATATTACATATGATTATATACAAATATTTTTGTACTTTATGTTTATGCTGTATATACAGATGTAATTAGTTGTTTATGTTATATGTAATATAAACATGATGTATATTCTTATTTTCCTGTGAGGACCCACTGTCTTCTTAATACACTGTCTTCTGACCAAAGTCTTCCACACAAATCAGCTGTTACTATATATATATATATAATATTTATATACACATATACACATACATACGCACATATGTATATTTTAATAGCTAATATCTTACACTGATATATTTATATTACATATAGTTACATACTAATATTTTTGTAGTTTATGTTTATACTATATATACAGATGTCGTTAGGTATTTATGTTATATATAATATATTAACATGATGTATATCCTTATATTCTTCTGGGGACTCACTGTCTTCTTAATACACTGTCTTCTGACTAGAATATTCCAGACAAATCACTGGTTGCTCTCTCTCTCTCTATATATATATTTTTTAATAGCTAATATCTTACACTGATATATTTATATTACATATAGTTATATACAAATATTTTTGTACTTTTGTTTATACTATATACACAGATGTAGTTAGCTATTTATGTTATATATAATATATCAACATGATGTATATTCTTATATTCCTCTGGGGACTCACAGTCTTCTTAATACACTGTCTTCTGACCAGACTCTTCCAGACAAATCAGCTGTTGCAATATATATATTTATTTATTTTTTAATAGCCAGTATCTTACACTGTGGCTCATGCCTGTAATCCCAGCACTTTGGGAGGCCAAGGCGGGTGGATCACCTGAGGTCAGGAGTTTGAGACCATCCTGGCTAACACAGTGAAACCCCATCTCTACTAAAAATACAAAAATTGATTGGGTGTGGTGGTGCATGCCTGTAATCCCAGCTACTCGGGAGGCTGAGGCAGGAGAATCGCTTGAACCCAGGAGGCAGAGGTTGCAGTGAGCCGAGATCGTGTCGCTGCACTCCAGCCTGGGCAACAGAGCGAGACTCCATCTCACACACACAAAACATCTTACACTGATGTATTTATATTACGTGTAGCTGTATATAAATATTTTTGTACTTATATGCTGTGTACTTATATTCTATATATTATAAAACATTTTATAAAATTATACATGTATAAAATGTTACATAAAAATTTTAATATAATACCATTTTATTGCATATATTTCTAAATTTAATATAATGAAATTTTATATATAATAATGTATAACATTTCTAAATTTATTATAATACAATGATATATAATTATTTTCTCATATTATAATTATACATAAGATAATTTATTATAAATAAAATTTTATATAATCTACATTTATTATAATAAAACATATAACACATTTCTAAATTTAATACAATAAAATACTATGTATAATAATTTATAACGTTTCAAAATTTATTATATAATTTTATTATACAATTATTTTGTACATAATTATATATAGTATATAATTGTATTTATAGAAATATAATTATGCATATACAATATGTAATTTTATTTTTACATAGTATATATGCATAATTATGTATTAACAAATATAATAATAATTTTATATACTTATTTACATTAAGTTACATATTATATAAATGATGTTATATGTTATATATATTACATATATTTTTGCTTAATATATTAAATTTAATCTATAAAATTATGTATTACAAATAAAAGTGTATTTTACATATACACTACATATAACTTTATTTATATAAAAATATAAAAGTCACATGGTTAAGTTAATAAAATATATTTATATCAATCTATTCATATAAAATATACACAATGCATATTTATATAAATACAAAGTATATAAAACTTTTACCAGTAGGATGCAAAGAGTTGCTGACCGTCTGCAGAAATCCTGAACCTCTGGAAGCAGAATAAAATCTTACCTCCCAGTCTGCTTTGAAAGGAACAGTAAAGCAGTCCCGAACCCCAAACCCACCCTAAGGGGAGATGGGGGAGTTGGGATGGACACGTTGACCAGTGAGGACTTTCCTTTGCTGGTTTTGAGGTGTCTTAGCCCAGAAGCTAAGACGGGAAGTGATTCTGGAGCAGGTGAGCTGATCACAAGCCTGAGCCAAGAATCCATGGAGCTCATAAATAGCAGAAGCCAGGACCCTGTGCAAATCCTTCTGAAATATCCCCCGTTTACTGGGCTCCTAGGGGTGGGGAAGAAAAATTCCCTGACATTTCGGCCTCAGGGAAAGAGAGAGACATCCCACTGGCCGGAAGCCTCTGCTATTTTTCAGAAGACACCTGGGGCATCACCCTTTCCCAAATGACGGTGATTTTCAGAGTGGTTCACTTTTTGGAGAGACATTTCTGCCCTGGAGATCCATACATATTGAATCCAAACGAATACTTTTTAATTAAAAAAAATTAAACATTAGAAAGTTCAATATTGAGGCAGCTACGAGTTTGAATTCCTCATTTTTCCTAAATGCATGTTGTCAAAATCTGTATTGCATTTAGTAACTACCTATGTTTCTAATGTATATAAGGTTACACAATGTTTTCTTCTTTTTCTCCTCCTCAGGGTCAGAATTTGAAATAAAAGTTTTGGAAAGAAAAAACACTCTTGTCTGTTTGTGCAAAAATAAAAGAACCCATATTTTAAGAATATTTTAAGATAAATACAAATTGTGTGTGTGGGGGGGTTGCTTATAAGAATTCTTCATATCCTAAATCAAAGATAGATCTTGTTATTAACCAGAAAACAAAATGTGTGTGTATAAATGTACAACACTCTTACACTCACACAAACACAGGCACACATGTGCACACACACATTCACGCACTCACTGATGTACTCACACAAACACAGGCATTCATGTATAAATACACACCTAAGCATGTATTTATGGAAATATAATTATGCACATACAACATATAATTTTATTTTTACATAGTATATATACATAATTATGTATTAACAAATATAAGATCAATTTTATTATATACTTATTTACATAAAGGTATATATGATATAAATGATGTTATATGGCATGTATATATCACATATAACTTTGCTTAGTATATAAAATTTAATCTATAAAATTATGTATTACAAATAAAAGTATATTTTACATATACACTATATATAACTTTATTATTTATATGAACTATAAAAATCATATGTTTATATTAATAAAATATATTTATTTATATCAATATATTAATATAAAGTATACACAATGTATATTTATATAAAAATTTTTAATTAAAAAATATTCATTTTGGTTCAATATGTATGGATCGCCAGGGCAGAAACGTCTCTTCAAAAGGTGAACCGTTCTCAAAATCACCGTCATTTGGGAAAGAGTGATGCCCCATCCGTTTTCTGAGAAACAGCAGAGGCGTATGGCCAGTGGGGTGTCTCTCTCTTTCCCTGAGGCCGAAAAGTCAGGGAATTTTTCTTCCCCACCCCTAGGAGCTCTGTAAACCGGGGATATTTCAGAAGGATTTGCACAGGGTCCTGGCTTCTGTTGTAAATGAGCTCCATGGATTCTCAGCTCAGGCTTGTGATCAACTCACCTGCTCCAGAATCACTGACACAAATGCAACCACACACTTACACAAACACACATCAACACGAAGACAGAATCACAAAACACACTCATAGAAACACATGGACACACAAAGACATGCACACTCACACAAACGCAGGGACACACACACAAACACAATTACAAAAATGTGTGTTTTTTTGCACACGTGGGTGCACATGCACATTGACATTCTCACAAAGCACACAAACATGTATACATACAAAGACACTCATAAACAGAATCATGAAAACACTCTCATATAAACACGTGGATGGCTACTCACCCACAAAGACACTCACATATGTCATACACACTCATACACACACTCAGAATCACACAAGCACACACAAACACATAAATACAGTCACACACTCATGCAAACACAGTCACAAAAAGACTCACATAATCATGTGGACACACAAACATAAAAATTCACACACCGGGGCCGGGCAAGGTGGCTCACGCCTGTACTCCCAGAACTTTGGGAGGCCGAGGCGGGCAGATAACTTGAGGTCGGGAGTTCCAGACCAGCCTGGCCAACATGGTGAGACCCCGTCTCTACTCAAAAATACAAAAATTAGCCAGATGTGGTGGCGTATGCCTGTAATCCCAGCTACTCAGGAGGCTGAGGCAGGAGAATCATTTGAACCCGGGAGGCAGAGGTTGCAGTGAGCCAAGATTACGCCACTGCACTCCAGCCTGGGCAACAGAACGAGACTCTGTATCAAAAAAGAAAAATTAGCCAGATGTGGTGGTGGGTGCCTGTAATCCCAGGTACTCAGGAGGCTGAGGCAGAAGAATCATTTGAACCCGGGAGGCGGAGGTTGCTGTGAGCTGAGATTGTGCCTTTGCACTCCAGTATGGGTGACAGAGCGAGACTCCGTCTCAAAAAAAAAAAAAGAATTTATACATTGCCATACAGATTCACACACATACATTCATATTCACAAACACACAAATACGATAAACACAGGGGCACACACAAACACCATCACAAAAACACACTTCCATAAAACACAGGAATGCACGCTCACACAGAAACATGCATGGAAACACACGTTGTCTTACAGACTCACAGAAACACTCATCATCACATAAACAGGCACACACAGCCACACAAGCACACACCCACACCCACATCAACACACACACTCCCACACGGCACCCACGCGCTCACTCACACAGGTAGAACAGGCCTGCATTACCTGATAACGCAGTTAAATCAGACGTGATGCTGCCTACCGAGGAGACCTGGAGGCTTCCCATGAATGGGCTTTCAGAAGAGAGGTCTCTGGGTGCATTTGGTGACACCCCAGGCAGTGGGGGAGACGTCCAGGCTGGAAGGCCAGCCACAGCCAGCTCTGCTCAAGGATGCCACGTCCATTTGCTTCAGTAGGATATGCACCCTGGTAACCCAGGTTCCTGCCTCTCCAGGAAACCCCACTGAGGTCAGCACATCCCCCCAGGTTTAGAAGGGGTCTCTGGGTGCATTTGGTGACACCCCAGGCAGGGGGGGGACATCCAGGCTGGAAGGCCAGCCACACCTAGCTCTGCCCGCAGATGCCATGTCCATTTGCTTCAGTAGGATCTGCATCCTGTAAACCCTGGTTCCTGCCTCTCCAGGACACCCCACTGAGGTCAGCACACTGCCCAGGTTTAGAAGGGGTCTCTTGGTGAAATGTGGTGACACCCCAGGCAGAAGGGGGGACGCCACAGCCAGCTCTGCCCGCGGATGCCACGTCCATTTGCTTTAGTAGAATCTGTACCTTGGATTCCCAGGTTCCTGCCTCTCCAGGACACCCCACTGACGTTAGCACACCCTCCAGGTTTACAAGCGGTCTCTGGGTACATTTGGTGACACCGCAGGCAGAGGGGGGACGCCACAGCCAGCTCTGCCCGCGGATGCCACGTCCATTTGCTTCAGTAGGATCTGCACCCTGTAAACCCTGGTTCCTGCCCCTCCAGGACACCCCACTGAGGTCAGCACCCCCCACCCCCCACCCCCAGGTTTGTCCAGCTTCGCTGTCTGGGGAGAGACACAGAAAGACCACATTCGGTGGAATTCTGGCTATAACCTTTTGTGGCCGGCAAGAAGGATCACCAAGCTGTCCTGTTACCTTGCTGGAGTGATCACTGGTTTCACGCTTGGCCCCCGTGCAGTGAGTGCCTGGGCCAGGCTCGATTCCTGGAGCTCCGGTGAAATTTGGGCTTGGAGCTCATGCCTGCACCATCCAGAAAGCAGAAGGCAGCCGGCCCGGGCTGTACGGTTTGTAGAATCAGAGAGAACACTGTTTGCCTTCATGTCTGTACCACAATAAATCTGCCAACTGCAGTCAAAGTCTCTGGATTCCTGACCCCTCATTTTATTTTGTCTATTACGGAGTGGAAGGAGTGAGAAAGATTTTGCTTCCTATTTTGTTTTGCAAAGTGTTTCTAAGAAAAACAACCCATGTTCTGAAAATGAGATTCTGAGTGTCCCCTGGGCGTGATGAAAACAAATTTTGGGAATCCAAGGGCCTGAGAGGCAGAGTGAATGTCATTTGCATTTCCCTGCGAATGACAAAGTCACTTTTTATTTATTATTATTATTATAGATTCAGGGGATCCACGGGCAGCTTTGTGACCTGAGGATATTGTACGTTGCTGAGGTTTGGGGTATGAATAATCCCGTCACCCAGGCACTGAGCATTGTACATTCCTGAGGTATATAATGTGTACTAAAAATAAAATGCATATTTATATATGCACTAATGATTCAACTTGATTCCTTGTAATTAAGAAAAACAAACCCCAAATTCTAGAGGAGTTCTAGAATATATAAGAAGAGGTCCAGGTGCAGTGGCTCATGCCTGTAATCCCAGCACTTTGGGAGGCCGAGGCAGGCAGATCACCTGAGGTCAGGAGTTCGAGACCAGCCTGGCCAACATGGTGAAAGCCCGTCTCTGCTAAAAATACAAAAATTAACCAGGTGTGGTGGCGGGTGCCTGTAATCCCAGCTACTTGGGAGGCTGAGGTAGAAGAATTGCTTGAATCCAGGAGGCAGAAGTTGCAGGGAGCCGAGATTGCACCACTGCACTCCAGCCTGGGTCACAGAGCGAGACTCCATCTCAAAAAAAAAAAAAAAAAAAAAAAAAAAAAAAAAGAGCGAGAGAGAAAACAAACAAGCAAGAAAATGCAACAGAAAAATCCGTGACCCAAAGCTCTCTCCAGTTGCTGCTTTCTGCCTGAAATTCAAAGAATCTCAGGGTAGTTTTTCAACCCTTGTACCCCCGCCCCTGCTTCCTGCTCTATTAGTACTGAGGGTCTGTGGTGCCCCTTCATTGTGTCCAGGTGCAGGCAATGTTTAGCTCCCACCTATAAGCGAGAACATGTGGTATTTGATTTTCTGTTCCTGGCGTTAATTCACTAAGCATAGTGCCCTTCAGCTTCATCCACGTGACTACAAAGGGCATGATTTTATTCTTGTTCATGGCTGTGTAGTATTCCATGATGCGGAAGGACCACATTTGCTTTATCTAATTGAGAACATGTGGTATTTGATTTTGTTTCTGGCATTAATTCACTAAGCATAATGCCCTTCAGCTTCATCCATGTTGCTGCAAAGGGCATGATTTTATTCTTGTTCATGGCTGTGTAGTATTCCATGATGCAGAAGGACCACATTTGCTTTATCTAGTGAAGAACATGTGGTCTTTGATTTTCTGTTCCTCATATTGATTCACTAAGCATAATGCCCTCTGGCTGCATCCATGTGGCTGCAAAGACAAGATTTTATTTTTTTCATCACTGTGTAGTATTCCGTGGTGTAGAAGGGCCACATTTGCTTTATCCAGTTGAGGACATGTAGTATTTCATTTTCTGTTCCTGGCATTAATTCACTAAGCATAATGTCCTTCAGCTGTGTCCATGTGGCTGCAAAGGACATGATATTATTCTTTTTCATGGCTGCGTAGTATTCCATGATGCAGAAAGACCACATTTGCTTTATCTAGTGGAGAACATGTGGTATTCGATTTTCTTTTCCTGGCATTAATTCACTAAGCATAATTCCCTTCAGCTGCATCCATGTGGCTGCAAAGACATGATTTTATTCTTTTTCATGGCTGTGCAGTATTCCATGGCGTAGAAGGGCCACAATTGCTTTATCCAGTCAAGAACATGTGGTATTTGATTTTCTGTTCTTAATTCATTAAGCATAATGCCCTCCAGCTACATCCATGTGGCTGCAAAGGATGTGATTTTATTCTTTTTCATGGCTGTGTAGTATTCGATGCTGTAGAAGAACCACTTTTGCTTTATCCGGTACCCTACTGATGGGCAACTAGGTTGATTCCATGACTTTCCTATTGTAAGTCATGCTGTGACAAACCTTACAGGGCTGGGCACTATAATCCCAGCACTCTGGAGGGCCAAGGTGGGCAGATCACCTGAGGTCAGGAGTTCAAGACCAGCCTGGTCAACATGGTGAAACCCTATCTCTACTAAAAATACAAAAACTAGCCAGGCATGGTGGCGCATGCCTGTAATCCCAGCTGCTCAGGAGGCTGAGGCAGGAGAATCACTTTAACCCAGGAGGCAGAGGTTGCAGTGAGCCAAGATTGCTACTGCACTCCAGCATGGGCAATAGAGCGAGACGCCATCTCAAAAAACAAACAAAAAAAAAGGAACTTTACCATGCATGTATCTTTTTGGTAGAATGACTTCTTTTCCTCTGGGTAGATGCCCAGTCTTGGAATTGCTGGTGCAAATGGTGGAGCAGTTTGGATTCAGGAGGTACATGTACAGGTTTCTTACATGCGGACGATGTGTGATGCTGAGGTCTGGGGTATGAGTGATCCCATCACCCAGATAGTGAGCATAATACCCCACAGTTGGTTTTTTCAACTCTTGTCCTTCTACCTTCCTCTCTCCCCCTAACTAGAACCCAGTATCTGTTCCCTTCTCTGTGTCTACCTATACACAACATTTAGCTCCCACTTATAGTGAGAACATGCAGCATTCTGTTAATTTACTTAAGATAATGGCCTCCACACTGTTCACAATAGCAAAGATGTGGAACCAACCCAAATGCTCATCAGTGATAGACTGGATAAACAAAATGCAGCACATAGACACTGTGGAATACTATGCAGCCATGAAAAAGGATGAGTTCATGTCCTTTGCAGGGACATGGATGAAGCTGGAAACCCTCATGTTCAGCAAAGTGAAACAGGAACAGAAAACCAAACAGTGCATGTTCTCACCATAAGAGGGAAGTGAACAATGAGAACACATCGACCCGGAGAGGGGAACATCACACACTGGGGCCTGTTGCAGGGGTGGGGGACTGGGGGAGGGACAGCATTATGAGAAATATCTAATGTAGATGATGGGTTGATGGGTGCAGCAAACCGCTATGGCACATATATATCTATGTAACAATCCTGCACATTCTGCACATATACCCCAGAACTTAAAGTAGAATAGAAAAAATAAAAAATAATAAAAATAATTAAAAAAGATAATGGCCTCCAGCTACATCCATGTTGCTGCAAAAACAAACAAACAAAAAAAACAAAAAAATGATTTTGTTCCTTTTCAGGGTTGCGTAGTATTCCATGGTGTAGATGTACCACATTTTCTTTGAGGGTAGAGGGTGGGAGGAGGGAGAAGATCAGCAAAAATAACCTGTGGCTGGGTGTGGCAGCTCACACCTGTATTCTCAGCAGTTTGGGAGGCTGAGGTGGGTGGATCACCTGAGGTCAGGAGTTTGAGATCAGCCTGGCCAACATGGCAAAACCCTATCTCTACTAAAAGTACAAAAATTAGCCGGGCATGGTGGTGCACGCCTGTAATCCCGGCTCCTCTGTAGGTTGAGGCAGGAGAATCTCTTGAACCCAGGAGGCAGACATTGCAGTGAGCCGAGATCGTGCCACTGCCCTCCAGCCTGGGCCACAGAGTGGGACTCCATCTCAAAAAATAATCATAAAAATAATAATAATAACCTGCTAGGCTTAGGACCTAGGTTGATTCCATTACAAAAAAAAAAAAGAAAAAACTAACTTTTTAAAAGAAGGATCTCTCTGTTCAAAAACAAAACCAATGCCCTGTCAGGAAAGATGTTCTGTGTTTCTGGTAAAGCTGGAAGGAACCTACAGGAAGGAGTCACCCCATAAAACTAGTGGAGCAGCATTACCTTTTGAGGTGAGGGCTACTTCTGTTAGGCCACCAGGATGAGTGCCTTCCTGGGGAGTGTGGTTCATCCTATACCATCCAGGAAGCAATTCCTGCCCCCAAATCACTTGCCAGCTTCTGCCCCGTAAGTAAAATCCCCAGCAAGCGGGCAGCAAGGAGCTGCTTGCCTTGGAAGTCAGCTGAAGTCTCTGCCCACCACCCAGACTGTGTCCTCTGGGAAAGGCCAGGTCTTCCAGTTGGATGGTTTTCACATTAGCGGCTGCTTAGAATCATCAACATTGGCCAGGCACGGTGGCTCATGTCTGTCATCTCAGCACTTTGGGAAGCTGAGGCGGGCGGATCACAAGGTCAGGGACCAGCCTGGCCAACATGGTGAAACCCTGTCTCAACTAAAAAAAAATACAAAAATTAGCTTGGTATGGCTGGGCATGGTGGCTCATCCCTGTAATCCCAGCACTGTGGGAGGCTGAGGCGGGCGGATCATGAGGTCAGGAGATCAAGACCATCCTGGCTAACATGGTGAAACCCTGTCTCTACTAAAAATACAAAAAATTAGCCAGGCACGGTGGCAGGCACCTGTAGTCCCAGCTACTCGTGAGACTGAGGCAGGAGAATGGCGTGAACCTGAGAGGTGGGGTTTGCAGTGAGCCCAGATTGCGCCACTGCACTCCAGCCTGGGCGATATAGAGTGAGACTCTGTCTCAAAAAAATTAAAATAATAAAAAATTAGCCTGGTGTGGCGGTGGGCACCTGTAATCCCAGCTACTCAGGAGGCTGAGGCAGGAGAATTGCTTGCACCCCAGAGGCAGAGGTTGCAGTGAGCCGAGATTGCACCATTGCACTCCAGCCTAGACAACAGAGTGAGAATCTGTTGCAAAAAAAAAAAAAAAAAAAAAAAAGGAATCATCAACATTGCCTTGGCCCAATCTCTTCCCAGACTTGTCAAATATTTACCACTGGACCTCCATGTTCTAGTTTCAAAGCTCTGCTGGCCACGGTGGCTCATGTCTGTCATCCCAGCACTTTGGGAGGCTGAGGTAGGAGGACTGCTCGAACCCAGAAGCATGAATCCATCCTAGGCAACATAGTGATAATAGTGTCAAATGAGAGCCAGTGTCCAGTAATTCCCCAAATATCTGAGAATTTTCTTTTCTTTAAGTCACAGTCATCCTGGCAGAAGGCTGTAGGTCCCTTTGGGGAAGACTGGGAAAAAGATTAACAATGTAAATTTTTGGCAATGTAGCAGCGTACTTCCCCAAGATCACCCAGCCTCCCCTTCACTTAAGGGGTTGTGGGCCTGTGAACTGGCTCAAGTCTGGGAATTGATTGAGGGTTTTAGATCTGTGTTTCATTAATTTGAGTTAGTCTTTTATTCAGTTGACCTAGAATTCTTCATTTTTTAAACAACAACTAAGACTTTGGTACAGCCCATTAGCTCTCCCTGTGGATACCATGGACTACACAATGCCATGGGTGTCTGTGAGTCAAACCATTCTGACTGCTGCTTTGACACTGCTTTCCACTGTGGTGACCACACCCACCTCATCTTTGGTGATTAAGGACAGCCCATGTTCCCTGCCACCCCAGGATTCAATTATCCTCATTTTACTTAAAGATACCAGTCCAGTGGCTGCAGTTCCTGCTGTAACATTTTGCCTACTGAGAGCACAAGCTCAAAGCTCTTCCAGGATACTGGGCTCATCTCACAATATTCTTTCTCATGATCGTTGTGAGGAGTATGTTCTGTAGACCCTTCAGTGTGAGTGAGCAGGTCTGACATAATAAATCCAGTCTCCCTGAGTTTTTGCATACCTTTCTGTACACATAAACCAAGGAAGTTGTGGCATCTCAACTTTATGTACCTTAGGTAAACTCTGATTCTGTTTCAGCCAACCAACCAAGTCACCAAACAAATAAGCAAACAGCCAACCAATCAACCAACAAGCAAACAAGCAAGCAACAAACCAACCAAACAACCAAGCAAGGAAACAAGCACCACCAACCAAGCAAGCAACCAACCAAGTAACCGATCAAACCAACCCTTGGAGCCCTTTCTAAAGCTTTGACCTACAACTCTGAGTCCAGAATCTCTGTTTAGTGGGCCAACATTAATAAATTTAGCCTAATCCAACTTTATGTTACTTTCACCATGGTGCCACACACTTAATATCCATTCCCACATATATTCTCCAGATTTCCTTCTGTATAAATTGCATGTGTGTGTGTGTGTGTGTGTGTGTGTGTAGAAAGAGAGGATCAACTGAAAAATCACACAATTTTATAAATTTAGAAAAGAGAGCTTTATTTCTTATAAAGGTTTGCAGCCTGCAAGGTGGCCATTATGACAGGCTGGGAAGTGTGGCCTACAGCCAAGGCCAGAGGCAGGCATTTCCAGGGAGGGAGGGAGAGGACAGGAATTTGAGCCAAATGAGTTGGCTACATATACATACTCAATAGGATATCAGAGGAGCTATATCATTTTATGAGAATACTCATAAAAGAGGTCCTAACACATGCATATTCAATAAACATGCATGTTCATTCTGGGGTGGAGACTTGACATTTAAATGTATTATAATTAGGCCCTACACATCAAAAAGTGAAGCAGGGACATGAAGGTACTCAGCCTCGTAAAGGCACAGCCTCTAAAACTGGCCAGAACCAGTCCATGGAGGATGGTCTCTTATCAGGAGAAAGTTACTGAAATCAGTCCCTTGTCCAGAGAAAGCTGTCGTTAAGGTTAGTGGGGCAGGAGATCAGTTACTCAGCATCTGTGAACTGGGTGAGTTGTAATTGTTTTAATCTTCTCTCACAGCCATCTCTCACAGCCAGTGCTTGCTTGGCTGCTAGAGAAAAATAAAACCCATGTGGTAGCTAGAATCTAGTTAATTCTTTAAGAGTAGGGTACAAGACTTAACCCTCGCCTGGCATGGCCCTAGGTCCTGTTTATAATTTGAGGTCTTATTGCCACAAAGAGTCTGTTCTGTCAGTCTCATGATCTCTATTTTAACATCAATGCTGTTCAGTTGTTGGGTCTAAACCATAAGAGGGAGGGAGGTACAGGGAGGTATGTCTGACTTCCTGTCCTGTCATGGCCAAGAACTGAATTTTAAGATTTATTTGAGGTTCCGTTGGCCAACAGGGGGTCTGTTAAGTTGGGTGGGGGGCTTAGGATTTTAGTTTTAGTTCTCAAGGGAGATAAAATAATTTAATCAATTGGCCCCTGCGACTGTGGGACTAACATGGCTATGATCTGTCGGACAGACTTCAGGGTGGCACCCAGGCAAAATTCTATGCTGTAGTAAATGCATCATGCACATTTGTAACAATATGTACATAACAATGTCACAAAATACTTTCACGGTGACACCTAGATTAGTATTTTATTGAATAGCTGATGATATAAACTGGCTCATTTGATGCCAAGACTGACCATTACCACCATACCAAGGTCATCACTGATCAGAGGCCTAACCCAAGGAGGGGGTCATGTGCAGACCCAGCAGTGGGGAGGAAAGATGCTGCAGAGGAGACAGATGCCCACAGAGGCCCCTGAGCAGATACCATGCTCACTAAGTGGTAAGTATAGACTCAACGTAGGCTGTAAGGTCTCCCCCTGTGCAAATGGGACATCCACTTGAGAGTCAAGGGTCTGTTTGGGTGGCAGGGATAGCCACTTCTGAAGGTAGAAAGGAAATAAGCCACCAAATTGGTATCTTTCTGTGAAATGGACATCGTGCTTAGAATCTCCATTTTCCCCACAACCTGGAGGAATAAGTACTGTCATGTGCATTTTGTAGCTGAGGAATCTGATGCAACAAAGTTAAATTACTTGCCTAAGCAATTAGCAATTAACCAAGTCTTTCTGACTCAGAAACTCAGCTGTTGCCTGTTCATATCCAGCCCCTGTATTGGGGTCAAGATCTGGCCTGTTCTCAATGCAGCAAGATCCAGGCAGATCACACTGGACTCCCAGCACTGAATCTGGCTCAAGGGGACATCAAATTTGACTGGGTCGTGGGGCTCAGGAGCATCACTCTCAAAAATAGTGGTACAGGAAGAGGCGATGACCCTAAACAGCATTTGCAGGCAGATCCCATGTTAATAATAAGGGTCAGGACTCTCTCACTTTTCTGTCTCTCTCTCTGTCTCTCCTCTAGGGCTGACCCCACATTGGACACCACTGCATCCATGTCCATCACACACCACAGCTGCCTTTTCTTCTGCCTGCTTATGGGAAAGTCCCCTCCTCTCCTCCGTTTTCTTCTCTTCCTGCCCTATCACACCGTGCACTTCTCCCTTTCCTTAAAGAACCACCATCAACTTTAGGAGGAGGGAAAGGGGTGGCTCTGGCAGGAAAAGCCAGAATCCCCTCTAGCCAGCAGAGAGAGAGGAATGGCTGCATGTTTTCTCCCCCAATCCAAGGCACTAGGTTTTGGCTAGGTTGCAGGTTCCAAGCTGCTCTCCTGCTGTGTCGGTGAGTTCTGGTTAACCTGCAACCTCCTGATGTGGCCACTGCAGTTCATCGAGTCTTCAGGGACTCCCCATGGCCTGGAGTACTTTGCCTTGCTTACACGGGAGAGGAGAATGGATTTATAGAGAACATCATCTAAATCCAACTTGACCATTGTGTGGCCACACTTGCTAGATTGCTTTAGTCTAAATCTAGCATTGTAGAAAGACGGGGGAGCTTGGAGCTGCACAAACCCAGGTCTGGAACTGGCTCCTTACCTTGAAAGGTGAATAATCCTGGCAGGACTCTTAGCCTTCCTGGGCCTCAGTTTCTTTATCTGTTTCTTGGGAAGGAGGATCTCTGCTGGTTGGTTGGGTGATGTGGGGGCTGTGTGAAAACAACTTGTCAATACAAGCCAAAACAGGAATATTTCTCCACAGAGTATGAAGGTCAAATGAGAGAATACATTTAAATTAAACGGAAAATTAAAATGGCAAAAAAGGCAAAGCTGTATTGAAAGTTCTGAGCTTCTCTATAAGGAGCTTTTTGACTATGTAAGAATCCTATACTCGTTCCCCCTAAATATAAAAAAAAAAGTTGAAGGAGGCAGAAGGGAGAGTGATGCACGATGGGCGAGGACTTCACCTGCTGTTGCTGGCTTTGAGGATGGAGGAAGGAGGCCACAAACCCAGAAGCTGGAGCCCCTAGAAGCTAGAAAACGCAGGGACCTGATTCATCCCTTGAGCCTCCAGAAGGGACATAGCCCCACCAGCACCTTGACTTTAGCCCAGTGAGATCCTCTTAGGACTTTTGGCAACCAGAACTATAAGACGGAAATGGAAGCCACTGAGTCTGTAGCTGTTTGCTGCAGCAGCAATAGAAAACTAATGCAGAGCCCAAGAAATCACTGGTGATGAGATGGGGAAGTGGGCTCAGGAGGTCTGGATCTGTGATGAGATGGGGAAAGTGGGGGAGGTCTGGATCTGTGATGAGATGGGGAAAGTGGGCTCAGGAGGTCTGGATCTGTGATGAGATGGGGAAAGTGGGCTCAGGAGGTCTGGATCTGTGATGAGATGGGGGAAGTGGGCTCAGGAGGTCTGGATCTGAGTTGGGGATCTGGAGTGGAAGGGGAATTCATTTGTTCATTGTCTATCCTTTTGCATTGATTCAGTTTTTTTTCCATATATATATATGTGAATTTCACAATAAAAGTTTTTTCCAAAATAAAAGAAACAAAAGGGGCTTTTTGCAACTCAATTCCTATCTATGTCTGAGTCCACTTGTATTGAATGAGTCTTTCTGCTAACGTCCTTATATTTGGGTGACAATCTGAATGTCAGTGACCAATCAGAGCAGAGGCAGACCTTGGAGTGGGCAGGGCATCCTGAGGGCCCTGATTCCTGCCATGAGGCATAACCCTTTAGGTGCCAGACCATGGGGAGGTCCAGGGGTTGCAGGGGAGGGCTGTGCATCTGCAATGACTCTCAGGGGGCTCCCGGTGGTGGCAATTGGTGAATCTGCACGGTGGTGTTTCAATATTGTCACAGCCCTGCTGTCTCTCATGCTCTCAAAAAGCATTTCTCTTACCTGTGACAGACTTCCTATACCTAACAGCTTGCAAAAATGTTCCAGGTTAACGAGAATAATCTCTCGGAGCCATACCTACCTGCTTGGGGTCTCAGTTTCCCCAACTGTCTCCAGACAAGTTAGGCTAGAAGGCCCCTGAGCCTCAGCCCCTCTATACCCCTCCTGTCACCCAGACCTGATCTGGGGCTTGCACCCTGGGTGCAGCATGACAGGGGTGGGCAGGGGCTGGCTCTGGGCCAGAGGACCCTTTCTGATGGACTTCAGCTGTTGGCCTTCCAGGGGAGACTGATCAACCTCACAAGAGTCATACGGTGAGTAGCGGTGGGCAAATCCATCCCCCTCATCTTAGATTTATGGGGAGACAGAGAGAAAGAGGAGACACTCCAGGAAGACCTGCAGGTGGGAGTACCAGGTTGAAACCAAGGACACCTTCCTGGAGGAGCTGCTGTTTGAGCCAGCTCTGAGAACAGGTGGGGACAGGACTGGAGAGGAGAAGGGTGTCCCCTATGAGCAAAGACTGGCCACCACCCAATCTAACACCCCCACAGGGCCCCTGTGGCATCCCTGTCCAGTCCCTGTCACCACCCAGTTTTTCCCTCTGGACCCAGGAATTCAAAGTAAGCAAGGAGGTCCGCTGCTCCAGTTGGCTGCATATAATTACAACCTTGAGCCCAAGCAGCACTTTGGGTCCTGGTTTGGGACCATGAAGCGGCTCGGTGAGACTGAGAGGTAAGGCCAGGGCAGGAATTGGGATAGTGGGATTGAACTCTCCCTGGGGGCCAGCCTCAGAAAGCCTGTGGCCATGGCCTCTTGGTCAACATCAGATCCTGTGGTCTGGCAATGCCTGGGGTACCCAGACCTCACTCTGGACAGGCCCTGGGAGGGGGCCCTGGTGAGATTCCTGGCAGCCTCACAGCCACTCTTCTGTCCATAGCTACAACATGTCATGCCAGCTGGAGGCTCCATCCCAGTTGGCTGGGAGCACAAAGGCCAGGAAGATAGACATCACCCACCACAGGAGCCAGTCGGGTCCTGAACCAGGGCGGGCAGAGGTTGGCTGCCTTGGGATATGGGTGGGCTCAGGGAGTCAGACAGCAAGGGACTAGCCTCCCATCCTACTGCTGACCAGCCCTGTGACTGGGGAGAGTCACCTTACTTCTCTGGGCCTCAGTTTCCCCCTCTGTGGAGTGACACTAAATGATCTCTCTGGAGACTGGGATCAATAGGGCACTGGTGATTGACCAGGCACTCAGCACATGCCTGGAGCACACGGTGCAGGGCTGTGGTGGGGAGGTGGCCTGAGTTCCTGGGGAGTCACCCATGTGTGCCTGCCGTTCTGACCAGCCACCAGGCACTCAGGGCAGAGCCCACTACCAGCAGCAGCTCACACCCCGATACCAGCTCAGAGGCGGCCCCTAGCTCAGCAGCAGGGACATCACGGACACTTTAAGCTGCTACTAGGGTGGCTTCTCCAGCTCCCACGTGGAGAGGGGTCCCAGCTGAGTCCCACTCACGTGGAGTCTCATGCCCATGAAACTGCCATTCACCACTGGCCAGGCTCATGAGGCCGCATGAAACGGGGGTCACTGGGCAGGAGATATCGGGGGAACAGAGAGGGTGGTTGAATTTTTGTATAATAGGCAGTGCAAGTGTTTACCGTTTGGGAGGGGAAAGGTTTGTTATTATTAGCAATGTTACACTTGAATATTATACTAAAATCCAGTTTCTCTATAACCTGGGAGTTGCTCTTTTGTTCTTTCTTTTCCCATCTTAATTAAAATGAGATGCAGACTCTCACGGTCCACAGTCGATTAAGAAATCTTGCACGGCCATCAGGTTATGTCTTGGAGAGCAGAGTTTCAGTACCATCAGCCTGGCAAGGAGCCGAGCCTGCTCCTCAGAGCTGCCGGGACTGCGAGAATTGGCATGTTCACAGGGCACTGTCACAGCCTCTGAAACATGCTGTCTTTAAAGACGTTTGCAGGCTGCATGCGGTGGCTCACTCCTGTAATCCCAGCACTTTGGGAGGCAGAAGCGGGGGGCTCACTTGAGGTCAGGAGTTCGAGACCAACATGGCCAACATGGCAAAACCCCATCTCTACTAAAAATACAAAAAATTAGCCAGGTGTGGTGGCAGGTGCCTGTAATTCCAGCTACTTGGGAGGCTGAGGTAGGAGAACTGCTTGAACCCAGGAGGCGGAGGTTGCAATGAGCAGAGATCACACCACTGCACTCCAGTCTGGGCAACAAGAGCAAAACTTCATCTCAAAAAAAAAAAAAAAAAAACACAAAGACATTTGCAAGGACCATGTCCTCACCCAGAATGGTGCCTGCCTTTCTACAGTTTTTCAGGAAGAGGAAACATTTTCTGCTTCTCTCGCTGAGGTTTTTTTTAACCACCCATTAGGAACCTATAGATTTCAGGATCGAACACTGGGATTCCCTCAGCACTAAAGGAGGAAAATTGCAAACAGAGCTGAAAGTGCAATGTGCAAAGGTGAGGCTAAGGAAGGTTCTTAGCCAGTAGACCAAGGGCAGGAAGGACACTGCCTCCTCAGTCTCCCACTAGGGAACTTGTGATTCGTCTCCCCTGACCTCAGAATTCCTTGTCATGTTTGTTTTGTCTCCAAGGGAAGGGTTTGAATTACAGAATTTAAGGCTAGAGTGAGCCTCGTGCAGTTAACATTAACCCTCTCTCTCCTTCGCTGGCCGAGGTGAAGTCCGGGAACATGTAGTTCTGACGTCCACTCTCTCGGGGGATCACCAGTTCACCCATCTCACCTGGCAAGCTGGGCCCTAGTTTGGCGACAGGCATCTTCCACCCACCTGGGAGGCAGGGTTCAACACTCCGCCTCTGACCTTGTTTCCTTCTTCTGCCATCTGCTTAGGCAGCCAGAAGGGGTTGTCCAGCCAGCACCTGGGCTTTGGCGCTCCTCAAGTAGGTGGAGGAAGTTTCAGGCACCTGGCTCCTCAGGTGTCTGCCATCCAGGTGCTCTTCAGGCCTGCCCAGCAGAGCTCTCTTGATCCAGCTAGAACTGGCCAGAACTGACTCACTCAGGAATGTGTAGACTTTGGCATCAGGGGCTGCTTTAATTTGCACAATTTCCAAATACCTCTTTTTTCTTCTTTTTCTGATGAGTCATCTCCCTAGACTTGCATTTTAAAGAGATAGATAGTTATCAGGTTCCAGAGAAGACATGGTAGAACATTTATATCTCAAAGACACAGAGCTGAGACTTCAGTTTTAGATACTATAATTTGCCTAAACCAAAAAGGAAGGTGTAGGTAAAGTTCTAGTCAAGACAGGATGGCCAGGAAAAACACCTTAAACCAAGGGACGGCTTGCTTTGCTGATTTAAGCCAATGGCTTCTTTATCATAAGACTTCCCAGTGATTTAGTCCTCCCTCTCTTCCAGTGCACAGAGACATACCCCTCCTTACAAATAAAAATGTTCTTTATAGATGTAAATTTATTTTACAAAAATGTTTCAAAATGACCAGATGAAAATCATCCTTATGCCAGAAAGACTTGTTTTTTTTTTTTTCATTACTAGAAATGAAACAGTAAGTATTTGTTGTATTGACATACTTAGGCTTAGACCTATGTTTAACATGAAAGCCTAATAATAGCACTGTGGTTAGACTGCAGCCTATTTTTCCAAACCATCATTTTATTATTAAGGAAACGAAGGATCAAATACCTTTCATTCATCTGATATGATCCTTTAAAACACATTCCACTAATAAGTCCCATTTGGAACAGCTGAAAATCTTTTAATAAAACTTTTTAAAGATGAGCTCATGGCTTAGTGTAAATTTCACAAGCTTAATTAGGTCAAATGGAAGGAACTCAGATGAGTAGTTGCCCAATCAGAGCCCATTTGTAAGTCATCAGACCCCTCCATGACCTTAAAACTCCACTCTGACTTAATTATTGCAAACCTATATACAACAAAGTGAAAGGATTAATTTTCATTCATCAACCTCTCAATCCCAGATTTTCAAAGAAAAAACCTATGTAAGGAATACTTACCAAAACCACACAGGAAAATTGGAGCCTGCATACTTTAGAGTCAAATTTGTTCCACTACAGCCAGGTCGCATACAATTACATCATTTGGTTCTTCATACACTCTAGAACTGACTAGGACAGAGTTTAGCATAGAAAAACTGTAAGAAATCGGTTCTGAAACATAGAAATTGCAAAGTTCAAAAGGCTATGAAAAAAACTAATGTAAATGAGAGACTCCCCTCCTTTTGTTTTAAAGAAATAGACCCATCAGAGAAATGCAAATCAAAACCACAATGAGATACCATCTCACACCAGTTAGAGTGGTGATCATTAAAAAGTCAGGAAACAACAGGTGCTGGAGAGGATGTGGAGAAATAGGAACACTTTCACACTGTTGGTGGGACTGTAAACTAGTTCAACCACTGTGGAAGACAGTGTGGCCATTCCTCAGGGATCTAGAACTAGAAATACCATTTGACCCAGCCATCCCACTACTGGGTATATACCCAAAGGATTATAAATTGTGCTGCTATAAAGACACATGCACACGTATGTTTATTGCGGCACTATTCACAATAGCAAAGACTTGGAACCAACCCAAATGTCCAACAATGATAGACTGGATGAAGAAAATGTGGCACATATACACCATGGAATACTATGCATCCATAAAAAATGATGAGTTCATGTCCTTTGTAGGGACACAGATGAAGCTGGAAACCATCATTCTCAGCAAACTATCGCAAGGACAAAAAACCAAACACCGCATGTTCTCACTCATAGGTGGGAATTGAACAATGAGAACACTTGGACACAGGAAGGGGAACATCACACACCAGGGCCTGTTGTGGGGTGGGGGGAGGGGGGAGGGATAGCATTAGGAGATATGCCTAATATAAATGATGAGTTAATGGGTGCAGCACACCAACATGGCACATGTATACATATGCAACAAACCTGCACATTGTGCATGTGTACCCTAGAATTTAAAGTATAATTAAAAAATAAAAAAAGAAAGAAATAGATGTTCTGTAAAAATATACACAATTTTTACAGACAAATACATTTATAAGTTGTTTTTGTCTTAAAAATTGGGGATATTTCATATTTATAACTAATTATTGAACCTTAAGTTTTCTTGGCCATTTCTAGGCTAATAAACTAAGAATCATGTAAACTAAGCCAAAGTAGAATAGACATAAAAGTCCTGAACACTTCAACTTCTATCCTTCAAGAAGTATACCTCGCAAAGCTCATTTGAGAGAGGAAAATCTTTCCTCCACCCTCTGTTTTACAGCGCTGAGGCTTCTCATCACATTTCTATGACTTGTAGCTTAAATCCATGTTACATGGTCACTGGCATTGTTAGTGCTTCTCTTTTAACACTGTAGGAGATAATCAATTTGGTGATGTATTTAATTCTATCACTAGAGGATTGTAAAATTACATATATTAATACCTCACTTTAGAGGCCACTTAATTTTTTTCCAAGGGGATATTTGACTATATTTCACTTGTGTCTTATTTAATGATTTTATAATTTAAACCCTAAATTATAAATCTAGAATTTAGAAAGTATATTTCCCCACTGGATTACATTTTTGGAAATATTATTTTATATGTGCACAAATATTACAAAATCACTGTAGACACCTGAAAACTATATTATCTTTTAAAGGCAATATTTACATTAAACTGGTATAACAAAATTGTTTGGTGCATTTTTTCCAGTACATTTTGTATATATTATGTTTAACCTTTTTTTATTCAGCAAATAATTTTTGAGTATCTACTAAGTGCTAGGTTCTGCATTACTAACTGAATTTAAAGAGTGAAATAACAGACATGGTCTCAGACAATAAAAATTAACATTAGGTCACCTATTTATATATTTTTAAATGGTAATTATGAAAACTTTTTGAGATTTTTAACTAGATAACATTATAATAATACACTTGATGTTGTTAATATTTGCCAGTGAGCAAAAAAGAAAATAAAAAGATGGTTTTATTCAATATACACTTTAAAATTGCAGAAAATAGTCAAGTTTCTCTGCTTTGCAGTTGAATGTCTATGTGTTTTTCTCTGCAACTTGGCTTTTGTGGAGTGAAACAATTATTCTTCCAGCCCAATAAAAGCAGAAGAGTAACAATAAATCTGATATTTTAAATGCTTATCAAAAGATAGTAGACATATTATTTCAGAATACTGAGTTCAATAAGTTGACCTACAAAAAAAGCCAAACTGACAGTATTACTGAATAAGGAAAGGCCCAAAGAGACAAAATATTTTTTATTTTGTAACCTCGGTATGACACAACTTACCCTAACTATAAAGACCCTAAATGACCAAGATGGGTGCTTATAATATGGAGAGTAAAAAAGTCATTTCACTTTTAGCTTTTTTATTTCTCTCAGAATAAAAAGTGTATAAGGAGTTGATAAAGAAGTTGATACTATAAGTTAGTACTACAATGACAGCACTTTTCAAGAAAAGACTTTTTTCTCTCTTACAAATATCATGTTAGCAGTATTTGTTTTCTCCAGAAATAATGAGGAAATAAAAACATAAGTATGTGGGTAATTAGTTAGTTTCTTAAAGAAATGAGTTATGCAACAGGCTAATAATGTATACTTCACTGGCTTTTGAATGCCAACAATCATATTCTTTATAAAGCACAGAGAAGATTTTTCTAAAGAATAAGTATGTGAACCTGAAAAGTAATCACCACTTGGTAGTGACAATATGGATAGGGTGAAGGGTGTCATCAAGAAGCAATGAAAAGATACATTTGCAGTTAAATTTGAAAACCATGATGTTTAATACATATAGTAATAAAGAATACTTTCTCCTGTTTCAAAATCATTTTAGAATTTAAGATAGAAGCTAAAATACCTAGGGATAATGATATGACTATCAAAAATTAAAAATTAAAGGACATTTTGAGTATTATAAGTTAAGAATGAGAACTTATTACCCAATGAACAGGGGATAATTCATTATGCTCCATATCCATTGAATTAAAAGACAGGCCCATTACGTGGATAATTTGAAAGTTTAATTTTATTTAAAAGTCTTGTTTCATTCATCAAGCAAAATGATTAGCTCCCAGAAATATTCTAGGATTGCATATCCCCAACTCTGTAGGAAGTATAGAAAGAATGTTATAAGGGCCACCATCTAAACATTATTATGTAAATAATTTAGTACCATTCCATTTGCCTTTGTAGATTTAAAAATGTAAATGGCTTTCTCATATTAGGAAACATCACTTTTCAAAACCCAGATAAACATAGTACATTGCAAGAGAATAATTATTTTCTTTATTAAAAAAGAAATACTGGATGCTAAGTCCAAAAGACATAAATTATTTTATACTAATAACTACTAACATTTTATTCATGAAAATATAAAGGTCAAAGATTTTAAAATGATCTTTAAATGATTAATAACATGTTGATCTTTTTCTTCTTTCTGTAAACCTTTTTGAGTCTTAAAAATACTAAACTATACAAGCAATATTAAATGGTATATAAACTTGGATTAAAATATTCAAATTTACTAGAATGTAGACATTGGAAAGAATGAAAATAAACAGAAGCATAAAGCAGCAGCTATAAAATTAAGAAAGCAACTAAGAGTGTTTAAAGTACATATTCATCTGTAGTCTAATGTCTACCATAAAAAATGACTCTTCTCAGTAAAACACAAATTGTTCATGAAGGGAAAAAGCATGTTGTATTAGAGAATATTCAACATAATTTCTTTAGTACTAACTTGTGCCTGGAGTATTATTGGTTTTTCTATTATGAACTTATGCACTTGATAATTTTTTTCATAAAAATTGTATGTACAACTCTGACTGTACTAAAAATACAAAAATTAGCCAGGCATGGTGGTATGCACCTGTAGTCCTAGCTACCTGGAGGGCTGAGACAGGAGAATCGCTTGAACCTGGGAGGTGGAGGTCGCAGTGAACCGAGATCATGCCACCTCACTCCAGCATCAGTAACAGAATGAGATTCCATCTCAAAAAAAGAAAAGAGTGTAATATCGGTATACACAGGTAATATACTGAATGAAACAAATAGAATAATTTGAAGAGGTATCTTGATGAACAAGGAGTCATTAGAAAGGTTGTATTCATGTCTTTGAAGGAAATTGCAATGTGAGAAATTAATACTTTGACTACTATACTAAAAGTTTATTGCTAACATGTATTGAGTTATTAACGTGTGTTAGGCAGAGTACCATATAATTTACAAGTGTTATCTCATTTATTGTAGGTAAAATGTAATTTCGAACTCTGGGAGTATAAATGAATTAGATAGAATAAAATTCTATTTAAATGGCCATCAGTAAATCGGTATCTAGGAACAGGGTGATACAGTGCCCAAGTTTTCTATTCTTACTAAATGTTGTGTTTCATTTTCAATGTTTTCTTGGATATTGCTCTTTTTTGGTGATTTTGATTTTTTTTATTTTAGAAAACTAATAAATTGACTCTTCTTGGTACTGACTCGGGTTTTATAGAAGAAGAAGTAATTAAATTCTGTACATTTACCTTTACCTCATTTTTTGTCTTTTAAATTTATTTTAATTGACATATAATAAATGTACATGTTATGGGGTACAGCGTGATATTTTGATATATTTATGCAATGTGTAAAGATCAAGTCAGAGTCATTATCATATCCATTACCTAAATCATGTATTATTTCTTTGCAGTGAGAATATTCAAAATCTTTTATTTTAGTTATTTGAAAACACACAATAAATTCCCGTTAACTACAGTCACCCAACAGTGCTGTAGAGAACTAGAACTTCTTCCTTCTCTCTAGCTGTAATTTTGTATGTATTAACCACAGTTTTCTTATACTCTTCTTTCTCCTACTCTTTCCAGGATATGGTAACCAAAACTCTACTATCTACTTCTATGAGATTAAAAATTTTAGCTTCCATACATAAGTGAGAACATGTAGTTATGTGGTGTTTATGTTTCTATGCCAGGCTTATTTCACCTAACATAATGCCCTCCACTTGCATTCTTGTTGCCACAAATAACAGGATTTTGTTCTTTATTATGACTAAATAATATTCCATTATATATGTATGTCACATTTCTTTATCCATTCATCTGTTGATGGACACTTTTGTTGATTCCATATCTTGGCTATTGTGAATAGTGCTGTAATAAACATGGGGGTGCAGGTAACTCTTTGATATACTGATTTTCTTTCCTTTGGATATATACTGAAAACCATATGATTAAATTAATAAACACAATAAAAGCGTTTGGCAAAATTAAATATTCTTACATGACAAAAAACCTCTCAACAATTTAGTATAGAAAATATATGCCTTAACACAGAAGGACATAAAGGACAAATCTACAACTAAGATCATACTGAGTGTGGAAAAGGTGAAAGATTTTACTGTGAACAAGAAAAAGATTTTACTGGAACAAGAAAAGGATGCCTATTCTCACCAATCATATTTCACATAGTGAAAGTCTTAACCAGGACAATTAGGTGAGAGAAAGAAATAAAGGACATCTGAATTGGAAAGGAGACAGTCAAATTGTCCCTGTTTAAAGACAATGTGATCTTATACACGGAAAAAAATAAGACTCTACCAAAAGCTTCTTAGGGTGATACATGAAATTAATAAAGTTGCAGGATATAAATCAACATACAAAAATCAGTAGCATTTCTATATATTGATAGTAAACTAGCTGAAACAAGAAATTAAGAAAGCAATTCCTTTTACAATAGCTACAAAAATGTACTTAGAAATAAATTTAACCAAGGAAGTAAAAGATTTTGACAACAAAAATGACAGGTATTAATGAAAGAAATTAAAGAAAACACAAAAAAGGAAAGACATCCATGTTTACAGATTGAAATAACTAATATTCTTAAAATGACCCACTATCCTATGTGATTTACAAATTTGGTACAATCACTAGCTTGTATTTTTAAAAGCACCTTTGCTGCATATTCTTAAGACATTCAACAATGCCTGGATTTAAGTTTGAGGTATTATTATATCTATTTTATACTGGGCACAATATAATGTTATCAGAGGTAACGGTTTTGATTGGTCCTAGGTCATACAGTAATATATACATTGTGATTTATAGACATGCTATCTTTTAATACTCAGGCATTTAGAAAGTTCATTTAGAAAAAGTTATAAAAACTTGCCTTCCTTTCTGACTATATCACCTAAAAATCCTAATTTAAGAGGTAATAACATTTTTTATTTGATATACAATTTATCAACACAATAAAAATCTAACAATTATCATGTGCAGAGTGTGAAAATCTCATCAGATTAAGGAACACAAAGACATCTTTTTCATATTTCGAATGTAAAACTGTTTTGGAAACTGTTATTTTTAGAAACAGTTAAAAACATTTTTTCATTAGTTTTTCATGTAAAATTATGACAACCAGCATGAAATAACTGTCATCACAGAAGCATGGTATATTCGATTCCAAAACATATTCTTTGTAAGTTTTAATATATTTATGTATTATTTATACTTAGATTGTAACCCATAATGTTACAATTTATGTTACAATATTGTTTTTCCTTCAACTCTTAAGAATATTCTTAAATAATAAAATTAAAATTAATGAATTATAATTTTTGTTGCTTGGGAAAAAGAGTAGACACACACGTGACAGTGCATCACTTCACCCCATCATTTCATCTCATCATTTCATCTCATTTCATCTCATCATTTTATCCCATCATTTCATCTCATTCCATCTCACCTCATCATTTTATATCATCTCATCATTTCATCTCACCATTTCATCAAATCTCATCTCATCTCATTTCCATTTCATTTTCATTATTTCATTTCACTATTTCATTTCATCTAATTTCATTTATTTCATTTTGTCATTTCATATAATCTCATTTCGTTTCATCTCATATTTTTGATATCATTTTTCATATCATTTTTCATCTCATTTCATCTCAATTCATTTCATCTCATCATTTCATCTCCTCATCTCATCATTTCCTCCTTTCATTACATTTCATCTCATTTCTTCTCATCTCATTTCAATTTCATTTCATTATTTCATCTCATTTCATTATTTCACCTAATTTCATTATTTCATCTCATCTCATCTCAATTCATCTCATCTCATTTCATCTCATCATTTCATCTCATCATTTCTCATCTCATCATTTTTCATCTCATCATTGAATCTCATTTCATTTCATTTCATCATTTCAGCTCATCATTTCATGTCACATCTATTCATTTCATCATTTCATTTCAACATTTCATCTCATCATTTCATCTCATCTTTCAATTTCATTTCAATATCATCATTTCATCATTTCATTTCATCTCATTTCATTATTTCATTATTTCATTTCATTTCAAATTCATCTCATCATTTCATCTCATCTCATCATTTTTCATCTCATCATTTCATCTCATCATTTTTCATCTCATCATTTTTCATCTCATCATCTCATCTCATCATTTCATCTCATTTCTTCTCATTTCATCTCATTTTATCTCATTTCATCTCATCTCATTTCAATTTCATTATTTCATTTCATTTCACTACATTTCATCTCATCATTTTATCTCATCTCATTTCATCTCATCATTTCTTCTCGTCTCATCTCATCATTTCATCATTTCATCTCGTTTCATCTCATTTCATCTCATCTCATCTCATCTCATCATTTCATCTCATCCTTTCATTTCATCTCATCGTTTCATCTCATTTCATCTCATCTCACCTCAGCATTTCATCATTTCATCTCATCATTTCTTATTTCATCTCATTTTATCTCATTTCATCTCATATCTCAATTCAATTTCCTTTCATTATTTCATCTCATTCATCTCATTTCATTACATCTCATCATTTCCTCTCATCATTACATCTCATCTCATCTCATCATTTCATCATTTCATCTCATCATTGCATCTCATCATTTCATCTCATTTCATCTCATCATTCATCTCATCATTTCATCTCATCTCATCATTTCCATTTCATTATTTCATCATTTAATTTCATCATCTCATTTAATTTCACCTCATTTCATTTCATTTTTTCATTTCATTATGTCATTTCATTTCATCTCATTACATTTCATCTAATTTCATTTCATCTCATTTCATCTCATCATTTCATTTCATCTCATCATTTCATCTCATCTTTTCATCTCATCATTTCATCTCATCATCTCATCAACTATTTTCAACTTATCTCATCATTTCATCATTTCATCT